>NC_000006.12:76398261-78898261 GCF_000001405.40 Homo sapiens | reverse complement strand
GTTGCACTTTTGATTTTTTGTTGTACAGTTAATGAACTTGAGAGTCTGGATGACTGGTGATCATCTATTTGGCCTTCCCATTCTTTTGTTTCTTCTTCTTTGATTAGTAAAGGTTTTCCTAAGGTTTGGCCAACAAGGTTACAGACTTCTTGAGCTTTGCGCCACGCATTCTCAACAGCAACAAGACAGGCTTGCCGTCTTAGGAATTAAATGGAGAGATTATTAATATGACACTCAATGAAATGTAGCACTGGATAGTTTTGTTTAAAGAATATCTTAGTTAAAGATGTGCTTAAACTTACCGAAGATTCTCAACAGAACCTGGAGTATGATAGAACTGGGGTGGGCTGATGACAACAGAGCTATCTAGCTTTTCAACAAGAAAGTTACAAATATTTTGCATTTTTCCAAATTCAGTAAATGTAATGCAGACCTGTAAATGAAATGACACGATATTATTTTCATGTCTGATGTACTGTTTCAAGATTTTCTCTACATGTAAGTAAAAAAAGTATAGCCAGACTATGAGGTCATTTTATAGTATGTAACAGATTTTTAAAAGCCTATTTGATACTTATAACTAAATTATTTTGTTCTTTAAGATTTTTGCTTTTGAATTTTCAAATTTATCTAATATTGTCTTGAATATTAAAAAACTTATATTTTAAACCAGGGATTTTTAAATGAAATTGAAGGAGTTTCCCTTAAACCTTATTACTTGGCTAAATTTTAATCCTGATAACTAGCATGATTCCTTTGTCTAATCAATGCCCTTAGCTTCCTGATTAGTAGTAATCATGCCATACTTCACTGCTATCATTGAGAAATGTTTCTTCTTCCAATAGTTCTGTTCAGATCTATATGTGGAAGCTAATGTATTTCACTCTGTCTTCTGCCTTTAAATATGTGGAAGCAGTCCTTATATTCGGCAATACTTTAAAACCGGTCTGTTAAGTCTTCAATGAAGGGAACTAAACCTTGTCTTTTTTTTTTTTTTTTTTTTTTAAGAGAGACAAGATCTTGCTACGTTGCCCAGGCTGGAGTGCACTGGCATTATCATAGCTCACTGCAGCCTCAAACTCCTGGGTTCAAGCGATCCTCCTACCTCAGCCTTCCAAGTAGGAAGGGCTACAGGCATGCACCACCATGCCCAGCTAATTAAAAAAATTTTTTTTGTAGAGGTGGAGTCTCACTATGTTCCCCAAGCTGGTCTCAAACTCCTGGCCTCAAGCAATCCTCCCACCTTAGCGGTTGTAGACATGAGACACCACACGCAGCCTAAACCTTTTCTTCTAAAGAACCCTTAACACAAGGTCAATATGCAAAACAAAATACAGATACTACAGAATAAGCTGGAGTAGCAGAGAGAGACATAAGATAACCTCACCTTATACAATGCAGAACATCTGTCTTTAATCATAATTTTTTTTTTTTTTTGAGCCAGGGTCTCTTTCTGTTTTCCTGGCTGGAGTGCAGTGGTGTGATCACGGGCTCACTGCAGCCTCAACCCCTGGGTTCAGATGATCCTCCTGCCTCAGCCCCCCGAGTAGCTGGGACTACCGGAACGTGCCACCATGCCTAGTGAATTATATCACTTTTGAAAAAGGTATAGAACTTTGTAACCACCATAACAAAAATTTAGACCTGTTCCAACACCCCTAAAAATTCTCTCAGGTAACTCCTTTATCAGTTCCTTCCCCAGTTCCTAAACCCTGGCAACTACTGATACATTCTCCACTGTTAAAGATTTGCCTTTTTCAGAATGCCATATAAATGGAAGCATATAGTATGTGCTCTTTGAGATTACTTCTTTCATTTAGCATAATGTATTTGCAATTCATCCACATTGTTGCATAATATTTTTGTTCCTTTTATGCTGAATAGTATTCGTTACATGATCTAATCACAGGTTGTTTTTTTTTTTTTTTTTCCATTTAGGTTGCTTCCAGTTTGGGGCTATTATAAATAAAGATGCTGCTTTTTCAAAGTAGTTCTAGATCCTTTGTATTTCCAAATGTATTTTGTAATCGGTTTTTGTCAGTTTCTATTTTTTGAAAAGCTGGCTGAGATTTTGATTAGGATTGTATAGATTAATTTAGGGAGAACTGATATCTGGAATAGTGAATCTTCCAAACCATGAACAAGAAGTGTTTCTCCATTTATTTAGGTCCTCTTTAATTTCTCTCTGGAATGCTTTGCAGTGTTTAGCACACAGGTCTTTCACATCTTTATAACAGATTTATCCCTATGTATTTTAAATTTTTTGATGTTTACTAGTTCTAATAGCTTTTTTGTAGATTCTATCAGATTTTCTACAATGGTCATGTTGTCCATGAATTAAGATAGTTGCACTTCTTCCTTTCCACTCTGGATGTCTTTTATTCTTTTTCAAGTACAATGGTGAAAGAAGACATGAATGAAGACATCTTTGATTTGTACCTGATCGTAGGCACAAAGCATTCACTGTTTCACCATTAAGTATGACAGCTGTAGGTTTTCATGGATTCCTCTTATCAGTTTGAGGAAAATCTCAACTGTTCTTATTTTACTGATAATTTTTACTAGGAATAAATAATGGACTTTGTTAAGTGCTTCTTCTGTATCTATTGAGATAATCATGTGATTTTTTTCAGTTTATTAATGTAGTGAATTAGATTGACCAATTTCTGAATGTTAACCAACCTGGGATACACACTTGGTCATTATGTATTAATATTATTCTTTATACCTGCATGTAAAGGATACGTGTGTGTGTCCATGTGTGTAAGCATGTATGTGTATAAATCATTAAATTTGGCTAAAATTTAGTTTATAATTTTTGCACATTTATGATGGATATTGGTCTGTAATTTTCTTTGCTTGTAATGGTATTTTTCTGGTTATCTTCTGACCTCAAAGAATGAGCTAGGAAATATTTCTTCCTTTTCAGTTTTCTGGAAAAATTTGTATAGAATTGGCATGATTTCTTCCTTATACACTTTCTAGTTTCCTTTTCAATTTCTTCTTTGACACATGGGTTACTGAAAAGTATGTTTTAAAATTCAGCATATTTGGGGGATTTTCCTGAGGCCCTTCTATTACTGGTTTTTAATTTAATTACACTGTGGTCAGTGAACTTTGTATGATTCAAATACTTTTTTTTTTTTTTTGAGATGGAGTCTTGCTCAGTTGCCCAGGCTGGAGTGCAATGCAATGGCACGATCTCGGCTCACTGCAACCTCTACCTCCCGGGTTCAAGCGATTCTCCTGTCTTAGCCTGCTGAGTAGCTGGGATTACAGGTGTGCACCACCATGCCCAGCTAATTTTTGTATTTTTGTAGAGACGGGGTTTCACCATGTTGGCCAGGCTGGTCTTGAACTCCTGACCTCAGGTGATCTGCCCGCCTCAGCTTCCTAAAGTGCTGGGATTACAGGTGTGAGCCACTGCGCCCGGCCAAATACTTTTATATGACACAGAATATGGTCTACCTTGGCAAATGTTCAATGTGCACTTGAAAGGAATGTGTAGGCTGCTGTTTTTGGAGTGTTCTATATATGTCAAGTAGGTCAAATTGGTTGACAGTGTGATTCAAATCTGTTATATTCTTACTGATTTTCTGTCTATGGTCTTATCAACTACTGAAAAGGGGGGTATTGAAATCTACAAAAGTTGTAGACTTATTTATTTTTCCTTGTAGTTATATCATTTTTCCCTTAAGTATTTTGAAGCTTTATTATATGTATAAATATTTAGTGCTGTATGTCCTCTTGATTAATTGACTTTTATCATTATGAAATGACTGTCTTTATCTTTCATAGTCTTTGCTCTGAAATCTACTTTGATTACTATAGCCACTCCAGCTTTCTTTTCATTTACGTTAGCATGACATATCTTTCTCCATCCCATTACTTTTAACCAACATATGTCTTCATATTTAAAGTACACTTCTCTCAGGCAGCATGTAAGTGGAGTTAACTTAAAATATCTGTATTTTAATGAAGGTATGTGGACCATTTACATTTAACGTGATTATTGACATGGGTAAATTTAAACCTGTGGTCTTGTTATTTCCCCTTTACTCATTTTCTGTTTTCTTTTTGATATTTTTATTATATTATTTCATAGCTTTCATTGACTTATTAGCCGTAACTCCATTATTTTAGTGTTTGCTTTAGGATTTACAGAATACATATTTAAGTTATTACAATCTACCATCAAGAGCTAGCATATCATTTCACATATAAGAAGTTTATAACACTGTACTTCTGTTCTTCCCTTCTTGACCTTTGTGCTATTGTTGTTATATAATTTATTTTTACATATGTTATAATCCCTGTAGTTCATCATTATCATTTATTTAGTCAGTTATCTTTTTTTTTGAGACAGAGTCTTGCTCTGTCGCCCAGGCTGGAGTACAGTGACGTGATCTCAGCTCACTGCAACCTCCGCCTCCTGAGTTCAAGCGATTCTCCTGCCTCAGCCTCCTGAGTAGCTGGGACTACAGGCGTGACCACCATGCCTGGCTGATTTCTGCATTTTTTAGTAGAGACAGGGTTTCGCCATGTTGGCCAGGCTGGTTTTGAACTGACGTCAGGTGATCCACCCACCTCGGCCTCCCAAAGTGCTGGGATTACAGGTGTGAGCCACTGCACCCAGCCTAGTCAGTTATCTTTTATATAAATATAGAGATTTCTAAAGAGATTTATATTAAGAAAAACCCACGTAGTTACCATTTTCAGTACTCTTCAGTCCTTTGTATAAATTCCTATTTCTTTCTGGCATCATTCTTTTCTGCTTAAATGATGTCATTTAAATTTCTCATAGTGTAGGTCTACAGGTAATGAATTATTTCAGCTTACTGGAAAGGTCTTTAATTGGTCTTTGTTTTTCAGCACTACTTTTGCTGGATATATTAATAGAAACTCTTCGTTGATATATATATATATATATATATATATATATATATACACACACACACACACACACACATATATACACACATATATATACACCTTTTAGTTTTAAAGATGTGGCACAACTGTCTCCTTGCTTGCATTGCTTTCAACAAGAAATCTGTTGTCTTACCTTTGTTCCTTTGTAGATAATATGTCTTTTTTCTCCTCCTCTGGCTGTTTTAAGATTTATCACTGGTTTTGAGCAATGTGATTATAATGTGTACTGGTGCATTTTTTTTTTCAATTTCTTGTGCTTAGGGTTAGTTGAACTTTTTGACTCCATGGGTTTATAATTCTCATAAAGTTTGGATATTTTTGGGTCATAATTTTTCCAAGTATTTTTCTTGTCCCCCACTTTCCTCTGCATTGGGACCTCAATTATATGTATAATAGGCTATTTGATGTTGTCCTACATTTTATTAACTCGTTTTTACATCTTTCTTTTCTGTGTTTCATTATGGATACTTTTTATTGCTACATTTTCAGGTTCACTAAGCACGTCTTGTGTAAGGTCTAATTTGCTGTTAATCCTATTCAGTGTATTTATTATCTCATACACTGTAGTTTTCATCTTTGGAAATTCAATTTGTTTTTTGTTTTTAATATCTTGCACATCCCTCCTTAACTTTTGAGCATGTGAACTACAGCCAAAATAACTTTTAATGACTATGTCTTTTAATTCTAACATCTGTGTCACTCCTGAGTTGGTTTGGAATTGATTTTTCTCCTTATTATGAGCTTTACTTCTCTGCTATTTTATAGACTAGAAATACAGGTAAACCGAATTAAGATAAAATTTCATATAAATAAATGTAAAATCCCACAGTTCATACTGAAATAGCAGTAACAAAGTATAAGATGAAAAAAATATGATTTAAAGGTAGCACATGAGAAAGACACTTTTATTGTTTATAATTATTATGACTATAAGCTGAATTGAGGGAACAATATGATGCAAATGCCAAAAAGTTAATTCAGTCTTGCATGTGTTATTAGAAATAAATATTCTAGAATAAGGGAGATAATCAACTTTCTCTAGTTTGGACTGGCCAAATCATAAGTAGAACAATATAGCTATAGATGGTTTTGAATGAAACTGGCTAACTAAAGAAAGAGTTTGTTACATAAGAAATGGCCAAACAGGGTTCTTACCCTGGAAAAGAAAAAAAAAGTAGCATCAATATGAAAATGAACTTCAAGTATATATTTTAAGGAAGAAGTATTTACCTTGTTTTGTTTCTTCTTACAGAGGTACACTAATAGATGGCTACTAGTGAGTCAATTTTGGCTTAATGTTCAAAGATTCTCTATTGATCAGATGTCTGAAAACGGAATGAGTCTTATATATTCATGCCTATATATGTATAAAATATTTCACAATAAAAATAAATAAAAAAGATTGGATGGAATAATATATGGAAAATGCTTAACACATAGCAGGCATGCAAGGAAAAGGAGAGGGAAAGAAGGGGGAGAAAACTATATGAGTAGTTATACTACTACTTTTGCTTCCTGATACACAGTATTGAATACCTATTATACCCCAGGATTAAAAAATTCCTCTAGGCTGGGCACGGTGGCTCACGCCTGTAATCCCAACACTTTGGGAGGCAGAGGCAGGCGGATCGCCTGAGGCCAGGAGTTCGAGACCAGCCCGGCCAACATGGTGAAAACCCGGTTCTACTAAAATTACAAAAATTAGCCAGGTGTGGTGGCAGGAGCCTGTAATCCCAGCTACTCAGGAGGCTGAGGCAGGAGAATCGC
Organism: Homo sapiens; assembly: GCF_000001405.40. NCBI lineage: Eukaryota > Metazoa > Chordata > Mammalia > Primates > Hominidae > Homo > Homo sapiens. The sequence goes on along the minus strand of NC_000006.12, from coordinate 78,891,562 downwards.
TTGAACCTGGGAGACGGAGGTTGCAGTGAGCCAAGATCACGCCATTGCACTCCAGCCTGGGTGACAAGAGTGAGACTTCGTCTCAAAAAAAAAAAAAAATTCCTCTAAACACTAAGGTTATAACATGAAAATAACATAAAAAGTGGAAAGAGTACTGGTATAGGAATCACAAAGCTAGGATTTTAATCCAACCCTCCTTCCCACATCCATTCATTCACCTACCATTAAAGTCATCACTTAGAACCTTTTTTTAAAATTAAATCAACAGTCAGTGTTTGTACTATTATGATTGTTTACAGCTGAACAATATAGTGTACTATGATTGCATTTCTTTTCTTCTAGTCTTCATTGAATTCCTGGGAGTTAATAATCAGTTCATTTTTATTTGTTTGCTTTCTTAGTTGTACATGTCCTTCAAACCCTCTGACAAAAGCTATAAAATTCAAATAAATAGGTCAAATTAATTGGGTAATCTATGAGTTCCTTTATTTTTTTCTTGGAGGCATTTTACTGAAGCCCTTAGTCCTCCTGTCCCCTGAATCTGGGGACATTCCTTTGCCATTACCTGGGAACTCCTGTTTTTCTCTTTCTTGGTTTGCTTCCTCACGTATGGTAGGGAAATGTTTTGAGACCTTGTATGCAGGAGTGATGTTTCACATTTTTAACATCTTTCAGAGGGCATTAATCCATCAGATCCTGGCCAAATAAAGAACAGTGTGACACTTCTGGTCAGCCCTGTCTGCTTGTCCTTGTATTACCGTCTCCTTCATTGTTTTTTGGCCAGGTAAGGATTTCTAGATTAGACATTGTTTTCTCTCAGAATTGGAAGATGTTGCTGTCTTGCTTTTCAGTTTCTAGCTTCCAGTGTTGACACTGAGAGGTCCAATTGCTGTTCAGATTTCTGACCCTTGGTTTGTGAACTATTTTTCTTTCTCTAGAACTTTTGGAGTCCTTTTATTCCTGGGGTTCTAACATTTCCAATATGCTTTGATGAGTTTGTTGTTGTTGTTGTTCATTGCGCTGGGCACCCACTGGGTCCACTGAATATGGAAATTCAAATCTTGCATTTTAGTAAATTTTGGATAAATTTTTTTGATTATTTTATTCTCTTTCACTCTGTGCTCTCTTTTTGGACTTTTTTTTTTTTTAACTTATACTTTAAGTTCTGGGATACATGTGCAGAACGTGCAGGTTGTTACATACACATGCCCTGGTGGTTTGCTGCATCCATCAACCTGTCATCTACATTAGGTATTTCTCCTAATGCTATCCCTCCCCTAGCCCCCCACCCCCTGACAGGCCCTGGTATGTGATGTTCCCCTCCCTGTGTCCATGTGTTCTCATTGTTCAACTCCCACTTATGATTGAGAACATGCGGTGTTTGATTTCCTGTTCCTGTGTTAGTGTGCTGAGAATGATGGTTTCCAGCTTCATCCATGTCCCCGCAAAGAACATGAACGCATCCTTTTTTATGGCTGCATAGTATTCCATGGTGTATATGTGCCATATTTTCTTAATCCAGTTTATCATTGATGGGCATTTGGGTTGGTTCCAAGTCGTTGCTGTTGTAAATAGTGCTGCAATAAATGTACGTCTACATGTGTCTTTACAGTAGAATGATTTATAATCCTTTGGGTATATATCCAGTAATGAGATTGCTGGGTCAAATGGTATTTCGGGTTTTAGATCCTTGAGGAATTGCCACACTGTCTTCCAAAATGGTTGAACTAATTTACCCTCCCACCAACAGTGTAAAAGTGTTCCTATTTCTCCACATCCTCTCTAGCATCTGTTGTTTCCTGACTTTTTAAAGATTGCCATTCTAACTGACATGAGATGGTATCTCATTGTGGTTTTGATTTGCATTTCTCTAATGACCGGTGATGATGAGCTTTTTTTCATGTTTGCTGGCCGCATAAATGTCTTCTTTTGAGAAGTGTCTGTTCATACCCTCCAACCCACTTTTTGATGGGGATTTTTTTTTTTTTTTGTAAATTTCAGTTCCTTGTAGATTCTGCATATTAGCCCTTTGTCAGATGGATAGCAAGCAAAATTTTTCTCCCATTCTGAAGGTTGCCTCTTCACTCCGATGATGGTTTCTTTTGCTGTGCAGAAGCTCTTTAGTTTACTTAGATCCCATATGTCAATTTTGGCTTTTGTTGCAATTGCTTTTGGTGTTTTAGTTATGAAGTCTTTGCCCATGACTATGTCCTGAATGGTATTGCCTAGGTTTTCTTCTAGGGTTTTTATGGTTTTAGGTTTTACACTTAAGTCTTTAACCCATCTTGAGTTTAATATTTTTATCTTTGAAACAAAGAGAAGCAGCATGGCAGGTGGAAGGTAGATAAAGAATTTCATGCCTTTTGGAATGAAATTTTTGGACATTATGTCAAAAGTAATGTTCCACCATCTAATCTTTCTTTCTTTCTTTTTTTTTTTTTTTTTTGAGACAGAGTCTCACTCTGTTGCCCAGGCTGCAGTGCAGTGGCATGATCTTGACTCATTGGAACCTCTGCCTCCTGGGCTCAAGCAATCCTCCCACCCCAGCTTCCAGAGTAGATGGGTCTACAGGTGCATGCCATCACATCCACCTATTATTGTATTTTTCTGTAGAGAAGGGTTTTACCATGTTGCCCAGGTTGGTCTGGAGCTCCTGGGCTCAAGCAATCCGCCCACCTCAGCCTCCCAAAGTGCTGGGATTAGAGGCATGAGCCACTGTGCCTGGCCTCATCTATTCTTTAAAAAAAATTATTTAGGCCAGGCTAGGTGGCTCATGTCTGTAGTCCTAGCACGTTGGGAGGTCAAGGCAGGCAGATCACTTGAGGTCAGGAGTTGGCCAGACCAGCCTGGCCAACATGGTGAAATCCCATCTCTACTATAAATACAAAAATTAGCCAGGTGCCTGTAATCCCAGCAACTCCAGAGGCTGAGGCAGGAGAATCACTTGAACCTGGGAGGCAGAGGTTACAGTGAGCTGAGATCATGCCACAGCACTTCAGCCTGGGTGACAGAGTGAGACTCCATCTCAAAAAAAAAAAAAAATTGGAGCTGTACTGAGGTGTAATTTATATATAAAAACTGCACATATTTAGAATATACAATTTGATGAGTTTGGACATACGCATACACCTGTGATACTATCACTATAATCAAGACAAAAAACCTATCTATCACGTCCAAAATTTTCCTTGTGTCCTTTGTGTATGTGTATGATAACAACACAACATGAGATCTACCCTCTTAACAAATTTTTAAGTGCACAACACTGTGTTAACTGTAGGCACTACACTGTATAGCCCATATCTAGAATTCATCTGCATAACTGTAACTTTATACCCATTGAGTAAGAAATCCCATTTCCCCTTCCCTCCATTCTTTGGCAACCAGCTTCTATTTTTTGCTTCTATGATATGATTATTTTAGACTCCTCATGTAAGTGGAATAATCCAGTACTTATCATTCTGTTACTGATATTTCTCTTAACATAATGTCTTGCAGGCATAGCAATGTTTCAAATGGTAGGATTTCCCTTTTTTTTAAGGCTAAATAATATTTCATTGTATGTATATAACACATTTTCTTTATCCATTTATCTGTCAATGGACATTTGGGTTGCTTCCATATCTTGGCTATTGTGAATAATGCTGCAATGAACATGCAAATACAGGTATTTTTTCCAGATCCTGATGTCAGTTCTTTTGGATATACACCCAGGAGTGGGATTGCTGGGTCATATCGTAGTTCTATTTTTAATTTTTTGAGGAACCTGTATACTGTTTTCCATAATGGTTACATCATCATACATTCCCACCTGCAGGGCACAAGGGTTCTAATTTTTCCACTTTCTCATCGACACTGTCTTCTGTTGTTGTTGTTGTTGTTTTTGTGTGTGTGTGTGAGATGGAGTCTTGCTCTGTCGCCCAGGCTGGAGTGCAGTGGCACAATCTTGGCTCATTGCAACCTCCACCTCCTGGGTTCAACTGATTCTTCTGTCTCAGCCTCCCGAGTAGCTGTGATTACAGGCGCCCGCCACCACACCTGGCTAATTTTTTTGTATTTTTAGTAGAGATGGGGTTTCACCATATTGGTCAGGCTGGTCTTGAACTCCTGACCTCGTGATCCGCCCACCTCGACCTCCCAAAGTGCTGGGATTACAGGTGAGAGCCATCGCGCCCAGCCAATCTTCTGCTTTTTTGATAATAGCCATTCTAATAGGTGTGAGGTTATAGCTCAATGTAGTTTTGATTTGTATGTCTCAAATAATTAGTGATGCTGAACACCTTTTTCTATACCTTTTGTCCATCTGTATGTCTTCTTTTGATAAATGTCTATTCAAGTCCTTCGTTCATTTTTAAAATCAGGTTATTTGCTTTTCTTCTACTGAGTTGTATAAGTCTACCAACCATCTAATCTCATTCCATATATTTAACAGTACTTAAGAATACTGGTATGTGTTATACATTAGGCTCTAGTGTTTGCTAAATCCATAGTCATAAAGCCACACATTGTTATTAATGCTTAGGTTGGTACATTTTGTATCTTGTGATCCCAATACTTTGGTTTCCACTGACTGCTGGTGCTGACCTAAAGGCAATCATGTATTGGACTGTGTGATATGATATAAATTCTGGCTACCTGGAATCCCTATACAAAATATAATCAGATTCTCTCTTAAGAAATCTGAATATAAAACATTAAAAAGGTAAAGCAGAAGGAAGAGGAGCAGAGTTTAGCCAAACTCTCATTTAGTCATGTTTTAAAACAAGCAGCTCTAATGCTCTCTTTCTGCATCTGAAAGGTCAGTTCCTAGGACAACTCAGTGGTTTCAAACACATTCCAGTTTTCCATGAAGCCTGGCTGTGTAGTTTCTGGAACTGTTTCTTTTTTCTTATTATTCCCTTGGTACCTTCATAATAAACCTCCTTAACTAAGATAACTTGCTTCCATCTATATTTATTACAATCTGAAGTGCTAACAGGTGATAATTACTGGAGGAGTGCTATAACATACTACCAGCTCTTAATCTCTGTAATTTGGATAATTTGGATCAGACTGCTCTTCATACTGTTTTGAAAGGTATTTTTCAGTTCCTACTACTACGAAATAAGTTTTGCCAAGTGGATCCCTAAAATCATAATGAGTAATTTAAAAATTCCTTGACATAGTAAAATTTTAAGTGGAGAAATCACAAAATGATTACAGGAAGCATTGGGGCAACAAACAGAATATTGTGGAAGTTGCTTCTCAAGAGATAAGAATCCAGGGTTCTAATTTCTATCTAATTCTTGTTATATGACCTTTGAGAAATCTGGGCCTAAGTGATTTGAACCTAAAGTCACACCTTTAAAGTCAGAAAAATAATGTATTATCTGCCTGAAGATAGAAACGGGTGATGGAGATACTTTCTACTTCAAAAGACAAAGATTCTCTCATTTGATATACAAGATTTCAATATAAACCCACTCTTCGTTTCTTGTTACAAGGAGGTGGCACGTACTAGGCACGTACTCCAAAATGTTTGGAATCAGAAACAGCAGTCCTGTAACCTAACCACCACTAGAACATACTCTGATTTCACAAAATCCTGGCCATTAAATCTTTAAATATAAGTAAAAAGCATAGGCAGTTGCAGGAACTAAATGTTGTCATTAACTGAGTGTACTGAAAATAGTTTTATTCTTTTTAATTTGTATAAAGGTTGAATGGTTTTCATTTTTAAACAATATTTATCACAATACAGTAAAATTGCACTGAAAAACAAAAGAATGTTGAAAAGCATTTCAAATCCTTTATGTTATGACTTTATTTGCTTTTTATCTAAAAAGAAATTTCTCTCCTGTAGTGTCACCCGCACATTAGGTGATGACAGTACTAAAACTGTATTTAGTGGCAATTAACTGCTATTTCCCACTTGCTGTTTTTATTCCATTTTAAACTTTCTTTTAAATCTCAAGTTTATTTAAAAGCCGAAATAGATATATAACACCAAGATGATTTTGAGAAAAATAATCTTCTATTAATATCATGAGAAGCATTTTTCACCATTCATTTCAGTTCAAGAATAAAAATGACTGTCTCCACAAAATCATGCTGCTTCCAATTATTTGTTAAGTACATACCTCTGCTTCCATGTGATAAGCATTTTCCACTCTCCTAAAATCCTTTGTCACAGTTATATTTTCTGCCTGAAACAGAAAAAGTCCAAGAGTATGATTACTAAATATTTGATGCAATTACTCTAAAACATAAATTAGAAACCTACACTAATTAAAATCAGAAAAACATAAAATATGCAAAAAGAACTTTGCCTGATGTTTTAAAACTTTCCTAAAAGTGACATAAAATGAATTCAGAAATTGATTTTGCTTAAAATTTCATAAATGTCACTCCTTTTATAATTTGAAAATAGTTTTATTCTTTTCAATTTGTATAAAGGTTGAATGGTTTTCATTTTTAAACAATATTTATCACAATACGGTAAAATTGCACTGCAAAACAAAAGAATGTTGAAAAGCATTTCAAATCCTTTATGTTATGACTTGATTTGCTTTTTATCTAAAAAGAAATTTCTCTCCTGTAGGTGTCACCTGCACATTGGGTGATGACAGTACTAAAATTGTATTTAGTGGCAATTAACTGCTATTTCCCACTTGCTGTTTTTATTCCATTTTAAACTATTTCTTAGTTTATATTACCTTATAATGAAAGTATGAAGTTAGGGTGATATCTATGAGCAATTGTTTGCACATAAAGTATACTTAATGTTGAGTGTCAGTGTTTTAAAAAATATTTAATTTACAAATATTTTAATACAAAATTACCAAATACTTATCATGTGCAACTCTGGGCAAGTTACTAAATTTTTTGAGCCTTAGTTTCCACATTTATCAAATCAGGTTAATACCACGTACACCATATAGCATCATTGTGCAGATTTAATGAGAAGTTGTATATCAAGTATTTGGCATAGAGAAGGCACTCACCAAAAGTGGATGCTATACCACTATGATATAAATATTTATTGAAACATCTAACCTGAGCCAGTTTGGTTTTAGAAAAGTACTAATATTTATATATTCTCAGGGTAAATACAAGGCATATAATACTGACAAAAAAGTTGAATTTCTTATTTACTTTCCAAAAGGGTTTTTAAATTCAGTGATTAAAATCTTCAGCTACTCTCATTCTTTGGGGACAAGCAAAACTTATATTTTATGTAATTTTTTTTGTACCTTTCAAAATATATGTTAAATCAATATATGATTATGCCAAGTAATTTAATTATGTTATTTGAAGAAGACATGGTTGCATCTAAATTTTAAGATATAAACTAATTACAAGCAGTTTATGTTATCCAGAAAAATTCTTAAAAGTTTTAACCTAAGTTAAAAGCTTTTGACTCAAGTTCCAAATATCACTCTGATGTCTGTCAGTCCCATGAAAATATTAACACAATATTTTTATTATGAAAGTAATACCTACTCATTGTGGAAAATTTAGAATACAGGTTAAGTACAAAACAGTACGGTAGTTCTCCCTTAAACAGTACAGTAGTTCTCCCTTATCTACAGGGGATAAATTCCAAGACCTCCAGCAGATACCTGAAACCATAGATAGTATCCAACCTTATATATAACATTTTTTTCTGCTCTGATAACCGAGACAGCTACAAGTGACTAATGGGTAGGTAGCACATACAGTACGGATACACACTGAACAAGGTATGATTCACATGCCCAGGTGGGACGGAGCAGGACACAGAGATTTCATCACGCTACTCAGAATGGTGTACAATTTTAAACTTATGGATTATTTCTGGAATTTTACATTTAATATTTTTGGACCAAGACTGACTGCAAGAATTAGGGGTCTGTACTATATATATTGCTTGCAATCACTTTTTCACTTAACATGAAACTTTTTTGTCATTTAATATTTTATGACATGTAAACATATGTCATAAAACATGTCTCATTTTTCACTTTTCTCCCACTTCACTTGATAAACTTCTGATTGAAAAATTATTAGAGAGATAATTTTATGAAAGGTAATTGGAAAGAAAAGTATCTTTTATTGCTATTTTTGTTTTTAATAGTGTTTTTAAAATAAAAATACATGCTAATCAAAGAAAATCTAATACTAGAGAAAATAATCAAAAAGTAATAACATTCTCAAACCCCATTACTGTTAATATTTTAGTAAACATTTTAATAAACCATCAATGCATATAAATGTATCTAGATCTATATACAGACTTTTTCATAAATAAAATTATATTCTACATTTTGTTCTTAACTACTGATTGACAGGGTCTTGCTTTGCTGTCCAGGCTGCAGTGTAGTGGTACAAGCATGGCTCACCGTAATCTTGAACTCCTGAGCTCAAGCAATCTTTCTGCCTCAGCCTCCTGAGTAGCTAGGAGGATAACAGGCACATACCACCATGCCCAGATTTTCTAAAAAAATTTTTGTAGAGATAGGATCTTGCTATTTTGCCTAGGGTGGTCTCAAATTCCTGGCCTCAAGTGATCCTTCCACCTTAGACTCTCAAAGTGCTGGGATTACAGGCATGAGACATCACACTTGGCCTGAACTTTTTAAAATAAACTTTTAATTTTGAAATAATTTTAAATTTACAGAGAAGTTACCAAGATAGTACAGAGGTCCCATCTACCTCACTTTCAGACTTCTCTGATGTTAATATTATAGTACATCTGTCTAAACTAAAAAGCCAACATTAGTAGATTACCATTAACAAAACTCCAAACTTTATTTGGATTTCACCAGTTTTTCTATTAAATGTCCTTTTTACTACCACAGGATCAAATCCATGATACTGTATTGCATTAATTCATCAAGTCTCCTTAGTCTCCTCTGGTCTCTTGATAGTTTCTCAGTCTTCCTTTGTTTTTCATGACCTTGAAAGTTTTGGTCATGTATTTTGCAGAATGTCCCTCATTTTGACATTGATGTTTTCTCATGATTAGACTAGAGTTATAAATTTTAGGAAAGAATACCATAGAGGTGAAATGCCTTTTTAATCACAACACATCAGGCAGTACATGGTATCCACATGACACTACTCCAAATACTAATACTGGTCACTTGGGTAAAGTAGTGTTTGCCAGTTTCCTCCACTGTAAAGTTACTATTTTCCCCTTTCCATACTTTATTAATTGGAAGCATGTCACTAAGTGCAGCCCACACTCACTCAATAAATACTACTTTATTTCTTTTGTTGCTCAATTGTTCTAGCTTTGGCCATTGGGACTTCTTTCAGGTTGGCTCCTTTATCTGTTTGACATACCCCTTTCCTTTACTTTTTGAGCACTTTCTTACTTTCTGTTGCAAGATATTATAGGCTTATGCAGTTTCCTTGCCCCAGTCCTAGAATAAGCCCTTTCTCCAAGAAGCATAGTACCTTTTCTTTGAGATTTATGTAGAACCAAGATCTGAATGCTGAGACTGCTCACTGCTATTGGGGTGTCATTCCTTCTAGGCTCTCTCAGTGGACAGAGCTAGGTTACATATATATATGCATAGACATATATATACGCACACAGATACTAACTTACATGTAAAATTTTCTGTATTTTTCCACCTGTACAATATACAAAGGTAAACATGAGTTCACACTGATGTTTTCAACTCTAATCCTGAATCACAGAATTCATTTTAACCTTCCATTTTTATCTGTAACTTCCCTCTCTGATAGTGAGAAACCTGGCTCCCACCATCCACTATCCACTTATTTATTTGTTTAACCCCAGTATATACATGTAAAGCACTTTCAGACTTATTAACAAATACCCCTTTGGAAAACTTATTTACCAACTAGAGCATGGAGTTTTTGTATCTTTATTCTTCATCCTTATAATTTCCAGTCAAAACACCATTTTCCAGTAATTTAGGACAGTCCCTGCCCCTATCACCTTAAGCACAGTTATGTCACTCATTTGTAAGAACTGGGTTCATTTGTCAAGAGAATAAATTTTATCCTGGGATTGATCCTGTGATAGGCTCTTTGATGCCTTTTTCCTCCAGTTTACATACATCAAGCTTCACTATTTGTGATTTACAGCTCTATGAGGTTTGACAAATGCATAAAGTCATGTATGTACCACTCCAGTACCATAAAGAATAGTTCTTTCACCTTAAAAATTTCTCCGTGCATCTCTTTTAGTCAACCACTTTGCCCTCCAACAGATTGTTAACCACTAATCTGTTTTCGTTCCCCATAGTTTTGCTTTTCTCCAGAAGATCATATGAATAGAATCATAAAATTCAAAGCTTTTGGGTCTGGCTTCTTTCACTGACTAATATGCAGCTAAATTCACTCACATTGTTTTGTGAATCAATTCTCATTCCTTTTTATTGCTGAATAATATTCTTTTGCATGGATGTACCACAATTTTTTTAATCCATGCCACTGCTGAAAGACATCTTGGCTGCTTCCAGTTTTAGAAGTTATGAATAAAGCTGCTATAAACATTTGTGTACAGATTCTTATATGTACTTACGTTTTCAATTCACTTCGGCAAATTATCCTAGAATGCTGACTTCTATGGTAAGTCTATATTTAACTTATAAGAAACTATAAGACTACCTTCCAAAGTGGCCATATAATTTTGCAATCTCACCAGCAATGAACGAGAATTCCTGTTGCTCTGTATCCTTCCCAGCATTTGGTATCAGTGTTACTGTATTTAAGCCATTCTAATAGGTACATAGCAGTATTTCATTGTGGTTTTATTTTCCATTTCCCTATTGACAAGTAATGTTGAGTATCTTTTCATGTGCCTATTTGCCATCTGTATAAGTTCCTTGGCGAAGTGTCTGTTAAGATCTTTTGTGCATTTTTATTGAGCTGTTTGTTACTGCTGAATTGAGGTCTATATATGTTCTTGATACAAGTCCTTCATCAGCTATGTAATTTACAAATATTTTCTCCCAGTCTATAGACTGACTTTTCATTTTCTTAACAGATACAAGTCCTTTATCAGCTATGTAATTTACAAATATTTTCTCCCAGTCTATAGATTGACTTTTCATTTTCTTAACAATGTTTTTCACAAAGTGAGTTTTTAATTGTCATAAAATACAATTTATCTTTTTGTTTGTTTCATGGACTGTGCTTTTTGGTAACACAGGTTGAGCATCCTAAATGTGAAAATCCAAAATTCGAAAAGCTCAAAAATTCAAAACTTGTTTTTAAGCACAAACATGATGCTCAAAGAAAATGCTCTTTGGAGAATTTTGAATTTTAGATTTTTGGATTTGGGATATTCAATCATTAAGTATATAATGCAAATATTCCAAAATAAAAATCTGAAATCTGAAACATTTCTGGTCCCAACATTTCAGATAAGGGATACTCAACCTCTGTATCTAAAAACTCATCTTCAATCCCAAGGTCACATAGATTTTCTCCTTTTCTTTTTTTCTAGAAGTTTTGTGTTTTACTGTTGGGAAAGGCAATCTCATGCTATAGTCTTTTGATCTACACTCAACTGCCCAGGAATGGGCTGTGGCCCTGGAACACTTGCTTACTAAGAGATAAAGTATCTTTCAGAGCTTGTGCTGGGCTTGTTTCCTTGTATGGGAATACCTTCCCCATTTCAGACTCAATATGTACTTTTTGCTTCTACTTAAAGGTTGTATGTCATATGACACCTGACCAACCTCACTACTATATCTGTACCCTGCAGGAAGGGGACTGAGTCCTTCTGTTGCAGCACAAGAGATGTGCATGTAGGTCAACTGCCCCTGCATTAGCTGCTGGGAAGCAGTTGCTGGCCATGGGGGACTGACATGTACTACTGACTCTGATGTCACTCTTGTCTTTTCTCTACATAAGTAAGGTTTGTTCCATCCAGTGCTTGACTGCATTGTGTTTTCTTGGTGACTCTCATACCAAAATGCAGTGGGCAGAAGTGCTTGGACTTCTATCCTGGTAACAGGCAACAGATGCTACATGCTCAATATTGACCAATTTTGAACAAAGTTTTGTATAAGGTGTGAGGTGAGTGTGGAGGTTCATTTTTTTGCATACAGACATTTGACTGTTGCAGCAACATTTGTTGAAAAGACTCCTTTCTTTATCGAATTGCTTCTACACTTCTATTGTTTTTCTCTCTGAAAAACAATCTTAGAACCAGTAAAATACTTATTTACTTTAGCCCAGTGATTTTTTTATTTTTTTAAAATTTTTATTATTATACTTTAAGTTCTACAGTACATGTGCACAACGTGCAGGTTTGTTACATACGTATACATGTGCCATTTTGGTGTGCTGCACCCATTAACTCGTCATTTACATTAGGTGTATCTCCTAATGCTATCCCTACCCCCTACCCCCACCCCAAGACAGGCCCTGGTGTGTGATGTTCCCCATCCTGTGTCCAAGTGTTCTCATTGTTCAGTTCCCACCTTTGAGTGAGAACTCAACCTAGCCTTGCTAGGTTGGGGAAGTTCTCCTGGATAATATCGTGAAGAGTGTTTTCCAACTTGGTTCCATTCTCCCCGTCACTTTCAGGTACACCAATCAGACGTAGATTTGGTCTTTTCACATAGTCGCATATTTCTTGGAGGCTTTGTTCGTTTATTTTTACTCTTTTTTCTGTAAACTTCTCACTTCATTTCATTCATTTGATCTTCCACCACTGATACCCTTTCTTCCAGTTCATCTAATCGGCTACTGAAGCTTGTGCATGCGTCACGTAGTTCTTGTGCCATGGTTTTCAGCTCCATCAGGTCATTTAAGGTCTTCTCTACGCCGTTTATTCTAGTTAGCCATTCATCTAATCTTTTTTCAAGGTTTTTAGCTTCTTTGCAATGGGTCTGAACATCCTCTTTTAGGTCGGAGAAGTTTGTTATTACCGATCGTCTGAAGCCTTCTTCTCTCAACTTGTCAAAGTCATTCTCAGTCCAGCTTTGTTCTGTTGCTGGCGAGGAGCTGCATTCCTTTGGAGGAGAAAAGGCACTCTGATTTTTAGAATTTTCAGCTTTTCTGCTCTGGTTTCTCCCCATCTTTGTGGTTTGATCTACCTTTGGTCTTTGATGATGGTGACGTACAGATGGGGTTTTGTTGTGGATGTCCTTTCTGTTAGTTTTCATTCTAACAGTCAGGACCCTTAGCTGCAGGTCTGTTGGAATTTGCTGAAGGTCCACTCCAGACCCTGTTTGCCTGGGTATCAGCAGCGGAGGCTGCAGAACAGCAAATACTGCAGAACAGCAAACGTTGCTGCCTGATCTTTCCTCTGGAAGCTTCGTCTCAGATGGACACCCTCTGAGACGTATGAGGTGTCAGTTGGCCCCTACTGGGAGGTGCCTCCCAGTTAGGCTACTCGGGGGTCAGAGACCCTCTTGAGGAGGCAGTCTGTCCGTTCTCAGATCTCAAACTCCGTGCTGGGAGAACCACTACTCTCTTCAAGGCTGTCAGACAGGTACATTTAAGTCTGCAGAAGTTTCTGCTGCCTTTTGTTCAGCTATGCCCTGCCCCAGAGGTGGAGTCTACAGTGGCAGGCAGGTCTCCTTGAGCTGTGGTGGGATCCACCCAGTTTGAGCTTCCCGGCTGCTTTTTTTTTTTACCTACTCAAGCCTCAGCAATGGCGGAGCCCCTCCCCCTCCCTCACTGCTGCCTTACAGTTCGATATCAGACTGCTGTGCTAGCAGCAAGAGAGGCTCTGTGGGTGTGGGACCCTCTGAGCCAGGTGCGGGATATAATCTCCTGGTGTGTCGTTTGCTAAGACTGTTGGAAAAGCACAGTATTAGGGTGGGAGTGACCCGATTTTCCAGGTGCCGTCTGTCACGGGTTCCCTTGGCTAGGAAAGGGAATTCCCCGACCCCTTGCACTTCCCGGGTAAGGTGATGCCTCGCCCTGCTTCGGCTCACGCTCCATGGGCTGCACCCACTGTCCCGCACCCACTGTCTGACAAGCCCTAGTGAGATGAACCCAGTACCTCAGTTGGAAATGCAGAAATCACCCGTCTTCTGCATCGCTCACGCTGGGAGCTGTAGACTGGAGCTGTTCCTATTTGGCCATCTTGGAACCTATGCCAGCCCAGTAGTTTTTAAAGGGAAGTGTGTGCAGTCTGAAAACAACCCATATAAGAAGACAGTTATCTTGCTTCTCTATATAGTAAAATATCTGATATATTTTGAAATTCTAAATAATATTACAGGGAATGGAGAAATAAAAATTGCCTGTTGACAATCAGATGGAGAAGGTCTAAGCAGAACATAAACAATGTTTCCAGAGGACATAGAATCTAAGAAAGTTTTTAACAGAGCCAAAGTTTCTAACAGAAACTAACAGACCTGCAACCACAAGAAATAATTAACATTCTTTTTCTGCTTGATTGCTGTGCCTTTACTAAAGGCACACCTAGCCTAACTGTAATCCTCTGGGTTTCCTATGAAAAAATTAATAAAATAGCCAATCACCAAACTGTCCCTGTCTGCTTCACTGATCCTTTCCTGGAACTACTCAGCACAAGGCCAAAACCTTTAAGAGGCTCCTCCTGAATACCTGTTTCTGAAACACTCCTAAGGTCCTTTGGGATGCATTATTCTTTGTTGCATCATGCTAAATAAACCTAACTTTGTTTCACTATAGATACGTTTCTGATAGTCTGGCTGGTGGGTTCCAACACAGAGTATGAGATTTTTTGTTTATCTATAGGGCAGTGGTTCTCCACCAGATGATTTTGCCCTAGGGGACATCTGCCAATGCCTGGAGACATTTTTTATTGTCACAGCTGGGGAAGAGGAATACACTACTAAGTGGATACACAAGATGATCAAGTGTCCCTGTGAACCTCAAACTGAGGAGGTTCCTCAGACATGGACCTGCCAGTTTTAAAACTTGAACAGTTTCAGGTAAAGGAGGACATGCTGGTCACCCCATGGGTAGGGGCCAGGAATGCTGTTAAATATCCTACAATGCACAGGACAGCCCCCAACAACAACGAGTTATCCAATCCATAATGTTAATACTGCCAAGATTGAGAAAGCCTGCTATAAGGGGCACAAAACTGAAAAATATTGAAATATATCAGCCTACTCTGCTAAGTTTTCTTGATTAAGCTACTGTTTATTTCTAAATACAAAAGGCAGAGTTTTAAGACAAAATGGTCAAGACAGGAATAACTACTTAAGTAATATGGGTGTATTAGTCCATTTTCACGCTGCTATAAAGATACTACCTGAGTTTGGGTAATTTATAAACAAATGAGGTTTGACTCTCAGTTCCACATGGCTGGGGAGGCCTCAGGAAACTTACAACCATGGCAGAAGGCAAAGGGGAAGCAAGGCACGTCTTACATGTTGGCAGGAGAGAGAGAGAGAGTGATAAAGTGTCACACTTTAAAGCATCAGCTCTCATGAGAACTCCCTCACTCTTACAAGAACAGCACGGAGGAAACTGCCCCCATAGTTCAATTACCTCCCATCAGATCCCCCCCTTGACACATAGGGATTACAATTCTAGATGAAATTTGGGTGGGGACACAGAGCCAAACCATATCAATAGGGAAGCACAAATCATGATGATAACAATCTCAATAGCCATAAAAATTATTTTCATAGGAATAAAATTTAAAAAAGTAAACAAGAAGAAAACCATAAAACTTTAAACAGTCTTTTAAAATCTTCTGGGAAAACATCTCATCTATTCAATATATATATTTTTATTTATTTATTTTAGATTCAGAAGGTACATGTGCATGTTTGTTACATGGGTACATTGCGTGATGCTGAGGTGTGGGGTACAACTGATCCCGTTGCCCAAGTAGGAAACACTACGTGGTTACTTTTTCAACCACTTCTGTGCTCCCTCCCTACTTTTGGAGTTCCCAGTGTTTATTGTTCTTATCTTTGGGTCCATGTGTACCCAATGTTTACTTCTCACTTATAAGTGAGAATATGTGGTTTTCTGTTTCTGCACTGGGGTAGGATAATGGCTTCAAGCCTTATCCATATTACTGCAAAGTACATGATTTTGTTCTTTTTTATGGCTACACAGTATTTCATTGTGTATAAGCATCACATTTTCTTTATCTAATCCATTGTTGATGGGCACCTGGGTTGATTCCATGTATTTGCTATTGTGAATAGTGCTGCAATAAACATACAAGTGAATGTGTCTTTTTGGTAGAACGATTTATTTACCTTTGGGTATAGGCCCGGCAAAGAGATTGCCAGGTCAAATGGTAATTTTATTTCTAGTTCTTTGAGAAATCTCCAAACTGCTGTTCACAGTGGCAGAACTAATTTACATTTCCACCAAGAGTATAAGCACTCCTCTTTCTCTACAATCTTGCCAATATCTGTTATTTTTTGACTTTTTAATAAAAGCCATTCTTACTAGTGTGAGACGGTATTTCACTGTGGTTTTGATTTGCATCTTTCCAATGACTGGTGATGCTGAGCACTTTTCCATGTGTTTGCTGGCTGCTTGTATGGTTTCTTTTGAGAAGTGTCTACTCATTTCCTTTGCCCACTTTTTCACGAGATTGTTTTTTTTCCTGCTTATTCCTTATAGGATTCTGGACATTAGACCTTTGTCAGATGCATAGTTTGCAAATATTTTCTCCCATTCTATAGTGTTTCTGTTTACTCTGTTGATAGTTTCATTTGCTGTGCAGAAGCTCTTTAGTTTAATTAAGTCCCATTTGTCTATTTTTTATTTTGTTGCATTTGCTTTTGGGGTCTTCATCAAAAATTCTTTGCCTAGGTCAATGTCTAGAAGAGTATTTCCTAGAAAACCAAAAAACTTTACAGAAAAACAAAGCATTTAAATAAATGGACTGGGACACAACACTGTAAAATCAGCCATTATCCTGAAATTAATTTGTAAACTGAATGCAAAATATAAATAGAAATTTTTTGTATAGAAATTTTCCACCCTCTGGAATTTCTGACTATAATTTCATGTTGTCACTTAAAATGTCCCTCTGTTCCTTGCAGACAGGGAATTTTTTTCAGAAGAGTAATGAGGGGAGAACTTGCCCTACAAATGCTTTATGAAGATAATAATTTAAACAGGATAGTACTGGCACAGGACCGTAACAAGGATCAAATGAACTAATTAATTCTGTAACTAATTCAAGAACATCTGAAGATTACAAATAGCAATAAACAGTAACATTTCAAAGCAGTAGGTAAAACAAGAAATACAGAATCCTCATGTCATACACTCTTCCCCTACTACCTCTGAGCAGTAACTATGTGATTCAGGGTAAGCCGTAATAGGTTTAAACTACTTAGGATGATCACATCTGATTTGCTATAGGATTAGGTTAAAAGATGGACAGAAATCCATATCTAAGCTAATTGGTCTGGCATTTCTCTGGCCACAAAAATAAGTTTAGGTTGTCTATTTAGAGTGAACTGTAGGATTTTTTAAAATAAATATGGTTGCAGGAAACAAAGACTATTGTTTTTCTTTTTAAGCTATGGTATAAGATGTAAGGCTTGGGAATGTTGCAGCCATTTTAGTATCATGCAGGAAGATGAAGGTAAAGCCAAGAGAACTACATCAAAGTATGCAGAGCCTTGACAATGAAAGCCCATATTACAACTTGACTTTCAATTACGTAAAGCAAGGTTCTTGCATGTGTAGTAAAGGAAAGACAGACTTCAGTAAATGGTGTCAGTTCAGCTACTTACCTATTTAAGAGAAAACAAAACTCTTATCCTTATACCAAAGTAAATTCCAAGCACAGTACACATATCTAATATACTACAAAGGTTCCTTAAGAGACCAGGAAATATTAGTTAATAGTTCTATAAGGCTAGGTGTGGTGGCTCATGCCTGGCATTCCAGTGCTTCAGGAGGGCAAGGTGAGAGGATTGCTTGAGGCCAGGAGTTTGAGACCAGCCTGGACAACATAGTAAGACCCCGTCTCTATAAAAAATTAGCTGGGCATGGAGGTGCGTGCCTGTAGTCCTAGCTATTTGGGAGGCTGAGGTGGGAGGATAGCTTGAGCCCCGGAGTTTTAGGCTGCAGTGAACAATGATAGTAATCACCCTACTCCATACTGGGCAACAGAATGAGACCCTGTGTTTAAAAAAAAAAAGTTATATAGCTTTATGCTTGAGAAGAACCCAATACACCCAATAAACATTATATACAAAGGTAGAAAAAAATACAGAAAAAAATTAATGAATTTGGCTAAACAAAACTTTAAGATTTTGAAAGTTCAATACTATAAACTAAGTTATACAGCAAATAAAAAACTGAGAAAATTTTTTGCAATATATGACAGGTTATTTACAATCTTTTTTTTTTTTTTTTTTTTTTTTTTTGAGACAGAGTTTCACTCTGTTGCCTAGGCTGGAGTGCAGTGGCGTGATCTCAGCTCACTGCCACCTCTGCCTCCTGGGCTCAAGTGATTCTCCTGCCTCAGCCTCCGGAGTAGCTGAGACACAGGCGCCCACCACCATGCCTGGCTAATTTTTATATTTTTAGTAGAAACAGGGATTCACCGTGTTAGCTAGGCTGGCCTTGAACTCCTGATCTCAAGTAATCCGCCTGCCTCAGACTCCCAAAGTGCTGGGATTACAGGCATGAGCCATCGTGCCTGGCCAGGTTACTTATAATCTTAATTTTTAAGGTTCTTATCAATTTAATAAGGTAAAGACAATAGAAAAATGGGCAAAATATTGTGAACTAGAAATTTATATTTAAAAAGTTTAAGTTCAAATGATAAAAAAGAAATGGCAGTATCATTTCTTGGACTGCTAAGTTGGCAAAATTACAGAAGAAAATAATGCCTACTGTGCCAAGTGAAGATGTAAACGTATATTTTTAGAGTACAATTTTTCATAAGCCTTCAAATATACATAATCCAGGAATTAATGTCCAAAGAACATTACCAGTTGAGGATCCCTAATCCGAAAATCCAAAATGCTCCAAAATCTTAAACTTTTTGAGTGCCAACATGACACTCAAAGGAAACTGGAGCATTTTGAATTTTGGATTTCCAGATTACAAATATTCCACTGGTACATATAAAATATAAATATTCCCAAATCCACAACTTCCAAAATCCAAAACATTTCTGGTAAAGCATTTTGGATGGGATGCTTAACCTGTAATTAAGGACATGTATAAATATATAGCTTACGAGGACATTCATGTTGTGACCATTTTTAATAATGAAAAACTTTAGCCAATGCCTATGTTCAATTTGTTGCCACTACTTCTTATCTTAATTTGGGTGCCCCTAGAAACATATCCTAAGACAAAGATTTGCATACAGTTAATTTTGAAGGTGATCCCAAAAAACACCATTAACAGAGTGGGATGCAAGACAGATAAGGAAAGAAAGGCACTAAAGGATATGTTGTCAAGCAAATTACCGCTGTGGTCAGCTCAAATTTAATCCTGCAGAGAAACTCTAGGAACCAGGGTGGAACACATACCTCAGAATTATCCGACCCCAAGGGGTGAAGATGCTGGGGTCTCTTTCCATTCATTTCCCTCAGTCATTCTAGTTCTACATTAGCCTTCAGATGAAGGCTGCTGGGGCTGGGGGAGAGGACTTTAATTCCCTGGCATTACACTCTGGCCCCATTTGCAGAGAGTGGATTCCGGCAGCCAGGGAAAGCTTTCACTTTCAGGCAAAGAATTTACAAATGTTGTCAGATGGAAGCTGGGCCTGCATGCACACAAATGTGAAGTGCCAAAGGATACAAGTAGTGGTATCAATAGCATCAGTGACATCTTCCCTACCTAAAATCTCAATTATCCACTGTCAAGAGAATAAAGAAGCAACATCCTGTAGTGGTTAAGAGCATGGACCCTAAAGTTAAAATTCTGCCACTTCCTGGCTGTGACCGTGTGCAAGCAACCTGCCAATAATCACTCTGGTCCTTGGAGTTCTCATCTATAAACAGCCCTATCCTCATGTCCCAATCACCTCCTAAAAGCCTCCTCCGAATACCATCATACTTGGGATTAGGTTTCAACTATAAATTTTGGGGGGAAACAAACATTTAGTCCATTGCAAGAACTATATGCCTTGATGTGTCATGATGTAAGGTAAGTTCTCGTCTGCTGTTCCTGTGGAATACCTCCTACTGGGTGTCATGGTGGCTGAGGTGGTCTGTTGTGAAGCAAAAAGGAGAAAAGGTGTCTGTCTTTTGGTTGCACTGTGTTAAAGGAATCTTACAGTAGTCTTGCTCATACTGCAATGGGTTAAAGGGGTTAAACACTCCCTTCAGCATTTACTCCTAGTCCTCTCTTGCACTAGAACTTAGATATGCATCCTGAGTGACCGAAACACTTTTGTGAGGGAGGACCAGACATTGTGAGGTCATTTTATGCCTACAGTTGGAGAGAGAAGAAAATAAAGGGGAAGCAGAGATATCAGGGTAATTCTTGGTAGCATTCACTATATACCAAATCTACTGGCTCCTTGATCTTGGATGCCCAGATTCCAGAACTGTAAGATACACATTTCTGTTGTTTATAAGCTACCCAGGCTATGGTTTTTCATTACAGCAGACCAAACAAACTAAGACAATATAAAGTATTGTTTAAAAATGAACAATGGGCCAGGCGCAGTGGCTCACGCCTGTAATCCCAGCATTTTGGGAGGTTGAGGTGGGGGATCAGTCAGGAGTTCGAGACCAGCCTGGCCAACACAGTGAAACCCCATCTCTACTAAACATACAAAAATTACCAGGCGTGGTGGCAGGCGCCTGTAATCCCAGCTACTTGGGAGGCTGAGGCAGGAGAATTGCTTGAACCTGGGAGGCGGAGGTTGCAGTGAGCCTAGACTGCCTCCATTGTACTCCAGCCTGGGCGACAAAAGCGAAACTCCATCTCAAAAAAAAACAAAAACCAAAAACAAAAATGAACAATGAAAAGAAAGGCTTAATGTTTGTTGGTTGAATGAGTAAATATTGCTTAGAACTTTAAAACACTTTTCAATGAAAACCACGCTAGAAGTAAGGATTATACCTTCACACAAGTTCATAAATCTATGATCTATACCATAGCTGAATAATTTGTTCACTTATTGTTTCATTTTTTTTCTATTATTCATTCAGAAGGCATTTTCTGAGTACACATTATGTGAAGTGTATGGACCATAACTCATACAGGCAAAAAAAGAACAAATGGTCTTGGCTCTGGAGAAGTTTAGAATATGGAGGAGAAACAAGTAAATTAAGAATTATGATACAGGATAAGTTTTTATTACAAGTATAGGGAGTGAAGTGTTGCATGGCAGGGATTAGTGTTATATTAGGAAAGGAATGCCAAGAAGGTGAATTTGGGCTGATTCTTTTCTTTTCTTTTTTTTTTTGAGACAGTGTCTCACTTCCATAGCTCAGACTTGGGCTAATTCTTAAAGAAAAATACAATAGAGGGGAGGAAGATATGATAGGAGATGAGGATAGTCAGGCTCCATCTTTTTTTTTTTTTTTTTTTTTTTTTTTTTTTGGGACGGAGTTTCACTCTTGTTGCCCAGGCTGGAGTGCAATGGCACGAACTCAGCTGACTGCAACCTCCGCCTCCTGGGTTCAAGCAATTCTCCTGCCTCAGCCTCACAAGTAACTGGGATTACAGGCATGCACCACCATGCTTGGCTAATTTTGGTATTTTTAGTAGAGACGAGATTTCACCATGTTGGTCAGGCTGGTCTTGAACTCCTCACCTCAGGTGATCTGCCCTCCTCGGCCTCCCAAAGTGATGGGATTACAGGCGTGAGCCACCACGCCCGGCTCAGGCTCCATCTTTTAAGCAAAGGAGTTTGGATTATGAGGAGCCCTTTAAGCAGGGAAGTGATGTTTATAAATCTTACAGCTCAGAATTCTAAAGTTTAAAATGAATACAGACTTTGTGAAGACCCATAATTCATTCTGAAAATATAAATGATATTTTGTATTATCTCCTGAACAAATTATCTACCTGACTGCTTTCATCCATTAGCAGAGATAATTGGGAGGTTACTGTCTTTCTTATGTCTTGCCTTGAACACTGAATCTTGATTACTCTAAGTTGGACTTAGTTAATTTATTTACTTACTACTTATTTGAGACAGAGTCTCTGTCACCCAAGCTGGAGTGCAGTGGCACCATCTCGGCTCACTGAAACCTTCGCCTCCCGGATTCAAGAGATTTTCCTGCCTCAGTCACCCTAGTAGCTGGGATTACAGGACTGTGCCACCATGCCCACCTAATTTTTGTATTTTTACTAGAGATTGGGTTTTGCCATGTTGGCCAGGCTGGTCTCGAACTCCTGGCCTCAAGTGATCCACCTGCCTTGGCCTCCCAAAGTGTTGGCATTACAGGCATGAGCCACCATGCCCAGCTTATGTTGTTTTATATATTAGAGACCTGTGAGCTCTTTTTATTTTATGTAAATAACTTAAAAACTTGTTAACATTATTCAAACGACTACAGCACTAGTAGCAGTTTTTTAAAACTATTTTTCTACATATTAAACCCACTTTACTCACATTATTTATAATTATCTGTATTTTTCTAAATTGTAAAATCATTTGAAGAAATCTTGTCCAAATGACTTTGTAATAACTTGTATGTTTGTATTATAAATGCAATTCAAATATCTTTTCTTGTTAAAAATAAGGACTTGCTTTTTCGGGGTATGGAATTTCTTGCAATAGACTGGAAGTAACAATGCCTGCACTTTTACCAACTCAATGTCATCCTGGATAAGTTACATCTCTGGCCTTTGGGGTCCTACTCTATAAAATGAGAAAACTGAAATCGTTGATCCCTATGATTTCTAATTTTCTTTCATTCTAATTATCGGCAGAATTGGAAGCAACTTACATTCTGGTTTCAGGAATACATGAGTTCAAATATTGCTCTACCTAAAGTTCAGAGCATTGTTTAACCTCTTTAAATTTGGAAAACAGGGATATTAAAACATGCCTAACAGTGCTATTGTGTGGATTAAATGATGGCTTCATTTTTTTTCTTGCCTTAGGAGTAGGCTTAAGGTAAGATTTGTTTAGTGATTTGTCTCATGGACATCTCCGTTAAGTAAGTAGAAGTATTTCGTATATGTGGTATCCACAATACTGGCTTGATTTTTTCTTTTAAGTTAAACCTAAGAAGGCCGAAGAAATTTTGGGGGAATCACTATAAAATGAAAATCATTATAAAATGAAAATGGACGCAACTTCTTCCCCACTTCCCAACGTTACTGTTTGCGGAACATACTCAAGAACCATTCCATGCAAAGTTTTACATGATCGGAAGGAAGCAGGTCGTGCTCTTCACTTGCCAATTCCATGGTGCGGAATAAAAACAAAACAAAACAAAATATTTAGTGTCCAGCACTCCACGTGGGCAAGTATTTACAACTAACATTTCAAGTTTTAACATTTCATCACTTTAAATTTAAAAACAAAATCACTGAAGCAAATATCCCCAGATAAAAACCTACCCAATTTGCATTCTTTTATTTTTAATTTGCCTGAGGCCAATAATTACCTTCGTCTAGGAGAAGAATGGGTCAAATATTCACTCTGCCAGGTCCTGGCGTCCCGGAGTACCTTTGCAACAAACGCGTCCTAAACGCTCCAGACCCTCCACATCTCCCTTCCCGCTAGGGGGGCCTGTGGGGCCCGACCATCTGCCAACCCTTTTGTGTCTTCCGGCTCTTATTTCCTCCCCCGCGGAGATCTCACCTGCACGCCCTGCTGCTGGAGGCTCTGCGTGATGTAATCTAGACGGCGACAAACGCTCTTTTTGGCCTCGGCTGCCGCCTCCTTGGTGCTGCTCACTCGCACCACCACCTGCGCCCGGTCAGGGCCCGCAGACACTTCTGAGGTGCCGCTTACTTGCACCTCGCGGGTAGCAGTTTGGGCTTGTGTTGAGGAGAGGGGGTGGCGTAAGCCCGGTAGCGTCTCTCTCCCTGAGGCCAGGTTGTTCTCCCGGCTCCGGTCAGCCCAGGGAACCAGTTCCACGAACACTCGGGTCGGAGGGGTCTTTTGCAGAGACATAGCGATGGCAGCTGGGTTTCCATAGTAACTACCGGCCGACGGCGGCCGAAGGGGCCAATGCGCACCAGGGCTTGCCTGTGCACGGCGCAAAGTATGCCGGGATGGGTGTGGAGGCCGCGGAACTTCTGGCGGGCGCAAGCTATATGCCTTGTTGATCTTGCCGCATCTTTTTTACTAGATGTCGGCTGAGTGAGTAGCTACAGTTTTTAACATGTTTAACTTACGGCCTTCAAAAATTGTTAGCGGACTTTCTCTGTTGCCTCCTCAGTGAGCTCTGCCCTTTCTCGCAACTCCTTGTCGTCCCACCGCGCCTCTGCACCTCAGAGGAAGGAGAAGAGTAGCGAGGCCGAGCGGGTTTTTAGATTTCTCTGTGATTACCCCCAGCCTTGTCTTTTCTGACTTTACCGTCCCCGCTTGGGGTACTGCTTTTTGAGGCTCCCTCGGCCACATTTTTGTGGTTCGTGAGAGGTTTCAGTTGAGGTGAACTTTTTGCCCCTGTGATCTTGGACAGTTTATGATTCTTCATATCTCAGTATCATCTTCTCTAAAGCAGGGTTGATAATATTTTTTATATTAGTAATATATAATATATTCTAATATATATAATATATTCTAATATATAATATATTCTAATATATATAATATATTAATATTATCAAAGCAATGTTGATAATATTTTTCACATTTGCTATGTGCTTATAAGGCGCCCATTGTATGTAGAGTGCGTTGCATATGGAAAGCAGAGTGAACATAATGGATGTTTGTAATGATAGCTATGGCTTTGGCATCATTTTTGTGTCTCCCCATTTTTTTCTAAAATCCCTGGAATGGTTCGGGCCTTGAATTCCGACAGAAGAGATTTAGGTGGTAGCAAAGCACGTCCAACATGGAGTTTGCTGGGCCTGCACAACTTGGAGCTTCTCTGTACCCTTTTCTTCAGAGAACTTTTAGAACACAACCCTCAACTTCCCGTCTTCTGGATTCTCTTCCTAGCACTAAGCAATGATCTTTGTAAAAATAGCCCCACTGACTTATACGTCTTTACTATCTGAATTTTATCAAGAGAATCGAGGGGGGAAAAAAGAATTTTGAATAACTAGTTCTAGAAGGACAAGAACTGTTCTTTTAAAAGGACCCTGAAAAGCTGACAGTCCTCTTGTAGTTTCTTCACCATCGTTTTTTCTGTTCTTTTCGATTAGTATAATTCAACTAAATCAATGGTACCCCCCTCCTTTAATTAGGCTCATCACTAGATTAACATAATTTTGTGTATATCCATCTTGTTTATTGTTAGCTGAAAACAATTTTAATTTAAAAACTAACGTTAAGAACTTTCCGTCATAGTCTTTTATTATTTAAGACACCCAAAATAATGTTTCTTAAACTTGGTGAAAAATTCTTTTTCCCTTACGATAAATGCGGAAGAATATAGCCTCCAAAATAAATTATTGAATGAGTGAATGTCATAAACAAAAAGCAACAGGAGTTAAAGTGTAAGTATTTAGTATACGATAAAAGATTTCATATCAGTGGAAAATGATTACATGGTACAGGGATAATTGTAAGCTATATATATAATATACTATAGCTATATAGCTATAGTATATTTTATATATATATATATTTTTTTTTTTTTGAGGCGGAGTCTCGCTCTGTCATTCTGGCTGGAGTGCAGTGGTGCGATCTGGGCTCACTGCAAGCTCCGCCTCCCGGGTTCACGCCATTCTCCTGCCTCAGCTCCCGAGTAGCTGGGACTACATGTGCCCGCCACCACGCCCGGCTAATTTTTTTGTATTTTTAGTAGAGATGGGGTTTCACCGTGTTAGCCAGGATGGTCTCGATCTCCTGACCTCGTGATCCGTCCACCTCGGCCTCCCGAAGTGCTGGGATTACAGGCATGAGCCACGGTGCCTGGCCCATTGTAAGCTATATTTTTAAAGAATTTGTATCTTATATCATACATTGAAAATAATTCAGATGAGACCAAAAAGAAAAATAATTGGAAGAACCTATATGTAAATATAAATATTCTGGGGGATGGGAAGGCTGGCCTTAATCATAATTTCATGTGCAGCAACCATGAAGGAAAAGTTTGAAAAATTGGACTATACTAAAAAAAATCAGTTATATAAAGCAAAATAAAAACAAAGGTGGGGGGGCAAATAAATGGGGAAAAATGTTTGTTAATGTTTATTATGTATAAAGGGCTAAGAGTCTTAATGCTTAGAGAACTGTTGCTAGAAGAAACAAACGTGTCAAAAGAAAAATAATGAACACTGAGGCAAACTGTATTAGATTGCTATTGCCATAACAAAAGTCTTTCGGCTTCAAAGACTTTGGAGCTTAAACAGCACAAATTTATTTTCTCACAGTTCTGGGGCCTAGAAGTCCAAGATTAAGGTGTCAGCAGTTTTGGTTTCCCCCAAGGCCTTTCTGGTTGGCTTGCAGACGGCTACTTTCTTGCAGCATCCTCACATAGCCTTGCCTCTGTGCACATTACCCCGATGTCTCTTCATAGAGCCTCACCTTTGTGACTTCCATTTAACCTTAATTACCTTCTTAAAAGCCCTGTTCCAAACACAGTCACATTGAAGAGCACTCCAACATACGAATTTTGGGGAACACAAGTCCACAATACAGACCAAGAAAGCAGAAATGTTAGTAGTCTATAGGATGAAAAAAAAAATAGTTTATCCTCACCAGTAGTTTAAGAAATGCAAATTTAACTACAGTGTAATGTCTGTTTTTGAACTATCATTTTGGCAAATAACAAAGCCCGTGAGAATGGAGAAGGAATAGATAATACTGGATTTTGAAAGAAGAATGAATTAATTCTTTGTGACAGAACTATAAATTAATAGTATATGAAAGAGAAGGATAAGCCTAAACTGACTTATGAAGTTTTCAGCTGGAATGATTGGGAGAATGAATGAAGAGCATAGAGCTATTTGTTCAGCTCATAGTAGCCCAGTTCTCTCTCAGAGTCAAGGCTGAGCCCCTAGCAACTGTTTTGAATAAGGTGACTCTACCAAGTTGATTGTACTAAGAATAGGTACCTAATTCCAGTTGAACCCGTTGGAATTTTTCACATGAGAATCTATATTTACACCAAATTTTAAAAATTTAGTCTCTTAGGTGACAGGGCTGTGACATACACTCATATATATATTTATGTAAAACCTTGGGAGATATAGATTGGCCATTTTTCTATTAGAGAAATAGAAAAAGTGTAGAGATGGGGTGGGGAGAAAGAGAGAGAAAGAGAAAATGATACTTTCCAAGAGGATCAGAGGTGAGATGGAAAAATAGTCCAGATGCAATTCCAGTCTCTTTTTTAAGAATTTTTTCTTAGGCCTGGTTTCATTCCTGCCCTGGAGTTCTCTAAAATATTCCTGTATCCTTATAAAAATTCCCCTCCCCCTTTTTTTTGCATAAGTAGCTTGACCAAGTTTTATGTTATCTTAAAACCAAGACTGATAAGAATAAATGAGAAGGAGAATTTAAAGCTGACTTTTATACCTGTCAGCCTGAAGGAATTTATAGAACTTCACACAAAGTGGATCTGTAGGTGCACTGCTCAAAGCTTCACCTTTTGGGGAAATTTTCCTTCTCCACTGTTATTCAGAGATTTTACAAGTGACGTTGTTCCACAGCTGCTTCTCATTTTTTACTGGCACCTGCATACCAAGCCAGCCTATCCATAATCTTGCCATAAAAGCTCAGGTTTTTTTCCTCCTCCTTCAGTTGGCCATAGAGTAATCCCTACATAGCCATTGGTGTGAGGTGAGGGAGGTGTTTTGGTGCAACCTTGGTGGGTGGCATGGGCGTCTGAGCTGCTTGCTCATGCAGCTTGCTTATACCCTCTGGTGCTTGTGTCTCAGATGTGCCATTATCTTTTTATCTGTTTCTGGTGGGGTATCTGACTTTGAGTTGAAGTCTCTGACAGTACCCAGCTTATGATGGGCAATTCCAAACATCTCAAAAATTAAAATCCCAAGTGTCAGAAGAGAATGGAATAATACATTCTAAATCCTGAGGGGGAAAAAAACCTAACCTAGAAGTGTGTATTAAGGTCCTTGCCTTGTTCAAAAAGATGTCAGATGTACTAAAATCACTTTAGACTTTGTTACACTTTATAATTAAATACTTATGGAAAATATATTGGTAAATGAAGAAGCCAAAAGGAACAGAAAAAAGGCTCAAAGGGGTAAGGGAAAGATTAAGATAGTACAATGTTGTGGAACCAAAGTTTGTATAATTGTCAAAAAGAGGTGATCCATAATGTCATGGTACAGGTCAAAAACTTGAAGATGAAGACATGCCTATTGCATGTAATATTTAGCAGATTTTTAGTGACCATTCAAAGAAATGTTTTACTGTTAACCAGATAGCAAAGGGTTAAGGAAAAGTGATTGGGAAAAGTAGAAAGAGATAAATATTTGTTAATGTTCTCTATAGTGAGTTTTTTTTTTTAAGTAATTGGATTTAGACTTTCCAGAAATGAAGTGAGGTATTATCCTATTTTATCTCACAAATAACCCAGACACTGGGTATAGCTTTCCGTCTAGGCTTTTATTTTATTTCCAGGTTTGTTTCTTGCTTTCTTAATAGGTTGCGGTTGTTTATCTTCTGGCACCTTAAATGATACAGGTAGAATAGGATGCTGTGTGGACCATGGGGATTTTTGCCAGTCAGCTTTGTTTACTTGTCTCTGCTGCCCCCTTACACAGGGTTCTAGTCTCATGATTACATCTTCACCTTGAAAGTTACAATTTAGTCCAGGAAAAGTGCTCTCAAGTGTATCTTGATATCTGAGTGAAAATAAACCTGAATCAGCCAATCCACTATATCATTTTGTTGTTAGACTGGGCTACCCTATATTTTGCTGTTAGATTTCATACCACCTGATTCTGTGTACATGCTTGACTGTCCTCTTGGACACCTCAAATTTTCAGAAAAGTTTATGGTTTAAATGTGTTTTCACTTTGCTCATTTTCGCTGTAACTCATTTCACATCACTGTTTTTCTTTTGTATTATCTGGCTTATTATTCTTGGTTTTCACATATCTAGCTGCATAATGTAACTACTTAACATTTTAATTGGTTATGGGAAGCACTGAATGCTTCATTTAATTAGTGGAGAAGTAATATTTTATAAATGAAGCTATGGTAGTAATAGTAACAAGTATTAGTTGTAATTATATCTTAACTAATTTACATCGTATCCAAGAGACTAAGAAATGTTTGACAGTTCTTTTCAGATTTAAGCTGTGAAACTCTCACTTTGATAAAGACTGCTTCTTCTTGATGTCTCTCCTTGAAAGCAGTGGATTAGAGGTAGCTTTGCCCACAGATATTTTAACCTCCCAAAAGTATTTAATTCCAAATTTTAATAGTGTCAAAGCTAACAGGATATTGCAGATACATAAGTTACTTAGGGAGGAAATCTTAATTTCTTGATATTTTATGTAGAATAAATAGTCAAGTTTATACTATAACATCCTGGCAAAATTGTAACAAGTAAGAGAAGACTGCTTACATAAATTCTGTGTCCATGAATACTATATTAGATGTTTGTAAAGAGTTATTGTAACTGTAATTCTCTAAGCATGCAGAAGGAAATGAAATCTTGATTAGATGGTCAGTTATTAAAGATCTAACAGGGCACAGAGATATAGATGATAATAAATTAGCAAAATTATCCAAGAAAAAAGATGGTGTCCAAAAAATTGACAAAGGGAAGATCCTGTAGTAAGAAAACATTGAATTTAGAAACTAGAGAAGCATAGTCTCATTTTACAGATGAACACACTAGAACCCAGAAAAGTTTTTCAAGTCATGTCCCCCAGGTTACCGGCAGAGGCAGTCTAATACTCTTTTCCACTCTGTCCTGCTGCCTCCCAGTAATCACTGATTATTTGCACTACTTACAGAGCCTATTGCTGCTGGCAAAGCTCTTTCTCAAAACAAATAAAAAAATCTACTTCACCTCTAGCCTTTTTTGATTCTTACAACACTGCTCTTCTTGTTCTACTTCCTTCTCTCTTGTCACGTCTTTCCTGTAAGTTTCACTGGCATTTCAGCTTGCTTCTTCTCCCTCTAATTTTTTCTTTTTTTGAGATGGAGTCTTGCTCTGTTGCCCAGGCTGGAGTGCAGTGGCATGATCTTGGCTCACTGCAACCCCTGCCTCATGGGTTCAAGTGATTCTCTTGCTTCAGCCCCCCAAGTAGCTGGGACTACAGGCATGCACCACCACACCTGGCTGATTTTTGTATTTTTAGTAGAGACAGGGTTTCACTATGTTGGCCAGGCTGGTTTCGAACTCCTGACCTCATAATCTGCCTGTCTCCCCCTCCCAAAGTGCTGGGATTACAGGTGTGAGCTACCGTGCCCGGCCTCTCCCTCTAAATTTATAGCTACTTTCATGGATTCAGTTTTCACCTCTATTGGCTCAATTTTTTTTTTTTTTTTTTTTTGAGACGGAGTCTCGCTCTGTCGCCCAGGCTGGAGTGCAGTGGCGCGATCTCGGCTCACTGCAAGCTCCGCCTCCCGGGTTCACGCCATTCTCCTGCCTCAGCCTCCCGAGTAGCTGGGACTACAGGCGCCCGCTACCACGCCCGGCTAATTTTTTGTATTTTTAGTAGAGACGGGGTTTCACCGTGTTAGCCAGGATGGTCTCGATCTCCTGACCTCGTGATCCGCCCGCCTCGGCCTCCCAAAGTGCTGGGATTACAGGCGTGAGCCACCGTGCCCGGCCTTGGCTCAATTTTCTTGTGTGTAGTATGAGAGAATTTGAGTTGCTTCTTTTTAATTCTAAAAGCTGAGTAAAGTTTAATACAAAATGATGAATGTTATAAAAGTCTTATTTTAAAAACCCGTTGTCTGACTAGACACCTTACCAAAGAAGTTAATACATATGGCAAATAAGCATATAAAAAGATACTGAATCTCCTATATCATTAGAGAATTGTAAATTAAAATAACAATGAGATAACACTACACACCTGTTAAAATGATCAAAATCCAAAACGCTGACAACTTCAAGTACTGATGAGTATGTGGAGCAACAAGACCACTCACTCATTTATTGCTGGTGGGAATGCAAAGTAGTACAGCAACTTTGGAAGACAGTTTGGCAGTGTCTTACAAAACTAAACTTGTTCTTACGTGAGATCCAGCAGTTGTACCCTTAGGTACAATGCACAAACTGTGGGCCAGGTGTGGTGGCTCAAGCTTGTAATCCCAGCACTTTGAGGCCGAGGTGGGCAGATCACCTGAGGTCAGGAGTTTGAGACCAGCCTGGCCAACATGGTGAAACCCCCATCTCTACTAAAAATACAAAAATTAGCTGTGTATGGTGGTGGGTGCCTGTAATCCCAGCTACTCAGGAGGCTTAGCCAGGAGAATTGCTTGAACCTAGGAGGTGGAGGTTGCAGTGAGCTGAGATCACGCCACTGCACTCCATCCTGGGTGACAGAGGGAGACTCTGTCTCAAACAAACAAAAAAACCCCACAAACTGTGGACTTAGGTGATAATGATGTGTTAATATAGGTTCATTGGTTGTAACAAATATACCTTTGTGGTGCAGCATATTGATAGGGGAGGTTGTTGTATCTGTGTGTGGAGGTAGGGAAGGCGGATATGGAAACTCTCTCTACTTTGTGCTCGGTTTTGCTGTGAACCTAAAATTGATCTAAAAAGTAAAGTTTAGGCTGGGTGTGGTGGCTCACGCCTGCACTTTGGGAGGCCTAGGCGGGTGGATCACGTGAGGTCAGGGGTTTGAGACCAGCCTGGGCAAATGATGAAACTCCATCTCTACTTGTAGGGGTGGGTTGCCCCTACACATCTGTGGGTGTTTCTCGTAAGGTGGGACGAGAGATTTGGAAAAGAAAAAGACACAGAGACAAAGTATAGAGAAAGAAATAAGGGGAACCGGGGAACCAGCGTTCGGCATATGGAGGATCCCGCCAGCCTCTGAGTTCCCTTAGTATTTATTGATCATCTGTGGGTGTTTCTCAAAGAGGGGGATGTGTCAGGGTCACAAGACAATTGTGGGGAGAGGGTCAGCAGACAAACACGTGAACAAAGGTCTTTGCATCATAGACAATGTAAAGGATTAAGTGCTGTGCTTTTAGATATGCATACACATAAACATCTCAATGCTTTACAAAGCAGTATTGCTGCCCACAGGTCCCACCTCCAGCCCTAAGGCGGTTTTTCCCTATCTCAGTAGATGGAGCATACAATCGGGTTTTATACCGAGACATTCCATTGCCCAGGGACAGGCAGGAGACAGATGCCTTCCTCTTGTCTCAACTGCAAGAGGCATTCCTTCCTCTTTTACTAATCCTCCTCAGCACAGACCCTTTACGGGTGTCGGGCTGGGGGACGGTCAGGTCTTTCCCTTCCCACGAGGCCATATTTCAGACTATCACATGGGGAGAAACCTTGGACAATACCTGGCTTTCCTAGGCAGAGGTCCCTGCGGCCTTCCGCAGTTTTTGTGTCCCTGGGTACTTGAGATTAGGGAGTGGTGATGACTCTTAAGGAGCATGCTGCCCTCAAGCATCTGTTTAACAAAGCACATCTTGCACCGCCCTTAATCCATTTAACTCTGAGTTGACACAGCACACGTTTCAGAGAGCACGGGGTTGGGGGTAAGGTTATAGATTAACAGAATCTCAAGGCAGAAGAATTTTTCTTAGTACATAACAAAATGGAGTCTCCTATGTCTACTTCTTTCTACACAGACACAGTAACAATCTGATCTCTCTTGCTTTTCCCCACACTACTAAAAATACAAAAATTGGCCAGGCGTGGTGGTGCATTGTTGGGGTGATCAGACCCAACACCAGGTCATGGGGGCGACGAAGTCTGGTGGAGCCAAAGGATTGAGAAAAAGATAATTTGAGAAATAAAGTGGGACCAGGGGGCCATCGCAATTGTGGAGGCTGCGAAGGCCCTGAGCTCTGGGAGCCCATGCTATTTATTGGTAATCCAACAAAGAAGCAGGTGATGAGAATGTGGGGGTCAAAAGGGCAGGCACATGATCTACAGCTGTGACGGTTTAGTATTTATATGGAACATGTTCTGGTACTTGAGATAATGGGAATACAATCGATCTAGGAGCCTAGGAGGGCTAGAAGCAAGGAGCCAGCAAGTCTAGACACATTCCAGAGGCCATTATGTCAGACATGCAAGCCCTGCCTCAGTTTTTTTTCCCAACACTCAGCTTTTTCCCAACATGCCCCCTTCTCTTTTTTGTAAAAGAGAAGGTATTATTACTATCATTATTACTAGCTATCATTATTACTAACATAAAAGGTGGCCTCTTTTAATTGAGCAAGGCAATTGCAGGCTGTGCAGCCCTAATTGCTGGTTGGTGATCCAGCTTCATTTTTCTTAGCCCTTATTCAAACTGGAGTCACTCTGGTTTGAATGCTTCACACATATCTCTCCTTTTCCTTTTACGAGAGGACCCTTAATCCTAGGGGTTGCAGAAGGATGAAGGTCCATCTTATGTAATTCCTTCATGCTGAATAGGGGTGATGATATTCCTGCCTAACTATTAGGCTCTCTTGTATTCAGGGTAGAGAGGAGCTGAGTCAGAAAGCATTGGTTCTTTAAGCATTGTGACTCTAGTTGGTCTTCGTTCCATCTTTGCATTCAGATTCAACTGTCTTGTACTGGGGGAACCCGGTCCATGGTTGGGATCCATGGGTCCCTCCAGTCTCCCGTTCCATGGTCGTACACATCTTGAGGGCATCCACAGGGTTCATTCATATCCTGCAAAAACACAAGCATACCCTCACCCCCACCTTAGTAAATCTGAAACAGAAGCAAAAACTTTTGTGGCTGTAGCCGGGAGGCCACTGATAATGAGGAACAGGCCCCTTGTAACACAAGGCACAGGGAAAGCAAATAGAGGCTTTTCAGACCTTCAGTTTGCACTGTACAGGTGGTCCCCTAGATGCTGTGGCTCATGATAAATCTTCAGATGTTTGGTGGGCACCCACACTGGCAGCTGATTGTCAACTGGAGAGACACAAGCAAATCCTCTTCCCCAAATAATTATCTTTCCTTTTTCCTTTTTCCCAGCTCCCTGCATGTGCATCCCTCCACCACATATCCTGTCCAGCCCCTTTTACCTTCCTTCCTTCCTGTCAGGCATTGTTCCGCTGCACCGTGGGTTGAATTACAGTATTAACAGCCCTTAAATCTGTTAACATTCTCAATTTCCCTGATTTTTTCTTATTGACAAATACAGGAGGATTCCAAGGGGAGAAAGTATGTTCTATATGACCCTTTTATAATTGTTCCTGCACCAACTCTTTTAAAGCCTCAGTTTTTCCTGTTTCAGCGGCCAGTGGTCTACCCAAACTGGTTTGGCAGTTAGCCAAACAAGAGGAATGGGAGCTGGAGGCTCAACAATGGCCACTCCTAAAAATGACACCCCAATCTGGTCTGATCTGTTTGTCCTTTTAATTCTAAAAGTTCTGATTGGCCGTATTTATCTTTTCCTAGTCCTTTTCCGTGGGCGATATCCCATATTTTTCATCATTCGTCTATTGTTATTATTATATTGACCCATAAGAATAGATATTTCAGCATGCCATTGTTGGAATAAGTCTCTACCCCATAAATTGACAGGAATAGGTGTAATGATAGGCTTAATTGTCCCTTACTGACCATCCGGCCCCTGACATGGTAAAATCAAGGAACTTTGAAAAACTTCCAAGGCAGCTCCTACTCCAACAATGCGAATGGATGCCTTTTGCTTGGGCCAATGTCAGAGCCATTGATTTATAGCAATAATAGAGACATCAGCTCCAGTATCTAGTAGTCCTTCATAATCTTTTCCCTGAATAGTTACTGTGCAAATAGGTCTTTTGTCAGACATTTGATTAACCCAGTATACAGCCTTTCCTGTTGGATTAGTACTACCAAAGCCTCCTGTTCTCTTCACTGTGCTGCTTCCTAGTTTTATGTAAGGTAACAGCAACAACTGAGCAATTCTTTCTCCTGGGGAAGCAGATCTCGGAGTTGAGGAACTAGTAACTAATTGAATTTCTCCGGTATAATCAGAATCAATTATTCCCATATGCACAGTGACACCTTTCAAATTTAACTCGACTTTCCAAGTAATAGACCAACTGTTCCTGCTGGTAAGGGTCCCCTAACTCCCATAGGGACCTTTTTTGGTGTGGCTCCCCAGGAAGTAAGGAGAGGGGAATTGTGCTGCAGAGGTCTACGACAACACTGCCTGCTGTGGCAGGGGACAATTGTACATTTGTAAGGGCACTGGCTGTGCCAGGTATGCCTTGGTTTGTTGAGGGGCTCAAGGCGGGCCCCTATTCCTGTTTCCTGAGAGAGGTTGTCCATCTTTGCTACTTTTAGAATGACATTGACTTGCCCAGTGATGGCTTTTTTCACAACGGGGACATACACTGGGACTTTTCTGTTGTTTGATGGTAGCTCTTGCCTTTTGATTTCCTTTTCTACATTCCTTTTTTCTGTGTCCAAATTGCCCACAATTAAAGCAAGAGCCTGAGAAATGGGGCATATTATTTCCGACTCTTAATCCAGCCATAGCCTGAGCTAAAAGAGTAGCCTTATGTAAGTTACCTCCAATGCCATCGCAAGCCTTAGTATATCCAGCTAAATGAGCCTTCCCTCTCAGGGGTCTAATAGCAGTTTGACAGTCTGCATTAGCATTATTGTATGCAAGAAGCTGCATTACAAATCTTGAGCTATTTTATCAGTTATGGTTTTATACACAGCCTCCTGGAGCCGAGCAATAAAATCAATAGGATTCTTTAGGTCCTTGTCAGACAGAACTGAAAGAAGGATATTTTTCCCCTGTAACATGTATCCTTTCCCATGCCTGTAAGCACACAGAGCGCAGCTGAACAATGGCAACATCCTCCATTACTGCTTGATTTTCTAATCGACCCCAATCAGGTCCGACTCCCATTAACTGTTCAAAGGAAACAGGCACAGGTGGTTGTGCTTGTGTATTTTCCCTTGCCTGAGTTTGAGCTTCATCAGCCCACCAGGTTTAAACTGCAAGTACTGAGATGGAGTGAGAATAGATTTTGTTAAAGTATCCCAATCATGTGCTATTAATCGATTATCAAGAGAAACATTTTTCATAAAGTTTGCACAAAAGGAGAGTTTGGCTCATATTGACTAATGGCTTGCTTGAATTCCTTTAACAGCTTAAAAGGAAAGGTGGTCCAATTAGCTATATTCTGTCCTCCCTGCTGGATTATAGTTACGGGAAATTGTCATGCTTCAAGGTCTCCCTCGGCTCTGGCCTTTTGAATAGAATTTTGTATAGCACCACCAATTGCTCCAGATTTTAATGTTGCAACTACAGGAGCAGTAAGTTTTGTAGCTAATTCATCTTCTCACCCATTAAGGGGAGAGAGAGGAGGTGGCCTTTCACTTAATTCAGCAGGTCGGCTAGTAAAACATACTTTTTTAAAATTTCTCTTTCTTTTATTTAATTTGCTTTCTTTTATTTAATTTCCTCTGTTTCCTGTTCCTCACATTCAGAATCTGAAGTTAGTTTTTTACACTTGTCCTCTTCCTCATCTGAATCTGCCTCATCATCTGTTTGAAATGGCTCAAGAGCTGCTTTTATTAGCGCCCACATTGACCAAACCGAGACTGGAATTTTTGCTCCATCTTTATATGCTTTTTTTAAATCTCTGCCAATTCTCTCCCATTCATCCAACTCTATAGTCCTTTGTTCCGGGAACCATGGGCAAAACTGCTTTACTGCAATAAAGAGTGATAACAAATTCTGAGTGCTAACTTTCACTTCATCTCTTTGTAGTAAATGCCTTCAGAAATTTAAACAAGCAGAATGTCTGCTTTCACTTTGTCCCATTGTTACCCTGGTTCTTCCGGAGTGCTCAGCTTTCCCACCGAGCTTCTTTTAGACGTACTTGGGTATCCTTTGACAATGCATCGTCCGCTTTCACACGCTCTAGCATTTCTTCACCAGGTCTTTGTTGCTCCACATTGGGCAGCCAGGAATGTTGGGGTGATCAGACCCAACACCACGTCGTGGGGGCGATAAAGTCTAGTGGAGTCAAAGGATTGAGAAAAAGACAGTTTGAGAAGTAAAGTGGGACCAGGGGGCCATCACGATCGTGGAGGCTGCAAAGGCCCTGAACTCTGGGAGCCCATGCTATTTATTGGTAATCTAACAAAGAAACAGTTGGTGAGAATGTGGGGTTCAAAAGGGCAGGCACATGATCTACAGCTGTGATGGTTTAGCATTTATATGGAATATGTTCTGCTACCTCAGATAATGGGAATACAATTGATCTAGGAGCCTAGGAGGGCTAGAAGCAAGGAGCCAGCAAGTCTAGACACATTCCAGAGGCCATTATGTCAGACATGCAAGCCCTGCCTCAGTTTCTTTTCCCAACACTCAGCTTTTTCCCAACAGTGCATGTCTGTAATCCCAGCTACTTGAGTGGCTGAAGCAGAAGAATTGCTTGAACCCAGGAGATGGAGGTTGCAGTGAGCCAAGATCATGCCACTGCACTGTAGCTTAGGCGACAGAGTGAGACCTGGTCTTTAAAAAATTAATAAAAATAAAAAACACGGTCCAATTTAAAAAAAGTAAAGTTTACTAATTAAAGCATGTTTTTAAACCAGCATTGTGTTTTTAAAAGGCAAAGGCATTTAGAGTAAAATGGCCTGCATTTTTAAGATTGGTGAGCTGTGTAATTCATCTCTTGTGAGGCCCAGTTGCTTTATTTTTTTATTTTTTATTTTTTTTTTGAGACAGAGTCTTGCTCTGTCACCAGGCTGGAGTGCAGTGGCACGATCTTGGCTCACTGTAACCTCCGCCTCCCAGGTTCAAGTGATTCTCCTGCCTCAGCCTCCTGAGTAGCTGGGACTACAGGTGTGCACCACCATACCCAGCTAATTTTTTTTTTGTATTTTTAGTAGAGACAGAGTTTCACCATGTTGGCCATGATGGTCTTGATCTCTTGACCTCGTGATCTGCCTGCCTTGGCTTCACAAAGTGCTGGGATTACAGGTGTAAGCCACTGCACCCGGCCTGCTTTATCGTTTATGTGTGTATATACATATATATTTATATATATATTTAATGGGCCAAAAATATTATGAACCAGTGGTACTAGAGTTCCACTTAGGGAACTGGGCACTGTCTTCATTTAGAAAAAATGCCTTGATAAGCTTATCTGAGTGTGGAAGGTGAGGCCTTGAGTGTGAGTTCTAGAAGGTGATTGCAATACAAAGAACTAAACAGTTGTGTACAAAGAAATGAATAGAGATGTGGGAGGAGAAATGCCAGAAAGAGAAGGGGGAGGAATTAGAGAAAAGGCCATGCAAGATAGATAGGAGGCTGAATCCTGTGGAGAAGGAGACAAATGCCTTGATAGCAATAGTGGCCATAACTTTAAAGACCACAGAAGTCTAATTTACAATGTTTAGTTGTTGGCATCTTGGCAATGTAACAACATGACTGTGTTGCATTGTGATTTGGGAGAAATCAAGGAAAGAAGCTATGTGTATAACAAAGATAAGGAGCATCTGCAAAGGGCAAGATATGTGAGATCAAGAGTTCAGCAAAAGTGGAAGACACAGTCAATTATGAGAAAGCAAGTCCATAGGATTAAGAACAATGGAATTTCCCACAGGAGCCTGTCTCAGAGGATGAGATTCCAGTTGACAGATCAGATAACTGGATTGACAGAATGGTTGTGCAGATATTTAAAGGTTTGCAGCACAGTGCTTGACACGTGGCAGTAAAAACTTAACGCACTCAACTTCAATGGTCTTGTATAGTCTGGCATCACAACTTTTGGAGCTGAGACAGCCTTAGCTTTGAGAATTATCTGAGCAATTAGTACAGAAGTTTTGATGGAACAAAGCTTTTCCATGATTTCTAACAAAGCATGGAGGAAAACTGCTTATCTGAAAATGCCATTCACCCAGTTAAGAGACAGTACCTGTTAGACAAAAAGATTTAACTGAAGTTGTGTGCCCATGAGGATAAAGTTATGACTTGTCATCTTTTTTCCCCAGACTTTTATGCTTCTCATACAAAGCATAAATTATACTTCTCATACAAAGCTAGAGAATATAATAAACTATAAGAACCATAGAAGATTGTCCGAAGGAGGCTTACATTAGATAAATAACATTCAGGGAATGACAATAGAACTGAAAAAGAAACTATATTCTCTCGGAAACATGTTCATAAAATTCAGTACATTCAAGAATACTGATTAATAAGATATAGAGGTGGATGAAGTGCTCCTGAGATGCAATGAATATAAAAATAGAGAAAAAACATAGAAAATGACTAGTAGTATCCTTGGATCAGCCCCTTTTCACAACCATAATCATTATTCTGTCATAGTCATAGTTTTCCTGTCTCTTTGCTTCCAGACTTTCCTTCCTGAACCAATTGTCTAATTCAGTGGCCACTAAAAGAGTTTTATCATTGGTATCAGCAATTTTGAGTCTAAAGTGATCTTTCATATCAAATTTAAGTTTCAAATCTGTGAACTTCAGGGTTTCCTATGAGTGGTTCCAGCACTTTTTACCTTACTGATCTTTTGATGTGCCTTGATTTCCATCTCATTTATAGCCAGATTAGTTTAATGATTTTCATATACACCTAACAATTTTATATACACTTCATAGCCAGCTCACTAGTCATCTGTCCAGAAGAAAATGTTCTAATTTCCTATTAGTCATTTCATGTTCTGTCCTTCCCCCATTATAATTAATTTTTGTTCACTCAGAAATATCAGGGATTAAATGATTCTGAATTTTTGGGCAATGTGGCTGATTTAATACAAGTAGTCTATGCAAATTATCAACATTGAATTATTTTATGATAGAATCTTTAATGATATTAAAACATAATGGAATTTCTGTTTTATAATAGAATCCTTAATGATAATGCTAAAACATAATAAAATAAAATAAAACAATAATTCAAAAGAAACTTCAGAATCTTGTAGTGACTTAGCCTCACCAATACAAACAATAATTATTATTCAATAGTATTGCAAAATAAACCCAATTGTTAAGATGTTCTAGGTGTTTTTGGCTTCTGGATAAATAAGAGATAAATAAATATTTTGGGAGGTAACAGATACTAGTCCTGCTAGACTGTAATTATTTATTAAACATCCTGGGGACTTATGTATTTGACTACTCAGCATTTTGGCAATGAATAACCCACCCCATTTGTTCTTTTTGTTTGTTTGTTGAAGGTTGATCTCAAGTCTCATAGACATATTATTTAATGATGCAAAGGGAAATTTTGGTTGTCTAAACTGATTTTCCCAACATTGCTCTTTTGTAATGGTGGGAGAGGACAGAAGATTCAATTCCTGTCATCTCTTGCTCATTTGCCTAATCCTTCTTCTGAGGTAAGTGTACATACTGAGATAGTGACAATTTTTGTGAGTTCTGCAACGTTGCCTGGAAAAAGCCTGGGCTTTGGTGTCCTACAGAATTGTGAATGCCGTTTTCTAGGTATGTAACATTGTAAAATTTAAGTGTTTCTGAGAGCCAGTTTTTCAGCTATAAAATAGAGATAAAATTTACTAGTTGCAGAGACTGTTAATGCTCACCAATATCCATGTGTTTTCCTTTTCTTCCTGGGCACAGTTAAACTATATTTTCAGCTTCCCTTGTAGGTTGGTGTCTTCATTGCTGACTTCTGGCACTGGAATGTGGGTGGAAATAAAGTGCACCACTTCCTAACTTAGCTCATGAAAATCTTCCATGTGCCCTCTTCTTTAGCTGGCTGACTGGAGAGGACTCCAGAGACCTATGAGAATGAATAACTAAGACAGAAGAGGCCTGAATTAAAGTTTGCTGTGAGTCCCTTGCCACCCCCATCAGTTGCAAACAAGAATTAGTATTTATTTTGTTAAGGCACTGAAACTTGGGGGATGTTTGTTTCAGCAGTTAGCCAACCCTGATTAATACACTTCATTGGATTATTATGAAGATTACATGAGGAATCTTTGTAAAGTGCCTGATATAAATTAGGTGTTTGGTAAATGATAGTTTTCATCACCATCATCCTTTACACATATAAACAGGTAAGCATTCAAGCATTGCAGGTGCTAAGAATTACCCACATGACCAGATTCTACAGGATCTGAACTGGCAGAATTGACATTTTGCTGCCACTATTATAATTAGACCCACCGTTACAATTTCCGCTATTTTTTAGTTGTATAGGTGGATAATTCATTTAATGATAGATTTTGAGGTTATATGTTTCATTCCTTTATTGGCTTGTTAGTTTTATCTAGTATAATCTTAACATATGATACCCCTAACTTAATTTGTATGTCTTATACCTGTAATTGTGTCACTATTCAAGAGCTAGGAGAGAGAGATGAGATCAATGATGTTCAACAGAAATCTGATCCAAGCCACATACTTGATTTAAAATTTTCTAATAGTCACATTAAAAACGGTAAAGAAAAAACCAGGTAAAATGAATTTTTTTTAAATTTTATTATTATTATACTTTAAGTTGTAGGGTACATGTGTGCAATGTGTAGGTTTGTTACATATGTATACATGTGCCAGAATTTTAATAGTATATTATTTAACCTAAGATTTCTAAAATATTATTTCAACATGTAATAAATATTATTTGTATTCTTTTTTGGTGCTGATTCGGAAATCAGTATGTGTTTTAAACTGACAGCACATCTCAATTGGACTAGCCTAATTTCAAGTGCTCAATAGTAACATTTATATAGTGGCTACCATATTGGACAGTTCAACAATAGATAATTCAGAAAAGAGCTATTACTACAGCTGAAAGAAACAAGAAATGTCAAAGTCACGTGCCACCAATACTGGGTTCGCCACATTTTCTTTGTACATGAAGGATAGCTTATTTTTATTGTTCTGGGGAAACAGATGAGGATCACATCACCAGGATGCTCATCCAGGAGATGAGCATTTTACATATGAGATGTTATTTATTGGGAGACACAAGTCCTGAACCTTCATTGTAGCTCCACCTGCTGTGGTACTTTGCATATAGAAGTCTCTTGCAGAGAGTCATTCATGGAGGTGATCAATGTTCACATAATTATGTGTTCAATATTCATACATTTATAATAAAAATATGTGTATCTCTTACAAGAAACCAAACATTCTGAGCTCATATCCTAAGGGAAGCCATGAACCTGAAATACAATAACCCTAAAATTTAAAAGCAATAAAAGTTTTATTTTTCTTAAGGAATAACTGTTTGTTATTACTGTTGGTCTCAATTTTTAAAGGAAATTTATTTTTTTAAATAAAATATAGACTTTAGAAATCTGTGTATTGAAATGCACATCTATCCTTGTTTCAATTATAGTGCAGAAACTAGTCATTTTCCAGTATACAAAAGGTAAAACAGAGTTTACTTCAAAGACATAAAAGTAAAACAGAGTTTAGTTCAAACATTGTAAACAATGTTTGAATACATAGTATGGTTAAAGGTGACAGGCAGTCACTTCTGGGAGGGAATAATATGTTGCAAGTTTGAAAGAGAATGGATTATTCAAGATGTCATATCATGAGAAGGAAATAGTATCTGATATTGAAAGCACTGAAAGAGAATTTAACATGTGCTAGAGAAACAAGAGATACATCTAATGCTTAGGAAAGATAGGGTTTTAGGACCCCTTCCTTATACCATATACAAAAAAATCAACTGAAGATGGATTAAAGACTTAAATGTAAAACCCCAAATTACAAAAACCCTGGAATACAACCTAGGTAATACCATCCTGGACATAGGAATGGGCAGATTTAATGACAAAGACACCAAAATAAAGTACAGCAAAAGCAAAAATTGACAAGTGGGACCTAATTAAACTTAAGAGCATCTGCACAGCAAAAGAAATTATCAATGGAATAAACAGATAGCCTACATTCTGGGAGAAAGTATTTGCACACTATGCATCTGACAAAGGTCTAATATCCAACATCTATAAGGAACTTAAACCAATTTACAAGAGAAAAACAACCCC
The DNA here is from genome assembly GCF_000001405.40 of Homo sapiens. Taxonomy (NCBI): domain Eukaryota; kingdom Metazoa; phylum Chordata; class Mammalia; order Primates; family Hominidae; genus Homo; species Homo sapiens. The sequence continues at coordinate 78,848,514 of NC_000006.12, read as the reverse complement.
ATTAAAAAGTGGGCAAAGAACATGAACAGACACTTTTGAAAAGAAGACACGTGTGGCCAACAGGTATATGAAAAAAAGCTCATTATAACTGATCGAGACCATCCTGGCCAACATGGTGAACCCCGTCTCTACTAAAAATACAAAAAATTAGCTGGGCATGGTGGTGCATGCCTGTAATCCCAGCTACTCGGGAGGCTGAGGCGGGAGAATTGCTTGAACCAGGGAGTCGGAGGTTGCAGTGAGCCAAGATCGCACCACTGCACTCCAGCCTGGCAACAGAGAGTGAGACTCCACCTTAAAAAAAAAATACTGATTCACTTTTGCAATTTTTCAGATACTACTTGATGTGACACCTCCCCTAGGCTTGCTGTGGGTCTCTTGGAAGATAGAGCTATATTAACTCCTTGACTTAAAGGGCAGCAGACTATATAAGGTCTCTTTACAGACAGAGTAGGGAGAATAATGAAAAACTTTTTGATTTCTAGAGAGAAGAGAGAAGACATAGCAATGGAACTGTTCTTAGCTTTGTTTGCTACAACTCTTCAAAGTTTAATTTTAGATTCAGTGCATTTATTCATAGAGCATGAAACATATAATCATGCCTTTTACTAATTGCGGATACTTAAAATTATATATTTTTGACCTACTGTGTTATGGTCAATTTGAAAAAGAATGGTTTGATTATATATTATTGTCTGTAGATTCCCTGTACTATTCTAGGATCATATGACATATTATCATTACTAAATATAGCACTAATTATTGATGCTCCCTATGGTATTTAAAACTAATTTAATTATAATGTTTCCCTAAATTCATATTTTAATAAAGCAGAAGAAACTGATTACATTTGAATGTACAAGCTTATATGCTACTAGAAACAATTGTTTTCTAAATTCCTTAATTTATTAAAAAAATAGCAATGGCTCTCTTAAGGAGCCATTTGTGCACTGAGTATAGAAAGGTGTATAACTGTATTAAAATTTAAGGCAATGCATATTTTTATAGCTTCCTTATCCCCAAAACACTTCTGTATTGGCTGGTTCACATACAGAAAATGATACCTTTTCCTGCTGACCAGAAACTTCTTCAGATTATCTGGTGACTTAAGAGACCTTAAACAAACATTCTTAAGCAGTAGTTCCCAAAATAGTTACTTTCTAAGTTATATTCTTTAAATGTCATGGTTCTTCACATGATTGTAGATGTGTATTAAAGAACTTGCTTCCCCAGGGTCCATGTGCTAGGTTGTTATTATTTTCCCCAATTATTCACTGAGTTCCCCATAGGAGGATTGTACTTCCCAGCCCCAGGGTTGGCCATGTGCTTTTCTTTGACTAATGGGAACATGAGTGACTTATATGTTGTCTAACCATAAACTTTACTTGCCATCAGTCATTTCACCATTGCTTTTTTCCCTGTGGCACAAGAATGGTGTGTCATAGAGAATGTTCCTTCAGCCTGGATCCTGGAATGAAGAAAACGTGGAACAGAGTCACAGCCCACCTGCAGTCAATATGGAACATAGGCTGGAAATAAACCTTTTTTGTAAAACAACAGGATTTGGGGGTTGATTTTTACCACAGCAGAAACTTGGAAAAGCTGACTTCTCAGACTGTAATTGCAGCTCTTGTTGAATGAAAAAAAGGAAACTTAGGTGGTCATGTAACTCACTTCTGTTCTACCAGCCTGCACTTCAGCCTGCAGTTGCTTGGGTCCAATCCACTCCTACATTTTGCTCTTAAGGATTTGAACTGAGAGGCATAGAATGTTGTGTTCAATTATGGTGACCTTGAGCTGAAAGGTTTTGTAGAGCAAGGGTTACGGTTGGTTTCACAAGCTGAAGTCATGAGTAAGCAGAAGGTATAAGTGAGCCGAGGAAGCTGATATGCAGATCATAGTAACAGTCAACATTTATTGAGAAGTTACTTTAGGCCAAACATTTCTCCAAGCACACCCTATGTATAATCTCCTTTAGTCTTCATATCCATGCTATGGACAGGGCCAAATTGAGACAGCTGCAATAAGCATTGAAAAGATTATGGTGTTTTGTTGCCACTCCTGCAATGTAAGCACAAACCCAAGATAATTTCATATAATACCCATTATATTGCAAAATCACCACTTTAATGACCATATGGATGCTTTTTCATATCAATTTTTTTGAAATATTTTATCCCTTCATCTTGATTCCCCTGCTTTGCTGGTGCATGGAGCACATTCTTATTCTGCCTATGGGTAATATATGACTGCTTATGAGGTAGGTACTGATTATTATTCCACTTTACAAATAAAGAAATGGAATCTTCAAGAGGTTGCAAAGATGTCTATGGTCATATACATACTAAGGGCTGGAACTGAAATTCAAACTTGGATCTATTATCATAGATACAAAAATCAGTGCACTTAGCCACAGTGGAACAAAAGATGAAGCTTAGGAGACACCAAGAAGAACCTCTGCTCCTCATTTTCCAGTTTCTAACTCTTATGTGGCCTGGCTATGGTTAATATACTGCTCTTATATGTGCACTGGAGGTGAGGAGAGAATAGAGAAGTCAAAGAAAATGCCCTCATCTATCTGTCTTTAGGGTTACTCTTCGTTTGAGGTATCCTAAAACAATACTGCTTGTTTCTTAATATTTTACTAGAAACCCACTTAGGGTTTGTCCAAGCCCTCTTTCTTGTTACACCACAGACATAAGTCCAGGCAGCTAGGCCAAGGTGGATTGAATGACAGCTATGCAGATTGTACAAATATGTGGCAACTAAGACTTTGTCACCTAGTCAAGTTTATTGTGCTTGGCTGGCTCTTCTCTCCCTTAAAATAAGAAGTCCTGTCTTCTGTAGTTTCTCAGTCTCTCAAGCAAAATTTCTCTATGGTGTAGTGACTCAGTTTCCCAGATATCTGCACATTTCTGAGCCCAAGTAGTAGTGTTAAGAATATTTATTTTTGAATTAGACTGCTGTCAACATCATTTGCTAGCCAGAGGACATTGAATAAATTACTCTTCTAAGGAACTACCACATAGGGTTATTGGGAAGTTTGGGTGAGGCTTTCTGCTATAGGCTGAGCATAGGCTGAACATGGGCTGCTTTGTTATTTATTATCGACATGTAGTGCTTTATGTGTCTACAAACTGATAATCTCTTGAAATAACTGAGGTCCACACTTTCCAACCCAATAGTTTAGAAAGCCGAGAGTCTCAGTTTATCTAAATGGATTAAACCTTTAAGGTACTTTTGATTTATCTCTTAAAAGGGAGTTGGAATATTGTTAAGGACCTTCTAAGTCAAGCCTCCCTTGAAGGCCCCTTTGTTACCACTGATATTAGTGAACCGTGTCCAGCTTCATGGTGGTGGCATTGTGGGAAGGAACACGAGGTCCTTACTCTGATTGCAGCTGTGTTCATTCTGGCTAGGAATTTCTGACAGGGAATAAAATTCAGGGCCTTCAGCTGTCTAGTTGTGTCTTGAGGCTATACAACTTGAAGTTTTGCCAAATCCCTCCCCTTCACCCTTCATGGGTTTTTGGCAATTGGTTACAGGGCATGGAACTTTGCCTGTAATCACATGGCAGGGACCAAGAATTCTAGGTTCTTTATCATCTGCAGGTGCAGCCCCTCAGGTATTATGCAGCTGCAGTGAGGGGTGTTTAAAGCAGGGAACCATACTGACTAGAGTTTAGACAAGTGATTCTCAAAGTTTTGTGTGCGTCAGAATCAACTGGAGGGTCTGTAAACATATAGATTGCTGATCTCTGACCCCTGAGTTTCTGATCCATTAGCTGTAGGTGGGGCCTGAAATTTTGCATTTCCAGCAAGTTCCCAGGATATGATGTTGTTAATCCAGATACCTAGAAATATTTCTCTATTAATATTTGTATTGTGTCCTCTCTCCATAGGATTTTACCACTCAAAAATCTTTTTATTAACCAATATGATATCAGATATGGATGTAGTTGACTGGCAGACATGGTTGCATAAAATCTATTGATGGGGACTTGTTTTACTGAATTTTCTATCAAATCACATAACAATGACATCTGTATGGTCACTGCTTTACATTTATTTATAAACATTAAACGGAAGTATATTTGGGTGAAGTACAAAGATAGATAAAATTAGATTTAACAATAGGAAACATATTTTCAAGAAGTATAGTTCAGTTTTACTCTTGGGAAACATATTTTTATAGAGCTAAAAGTAAATAATGTCCTAATCTGAGAGGCCTGAAATAACACTGCTGAAATTTACATGCTTTGTTGAATGCGACTTTTAGAAATGTTTACTCCCAAGAAGTCTAGGTTCAAGATGTATATAAAATGATATTGATAATTCACATGTATTAATTGTTTATTATTTGCTAAGCATTGTGCTAGATGCCTTCCTCTTACAGTCTTATGAGGTAGGCACAGTATTTGCATCCTTGTTTTAAAGATGAGAAAACTGAAGCTTAGGGATGTTAAGTGACATGCCATACTCATACCTCGGCAGGATTTGAGTGAAAGTCTGACTCTCAAATTTAAGCTTTTAATTAGTATCCTATACAGATTTTATAGGACAAATTTGTTAAGTCAGAGATACAAGCCCTCTGTTGTTGTCACCTTTTAACAATCTTTCTTCCTTCAGAGAACTCCCTTACCCTTCAAGTACACAGCTTCTTCCTGATTTCTAGGGATCCTTCTTTATTGAGAAATTTCATGCTTTATTTGCATGTTAATGTTTTCACCTCTTTTCAATTAAAGGCTCTGTTTCCTATTGAAGTTTTAGGCAATATCAAGTAGGATTTTTTTTTTGAACAAAGAAAAATTATTGTCTTTGAAATCATACTATTTCTGAGGTTAAGTTTAAAAGCTGACCTGCTTGTGTCATATTAGGATTCTTTCAATCTTAGGAGAGTGAGAACAATGGAATTCTTGAACTTTTCCCATTCTTTCTTCTGGCTGTGCTCTCGATGAGCTCTATGGACTTGACCAAGTCACCTACCCAATTTACATCTCTGTTCTCATTCACCTTTTGTTTTATGCATGCTTAGTTTTCATATTTTGACATCGCTGTGGCATGATCGCTTTGAGCGCAATATTTAAAAATCAAAGGGGCCAAGGCTTTCAATCATTAGACTTGTTTTAAAAGGCAAAGAAACTATTGAAAACCAGAGTTGCATTTCATGCATTTTATGCATGCCTCTAACTTACATTAGAGGCTAACTTATCATGTTTATTTCTGGTTTATGAAGGTAGATTTTGTAAGAACTATTCTGTTCTGGTTTTTACTTTTTATTCTTACTAAGAGTCTGTGAGCACTACTCTTGAAATGCTTGATCTGACCCAAGTTGACATGTGCTTATTTTCCTTCCTGAAGCAAAAGCCTATTAACACTTCAAAAGGTTTCAAACCATAAGATTACCATTACTCCAAATATTCTCTCCAATTCAAATTGACAGAGTTCCCACTCCATCAAACACTTGGTAAAAGAGCATGTTTATCTTTAACTTCAGAAGAGTATAACACAGAAAGTGTAAAGTGTTATATAAAAATTTTATTCCCAGAGTATCAAAAGATAAAAAAGCAAGGAAAATTACATTATATGTCTTTCAGCAATCATTTTTTTCACTAATTTAACATTTATTGAGGGCCCACTATGTGTTGTTGAGGGCCCACTATGTGTGAGACAGTGATGCTGCTAGACTCAGACCATCTTTAATAACATTTGAATGTGTAAGATTTTTGCCTTGGCTTTCTTCATAGAAATTTCCATTGGTATAAAAACAAAATATTCATTAAAATAATTTGATAGAATGTTCCACAGCCAGTTCTATACTTCTATGTGTACAAAATCAGGAAGAACCTCTTATTTTCCCTAGAGCAGATCTTGGGGATGTTGCATACCAGTTCACATTTATTGAGCACTTGTAGGTGCTATACCAAGTGTTGAATGGATACTCTCTCATTTAATCCTCTCAAGAGTCCTCAGACACAACCATTATTATCACACTTCTGAAGTTGTAGAAACAGGCATGGAGAACGAACTCACTTGTGCAAAGTTACACAGCATCAGTCAGGATTCAGATTGTTTTCTGTTGACTCTGAAGTTCATACCATTAACTGCTATACTACAAAAGGTGCTTGCCTAAAGATGGTCCTATACTTTTGACTTTGTAGTCTCTGAAGCTTAAGTACCTCTGGGTTTTGCAGCAGCTATGGACATAGAAGCATGTATGGTAATAATAATGATAAAGCTATCAATTGTAATAATTATAATGGTTAATAATATAAATGATAGCATTTATAACAATATAATTAGATAATATAGTAATTAATATTTTTATAATGTGTTATATGTTAGTAATATTATAAAATAGCTATCTTCAATAACCCTTACAATATGCTAGACAATGTTCTGTGTGTTAAACCATGCATTGACTCATATGGCTTAAAAGCAAAATATAAGAGAAGCCAGATGGAGGGATATTGAGAGACATACTGAGAAGTTGGAAGGCATGTCTTTTACCTATTAAAGCGCTGATGATGTCAGATATCCAGATACTTGCAAATTTTGGGAAAAAGATAAAATTTTTAATTTTTATTTTCATATTTAAGTTCTTTAGGTTTAGCTTTGGTATCAACTAAATGCCACCCCAAATGACAGTACAACAGGGTTGTCACATTTAACTCCTTTTTGTTAGTAAAATATAAGAAAAAATAGTGAGGGAAGATATGGTACATTCCAGTAAATTGTATTCACCTTTCATATTATATTTGTTCTCATGGCTTTTGAAGAGTAAGAGCACCAGGGAGAATAGTTGCTTTAGTTTCATTATCAGCTCCTCTGATAATGTATTGGTGCCTTGGCTACTATAAATTGTCATCTTTGTATTCTGGGACTACCAACATTGCCATATTTGTGTTCTAATGCTGTTTGGAGCTCACTGTTGGTTGGGAACATGATTCTGTGTTTTGGATGTTTTCAAACTGAATAATATTGTTTGTTTGATATCATCTATTGCTATGCTTTTTAATTCATCTTCTGTATTAGAGCATCATCTGGTAAGTTAAAGAAAAAGCATGAGCTCAATTTCTAAAGGTTCTGATTTAATTAATCTGGTATTTTTAAAAAGACTCCCCAGGAGATTCCAATTTGCAGCCACTGATTTCCCAGATGCCCAACATTTTATTAGCTTCCATCTCTGAATTACAATGTCTTTTCTTCTTAGCACCATGAACAGGATGGCATCAAAGTAGAATTTCTTCAGCCTAGTCCTCTGAAATAAGTTTAAGAACCCCAGGCTAAATATGCAAAACATAGAATTACAGGAATGTCTCAGGTTCTTTATGTTAGTGCTAGGAAATTAGGGGATCCTTGTGTGGCTTTAGGCCTAACTTGGTTTAAATTGACTTGTTAATACATTCATTTAACAGCGATTTGTATAGGTACTTTTAGGAAACCAGGCTGATAATTGGTCTGTTACATATATGTGTTCCTGTTTGTGTCATTGTCTTAGTAAGAAGTATTCTATATTGCTATGATTGGATTTAGTTGTTTTTATGTGGCCTTATTGCTTTTAGTGGAAGAATTATTTTATTATGTTCTTTTGTAACTTTGTTGATCAGTTTTGTAGTTCTACTATACAATGAAGTAGAACATGGTTATTGTTCATTATGATACTTACATACTTTATATAAAGAAAATTATTTAAAGAACTGGGTGGTGAATAGGTTGGACAATTATTATTTTCCGTTTCATCTTTTTTTCTTAAATGATCAGTATGATGTAGCTTATTAATTAGGTTTTTTTTTGTATATTTTTATTTTGAAGGGGGGAAAATACTACTATCACCCTTTCTCTAGCATCCATAATTATTGCTAAAGAAGTTAAATTACCATCAAGAAATTCAACAGTTAAGAGAACTACATTAGTTATTATTTCGATGTTGAAGAACCAATTGAGTATATTTATGTTCTTAAATTTTGTATTAATAATTAATATTTCATCAGAAATTTTTGACATGGAAAATAATTTGTGGAAGAGCTTTTTCCTTATAGAATAAAAGGCCTAGAGAGACTTCTGCGTCTTCCCCACTCTCGTCTTTCAGGCAACTGATGTTCTGAACCATGTAACTTTTCAATTTTTATTTTTTCCATTTTGTTTTAACATAAAAAGCAACACACGTTTAGACATTCTAGCAAGGTACAAAGAAGAAAGTGAAAATCAGTCATAATCCCATAATGATTGATTCTTTTTTTTTATTATTTACTTTAAGTTCTGGGATACATGTGCTGAACGTGCAGGTTTGTTATGTAGGTATACATGTGCCATGGTGGTTTGCTGCACCTATCAACCCATCATCTAGGTTTTAAGCCCTGCATGCATTAGGTATTTGTCCTAATGCTCCCCCTCCCATTGGCCCTCACCCCCCGACAGGCCCCAGTGTGTGACGTTCCCCTCCCTGTGTCCATATGTTCTCATTGTTCAACTTCCACTTATGAGTAAGATCATGCTGTATTTGATTTCCTGTTCCTGTGTTAGTTTGCTGAGGATGATGGTTTCCAGCTTCATCCATGTCCCTGAAGAGGACATGAACTCATTCTTTTTTATGGCTGCATAGTATTCCATGATGTATATGTGCCAAATTTTCTTTATCCAGTCTATCATTGATGGGCATTTGGGTTGGTTCCAAGTCTTTGCTATTGTAAATAGTGCTGCGATAAACATATGTGTTGCATGTGTTTTTATATTAGAATGATTTATAATCCTTTGGGTATATACCCAGTAATGGGATTGCTGGGTCAAATGGTATTGCTGGCTCTAGATCCTTGAGGAATTGCCACACTGTCATCCACAATGGTTGAACTAATTTACATTCCCACCAGCAGTATAAAAGCATTCCTATTTCTCCACATCCTTGCCAGCATTGGTTGTTTCCTGACTTTTTAATGATTGCCATTCTAACTGGCGTGAGATGATATCTCATTGTGGTTTTGATTTGCATTTCTCTAATGACAAGTGATGATGACCTTTTTTTCATGTTTGCTGGCCACATAAATGTCTTTTTTTGAGAGGCGTCTGTTCATATCCTTTGCCTACTTTTTGATGGGTTTTTTTTTTATTGTAAATTTGTTTAAGTTCTTTGTCGATTCTGGATATTAGCCCTTTGTCAGATGGATAGATTGCAAAAATTTTCTCCCATTCTGTATGTTGCCTGTTCACTCTGATGATAGTTTCTTTTGCTGAGCAGAAGCTCTTTAATTTAATTAGATCCCATTTGTCAATTTGGCTTTTGTTGTAGTTGTTTTTGGTGTTTTAGTCATGAAGTCTTTGCCCATGCCTATGCCCCGAATGGTGTTGCCTAGGTTTTCTTCTATGGTTTGTATGGTTTTAGGTTTTATGCTTAAGTCTTAATCCATCTTGAGTTAATTTTTGTATAAGGTGTAAGGAAAGGGTCTAGCTTCTGTTTTCTGCATATGGCTAGCCAGTTTTCCCAGCACCATTTATTAAATAAGGAATCCTTTCCCCATTGCTTGCCTGTGTCAGGTTTATCAAAGATCAGATGGTTGTAGATGTGTAGTGTTATTTCTGAGGACTCTGTTCTGTTCCATTGTGCCTAGAGATGGAAGTTAGTTCCTGATCTGATAGCCAATTTCAGCGTTTATGATCTTGAAAGTCATAGAGTCTGCCTTTTGTGTATCAATTCTGTTCCAATTTGGATCTTTTTTCCTCACTGGGAACAGTAACTTAATTTCCTTCCGAAATATTTTACGTACTTTCAAAGAAGAACTTGAACATAGCACACGTGTATTTTTTATGTGAAATGAAGCAACTCCATTTAATTTTTGTTCATAATGCTGATATTCCATCTACTGGACAAATTTTAACATCTCTTGGATCTTTCCAGTTTCTCTAAAACTCATTTAAATTTGTGTGATTAGGACTAGACACAAGCCTAGGAATGTTGAAAGGCGAGTCAGCAGTACTCTGATAGTTATTTGTGTATCTCCCACAACCCCACAGATCTTTCAAAATTTAGCTGAAAATTCATCTCTCTATGATGCTTTTCTTGGATTGAGGCCCTCATCTGGTCTACTACATTTATCCTTGTGGCCATGTTTTGGAGACCTTCAGGGTCAAGGTGTATATCTTTGCAATTTTTGATTATATGACCGCTGTCCTATATCCCTTAGCTCCTTAAAATACAATTGGTTTTATATTGATTTGTTCTTGTAAATGACTCTGTGTCCTTTAGCCCTTTCATTTGTTTTCTCTGAATGACATGTAAGCTCATTTTAGGGTCATGGGAGAAAAGGGACAACTCAAGTCTTGTTTTTCTTTAATACTTTTTCTTGGTCTCCTCCCATAACTCCCCAGAACCTTGTATGGATTATGTTTATGGCTTTTATTTTTTAAAGGTGATAGAGTCTGACAAAGACCAGATTTGAAAAGACCAATGACTAATTCTTTTAAAAATATGTGTATTCCTATAAAATATATCAAATATTAATCTGTGGAAAATTCTCCAAATGATATCCTAAAAACCTGCTAACCACTCTACAATGCTAAAGTTGAGATTCTTAAGGAATTATTTATATTATGAGATATTTCTCATTTGTAAAACATATTTGATTCACTTTAAAATCTGCCTGTTCTTTTTCATAATGACCCAATCTTGCCTTGATAGTTACAATTTCTTTAAATATTTTAAACACCCTTATTATAGAGTTACTTTGAGATTGCTCTATTATCTGTGGATCCCTGGGGATGATTTTTTCCATTTGATGTGCCACTCATGGCATTTGCTTTTCCAGCAACTTAATCTTTTATAGCAATTATCTTCTATGTGCCCATGGTTATGAAGGTGTCCCTTTGGGGAGGTTTTATGCTTGTCAGTTACAGTGTCCTACAGAACCTGTTGTAGACCATTTCCATTGGTTTTACTTTTTGAGGTTTCCATTCTGTGTGAATTGTGTAAGGATTCAGACTCCACATCTGCGTACTACGCAGGCCAGAAACTTACTTCTTACAAAAGATTCTAGTTTGGCCCAGGCCTGAGGTACACTGTTTGTATCTGTGCCATGTCTTTGCATTGGTAGGGGATGTCCTCCCAGTTAGACCTTCCATTCCCAGCTTCCAGGTCAGTGCCAGCTCTTGCCTGCACATGTCATCAGGCATCTTCCTTTCTGCCTCTTGGGTGCATTCATTCCAGTTACCTCTGTAAAGTTTGGACTTCAGCTTCTAAGCATTATTATTGGTTCTCTTTGTCTATGGCACTTGAAGATTTCCTTCCTTGCTTTAAGCTTGGCTATGTATTTTCCCTCATATTTTACCTAGCATTATTATATGTTTAGAAAGGGAGGGAGGCTTCCTGCTACTGCTTAGCCCACTCTCTGGACCCAAATTCTTAATTATAGACCAATATTGATCTCATTCTTTTGGCAGACATTGTTTCTTTCCACTATCTGTTCTTCTCTGTAACTTCTTAATTTTGTCACAGTGACTATGCTGAACTAAATACTCATTTTCTCAGCTTCCTTTGTAGCTAGAAATGGCCGGATGAAATAGTTCTGGCCAGTGAAACTAATAAGGATAATAAAGGGATGGGTGCATCTGGCACTCTCCTTTTCACCTTTGTTCCAATTTTGATACCGGACTTAATGTTTAGAACTATAGCAACTCTTTTGTGACTATGAGATGACAAGCATGAGGACAAAGGTCATTGTACAAAGGACAGTAGAATGGGAAGCTGGAAAGAACCTTGAGAATTGATGGCATTGTTGAGAAATAGAATCAAAGGCAACGTACTGCTGCTTGTGGAGACAAACTCTTATTTGTAGAAGCCATGGTTAGTTGGCTGTTTTTGTTACTTGTGAATGAGCACATTCCTAATTGATATATAGCCCTAATAGTTGCAATGTTGGTATTATGTAGCAAAATAAGAGTGGAGAGACTCTCCTAGTGACTTCCAAATTATACTGGGCGATACAGACTTTTGAATAGTGATCAATTTGTGACATGTATTAAACAAGAGTTGTTAGAATTTATAGACAAATCAATACCTATTCAGCCTACGTGCATTGTGATTATTAGATTAAAATACTGGCATATATTTACAGTTGACATTGTCAGCATCAGGACAAACGTCTCTAAGAAAGTCTGTTGACTTCTGTTGCTTTAAAAAAGAGAATAGTACTTTGATTCTGCTTTATTATAAATTTTAAACTCTAGCTTTTGAATTACTCATGCATCTAAATAATACGGTGCTATATAGCATTTTAAATTACAATAAACTGTATATAAAAGATAAACATGACTAGAATAGAAAGTTTACAAAATTAATAGGAAGAAATTAGAAATAATTTCTTATAAATAAATAGTATAATTAGAGTGGGGAATGGAACAATAGATATTTAATTTTTTATGTGATGGGTTTGAAATACAACCTCCAGAAAGTGCTTTTGGTTTTCCTTCATGCATATTCTGTATTGTGTAGTGACAAGACATTACATAAGATGGCAGTAGGAGATTACAAATGTTCCCTCTCAGAGTGACATGTTCCAATGAATTGGCCTGTAAAATATAATAAACACAATTATATAATAGCTGTTTTGGATTGCTAGATTTCATATATATATATAAAATCTTCATTGACTACCCATCACTTTTATAATGGAATGAAGAAAGCTTCTTATTTTTATTTCACATACTTTTTTAAAAAGGATTCATATACAATGTTATATTTCAGTTCACTTTTTTCTGCCCAACTCTCTAAAAACTAAAATTTTGCTTGTTTTTCTAGACTATGACTTAATAGAGTAAGGCAAGGTTTCTTATAATATTTTAGCATTTTATTAAATAAAAAGATATTATTGCCTGCTGTAAACTCATAAAAAGGATATATTTCCAGAGATTAACTATTTCATTATTGTTTTTTCCTACATATTATTGGATTTGATATTTTAAAGATTATGTTATTATTTTTAATCTTAGAAAATTAATCTGAGATGAACTAGGTTTTCCAGGATGTAGTTAGATATAAGAGATTGATAGTAAGCTTTATGTGCTTTGCTGTTTCCAAAAAGATGAATATATTGCTTTGTGCCTCTAACCATTAGAAGCCCAGAAATTAAGATAAGCCATAAATAATGACTGTATATTGATAACAAAAGCAAACATTGGGCACAAAATTTCTAATATTTGTACTGTTTATTATTTTTCTGGAAGAACTTATGCATTCTTTAATGTCAGTCCATAAACACCAGAGGACCATCTGAATGTAGACAACTCTGCAAATCTGCTAAATCAGAGAGGAAAACATCGAATCTATCTATATAGAATCTATGTAGAATCTTGATATAGATTTGTTGTTAAACCTAGAGAATTGAAGTCCATAAACCAATGAATAAATTACCACAGGAGAAACACTTCATTGATGACAAATATGATCTTTTTTAACTATTACTCTTCTTATGTAAAGGAAATTACATTTTAATTCTTCCAGACTTCCAGACTTTTTGACTTTCCAGAATATGAAAAGTTGTGACATTCTTTATATACCTAAACATTGAGGATTTGATATTTTTTCCCTGCTCTGTTGGGATAAATTCTGTACACTTGGGATAAAATAAGGGGCATAGCTTTTGTTTTACAACATCATGCATATTAAACCTAATGTAATTTGTTTATTCAAAATGCAATTAAACAAATATGAAATTATAAACATAAAACTGTTACATAATTAAATTTGATACCTGAAAACTGGTAGATTTAAAAATATGTCAATCAGCAAGTGTTACAAGTCATAAGAGGAAATTGCAGGGTATTATTACTATTATTATTTTAGATATGAAATATGAAATTTTATGTTTATTGCTTTCTGATCATTTAAACCATATGAGTAAAATTTTTAATTATAATGAATAGTTTATTTTACTCTCATCCAGTACATGTTGTTTATTATTTCATGTGTATATGTTAAATATTATCTTTTCTCATCCTAGTCACTTAATTTTTCTTTAAACATTTCATAATGTTATAACAAATTAACTTTTAATTTAATAGTGTTATTCTTCATCAGATTTTGCTAGAGAGTAGTAGAATATTCTTGGATACAAGGTTTTTAAAGTTTTACTTTTTAAAGAAGTTATGTTGTCTCTATTTGTAGCCCTATCGTCAGAGTTTTTATATTCAGATGTCTGTTTTTCCTTTTCATCTAAATTCAGCCTACCCACTGTACCTGTATACCGATTCTTACCCATGCAGCCTGAGTGAGCAATACTCATGGTTCCCCAACAAGCTTCCAAAATGAGTATCCTTCAATATCTACAGCTCTTAGCTGGACGTCTTTTCATAGTGGGGGAATCTATTCTCTGCTGCCCTTTATTTTTGGGTCTTAACTGTTTCCACAAATGCTGAACTAATTCTCTGTCATATAGACAGCTGTCTGTAGGACTCAGCATCTCAGTTACACTAGATCCTAAATATTGTGCAAGCTCTAGAGTTTCTATTCAGCTCTGACCAGCAACTAGTGGCCTTTTAGCAAGGAGCACAGTTAATGCAATAAAGTATCTTGGGGCAGCAGTGGAGTGGGGTTCTGTATGTGTGCCTTCCCATGAAATTGTCCCATGTCTTTATTGTTCAATTGATAAAATTCTCAAAGAGTGACACAAAAACTCTACTTTGAAATGCTTTCTGCCCAGGGCTGCAGAGGCAAAAGTATGCAAATAGTCCTATAGCCTAGCATTTTTAAAAAGATTTTTATTTTAGAAAGGAAATCAGTATATTGAAGAGATATCTGCACTCCCATGTTTGCTGCAGCACTTTTCACAATAGCAAAGTTTTTTTTTTTTTTTTTTTTTTTTTGAGATGGAGTCTCACTCTGTGGCCCAGGCTGGAGTACAGTGGTGCAATCTCAGCTCACTGCAACCTCTCCTCCCAGGTTCAAGTGATTCTTCTGCCTCAGCCTCCCAAGTAGCTGGGATTACAGGTGCAAGCCACCACGCCCAGCTAACTTTTGTATTTTTAGTAAAGACAGGGTTTCGCCATGTTGGCCAGGCTGGTCTTGAACTCCTGACCTTGGGTGATCCACCCGCCTCGGCCTCCCAAAGTTCTGGGATTACAGGCATGAGCCATCGTGCCTGACCAAAAACTATGCTTCCTAAACAGATTTTTACAGGGAGGAATTTGCTACCTGAGAAGACATAGTTCCATCCAGTGGTAACTAATCCAACTCTAATCATATGCTCCGGAATGATCCTATAGTTAAGACATTCAAAGTCAAAGTTAATAATAGCTCTTTCCAGCTAATTCCAGATAAAAACAATCACTTTCAATACGAATTAGCTCCAATGCTCTCTATTAAAAAAAAAAAAGCTAGTGGTTCTGATACTCACCAGCTCCATGACCTTGGGCAAATGACTTAACCTTTCTAAACCTCAGCTCTCTGGTCTAATAATGGCATAAAGATTGGATGAGTTAATGAAAGTAAAAACAGTGCATTGCTTACCACTAAGTAAGTAAATGTTAGCTCTGATTATTATATTATTCAAAGATATAGCCCAAATGAAGTAGTTTCAGAGAATACATGGGAGGCATATTCCACAGGAACAAACTTAAAAAGTAGCTCTTAGGGAAGATCTTGAACTTCCAACAATGACAGGAACACCAAAATGAGAAAGAAAATATCTAGTTTAAAATGTATGAGCATAGATCCAGGAGCTGATGTGAAAGTACTTGGTCCTTTTTGCTCTTTTCAATAGATAGTACACTTAAAAATGGCAGCACTTTGATGGAGAGACCAATGTCACACCAAATCAAATGACCATGTGGTGAACTTGGTAATTATAAGTACTAACAGCAAGCTGGCCAATGGCCAGTCAGCATTTCCATTCCACAGGTGCTCTTCAACAGCAAAGCCTGGTTACATTCCCATTAGTTGTTCACACAGAATGCTCAGACTCATGTGGTTTCTGCCTTGTCAGTCATAAAATGCTCAAAATTCCTGCCATAAAATGGCAGGAATTCAGTGCTGAACTCAGTATAATAAGTCACAGATATTAGACAGTTTCCACAAACTAATTATACTTTCATATTTCTAGTCTTAAAAAAGGATAATTTCTATACAACTGAGAAACATCTGAAAGCCAGTTGGTTGAGGTCTGAAACTCAAACTCAGCAATGCTATCAACCCTGAAAGTATGTGAAATGATTAATGTGGTGTTTCCACAGAGTTTGCCTAGGAAGTAAGTAGCACTAGAATGCCCCATCTGAAAAGGGTAATGATAAATTGGTGGTTTGGGGGAAATGGTACAGTAGGTGCCAAATGTCAAATCCCTGATATGTATCCTGAGGTATGGAAAATTCCTTAGGCTTTTGCTACTGTGAGGATTTGAGAATATTTCTGCTTCCTGAATCTACTTCTGAGGAAATTTCAGTTTCCCTATTAGAGGGACTCAGCATTCATTTAGGGACCATTTGTACTGAGATCACAAGAGTCCTTTCTGGGAACATCAGTCCTTAGAAGAAGGTTTTCTATTTAACTCCTAATTACTTTGCTACACTATAATCCCTATTTCAGTAGGATCACTAAGTTTTGCCAAAGGAAAAAGCCAATATAATCAATAGATTGTAATTAAATTCAAATGCCGTATTTGGGAACTTTGCCTTGAAGGAGGATGAGGAGCTGTTTTCAGGCACAGAAAGCAAGAACAGTTTGGAGATTTGAAAGAACATTCTGTGATTGAACAATGGCAAACAGTCTGGTTTGTTGCTAACACTGGGGCTGGAACCTTGGAGGGAGGCCAGTAAAAGAAAGATAAGCTTCTAGATCTCTGGAACAAAAATGTCAAGCAAAAGCTACCTCCCACTCAAAGCTCTTCTCAACTGTGTGTGCTTTTGCTGTGATTTGCCTTCACAATGCATTCTTCTTGTCAGTTCTGTGCAGCTGTTAACTGAATTATTGTGGTAACTTTGGCCATAAGTGATGGTCTTGGCTAACAGTTACTCGTAATAAGAAGAGATTGGCCAGGTATGTTGGCTCATGCCTGTAATTCCAGCACTTTAGAAGGCCGAGGTGGGTGGATCACCTGAGGTTAGGAGTTTGAGACCAGCCTGGCCAACATGTTGAAACACCATCTTTACTAAAAATACAAAAAGTAGCTGGGTGTGGTGGTGCATGCCTGTAGTCCCAGCTACTCAGGAGGCTGAGGCAGGAGAATCACTTGAACCCAGGAGGCGGAGGTTGCAGTGAGCCAAGATACGCCACTGCACTTCAGCCTGGGCAACAGAGCAAGACTCCATGTCACACACAAAAAAGAAGAGATCACAAAAACATAAATGGTTGTTATTATTTCATAGTAATGTTATTTTTTACTAGATGGACTGTGCTGTCACTTACCCTGTACTGGAGGTGGGCTTTTACCCTTCTCTCCATCTCCCTTACTCACCTATCAGGCAAGTCTATAGCCCTATAAACCACACCCATGTGTGCCTTCTGTTTCTATATCTTTCTTTTCCTCTTTTGCTTGAGACACTCCACTCAATCCCACCTTTGCTCTTTGGACACTTTTATTTCTTCTGGCTTGGCTCCTAGTGCTGTTCTCTTTGTTCGCTAATTTCTGCTTGTTTATATTTTATGGAGTCTCTCTCCTTTGCTTTTTGCCCTATCTGAACCAGATTGTGTTCTCTCCCATGCGACCTGTACCTCCCCTAGAATTTTAGCCATATTCTCTCAGGCAGAATTAATTCCTCCCGTAACTTGCTATTGACAATTCCTGCATCCTGCCTTGCAGTATAATTCATTCATTCATTCTGTCTCTCTCTCTCTCTCCTTCTTTTCCTCCCTTCTTTCCCAGCTAAAATATAAGTTTCTCAGGGCCTAGTTTATCTTCAAACCATAAAAATACTTAATAAATATTTAAGTCGAATTTATTTCCTGTTCTGTCTAGTAACTCAAATTATTGCATTTCTTTTTCTACTCTCCATTAAAATATTTTAATTTGGAAGTTAATAAATGACATTGTTTCATTACTTTTATACTTTATGCCTGGGTGGCAAATACATGGAAATTATTTTCTGTGATCACTTTTACAGGCCTCTAAGGGTGTTGTGGGGATTAAATGGGATAATGCATAGAAGCGCGGCATCTGGCATAGAATAGAGCTCACTAGCATTAGTGTTTTTAATAATTAGAAGGATCACAAATGTTGAAGTTCTGTGCTTAAACGCGTGAACTTAAGGTAAAAATAACATCAGAAAGGAATAGTCAGTTCTCACAAGTACTTATGTAATACTATTCAACTTTTTTTCTTGACAGCAGCATTATGACAAAAGTAAAACTTGAGATCTGTAATAGTCTGTGGCATAATTACATTTAGATGGTTACAAATGAAAAGATTGTAAATCTCCAACTTGTATGAGATGCAAAGAGGTCTTTCACAGGACCATAATAAACTATTCTAGCTAAACAACTGTCTATCATCTTTTCTCAGAAATCTTGTGATATTTCTTACATTTTAATGTGTGCTAACATGCATGGCTTGGTCCAACGTACCAGAGTGATGCCTCTAAATCATGCTGATAGCCATGTAAACTGGTACCCAGACTTTCTCTCTCACTCTCTGTCACACACACACATGCACACACGCACACACACACAATTATAACAGCCCACCACCAGGAGGGTAGAAAATCAGTGAGTGAGTTTTCTGATTGTGGGGATGAAATTGCTCTGGGTCATTTATTCTCTCTCCCTCAGGCTTCCAAGTGACAGTGACATATTTTTCTTTTCTGATTTAAAGATGTATTCCTGACTTTGTAAAAGAGTGTCCACCTGGCCCCCAGAGGTTCTTATTCGTGGTTTCGGTTTCATTGCTGTCCCTTAAACACCCCAAGCAGAATTCTGCTTCATGTGATAGCACTTTCATTTCCTCTGCCAGGACAACTCTTGTTCTAGATAGCCACATGGCTTACCTCTTTGCTTCACCAGGACCTCTGTCACCTTGTTAGAGAGTCATCTCTGCTCATCTTAGGTAAAATAGAACACCCGTAGCACTCTCCATTCTTTATAACTCCATTACTACCTGACATTGCTATTTTATTATTGTCTGTCTGCCCCTTGTAGAATGTAAGCACCGTGGCGTAGCGGGCTTTTTCTGCATTGTCCATTAGTCTGTCTCCAGCATTTTAAACTTCATTTAGTAAAGAATAAGTATCAAAAAAATATTGTTGAAAGAATGTATAAAACTAGCTGAGATAGAGACAACTGTCATTTATGGAAAATTACAAGTCCTGATTTATGAAGTATGCCTTTGGGTGCAAATAGTGCACGATAGCTTAGACATGGACTTGTGTCTGATGACTGAGGTAGCTTCTGGACTGATTTTCCTGCCTCTAGTCTCTTCATCTTTGTCTGCATTGTTCTGAGTTTTCCTTCCACAAAAATCTGATCATGCCACTTTCCAGACCAACTTCATTTTATAGTTCTCTGTCTTTTCGTACCAAATCCAGGCTTCTAGGGTGACTACAAGATCCCTTAAGATCTACCCTAATTTGCCTTTCTAGTCTCATCTTTTCCCACTCACTTTCCTGCTTATACAGAGTGGCTACGTGTACATCCCTGCACAGATCACATTGTTTCATGCCTTTTCGACTTTGCCCACGTTCCCTGCTTAGTGTTTTTATTTATCACTACCAACCCCATAAGAGTTCCCTGTAAACTCTTCACTCAGGTTCTGTTTAAACATCATAGCCTCTGAAAAGCCCCCACTCTTCCTCCTAGTCCCAGCCAATCATGGTCTAACGTCATTTGTAGGCTCCCTTATGCATATGTGTCTTACTAAGGTGCAGCAATTTGCATTCAGAACCATTATTATTGGCTCTTGAGGTATGAGTCACACACATCCTGTCCATCTTTGGCCATCAGTAACCATCAATTGTCTGAACTCTCACATGTGCTGATTTTTTATTATCTGGGAAGGTTGATGGCTCCTTTGTGTCCCCCATGATTAATTTCTGGTGCTCAGTTAATATGAGCCAATTTAAATATTAACATAAAGAACACTTGATAAGGTGACTCAATTAGGAATCCCAGGCACAGTATTTTCTTAGCCATATGTAAATGATATCTTGTTATTTATTTTAAGCATCTTATTTTAGCTGTTCTGTTATAATTTTGAAAAGCAAGTGATTAATTGATGTGTGAAATTATAAAGATATATTTTTTCACCTTAAGTAGATGGAGTAGGAATTTTCTATTGATAAACTATGACTATGTTTAAGTTTTCAAGTAACATAAATGTGACACAGGATTTTCTAGAACAGCACCCTTCAGACTTTGTTATTTCTTACTCATGTCAGTAAAAACATAAGAGCATATATTCCATATGTTTCTATTATTTTTAAAAAATAGTAATGTTTTAATTTAATTTAATGATACTTATATGGAGCTTGCTATATTTAAGGCACTGTTTTAAGAACTTTGCAAATTTATGGAGTAGTTAGTTATCCTTGTTTTACATGAAAAGAAACTGAGTCATAGATTAAATAAGTTGCCCATGTTAGACAGTCATAAGTCACAGAGCTGAGCAGTCTGTCTGCGTGCTCATGCTGTCAATCCACTAAGCTGCCTTTATAATAAATAAAAATTTACTATAAACAATAAGTTCTAATATATTCTGTGTGTTACAAAAGATACATAAAAATTAAAAAGAACAAGGCAAAAGGGAACAAAATAGTGGTGTTTTAAAATATCAGGCTAATTGTAATTGCATAAGGGCTTCACATAATCAATGACTAACCATCACAGGGAAGAATGTATGCTTAAGAATGGTTTATAATGAATGATTATAGATGTAAATCTGTCCTTCAAATTGCAATCTTGATAACTTTGAATCTTTTGGCCTACAACTTTTTGTCGAATCTAATTTGATCATCTTCATTTTTAATCTTATAATATGGCTGTTGAATAGCTTATACCAGGAGTAGAATTTCCCATGTTACCATTTTCTTGTTCACTTACACACTTCCATCACTGGTATTATCCTCAGCATGTGATGCCTTTGAAAGAATATTTTAGACCTATTTGTCCTTGTGAAGTTTAGTATAGATAAAACTTGACAATATACTCTACAAATTCTCCTAACTGGTCTCTTGTAAACTGCCATAGATTGTAACCTGCTGAAATCAGAGAATGACTACATGAGGGCACCACTGTCTACCCCTCTGTGCCTGGAACATGCATGCTTCTTTCAGGATATTTTGCTCACTGTATGAGATATGGATCCTCTGATATAGTTACTGAACAAGAATGCCTGTGAAAATCCATATATCAAATGTAGACTCATATTATATTTAGAGAAAATGGAAATAGAAATTCTAATATTTTTCTTTACTCACCCCAAAGGATTGTCGTGTGCTGCTTCCATCTTTTTTTTGGGTTAGAGAACCCTTGAAATGCAATGAAAGAAGTCACCTGAATGTAAAGCCTCAAATACGAAGATAAAACTGGCTCAGAGAGGCAAAAGAGGCTTAAAAGATGAAACTCAGCAGAGTTGCAACACAAAGTTGGCTTACAAATAAAAATAGATATTGTTAACACATTTAAAATGTGAGAACAATTTAAGTTGCAGTAGCTCTTTCTGTTAAAAGTCTTTTTCCCCCCTTTTTTGTTGTCAGCCAATTGCTTCGTGGTTATGTTCAATCCTTAATTTACACCTTTTGGCTGAGGCCTATGGGCATATTGTGGTATTAACAAAATTGAAACCAACTATTGCTTCTCCCTTTCCACTACTGGATCAGGATCTGTTGCTTGATTGCATGCACTAATGAGCCATGAAATATTATTGTTCTGCTGATTTAACTCAGGGAGGCCATTGGGGATTTGTTTGAAAAGTTGAGAGATGGTTGGAGTACTTGGCGTACAGATGAACTCACTAAAATACATGAGATTTTTCATTGCACACACACAATAAAACAACAGCCCAGCCAACTAATCAAATGAAAAAACAAAAACAGTCCAGAAAGTTGTATGCCAAAAAATGATTGCACAGATTAAACATATAATTTTCAGGTAAGTATTAAATTATTTAGTCACAATTTAGACACTTAAAGGAGAGATCATGTTTTATAAAGTTATAAAGTGCTAATTTCTGTGATACTTGCATGGTCTTTATAGTGCTTCCCTTTGTATAGTGTTTCCTCTGCTTGTTTTTCATTTGCCTGATGTAAGACTGTATTTTACCTTTTTGTAGTTAAGGAAATTTAGCTCAGAGTAATTAATAGGTCTATTATTATCCATGTATAAACAGATTTGTATATATGTTTCGATAAATCAACAAAGAAAATATCACAGGAGAGATTATACCTCCCTTTTGTTTGCTTACATTTAACTATAAGTAGATAAATAATTTTAAGAAACACTACCTTAAATTTGAAGTGTTATCAATCCTTTATGATCCAAAGATATGTTTTGATAGATGTTGATCAATACAGAATGAGTAGCATAATTGAATAGATTAAATTAGCAAATTATACTGCATTTGTAGAATATATTCATCCTCAATTTTTACTAAATCAAAATTTTAGATTTTTCAAGCAGAGTAAAGGGCACAAATACTTCTTGAACATACAGAGTTTGACTGTTTCATTTATTCTCACTTGTATCTCAAAGTATTTCATAAATGTGAAATATAAAATAGCATAATAATGAAAAACTGCTGTCCTTTGTCTTGCCCCTCCAAATTCCCAGTCCTCCCAGAGGCAATCATTTTTATTTATTTCAGCCATTTCTTGTAGTATTTTCACCCATGTTATCCATTGATTTCCCATAAGATAAGATAAGGCTTTCTTTCTTTCTTTCTTTCTTTTTTTAAGGAATTGAACAATGAGAACACATGGACACAGGAAGGGGAACATCACACAGCGGGGACTGTTGTAGGGTGGGGGGAGGGGGGAGGGATAGCATTAGGAGATATACCTAATGCTAAACGACAAGTTAATGGGTGCAGCACACCAACATGGCACATGTATACATATGTAACAAACCTGCATGTTGTGCACATGTACCCTAAAACTTAAAGTATAGTAATAAAGAAAAAAAAAAGACAGAGTCTTGCTCTGTCACCCAGGCTGGAGTGCAGTAGCCTGATCTCGGCTCACTGCAACGTTTGCCTCCTGGATTCAGGCGATTCTCCTGCCTCTTCCTCCCGAGTAGCTGGTATTACAGGCACACACCACCATACCTGGCTAATTTTTGTATTTTTACTAGAGACAGGGTTTCACTACATTGGCCAGGCTGATCTTGAACTCCTGATCTCAAGTGATCCACCTGCCTCGGCCTCCCAAAGTGCTGGGATTACAGGTGTTAGCCACCACGCCCAGCCAATATAAGGCTTTCTGAAATAAAATCTTTTATTCTTTTCCCACATTTTACTTTCCTGCCCAACTACCCTTTTGATGTAATCATATAATAATTTTTAGAATAAATCAGTATTCAGTTTTTACATTGTTATTGTGAAAATATTTTTTACTACAAAACCAAGTGGTAGTCTATGACTGTTTTTTAATAAGATGTTTTCCTTTGTAGTTAATAATTCCCCCTTTTTCCATATACATTAATTTTTAGTGTATCTATCATTAATTATTTTTTATCCATTCAGCCACTCTATATCCTTTAATTGAATAATTAAATCTATTTATTTTTTAATTGTTTTCTAGTTTCCTTTGTGGTTAAGTGATGTTTTTCTATTAGCATGTTTCGATTTCTTGCTTTTTAATTTTAATGTATCTGTGATAGATTTTTGCTTTGTGGTTACCATGAGGATTTCAAGAAACATCTTATAGTTATAAAAGTTATTTTAAACTGATAACGACTTAACATCAATTACAACAAAGGAAGAAAAAAGAAAACCTGTATCCCTTAACTATGTTCTCTACCCACACTTTGCATTTTTGATGTCACAATTTATGTCTTTTTATATTGCATAGTCATTAACAAATTATTGTAGTCATTTTTTATTAGTTTTTTCCTTTTTATATTAAAGATATGTGATTTACAAACTTCCATTACATTATTAGAGTATTCCAAATTTGTGTACTTTTATTACTGAATTACATACTTTCAGATGCTAACTGTTACTCATTAGCACCCTTCATTTTCTTCTTGAAGACAGCATTTCTTGTAAGACAGGTCTGGTGGTGATAAATTTCCTCAGCTTTGTTTGTCTGGAAAAGTCTTTCCCTCTCCTTTATTTCTAAAGGCAGCTTTGATGGGTAGAGTATTCTTGATTGGCAGTTTTTTTTCCTCCAGCACTTTGGATATATTATCTCACTTTCTCCTGGGCTTTAATGTTGCTGCTGAGAAGTCAGCTGTTAGAGATACTGGGATTCCCTTGTATGTTATTTTCTTTTCTCTTGCTGCTTTCAGGATCCTCTCTTTGTCTTGGATTGTAGAAATTTTGATTATAATATGTTGTGGGGTAGTCTTACCTGGATTGAATCTGATTGGAGACCATTGACCTTCCTGTACCTGGGAATTTATATCGTTTTCCAGATTTGGAAGATAGTCTGTTATTATTTCTTTAAATAAGCTTTCTACTCCTTTCTCTTTCTCTACTCCCTGTTGAACACTAATGCCCTGTAATTTGCTGTTTTGACGTTATCCCATAAATTTCATAAGCTTTCTTCATTCTTTTTTATTCTTCTTTCTCCTCTGACTGTATTTATAAGTAACCTGTCTTCAAGTTTATAGATTCTTTCCTCTGCTTCATCAGTTCTGCTGTTGATGTTCTATATTGCATTTCTCATTTGTTTTCATTTTATTTTTCAGCTCCAGGATTTCTGTTTGTGATATGGTTTTGCTCTGTGTCCCCACCCAAATCTCATCTTGAATTGTAGCTCCAATAATTTCCATATGTTATGGGAGGGGCCTGGTGGGAGATAATTGAATCATAGGGGTGGTTTCCTCCATCCCATACTGTTCTCGTGGTAGTGAAAAAGTCTCATGAGATCTGATGGTTTTATGAGGGGTTTTCCTTTTCACTAGTCTCTCATTCTCTCGTCTGCTGACATGTAAGATGTGCCTTTCACCTTCTGCCATGATTGTGAGACCTCCCCAGCCATGTGGAACTGTGAGTCCATTAAACCTCTTTTTCTTTATAAATTACCCAGTCTCAGGTATGTCTTTATCAGCAGTGTGAAAACGAACCAATACAGTTTGATATTTGAAAAAATTATTTCAATTTTTAAAATTTCTCGGATCAACTTTTGACTTGTTTTTCCATATTTTATTGATGTTTACTGAGCTTCCTTAAAGGTAGCCATTTTGAATTCTTTGTCAGGCAGTTCCTCCATCTTCATCTCTTTAGGGTCAGTCACTGGCACCTATTTTGTCCATTTGGTGACATATTTCCCTAATTTATCTTAATCCTTTTGGCCATGCATTGATGTCTGTGCATTGACATAGGTACCTAATTCAGCCTTTGCAGTCTGGCTTTGTTTGTGAGCTTCCTTTAGCATTTTTAAGGCTTTCTTTATGAGCCTCTTTAGAGATTCAGAAAAGGTTGCCTGGTAGGTCCCTAAGTCTGTTACCACTCTGTCTATTGCAGGGCTGGGGAGTACCCTAAGACCAGGACTGCCATGGCTGAAATCCTTTGGTTGTCAAGGCTAACACAGTGCTGGTTGCTCCTGAAGCCTGTGGCTACCAAGACCAGCACAGCACTGAGGCATGTCCAAGTCTTGCAGCTTGTATGACCTGCCCACAACTGAGGCTTTTCAGGGCTCAAGGTCGATGCAGTTGGTCATCTGCCATTATTTCTTAAGGGTTCTATCTTACGCTTATCAATATTAATTTCCAAGTGTGCAAACATTTCAGATAATCTATCAATTTCATGAATTCTTAGACTCCTCTTCTAGATCCCTGTATCCTACTTTTCCCATCTGGACTGGTTGCTCCCTTGGCCTGATGAATTCCTGTCATCCTAGGACCTTCTTTTGTAGCTCTAGCTTGTGTTGGCTCTACTCTTTCCTAGATTCTGTGTCTTCATCTTAAAAAAAGTATATTTCCTCTTTTTTCTGAGGCATATCCTACTATGGCTATCTAGGAAAAGGTGCAATGTTAAACAACTTAAAAAATTCATTGCACATCCAAAATTTCATTTACTTTCCCCTCACACTTTATTGATATCTGGCTGGATATTATATTCTAAGTAAAAATAATTGTACCATAACATTTTGAAAGCATCAGATTTCCTGCCATTCTGAATCCTTTGTATATAATCTGATTTTTACTTGGAAAGATTTTACATTTTTGTTTTTACCCCTGGTACTCTAAAATGTCATCAAGATGTGCCATAAATAGGGTTTTTGTCTTTCATTATACTGAGTATTCATTGGGATTGTTCACCTTGTAAATTTATGTCCTTAAGTCTTTGCATATTTCCTTGTACAATTTTTTGATGAATTTCTCCTCTCCAGTTGTTTCTGTTTTATCTTTCTGTAACATTTATTATTTAGATATTGGACCACATGGGTTAGTCCTCTAAATCTCTTCAAATATTTCCCAACTGTTTGTCTAATCACTTTCTTTTCTGAGAGATTTCCTCTATTTTATCTTCTAGATTTTTAATTGATTTTTTTCTGACACTTTTTAATTTTGAATTATTGTTTTTTAAAATTTTTTTATTGTTATACTTTAAGTTCTAGGGTACATGTGCACAACGTGCAGGTTTGTCACATATGTATACATGTTCCATGTTGGGGTGCTGCACCCATTAACTTGTCATTTACATTAGGTATATCTCCTAATGCTATCCCTCCCCCCTACCCCCACCCCATGACAGGCCTGGTGTGTGATGTTCCCCACCCTGTGTCCAAGTGTTCTCATTGTTCAGTTCCCACCTGTGAGTGAGAACATGCATTGTTTGGTTTTCTGTCCTTGTGATAGTTTGCTGAGAATGATGGTTTCCAGCTTCATCCATGTCCCTACAAAGGACTCGAACTCATGCTTTTTTATGGCTGCATAGTATTCCATGGTGTATATATGCCACATTTTCTTAATCCAGTCTATCATTGATGGACATTTGGGTTGGTTCCAAGTCTTTGCTATTGTGAATAGTGCCACAGTAAACATACATGTGCATGTGTCTTTATAGCAGCATGATTTATAATCCTTTGGGTATATGCCCAGTATTGGGATGGCTGGGTCAAATGGTATTTCTAGTTCTAGATCCTTGAGGAATCGCCACACTGACTTCCACAATGGTTGAACTAGTTTACAGTCCCACCAACAGTGTAAAAGCATTCCTATTTCTCCACATCCTCTCCAGCACCTGTTGTTTCCTGACTTTTTAATGATCGTCATTCTAACTGGTGTGAGATGGTATCTCATTGTAGTTTTGATTTGCATTTCTCTGATGGCTAGTGATGATGAGCATTTTTTCATGTGTCTGTTGGCTGCATAAATGTCTTCTTTTGAGAAGTGCTGTTATATCCTTCACCCACTTTTGATGGGGTTGATTTTTTCTTGTAAATTTGTTCAAGTTCTTTATAGATTCTGGATATTAGCCCTTTGTCAGATGGGTAGGTTGTAAAAATTTTCTTCCATTCTGTAGGTTGCCTGTTCACTCTGATGGTAGTTTCTTTTGTTGTGCAGAAGCTCTTCAGTTTAATTAGATCCCATTTGTCAATTTTGGCTTTTGCTGCCATTGCTTTTGGTGTTTTAGACATGAAGTCATCGCCCATGCCTAAGTCCTGAATGATATTGCCATGTTTCCTTCTAGGTTTTTATGGTTTTAGGTCTAACATTTAAGTCTTTAATCCATCTTGAATTAATTTTTGTATAAGGTATAAGGAAGGGATCCAGTTTCAGCTTTCTACATATGGCTAGCCAGTTTTCCCAGCAACACCATTTATTAAATAGGGAATCCTTTCCCCATTTCTTGTTTTTGTCAGGTTTGTCAAAGATCAGATGGTTGTAGATGTGTGGTATTATTTCTGAGAGCTCTGTTCTGTTCCATTGGTCTATATCTCTGTTTTGGTACCAGTACCATGCTCTTTTGGTTACTGTAGCCTTGTAGTATAGTTTGAAGTCAGGTAGCATGATGCCTCTAGCTTTGTTCTTTTTGCTTAGGATTGACTTGGCAATGTGGGCTCTTTTTTGGTTCCATATGAACTTTAAAGTAGTTTTTTCCAATTTGGTTAAGAAAGGCATTGGTAGCTTGATGGGGATGGCATTGAATCTATAAATTACTTTGGGCAGTATGGCCATTTTCACCATATTGATTCTTCCTACCCATGAGCATGGAATGTTCTTCCATTTGTTTGATTCCTCTTTTATTTCGTTGAGCAGTGATTTGTAGTTCTTCTTGAAGAGGTCCTTCACATCCCTTGTAAGTTGGATTCCTAGGTATTTTATTCTGTTTGTAGCAATTGTGAATGGGAGTTCACGCATGATTTGGCTCTCTGTTTGTCTGTTATTGGTGTATAGGAATGCTTGTGATTTTTGCTCATGGATTTTGTATCCTGAGATTTTGCTGAGTTGCTTATCATCTTAAGGAGATTTTGGGCTTACAAGATGGGGTTTTCTAAATATATAATATGTCATCTGCAAACAGTGACAATTTGACTTCCTCTTTTCCTAATTGAATACCTTTATTTCTTTCTCTTGCCTGATTGCAAGATGATAGCAATCTTGCAATCTTGCAATTGCAAGATGTTAGCATTAGATTAGATTAGATTACCATTAGATTGCAGATGCCTGAGATGGGTTTCCTGAATACGGCACACTGATTGGTCTTGACTCTTTATCCAGTTTGCCAGTCTGTGTCTTTTAATTGGAGCATTTAGCCCATTTACATTTAAGGTTAATATTGTTATGTATGAATTTGATCCTGTCATTATGATGTTAGCTGGTTATTTTGCTCGTTAGTTGATGCAGTTTCTTCCTAGCCTCGATGATCTTTACTGTTTGGCATGTTTTTGCAGTGGCTGGTACTGGTTGTTCCTTTCCATGTTTAGTGCTTCCTTCAGGAGCTCTTTTAGGGCAGGCCTGGTGGTGACAAAATCTCTCAGCATTTGTTGTCTGTAAAAGATTTTATTTCTCCTGCACTTATGAAGCTTAGTTTGGCTGGATATGAAATTCTGGGTTGAAAATTCTTTCCTTGAAGAATGTTGAGTATTGGCCCCCACTCTCTTCTGGCTTGTAGAGTTTCTGCCGAGAGATCAGCTGTTAGTCTGATGGGCTTCCCTTTGTGGGTAACCCGACCTTTCTCTCTGGCTGCCCTTAAAATTTTTTTCTTCATTTCAACTTTGGTGAATCTGACAATTATGTGTCTTGAAGTTGCTCTTCTCGAGGAGTATCTTTGTGGTATTCTCTGTATTTCCTGAATTTGAATATTGGCCTCCCTTGCTAGATTGGGGAAGTTCTCCTGGATAATATCCTGCAGAGTGTTTTCCAACTTGGTTCCATTCTCCCCATCACTTTCAGGTACACCAGTTAGACGTAGATTTGGTCTTTTCACATAGTCCCATATTTCTTGGAGGCTTTGTTCATTTCTTTCCACTCTTTTTTCTCTAAACTTCTCATGTTGCTTCATTTCATTCATTTGATCTTCAGACTCTGATACCCTTTCTTCCACTTGATCGAGTCGGCTACTGAAGCTTGTGCATGTGTCACGTAGTTCTCATCCTGTGGTTTTCAGCTTCATCAGGTCATTTAAGGACTTCTCTACACTGGTTATTCTAGTTAGCCATTTGTCTAGTCTTTTTTGCAAGGTTTTTAGCTTCTTTGCAATGGGTTTGAACATCTTCCTTTAGCTTGGAGAAGTTTGTTATTACCGATCATCTGAAGCCTTCTTCTCTCAACTTGTCAAAGTCATTCTCCATCCAGCTTTGTTCTGTTGATGGCAAGGAACTGCATTCCTTCGGAGGAGAAGAGATGCTCTGATTTTTAGACTTTTCAGCTTTTCTACTCTGATTTTTCCCCATCTTTGTGGCTTTTTCTACCTTTGGTCTTTGATGATGGTGACATACAGATGGGATTTTGGTGTGGATGTCCTTTCTGTTTGTTAGTTTTCCTTCTAACAGTCAGGACCCTCTGCTGCATGTCTGTTGGAGTTTGCTGGAGGTCCACTCCAGACCCGTTTGCCTGGGTATCACCAGTGGAGGCTGCAGAACAGCAAATATTGCATAATGGTAAATGTTGCTGCCTGATCCTTCCTCTGGAAACTTCATCTCAGAGGGGCACCCAGCTCCATGAGGTGTCAGTCGGCCCCTACTGGGAGGTGTCTCCCAGTTAGGCTGCTCGGTGTCAGGGATCCACTTGAGGAGGCAGTCTGACCATTCTCAGATCTCAAACTCCATGCTGGGAGAACCACTACTCTCTTCAAAGCTGTCAGACAGGGAAGTTTAAGTCTGCAGAAGTTTCGCTGCCTTTTGTTCAGCTATGCCCTGCCCCTAGAGTTGGAGTCTACAGAGGCAGGCAGCTCTCCTTGACCTGTGGTGGGCTCCACCCAGTTCGAGCTTCCAGGCAGCTTTGTTTACCTACTCAAGCTTCAGCAATTGTGGACCCCCCTCCCCCAGCCCCATTGCCACCTTGCAGTTCAATTTCAGACTGCTGTGCTAGCAGTGAACGAGGCTCTGTGGTTGTGGGCCCTCTGAGCCAGGCACAAGATAGAATATCCTGGTATGCCATTTGCTGAGGCCTTTGGAAAAGCACAGTATTAGGGTGGAAGTGTCCTGATTTTCCAGGTACCATCTGTCACGGCTTCCCTTGGCTAGGAAAGGGAATACCCCCATCCCTTGCACTTCCCGGGTGAGGCAATGCCTTGCCCTGTTTCGGCTCACGCTCCATGGGCTGCACCCACTGTCTGAGAAGCCCCAGTGAGATGAACCTGGTACCTCAGTTGGAAATGCATAAATCACCCAACTTCTGCATTGCTCACACTGGGAGCTGTCAACTGGAGCTGTTCCTATTTGGCCATCTTGGAACCTCCCCGCCCTGTAACACATTTTCTTTATCCAGTCTATATTGGTGGGCATTTAGGTTGTTTCCATGTCTGCTGCAATAAAAATACTTGTGAATGTGTCTTTATAATAGAATGATTTATATTCCTTTGGGTATATACCCAGTAATGGGATTGCTAGGTTGAATGGTAATTCTGCTTTGAGTTCTTTGAGAAACATCCAAACTGCTTTCCATAGTGGCTGAACTAATATACATTTCCATCAGCAGGGTATAACCATTCCCTTTTCTTTTCAACTTCACCAGCATCTATTATATTTTGACTTTTTATTAATAACCATTCTGACTAGTGTGAGACACTATTTCATTGTGGTTTTGATTTGCATTTCTCTAATGATTAGTGATGTTGGGCATTTTTTCATATGCTTGTTGGCCACTTCTTTTAAGAGTGTCTGCTCATGTCCTTTTCCAACTTTTTTTTTTTTTTTTGAGATGGAGTCTTGCTCTGTTGCCCAGGCGGCAGTGCAGTGGTGCAATCTTGACTCACTTCAACCACTGCTACCCAGGCTCAAGTGATTCTCTTGCCTCAGCCTCCTGAGTAGCTGAGACTACAGGTGCACACCACCACACCCTCCTAATTTTTTTTTTTGTATTTTTAGTAGAGATGGGGTTTCACCATGTTGGCCAGGCTGGTCTCGAACTCCTGATCTTAGATGATCCACCCGCCTAAGCCTCCCAAAGTGGGATTACAGGTGTGAGCCACCATGCCTAGCCTTTGCCAACTTTTTAATGAGGTTATTTATTTTTTGCTTGTAAATTTGTTTAAGATTCTTATAAATGTTGGAAATTAGATTTTGTCAGATGCATAGTTTGCAAAATTTTCCTCCTATTGTGTAGGGTGTCTGTTTACTCTGTTGATAGTTTCTTTTGCTGTGCCAAAGCTCTTTAGTGTAATTAGGTCCCATTTATCAATTTTTGTTTTTGTTGTAATTGCTTTTGGAGTTTTCGTCATGAAATCTCTGCCAGTTTTGATGTCCAGAATGGTATTGCCTAGGTTGTCTTTCAGGATTTTTATAGATTTATGTTTTATATTTAAGTCTGTAATCCATCTTAAGGTTTTTTTTTTGAGATTTTTGTATATGGTATAAGAAAGGGGTCCAGTTTCAATCTTCTGCATATGGCTAGCCAATTATTCTACCACCATTTTGTGAATAAAGGGTTTTTTCCCCATTGCTTGATTTTGTCAACTTTGCCTAATATCTGATAGTTGTTGGTGTGTGACATTATTTCTGTGCTCTCTATTTTGTTCCATTGGTTTGTGTGTCTATTTTTGAAACAGGACCATACTGCTTTGGTTACTGTAGCCTTGTAGCATAGTTACAAGTCAGATAATGTGATGCCTCCAGCTTTGTTCTTTTTGCGTACAATTGCCTTGGCTTTCTGGGATCTTTTTTTGGTTCCCTATGAATTTTAGAATAGTTCTTTCTTTTAAAAAAAACTCTGTGAAGAAAGTCAATGGTAGTTTAATAGGAATAGCATTGAATCTGTAAATTGCTTTGGGCATTATGACCATTTTAAAAATATTGATTCTTCCTACCATGGAAGGATGGAAAATCATGGAATGTTTTTCCATTTATTTGTGCCATCTCTGATTTCTTTGAGCAGTGTTTTGTTGTTCTGATTGTAAAGATCTTTCACCTCCTCATCTAACTGTATTCCTTGGTATTTTATTCTTTTTGTGGCAACTGAATGAAATTGTGTTCTTCATTTGGTTCTTGGCTTGGATGTTTGTGTATAGGATTGCTACTGATTTTTATACATCGATTTTGTATCCTGAGACTGTGTTGAAGTTGTTTATCAGATCAAGGAGATTTTGGGAAGAGACTATGGGGTTTTCTACATATATAATCATATTCTCTGCAAACAGGAATTGCTTGACTTCTTCTCTTCCTATTTGGATGCCTTTTATTTCTTTCTCTTGCCTGATAGCTCTGGCTAGGACTTCCAGTACTAAGTTGAATAGGAGTGATGACAGAACACATCCTTGTCTTGTGCTAGTTTTCAAAGGGAATACTTCCAGCTTTTGCTCATTCAGTGTGATGTTGGCTATGGGTTTTTTATAGATGGCCTTTATTATTTTGAAGTAGGTATGTTCATTCAATGTCTGGTTTATTGAGGGTGTTTTCACATGAAGTGGTGTTAAATGTTATTGAATACCTTTTCTGCATCTATTGAGACGATCATGTGATTTTTGGTTTTGGTTCTGTTTATGTGATGAATCACATTTATTGATTTGTGTACATCGAACCAACCTTGCATCCCAGGGATAAAGCCTGCTCAATCATGGTAGATTAGCCCTTTGGTGTGCTGCTGGATCTGTTTGCTAGTATTTTGCCGAGGATTTTCAGATTCTGTCCTTGATGGAACCTGACTGGTACATTTACTAAAATATGTCTTGGTGTTGACCATTCTGTTATCTTTCCAGGAACATAATGTGCTTCTTCAGTTTTTAGATTCAAGTCTTATTTTGTTCCTATGACTTTTTCATGATTGGCATTTTAAATATTTTTCATTCCCTTAATTTCCACTCTCTCAGTATCTCCAATTTTGTGTATGTTGAATTTCCTTTCCCTTCCATACTTATCATTTTCTCTTTGATTGTTAACTATTTCACTTCAATTAAAAAATACTTTAAATCATGTTTTCTATGTATCTGCATTATTTCATGACTTTTTGTGGGCTTAATTGCCAGGACGTCTTTATTTTTCTTTCTCTTTTTTTGTGTGCTTGCAAACTTATCTTTAACTAATTTTGTTGTGTCACCATGTCTTTCTTGATCTTGAATAATTCTCTTTTGAAGTTTTACTTTACCCAGGAATTTGTTTTACAAAGTGTTTTATATTTATAATTTATATTTTGTGACACTTTTATTGGTTCCGTGGCAATGTTAATATAAATATTCTTCATCTTATTCTGGCTCTTTTTAAATTGGTACACATCCTCAGATGAGTTAAATTTCCCCCCCAAACCAAGAAGCTCTACTTAATTTCCTTATAAAACAGTATTGAGTGTATGTGTCTTCTATTAACTTTTATTTCATTTTAGTCAACAGGACAAAGCAAATTCATGTATGCTTATGATGCAGGGCATATTTCAGTTGTCCTGATAGAATGAATAGTTGTGCTTTCTAGGTATGCCAATAACTTTTTGAACTACTGATATTTTCCAGTTTTGTTTGGGCTTGCAGGCACAAATTTTTCTTAAAAGCTTACCACACTCCATATTTGCCTTTTGCTGAACTTGTCATTTCTTTCTCATATTGTGGTTAGGGATGCAGTTTACATTTTTCTTTTCTGTTCTCTTTTGGAATGACTTCCCATGATATACAGGTCTGTATTTATACTGTGTTTAATACTAAAGATTTGTTGGAATTTTTAAACTGAGAGCTTTATGAAGACCAAAGTTTGTATAGTGACTACACTCAGACTCTGGAATGAGTGCTAAACATTATTTTAAGCTCAATTTGATATGCATGATTATTATTATTTTTAGATGGAATTTCACTGTTGTTGCCCAGGCTGGAGTGCAATGGCATGATCTCGGCTCACCGCAGCCTCTGCCTCCTGGGTTCAAGCGATTCTCCTGCCTCAGTCTTTGGAGTAGCTGGGATTACAGGCATGTGCCACCACGCCTGGCTAATTTTGTAATTTTAGTAGAGATGGGGTTTCTCCATGTTGATCAGGCTGGTCTCAAACTCCTGACCTCAGCTGATCCAACCACTTCAGCCTCCCAAACTGCTGGGATTACAGGCGTGAGCCACTGTGCCCAGCCAATTTAAAAAAATAAAAATAAAACTTTGTAAAAGTTTATCCCAGATAGGCGTGATCCAAGGAACAATCTCTGTTCTGACCTATTGTTTATATCTCCTTGTGTTGTCTCAGTTATTCTTTTATTATCATAATATTTTGCTCTGTGATACTTGCAGTAATTGTTGTTTTCTCATTATAGAGTCCTTTATTTGCATCCAGCTCTCAGACTATGATCCTGTTAATGATCGAATGTCATGCTTAAAAAAGGGTTTGCTCCTTTTTTATATAGTCTGAGGAGTTCAGGCAGCCAAATTCCCTGTAAAAGAAATAGGTTTTATGGATTCCTTGGCCATTGTGTTTTCTCTGTAGCCCAAGTTCTGTTTGTCTTGATTCTTCTTTCTCTCACTACTGGTTGCATTTTCTGTTCTCTACCATGATTTGCATTGTTTGCTACACTTAGGACCTGCATGGGCTATATCAGTAGGAAGATTGACTAAGTTCTTCCTGGTGGAATGGGTTCCTTCCTGCTTAGTGTATACGTTGAGTATGTGATCACTCAATTTGTAGCAAGAAGATAACATCTCTGACATCATTGACTTCTTCTGCATATCTTACAGAAGCTCTAAGAAGAATGGAAGAGATGTTAGTATTTAATTATTTTCTGCTCAGTATTATATAGATTGTATTGCCTCTTCCAAGTATCCATTACACTTTAAAATAATCATTTCAGTAATAATTATTAATACAAAGGATGACTCTAGAGATTGGATTTTTAAACTCTTTTAGCAGGTTGGTGGTGGAAATATTTAGAGACGAATGGGAGTTTCTGTGTCACTGTATTAAACAGGTAGGCAGTCAACCTCATTCATTTGTTAGTAAAGGGAAACAAAATCCAAGGGCTGGGATTTTCTCCCTTGTATTGATGGGAGGTGGATGGACTGTGGGGGATGTTCCACAAGGGAAGGATGTAAAATATAGTGCAACAAGGGAAGGCTAGGGAAAAATTCAGTAAGCAGATTCATTGTTGCCTGGCAGCAATAATGACACTTCTAGGAAACTCTGGTCCTTGGGCTTTGTAACATCTGGAAGAGTTACAAAGGTATTATGTTGAGAGGTAATTGAAAAGGCTTTTTAGAAAGAGGTCATTTTTATGGGTTTTTTTAAGATACCTGACACACAATATAGGTTTAATAAATAGTACATAAAATGTTACCTCTAGGGAAAAATTGCATTTTAGATCTCCATTTTCCCTGCCGTGAACGGAAAGTGGAATGAAGTCAAGAGAGATAAGGGTTTATATGGCAGTCCCAGCAGTACGTTTAACATGATCCTGGGTTATTAATAGTAAATTTGTTCTATTTTTGGGGAAATCAAAACAGTCCTCTCACAGATCATTTTCAGACGCTTACCAATATCTTTTTCAACGCTTTTTAAAGGGTGTATGCACTGGCATATAAATGACTATGGGGAAGCAGAAAAAAATGGAGGTTTAAAATAGTAGAAGTCAGGATTAGACTGCAGTAGCTTATTAGATCATTGACACCTAGAAGACTTTGTAGATAAAATTATTTCCATACATAAAATCCCACTCTTTTGTAGAACAGAACACATCTGGAAGAACAATCTGTTACCTCTGGACAAACCCAGCTATAGGATCCGTGGGGCCGAATACAAATGAAAATGCAGAATCCCTTGTTCAAAGATTATTGAAAGTTTCATGATGGCAGCAGCAGAACATTAAACCAAGTGGGGGATTCTTATAGGTGCAGGGCACTGTTTGACTATACATGTCTCCCACCCATGAAGTTGGCCCTGCCTCCGGCTGTGCTCCCCACCTTCCTTCCTATTCAACTACTGATGTCTGCCATTCTATCTTTTACACTTAAACCCTCCCCTTGGTAAGCTTCAATTGCTCCTCAGTTATCAGTCACTGTAATCTCAGTGAATGTGAGTTTCATGGAAGCTCACAGCTGAGAGCAGGTTTGATATATGGTAGGATAGAGATAAGTCAGGGTTGGGAGAAAGATGAAGGATAGCAGGCTACAGGAGGCTGCCAGGGTATGGCATGGGGATCTTGAGTACCTTATAAGGAAGATGCCTTTATTCAGAGTAGGATTCCTGGAATGGCCTAGTAGAAGTAGAAGTGGGCTGAAGAAAAGCTTTTATGTTTTGCGCTTATGTAGATTTTGTGTTGTGGTGGACCTTTTTAGATAGAGTAGATGGTGGTGGGCTAAAGTGCTGATGTAGGTAAGTTTGGACGTCTCTATGCATGTGCTGAGGACTTCTAAACTGGAGGTATTAAGGGTGAAAGAAACCACTCCTCTAGTCTGCAAATGCTAAGGTCCTCTTTTATGCCTTAACAGATTCAGTAGCAGTTTACTCATGCTCATGTCTAGCAACTCCAAAGATGGTCCTGGGAAAAGCTTTCACCCTGACTTACAGTATAGCTAACCATTACTTAGAAGCTTAGGTTGTGTATTTTTAATGTGGGAAAACAAGAAGGAATCTGAGTTTTCATAGTAAAACATCTACTACTCATAAACCTGTGTGGTATACAAATCATGTTGCTCTCGTCTATTAATATATAGAAGGAAAGTGTATTAGTTACACGGATTAGTGTTGTTATTATAATGCTGCATAATAAACAAAACATCTCTGTAGTATACAACAATAAGCATTTATTCAGCTTATACTCTGG
The DNA here is from genome assembly GCF_000001405.40 of Homo sapiens. Lineage (NCBI taxonomy): Eukaryota > Metazoa > Chordata > Mammalia > Primates > Hominidae > Homo > Homo sapiens. The sequence goes on along the minus strand of NC_000006.12, from coordinate 78,811,065 downwards.
AGTTCCCCTAGTCCAGTCGTGGCATGACAGGGCTTGCTCATGTATCTGTCAGCTAGGCAGCTCTGCTGTTCTTGGCTGGACTTGCTTCCATGATTGTGTGCCAGCAGGCTGTTGGTTGATCTAGTCATTCTTGCAACATTGGATGACTTGGTTTCACTCCATGTGTCTTATGTCCTCCAGTAGGCCAAACTGGACATGTTTTCATGACAATGGCCGTGGGCAATAGGTAGGCAGAGACATATAAATAAAATTTCAGGCTTCTGCTTGCATCACATCTGATAACATTTATTGGCTTGAGCAAGTTGCAAAACCAGCCCAGAACAGGAGAGCTTTCCAAATTCCAAAGGTAAGGAGGTGGACCCTGCCTTTTTAGGGGGAAGAACTGCAAAGGCATGTGGCAAAAAACATGGGTAAAGAGAGGAAGGAAGGATTGGAGTCATTTATAGCTTCCATTTACCATAGTCTGTCAAAAACTCTGCTAAGACTTGATGTTTAGATTACAGTGATATACTAAGTTTTTGTTCCTTTATATCATTAAATGAAGCCGAATCACCAGAAAAATCTGACACCTATATATCAGTTTTTAATGTATTGTCTCTCAGCTCCAACTACCATTCTGTGCACTGCTTTGTGAAACTGGAGCTGAACCTGGTAAAGATTTCTCTTTCTCCAGCTGGCTTGATGCTAAGCTTTATCAACAGAGGGTGCTAGAGGGACATTGTTGAGGGGATGATGGCAGGAGGGTGCTTCCCTTCCAGGTTCCAGTCCTCATTCCTTGTTATTCATTGTGAAAGTCAGTAGATCAGTGTGCAGATGGCCTAGTGGAGCTGATCATCAAGACCAACTCCTCCCTCTCACCTAGGGGCTGTTTTACTGGCAGTTCTGTACACACACTTAGGGAGCTGTCTTCCTACCTAGCTGGACCACTTTTATATTTCAGGTCAGATCTGTTCCCTCTGTTGTTTCTTCCCCTCTGACAGAAAGTGGTAGCCCTACCCTCTTCAAAATTCTTGGTTCTTCATTTCCTGTACCCCTTCAGCCTAATAATTTTTTTTCCGTAAGTGCTATTTCTGAATCTCTTAGAGCAGGGGTTGGTAAACTATGATTAGTGGACAAAATAAGGGGATATCATTCTATACTTATCAAACTAGCTAAATATTCAGACTTATGACAACACACTTATGGGAAGGTTGTGGGGAAGCAAATATCCTAATAAAATGCTAGAAGTATACTATCTTTTGGGAGGTCACTATAAAATATATAACATGTAATTATATATACAATATGCAATAAAACACTTAAAATGTGCATATTCTTCTTAACTCAGCAATTTAAAAAATAATTAAAAGGATGTGTAAAGACTGATGTAGATTGGAGGCAAGATGGCTAACTAGATGCAGCTAGAAGGAACATCTGTCGCTGAGGGACTGGAACATTAAGACTGGCACACTCCTAACAGATCTTCAGAGGAAAGGCATTGAGAGTGGATGGAGGGAAGATGCAGATGCTAGGCTGAAAAAGGAGGAATCTGGGAGCCCTGCATGGGGCTACAGGGACTCATTCCTGGCATTCAATGACTACTGGGAAAGGAGTGAGTTGAGCAGGCAAAGAGCAACCTGTTTGCCTGCTCAGGACAGTTGAGTTGGAAGGGAGAGCTTTATAGAGAAGTGGTAAGGTCACAACTCCAGCTGGCGTGAAGACCAGAGGGTTTGGTGCAGGAGCATCTGTAGTGGAGCATAGCCAGGGGCGCCCATTTCCCTAGGCTTGACTTGCTCCTCTAGGAGACGTTAGTGCTAGGGGAAGTGTAAGACCTGAACTTTGCAGGATGATCTTGCCCATGAGATTGGGCCAGTACAACCTGAGTACCCCTTGGTACACTGGCCTCCCCTGGGGCCCCAGCTTGGCTGTGCCTGCTTGCATTGTAGCCTTGGGTACCCAAGGGGGTACCTCCTGGGCACCTGCATTATAGCTCCCGTGCTGGCAGACCATGCCTGACCACAGAAAGCTCCAGCAGAGTAGCAACCATCGACATGTACCTGTCCACTCACACCTCACACTGCAGCCTCTCCATGCTGCTTTGCCTGCACGCACTTACCCACAGCCACCCCTACATTGCTTTGTTGGCATGTGTGTGTGTGTGTGTGGACAAACCTTACATCCCCTTCCTAACCTGTGTGTGTGTGTGTGTGTGTGTGTGTGGGCACACACCTTGCCATGCCACTGGTGCTGGTGTGAGTGCACGCCTCCCCGTGACCCCATTGGACTGCCATTGTTGTGGGAGTTTTGATGGGTACAGAACCTGCCAACCCCACTACCACTAGCACCACAACCCTGCCCTGACACTGCACCTGGGTGAAACTAGGCAGAGAACAGCAGACCTGCCCCTACTCTGAGCTGCCAGCCACTGCTGCTCATGTGAATGTGCACAGGAGGTGCACACAATCCTGTGCCCATCAGTTCCCCACCCCTATGCTAACACCACCACCAGTGTGAATGCATGCACAGACATCAGTGGGGCCCCCCATACGCCTGTACTGTGCTGCCTCTGCAGCTGCAGTGAACACCTGTGCAGAAGCTGGTAACCCAGCACCTGCTAGCACCCTACTGTAGCCTATGAGCATGAACTCAGCTGTGCTGCTGCGGCTGCTGGCATGTGCAAATGAGGATATAGCTCACTGCTCCCATCCTATGAAGTGCTTTAGCTGGCAACACTTATCAGAGTGTTGTGACCAGTGGTCTATGAGCACCTTGGCCCCTTCAGTACAGCAGGTTCCTAACCTTGAAAAGCCAGGGAACAAAGCTGGGCCAGATACCAGTTCCCCAGTTGCGGAGTTCCAAGCTGAACCTTGGCCCCATAAAATCTTCCAGAAACAAAGCCAGTCAACGGAACCTGCCTTATACCACAGTCAAACACCCAAGGTTATAAAATAGGATAAAATAAAAAAATAACCCATCCAGGGATCTGCTGGCAAGATGACCGAATAGGAACAGCTCCGGTCTGCAGCTCCCAGCAAGATTGATGCAGAAGACAGGTGATTTCTGCATTTCCAACTGAGGTACCCAGTTCATCTCATTGGGACTGGTTGGACAGTGGGTGCAGCCCACGGATGGCGAGCTGAAGCAGGGTGGGGCATTGCCTCACCCAGGAAGTGCAAGGGGTCAGGGAATTCTCTACCCTACCCAAGGGAAGCCGTGAGGGACTGTGCCATGAGGAACAGTGCACTCTGGCCCAGATACTGCACTTTTCCGTCTTCACAACCCGCAGGCCAGGAGATTCCCTCCAGTGCCTATGCTGCCAGGGCTCTGGGTTTCAAGCACAAAACTGGGCGGCCATTTGGGCAGACACCAAACTAGTTGCAGAATTTTTTTTTCCATACCCCAGTGGTGCCTGGAACACCAGGGAGACAGAACCATTCACTCTCCTGGAAAGGGGGCTGAAGTCAGGGAGCCAAGTGGTCTGGCTCGGTGGTTCCCCCCCCCCCCCAGGGAGCCCAGCAAGCTAAGATCCACTGGCTTGAAATTCTTGCTCCCAGCATAGAAGTCTGAGGTCGAACTGGGTTGGTCGAGCTTGGTGTGGCGGAGGGGGCACCCACCATTGCTGAAGCTTGAGTAGGCAGTTTTACCCTCACAGTGTAAACAAAGCCTCCAGGAAGTTCAGACTGGGAGAAGCCCACTGCAGCTCAGCAAGGCTGCTGTGGCCAGACTGCCTCTCTAGATTCCTCCTCTTTGGGCAGGGCATCTCTGAAAAAAAGGAAGCAGCCCCAGTGAGGGGCTTATATATAAACCCCCATCTCTCTGGGACAGAGCACCTTGGGGAAGGGGTGTCTATGGGCACAGCTTCAGCAGACGTAAACGTCCCTACCTGATGGCTCTGAAGAGAGCAACAGATCTCCCAGCATAGTGTTCAAGCTCTACTAAGGGTCAGACTGCCTCCTCCAGTGGGTCCCTGACCCCCATTTATCCTGACTGGGAGACACCTTCCTGTAGGGGCCAACAGACACCTCATACAGGAGAGCTCTGGCTGGCATCTGGCCAGTGCCCCTCTGGGATGAAGCTTCCAGAGGAAGAAACAGGCAGCAATGTTTGTTGTTGTGCAGCCTCCGCTGGTGATACCCAGACAAGCAGGGTCTGGAGTGGACCTCCAGCAAACACCAGCAGACCTGCAGCAGAGGGGGCTGACTGTTAGAAGGAAAATTAACAAACAGAAAGGGATATTACCAACATCAACAAAAAGGATGTCCACTCAGAGACCCCATCTGAAGGTCACCAACATCAAAGACCAAAGGTAGATAAATCCATGAAGATGGGGAGAAACCAGCACAAAAAGGCTGAAAATTCCAAAAACCAGAAGGCGTCTTCTCCTCCAAAGGATCACAACTGCTTGCCAGCAAGGGAACAAAACTGGATGAAGAATGAGTTTGACACATTGACAGAAGTAGGCTTCAGAAGGTGGGTAATAACAAACTCCTCCGAGCTAAAGGGTCATGTTTTAACCCAATGCAAGGAAGCTAAGAACCTTGAAAAAAGGTTAGAGGAATTGCTAACTAGAATAAACAGTTTAGAGAAGAACATGAATGACGTGATGGAGCTGAAAAACACAGCATGAGTACTTCATGAAACATACACAAATATCAATAGCTGAATTGATCAACTGGAAGAGAGGATATCAGAGATTGAAGATCAACTTAATGAAATAAAGCAAGAAGACAAGATTAGAGAAAAAATGAAAAGGAATGAACAAAGCTTCCAAGAAATATGGGACTATGTGAAAAGACCAAATCTATATTTGATTGGTGTACCTGAAAGTGACAGGGAGAATGGAACCAAGTTGGAAAACACTGTTTAGGATATTATCCAGGAGAACTTCCCCAACCTAGCAAGGCAGGCCAACATTCAAATTTAGGAAATACAGAGAACACCGCAAAGATACTGCTCTAGAAGAGCAACCACAAGGCACATAATTGTCAGATTCACCAAGGTTGAAATGATGGAAAAAGGGCAGCCAGAAAATAAGTTCGGGTTATCCACAAAGGGAAGGTGATCAGACTAACAGCAGATCTCTTGGCAGAAGCCCTACAAGCCAGAAGAGAGTGGGGGCCAATATTCAACATTCTTAAAGAAAAGAATTTTCAACCCAGAATTTCATATCCAGCCAAACTAAGTTTCATAAGCAAAGGAGAAATAAAATCCTTTACAGACAAGCAAATGCTGAGAGATTTTGTCACCACCAGGCCTGCCTTACAAGAGCTCCTGAAGGAAGTGCTAAATATGGAAAGGAACAACTAGTACCAGCCACTGCAAAAACATACCAAATTGTAAAGAGCGTCAACACTATGAAGAAACTGCATTAACTAATTGGCAAAATAACCAGCTAGCATCATAATGACAGGATCAAACTCACACATAACAATATTAACCTTAAATATAAATGGGCTAAATGCTCCAATTAAAAGACACAGACTGGCAAATTGGATAAAGAGTCAAGACCCATCGGTGTGCTGTATTCAGGAGACCCATCTGTGTGCTGTATTCAGGAGAACCCATCTCACGTGCAAAGACACATATAGGATCAAATTAAAATTAAAGGGATGGAGGAATATTTACTAAGCAAATGGAAAGAAAGAAAAAAAAAGCAAGCTTTGCAATCCTAGTCTGATAAAACATACTTTAAACAAACAAAGATGAAAAGAGACAAAGAAAGGCATTGAATAATGGTAAAGGGATCAATGCAACAACAAGAGCTAACTATCCTAAATACATATGCACCCAATAGAGGAGCACCATGATTCATAAAGTTCTTAGAGTTCTTAAGTTCTTAGAGACCTACAAAGAGACTTAGTCTCCCATACAATAATAGTGGGAGACTTTCACACCCCACTGTCAATATTAGACAGATTAATGAGACAGAAAATAAACAAGGATATTCAGGATTTGAACTCAGCTCTGGACCAAGCTGACCTAATAGACATCTACAGAACTCTCTACCCCAAATCAATAGAATATACGTTCTTCTCAGCACTTTAATCGCACCTATTCTAAAATTGACCACATAATTGGAAGTAAGACACTCCTCAGCAAATGCAAAAGAACAGAAATTATAAGAGTCTCTCAGACCACAGTGCAATCAAATTAGAGCTCAGGATTAAGAAACTCACTCAAAACTGCACAACTACGTGGAAACTGAACACCTGCTCCTGAATGACTACTGGGTAAATAATGAAATGAAGACAGAAATAAAGATGTTCTTTAAAACCAATGAGAATAAAGACACAATGTACCAGAATCTTTGGGGCACATTTAAAGCCATGTTTTGAGGGAAATTTATAGCACTAAATGGCCACAAGAGAAAGCAGGAAAGATCTAAAATTGACACCATAAAATAAAAATTTAAAAGAACTACAGAAGCAAGAGCAAACAAATTCAAAAGCTAGCAGAAGATAAGAAATAAGTAAGATCAGAGGAGAATGGAAGGAGATAGAAAGACAAAAAACCCTTCAAAAAAATCAATGAATCCAGGAGCTGTTTTTTTTGAAAAGATCAACAAAATAGATAGACTACTAGCCAGAATAATAAAGAAGAAAAGAGAGAAGAATCAAATAGACATGATAAAAAAATGATAAAGGGAATATTGCCACTGATCCCACAGAAATACAAACTACCATCAGAGAATACTATAAACACCTCTATGCAAATAAACTAGAAAACCTAGAAGAAATGGATGAATTCCTGGACACATACATTCTCCCAAGACTAAACCAGGAAGAAGTCAAATCCCTCAATAGACCAATAACAAGTTCTGAAGTTGAGGCAGTAAGTAATAGCCTACTGACCAAGAAAAGTCCAGGACCAGATGGATTCACAGCCAAATTCTACCAGAGGTACAAAGAGGACCTGATAAAATTCCTTCTGAAATGATTCCAAACAATAGAAAAAGAGGGAATCCTCCCTAACTCAATTTATGAGGCCAACATCATCCTGATACCAAAACCTGGCAGAGACACAACAAAAAAAGAAAATTTCAGGCCAGTATCTCTGATCAACATCGATGCAAAAATCCTCAATAAAATACCAGCAAACCGAATCCAGTAGCATATCAAAAAGCCTATCTACCACGATCAAGTTGACTTCATCCCTGGGATGCAAGGCTGGTTCAACATCCTCAAATCAATAAACGTAATCCATCACATGAACAGAACCAAAGCCAAAAACCACATGATTTTCTCAATAGATGCAGAAAAGGCCTTTGACAAAATTCAACAGCACTTCATGCTAAAATCTCCCAATAAACTAGGTATTGGTGGAACATATCTCAAAATAATAACAGCTATTTATGACAAACCCACAGCCAATATCATACTGAATGGGCAAAATCTGGAAGCATTCCCTTTGAAAACTGGTGCAAGACAGGGATGAACTCTCTCACCACTCCTATTCAACATAATATTGGAAATTCTGGCCAAGGCATTCAGGCAAGAGAAAGAAATTAAGGGTATTCAAATAGGAAAAGAGGAAATCAAATTGTCCTGTTTGCAGATGACATGATTGTATATTTAGAAAACCCCATCTTCTCAGCCCGAAATCTCCTCAAGCTGATAAGCAACTTCAGCAAAGTGTCAGGATAAAAAATCAATGTGCAAAAATCACAAGCATTTCTATACACCAATAGCAGACAAACAGAGAGCCAAATCATGAGTGAACTCCCATTCACAATTGCTACAAACAGAATAAAATACCTAAGACTCCAACTTACAAGGGATGTGAAGGACCTCTTCAAGGAGAACTACAAACCACTGCTCAAGAAAATAAGAGAGGACACAAATAAATGGAAAAACATTCCATGCTCATGGATAAGACGAATCAATATTGTTAAAATGGCCATATTGCCGACAGTAATTGATAGGTTTCAATGCTATCCCCATCAAGCTACCAAGGACTTTCTTCACAGAACTGGAAAAAACTATTTTAAAGTTCATATGGAACCAAAAAGAGCCTGCATAGCCAAGACAGTCCTATGTAAAAAGAACAAAGCTGGAAGCATCACGCTACCTGACTTCAAACCACACTACAAGGCTACAGTAACCAAAACAGCATGGTACTGGTACCAAAACAGAGATATAGACCAATGGAACAGAACAGAGGCCTCAGAAGTAACACCACACATCTACAACCATCTGATCTTCAACAAACCTGACAGAAACAAGCAATGGGGAAAAGATTCCCTATTTAATAAATGGTGCTGGGAAAACTGGCTAGCCATATGCAGAAAACAAACTGGACCCCTTTCTTACACCTTATACAAAAATTAACTCAAGATGGATTAAAGACATAAACTTAAGACTTAAAACCACAAAAACCCTAGAAGAAAACCTAGGCCAATACCATTCAGGAAATAGGCATGGGCAAGGACTTCATGACTAAAGACACATGCACACATATGTTTATTGCGGCACTACTCACAATAGCAAAGACTTGGAACCAACCCAAATGTCCAACAATGATAGACTGGATTAAGAAAATATGGCACATATACACCACAGAATACTATGCAGCCATAAAAAAATGATGAGTTCATGTCCTTTGTAGGGACATGGATGAAGCTGGAAACCATCATTCTCAGCAAACTATTGCAAGGACAAAAAACCAAACACTGCATGTTCTCACTTATAGGTGGGAATTGAACAATGAGAATGCTTGGACACAGGAAGGGGAATATCACACACCAGGGCCTGTTGTGGGGTGGGGGAAGGAGGGAGGGATAGCATCAGGAGATATACCTAATGTAAATGACAAGTTAATGGGTGCAGCACACCAATATGGCACATGTATACGTATGTAACAAACCTGCACATTGTGCACATGTACCCTAGAACTTAAAGTGTAATAAAAATATATATATATAAAATAAATAAATAAAACACCAAAAGCAATGGCAACAAAAGCCAAAATTGACAAATGGGATCCAATTATACTAAAGAGCTTCTGCACAGCAAAAGAAACTATCATCAGAGTGAACAGGCAACCTACCGAATGGAAGAAAATTTTTGCAATTTATCCATCTGATAAAGGGCTAATATCCAGAATCTACAAACAACTTATACATATTTACAAGAAAAAAACAACCCCATCAAATATTGGGCAAAGGATAAAGAGGCACTTCTCAAAAGAAGACATGCTGCCAAAAACATAAGAAAAAATGTTCATCGTAACTGGCCATTATAGAAATGCAAATCAAAAGCACAATGAGGTACCATCTCATGCCAGTTAGAATGGTGATCACTAAAAAGGCAGGAAACAGCAGATGCTGGAGAGGACATGGAGAAATAGGAATCCTTTTATGCTGTTGGTGGGAGTGTAAATTAGTTCAACCATTTTGGAAGACAGTGTGGCGATTCCTTAAGGATATAGAAGCAGAAATACCATTTGACCCTGCAATCCCTTTACTGGTTATATACCCAAAGGATTATAAATCATTCTACTATAAAGACACATGCACATGTATGTTTGTTGTGGCACTATTTACAATAGCAAAGACTGGGAACCAACCCAAATGCCAATCAGTGATAAACTGGATAAAGAAAAGTGGCACATATACACCATGGAATACTATGGAACATGGAACGTAGTTCATGGAACACCTACAAAACTAACACCATACATGGAACACCTGCAAAACTAACTCAGGAACAGAAAACCAAACACTGCATGTTCTCACTTATAAGTGGTAGTTGAACAGTGAGAACACATGGACATAGGGAAGGGAACATCACACACTGGGGCTTGTTAGGAGGTGGGGGACTAGGGGAGGGATAGCATTGGGAGAAACACCTAATGTAGATGACAGGTTGATGGGTACAGGAAACCACCATGGCATGTGTATACCTATTTAACAAAACTGCACGTTCTGCACATGTACCCCAGAACTTAAAGTATAATAATAAATTAAAAAATAAAATAAAATAACCCACCCAAAGGACAAAAACTTAAATGATTGAAGGGCTGTCAGCACACCAATATGAGAAAGAACCAGGGCAAGAACTCTGACACTCAAAAAGTCAGAGTGTCTTCTCTCCTCTAAATGATGACACTAGTTCTCTAACAAGAGTTCTTATCCAGGCTCAGATGTCTGAAATGAGAGAAATAGAGTTCAGAATATGGATAGAAATGACATCATTGGGATTCAGGTAAAACTCAATCCAAGAAAGCTAAGAATCACAATAAATGATAGAGGAGCTGACAGACAAAATAGCCACTGTAGAAAAGAACATAACCAACCTGTTAGAGTTGAAAACAGTATAAGAAGTTCATAATGCAATCACAAGTTTTAAAAGTAGAATAGATCAAGATGAGGAAAGAATCTGAGAGCCTGAATACTGGCTTTCAGAAATAAGGTAGTCAGACAAGAATAAAGAAAAAGGAATGAAAAGGAATAAACATACCTCCAAAAAATATGGGATTATGTAACGAGAACAAGTCTATGACTCATTGGTGTCCCTGAAAGAGATGAGAATGGAAGCAACCTGCAAAACATAGTTCAGGATATCATCCATAAGAAATTTCCCACCTTGTGGAAGATGCCAACATTTAAATTCAGGGAATGTTGAGAACCCCTGAAGATACTTCAGAAGAAGGTTGTCTCAAAGACACATAATCATTAGATTACACATAATCATTAGATTCTCCAAGGTTGAAATGAAAGAAAAAATGTTAAAGATGGTTAGAGAGAAAGAACAAGTCACCTACAAAATAAAGCCCATCAGACTGACAATGGACCTCTCAACAGAAACCTTACAAGCCAGAAGAGATTGGGGGCCTATTTCTAACATTCTTAAAATAAATTCCAACAAAGAATTTTATGTCTGGACAAACTAGGCTTCATAAGTGAAGGAGAAATAAGATCTTTTTCAGATAAGCCATTTCTGAGGGAATTTGTTATCATCAGATCTGCCTTACAAAAGCTCCTGAAGGAACACTAAATATGGTAAGGAAAAACCACCATCAGTCATGACAAAAACACATTGAGGTGCACAGACCAGTGACACTATAAAACAACCACATAAACAAGTCTGCAAAATAACCAGCTAACATCATGATGACAAAATCAAATCTACACATGACAATATTAACCTTAAATGTAAATGGACTAAATGCCCCAATTACAGAAAAGACACATAGTGGCAAGCTGGATAAAGAACCAAGACTCACTGGTATGTTGTCTTCAAGAGACCTATCTCACAAGCAGTGTCGCCCATGGGGTCAAAATAAAGGGATGGAGAAAAGTCTACCAAACAAATGGAAAACTGAAAATAGCAGCGGGTTGGAATCCTAATGTCAGAAAAAACAATATTTAAGTCAAAAATTATCAGAAAAGACAAGGGTATTATATAATGGTAAAGGGCTCAATTCAACAAGAAGATCTAACTATCCTAAATGTATATTTACCCAACACAGGAGCACCCAGATTCATAAAGCAAGTTCTTAGAGACCTTCAAAGAGGCTTAGACTCTCATACAAAAATAGTGGGAGACTCCAGGACTCCCCTGACAGTATTAGATCATTGAGGCAGAAAATTAACAAAGATATTCAGAATCTTTTTTTTCTCTTTGTTTAATTATTATTATACTTTAAGTTTTAGGGTACATGTGCACAATGTGCAGGTTAGTTACATATGTATACATGTGCCATGCTGGTGTGCTGCACCCATTAACTCATCATTTAGCATTAGGTATATCTCCTAATGCTATCCCTCCCCCCTTCCCCCACCCCACAACTGTCCCCAGAGTGTGATGTTCCCCTTCCTGTGTCCATGTGTTCTCATTGTTCAATTCCCATCTATGAGTGAGAACATGGGGTGTTTGGTTTTTTGCCCTTGCGATAGTTTACTGAGAATGATGATTTCCAATTTCATCCATGTCCCTACAAAGGACATGAACTCATCATTTTTTATGGCTGCATAGTATTCCATGGTGTACATGTGCCACATTTTCTTAATCCAGTCTATCATTGTTGGACATTTGGGTTGGTTCCAAGTCTTTGCTATTGTGAATAGAGCCGCAATAAACATACCTGTGCATGTGTCTTTATAGCAGCATGATTTACAGTCCTTTGGGTATATACCCAGTAATGGGATGGCTGGATCAAATGGTATTTCTAGTTCTAGATCCCTGAGGAATCGCCACACTGACTTCCACAATGGTTGAACTAGTTTACAGTCCCACCAACAGTGTAAAAGTGTTCCTATTTCTCCACACCCTCTCCAGCACCTGTTGTTTCCTGACTTTTTAATGATTGCCATTCTAACTGGTGTGAGATGGTATCTCATTGTGGTTTTGATTTGCATTTCTCTGATGGCCAGTGATGATGAGCATTTTTTCATGTGTCTTTTGGCTGCATAAATATCTTCTTTTGAGAAGTGTCTGTTCTTATCCTTTGCCCACTTTTTGATGGGGTTGTTTGCTTTTTTCTTGTAAATTTGTTTGAGTTCATTGTAGATTTTGGATATTAGCCCTTTGTCAGATGAGTAGTTTCAAAAATTTTCTCCCATTTTGTAGGTTGCCTGTTCACTCTGATGGTAGTTTCTTTTGCTGTGCAGAAGCTCTTTAGTTTAATTAGATCCCATTTGTCAATTTTGTCTTTTGTTGCCATTGCTTTTGGTGTTTTAGACATGAAGTCCTTGCCCATGCCTATGTCCTGAATGGTAATGCCTGGGTTTTCTTCTAGGGTTTTTATGGTTTTAGGTCTAACGTTTAAGTCTTTAATCCATCTTGAATTAATTTTTGTATAAGGTGTAAGGAAGGGATCCAGTTTCAGCTTTCTACATATGGCTATCCAGTTTTCCCAGCACCATTTATTAAATAGGGAATCCTTATTCAGAATCTTAACTCAGCACTGGATCAAGTGGACCTGATTGACACCTAGAGAACTTTCCAGCACAAAGCAACAGAATATACATTCTTCTTATTGCCACATGGTACAGTCTCTAAAATTGAGCACACTGTTGGACATAGAACAATCCTCAGCAAGTGCAAAAGAACTGAAATCATAATAGTCTCTCAAACCACAGCACAATAAAAATAGAAATCAAGACAAAGGAAATTGCTCAAAACTGTACATTTACATGGAAATTAAACAACTTGCTTCTGAATAACTTTTGGTTAAATAATGAAATGAAGTCGGAAATCAAGAAGTTATTTGAAACTAATGAGAACAAAGATACAACATACCAGAATCTCAGGGACATGGCTAAGGCAGTGTTAAGAGGGAGATTTATAGCATGAAATGCCTACATCAAAAAGTTAGAAAGATCTCAAATTAGCAATCTAACATCACAAGAAAAAGAACTATTAAAGCAAGAGCAAACCACCTCCAAGCTAGCAGAAGATAAGATACAACACAATTCAGAGCTGAACTGAAGAAAATTGAGATATAAAAAACCATTCAAAAAATCAGTAAATTCAGGAGTGGGTTTTTTGAGAAAAACAAAAGATAGAATGCTAGCTAGACTAATAGAGAAAAAGAGAGAGAAGTTCCAAATAAACACAATTAGAAATGACCAAAGGTGTGTTTACCACTGACCCCACAGAAATGCAAATAACCATCAGAGACTAGTTTCAACACCTCTATGCACACAAACTAGAGAACCTAGAAGAGATAGATAAATTCCAGGACACATACAACCTCTCAAAACTGAACCAGGAAGAAATTGAAAGCCTGAACATACCAATAATGAACTCCAAAATTGAATCAGTAATAAATAGCCTACCAACCAACAAAAGCCCAAGACCAGATGGATTCACAGCAGAATTCTACCATATGGGCAAAGAAGAGCTGGTATCATCCCTACCGAAATGTTTCCAAAAAATTGAGAAGGAGGGACTCCTCCCCAATTCATTCAATTAGGCTAGCATCATACCGATATCAAAATGTGTCAGAGACACAACGACAACAAAGAAACTTCAGATCAATATTCTTAATGAACATCAATGCAGAAATCCTCAACAAAATACTAGCAAATTGAATCCAGCATCACATCAGAAAGCTAATGCACCATAATCAAACAGCCTTTATCCATGTGATGCAAGGTTGGTTCAACATATGCAAATCAATAAATGTGATTCATCCCATAAACAGAACTAAAGACAAAAACCACATCATTATCTCAATAGGTGCAGGAAAGGCTTTCAATAAAATTCAACATCGCTTCATGTTAAAAACTCTCAATAAACTAGGTATTGAAGGAACATACCTCAAAACAAAAAGAACCATCTACAACAAACCCACAGCCAACACCGTATTGAATGGGCAAAAGCTAGAAACATTCTTTTTGAATACTGGCACAAGACAGGATGTGCTCTCTCACTACTCCTGTTTAACATAGCATTTGAAGTCCTGGCCAGGGCAGTCAGGTAAGAGAAAGAAATAAAGGACATCCAAATATGAAGAGAGTCAAACTATCCCTGTTTGCAAATGACATCATTCTATAGCTGGGAAACCCCATAGTCTCAGCCCAAAATCTTCTTGCTGATAAACAACTTCAGCAAAGTCTCAGGATACAAAATTAATATACAAAAATCAGTAACATTCTTATGCATCAACAACAGCCAAGCCAAGAGCCAAATTAGGAACACAATCCCACTCACAATTTCCACAAAAGTATAAAATACCTAGGAATACAGCTAACCAGGGAGGTGAAAGATCTTTCCAATGAGAATTACAAACCACTGCTCAATGAAATCAGAGTTGACACAAACAAATGGAAAAATATTTCATGCTTATAAATAGGAAGAGTCAATATTGTTAAAATGGTCATACTGCCAAATCAATTTACAGATTTCATTCTATTCCTATCCAACCAATGACATTTTTCACAGAATGTCATTTCACAGAAAATTTTAAAATTCATATGGAACCAAGTAAGAGCCCGAATAACCAAGGCAATCCTAAGCAAAAAGAAGAAAGCTGTAGGCATCTTGTTACTCAATGTGAAACTATACTACAGGGCTACAGTCACAAAAACAGCATGGTACTGGTACAAAAACATGAACATAGACCAGTGAAATGGAATAGGAAGCCCAGAAATAATGCTGTACACCTACAACCATCTAATCTTTGACAAAGTTGACAAAAACAAGTTATGGGGTAAGGACTCCCTATACAATAAATGATGTTGGGATAACTGGCTAGCCATATGCAAAAGACTGAAATTAGACCCCTTCCTTATACCATAATCAACTCAAGATTTGTTGAAGACGTAAATGTAAAACTCCAAACTAAATAAACCCTGGAAAGCAACCTAGGCAATACCATTCTGGTCATAGGAATTGGCAAAGATTTCATGACATACATGCCAAAAACAATAGCATCAAAAGCAAAAATTGACAAATGGGATCTAACTAAATTAAAGAGCTTCTGCACAGCAAAAGAAACTATCAACAGATCAAACAGACACCCAACATTTTTGGCACCAGGGACTGGCTTCATGGGAGACAATTTTTCCACAGATGGTGGGGTGTTTGGGGGACGGTTTTGGAATGAAAGTGTTCCACCTCAGATCATCAGGTGTCAGTTAGAGTCTCATAAAGAGTGCACAACCCAGATCCCTCACATGCACAGTTCACAATAGGGTTCACGCTCCTATGAGAATCTAATGCCACTGCTGATCTGACAGTAGGTGGAACTCAGGCAATAATGTGCACTTGCCTGCCACTCACCTCCTGCTGTGCAGCCCGGTCCCTAATAGGCTATGAACTAGTACAATTCTGTGTCCTGGGGTTTGGGGACCCTTGCCCTGCAGAATGGGAGAAAATATTTGCAAACTATGCATCTGACAAAGTTGTAATATCCAGCATTTACAAGCAACTTAAACAAATTCAAAAGAAAAAACAAACAACCTCATTAAAAAGTGGGCCAAGGACATGAACAGACACTTTTTTATTTTATTTTATTATTATTATACTTTAAGTTTTAGGGTACATGTGCACAGTGTGCAGGTTGGTTACATATGTATACATGTGCCATGCTGGTGTGCTGCACCCATTAACTCATCATTTAGCATTAGGTATATCTCCTAATGCTATCCCTCCCCCCTCCCCCATCCCACAACAGTCCCCAGAGTGTGATGTTCCCCTTCCTGTGTCCATGTGTTCTCATTGTTCAATTCCCACCTATGAGTGAGAACATGGGGTGTTTGGTTTTTTGTCCTTGCGATAGTTTACTGAGAATGATGATTTCCAATTTCATCCATGTCCCTACAAAGGACATGAACTCATCATTTTTTATGGCTGCATAGTATTCCATGGTGTATATGTGCCACATTTTCTTAATCCAGTCTATCATTGTTGGACATTTGGGTTGGTTCCAAGTCTTTGCTATTGTGAATAGTGCTGCAATAAACATACATGTGCATGTGTCTTTATAGCAGTATGATTTATAGCCCTTTGGATATATACCCAGTAATGGTATGGCTGGGTCAAATGGTATTTCTAGTTCTAGATCCCTGAGAAATCACCCCACTGACTTCCACAATGGTTGAACTAGTTTACAGTCCCACCAACGGTGTAAATGTGTTCCTATTTCTCCACACCCTCTCCAACACCTGTTGTTTCCTGACTTTTTAATGATTGCCATTCTAACTGATGCGAGATGGCATCTCACTGTGGTTTTGATTTGCATTTCTCTGATGGCTAGTGATGGTGAGCATGTTTTCATGTGTTTTTTGGCTGCATAAAGTGTCTGTTCAGACACTTCTCAAAAGAAGACATACATGCAGCCAACAAACATGAGAAAAAGCTCAACATCACTGATTATTAGAGAAATGCAAATCAAAACCACAATAAGATACCATCTTACACCAGTTAAGACTGGCTATTAGTAAAAAGTCAAAAAAATAACAGATGCTGGCTAGGTTGAAGAGAAAGGGAATGCTGATACATTGTTGGTGAGATTGCAAATTAATTCAACCAGGTGGAAAGCAGTGCAGCAATTCCTCAAAGAGTTAAAAACAGAACAATTATTTGACTCAGCAATTCATTACTGGGTACATACCCAAAGGAATATAAACTGTTCTGTGATAAAGAACATGCACATGTATGTTCATTGCAGCACTATTCTACAATAAGTGGATAATATTTAAGTGTAAACAATAAAAGTCATAAAAAGATACTTGAAGTTAGAAAAACTACAGTCTGAGGGAACAAATTTGAGGTGAAGTTTCAGCCTTTTAACTTGTGGGGAGGGGGATTATCAAGAAGATGGATCCTTCTTTCTTCCTCAAATCACAGTGTTTAAGGGACAACCTTTTCCATCCATGAACAAGGAGGCAGTTTATGAGTGTGACAGGCTGAAGAGTATACAGTCTCAAAAAATCTCAAACCCTCAGGGACTGAGGGTAATGTACAATTCTAGAGGTCACTGCTCACATGTCTTTTATGTGAATGATGCCCCCATG
Organism: Homo sapiens; assembly: GCF_000001405.40. Classification (NCBI taxonomy): domain Eukaryota; kingdom Metazoa; phylum Chordata; class Mammalia; order Primates; family Hominidae; genus Homo; species Homo sapiens. The sequence goes on along the minus strand of NC_000006.12, from coordinate 78,793,622 downwards.
GAGTTGGGAAACGTGTAGCTGCTGTGCTCTTCCCATATATTCATTTACTTCTAGACCACCTACTTATGTTGTCAATAATAAGCAGCAGCCCTGGGGACACTCTAGATTGCTTCATAATTTAATGTGTTAAATCAGTTTCTCTAAGGGATGATACTTTGATACTTAACCTGCTACCCGGATAAAACAAAGTACTTCTCTGAACCACTTTTCAATTCTTGAAGAAGGTCAGGGTCATTTATTTGATTTCTTACAAAAGGAGACTCCTGGTACCAAGCCACAAGAGGCTCAATAACATAAATTCACATAGTCCTCCTATAAAATTGTTTAAAATGATTGATGTGTGTGGTAGGCCTTAGTGTCTTTTAGGTCCTGGGATAAATACTCTAAATTGAAATTTTTGGTTTTAGTCTGAAGGTTATGTTGCTGACACATCTTTGGGCAAAGCAAGATAAGTGTACTCTCACATTGCTGGGCATGGTGGCTCATGCCTGTAATCCCAGCACTTTGGGAGGCTGAGGTGGGTGGATCACCTAAGGTCAGGAGTTGGAGACAAGCCTGGCCAACATGGTGAAACCCTGTCTCTACTAAAAAGTAAAAACAATTAGCCAGGTATGGTGGCGTGTGCCTGTAATCCCAGCTACTCAGTACGTTGAGGCAGGAGAACTGCTTGAACCTGGGAGGTAGAGGCTGCAGTGAGCCAAGATCGTGCCACTGCACTCCAGCCCGGGTGACAGAGCAAGACTCTGTCTCAAAAAAAAAAAAAAAAAAAAAAGAAAATAAAAAGAAAAAAAACCTCTCGTGTTATATATTTTCAGTTCAAGTTCACAGAGATTTTAATTTTTTTCTTAGAGACTGGATCTTGTTCTGTCATCAAGCCTGGAATGGAGTGGTGTGATCGTGGCCCACTATAACCTTGAACTGCTGGATCCTCCCACCTCAGCCTCTTGAGTAACTAAGACTACAGGTGTGCGTCACCACACCTGGCTGATATTTTTTTAACTTTTAAGTTCAAGGGTACAAGTGAAAGTCTGTTACTTAGGTAAACTTGTGTCATGGGGGATTGTTGTACAGATTTTTTCGTCATCCAGGTATTAAGCCTACTACCCTTTAGTTATTTTTCCAAATCCTCTCCCTCCTCCCACTGTCCACACTCAAGTAGGCCCCAGTATCTCCTCCATGTGCCCATGTGTTCTCCTTATTTAGCTCCCACTTATAAGTGAGACAATGTGATATTTGTTTTTCCATTCTTGTGTTAGTTTGCTAAGGATAATGGCCTCCAGCTCCATCCATGTTCCTGCAAAGAGCATGATCTTGTTATTTTTTATGGCAGCATGGTATTCCATGGTGTATATATACCATATTTTCTTTATCCAGTCTCTCACTGATGGACATTTAGGTTGATTGCACATCTTTGCTATTGTGAATAGTGTTGCAATGAGCATATATGTGCATGTGTCTTTATAATATATATAAATAAATATAATATTTATATTCCTTTGGGTATATACCCATTAATGGGATTGCTGGGTCAAATCGTATTTCTGTCTTTAGGTCTTTGTGGAATTGCCACACTGTCTTCCACAATGGCTGAACTAATTTACACTCCCACTAACAGTATATAAGTGTTCCTTTTTCTCCCAAACCTTGCCAGCTTCTGTTACTTTTTGACTTTTAATTAATAGTCACTATGGCTGATGTGAGATAGTATCTCATTGTGGTTTTGATTTGCATTTCTTTAATGATCAGTAATATTGAGCTTTTTTTCATATGGTTGTTGGCCACAAGTATGTCTTTTTATGAAAAGTGTCTGTTTATGTCCTTTGCTTACTTTTTATGGTGTTGTTTCTTTCTTATACATTTGTTTAAGTTCCTCATAGATGCTGTATATTAGACTTTTCTTGGATGCATGGTTTGCAAAAATTTTCTCCCATTTTGTAGGCTGTCTGTTTACTCTGTGGATAGTTTCTTTTGATGTTCAGAAGCTCTTTAGTTTCATTAAATCCCATGTGTCAATTTTTGTTTTTGTTGCAATTGTTTTGGCATCTTTGACATGAAATCTTTCTCTGTGCCTATATCCTGAATGTTATTGCCTAGGTTATCTTCCAGAGTTTTTATACTTTTGGGTTTTACATTTAAGTCTTTAATTCATCTTGAGTTAATTTTCATATAGGTGTTAGGAAGGGGACCAGTTTCAACCTCTGCCTATGGCTAGCCAGTTTTCCCAACACCATTTATTGAGTAGGGAATCCTTTCCCCATTGCTTGTTTTTGTAAGATTTGTCAAAGATCAGATAATAGTTGGTGTATGGTCTTATTTCTGGGTTCTCTATTCTGTTCCATTTGTCTATGTGTCTGTTTTTGTACCAGTATCGTGCTGCTTTTGTGACTGTAGCCCGGTACAGTAGTTTGAAGTCAGATAGTGTGATGCCTCCAGCTTTGTCCTTTTTGTTGAGGAATGCCTTGGCTATTTGGGCTCTTTTTTGGTTTCATATGAATTTTAAGATCGTTTTCTCTGGTTCTGTGAAGAATGTCGTTGGTAGTTTAATAGGAATAGCATTCAATTTATAAATTGCTTGGGGCGGTATGGCTATTTTAACAATATTGATTCTTCCTATCCATGAGCATGGAATATTTTTCCAATTGTTTATGCCATGTTTGATTTTTTTGAGTAGTGGTTTATAGTTCTCCTCATAGAGATCTTTCACCTCCATAGCTAGTTGTATTCCTAGGTATTTTCTTCTTTTTGTGGCAATTGTGAATGGGAGTTCATTCCTGATTTGGCTCTTGGCTTGACTGTTGTTTGTGTGTAGAAATGCTAGTGATTTTTGTACACTGATTTTGATATCCTGAGACTTTGCTGAAATTGTTTATCAGCAAGAAGCTTTTGGGCTGAAACTATGGGATTTTCTAGTTAATAGGATTATGTTATCTGCAAATAGGAATAGTTTGACTTTCTCTCTTCCTATTCAGATGCCCTTTTTCTCTCTCTCTCTTGCCTGGTTGTGCTGGCTAGGACTTCCAATTCTATATTGAATAGGAGTGGTGAGAGGAGTCATCCTTGTCTTGTGCTTGTTTTCAAGGGGAATGATTCCAGCTTTCCCCAGCTAATTAATTTTTTTTTTCTCAGAGATTAGGTCTAATTATGTTTCCCAGGCTGGTCTCCAACTCCTGGCCTCAAGTGATCCTCCTAACTTGGCCTTCCAAAGTGCTGGGATTACAGGTGTGAGCCACTGTGCCCTGCTCAAATCCATGAAGTTTTGAGAGTGGAGATGTACGTGACTTTCTTATCAGAAAGCTAAGACCTGTTCCATGTCTGAGTCTCACTGCTCATAATTTCTTTGAGTCATTTGCTGACATGATCCTGCTCACACCCAGAGAAAGCTGGGTGGCACTGTGGAAGGAATCATGGAGTGAGAGCCCAGAAACATAAGGTGTAGACTGTCTGGGCCCTGTGAGCAACTGGTGATAGCCCAGATGCTGGACTTCCCTGCTTTATTTTATCTGTAAAACAATCTTAATAGTATCTACTTGTGTTAACTTCCAATGGCTGATGTAACAAATTACTACACACTTTAAAACACGAATTTATTATCTTATGGTTTTGTAGGTCAGAAATCCAACACAAGTTGCTTGGGGCTAAAATCAAGGTGCCCACCAGGCTGTGTTACTTTCTGGTTGTACTAGGAGAAAATCTGTTTCCTTGTCTTTTCCAGCTTCTAGAGCCTGCTCACATTCACTGATTTGGGGTCTCATTCCTCCATCTTCAAAGCTAGCAATGTAGCTTTGATGATACTTTTGTTGTTATATGTTTTTCTCTGACACTCCCTCTTCTGCTTCCCCCTTTTTTGAATGATCCTTGTGATTACACTGGACCCATTGGATAATCCAAGATAATCTCTCTATTTTAAGGTCAGCTGATTAACAACTTCAATTTCCTCTGCAACCTTAGTTTCCCTTTACCATGTAACCTAACATATTCATAGGTTCTGAGATTAGAATGTGAACATTTTGGGGAGCCATTGTTATGCCTTGAAAGTGGCTATGCCCACTTTAGTTGGTAAAGGAATCAAATATAAAGGTACATCATCATTATGAATTACCATAATGATAGAATATACTATTGGCTGGGTAAAGTATTTTCATGTGCTTCAAGATAACTTAAAAACTCATTGCAATCAACATTTGATATGCCCCGGTTTTTGTTTTAACGTTAGCCATTTGGGGGATATTCAGTAGTATGTCATTATGATTTTAATTTGCACTTTCCTGAAGACTAATGGGAATAAACACCTTTAAATGTGTTTCTTGTCCATTTATGTATCTCATATTGTGAAAGGTATATCTAAACCTTTTATTCATTTGAAAATTGCATTTTGTCTGCATTGTGTTGTATGAGTTTGTGGTGAAGTTGCTATTGTGTCACCTTAACTAAACTGGAACTACTTTTTTCTGGGATGTCCCTCTCTGGTTGTTTTGAGCCTGAAAATTTGTGCAGGATTTAGAATGCAGACATAAAGCAGCAACTATCTTCTTTTTATTCATGGAAAGCTGGAGCAAGGCAGGTGGCACTGTTGCAGCTCACACACACTGTTGCTAATTTGCTGGTCACCCTGTGAGCATGAGGTGGCATCTGAGTTCATAGCTCCTCCAGCCAGACTTCCTCTTTACATTGTGCTGAATCCTGGGCCAGGTACATACTTATCTCCTGTAGTCAGTTGAATTTGTGTCTCCCCAAAAATATATGTTGGGATACTAGCCTTCAGTACCCCGGAATGTAACCTTATTTAGAGATAGAGTCTTTGTAGAGACAAAGGTAATCAAGTTAAAATGAGTCATTAGAGTGGGCCCTAATCCAAATACAGTGGTGTCCTTTTGAGAAGGGACAATGTGAACACAGAGACACACACATTCACAGAGAATGCCATGTGAAGATGAAGGAAGAGATTAGGGTGATGTAGCAGATACCAAGGAATGCCAAAGATTGCCAGCAAACCACCAGAAGCTAAACAAGAAGAATGGAAGAGGTTCTCCCTCACAGCTCTCAGGAGGAACCAACCCTGCTAATGTCTTCATCTGAGATTTCTAGCCTCTAGAACCAAGACAATAAATTTCTATTTTAAGCTATCCAGTTTTTATCGTGTTGCTCTGGCAACTCTAGCAAACTAATACATCTCCCTAATCATTGAAGTTGGAAGCTTGATTGAAGTTGGTGAGAGATTGGTACAGTCTGTCCTTGGAGATTTCAGCCCATCCTTATAGGTGAGTTTCTTCTTGCTTCTCTCACATTGCATTTAATTTCTCTTCCTGACTGCTTTATTAGCAGATCTCAGACTCTAGTATCAGATGTACAGACAACAGTTTCACAGAGACAGTCTCCCATAAATGTATGAGATCAAATCCATATAATGAAATATGTTTATATACATATATATATATATATATATATATATATATATATATATATATATATATACATACACATATGTATGGGACTCTTAGTGGTTCTGTTTCATTAATCAAGCCCTGATTGATACAGAACTCTTTGTATATCTTTAATACTAGTCAGATACATGTTTTGGAAAGATTTACCTCCCAATCTGTGGATCACCTTTTCATTTTCATAATGGTGTTTTTGAATAGTTATAGTTTTTAATTTTGATGAAGTAAAATTTATTAAAGTTTATATATATATATACACACACACACATATTTTGGCCTAGTGTAAACAAATCTTTACTCCACACTCATGAAGATATTCACCCGCCTCCCCCTTTTTTTTTTTAGCATGGTAAGAGGTAGTGGTCAAGATTCTTCTTTTTTTCTTATGGAGATTCAGTTGTTCCAGACCATTTATTAACATTATCTTTCTTTCTTAAATTGCCTTAGTATTTTTGTTGAAAACCAATTGACCATGTATAGGTGGGCTTATGGCTGGACCTCATCTTGTTCCATTGATTTACTTCTCTATTCTTGGCCAAAGATCACATTGTAAAAACCGCTATAGCTTTATAGTAAATCTTGAAATCAGGGAGTGTAAATCCTACAACTTTGTTGTTTTTCAAAATTGTTTTGTCTATTCTAAATTCTTTGAATTTGTATATAAATTGTAAACTGAGTTCAACAGTTAAAATGGATTTTTTTGGGATTTTGGTTAGGATTGAATTGGATATACAGATTAATTTGGGGGAATTATTGATAGTTTAATAATGTTGAATCTTCAAATACATGACCAGAGCATATATATTTAAATTGTCTTCATTTATTTAGATCTTCTTTAAATGTTCTTGAGAAATGGTTTTTAGTTTTCAGTGTTTTCATTACATTTATTATTGTTTTTAGGCTACTGTAAATAGCATTTTAAAATATCATTTTCTTAGGAACGCTTTTACAATGTTGGTGGGAGTGTAAATTGGTTCAACCATTGTGGAAGACAGTGTGGCAATTCCTCAAGGACTCAGGAGCAAAAATACCATTTGATCCAGAAACCCCATTACTGGGTATATACCCAAAGGATTATAAACCATTCTACTATAAAGACACATGCACATGTATGTTTATTGCAGCATTGTTTACAATAGCAAAGACTTGGAACCAACCCAAATACCTATCAATGTTAGACTGGATAAAGAAAATGTGTCATATATACATAATGGAGTACTATGCAGCCATAAAAAAGAATGAGTTCGTGTCCTTTGCAGGGACATGGATGAAGCTGGAAACCATCATCCTCTGCAAATTAACACAGGAACAGAAAACCAAAGACCACATGCTCTCACTCATCAATGGGAGTTGAACAATGAGAACACATGGACACAGGGAGGGGAATATCACACACCAGGGCCTGTCAGGGGGCTGGGGGGAAAGGGGAGGGAGAGCATTAGGACAAACACCTAATGCACGCAGGGCTTGAAACCTAGATGATGGGTTAATAGGTGCAGCAAATCACCATGGAACATGTATACCTATGTAACAAACGTGCATGCTCAGCATGTGTATCCCAGAACTTAAAGTAAAAAAAATATATATATATATGTATATAATAAAATATCATTTTCTAATTATTTGTTGCTAGTATGTAGAAATACAATCTATCTGTTCTTGGACTTTTTTTGATTGGTAAGCTATTAATTGTTGCCTCAATTTCAGAGCCTGTTATTGGTCTATTCAGAGATTCAACTTCTTCCTGGTTTAGTCTTTGGAGAGTGTATGTGTCGAGGAATTTATCCAGTTGTTCTAGATTTTCTAGTTTATTTGTGTAGAGGTGTTTACAGTATTCTCTGATGGTAGTTTGTATTTCTGTGAGATCAGTGGTGATATCCCCTTTGTCATTTTTTATTGCATCTATTTGATTCTTCTCTCTTTTCTTCTTTAGTAGTCTTGCTAGCGGTCTATCAATTTTGTTGATCTTTTCAAAATACCAGCTCCTGGATTCATTGATTTTTTGAAGAGTTTTTTGTGTCTCTATTTCCTTCAGTTCTGCTCTGATCTTAGTTATTTCTTGCCTTCTGCTAGCTTTTGAATGTGTTTGCTCTTGCTTTTCTAGTTCTTTTAATTGTGATGTTAGGGTGTCAATTCTGGATCTTTTCTGCTTTCTCTTGTGGGCATTTAGTGCTATAAATTTCCCTCTACACACTGCTTTGAATGTGTCCCAGAGATTCTGGTATGTTGTGTCTTTGTTCTCGTTGGTTTCAAAGAACATCTTTATTTCTGCCTTCATTTCGTTATGTACCCAGTAGTCATTCAGGAGCAGGTTGTTCAGTTTCCATGTAGTTGAGTGGTTTTGAGTGAGTTTCTTAATCCTGAGTTCTAGTTTGATTGCACTGTGGTCTGAGACACAGTTTGTTATAATTTCTGTTCTTTTACATTTGCTGAGGAGTGCTTTACTTCCAACCATGTGGTCAATTTTGGAATAGGTGTGGTGTGGTGCTGAAAAGAATGTATATTCTGTTGATTTGGGGTGGAGAGTTCTGTGGATGTCTATTAGGTCTGCTTGGTGCAGAGCTGAGTTCAATTCCTGGATATTCTTGTTAACTTTCTGTCTCATGATCTGTCTAATGTTGACAGTGGGGTGTTAAAGTCTCCCATTATTATTGTGTGAGAGTCTAAGTCACTTTGTGGGTCACTCAGGACTTGCTTTATGAATCTGGGTGCTCGTGTATTGGGTGCATATATATTTAGGATAGTTAGTTCTTGTTGAATTGATCCCTTTACCATTATGTAATGGCCTTCTTTGTCTCTTTGGATCTTTGTTGGTTTAAAGTCTGTTTTATCAGAGAGTAGGATGGCAACCCCTGCCTTTTTTTGTTTTCCATTTGTTTGGTAGATCTTCCTCCATCCTTTTATTTTGAGCCTATGTGTGTCTCTGCATGTGAGATGGGTTTCCTGAATACAGCACACTGACGGGTCTTGACTCTTTATCCAATTTGCCAGTCTGTGCCTTTTAATTGGAGCATTTAGCCCATTTACATTTAAGGTTAATATTGTTATGTGTGAATTTGATCCTGCCATTATGATGTTAGCTGGTTATTTTGCTCGTTAGTTGATGCAGTTTCTTCCTAGTCTTGCTGGACTTTACAATTTGGCATGTTTTTGCAGTGGCTGGTACCGATTGTTCCTTTCCATGTTTTGTGCTTCCTTCAGGAGCTCTTTTAGGGCAGGCCTGGTGGTGACAAAATCTCTCAGCATTTGCTTGTCTATAAAGTATTTTATTTCTCCTTCACTTATGAAGCTTAGTTTGGCTGGATATGAAGTTCTGGGTTGAAAATTCTTTTCTTGAAGCATGCTGAATATTGACCCCAACTCTCTTCTGGCTTGTAGAGTTTCTGCTGAGAGATCCACTGTTAGTCTGATGGGCTTCCCTTTGAAGGTAACCTGAACTTTCTCTCTGGCTTCCCTTAACATTTTTTCCTTCATTTCAACTTTGGTGAATCTGACAATTATGTGTCTTGGAGTTGCTCTTCTCGAGGAGTATCTTTGTGGCGTTCTCTGTATTTCCTGAATCTGAATGTTGGCCTGCCTTGCTAGATTGGGGAAGTTCTCCTGCATAATATCCTGCAGAGTGTTTTCCAACTTGGTTCCATTCATTCCGTCACTTTCAGGTACACCAATCAGACGTAGATTTGGTCTTTTCACATAGTCCTATATTTCTTGGAGGCTTTGCTCGTATCTTTTTATTCTTTTTTCTCTAAACTTCCCTTCTCGATTCATTTCATTCATTTCATCTTCCATCGCTGATACCCTTTCTTCCATTTGATCTCATCGGCTCCTGAGGCTTCTGCATTCTTCACGTAGTTCTCGAGCCTTGGTTTTCAGCTCCATCAGCTCCTTTAAGCACTTCTCTGTATTGGTTATTCTAGTTATACATTCTTCTAAATTTTTTTCAAAGTTTTCAACTTCTTTGCCTTTCATTTGAATGTCCTCCTGTAGCTCGGAGTAATTTGATTGTCTGAAGCCTTCTTCTCTCAGCTTGTCAAAGTCATCCTCCGTCCAGCTTTGTTCCCTTGCTGGTGAGGAACTGCGTTCCTTTGTAGGAGGAGAGGCGCTCTACCTTTTAGAGTTTCCAGTTTTTCTGCTCTGTTTTTTCCCCATCTTTGTGGTTTTATCTACTTTTGGTTTTTGATGATGGTGATGTACAGATGGGTTTTTGGTGTGGATGTCGTTTCTGTTTGTTAGTTTTCCTTCTAACAGACAGGACCCTCAGCTGCAGGTCTGTTGGAGTGCCCGGCCCTGTGAGGTGTCAGTCTGCCCCTGCTGCGGGGTGCCTCCCAGTTAGGCTACTTGGGGATCAGGGGTCAGCAACCCACTTGAGGAGGCAGTCTGCCTGTTCTCAGATCTCCAGCTGCATGCTGGGAGGACCACTGCTCTCTTCAAAGCTGTCAGACAGGGACATTTAAGTCTGCAGAGGTTACTGCTGTCTTTTTGTTTGTCTGTGCCCTGCCCCCAGAGGTGGAGCCTGCAGAGGCAGGCAGGCCTCCTTGAGCTGTGGTGGGCTCCACCCAGTTCAAGCTTCCCAGCTGCTTTGTTTACCTAAGCAAGCCTGGGCAATGGCAGGTGCCCCTCCCCCAGCCTGGCTGCCGCCTTGCAGTTTGATCTCAGACTGCTGAGCTAGCAATCAGCAAGACTCCATGGGCATAGGACCCTCCGAGCCAGGTGTGGGATATAATCTCCTGGTGCACCGTTTTTTTAAGCCCGTTGGAAAAGCGCAGTATTCTGGTGGGAGTGACCCAATTTTCCAGGCGCTGTCTGTCACCCCCTTCTTTGACTAGGAAAGGGATCTTCCTGACCCTCTGTGCTTCCCTAGTGAGGCAATGCCTCACCCTGCTTCTGCTCATGCACGGTGCGTGCACCCACTGACCTGCGCCCACTGTCTGGCACTCCCTAATGAGATGAACCCGGTACCTCAGATGGAAATGCAGAAATCACCTGTCTTCTGCGTCGCTCATGCTGGGAGCTGTAGACAGGAGCTGTTCCTATTTGGCCATCTTGGCTCCTCCCCGTCTTTCAGTCTTTTTGATGTAGGCTCTTAGGGCTGTGAACTTTCCTCTTAGCACTGCCTTTGCTGTATCCCAGAGGTTTTGATAACATTGTGTCATTATTGTCATTCAGTTTGAAAATTTTTAAATTTTCATTTTGATTTCATTTTTGACCCTATGTTCATTCAGGAGCAGGTTACTTAATTTTTATATACTTGCATGGTTCTGAAGATTCCTTTTGGAGTTGATTTCCATTTTTATTCCACCATGGCCTGAGAGAGTGCTTGATATAATTTCAATTTTCTTAAATTTGTTGAAGCGTGTTTTATGGCCTATTATATGGTCTATCTTGCAGAAAGTTCCATGTCCTGTTGAATAGAGTGTGTATTCTGCAGTTGTTGGATGAAATGCTCTGTGTAAATCTATTAAGTCCATTTGTTCCAAGGTATAATTTAAATCCATTGTTTATTTGTTGACTTTCTGCCTTGATGACCTGTCTAGTGCTGCCAGTGAAGATAGGGCCTCAAACCCTTCTAGCTTAAAGGGTTTCTCCTGAGAAATCTGATACTTTTAAAAAAAAAAATATATATATAGATTACCTGGTGCTTCTGTCTCACAGCTCATAAGATTCTTTCCTTCATCTTAACTTTGGATAACCTGATGACAATGTGCCTAGGTGAAGATCTTTTGCAGTGAATTTCCCAGGTGTTCTTTGTGCTTCTTGTATTTGGATGCCTAGGTCTCTAGCAAGGCTGGGGAAGTTTTCCTCAATTATTTCCCCAAATATGCTTTCCAAGCTTTTAGAATTCTCTTCGTCCTCAGGAACATGGATTATTCTTAAGTTTTGTGATTTAACATAATCCCAGACTTCTTGGAGACTTTGTTCATATTTTTTTTATTCTTTTTTCTTAGTCTTCCTTGGATTGGGTTAATTTGAAGACCTTGTCTTCGAGCTCTGAATTTCTTTCTTGTACTTGTTCAATTCTATTGCTGAGACTTTCCAGAGCATTTTGCATTTCCAAAAGTGTGTCCAGAGTTTCCTGAATTTTTGATTATTTTTTCTTTATGCTATCTATTTCCTTGAATATTTCTCCCTTGACTTCTTGTATCATTTTTTGAATTTCTTTGCATTGGGGTTTGCCTTTCTCTGGCCCCTCCCTCATTAGCTTAATAACTAACCTCCTGAATACCTTTTCAGGTAAATCAGGAATTTCTTCTTGGTTTGGATCAATTGCTGGTGAACTAGTGTGATTTTTGGGGGGTGTTGAAGAACCTTGTTTTGTTATATTACCAGGTTGGTTTTCTGGTTCCTTCTCATTTGGATAGGCTCTGTCAGAGGGAAGGTCTAGGGCTGAAGACTTGTTCAGATTCTTTTGTCCCATGGGGTGTTCCCTTGATGTAGTACTCTCCCCCTTTTCCTATGGATGTGGTTTCCTGTGAGCCAAATTGCAGTGATTGTTGTCTCTCTTCTGGGTCTAGTCACCCAGAGAGTTTACCTGGCTCTGGGCTGGTACTGGGGGTTGTCTGCACAGAGTCCTGTGATCTGAACTGTCTATAGGTCTCTCAGCCATAGATACCAGTGTCTGTTTCAGTGGAGGTGGCTGGGGGGTGCAATGGACTCTGTGAGGGTTCTTAGCTTTGATGGTTTAATGGTCTACTTTTGTGCTGGTTGGCCTCCTGCCAGGAGGTGGCACTTTCCAGAAAGCATCAGCTGTAGTAGTATAGAGAGGGACTGGAAGTGGATGGGACCCTAGAACTCCCAAGATTATATTCCCTTTGTGTTCTACTACCAGGGTGCATAGGGAAGGACCATCAGGTGCGGGTGGGGGTAGGCGTGTCTGAGCTCAGACTCTCCTTGGGCAGGTCTTGCTGTGGCTGCTGTGGGGGATGGGGGTGAGATTCCTAGGTTACTGGAGTTGGGTACCTAGGGAGATTGTGGCTGCCTCTGATGAGTCATGCAGGGTGTTGGGGAAGTTGGGGAAAACCCAGCTTCCATGCAAACTGAAGGGCCGGTCTCACTCCCACCATGCTCTCCCCAACAGCCCTGAGTCTGTTTCCAGGTGGCGGGCAAGAAGGGCTTGAAAACTTGCTCCAGGCTACCCACCTTCCAGCTGCTAAAGAAAAGGGGTTGGTTTTTCCACTGCCTGTGGAGTCTGCACGCTGGATTTGCACCTTCCCTTGATTTGTGGCCAGGGGGCTTCTTACCCTGTTCAAATTGTTACAAAGTTCAGCTAGAGACTTCCTTCTCCCTGTGGAGTTTTACCCCCCTGCTCCTCTGGTCACCCTCCGGATGGATTCCTGTTGTGCTAGGCAGGAATGGCCTGCTAGGGGATGCAGTGAGCTCCCAGGACCTTTCTGCTGTTTCCTCTACCCATGTATTTTGCTCGGCTCTCTAAATTGACTCAGCTCCAGGTAAAGTCAGAAACTTCTCCCACAAACAGATCTGCAGCTTCTCCAGTGTGGGTGTGTGTTCAGGAGACGAGGGTCTCCCTTTCCCACTTCCGCAGTTGGGGCACTCACAGTATTTGGGGTGTTTCCTAGGTCCTGCAGAAGCAGTCTGCTTCCTTCAGAGGGTCTATGGGTCCTCTTGGGATTGATGGTTTGTTCTTGCAGTCAGTCTAGAGCTAAAATTTACAATGCAAACTTCCACAGGCTGCTCTGAACAGAGCTGCAATCTAGTCCTGCCTCCCATCCTCCATGATTGCCTGCATCTCTCCAAGTGTAACTTCTAATACAAAGCAAATAAGCAATATCAAGGCTTCTGGTTTTTATGAATATAATGAATCAACCAAGGTTGTTGGCTTGCTTCCTCATATAAACTTTGGAGAAATGGTAGAATCAAAGAACAGAAATGGATTCAAGGAACTAACAACAACAAAACTCCACAAAGAAACCCTTGGAGATACTGAAGTCTGTTCTCACCTACTATGCATATGGAAGGTAGATGGCTGCAGCCCAGAATAGAATGTGTCAGTAGGATAACTTGTTGGAATAATGCAATGGATAAGATAAGCAACAGCTTAGAAATATGTGGAGGATGATTTTCCAGCCTAAAGAAATGTGAAATAGATTCCACAGGACTAAGAAAATTCATAGCAAGGAGCTGAAGTTTCACTGTAGGGCTCAATGCACTTGCTCACAAGAGTATAGTCATGGAGCCCAGAAACACAGGACTCAAAGAAGAAGTAGAAAGGAAGAGGTTTTGAATGTGCAAGAAAAGTCACTTCACATCAGACCCAGTGACTATGGGTGACATCGTTGCAAATTTCTAAACTTTGCATGAAGACAGTAATATCTCAAATACTAGTTCTTTGAGACAGGTGAATTTTCTCTACATCTATACTACATATAGAGTTATTATTATTATGAGAATTAAATGAGAAGATGAGATGAAAGTGCTAAGACCAGAACTAGGAAAATAGTGAGTGCTCAATAAATATTAGTTATCATTTAAAATTAGATTCAAGATCAATCTAATATGTAGGGTACTCCTTGAGTGGCAAATTGAACTTACTTGATAAAATCTCTGTTTTGCTGCTCATTTCCTTCAATACGACCATCAAAAGAAAAGGTCTTATTATGATGCAGGAAAAAATAAATAATGCCTATGAAAATGATATATACTTGCAATGAACATCAATGAGTCGACAAGCAGAAGTACCCAGGAAATCCTTTGGGGGGAATAAACATAAATGATATTTTTGGAGAGTATTAGAGGTTGCTTGGTGTGATACATAGAACATGTATGATATATTCTTGAAATAGATTACATAAATTGCACAGAGGCAAGGGGTGATGAAGACAGGGCTTTTTCTTATGTGAACATGTACTGGTTGGCTTATTTAGTTAAAATCAGACACTACTTTAACAATTTATTTTGTAAAAGGTAAAGAGAGTAATAAAGTGAATTACTTTGCTAGTACTAATTCTGGCCAAAAAAGAGTCATTAATTGGTGAAATGGGAGTGACTAAAACTTTGGGATAAAACAACTTTTTATTATGTCAAGTTAGAAAAAGACAGAAAAGTAGAGAGAGTGCTATAACAAACATCCAAGTATTGGATCGTTGGATCACTTGGATTTAATAATTGCTTACATTTTGCTAAAAATTAGTTCTCTCTTTGGTTTTCTAATACTGCCAAATGGCAATATGAAAAATAGGAAGTTAGCAATAACACTTCGATAACTCAAAATTGAAGGAATGGAGCTATTATCAGGATACTACTTCCTTCTCGTAGTTTCATATCATACCTGATGTTTATTTTTGAAATTCCGTTGCCTATTGTGGGTGGATTCCTTTTCAAGTTTTTCATAAGTAATCCACATCTGTGTAATTTCCCCCTTTGAAACAAGTGGGTGGCCATTTATTCTCAACGGGATGCACTATTTTCAATACTGAAAATAGATAATTTCAATGAAATATTTTAGCTCTGAGGACCCATTACAGAGAAAAGAATAGCAATCAATAATATAATTTTTATTGAGATGGAAAGTAATGATTCTGGGAAATATCTGTATATATACAATAAAATGCTCTATTTCAAAATATATATTGAATTTGTAAATAAAATAATACTTCATCTTTATATACTGCTCTTCCTTCTAAAAGCTAAAAAATTCTTTCAAATTTATTTCTTTATTTATTTCCATCATAACTCTATGATGTAGACAAGAAGGTATAGATATAATTTAATCATTAACATTTTAAGGGGAAAATGTATCTTTTGAAATTTTATTTGAAAGTTGAGAGGATATATCTTATGGCTCTTGCTAAGAATTGTGAAGATCATATATATATTGAAACATATAAATATAAATTTATAGTGCATATATCCATTTTTTCTTGAAAATTTATATATTGATGCTTATAACCTATAAAGTAGAAAAAAATGAAACACATAAAAATGCCATATGTTTTGTTTTATGACTATAGATGGTGTGATATGTCACTATATCTCTGAAAGCCATGAGTTTGTGGTAAATCCTGAAATCATAAAATCAGCTTAAATATATCCCTGGATGGAAAGTGATTAATAGAGAAGAATGTTGCAGGCTTGAAGAAGTCCTGTTAGATAACAAATAAGAAAAATCATTAATGGTGTTTAAGATAATACTCTACTAGGTTTCTGACAATTTAAACCCTGTGTGTATAATTCTCATTACAACATTTGAAATAATATCTTTCATTGAATAATGTATTCCAAAGTATTATTAGTGGTAACCTATTCTTGTAGGGATTGCAGAGCATTTTATTTTTCTATTTATATTTCCTAATATTTTAAAAAGTTTTTTAATATTAAGAGAGCAAATACATGTTTTTCCAAAGAAAGAATGTCTTTGTGAACCTTAGAAATTTATTTGTAAGAAGAATTCAACCCTAAATACTATATTTACCAAACCATGGCATTAGAGAAAATATAGATTATTTGATGTACTTTTAAGTTATTGTTGTTATAATTCTTGCATGTTAAAGATTTAGGATTATGAACTATTAATCATTATTTGTTAAGCATTCCTTATGGAATTAACACTTTAATATGTATTATGGGACAAAAAGATGATAAATTCTGAAATTTTCTTGTAATGAACACAAATAGTCTTTATAGACAAAACATGCACAGTAAAAATTAGAGAACTATCAAAAGCTGAATTGCATCACTGACAGCTAAGAGAACAGAGAAACTAGGCAGGAGCAGCCTGTGATTTGATGAAGATGAGATTTGAGCTTGGCTTTGAAAGAAGTATAATTAAGGAGCCTTGGAAGTCAGGGAATAGAGGAAATAATTTTTTTATGTACTAGGCAATAGAGATTAATATCATCTGGATTAAGCAAATTATAGGGGAAATTCTGTTAGGATAATTAGTCTACATGTTCTCTGCTAAATAAGGAAAAATAGGAAGAGGAGGCTGGCTATCTCTGATTTGCCATCTCTTTTTTTTCCTATAGGGTAAGAACCATGGCATTTTCGGTAGGGTACAGGGCCATCCATTGCCCAGCCTTCCTTTCACTTAAGAGTGGCCCTGAGGTTATGTTTTAGCCAGGGGCTTGTGAGTGAAAATAGCACATGATATTTCCAAAGACATGTCCTTAAGGGAAGGGGCTGTACTGCTTATCCCCACTTCCTCCATCCTGCTGCTGTCATGGGAGAGAGAAACTGTCTTCTCTCTAAATGTATGTTAGCTTGAGTTTCTATTTTCATGCAGCTAAACCTGTATCTTAACTAGTATACAATTTGGTATATGAAATGGAGTACTGCACATAATGGGAACTTAAATAGCTGCATTTGTTTGATGGTTTCAAGTATATAGACATTGCAGAATGTAAGGGGGAGGCATTTTTATTAATGGTGTGGCAAAGCTGTAGACAATGTGCCTCTGATAACTGGACAGGCAGATTATGGGCCAAGTGAGCCAATAACTTCAGGGGAAATGGTGAAAAAAAAATCAATGTCTGTTGGCTGCTCCTTTTGTAGAAGGCCCCACAAGAGAGAGGAGAAGTCAGGCAAGTTCATAAGTAGAAATAGAGGGAATACAGCTCAGCTGAGGGACTCTGTGTTTAAGGCAATATTAGATGACTGGGAGTCTAGTAATTTGGGGCTTATAGTACTGAAAAGGTCAACTATTTCTGTAATCCAAATGTAAGGAATTATAGAACTGTCGGCTTTAGCAGGAGATAAGAATAGACCCACAAACCTTTTCAAGCACCTTCGTTAGACTATGGGAACTGGTGTACCTGCAAAGATGAAATTAAGGATGTTACCTTGCCACCCAAGCCTGCTGCCTCAGTTGGCTTCCAGGAGCTGCCAGTTACTCCAGAGAGTGTTCTAGCCATAGGACAGAGGATGATAAGTAAAATGTCAGTCTTAAAGTCTAAAAACGATGTGCTGATGAATCTTCAGCTGTACTTAACTCTTGGAATCTAAAAGACTAGAAGCCTCGTATGATTTTGAGGGAATATTATTGCCAAACAACCCATACATCAGGCCTGCAAAAACTTGACATTTTCTGACCTTGAAAGCAATTTGCAAATCTGTAAACCTACATTAGTGGGAAGTAGGTTGTGAAAGCTGTGTAGTCCCACTTCAGAGGTATCTAAGGAGGATAATGGAAAAGAAAGACACCCTTCCCCACCCCGAAAACCAGAGGCCTCTGAGGAAAATGGACAAGCAGATAGCAAAACTGAGGTCTTCTAGCTTGGCTAGTAGAGACAGTTGTGAGAAATCTGGGAGTTTTCACTATATGGCCCAGTGGTATATGATAATTGAGTAGCTTTTATTGTGATTGTGCTCTACCTACTCCACCATTGGGCATGCTGCATAAGTTAACTTGCCTTATTATTATTATTATTTTTTGTAAATGACTAGACCATATCAGGATTTGATGTAAAGGAGTACATATCACTGAAGAAGTTTCCAACTGATGCAGTAATTGGGTATAGCCATGAGGTAGTATCCTTTGGGTCTTGGTTTGTATGTTGCATATTTTAGAAGAAGTGTGCTACACCATTCAGGCATCACTTTAAGAGAACTTCTCCAGCAAAGAGTGTAATCACTGGCAACCTGAACTTCAGTACCTTCAAGATCCATCAAAGTGTTCTAGCAGAGGACATGCTCTCCCTGACTCTCTCTGGGCAACTCTAGCCAATGATTGAGCGTTGTTGGGGTTCTAGGTACTGGTCACTGCTGCCCAAGATGGGACCCAGCACAGGACAATTTTTGCTCTGTAGCTCCCTCTTGGACTGGTTGTTTTTCCTTTAAGAGAAGTACCACAGTCTGGGTTCTTCCTACTCAAGACTCCTCCTTTACCTTCTTTTCTTTTCACAGGTGTCAAATCTACATTGAGGTCTGAAGGTTTTTTCAACCAACTCCTCTTCCTGTCCCCTTTGTCTTTCACAGGCATCCACATCCAATACATCTCCCACACTTCTAAGTCTGCCTTGACCACTGCTTCTTAGAGGTCCTGAACCCACACAGGTATATTGTTCACTGTAGAGTCAAGTAATATGCCCGTATTATATTTCCTTTTGTGTGAGGTACAAAGTAACCATCCCTGTGCCATTTAATGGAGAATGTTCCTTGTATCAAGTTCAAATATTCTCCTTTTTACACTTCACCAAATGCTTTGTTTATCCTCAAGTTTTTCCAGACTCCCAGCATAATTTATTGTTTGTTCTCATTTTCTCTGTGAACTTCCCATGCAAAACATTCTGTTCTCTGGCCCCAATCTTTACTAGCACTCTCTAGAACAGCAGTGTGGATGTCATCCTGGAATTTTGCTTCATTCCTCTCTTAGTTTGGGTATCACTGTTTCTGAGGCCATTATGCTTTCTTCCTTTGTTTTGATGGAATACTTGCCTATTTTCTTGAGATACATTTTTATTTCTAAGAAATGGTGCATTTGAGTAAACTTCTGAGTCCTTGCATGTTAAAAAACATTTTTATGATGTTCTTTTCAGTGGTTATAAGGTTAGTTATAGAAATATGGGTTGAAAATAATTTTTTCCTGGGAACTTTGACGACCTTTCTTCATTGACTTTCCACATTCTGTGTTCTGATGAGAAAGCTAACGTCTTTGACTCTTATTCCTTTGCATGTGAGCTGTATTTTCTCCTTGGCAGTTATTTGGGTCTTCTCTTTATCCTTAGATATATAACATTTTTTTCCAGGACACATTTAAGTCCTGGATACAGAATGAGTTCTTTTAGTCTGAAGACTGGATCCATCTTAGGGAAATTATCTATTAGCATTTCTGTGATAATCTTTTCCCTCTTCGTTTTTTCTGTAATTTGTATTTGGATGTAAAACCTCTTCGAATAGCCCTTTGGATCTTTTGTCTTTTATGTCATTTTTAAGTTTCCTTGTATTGTAATTTGGGAGATTTGTTTGGATTTATTTTCTAAGTTTTCTATTAAATTTTTATTTTGGCAAACATATTTTGATTTCCAAAGTTTTTATTCTTGTAATTCAATAATTCCTCTTTCATACCATGTTATAGTTATTTTATGAATGCAGTATTTTTTAAAAATTTAATTATTTTAGAGGAAAATAAGTCACATTCAAGAGAATGTGATATACATATATAATAATGTATATGCGTACAATAAATGTATAACAAAATGAATACCCATGCACCTCTTGCCTTGGTTAAACAGCATAAAAGTTCCTGTGTTCTCCCTCTTCATCATGTGCCCCTCCCCTCCAGAGGTAACATCTACACTGAAGGTTGTGATAATCATTCCTTTGTTATTAAAAATAGTTTTACCACCTATGTATGTATTACTAAACAATTATTATTTAGTTTTGCCTGCTTTTAAACTTTATAAATAGATTTGTAATGCATTTTTTAGTGAATTGCTCATTTGATTTATTGAAATTGCTCATTTACTAATAGCCTCTGTCCTGTGATATTTGTAGTTGATGGCTTATACCTTAAAAAAGCACTATCATCATTTTAATGAAGCCTCAGGAGGTAAAGGAGATAAACATATGTGTTCCACTTGTCATATTACATTAGAAGGCCAGAAGAGATTTTAAAAAATTAATCTGTGAATCATGCTATTTCATTAATTCATACTTGGTCTTATTAGCATGTAGGTATTTATTATATGTGTATATCTAATACTAACAGTTTAAAAATATTTTGTAATTTAAAATCTGCACTAAATGGTTTTATGGAAGTAGTAGATTAACTGGGCTTTGGGGTCAGTCAAACCCGGGTTAAAATCCCTACTCCACTACCTTTTAGTCAATAGATATTGGGTAAATCACTTAGTTTCTAAAATCTCCTATTTCCTTCTCTGTAAATGAAGGTAATAATACCTACCCCAAACTGTTATTTGATGGTTAAATGAGATAGTGTATGTGAAGGACTTAACCTACCATTCAGCATGTGGGAAGTAATAAATGTAAGTCTTGTTTTTATCCCTGATTAAAGAAGAGTGATTTTTTTTGTCCTACTACATTTCACAAACAGGGCTAGGTTCACAACCTGTGCAGTCACACAGGGACTCAGAAGGGCTCCATGCTTGACTAATGCTCTGCTGTCATTGTCTTGAAATTATTAATAATTTTATCTTTAAATTTGTGTAAGTGAGGTCCAGTGGGCAATGCAACATGTGCATAAGCAGAGGTGGTACATTTAGTATGTATGTCCACCTCTCTTTGCAGCCCCATTCACATAGAGTGTTTGCAATGCTCCCTGAGCACAAAATTCCAGTGAATGCATAATGCATGGTGGTTCTATGAGATTCAAGCCAGTATAGAAGAAGTGTTATATCTATGGCTAAGTGGG
Organism: Homo sapiens; assembly: GCF_000001405.40. Lineage (NCBI taxonomy): Eukaryota > Metazoa > Chordata > Mammalia > Primates > Hominidae > Homo > Homo sapiens. Next base: position 78,772,862 of record NC_000006.12, on the reverse strand, counting down.
GGTGCTCATAGTCACAAGAGACCACACTTTGTTTGAACCAGAGCTTGCTTTGAATGCAGAAAGAAGGCAGTGGCATCCTAAGAAACACAAATGACCACGGAAACCTATCATTTCCTTTTTTACTCATGTTGCTTCCCACTATTTGTCAACTACTTCTGCTGGAAATAACATACAAAAGGAAATATTGGGTAACCCACAGTTCCTTTTCCTTTCAGTCCTTTCCTACTCATCAGTAAGCCAAAGGTAGAGAGTGTTGGTAGAATGTGCTGGCACTAAAAGATGAAATAAAACAATTGAGTTAGTTTTGAGCATCATTTACATTCCTCTGCTAAGAATGAAATACATATGTATGTCTGAGAAATTGTGTAATTTTGACTATCCTGTATACTAGTTAAATGTCCTTATATTTTAAAATTGCTATGGCCACACAAAAGAATGAAACATGTATTTTGCAGTAACATGGATGGAGCTGGAGGCTATTATCCTAAGTGGAATAACTCAGAAACAGAAAACCCAAGACTGCATGTTCTCCCTTATAAGTGGGAGATAAACAATGGGTACACATGGAGCTACAGAGGGAAATAATGGACACTGGGGACTCCAAGAGGGAGGAAAGTGGGAACGGAGTGAGGAGTGAAACAGTACCTTTTGCTACAATGTTCACTATTCAGGTGATGGGTACACTAGAAGTCCAAACCCCACTACTACAAAATATACCCATGTAATAAACCTGCACATGGGCCCCTGAATCTATTTTTTTAATTTAAAAAATAAAAAAACAGAGTTTTTAAAACTTAGATTGTCACAAGTAACAAATAAAAGACACCACAAGAAGTCAAGAGAGAGATCATGGAAGAAAGGAAACAGCTTTATATTTTAGGACTTCAACAGCACTGTTTTTTTCCCAGCATTTTAAACAAGAGGTCCTGTGCTTTCATTTTATGCTAGGCCTCATGAATAACACAGCAGGCCCTGCTCATAAGAACATTTAGTGAATAACAAAGCCTGCTTTTTATCAGCACAATCTGGAAAAATGATAGCCAGTAAGTTGGATTTGTAATTTTCTTTTATGGCAGCTGGAGACAATATCATAGAATGCAATCTAATCTTGCATTTAGGTAATTAATTGTTTTTGCTGAATTGGTGAGTACAGGGCCAAATAACCTTGCTTAAATGGGGAAAGTGGAAGAGAAAGAGACAGTAAATCCATCATTGTGTTTCAATAATTTCAGGAGAAAAAATTACACACAAGATTGTGTGGAGAGGGTGCCAAATGGTGTTCCCTTTGGGGCTATTTTACCCCTTTACAAAATGTTGTGTTTTAGTGTGTTTAGAAGCATCTATGATCCAGTGCCACCCTAGGCTGCTGCCATAGTCCTGCTAGGCTAATAGATATTTGATGGCTGGAAACATGATAGGAGAGACAAAATAAATGGCTTTTTGCTTTTTTGTTTTTAATCTATGAGAAAGAATTCACATGAGCTTCATTTGCTAAAGACCAAGGAGTAGTAACATCAGTAGATGACACTAGTGTGTAAAATTACATCCTTTTTTGTATTTTTTTAAAATAGAACTTGTTATATTTTAAATAATTTTGACAGATAATATGCTATAAAAGGGGATGGCGCCAAGATGAAAGCCATTGACAGGAGAATGACAAAAAAGATTAAGGATCCTATCAACAGGGCTGAAGGGAAGTTTCACGGAAGAGTTTCAAGAAAGTTTTTCTTGTGATAACATACTTCTGAAGAAAGCATAAGGGTGATGGATGGTTTCAGATTTTGAGCTTCAACACCCCACTGTGATATTTGATTGTGTGATATTTGTTCACAAAGACATCTAAATACTACAGCAGTCTCTCCGGTTTGAATGCCTTAAAATGAATGGTAGCTGCCATTAGGTGGCACTGCCTGTATGTTTGTGTAGACCAATTTTGTTTTAAAGGATATTCTTTATTGAGAATTAAGGACCTAACGAGAAGGATTAAGAAGTCAAAGAAAACCAGTTTCGTTTAATATACATAGATAAATAAATGCACACAAGTACTTCTTTGTGGAGACATTAGAGTGCTTTTAATATGTGAGGTTGGCATACGGATAAACCCAGGGTCGATAGGAAAAGATAAAAGGCAGGATATAACATATAAAGAAAGCAAGAAAGCAAAATGTAGTTGCCTTTTTAAGATGCCATTACTACCCTTTTACTTTTACTTCTTATTGACAGTTGTCATTTATTACAGTGTAATATTGCTGGCCTGCTCTTAATCTTCACCCAGAGTCTGGAGTCTTTGGAGGGGTCTTTGCTCTATGAGACACTGCAGACATTTTCTTTCTAACCTAACTGCTTTAGTGACTTGTAGGTTATGTTAGAAGTAAATAAGAAATAGGGTGCTTTAGGAGTAAAAAATTTCAGACTTTTTTATTTTTATTTTTGTGGATTCATAATTGATATATATATATTTATGGGGTACATAAGATATTTTGATACAGGCATGCAATGTGGAATAATCACATCATGCAAAATGGGGTATCCATCCCCTCAAGCATTTATCCCTTGTGTTACAAACAACCCAATTTTACTCTTTTAGTTATCTTAAAATGTACAATTAAATCATTATTGACTATAGTCACCCTATTGTCCTATCAAATAGTAGGTCTTACTCATTTTCTTTCTTTATTTTGTTGCAGTGGTCCCCAACATTTTTGGCATGAGGAACCAGTTACATGAAATTTTCCCATGGACTAGGAGTTGTGGGGATGGTTTTAGGACAAAACTATTCCACTTCAGATCATCAGGCATTAGTTAGGTTCTCATAAGGAGCGCACAACCTAGATCCCTTGCATGTGCAGTTCACAATAGGGTTTGTGCTCCTGTGAGAATCTAATGCCCAGCTGATGTGACAGGAGGCAGAGCTCAGGCAGTAATGCTTGCTTGTTCACTGCTCACCTCCTGCTATGTGGCCTGGTTCCTAACCAGTACCAGTCTGTGGCCATTTTGGAGAGGGGTGGTGGTTGGGGAGCCCTGTATTTTTGTACCCATTAACCATCCCTACCTTTCCCCCTCTGCCACTCCACTACCCTTCCCAGCTTCTGGTAACCATCTTCTACTCTCCATCTCTATGTTCAATTGCTTTGATTTTTAGGTCCCACAAATAAATGACAAAATGTGAAGTTTGTCTTTCTGTCCCGGCTTATTTCACTTAGTTCAATGACCTCTGGTTCCATCCATGTTGTTGCAAATGACAAGATCTCATTCTTTTTAATAGCTGAATAGTACTGCATTGTGTAAATGTACCACATTTTCTTTATCCAATCATCTATTGATGAACATTTAGGTTACTTCCAAATCTTGGCTACTGTGAACAGTGCTACAACAAGTGTGGGGGTGCAGATACCACTTTGATATACTGATTTCGGGTATATACACAACAGTAGGATTGCTGGATCATATGATAGATTTAGTTTTAGTTTTTTGAGGAACCTCTAAACTGTTCTCCATAGTGGTTGTACTAATTTACATTCCCACCAACAGTGTACCAGGATTCCCTTTACTCCACATCCTCGCCAGCCTTTGTTATTGCCTGTCTTTTAGATAAAAGCCATTTTAACTGAGATGAATTGATATCTCATTGTAGTTTTATGAATCCCTTGTCAGATGTGTGGTTTGTAAATATTTTCTCATTCTGTGAGTTGTCTGTTCAGTTTGTTGATAGTTTTCTTTGCTGTGAAGAAGCTTTTTAACCTGATGTTATCCCATTTATCCATTTTTGCTTTGGTTGCCTGTGCTTATGGGGTATTACTCAAGAAGTTTTTGCCCAGATCAATATTCTGGAGAGTTTACCCAATGTTTTCTTATAGCAGTTTCCTAGTTTGAGGTTTTAGATTTAAGTCTTTAATGCATTTAAATTAGATTTTTGTATATGGAGAGAGATAGTGGTTGTATCGTCCGATCTCACGTCGCTATAAAGAACTACCTGAGAGTGGATAATTTATAAACAAAAGAGGATTAATTGACTCACAGTTCCACAGGCTGTACAGGAAGCATGGCTGGGGAGGTCTCAGGAAACTTACAATCATGGCAGAAGGTGAAGAGGAAGGAGGCATGCCTTATGTGGCGGAAGCAGGAGGAAGAGAGAGGAGTGGGAGGTGCTACACACTTAAACAACCAGACCTCATGAGAACTTTCTCACTACATGAGAACAGCAAGGGGGAAGTCTGCCCCTATGATCCAATCACCTCCCACCAGGCCCCTCCTCCAATATTGGGGATTAAAATTCAACATGAGATTTTAGTGGGGACATAAATCTAAACCATATTATTCCACCCTGGCCCCTCCCAAATCTCACATTCTTCTCACATTGCAAAATACAATCATCCCTTCACAACAGTTTCCCAAGTATTAACTCAGTTCAGTATTAACTCAAAAATCCACAGTCCAAAGTCTCATCTGAGACTGTAAAATAAAAAGCAAGTTAGTTATTTCCAACATACAATGCAGGTACAGGCATTGGGTAAATACACCTGTTCCAAAAGGGAGAAATTAGCCAAAACAAAGGGGCTACAGGCCCCATGCAAGTCTGAAACTCAGCAGGGCAGTCATTAAATCTTAAAGTTCCAAAATAATCTTCTTTGACTCCATGTCTCATATTCAGGCCACACTGATGCTAGGAGTGGGCTCCCAAGGCCTTGGGCATTTCCACCCCTGTGGCTTTGCAGGGTACTTGCCCCCCTTGGCCGCTTTTACAGGCTGGCATTGATTGCCTGCTTCTTTTCCAGGTGCATGGTTCAAGCTGTTGGTTGATCTACTGTTCTGTGGTCTGGAGGATGGTGGCCATCTTCTCACAGCTCCACTAGGCAGTGTCCCAGTGGGGACTCTGTGTGGCAGCTCCAACCCCACATTTCCCCTCCACACTGTCCTGGTAGATTCTCCATGAGAGTTCTGCCCCTGTAGCAGACTTCTTCCTGGACATCCATATGTTTCCATACATCCTCTGAAATCTAGGCAGAGGCTCCCAAGCCTCAACTCTTGCCCTCTGCACACCTGCAGGCTTAACACCATGTGGAAGCTGCCAGGCTTACAGCTTGCACCCTCTGGAGCAGGAGCCTGAGATGTATCTGGGGCTCCTTTAGCCATGGCGGGAGCTGGGGCAGCTGGGACTCAGGGAGCAGTGTCCTGAGGTTGTGCAAGGCAGTGGGGCCCTGGCCTTGGCCCACAAAACCTTTCTTCCCTCCTAGCCCTCCACACCTGTGATGGCAGGAGCTGCTGCAAAGGTCTCTGAAATGCCTTTGAGGCATTTTCCCCATTGTCTTGGCTGTTATCATTAGGCTCCTCTTATGCAAATTTCTGTAGCCAGCTTGAATTCCTCCCCTGAAAATGGGTTTTTCTTTTCTACCACATGGCCAGGCTGCACATTTCCAAACTTTTACGTTCTGCTTTCCTTTTAAATGTAAGTTCCAGTTTCAGATCTTCTTTTTGCTCACATATATAAGCATACACTGGTAAAAGCAGCCAGGGCACATTTTGAATGCTTTTCTGCTTAGAAATTTCTTCTGCCAGATACACTAAATCATCTCTCTTAAGTTCAAAGTTCCACAGATCTCTTGAGTAGGGGCAGAATTCTTCCAACCTCTTTGCTAATACATAACAAAAGTGACCTTTGCTTCAGTTCCTAAGAAGTTCTTCATCTCCATCTGAGACCAACTCAGCCTGGACTTTATTTTCCACATCACTATCAGCATTTTGGTCAAAACAATGCAACAAGTCTCTAAGAAGTTATAAACTTTCCCTCATCTTCCTGTCTTCTTCTGAGCCCTCCAATTCTTCCAACCTCTGCCCATTACTCAGTTCCAAAGTCACTTCCACATTTTCAGGTATCTTTATAGCCATATCCCACTCCTAAGTACCAATTTTCTGTATTAATCTGTTCTTGAATTGCTATAAAGAACCACCTGAGACTGGGTAATTTATAAAGAAAAGAGGTTTGATTAACTCGCAGTTCTATAGGCTGTACAGGAAGCATGGCTGGGGAGAGCTCAGGAAATTTACAATCATGGTGGAAGGCAATGAATAAGGAGACACATCTTACATGGCAGAAACAGGAGGAAGTGGGAGAGTGGGGAGGTTCCACATGCTTTTAAACAACCAGATCTGACGAGAACTCACTATCATGAGAACAGCAAGGGAAAGTCCACCTCCATGATGGAACCACCTTCCACCAGGTCCCTCTTCCAACATAGGAGATTATAATTCAACATGAGATTTGGGCAGAGACACAAATTCAAACCATATCAGATGTCGAGCTTTATTATTTTGCATGTGGATAGTCTGTTTTCCCAGCACCATTTGTTGGAGAGACTGTTTTCCCTAGTATATATTCTTTGCATCTCTGTAAAAAATTTGTTCACGGTAGGTGTGTGGGTTTGTTTCTGAGTTCTCTAGTCTGTTTCATTGGTCTATGTGTCTGTTTTTGTGCCAGTACCATGCTGTTTTCATCACTACAGCCCTGTAGTAAAATTTGAAGTGAAGTAATTTGATTCATCCAGTTCTGTTGTTTTTGCTCAGGATAGCTTTTGCTATTATGTTTTTGTTTGTTTGTTTTTTTGTAGTTCCATATAAATGTTAGGATTGTTTTTTTTATTTCTGTGAGGAATGTCTTTGGTATTTTGATAGAGCTTGCATTGAATCTTTAGCTTACTTTGGGTAGTGTGGATATTTTAAAAATATTCGTTCTTCTAATCCATGAACATGGAATCTTTTTCCATTTTCTGTGTCCTCTTCAATTTCTTTCATCAGTATTTCATAGTTTTCATTGCAGAGATTTTTTACTTCTTCGGTTAATTCCTATGTATTTAATTTTATTTGTGGCTATTGTAAATGGGATAACTTTTTTGATTTATTTCCTGGATTGTTCACTGATGGCATATAGAAATGCTACTGATTTTTGTATGTTGATTTTGTATCCTGCAACTTTACTGCATTATTGGTTCTCATAGTATTTTTGTAGAGTCTTTAGGTTTTTCCAAATATAAGATGATATCATCTCCAAACAAGGTTATTTTGACTTCTTCCTTTCCAATTTGGATGCCATTCATTTCTTTCTGTTGTCTGATTGCTCTAGTTAGGACTTCCAGTACTATGTCGAATAACTGTGGTGAAAGTGAGCATTCCTGTTGTGTTCCAGATCTTAGAGGAAGGCTTTCAGTTTTTCCCCATCCAGTATGATACTAGCTGTTGGTCGGTCATATATGGCTTTTATTATGTTTAGGAATGTTCCTTCTATACCAAGTTGTTTGAGTATTTTTATCGTGAAGGGATGTTGAATTTTTATCAAATGCTTTTTCAGCATCAGTTAAAATGCTCACATGGATTTTGTTCTTCATTCTGTTGATATAATGTATCACATTAATTGATTTGCATATGTTGAACCATTCTTGCATCCCTGGTGTAAATTCGACTTGGTCATGATGAATGATCTTTCTAATGTATTGTTGGAATTCAGTTTTCTGGTATTTTGTTGAGGATTGTTGCATCAATATTAATCAGAAATATTGACCTGAAGTTTTCTTACTTTTTTAAGGTGTTTTTGTTGGTTTTGATATGAGGATAATACTGGTCTCATAGGATGAGTTAATACTGGTCTCATAGGATGAGTTTGGAAGTATTCCTTTCTTGATTTTTTGGAATAGTTTGAGTAGGGTTTGTATTCATTCTTTAAATGTTTGGTAGAATTCAGAATAAAGCCATTGGGTCCCAGGCCAAAAAGTTTACTGGGAGACTTTAAAAAATTGTTTCAACTTATCACTTGTTATTTTTCTATTCATGGCTCAATCTTGGTATCTATGTGTCTGGTAATTTATCCACTTCTAGATTTTCCAACTTATTGGCATACAGTTACTCATAGTAGCCACTAATGATCCTTTCAATTCCTCATATCAGTTGTAATGTCTTGTTTTTATCTTCAATTTCATTTATTATATTTGGATATTTTTCCTGTTTTCTTCATTTGTCTGGCTAAAGGTTTGTCAATTGTGTTCATCTTTTCAATAAACCACCTTTTGGTTTCACTGATCTTTTGTATTGTTTGCTTCATTTCCACTTTATTTATGCTCTGATCTTTATTATTTCTTTTCTTCTACTAGTTTTGGGTTTGGTTTGCTCTTACTTTTCTACTTTTCTAATTCTCTAATTCTTTAAGATACATCATTAAGTTGTTTATTTAAAATTTTTTTCTTTTATGATGTAGATAGGCACTTATAGCTATAAAATTTCCTCTTAGTACCATTTTCACTGTATCCCATAGGTTTTTGATGTTGTTTGATTCCACTACCATTTGATTCAAGAAACATTTCAATTTCCTTCTTAATTTCTTCTCTGACCCACTGGTTATCCAGGAGCATATTGTATAATTTCCATCTGTTTGTATAGTTTTCAAAATTCCTTTTGTTAATTGCTTTCTAGTTTTACTTCATAGTGGTCAGATAAGATGTTTGATATTATTTCATTTTTTGAATGTTTTAAGACTTGTTTTGTGATCTAACATTTGGTCTGCCTTTAGAATGATCCATATGCTGAGAAGAAGAATGCGTATTCTGTAGCAATTGAATAAAATGTGCTGTAAACACTTTGGGAGGCCAAGGTGGGCAGATTGCTTGAGGTCAGGAGTTCGAGACAAGCCTGGCCAACATGGCAAAACCCCATCTCTATTAAAAATTCAAATTTTTTTGTTATAGTTTAAGTTTTAGGGTACATGTGCACAACGTGCAGGTTATTTACATATGTATACATGGGCCATGTTGGTGTGGTGCCCCCAGTACCTCGTCATTTAACATTAGATATATCTCCAAATGCTGTCCCTCCCCTCTCCCCCCACCCCACAACAGGCCCCGGTGTGTGGTGTTCCCCTTCCTGTGTCCATGTGTTCTCATTGTTCAACTCCCACCTATGAGTGAGAACATGCGGTATTTGGTTTTTTGTCCTTGCGATAGTTTGCTGAGAATGATGGTTTCCAGCTTCATCCATGTCCCTACAAAGGACATGAACTCATCATTTTTTATGACTGCATAGTATTCCATTGTGTATATGTGCCATATTTTCTTAATCCAGTCTATCACTGTTGGACATTTGGGTTGATTCCAAGTCTTTGCTATTGTGAATAGTGCCGCAATAAACATAACGTGTGCATGTGTCTTTATAGCAGCATGATTTATAATCCTTTGGGTATATACCCAGTAATGGGTTGGCTGGGTCAAATGGTATTTCTAGTTCTAGATCCCTGAGGAATCACTACACTGAGTTCCACAATGGTTGAACTACTTTACAGTCCCACCAACAGTGTAAAAGTGTTCCTATTTCTCCACATCCTCTCCAGCACCTGTTGTTTCCTGACTTTTTAATGATCGCCATTCTAACTGGTGTAAGATGGTATCTCATTGTTGTTTTGATTTGCATTTCTCTGATGGCCAGTGATGATGAGCATTTTTTCACATGTCCTTTGGCTGCATAAATGTGTTCTTTGATGGGGTTGTTTGTTTTTTTCTTGTAAATTTGTTTGAGTTCATTGTAGATTCTGGATATTAGTCCTTTGTCAGATGAGTAGATTGCAAAAATTTTCTCCCATTCTGTAGGTTTCCTGATCATTCTGATGGTAGTTTCTTTTGCTGTGCAGAAGCTCTTTAGTTTAATTAGATCCCATTTTTTCTTCTAGGGTTTTTATGGTTTTAGGTCTAACATTTAAGTCTTTAATCCATCTTGAATTAATTTTTGTATAAGATGTAAGGAAGGGATCCAGTTTCAGCTTTCTACATATGGTTAGCCAGTTTTCCCAGCACCATTTGTTAAATAGGGAATCCTTTCCCCATTTCCTGTTTTTATCAGGTTTGTCAAGGTCAGATAGTTGTAGATATGCGGCATTATTTCTGAGGGCTCTGTTCTGTTCCATTGGTCTATATCTCTGTTTTGGTACCAGTAGCATGCTGTTTTGGTTACTGTAGCCTTGTAGTATAGTTTGAAGTCAGGTAGCGTGATGCCTCTAGCTTTGTTCTTTTAGTTTAGGATTGACTTGGCAATGTCGGCTCTTTTTTGGTTCCATATGAACTTTAAAGTAGTTTTTTCCAATTTGGTTAAGAAAGTCATTGGTAGCTTGATGGGGATGGCATTGAATCTATAAATTACCTTGGGCAGTATGGCCATTTTCATGATATTGATTCTTCCTACCCATGAGCATGGAATGTTCTTCCGTTTGTTTGTATCCTCTTTTATTTCATTGAGCAATGGTTTGTAGTTCTCCTTGAAGAGGTCCTTCACGTCCCTTGTAAGTGAGATTCCTAGGTACTTTATTCTCTTTGAAGCAATCATGAATGGGAGTTCACTGATGATTTGGCTCTCTGTTTGTCTGTTATTGGTGTATAAGAATGCTTGTGATTTTTGCACATTGATTTTGTATCCTGAGACTTTGCCAAAGTTGCTTATCAGCTTAAAGAGGTTTTAGGCTGAGATAATGGGGTTTTCTAGATATACAATCATGTCATCTGCAAACAGGGACAATTTGACTTCCTCTTTTCCTAACTGAATACCCTTTATTTCCTTCTCTTGCCTGATTGCCCTGGCCAGAACTTCCAACACTATGTTGAATAGGAGTGGCAAGAGAGGGCATCCCTGTCTTGTGCCAGTTTTCAAAGGGAATGCTTCCAGTTTTTGCCCATTCAGTATGATATTGGCTGTGGGTTTGTCATAGATAGTCCTTATTGTTTTGAGATACGTCCCATCAATACCTAATTTTTTGAGAGTGTTTAGCATGAAGGTTATTGAATTTTGTCAAAGGCCTTTTCTGCATCTATTGAGATAATCATGTGTTTTTGTCGTTGGTTCTGTTTATATGCTGGATTAAGTTTATTGATTTGCATATGTTGAACTAGCCTTGCATCCCAGGGATGAAGCCCACTTGATCATGGTAGATAAGCTTTTTGATGTGCTGCTGGATTCGGTTTGCCAGTATTTTATGGAGTATTTTTGCATCGATATTCATCAGGGGTATTGGTCTAAAATTCTCTTTTTTTGTTGTGTCTCTGCCAGGCTTTGGTATCAGGATGATGCTCGCCTCATAAAATGAGTTAGGGAGGTTTCCCTCTTTTTCTATTGATTGGAATAGTTTCAGAAGGAATGGTACCAGCTCCTCTTTGTACCTCTGGTAGAATTCGGCTGTGCGTCCAACTGGTCCTGGACTTTTTTTGGTTGGTAAGCTAGTAATTATTGCCTCAATTTCAGAGCCTGTTATTGGTCTATTCAGAGATTCAGCTTCTTCCTGGTTTGGTCTTGGGAGGGTGTATTTGTTGAGGAATTTATCCATTTCTTCTAGATTTTCTAGTTTTTTTGTGTAGAGGTGTTTATATTATTCTCTGATGGTAGTTTGTATTTCTGTGGGATCGGTGCTGATATCCCCTTTATCATTTTTTATTGCATCTATTTGATTCTTCCCTCTTCTCTTCTTTATTCGTCTTGCCAGCGGTCTATCAATTTTGTTGATCTTTTCAAAAAACCAGCTCCTGGATTCATTGATTTTTTGAAGGGTTTTTTGTGTCTCTATTTCCTTCAGTTCTGCTCTGATCTTAGTTATTTCTTACCTTCTGCTAGCTTTTGAATGTGTTTGCTCTTGCTTCTCTAGCTCTTTTAATTGTGATGTTAGGGTGTCAATTTTAGATCTTTCCTGCTTTCTCTTGTGGCCATTTAGTGCTATAAGTTTCCCTCTACACACTGCTTTGAATGTGTCCCAGAGATTCTGATATGTTGTGTCTTTGTTCTCGTTGGTTTCAAAGAACATCTTTATTTCTGCCTTCATTTCGTTATGTACCTAGTAGTCATTCAGGAGCAGGTTGTTCAGTTTCCATGTAGTTGAGTGGTTTTGAGTTTCTTAATCTTGAGTTCTAGTTTGATTGCACTGTGGTCTGAGAGACAGTCTCTTATAATTTCTGCTCTTTTATATTTGCTGAGGAGTGCTTTACTTCCAACCATGTGGCCAGTTTTGGAATAGGTGTGGTGTGGTGCTGAAAAGAATGTATATTCTATTGATTTGAGGTGGAGAGTTCAGTAGATGTCTATTAGTTCTGCTTGGTGGAGAGCTGAGTTCAATTCCTGGATATTCTTGTTAACTTTCTGTCTCATGATCTGTCTAATGTTGACAGTGGGGTGTTAAAGTCTCCCATTATTACTGTGTGGGAGTCTAAGTCTCTTTGTTGGTCTCTAGGGACTTGCTTTATGAATCTGGGTGCTCCTGTATTGGGTGCATATATATTTAGGATAGTTAGCTCCTCTTGTTGAATTGATCCCTTTACCATTATGTAATGGCCTTCTTTGTCTCTTTGGATCTTGTTGGTTTAAAGTCTATTTTATCCGAGACTAGGATTGCAACCCCTGCCTTTTTTTGTTTTCCATTTGTTGGTAGATCTTCCTCCATCCCTTTATTTTGAGCCTATGTGTGTCTCTGCACATGAGATGGGTTTCCTGAATATGGCACACTGATGGGTCTTGACTCTTTATCCAATTTACCAGTCCGTCTTTTAATTGGAGCATTTAGCCCATTTACATTTAAGGTTAATATTGTTATGTGTGAATTTGATCCTGTCATTATGACGTTAGCTGGTTATTTTGCTCGTTAGTTGAAGTTGTTTCTTCATAGCCTCGATGGTCTTTACAATTTGGCATGTTTTTGCAGTGGCTGGTACCGTTTGTTCCTTTCCATGTTTAGTGCTTCCTTCAGGAGCTCTTGTAGGGGAGTCCTGGTGGTGACAAAATCTCTCAGCATTTGCTTGTCTGTAAAGGATTTTATTTCTCCTTCAATTATGAAGCTTTGTTTGGCTGGATATGAAATTCTGGGCTGAAAATTCTTTTCTTGAAGAATGTTGAATATTGGCCCCCACTCTCTTCTGGCTTGTATAGTTTCTGCTGAGAGATCAGCTGTTAGTCTGATGGGCTTCCCTTTGTGGGTAACCCGACCTTTCTCTCTGGCTGCCGTTAACATTTTTTCCTTCATTTCAACTTTGGTGAATCTGACAATTATGTGTCTTGGAGTTGCTCTTCTTGAGGAGTATCTTTGTGGCATTCTCTGTATTTCCTGAATCTGAATGTTGGCCTGCCTTGCTAGATTGGGGAAGTTCTGCTGCATAATATCCTGCAGAGTGTTTTCCCAGTTGGTTCCATTCTCCCCGTCACTTTCAGGTACACCAATCAGACGTAGATTTGGTCTTTTCACATAGTCCCGTATTTCTTGGAGGCTTTGTTCGTTTCTTTTTATTCTTTTTTTCTCTAAACTTCTCTTCACACTTCATTTCATTCATTTCATCTTCCATCACTGATACCCTTTCTTCCAGTTGATCTCATCGGTTACTGAGGCTTGTGCATTTGTCACGTAGTTCTTATGCCATGGTTTTCGGCTCCATCAGGTCCTTTAATGACTTCTCTGCATTGGTTATTCTAGTTAGACATTCGTCTAATCTTTTTTCAAAAAGTTTTTAACTTCTTTGCCATTGGTTTGAACTTCCTCCTTTAGCTTGGAGTAGTTTGATCTTCTGAAGGCTTCCTCTCTCAACTCGTCAAAGTCATTCTCCGTCCAGCTTTGTTCCATTGCTGGTGAGGAGCTGCCTTCTTTTGGAGGAGGAGAGGCACTCTGATTTTAGAGTTTCCAGTTTTTCTGCTCTATTTTTTCCCCATCTTTTTGGTTTTATCTACCTTTGGTCTTTGATGATGGTGACATACAGATGAGGCTTTGGTGTGGATGTCCTTTCTGTTTGTTAGTTTTGCTTCTAACAGTCAGGACCCTCAGCTGTAGGTCTGTTGGAGTTTGCTGGAGGTTCACTCCAGACCCTGTTTGCCTGGTTATCAGCAGTGGAGTCTGCAGAACACCAGATGTTGGTGAACAGCAAATGTTGCTGCCTGATCATTCCTCTGGAAGGTTTGTCTCAGAGGAGTACCCGGCCGTGTGAGGTGTCAATCTGCCCCTACTGGGTGGTGCCTCCCAGTTAGGCCACTCAGGGGTCAGAGACCCACTTGAGGAGGCAGTCTGTCTGTTCTCAGATCTCCAGCTGTGTGCTGGGAAAACCACTACTGTCTTCAAAGCTGTCAAACAGGGACATTTAAGTCTGCAGATGTTTCTGCTGCCTTTTGTTTGGCTATGCCCTGCCCCTAGAGGTGGAGTCTACAGAGACAGGCAGGCCTCCTTGAGCTGTGGTGGGCTCCACCCAGTTTGAGCTTCCTGGTTGCTTTGTTTACCTATTGAAGCCTTGGCAATGGCGGGCGCCCCTCCCCGAGCCTCGCTGCGGCCTTGCAGTTTGATCTCAGACTGCTTTGCTAGCAATGAGTCAGGCTTCGTGGGTGCTGGAGCCTCCAAGCAGGCACAGGATACAATCTCCTCGTGTGCCGCTTGTTAAGACCACTGGAAAAGCACAGTATTAGGGTGGGAGTGACCCGATTTTCCAGGTGCCGTCTGTCACCCCTTTCCTTGGCTAGGAAAGGGAATTCCCTAACCCCTTGTGCTTGTCGGGTGAGGCGATGCCTCACACTGCCTCGGTTCATGCTCAGTGCGCTGCTGCACCCACTGTCCTGCACCCACTGTCTGACAATCCCCAGCGAGATGAACCCAGTACCTCAGTTGGAATTGCAGAAATCATACGTCTTCTGAGTCGCTCACGGTGGGAACTGTAGACTGGAGCTGTTCTATTCCGGTACCAGTTGTTTCTTTTCCATGTTTAGTCCTTCCTTCAGGAGCTCTTGTATGGCAGGCCTGGTCATGACAAAATCTCTCAGCATTTCCTTGTCTGTAAAGGATTTTATTTCTCCTTCACTTATGATGCTTAGTTTGGCTGGATATGTGATTCTGGGTTGAAAATTATTTTCTTTAAGAATGTTGAATATTGCCCCCCACTCTGTTCTGGCTTGTAGGGTTTCTTCAGAGACATCTGCTCTTAGTCTGATGGGCTTCCCTTTGTGGGTAACCCGACATTTCCGTCTGGCTGCCCTTAACATTTTTTTTTTTTTTTTTCATTTCAACCTTGGTGAATCTGAGAGTTATGTGTCTTGGGGTTGCTCTTCTTGAGGAGTATCTTTGTAGCATTCTGTGTATTTCATGGGTTTGAATGTTGGCCTGCCTTGCTAGGTTGGGGAAGTTCTCCTGGATAATATCCTGAACAGTGTTTTCTAACTTAGTTCCATTGTCCCTTTCACTTTCCCATACACCAATCCAATGTATCTTTGGTTGTTTCACATGATTACATATTTCTTGCAGACTTTGTTCATTTGTTTCCACTTTTTTTCTCTAATCTTGTCTTCTCACTTTATTTCATTAATTTGATCTCCAATCACTGATATCCTTTCGTCCCCTTGATCAAATCGGCTATTGAAGCTTGTGCATGCATCAAGAAGTTCTTGTGCTGTGTTTTTCAGCTCCATCAGGTCATTTAAGGTTTTCTCTACACTGTTTATTCTAGTTAGCCTTTTGTCTAACCTGTTTTGAATGTTTTTAGCTTCCTTGCAATGGGTTAGAACATGCTCCTTTAGCTCGGAGAAGTTTGTTATTACCGATCTTCTGATCCTACTTCTGTCAATTTGTCAAACTCATTTTCCATCCAGTTTTGTTCCCTTGCTTGTGAGGAGCTGCGATCATTTGGGGGAGAAGAGGCACTCCGGTTTTTGGAATTTTCAGCTTTTGCTCCAGTGTCTTCCCATCTTTGTGGTTTTATCTAAGTTTGGTCTTTGATATTGTTGACCTATAGATGGAGTTTTCGTGTGGATGTACTTTTTGTTGACGTTGATGCTATTCCTTTCTGTTTATTAGTTTTCCTTCTAACTGTCAGACCCCTCAACTGCAGGTCTGTTGGAGTTTGCTGGAGGTCCACTCCAGACCCTGTTTGCCTGGGTATCACCAGCAGAGGCTGCAGAACAGCAAATATTGCTGTCTGATCCTTCCTCTGGAAGCTTCATCCCAGAGGGGCACTGACCTGTTTGAGGTGTCTGTTGGCCCTTACTGGGAGGTGTTTCCCAGTCAGGCTACATGGGGCTCAGGGACCTGCTTGAGGAGGCAGTCTGTCCATTCTTAGAGCCTGAACGCTGTGCTGAGAGAACGACTGCTCTCTTCAGTGCTGTCAGACAGGGAGGTTTAAATCTGCAGAAGCTGTCTGATGCCTTTTGTTCTACTATGACCTGTCCCCAGAGGTGGAATCTGTAGAGGCAGTAGGCCTTTCTGAGCTTTGGTGGGCTCTGCCCAGTTCGTGCTTCCTGGCCTCTTCGTTTACCCTGTGAGCTACTCAAGCCTCAGCAATGGTGGATGCCCCTCCCCCCGTCAAGGTGCAGTGCCACAGGTCAATCTCAGACTGCTGCACTAGCAGTGAGCAAGGCTCCATGGGCATGGGACCTGTTGAGCCAGGCATGGGAGAGTATCTCCTGGTCTGCCGGTTGCTAAGACTGTGGGAAAAGTGCAGTATTTCATCAGAAGTACGCTGTTTCTCCAGGTACAGTCTATCATGGCTTCTCTTGGCTAGGAAAAGGAAATCCCCTGACCCCTTGTTCTTCCTGGGTGAGGCAATGCCCCACCCTGCTTCAGCTCACCCTCTGTGGGCTGCTTCCACTGTCCAACAAGTCCCAGTGAGAAGAACCAGGTACCTCAGTTGGAAATGCAGAAATCACCCATCTCCTGCATCAATCTTGCTGGGAGCTGCAGACCAGAGCTGTTTCTATTCAGCCATCTTGGAAGCAACCCCAGTTTTTGTTATTTCTATTTATACTTTATTGTACTATGTCTTGAGAAGTTTTTGTAGTTATTACTTCTGACTGGTTTATCATTTAGTGTTTCTACTTAAAAGTAGTTTACACCACAATTACAGTGTTATAATATTCTATGTTTTTCTTGTGTGCTTACTATTATCCATGAGTTTTTACTTTCAGATAATTTCCCCTTGCTCATTGTATTAGTCCATTCTCACACTGCTATAAAGAACTGCCTGAGACTGGGTAATTTATAGAGGAAATAAGTTCATTTGAGTCACAGTTTAGTATGGCTGGGGAGACCTCAGGAAACTCACAGTCTTGGCAGAAGGTGAAGGGGAAGCTAGGCACCTCTTCCCAAGGCAGCAGAAAGGAGAATCGCTGAGTGAAGGAAGAAAAAAATCCTTAAAAACCGTTAGATCTCATGGGAACTCACTCAGTATCATGAGAACAGCATGGGAGATACCATCCCATGATCTCACCACCACCTGCTCTCTCTCTCATATGTAGGGATTATTGGGATTATTTGGATTATAATTCAAGATGAGATTTTGCTGGGGACACAAACCCTAGCCATACTACTCATTACCAACCTTTCCTTTCAGTTTGAATAACTCCCATTAGCATTTCTTGTAGGACAAATATGGTGTTGATGAAATCAACTTTTGTTTGTCTGGGAAGGTCTTTGTTTCTCCTCCATGCTTTAAGGGTATTTTCATGGGATATGTTATTATAAGGTAAGAGTTTGTTTCCTTCAGCACTTAAAGTATGCCATGCCACTCTTTTCTGGTCTGTAAGGTTTCCACTGAAAAGTCTGCTGCCAGATGTATTGGAGCTCATTGTATATTGTTGTTTTCCTCTTGCTGCTTTTAGAATCTTCTCTTTATCCTTGACCTTTGGAAGTTTGATTATCAAATGCCTTGAGGAGACTTCTTTGGGTTAAATCTGCTTAGTGTTCTATAACCTTCTTGTTCTTGAATGTTGATGTCTTTCTCTAGGTTTGTGAAGTTCTGTAATATTTTCCCTTTGAATAGCTTTCTACCACATCTCTTTCTCTACCTCCTCTTCGAGGCCAATAATTCTTAGATTTGCCCTTTTGGGGTTGTTTTCTAGATATTGTAGGTGTGCTTTATTGTTTTTTATTCATTTTTCTTTTTTCTCCTGTGACCATGTATTTTAAAATGGCTTGTCTTCAAGCTCACTAATTATTTCTCCTGTTTGATGAATTCCACTATTAAAAGACTCTGTTGCATTCTTCAGTTATGCCAATTGCATTTTTCATCTGCAGTACTTCTGCTTGGTACTTTTTCATCATTTTAATCTGTTTGTTAACTTTATCTGATAGAATTCTGAGTTTCTTCTCTGTGTTATCTTCAATTTCTTTGGGTTTCCTCAAAATGGCTATTTTGAATCCTCTGTCTGAAGTGTTACATATCTCTGTTTTCTTGATGCCTTATTTAGTTCATTTGGTGTGGTCATGTTTTCATGGATGATCTTGAAGCTTTAGATGCTTGTTCCTGTCCAGGCATTGAAGAGTTAGGTATTTATTGTAGTCTTTGCGATCTGGGCTTGTTTATGCCTGTCCATCTTGAGAATTATTTCCATGAATTCAAAGGGGCTTGGGCCTCAAGCACCAAAATGCTGTGTTTTTTTTAGACTCATAGAGGTACCACCCTGGTGGTCTTGGATGAGATCCAGAAGAATACTCTGGATTACCAGGCAGAGACTCTTATACTTTTCCCTTACTTTCTCCCAAACAGAGTCTTTCTCTCTCTGTGTTTTGAGCTGCCTGGAACTGGGGGTGTGATGATGTAAGCATCTTTGTGGCCACCACCACTGGGACTATGCTGTGTCAGACCTGATACCAGCCTAGCACTGGATCTTGACCAAGGCCCACTGTAACCATTACCTTGCTACCACCTACGTTCACTCAAGTCCCTAGCACTCTATAATTGTCAGGTGGCAAAGCCAACCAGGTTTATGTCCTTTTCTTTACAGTGGCAAGTTCCCCCACACCTTAAGCAGTTCCAGAGATGCTGTCTGGGCATTAGGGATTGGAGTCAATAACCTTAGAAATTTACCTGACATTCTATTCTGCTGCTAAGCTGATACTCAAACTAGAATACCATGTTCTTCCTGCTCTTCCATCCCCTTTCCACAGGCAGAGGAGCCTGTCCCAGTGGCCACGACTACCACTGTTCCACATTGGGTTTTGCTAGGCCACTGCTGCTGTTCATTTAAAGCCCAAGGGCTCTTCAGTCAGCTTGTGGTGAATGCTGCTAGGCCTGGGACTCCATTTCAGGGCAGTGGGTTCCACTCTGGCCCAGAGAAGGTCTAGAAGTACTGTCCAAGAGCCTATGCCTGGACCCAGGGACCCCAAGAGCCTGCTTTTTGCTCTACCCCACTTGGTTGAGCTGGTACCTAAGGTGTTAGACAAAGTCCCCTTTACTTTCCTTCTGCTTTTCTTAAATAGAAGGAAATTTTCACCATATCCACCACAGCTGGGAGTGTGCTAGGTCACATCTCAGAGCCCAAGGCCCATGACATACTACCTGGGTATCAGTGCTGGTTATTCAGTGTCCAAGGGCTTTTTAATTGGCAGGTAATAAATTTTGCCAGGACTGAATTCTTCCCTTCAATGCAGAAGTTTCCTTTTTGCCTTGGGGTGTGTCTAGAAATGGTATCTATGAGCTTGACCCTGGAACAGGGGCCTCACGACTCTGCTGGGTGCTCTGTCATACTGTGGCTGAGCTGCTATCCAAAATGCAAGACAAAGTTTTCTCTAATCTTTGATCTTAAGCAGAAGGAAGGGGTCACCTTCATTGCTATGAGCTGTACTGCCTGTGATTGGGGGATGAGTGGCTCAAGCACTCCCTTAGCTGCCCTAGCTGGTGTCTCCCTAGGTCAAATACAACCCTAGTTTACTGGCTCTGAGCCCATCCCAGCACTAGGAGTTTCCTAGGAGTTGCAGTTTTTGTGTCCTAGACTGCCTTTCAAGTTTACCTAGAACCCCAGAGCACTTCGGCCCATGGTGGCAAAGCTGCCAAGAAACTCAAGTTTTGACCTCTGGGATGGGCACATTCCCCTCTGGCTAGGTGTGGTCCAAATGCTTGCTTCATGCATGGGTGCTGGCTGAACCCAGCATGGCTTTGCTCTCTGCTGTGAGAGGGCATCCCTGAGTTCAATGTAAAGTGCTCCTGTCACTGTGTTGTCCCTTCCCCAACTGCCTAGATTCTGTGCTGCATGGCTGCTGCTGGAGGATGAAGAAGGGGTGGCATCAGCAATTCAAGGCTGTCTGCTACCCTCTTCAATGCCTCTTTCAGTGATATGAAGTTAAACCAGGTACTGCGTGTGTTCACCTGATTTTTGGTTCTTGTGATGGTGCTTTTCTTTGTACAGATAGTTGTCAAAATTTGGTGTTCCTGCCAAGGGAAAAAATGGTGTAGGCTTCAATTCTTTCCTCTTACTCCATTCTCCAATGCTTTTTAATTGTTAAATTAATACCTTATCATCTTTTGTGTCTTTAAAAATCTCTTAAGTTATGGAAATAAAGTTCTCCTCTTTACTTATTTTTCACAGGTGAATACTGAAGCTTCAAAAGAAAGAACATAGACAAGATTTCTACATCTTTTACACTGGTTATTGTATAAAATGAAAGAGAATTCATGCTGAATACATATTGACTCCTGGTAAGCATCACTTTATTTTCCTAATTGCTCATGGAGTCTTTTATTCATAGGAGTAATAGTACTAGCAATACTACTAATAATGACAAACACAATTTTTGGCGCTTACTATGTGCCAGGCATTATTAATCCATAGAATTTTTGCAACTATCCTATAAAGTAGTTACCATTATTCTTATTTACAGACAAAGAAAATGAAGCACACATATGTTAAGAAATATGACAAGGTTATGCATCTATTAAGCGGTTAATTTAGGATTTCAACTCATGTTGTCTGGTACCACTACACTATATATCACTGCATTCTCACCTTTTATTTATAATGAATTTTATAATTTAGAATCAACTTTTTCATGCAATTATGTGACATTGCCATATGATGATACTGCATTTGGATTTAAGTCTTTGTCTTCTGGTTTTAATGCATATTTTGAAAGCTGGAAGAAGAGCTAAAATACTTTGTTTAAAAATTTGTCAAGATATGGAGAATTTATTACATGCTATCTGGGTTCTGAGAGAAACTTAGGGTCTCCTTATTGGTTATTATACTAGAAATCAATTTATATTTACTGCTATCATGACATTGAATTCAACTTCATTGAAATGCCAAGCAGGAAGATTTTTGCCTCTTGCTTTTTTATGAAGCAGGAGTTTACACAATTTTATGTGATTGATACTCATCAGCAGTAAGAGAGCCTGAAGACAGCACTTGCAAACATTACAACCTAACAGTACTTTTGAGAGAAGGCTGCCTGCTGGAAACCTACCAAAAATGCTGAATAACACAGGAATCAAGGATGGAAAGATGGAGAGCTTCAATAAGTGTTTGTTGATTTGATGTTATTTGATTCTAAATTATTCAAAGATGATCATTCTTGTGCCACTTTGGTTCTCTATTGCTATGCTCTTCTTTTCATGGTTAGCAGGTCTCCTCTGATTCCTTCATGCATTTTTAGAAACCATATTATGGATATTCATGATGAATCCCTAGAAAGAGAAGATGATGAGATAGTACTGAATAAATGGCCTTTTCATTGCAGTAACATAACATATATATTCAAGTATAAATAATCAGAATTCATCAAACCATGGCAATGAATAATTTATTATGTTGCCAGACCATAAGAAATTTTGCAACTAAAGAATAATGGTAATTCTCAATGCTAGTAATACAGTATCCAGTATTGTTAACAAATAAGTTTTGCAGCTAATTAAGGATTCATTTATGAAGCAAATTTCCCAGCATTGTTTGTAAAGGAATTTTCCATAGTAACTACTTTTCATACATGCACAGCAACAGAATTTACCATCCTATGAATTTATTTTATAAATATAATTCTTTAAATGAGCAAAAGACATAGATAATTACCAACAGAAAAAATTTTACAAAAGATAATACACATATGGCAAATTTTCTTTTTTTTGCCAGAAATCAAAACTGCAAATAGAAAAGATCCATTTTTATCTGTCAAATTGGTGATGAAAATGAATCTTATTTTATTACTATTCTTTTAAAAATTATTTTTTAATTTTTGTAGAGACAGGGTCTCACTGTGTTGCCTAGGCTTGTCTTGAATCCCTGGGCTCAGGTGATCCTCCTGTCTAGATCTCCCAAAGCGCTGAAATTACAAGCATGAGCCACTGCACCCAGTCAAAAATGAATTTTATTCAGTAATAGATGGTGTAGCAAAATGAACACTCACATCATCTTGAATGGAAGTCAAGTCATATAATTTTTCTAGGAGGCAACTTAACCATATACATGTATCAAAAATCTTAAAATGTTTGTTCACTTTGACACACCAATCCCACTTATAGGATTATACTTAGACCATATTGCATACATATGAATAAAAGGATAATTGTATAAAAATTATCTATAACAATTCCAAATTTGAGAAACAACTTCAGTGTCCAACAATGAAGATTTATTATTAAATTATGGTGACTGCTTAAAGCCAAAATGAAAACCAAAGAACTACAGGAGAGAAACATTTAATGACATGGAAAGATGTTTACACATATTTTTAAATAAAAAGAACACCAAACTACATTATAATGTGTATATATTATAATATTTTTTGTGAAAAAATATTGTAAAGTAATAGTGGAAGAATATATATCAAATGACTAACTGAGTTTGTCTCTGGATGGTGAACTTATAGGTGATTTACATTTTCTTCTTTATGCTTTTCTAATTTTTCAAAGTTGTTCAGTGAACATGCATTGTATTTGTAATATGTGAAATATATTGACAGTCGTATTTTTCCCAGAAGAAAGAAATATAACACTACATTGTTATTACCCTATGTCTGGGTCAGTTCAGACTGCTATAATAAATTATCACAGGCTGGATGTTTTAAATAGCAAAGATTTATTTTTCACAGTTCTAGAGGCTAGGAAGTCAACGATCAAAGTGCTTGTAGATCTAATGTGTGGTGAGAGCTGGCTTCCTGATTTGCAGATGTCTGCCTTCTCATTATATTCTCACATGGCAGAGAGCAGAGAGAGAAATAGTAAGTTCTTGTATCTCCTTAACTCCACATCTAAATAAGAAAATAGCACATATCAGATTTTCTTTTCTATTGAGAACAACTAGAAATGCTGAATAAATATTTGCTTGAAGGCATTTGAGAGCTTGAAGGCAATGGGGCTTGAAGGCCAAGATTCCTGAGATGGGAAATGCATTGAGATAATCCCAATATTCTGCAATGCCTTTTCCTTGAGAGATTTGCTTATTTGGAACCAGCAGTTTAGAAGCTGAGACTGAGCAGAAAATTGTGGTTAAGAGACTAGGAAGTGGAGCAGAACTTTGAATTATTTCTATTGTAATACATTTACATTAAAAAAATGAGCAGAAGCCTTGGTAAACCTCCCAGGCTTTCATATGGGAGGGACTATATTCTATGAGTCATGGGAAACTAGAAATAAACCATCACAAAGTTGGAAACTCTCTTTTAAAAGTGATTAATCCTGTTGGATTAAGGCAATCAGCTTCTACTCTTTCTAACAGAAGTATGACTAAATACTCTTTGGAAGCAGATAACATTCTCTAAGGCTTCAATTTATTTATGCAACTTTTCTTTCAAAACACTCATTTTTGAATAAAAAACTTACCCATATCAAAGAAAAGACCAGGCACACATGTACACACACACACACACACACACACACACACACACACGAGAAAAAACACATAAAAACAAACAAATATTGAGTGAATCAGACATGGACTTATAAGTATCTGTGATTAATACATGCAAGATATAAAGGATGAGATGAAAAATTTATACTAAAAGTAGTAAAAAACAATAATAAAATGAAAATGATATAACTAAAAAATAAAATAACTAAAATTGAGAACTTAATAGAGTTTAACAACAAGTTAGACACACCTGAGGAATTAATGAATTGGAGGATGATTCAGCAGAAAATGTTGACTGAATCATGGAAAGGAAGAATGAGGAAAAATATAAAAACAATTATCAGAGATATATAAAATACAATTAAAAGGTCTAAAATATGTGTAATTGGAATTCCAAAAAGAGAAGTGTAAAGTAATGGGGAGATAAAGTATTTGATGAGAAATTGAGAGTTCCTTCAAACTGAAAGACAATAATCCACAACTTTAAGAAGAATCACAAACTCCCAAAAGTATGAACACTGAAAAAGCCATACTACATTCATTATTATAAAACTGTTGATAACCAAAGACAAAAGAAAAAATTAAAAGCAGCCAGGGGTAAAAGGAATGAGTCTTAAAATATATATGTAGATTTAAGGTATGTATTAATTCATTTTCACACTGCTGATTAAGACAATCCTGAGACTGAGAAAAAAAAGAGGTTTAATTGGACTTACCGTTCCATATGGCTGGGGAAGCCTCAGAATCATGGCGGGAAGTGAAAGGCACTTCTTACATGGTAGTGGCAAGAGAAAAATGAGGCAGAGACAAAAGCAGAAACACCTAATAAACCCATTAGATCTTGTGAGACTTATTCACTATCACAAGAATAGCATGGGAAAGACCCAGCCTCCTGATTAAATTACCTCCCCCTGGGTGCCTCCCACAACATGTGGGAATTCTGGGAGATACAATTCAACTGGAGATTTCAGTGGGGACACAGCCAAACCATATCAAGGTACGTGACAATGATTAACATAAAGGAGTTTTTTGCATTGTCCAAGAAGTAGTGAAAGTACTTATGTATATTAGTTAAGGCTGCATGAAGTAGTCTCCATGGTAACCAGTTAGAAAATGTAGACAAATATCAAAAATAAAAACTAACAAAGAGGAAAATGAAATAATAAAATAGTTGATTAATTCAAAAGAAGGTGAGAAAAGAGAGAAAATAGACAAGGTGGGACAAATAATAAGATGATATGTTTAAGTTGAGATATATTAGTGGTATATTAAACATAAATGGTCTAAAATTTTCAAGTGAAAGGCAATGATTGTCAGGCTCATATTTTTAGAAAATCAACTATATGCTGCTTTTAAAAGGCTGACTCTAAACATAAAGACAAAATTTGAATGTAGAAAATGGAACAATAAACAGCATGTAAAATTTAGCAAAAGAAAGCTAATGTCTGACAAGGTAGATTTTATGGCAAAAAATATTATCAGGAATAAGGGTAGAATGTTTTCTAATGATAAAATGGTCAAATAGAAAGATAGAACACTTCTAAGTTTGTATGTGACTAAAATAACGTAGCATCAAAACCAATAAAACAAAAATGACATATCTAATGGCAATATACAAATTGTGGGAAATTCTAATTTTCAGTAATTAGTAAAGCATGGACACAAAAAATCAGGTTATAAATGTTCTGATTAACGTGATTAAGACACTTGACTTAAATGACATATATAGATCACTATAATGAACTACAACTGAATGCACATTTTTATAATTATAAACTATCGACCAAATGGATCATATACTAGTATATAAATTAAATTTCAACAAATGTCAAAAGATTTAAATAATACACAGTTTCTTTGATTATAAGAGAATTAATATGAAAATAAATTTCAAACAATAATACAAACATCACCACATATCGATGTTCCTTGACTTATGATGGAGTACATCCTGATAAACTCATAAGTCAAAAATGTACTTAATACCTTAATAAACGTATCATAAGGTCAAAAAATTGTATGTTAAACTACCATAAGCCAGAGACCATCTGTTTTTGCAAATTAAACAATATACCTCAAAAAGTTTTTAAATTGAGACACAATTCACACAACATTCATTATTGTAAAATGCACAATATAGTGATTTTTAGTTTACTTATATGTTGTACAAACATCACCACTATTTCATTCCAGACATTTTCATCATGTCAAAAAAGAAACCTGGTAATTATTAGCAGTTAGTCTCAATCTCACCTTCTCCAGATCCCATGGCAACTAATCTACTTTCTTTTTCTATGTATTTGCCTATTCTGGAAATTTCATAGAAATGGATTTATATAATATGTGGTCTTTTGTGTCTGATGTCCATCACTTGGCATGTTTTCAAGGTTATTCATTTTGCCATGTCATAGTACTTCATTCCTGTTTATGTCTGAATAATATTACATTGTACAAATATTTTATTTATTCATTAATTAATGAACATTTAGTTGTTACCCCTCTGACTATTATGAATAATGCAGCTACAAATTTTAGCATAGAAAATTATGCATGGACATATGTTTTTGATTATCTGGGGCATATTCCTAAGAGTGAAATTGCTGAGTCATATGATGTCTTTGTGTTTAACTTTTTGAGAAAATGCCAATTTGTTTTCCACAAAGTCTACACCATTTTACACTCCCATGAGTAAGGCATGAATGTTTCAGTTTCTCTACTTCCTCACCAATGCTCTTTTTTTTTTCGTGATCGTATCTTGTTGTAGCCATCTTAGTGAGTGTGAGATAACTAAATGAAGATTTTTTTTACTCCCTTAACAAATTTTTAAGTGTTACAGCACAGTATTGTTAACTATGTGCACACTGTTGTGCAGCAAATTTCTAGAGCTGTTTCATCTTGCAAGATTGAAATTCAATACCCATTAAATAGCAACTCTTCATTTTCCCCTCCCCATAACCCCTGGCAACTGTCATTCTACTTTCTGCTTCTATGAGTTTGACTCCTTTAGATACCTCATATAAATGGAAGCATGCAGTATTTGTCCTAATACGATGAGCTGTCTCACTTAGCATAACCTTAAGGTTCATCCATGTTGTAGATATGACAGGATTTTCTGTATATACTACATATTCATTATCCATTCATCTGTTGATGGGCATTTAGGTTGTCTCCACATATTGGCTATTGTGAATAGTGCTGCAATGAACGTGAGAATGCAAACATCTTTTTGAGATCCTGTATTCAATTCTTTTGGATAAATATCTAAAACTAGGACTGCTGGATCATATGCTGTTCTATTTTTAATTTTTTACAGAACCACCATACTGTTTTCTATAGCAGTTGTGTCATTTTACATTTACACTGATGATATACAATACTTCCAATTTCCTCATACCTTCACTAATACTTGTTATCATATGACATATTTTGGTAGCATAGCCTATATACACAGGCTAGCACATGAAATGTGTGGTTCCTACCTGCTTCTGTGTGATGCTGTGGTGCTGCTGCTGTGGAGAGCAGGAACATTTGAGAACTGTATGTCTGGGGCTGTGACTGGCAACCTTGCATACAACCACCACCAATACCAATGTGCAGTGCTCAGGACCCAGAGAGTCATCCCACCACTGCTACTGGCTTCACTGATACCACGTTGACTTCTCGGGGACATGGGAACCCATTTACCCACCCAGCCCACTGCAGCCACTACAGGCTCAAGAATTGGCCTACTTTATCCCACTAACACAAGTGCCAGCATCTGCTATGCTTGGGCCCAAGAGTAAGCATGCTCAGCCCACTGCTTCCACCAATGGGGACCAGATATGGACCCACCTGCCATCCCTGCCCCCAGAAAAACTTCACCATAGCCTCCACTAATAATTAGAGCCTAAACCACCTAGGAAACCACAGATGTTACTCATACTGTTTACAGCCAAAGAAACCATATAGAGGCTACATTGCCATATGCACCCAGAATCAAAGCTAAAGGGTCCTATAAAACCAACACCATTAATACATCTCCAGGAGAAAGTCCTCCCATGAAGGCAAATTAAAAAAATTGCAAGAAGTGACTATTACACCAGACACACAGATATTAACTGAAGGACAAGGAAACATGAAAAAAGAAGGAAAAATGACACCTTCAAAGGAACACAAAAATTCTCCAGCAACAGATTCCAATCAAAAAGAAATTCACAAATTTTTAGAAAAAGAATTTAAATTTATGATACTAAGAAGCTCAGTGAAGTTCGAGATAATTCCAAAAAAAACCCAAAGAAATCACAAAAGCAATTTAGAATATGAATAGAAATTTACCAGAGTAATAGGTATCACATAAAAGAACCAAAACAGAAATTCTGGAAGTGAGGAACTCCTTGAATACTTGAAACCTTCAACAATAAACTCAATAAAGCAGAAGAAAGAATCTCTGAACTTTAAGACAGGCCTTTTGAAATAACCCATGCAGAAAAAATAAAGAGAATAAAAAAAGAGTAAATAAAACCTTTGTGATATATGGGATACCATAAGTGACCAAATATACAAATTATCAGTATCCCAAAGCCAAAGAGAGAGAAAAGGGGTTCAAAAACTCATTTAACAAAATAACATGAAAACTACCCAAGTCTAGTAGGATATATAGACATTCAGATACAGGAGACCCAGTGATACACAAACAGATACAATGCAAAAAGGTCTTCTTCATGGGACATTATAATGAAACTCTTTAAAGTCAATGGCAAAAAGAAAAATTCTAAAGAGTGCAAGACAATGGAGTTTAGTCACTTATAAAGGAGCCCCCATTAAACTAATGGCAGACTTCTCAGCAGAACCCTTAACAGCCAAGAGAGATTGGTATGATATATTAAGTGACAAAAGAAAAAACCTTCAAGCAAAGGATACTATGTCCAGCAAAACTATTCTTCATCAATGAAGGAGAAATAAAGTGTTTCTCAGATAAGCAAATGCACAGGGAATTTATCACCACTAGACTGGCCTTTTAAGAAATGCTCAAGGGAGTACTAAACCTGAAAGGATGATAATTATCATCATTAACATACACAAAAATAGAAAACACACTTATAAAGCAAGTATACAAATGATGAAGAAAAAAGTCTCAAATGATACCACCACAGAAAAGCAGTAAGCCTCAAGGACAGTCAATAAGATAAAAAGAAAGGAACAAAGGATATACAAAACAAGAAGAAAATAATTAACAATATGACAGGAACAAAACCTCACATATCAATAATAACCTTCATTCATAAATGGATTAAATTCTCCACTTAAATGATATAATTTGGCTGAATGAATTTAAAAAAGAACATGACCCAATTATATATTGCCTACAACATACACACTTTACCTATAAAAACACAAATAGCTTGAAAGTAAAGGGATGAAAAAAATTTCCTACACAAATGGAAACCAAAAGCAAGCAGGGATGACTATCTTATCTTAATAAGATAAAACATACTTTAAAATAAAAACAATAAAATATGGCAAATAAAGTCATTATATAATGATAAAGGGATCACTCCAGCAAGAAGATGTAACAATTCTAAATATGTAGGCACCCAACACTGGAGCACTCAGATTCATAAGCAAATATTACTGAATATAAAGAAATAAAGACTCCACTACAGTAACAAAAGGGGACTTCAACACCCACTATGAGCATTAGATAGATAATCTAGACAGAAAGTCAAGAAAGACACATTGGACTTAAACTGGACTTAATATCAAATGAACCTAGTAAACATTTATAGAAGGTTTTATCTGATAACTCCAGCACACACATTCTTCTCATCAGCACATGGAACATTCCCCAGGATTGACCTTATGTTAGGCCACAAAACAACTCTCAACTAATTTTTAAAAATTTGAAATTGTGTCAAGCTATCTTTTCAAACCACAGTTGAATAAAACTAGAAATCAATACCAAAAGGAATCTTGGAAACTACAAAAAGACAAAGAAATTAAACGTGCTCCAGAATGACCACTAAGTCAATAAAGAAACTAAGATGGAAATTGAAAAATTTCTTGAAACAAGTTAAAATATAAGCACAACATGCCAAAACCTATTTTACACAGCAAAAGAAGTTAAAAGAGAGATGTTCACAGCCATAACACCTACATCAATAAACCAGAAAGATTTTAAATAAACAATCTATTGATGCACACACACTATAGACAAAGAAATAAAAGGCATCCAAATTGGAAAAGAGAAAGTGAAATTGTCCCTCTTTGCAGATGACATGATCTTATCTTTAGAAAACTAAAAGTTGTTGGCACAAAAATCTTAGAACTGAACAACAAATTCAGTGAAGTTGTAGGATAAAAAATTAACATACAAAATTAATAGCATTGCTTTTTTGTTTTTGCTTTTTTGTATTAGCAACCTTTTATTGAATAGCACTGCTCCTAGCAGTGCACACAGATTCAGCAGAATATGGGCTCTTGGCAACTGTGTTTATACTCACCTATACCCACTTACAATTGCATGCAAATTAAGGGGTGGGTTAATGCAAATTGAGGGTTCGGTTATTTGAACTTTAAAAAAATTTTTTTTAATACTTTAAGTTCTAGAGTACATGTGCACAACGTGCAGATTTGTTACATATGTATACATGGGCCATGTTGGTATGCTGCACCCATTAACTCGTCATTTACATTAGGTATATCTCCTAATGCTATCCTTCTCCCCTCCCTGCACCGCACAACAGGCCCTGGTGTGTGATGTTCCCCTTCCTGTGTCCGAGTGTTCTCATTGTTCAATTCCCGCCTATGAGTGAGAACACGCGGTGTTTGGTTTTTTTGTCCTTGAGATAGTTTGCTGAGAATGATGGTTTCCAGCTTCATCCATGTCGCTACAAATGACATGAACTCATCACTTTTTATAGCTGCATAGTATTCCATGGTGTATATATGCCACGTTTTCTTAATCCAGTCTATCATTGTTGGACATTTGTGTTGGTTCCAAGTCTTCGCTATTGTGAATAGTGCTGCAATAAACATACGTGTGCATGTGTCTTTATAGCAGCATGATTTATAATCCTTTGGGTATATACCCAGTAATGGGATGGCTGGGTCAAATGGTATTTATAGTTCTAGATCCTTGAGGAATCGCCACACTGACTTCCACAATGGTTGAACTAGTTTACAGTCCCACCAACAGTGTAAAAGTGTTCCTATTTCTCCACATCCTCTCCAGCACCTGTTGTTTCCTGACGTTTTAATCATCGCCATTCTAACTGGTGTGAGATGGTATCTCATTGTGGTTTTGATTTGCATTTCTCTGATGGCCAGTGATGATAAGCATTTTCTCATGTGCCTTTTGGCTGCATAAATGTCTTCTTTTGAGAAGTGTCTGTTCATATCCTTTGCCCACTTTTTGATGGGGTTGTTTGTTTTTTTTCTTGTAAATTTGTTTAAGTTCTTTGTAGATTCTGGATATTAGCTGTTTGTCAGATGAGTAGATTCCAAAAATTTTCTCCCGTTCTGTAGGATGCCTGTTCATTCTGATGGTAGTTTCTTTTGCTGTGCAGAAGCTCTTTAGTTTAATTAGATCCCATTTGTCAGTTTTGGCTTTTGTTGCCATTGCTTTTGGTGTTTTAGCCATGAAGTCCTTGCCCATGCCTATGTCCTGAATGATATTGCCTAGGTTTTCTTCTAGGATTTTTATGGTTCTAGGTCTAACATTTAAGTCTTTAATCCATCTTGAATTAATTTTTGTATAAAGTGTAAGGAAGGGATCCAGTTTCAGCTTCCTACATATGGCTAGCCAGTTTTCCCAGCACCACCATTTATTAAATAGGGAATCCTTTCCCCATTTCTTGTTTTTCTCAGGTTTGTCAAAGATCAGATAGTTGTAAATGTGTGATATTATTTCTGAGGTCTCTGTTCTGTTCCATTGGTCTATATCTCTGTTTTGGTACCAGTACCATGCTGTTTTGGTTACTATAGCATTGTAGTATAGTTTGACATCAGGTAGTGTGATGTCTCCAGCTTTGTTCTTTTTGCTTAGGATTGTCTTGGCAATGCAGGCTTTTTTTTTTTGGTTCCATATGAACTTTAAAGTAGTTTTTTCCAATTCTGTGAAGAAAGTCATTGGTAGCTTGATGGGGATGGCATTGAATCTATAAATTACCTTGGGCAGTATGGCCATTTTCACAATATTGATTCTTCCTATCCATGAGCATGGAATGTTCTTCCATTTGTTTGTGTCCTTTTTTATTTCGTTGAGCAGTGGTTTTTAGTACTCCTTGAAAAGTCCTTCACATCCCTTGTAAGTTGGATTCCTAGGTATTTTATTCTCTTTGAAGCAATTGTGAATGGGAGTTCACTCATGACTTGGCTCTCTGTTTGTCTGTTATTGGTGTATAAGAATGCTTGTGACTTTTGCACATTGATTTTGTATCCTGAGACTTTGCTGAAGTTGCTTATCTGCTCAAGGAGATATTGGGCTGAGATGATGGGGTTTTCTAAAAGAGCAACAAAACTGATAGACCGCTAGCAAGAATAAAAAAGAAGAAATGAGAGAAGAATCTAACAGATGCAATAATAAATGATAAAGGGTATATCACCACCGATCCCACAGAAATAAAAACTACCATCAGAGAATAATATAAACACCTCTATGCAAATAAACTAGAAAATCTAGAAGAGATGGATAAATTCCTGGACACATACACCCTCCCAAGACTAAACCAGGAAGAAGTTGAATCTCTGAATAGACTAATAACAGGCTCTGAAATTGAGGAAATAATTAATAGCTTACAAACCAAAAGAAGTCCAGGAGAAGACGGATTCACAGTCAAATTCTACCAGACGTACGAGGAGGAGCTGGTACCCTTCCTTCTGAAACTATTCCAATCAACGGAAAAAGAGGGAATCCTCCCTGACTCATTTTATGAGGCCAGCATCATACTGATACCAAAGCCTGGCAGAGACACAACAAAAAAAGAGAATTTTTGACCAAAATCCCTGATGAACATCGATGCAAAAATCCTCAATAAAATACTGGCAAACCGAATCCAGCAGCACATCAAAAAGCTTATCCACCGTGATCAAGTGGGCTTCATCCCTGGGATGTAACGCTGGTTCAACATATGCAAATCAATAAATGTAACTCAGCATATAAACAGAACCAATGACAAAAACCAGATGATTATCTCAATAGATGCAGAAAAGGCCTTTGACAAAATTCAACAACCTTCATGCTAAAAACTCTCAATAAATTAGTTACTGATGGGATGTATTTCAAAATAATAAGTGCTATCTTTGACAAACCCACAGCCAATATCATACTGAATGCATAAAAACTGGAAGTATTCCCTTTGAACACTGGCACAAGACAGGGATGCCCTCTCTCACCACTCGTATTCAACACAGTGTTGGAATTCTGGCCAGGGCAATCAGGCAGGAGAAAGAAATAAAGGGTATTCAATTAGGAAAAGAGGAAGTCAAATTGTCCTTGTTTGCAGATGACATGATTGTGTATTTAGAAAACCCCATCATCTCAGCCCAAAATCTCCTTAAGCAGATAGGCAACTTCAGCAAGGTCTCAGGATACGAAATCCATGTGCAAAAATCACAAGCATTCTTATACACCAATAACAGACAGAGAGTCAAATCATGAGTGAACTCCCATTAACAATTGCTTCAAGCAGAATTAAATACCTAGGAATCCAACTTACGAGGGATGTGAAGGACTGTTTCAAGGAGAACTACAAACCACTGCTCAACGAAATAAAAGAGGATACAAACAAATGGAAGAACATTCCATGCTCATGGGTGGGAAGAATCAATATCGTGAAAATGGCCATACTGCCCAAAGTAATTTATAGATTCAATGCCATCCCCATCAAGCTACCAATGACTTTCTCCACAGAATTGGAAAAAACTACTTTAAAGTTCATATGGAACCAAAAAGGAGCCTGCATTTCCAAGACAGTCCTACTCCAAAAGAACAAATCTGGGGGAATCACGCTACTTCAAACTATACTACAAGGCTACAGTAACAAAAACAGCATGGTACTGGTACTGAAACAGAGATATAGACCAATGGAACAGAACAGAGACCTCAGAAATAATGCTACATATCTACGACTATCTGATCTTTGACAAACCTGAGAAAAACAAGAAATGGGGAAAGGATTCCCTATTTAATAAATGGTGCTGGGAAAACTGGCTAGTCGTATGTAGAAAGCTGACACTGGATCCCTTCCTTACCCTTTATACAAAAATTAATTCAAGATGAATTAAAGACTTAAATGTTAGACCTAAAACCATAAAAACCCTAGAAGAAAACCTAGGCAATACCATTCAGGTCATAGGCATGGGCAAGGACTTCATGTCTAAAACACCAAAAGCAATGGCAACAAAAGCCAAAATTGACAAATGGGATCTAATTAAACTAAAGAGCTTCTGCACAGCAAAAGAAACTACCATCAGAGTGAACAGGCAACCTACAGAATGGGAGAAATTTTTTTGCAATCTACTCATCTGTCAAAGGGCTAATAGCCAGTACCTACAATGAACTCAAACAAACTTACAAGAAAAAAACAAACAACCGCATCAAAAAGTGGGCAAAGGATATGAACAGACACTTCTCAAAAGAAGACATTTATGCAGCCAAAAGGCACATGAGAAAATGCTTATCATCCCTGGCCATCAGAGAAATGCAAATCAAAACCACGATGAGATACCATCTCACACCAGTTAGAATGGCGATGATTAAAACGTCAGGAAACAACAGGTGCTGGAGAGGATGTGGAGAAATAGGAACACTTTTACACTGTTGGTGGGACTGTAAACTAGTTCAACCATTGTG
This sequence comes from Homo sapiens, assembly GCF_000001405.40. NCBI lineage: Eukaryota > Metazoa > Chordata > Mammalia > Primates > Hominidae > Homo > Homo sapiens. The sequence goes on along the minus strand of NC_000006.12, from coordinate 78,738,454 downwards.
GAAGTCAGTGTGGCGATTCCTCAGGTATCTAGAACTAGAAATACCATTTGACCCAGCCATCCCATTACTGGGTATATACCCAAATATTATAAATCATGCTGCTATAAAAACACATGCACATGTATGTTTATTGCGGCACTATTCACAATAGCAAAGACTTGGAACCAACCCAAATGTCCATCAATGATAGACTGGATTAAGAAAATGTAGCACATATACACCATGGAATACTATGCAGCCATAGAAAATGATGAGTTCATGTCCTTTTTAGGGACATGGATGAAGTTGGAAACCATCATTCTCAGCAAACTATCACAAGGACAGAAAACCAAACACTGCATGTTCTCACTCATAGCTGGGAGTTGAACAATGAGAACACATGGACACAGGAAGGGGAACATCACACACCAGGGCCTGTTGTGGGGTGGGGGGAGGGGGGAGGGATAGCATGAGGAGATATTCCTAATGTTAAATGACAAGTTAATGGGTGCAGCATACCAACATGGCACATGTATACATATGTAACAAACCTGCACGTTGTGCATATTTACCCTAAAACTTAAAGTATAATAAAAAAAAAAGAATGTTCAATATTGGCCTCCACTCTCTTCTGGCTTGTAAAGTTTTTGCTGATAGATCAGCTGTTAGTGTGATGGGCTTCCCTTTGTGCATAACCCGACCTTTCTCTCTGGCTCCACTTATCATTTTTTCCTTCATTTCAACTTTGTTGAATCTGACAATTATGTGTCTTGGAGTTGCTCTTCTCAAGGAATATCTTTGTGGCATTCTCTGTATTTCCTGAATTTGAATGTTGGCCTGCCTTGCTAGGTTGGTGAAGTTCTCCTGGATACTATCCTGATGAGTGTTTTCCTACTTGGTTCTATTCTCCCCATCACTTTCAGGTACACCAGTCATATGCTGATTTGGTCTTTTCACTTACCCCCATATTTCTTGGAGGCTTTGTTCGTTTCTTTTTACTCTTTTTTTCTCTAAACTTCTCTTGTTGCTTCATTTCATTCATTTGATCTTCAATCACTGATACCCTTCTTCCAGTTGATCGAATTGGCTACTGAAGCTTGTGCATTCGTCATGTAATTCTTGTGACATGGTTTTCAGCTCCATCAGGTCCTTTATGGACTTCTGTACACTGGTTATTCTAGTTAGCGATTCATCCAATCTGTTTTCAAGGTGTTTAGCTTCTTTGCTATGGTTTCGAACTTCCTCCTTTAGCTTGGAGAAGCTTGCTGGAGGTCCTCTCCAGACCTGTTTGCCTGGGTGTCACCAGTGGAGGCTGTAGAACAGCAAATATTGCAGAATGGCAAATGTTGGTGCCTGATCCTTCCTCTGGAAGCTTCGTCTCAGAGGGGCACTCAGCTGTATGAGGTGTCAGTCAGCCCCTTTTGGGAGTGTCTCCCAGTTAGGCTACCCAGGGGTCAGGGACCTACTTGAGGAGGCATTCTGTCCATTCTCAGATCTCAAACTCCATGCTGGGAGAACCACTACTCTCTTCAAAGTTGTCAGACAGGGACATTTAAGTCTGCAGAATTTTCTGCTGCCTTTTGTTCAGCTATGCTCTGCCCCCCGAGGTGGAGTCTACAGAGGCAGGCAGGTCTCCTTGAGCTGCAGTGGGCTCCACCCAGTTTGAGCTTCCAGGCTGCTTTGTTTACCTACTCAATACTTAGCAATGGTGGGCGCCCCTCTCCTAGCCTCGCTGCTGCCTTGCAGTTCAATCTCAGAATGCTGTGCTAGCAATGAGCAAGGCTCTGTGGGCTTGAGACCCTCCGAGCCAGGCGTGGGATATAATCTCCTGGTGTGCCATTTGCTAAGATGCTTGGAAAAGTGCAGTATTAGGGTGGGAGTGACCCAATTTCCCAGGTGCCATCTATCATAGCTTCCCTTGGCTAGGAAAGGGAATTCCCTGACCCTTTGCACTTCCCAGGTGGGGTGATGCCTCACCCTGTTTTGATTCATGCTCGGTGGGCTGCACCCACTGTCCTGCACCCACTGTTCGACAAGCCCCAGTGAGATGAACCCGGTACCTCAGTTGGAAATGCAGAAATCACCCATCTTCTGCGTCGCTCATGCTGGAAGCTATAGACTGGAGCTGTTCCTATTCGGCTACCTTGGAACTGCCTCCCAAAATTAGTAGCATTTCTAATAGCCAAAAGAGAAATCAAGAAGGCAATCTCATTTATAAGATCTTCAAAAAATTACTAGGAATAAATTTAGCTAAGAATGTGAATGATCTCCAGAAGGAAAATTTCAAACATCTGGTAAGAGAAATTGAAGAGTACACAAACAAATAGAAAGACATCAATGCTTATGGATCAGAAGAATTAATGTCATTAAGATGACTATACTGCCTAAAGCAGTCTATAGATTCAGTGCAATCCCTATCAAAATATGCAATGCCATTCTTCACAGAAATATAAAAAAAAGTATAAGACTCATATAGATCCAAAATAAAGCCCAAATAGCTAAAGAAATTCTGAGGAAAAATAACAAAGCTGGAGGCATCACACTACTTGAATTCAAAACACATTACATGGCCTATAGTAATGAAAACAATATGGTATTGGTATATAAATAGGCACCTAGAGCAATGGAATGGAATAAAGAACCCAGAAATAAATCCACATATTTACAGACAACTGATCTTCAACAAAGTCACCATGTACATACACTGGGGAAAGAATACCCTCTTCAATAAATAATACTGGGAAAACTAGATAATCATATTCAGAAGAATGAGACTGGAGCTCTATCTTTCACCATATACAAAAGTCAACTCAAAAGGGGTTAAACGTAAGACCCCAAACTATAAAACTGCTAGAAGTAAACAGGAAAACTCCTAGGGCATTAGTCTAGGGAAAAATTTTATGGCTAAGACCTTAAAAGCACAGAAAACAACAGCAAAAACAAAATAGACAAATGGCACTATATTAAACTAAACAGCTTCTGCATAGCAAAACAAATCACAGAGGGAAGAGACAATCTCTTGAAAGGGGTAAAATATTTGAAAACTACTCATCCAGCAGAGGACTAATATCCACAATATCCAAGGAATTCAAACTACTCAACAATGAAACAACAATTACGTTAAAAAATGGGCAAAGGACAAGAGTAGACATTTCTAAAAAGAAGATATACAAATGAAAAAATGCTCAATATCACTTATTATGAGGTAATGCAAATCAAAATCACAGTGAGTTATCATCTGATCCCAGTTAGAATGGCTGTTGTTAACCGGATAACAACAACAACAGATGTTGACAAGAATGTGAAGAAAAGGAAACTCTTATACACTGTTGGTGGGAATGTAAATTAGTAAAACTGGTATGAAAAAGAGTACGAAGATTTTTCAAAAAAGTAAAAATAGAACTACCATATGATCCAGCAATCCCACTATGGGGTATCTATTCAAAGGAAAAGGAATCAGTATATCAAAGGGGTACTTGCACTCACATGTTTATCACAGCACTAATTACAATAGCAAAGATATGGAATTAACCTAAGTGTCCATCATGTTTATCACAGCACTAATTACAATAGCAGAGATATGGAATTAACCTAAGTGTCCATCAAAGGTCGAACAGATAAAGAAAATATACTATAGAATATAAATATAAATAAAATATAGTATTGGCAATAGAATGCTATTTGCCCATAATGAAGAATTAAATCATGTCATTTGAAAGAACATGGATGAAATAAGCTTGACACTGAAAGACAAATAATTCATGTTCTCACTCATATGTGGGAGCTAATAAACTTGATCTCATGGACATATGGACAAGAGTGATTGAGACCAGATACTGGGAAAGGTGAGTAGGTAGAAGGTGGACATGAAGAAAGGTTAGTTATGGGTACAAACATATAGGTAGATAGCAGACATAAGTTCCAATGTTTGATAGGAGACTAGGGTGACTATATTTAGCAACAATTTATGTATATTTCAAAGTAATTAGAAGAGAGGAATTGAAATCATATCCCAACATATAAAAATAATAAACATTCAAGGGGATGGATACCCCAGTTACACATTCTATGCATATAATAAACACTCACAGGTACCCCATAAATATGTGAATTTTATATATCAATAAAAGAGAAAAAAGATGATATTATGAACAACTTTATGTTAACCAGTTTTTTTTTTTCAAGTTCAGGTGTACATGTGCAGGTTTGTTATATAGATGAACTTGTGTCATGGGGGTTTCTTGTACAGATTATTTCATCACTCATTAGTTATTTTTCCAGATCCTTGAACTCCTCTCACCCTCCACCTTCAGGTAGGACCCAGTGTCTGTTGTTCCCCTCTATGTGTCCAGGTGTTTTCATCAGAGCCCCCACTTATAAGTGAGAACATGAGGTATTTGGTTTTCTTTTCCTACATTAGTTAGCTAAGGATGATGGCCTCCAGCTCCTTCTGCGTTCACGTGAAAGGACATGATCTTGTTATTTTTTGTGACTACATAGCATTCCATTGTGCATATGTACAACATTTTCTTTATCCAGTCTACCATTGATGGACATTTAGGTTGATTCCATGTCTTTGCTATTGTGAATATTGCTGCAGTGAACATACATGTGCATGTGTATTTATGGTAAAATGATTTATATTACTCTGGGCATATACCTAGTACTGGGATTACTGGGTCAAACGGTAGCTGTATTTTTAGCTCTTTGAAGTATCACCACACTGCTTTCCACAGTGGTTAAACTAATTTGCACTCCCACCAACAGTATATAAGTATTCCTTTTTCCCACAACCTCACCATCATCTGTTATTATTATTTTTTTTTACTTTTTAATAATAGCCATTCTAACTGGTGTAAGATGGTATCTCATTGTGGTTTTGATTTGCATTTCTCTAATGATCAGTGATGTTGAGTGTATTTTCATATGCTCATTGGCTGAATGTATGTCATCTTTTGAAAAGTGTCTGTTCATGTCCTTTGCCAGCTTCTTAATGAGGTTGTTTTTTTCTTGTAAATTTGTTTAACTTCCTTATAGATGCTGGATATTAGACCTTTGTCAGATGCATAGTTTGCAAATATTTTCTCCTATTCCATAGGCTGTTTATTGAGTTTCCTTTGCTGTGCAGAAGCTCTTTAGTTTAATTAGGTCCTATTTGCCAATTATTCCTTTTGTTGTAATTGCTTTTGGTGTCTTCCTCATAAAATCTTTGCCAGTTCCTGTGTCCAGGAAGGTATTGCCTAGGTTGTTTTCCAGGGTTTTCAAAGGTTTTGGTTTTACACTTAAGTTTTTAACCCCTCTTGAGTTGATTTTTGTATATAATATAAGGAAGAGGTCCAGTTTCAATCTTCTGCATATGGTAGCCAGTTATCCCAGCAACCTTTATTAAATAAAGTTCTTTCCCTATTGCTTGTTTTTGTCAGCTTTGTCAAAGATTGAATGGTTGTAGCTGTGCAGCCTTGTTTCTGGGTTCCCTATCCTGTTCCATTGGTCCATGTGTCTGCTTTTGTTCCAGTACCAAGCTGTTTTGGCTACTGTAGCCCTGTAGTATAGTTTAAAGTTTTATAGTGTGATGCCTCTAGGTTTGTTCTTTTTGCTTAGGAGTGCCTTGGCTATTTCAGCTTTTTTTGGTTTCATACGAATTTTAAAATAGATTTTTGTATCTCTTTGAAGAATGTCACTGGTAGTTTAATAGAGATAGCATGTAATCTATAAATTGCTTTGGGTAGTATGGCCATTTTAATGATATTGATTCTTCCTATCCGTGATCATGGAAAGGAATGCTTTTCCATGTGTTTGTTTCATCTCTGATTTCTTTGAGCATTATTTTATTGTTCTCCTTGTAGAGATCGAGATCTTTTACCTTCCTAGTTAGCTACATTCCTAGGTATTTTATTCTTTTTGTGACAGTTGTGAATGTGATTGCATTTCTGATTTGATGTTCAGCTTGGCTGTTGTTGATGTATAGTAATGCTAGTGATTTTTGTACATTGATTTTATATCCCTGAGACTTCGCTGAAATTGTTTATTAGGTGAAGGAGATTTTGGGCTGAGACTGTGGAATTTTCTCAATACAGAATCATGTCATCTGCAAACAGGGATAGTTGGACTTTCTCTCTTTGTATTTGGATGCCCAAGAGAAAGAGATTTCTTTCTCTTGCCTGATTGCTCTGACCAGGACTTCCATTACTATGTTGAAGAGGAGTGGTGAGAGAAGACATTATTTTCTTGTGCTGGTTTTCAAGGGGGATGCTTCCAGCTTTTGTCCATTCAGTATGATGTTGGCTGTAGGTTTGTCATGTGTGGCTCTTATAATATGTTCCTTCAATACCTAGTTTATTAACTGTTTTTAATATGAAGGGATGTTGAATTTATTGAAAGCCTTTTCTGCATCTATTGAAATATACATGTGGTTTTTGTCTAGTTCTGTTTATGTGATGAATCACCTTAATGATTTGCATATGTTGAACCAATCGTGCATCCCAAAGATAAATCCTATTTGATCAAAGTGGATAAGCTTTTTAATATGTTGCTAGATTCAGTTTGCCCATATTTTGTTGAGGAGTTTTGCACTGACGATTATCATGGGTATTGGCCTGAGGTTTTCTTGTGTGTGTGTGTGTGTGTGTGTGTGTGTGTGTGTGTGTCTCTGCCAGGTTTTGGTATTAGGGTGATGCTGGCCTCATAGAGTGAGTTAGGGTGGAGTTTCTTTTCCTCAATCTTTTAGAATAGTTTCAGTAGGAATGATACCAGCTCTTCTTTGTACATCTGGTAGAATTTGGCTGTGAATCCATCTGGTCCTGGTCTTTTTGTGGTTGGTAGGCTACTTATTACTGATTCTATTTTAAAGTTCGTTATTGGTGTGTCCAGCAATTCAGTTTCTTTCTGGTTCAGTCGGGAGCGTAATATGTTCAGAAATGTATCAATTTTTTCTAGATTTTCTAGTTTGTGTGCATGTAGATGTTCATAGTGGTTTCTGATGGTTATTTCTATTTCTGTGGGGTCAGTGTTTATATCCTCTTTGTCATTTCTCATTTTGTTTATTTAGATCTTCTCTCCTTTCTTCTCTATTAGTCTAGCTAGTGATCTATTATCGTGATTTTTTTTCAATAAACCAACCCTTGGATTTGTTACCTTTTGAATGGTTTTTCATGTCTCCATCTCCTTCAATTCAACTCTGATTTTGGTTATATCGTATCTTCTGCTAGTTTGGGGTTGGTTTGCTCTTGCTTCTCTAGTTCTTTTTGTTGTGATGTTAGCTTGGCAAATTGAAATCTTTCTAGCATTTTAATATGGAAATTTAGTACTATAAATTTCCTGCTTAACACTGCCTTAGCAGTTTCCCAGTAATTCTGGTATGCTGTGTCTTTGTTCTCATTAGTTTCAAATAACTTCTTGATTTCTGTCTTAATTTTATTATTTATCTAAAAGTCATTCAGGAGTAGATTACTTAATTTTTACAAAGTTGTATAATTTTGAGCAATTTTCTTGGTTGTGATTTCTATTTTTGTTGTCCTGTGGTTCGAGAGAGTGTTTGTTATGATTTCAGTTCTTTTGTGTTTGCTGAGGATTGCTTAATTTCCAATTGAGTAGTTTATTTTATATTATGTGCCATGTGGCAATGAGAAGAATGTATATTCTGTTGTTTTGGGGTAAAGAGTTCTGTAGATGTCTAGCAGGTTCATTTGATCCAATGATGAGTTTAGGCACTGAATATTTTTGTTAATTTTCTGCCTCAATGATCTAATACTGTCAGTGGAGGGTTGAAGTCTCCCACTATTATTGTGTGAGAGTCTAAGTCTCTTTGTAGGTCTTTAAGAAATTCCTTTATGAATCTGGGAGCTCCTGTGTTCGGTACATACATATTTAGGATAGTTAGGCTTTCTTGTTGAATTGAACTCTTTACCATTACATAATGCCCTTGTCTTTTTTTGATCTTTGTTATTTTAAAGTTCCCAGGGTCGCTCGCTCACTCACTGCTTCCCTGGGCAGGGGAGGCTCCTGTGACTCTGTGTCACTCTGGATGGTCATCCTGCCTTGTTTATCTGCATTCTCCATGGGTCGAGTTGTTTCCTTGGTAAATCCCAATGCATGTACTTGGATGTTCCAGTTGAAAGTGCTGTATTTATTCATTTATTCTATTTCTCTCTGTGAGAGTGGCACTAGCTGCTTCTAGTTGGCCATCTTGTGACCAGCCTCCTCACCAGTTTGAAAAGGAAGATAAAATGGATGCATTCTGAGAATAAAATTCACAACATGTCAAACCTGACATAGGAAAAAATAAGAAATCTATTAACATTTAAATTCATAATAACAAAGCTTCCCATTTCTTAGAGAAAACTTCATACGCAGATGGCTTTACCAGTCAATTCTAATAAACATTTAAGGCAGAAATACCATTAATCTTACAGACATTTTTTTCAGATAATAGAAAAAATAAGGGAGTACTATTTGTTTTATGAAGCTAGCATAAACTTAACATTAAAACCAGGATGATGGTGTTACATGAAAGAAAAATTACAGGCTAATCACTCTCATGAGCACAGGTGTAAAAATTGTATTAAAAAATCAAATTGAATCCAGCAATCTGTAAACAGGATAATACATGAAAAAACCTGCAACTTATTGTAGGAAGACAAAACTGGTTTAACATCTAAAAGAAATCACTATAATTCTATCAATCAATAGAGTTCATTACATTAACAGATGAAAGGAGAGAATATGATAATCTCAACAGAGGAATGGAAAGCATTTGATATAATTTATGATGAAATATGTAAGCAAACTAGAAATAGCAGGCAATTTCCTTAATTTGAATATTTACAATAGATCTAAAGCAAACAGCACACCTAATGATAGAATATTGAAAGATTTCTCTCCTCACCCCTAGACTGGGAAAATGTTACTTTTACTAATTAAATTAAACATTGTAAACATTGTAATAGAGAACTTGGCCTAGTCAGTGCAAGATGGAAAGAAAAAGAAGATATAACTGAAAAGTTTTCAACAGGAAATATAAAAATTTTCTTTCACAAATTACATGCTTGTATAATGAGAGAGTGCAGCATAAATAACAGTTAAATTATTCAAGCTAATAGGTGAAATTAGCAAGGTTACTAGACATAAAAAGCCTACCTTTTTTTAACTTCTATATTTTAGCAACAATAAATTAAGACACAAAGTTAAATTAAACTATATCTTTTTTTTTGTGAGATGGAGTCTCGCTCTGTCGCCCAGGCTGGAGTGCAGAGGCGCTATCTTGGCTCACTGCAAGCTCTGCCTCCCGGGTTCATGCCATTCTCCTGCCTCAGCCTCCCGAGTAGCTGGCACTACAGGCGCCCGCCACCACGCCCGGCTAATTTTTTGTATTTTTAGTAGAGACGGGGTTTCACCGTGTTAGCCTGGATAGTCTCGATCTCCTGACCTCATGATCCACCCACTTTGGCCTCCTAAAATGCTGGAATTACAGGCGTGAGCCACCACGCCCGGCCAAACTATATCTTTTACGATAGCATCAAAAGATATAAAATGTCTAGGAATATATATATAATAAAGAATTTAAGGGATCAACACGAAAAGCTACACAGTATCTTCAAAGAAATTAAAGGTAACCTAAATTAATGAAGGAAGACTCTACATTTATGGCTTAGAAGACCCTTTTCTTTAAAGTGATCTCATCTCAAATTGATGTATTGAATCTATAGATTCAATTTGACCCCAGGAGGTATTTTCATAGAAATTGACCAACTATTTGTAAAACATATGGGAATTAAAGATTCAAGAGTAGCCAAGAAAATTTTTTAAAAGTAAAAATTTCATGAACTTACATAACAGAAACAAAGACTTGTTGTAAAGGTACAGCAATTCAGACAGTTTGATTTTGGCACAAATCTAGGTAAATAGATCAGTACAACTGATTGGAAGGGTGAGTAACAAACTTATTCCTATAATAAGTTTATTTGATTTATAAAGTGAGACTGTAGAACAGTAGGCAAAGGTAGAGTCTTTTCACCAGAGTTGCAAGGCCAATTGTTTATCTATGAGAAAAATAAATCTTGACCTCTATTTTCCACTGTATTAAAAAAATTAGCTTCTGAGGACTGTAGATTGAAATGTGAAGGAAAATAAAAATGCTTCTAGAAGAAAACTTGAGAGAATATATGCTCGAATTTTGGCAGCTAAGTTTTCTTAAGCAGATAACAAAAAGCAGAAACCAAAAAGGAAAAAAAATACCACATTAAAATCAAGAACTTTTGTTTTAAAAAGATAGCATAGAGAGAGAGAGAGAGAGAGAGAAAGAGAGGAACAGTAAGTCACAGAAGATTAGAGGAAGATCTTTCTAATGTGTACATTGTATTTGCTAGGACTGCCCTAAAAAAAACCCCACAGACTGGTGGCTTTAAATAACAGAAGTTTATTTTCTCATAGTTTTGGAGGCTAGAAGGCTAAGATCAAGGTGTTAGTAGGGTTGGTTTCTCCTGTAGACTTTCATTATGGCTTGCAGATGGCTGCCTCTCACTCTGTCCTCACACAACCTTTTCTCTGGGCACAAGCATTTGTGGTGTTTTCCTCTTCTTGTAAGGACACCAACCATACTGGACTAGGACACTATCCTAAAGACCTCATTTAACCTTAATTACTTCTTTAAAGGCCCTTTCTCCAAATACAGTCACATTCTAAGGTACTGAGATTAGGACTTTAATATATGAATTTTGAGGGACACAATTGAGTTCAGAACATATATCTAACAAAGGACTTGTTTCCAGTCTGAATTAGGAACTCTTTAAAGCCAATACAAGAGTGATACAAAAACCAATAGAAAAACAGGCAAAAGACTTTAACAGCACTTCATAAAAGAGGAAATTTGGGGGTCATTAACATTTGAATAGGTGCTCAACATTATTACTCATCAGTGAAATAAAAATTTAAATCACATCAAGAAACCCTATATACACGCTATAGTGGTTACACACTGACAACAACAAGAATTGGCAAAAATGATGACCAACTAAAAATCTCAGACACCGCTGGCAAGAGAGTGAATTAATACAATCATTTTGGAAGACTGGCAATATTAACTACGATTGGACATAAGCATATCCAAAGATTCTACAGTTCTGTTCTTAGGTATATAACCAATGGAAACACATACTTATCTACACCCAAAGACATACACAGAACAATTCCATATTTGAAATGATCTAAGTATACAGCAAGCAATAGTATAATGGATAATTGTATGGTGGCAGATTTGTACTATGGATTCTAAATGGCTATAAAAATGCCTGAAGTGTAGTTATAGAATAGCATGGATGAATCTCAGAAACATAACATTTATTAAAAGAGTTAAAAGAATTCTTTTGTATACTTCTATTTGGTTAAAGTTCAAAAACTAATCTATGGTGATAGAAGTGAGGTAATGGCCAAGTTTGGGGAAAGGGAGATGAACTGATATCTAAACCCCAGGGGTGGGAGCAGTGCTTCAGGGTGCTGATAATGTTCTATTACTGGAACTTGGTGATGGTTACATGGGTGGGTTTACTGTGTGAAAATTCAATGTGCTGTCCATGTGATTCTCTGTATGTATGTAATATTTCAATCAATGGCTTATCAAAAAATAAATTCCCTGAAAACAATGAAATATTAAGACTTACACATCAACACATGGTGGAAAGACATGCTTTTGGGCAAGGAGTTCTTGATTGTTTCTCTCAAATCATATCATCCAAGTCCTTTCTCTTCTACCTATCTTCAGATGCTCCGATAAAGGCTCTATGAATGTCATATTCTGTTAATTTCACTTCCTTTGCAGGGATGCATTAGGGAAGCTGCTAATTGGTCTATTGTCAGCTAAGAGAATGTTATGTACTATTATGTAATGTATTAAAACCATGAAATGTGATTGTTTGCAAAGAAGAGCAGCAAAATTGATTAAAACCATAAGTTTGATAGGGAGATTTAGTAAACTTATCTTGTAGGTAGGTGGCAAAAATTTTTGAGCTCTGATTTTCACTACTGTATAAACTGGATGTTGACAATTTATATATTCTTTAATGTCACTCAGGACCTGTGGTTAGACTTAGAGAATTCCTGTCTATGGCTTCATGTTTTTACTTTTTTCTCTATGCAAGCACACTTCTGTAAAAGTCAAGATGTTAATACAGGAGACAGAAGTTATTTACATTTTGTAGGTCTAGTGGGAAAAATATTTTGTGCTCTGATCACACATGAATGCCAAAATACCTATGAAGCTAGAACTAAATGCATTATACTTCTTAGTAGAAAAGAGAGAGACCAGCAATAACATTTATCACATATAAAGAGTAGTAGTCGGTATTTTATTTTGGGCTTATTAGCTCATTTAGTTTTCCTAGGCAACCTACAAAGCAGATATCATTGTCACCAATTTACACACACACACACACACACACACACAACAACAACAACAACTTTGAAACTCAGAGAATCTAAGTTATTTCCCAAGATTACACAGCTAGTTAGTGGCAGATAGGAAATTTGAATCCCTGTATGTCTGGCTCCAAGCTGATGTTTCTTTGATATTGCACACCATTGAATTTTTTTCATTTTATCTTTCACCATCTATCCATCCGTTCATTCAATAGGCATTTGTTGAATAAATATTGAATGTGAGAAAGAAAAAAATTATCTGAGCAATGAGAGCTCCTTTACATTTTCAGTCCCAAAGAGGCATTTAAAATGTAACAAATTTCACTCCCCATTGAACTGAGTACCATTACCTCTTGAAACCACTTGCTGTGTGAGCATTTTGTGGCTACTAACTAATACCAAGTAGCCATAAAATAACATACTCTTACCACCATAACTCTTACCCTGTAATTTAACAATGTATAGCCAATTGCTAATCAAAGTTACTTCTGTAAACCAGTGAGAATTCCTGATGAACTACTTTTATAGTTTCCCCTTCTGCTGATTTGCCTCGTTTTTCATTAAAAACTTGAGTCTCTCCTTTGTTTGCCAGAGCACTTCCCAAGGCACTTTGGAAGTGTGTCCCAGGCCACAGTCCTCAATCTTGTCCCAAATAAACTCTTTATGTTAATTTTGCTTCAGCTTCTTCCTTTTAGCTCAACAAATAAATGATACTAATCTAAAAATCTGATGAACCATTCAGATTATACTAACTAGCTATATTTGAGGCATATGGTTCTCTCTTTTCATCATCATATACCGATTTCTCCTTTTGTTGCATCTTGTAAATTACTGGGATTTTATTTATTTTCTCTGCATTTTTTGTGTGTCTGTATTGAATTTCTGTTTAGATCACTGTTGAATTATGAGGAGATTCAATGAAGTATAAGCTATTTGCATACTTTGGGTATTAAAAATGGTGTTACATTTTCCTGAAGCTATTTCAGGTCAGTGAGTGTTAATGAAATATCAATATAATGATTATTTTGGAGTTTGTGGGGAATTCTTGTACTTGTGTGACCAGAGAAACAAAATGTGTATGTTTATGGTGCTGGGATTCTAATTTTAGATGGACTGGTTTTCTCATCTGTCTTTTTTAAAACTTTAAAAACAGTGTCTTCACAAAAGGCAAATGAATCACAAGAGTAATTACACATACTTGGGTAAATATCTTGAAATTCCATTAAATTGGTGGACACTAGGGTAACTGTATATTCTATTAGTTTAGCAGCATTTAGTTTCAATGCTTTCATTTTGTTAGTCTATTGGCATGAAGGTCAAGATGTTAGATTTCTATTATTTGCAATTGAAAGAGACTCAAATATCTATTGCTAGGAAAGCAAGCTCTTTTTTAGTCATTGAGATAAAGACTAGTATCAAATATAATTATAACATGACTAGGAAATGAGAACTAAGCCATTATTCCAAAATATTGCTGTTGCTGAAAAGTATTTATAGAATTTCTTTTAAAGAATTTCCTTCCAAGCCAGCTAATCAATTCACATAGGAATTAATTTCAGTATATCTAGCTTTCGACTTATTGACCTCCACTTCTGAAGAGTCTAAATTTAGTATATATTGGAGGGATGGTGAGCATCTTTATTAAAAATAAATCTCCCCAGGTAGTTTTGATGAGTAGACATGTTTGGGTGTGTTCTATATGGTATTGAGGATTTATGCTCAATCAGTGATGTAAATTTTGCCATTGGGCTCTGTTTTTTTCTGTAATGGGCCCAGCTTAGCTGTACCTGTCTTCTCTAATCATCAGATTAAGGCTGCAGTAGTTAGGCTGGGCACACATGAGTCCGGGAAAATCTGTTCAGCAGGGGTTTTAATAGTCTTGTTAGAATTTTTTGACTTGGGAACACTGTCTTGGGGCAAAGGGCTTTACACTTCAGCCAGGAAAGTAGAGGATGGGGCAAACTCGCTATTGAAGTGGCTCATAGAAACATGGAAAATATTCTCCAGCACTCAATGAAGTAGAGATGCCCAAGTTGTCCTGGCATGTGATGGAGGTGTATTATATGAGGCACCGTGGCTGCCCTTTCAATGGGCTACTTGCAGTCAATGACTGCATGACACAGGAATATTAAAACAGTTCAATTCCTGGGAGATAAGGACACCTTAACAGCCAACTTAGGCTTGAGGGATCTGTGATGGCTTTGCTGGATCTTCCTTAGATTGCACAGCACTCAACCTTCCCTCAGACTTGCACTGCATATCGGCAGCTCTTCTAGCCTTACTCAATTCTTCCCTACCCCCCCACTTCCCATTTTCTCTCATACAAGTATTTCCTCTAATAATATGCCAGATTTTAGTGGTTGTAAGTCAATTAAAAATATGTCTCTGGTAGCTTAGAGACAAATACCCTATACCTGCCCAGCTCTCTGATTCGTTTTCCAAATAGGATAACTTTTCAGGTAGATTCTCATTTTCCTAGTATAACCCTCATCTGAGAAAACATTCAAATAGCTAGTTTTTTTTTTATGAGACCCCAGTCATTAGCCTTCATTCCATGTGACTATGTGGATACCCTTTTTAAAGAGGCTCTGCAGCCCAATCTTGGAATTTGTTACACTTCCAAATGCTTGGGACAGCAAGTAAAAGATACTTTTATGATCACCCACAATTGAGTTCCACTCCATAGCATCTATGTATAATAAAACTTTATTTTTTTTCTTCAGAATGAATGAGGGTAATTCAATCTTTCAAAAGCTATCTTCTTTTATATGCTTACATTACTGAAATATACAATTTCACTTATCATTTACCTTTATTGTCACCGATTGTTGAGGATTCTATTTTAAACATTAATTTTATCCCTTCATTATCTGCCTTTGCCATAGTTTGCTCTTAGTTCTTTTACAACATCTCTATGTAGTGGTAATATGCAAAATAATAAGCTCTGGGAAAAATATATACAAATACACATATATCTCTCACTTCTGGAAATATCTATCACTGCAGGTATTATTTCAATAAAGGAGAAAATGAGCCTAAGTTATCTTAGATATAAATAAGTCATTATTTAACCCTGCCTCTATTTTCTAATTATCAAGAAAATAATGATTTTTTGATTTCCAAATAATGTCTGACATTTTAACCCTTCAAACTCATCTCACAGATTTCTCATTTATTTCTTCTAAATGAAGAAATAAATTTATGGCCATTTATATCCATACTCTCTGCCCAGTTTTCATTTATGCAGGCCCATTTCTTACTTAAATTGGCATAGTTTTAACATGCCAATCACACTTTGAATTTGCCTAGCTTAAGACCTGTATTTTATGGGGAATTGCTGGCAAACTCCTGTTCAGGTGAGTGGACACCTCTCATTCAATGCCCACCTGACTCAAGCTCATCGTCTCCAGTCAAATCTCATTACATGAGGGGAGGCTTGAATACCTACTCCAATAGCATTTAGCTAGAAAGTTTGATTGAAAGCTTTGTTACAGAATTTCTGTTCCCTGGGAATTTCTATTTCTATTTTGTTTGTTATAGAATTTCTATTTTCTAGGAACAGAAAGCTTCGTTATAGAATTTCTATTTCCTAGGAAGCCTTCTTTCACTTGCCCTCATCAGCTTTACATAAGATTGACTATAGATATCTTGCTTTATTTTCTTTAACTGCTGATTTATTCACTTTCACAGGCCCATTTGAATGGCTATGACCTTTGTGAAAGTTGATCATATGAATTGAATCATTCTTGTCATATTCAATTAAAACAGAGTTGAGAAACCAGGAGAAAAGGCATTCAGGGCACAGGAAACATTGCTCCAAGAATGTAAGTCTCTGCAAACCTGGCTGCTGAAACTGCCTGCTGTACCCTGAAACCAGTTATATCTAAAGGCTTCTGAAATAACTTACTACAACTCTTAAACTAGTTTTACCCACTCCTGTCACTCAGCAATCAGAACTTGCAAGCTCCCCCCAAATTTGCTAGTGCCAATTAACTTTCTGGAAACACAACACATAACATTTCTCCTTTTTATAAAATCATCAAACTACTCTTTGTTTTGTGGATATACCAAAGACTAGCCAATCTGTGTTTATGCCGTGAATTACAATTCTTGTATCCCAAATAAAATGTGAAATATACAGATTCATCTCTACATTTTTTTAATTTGACTTCAGTACTGTATTAGTCCATTTTTGTGCTGTTATAAGGAAATAACCTGAGACTGGGTAATTTATAAAGGAAAGAGGTTTAATTGACTCACAGTTCCACAGGGCTTGGGAGGCCAATCATGGTGGAAGGGGAAGAAAACATGTCCTTCTTCACAAGGCTGCAGAAGAGAGAAGAATGAGGGAAGTGGGGGAAAATACCCTTATAAAACCATCAGATCTCATGAGAACTCACTCACTATCACAAGAGCAGCTGCCCCCATGATTAAATTACCTCCCACCAGGTCCCTCCCACAACACATGGGGATTATGGAAACTAAAATTCAAGATGAGATTTGGGTGGAGACACAGCCAAGCCATATCATTACCTCCCACCAGGTCCCTCCCACAACACATGGGGATTATGGAAACTAAAATTCAAGATGAGATTTGGGTGGAGACACAGCCAAACCATATCATTTCACCCCTGGCCCCTCCTAAATCTCATATCCTCAGATTTCAAAACACAATCATGCCCTTCCAACAATCCCCCAAAGTCTTAACTCATTCCAGCATTAACTCAGAAGTCCGAGTCCAAAGTCTCATCTGAGACAAGGCAATTTCCTCTGCCTATGAGCCTGTAAAATCAAAAGCAAGTTAGTTACTTCCTAGATACAATGGGGGTACAGGTATTGGGTAAACACATCCATTTCAAATGGGATAAATTGGCCAAAATGAAGGGGCTACAGGCCCCATGCAATTTGGAAATCCAATAGGGCAGTCATTAAACCTTTAAGTTCCAAAATGATGTCGTTTGACTCCATGTCTCACATCCAGGTCACGTTGATGCAAGAGGTAGGCTCCTACACCTTGGGCAACTCTGCCTCTGTGGCTTTGCAGGGTACAGCCCTCAACCTGGCTGCTTTCATGGGCTGGTGTTGAGTGCCTGCAGCTTTTCCAGGTGCATGGTGCAAGCCATTGGTGGATCTACCATTCTGGGGCCTAGAGAATGGTGGCCCTGTTCTCACAGCTCTACTAGGCAGTGCCCCAGTGGGGACTCTGTGTTGGGGTTCCAATCCCGCATTTCCTTTCCATACTGCCCTAGCAGAGGCTCTCCATGAGAGGTCTGCTCCTGCAGCAGACTTCTCCCTGGACATCCAGGCATTTCCATACATACTCCGAAGTCTATTAATAAAACACAATTTCCAATTTCTCCCCAGAAAATGGGTTCTTCTTTTCTACTGCATTGTCAAGCTGCAAATTTTCTAAACTTTTATGCTCTGTCACCTCTTGAACGCGTTGCTTCTTAGAAGTTTCTTCTGCCAGATACCCTAAATTATCACTCTCAAGTTCAAAGTTCCACAGATCTCTAGGGCAGGGGCAAAATGCCCTAGAGTCTCTTTGCATAGCAAGAGTGACCTTTACTCAGTTCACAAGAAGTTCCTCATCTCTATCTGAGACCACCTCAGCCTGAACTTCATTGTCCATATCCTTATCAGCATTTTGGTCAAAGCCGTTCAACAGGTCTCTAGGAAGTTCCAAACCTTCTTATATCTTGCTGTCCTCTAAGCCCTCCAAGTCTCTAGGAAGTTCCAACCTTTCCCACATTTTCCTGTCTTTTTCTGAGCCCTCCAAACTATTCCCACATCTGTCTGTTACCCAGTTCCAAAGTTGTTTCCACATTTTTGGGTATCTTATATAAGCACCCCATTCTCTGCAGTAGCAGTTTACTGTATTAGTCTGTTCTCATGCTGCTATAAGGACATACCCGAGACTGGGTAATTTATAAATTAGATAGAGGCTTATAAATTAGATAGAGGCTTAATTGACTCACCCTTCCACAGGGCCAGGGAGGCCTCAAAAAACTTAAAATCATGGCAGAAGGGGAAGCAAACATGTCCTTCACAAGGCGGCAGGAGAGAGAATGAGTGAAGTGAGGGAAAAGCCCCTAATAAAACCATCAGATCTCATGAGAACTCACTATCATGAGAACAGCATGAGGGCAACTGTTCCCATGATTAAATTACCTACCACCTCGTCCCTCCCACAACACAAGGGGATAATGGGAACTAAAAGAAGAGATTTCGGTGGGGACTCAGCCAAACCATTTCATACACTTTGTATTGAAAAGTCCCTATGTTTTGGCATTTCCTATCTAGGGTGCATGAAAGAGGCTTACTGCCAGTGAGTACAGGCAGGAAATCAGGGGATCAGGGCTAGTACTTACTAGCTTGTGACCTTGGGAAAGTTACATAACCTCTCTGATGTTCAGTTCCATCTGTAAAATGGGCATGATAATACCTAGGATTGTTGTGGGAGTTAAATAAATTTTGTATATAAAGTATTTAGCCACTCCAAGGCTCTCCTTTCTTTCTCCTTCCTTCTTCTTGAGAACCCTTCCATTATACATCCCACATGTATATCTCATGTATGTCTGCAGTGTGATGTTGCATATTCAATCATCATATGACTCCTACTTTGAGCGATATATCCTAAAGCATTTCATTCTGATCCTGTTTCCTTGCTTACTTCACACCAACAACGCTTCTGCCTCCCTGCCTAGAAGTGGCAGGATGTGTGCTGACGTGATTATGGACTTCTTGAAATCACTGCTTCTGTCACTTATTTGCCTCTCATTCTTCCAACTCCTTATTCATTGCTCTGTATGGGAAGAAACCAGAGATAAATTTTACTGTTAATTGAATTACACTTAAGTTACAGGGCCCCTCACTGGCCAGGCACTTTCCACAGCTCTGTGAGGGATCCTAGTGATGCTTTTATAGGGTTATATGCCTTTGTAAAATTTGCAGAGTAACACATTTTAACCATATGAAATTAAAACTGTTGTCTTTTTCTATTCCAGTTCTCCCTTGATCACATTTCTTCTTTTGGAAGGTGGGTTTTTGATTATTGTGGGTAGTTTTGAGATCTGGGTAAGGAGAGAATGAGACAGGTCATCAGTGAGTCTGGAGTTGGTAAGTTAGATATAGTTCTCAGCCACCTCTGTACATAGTTAAGCTATTGTTAGGCCTTTCTGTGTAGGAATTGCTTCCAGGAAAACTCTTACTTTATCCAGAATCATGACCAAAGTGAATAAGAATATGTGCTCTGGTGCCCATTGTTGGAAAGCTCAAAAGAAACCTTTGTGAACCTATTAATAAAACACAATTTCCATACATTTTTATAGAAGAAAGACTATCCTTTTATCCTCTCTAGAAAATATTACACAATTTTCAAAAAACGTGATCAAAGAGTAGGAAGCAAAAATGTGGAAAATGTATAGTCAGAAAATAAAAATACTATGTTATTTTTCTAGATATAAAAATTTTTGTGTTACATATATTTTAAATTTTGTTATCATTTATTTTATTTTAAATACATACTTAATTATTTGCCTAATTTTATATTTGTAATATATTTTTTTTCTTAGAAATAACCCCTCTAACTTATATAAATTGTGACCCCTCAAAAACTTGATCTGCTCCTGAGGCACCAAGTAGCAAAGCAAGAGGTGACTCTAGCTGAAGAGGTGGGTGGATTTGAATCTGATTCTTGAATCTTGTGCTTAGTGAGAGATTTGCTAAAACTGCCAATGATAGCATCTCTTACAAGGCTCCGATGTTAATTAGCTAGGTTGGGAGTAGGGACTGAAGACTGTGACTTTTTTTTTTTTTTTTTTTTTTATAATCAAGTGTGTTTTTCCCTCACAGAAATTTAGCATTTTATGTAATCCAATCTAGTAGTCTTTTTCTTTATGACTTCTGAATTTTAGGTCTTGCCTAGGGGACCTTGTCCACCAAAAGCCTATAAAAAGATATTGTATATATTCTTCTGTCAGTTATATATTTTTACACTACATTAAGCTCTTCAGTTTATCTTGAATTTATTTTTCTTTTTTTTTTTTTTTTTTTTGGAGACAGAGTCTCACTCTGTCGCCCAGCCTGGAGTGCAGTGGTACGATCTCAGCTCACTGGAACCTCTGCCCATCGTGTTCAAATGATTCTCCTCCTCCCTCAGCCTCCTGAGTAGCTGGGATTACAGGCACTTGCCACCCGCCTGGCTAATTTTTGTAATTTTTTTTTTTTTTTTTTTTTTAGTAGAGATGGGGTTTCACCATCTTGGCCAGGCTGGTCTTGAACTCCTGACCTCGTGTTCCACCTGTCTCAGCCTTCCAAAGTGCTGGGATTACAGATGTGAGCCACCTCACCTGGCCTGGAATTTGTTTTATATTTGGTGTGAGATGAAGATGTCCCCTATATTCTGCCCGTGCCCAATATGCCAACACTCTATTGAATAGTATATCTTTTTCCAAAGAGGGAGGGACTTTTAAAGTGAATTTATTATTCCTTCAAAATATTTAATACAGTAGTTTGTAACAGATTCCATTGGTTAACAAAAGTTCAGTTGACTATAAATTTCTGCTATATGATGAATCAAAAAATCTGTTGCAAATTTGGAGTGGGTGTTGAATTGAGAGACGTTGGTATGAATGTAAAGAGAAGAAAATATTACACTGTCATGTAAACATTCCAGATATTGAAAACTAAGTCTTCTGCTTGAGAAGCCATTAAGTTGCTTTTGGTCAAACTTAGTTTCCTTTCCCTTTGCTTCCTTTTCTAAATGGTCATAAATGGACAAAGGGGACTTCTTCTTTCCTTTAAATTTTTTTTTTTTGATGTGACCTCTGCTTTTTTTGGGTCCTCTTTCTAGTCAGTTCTTTTCTTTTTTGAGATAGGATCTTGCTTTGTTGCCCAGGCTGGAGTGCAGTGGTGTGATGTTGGCTCACTGCAGGCTTGGCCTCCCGGGCTCAAGTGATCCTCCTGCCTCAGCCTCCCAAGGAGCTCGGGCTGTAGTCATGTGCCACCATGCCCGGCTAACTTTTTTTGTGGAGAGAGGGTCTTGCTATTTTGCCCAGGCTGGTCTTGAACTCCTGTGCTCAACTGATCCTCCTGCATTGGCCTCCCAAAGTGTTGGGAGTAATCCATGCATGTTTTGCACAGGTTACTCATTCTGGTTTTGAATCCACTGACTCGTTAAGAAAGTTTTTGTCTTGTAGACATATTATTTTTAGTTTTTTTTAAAAAGGTGTAATCTTAATCTAGTCATTAGGAAGTAGAGGCTATTCAGTTATTCATAAATATTAACTTCCTCAAAGTTATCCAGAAAAGAGAAATTTGGGTCACCTACAGGGTTAGTGAGTTCCTTTCTTTTATCACAACACTGTTTGCTTGCAACTTAGTGTATTAGTCAGGATACTCCAGAGAAAGAGAACCAATAGAGTGTGCATGTGTGTATGTATTTATTTATTAGAAGCAACTGGTGCACACAATTATGAAGGCTGAGAAGTCCCAAGATCTGCAGTTAATAAGAGATGAGGGGACCCACGAGGGCCAATGTGTAGTTCCAGTCCAAGTCTGAAGTCTGGGGCCTGAGAACGAGGAGAGCTGATAGTGTAAGTTTCAGTTGGAAAGCCAGAAGACTCAAGACCCATGAAGTACCAATGTTTCCATCTGAGTCAAAGCTGGAAAAGACCAGTGTTCCAGCTCCAGTAATCAGACAGGAGGAGTTCTCCCTTATTTACATGATGTTGTGGGGATGTTCAGCCTTTTTTTGTTTTTTCTATTTAGGGCTTAATTGATGGGATGTGGCCCAGCCACATTAGGGATGGCAATCTGTTTTACTTAGTCTACTGATTCAAATGTTAATATCATCCCAAAACACCCCCACAGACATATACAGAATGTTTGTCCAAATATCTGGGCACCCCATGGCCAGTCAAGTTAACACACAAAGTTAATCATCATACTTAGTGTAGGAAATGATGACCAGAATTATAACTTAGTAGACCTGTGATTATTATTATCCTAGCTCATGGCTCAAGATAGAATGTAAAATTTTTCACCTTTTGAGATTTCTTTAAGATTTCTCTGTGTTTTTTTTTTTTTTCTTTTTTTTTTTTTTATGAGACAGATTATTACTTTGTTGCCCAGGCTGGAGTGCACAAATATGGCTCACAGCAGCCTTGACCTTTTGGGCTTAGTCAATCCTCCTGCCTCAGCTTACTGCGTAGCTGGGACTGACTACAGGCATACACCACTATGCCCACCCAATTTTTTTTTATTTTTTTTGGAGAGACAAGATTTTGCTATGTTGCTCAGGCTGATTTTGAACTCCAGAGCTCAAGCAATCTTCCTGCCTCAGCCTCCGAAAGTTCTGGGATTATAGGTATGAGCCACCATTCCTGGCCAATTTCTCTTACTTAGAAATCAATATCTTAAACTGTGTTCAGTTCTCTTTTGTAATATTTTATATATCATTTGGAGCTGGGCATTTTAAAGATGTCTAATGTATTGAATAAACATGTATCTATAGAGTGAAGTTGTTATGATATAAATTAGAATAATAATAGGCTTATATTTTTCTTGAAATTAGTTTTCAAAAGAGAGATGAGAAGATGCAATATTGTAGACTTTATTTCTAGTATCTTTTAAAGAAACTCCTTGACAAGTGAATTTTTTATTTGATTCTAGTAATTAAAGATTTAATTTTTTGTATTTTACAGAAAACATTTCATATGGTGATAAAAAGTTGCTACCTCACCTCATTTTTTAGTGAGGCTCAAAATCTTTTATAAATGTTGGTACTTACTATATTTTGGTAATGAAAATGCTATAACAAATTTCCATTTTATTAATACTAATTAGCACCAGAGGGAACTCAGTGTGCAAATCCAAAGTACCTAACACAGCTAGTGTTAGGCTTAGTCAGAACATGCAGTCACCTCCAAGGTATATTTTAAGGAGTGCTGACAAAAAGTTTGTTTCTCCTGAAATGCCTGCCATTGGGAGAGTGAAAGGCATCTACCAACTGGAGACTGACCTGTGTTAAGAAGAGGTGGTCTCTTTGGCAGGAAAAATTCCCATGGGAAGAGTTAAGTATATCACTCCTAATGGTTTAATGCCAAATTAATCAAAATAATAACTAACTTTGGTAACTGGGAGTTTCACTTAATAATTATGAGGGAGGAGGAATAAACATATATATATATATATATATATATATATATATATATATATATATATATTTTACTGAGAACAAGTTGCCAATGACAAAGGAACACTGGGATATACTACCAAAATCTTGGTGGTCTGCTCCTTCATGTCACTTGCTGTCTCATATAACCATGTTAAGTTCAGTTAAGTTTTCATGAATCTCCTGTTGGAACACATGTACAAAAAAACAGTTATCTCTTTACAATTAAACATTTCCTTTGCAATACAGCACTGATTTTCCCCTAATGTTCTAACATCTTCCTTATAATTCCCTTTAAAGCTGCTTTGGAAATTCAGTCTTGCAAGCATCCTACAGTATTTTCTCATATATCTTCCTTGTGGGTCTGCAGGAAAGATGTTAGATCTTTGGCATTTACTGTAATTAGCTGAGGGAGATTATCTACATGCAGAGCCAAGGAAGCCAGGTCTTTTTTTTTTTTTTTTTGTCAGTGTTTTCATGTGACTACCATATCATTTCATTTCTAACAGCCTTTGCTGTGGCCCAGCCATGTTTATGTGCACATGCTATCTCTCTGTCTTTAGCATCAGATCTCGATGATAGTATAACCCACTTGTGTACAAGCTTGCCCTCTAACTTCAAGGATCTAATAGCCTCTGCTATTACAGGTCCAGGAGCAGCAGCCCTCAAGCTGTATTAGGAGACTTGGAATCTTTCGTATTCCCTCAGTGATAGGCTTGCTGCTCATTCCTTGAAATGCCCTTCCTCCTGACTTGCCAAACTTCAGTTACTTGCTTCTGTTGTCTCAACATGATCCAAAGAGATTTGCTACTGTTTTTGGTGTTTCTTTTTGTTCTTACATTAAACAAAACAAAACAAAACAAAAAACACACCAAAACAGAGCAAACAACAACAACAACAACAAAACAGTTGGAAAGTAATGAGGTCAAAACGTGATGAAATGGATTTAGTGAAAAACGAGTTTAACTATTCTTTCTCAAATGTTGCCTAGTTTCTTCTTTCTGAACCTGTGGATTTGGCATCCAATATGCACTGCTGTGTCACACGCATATTGGAGATGTCAAAAGAGAAGTCTGATGTCTCAAATGAGTTAAAGTGTTTACAGGTGGCCAAATTTCCCCTTAGAGTGTTCAAATTTGGTGGTTATGGTTGAAATGAGATTAAGAGTATTCTTTCAGGTTTTGTGGTTTACTGATCTAATGTGAACAGGAACACCGTGAGTAGAGTTTTGCTTCTATGCCTCTGGTTCTTATGTTTCTGTTTATTGTATTTCCAGGAATGTGACAAGCACAAAATGGAGAAATTGAGAAGGCAATGTTTTAAATGCTTCCAGGCATCTAACCTGGGATATGCAAAACTAAAATCTTACCTTCCTTGTTTTTCACAAAGAGTTTCTAGCTACAAAGTAAAAAGTGTATTTCTTTTTTTTTTTTTTTTTTTGAGATGGAGTCTTGCACTGTTGTCTGGGGTTGGAGTGCAATGGCGCGATCTTGGCTCACTGAAACCTCTGCCTCCTGGGTTCAAGTGATTCTCCTGCCTCAGCCTCCCGAGTAGCTGGGATTACAGGCACCTGTCACTAGGCCCGACTAATTTTTTGTATTTTTAGTAGATATGGGGTTTCATTATGTTGGCCAGGCTGGTCTCGAACTCCTGACCTTGTGATCAGCCAGCCTCGGCCTCTCAAAGTGCTGGGATTACAGGCATGAGCCACTGTGCCCGGCCAAGTGTGTAATGTTTGTTCAGCATAATAATCTGTACAAAGCATGAGCATCATATGTATTCATTTTTTAAAAATTCAACTGATACCTATTGAGTGTTTACTATACGTTATGACAGGCTTTAAACTGTTTTACTATCAGAACAACAGCAGCTACTTCAAGTATCCTAAGTGCTAAAGCCACATTTAATGACTTTAATAGAGTTAGTATATAACAGAGAGAACTGCAGTTTTCAGTATTGAAGGGCCTTTCATAGATAATGCTGTTTTCATTTTTTTGGTCTTATATAGATAGCAAACCAACAAAAGTACCAAAATCAGGAATTGATGTCCCAAGTACATAGCTATAATGAACCCTATGAGATTTATTGACTATATAATTTACAGTTTTTAGTTCCAGAGCGGAAGATAATAGGACATCAGGATCGATCAATAAATAATGACTTACTTACTCTTCAGGCACAGAATATGCCACTAGTCTGAACTTACTTTGAAGACAACTTGAAGATTAAAAGATAGGATTCCATTCACATTAACTAGGGTGGGACTTTTTATTATGTTAATTCAGAAGTCAAAGAGAGAGAATTATTCTAGAAACAAGATTTGAATTGTCTTTGTAATTGGTAAATAATATTAAAAAGATAAGCCTTATTGCTATATGATTGAAATGAGGAGAAAGCATAGTAGTATATTATGACGTCCTGGCTGCTTTGCTTATGAGCTCTGTGACATTGAGAGGTTATCCACTTCTCTGTATGCCAGTTTCCTTATCTGTAATATAGGTTTTATTTATGATGATGATAGTCCAATCTGGGTTCTACCATTTACTAGCCATTTGAACTCTGGAAATTAATATAATCAGTATGCTTTAGTTTTCTCACTTTTTGGGCTCTTAACAAGTATTGAACAAAAGTTAACTGTTATTAACACTCTTTTTCTTTAAGATGGAATCTTGCTCTGTCCCCCAGGCTGGAGTGCAGTGGCGCAGTCTCGGCTCACCGCAACCCCTGCCTCCCGAGTTCAAGCTATTCTCCTGCCTCAGCTTCCCCAGTAGCTGGGATTATAGGTGCCTGCCACCAAGCCCAGCTAATTTTTGTATTTTTAGTAGAGACAGGATTTTGTCATGTTGGCCAGGCTGTTCTCGAACTAACATTCTTTAATATAGCGGACTCTGTAAAGAGGGGTGACGGGGAACTACCATTTGTTGGATATATATTTCATGTCATACTTGAGTATAGATATAGCTTCAATCAGGGTTACTTGTTAATAATGAAAACCACTCCAACAGTCTTGCCAAAAGTGTTTATTAAATTACATTAGTTACATAAGGTAAAGTGAACAAAAAAATACATTAGTTTATGAAGTGATTTTAGCTGAAATTACATTGCTGGATCATTCCATGGAGATCCTATTGGTGCTGCTACAAGGTACAGGCCTCAGCTCATACTGCCAAAACTGGGAATGCCCACTGGGAAGGGCATAGGCCTAGGGAGTCAGACTGGGTCATAAAAGTCTAAGCCAAGTACCTTGACCTTCCTCCTGAAAGTATAAGCAAAGAAGAAGCAGCCGTCTTTGCGTATTTGGTCCTTGACAATTCTGTTTAATTTTAGCAATTTCATTTTGAGCACTTGCTATGATGCGCTTTGTAAAAATGTCTTTTTTGAGGGTAATATTTAGTGACTTGGGAAGAGAGTCTTCTAAGAAAGGCCATGACATACCTGCATCATTGTACACAGTTATTCCACACTTTTGGAGGCCTAGGTAGAAGAGTTAGTCCACAAAGCTGGGAAATAAAGAGGAATTTGACTTAGACACACTTACGATTTAGGTACTAAGCATGTAACCTGTGCAGTCCTAGCGCTCTGTTTACAGCAGGTGAAGTACCTTATGGCGCCTTGCATTTGCCTCAAGAGACTTTGGGTTTAGGCCTGAGTAAGAAACACTGACTTATTTGAACTTTGCCGTGATGGATAGCAGAAGGGCCTTTATTTGAAAAAAAAAAAAAAAAACTCTACAATGGTGAAGAATCACTGCAATAAATGGAAAGCCCTTATGCTGTAAAAATTCCCCTGGCATTCTCATGGGATAGAGCGCTATGGCTCAGAGAAAAGAAAAACCATACTAATGGAGTTTTCTTGTTCACTTCTTAGGTCAGCACTACTCCTGATATAGTCATCTGACTTTTGAACCATGACTTTCCTCTAAGGAATCACTGTGTGTTTGTTTCTCTTTACTTTTTGCCTCACACATGCGTAGTTTTTCCATTAAGAAACTTTTAAAAAAATATTTTATGTTATTTCCTGGTAGCATTTAAAAAAGGGTTTCCATTATGTTCAACTATCTGTGGGACATTTTTCCAGATTATTGTTATTAAGAATGAACATTAGATAGCATTTCATATATTTAAAATATTTAGAAGAGGATCGAATGCCTGACTGAGCTCTCTGTGATATGGAGCCTAGGAAAGCCTTTATTTCACATTCCTTCCCCTGTCAGTGATATCCGCTTGACCTATCACTCTATTTCTTTCTTATCTTCACCAAAATACTTAGAAAAAGTTTATACACACAATTCCCCTTCTTCATTTCCCATTCTCTCCTCAGATCCTGGGGCCAACCTCTACCACACTATAGAAATTTCCCTCTAAAAGGTCCAATTACTGAAAGATTTATTCTTTGGCTTCATCCTCCTTTATCACCCTATAGCATTTCACAATGTTGATGACCTTGTCTACCTTGAAAGAGTTACCTCTTGCCTCTGTTGCCCTACTTTCCCATTTCCTCTATCACAGTACTGTGTCCTCACATGATGGAAAGAACAAGGGAGAACCCTGCAGTCTCTTTTATAAGAGCACTAATCCCATTCAGTACTTTATCACTGGAGGAACATCTCTAGATTATGGGAGAATGTTTGTTTTCTTTTGTACCTGAGGCTATTCAAGAAAAGGTGGGAGAATGAGAACTTAAAGATGTCCTGGTGCTTTTGCAGATCCTTTGGAGTCTAGCAGAAGTTCTATAGAATTCACAGAAGCTTTCCAAGGACTGGTAGCCTACAGCTTAGATTAGCTTCTATACCCCTTGAGTGATCGCCTGAATATTTCTGAGAAAATTATCATTATTAGGAAAACTGAAATTATGTTGTCAGGTAGAATGTAGGAAATGCTATACCTAGACTACATTGACAATATAACCTTGAAAGCATTGTTTATATAAATGAACAAAAGTCTAGAATAACCGTATTTTAGCAGGCAGGGAATTTTGTAGAGCTGTCACATTCAGCTTTCTGTTACAATTTAGGACTGGCTATATATTTTGTTGGTTTAGTATGAAATAAAAATATGGAGTCATTCAAAAGTTGTTAAGAATTTCAGTATGGCAAGAGACAAGCAATTAAACCAAACGTAACAATCTGCGTAAAGGTATAGGTCATAGACCCATGAAGCCAGCTCTGCCTCTATACCATTACTATTTGCCAGAAATTTAGCTGTGTAGGTTGGGCTAGCAAGAATTACCCTGATATTCCTGTTTTCTCTTCTCTTTTACTATAGACATAAAATGTTCTCAAAATGTCTGGTCCTTCCTCCATGAAAATGTTTCCATCACTCAGGATGCTTGTCTAAGTTCTGGTTCCAGAGAAGATTATGAGTGAATGCTGAGAGGACTATTTAATTAACTTCTTTAACACCTTGTAGTATGAGCAACACTGTTGTAGGACTCCTTTAACTGAATACAGCCAAAAAAGAGGCCTCTTCTCTTCTCTGTTTTGCTTCATAACAGACATCCTCAGCCACCATGACACCACCAGTAGGAGGTACTGTCCACAGGAGCAGCGGAAGAGAACTTACCTTACATCATGAAACAGCAAGAAAAATAGTTCTTGCAATATACTAAATGTTTGTGTCCCCTCCCTGCTCCATATTCATATGTTGAAATCTAATCCCCAGTGTGACGGTATTTGGAAGTGGGGCCTTTGGGAGCTGATTAACTGATAAAGGTGGAGCCCTCATGAATGGGATTAGTGCTCTTATAAAAGAGACAGCGGGGTTCTGTCTTGTTCCTTCCATCATGGGAGGACACAGGGAAAAGACAGCTGTCTATGAATGAGGAAGTGGGCTCTCATCAGACACTGAATCTGCCAGGAGCTTGATCTTAAACTTTCAAGCCTCTAGAACTGTGAAAAATAAGTTTTTGTTGTTTACAAGCCACCCAGTTCATGGTATTCTGTTATTGTAGCCCCAAATGACTATGATGGTTCTCTAAATATATAATGAGTGTAAACCTTCTTGATAGCAGGACAAATGTCTTCTTGTCCACATGTCCTTTTGCTAGGACTTTAATGTGGGATTTTGAATCAGTCTAGTCAGGAACTGAGGGATTTATCATTCCTTTCATTACTGTCAGTACTTCCTGGGCTTCAACCTCATTGGTGAGTTTGCCAGGGCCTGGTTTGCCAGGGAGTTATTCTAAATGTCTGTTCCACCCTCAGCTTTAGGAATTTATTTTACATCATGCCTCAGAGAGGATCTCTCTTTATGTTCTTGCCCTTCTCTCAGCAGTTTATCTCTGTTACTACTATGTGCTTATTATCTTGGTGGTGGGATGTAACCCTATAATTTTGGGGCATGTTATTCTTTTGTTGGAAATGTGTATTGTTTTTAATCTGTTGCTGGTTTAATATTTTCATAGTTTATATTTTTAATACTTGGATATTTTGAATAAACTTTGTATCCTATTTAAAAAATTTGATTATTTGAGCCAATTTGTATTTGGAGTTGTTTCTATTTTGTTATGTTTCAGTTTCTTATTTCTTTTTGGAAAAAATATTCTTTGAGTTCTCCTTGGGAGAGAAAAGATATTATTCCTTCATGTTTTGTAGCTTGGAAGTATGGCCAAATTTTAATTCAGAATATGTTTAATTAACTGGTACAGTGGCTCCTGCCAGTATTCAATCTCTCAGTGCCCCTTTGTTTTAGAAGAGATGCTACTTTCAAAGTGATTGTGACCATACTCTATGCTAGAATTTGTGCTAATAATATTCCCTCTACCTTCTGCTACACTAGTTTTATTTTTTAGGTTTGTATCAGTTCTGAACTGCTGACTCAAGTGAAGTAATAAAAAATGCTAGTTACATTAAAACATTATGACCATCATTTACATTGTCTAAAGTTCTTATAAAGCCTTAGAGATTTTTTCATTGCTGCTATATTGGGAAAACATTGATGAAGATAATCAGAAGCATAAACAATATGTTACCTGCTTATTAGAAAAATGCTCTATCAACATAGATCTCTTGATGGGTTGCTGCCACCTTGGGGTCCCTTTAATCCAAAGTCTTAACTACAAATTGCCCTGTGATTTTCTCTTCTGATTTTTCCTATACAGCATGGGTTTGATAGTGGAATTCAAAATATTTCAGGACATTTTTGATCCCTGCTTCTCACATTTATCTCTAGATGGTCCCTAATACCCAAATATGGAAATGTTAGGGAATTTGGAAGAAATATATCTTTCTTTTTTGAGACATGGTCTCACTCTCGCCCAAGCTGGAGTACAGTGGCACCATCACTGAAGCCTTGACCTCCTGGGCTCAAGAGATCCTCCCGTTTCAGCCCCCACAAGTAGCTGGGACTACAGGTGTGCACCATCATGCCCGGCTAATTTATTGTATTTTTAGTAGAGACAGGGTTTCTCTATGTTGCCCAGGCTGGTCTCAAACCCCTGGACTCAAATGATCTGCCCACCTGTGCCTGCCCAGGAATATACTTTTCATTCATTTTAGTAACAGTATTAGGACAAGCATTGAAATTAAGAAGTTTTCTAATCTGCACTCCTTATTCCACAACGTTTTGGCTGTAAGTTTACATGATGTACATTTCAAAGGTAAGGCATTGTAGTGAGGATGCCAGTGAGTTGAGTTTTAAATGATGGAGAAGAGTATGAGCATGAGATTTTGTTAAAAGTCTACAATAAGAGAAAGGGTGGAAAACTTTTGTCATAGGTAGATTGTCACGTAAACAGGAAAGCAGCTATAATTCTTGCTGGAGCCTTCTTAACATAATGGTCTCTCTTGTGTTGTATATTTATATAACATACTTCCCAGGACTCAGCCTTACCTTTTGATTCTTATTATTTTAACTTGAAGAGCAAAATGTTTTTTTTTTCTTTTTTGCCTGGTTGTTTTTCATTTTTATATAGATGAGAGGCTCCTTTTGGTAGGGTGACTTCACATTTCATGGTTATGTTTGAAGAGAGTTCAATGTCTCTTCTTCCCCAAGCTCTTCTCACAGCATTTACAGAAGTTTCAGATGATGATCCAGATTCCTTATCTGCTTGCTTGTTTTCTCCTCATATAAAGCAGAAGAGTGTATGTTAAATCTTAAAATCTTATCGTGACACAGCAATTGCATTGTGCTACAAATCATTTGGATCTTCATGGCTTTTTAAAAATAGGATTTCTAACACACTGATATCCTCAAGTTGTAGCTCTACATTGTTCAACAGAAGAACATTACATTTCTTAAAGTAACAGGCCTACTATTTAATAACAGTCATGATTATCTTTGAGTTCATACCTTAATTAAGTCGGAGTGTTGAGAGGAAAGTCTGGATATTTCTTAAGCAGTTCATTGCAGGAGAGTTCAAATAGTGAGTGGGTGCTTATGACAGAAATCTAGTCTTGGAAGTAAGTAGCTGTAATTATCACACTAGCTAAATAGTGTATCTGAAATGTTTTTGACTATGAACTATGGAAAAAGTATACTCAACCTTGTGGTCTGGTGTGCTGATAAATTTGCACAGATGCACATACACATATGCACACATACAAACTGGAACACAAATTAATGGAATGATACTCTTTTTTTTTTTTTTTTTTGAGACAGAGTCTTGCTCTGTCGCCCAGGCTGGAGTGCAGTGGCGCAGTCTCGGCTCACTGCAACCTCCACCTCCCGGGTTCACACCATTCTCCTGCCTCAGCCTCCTGAGTAGCTGGGACTACAGGCACCCGCCACCATGCCTGGCTAATTTTTTGTATTTTTAGTAGAGACAGGGTTTCACCGTGTTAGCCAGGATGGTCTCAATCTCCTGACCTCGTAATCCACCCGCTTCAGCCTCCCAAAGTGCTGGGATTACAGGCATGAGCCACCACACCTGGCAAATGATACTCTTATATATGATGCCTTCTAATATTTTCATTATATTCTTTTCTATAAGCATAGATAGGATATGTATTTATTTTAAAAATGCTCATCAAACTTAAATTACTTTTACTTATTAGTGGGTTGGGATGCACGGTGCGTAAAACACTGGTCTAGATTCTAGTAGCACATATCCTGGAGTTCTTAGGGCCATACAGTTTTGCATATTTATGTGTGGATTTGTTTTTGTGGAGATGGGGTTCTCAGGTTTTATCAGATTTTTCAAAAGGTCTTTGATGTTTAACCTAAAGGCACGTAAAGACAAATTTATGTCTGTCCTCTCAACTTTAATTCCTCCCTATTTTTTTTTTCTTTTTACTGGGATCACTTTCCTTTTTATTCTGCCACTCCCAACTTCATCATAACTATATCCATCCCAGAGTTCCTAATGAATAAGGAAATCACATATTAATACATTAATTTTTAAATCTACATAATAGTAATAATAATAGTAATAACCATGTATTTAAAATCCATTTTTTTGTCAAGAGCTGTACTGAGAGCTTTAAATATTTTATCTTGAATTCAAAAAGTAAATATTGTGGGGCAGTTATTTTTATCCCCATTTTTCACATATGAAAGCTGAGATTGAGATAGCTTAATTTGCCAAAAATCTCACAGAGTAGAGAAGGATTCTAATACTGATTCATGGGACTCTAAGCAAACATACTTCCTACTACCGTGTGTCTGGCTTACTTGAAGACTTATCTTTATAGGCATGTATTTTTTAGTTGAATCAAAAATTGAAATTGTGGATGAGATAATTTAGCTGTGCATGGGTTAGTGTGCTGAGTGAGAACATGAGACTTAGTCTAGGGAATTTAACTGCTGAAGTCTCCTCATTGATGAGTTACCCTGGGGGAGTTATTTATCTTAATAGGCTCAGGCCCAAGACCTCCAACTCAGAGATTTCTGAAACTGACCCCTTTCAATCAAGAGCTCATGAATGCATATACTCATAGAGCCAGGTTTCCACTTTTCTGAACAGAGGTGCTGTCAGATAAAGGCGACATGAGCTTTTCAAAGTGTCTCTATAACATGCATTTATTTATATAGCAGATTCTTCCACCAAACTATTACAGAGGAATGATTCTATGAAGTTGTTAATATCATCAAGAGAAATGTGGAAGTGATGATAGGAGGAATTGTGACAAGTTAGCTTAATTCATAGCCTATTGAACATATGATTTTAGAGCAATTAGTGATGGGTTTTGAGTGCTTCCTCATGCCAAATACTTTCTTCTAAGGTGAGTTAGGTGTTTTCATCAGTATTAATCTCATATGCCTGTGGGGAAACTAAGGCAAAGGAACGTTAGGAAATGTTTCCAAAGATGCAGAAACTGACAGGGAGTTGATCCTGGATCTCAGAGCCTGTTGTCTAGCCTCCGAACTACATAGCCTTTTAGCAGTGTCTCCTGGGGAAGAATTCACCCAACTATTTTTTAGCTGGCAAAGAATTAGATTCGGTGCCAAGATGGATCAAATTCAAGCTGAATATTTAGTCATAAAGAATAATGTAGTTTATAATTAGTACCCTGGGGCACCTAGTTCTTCTTGAAATAGGCTGAGAATCAACATCATAGCAGAAATATCTCCATTAAAGAAAGTAGATTTTCTGTTGCCTTTTTGAGGCCTCTCACACTGAGAAATGCCTCCTGATGGATTTTTAATGTTTGTCAGTTAAAAAAAAAGAAGAAAAAACTCATTCAGAGTAAGGGAGTCTCCGCAAGCAAAAGCACCTAGAAAAGAGGTTGGATTTTTCTTAATTGATGGAGAGAAGGCTATACAGCTTCTTATTTTTCAAAGCTTCCACTTCTCATAGAATTTCCAACTCTGCTTTCAAATCAGAAGAGAGAGAGAGAAACAGAGAAACAGAGAGCCAGCCAGACAGGCAGACAGGAGGGAGAAGTAATTCAAAATAACAAAAGGACAGACAAAAATATTTTTTAAAACTCCAGATAGAAATGTTGTTTAAGAGAAAACTTTCAGAGAGAAATAGAAAAAATATCTTCCTTTTAGAAGAAACAAGAGATAGTTTAATATGCAATTTCAAAGAACTATCAAATTTTAAAAAGTTCTATGGCCATAAATTTTCAATTCGTTTTTCAAATTACCCAAGCATAGGACATCCAATTTTTATGAGGTTAAATTTTTTCAGAGGCTAAAAAGGTCCTCAATGCTCAATCCAGCCTGTTATTATTTTTCCTAAATTGTTCAGATACAAAGAGACTACCAATTTGATGATGCGTTATCACAACCAGAGAGGCTCCCTCTAACTAGATGACAAGAGGCTATTACAGTGATGGGTTACAATTGCAGGAATCGGTATTTTCTTCCTTAAGCAAAACTCATATTACTTCTTCAGTGTGGGACATCTATTTTATTTGTCAGTATATCTCAATCCCCAAACAGTGACGATGGCATTTTGATTGCTCTACAGAAAGATTATATATGCTGATTACCTACAATCATCAGTGTATATTCTTTGCTTTTTTTCTTTTAATACGTCATAACCAGTGGCTGACTACAGGAAAAGAAGCAATCTGGTATCTGGAAGAAATAAAAATTATTTTATAGCTGGAGATCAAATGCATGACTGGCCTCTATGACATTCCTCTAGCTATCTCTCTGTGATGCCATGAGAAGTGCTTTGGAATTAGAAAGCACAGGCCCAGCCACATACCCAAGGGAAGGTGCAATGTGAGTGAAGAGGCACTGTGCTTCGAATATTCAGTTTGATTTTAGTTCTAATAATTGCATATTCTAGTGACTTTTCATGGGTGGGTCGGGGAGAGAGCCAGTGTTATAGAGTATTAAGTTCAAGTGGCTTCACAGCCTTAATAGTCTATCTTGTTAAAATCTGGGGAACATTTCAACAATAAGATATATTTTGTAAAGTTCCTGACTGTTGTGCAAACAATGTCACATAACCAGGAAGCACCCGCATCAGATTTTGTGGAGTGGTATGTACTGGGGGGAAACTCAGGGAGATAGGAGAGATCATGTGTTCTCAGGGTGTGCACAAAGATCTGGTAGAGCTGGATGTCAGATTCCAGGAGAAGGATTCCAACCCTTTGGCTGGGGAGCTTTTAAGTTAAGGAAGCTCTGGTCCATCTTCTGATTGATCAGGAGTTTGGATAGAACCTAGTAAAGTCTTGGCTCCAATCTTAATCTGACAATTTAGCAATCATAGTCAGGGGAGCTCCAGATGTTCCCCTGGCACAATAGGAGGGTTAGGGTCCATGGCTTGCTGCTTGTGCCTGTATGACATAGTGAGCTAGTAGCATAATTAATTACCTCACCTTTCAAGGATGGAGAAGGGGAGTATTGTACTCACTCTGATGTGATTAGTGCACTAAGCTCTAGCCTTGAAGTTGACCAGGATTGATTTTCATAAGCACTGCTGATGGCTGACTTCCAAGCAACTTTTTAGGAGGGTGATACTTTTTCTGGGAGGCCAACCTGCAGGAGATCAATTTTCTACAAATTAATTCTTACTTATCATAGAACTTCAGAGACAGAGAAAGAAATGTTTGATATCTGAGCAAAAACATCAAGTTACCTTAGAAAGGTAAAATATCATGGTGGCTTGAGAATTCTATCAGAAACATGCAAAGCTGGAATCAATGAAGCCTTTCCCTCCCCTTAACCCCTACGATTTGCAAAAATCCTCAGATGTGTTTTAAACATTCATAGGCCATATAACTGGGGGAACTGACCACAGAATAGAAGAAATAGAAGCTACAAACCAAGATTTGCATTACACGTATCATCTGCTCAGTGGGGTCCTTCTCCTTTTTTTCCTGTCTCTCCTTTCCACCTTCCTTGCCTGGTTTATTGTTCTCTCTGGCTGTGTTTTATTCTCATCTATGTTCTTTATTTCTGTTTTCTCTCTGCTTCTTCCAGTCTCTGTACTTTTATTGCTCATTTTCATGCTAGTCTCACAGAGTAATGGAATGAAATTACATATTTACAAGTATCTTCTGCTTGCAGAATGTGTTATTAACATTTTTTTTTCAGTAACTTATCAGTATTGAATTTCTGGAGACTGTAAGGTATACCTTGTGATCATTATCCCCACTGTTCTTTTTCTTAGGTAAGTTTTTTTTCTACTGCTTTTTAAAAAATTAAGTGTTTCTAGATTTTGTGTGTTAGATGATGCTAATATAGCATAAAATAATCTTTTAGAATTAAAAAATTTATCTTTTTATATTCACTTTTGTTTTTCTCTCTTAACAACTTCAGTGGACTGCTTATTAGGTTAGGTTAGCTTAACACATGACTAGAATTTTTTGTTGGTAATTAATGAGACAACCAATGAACACAAGCGATGACTCTAGTTTCTTTTTGGAGGTGAGTAATGGTGAGCAGTCCAAGTTCTGTATTAGTCATACGTGCTTTTATCAGTAAGATGATGCTAAGAGAGGTAGAATTCAGTGAAACTATCCACACTGGATCTATCCCATTAGAAGATGTCTGATTATTTAGGGTATTGAATTCTATTCAGTACTGCATCTGACTGCATCTGAACCATTACATTTTGATGTTTGTTTAAATGTGGAGGTGAATGCTGATAGACTTTTAAATTTTTTATTATTTTTCCATCACATTTCCTTGTGCCTTGAACCCAGGAAAATATAATGATATTGACTATATGAGAACTTAGACTAAGCTCACTCTGAGGAAGTACATTTCCCTTTCTCCCTCTGATGCCCTTCAGACAAATGACAGTGGGAATATCTCATGCATGTTAAAGGCTGGTATCTGCCAGAAGAATTAGTCAGCATATCCTAGATTTATTTTCAGTCTCCATTGAATGTAAAATGAGAGCAGCCTCTGCACAATCAACACACTTTAGTGTTGGAGTGACTGAGGTCTTTACCCAGGGAAGGAACAGTCTGAATGGACTGGAAGAGAAGCTATTGTATTGAGAGGGAGTCTTCAGTTCTCTGATTTGGTTACATTATCTTCGAAGTTCCAGCTATCTTCAAATAAAACATCAGCAGAACCCACTTTTTGAAAATGTTTTTCTTGAGATTTCCCAGTGCCCTAAAAAAATTCATCAGAAAATTAATATGACAGATGCCAGACTTGAAAGTAGCCATAGTTGCCTCTGAACTTTATGTAATGTTTGATTTGTGACAGAATTATAGACTCAAAGAATGTTAAAATATTTTCTTTGATTTAAAATGTGATGGAGTCCTTTAATTCTTTCATTCTCTAAAAATGTATTTGTGGAATGCCTAAAATGTACCCGGCAGGCATGCACTAAACAGTGGGCAACTGGGGCTCAGTATTATTTCATGATGGTTTATCTTTCTCATGATAGGTCTTCTTCTGTAATATAATTTCGTATTCTAAGAACACCCCAGGACACAAAAGGAGTCAGTTAAATTTTATAATTAGGAAGGAGGATGGTTAAAGATGCTTCAGATTTAGTCTCCTCAGGCTAATCAATTTTCTAGCAGTAGCAAACATTGTTATCAAGAGGTGAAACTGAAGGTCTGCTGTAATTTTTTTTATGATACTTCAAGTTTTAGGGTACATGTGCACAGCGTGCAGGTTTGTTACATATGTATATATGTGCCATGTTGGTGTGCTGCACCCATTAACTCGTCATTTAACATTAGGTATATCTCCTAATGCTATCCCTCCCTGCTGCCTCCACCCCACAACAGGCCTCGATGTGTGATGTTCCCCTTCCTGTGTCCATGTGTTCTCATTGTTCAATTCCCACCTATGAGTGAGAACATGCGGTGTTTGTTTTTCTGTCCTTGCCATAGTTTGCTGAGAATGATGGTGTCCAGCTTCATCCATGTCCCTACAAAGGACATGAACTCATCATTTTTTATGGCTGCATAGTATTCCATGGTGTATATGTGCCACATTTTCTTAAACCAGTCTGTCATTGTTGGACATTTGGGTTGGTTCCAAGTCTTCGCTATTGTGAATAGTGCCACAATAAACATATGTGTACATGTGTCTTCATAGCACCATGTTTTATAATCCTTTGGTTATATACCCAGTAATGGGATGGCTGGGTCAAATGGTATTTCTAGTTCTAGATCCCTGAGGAATCACCACACTGACTTCCACAATGGTTGAACTAGTTTACAGTACCACCAGCAGGGTAAGTGTTCCTATATTTCTCCACATCCTCTCCAGCTCCTGTTGTTTCCTGACTTTTTAATGATCGCCATTCTAACTGGTGTGAGATGGTATCTCATTGCAGTTTTGATTTGCATTTCTCTGATGGCCAGTGATGATGAGCATTTTTTCATGTGTCTTCTGGCTGCATAAATGTCTTCTTTTGAGAAGGGTCTGTTCATATCTTTGGCCACTTTTTGCTGGGGTTGTTTGTTTTTTTCTTGTAAATTTGTTTGAGTTCTTTATAGATTCTGGATATTAGCCCTTTGTCAGATGAGTAGATTGCAAAAATTTTCTCCCATTCTGTAGGTTTCCTGTTCACTCTGATGGTAGTTTCTTTTGCTGTGCAGAAGCTCTTTAGTTTAATTAGATCCCATTTGTCAATTTTGGCTTTGGTTGCCATTGCTTTTGGTGTTTTAGACATGAAGTCCTTGGCCATCCCTATGTCCTGAATGGTATTGCCTAGGTTTTCTTCTAAGGTTTTTATGGTTTTAGGTCTAACATTTAAATCTTTAATCCATCTTGAATTAATTATTGTATAAGGTGTA
Source organism: Homo sapiens (assembly GCF_000001405.40). Classification (NCBI taxonomy): domain Eukaryota; kingdom Metazoa; phylum Chordata; class Mammalia; order Primates; family Hominidae; genus Homo; species Homo sapiens. Next base: position 78,699,284 of record NC_000006.12, on the reverse strand, counting down.
AGGAAGGGATCCAGTTTCAGCTTTCTACATACGGCTAGCCAGTTTTCCCAATACCACTTATTAAACAGGGAATCCTTTCCCCATTTCTTGTTTTTGTCAGGTTTGTCAAAGATCAGATAGTTGTAGATAAGTAGCATTATTTCTGAGGTCTGTGTTCTGTTCCATTGGTCTATATCTCTGTTTTGGTACCACTACCATGCTGTTTTGGTTACTGTAGGCTTGTAGTATAGTTTGAAGTCAGGTAGCGTGATGCCTCCAGCTTTGTTCTTTTGGCTTAGGATTGACTTGGCAGTGCGGGCTCTTTTTTGGTTCCATATGAACTTTAAAGTAGTTTTTTCCAATTCTGTGAAGAAAGTCATTGGTAGCTTGATGGGGATGGCATTGAATCTACAAATTACCTTGAGCAGTATGGCCATTTTCACGATATTGATTCTTTCTACCCATGAGCATGGAATGTTCTTCCATTTGTTTGTATCCTCTTTTATTCAGTGAGCAGTGGTTTGTAGTTCTCCTTGAAGAGGTCCTTCACATCCCTTGTAAGTTGGATTCCTAGGTATTTTATTCTCTTTGAAGCAATTGTAAATGGGAGTTCACTCATGATTTGGCTCTCTGTTTGTCTGTTATTGCTGTATAAGAATGCTTGTGATTTTTGCACATTGATTTTGTATCCTGAGACTTTGCTGAAGTTGCTTATCAGCTTAAGGAGATTTTGGGCTGAGACAATGGAGTTTTCTAAGTATACAATCATGTCATCTGCAAACAAGGACAATTTGACTTCCTCTTTTCCTAATTGAATACCCTTTATTTCCTTCTCCTGCCTGATTGCCCTGGCCAGAACTTCCAACACTATGTTGAATAGGAGTGGCAAGAGAGGGCATCCCTGTCTTGTGCCAGTGTTCAAAGGGAATGCTTCCAGTTTTTGCCCATTCAGTATGATATTGGCTGTGGGTTTGTCATAAATAGCTTTTATTATTTTGAGATATATCCCATCAATACCTAATACATTGAGAGTTTTTAGCATGAAGGCGGTTGAATTTTGTCAAAGGCCTTTTCTGCATCTATTGAGATAATCATGTGTTTTTTGTCGTTGGTTCTGTTTATATGCTGGATTACGTTGATTGATTTTCATATGTTGATCCAGCCTTGCATCCCAGGGATGAAGCCCACTTGATCACAGTGGATAAGCTTTTTGATGTGCTGCTGGATTCGGTTTGCCAGTATTTTATTGAGGATTTCTGCATCGATGTTCATCAGGGATATTGGTCTATTGGTCTAAAATTCTCTTTTTTTGTTGTGTCTCTGCCAGGCTTTGGTGTCAGGATGATGCTGGCCTCATAAAATGCGTTAGGGAGGATTCACTCTTTTTCTATTCATTGGAATAGTTTCAGAAGGAATGGTACCTCTTGTACCTCTTCTTGTACCTCTGGTAGAATTTGGCTGTGAACCTCTCTGGTCCTGGACTTTTTTTGGTTGGTAAGCTATTAATTATTGCCTCGATTTCAGAACCTGTTATTGGTCTATTCAGGGATTCAACTTCTTCCTGGTTTAGTCTTGGGAGGGTTAAGTGTTGAGGAATTTATCCATTTCTTCTAGATTTTCAAGTATATTTACATAGAGGTGTTTATAGCATTCTCTGATGGTTGTTTCTATTTCTGTGGGATCGGTGGTGATAGCTCCTTTATCATTTTTTATTGCATCTATTTGATTCTTCTCTCTTTTCTTCTTTATTAGTCTTGCTAGCAGTGTATCAATTTTGTTGATCTTTCCAAAAAACCAGCTCCTGGATTCACTGATATTTTTAAGGGTTTTTTATGTCTCTATCTCCTTCAGTTCTGCTCTGATCTTAGTTATTTCTTGCCTTCTGCTAGCTTTTGAAGGTGATTGCTCTTGCTTCTCTAGTTCTTTTTATTGTGATGTTAGGGTGTCAATTTTAGATGTTTCCTGCTTTCTCTTGTGGGCATTTAGTGATATAAATTTCCCTCTACACAATGCTTTCAATGTGTCCCAGAGATACTGGTATGTTGTGTCTTTGTTCTCACTGGTTCAAAGTACATCTTTATTTCTGCCTTCATTTCATTATGTACCCCGTAGTCATTGAGGAGCAGGTTGTTCAGTTTCCATGTAGTTGAGCGGTTTTGAGTGAGTTTCTTAATCCTGAGTTCTAATTGCACCATGGTCTGAGAGACAGTTTGTTATAATTTCTGTTCTTCTACATTTGCTGTGGACTGCTTTACTTCCAACTGTGTGGTCAATTTTGGGATAAGTGCAGTGTGGTGCTGAGAAGAATGTATATTCTGTTGATTTGGGGTGGAGAGTTCTGTAGATGTCTATTAGGTCTGCTTGGTGCAGAGCTGAGTTCAATTCCTGGATATCCTTGTTAACTTTCTGTCTCGTCGATCTGTCTAATGTTGACAGTGGGGTTTTAAAGTCTCCCATTATTATTGTGTGGGAGCCTAAGTCTCTTTGTAGGTCTCTAAGAACTTGCTTTATGAATCTGGGTGCTCGCATATTGGGTGCATATATATTTAGGATAGTTAGCTCTTCTTGTTGAATTGATCCCTTTACCATTATGTAATGGCCTTCTTTGTCTCTTTTGATCTTTGTTGGTTTAAAGTCTGTTTTATCAGAGAGTAGGATTGCAACCCCTGCCTTTTTTTGTTTTCCATTTGCTTGGTAGATCTTCCTCCATCCCTTTATTTTGAGCCTATGTGTGTCTCTGCATGTGAGATGGGTTTCCTGAATACAGCACACTGATGGGTCTTGACTCTTTATCCAATTTGCCAGTCTGTGTTTTTTAATTGTGGCATTTAGCCCATTTACACTTAAGGTTAATATTGTTATGTGTGAATTTGATCCTGTCATTTTATGTTAGCTGGTTATTTTGCTCGTTAGTTGAAGTAGTTTCTTCCTAGCCTCGATGATCTTTACAATTTGGCATGTTTTTGCAGTGGCTGGTACTGGTTGTTCCTTTCCATGTTTAGTTCTTCCTTCAGGAGCTCTTTTAGGGCAGGCCTGGTGGTGACAAAATCTCTCAGCATTTGCTTGTCTGTAAAGGATTTTATTTCTCCTTTACTTATGAAGCTTGGTTTGGCTGGATATGAAATTCTGGGTTGAAAATTCTTTTCTTGAAGAGTGTTGAATATTGGCCCCCACTCTCTTCTGGCTTGTAGAGTTTCTGCCAAGAGATCAGCTGTTAGTCTGATGGGCTTCCCTTTGTGGGTAACCCGACCTTTCTCTCTGGCTGCTGTTAACATTTTTTCCTTCATTTCAACTTTGGTGAGTCTGACAATTATGTGTCTTGGAGTTGCCCTTCTCGAGGAGTATCTTTGTGGCCTTCTCTGTTTTTCCTGAATCTGAATGTTGGCCTGCCTTGCTAGATTGGGGAAGTTCTCCTGGATAATATCCTGCAGAGTCTTTTCCACCTTGGTTTCATTCTCCCCGTCACTTTCAGGTACACCAATCAGACAGATTTGGTCTTTTCATATAGTCCCATATTTCTTGGAGGCTTTGTTCGTTTCTTTTTATTCTTTTTTCTCTAAACTTCTCTTCACTCTTCATTTCATTCGATTTTCCATCACTGATACCCTTTCTTCCAGTTGATTGAATCGGCTACTGAGGCTTGTGCATTCGTCATGTAGTTCTCTTGCCCTGGTTTTCAGCTCCAACAGGTCCCTTAAGGACTTCTCTGCATTGTTTATTCTAGTTAGCCATTCGTCTAATCTTTTTTCAAAGTTTTTAACTTCTTTGCCATGGGTTCGAACTCCCTCCTTTAGCTCAGAGAAGTTTGATCATCTTAAGCCTTCTTCTCTCAACTCGTCAAAGTCATTCTTCCTCCAGCTTTGTTCCATTGCTGGTGAGGAGCTGCGTTCCTTTGTAGGAGGAGAGGCGCTCTGATTTTTAGAATTTTCAGTTTTTCTGCTCTGTTTTTTCCCCATCTTTGTGGTTTTATCTACCTTTGGTCTTTGATGATGGTGATGTACAGATGTGGTTTTGGTGTGGATGTCCTTTCTGTTTGTTAGTTTTCCTTCTAACAGTCAGACCCTCAGCTGCAGGTCTGTTGGAGTTTGCTGGACGTCCCCTCCAGACCCTGTTTGCCTGGGTATCAGCAGTGGAGGCTGCAGAACAGTGAATATTGGCGAACAGCAAATGTTGCTGCCTGATCATTCCCCTGGAAGTTTTGTCTCAGAGGAGTACCCGGCCGTGTGAGGTGTCAGTCTGCCCCTACTGGGGGATGCCTCCCAGGGAGGCTACTCGGGAGTCAGGGACCCACTTGAGGAGGCAGTCTGTCTGTCCTCAGATCTCAAGCTGCGTGCTGGGAGAACCTCTACTGTCTTCCAAGCTGTCAGACAGGGACATTTAAGTCTGCTGAGGTTTCTGCTGCCATTTGTTTGGCTATGCCCTGCCCCCAGAGGTGGAGTCTACAGAGGCAGGCAGATCTCCTTGAGCTGCGTGGGCTCCACCCATTTCGAGTTTCCAGGCTGCTTTGTTGACCTACTGAAGCCTCAGCAATGGTCGGCGCCCCACCCCCACCCTCGCTGCCACCTTGCAGTTTGATCTCAGACTGCTGTGCTTGCAATGAGTGAGGATCCCTGGGCGTAGGACCCTCCGAGCCAGGCGTGGGATATAATCTCCTGGCATACCGTTTGCTAAGACCATGAGAAAAGTGCAGTATTAGGGTGGGAGTGACCCAATTTTCCAGGTGCTGTCTGTCACCCCTTTCCTTGGCTAGGAAAGCGTATTCCCTGACCCCTTGCACTTCCCAGGTGAGGCGATTCCTTGCCTGCTTCAGCTCACCGCCCTGCTTCAGCTCATGCTCGGTGCACTGCACCCACTGTCCTGCACCCACTGTCGGACAATCCCCAGTGAGATGAACCTGGTACCTCTGTTGGAAATGTAGAAATCATTTGCCTTCTGTGTCACTCACACTGGGAGCCATAGACTGGAGCTGTTCCTATTTGGCCATCCTCACTTCCGTTTTTATTTACAAAATGTATGACTAACTGAAATTACCAATGTATGGCTAATTAAAATCCTTGCTGTCATAAAAAGATTTTGACTAACACATTAGGATCTTTCAAATAATGTGTCATATTTTTTACCAAATATACTTCTTATAGAAGCAAACGTAGCACTTTGCATTTTGACTTGATAGAGAGCAACCCAGTAAAGATATTCTTTAGCACTAAATTTATGAATTCTAGGCGGTCTTTTACAAAACCTCATGGAGGAGCAAGCACTCCAGAAATGTTGCTGGTGAATGCCTTACTTTATGCTGAGCTTTTCAGAGAGTTTTTACACAAATCTGGCATAGAAGAATCCTGTTTTCACTAGATGTGAAATAGTTACTAGCAAATTCTAGAAAGAAAATAACTTTAATAACAGTAGATCACAGTGGGACTTTCCTCTAGGATGAAATTAAATATACAAAATAGGGAGGATACTTATGAGTTCTTGATGCTATTTTTCATAGTTGTATAAATTTTCCTGTCCTTACAATGACCAAGAAGTGTCTTCTTAGGCAATTTTGAAGTTAAGATTTTATTATTGATCTTTGTAGAGATCTAGCTCAACTTTTCCATTTTCCTGGCAGTGCCTCTATAATTGGGTAAAATCACATTTCTTCCCTCACAACCACAGTATGTAATAGGGTTTGAGGATAAAACACATTGGAGGAATATTGACAGCTACTATCAACTTTCTTAGGTTGCTAATGACCAGAGCTTGAAGAATTGTTTTTAATATCTGTTAAAGAAAACCAATCAAAATTATATTTTTTGATATTAAAATTAGAACAAGGGAAAGGACACTTTGCAGAGTTGAGTTTCTGTTACAGAAACAATGATTATGACACATATACATTGTATTTTGATGACAACCACATTTTCAACCTTTAATGAGATTGTTGCACTGAGCAAAATATAATTTAAAGATAAACTACTTTTCACCTTTTACACCCATGTAATTAACTCCCAGTGACTTGGGTGAAACTTAGGTCCCCAGGAGAGCTGCTAGCAAGAATTTTAAGATGGCCTTTAACCTTTTACACCCATATAATTAACTCCCAATGACTTGGGTGAAACTTAGGTCCTCAGGAGAGCTGCTGGCAAGACTTTTAACATGGTCATTGGTAGGAGCATTCACAGACTCCCTGCTTTGGTAGACGTTTTGGATGTTGTTTAGTAATATTGAGGGAAGAGACAGTAACATCCTAATCCTTCTGGGACCCACTGCTCTAGAAGCATGACTGACATTTACACTGCCCTTCTCACCTATGGTGCTTGGGAATCCTTTTTTTCAGGGAGATTATCAACCTATACCAATTTGTTTCATTTTCACAGCATGCTGAGTTATCTCTCAGGGCAATTCTCAGATCTGTCTTATAGTTTTACGTGGCAAAAAGTCAAAGAATATATGAACGACTAGATTACTTTTATACTTCATTAGTGTATTATAATTGTAATATGCTTATAATACTTTTAATTAGCTAATTCTCTCTCCTTAGGCACCTGCTATGAGTCTGAAACTCTGCTAAGCCTTTCACAGATCTAACACTATTTAATGGGTATGACACAATGAAAGTATTCATTTTTTTTCCCACAGGAAGGGAATTGAAATATTTAGAGATGCTAACTTGCCTAACTGAGATTACATAGCATTTAAACTAGCAGAGCCATATTTTCCTGACTGCAAAGCCCATGCTCTAGCTCAGTGTATTCCAATGCCCATCACATCAGCGCTCCAGCTGCCCTAGAAACAACTCCTTCCCCCAACTGCTGCCCTTGAGAGTGAGACTGAAGGGTCTATTATCTGGGCAGCATACTAGTTACTTGGCTCAAACCCAATATACATATATTCTCACCTAAACAATGCCATTATAGTTATTTTTATACTGAATTAATTCTCCTACTTTAGCATTAATGCATATGCAAGACTGATGTCATTGCCAGGGTTGGAGAAGAAACCTAGAGCCCCTCAACTTCTCATTGCCCTCTAGCTACCCTTGTGTCACATCCTCTTGCTCTGCCCTTCTCTCCCTAAATTTCATACATTCTTCTTCATCCATTAGAACTACCACATTTACAGTGTATGCATCCCAACAAGGTGTTCAGATGGAGCTGCTTGAATGAATCTTTTCTAAGTTTTAACTAGGTGATATCTCCTACCTTATGAGGGATACTTATTAAACAAAATTAATTTCTACATGTTACAATTTCAGCCAATAGGGGGCAAACAATTTGGGTCTGACCACTCAGCATTCTGCATGTATGAGCTCTGGGGACAGACAGGGGAAAGAAGCCCTAATAGTTTGTGCATCTCCATAGCTGTAACCTGGCTAGGAGGTGACACTTAAATAGAGAACTGTTGGGATTAGGCAACTGAATCTATTAGCTTCAAAGCTTTCTGCCCATTGAATTTCCTACTTTCCCCCCAACAGCTAACTACTGAAATATTTTGTGGGACTGTACGTGAAAGTATTAATTATTTATGGTCATTAAAGTCACCTACTTGTAAATCATGTCCAACTGTATTGCAGCACAAAATCAATTATACCCATTTTAAAGAACTGGTTTAATTCATCTGCCTGGAAATCCTCTTTAATAGCAGCTCTACATTCTCTTCCCCAGATACTTAGGCTTTACGTCTTGTAGCATACATAAAATGCCCAAAGTTCTGCTTGGAATCTTGAATCATTAGAGAAAATAATGCACCAGGAACAGCATCAAATCATGCTTAGCTACTGGGAAATCATAGAAGTATCTTGGTAGAATTATAGTAGCATGACCTTTGAAAACAGTCAGAACTGGGTTTAATCCCAATTTTGAATTTATTAGGCAGCGTATAATCCTGAACATATTTCTTAACCTTGGATTTCTCCCCTAAAAGGTAAAGATAATAATAAATTACTTCTAGTAATGTGTGTTTAAATAGCTTAATAAATATAAATTCTCCTACAGGCTGTTAATACCTAGGGCTGTGGGGCTGATCAGAACTGCCTTTGGCAGACACAGGAACTGCTTATACATTCATTCATTCATTCATTCATTCATTCACTTTACAAATGTTTGAATACTAGGCACAGGTAGAGGGCTTAATTGAGAAAGGAACTTAACAGACTCCAAGGCTAATTGAATTTTAGTATTGCTTATTATTTGCTGGCATTTCTCTTTGTTCACGCTTGTGTGGTAAATAACTAGCAGACCTGTCTTTGAGCTTGAATGTTCTGTCTAAATTTCTCTTTCCTGTGGATGAGACATCCTGTCTTGGGCTTTTTAATAAAATATTAATAAATAAGGGAAGCTTTTCCTTAACAGAGAAAAAAACATTGTATTGCATGTGTTCTCCTTCGGACCAGAAACTTTAGAGCAGAATTGATTGTATTACAAGCACTTAATAACCAGTCTTTTAATTTCATTCTATGGATGTATGTTGAGATGAGACAGGAGACTTTGGCATTGAAGAGCCCAAGTCATGATTCCCTTCTCTGTCTTCCAAAATCTTGTGTTGATTTTCTAATCTTAGAAAGCCATTTTCTTAATGGAATAAACAGACTTGGAGAAAGTAGGTGGCTTTAAGTGTGAAACTACAGAGTCAGGGCAAAATCAGGCTCGCAGGGTCTATTATATTCAAAGTTGGGAAGTTCTTATGTTTTAATTATAATTAAGTCAGAAGTACTTTGATAATTACTACCAGGATGCATGCATATTTTTATGTAAGAACAGAAATGTGTACCTATAAAACTCCTTTATACACTTTACTAGAAAACACTCTTCATTCCCCATCCTGCACCACCCCCTGAAAAAAATACATCCCAGACCTGTGGATAAAGAAACTTAAAAAGTGACTGCTGACAGTATATTATTCAGGCTCATTGCACAGCTGGATAACACAATCAGAACTGAAAGGGCCAGAGGGATTAAGAAAAAAAAAAGGCAACCATAATTGCTGGGGGAACAAAGGTAGCTCACTATAACTTGGGCTGCCTGAAGCTTGTAGGAGGTATCTATGTGCCTTTGGCTCCAGATACAACAATTAATCAGCGTTTATCTTTGATACAAGAGGTTATAAAAAACTAAGACAAAATTGCCTTGTAGCACCATGAGGCTGCGAACTGGAGGTTTTAAGGTTCATTCACCTCAGCAATTATTCATTGACTACCTACTTTTACCTAGCCAATATTAAGTCCTGGTGATACAAAAATAATTGGACACAAATACTGTCCTAGAAGGATTCACAGTGATAGTTTGGGAAGGAAGTCAAGACAGGTGAGCACTGGCTTAAGACAGGTATCCTAAGGGAGTTATATGGAAGGTATTGGAGAAACAGAGGATATTCTGTGCCCAACTTCTCCAGTAGGACAGAGAAGGTCTCATAGTAGAAGGGTCATTTGAGTTAAATCTGAAAAGCTTTGAGTCAGGGATTCCCAAGAGTAAAAAGTGGGGAAGAACATTTCAGTTAGAGGAAAGAGCTTTCACAGAGAATTGTGACAGATTATGTGCAAGAAATAACAAGTAATGGAACATGGTGGAAGTCAGGAGCACTTGGGGGAATGATGGAGAATGAGGCTGCAAGACAGGCATGCAGATTTAGGAGATTCTCTTAGTTCATACTGCTATAACAAATTACCATAGCTGGGTGGCTTGTAAACAACAGGCATCTATTTTTTACAATTCTGGAGGCTGGAAGTCTGAGATCAGGATGCCAGTATGGTTGGGTTCTAGTGAGGTCCTCTTCTGGGTTGCAGACTGCCATCTTTTTTGTTGTACTCTCACATGGCAGAAAATGCACTAGAGCTCTCCCTGGGGCCTCTTAAGAAGGCACTAATCCCACTCATGAGGGCTTCATCCTCATGACCTAACCACCTCCCAAAAGCTCCACCTCCTAATACCATCACACTGGGGGGTTAGAATTTCAGTATACAAATTTTGGGGAGATACACGTATTCAGTTCATTACAGAGATTTACCATCATTTAAAACTGAGCGGGGCTTTTTCATTCCCCAAATACAGAATATTCATTAAAAAATAACTCATGATTTCAGATTTGTTCCCTAAACAAAATAATTTGAAAGTATAGATAGTATACTAATTGTGTTTAGCTAAAAGAGATCTTTCCCTGCCTGTTGCAAATTCATTTTAATTGAATAGAATACAATTATTATTTGTGGTGCAGCTGCACAGAATTTTGAAAATTTTCTGACTAGGAAGGCAAAAGTAAAAAAGAAGAAAAAAATTCTACTGCTCTGGATTGGATAGTCTAGAGGAGAAGGCAAATAAATGTAAACTCCAATTCAAGGAAGGCCTGAGAAGTGCAATTTTAGATGCTAATGGATCACAGAGCAGGAGGCAGAATGACCTTGCCACATGGGTGGAGTTGAGATTCAGTGACACTGCTCTTGGAGGACATGGGGTGGGAGCTGAGTCTTGAAACATGAGGAGATTTTTCAAGAGGCACATGAGTGATGAAACATAAGAAAATCATCTGTGCTGAGAGAGCCTTATAAGCTCTCTCAGCAAACATGAAAGTGGAGAAATGCAGGGTAGATGCAGAAATATGAAGCATTATGGTGGTGCTGGAAAATAGGTGATGTGATTGTGGGAGATGAGTGGAGAAATCTTGAAGAGCCATGTGTATCATTCATTTATCCCACTCATTCATTGTTTCACAAATATTTACAGAGCTCCCAGGTTGTATAGGGCATTCCAACCTTAGATGCAATAAGACATGGTCCTTGCCCTTAAGAAACAATACAAATAAGAAGACACAGAAGGTTTCTGAACAGGAGAGGTACTCCACACAATCCCTTTAGCTGCTGCTTCTAGTTAAAATCATTCATTGTCCTCTCCTCCACTACTCTTGTCATCATTCTTATCTATTGCAAAATTCATGTAGATGATCCTTCCTATACAGCCTACTCTCTCAGTTTCTTGGCTTCCTCATTGCACAGTTCATCTAGTTGTTCAGAGTAAAAACTTTGGATTGATCCTTTATTTCTTTATCTCATATGCCATATTAAAACTCCAGCAAATTCTAAAGCTTTATATTAATATATTCTGAATCCTGAATATATTAATGTATCCTAAACACTTTCATCCCCTTTGGCTCTTCCTCCCTAATTTAATCACTTTCATTTCTTGCCTAAACCACTGCATCTGGGTCTCTGCTTCAACTGGCCTTTTTAAGTCTTTTCTTAATTTTGCAGTCAAAGGGATTCTTCTAAAATATTAAGTCAAGTGATCTTACTCCTTTGCTTAATATCTTCTCAAGGCTTCCAATCACAGGTAGAACAAGACAAAAAGTCCTTACCATTCTGTATCATCTTCCATCATGCAAGCTTCCCTTCAATCCATAAACATTCTCAAATCTCTCCTACTTTAAAAAGAAGCCCTCCTTCAACTTTAGTTCCTCCTTGAAAAGCATCCCAATTATTTTTTTCCTTTTAGCACTAAACCTGCAAAATGTTTACTTCACTTACTGATGCATTGCTTCTCCTCAATCTTGTACAATGCAAAGAAGATGCTTGAGAGTGGAAATAACATGAACAAGATGGCCAAGGTTTTTGAGGAGCTCAGTTCTTTTGAAAGAGACAGGCAAATGGAAAAATAGATGCATAATATAATGTCATGTAGCTAAGTGCTTTGAGGAAAATAAAATGAGACAAAGGTATAGACAAGGATGGTGGCCAATATTTTAGAAAGGTCATCTAGGAAGGCCTTTTTGAGAAGGTAATGTTTTGGCAGAATTAAAAACACTCAAAGATGTGCAGGGGTAAGCCACGTGAATATGTAGGAGAACACTATTCCATAAAGGAAAGTTCAAATATTTTGATGTGATGACATGCTGGTTATGTTCAAAAAAACAGCAAGAAAACCAATGTACCTACAGTCCAGTAAGCAATGGGGAGAGTATTAGAAGATGGGGGTAGAGTATTAGAGGCAGAAGAAAGTCTATGCAGGGCTTTAAATATCCATTGTAGTTTCTTCCACACTCTGCTGAAATGAACAATTAATGTACCTGTCTCCTCCACTTGTCCACAGCATCCTCAAGGGCCTGTGCTGTGTTTCATTTGTCTTTATAACCTGACACCATCTAGCTTGAATCCTGGCACAGAGTACGTGCTCATTAAATGGTTGTTGAACTGAAACTGTACCAAGGTGAATAAGACACAGTCTTTGCCATCAAGTTGCCTGCTGGCTATTTGGGGAGACAGATGTATAAATTAATAATTTTGCCATAATGTGATAAGAGCTATAACAGTTATATAAAAAAGTGCAGCTGGAGTCCAGTGTCAGGCACAGCTAACACTGATGAAGCAATGGAGCAGTCATTGTGCTTTTTTTCCCTGGTGAATTCGAGAAGAATTTATGTTCATTTAGGAAAGGAAGAGTATTGACTTCAAAGACATTAGATTGTTTGTAAAGTTATAAAGCTCTTAGGAACCCTCGGATGGAAAGTTGCTATACAACAGTGAAACATTAACCTCAGAGCTGCATCTGGAAAGCCTGGTTTTCATGTGCCTAAGGCACATCACTCAATCTATTGACACCTATAAAATTTCCTCCTTGGGAGAAAAAATTTGCTTCCTTAATGTTCCTTTTACATTATTTTTCACAGAGTATTTTTCTAAGTAATAAAGGTCAAAGTGATTAAATAAGACAACTGATGGGTCTAATAATAATTAAAATGAACAAACTCTTTACCCCAAACCCTTATGGTTAGAGTTGTTAATTGTTGTGTATTTTTTGTTGTTGTTGAAATTACTGTACAGTAACAGTACAGTGTTATTAAGTACTTTAAGTACTTCATAATAACTTAAGCCAATCTGTCTTCACCCTAGGTATGTTGATTCATCTGAGCTGACACAATTTGTGGGGGAAAGTGTTCACTGAATATATTGTGGGGCCAACCCTAGTTCGATGAAAACACATGACTTGCAAGTTGGATCAATGTGTATTAGAATCTCCTTTTTGCTTCCAATAAACTGGGTAGTCTTGTGAAACTAACATGAAGCCTTTTAGGTTTGTTTTCTTTCCTGTGGAGTAACAATACTTGCAACATGTAGTATGCAGGGTTGTTTTGAGAATGAAATAAGATATCATGTAAGTGATTAACACAATGTTTGGGAAATAATATATTTTTAATAGGCGCATGTTTGTTTTTATTTTCCTGTAGCTACAAATTTTCCACTCCGAATTCTCCTAAATAAATATTTCAAGTTTCTTTTAGATTTTACACTCAATAATTTACTGTTTTTTTGCTCCACACTGCATATTTCTATAATGACAATGCTGTGAGAACTAATATTTATTGGGTACATATCATGTCAAACACTATGTAAAATGATTAACCTAAACAATCTCATTTCTTTCAACTTTATTTAGGTCTATTTTACATATGAAGAAAATGAGATGTAGAGAGACTAAGTAATTTCTCCAATGCAAAACTAGTAAACTTCAAGGTCAGCATTCAAACCCTCAGAGTTTGACTCCAAAGCTGTGCCCATAAAAGCTGCCTCCTACTGCACTCCAGCCTAGGTGACAGAGTGAACCTCTGTCTCAAAAAAAAAAAAAAAAAAGAAAAAGAAAGAAAAAAAGAAAAACAAAACAAAATATTCATTTTCTGTCTCTTCTCTTCTCCTACTACTTTGAACTATACTTTAGACTACTTAAGCATAAAGAATATTATGTAGAAACAAAAAGTATACATACCTTATCATCTTTATAGCTTTAAGTCAGAGTCAAAGAGCAAGAGCCGAAAGGAAAGGACATCGCTATAGGGAGGACATTGGTCTCAGTGTCCAGTGGGAATGAGAGAGTCACCAGAAATCTTAGCTAGAGGAGGGGTCATGATGGTTTCTTTCACTTCAAAACCTCTCTCATGGTTAAGTGACAAGGTCTGGTGGTTGGCCATAGGTCCTAGATATTAAGCTTCTGAAAGTTTGCTAAGCACCTATTGTTTTCTCACCAAATTAAATTTCTGGTTTTATGTATGACAATGTATTCATGAAGCAGTAGAAAATCCATCTTGGTTCATTTTTACCTAAGGGGTATTTTGGAGTCTGGAGTAGAGTTGTTTTCTAGATAACTAGTCACTTGGCAATGGCTTTAAACACAGGGACTATTATGGACAAATTAGATTGCACAATACTGAAATGTTTTATTCAAATGCTATTTTCTCTTAATTAAAAAAAGAATCAAAGTTGAAAGAGGAATCACCATTATCCACCACTGTTTACACCAGCAAGTCATTAGGAAATCTACTGGGCACTCTGTGGGGTTGTTGTCCCTAACTGTGACCTTCCAACCCATGCAGCACAGTCAGGCTTGATAATTGTGAGACTTGCACTATGGTCTTAAGGATCCTTATGTGAAAGACTCAGGCTTGCAAGGCACATCAAATAAAAGCCTTCAAACACAATGCCCTAAGCTTCAACTCCATTCTCAGAAATGTGTCCCCTTCGTTGATATGTGATCAGATGTTATTTATCTCTTCAGGTTGTGGCTTGAATTTTGACTCAGGAATGGATGAATAAATGCATTTTATGCTTTTGAAATTAAGAAACTTTGAATTGACTACATGGTAATTTATGCAAAATAGACTAACAAACCACTGATTTTTTTTTTGTCTATTTCCCTTTTACTTTGCTATCTCATCCTAAACCTGCCCCCAATCTCTCCTCTCAGCAGCAAGCCTTGCTTTTTAATAGGAGTTGGATCTTCTGAGCCTGTAGCTTTTATATATACTTATAGAAAAATTTTTAATGAAATAAAATTGAAACTGGGATTGATTTTTTAAAACATCATTATGCTACTGCTATGATCCTGTTCTCTTCCCTCTATTCCTACTGATTATCATTGATGTGAGGCTGGTATATGCTAGTGCTTAGCACAATGTTAAGGGGGATAAATATAATACCAATTTATAGATTAAAAACCTGAATTTAAATGTCAAAGGACTTGTCCAAAATCATGTAGGTAGCGAAGCAAAAGTCAGCTTCATCTCGGTATAACTCCTAACTAATGAGTTTGCTTTTACAAGCTCTGTTTTTCTTCAGTTTTGCCAACATAGAAAGTTTGTTGCTACAAGGTGTTTTTAAAAACTTACCAAATAAATAAATCTTGGAAAAAATGTTTTATTCATCCTACTAGGGAATTAATCTACAAAATCATTGAATAAATATCTCTCAGATTGATGAAAACAGTACAATTACATTTTTATGGTGTTTACTGAGCAAGTATCCACCTTCATGAATAGAAATACCTTTTGTTCTTTAGTTCCATCTCACGTTAACAAACTGTTGGAAAGCAGTGCAGTCCGTGAGGAATATTTAGTGTTGGGTGGGCATTTTGAAATGTGAGGTAAGGCATATTTGCCAATAGTCAGTATAAATGCTTGATTCTCTGGCTACATCTCTCCCTCCTCAGTCAAGTCACATTTAAAAGGAAACATTTCTGAATTGTTTTTACTGATGATTGAATGATAGCATGACCACATCATCTTCCCGACTCTAGGCTTCCTACTTCTGAGCATGTTGGGAAGAAGACAGAATGAAGAAAGAAATTGATACTGCCAGAGGAGATCCTCAAATGCTGGTAGGACCTTGACCACAGCTGGTGTCCAGGTTCTTGACACCATCTGAGAGAAGGAATTCAAGGACAAGTTTGGAAATACTGAAAGTATGAGGATTTGTTACAAAGTGAAAAGTACACATGCAAGCAAAAACAGTGTGGTCATCCTCAAGAGAAAGTCCTGCCATGAGATTTGAGGTTTCTATCTTTATGGGTTTCTTTAACCAAGGGGTGTAATACTCATTAAGATTTCTGGAAAAGGGGAAGATTTCCCAGAACTGTGGTGCCACGCATGTTTACACCAAATATTGGTATTCCTGGAACTGTCATGGCACTAGTAAGTATGTGATTTAATATGTTAATTAGTGCATAATAAGGTCCTAGGAGAAACCCAGCACCATGTTGGGTTCAGTCAGTCTTAGTCAGCTTGGTCCACACCGTGGTTTTTCAGAGTCTTACTAGCCCCTATCTTATGGAGCTATTTCAACAGTTTCCTTTCGCTAATTGTGTGAAACTACTGAGACAGCCAGCAGGGAGGGCATCCCTGGAGAAGCTCCAACCAGCCTGCCCACTGAGGTGGAGCCTCAGGAAGTTCTCACCCTTTGGAGCAAGGAGGATCCTGGGCCCTCCTTTTCCTGGGTGGAACCTGGGATTCAAGCTGCAGTCAGGAAGTGTTCTAGCAGGGACTCTGGCCTTGTGAGAGTCCCTGTTTCCTCCTTTTCTTCCCTTTCACCCAATAAAACCCTGCTTTACTCACCCTTCAAACCATCTGCAAGCCTAAATTTTCATGGCCATAGGACAGACAAGGACCCCATCTTTAACTGAAGTGGGGAATAGTCCCACAACATTTTTGGCACCCAACATGGGGCTTGAGAAGCCAGTCAAGGAAACTTATTTTAAGCTATTTACGGCCTTTAATAAATAAGCAAGGTGTGTTCCTATGACCAAGATTTGGAGTATGTTTGTTTCTCTTTGCCTGGTTCCTCTAGAGTTTGGAAACTCTCTGTGAGTATTTTTATGACAATATAGTTGTTTGCATCAGTGTAATAGGAATCCATTTTTCTTTTGCAGCAGAACACAATTGGAGAAAGTGGTTGTTTTGCCAAGGCTTTACTGGAAGAGTATGCTTCCCTTTGGGGAGTCAAGCTCAACTTGCAGAGCTGATAGAAGCCTAATGGGGAATCTGACCACATACTCTTGTCTATGCAGTCCCTGTATAGGGTTCCTGACCTGTGGTCAGTAAAGACTGTCACTTTCTTTTTCTTTTTCTTTTTTATTATATTTTAAGTTCTAGGGTATATGTGCACAATGTGTAGGTTTGTTACATATGTATACATGTACCATGTTGGTTTGCTGCACACATTAACTTGTCATTTACATTAGGTATTTCTCCTAATGCTATCCCTCCCCTATCCCCCATCCCACAACAGGCCCCAGTGTGTGATGTTGCCCACCCTGTGTCCAAGTGTTCTCATTGTTCAATTCCCACCTATGAGTGAGAACATGTGGTGTTTGGTTTTCTGTCCTTGCCATAGTTTGCTGAGAATGATGGTTTCCAGCTTCATCCATGTCCCTACAAAGGACATGAACTCATCCTTTTTTATGGCTGCATAGTATTCCATGGTGTATATGTGCCACATTTTCTTAATCCAGTCTATCATTGATGGACATTTGGGTTGGTTCCAAGTCTTTGCTATTGTGTATAGTGCCTCAATACATGTACGTGTGCATGTGTCTTTATAGTAGCATGATTTATAATCCTTTGGGTATATACCCAGCGATGGGATGGCTGGGTTAAATGGTATTTCTAGTTCTAGATCCCTGAGGAATTGCCACACTATCTTCCACAATGGTTGAACTAGTTTACAGTCCCACCAACAGTGTAAAAGTGTTCCTATTTCTCCACATCCTCTCCAGCAGCTGTTGTATCCTGACTTTTTAATGATCACTATTCTAACTGGTGTGAGATGGTATCTTATTGTGGTTTTGATTTGCATTTCTCTGATGACCAGTGATGATGAGCATTTTTTCATGTGTCCGTTGGCTCCATAAATGTCTTTTAAAAAGTGTCTGTTCACATCCTTTGCCCACTTTTTGATGGGGTTGTTTGATTTTTTCTTGTAAATTTATTTAAGTTCTTTGTAGGTTCTGGATATTAGCCTTTTGTCAGATGAGTAGATTGCAAAAATTTTCTCCCATTCTGTAGGTTGCCTGTTCACTCTGATGGTAGTTTCTTTTGCTGTGCAGAAGCTCTTTAGTTTAATTAGATCCCATTTGTCAATTTTGGCTTTCGTTGCCATTGCTTTTGGTGTTTTAGTCATGAAGTCTTTGGCCATGCCTATGTCCTGAATGGTATTGCCTAGGTTTTCCTGTAGGGTTTTTATGGTTTTAGGTCTAACATTTAAATCTTTAATCCATCATGAATTAATTATTGTATAAGGTGTAAGGAAGGGATCCAGTTTTAGCTTTCTACATATGGCTAGCCAGTTTTCCTAGCACCATTTATTAAATAGGGAATCTTTTCCTCATTTCTTGTTTTTGTCAGGTTTGTCAAAGATCAGATGGTTGTAGGTGTGTGGTGTTATGTCTGAGGCCTCTGTTCTGTTCCATTGGTCTGTATCTCTGTTTGGGTACCAGTAGGCTGTTTTGGTTACTATAGCCTTGTAGTATAGTTTGAAGTCAGGTAGGGTGATGCCTTCAGCTTTGTTCTTTTTGCTTAGGATTGTCTTGGCAATGTGGCCTCTTTTTTGGTTCCATATGAACTTTAAAGTAGTTTTTTCCAATTCTGTGAAGAAAGTCATTGGTAGCTTGATGGGGATGGCATTGAATCTACAAATTACCTTGGGCAGTATGGCCATTTTCATGATTTTGATTCTTCCTATCCATGAGCATGGAATGTTTTTCCATTTGTTTGTGTCCTCTTATTTCGTTGAGCAGTGGTTTGTAGTTCTCCTTGAAGAGGTCTTTCACATCCCTTGTAAGTTGGATTCCTAGGTATTTTATTCTCTTTGTAGCAATTGTGAATGGGAGTTCACTGATGATTTGGCTCTCTGTTTGTCTGTTATTGGTGTATAAGAATGCTTGTGATTTTTGCACATTGATTTTGTATCCTGAGACTTTGCTGAAGTTGCTTATCAGCTTAAGGAGATTTTGGGCTGAGATGTTGGGGTTTTCTAAGTATACCATCATGTCATCTGCAAACAGAGACAATTTGACTTCCTCTTTTCCTAATTAAACACACTTTATTTCTTGCTCTTGCCTGATTGCCCTGGCGAGAACTTCCAACACTACTTTGAATAGGAGTGATGAGGGAGGGCATCCCTGTCTTGTGCCAGTTTTCAAATGGAATGCTTCCAGTTTTTGCCCATTCAGTATGATACTGGCTCTGGATTTGTCATAAATAGCTCTTATTATTTTGAGATATATTCCATTAATACCTAGTTTATTGACAATTTTTAGCATGAAGGGCTGTTGAATTTTGTCAAAGGCTTTTTCTGCATCTGTGGAGATAATCATGTGGCTTTTGTCTTTGATTCTGCTTATCTGATGGATTACGTTTATTGATTTGCATATGTTGAACCAGCCTTGGATCCCAGGGATGAAGCCAAGTTGATCTTGGTAGATAAGCTTTTTGATGTTCTGCTGGATTCAGTTTGCCAGTATTTTATTGATGATTTTTGCATCGATGTTCATTAGGGATATTGGTCTAAAATTCTCTTTTTTCTTGTGTCTCTGCCAGCCTTTGGTATCAGGATGATGCTGGCCTCATAAAATGAGTTAGGGAGGATTCCCTCTTTTTCTATTGATTGGAATAGTTTCAGAAAGAATGGCACCAGCTCCTCTTTGTACCTCTGGTAGAATTCAGCTGTGAATCCATCTGGTCCTGGACTTTTTTTGGTAAGCTATTAATTATTGCCTCAATTTCAGAGCCTGTTATTGGTCTATTGAGTGATTCAACTTCTTCCTGGTTTAGTCTTGGGAGGGTGTATGTGTCCAGGAATTTATCCATTTCTTCTAGATTTTCTAGTTTGTTTGCATAGAGATGTCTATAGTATTCTCTGATGGTAGTTTGTATTTCTGTGGGATTGGTGGTGATACCCCTTTATCATTTTTTATTGCGTTGATTTGATTCTTCCCTCTTTTATTCTTTATTAGTCTTGCTAGTAGTCTATCAATTTTGTTGATCTCTTTAAAAACACAGCTCCTGGATTGATTGATTTTTTGAAAGTTTTTTTGTGTCTCTATCTCCTTCAGTTCTGCTCTGATCTTAGTTATTCTTGCCTTCTGCTAGCTTTTGAATGTGTTTGCTCTTGCTTCTCTAGTTCTTTTAATTGTGATGTTAGGGTGTCAATTTTAGATCTTTCCTGCTTTCTTTTGTGGGCATTTAGTGCTATAAATTTCCCTCTACACAGTGCTTTGAATGTGTCCTAGAGATTGTACTACATTGTGTCTTTGTTCTCACTGGTTTCAAAGAACATCTTTATTTCTGCCTTCATGTCGTTATTTACCCAGTAGTCATTCAGGAGCAGGTTGTTCAGTTTACATGTAGTTGTGCAGTTTTTTTTTTTTTTTTTTTTTTTGAGAGGGAGTCTTGCTTTGTCACCCATGCTGGAATGCACTGGCACGATCTCCGCTCACTGCAAGCTCTGCCTCCCTGGTTCACGCCATTCTCCTGCCTCAGCCTCCCAAGTTGCTGGGACTACAGGCGCCTGCCACCATGCCCAGCTAATTTTTTGTATTTTTGTTAGAGATGGGGTTTCACCATGGTCTCGATTTGCTGACCTCATGATCTGCCCACCTCAGCCTCCCAAAGTGCTGGGATTACAGGCGTGAGTCACCACGCCCAGCCTAGTTGTGCAGTTTTGAGTGAGTTTCTTAATCTTGAGTTCTAATTTGATTGCACTGTGGTCTGAGAGACAGTTTGCTGTGATTTCTGTTATTTTACATTTGCTGTGGAGGGATTTACTTCCAACTATGTGGTCAGTTTTGGAATAAGTGTGATGTGGTGCTGAGAAGAATGTGTATTCTGTTGATTTGAGATGGAGAGTTCTGTAGATGTCTATTAGGTCTGCTTGGTGCAGAGCTGAGTTCAAGTCCTGGATATCCTTGTTAATCTTCTGTCTCGTTGATCTGTCTGATATTGACAGTGGGGTATTAAATTCTCCCATTATTCCATGGGAGTCTAAGTCTCTTTTTAGGTCTTTCAGGACTTGCTTTATGAATCTGAGTGCTCCTGTACTGAGTACATATATATTTCGAATAGTTAGCTCTTCTGGTTGAACTGATCCCTTTACTATTATGTAATGTCCTTCTTTGTTTCTTTTGATCTTTCTTGGTTTAACATCTGTTTTATCAGAGACTAGGATTGCAACCCCTGCTTTTTTTTGGTTTCCATTTGCTTGGTAGATCTTCCAGCATCCCTTTGCTTGGTAGATCTTCCTGCATCCCTTTATTTTGAGCCTATATGTGTCTCTGCATGTGAGATGGGTCTCCTGAATACAGCACACTGATGGGTCTGGAGTGTTTCCAATTTGCCAGTCTGTGTCTTTTAATTGGGGCATTTAGCCCATTTAAATTTAAGGTTAATATTGTTATGTGTGAATTTGATCCTGTCATTATGTTGTTAGCTGGTTATTTTGCCTGTTAGTTGATACAGTTTCTTCCTAGCATTGATGGTCTTTACCATTTGGCATGTTTTTGCTGTGGCTGGTAGTAGTTGTTCCTTTCCATGTTTAGTGCTTCCTTCAGGAGCTCTTGTAAGGCAGGCCTGGTGGTCACAAAATCTCTCAGCATTTTCATGTCTATAAAGGATTTTATTTCTCCTTCACTAATGAAGCGCAGTTTGGCTGGATAAGAAATTCTGCATTAAAAATTATTTTCTTTAAGAATGTTGAATATTGGCCCACTCTCTTCTGGCTTGCAGGGTTTCTGTTGAGAGATCTGCCGTTAATCTGATGGGCTTCCCTTTTTGGGTAGCCCGACCTTTCTCTCTGGCTGCCCTTAGCATTTTTCCTTCATTTCAACCTTGGTGAATCTGACAATTATGTATCTTGGGGTTGCTCTTCTCGAGGAGTACCTTTGTGGTGTTCTCTGTATTTCCTGAATTTGAATGTTCGCCTGCCTTGCTAGGTTGGGGAAGTTCTCCTGGATAATATCCTGAAGTGTGTTTTCCAGCTTGGTTCCATTCTCCCTGTCACTGTCAGGTACACCAATCAGACATAGATTTGGTCTTTTCACATAGTCCCATATTTCTTGGAGGCTTTGTTCATTTCTTTTTACTCTTTTTTCTCTAAACTTCTCTTCTCACTTCATTTCATTCATTTGTTCTTCAATCACTGATACCCTTTCTTCCACTTGATCGAATCAGCTCATGAAGTTTGTGCATGCGTCATGTAGTTCTCGTGCCATGGTTTTCAGCTCCATTAGGTCACTTAAGGTCTTCTCTACACTGTTTATTCTAGTTACCCATTCATCTAATCTTTTTTCAAGGTTTTAAGCTTCCTTGCGATGGGTTTGAACATCCTCCTTTAACTCGGAGAAGTTTGTTACTACTGACTTTTTGAAGCCTACTTCTGTGTACTCATCAAAGTCTTTCTGTGTCCTGCTTTGTTCCATTGCTGGCAAGGAGCTGTGATCCTTTGGAGGAGAAGGGGTGCTCTGGTTTTTAGAATTTTCAGCTTTTCTGCTCTGGCTTCTCCCCATCTTTGTGGTTTTATCAAACTTTGGTCTTTGATGATGGTGATCTACAGATGGGGTTTTGGTGTGGGTGTCCTTTTTATTGATGTTGATGCTATTCCTTTCTGTTTGTTAGTTTTCCTTCTCACAGTCAGGTCCCTCAGCTGCAGGTCTGTTGCAGTTTGCTGGAGGTCCACTCCAGTCCCTGTTTGCCTAGGTATCACCAGCAGAGCCTGCAGAACAGCAAATATTGCAGAACAGCAAATATTGCAGAACAGCAAATATTGCTGCCTTATCCTTCCTCTGGAAGCTTCATCTCAGAGGAGCACCCAGTTGTTTGAGGTGTCAGTCGGCCCCTACTTGGAGCTGTCTCCAAGTTAGGCTACACGGGGTTCAGGGAGCCCCTTGAGGAGTCAGTCTGTCTGTTCTCAGAGCTCAAACACCATGCTGGGAGAACCACTGCTCTCTTCAGAGCTGTCAGACGGGGACGTTTAAGTCTGCAGAAGTTTTTGCTGCCTTTTATTCAGCTATGCCCTGCCCCCAGAGGTGGAGTCTCCAGAGGCAGGCAGGCTTAGTTGAGCTGCGGTGGGCTCCACCCAGTTCGAGCTTCCTGGTGGCTTTGTTTACCTACTCAAGCCTCAGAAATGGAGGATGCCCCTCCCCCAGCCAGGCTTGCGGCCTTGAAATTCGATCTCGGACTAGCAGTGAGCAAGGCTCTGTGGCCGTGGGACCCACTGAGCCAGGCACAGGATATAATCTCCTGGTGTGCTGTTTGCTACAACCGTTTGAAAAGCACAGTGTTTAGTTGGCAGTGTCCCAATTTTTCCGGTACAGTCTGTCATGGCTTCCCTTGGCTAGGAAAGGGAAATCCGCTGACCTCTTCCACTTCCTGGGTGAGGCGATGCCCTGACCTGTTTTGGCTTGCCCTCCGTGGGCTGCACCCACTTTCCAACCAATCCCAATGAGATGAACCAGGTACCTCAGTGGAAATGCTGAAATCACCTGTCTTCTGCCTCAATCACGGTGGGGGGCTGCAGGCTAGAGCTGTTGCTATTTGGCCATCTTGGAACCCACCTCAAGAATGTCACTTTCTAACAGGTTCAGGAGCTCCAAGTTTATCTTGAGATCTTAAGATCACCCAACTCACAGTTATTTGAGGATAATCTCATGGGTGGGCTCAGCTTTAAAAGGTCTTATATGAGATTCCTTGTGGAACAGACTTCCATTAAAGTCAGTCCTAAAGGCCTATATAGAAATAGTTATTCTTGCTGCACTTTATGCAAATTAGCGTGTAAAATCTTTAGCAAAGAAAAAGGCAAAAGTCTATTTTGCACACCACTCAGTCCTATGATGATTTGTTTTTTTAACAAACATGAGGACTGGAGAGAGAGAAATCATGTTTCAAAACTTACATAGTTGTCACTAAATTCTAAACTCACTAGTTGTTTTTAAGTTTTCACCTACATTTAAGACTAATCCTGTTTGTTTCTGTGAACCAACCAGCAATCTCTGACTGCAGCTCAGAAAGAACAAGAGGGATGGGTAATGTAAAAATCTGGATCAGTATTCTAGTTCTGAGTAATTATCCTGCAAATCCTGCCAAGTGATTTAATAAATAGGGAATAAATAGGATGCCTATCACTTGGAGGTTTCCTTTTTGGGAAAGTAAGACCAAGGGAGCTAACTAAAGTCAAGTACCATGCACCCAAATCCTAGCAAGTGTAACTATAGTCACCAGTTATCTCAGTGTGTCACAAGACATTATTTTCTCTCCCTTATTGGAGGAGGACTCAATTCCACAGTTTCACCTTAGCATTTGGCTTATCATAAGGAGTCTGTGCAATGCCCCTTAGATACATTTTTGTTCCAGACTCAATTCCAAGCTTTGAGCCAAAGTCCTGGGAAAGAAAACTGTATCTAAGGGATCCAGAGGCAGGCAACAGAAGTTAAAAGGCACAGTGCAGGTAAGTATGGCTGATTCCTGCTGATTAAGCCAATCCCAAGCTTCCTGTTTTATGGATAAAGGCCACATTAGTATCCATGGGATAAATGAGGTCTAGAGAACTCCAAGGCTACTGACAACATGGGAGATAGGACATACATGGGTAAGAGTGAATGATTATCACCCCACCCCCTAAACCCCCCTGCTTCATAGGTGCAAGCCACTTTTACACCCATGGCAGTGCCTGCCAAGGTCACCAGGACTTGGGGATGCAAGGACAGAAGAGGGAAAGAGGATGCTCCTCCCTCTCTCCCTCATGTACCCATTATCTGCAAGGAAGAGAAGGGAACCAGAGATACCTGCTCCCCTTTTTCTAGATGGGTAGCCATTCATCTTCAGTCTGTACGCCTTTGGAATGCAACCTGAACCCCTGGGACTCCTTTGAAAAGTGCCTTGTTTTTTTTCTTTCTCCTCCTCATTCCTTTCTTCAGTTAGGTAATTGTGTCTCCATCCTATAGGTCACTCCCCTCAGATGCATCCTCCAAACTAGAAAGCGCTAATTTCCCAAACCATAAACTGGTTGGCTTAAGATTGGGCTCAGGTGAAGGGAACCCAGAAGCCCAACATGTCGGCAAAAGGGTAAAGGTTTTTTTTTTTTACCAGTTGGGCTTTCGGCCTCCCTCTTGTGCAAAGTTGTGAAAGGCCTTGGAATTTTTGAGCTGTCCTTACCCCTCCCCTTGTTTCGTTTTGATACATGTTTTCTAATAACCTGGTTTGTCTGTTCTTGCCTTCAGGGCATCAAACTCCAAACTCTCATGCAACTGGAGCCTCTGATGATGCCCCTTTCTGCTGGGAACCCTTAAATAGGCCTCTGAGAAAGCTCTGACTACCATTTCCCCAAAACTGTGCCCCTGTCAGCAGGAAGCAGTTAAGATCAGTCTTTGTCCTTATCCTTAATCTAATGGCAGTTAGACATACTTCTTTACAGGGGGGAATGAGATAGTCTGGTGGAAGGGAGGGTCCCTGGAGAAACTTCCACCAGCCTGCCCACTGGGGTGGAGCCTTGGGAAGTCCTCACCCTCTGCAGCCAGGAGGAGCCTGGCCCCTCCTTTTCCTGGGTGGAACCTGGGATTCAAGCTGCAGGCAGGAAGCGTTCTAGCAGGGACTCTGGCCTTGCAAGAGTCCCTTTTTCCCCCTTTTCTTCCTTTTCATCCAATACAACCCTGCTTTACTCACCCTTCAAACCATCTGCAAGCCTAAATTTTCATGGCCATGGGACAGACAAGGACCCTGTCTTTAGCTGAACTAAGGAAAAGTCCTGCAACACTACTGCCTAGAATTTTCTATTCCTTTGCAACCACCCTGTATTATTCCTGTCTCAAAATCATGTCTTTTGCAGCAACATGGGTGACACTGGAGGCCCTTATCTTAAGTGAAACAACTCAAACACAGAAAGACAAATACCACATGTTCTACATGTTCTCATTTATAAGTGGGAGCTCAATAATGTGTACACATGGCCATAGAGCGTGAAATGATAGACAATGAAGACTCTGAAGGGAGTGATTAGAGGATAGTGGATGATGACAAATTACTTAGTGTGTACAATGCACATTATTCAGGTGATGGATACACTAAAAGCCCTGACTTTATCAATAGTCAATATATCTATGAACAAAGTAACCCTTGTACATTATAAATTTATACAAATAATAACAAAAAGATACAATGACATGGAAACTTTTCCTGGGAACTCTGTTTCCAACTTTGTTATTATAATTTTGCAAATCTAAGAGAGAAATACTAAAGTGGAAAACACAGAAAAATAGGGAAGGCAGGTTGGGTGGGGTAAAATCAATTTATTTAACATAACTAGCTTTTCTATAAGCTGAACTTCATGAGTTAGCAATTTTCTTGCCAATAATTCACAAAAATAAAAAGAATCCTAGGAGAAGACTTACATAGAGCATAAGAAAATATGTATCCAAAATAATGTACATCTTAAAATGAAAGAAAATTGATTTGATTGACTTTGTGGTGTTTTATATACTAGGTTTTTGTTTCTGCTGAGTCAAAGCCTTTTCTTTCTGGAACATTGTATACTTTGGATATCATTATAATAAAGGATATTACAGTCATAGATATGAATAACAAGTTTACTGTGGCAATTAAAATCCAAATGATAAGGAACACAGTAGGATTAACTGGTATATGTTAACTATATGTAGGTGACTTGGGTTGGGGGGAGTTAAAGTATTGAAAGGATCTCAGTAATTACTTATTCAGAAAGATTAATTTTTTTTGTTTTAAAGGAAAAAGATGTCTTTGACCTAATGTGTCATAGCAAAGGCCTGGTTTAATCAGCTATAATTAGAATGATCTGCATTGAAATGCTTTAGATCTAGGAAAAAATATGTCCAATTATTTTTCTATAGCAAACACTTCATGGAAGTAGAAGTATTTTTCAAGCATATTACCTTAATGATTGCTTTTGTTTCTAAGATCAAATTTTGGCTGCAGATCATAGAACACTTGTAATTTCAATTTTATTCCTAGCTCCTGAAATACTGAGTTAGAAATGCAAAGAAAAACCATGGATTTAGCAGTGCCACGTAATACAGCAAGTTTGAGACTATTTGTTTAGCACTAAATTGAGCAGAGGAGAAATAACAAGCCTGCCGTGTACTGAATGAACTAGTACTTCTGCCTTTCAAAATCATCAAAGCAAAATTACCAAAGCCTCAATTTCTCATCTTCTGGTGGTTTCTTTCTTTTGTTGAATTCATTTTCTCTTTCACACAGGATTGCAATATAAGTCAAATTGAAAAAAGTATGTGAAAATTCTTTGAAGATTATGAAACATTATACAATTGCATACTTAATACACAACACCTAGATTTAAAATATAACTTCTCACTCTGAAAATCTTTATAGCAATTTTTTTTTTTTTTTGAGACAGGGTCTTGCTTTATCACCTAGGCTGGAATGCTGTGGCATGATCTCAGCTCACTGCAACATCCACCTCCTGGGCTCAAGTGACCCTCCTGCCTTAGCCTCCAGAGTAGCTGGTATTACAGATGCCCACCACCATGCCTGGCTAATTTTTGTATTTTTAGTAAACATGGGGTTTTGCCATATTGACCAGGCTGGTCTTGAACTCCTGACCTCAAGTGATCTGCCTGCCTTGGCCTCCCAAAGTCCTGGGATTACAGGCATGGGCCACCATGCCTGGCCCTTTATAGCAATTTTAAAGAAGTTTTTGTAGATCTACATTTGTCCTCCAGTTCTACATTTTTGCAGTTGTAAGAATCTGGCCTGAATGTAATTACTAATGGCTAATTTTTGAGTAAAGCATCATAGAAGATAAGAGAATAACTCACAGGTAGAAAAGATTTCTACTCTCAAGCCACTTTAATGAGTATAATGTTACAATGAAGCTGAGTCCTGCTTCAGATAGAAGAGAAACTGTGACTGGTCAGTAATGTCTGCAGAGGAGTTGAGTGGCATGGGGAAAGTGGTGTACAGATCTTATAATTGTTCTTCCTAAAATAACCATTGGAAAAAGAAGTCTCAGATTCAGTGCAAGTGTCTGTCCAGAACTGAAAGTAAGAGTGTACCCGATATTGCATTTCAGCCAGCTATACTTTCCCATAGCTCTTACTATGGGGTAAACCCTGTCCCTCACAAGCTTTACTTCTCAATTCATGTTCTGATCTACAGATATTTAGTTTCATAGAATGTAATTCCTGCTGGCCTCTACTAGAACACAAGAGTATATTTGAAGTAGAGTTCCAGATGCTGTTAAGCAGAATTATCTCAACATATATTTTAATTAGAAATTAGAAATGAAATGTACCAAATATTAGGTCAGAAATTTCCTAAGAAAAATGTAGTTCTTTAAGTTAACAGCATCAGAATGTGTAGATGCCCTTCCATTTAATATGTGCCTGAAGGATAGCGCACATTCACAGGTAGGGCACTTTAGCTGAGGACCAGATCTTCAGTGTGTTCAGAGCCTGCAGGAAACATCACTGATGCTGATGTGGACTTTGCTGCATGCTTGCCTGCCTGGACTATTCACAACCTCTCTGCTCAAACCTCCCCACCTACTGGAAAAGGAAGACACATGAGTTCTTTTCACCTCTGTGTTAACTGCTTTTCTGTTTTCTTTGTCCCCTGGCTTGTCAGCTTCCTTCTGTCCTCTCTCTCACTCTTTCTTCTCCATTTTGAGGGTATATGGGGATTCTTTTACTTAGTCTTTTGTGAGCCTCTTTCCACTCGTGTCTTTTAACCATATGTCCCATACAGTCCTTCCCCCAACCTTCCCACTGCTGCTAAATTATTTAGCACAAAGATAAATATCAGTTCAAACCAAGATAATTTTTAAAGTAATGGAACTCAATTAATGAAGATTTTTAAAGGAAGAAAAAACCCTTTAAAGTAATTCTGTCAGGATTATTCTTTTATTTAAAAGATTTCAATCAGTCAACTGCTGTTTCACATTTCTTTGTTTGTCCCAAACTGCAAATTAGTTTTTTAATTGTTCATGGAATGCAAATAAAGTAACAATCCTTTCCTACCAGATGTGCTGGATAGGCATGAGGGCACAATCATTTTCCTAGCCAATATTTTCATCAAGAACCTATTCAGAATCTTAGAATTACTTCCTATTTCCGGCATAATTGAACTGCAAAACATTGCTGGTTGCAGGTTTTTGTTTTTAAGTGTTCTTAGAGGCCTGGAGACTAGGATGCTAGGAATATTACAAAGAGCCTTAAATTGCGGCTTGACCTTGTATTGAAAGGCAAAAACTGTATTTACATTCTATTACAGGGGACTTCATGATTTGCACATTTGAATAAGAATCAAGATAATATGCTGCCATGTCCCAATAGGACAGCACTTTGCCAGATAATTTCTGTGCAAGTGCCTGAGCCCCAAGGGTTCAGCAGGAACAGCCATGTAGAAATTGAGCAAAGTAGAGTTTCATAGTTTCATAGAATGTAACTATGAAATGGAGATGGCTTCCTTTTTAAGATTTTCTTTACTCACCCCATTGCAACCTAAGTGTTGTTTAATTACATAAGAAAAATACAAATATTGTAAATAAATTTTAAAATGGTGAAAAATCATGGATTATCACCCCCTGTCTTTTGTTGAAGTAAATGAGAGACCATGCGGTGTAATGGAATGGTAATTGTACTGTAAATCTGGAGTCCCGGTTTTCTTCTCCGGAGTGTGACTTTCCTTGTTCCTCACCGAGGAGCACAAGTTCATCATGTGTAAAATGGGGAGGATTCAGAAAATGATCTCTAAGGTCCTTACCACTCCTAAGTTGATATGTCTGTGAAAGATAATGGTGTCCAATGTTGCCTCAGAGGAAACCAGAAATTTATTTGTTCTATTTCCTTCTCAATCTTTCTTCCTTTGCCCATTTCCTTTTTTCTTCCTCTCTGTTTCATAGATATTTCAAAGACCTGCTTTTTTGGTTGACAAACTTTGGTCATCCAGTCACTTCTTAATTGATAGCTATTTCAGAGATTGTAGCAAAGGGACTATTTGGCTTCCTATCTATGCAGAATCCATTCTGCCTGATGACACTGCATCATTGACTTACTGATTGCCTATTTCTTCTGGAAATTTTCTCATTATTCAGCTTCCGTGTTACTGAACTATCCTGTTCTTCCTTCTTCATATAACTGGCTCTACTTATTGTTGTTACTTTTAGGGTACTTAATTAATGTTTTACATTCAAGTTATTTTTATATTTGCATGGGCTGGCTTATAAGGTACTGCATTACAAGCTCTGTGCTTAAATTGCTTCATGCTTTCTCAGAGTCTAGTTATCATAATTATAATTAAAAATAATATAATTTTATCTGTTATGTAATATATTTTATCTGCTTAACAGATATCTGTTTATAGTATTTTTAATAATATAATTTTATCTGATATATAATTTAATAATATAAAATAATATATTTTAAAAATAAAATAATATATTTTATAAAAATATATTTTATCCATTATATTATATATGATTTAATAATATATTTTATCTGTTCCATTTCTGGTTCCTAATTATGTATACTTATATTTTCACTTTACAGAAAACAAGTAAACCAACTTGCTGGAAGTATGTATGTTTCATATTTTGAATAAAATTTGGATTATTTGTCAGAACTATTTTGTTTCTTTCATTATTCATTCATTAAAAAAAATCTTTAGGAATTTGTTTTTCCTGTCTTGTTTTGCTTGTATTTCTATTTCTTAGCTTTTTGTTTTTCTATATTATGAACTGAGTATTTGATTTATATTCATGCTTTCTTTGTTAAACAGTGAAGACTTGAAGCTCAGTACATGCTTTGAGCTCAGAATGGCTGTCTCCATTTGTATCATGAATCTGTGGCTTTCTAAGGAATGTAGACTGCAATTAATGTTGCAGGGATGTAGGTGTATTTATCTTTCAGAATTTGGGACTAAGCGTTATAATTTCCAAATAACCAAAGAAAGCTTAAATTTAATTTTTTTGATGTTTCAATTAAAAAATTCAAAATAAATTACACCTTATCTTGTCTTTAACATTTTTTTTAATGCGGGATTATCTATATTTCTTCATTTATCAATGTAAGTGAATAGCTACAACCCCCTACTCTGAAAAATGAGGAATTTAGGTCATTATATTACTTTCTCGTTACTCCTCCAACTCCCTCCCAAACTGCTACTCTCTCATTCAGTCACATATTTATTTTTCAGTTATTTTATTGGTTGCCTATATCAGTACATGATAGAATTAACCATCTGTTTCTTAACTGTAGGCAGACTCTCTTGACTGCCCTATTAGATGAAAGAATGAGTACATCTATGGTGCTCACCAACCCTCCCAACTTTTCCACATACCACCACCATCCTCCTTATTATGACTTTTATTTATTTATGCTTATATCATTTATATCTTATTCTATAAGTCTTTCATGCTTTCTCTATAGATTTATTGTAAATATTTTACTACAAGATGTCAAACAGTTGAGTATATAGATATTATTTACTAAGGAATGAGGTTGAGTTTTGAAACGATGGGGGGGAGAGGTAATCTTATTTTACTAAGTTTGGCTTCTTGAATGAGAAGCATGATTTATAAAACTTGAGGCATGGAGGTAAACATTTTATTTAAATTATCTAATATGATATTTACTCATCTTCTCACTACAATGATTCAGATTTTTCACCGTGCTTTTTGTTATAGGGAATTCATTCTCTTCTTCAAGACCGTCTTCTCAAAGGTTCTGATATGCAGTTCTGTATGGACCATTTTCCTTCTCATCCTGATATACACTCATTTTTCTAAGATTTCATTGTAATTCTGGGTTTGGTATGCTACATTTTTTCATCTTAGCTTTTATGTTGTCTTCTTTCTTCTGTTCCTTGTTTTAATTTTGCTAAAGAATATGTTTTAATAATTATTTGGGGAAAGTCTGCGAATTTTCTGAGTCCTTGAAAGTTTGAAAATGTTACTATTTTACTAGTTTATTTGGGTAGCAGCTTGGCTAGGCTCCAAATTATTTATTTTTCTTGGCTCAAAATTCTTTTTTTATCCTCAAAACTTTGATGGCATTGTCCCAGTTTCTTCTGGTACCCAGTATTATTGATGAGAAATTTTATGCTATCCTGAGCCTCAGCACTTTGAAAATCATCCACGTTTTTTCTTTCTGAAATCTTGTCTAATTTTTCTTTTTGTTCTTGGGGGTTCAGAAATTTCTAGAGGCTCTGCATGAGAAAAGTTCATTGAAAAAATTTAAAACAATTTACAGACTTTACTTTTTAGAATACTTTTAGATTTATGGAAAAATTGAGCACATAGTACAGAGAGTTCCCAAATACACTCACCCCATATATTCTATTTCTTCTATTAGAAACATGTTATGTCACTATGTTATATTACTATGTTATATTTGTTATCTTTAGTGAATCAATACTGGTACCTTATTATTAACTAAAGTTCATAGTTTGTCTCTCATTTCTTATTAACTGACTTTTTTTCTGCCTCAAGATCTCATCTAGGTTATCACATTTAGTTGTTGTGTCTTAGACTCCTCTTGGCTGTGAGTTTCTCAAACTTTCCTTGTTTTTGATGACCTTGGCAGTTTTTCAGAGTACTGGTTAGGTATATTGTAGCATGCCCATTTTTTGGATTAAAAAATTTCTTCATGAATAGACTGGGGTTATAAGATTTGGGGAGGAAGATCACAGAAGTAAAGTGTCATTTTCTTCACATCATATCAAACGCACATAGTGTCAACATGATTTGTGGCTGCTGACCTGGATTTTGATAATCTGACTGAAACTGTTTTTTCAGGTTTCTCCACTTTAAAGTTATCATTTTCTCCACTTTTTTGCACTACACTCTTTGCAAGGAGGACAGCCTATGGCTAAGGGATGCAGAGTTTTGCTCCCCCTCATTTAGAGTAACTACATAGACTTATTTGGAATTTTTCTGCAAGGTAATTTTGTCTCTTCTCCTCATTTATTAATTTATTTAATCATATTTATATATATATACACACACATACACATATATATTAGTATAGCCTCATAATTTTTTTTATACTCTGGGTTATAATCCAATGCTACTTTATTTTGTTGTTCAAATTGTTCCAGCTTTGGCCATTGGAAAAGCTTTCAATTGGCTTCTGTGCCTGTTTGACATACTCCATCAATGTAGTTTGCTTTTTTATTTTTCCTGAGGACTTTGTTACTTTCTGTCACCACCAGAACTCACTTTGTATACTTCCTGCTACAGTCCTAGAATCAGCAATTTCTCTGGGAACCTAAACTAGTTCAACCATTGTGGAAGACAGTGTGGTGATTCCTCAAGGATCTAGAACTAGAAATACCATTTGACCCAGCCATCCCATTACTGGGTATATACACAAAGGATTATAAATCATGCTGCTATAAAGACACATGCACACGTATGTTTATTGCGGCCCTATTCACAATAGCAAAGACTTGGAACCAACCTACATGTCCATCAATGATAGACTGGATTAAGAAAATGTGGCACATATACACCATGGAATACTATGCAGCCATGAAAAAGGATGAGTTCATGTCCTTTGTAGGGAGATGGATGAAGCTGGAAACCATCATTCTCAGTAAACTATCACAAGGACAGAAAACCAAACACCACATGTTCTCACTCATAGGTGGGAACTGAACAATGAGAACATGTGGACACAGGGTGGGGAACATCACACACCGGGTGGGGAACATCACACACCAGGGCCTGTCATGGGGTAGGGGGAGGGGGGAGGGATAGCATTAGGAAATATACCTAATGTAAATGAGGAGTTAATGGGTGCAGCACACCAACATGGCACATGTATACATATGTAACAAACCTACACGTTGTGCACATGTACCCATGGTTCCTTTTATTGAAAATGCCACAAGAACTAAGATTTGGGTCTTAACTGTGATGATTGAAACTAAGTGTCATTGCTTCTAGGGCCTCTCTGCTGACAGATTATAGAAATACATGTGTGCATACTAACACATGTGTATACACTCATATATATATTTCTATATGTAACCATCTACATTTATACAAATAAAAGCAGAGTTTTTATTGATGGCTACAATTCTAATGCATTACCACCTGAATCATCATAGCCTCCTTCCCTTACTATCTGTGAATCCTTGCTTCAGCAGCAAGAAGGCCGGATCCCACCAGCTACTATCCATTTACCTAATTGTTCAATTCCAATTACATGTATAGCAATATCAGAATTATTGACCTATACATCTGTGGTATACTGCACCTTTTCCCCTACCTGCTTTTGTGAGGTTATTT
The DNA here is from genome assembly GCF_000001405.40 of Homo sapiens. Classification (NCBI taxonomy): domain Eukaryota; kingdom Metazoa; phylum Chordata; class Mammalia; order Primates; family Hominidae; genus Homo; species Homo sapiens. The sequence continues at coordinate 78,665,248 of NC_000006.12, read as the reverse complement.
TCTACACTTGTAATAGATTGATGTGTTGCATTCTGCATTTCATCTTGAATTATTCTTACTGAAAGAGGGATGTTGAAGACCCCAAATGTAATAGTGGATTTGTTTATTTCTCCTTGCAGCTCTGTCAGTTTTTGCTTATGCATTTTGATGGTCAGTTGTTGCTGCATGCACATTAAAGATTATTATGTCTTCCTGGAAATTTTTCCTTATTTTGAAGTCTATTCTCTCTGAAATTAATGCTACTATTCCGGGTTGTTTTGATTAGGGTTAGTGATGTATGTCTTTCTCCATCTCTTTTTGTTTTACTTGTTTCTGACTTTATGTTTAAAGTGGATTTCTTGTAGATGGTAGATAGTTTGGTCTTGTTCTTGTTTTTGTTTTTTTAAAACCTATTCTGACTCTGACACCCCCCTGGTTTTAAATCAGTAATAATTTAGACTGTTCACATTTAAAGTGGCTTTTTAAATATATGTGGATTAATATCTACCATGTTTGTAATATTTCTTCTATTTGTTCCACTTTTTCTTTGTTATTTATTTATTTAAACTTTCCTTCTTTTTCTGATATCTTTGGTTTTAATTGAGCCTTTTATATAATTCCATTTTATTTCATTTTTTAGTTCATCATTTACACTTTTAAAATTTTTTAGTGATTGCTCTAAAGTTAGCAGTACACATCATAAAGTAATCTAAGTCCATTTTCAAATAGCACCATATTGCTTTTTACATATTAGGGCTGATTCTAGAAGTCATTTTTAAAAAAATTCTTTTAAAAATGTTTCCATTTTTCTTCTTGGTGATCCCTTTCAATTTAAAAATTTGTGTTGTATTTTCTCAGTTTGAAAAATTGCGCCTGATTTTTTTGTTATTTCCTCCCTTCTATTTTTTCTGTTTTTCCCTTGTGGAACTTTCTTAAATGAAAACTGAACCTCCATGACTGATCCTCTAGGTTGCTTACCTGTGTGTGTGTGTGTGTGTGTGTGTGTGTCTGTGTGTGTGTATGTGTGTGTGTGTGTATGTGTGTGTGTGTGTGTTGGTCTTGGCCATCTCTGAAAGAGCAAACTACAAGACCTGCAGACATGGTCAGGCCACCTGGACTGGCAAGGTTTGTTTTAGAGTATGGAGGCAGGGAGAAGACAATAAGACTACATGTCCTTTGGTCACTTCTCTGCCCACCTCCTCCAATGAAAAGAAAATCTTGCCAATAGCAAAGTAAGAAGGGCCTTCCTATGGTGATAACTCTGAGAGTTTTATTTAGATTACTTCATTTTTAAATAGGCTGTTTCTCTGGCATCAGCATGGTGGCAAAACACTATTTCAAGCCTGAGAGTAGGGAAGAACAATGTGGTGATGACACATACAGGGATCCTTCAGACAGTTCATGATTTACATTCCTCTGTTTCTGCCTCTTCTGTTAATTTATATTTCCATGCCCTCTGTCTGAAGGTGCTAAGTACATATCTCAGGGATTTGTTGTGAAGATTAAGTGGTACAGTAATGGAAAACCCATGCCATGTTGCCTGGCAGCTAGTAAGTACTCAACTGCTGGACACGGTGAATGTATAGATATACCTCATGCAAGGGAAGGAAAATTAGGTGCCATCTCTTGAAGAGAGGAGTATCAGACAATTTATGGATATATGAAAACCACTGCATTATTTCTAACAGCTTTTTTCTTAGGAATTTCTTAGGATTTTTTATGTACATGATCCTATAATATGCAAATAAGGAGAAATATTCCCCCTCCCTTCCAATCTGTATGCCTTTTGTTTTATTGCCTTGCCTTATTATACAACCTAAGAGCTCCAGTAAAATTATTTTAGAAATATTGAAATTAATTTACTATGAAGCACCTGAAGCACTAAACTTTCACTATTTGCTTTTTTTTTTTTGAGACTGAGTCTTTCTTGCTGTCACCAGGCTGGAGTGCAGTGGCACAATCTCTGCTCACTGCAACCTCTGCCTCCCAGGTTCAAGGGATTCTAGTGTCTCAGCCTCCTGAGTAGCTGTGACCACAAGTGTGCACCACCACGCCTGGCTAATTTTTGTCTTTTCAGTAGAGATGGGGTTTCACCATGTTGGTCAGGCTGGTCTCGAACTCCTGGCCTCAAGTGATCCACGTGCCTTTGCCTCCCAGGTGCTGGGATTACAGGCGTGAGCCACTGTGCCCAGCCTATTTGCATTTTTAAAAATAAAATGTCACGTGTTGTGACTATGCCAAGTTTTATTATTTTATTTCTCTCTCCTAGGAATAATCAGTAAACATTTCCATTGCTCTGTGATGCAAGTAATTAATAAAAATCTCCCTATACTGACTGCTTAGGGGAATTTTGTACTTTAATTGTTCATTCACTCTTTCACAAGTATACCCTTTCTCTAGTTTATTAATTTAGCAATTCATTCAACAACAATGAAAATTTGTATAATCAACTCTATGTCAAAGACAGTACTGGTGCTGGGTATACAGCACAACCAATACCAAGAATATCCTTTTTCTCACAAAACTCAAAATCTATCACAAGAAGCAGACATTAATCCAATAATTATAAAAATACGATAGTAGTCACTGGTGTGAAAACCTCTGTTGCTCTGAGAATGTATCAAGGGCTAATAAATGGCCTCAGCAGAGGGGGTTTAAAATGTCTCTTTAACTCTATGCATCCTGGTCGACCAAAGGTACTTTGAGAAAGAAGTCATTGCTGGAGAAAACTAACCTTAACTTAAGATTGTAAAAGTCTAATTAATATTACTCAGTGTTTAAAATAATCCCCTTTTGGTAATAAAGCATGACAAGTAATATTTTAGTTAATACATATTTTTCTGCATACATTCCCTAATAACATTTTCTTCCAATTTAAAGCATTTTTACTTAAGCACAGAATAAAGTGAATTTTATTGACTTCCAAGTGACCATTACATCGCAGGGGATTTATCTTTTGTTGTTCTGTTAGTTGAGGAATTTTAATTTCATAATTGGTAGGTGTAACTTATTTCTAAAACAGACTAGCAAATTTGCCAGAGGGAAGAATATTATTCTTTGTTAATAAACTGGGGAACTGAGGCATCTAGAGGTTAGAATTAGTTAAGGAGTCTTTTTTATGTATAGATATAGATTTGATTATTTCTATTTCTCCATCAGGTTATGCTGAATAACAAGAAACACCTCTATTTCTGAACAAACTTATCGGAATTTACCTTAAGTTAGAAATTTTAATTGGTATTAGCATAATGAGGTTTATGGATATTTGATTCTCTAAAGTTAACGTTCTGCCATTTACAACAAGAAAATTTGAAGCATTTTCATATTGTGGAGAAATTAAAACTTTTAATTTAGAATCATCTTTCTTAGTTTTAAAGAAATTTTGTGAAGCAAAAGCATAACTGAGTTGAAGTGGAAATAAATGAATAGTATTTGATTTATTTTTGTAGTGCCTACTGGTGTGCCATGAATAATGACAATGTTTACAACTGAGAGCACATTTAATGCATGTGTCATGCTGGGATTGGATAGAAGTGCTAACACTAAATAATTGCCTTTTTGTAAACTTGTGCCTTGATAATACAGCATATTTTTTAAAAGTACATGATTGGACACATGATTTTGTGTAAAAGTAGCTCATTAAGAAAACAAAAGACAACTTCAATATGGGTCTGAGTTAAAGAAAATGACACAGTAAAAGCTCTGATGGGCCATAAAAGATAATGTTGGATCACAAAGACTTCCTTCCTTCTTTCTTTACTGATCTGTGCTGTCCGAGAGGCATTAAAGTATGTCCTAAGATGCTTATGCTCTAAAAGATTGTAACTACTGAAGGATACTTACACTTTGGTTAGAAAGAGATAGTTCAAGGTTATTCTAAGTAAAATATTATATGTGCCACCTAAATTGCCAAAGCCAATAAATATAAAATATATTTATCTATCCATGTACTTTGAGTCTCAGATTTAGCACCAATATGGGCCCTCCACTGAATAAAGTTTTCAGAGAAGAATCTTCAAATAACTCAAAAGATATACTATGGCATCGTTCTTAATTAGAGCCCTTTAGCAAAAAAACATGGATATGAGTCCCTTACCCATCATTATTGTCAAGGATCAGGCAGTAAAAGGCGTATGTACTTTCTGTAGACATTGGTTAAAGGTAAAAGAAGTGGGGGTTGGGAGGAGGGAGATAGCACCAACAATTATTGAGTGTCTGCTATATTCCAGGCTCTTAAATAAGAATAGTAACTAATAATAGTTAAACAATCATTGTGCTAAGTGATTTATGTAGATGATTTTATTTCATTCCCCATGACATAGCTATAAAGAAGATGCTGTTATTTCCAATTTACCTGTGGGTTAAAATGATACCTTGCAAGGTTAATTAAATTTACTGGTTTAAAATGCGGGTATCTGACTCCACAGCTCTTAACCACTATGTCAGTTTACATGTGATTGCGTATTCCTTCCTAATTATACACTTTATGAGGTAGACATTATTACCATTTTTAAGATTTGCAAACAGAAACTGAGGAGATACCTTTTCAAAGACCATATGGCTCATAAGTGTGTTATTTCATTCTAATCTAAATCTATAAATTTAGGGTAGGTTGTATAATATGGAGGGAAAACACAGATATTAAGAAGCATGTTTGAAAACATATATTAGAGAGAAGTCTAGATAAAATAATCACAGAGAAGAGGTGTTTGAGGGTAAATATCTTCATATTCTAAGACAGTGGCAAGTAGCGAATAATGTAGGAAGAGTTGTTATTTCTTTTCCATCTCCCTAAGAACTTTCTTTCAAGCATAAAGAAATTCCAATGGGATCAGTTCACTTTCTAGATGCAATTTTGACCATGGTTACTAGTAGGTGGGATTACTGTTTCTTATAGAAGTTCTTGTATCTATGCATAGTAGTTATCTGTCTTCTATGCATTTTGATTGTTAACTGTATTCAGGGCCTCCTCACAGTTGAGTATGTTGGTTTTTGCATCTAGTTCCTATTCTTTCCAGCCATCAGCAAGTAGTAACAAAGATGCAAGTGTTGGACTCAGACTTGAAGGAAGGTAGGGTACTGCAGTTTCAACTCGAACCAAAGCTACATGCTCAATCCAAGATTTACTAGAGCCCTATATTAATCTTTATCAGACACAGACTTAAATATTAATAAAATGTTACTTCTTCTTCTGTATCACTGATGTCTTTGCACTAATCTCTATCAGAAACCTCTAGACAGACTGAGGGTGAAGGTGGATTAGGAATATAGACAGCGCAGAATTTTACTATTCCTGTGTCCCTGGCTAAAATAACAATCAATAGCAAAAACCCAATATTAACTCTAGTAAAATTCATTCTTTTGACAGCTATGTTAGAAAAGGAGGGTCCAAGTGATGAAATAGGTCTTATAACAGTATAAATATGTTGGAAAGTATCGATTAGTTTTTTAGCAGTTTTCAATGAATTTGTATTTTAATTCTTGGAGAAAGAATTGCAAGTTATATGTTGGTATAAATATTGACCTAGTTAACTGTTGTCATTGCATTGATCAGGTATGTTTCAAGAAATTCCAATAAACAAATATTTAAAGGAATTTTCAAATTAACATCAGAATATTCCTATTTGTGTTGGTTCTGAGGACAGAAGAAGGATTGGTAAGTGGAAATGCAAGAGGCATATTTTTGGGCCCAATAAGAGAAAAATGAAGAAAACAATGGATGGAGTTGCATGAAAAGCATTGCCAGTTGGATTCCCTAGGAGCAGTCTCTGGGACAGAGTTTAGTGTTCAGGGAATTATTTGAAAAGTGCCCATGGAATGCATGTGGAAAGCAGGAGAACTAAGTAGAATTCTGCAGATTTTTAACTACAATGGAAGCCCAGTGGCCCCTCAAAATTGTCTTCAGTTGGGCCAATCATTGGCTCTGAGTATTCTGGAGGTGCATGTCTCTGGGTGAGGCAGGCCTACGCAGCTGAGGCCATCCCCAGAGAAGACTGTTTACTACTAGCACACCAGGAGCTGGCAATGAGTCCTCCATGAAGGGTGTCCAGTGGCATATCATAATGTTCACCACTGATAGTTACTCATGACTGGTTATGTTCAAATATACCCTTGATGATCATTTACTAGAAAAGCTGGAGAATAAATTTTTGTATTGAGGAGAGACACTGGTGTCCTTTACGGGCTCCTTTCAACTATATTTTTCTATAAGCCAATAAAAATTGAAATGTCTTGACATCATGGTATTAATCCAGCCTCATTAACTTCTGAATGGAGATCAAACTCAATGAGACTGATAAAAATTTGGAACACTTAAAGGATAAAAAAACTGTTGAACTTATTTCTTATTTTAGTACTTCTTTTACACCAGGCATTAAGCTGGATAAATCAAAGGAGACCATATACCATAATGAAATTTATGAACATTAAGAAGATCACTGAGAAAATAAAGGACTGATTTTTTGACAGATTTTTTTCTGAGTATATTGTATTTAACTTTTTACTATGTAGTGTAATATATTCTGCACAATCTAGTAAAAAAATTTTAAAAGTGAATCAAAAATTTAAAAAGTGAAGTTTACCTTCTTAAGTATATCAGTTAATACCATTCTCACCATGAAGATGGAGACAAACTTGCAAATTGGGAGGACATTGATGCCTGATTGGTAAGAGACCTACCATCCTTGTACTTCTGTGAGAAGATAGATGGAGGTGAAACAGGTTGTCACTTAATATAAAGGTGAGATAAAAAAGTCTCACATATTTATTTCTTCTAAACTTCCTAACATAGAGAAATATATACATAGTATGAATGCTTAATAGGGATATTGACAAAACACTTCAAAAGACAAAAATTTAATTTTTTGTTGATGAGAACAGATTTCTCATGAATTGTGATGAAGTCATTGCCAAGAGCTTTGTTTGAAGACTTGCAGTTTGATTAAGAATTAGAGAGCTTCTCACTTTGAGGAGTATATTTACTTTTAACTAAATCCAGAACTTACGCATCATTCTCAGTCAGGGCCACGGGCAAGTGTGTCTTCATTTTACCTTTCTTGTCATAGACAGGGTCATCTGTAGAATTCTAGGCTAGTGGAGCTGGCTTATTCAGTGCAGGGCAAGATAGTTGCAATTTGAAGTGATTCAACAGTGGGGATTGAATCAGGTGTTTTCTGAAAACTTCCTACCCCACTGGCTTTCATTTTGGTTCTTCTTTTTGTAGCATGCTTCTTATGTTTAGCCATGATTATCTTCTTTTTGTTCTCCTCTTTCAGTGGGCTCTGAATACTTCTGTTCCACTACTTTCAAAATAATTATATTATAATTATAATATAGATTCATTGAAAAAAACTTGGAAAATACAGGAAATCTTTGTATTTCTACTAATCAGAGTTATCTACCTAACATTTTTCAGTCTCTTTTTCTTTTCTTTTCTTTCTTTCTTTTTTTTTTTTTTTTGTTGTCAGACGGAGTCTCGCTGTCTCCCAGGCTGGAGTGCAGTGGCGCGATCTCGGCTTACTGCAAGCCTCTCGGGTTCACGCCATTCTCCTGCCTCAGCCTCTCGAGTAGCTGGGACTACAGGTGCCCGCCACCATGCCCGGCTAATTTTTTGTGTTATTAGTAGAGACGGGGTTTCACCATGTTAGCCAGGATGTTCTCAATCTCCTGACCTCGTGATCCGCCCGCCTCGGCCTCCCAAAGTGCTGGGATTACAGGCGTGAGCCACCGCGCCCGGCCAGTCTCTTTTTCTTAAAAACACAAATTGATTTATGATGTAAATATTAAGGACTGCTTATTGCCACTCGTTAAATACATATATTTAGCATCTTCCAAGTCATTAAACTTTATTGCTTGGATAGCTTTCCATTATTGAATGCATAATTTACCTCATCAATCCCCTATATTTGGATGTTGAGGTTGCTTAAACTTTTTCAGTATTATAAATATTACTGAGATATATATTCTTATTCTTATAACTTTGTGCATTTCACTGATTATTTCTTAGGATGAAAGGGAATATGAAATATTTAAAAAAAGGTTTTAGTAAACTTTGTTAAAATCTCCCCCCCAGTTTTAGATGTATTTATACTCAGTTCTGCTTTATGTTAAATAAACTTTTCTCTGAATGCTTGCTTCTGAACAAAGACTTCTCTCATTGTTGTTAAAATTTGCTAATTTGACAATCAAAATTTGGCATCCTGTTTTATAATTTATAGTTATTTAATACATAGTATTGAATACAGTTACGCACCGCATAATAACACTTTCATCAACAATGGATGGCATATACGACACTGGTCTCATAAGATTATAATGGAGCTGAAAAATTCCTGTCACTTAGTGACATAGCTGTCATAATGTTGTAGTGCAACACATTGCTCACGTGTTTGCGGTGATGGTGGTGTAAACAAACCTACTGCACTGCTAGCCATACAAGAGTACAGCACCTACAATTATGTATGTACATAATACTTGATAATAATAATGAATAACTCTGTTACTGGTTTACTTATGTAGCATAAATATTTTAGGTTGTGTTCCTTTTACTTATGTAAAATAAAAGGTAAGTGTAAAACAGCCTCAGGCAGGTCCTTTATAAGGTATTCCACACTAGGTCTTAGCCAAAAGTCCAGGAAGTGATGGGAAGTATTCTGGAAGAAGGCATTATTATAATAGGAGATAATAGCTCCGTGTGTGTTATTGTCCTGGAAGACTTTCTAGTGCAATAAGATGTGGAGGTGGAAGACAGTGATATTGAGATTCTGACCCTGTTTATGCCTAGGATAATGTTTACGTTTGTGTCTTATATTTAACAAAAATGTTTAAAAGTAAAAAAAAAAATTAAAAACAAAAAAGCTTATAGAATAAGGATATTAAGAAAGAAAATATTTTTGTACAGCTGTACAATGTCTTTGTGTTTTAAGTTAAGTGTTATTACAAAAGACACAAAAGTTAAAAAAATTAATAAGTTTCTAAAGTAAAAAAGCTGAAAAAGATCAGGGGGATCTGGCAACATGGCCAAATAGGAACAGCACCGGTCTGTAACTCCCAGTGAGACCAACACAGTAGTCAGGTGATTTCTGCATTTCCAACTGAGGTACCCTGTTCATCACATTGGGACTGGTTAGGCAGTGGGTACAGCCCATGGAGGGCGAGCAGAAGCAGCGTGGGGCATCACCTCACCCAGGAAGTGGGTGGCCTCCCCCAGCCAAGGGAAGCTGTGAGGGACTGTGCTATCTGGCCCAGATACTATAATTTTCCTGTGGTTTTTGCAGTCTGCAGACCAGGAGATTCCCTCAGGTTCCTACACCACCAGGGCCCTGGATTTCAAGCACAAAAATGGGTGGCCTTTTGGGCAGACACTGAGCTAGCTGCAGGAGTTTTTTTATCCCCCCATACCACAGTGGCACCTGGAATCCCAGCGAGACAGAACCATTCACTCCCCTGGAAAAGGGGTTGAAGCCAGGGAGCTAACTGGTCTCGCTCAGTGGGTCCCACTACCATGGAGCCCAGCAAGCTAAGAACCACTGGCTTGAAATTCTCCCTGCCAGTACAGCAGTCTGAAGTTGACCTCGGATGATTGAGCTTGGTGGAGGGAGTGGCATCTGCCATTACTGAGGCTCGAGTAGATGGTTTTCCCCTGATAGTGCTAAGGAGGCCTGGAAGTTTGGACTGGGCAGAGCTTGACACAGTGTGGCAAAGTGGTTGTGGCCAGACTGCCTCTCTAGATTCCTCTTCACTGGGCATGGCATCTCTGAAAGAAAAGCAGCAGCCCCAGTCAGGGACTTATAGATAAAACTCCCATCTCCCTGGGACAGAGCACCTGAGGGAAGGGATGGCTGTGGGCATAGCTTCAGCAGACTCAACCTTTCCTACCTGCCAGCTCTGAAGAGAGCAGCAGATCCTGACAAAGAATGTTCTCCGAGCACGGCACTCGAGCTCTGCTAAGGGACAGACTGCCACCTCAAGTGGGTCCCCAACCTCAGTGCCTCCTGACTAGGAGAGACCGCCCATTCAGGAGACCTCTGGCAGACATCAGGACAGTGCCCCTCTGGGATGAAGCTTCCAGAGGAAGGGAGCAGGCAGCAATTTTTGCTGTTCTACAGCCTCTACTGGTGATACCCAGGCAAATAGGGTCTGGGGTGAACCTCTAGCAAACTGCAGCAGACCTGCAGAAGAGGGAACTGACTGTTAGAAGAAAAACTAACAAACAGAAAGCAATAACATCAACATCAACAAAAAGGACCCTCACACAAAAACCCCATCCAAAGGTCATCAGTCTCAAGGATCAAAGGTAGGTAAATCCAAGAAGATGAGGAAAAATCAAAGGAAAAATCAAAGCAAAAATGCTGAAAAATCCAAAAACCAGAGTGCCTCTTCTCCTCCAAATGATTGCAACTCCTCTCCAGCAAGGGCACAAAACTGGATGGAGAATAAGTTTGATGAACTGACAGAAGTAGACTTCAGAAGGGGGTAATAACAAACTCCTCTGAGCTAAAGGAGCATGTTCTAACCCAATGCAAGGAAGCTAAGAACCTTGATAAAAGGTTACAGGAACTGCAAACTAAAATGCCAGTTTAGAAAAGAACATAAGTGACCTAATGGAGGTGAAAAACACAGCATGAGAACTTCATGAAGCATACACAAGTATCAATAGCCAAATCTATCAAGCAGAAGAAAGGATATCAGAGATGAAGATCAACTACTGAAATAAGGCGTGAAGGCAAGATTAGAGAAAAACGAATGAAAGGGAATAAACAAAGCCTCTGAGAAATATGGGACTACGTGAAAAGACGAAACCTACAATTGATTAGGGTCCCTGAAAGTGATGGGGAGAATGGAACCAAGTTGGAAAACACACTTCGGGATATTATCCAGGAAAACTTCCCAGGCTAGCAAGACAGGCCAACATTCAAATTCAGGAAATACAGAGAACACCACTAAGATACTCCTCAAGAAGAGCAACCAGAAGACATGTAATTATCAGATTCTCTAAGGTTGAAATGATGGAAAAAATGTTAAGGACAGCCAGAGAGAAAGGTCAGGTTACTTATAAAGGGAAGCCCATCAGACTAACAGTGGATCTTTCGGCAGAAACCCTGTAAGCCAGAAGAGAGTGGGGGCCAATATTCAACATTCTTCAAGAAAAGAAGTTTCAGCCCAGAATTTCATATCCAGCCAAACCAAGCTTCATAAGTGAAGGAGAAATAAAATCCTTTACAGACAAGCAAATGGTGAGATATTTTGTCACCACCAGGCCTGCCTTACAAGAGCTCCTGAAGGAAGCACTAAATGTGGAAAGGAAAAACCAGTACAAGCCACTGCAAAACCACACCAAAATACAAAGAACAATGATGCTATGAAGAAACTGCATCAACTAATGTGCAAAATAACCAGCCAGAATCATGATGACAGGATCAATTTCACACATAACCGTATTAACCTTAAGTGTTAATGCGCTAAATGCCCCAATTAGAAGACATAGACTGGCAAATTGGATAAAGAGTCTAGACCCATTGGTGTGCTGTATCAGGAGACCCATCTCATATGCAAAGACACACATAGGCTCAAAATAAAGGGATAGAAGAATATTTACCAAGCAAATGGAAAGGAAAAAAAGCAAGGGTTGCAATCCTAGTCTCTGATAAACCAGACTTTAAACCAACAAAAATCAAAAAAGACAAAGAAGGGTATTATATAATGGTAAAGGGATCAATGGAACAAGAAGAGCTAACTATCCTAAATATATATGCACCCAATACAGGAGTACCCAGATTCATAAAACAAGTTTTTAGAGACCTACAGAGAGACTTACACTTCCGCACAATAATAGTGGGGGATTTGAACACCCCACTGTTAATATTAGATAAACAAGACAGAAAATTAACAAGGATATTCAGGACTTCAGCTCAGCTCTGGACCAAGTGGACCTAACAGACATCTACAGAACTCTCCATCCCAAATCAACAGAATATACACTCTTCTCAGCACCACATAGCACTTATTCTAAAATCGACCACATAATTGGAAGTAAAACACTCCTCAGCAAATGCAAAAGAACGTAAATCATAACAGCCTCTCAGACCACAGAGCAATCAAATTAGAACTCAGAATTAAGAAACTCACTCAAAACTGCACAACTACATGGAAACTGAACAACCTGCTCCTGAATGACTACTGGGTAAATAACAAAATTAGGCAGAAATAACGAAGTTCTTTGAAACCAATGAGAACAAAGAGACAATGTACCAGAATCTGTGGGACACAGCTAAAGCAGTGTTTAGAAGGAGATTTACAGCAGTAAATACCCACCTCAGAAAGTGGGAAAGATCAAAGTCGACACCATAATATCACAATTAAAAGAACTAGAGAAGCCAGAGCAAACAAATTTTTTTTTTATTATTATACTTTAAGTTTTAAGGTACATGTGCACGACATGTAGGTTTGTTACATATGTATACATGTGCCATGTTGGTGTGCTGCACTCGTTAACTCGTCATTTAGCATTAGGTATATCTCCTAATGCTATCTCTCCCCCCTCCCCCCACCCCACAACATTCCCCGGTGTGTGTTCTTCCCCTTCCTGTGTCCATGTATTCTCATCGTTCAGTTCTCACCTATGAGTGAGAACATGCGGTGTTTGGTTTTTTGTCCTTTGATAGTTTGCTGAGAATGATGGTTTCCAGCTTCATCCATGTCCCTACAAAGGACATGAACTTATCATTTTTTATGGCTACATAGTATTCCACGGTGTATATGTGCCACATTTTCTTAATCCAGTCTATCATTGTTGGACATTTGGCTTGGTTCCAAGACTTTGCTATTGTGAAGAGTGCCACAATAAACATATGTGTGCATGTGTCTTTATAGCAGCATGATTTATAATACTTTGGGTATATACTCAGTAATGGGATGGCTGGGTCAAATGGAATTTCTAGTTCTAGATCACTGAGGAAGTGCCACACTGTCTTCCACAATGGTTGAACTAGTTTACAGTCCCACCAACAGTGTAAAAATGTTCCTATTTCTCCACATCCTCTCCAGCACCTGTTGTTTCCTGACTTTTTAATGATCGCCATTCTAACTGGTGTGAGATGGTATCTCATTGTGGTTTTGATTTGCATTTCTCTGATGGCCAGTGATGATGAGCATTTTTTCATGTGTCTTTTGGCTACATAAATGTCCTCTTTTGAGAAGTGTCTGTTCATATCCTTTGCCCACTTTTTGATGGGGTTGTTTGTTTTTTTCTTGTAAATTTGTTTGAGTTCATTGTAGATTCTGGATATTAGCCCTTGGTCAGATGAGTAGATTGCAAAAATTTTCTCCCATTCTGTAGGTTGCCTGTTCACTCTGATGGTAGTTTCTTTCACTGTGCAGAAGCTCTTTCATTTAATTAGATCCCATTTGTCAATTTTGGCTTTTGTTGCCATTGCTTTTGGTGTTTTAGACATGAAGTCCTTGCCCATGCCTATGTCCTGAATGGTATTGCCTAGGTTTTCTTCTAGGGTTTTTATGGTTTTAGGTCTAACATGTAAGTTTTTAATCCATCTTGAATTAATTTTTGTATAAGGTGTAAGGAAGGGATCCAGTTTCAGCTTTCTACATATGACTAGCCAGTTTTCCCAGCACCATTTATTAAACAGGGACTCCTTTCCCCATTTCTTGTTTTTGTCAGGTTAGTCAAAGATCAGATAGTTGTAGATATGCGTCATTATTTCTGAGGTCTGTGTTCTGTTCCATTGGTCTATATCTCTGTTTTGGTACCAGTACCATGCTGTTTTGGTTACTGTAGCCTTGTAGTATAGTTTGAAGTCAGGTAGCATGATGCCTCCAGCTCTGTTTTTTTGGCTTAGGATTGACTTGGCAGTGCAGGCTCTTTTTTGGTTCCATATGAACTTTAAAGTAGTTTTTTCCAATTCTGTGAAGAAAGTCATTGGTAGCTTGATGGGGATGGCATTGAATCTATAAATTACCTTGGGCAATATGGCCATTTTCACGATATTGGTTCTTCCTACCCATGAGCATGGAATGTTCTTCCATTTGTTTGTATCCTCTTTTATTTCATTGAGCAGTGGTTTGTAGTTCTGCTTGAAGAGGTCCTTCCCATCCCTTGTAAGTTGGATTCCTAGGTATTTTATTCTCTTTGAAGCTATTGTGAATGGGAGTTCACTGATGATTTGGCTCTCTGTTTGTCTGTTATTGGTGTATAAGAATGCTTGTGACTTTTGTACATTGATTTTGTATCCTGAGACTTTGCTGAAGTTGCTTATCAGCTGAAGGAGATTTTGGGCTGAGACGATGGGGTTTTCTAGATATACAATCATGTCATCTGCAAACAGGGACAATTTGACTTCCTCTTTTCCTAATTGAATGCCCTTTATTTCCTTCTCCTGCCTGATTGCCCTGGCCACAACTTCCAACACTATGTTGAATAGGAGTGGTGAGAGAGGGCAACCCTGTCTTGTGCCAGTTTTCAAAGGGAATGCTTCCAGTTTTTGTCCATTCAGTATGATATTGGCTGTGGGTTTGTCATAGACAGCTCTTATTATTTTGAGATATATCCCATCAATACCTAATTTATTGAGAGTTTTTAGCATGAAGTGTTGTTGAATTTTGTCAAAGGCCTTTTCTGCTTCTATTGAAATAATCATGTGGTTTTTGTCTTTGGTTCTGTTTATATGCTGGATTACGTTTATTGATTTTCATATGTTGAACCAGCCTTGCATCCCAGGGATGAAGCCCACTTGATCATGGTGGATAAGCTTTTTGATGTGCTGCTGGATTTGGTTTGCCAGTATTTTATTGAGGATTTTTGCATCAATGTTCATCAAGGATATTGGTCTAAAATTCTCTTTTTTTGTTGTGTCTCTGCCAGGCTTTGGTATCAGGATGATTCTGGCCTCATAAAATGAGTTAGGGAGGATTCCCTCTTTTTCTATTGATTGGAATAGTTTCAGAAGAAGTGGTACCAGCTCCTCCTTGTACCTCTGGTAGAATTTGGCTGTGAATCCATCTGGTCCTGGACTTTTTTTGGTTGGTAAGCTATTAATTATTGCCTCAATTTCAAAGCCTGTTCAGAGATTCAACTTCTTCCTGGTTTAGTCTTCTGAGGGTGTATGTGTCGAGGAATTTATCCATTTCTTCTAGATTTTCTAGTTTTTTCGCATAGAGGTGTTTACAGTATTCTCTGATGGTAGTTTGTATTTCTGTGGGAGCAGTGGTGATATCCCCTTTGTCATTTTTTATTGCGTCTATTTGATTCTTCTCTCTTTTCTTCTTTATTAGTCTTGCTCACGGTCTATCAATTTTGTTGCTGTTTTCAAAAAACCAGCTCCTGGATTCATTGATTTTTTGAAGAGTTTTTTGTGTCTCTATTTCCTTCAGTTCTTCTCTGATCTGAGTTATTTCTTGCCTTCTGCTAGCTTTCGAATGTGTTTGCTCTTGCTTCTCTAGTTCTTTTAATTGTGATGTTAGGGTTTCAATTTTAGATCCTTCCTGCTTTCTCTTGTGGCCATTTAGTGCTATAAATTTCCCTCTACACACTGCTTTGAATGTGTCCCAGAGATTCTGGTGTGTTGTGTCTTTGTTCTCGTTGGTTTCAAAGAACATCTTTATTTCTGCCTTCATTTCGTTATGAACCCAGTAGTCATTCAGGAGCAGGTTGTTCGGTTTCCATGTAGTTGAGCAGTTTTGAGTGAGTTTCTTAATCCTGAGTTCTGGTTTGATTGCACTGTGGTCTAAGAGACAGTTTTTTATAATTTCTGTTCTTTTACTTTTGCTGAGGAGTGCTTTACTTCCAACTATGTGGTCCATTTTGGAATAGGTGTGGTGTGGTGCTGAAAAGAATGTATAGTCTGTTGATTTGGGGTGGAGAGTTCTGTAGATGTCTATTAGGTCTGCTTGGTGCAGAGCTGAGTTCAATTCCTGGATATCCTTGTTAACTTTCTGTCTTGTTGATCTGTCTAATGTTGACAGTGGGGTGTTAAAGTCTCCCATTATTATTGTGTGGGAGTCTAAGTCTCTTTGTAGGTCTCTAAGGACTTGCTTTATGAATGTGAGTGCTCCAGTATTGGGTGCATATATATTTAGGATAGTTAGCTCTTCTTGTTGAATTGATCCCTTTACCATTATGTAATGGCCTTCTTTGTCTCTTTTGATCTTTGTTGGTTTAAAGTCTGTTTTATCTGAGACTAGGGTTGCAACCCCTGCCTTTCTTTGTTTTCCATTTGCTTGGTTGATCTTCCTCCGTCCCTTTATTTTGAGCCTATGTGTGTCTCTGCACTTGAGATGGGTTTCCTCAATACAGCACACTGATGGGTCTTGACTCTTTATCCAATTTGCCAGTCTGTGTCTTTTAGTTGGAGCATTTAGCAATTTACATTTAAGGTTAATATTGTTATGTGTGAATTAGATCCTGCCATTATGGTGTTAGCTGGTTATTTTGCTTGTTGGTTGATGCAGTTTCTTCCTAGCCTCGATGGTCTTTACAATTTGGCATGTTTTTGCAGTGACTGGTACTGGTTGTTCCTTTCCATGTTTAGTGCTTCCTTCAGGAGCTCTTTTAGGGCAGGCCTGGTGGTGACAAAATCTCTCAGCATTTGTTTGTCTGTAAAGGATTTTATTTCTCCTTCAGTTCTGAAGCTTAGTTTGGTTGGATATGAAATTCTGGGTTGAAAATTCTTTTCTTGAAGAATGTTGAATATTGGCCCCCACTCTCTTCTGGCTTGTACAGTGTCTGCCAAGAGATCAGCTGTTAGTCTGATGGGCTTCCCTTTGTGGGTAACCCGACCTTTCTCTCTGGCTGCCCTTAATATTTTTTCCTTCATTTCAACTTTGGTGAATCTGACAATTATGTGTCTTGGAGTTGCTCTTCTTGAGGAGTATCTTTGTGGCATTCTCTGTATTTCCTGAATTTGAATGTTGGCCTGCCTTGCTAGATTGGGGAAGTTCTCCTGCATAATATCCTGCAGAGTATTTTCCAACTGGTTCCATTCTCCCCGTCACTTTCAGGTACACCAATCAGACGTAGATTTGGTCTTTTCACATAGTCCCGTATTTCTTGGAGGCTTTGTTCATTTCTTTTTATTCTTTTTTTCTGTAAACTTCTCTTCTCACTTCATTTCATTCATTTCGTCTTCCATCGCTGATATCCTGTCTTCCAGTTGATCGCATAAGCTACTGAGGCTTGTGCATTCATCACGTACTTCTCATGCCATGGTTTGCAGCTCCATCAGCTCCTTTAAGGACTTCTCTGCATTGGTTATTCTAGTTAGCCTTTCATCTAATTTTTTTCAAGGTTTTTAACTTCTTTGCCATTGGTTCAAACTTCTTCCTTTAGCTCAGATTTGTTTGATCTTCTGAAGCCATCTTTTGTCAACTTGTCAAAGTCATTCTCTGTCCAACTTTGTTCCGTTGTGGTGAGGAGCTGCATTCCTTTGGAGGAAGAGAGGCACTCTGATTTTTACAGTTTCTGGTTTTTCTGCTCTGTTTTTTCCCCATCTTTGTGGTTTTATCTACCTTTGGTCTTTGATGATGGTGACGTACAGAGGGGTTTTTGGTGTGGATGTCCTTTCTGTTTGTTAGTTTTCCTTCTAACATTCAGGACCCTCAGCTGCAGGTCTGTTGGAGTTTGCTTGAAGTCCACTCCAGACCCCGTGTGCCTGGGTATCAGCAGCAGAGGCTGAAGAACAGCGGATATTGGTGAACCACAAATGCTGCTGCCTGATCATTCCTCTGGAAGTTTTGTCTCAGAGGAGTACCCGGCTGTGTGAGGTGTCAATCTGCCCCTACTGGGGGGTGCCTCCCAGTTAGGCTACATCGGGGTCAGGGACCCACTTGAGGAGGCAGTCTGCCTGTTTTCAGATCTCAAGCTGCGTGCTGGGAGAACCACTACTCTCTTCAAAGCTGTCAGACAGGGACATTTAAGTCTGCAGAGGTTACTGCTGCCTTTTGTTTGTCTGTGCCCTGCCCCCAGAGGTGGAGCCTACAGAGGCAGGCACGCCTCTTTGAGCTGTGGTGGGCTCCACCCAGTTTGAGCTTCCCTGCCACTTTCTTTACCTACTCAAGCCTTGGCAATGGCGGGCGCCCCTCCCCCAGCCTCGCTGCAGCCTTGCGGTTTGATCTCAGACTGCTGTGCTAGCAATGAGCGAGGCTCCGTGTGTGTAGGACCCTCCAAGCTAGGTGCGGCATGTAATCTCCTGGTGTGCCGTTTGTTAAGCCTGTTGGAAAAGCGCAGTATTAGAGTGGGAGTGACCTGATTTTCCAGGTGCCGTCTGTCACCCCTTTCTTTGACTAGGAAAGAGAATTCCCTGACCCCTTGCACTTCCTGGGTGAGGCAATGCCTCGCCCTGCTTCGGCTCATGCTCAGTTCACTGCACCCACTGTCCTGCACCCACTGTCTGGCACTCCCCAGTGAGATGAACCCGCTACCTCAGTTGGAAATGCAGAAATCACCCATCTTCTGCGTCACTCACGCTGGGAGCTGTAGACTGGAGCTGCTCCTCTTCGGCAATCTTGGCTCCACCCTCAAGAGCAAACAAATTTAAAAGCTCGTAGAAGACAAGAAATAACTAAGATCAGAGCACAACTGAAAGAGACAGAGACATGAAGAACTTTTCAAAAATCAGTGAATCAGGGAGCTGGTTTTTGAAAAGATTAACTAAATAGACAGACCGCTAGCCAGACTAATAAAGAAGAAAAGAGGGAAGAATCAAATAGACACAATAAAAATTGATAAAGGGGATATCACCACTGATCCCATAGAAATACAGACTACCATTAGAGAATACTATAAATACCTCTACGCAAATAAACTAGAAAATTTAGAAGAAATAGGTAACTTCCTGGACACATACACCACAGGAAGAAGTAGAATCCCTGAATAGACCAATAACAAGGTCTGAAATTGAGGCAGTAATTTAAATCCTGCCAACCAAAAAAAACAAAAAAAGAAAGAAAAAATCCAAGACCAGATGGATTCACAGCCAAATTCTACCAGAGGTACAAAGAAGAGCTGGTACCATTCCTTCTGAAACTATTCAAAACAATAGAAAAAGAGGGACTCCTCCCTAACTCATTTTTTGAGGCCAGCGTTATCCTGATTCCAAAGCCTGGCAGAGACACAACAAATAAAATTTCAGGCCAATATCCCTGATGAACATCCATGCAAAAATCTTCAATAAAATGCTGGCAAACTGAATCCAGTAGCATATCAAAAAGCTTATTCACCATGATCAAGTTAGCTTCATCCCTGGGATGCAAGGCTGGTTCAACTTATGCAAATCAATAAACATAAACTATCACATAAACAGAACTAATGACAAAAACCACATGATTATTTCAATAGATGCAGAAAAGGCCTTTGATAAAATTTAACACCCTTCATGCTAAAAACTCTCAATAAACTAAGTATTGGTGGAACATATCTCAAAATAACATGGGCTATTTATCACAAGCGTATAGCCAACATCATACTGTATGGGCAAAATCTGGAAGCATTCCCTTTGAGAACCAGCACAGGACAAGGATGCCCTCTCTCACTACTCCTGTGCAACATAGTATTGGAAGTTCTGGCCAGGGCAATCAGGCAAGAGAAAGAAATAAAAGGTATTACAATAGGAAGAGAGGAAGTCTCTGTAGATGACATGATTGTATATTTAGGAAACCCTATCATCTCAGCCCCAAGTCTCCTTAAGCTGATAAGCAACTTCAACACAGTCTCAGGATACAAAATTAATGTGCAAAAATCAGAAGCATTCCTATATACCAATAACAGACAAACAAAGAGCCAATTCATGAGTGAACTCCCATTAATTGCTATAAAGAGAAAAAAATACCTAGGAATCCAACTTACAAGGGATGTGAAGGACCTCTTCAAGGAGAACTACAAACCACTGCTCAAGGAAATAAGAGGAGACACAAACAAATGGAAAAACATTCCATGCTCATGCATAGGAAGAATCAATATTGTGAAAATGGCCATACTGCCCAAGGTAATTTATAAACTCAGTGCTATCCCCATCAAGTTACCACTGATTTTCTTCACAGAATTGGAATAAACTACTTTAAATTTCATATGGAACCAAAAAAGAGCCCACATCACCAAGACAATCCTAAGCAAAAAGAACAAAGCTGGAGGCATCACACTACCTGACTTCAACTGTACTACAATGCTACCGTAACCAAAACAGCATGGTACTGGTACCAAAACAGATATATAGACCACTGGAACAGAACAGAGGCCTCAGAAATAACACTACACATCTACAACCATCTGATCTTTGACAAACCTGACAATAACAAGAAATGGGAAAAGGATTCCCTATTTAATAAATGGTGCTGGGAAAACTGGCTAGCTATATGCAGAAAACTGAAACTGGATTCCTTCCTTACTCCTTATGCAAAAATCAACTCAAGAAGGATCAAAGACTTAATAGTAAGACCTAGGACCATAAAAATCCTAGAAGAAAACCTGGAAACCTGGGCAATATCATTCAGAACATAGGCATGGGCAAAGACTTCATGTCTAAAACACCAAAAGCAATGGGAACAAAAGCCAAAATGGACAAATGTGATCTAATTAAACTAAAGAGCTTCTGCACAGCAAAAGAAACTATCATCAGAGTGAACAGACAACCTACAGAATGGGAGAAAATTTTTGCAATCTACCCATCTGACAAAGGACTAATATTCAGAGTGTACAAAGAAGTTAAACAAATTTACAAGAAAAAAGCAAACAGCCCCATCAAAAAATGGGCAAAGGATATGAACAGACACTTCTCAAAAGAAGACATTTATGCAGCCAACAGACATATGAAAAAATGCTTATCATCACTGGTTGTTAGAGAAATGCAAATCAGGTTTCTTCCAAGATGGCCAAATAGTAACAGCTCTGGTCTGTAGCTCCCAGCGAGATTGATGCAGAAGATGGGTGATTTCTGCATTTCCAACTGAGTCTTAGCAACCAGCAGACCAGGTGATTCCCTCCTGTGCCTGGTTCAGAGGGTCCCATGCCCACGGAGCCTTGCTCATTTCTAGTGCAGCACTCTGAGATCGACCTGCGACACTGCAGCCTGGTGGTGGGGAGTGGCGTCCACCATTGCTGAGGCTTGAGTAGGTAAACAAATCAGCCAGGAAGCTTGAACTGGGCAGAGCCCACCACAGCTCAGCAAGGCCTGCCACCTCTCTAGAGTCCACCTCTGTGGGCAGAGCATAGCTGAATAAAGGGCAGCAGACAACTTCTGCAGACTTAAACGTCCCTGTCTGACAGCTCTGAAGAGAGCAGTGGTTCTCCCAGCACAGCGTTCGAGCTCTGAGAATGCACAGATTGCCTCCTCAAGTGGGTCCCTGACCCCCACGTAGCCTGACTGGGAGACACCTCCCAGTAGGGGCCGACAGACACCTCATACAGGCAGGTGCCCCTCTGGGATGAAGCTTCCAGAGGAAGGATCAGGCAGCAATATTTGCTGTTCTGCAATATTTGCTGTTCTGCAGCCTCTGCTGGTGATACCCAGGTGAAGAGAGTCTGGTGTGGACCTCCAGCAGATTCCAACAGACCTGCAGCTGAGGGGCCTGACTGTTAGAAGGAAAACTAACAAACAGAAAGTAATAGCATCAACATCAACAAAAAGGACATCCACACCAATACCCCATCTGTAGGTCACCAACTTCAAAGACCAAAGGTAGATAAAACCACAAAGATAGGGAGAAACCAGAGCAGAAAAGCTGAAACTTCCAAAAACCAGAGTGGCTCTTCTCCTCCAAAGGATTGCAGCTCCTCGCCAGCAATGGAACAAAACTGAATGGAAAATGAGTCTGACGAGTTGACAAAAGTAGGCCTCAGAAGGTCAGTAGTAACGAACTTCTCCGAGCTAAAGGAGCATGTTCTAACCCATTGCAAGGAAGCTAAAAACTTTGAAAAAAGGTTAGATGAAGTCTAACTAGAATAAGGAGTGTAGAGAAGACCTTAAATGACCTGAAACTTCATGCTAAAAACTCTCAATAAACTAAGTATTGGTGGAACATATCTCAAAATAACAAGGTCAATTTATCACAAACGTGATAAATAGCTGAAAACCACAGCACGAGAACTTCGTGATGCATGCACAAGCTTCAGTAGCTGATTCAATCAAGTGGAAGAAAAGATATCAGTGACTGAAGATCAAATTAATGAAATAAAGCTAGAAGACAAGATTAGAGAAAAAAGAGTGGAAAGAAATTAACAAAGCCTCCAAGAATTAT
Source organism: Homo sapiens (assembly GCF_000001405.40). Classification (NCBI taxonomy): domain Eukaryota; kingdom Metazoa; phylum Chordata; class Mammalia; order Primates; family Hominidae; genus Homo; species Homo sapiens. Next base: position 78,643,030 of record NC_000006.12, on the reverse strand, counting down.
GGGACTATGTGAACAGACCAAATCTATGATTGGTGTACTGGAAAGTGACGGGGAGAATGGAACCAAGTTGGAAAACACTCTTTGGGATATTATCCAGGAGAACTTCCCCAACCTAGCAAGGCAGGCCAACATTCAAATTCAGGAAATACAGAGAACACCACAAAGATACTCCTCGAGAAGAGCAACCCCAAAACACATAATTGTCAAATTCACTAAGGTTGAAATGAAGGAAAAAATATTAAGGGCAGCCAGAGAGAAAGGTCGGGTTACCCACAAAGGGAAGCCCATCAGACTAACAGCGGATCTCTCGGCATAAGAGAGTGGGGGCCAATATTCAACATTTTTAAAGAAAAGAATTTTCAACCCAGAATTTCATATCCAGCCAAACTAAGCCTCATCAGTGAAGAAGAAATAAAATCCTTTACAGACAAGGAAATGCTGAGTGATTTTGTCACCACCAGGCCTGCCTTACAAGAGCTGCTGAAGGAAGCACTAAACATGGGAGGGAACAACTGGTACCAGCCATGGCAAAAACATGCCAAATCATAAAGACCATTGATGCTATGAAGAAACGGCATCAATCAACGGGCAAAATAACCAGCTAACATCATAATGACAGTATCAAATTCACACATAACAATATTAACCTTAAAAGTAAATGGGCTAAATATCCCAATTAAAAGACACAGACTGGTAAATCGGATAGTCAAGACCCATCAGTGTGCTGTATTCAGGAGAACCATCTTATGTGCAGAGACATACATAGGCTCAAAATAAAGAAATGCAAATCAAAACTACAATGAGATACCATCTCACACCAGTTAGAATGGCGATCATTAAAAAGTCAGGAAACAACAGATGCTGGAGAGGTTGTGGAAAAATAGGAACACTTTTATACTGTTGGTGGGAGTGTAAATTAGTTCAACCATTGTAGAAGACAGTGTAGCGATTCCTCAGGGATCTAGAACTAGAAATACCATATGACCCAGCAATCCCATTACTGGGCATATACCCAAAGGATTATAAGTCATTCTACAATAAAGACACATGCACATGTTTGTTTATTGCAGCACTATTCACAATAGCAAAGATTTGGAACCAACCAAAATGTTCATCAATGATAGACTGGATTAAGAAAATGTGGCTCATATACACCATGGAATACTATGCAGCCATAAAAAAGATGAGTTCATGTCCTTTGCAGGGACATGGATTAAGGTGGAAACCATCATTCTCAGCCAAGTATCACAAGATCAGAAAACCAAACACCACATGTTCTCATTTGTAAGTGGGAGTTGAACAACGAGAACACATGGACATAGGGAGAGGAACATTACACACCAGGGCCTGCAGGGTGTGTGGGGCTAGGGGAGGAATAACATTGGGAGAATACCGAATGTAGGTGACAGGCTGATGGGTGCAGCAAACCAGCATGGCATGTGTATACTTATGTAACAAAACTGCACCTTCTGCACATGTAACCCAGAACTTAAAGTATAAATAATAATAATAATAAAGTTAAAAAGTTACTTTAAGCTAAATTAATTATTGAAGAAATAAATTTTTTTTTTTTTTTTTTTTTTTTTTGAGATGGAGTTTCGCTCTGTCGCCCAGGCTGGAGTGCAGTGGCGCGATCTCGACTCACTGCAAGCTCCGCCTCCCGGGTTCACGCCATTCTCCTGCCTCAGCCTCCCGTGTAGCTGGGACTACAGGCGCGCGCCACCATGCCCGGCTAATTTTTGTATTTTTAGTAGAGACGGGGTTTCACCGTGTTAGCCAGGATGATCTCAATCTCCTGACCTCGTGATCCGCCCGTCTCGGCCTCCCAAAGTGCTGGGATTACAGGCGTGAGCCACCGCGCCTGGCCGAAGAAATAAATTTTTAAGAATGAATTTAGTGTAGCCTAAGTGTACAGTGTTTATAAAGTCTACAGTAGTGTACAGTAATTTCCTAGGCCTTCACATTCACCCACCACTCACTCATTGACTCACCCAGAGCAACTTCCTGTCAACTCTATTCATGGTAAGTGCTTTTATATAGGTGTACCATTCTTGACTTTTATACCACATATTTTTCTGTACCTTTTCTGTGGTTAGATAAATTTAGATACATGAAGACTTACCATTGTGTTACAATACCCTGTGATAATCAGTGTAGTAACATGTTGTACACATTTGTAGCCTAGAAGCAAAAGGCCATATCATCTAGCCTAGGTGTGTAGCAGGCTATGCTTGTAGGTTTGTGTAAGTATACTCTATGATGTTCCCATAATGACACATTTCTCAGAACGTATCCCTACCATTAAATGATGCACAACTGTATTTAATATAGTTCTTTAATTCATAGTTGAGCACATTTTTAAACTCACAGGCAAATTTCTTTGGGGGGAGGATAGCTCATCTAGTTTTAATTAATTTCTAAAAGCTCTTTATATTATAAAAGTTTTATTATTTCAATTTTGGACACAAATATATTTTCAATGGATGCAGTCTATTCTGTATCCTCAAGTTTTAAAAGATTCATTTATTTATTCTTTTTAGTCCCAGTCCAATACTCTATCTTTTCAGGAATATATCTCTCATTTATTTATTCATAGCATTTTTCAGACTTATACAATACATGAACTTTGATGTGAAATTGGGCAAAAAGGCTGGCTATGGGAGGCTGAAGTCACAGAAGGACAAGAGACTCCAAAATTCACATGACATATCAGTGCCTTGTGGGTAAGGTGTGACTACTAGATGAATTTATGAACAACTCTTGCATATTTTCTTTTGAGGAAAAAGATTGTTTATAAGTTAAATACAATGAAAATGACCAACTTAGGCCAAGACTGTCAAGAAAATAACTTGGTCGTATTGGCTCATTTTGCTAGCCCATATAAATGAAAGTTAGAATTAAGATTTTCAAAAAATATACACATTTTAAAGGCTTTAGACAAATATTACCAAATTTATCTCTATACAATTTTTTTATTAAATTGTAATTTCCCCATTAGAGTGTTCATTTAAGTTTAGATTCTGAATCTATAAAAATGAAAATCATATAGTACAAATTTTACAGGGTTTTTTATAGCCCTATAATCCACGTTAAACACTAAACCTTGTACAAAGTTAATGATTAATAAATGTTAGTCATTAGGGCTAAGATAATGTTTTGAAAATGATTAGACTAAAATCTTAAAAGACCTTTCATATATAAAATACATACAAATCACAGCACACCCAATAAAAACAGGAGGAAGAATTGGGAACCTTGCCTGTTTGGTTTGACTCTTGGCCCCATGGCTATACTAATGTAGCTCCTGTTACCTCTAAGAAAGTATAGGCATCTGACAAATACAGCAAGAAAACCAGTAAGTTGAGAGACCTATAAAGCCAGTGAGGGCAACTCAGTTTGTAAAATGAGGTTTGGATGAAGTGAGGTAGAGTGTTTTCTCCCAGAGAACAGCAACCAGGGCTATCGTTTCTATTCACAAAATACGATTAGTCAAAATAAAACTGCGACTTGGTTCCTACCCAGAGGGTGACATATAAGGGAATTATATTTGTTTTGTAAGGGAATTTTAACATATTTATGTGTAACTTTATTTTTCATGTATTAATATTTATTCCTATATTCATTAACATTTATTGAGCATTTAATTAGTGTTGACTCTTGCTTTCAAGACGCTTCCTGGCTGACGTCACCACCCCCTTGAATGGTGGGGGTGTTACGGCTCATAAACAGGGCAGGTCTTGGTTTTGACTTTGGGGAGGGCAGTTTCATGGTGATGCTGTTTTCACTTATTTCTTTACTAATTAATTTAACCAGTATTTTATTAATCATCTACCATACATGTAAGTCACTGACAGTCACTGTTCTGTTATAACTAGAGTGTTATAACTACACCCTTAAATAATTGAGACCAAAAAAAAGTGAGTACAATGTTAGCATCAAGGTTTTTATGGGAGTAGTATGGGAATAAAAAGGAGTGGCAACAAACTAAATTTAGGGAGGTGAATAAAGTGATAAAACATCCTTTCAAAAGGAGGTGACATTTGAAATAAATATTACAGGGTATGACTTGACCAATCATGATGAGCAGAAAATAAATTCAAGGTAGAGGCAAAAGAATGTGAAAGCTACGGTGGTCTCAGAGAATGTGGGCATTACTAGAATTGCAAGTAGGTCAGTGTAGTGGAAACTGTGATTGACTATCAAACATCATGACATATCAGGTCATATCTGGTTCAGAGATGGGCACATTTACAGTGATCTGGGCCAATGAGACCCAACAAGAAATTTGTTGGTGAGTTCTGAGAATAAAGTTTCTTACTCTTAGAACAAACTATGGGAAGCTTCCTTCTGTCTCCTGCTGGATGAAAAGGAAGATGCATTTAGCCTCTATTGCTACTGGAAGCCATTATGCAATTTCAGAGGAACCAATCTTAGGATCAATCTAATATTTAGTAGAGCTTACAAGTAAAGAGACTACAGGTTCTTCATTTAATCATTGAAGCACTTTATCAACCAACTCTAAAGCCCATTTCAGGCTGTTTAGTTTCCAACTTTGAGAACACTTGACCTGTGAGTTAACAAGTTAGTTGTAAAAACAAGAAAAATACAGAACACAAGGACAATACATAGACATCAGTGCAAAGCAGATGTTGCTACATGGTCAATTGTAGCAACTGGGGCTTATTCTTAAGTGAGCCAATGCATTTCCTTGTTTTCACATCTGAAACCATCTTACTTTCCACTGGAGTGAAGGGCCAGGGTTGTGTAATCCTCAAATAGTAATCTGGAAAGGGAGGTAGAGGTTGTATTGGGAAGACTGTGCCCATACTGAGGAGTTTGAAATTGAAATTGAAAGCAATGAGGAGCTATTTATTGGGAAATTGTAAGTAATGGAGTAAAGCCTCTTGTCCTCCCTGTGGGAAAAATAGGGGAAGTATTTTCCTAACTGCTCATAATTTTCAAGGCTAGAGTTAGTTCTTTTCAGTACAATCTAGAAAAAGTCTTGGATTGATTACTTGTGGGATTCAGTTAAATTTTAGCCAGGGAAAAAAATATTTCCCCAGGCTTTTTTGTGGGAAATAGGAAGACGGATATTTCATTCTTCTAGTTATGCCTGGTTCCAGGGTGAATTATTTAATTAAGTAACTTAGAAAACACCAACCCTGTAGAGCAGGCCCTGACCATGCCCGCATTCTCTCTCTGTTGACCACACAAGTGACCATGTAGTAACATCTGCCCTGCATTGATGGCTATGTGTTGTTCTCGTGTTATGTATGTTTTTTGTTTTCACAACTGGCTTGTTAACTCCTAGATCAAGTGTTTTTAAAGTTGGTTCCCTAGACTACCTGGATCAGAACCACCTGAGGTGCTTGGGTGTTTAACAAGCTTCTCAGTAATCTGTTTGGAATTTGTAAAGTACAAGAGATGCTGAGTATGTACTTGCAAATCCAAAGGGAATAAAGATCAGTAATGTATAAGGTTTTGCTATTTCTTCCAGGACCCAAATGTAAGACTTTTTTTTTTTTTTTTTTTTTTTTGAGACAGAGTCTCGCTCAGTCGCCCAGGCTGGAGTGCAGTGGCTTGATCTCTGTTCACTGCAAGCTCCGCCTCCTGGATTGACGCCATTCTCCTGCCTCAGCCTCCCAAGTAGCTGGGACTACAGGCGCCCGCCACCACGCCCAGCTAATTTGTTTGTATTTTTTTAGTAGAGACGGGGTTTCACCGTGTTAGCCAGGATGGTCGCGATCTACTGACCTCGTGATCCGCCCTCTTCGGCCTCCCAAAGTGCTGGGATTACAGGCGTGAGCCACCGCGCCCGTCCCCAAATGTAAGACTTTTAAGAAGAAATAGAAGAGTCAGTGTTAGAGTCTTATTTTTCTAAGTATGTCTATTCATTTTTATATGTTTTATTCTAGAAAAATCCATGGGTTACATTTTCCAATGATCAAAGTTATTTGAAGTTAAAGGTAAAATATATAATTTGACTTTTATTTTTAAATTTTTCACTTCATTGATCTTATTTATAATAGCACATACAAGTAGTAGGTAAAAATCAAATCAGTGGCTCAATATTATATTAGTTTTAGTTATTGAAAGTAAGAGAGAGAAAAGACTTGGTGAACTGGGTCTTCTGGCTTGAGACTATAACTTTTTTGCTTGATTTGATTCATTGCTTTAAGTTAGAGAAGTCCCACAAAATATACTCAATTTCCTTTTCTACAAAATTGCTATAACATGTATTACCACCTGAGTAGGTGTAACAAATGAATTTTATCATGCAATAACATGCTTTGAAATCATGAGAAGAAGGTTTTAAATCAACGAAGATATTATTTGGTTTTGATCTCTGAAAGCTGCAGACATGTTACAAATTATTTAGTTTTATACATGCTATGTATATATATATGTACACACATACATATGTGATATTTTATTCTACACAATTTCTGCTATAGCACAGAGATCTTCAGATATTAATGGAAGTTTTTGTGTCTGAAATAACACCTTTTCCTTTTACTTTATCGTTAAGTGCTCTAAATTGTTATTTTTCTGGATCTCATTTCCTTTGAAATGTAAACTTTCCGAACAAAGTTTATAAACTTCTTAAAAAATCAGACTTAGATTTTAATACTAAAGCATGTTCTTTTATATTGTATTAATAAGGGATAAGTAGGGTATTTTGAATATTTAATTACGATTATGAATGAAAGCTTTCCAAACTTTCCTCTTTTGCCTTCTATCCTATCTGCTTTTCTCTTTATTCTTGTTTTCTATAACTGAAATTGCATTTTACCTCAAAACTTCCAATCTAGTCACTTGATTCTATTTTTGTCAGCAAGTCTCCCTATTCGTTATTCCTCTTCTTTCTGTGCTGCAACAATAATGTCTTCTCTTTGCTCTAATCAAGTCGAGTCATGTTTTCAGCCCTTCTGTCATTTTCAGCTTTCCCTCTCATCCTAGAGCATTTCCACTGCCTGACATTACAGGCAGAGCATACATTTCTCTGAATTTTGCGAGACGACCTACAAAGAGACAGTTACAGACCACAGACCTTGGATAATCTATGGAATTTTTCTAGCTAGTTATTTCCATGGATTAGTTGTCTAGTAAAACAGCTAATTGTTTGTGTTTCAGCTAATTAAACAATTCTGGCCAGTTGGTTAGAATCACTGATTAATTGAGAGCACCAAAGCCCAAGCTATTATCTAAGTAGACAAGCATTTGTGTGGCTCTTGCTAATAAACCTTCGATCTTTCTCTTGTGACATTGCTCCACCTTTCTATCAAATTCAATTCAAGTCAACAAATATTTGAACACCTGTCATCTGCATGTTAACTTGAGTGTTTGTGTGTGTGTGTGTGTGTGTGTGTGTGTGTGTGTGTGTGTGTGGTGTATGTATGTTAAGTGGAATATCATGCCTATCCACAAGGTGCTTACCAGTGGGGTTTGATAGACAGCCATGAAGCAGCAATGGAGGTTGTATTTACTATCTACTCTTTGAATATTTCTGCAGTTCTCAAAGAGAAACCCAAATAATACTGCCAAAAAATTAAACTCGGGATCTCAATATGCATGATAAAATTAATTTGGATGCTATTCAGCGTCACAGTGTTTATTCACTGAGCTGGTGAATTTCTTTCAATGCCAAAAGCAGTCTCTCAAGTTATGCATTTATATTAACTCTTTTACCTGATAATTTACATAATTTCCTTGAATAAAATAATTATTCTAATGATAAAAGCCACTATTGATGGAGCATTTATATGTGCCACAAATAGTGGTGAGCTTTTTCTTTATTCTTAACTTGTTAACCACCTACTATGTGCCAAGCAATGAAAATAAAGAATGAATTAGATAGCCTGACTCTGAGGAACTTATATTCTGATTGGGGAAAGTAGGCAGTAAATAACAAATGAGATAGTTGAAGATTATGGTAATTAGTATTCAAGGTAATGGCATAATTAATAATGTGGGATCGCCACTTTAAATAGAGTGGCACGGAAATACATACATAAGGAGATACATTTCAGAGATTCTTCAGGAATGAACAGGAGAAGTTCATGTGCAGGGCTCAGAGAAGGGTTTACGGCTCCAGAGAAGAATGTATACCACAACCTTGCAATGCGAAGGACTTGCTAGGTTTGAGGAACTGACAGGAGGATGGCAAATGAGTGAAGGGGCAGAATTGTGAAGATGAAATTCATAGATCTGGAGGAAATGAATCATGCTGAATGATATTGACCATGTTAAAAAGTCTGTTTTTTTTTTCCTTAAAGAACAATAAGAAGAATTCATGACAGAATTTTAAGAAGGAGAAAGATGTGATTTGTTTAAACATTTTAAAAGGATCACTCTGGAGAATGGACTAGAGTTGGAAATGTGTGGATTTAGGGAGATCTATTTATGCATCTGTAAAATGATTGTGGTCTTAATGAAGATGGGCACATAAAAATAGTTTTAAATGGAAAGGATCAAGATATGGTTAGAGGAAGAAAAATAGGACCTCATGATGAATTGCATATGAGAGTGAGGGATGAGAAAAATTAGAAATCAAGGATAACATCAATTATTTTAATCCTTAGAATAACTTATGAGGTAGGTTTTATTATAATCTGTATTTTACAGATAAGGAAACTGAGGCACTAAGAAGCAAGAATCCCTGTCCAAGGTTATATACCAAGTGGTGTATGACCACTTCATACCAAGTGGTGGCATGAAGACTGAACCCAAGCAGATAATTGTACAGCACCTAAGTGACCACCATGTGTACTGAGAAATGTGTTTCATATCTTTCCAGTGTGATAACTGATTTTAAGGTTTTCATTTCAACATATTCTCATTTTATCTTGAATTAGAGACCTTGAATAGCTCTGAATTGCAGTGTTTTTCTAATAATTTAGAACCAACTGTTAAATAAATTATCTAGTCACAGATTTATCTTAAAATCTAACTTCCAGGATATTTTATGAAGTCCATACAGACTCAGCCTGATATATATTTAATACCTCTAATACGCAGTAAAAAATGATACAAATAACAATGACCTTCAAGTATAATAAAATACTGAAGTTCTTGCTAAATGATCAATGACAGGCTATGTTTGGTTTAGAAGTATTTTATTCTTAATTTTTATTTCATTGTGTTCTAGGACTTTCAAATTGGTAATCAATTGGCATAGTCCTCATGAACACAGTTCAATCCTCTTATTACAATCCTTCAAGTATTCTTGCTTCCTTAGAGACCAGAAATAAGTGGGAGTTACTCAAATTTCATATTTTCAAGGAATCAAAAAAATTTCAAAAGCATGTACCATGCCTTAGACACCCAGACAGTTACAAAAGCAAATAGGATAGAAGTTCTTTCTAGAGAAAAGAAGAAGCATGAGTTCTAGTGTTGGTGTAGGGTATGGATGTGGGGGAAAGATCCTCCCTACCCACCTGTCTCTTAGACAGCCTGCTTGCCTTTGTAAGAAGATGGTTTTATCAGGACTTGGTTGACAAGAAAACAATAAATTCCACTGAGGTAGAGAAATGCCTAGTGGAAAAATCCTGCTTAGGAATCACTGGGTTTGGATTATACCTACTTGCCTTCCCCTGTTGTTTGTAATTTTAAATATATGTATATTAAAACCTGAGGCCAGAGTATGTAGCACTATGTGACCCAATTACATATAGATGTATTTTGTTGGGTGAAAACAGTTTGGGGGTGGGATAAGTAGAGAGGCTGGCTCTTAAAAGAGGCCAGATGGGATTTATTTTTCAAAGTGAAGGTAAAATTTAAGAATAGGGTATTTGTATACTATTGTCTAACCTGGCAGAGACTACATCAAGCAAGCATCACAATTTTAAGGGCATTATGGACAGAAGAATACTAAGTTATAATGCTATTTTTTTCTCAGATAATAAGTATATCCCATTTCTCATTTTTCTATGCTCTGTTAAATTTTATATTTCAAGTTAATCTTAGAATATCCTCCAATGACCAGTTTAAAAGAATAAGCAAATCATTTCGGTGGGATAAAACATACACCATTTTTCTTGTAGAATAGGTTACATTTGTTGGGAAATCTATGCTACAATTTCAGGTTTAAAAGGGCCATGTAATTCAAGAAATCCTACAGCCTTTCCTTTGTTCTATTTGCCAGTTTCAAAATATGGCCTCTAATACTGAATACCTGAATAAACAATTCTGGAGAAATCTATTTACAAAACTTGTTTTGAATGCAAGTGCAAATATAGCTTCTAAAACATAAATCTCTCTTCAATTTAGTGACATAGCAGTCTCCCTAAGCAATTTATTGTTTGCTTCATCAAATGGATAAAACAATAAATAAATGCTTCACCCACATGATCATAAGATTTAGCACTTCAGTACATTTAGTATTATTGATTTTACCATGTAGGCTTTTATTCCTAATCTTTCTTTATCACCAAAATTTATTTAATAAAACTAGGTAGTGGAGGAAGGAGAAAACTAGCTGATGAATATCTGAGTATCTGATTTTTGTTTTTCAGTGTTTGAACTTTTAATTTGTCATGCTTCTCATTTCTTTTTATACTTAGATTATAGAATTATATGTGAATATGCTTTTGGCTCTTACACCATTAATGTTACATGTAATCAAAAGTAATTAAATTTTCAAAATTAGTAAAACCACTCAGTTAAGCAATGTAAGCATACATTAGCTGATAATCATTTACAATGCCAATTGCATCCTGAGGCTGTTATTGACATGTCAGCAGAGCATATGATAGAGTTGTTTTTCTGCCAGTACTAATCCAGAAACAATGTAAGGTTGCCAATGCAGATGGGATTGTATTTGTAGAATGGAGCAATTCCCATAAGAGATTTTTGCCGTACTAACAGTCGCTAGGACTTCCTCAGTTTTCTCCTGTGCCAGGTGGCAGTAGCCACCAACAGCATTTGGGCACTCTGCCCCACCACCTCCCTCCTCTCCTGTGGGGACATCCAATAAAGATGAGAAAGACGTGCTTTGGGCACCAATAAATTAGGGACAACAAAATGTGATATTCTGGAAGAAATGTCAAGTCAAAAAATACTGGGAAATCTCAGCATTTCTTCACATTTATTTGTATGGTCTATTAATTAATATAAGTATCATACCATTTGGCTGTGCTTTGATGTTTGTCAGTGACTAGAGCCACTCATTTCTTTCTCTTTTAATAGAAGATACTTATAATTGCAGATTATCTTCACTTTTTTGCAGATGATCAAAATTTAGTTGATAAATGGCAGTGGTTTTCAACTACCATATACACTGGCATGTCATATTCAGGTGTAATATGTATTGTAGGTAGTTTATTATAAATCATAGGTAAAATATTAAAGTTTGTAAGTAATCTAAGTTCATAAATAATCTACTTTTTAATACATTAGAATGAATTCACATTTATCTTTAAAACAACATTGCTCTTTGTTTGCATGTATTCTAATGTTCTATTTTGACTGAGAGAGAAAGAACCTAAGCTACCACTAATTATGCATAGGAATGCTATGGAAGTGAAAGAGTCATGGATCTGCACTGGAAAGTTTGTTAGTGGATTGAATGGAGTGCCATATACAGTATACTCTATATCTAACATGTGGACATAATGTTTTGTTCCCTTTCTCAACAAATGTGACCCGGCTGTTTCTATAGACTCCTATTGTTTGCTAGAGTATTAATGGAAGGAAAATTAGTTCTTTGTGGAGGTGCCGGTCCAACCCAGAGGTTAAATTGTACATCCATTTGTAGATGTGTAAAGGAAGTTTGGTGTGGTTCCCATACATATCTGCCATAGGAAAAAGTGTACTTGTTTGGCTTGCAGCTGTCTACAACAAAGAATCAAAATAATCATTTATTTTTTTTTCACTGAAGTACTATCTACATCATCTCTTCTTTTCTATATTTCTGGAATAATTCCCCCTTTGGTCCCTCTGCCTTACTTGTACCAAGTCGCCCAAATAAAACTAAGAACCTTTATCCAGTTTTCCACCCTTAGATTTTTATTATGTGTTCTTATTCCTTGAGGTTGAGTGCAGTTATGGCAGGTTGAAGGAATTAAGTTGGAATTGAAACTTGGGTGATATAATAGGAAATGTATCTAAATGATGTATATTTATATAAAATAACATGCTGATGGGTTTAAGGATTTATTTGGATAAAGTCTGGCCACCTTATTCTTTTGTGTTTTATGTCTAGTCTTCTCAAACAATTAGTATTTATCAGTGCCTGCTATGTGTGAAGCACTCTAATATCTGTTGAACAAAAACAGCTATCCCGAGGGACTCAGCATGTTGATATTTCTGCAACCTAAGGAAGACTACTACCAAAAATATTATTAATTCTGATGCAAGAGTTCAATAAATAAAAATGTACATTTGATATGAACTATGCTTCATAGAGATCTGGTTCTGATACTGAATGTGTTTTATGGTTTAACTGTAATTTCTAACACATTGCAATTTGGGAGATAGAGCTAGAGTAAGGCTTCAGCATCTGGCCATATAGGATTCTCTTATGATGAAACATCCAGACCCTTTATGAACCATAATATTTAATTCATTGCACGGCTCATAAGAAGTAAGGGGGGAAAAACAAACTCCTCTCTCTATGCAACAAAATAAAACAGAAAAAACATCCAATAAGATGTAACTGGAGGCCGGACGCGGTGGCTCATGCCTGTAATCCCAACATTTTGGGAAGCCGAGGTGGGCGGATCACTTGAGGTCAGGAGTTCGAGACAAGCCTGGCCTACATGGTGCAACCCAGTCTCTACTAAAAATACAAAAATTAGCCGGGTGTGGTGGACCGCACCTGTAATCCGAGCTACTCGGGAGGCTAAGGCACTAGAGTCGCTTGAACCCGTGAGGCGGAGGTTGCAGTGGGCCCAGATCGTGCCACTGCAATCCAACCTGGGCAACAGAGCGAGACTCCGTCTCAAAAACAAACAAACAAACAAACAAACAAACAAACAAAAACAGTTGGCCGGGCGCGGTGGCTCACTGGCTCACGCCTGGAATCCCAGCACTTCGGGAGGCCAAAGCAGGCGGATCACCGCTGCACTCCAGCCTGGGCAAAAAAAAAAAAAAAAAATAGAGCTACATGGAGATGGCGTTTTGGCATAGCGACCGCTCAGGCACATGTGGAGCCCAGGGAACTTCATATACCCGGGTTTTCGGGAAAAGTGGCTGCAAGCCTGGCACAGCGGGAGGTTAGACCTCCGTACGTACCCCTGGGAAAGGGGCTGAATCCAGGGAGCTGAGCAGCAATGGTCTGTAAGCCCGGCTTCCATGGCACCTTTGGCTTGGAACTCCAGCCAGCCAGCAGCATTACACCTCCCTGGTGAGCTCCCGAAAGGGAGGAGCGGCCGTCATCTTTGCTGTTTCGCAGCCTTAGCTGTTGGTGCCTTCGGTACAGCTGCCCTGTGGGAAAAGCGGCCAGACTGCGCTTTTTTATGCGGGTCCCTGACCCCGCTTCTCTTCACTGGGCGGGGCCTCCAGACCTGGGTCGCCAGCCACCCTGGCGGTGTTTTCCAGCTGGCTGTAGTTCGGAGCCTCCGTGGGACGGAACTACCAGGGAGAGGGATGGGCTGTAATTGCTGTTTCACAGCCTTAGCTTGGTTGCCGTCAGGCTGTAGGGAATCCGCCGCAACTAGGGACTGGCGCCGTCTCCCAGCAGCAGCTCTGCAGAGAAGCGACCAGACTGCTTTCTCTTGCAGGTCCCGATCCCGGTTCTCTTCGCTGGGCAAAATCTCCCTCTTGAGGCCTATAGCCATCCCCAGCGGTATTTTCTGGCTGACAGCACTTTCAAACCCCCCAGCCACGTGATGGAGCTCCCAGAGGGAGGAGCCGGTCACCATCTTTCCTGTTTTGCAGTCTTAGCTGTTGTTGTCTTTGGGATTTGGAGAGTCTGAAGCAACTAGGGGCTGGAGAGGACCCCTAGTAGAGCCCAGAAATAAGGCCACACATCTACAACCGTCTGATCTTTGACAAAGCTGACAAAAACAAGCAATGAGGAAAGGACTACCTATTTAATAAATGGTGCTGGGATAACTGGCTAGCTATTTACAAAAGATTGAAACTGGACCCTTTCCTTACACCATATACAAAAATGAACTCAAGATGGATTAAAGACTGAAAAGTAAAACCCAAAACTATAAAAACCTTGGAAACCTAGGCAATACCATTAGATTTCATGACGAAGATGCCAAAACTATTGGAACAAAAGCAAAAATTGACAAATGGAATCTAATTAAACTTAAGAGCTTCTGCACAGCAAAGAAACTATCAACAGAGTAAACAGACTCCCTACAGAATGGGAGAAAATATTTGTAAATTATGCATCTGACAAAGATCTAATATGCAGAAAACCTACAGAATGAGAGAACACTTTTGCAAACTAGCATTCAACAAAGGTCTAATATCCAGCATCTATAAGGAACATAAACAAATTTACAAGAAAAACAACCCCATTAAAAAGTGGGCAAAGGACATGAACAGACACTTCTTAGATGACATACATGTGGTCAAGAAGTATTTAAAAAAAAACTCAGTATCACTCATTAGACAAATGCAAATCAAAACCACAATGAGATACTATCTAACACCAGTGAGAATGGCTATTCTTAAAAAGTTAAAAAATGTAACAGAAGCCAGTGAGGTTGTGAAGAAAAGGAACACTTATACACTATTGTTGGGAGTGTAAATTAGTTCAACCATTGTGGAAAGCAGTGTGGTGATTCCTCAAAGAGCTAACAATAAAACTACCATTCGACCCAGCAATCCCATTACTGGGTATATACACAAAGGAATATAAATCATTCTGTCATAAAGACACATGCACATGTATGTTCATTACAGTAATATTCACAATAGCAAAGACATGGAATCAACTTCAATGCCCATTAATGACAGACTGCGTAAAGGAAATTTGGTCCATACACATCATGGAATACTGTATGGTCACAAAAAAGAACAAGATAATGTCCTTTGCAGGAACATGGATGAAACTGGAGGCCATTATTTTTAGCAAACTAATGCAGGAACAGAAAACCAAATACCGCATATTCTCATTAATAAGGGGGAGCTAAATGATGGGAGTGCATAGATACATAGAGGAGAACAACACAAACTGGGGCCTACCTGAACGTAGAGGGTGTGAGGAGAGGATGAGAAAATATAACTGTTGGTTACTAGGCTTAATATTTGGGTGATGAAATAACTGTACAACAAATCCCTGTGACATGAGTTTACCTACATAAGAAACCTGCACATGTACCCTGAACCTAAAATAAAAGTTAATGAAAAAGATAATAAAAGATGGAATTACAATAATAAGCAAGCAATAAAAACTATTCAGAATGACCTGGAAATTTTTAACAAGAATTAAACAGAACTTTTAGACATAAAATGTAATCATTTATTTTATTTTTTTTTTGGATACAGGGTCTTGCCCTATTGCCCAGTTTGGAGTGCAGTGGCATGATCATGGCTCACTGCAGCCTTGACCTTCTGGTCTCAAATGATCCTCTTGCCTCAGTTTCTCAAGTAGCTGGGACTACAGGTGCATGCCACCATGCCTGGCTAATTTTTAAAATTTTTTTGTAGAGATGATTTGTCTCAAACTCCTGGGCTCAAATGATCCTCCAACCTAGCAAAGTGTTGGGACTATAGGCATGAGCCACCATGCCTGGCCATGAAGTTGTTTTAAAGATATGAGTAGAAATCTTTCCTTAAGTGATAAAGAATATCAACAAAATTCCTGTACCAAACATCAGTGAAAACATTAGAAGTATTTACTTTACAGTCAGGAATGGACAATGATGTCTAATATTATTTTAATTCAATATTGTAATAGCCTAGACAAAGAAGAAAGACATATAAATAAATGATTTAGAATCTGTAAAGGAAGAACTATAACTATTATTATTATATAAGATGATAATATAGAAAACCAAAAGTATTTACAGATGAATTACTGGCATTAATGAAAGTAATAAGGTAGAAGGATATAAAATTAAAATGCAAGAATCAATGATTATTTTAAACAGCAACAGTTGGAAAAAGTTATTTGCAAAAAGATACCATTGATAATAACATAAAAGCATGACACCTAGAAAAATATCTATCAAAATCTTATTATTAAGAGTTTATTAAACAACCTTAAATAAGACACAAATAAAAGAAAAAAACACGACATACTCATAGATAGGAAGACTCAATAATGTTCTTCCTAACTTTGTTCTATGGCCTGAATGGGATTACGTTCAAAATGTCACCAGAACTTTTTTTTTTAAGGAACTTGACAAGTTGGTTTTAAAATTTAAATGAAAACATAAAGGCTCAAGAATAACCAAAACTTTCCTGAAGAAGAAACAGATATAGGAATTTGTCTTACTGAATATACTAATAAAAAGCTCCATGAATTAAGGCAATATAATATTGGCAAAGGGATAAATAAATTTACCAGTGGATCAGAGTAGAGAGCTCAGAAACAGATACATTGGTATATAAGATTTTCATTGTATGAAGGTATTTCCGTTTCTTTCATTTTAGAGGTTAATTTTAGTCTCTAACTTGATCTTCAGTGGAATGTATACAACTGTTTAAAATATAGCTATGATGGCACTTTTAGAATATCCAAAGATAAATCATCTTATCAATGTCTTAAAAAGAACTTACTGTTTCTGGAAAATTGAACAGAATTGGTGATAGAGTACATCTCATTTTTCTTCCGTGGTCCTGGTATTAGTACTATAGGCATAAAATTTCTTCTGTGATGGGACATGGATTTGGGTCTGGCTGTCAGTGAGTATAGGTGTACATTGCATGCAAACAAAAAGTAGCTCTGCTGTAGGGCTTGCAGTGGATGTTGGTGCCCCACCAACATCCTTAGCTGAGAGGATGAGCCATGCCCTGGTGCTGCGTTTCCCAGCCAGAGCCCAGCCCCCTTTCATCCAGGTGAAAAACTCTGTGGAGCCATCAGACTCCCAAGCTTATCTGAAACCATATCTTTGCTCATCTTCTTTCCCAGCCCCAGCCACTTCCTTCCTCAATAAATCTCTCATACAAGTATTACTGACTGAAGCTCTCCTTCTAGTGAATCTGTTCCAGGGTAAGATTTGAGGGAGTAGCACTCCTCTGAGAGTTTTTCCACCTTAGTTCTTCTTACCTCTCTGCCCTGATAAATAGATCACTCTGGGCACAATGAAGAAGCTTTCTATTTGCTTTTGAGCCTTTTTGTCTTTTTGATACCCATGACAGGTGGAAACTTATGTAAATTATTTCTTACACTTTTGTCTGGTCTCAGGACAATTCAATCAATTTTTGTAGCAGTGTTGATCTCTGTGACTTGAGTTGGTTAATTGGAAATATTTTTCCTTTTCTAATGTTCCCCTTCCAGATTTTTCGTCAGTAATTTCCAGATGTTTATATTGATGATATTGAGAATCAGAAATATCCCTTAAGATGAGAGCAGTCTAATTCAACCCCAAGGCAGGTGAATGTTAAGAGATTGAAGGCTGCTGCCAACACTTACAGCTGAGAAATCCTTGTATCTGCCTCCTGTGGGAAAAGAGAAATGGACCCAGAGTGATTCTATTTCTCCTTCCAAATCTTGAGCAAGGGCTTCCTATTGGCAGAACTCTAAATGCATTTAGAATACTGAGAGCAGGGGAGTTCAGGAGTTGCAGTTCCTTGGCTTCTAGCCTCTGTGATACAGAGAAGAGCCTAAAAGAGATTGTCAGTGTGATGGTTGTGGTGGTGGGGGGAGGAAGAAAATGCGACTTGCCAAAAGAACCCAATATTTAGCAAAACCTTCCCTTTCATTCTGATAAGTGTGTTTAACCAAAGATGAATACGTCTTTTTCTAGGAACTAGAAAGAGGGAATAGTTTGGCATATTGAATATGCTTGATTTAAGTTGGCATTAATATTAGATAGCAACTCTCTGGCTTAAGTGATGAAAATACTGAGATATACATTAAAAACACACCCAAAGCTAAGTTAAGGCATAGATTGCTTTTTCATAAAGAGGAATTGTACAATTTTATAAGCTATTACATTGTTATGCTTAGATTTAAAAAGATGTGTATTTTAAAACAATTGGAAACATCGATGGTGCCGTTTGAGACTGATTTGGCATTTGGTCCATAAGAAGAAGTTTGTGATAATAAAAACAATTTAATTGTCAGAGCCATATGGTTAGATGTGAATAGAGTTCAGGTAGGACTCTTGAAAAAATGAATTCCAGAAATAAAAATTAAACAAAACAAAACAATAAAACTAAGGTAAAAGCATTTTTATGACAGGATATTTTGTTTTCTTGTTAATGAAATATGAGCATATTTTAAAGTTGACATGAGTTTTGGCAAAAAATGAAAATTAAAGCTTTCTTCTATATGTGTATTCACTCAATGATATCACCCAAAGTACAGGCACATTCTGTCACATACGTTTATCATCAGTTCCAAATGCATTTGATCTCTTTCCACTCCTTAAGCTTTGTAAGTTCAATAATGTGGGTGCATATGTCAAAGTTCAGAACAATGGACATAACTGTTCTTGAGGTGAGCCATAAGTTGCCTATTATAATTCACATGGAGTGTCCCTTCGTGGCACATATGTGCCTCTATTTTATTGATCTTGCCTCATCTACATCTTAAACACCTATTCCCAATGTGTCTTTCTTCTTATTTCTAGGGGTTGAACATCTCTGGATTTCTCAGGAAGTGTTTATATCCCTTCTTTGGGAACCTCTCTTTCTCCTTAGTGTCCATTCAACTGTCCCTTTGTTTTCTTAAACTCCTGTCCTCTGCCATCTTTGAGGTGAGGTTTCACCGATTATCTTTTTGTCCTTTGGTCTAGTTTATTGGCCATCTTTTATTTTTTAAAATTCTGCTGGATATGACTGGACAGGACTTCAGGTATAAGCAAATGGAAGTGGGGGTAAAGGCAAGTGACCATCACTGATCTCCCTTAGGCTCAAGCATTGATAAGATAATCAGAACTTGTACTGGTGAGTGTGAATAAAGGCTTTTGGAAGTTAGACTCTTATTTAAGAGAACTCAGGATTTAGGAAAAGACCTGCTGAGTCAGACTTAGGCTTCTCACTCCCAAGTCTCATCAAAGTTATTGTAAATTTGCCAAACCTAAAGAAAAATGGGAGGAAGCATCATATGAATGGAGCCTGGTAGAGTCACCTTGCAAAGAGTCAAACTTTCTGGCATCTCATACTTAGCCACATCCTATTTGGTTGTGTGTGTATCTGTGTGTGTGTGTGTGTGTGTGGTATGTGCATATGCATGCATACCTTGGGGCATGATTAAAACTTGCATAAGGGTTTGGGAATTTGAGAGCAGGGGAGACCTGTGAACAAGGCACTCCAGAATAGGTGTGACATGATGGTATGTTCAGGGACCTATTCATTACATATCTGCTGAGGGTGCTGTTCACACTGTCTGACATGTAAATGTTACTTCCAAGCGTGTGCTATGCTGTGGTATCAGGCAGGTGGCCAGAGGTAGGCCTGATCTTGGGACAAAAAAATTTATAAGCATAAAATGATATCAGGTATCATAAAAACAATAGATGGAAATAAAAACTATTCTACGTGTAAAATATATAAATATACATTATATATATATTTTATAGATTTATATTTATATATTTTATATATAATTTATATATATTTATATATAATTTATATATTATATATATAATTATAAATATATATATTCTACATGTAAAATATATAATATATATATTTGATACAAAATTATATTTGCCTTAATATAATGCACACCCATGACTAAATTAAATGAAAAATCCCAGAAGAAAAATGAGTAAATGAAAAGGGAAATAGATATAAGGAGAATTTTAACATCAGTTTTAGTAACAGTTAAGCAAATTAATAAAATGGTATGCTTTATTTGGCAAATAAAACCATCAAGATTTAAAGTAATGATACTCAGTACTGGGAAAGGCATAGTACCTTGAGTACCCTCATTCATCATCACTGGGACTATGACTTTGGACCCATTTATTTTTCATCGTGGACTGTATCCCTGTTTAGCATTCGGAATAATCAATGCTTAATATGAATCTGTTGAATAAATGAGTTTTTATATAAATATCTTTTGTAAAATGTATAAAGATCCTTGAAATTTGGTAACATTTTCCTTTGAATCCAGTTTTTAGAAGTGGATCTTGATGTAAAAAAATTTTTGTGTATTCTTTAAGAGTGAAGTTGTTGTTATTCTAATTAATTTTTCTCAAAAAGTCATGTAGAAGAAAGCAAACGCAGAAGATTATGATTCTCAGTGAATTCATGCCATTTGCTAAAGTTACCGAATAAAATTAGTGATGGCACAGACAGTGAGTTAGTTCATCATTACTGTGCTGATGTGTATATTATGACTTAGGGAAGTAAATTCAATTTTCTACAGCAAACATATCCTAATAAATACAATTTGCTATAACAAACATATAGTGGGTAAATTCAATTTCTTAAAACAAACATGTAAAACCAGATTTGCAAGATTTAGAGTTTTAAGGACAATCGTTTTATTCCATAGGTTATAACAAAGAAACTTTCTACTTAAAAACAGAGCATTACAGAAACTCTTTTTTGCCCATCTCAACAAACCATCCAGACAAATTCAATTTTATGATGACAGGTACAGAACATGTGTAGATCTACTGTAAACAGGAACTTCCACCTGGGTCACTAGTGCTCTTTTTTTGGCACCCTCATGGTATCTGATTTATAAAATTTTTCAGCCTTTCTACTGACAAAGTGGATTACCTAGTCTGCTGTTTTATGTTCTCAAATGCTTTTATTCTTAAGGGTTCCCATTCAATACTCTAGTGACTTATAGGACCTATGATTTGAAGTAAAGTTGTAAAAAAAGGCAGAATCAAAGTATGAACTCAAGATTGTATAATTCTATACTCTGAAGAACAAATAAAGATTTATGTACAAAAAATTCATCACAACATTATTTGTGATAGTAACAACGGACAGTAATATAAAACACCCAAATTTTAAAAATGATTAAATAAAATTTGATACATCGATGATGAGGTGCTCTGAGGGCATTAAAATGGTGTTTATGAAATAATTAAAGGCATGAGGACATATATCATATTAGGTGAATGAAATAATGTACAAAATTGTATCTGCAATCATTTCATTTTTGTTATGTGTAAATGAAAAACAGGATGCTAATACATTAAATTGTTAAGAATTATTATCTTCTGGAAGGTATGAATAGGTGAGAATTTTTTTTGACTTTTTACATAGTCCAAAAAGTCAACAATGAGAGTGTTGCATATTTAGAATCATAATCTTATTAAATTTTTTTAATCTTCACCATAATGAGTTTATCTTAGATGTATAAATTAGGATGCTCCAAAGAACAAAAGATGTGAAAATAAGAGCCCTAAATAAATATGAACAACCATGATTTTTTTAATTGAAGATATTAAACAAGAAAAGGGTACATATTAATAGCAATCACTGCATTGTCACATGTTGAAAATAAAGATGTGTCTGGGATTGACATAAAAGATTATTTACATCTATTTATGTAACAGTCTTCTCCATTTTGCCTTGTAAAAATTGGATTATTTCCAGTTGGGGAACTTGACTGAGTCTAACTCACTCACCTTTTGAGAAGCCAAACTGCGTAGGCTTTCTAAGACTAGGTATGAACTTATAAAATAGGGATGATAACACTTACATCAATAGGCCTGAGTCTCCTGGGGAAGATATACAAACAGAATGAAGCACATGTGATAGCAGAACTGTTAGAGGAGCAATGCATTTAATATGGGGGCCTTTAGATAATCCATTAGAATCTTTTACATGGATTCGGAAAGTAAAGAGAGAAAAGAAAGGAAAGGTATGAGCAGAGATATGAATTGGGGAAGCACATGGCAAAGTGAGAAAGATGAAAATAGAAATAGTAATAAACTTTATGTACCATGTAGCACTTACACTTTGTGATGTGTTCTTTTAGCATTTTACATATTCTACTACATATAGTGGGAGATTAGATGGAAAGGTAGGGGGCACTGGATAAGAAACCACATACTCCAAATTCAGGGATGGTTTCGGTAAAAGGGGAGTGACATGAAAGCAGCTGCCTAATATTAGGAAGTCAAAGGTGACAAGTTCAAATACGATTGCAGCCCTTCATAAATGGTGTGACCCTGGGAAAGTCATTTACTTACTCAGTGCCTTAATATATTAGCTCAGAAATGTATTAGAATAATACTGACAGGACAGTGAATATTATCCATTCACTAATAATAAAAGTGCTTGGAAAATGATACAGCTCTATACAGATTTTAAGTGTTCTTATTTTTGCTGTGATGATCTGACATTTGTTTTAATGAAATAGTCATTGGGCCAGTTTAAAGAATGATTGGGAGAAATGAGAGAACAGCACCATGTCCAATTTGGGTGTTTCTATGATAGCCCAGTGTGAGAGAATAAAGGCTTACAAAAGGATTATAAAAATACAGAGAAGAGGAAAGAGGGAAGAACAGAACTTTGAGAAACACATGATGTACTTGGTGAGAGAAGGAGTAGGAAAAGAAACAGAAGGAGTTTCAAAGTCGCTGGAGACAGAGGAGGTAAATCTCATGAAGGAGGCTCCATTTAATATTGTCAACTGCTTCTGATAAAGCATGATAAGGAAACAGTCAAAACTCTTAGACTAGGCAATGACATTACTGGTTATTTTAAAGAGGAGTGTTATGGAAGCCGTATAAGATTAAAACCTAGACTAAGGGTAAGGTGAAAGTGAGCAATGTTGAATAGAGGAATCGAGGGAGAATTACTCCTATGGGTGTTCAGAGGAATGAAAAGGGAAGAGGTTGAAAGGCAGATTTGAGGAAAAATCTACCTAGAATTGGAGAACCTTTAGTGTATTTGCAGATGAAGAAAGAAGCCAACATGAAGACAAGATTGAGGGTGATGAAAAAAGAGAAAAGTTATGAGGCAAGTTCTGGGAGCTCAAATGGGATCAAAAATAACATGTTAAAAGGCTAGCTTGGAAAGGAGTGAGGACACTTTTTTCTTTTAAGAAAGAAGAAGGGAAAGAAGAGAAAACTGGTATGGATCTATAGACATTTTTAGATAAAAGAGAAAAAGGTTGAGAAGTTTCATATCAGAGACACCTTATCATCTCAGTGTAGTTACTATTGCAGAGTCAGAGGCTGTGTAAACAAGACAAAGTTGGAAAAGCCAAGGAGTGGATTCCTTAGGACTCAGAGACAGATAGAAAGGTTATCTGGAGAAAAAGCAATGGAATTGAAGAGAAAAATGGTAAGGCAGAAAATTCAGGCAGAATTTGAAAATTATGAACAGAAAATATATTTGTTAATGTTTCTAGATCTTTTCCACAGCAGCCTTTACCAGAGGCCCTGTCACCATCGTGAAACATAAAAAGCTATGTATACTAATAGCCAACTATTTACCAGGGGTCTGTTGGCCTATAGTTTATCTGTGGTTTCCAAAGCATCTTTTAAAATTTTATTGATTTTTTTTTCCAAATCTATCTATGGATCATGCCAATCTCTGTGCCAGGCATTTTTATTGGTTGAGTTTCCAAATATAGTCAGGCTAACACTGTGGAAATTTGTATTATTCCTTGTCAGGCAGATTGGGAATAGCTCTCCTCCATGAAATCTGCAATCTTTTTTTAAAGTCAAAATTCCCCTGTCTACCTGGCAGGCATCCATATTTTCAACGAATTTCCCCATTAGTTATCTGAAGGAGAAGTTGAACACTGCCTCAGGGATGAAGCTACAATTACGTTATTACTGAAAACTTTCCATGTTATCTCTAAATATCATGTTTCATTTTAGTTTCCAAACTCTTGCTTTTGGAGGGAAGTGGAAGCACTACTGATTTGCTTCATCATTTTGTATGGCACTAACACAGATGGTATGTGATGTTATGTCTCTATCTTGGTCATTAATTCTGTTTCTCATAGGTCCTTCACACATGCTCAAGGTTAGGGATATGAGAGCTACCTACTTCTTGAACCAAATATCTTGCCGACTTCTCAAAAGCAAATTCCTTGTAGTTTCCAAAACAAAAATTTTATTTTTATAGATATATTTGTCTCTTTTGTCTGGGATGACATTCTCTACATTTTCTGCAGGGAAAATTTTTGTACATTCTTGAAAGCATACATGGTTCATGTATATTCTCTATACCTTTCTTATGATTTCTAACTTTCACCTACCCTAATGAAAGTTGATTTTTCTTTCCTTTGAACTAATACTGATCAGCATGTAAATCCTAGGTTAGGACTTCCTGAACTGCACTGCAATTATTTGTTTAATGTTTGAATCCCTAATAATCACTGAGCTCTTCAAGGGCAAAGCTAGTATCTGATACAACTTTAAATCTCTAATGTTTGTCACCTATTGGATGATCTATTAATATTACTTTTATTATCATTATTATTATTTTTTACTTCAAGTTCTGGGATACATGTGCAGAACGTGCAGGTTTGTTGCTTAGGTATACGCATGCCATGGTGGTTTCCTCCAGCTATCAATCCATCATCTAGGTTTTCAGCCCTGCATGCATTAGGTATTTGTCTTAATGCTCTCCCTCCCCTTGCCTCCACCCGGCCCCACGACAGGCCCCGGTGTGTGATGTTTCCCTCTGCGTCCATGTGGTCTTATTGTTCAGCTCCCACTTATGTGTGAGAACATGCTAATTTACTTTTTTTTTTTTTTGAGACGGAGTCTCACTTTGTCGCCCAGGCTGGAGTGCAGTGGCAGGACCTCAGCTCACTGCAAGCTTCACCTCCCGGGTTCACACCATTCTCCTGCCTCAGTCTCCCGAGTAGCTGGGACTACAGGCGCCCGCCACCACGCCCGGCTAATTTTTTGTATTTTTTAGTAGAGACGAGGTTTCACCGTGTTAGCCAGGATAGTCTGGATCTCCTGACCTCGTGATCCGCCCGCCTGGGCCTCCCAAAGTGCTGGGATTACAGGCATTAGCCACCACGCCAGGCCGCTAATATTACTTTTAATTGAGTGAATATTGTAGTTCCTTTAAGCATATTCTACAGAAAACAGGTACTTCAAGATAGTTCATAAAAAAGGATTTTGTGGTCTCGAATAAATTTGTGAGCCATTGAATATTGAGGATTCAAATGTTAAAGACTCAGAAATTTTACAGAAAACTTTAATGTTATTTAACGAAGTAAAATGTCTCCCATACTTTTTTTTTTTTTTTTTTTTTTTTTTTTAAAGACCAAGTCTCGCTCTGTCGCCCAGGCTGGAGTGCAGTGGTGTGATCTCGGCTGACTGCAACCTCCGCCTCCCGGGTTCAAGCGATTCTCCTGCTTCAGCCTCCCGTGTAGCTGGGATTACAGGCATGCACCACCACATCCAGCAAATTTTTGCATTTTTAGTGGAGACACTGATTCACCATGTATCCCATGCTTTTTGATCAGGTAATACTTATTAATACATCCCAAAAGAACTAGAGAAAGAGTTGGCAACCCTCTTCTATAAGAGGCTAGATAGTGAATATTTTAGCCATTGTTGGTGGCCACATGGTCTATGTTGCAACTATTTAACTCCATCATAGCAGATTTGCATAGGAAAAGTAGCCACAGACATCTATAAACAAATGAGCATGGATGTGTTTTAATAGAACTGTATTTACAAAACAGACAGTATCTGGATTTGGCTCTCAGGTTGTAAATTGCTAAGCCCTGAATTAAGAATTTTAAATAATACACTTTGGAGATTACTGAGTTAGCTTTGAGATACATAAATAACAAAGTGATTCATCAATCAAATTTCAAATTTGTAACAAAATATAACATGTGAGGATTCTGAAAAGTTCCTCCCCCTAAGAGTACTGTCCTTCAACCAGTAACTATTTTCTGAGCATGCCCTTCAGAATTCTACAAAATTAGGTTGTTCAGCTAGGTAAGGGCTTATCAATGCTAAGTATAGGCATATTTCCAGTGAAATTAATTTCTACAGAACTTTTCCCTTCGGAACTATGTTGCTTTCCTTTCTAAGAAGGCAACTAAAAACCTCTATGAACAAATTAGGGCACCTATTATGAAGAGATCTCAGGATGCTTCTCTCCTTTCTAAATAACACATTCACTTTCTTTATCAGATACATTTTTAGAGAAAATGCCTTAGGCAAGGCCTTCTTCACACATTGTAATGATTTAAATTTCTGGTAAAGCAAGATGAAAAGAAAGCCTAGTGGAGAGAATTATTTTGTGTAGGCTGAGCAGTTTTATCGAAGCCAAGAACATAGTAGTATGTCTATGGTGATTAAGCACTGACCAAGCTAGAAGAAAGGAAGGTCTCCAGTTTTAACTAGACATATATCAGATTAATTTGTCCAAACTAAAATGAGCAAGTCAATCGTATTTACCAATTATTTGTGCTCCTGATGTCCAGTTAAATCACTTACATTTTTTTTCTTGGATATACACCCTTTGAATATTTATATTCAGTTATTCAGCCCCAGGGTTATTATTATTTCGTCGAGGTCTGCATTTAGTGTTTTTAATCTGTAATTCTGTAGGAATACATCAATACTTCTGTTTCTCTAAATACTTTTCATCTCTTCTGTGGATCTTTTTATTCAATCTACATATTTGTTACACTGAGATTCTTGAAATTAAATGTAATATTCTAGGAATATACAAAATATTATTTGTATTATAATATTATTTTGTGGGCTTGTGATATGTTATTTGTCTATTTTGGTCTCAAATAACTATAGCCTTTGCTTCATTGTCATTGTTCACTGCAAATTCATCTTATTTGATGTCCCAAATTTGAATCTCTGAATCTCTTTCTCATGACTGATTTTCAGGTCTCTTTCTGCTTCAAAATGAGGACATGCATTGCTAAAAGGGAACTACAAAACACAATACTATGTTTCTAAATTTTGTGGCTTTAATTATTTTCTGCACAGAATCTATTTTTCTCATTGCTTGCCTGTTTCTTCTCACTGACAGTATTTATGGTCCCTCTTCAGACTAAACCATCTACTCCTTATCTTGGGATCTGCCTATGGGGAGAAGTGGGTCGTAGACCAGACTCTAAGGTGTTTGTGGCCACCAGGATGAAGACAAGAACAGAGAATGAGAGGTAGTCTGAATTGTCCTGCCAGGCAGTAATACCACCTTCTTGTGAAAAGGAGATTCTATCTATGTCCTCAATGCTGATGAATCATCTTTTCCCTCTTCCTTTTATGACTGTTATGAGTGTTGAGAGTTTAAAGCTATTCATTCCAGCATGCTGCCACCTTCTCATGGGTGGGAGTGGAACGCTTGACTTTTCCTTTATTGAATTAGAAGGAAAAGAGACAAGTGATTCCCCTCTAATGACTAAGGTTTCCTTCAGCTCTCTTGCCTTGGCACCTCTGTGCTTCCCACCTTGCCCCTTGTAACATATGCATTGAAGGCAGCTTTCTAAACCTGGGTTTCAGTGGCTTCCCCATTTCACACTTGCCTGAGGTAGCACTGTGAAATGGTGAGAGCACCCTAAATAGCTCCACAATGTGAGGTCAGATGATTAATTTTCTAGGCTTCAGCTTTTCATCTGTAACATGATCTCCAACTTTCTGTCTGTAACTCTGGAACTGCCCTTATCTTCACTTTCTTCTTGGTAAATATGATATTTGCCATGTTTTCCCCATGTTTTAGGCTCTGGACACTCCAGAAGGCTTTTTTACCATTATGACAGCCTGGCATTTTCATCACTGCTTTTTAAACTTTCCTCCTGCCCTACTCTCTTATAAGGTTTCATCCCATGGGGCACATTCTTTGGGTTCCCCTCCTACACTGAGGCTGTCCTATTCACGGAAACATTAAAGTTAAAAATTGATACAAGGAAAGAAAGTGAAACACAAAGTAAAGAACCAAGAAACATTATGCAAACCAAAATCTAAAACTTATTTTGAAATTATCTGGCTCAAATTCTCCCATACCCAGCATAGTTTGGCAACTTGGGCTGAAAGCTCCAAGAAGTCAAGATATTAGTAATATTTTATACAAATAGGAAGAAAAAGCCTGAAGGCTTGGAAAAATATTATTTTTGAACTGCTACAAATTTAGCATACAGAAATAGAATAAAATATAGCCACCTAGCTCCAAAGAGATAGAAATATATTGAAATAAAGTTAGAAAATGACAGAAAAAAAATGAGAGGATATCGGAAAATATCTAGCCGTCTCTACTATATCTACAAAAAAACTTGATTTACTGATAATTTTAATGAATAGGAAAATATATTAGTATAATGATGACTGCCAACTAGAGGTATTATTTGCTATAATAATAATAATCAGTTATTGGGTGTTTAAAACATTTAATGGGAGTAATGAAATGCGTGGTATGTATCCATTAATCATAATAAAGAGAACCAGAAGTCTATTTTTTTTAAAAAAATTCATTTTAAGTTCCAGGATGCATGTGCAGGATGTGCAGGTTTGTTACACAGGTAAACGTGTGCCATGGTGGTTTGCTGCACCTATCAACTCATCACCTAGGTATTAAGCCCTACATGCATTAGCTATTTATCATGATGTTCTCCCTCCCCCTGCCCCACTGACAGGCCCCGGTGCATGTTGTTCCCCCTCCTGTGTCCATGTGTTCTCATTGTTCAGCTCCTACTTATGATTGAAAACGTGGTGTTTGAACCATAAGACTATTTTGATTGTCTTTAATTGTGTTTTACATTTGCGATGAAGAGAACAACTGTAAGACCGATAAAATTTCTTTTAAGTTGGTCTGTTGCACAGAAGACACCAGATTTTTTACTTTATAAATTTTGTTTAATACATAAAAGAACCCAATAGCTTTAGCTCATAAACATTTATTTCTTTATTTCCTCATTATGTCTTGTATTTGTTCCCCAAGCTTGGACTTTGTGAGTACTTTGTTTTGATACTAGTGAATAATACTTAATATAAAACATCTACCAGGAGAATGTTACCCCTCTGCAGACCCATGAAAATCTTGCCTCAAAGCAAAACTTTTTGAAAATATATTATTTTCTACTCTATTTCTGTTCGACAGAGCCTAAAATTATAGGCTGCAAAGTGTAGGAAATAAAGATCTGCCTCCATTCAAATATCTTATATGCATTTATTTACATAAATTTAAACTTTCTATTTATTTAAAAGAGAGCAAAGGTTTGGAAAGTAAAAATGCTAGGTTCTCCATTTCCTTTTAAATATACTCTGATTTTAATGGAAACTAGTGATAGAACATGATATTTCTGATATAACAGTAGTGACATATTCTGTGCTAAAATTTTGGGGAAAGATCATTAGCTTAATGGTTTATTTGCATTCTCTACATATCATCTACCCACAGAAACTTATTATTATAAACAGCTATTCCAACTTGGAAGGGGTATATGGAATTCATGAGAAAAAGATAAAAATGGAAATTGGTGTTGCATTCTATCATTAATTATTCAGGTTTTTATTTAGTTCCTACTATGTGTGAAGCACCATGTTAAGGTTGATTGGAGAAATAATAATGAAATAGATATAAAGCCTGAAATTGATCACACTTTAATTGGGAATTAGGGTAGGTGGAACTGGGAATTAGGGGGTGGGTGAGCAAAATCCAGTTTAGGCCTAATCTGTGTCTACACTGTGGCTTTTTGGAAGTGAGCTCATTTTATGAAGAAGACAGACTAACCTAGTAACAAGGTTGAACCTAGCGTAAATTACTTACCTGGTAATAAAATGTTTGGCAGGAGGAGAGCATTTCAATGTGACATAGATTAGTTTCTGGCTCAGTCTACTTTGTGCTCATGTCCATGGACAAGCCTTGTGTAGATGCCACATGCGATACCTCTAGGTAAAGTATTAGGGCCTGATAACTAACTTGGTGGCCCTATATCTGAGTGTAATACAAAAGAGCCTTAAAATACTCTCTTTTAGTTGGACATGGAACATCAGGCAGCAGGTACCTCAAGGGTTCCAAAGAGGATTCAGATGTTAGCTAGTGGGAAGCGCAGTAGCAGTGGTGGCACCAAAGATGAACATTATATATTAGGGCCAGCAAGGAGATGTTGCATGGTAGATGACTAGATTTGTTACTGGGACACTAAGAAACAATTAGTGGTGGTGGTGGTGGTAGTAGTGGTAGTGTTGTGTGCAATATTCTTTTGGGGATGAGTGCATATTCACAGAAAATTGTAATTATCTTAAAAGAGGCATGGATTGAATGCTATGGAAGTTCCATGAGTGGAGGAAGCACTAGCTGGGAGGACCAGTAAAAATCTCATGAAAAATATAGCATAGGAACGGGTCCTGGGTGATATGTAGAATTCAGATTTCAGAGATAATTTTATGCAGATGGAAAACCAGGCAATTTGATTCCAATGTGAAGAGGGTGCAATGGGAGAAAAGACCAAAGAGTTTCTTTAGGGAGCTGTTATAAAAGGAAGGAATTGTTAATATGGACAAACATCCTAGGAAGAAGAAAAGAACTAAAAAGAACTAAAACAAACAAAGATTCATCTGCAAGACACAGAGCAACTGGTGAGAACATTGAAGATTGAAGAGTGTGAAAAAGAGTACTCAATGTATTTTTGAAGGAAAGTCTAATGGCTTTTACTTATTATCAATCTGAGTAGTTATTTATCGAGTTTCATGATGGTAATGTGTACAATGTAGTTAGATGGCAACTGTAGATTGGGGCAAGAACCTAGGCCTCTACACCAATGTAATTCCTTCTATATGACACTATTTATTTAATTCCAGTGGTATATTAGATTTTTGTCATTCAGTAGCCATTGTCCCATTGTTTACACATAGTAAGGTGATGTTTTAGCACCCATCTTTAGAGTCATGATGACCTGGTAAATTTAATTGAATGCTGTTTTAAAGATAGCCACTAGAGGGCTTTGCTTTATTTAAATAAAGGGGCGTTACAACCTGAGATTACTGTCCTATTAACTCGAAATAATATTTTCTGAAGGGGTCCTAGTTTAGTATAAGGGAAACTTGTTTACACTCACAAGATTCAAGTTCTAATCTCAGTTCTGTCACTCGCTTGCCTTTGAATTTAGTTTTCCAGTGTATTATGTACCTCTTCTATTACATATATGCTATTCCCTACCCTATAAGGTGTGAATTCCATTAAATGACATACATACTTAATTTTACTGATTACCTGTTTTTTTTTAAAAAATAAACGATTTATCTTTTTTCTTTTTTAGCACACACACATATACACAGACACACAGAGACACACACACTTCACTTCATGCCTTCATTTTCATGATTTCAGTATTCTACTTCTTCCAACTAATATGTAGCCAACCATGCCACATAGCTGTCCAAGGACAAATTAGCATTAGAAATATGAGTCTCACAATCTAAAGGCGGCTTTCTCATGTTTCTCCTAGAGATAAAGGCTTCTTTATTAATTATTATCACTGAAAGTAAAACATTACCTTATTAATTTAAGTAGAGTCCAAGGTGAAGAGAAAGATTGCTCATATATTTCTAAACCTCTGCTTCCTCGTTCTACTACTCAAGTTTTCCAATGCGGGAAAATGAGCCCCGTCATTAGCAGGGTCAGGTACGACATTGAGCTGTGACTGAGGGCTGGAGTAGGAAAATGCTGTAATGATAACCGAGACCCTGCAGTCACCTTTCTTGAGTAATATGATCTCCTGTACTCTGCTGAGTGATTCCTCAGGCCACTTAGGGACTCTCAGGCTTCATCTGTATAGAGGATCTGTCATGCATTTACATCTAATATATGTGGCAGTGTGCTGCCCAGGTCCTCAGCTGCAGATGGGAACAATGGATACATTTCAGATTTGAAAAACAGAGAGTAGCGTCCTGATTGTTAGACCCAACTTTGTTTCTCTTCAGGAGATTTTGAAACAAATAAATGATTTGAACATAGCTAATTTATTCAAATGGAAAAGTAGTATCATTTTAGTGAATTTGACTATTGGACTTTTATTTTTATTTATTTCCTTCTGAAATAATTAAAAATACACACCATTTTATGCTTAAAATTACATTTTTGTATTTTAATCTGAGGCTACTACTCCTCATTAAACAGGTCAACTGAAAAGAAAATAGGTTGGTTCTAATTTTCTGAATTCTAAAATGTTTTATTCAACAACCACACTTCAATTCTAGCAAATGCCATTTTCTAAACAAAGTGATTTGTAGGGATAAGCTTTGCTGGAGGACATACTAGGGTTTCCTCAGACCAATATATGTGTCACCTTTACTTGATAATGATAACTAAAAAGATTTATCTCAAAACTCTGACCAACTCTTTCTAACTTCCACATCAATTAAACTTCCTAATTTGTTTCACTTTTAGTTCAATTGTAGATTCCATTTATATCTAGCTTAAGTGTGAATAATAAGGCAGATATATTTAATACTGAGAATTTAGCACTGAACTCTTTATGTCTAAAAAAGTTTTAGAGTCTTTCCTGATTATCTACCACACATCCAGCTTGATGCTAGGAAAATTTTGGATCGATGTGGATGCTGATCCAACTTTAGTTTTGTGGAGATTTTAATTCACAGTCACATCATCTTTAGCCGCTGATCAGTGATGACTTGGTTTCATTGCTAGTTGCAGTGTTCAGTTCAGCTCAGTAAGACATTATTTTAAAATGCTTGATTTTTCAAAAAATACTCAATTTTTAAAAAATACAGGCACTTTGTAAAGTGAATGTTCTCATCTAGCATGTAATTATGCCATATAGCTGTCAAATAGTACAACATTTAAGTGACTGTTTAATAGCATAGCAGCAATATACTATTATGCACTTCTTGCTTACCTTACAGTTAGAATGTAATTATTTATGTTTAAGGTGAAGAGCAGCACTTACTTTCATGCATAAACAGCTCCATAATGGGGTATACAGGAAGAGTTATTCCACTGTCACAGTCCTAATTGGCGTATGGCTCCTTTTTAAACCTGCAACCCAACACAGATCAATATGCCAACTAGGTTTCAAAGAAAATGAAGAGGTGGTCTAATTTCTCAGTTTCCTGATGTATTAACTAAATCTTAGAAATTCACCAATGTTAGTAGACTCTAAAAGCATTTGAAACTGTTATCTCTCTGTCTGTCTCTTTATGGCTTTATCATCTATCTGGTTATTTGATTTTATATTACTAATGGCGTATTTAA
Organism: Homo sapiens; assembly: GCF_000001405.40. Lineage (NCBI taxonomy): Eukaryota > Metazoa > Chordata > Mammalia > Primates > Hominidae > Homo > Homo sapiens. The sequence goes on along the minus strand of NC_000006.12, from coordinate 78,609,823 downwards.
CTTTAACAAAAGATGGACAGGCCTGAAACAGAAAGAAAATTATTTTCATTAGGGCAAGTGAGAGTGTAATAAAAATAAGTAAGAAATTTTAATGGAGCACCACGTATTTCCTTAATCAAACCAACTCCCAAGATACTCTGTAATATCAACATAAGACTTGGAAGGTGGTAATTGCTTATAGATTTCTTTTCCTTTCAACTTTCATGTTTTTAATCTTGAATTGATGTATGTAGTTGGCTCTTGGTTGTCTATGAATATTAAAAGGATGAAAGACTTGGGATGCATCCCATGCCCTTGTTTTCTAACTCTACCATTGACCACCCACTAAGATAGATTCTGGGCCACTGACAATAGGGAAATATCAGCAGGAAGAGGGAAAACTAAATTACAAATGCTTTAATGTCTACAAGCATTAGAGCATTTTTGCCTTGTGCTGGCTGAAACTACAAGTAGAGAGCTACTACTAATCATTCTTGCTATGCAAGTGTGATCTGAATGATTATATTCCAGAGATACTTAGAAGAGATTTCTGTACTGGGTCTAATGTTGAATTACCAGATATAAATAATAATATCTTATATTTGTACAACTAATTATACTTTTAAAGATATTTCTATCTACTTCTCTTATTTGATTTCATAACAATGTGGGGAAAGTCTACATAGTAGGGATTATATTTTGCTTCTACCTTTGAGGAGCCTGAAGGTTAGACAGGTTAAAGACATGCTAGAGGCTGCTATTAGGCGATCAAAAAGATACTGAGAACCCAGCCTTTTGATTACAATTACTACAACTTCCCTCAGCTGCTATTTATCACATGCTTTTCTTGTGTCAGGATATGTGCCTTAGAAATGTATCTCACTGAATCCTCTCAACAGCCCTTTGAGGGAGGTATTTTTCCATTTCACAGAATCTAGCACTCTCTTCAACAGTTTCCTTGCAAAATTGAAAGTGGAGAGAGCAACGGTTATAAATGTGATTAGTTTACTGTTGCTTTTTCTTTTCTTTCTAAATGTTTATAACTCTAATTCTGTTTCTTTACTTTGAGATCAGTTCAAACTCTTATTATAAAAATTTATAGGCTTTGTGTTCATTTCTATTCCCTTTATAATGACAGGTCTTTGAACTCACATTGTATACACTTCTTATTTTGCTCTAAACCAATTGGAAGAAAGACCAATAGACAATTCTCTGTACCAAAATGTTATACAGATAAATTGTATACTCCCAAAAGGCACTGGTGACATGCTATTCTGTCAACAAAGACAGAAGTTACTGGAGTTAGAGACAGAAAAGAAATATATTGGTTATGTGCCAAAGGATTTATTTACAATATAATGGTTTGTAGGTTTCACTGAAATACAAAAAAAAAAAAAAAGGCATGAAAAATTTGCTTTCTTGTTTACTTCTATAGTAGGTTGTTAAGTGACAAAATACCTCCCAGTGGCACAACGGCTGGCTTCCTATGCATAGTGAAGAGCCTATACACCTAACTGCAACTCCATGAATCACTGAGTCATGTGATTTTGAGCTAAATTGCAGCCTTTATCCACCACAAAAAAGTAAATAAAAAATCAGAAAGTGTACTCTTCAAAATATGCAACCTATATTTGTACAGGATAGCAAGAACATTTAGATTCTGGGTTATAGTAACACATAAAATTGAATTTGCTCCCTGATCCCAAGCAAGTAACCTAGATTCATAAAATTCTAAAGTTGTATTAAACTTGAATGTGCTACGAAGCTTCATTGTGTCATTTAATAATGCTTGGATTTTTACTTGCTTTTCTTGTATCATTTTCGTTTTTGAAATGAATAAAATTGTCCCTATTAATCACAGTCAAGAAACATATGTTTTATATAAAGACAAAATATTCTAAAATTAATGAATAAGTCATTATCTGTCTGTTTCTAAATTTCTGTTTCTAGAAAATTATGTTCTTAGTTTAGTCACATAAACTTTATGCCTTGATCAGAGGGGTTAAACTTGAAAAGACTTACTGCACTTGGCTTTCTGGCAATGAACTGAAGAATGAATAATATTCAATCATACTAGAAGTGAAGATTCATTTAATCTATAAAGAACCATTAATAACAAAACACACATGACTTTAGGAATTTGAAAACATAATACTCTTTCAAATTGACTTTTAGGACTAGAAGTATAATAGGGTTCATGTGTTTGGTGACTATTCCTCTTCAGCTTTAGGTTTTAGATTTCCAGTCTATCCTTAATTGTAGCATGCCCTGCACTAGCAACATTATTGAAGAAACAGAAGTGGCCAAGAGACTGTGATGCAAACTAAACTGAATAGACATTGTGATGGTTAATTTTAGCTATCAGCTTTACTGGATTAAGGAATTCCTAAAGAGCTGGTAAAGTGTTATTTCTGGATGTGTCTGTGAGGGTGTTTCTAGAGGAGATTGGTGTGTGAGTCATTGGACTGAGTGGGGAAGATCCAGGAAATGTAAATGGGGACCATCAATCATCTGGGGGCCCTAACAGAACAAAATGGCCAAGGAAAGGCAAATTCTCTTTCTCTCCTGGAGCTGGGGCATCCTTCTTCTCCTGTCCTTGAACATCAGAACTCCAGGCTCTCCAGTCTTTCAACTCCAGGACTTACGTCAGCAGCTTCCAGTTTTTCAGGCCTTTGGCCTTAGACTGAGAGCTACACTATCAGCTTCTCTAGTTCTGAGGCTTTCGGGCTTGGTCTAAGACTTGCTACTAGTTTTTGTGGGTCTCAAGCTTGCAGCCTGCCTGGTTGTGGGACTTCTCAGCCTCCATGATCATGTGAGCCAATTGCCCTAATAAATTCTCTCTCGTCTATCACCCATCCATCCATCCATATGTCCATCCATCCATCCATCCATCCATCCTTTTTTGGTTCTCTCTCTCTGGAGAACCCTGACTAATACAGAAATATTCGTTTTTCTAACTTACCTGAAAAGGAAGACTAGCTGGATTCAGTCATATTTAAGTGAAAGTAATTTTTTTTTCATAAAATACTTCTGGGCTCAAGTAATTAGGCTTTCCTCTTTTTGCCCCTGTTTTCTAAGTATTTCTACAGTTGCATTAATCTACTCTCTTCCCAACCCTATACTCCAACTCCCATTTTGTAAGTCAATTAGTCAAAATATCAACAAACTAAAATAAAGTTCTACTCTCATTTTTCTTTATGGAAAATATCATTGCCTTATTACCAACTTGCAATAGAAATTAATAAATACTATTTTTAGAATCTTCTATGTCAAGATTACTAAGACATAGTTCTTAACTTTTAAGGAGCTAAAAAATGCATATATAATACATATGTATGCACTCACGTATGTTATAGAAAAAGCAGTGTTCAGCATCAAAATAAAGGAAGAATTAAAGTACAATAAAAATTCAAGAAAAAAATCAACTAATGGATGTAAGAAAAAGTGGTATTTGAACTGTTAAGGAAGAGATGGCTTGGAAGAAGAGCTTTTAGCTTAAACAATAGCTTAACAAAAGCCACACAGAGTTCTAAAAGTGTAGACTGAAGGAATTAAGAGGAGTATGGTGTGTGGATGTTTGTGTGTGTCCAGCAGCAAATAGTTGTTAAGAAGACTATTTCATATGGTAGAGGACTTTGAATTCTGGGTTGATGAGATTGTATTTTATTTTGTATTGAATGAGAAATCATGTAAGAATTTTGAGCTTGAAATTCGCAAGTTATTGTTTTAATAACACGACTGTTGGCAGCAATGCACAGGATGAGTCAGAAGGGGAGGGATCAGACATAAAACTAACTGCAAAGTTGTCACTATAGTTTCAATAAGAAATAATGGGAGCATGAACTTTGCAGAAAAGATAAAAATGGAATGAAGACAGAACTCTGTGAGAGAAAGAACATAGTAACTATTCTAATGATGTTGGGATCCTCAGTCTTCCAGAGGATGGCAATGGGATTTGCTAATACAGGATGGGAGAGAGAATGATGTGTGAGTGTCTGTGATGAAGATGTCACACTTACAGCAGAAACTGAGAAACAGTGGATAACTTCTGAAATCTTTGGGTATAATCATCTATCTTGTGTGATCTAATGTATGTTAATTCTTGTAGAAGAAATGATTTCTGCTGTTATAATCTGCAGCATTTATAGAAACTTGTTTGATTCAAAAGACGGTGATGGTTTTGTTTTCCATTCATGTTTGAGATTTTGAGTCCAGATGAATATCTGGATACATGAACTTTATAAAAAAGGATATCATAAGAATGTTAGGAGATAGTAAAAGCCAAAAGGGGAGAATATTGCTGACCCATCTCTTAGAATCATAATCTTAAGTGTTCTGTTCACTGTGCTGTACTTGCTGACTGCATGGTCTATTTCCAAGAGTTGTTTTTATTCCTGTGGGATCCAAAGTATAACAAATGGCAGAGAGTAAATTAAGTATTATTGCATGGGAAGGAAAAAAAAAGCTTACTGTATTTTAGGCTGATTGTATGCATCTCTGGGATTTTATTTTTTTGCCATGCTGGTTTAGTTAGAAGACAGTTTGTTAAATGGTTGTTGTGAGAAATGAAATGATTAATTACCTATTTATCTATTATCTCTTTATCTATATGCTTACTTGGTATGTTTTGGATATTACCACATCAGTGAAATAGGTGCATGCAGTGATATCTAGAGGTTATGTCTAAGTGGAATAAAAATGTCTTAATTAAAGTCAACTAAATAGGTATATTCTAGTAATTCTTAATTTAAGGAACTATTTAAGTGTAGATTATTATTAAAATTATTTTTAATTTTCTTCATCTTTCAAGTGTCTGTTCATTTAAATATTCTACCTGGTTACCTCTGCCTTCAAGTCAAAAGGAAAAAAAATCAAACAAACATTCATTTTGTTATTTTTTAATTTTTCTGTAGAGGATTTGTCAGTGGAAGCCACGGGGGCTTTAGGTTAAGTGAGTTTTCTTTTTCTTATTGTGATCAATCATGTTATCTTTGGTGCCTATGAGTGTACACTATTTACAGGAAAGGGCACAAGGAGTCCTACTGAGTCTTTAAAAAGTAACTAAGCATATTCTCTAGCAGTGTCTACAATTAATTTTCATTTTCACATAAGTAGATTAAAATTATTTTCTGGCTTTATTAAGACAAAGACTCTCTAAGTTCCTCATCCGGGGACTACTAGTAAACATTAAATGTCCTTCAGGAATTTAGTGCCCTTCTCTATTACCATAAACGTTTCAGAATTACACTTCCTTTTTTTCTCCTTCCTTCCAGAATTTAAGAAAGAAGTGATTATGCTGTTGAAATCGTGAAGATTTTACAGGTAACACTTCCTTTCCTTCCTTTGTTTTGATAACAGATGGAGATATTTACAATTTTAATAAAATCTAGAATGGGGAGGCAGGCAAGTCAATGCCAATCTTCCCATTCTATTTGGTGATAACTTTTTTGTAGTGTGAAGAGTGTGTGGTATTTTTACTAGTATGGGCTAAAAAATATTTGCAAATCCATTATATAAACTTTTTATTTATTAGGGAATCAGATAGAGGAAGGCTATTCTCACCATTACTTTGTGCAGAAGAAAACAGGGACTGACCTAAAACTTCTCAGTCCCAAAATGCAGCAGCATTCTTTAGGTTCTCTTCCTGGGGCCCTGCACTCGTGATGCCATTCAGGTATAATTTTCATGCTCATTTTCAGCTGGGAAAGACATTCAGCTACCTATTCATTTTCCTGACATAACTGTGAGAAAATGTAGTAAGTTATCTTTCTATTTGTCACTCAAAAGTTTTATTAGCAAAAAACATTTAAAATAATCTTTCTAATCATTTTCTACAAGAGCTTCATTATTTGCTCAGGGCACTTTGGAATTCCAATTTCATTAAAATTAGGAAATGTTTCTCTAGTTCTTTTGTTAACATTGTTTTGTCCTTGGATTAAATAAGGCTGTATACTTGAATTCTGATTTTTAAGTTAAAAAAATAAAGCTTAATAGTTTTTTATATAAACCAAATAGAGCCAGCAGTGGGAATTGCAGTGAGAATCAAGTTATCACTTGTTATGCCAGAATTTAAGCAAGAAGCAATTATGCTGTTGAAGTAGTGAAGATTTTACAGGTAACATCAAAGGCTGACATCAGGTTGAAATCTGCAGTAACACTACCAGATAATGACAGTAGAAGATTAGCTTTTGCAATGCAAAGAAATCTAGCTCTGGTGGGTATCTTCTGGGAATGATATAACATTTGTCTGCATAAGACTCTGGGGTCATATGATCACAGAAGAATGAATTTGTGCTGTCAACATAAGCCCTATCTGTAAGAGGTCATGGAATTGCAAAGTAGAGTCTATGAAAAGGGAGAAGAAATGTTACCTATAGTAGAGTAAGTACTTTTTAATGTTGCTTTTGTACAGCAAGATAATGTATACCATCAGCTAGCACTTGACAAGTCCTACGCTGGTATAGACTAAATTAACTTATGACTGAATTAAAATGAGGTGGTGGTAGAAGGAGAATAAACTTAGAATCACTCCAGAATAATGATTTACAGGGAGCAAGAAGTCAGTTCATTCTAGAATCTTCTGGGATCTTAAAAAACTTTTTTTTTTATTAAGGAGACATTACACTTTGAAATTACAATGTAATTACACATTAGCTTTTTTAATTTGGCAACTAAACTTTCCGAAATACAAATTATGAAAAACAAGTAAATCTTTGATACGCTACGTTAAATATTATTGATATGTAAATAAATAACATGTATATGTTATATGTGAACATAATCATGGAAATTCTTTTTTAAATTTCAAGGATGATTATTAAAATGAAAGAGAGGCCATTCTAATGTTTGAATGTATGAAATATCATATCAAAGTCCAAATCAAATTTATAAAGAAAAGGTGCCAGTTACTATCTATAAAGTAGCATCTAAGAAAGATTGGGACAGGAGTGGGGCTACTTTTTAAGAAATGTCTTAAAGTGTGTGAATTTCTACGGAATACTATGCAGCCAAAAAAGGGAATGAGATCACGTCCTTTGCAGGGACATGGATGGAGCTGGAAGCCATCATCCTCAGCAAATTAATGCAGGAACAGAAAACTAAACACTGCACGTTCTCACTTATAAGTTGGAGCTGAACAATGAGAACACATGGACACAGGGAGGGGAACAACACGCACCAGGGCCTGTTGGGGGGTGAGGTTGGGAGGGAGAGCACTAGGGAAAATAGCTAATGCATGCTAGGCTTAATACCTAGGTGATGGGTTGATAGGTGCAGCAAACCACCATGGCACATGTTTACCTATGTAACAAACCTGCACATCCTGCACATGTAGCCCACAACTTAAAATAAAAATAAAAATTAAAAAATAAAAATAAAGAAAATTCAGGAAAAAATGTGAATTTGACACAGTGCTTGTCAACACAGAGGTTGTTGAACAGGCTAGGTATTTGCAAAGCCACCTAAAGACTCAAATATTCCCCATGTCACTGCTCTACACAGTCCTTCTATTCTCATGTTAGTCATTAGCCTGGAGTATCTCTACCTCATGAATGTTTGTCTTGTTTATGTTATCTCTATGAAATTTTCCCAGTCAGGATCAATTGCTACTTCTTTAGTACTTCCATGTATACATTCTGCCCTTTATTCTAGTTTTTAATATATGTACTTTTCTGTCTGTCCCACAGATGGCAAGTTCCCAGGTAGGAGTTTTATCCCAACTTGTATCACTTATTTCACGCAGCCACTAGAATGTACCTTACACATAACAGACAGTAGATCAATATTTGTTAAATGAATGAACATAAAGGGAAATGACACAATTAGTCAACTGGATATAATCACATTAAAACTGTGTGAGATTCTGATTGGAAATAATTCTCTTTTCATCCTGCTCATGAAATGATATTTAGTGTGCCCTTAGGTGTAGATGATGGTTATATTGAGTTGATGAGTTCAATTGGTATATCAATTTCATTTTAATTTTGTGAAATATGTCCAAGATATGTCTTAATCTATTACTGAAATTGAATTCTCATAACATGTTATAAAGAAGCACATCAGACTCATATCTCAGTTTAAACAAGAGAGCTTCAAGGTTTTGTAAATGGACTTAAGCAGCACTCCTAAAACCTGGTAGAACAGTGCATAGAAGAGATCATTCTGGCATTGATGCAGGACACCTCAGAAATGTGGAAGTTTTCATGGTGGAACTAATTGCATGTGTCATTTGTCAGGTGGATATAGTTAATACTGTGATTTTGAGGCACCCAAATGCAAAAACAATCTGAAAAGCAAAAACAATTTTTTCCCACCTAAATATGCCTCCATTTATAAATATCAACATATCCTCTTCCTGTCATTCCTAGTCACTGAGGGTAGAGCTCCAGAAGATAGAATGTAAATTGTTTCTATATGCATACAGTGGCTTTTGCCTTCACTAAACCTCAGCTTCCTGATGGCGTGAAGCCATCTATTCTCAATGACACCTCTCCATTAGCAAAATGATACATCATTGGAAGTTATGCCTTATCAGTTTGAGTAATGCTTCACCTGTTTTGATTATGGAACTTCTACAATGGTAAACTCTGGAATATAATGATAGCTTAACATTTATTGAGTGAACAGTACATATCAGACCCTGACCTAACTACTTTATATGTGTTCACATACGGACTCTCACAACAATTCTATTTACTTCATCTCCTTACTTAGTAAGGTGGAACTAGCTCTTGCAGTCTGGCAATGGAACCTGTCTAAAGTGCTCTCAGTTAATTGTCCTCATCTGATTTAAGCTTCCCAGCCTACTGCTTCTCCCAGTTACTTGTGGCTCTTGCTGTAACCTTCAGTATGACATCCAGCTCCTTGGCTCTTGCCGTTGTTTCCCTTCTATTCCTATTCTATCTCACTCAGCATGGTTTCATTGGTCATCTAATACAACTGTGCATTCGCTCTCACCCATTAGTACTCTACCTTCCCAACTGCCCCACCATCCCCCAACCTTTTGCTGTCTTTCTGGTCACTCTCCAAATCTAGGCACCCAACCACCATCTCAATTTATTTTTTTTAAGGAGTCAGCCCTTGATCGCAGAATTATGTTGAGTGAATACATCACAAATTTAAGCTCTTTAACCTTATCTAGATCCTTGCTATTGTTTAGTAAATTGTTTATTTGGTCCCTTGGTTAACCCCTATTATCTCCTTTAGGGCAAATGCACCTCAGCTTTTCCACATTTCTTATGTCCCCACCATTCCCTTGGCCTATCTCACATTCAGCAGATAAATTCAATTCTGATTTTATTGAGAAATTTGTGTATATTTCTCAATATACACAATTTTCTTAGCCCCCTAATTTTTCTACCTCTTTACATTCCCTCTTTTTATTGCCTGTCTCAGAGGATGAAATATTCTTCCACTTTAAAGTTGATATCTTTCCCTGTGCTTTTGGTCTATTTCCATGTAGGCTTTTTAAGGAAGTTGTTTATCAGTTACTCTCTCCTGATTTCTCACCTTGCAACTGTCTTTTCTTACTGATGCCTGCCCTTCAGCAAAATAACTAATTTGAGTAATCTTTAGGAATAAAGCAGCTCAGAAGCCCTTTATACTTAAAACATCTACACCTTGTTTCTTGTCTCACCTCCTGCCTTCATTTCCTTGACAATGTCTTGAAGAGTAATTTACCCTCACCGTGTCTTCTTAATATTATTCTTGCGGATACTATACCATAAAACCTAGAGTAATTGGCGTAAGGCATTCCCTCCATGTCCTCTTTTCTCTGCATCTCATTCTCATCCTTGTTTGGCTTTTTAAAAGTGGCAGTGTTTGCCCTGACAAGTTGTAGAGAGCTCTTGCTCATCCTTCTGCCCCATATACGTGAGAGAAGACAGAATGGAAAAAAGCACCAAGCAATCCTAAAGGGAGGGACATGAGAGAATCTCTCAAATATAGACAGTCTACACAGAAGCAAGAACATTTATCTCCAAAACCCTTTACACTAGTACTGAGAACCAACTGTATCTTAGCCTTGACAGTAAGTGTTGAAGGGTTACAGGACCTGAACTTCCTCTTTAGATGGAAGAGTGCTATTGGTTTTAGGGTTGTTCCAAACTTGCCTAGTCCTAGGAAGTAATAGATTATTTACTTAAGATTCCCCTTGAATGTCTCACAGATGACTTGAAATTATGCCAGCTCCCGGGCAAACAGGAGTTTGAGATCAGCCTGGCCAACATGGCAAAACCCCATCTCTAATAAAATACAAAAATTAGCTGGGCATGGTGGCAGATGCCTGTAATCCCAGCTACTCCGGAGGCTGAAGCAGGAGAAAAAATCACTTGAACCCGGGAGGCAGAGGTTGCAGTGAGCCGGGATTGCACCACTACACTCCAGCCTGGGCAACAGAGCAAGACTCTGTCTCAAAAAAAAAAAAAAAAAAAAAAAGAGAAAAGGCAAGAAGAATTGGACCTGTTCTTTAGTCTACAACTATGATTTACTGCAGTCAAGAGCAATGAGGATGGGCAAAAAATAGAAGTTGAATTTTAATGCTATGGCAACAATTGATCCTACAGGAAATCCTGGTGCTGAGCTGATTCTTAAAGAGTTTTCCAAATTAAGGCAAGAGAGTTAGGACGTGTTAATTCCACAATGATCAGTCATTGGATATTGGCTGCCTTCCAGGATGGGACATAGTTTGTGCAGGATTGGGGGAAACAACTTTTTTCAGTGAAGGGAAATGCCTGTAGGTGGACTCAGCTGTGAGTCATCAGTAGGCAAGATTCTTAGCACCTGAGGAAAAGAATGCCTTGGTCTTCAGGGAGGATCTAAATAGTACTCTACAACATCCAGTGCAGAAAACATCTAAAAAATGTTTGAAATTTGCTGTTTTAAAAGTTCATGTTAATAGTTCTCATCTTATTGAAGTCACTTGGCAAGGTTTTCAAAAATAATTTGATGTTGTTCAAACATAGCACATTGTTTTAAGTCCACTGAGCTGTATCTAGCCAATTCTTTTCCAAGTTATATTGTATTCTTTTTAAAAAGAATAAAAAATAAATCATTGGTAATACAAAGTAAAAGGAGAAGATGTTAAATTTTAGATGTTCATTATAGTGACTCAGCAGCCATCTACCTACAAAGGTTACTACATGGTGTCTTCTGGTAGTCCCAAAGAGGACATTTTGCGTCAGTGAGGTTGTGACGTGCCCCCGGGAAGGTCTTCCAGGGTTCTATAGGGCACCATTTAGGACTAGTGAAGGGGAGCTGCGTTTCACTATGGGAATGTTGACAGTCACTCTGGCTTTAAATTCTTAGCTCCCTGGAATCTCCTTTTCCTACCCTGCCTGGCTCCACAGAGCAGAGAGCAAAGAAAAAGCTATATTCTTTTTGACGTAATGTTTTCACTTAGACTCACAAAACAAGAACAGCTCCTTCAGAAGAACTGGGAACAGAGCTCCCACTATTTCTTCTACACTACCCCCACTTCTACCCTCCCTTCTTTTCAAGGGGTAAAGAATGGATTACATGATTGGCAATATTAATGAAAGGGACTGAGCATAAATCACTGAGACCTTTGTGGACTGTCTTTTTTATGTGGTTGGTACACCTGGATCAGGACTATCTTCAAGAGGCAGGCCTTAACTACCACTGCTTTTGAAGCTCTCAGGAAGCTCCTTGGCAAACAGATTGTTCAACAGCTGCAACACCACTGATAAGCTTTTGCTCTGTGTTCCCACCTAAATCTCATCTTGAATTGTAACCCAGTGGGCGGTGATTGAATTATGGGGGCGTGTCTTTCCTGTGCTGTTCTCGTGATAGTGAATGAGTCTCACGAGATCTGATGGTTTAAATAAACGGGAGTTTGCCTGCATGAGCTCTCTCTTTTTGCTTGCTGCCATCCACGTGAGATGTGACTTGCTCCTCCGTGCCGTCTGCCATGATTGTGAGGCTTCCCCAGCCACAAGGAACTGTGAGTTTTCCATTAAACCTCTTTCCTTTGTAAATTGCCCAGTCCTGGGTATGCCTTTATCAGCAGCATGAAAACGGACTAATACGTCCACTTTCAGCTGGCTTGGTGATATCTTGCTTTGTAGACCCAACTCTCCATGAGGGCAGCTCAAGGGCTAGACTTGAAGGGAAGGCACGGGAAGACTGAATATGGCTGCAAGTCCATGTTGAAGTCCACAATCCAGCAATAAGTGAAAATTCGAACCCTACATAACCTCTGTATTGACTTCTTAACTGGAAAGGTGAAGGGAAAGGGTGTTACTGGCTCTTTAAAGAGTTCAGCCTATGGTATTAAATACATTAGCTTGTGAACATCGAGCTATCTCATCCTTTGATTAGCATTTTCTGTGGTGGGAAGAGTCTAGCTCATCAATTTGCATAACAGCTTGGAAGAAAAAAATTCTCATGTGAATACACCAATTTTCGTTTTAATTTCATAGTCACCATTTTGTTTTCTGAATATTAGTTTGAGTTTCCATGTTTCTTGGAGTTTGGAAGAAGGGCTTCCCCTTGCACAGGAGGTGGAGGTTGCAGTGAGCCAAGATTGTGCCACTGCATTCCATCCTGGGCAACAGAGCGAGACTCCGTCTCAAAAAACAAACCTGGAAATTCTGATAATCTCTGTGTCTACTTACATGTGAGACTTAGGACTAGACTAGACTTTATCAAGGTAATGTTGCCTTTTGAGATTTCTTGGAAGTGTACAAATCGGCATCATCTAGATAATATCGGTGAACTAAATGCACTTTTTCCTCACCATGATAAACCTCTTCTAATTTGTCTAACTCTACTAGCCCCTGGGTAAACTCTTACAGTGTAGAATTGGGGTACTTTAATACATGGATTGCTCATATAGGCACTTTGGCTTTGAAACTCCCAGGTAAGTTACAAAGTCTAGAGCAAAAGTATTGAGTCAGGACAAACAGTTAAAATCACCTGTTAGTCTGCTTCCCAACAAGCCAGAGAAAGCAAAGGATCCCAATTAGGAAGTAATGATTAAACAGTTTCACCTGCTGTAACACAACTGGCCTTGCTATTGTTGGTTTTCAAATAGAGCTGATGGACTCCATCTGTCTCTTTTACTTCTAAGACAATTTGGACTAGTTTAAAGGCCCAATATTATATTGCTTTTGGAACCCTGTTGATATCTTCTGATCTTAGCCAATTAAGATAATTTGCTTTTCAGAGGGTGAAAAATAATCCTTTAGCTCCTTTATTAAAAGACTGCTTATGTGTTATTTCTGTGACTAAAATGTGTGCCATTGTCACATATTCAAGCCAGGTTTCCTTTGATTTTATTATCTCCTGAGCTCCCTCAGTGAGCCCTGACTTATCTGTGACCCTCTGGTTACAAAAGAAAAAGCTTTAAAGTTGTAGTGGAAGAATGCATGATTTGTAAAAAGTGTGACACTTGGGAAGAAAATTACTTCATTTTTCTATAAATTAGTTATGGACTCATGTTTGATAGTGGCTTAGGCTGATAAGTGGCTTAGTTTTCTGATATAGCAGTCTACAAGGTTATATTTTGATACTAATCTATTTTTGCGATATGTGTATATTGCAAATTCAGCTTCTGAACTCTCAATTTCTTCCCATTTTCCTTCCAACCTTGTTTCAGGTTTCTCTGTGTCTCTTCTGGACACTTGTAAGTGCCTCCTAATTGGACTTCCTTTTTCATTCCCTTTTCTAATTCATTGCCAGTGTTGTTGCTAGAGTGATATGGCTGTGAACAAACCACTCAAAGTGAATAGCATAAACAGCAATCATTTTATTATATTCATGGATTCTAGGAGTCAGAAACTGGGATGGGGTATAGTAGGGATGGCTTGTCTCTACTCCTCAGTGTGTGAGGTTTCATTTGGGGATATTTAAACAGCTGGGGGTGACAAATGGCTGGAGACTGAAATCCTCTAGAAGCTCCTTAACTCACCTGTCTGGTGTCTTGGCAGAGATGACTAGAAGGTTTGAACTGCTGACAGATGTACCTACAGACTTCTCCAGAATGGTGTAATTGGAATCCTTAAGTGGAATTTGGCTTATTCCAGAGTGAGCCTCCAAAGAGAACCAGGTAGAAGATATACGACCTTGGGCTTTGAAAGTGAAATAGTATCACTTCTGTCAATCCATATTGGTTGAAGCAGTTACAAGCCTGCCCAGATTCAAGAGGAAGGAACATAGATCCCACCCATTAGTAGGAGAAATGTGAAAGAATCTGTGGTGCTTTAAACAAAACAACCACATTGATTTTTAGAAAACATAAATCTGATAAGTGGCTTCCCTGATAAAATACTTCTCTTTCATCCTTCACAATAGACTAGATTCAAGCTCTTGTTCTGAATATAAAATATTTATAACAACACAGACACAATCCCATTCAAGACATGAATCATAAAAAGAGAATAGTGCCAAGCAAAGATAAACTATATAGTAAAATGCCTTAAACATGAAATATAAACATAAAGCTGTATGAAAAAATGTCATAGACAAAGTTAAAATGACAAAAGACAAACTAAAAGTTTTCATAGTTTGAAATTATGTGACCTACACAGGATTATGTCAATGTACAGAGAGTGCTTACAAATTAATAAGAAAAAGACAGATAGCTCAATAGATAAATGGGCAAATGACATAGACATTTATAAGAAAAATACATACAATGAAACATACATATGAAAGGTTACCAGACTGATACTTAGTGAAATATAATTTAGAAAGTAATTTTTTTTGGCTTTGTTTTAATGTAACACTGGTAAAGATTTAAAGAGTTTTGTAGAAACCCTGGGGAAGTGAGCATTTTCATACAGTGACTTTGATGGAGGATGTTGTAATAAACATTCTGGAAGACATTTTGGCAATAGGTATAAAAAATCTTAAATATGTGTTCCCATGATATCATAATTCAAAATCTAGGAATTTATCTTCAGGAAGTACTTGAAGAAATGCACAAAGCTAAATGAAATGTCTATGGGGACTTTGGACTTTGCTTAACACATTATGATGCCATTTAATGGAATATACGTAGTAATATGTGTACATAGCTTAAAAGTCAACTAGTACCACAGGTTTTAACACAAAACAATACTTGCCAATCATTCTTTCTCACCCAATATTCTTTTCACTAGAAGTGACCGCCTTCAACTTATTTAGCTATTAATTTTTCTGGATTTTGTCTTCATGTTTGAGAACAATATGCTATACTACCACTTATTGATTTTCCCAATTAGAGATTATATGTCGACTTTGTTATGTAAGATAAGGATTCCGCTAAGTTCATTCCTAAACACCCACATTTTTTCCTAGATCTTCCTTATGATATATTTATCTCACATTTTATGGTAAAATCAATATTTACTCAGTGGTAGTTTGTTATCATAGTCCTAGCAAACTAATTGTCTCCTTTGATCTGAAATCGTTTCTCATCTTTCCTTGTCTTTCATGACATTGATATTTTTGAGTTATATGGGCCAGTTGTTTCATAAAATGTTCCTTGGTTTGGGCTTGTCTGTTTTCTCAACATTGGATTCCAATTGTGCATTTTCAGCAGGAATATAATGAAGGTGATGTTGTGTCCTCAGAGCATTGCCTTGTGGGTGATGCAAATTTCTAATATTGGTGTTCTCTAGAATCACTGCTTCTTGAACCCTGAGCCACCATTTAAGAAGTCTGACTACCCTGAGGGTCCATGCTGTGAGAAAACTTAAGCTAGTCATGTGGAGAAACCACGTGAAAAAAGAAACAGAGATGCCTAGTCACCTCCCAACTCTTTCGGCCCCCAGCAACTTAGTCACCTCAGCTGAGGTTTCAGATGTCATAGAGAAGAGATGAATCTTCCCACTGTGCCATATTTGAATTCCTGACCTATAGAATTATGATATATAATAATACATCATTTTATGTCTCAAAAAATCAACATTCACTCAATGTATTATCTTGACTTTGTAAATATGTTTAAGAAAATATTTTTCCAAGGGAATTAAACTTTTTAATTTTCTATGAAATTAAAAATGCTTGCTTGTTTGCTTAGTTTTCAATGAACTCAACACTAATTATTTTTCAAATTCTCTGAAAGAAGTGTAAAACTCTTTTCAATATTACAAAACACATCAGGTACTCTATTAGTTGTTTTTTTGTTGTTGTTTTCTGGAATGATACCTCTCCTGGTACCCTACCCCTAGCACCCATTTTTAACCATAAATTGCTTATTTATTACATATTGTAATTATTGTATGCCTTCACTACTAGAGTGAAAGTTCCACAAGGGACAATAATTTTCGTCTATTTTATATGCTAATATACTTCAAGCATTTAGAATAATACTCAAAAGATTTTACATCCATACATCCTCAACAAATTCTATATTTTACTTTTGATAAATTGTTAAATACAGAATCTAAGGTTGGAAATAATTTCTCTTCAGAATTATGAATATATTAGGTTGGTGCAAAAGTAATTGCAGCTTTTGCAATTGAAAGTAGTGGGAAGGCCGGGCTTGGTGGCTCACGCCTGTAATCCCAGCACTTCAGGAGGCTGAGGCCGGCGGATCATGAGGTCAGGAGATCGAGACCATCTTAACCAACACGGTGAAACCCTGTCTCTACTAAAAATACAAAAAATTAGCTGGGCGTGGTGGAGGGCGCCTGTAGTCCCAGCTACTAGGGAGGCTGAGGCAGGAGAATGACGTGAACCCAGGAGGCAGAGGTTGCAGTGAGCCAAGATCGCGCCACTGCACTCCAGCCTGGGTGATAGAGTGAGACTCTGTCTCAAAAAAAAGAGAAAGTAATGGGAAAAACGGCAATAACTTTTGCACCAACCTAAATAATTTTTATTGCTTTCAAGGTTTGAGGGAAGACTTGCATCATTATTATTTTTTTTTTATGTTTTCTGAATGAATAGCCGTGATGATTAATTCTGTGTGTCAACTTGACTGGGCCACAGGTGCCCAGATTAAACATTATTTCTGGTTGCAAGGGTATTTTTGGATGAGATTAGCATTTGAATTGGTGGACTCAATAAAATTGATAGTCTTCCCCAATGTGGGTGGGCATCATCCAATCCAAAAGTCCTGAAAAGAACAAAGAGTCTCACTGCTTGACCTGAGACATCTTATCTTTTACTGCCCTTAGATTGGGATATACACCATTGACTTCCCAGTTCTTAGGCCTTTGGACTCATACTGAATTACCCCACTGGATTTCCTGGGTCTCCAGTTTGAAGATGGCAGATTGAGGAATTTAGCTTTCCTTATTGCATGAGTCCATTTCTCATAATAAACCTCTTTGTATTTGTCTATTTATCATCAATCCATCTCTCATCCTATTGGTTCTGTTTCACTGGAGAACCCTGACTAATACAGTATTACATTTAAGTAATTCAAAATTTAAATCTATATGGAAAGTATACACAGAGAATTCTCACTCTGTCAACAGAGTGTCTTGTCCAGCCTTTGGATTTTTGCAGATACAGGAGGTGAGAAATGGTATCTGAGTGAAGGATTAATTTGTGCTTCTTATTATGAAGTCAGGCATCTTTTACTTTACTTAAGGGCCATATCTACTTCTTTTGTCAATTGCTTGTTCATGTTGTTTGCCTATTTTTGTCTGTTTTTGTGACTTTTTCTTTCTCTTCTTCCTTTTCATATTCACTTAATATTTCAATTTTTAAAGTACTTTTCATGTTGTGAATAGTTTTGTATAAACCCACGAAGTATATTTGAGTAGTGTTGTTTGAACTCTAACCTGATAAAGTTTCACTTCCTCAACCTGCCCTCAAAATATGGCCAGGGTGGACATGTTCCAAATTGAATTACTCCATAAAAACAGTCAGAATCTCAGATAAACAGTGACTTCCAAATATTAAAAATAAATATGTGAATAATTTTAATTAATGTAACATAGTTTGGCAGATTTTATATGAGCTGGCCACAGCTTTTTAATAGGTATGTAACTCCCTTTTAAACAAAGGATTTCATAGACAAAATGTTCTACATTATATGAATTTCTCAAAAGCAGATGGCTGAATAACTTACAGAATTGAATTTCAGCTCCATTAGATTCCATTCTTACCTAAAATGTGTGTACCACATTATATCTGCTAGTCAGAACAGTCTTTTGGCAATAATATAAACTGTGAGCACTCAGACCAGATCAGAATATATTTATTGTTTTGTTAGAAAGCACCTAGTTCATGTTAACTTTCAATGGAAGTTATATTGTTTAGCAACTTGAGGAAAAAAATTTTAAAGATGTGAATAGGATACTTTAGGTAGTATCTCTTTTTCAGATAGTAGAGATAAATTATAAATGGCAGGGATAAAAACAAAGATGAAATTTTGGCCTTAAATTGTCATATGCAAAAACATCCCCAATTTATTTAAACCTGTTTAAATTTAATTTCCAATTATTTAAGCTTTTATTGCAGGTTCAGCATTCCTAATCTAAAAATCCAAAATGCTCCAAAATCAAACTTTTTGAGTACTGACATGATAGCACAAGTGAAAACTTCCACACCTGACATCGTTGCTTTCTCATTTCATTGCACACGAACTTTTTCATTTACTAAATTATTAAAAATAGTGTATAAAATACCTCCTAGCTATGTGTATAAAGTGTATATTAAATATAAATGAATTTCATGTTTAAACTTGGGTTTCACCCTCAAAATATCTCATTTATGTATTGATATGGTTTTCAAATCTCATCTTGAATTGTAGCTCCCATAATTCCCACGTGTTGTGGGAGGGACATGGTGAGAGGTAATTGACTTGTGGGGGCGGTTCCCCCATACTGTTCTTGTGGTAGTGAATAAATCTCATGAGATATGATGGTTTTATCAGAGGTTTCCACTTTTGTGTCTTCCTCATTCTCTTTTTGCCTGCTGCTATCCATGTAAAATGGGACTTGCTCTTCCTTGCTTTCCGCCATGATTGTTGAGGCTTCCCCAGCCACATGGACTGTAAGTCCATTATAAACCTCTTTCTTTTGTAAATTGCCTAGTCTCGGGTATGTCTTTATCAGCAGAGTGAAAATGAAATAATACATGTATCTTCAAATATTCTGAAAGTTGAATAAACCTGGAATTTTAAATACTTCGAATCTTGAACATTTTGGATAAGGGACACTCAACTTGTATGTATATTTTATTTCATTGTGTGTGGTAACTTGAGAAAAGTTAATCCACTCAGAAGCAGAGAGAGAGATCATTATGTAGTATGACAATCTATTTTTACTATTCTCAAACCCAGAGTTTAGTAGGTAGTGTTTTTCTTAAGAATAGGTTGTATATCAATGACAGACTGCATAAAGAAATGTGGTACATATATGGATTAAAAAAAGTGGTACATATACACCATGAAATACTAGGCGGCCATAAAAAGGAATGAGTTCACATCTTTGTAGGGACATGGATGAAGCTGGAAGCCATCATCCTCAGCAAACTAGCACAGGAACAGAAAACCAAACACCATATGTTCTCACTCATAAATGGGAGTTGGAACATTGAGCACTCATGGACACAGAGAGGGGAACAATTCACACCAGGGCCTGTTGGGGGGTGGAGGGTGAGGGGAGAGAACCTAGAGGATGAGTCAGTAGGTACAGCAAACCACCATGGCACACGTATACCTATGTAACAAACCTGCACATTCTGCACATGTATCCTGTTTTGTTTTGTTTTAGAAGAAAAAAAAATAGGTTGTTTAGACTGTTATGTGAAATAATAAAAGGATGTCTTACTTACATCTGCATTAAGTATTCACCTTCCACCCTAGATACGCAATTAAAAAACTGTATTCGAAAGTCAGAGATAAAAGAAATGTCATTTAATTGGTAGCTGTTACTATTTTTAAAAGTAATTGTTTTCAACTTATTCTTTTTCTCTGGAATTATTTTCTCCTGATCTTTCCTATCACCTGCATGCTTTTCAGATATTATATGAAATGTCACCTCCTCAAAGAGGACCTCCTAACCGCCTGTTGCCAAAAAAAATAAAACAACAAAAAGTCAAGGCCTACATGAACGTGCCAATTCATAAATATAGAATTGTCTAACTTTATTGTGGTACAAAACAAATACCCTGAATGCATGCAGATAGCCAGCACATGGCTAAAAAGCTGCAGTAATTTTTTTAGCTCTATTTGTGTGGAATTAAAGATACAATTATGTCATTCTACTTTTAGTAAAGAGTTGGCAGATAGTCAATTCATGTTAGTAGTTAAAATTGCTAACCCCTTCACTCTTAACACAGTTGTGAAATGTAAATCTGTTTTCACTTACCAACAGCTATAATCAAGATAATGGGCTTTTCCATAGCTATTAGAAACACAGCAATTACTTTAATGTGCAACTTAAACATGAGCAGAGTTCTAGCACTTGTGGATTGCTATTTCCTCTCTTGGATAAGATTCAGTCTTGGATAGATAATTGATATTAATTAAATTTACTGAGCTTCAAAGACAATGGTCTGAGAGGAAATTAAAATATAATATTAAATTTACTTAGCTTTTTGTATAATAAAACTGAGAAGATGAGGGAAAGAATAAGGGGGAAGTCTTTAAATTTCTGGCTTTCCATTTATGAGATAGTTTGGATAAATTACGTTGTTATTTCATTTTCTTTTTCCAGTGCTGATTGATAATTTTGCTGTCTGTAGTATCCATATTGCTGGTGAGGAAGATTTTGCTGGCCAAAGTGTAGCCATGTTTTGCTCCAACTGTACTTCCTTATGTCCATTTCCCAATGTTGAGTCTGAATAACTAGTGAATTGGACCTTTGGGAAGAAATTAAGTACATGCATAGAAACTTTACAAGTTGGCAAATTCTTCTTTTCTGCTCTCATGTATGGAATATGTGTGGAGAATTCAGGCTTTTTATGGGCTTTTCAAAAACAGCAGTGTGATTTTGGGTGTACGTTGCAAAATAGTTTAAGTGCATATATATTTCCCACACCAGTAACATAGCACAGGCATAAAGGAGATGCCAATATAATAATAGTACTTAATTCAATTAATGCCTTTCCTCTTAAATGCATTTGATTTTATATCTTTATTAATCATTATAGAGTCACTTTATGGCAATAATGAACATTATTTACTCTCTGAACCTAACTATATTCTCATTTTAGCACTACATATGTGTATATATATTCAATATAAAAATATATATACCCTCATACACATACATCATGTTGTATGTATATATGTACATATACAATATTGTATATGTGCACACACATACATATATTCACCATTGTGAGACACTTTCAGGTAGTTTGTTTTTTTTCAGTTTTTTCCATTTGTGTAAGTGGGGTAGTCAGAAGTGTGAATATAAACAGAGTCCAATGTGTCACTCTTAGAGCTTGAAAAAATATTGATCTTTATTATTTATTCACACTTCTGACTGCTCTACTTATACAAAGTACATAATTACCTAAGAAAAGAACTACCTGAATGTATATGCATAAAATTGTATATATAGGTACATGAGAATTTTTCATGGGTGAAAGTCTATAGTTTCAACACATTCTTTAACATTTTTTGCCTCTAAAAGTTGAGGAAATTATAGAAAGAAGAGAGGGACTCTGAATGAGTTGCATTTCAGGGAATAGTCACAGTTGTCTGCCTCAGGACTGAGAATGAAGACCAACTTGACTTTCTCCTTAATTTGGGGGATTATCCACTGCGAGATCATCAAAAATTGTCCCAAACTTTGACATACTGATGTAGTATATATTTTGAAGGATGAGTTTTATGTGATTCTTCAGTTACTTCAGGCCATCTGGGCGTATACGTGCAAGTCACAGGGGATGCGATGGCTTGGCTTGGGCTCAGAGGCCTGACATTCCTGCCTTCTTATATTAATAAGAAAAATAAAACAAAATAGTGTTGAAGCGTTGGGGCGGCGAAAATTTTTGGGGGTGGTATGGAGAGAGAATGGGCGATGTTTCTCAGGGCTGCTTCAAGCGGGATTAGGGGCGGCGTGGGAACCTAGAGTGGGAGAGATTAAGCTGAAGGGAGATCTTGTGGTAAGGGGTGATATTGTGGGGTGGTTAGAAGAAACATTTGTCGCATAGAATGATTGGTGATGGCCTGGATATGGTTTGTATGAATTGAAAAACTAAATGGAATAAGAGAAGGAGAAAAACAGGTATAAAAGGACTAAGAATTGGGAGGACCTAGGACATCTAATTAGAGAATGCCTACGGAGGTTCAGCATAGTCCTGCCAGCAAAGATTATTTATTTACTTCAAGAGTTAAGAGTGGCAGTTTGAGGATAGCATGAGGAGATATCAGTTGTGATGGCTTGGAGAAACAGTGTAAACCGGCAGTGTAAACAAGAGCAGGGCATATATGAGTAGTTGAGAACAGTGAATAGGAGTATGACTAGACAGAAGATAGTAAGGATGACAAGTTATTTGGGGGCACAGTCGAAGTTGGTCTGGTGTCTGGAATGAGACTGGGGCCTAATAAAAAGGAGCGTCTATACAGGAGCTCAAATGGGCTGTACCTTGTAGCATTCTGAGGACAGGTCTGACTTCTGAGAAGGGAAAATGGTAAAAGTATTGTCCAGTCCTTTTTAAGTTGGTGGCTGAGCTTGGTGAGGTGTGTTTTTAATAGACCATTAGTCTGTCACTGAATACTAAGAGCCTGAAAAAATGCTCGGCTGATTTGACTAATAAAGGCTCGTCTGTTATCAGACTGTATAGAGGTGGGAAGGCTAAACTGAGGAATTATGTCTGACAGAAGGGAATAAATGACTGCGGTGGCCTTCTCAGACCTTGTAGGAAAGGCCTCTAAAAGTATTAAAGCAGCGGCAGCCACTGCACGCAGACATGAGGGCTAGGCTAAAACAGTAAGGTCAAGTTGTTTGGACAGAAAGGCTGCAGGGTGCGGTCCTGGCTCTTGTGTAAGAATTCTGACCGCACTAACCATGCCTAGGAAGGAAAGGAGTTGTTGTTTTGTAAGGGATTGAGGTTTGGGAGATCAGCTGGACACGATCAGCAGGGAGAGCACGTGTGTTTTTACGAGAATTATGTCGAGATAGGTAACAGATGAGGATGAAATTTGGGCTTGACTGAAGTAATGGGGGTTGTCTGTGAAGCCTTGCGGCAGTGCAGCCCAGGTAATTTGCTGAGCCTGATGGGTGTCAGGGTCAGTGCAAGTGAAAGCGAAGAGAGGCTGGGATGACGGGTGCAAAGGAATAGTAAAGAAAGCACGTTTGAGATCCAGAACAGAATAATGGATTGTGGAGGGAGGTATTGAGGATAGGAGAATATATGGGTTTGGCACCATGGGGTGGATAGGCAAAACAATTTGGTTGATAAGGCATAGATCCTGAACTAACTTGTAAGGCTTGTCTGGTTTTAAGACAGGTAAAATGGGGGAATTGTAAGGAGAGTTTATAGGCTTTAAAAGGCCATGCTGTAGCAGGCGAGTGGTAACAGGCTTTAATCCTTTCAAAGCATGCTGTGGGATGGGATATTGGCATTCAGCGGGGTAAGGGTGAATTAGGTTTTAATGAGATGGTAAGGGGTGCATGATCAGTTGCCAAGGAGGGAGTAGAGGTATCTTATACTTGTGGGTTAAGGTGGGAGAATACAAGAGGAGGACGCAAAGGAGGCTTTGGATTGGGAAGAAGGGCATCAATGAGATGCGGCTATAGTCCAGGAATAGTCAGGTAAGCAGATAATTTGGTTAAAATGTCTCGGCCTAATAAGGGAACTGGGCAGGTGGAGATAACTAAAAAAGTGTGCATAAAAGAGTGTTGTCTAAGTTGGCACCAGAGTTGGGGAGTTTTAAGAGGTTTAGAAGCCTGGCTGTCAATACCCACAACAGTTATGGAGGCAAGGGAAACAGGCCCTTGAAAAGAAGGTAATGTGGAGTGGGTAGCCTCCGTATTGATTAAGAAGGGGATGGACTTACCTTCCACTGTGAGAGTTACCCAAAGCTCGGTGTCCGTGGTGGTCTACGGGGCTTCTGAGGCGATCGGGCAGTGTCAGTTTTCAGACGCTAAGCCCAGAAGGAGTCAGTCAGAGAGCCTTGGGCCAGAGTTCCAGGGGCTCTGGGAGTGGCTGCCAGGTGAGTCGAACAGTCCGATTTCCAGTGGGGTCCCGCACAGATGGGACACGGCTTAGGAGGAATCCTGGGCTGCAGGCATTCCTTGGCCTGGTGGTCAGATTTCGAAGGATGAGTTTTAAATTAAAGAGGGAAAGAAAACCACAGCCAAACACAAAGATATGTTAAGTTTTCACTGCTTGAGGTAAAGAGACCAGTTTTTATAAATACTTTATTACTGCTATTTAAAAACATGAATACGAAGAAAAGTAGGTAAGTAAATAATTACATAATTACCCAAATAATCACTCTTCTTTCTATTCATTTTTAGTTTTTTAAATTTAAGTTTAATTTAATTTTAGTTTTTTTTAAAATTTAATTTTCATCATCTCAGATGATCTAGGAAGCAGTTCAAAATAGTGATAATAAACATTGGGTTTGCTAAACTGCATTGAACCTTCATAGTATCATAGAAAGGGAAAGAGAGGGTCAAAAAACAAGAAAAAAGACAAAGGGACACAGCAGAGGAGAGAAATAAGGAGAGGAAAGGAGAGAGGAAGAGGGATGGAGGGAGGGAAGAAAGAGAAAGAGATTCTCTCACCGAGAAGAATGATAAGCAGTGAGGTATTATTTCTTTGATGATTCCTAAGTAGTAGCATCAATGAGTATTTCCTGTGACTGCATATGGAGTATCAGAAGAGAAATGTCACCATCAGAGTTGATATTTACTGGAGCAGAGCAAAGGAGTTTGGGGATTGGCCTATCATCAGAAGCCCTAGTTACTCCATTAAGGGAAGTGATAACCTTTACATTGAAACTGGTCATTTAAAAGCTGACATTTGATATACCTGTGTACCCAGTCTCCACTGTAATTTGCTGCCTCCAAACAAGTAGGGAATTGTGTTCAAGTTAAGTTTAGGGCACAGAAAAAAGAGTCTGCTCCATTAAAAGAAAAACTGCATTTCAAAATTGACAAGCAATGTAGTTAGTTGCAAGTAAAATTATTGGGAAAAGATTGACGTTGCTTTTATGAATAGAATGTGTTGAGAAGAAAGGCAATAGCAACAAAAATATCACGTACTGCCATGGTGATAATGTTTCTTAATTGATACATTAAAGCAGGATAAGTCCCCGTGAGACTTTGATCCAGGCCAGTATGTTGAATAGTAGTGTCAAGACTTACCTTCTTCATTAATGTATTTCTTTGCATTAATGGCAGAATTAGTGGCAGCATTTGAGTATCTTTATCAGATGTAAATGCTGATGCCTCTGTTTCTGCCTTCCTTTCTCAGCTCTGGATATCATCTCTATTTCCATCTATACACTGGTTAATCTTGAGTTTGTAACTAAAGCCAATCCATGATCTGGGTTCTGAGCTCCTTCCCCTCCTGCTTCCTTAGGAACTTCATCTATTTTCATCACTTTTGACTCTTTCTTTAGCTTCTTTCTTATTGGGGCTTTCTTCCTAAAAGCATTTAAATCTACTAAAATATTTCCTATATTAAAACAACAAAACGATTTAAAAAATTCTTTTACTCCACTTCTTCTAGCTATTGCTCTATCTCACCTTTCTCTCCCAGCAAACAGTCTTGATGATTTGACTATACTATCTTTATACCTCCCGCTCACTCTGCAAGACTGCAGTGTAGCTTTTGAGACCTCTCAACAGGAAGCCCAGGCCAGCCTCATGGGTGTGGGACCAAGGTAGACTGCTTCGCATCTCAAAAACGGATTCCCCATGCTTGGGGTCTGATGATTTGCCATGGCAATCTTGAAATTCTTCATACAATAATTTTGTATTTGAATGGTGCATTGTAAGTACAGTCTGATGGGGCAATGGCTTCTGTTTTCCACAATGATTATGTTTTGGGGGCTTGGTGTTTTTGACTCCCATGTGAGGTCACCTCCTAGAGTCTTCCCACCTTGCTGGGAGGGGTTCTGAATAGCTGGTTCCCTGACCCTACCAAGGGACTACTGTTACCCTCTGCCTCAGGCAGCGGCCAGGTCTGTTAAAGCTTGGGGGTGGGGGTGAGGAGTAAGGTGTTGGTGGGGGTGCTACATTTGTTGCTGTCCTCTCTCCCTAATGATCCTCTGGAAAGGCAACCATCTTGTTGCCCCGAAATAGCAGCACCATGGTGAGTTGTGGGGTGAGGGATGACTTGGCAGGGCCTATTGCTGACTTTGGGCGCAGGTACCTAGTGCATCCATGCAAAGATATTGCAATTACTTGGAGGTTACCCATCCTCTATGGGTTGGGGTATGAAAAGGGGCAATTTCCCCATCTCTGGCTACTGGCAAATTTATTTTGCAATGAGCCCTGCAAACGATGTGTAGTGGCCCTGATTGGAACCTGTTCTCCCAAGGTCACCATAACTTTCATTCCACTGTGTGTTGACTGCAACTGCCCTGTCCAATCCCCATCTTCAGCTCAGACCTGAGTTTCAGCCATGTCTATGCCACTGTATCCAGTGACCGCATCTTACCTTTCCTCCTATTCTCACAGGTTCCCACATGTTCTTCTCAGCTAGCTGAAAAGCTCATCTTTGCTAGTAATAGCTGCTGCTTATTCAGCACCTCCTAAAAACTAGGCTTGGGGTTTATATGCCTTATTTCTGTGACTCACAATGATGCTTCAAGGTAAATATGATCATCTACATTTTTTTTGAGACGGGGTCTCACTTTGTTGCCAGGCTGGAGTGCAGTGGAGATTTCAAATGTTGGTTAATTTCCAAAACATATCTCTTTTTACTTCAGTCACAAAGTGTCTAAATGATTTTGTAGTAGATACTAATGAACTATTTTGTTACCTCTTCTAGATAGAAATAGTAAGCACTGGGTATGTGCCAGATACTGTTGTAATTGCTTTATATATGTTAACTCATTTAATCAATAATCCTATGAGATAGATACTATTATTGTAGAGTTGAAGAAACTGAGGCACAGAAGAGTATAGTAACTTTCTCAAGGCCAGGCAGTTACTAGGAGGAAGAGAGCCAGGATTTTCACCAAAGTAGTCAGCCTCCAAACTCCAGGCTGTTGCCACCACATCACACTCCCTCTTGCTGTGTTTAGTTGCCAACCAACAGTGAGGAGTTTGTAAAGTGTCTTTTTCATTTCTCACATCCACTGTATTTTAAACAATGAGAATAGTATGCCCTTACTTCATCTGCACTGGGAAAATACCTGAAAGTAAGCTAATGATGAGATTTCTCCAGATGAAACATGCCAGGTGATATCTTAAACACAATTTTTAAGTCTTGTTTAGTTTCATGCAGTGCATTTCTCCTTCCTGGACAGAGAACTTGAACACTAGATAGTCCTAAATTATTCTTTTGAAGTTTGAATTAGCCATAGTTGAATAATACAGGGGAATAATAAAATACTTAAAATGCTGAGATAAGTAACCATGGAAGCAAAGTTTTAAAGATGCATAATTAATTCATGCATTAAATATTTATTGTGTCTGCTATGTGCTAGGTGTAGTATGAGGTTTGGGGGAAAACTACAGTGAACAAGATAAAATCTCTATCAATACAGGTTTCCATCTTCCAGGAGAGACCTGAAAATACAGAGACCATAACTCCATGGGGAATATGGAGAGCAGTATCTCCAGAAATCCCTAGGCAGCAGGAAGCCTGTCTGCTGAGGCCCTGAAAACTAAGGAGCCTCAGACAAGGTCTACTGGCAGTAGACTTGACTTGAAATCCTGGCTGCATACTATTTAAGCTCTCAAAGCTTTGCTTTCCTTGTCTGTGAAATCCACTCCATCTTCAGCCACAACTTTCAGTTTTTCTAATGCAATATAGGGAAAAAACAGGGTGGAAGAAGGAAGATAATGCTATAGTTCCTTTCTCTTTTTTTTTGCCCAAATTACACCTATGTCAATGAATGCTATGAATACTTATTTGATTGAATCCTTTGAGGAGGAAGAGTTTGGAATAAACTGCCCCTCTATGAGAGACAGTTTTAACTTCCTGTGAACTCAGTTCAACTATAGCAATAGTAATTATAATAGTAATAATATTGCTTAACACTTAGTGACTACTTTTTAACTTCTAGACATTACATAGATTCGCTCATTTATTTCTTCTTACAGTGCAATGAGGCAATGCTATTTCTTCATAAATTTAATAAATGTATTTTGTTGGAGTACCTAAATATTTTGTTATTTTATTCTTACAAGATGAGATCATCAAAACTAAGCTTTTAAAGACAGAGTTCAAGGACACTACATCACTTCTATGATTGACAGGAGTCACCCATTGTGTCAGTGAAACAAAACTCATACTAGATATTTTGACAGAGAAATTAAGGTGGGAAATTGGCTAAGTGTTGGAGTACTGAAAAATCAGAGAAGACACTTAGGAAACACAGATAATAAATAACTAAAGCAAGTGGCTGCCATCGCTAATGTTGGGGGAATAGAGAGAAGGGGTTGGGTTGTAGGAATCTAGAAGCTTAAAGGTGGGGCCCTAGTATACTGGGACTCAGACCTCTGAGGCGGAGTCACTGTCTTGCTGCTATTACCTTGGAAGAGGCTCAGTGAGACTGTTTGGGAATACGGAAAAGAAGTTGAAGATTGAAATTAACTGCCCCTGCCAGGTTGAAGGGGCCTTGCTCAGGCTATTTGAGAAGAACAGGAAGCAAAGCAAAAAGGAGTATTTCAGTTCCTCCTCCAGCCTTGCAGTCCCCTCTCTAGTACCTTTATGGTGGCAGAACCTAACAGGAAGCCTCCTTGTCAAAGGATCAGTGGAATTTGGTAAGCCATGGCCCCAGCATCACACAGCACAGTGCAGAGGACTAGGTTTGTTGGAGGGAGAACATTGTTTAATAGCTGGAACAAGTCCTTTGTCTGCTTTAGCAATAGACCCTCTGATGTGCCCACATCTCTGCAAATGTGTGACTGCTCTGCTTGGGGGCTGGCTGCCTGCATAATTGCTAAGCTTGGCACTTCTGTTTGTTGACATTAAATGCTATTAGGGAACAACTTTGTGAAACAATATTTTTGGTGATGCTGCATTTTCTTAACATAATTTTCATTACATTCACGTGGACATTCACGACAAACCTACAGGCATGCCCTTATGTTTTTTAGAACAGCTGTTTTCAGTTTAACTGATGTAATTGCTCAAACTGGTCATCATTTTAGTTTCTCCTCCTCCAATCTTCACATATAACCCAATGTACAGTAGTCTCAAATCCATTTATCTATCTCTTGAAAAAGAGCAAATAAAAATTAAAAACAAGAGATTTAACTCTCCCTGTTGAAAATAAGGGAAGAGACCATTCCCCCCCTTCCCTTTCTTAGATTATTTACTTAAGAAAATTGTAATTATAAGTTATTTCTCTATCTCTTTGAAATGTGTGTAAACCTTTTAAAAAGCTGAATAGTCTCTTATCAGCTTTAAGACCCAGGAATGTCTTTTTCAAGGACCTGAGATCATCTCCTTGAAATGTAAATATCCAGAGAGATTGCATCTTTATCTCCCAGTCTCTGTGGGAGGATAGGAGTACCTTACTCCGAGTTACAAAGCTACTTCCTTTCATAAAGATCTGAGAAGTTAAAAATCTCCTTTTGATAAAGCTGATTAGCAAACACAGATGGCCACCCTAATTACCAGGTGAATCTAGGATGAACTATCTGTAATAAATGATGCTGTGAAGTCCACTTAAGGACTATAGATGCTCCTCGTTTTATGATCCGGTTATGTTCTGATAAGCTCATTGTAAGCTGAAAATATTATGTTAAAATGCATTTAATACATCTAATCTACCAAACATCATAGCTTAGTCAAGCCCACCTTAAACGTGCTCAGAACACTTTTATTATCTTACAGTTGGGCAGAGTCATCTAACATAAAGCATAATAAAGTATTGAATTTCTAATGTAACTTATTGGACACTGTATTGAAAGTGAAAAATAGAATGTTTATATGAGTACTTGACATATGGTCTCTAATGTATCCATATTATACCATTGGAAAGTCACAAACTCATAAGTTGGGGACTGTCTGTAGTTGTTGCTTACCTTAAGAATAGGCATGTAACAGGTTGAATGGGCTTGGCTATATAAAAGGGTGAGATTACTTTCCAGTTTGAAATCTCTTAGCAGTCTGCCTATAATGTGCATTGCAGTCTGGTTTGATACTTATTGAACATTAAAATTGTTTTCTACCTTTGTGGAGAAGTGTTTGGGTTTGGAGGAGATTTCGTTTTCAATTGCATTTCTCCAGCATTCTGTCTCTCTTACATCAATTTCTATCACATCACCCTATCTGCCACATTTATGTGCCTTTAATATTTGTCTCTTGCTTCCATTCTGGCTCCCTCCACATGTTCAGTCATGTGGCCTTTAAAGAATGCAGTTCATGTTATGCCACTCCTCTTCCTAAAATCCTGCAAGGGCTCATACCGTGCCTCAAATGAAATGGAAAGTCCTAGAAGTCCTACGCGATCTAGCCCTTTTCCAACTTGATCACCTCAGCCCCTGCATCTCTTTAACTTGCCCATTATTATTTTCCAGCCATGCTGGTCTTTAATTTTATTTTAGTTCAAGCTCTTTCCCACATGCTATTCACTTGGCCTGAAATGCTCTTTCCCTCATTTTCTTTGGTTTATTACTCAGCAGGCCTTTGTTCAAATATTCTCTCTACAGAGAGGCCATCCTTCTCCATACAATTTGAGTAGGTTGGTCTAATGACTTCTCAACGTTCCTTCTTTTTTTAATCATCAGAGGGCTTATCACACCACATATAACTAGTAATTATTTGTTCTGTGCTTGTTTTTCACACAAAGGCAAGGATCATGGATTTTTCTCCATTATTGTAAACCCAGTGCCCTGCACAGCATCCAAAACATGGTAGTTCCTCAGCAGCTGTTCGTTAAATAGATCTCCACCAAAGTTCATTTCAAAGCAAATATTTCTCAGTGTTTTTTTTCCCTTTTCCTGTTTGTGCTCTAATTGGAGGGCTGGAGTGACACTGCAGATATACATTTGGAACATTAAATTTGCCAGGGAATATAACAATTCCAGTGCTTACAAGCCTATAAATCCCAGTTGAGAGGTTTCTGTTACTTTTGACTAGCTCTTTGTTAGTCAAATTATAGATGCAATGGTCAAGGCCATGCTTGGTGGCATGCTGGGGAGACTGGGTGCTTCATAGGAGTGAAAAAAGCTCTCCTCCTTCTGTTAGCCCACAGGGAGGCTTTTCAGTTTGCATCAGAAGTCAGCACTTTACTAAAAGGGATGGAGGGGTCGGGGAAGATGTGACCTGTCTCCCACTTCAGCAAGATGGATGATGTGCTACGTTTTCCTGTGGTTATGGTTGAAGGAAGTGCTGGGCAAGGACAGGTTACTGAGACTGAGGCAGGCGACTGATGCATGTTTTATAGCAGAATTTCAAGAAGAAATGATTTTAATGAAATAGAGGCTTGTGAAGCATATAACTGTGCAAGCAAGACTGCTAGTAGGTAAATAGGTTTGCAGGTTCTTTTGGTAAGTGTTTTTGTTTTATTTTGTGTTTCACTCCAGTAGCTTCAAAACATTGGCAACTACTTTTATTTTTCAAATGCGTTTTAGCAAACATAGATGAGCCTTAATAACATTAGTCATGACAGTGGAAGATCTTGCCACACAATTTTATTAATGAGGCAAAGAATGCCTTAAATAATATGATTTAATAGAGAAGTTGTCTGCCTCCCCCTCTTCCCTCCAAAGACTTTGAGTTTATGGGAGTAAACAATTTATCTTCATGCACAGACCACAAGGTTGGTCTGCATTTGTGATTTAATATTTACTTTTGATTAATTGAAAGAGCAGAGCTTTGGATCTGACTTAAGGCATTTTGTCCTTGCTCCAGATAAGCTGTGATGCATCAGATTCTCTTTGGTCTATGGCCTGGACAGCCACAGCAGACACTTTTGTGGATGCTGCCAGGTCTCTGCCCTTTGTTTCAGAGCCCCTAGTCTCCAGCTCAATAATGCAAGGTGAGCCAAATAGGTTGCCTCTGAAATTACTTTCTCACTTGCCTTTTTAGTTTCTGAAAGTGCTGTTGCAGCAGTTGTGTCATTGAGTTAAGAAGCCGGTGGTTCAGAGTGAAAAGTATCAAATACTAGCTCATCTCTACAGAAAAAAGGGGATTCAAGTCAAGTTCACCCATTACTGAAAATAGAGAAGACAGTGATTTTCTAAGAGCTTCTCTGGAAAACTGAATCCCATCACAAGTCTTAAGTCCCTGGGCTTGAGTTCCTGATCATGGGTCAAAGGAACCAGGATTTAAACAACTGACTCTCTGAATATACTATTACTATAAATCCTTTATTTGACTTCTGTCTGCCTAAGTTTGGAAGCACCCTTCTGCTTCTAAAACCCCTTTACTCCAATTTTCAATCATAATTGGCAGGATTTCTGAAAATGTACAGCATTTGAATTATCTAGGGGCTTTTGAGATATTTCCTGGCCCCCATCTATCAAGTCATCTCTGGGGGAGGGGGCTAGGACTCTTTATTTTTAACAAGCTCTTACAGATGTTCTTATACCCACAAACATCTGAGATCCACTGAGGTGTGTAAAGCTCCTAGCACAGTGCATGGCAAATTTAATGTTCCAAATGTATATCTGCAGTGTCACTCCAGCCCTCCAATTAGAGCACAAACAGGAAAAGGGGGAAAAATACTGACAAATATTTGCTTTGAAATGAACTTTGGTGGAGATCTATTTAACAAACAGCTGCTGAGGAACTACCATGTTTTGGATGCTGTGCAGGACGCTGGGTTTACAATAATGGAGAAAAATCCATGATCCTTGCCTTTGTGTGAAAAACAGCCCAGAAGTAGTAACTGTTAATATTTTAACCCATTGACTTGAAGATACTTAGGAAACAGGATGAAAACAAAAAGTCCATTATCTCTTTCAATGTATCCTGCAGATAATTTCTACTTGAGAAGTGTGCTTTTGTTGTATAAGACAGGCAACTCATGGTTGCTAAATAAATTACTTGATGGTACAATTTTAAGTTTTCAAAAAAGAAAACTTAAGGTTCAGTAAACCTTGCCTTTCAGTATTGAGAGGATCTAGTGACACAAACACCAAAGAAACTATTAAAATGACCACAGGAATTCTTACATATTTTTTCTCCAGGGGAAATTAGAAAAATATTCACTTTTAATGCAAAAAAACTAGTGTTTGCGTTTTTAAATAATATAGCCTGAGGAAATTGTTCTTTCTCTTTCACAAATACACACATGCACACACATTCACACCCTATCTCTCTCTCTCTCTCACACACACACACACATCCTGTTATGTGTATTTTTATATTTATATATAAATATATATAAATATAAATATATAAATTTATATATTAAATATATATATATTTTTTATATTTCCAAACTGCCTGTAATAGAGAAGGACAGTGGAGTGGATATCAAAGAAATGAGTATAAATGTGTACAATAGCAAAAATTTAGCATCTCCACTTTTGTGAGGTTTACTGGGAGTTGGAAACCACAGGATTAAGATATGCAGAGTAGTGTCTATCAAGGAGCGTATTCCCTCCATTCAGATACAAGATACAAAATGAAAAAATATTTCTTAAAACAATACACATGTTTTAAAATGAGCCAATGTTAGAAAATGTATAAAAGAGATTATTTAGAAAATTATCCCACCATGTGTGTCTTGGCTTATATATATCCTTAAAATGAATTTTCTGTTTTTTTATGGTTATATTAAAGATGGTAAAATACTTTACATAATTAAAAGACTATACTGGATGCTAATGTATTTTTCTTTTATATCTGTAGAAGTATTTTCTAATTAATGTGCTTATGTTGAAAAAAATTTGGTTGTTGAAATAAGTGGTCTCTTTGGATTATGAAAGCTCTAAGACTCAAGGGACAAGGTCTAACAAATCAACAAGGGATTAGTAACCAGAAGATAAAAGGAACACATCTGAAATAGCAAAACAAAACAAATAATTAACAAATGGGCAAAAGATCTGAATAAACATTTTTCAAAAAAAGACATACACATCACCAACAAGTATGTGAAAAAACGCTGAACGTCAATAACCATTAGAGAAATGCATACCCAAACCATATGAGATATCACCTCACTGCAGTTAAAATGGCTTTTATAAAAAAAACAAAAAATAAGAAATGCTGGAGAGGTTGCAAAAAAAATAAATAAAAAGGGGAAACACTCATACAACACTGTTGGTGGGAATGTAAATTAGTACAGCCACTGTGGAAAACAGTATGGAAGTTTCTCAAAAAACTAAAAATAGAACTACTATGTGCTCTAGCAATCCCACTGTTGGGTACATATTCAAAAGAAAGAAAATCAGTATATCAAAGAGATCTGCACTCCCATGTTTATTGCAGAACTATCCACAATAGCCAAGACATGGAATCAAATATCCATTAATGAATGAATGGATAAAAAACGTGTGTGTGTGTGTATTTATATATGCATATACATATAAATATACATATATATGTTTATACACACACAATAGAATATTATGTGACTGCACAAAAGAATGAACTCTTGCCATTTGCAGCAACATGAATGAGACTAGAGGGCATTAAGTGAAATGAGCACGGTATAGAAAGAAATATCACATGTTCTCACTCATGTGGTACCTAAAAAATCTCATGGAAGTCGAGAGTAGAATGATAGTCACCAGAGGCTGAGAAGGTTAGTGGTAAGTGAAGGATAAACCGGGGTTGGTTAATGGATACAAAAATATAGTTAGTAGTAATAAGGTCTAGTGTTTGGTAGGGTGACTGTAGTTAACAATAATCTATTGTATATTTCCAAAGAACTAGAGAAGTAGATTTGGAATGTTCTCAATACAAAAAAATGATATGTTTGAGGTAATGGATATCCCGATTATCCTGATTTGGTCATTACACATATGCCTGTATCAAAATATCACATGTATGCCATAAATATGTACAACTATGTACCCACAAACATTAAAAATAAAATAACTTAAACAAAAAAATAAAATAACTTAAACAAGCCTTCTCATCATGAAATGTTAGTTTCCTAGAAAACCCTAGAGAATTTCTAACATTTGTCCTATAAATTTAACCTTGTTAAATTAATGCTGAAATTATAACATATGCTGGCACTGTTTAGTGAAGTGTAAGTAACAATTTTGTTTCATACCACAAATTTTGCTTTTGCTCATGCTTACTGCAATTCTATTAAAAGGTTAATAGAAAATGTAATAAAGACTAACAGTTTTCTCTTTTTGCAGATTGTGTTAAGAGACTTAGTAAAAGAGAAGGTGGCTAAACTAAGTTGCTTATATCATCAATGGATTTTATTCATTGATCATTTATAGAGTATGCTTCTTATTAACAGAAATAAAGATTGGGTATAAATGAAAATATTTTGAAAATTAAAATCTCAGGGCATGAATAGCTAAAATGATGCAATTATGAAAATCCATAGCACATTAAAATGTCATTTTCTCATCTAATTTACATATCCCTGAGAATATTGTGAAACTATTCCATGTGACTAAAACAATAATGTGTAAACACTTTAAGCCAGAGATCTGGTTTCCTGACTATACGAGAAGTCTTTTAGATCCTAGGCAATACATTTTGGATATTTATAGTTTTCACAAGGTTTGAGGTGAAATGATGATTCACAGAATTGAATAAATTGCTAACCTGCTGACACAGAAAACTGTCCTGGGTAACAACCAGTCAGTTTGTGAGTAAACCTAGCTGACTGTCCATTATCCAGATGTCAATTCAGTTTTGAGCTGTCCCCTTATTTGTGTTTATGCATAGAGAAGTCTTTTAATTTTTTTCATGAAAAGTGACCTGAAATGAATGTCTGTGACTAATGCAACTTGCCTCCATTTGCTGCATAATTTATTTCATCACCATCTTTGCCTTATAAGGGCAAGCCACATGTTTATTATCACTGCTTTGTTGATTTTTGTAGATACTAGAAATATAGATCAGTTTATGGTTAATGTTGGCACAGTGATGAAATAATGATAATGTGGGTTAGAAATTATTTGGTGGTAGAATTTATTGTAAAAGCTTTATAAATTATTTTTAAAATAAAATCATTAAGGATTTGAGTCACTTACATTGTTCAGTTATAATTTAATACCTTCAAAGTGGGAAATCATATGTAGCAAAAGCTATTCACACTTGAATTTAAGGATCATAAAAGTCTTGGAAGATATTTATCATGGTGTGTATGGGGGACTATAACATCTTCTTTTAACTGTTTTCCATTGTGAAAGTTTCATCACATTTGAATAAAGTAGAAACTTCGAAGAACAAATATTTTTCCCCTTAAGGTGGTTATGTAGTTTGAATATTTGTCCCCGCCAAAATCTCATGTTGAATTATATACCTCAGTGCTGGAGGGGGGGCCTGGTGGGAGGTATTTGAATCATGAAGGCAGATCCCCCATGGCTTGGTGATATCTTTGTGGTAATGAGTTTTAGTGATCTGGTCATCTTAAAGTGTGTGGCACCTCCATTTTCATTCTCTCTCTTGCTCCTGATCTGACCATGTGATGTGCCTACTCTCCTTTTGTCTTCTGCTATGATTGTAAGCTTCCTGAGGCCTACCTAGAAGCCAAGCAGATGTCAGCACCATGCTTCCTGTAAAGCCTGCAGAACTGTGAACCAATTAACCTTCTTTTCTTTACAAATTACCCAATCTCAGATATTTCGTTTTTTGAGACAAAGTCTCCCTCTGTCGCCAGGCTGGAGTGCAGTGGTGTGATCTCAGCTCATTGTAACCTCTACCTCCTGGGTTCAAGTGATTCTCCTGCCTCAGCCTCCCGAGTAGCTGGGACTACAGGCATGTCCCACCACGCCCAGCTAATTTTTGTATTTTTAGTATAGATGGGTTTTCACCATGTTGGCCAGGATGGTCTCTCTCTTGACCTTGTGATCTGCCCTCCTCAGCCTCCCAAAATGCTGGGATTGCAGGCATGAGCCACTGTGCCTGGCCTCAGATATTTATTTATTTATTTTATTATACTTTAAGTTCTAGGATACATGTGTACAACGTGCAGGTTTGATACATAGGTATACATGTGCCATGTTGGTTTCCTGCATCCATCAACTCGTCATTTACATTAGGTATTTCTCCTAATGCTATCCCTCCCCCAGCACCCCCACCCCCCACAGACAGGCCCCAGTGTGTGATGTTCCCTGCCTTGTGTCCAAGTGATCTCATTGTTCAATTCCCACCTATGAGAGAGAATATGCAGTGTTTGGTTTTCTCTCCTTGTTTTAGTTTGCTGAGAATGATGGTTTCCAGCTTCATCCATGTGCCTGCAAAGAACATGAACTCATCCTTTTTTATGGCTGCATAGTATTCCATGGTGTACATGTGCCCCATTTTCTTAATCCAGTCTATCATTGATGGACATTTGTGTTGGTTCCAAGTCTTTGCTATTGTGAATAGTGCTGCAATAAACATACGTGTGCATGTGTCTTTATAGCAGCATGATTTATAATCCTTTGGGTATATACCCAATAATGGGATTGCTGGGTCAAATGGTAATTCTAGTTCTAGATCCTTGAGGAATCTCCAGACTGCCTTCCAGAATGGTTGAACTAATTTACACTCCCACCAACAGTATAAAAAGCATTCCTATTTCTCCATATCCTCTCCAGCATCTGTTGTTTCCTGACTTTTTAATGATAACCCTTCTGACTGGCATGAGATGGTATCTCAATGTGGTTTTGATTTGAATTTCTCTGATGACCAGTGATGATGAGCATTTTTTCATGTGTCTGATGAATGCGTAGATGTCATCTTTTAAAGTGTCCGTTCATATCCTTCACCCACTTTTTGACGCAGTTGTTTTTTTCTTGTAAATTTGTTTAAGTCCTTTGTAGATTCTGGATATTAGCCCTTTGTCAGATGTGTAGATTGCAAAAATTTTCTCCATTCTGTAGGTTGCCTGTTCACTCTGATGATAGTTTCTTTTACTGTGCAGAAGCTCTTTAGTTTAATTAGATCCCATTTATCTATTTTGGCTTTGGTTGCCATTGCTTCTGGTGTTTTAGACATGAAGTGCTTGCCCATGCCTGTGTCCTGAATGGTAATGCCTAGGTTTTCTTCTAGGATTTTTATGGTTTTAGATCTAACATGTAAGTCTTTAATCCATCTTGAATTAATTTTTGTATAAGGTGTAAGGAAGGGATCCAGTTTGTTCTCTGCATATGGCTATCCAGTTTTCCCAGCACCATTTATTAAATAGGGAATCCTTTCCCCATTTCTTGTTTTTGTCAGGTTTATCAAAGATCAGATGGTTGTAGATGTGTGGTGTTATTTCTCAGGCCTCTGTTCTGTTCCATTGGTCTATATATCTGTTTTCTATCAATACTATGCTGTTTTGGTTACGTAGCCTTGTTGTATAGTTTGAAGTCAGGTGGCATGATGCCCTCAGCTTTTTTCTTTTTGCTTAGGATTGTCTTGGCAATGTGGGCTCTTTTTTGGTTCCATATCAACTTTAAAGTAGTTTTTTTTCCAATTCTGTGAAGAAAGTCACTGGTAGCTTGATGGGGATGGCAGTGAATCTATAAATTACTTTGGACAATATGGCCATTTTCATGATATTGATTCTTCTATCCCTGAGCATGGAATATTCTTCCATTTGTTTGTGTCCTCTTTTATTTCCTTGAGCAGTGGTTTGTAGTTCTTTTTGGAGAGGTCCTTCGCTTCCCTTGTAAGTTGGATTCCTATGTATTTTTGTCTCTTTGTAGCAATTGTGAATGGGAGTTCACTCATGATTTGGCTGTTTGTCTGTTAATGGTATATAGGAATGCCTGAGATATTTCTTTATAGCAATGCAAGAATTGCTTAACACAGACAATTGGTACTGAGGAGGAGGGCATTGCTAGAACAGATACCTGAAAATGTGTAAGTAGTTTTGGAACTGTGTAATGGGCAGAGGTTGGAACGGTTTGGAGGGCTCAGAAGAATATAGTTCTTGATGAGGGAAAGTTTGAAACTTCTTAGAGACTGAGTAAATGGTTGTGACCAAAATGCTGATAGTGATATGGACAGTGAAGTCTGGGTTGCCAAGGTCTCAGATGGAAATGAGAAACTTAGTGGGAACTGGAGCAAATGTCATTTAGGTGTGATATGCCTTAGGAAAGAGATTGGCTGCATTCTCTTTATGCCCTATGGATCTGTGGAAGTTTGAGCATGAGGCTGATGATTTAGGGTATCTGGTGGAAGAAATTTCAAAGCAGCATAGCATTCAATATATGGCCTGGCTGCTTCTAACAACCTATGCTTAGGTGCAGGAGCAAAGAAATAACTTAATTTTGAAATTTATATTTAAAAGGGAAATAGAGCATAAAAGTTTGGAAAATTTGCAGCTTAGCCATGTGGCAGAGAAAGAAGCTTTTTTGGGAGAAGAATTCAGGCAGGCTGTGGAGAGACCACTTGCTAGAGGTATTTGCACAATTAAAAGTGAACTAAGAGCTAATATACATAATAATGGGGAAAATGCCTCTAAGGCATTTCAGAGACCTTTGTGGCGGCCCTTCCCATCACAGGCCTAAAGGGCAAAGAGGGAAGAATGATTTTATGGGCCAGGCCCAGGGCCATGCTGTGCTGCACAGCCATGGGACACTGCTCCCCACATCCCAGCCACTCTGGCTCCAGCCTAGCCTCAAAGGGCCCAAGATAATGCACATGCCACTACTCCAGAGAGCACAAGCCACCATAACATTTGGTGGCTTCCATGTAGTGTTAAGCCTCTGAGTGCACAGAATGCAAGAGTTGTAGATTCTTGGCAGCTTTCGCCTAGATTTCAGAGGATGTATGGAAAAGACTGGGTGCCCAGGCAGAAGCCTGCTGCAGGGGCAGAGCACTCACAGAGAAAATCTATTAGGGCAGTGTAGAGGGGAAATATGGGGCTGGAAATCCCACACAGAGTCCCCACTGCAGCGCTGCCTATTGGAGCTGTGAGGAGGCCGCCATCCTTCAGACCTGAGGTAGATTCACCTGCAGCTTGCATCTTGCACCTGGAAAAGCTGCAGACATTCAGCAACAATCTGTGGGAGAAGCCAAAGGAACTGCATCCCACAATGCCACAGGGGCAGAGCTGCCTAAGGTCTTGGGAGCCCATTCCTTGCACCAGTGTGCCCTGTATGTGGGTCATGGAGTCAAAAGACATTATTTTGGAGCTTTAAGGTTTAGTAACTGCCCTGCTGGGTTTCAAAATTACATAGGACCTGCAACCCTTACTTTTGGCTGTTTTCTCCCTTTTAGAACAAGAGTATCTACTTAATGCTTTTATCCCCATTGTGTCTTGGAAGTAAACAAGTACTTGTTTGTTATTTTACAGGCTCATAGGTGGAAGGGATTTGCCTTGTCTCAGATGAGACTTTGGACTTTTGGGGTTAATGCTGGAATAGGTTAAGAGTTTGGGGGGGCCGGGCACGGTGGCTCACACCTGTAATCCCAGCACTTTGGGAGGCCAAGGCGGGCGGATCACGAGGTAGGAGATCGAGACCATCCTAGCTAACATGGTGAAACCCCGTCTCTACTAAAAATAGAAAAAATTAGCCGGGCGTGGTGGCGGGCGCCTGTAGTCCCAGCTACTCGGGAGGTTGAGGCAGGAGAATGGCGTGAACCCAGGAGGCGGAGCTTGCAGTGAGCTGAGATTGGGCCACTGCACTCCAGCCTGGGTGAAAGAGCAAGACTCTGTCTAAAAAAAAAAAAAAAAAAAAGAGTTTGGGGGACTATTAATAAGGCATGATTATATTTTACAATGTGAGAAAGACATGAGATTTGGGAAGAGCCAGGGGAGGCATGATATAGTACTTTTGTGTCTGGATTATTTTACTTAGTGTAATGTCCTCTAGGTTCATTAAGGTTATTGGAAATGGCAGAAATTTCTTTTTTCTTAACATTGAATAGTATTCTATTGTATATAAACGACACCACATTTTCCATATTCATTTATTCATCAACAGATACTTAGATTGTTTTCATATCTTGACTATTGTGAATAATGCTGCAATAAACATGGGAGTACAGATATCTTTTTGAAATCCAGATTTTAATTCTTTTGGATATACGCAGTAGTGAAATTGCTGGATCAAAGAGTAATTCCATTTTTGATTATTTGGACCTCCATATTAATTTCCATAGTGGTTGTACCAATTTAAATTTCCACCTATAGTGTAAAAGGATTCTCTTTGCTCCACATCCTCACCAACACTTACTGTCCTTTTTTGTGGGGGATAATAGCCATCCGAATAGGTGTGAGGTGATCTTGTTGTGTTTTTCATTTGCATTTCCTTGATGATTAGTGTTCCTGAGTGTTTGTTTCATATACACTCCTGTTGGCTATTCATGTGTCTTCTTTGGGGAGATGCCTATTCATGTCCTTGTTCATTTTCAATTGAGTTTTTTTTTTTTTTTTTTTTTTTTGCTGTTGAGTTGTAGGAGTCCTTATATATTTTTGGATATTAACTCCTTGTCAGACAGATGGTTTGCAAATATTTTCTCCTATTCCTTAGGCTGCCTTTTTATTTGTTTCCTTTTGTGTAGAGAAGCTTTTTAGTTTGATATAATCCTACTTGTCTGTTTTTGCTTTTGTTGCCAGTGCTTTTGGTGTTATATCATTCCCTAGTCCAGTGTCTAGAAGCTTTTCATCTGTTTTTTTTTTCTAAGAGTTTCTTAGTTTTGAGTTCTGTTTTAGTTTTTGATTTTTTTTCTAATTTTTCAATTTTATTTTTTACTCAACAAAAATGGCATATATTAATGGGGTACAATGTGACATTTTGATGTATGTTTATATTATGGAACCCATTTTGAATTGACTTTTACATATGATGTGGGATAAGGGTCTAATTTCTAACTATTCTGCATATCTAATTTTCCCAAAAACATTTATCAAAGAGACTATGATTTTCTTATTGTATTCTTGGCACCCTTGTCAAAGATCAGCTGATTGTATATGCATTGGTTTATTTCTGAGCTTTCTATTCTACTCCATTGGTCTCTATATCCATTTTTATGCCAGTGCCATATGGTTTTGATTACTTTAGCTTTATAATATGTTTTTAAATCAGGGAGTGTGATACCTCCAGCTTTGCTCTTCATGCTCTAAGTTTTTTTGGCTATTTGAGGTCTATTATGCTCTAAATGAATTTTATAATTTAAAAAACTTACAGTAAATATGGACGTTTTAACCATATTGATTCTTCCAATCCATAAACCAAGCTATGTTTCCATTTATTTGTGTCTTTTAAAATTTCTTTCATCATGTTTCGTAGTTTTCAGTACAAGTCTTTCACTTCCTTGGTGAAGTTTATTCCTAAATATCTTATTCTTTTTGATGCTGTTGTAAATTGAACTCCTTTGTTAATTTCCCTTTTGGATAGGTCATTGTTAGGCTATAGAAATGCAGCTGATTTTTTACATTGATTTACTATCCTGCTACTTTGCTGAATTCACTTAGTTCTAGCAATTTTTTTTTTTGTAGAGTCTTCAGGGTTTTTACATATTACATTATATCATCTGCAAACGGATATACTTTTTCTTCTTCCTT
This sequence comes from Homo sapiens, assembly GCF_000001405.40. NCBI lineage: Eukaryota > Metazoa > Chordata > Mammalia > Primates > Hominidae > Homo > Homo sapiens. Next base: position 78,567,225 of record NC_000006.12, on the reverse strand, counting down.
TCCAATTTGGATGTTTTTATTTTCTTTATCTTACCTAATTTCTCTGTCTAGGACTTTCAGTAGTATGTTGTCTAGGAGAGGTGAAGAGTGGGCATCATTGCCTTGTTACGCATTTTAGAGGGAAAGCATTTTAGCTTTTCAGCATTTAATATAATGTTAGTGTAAGCTTTTAAAAAATGGCCTTCATTGTGTTTATTGATGAGATTTTCTCTGGGACTGTGGTTGAGTGGGGCTATAGCCAGGTCAGAGGGCTGCTTCTGTGTTTACAGTCAGGTCTTCAGTTGCTGGGCCTGTTACTAGGGGCATTGTTGGGTGTGGCTCCTGATGGGTCCCTGGACAGACAGAACCTTCCCAGTACCATGGACAAGCAGACTGGAGCTGAGTGAAGAAGGGTTCTGGGTTCAGAGCCAGGTCCATGGCAGTGGGCCTGCTACCTGGGCTTGGGCCTGCCTTCTCAAAGTGGCTTTCTCTGATCTTGAGCTCCACTGGGGTGTCACTATTTCCTACCTGTCTCCTGAAGCTCCCACACACAAAGGCACTTTTGTCTGTAGGTGGTTGACAATTCATTGTTTCTGTTGGGGAATGAGGACTGGGGACGTCCTATTCTGCCATCTTGTTGGCATCTAAACTTCTCATTCCTGAAATTTTAAGTCATAGTACCATAAGCTATTTTTGAGGGGAGTTTTCATCATTTGACATTTTGCTCTTCAAGCTGGCTCTTCAGTGGAGATAGGTTTGTTACCTGACTCATATTTGTTGAGCTTATCAGTGTCCCACACATTCCTAGAGACACTTCTCATCTTGTGAACCCCCTTTTTTTGGGTCCTAGAAGACAAATCGAAAAGGATCCTAAGCAGCTTGTGGTCAGTCAGCGTAGCTGGAGTAAGTGGCCTCTCACCTTGGAATGTTTTTTTGTTTGTTTGTTTGTTTTATATTAGTTGGAATTGGAGGCTCTGTGTCCAGTGTTTGGTACAATGTTATTTTGTGCTGACTATCAGCAGCACAGAGCTGAAGAGGGCTTGTAGAAGACATTTGGTCTAATCATCTACCCTGTATTGATTTTTGGACAGAACTGACTGCATTCCTTTCTAGTCATGCTCATATTCTTTCATATTGTTAGAATTACACAGGATGGATTTCATGTTGATGTGTACAAATTAAGATAGCAGATTTAGTTATGGACATACATTGTATAGGTTAAAGACAAGTTACATGGTACAAAAAAAGTAACAAGAGCAGAAACTCGTTTTATTGGGAGTTTAGAATTTTGTTTTTCAATTTGTCAATGTCCACACTAATGTGAACCTGGAAATGAGTGAAGGCTTCTCTCCCCCACTTAAAAAAAAAAAAAAAGACATCAAGGAGAAGAAAAATTTTAGAGTTGCTGTTTATTCCCAAACAGAATAAATAGAAGAAATATTTTCCTTACACATCAAGAAGATTTACCACTTGTTTGTAAAAATAATGCTTTTCTTTCCTGGATTTGTTTTTTTCCCTGTGGCTGTTTTAGTCATTAGGTTTAGTCTGTCTGAGCATTGATAAGTAGTGAATAAAAAGCAGAAAACATCCATCCTGGGAAAAGTGGAGAGTTTATGGCAGAACCACAAGCTTGGTATTTAAGGAGAAAAAAAAGTTTTTAAAAAAAGTAAAAAATGAATGTATTTTGTTTTACATCAAAGTGCCTCAGCTACATTGTGGAAACTTACTTATGTATATATTTCTATTACCATTGTTTTACTATAAATCTTGCTATATAAGAGATCAAAATAACACTCTTTTTAGATGTAGAAGAAGGTTTGGGAATTTAAAAGTTTAGGGAGCTACTCATCCTGGAGTAATGGATACACTAGATAATTTTGCTTATGTCGTTTGGGCTAACTGATCAGTTACAAACAATGCCATTTACTCAAATTTCAATTGATTTCAGTTTGCCTGACCCTTGTCACAGATGCTTCTCTCCTCTAAATTTTTGTTCTTGTTCTGCACAGTCTCCCTGCCATCTCACTCACTTACATAATTTCAGCTACCAACAATGAACCATGGGGCTCAAGGCCAGATTTTATTTAGCTTGTCCACATGGGAGTACTTAATATTGTCTATTAGAGGCTAATCAATAGTATTTTATTTTGTAACAACCATTGGCACATACTGATTTACAAAAATAAATAGCTGTTTGGATTATGATGATAGTATCTAGCAAAAACTCTTCTGATTTTTAACTTAATTATTCAAAGGTTATAGTTCTTATTATAAAAATCCATTGTTAGTTTTTCACTTAAGAACAACTATTAGATGCAGTATAGGTTACAGCTAAGTAGATTCCAGGAACTATGAGTTAATATGAAGTAGAAGTTAGATTTACTTCCTTCAGCTGATTAAAAATCATTTTTTTTACATTAGTATCTTTGCTTTTGAGGAATTAAAGTTTGATGCGTGTATGTTTTCTTTTTTATTCTTTTCTTTTTCCTTCTTTATTTTCTCTGGGAAATTACTCATTCTACATAAACTGATTCCAAGCATTTTTGCTTACGTCGCATAGGTTCACTAGATCAGTACAAAATGGTGCCATTTATATTTGCATTTGGTAAGGACCTAGACAAGTAGTAATAAGGGGTGGGTAACTGGTAGAAATCTGTAATGGCTGCTTACTAGACTCCCACCTAAGAGGAAGTGAGTTCTTCCCATATCTCGCAGTGCACAAAACATTCATAAACTACCCAGGGAGTTAAGGTGACTCTATTTTAATGGTGATTTTGAATTATCTCTTGCCTCTTACTCATCTATACCTCTCTTTATCTTGTTTATTTTGTCTGCCAAATCCTTCAACCTGCTGATGTCACACTGCAAACATTCAATAAATATTGAATGTTTTTTAAATGAATGACTGATATTAGAAGTCCCAGATTTTGAAAGTTCCATTTAAAAACAAGAAAGGGATCTCTACAATACAGGTACCTGAAAGTCCTTTAATATTGAGTACACCACTCTGAACTTCAAAATTTTTTTTTCTAGGAGGGCAAAAACTAACTCACTTTTTGGGAGTAGCTTTTTTTTTTATTATTATTTATTTATTTATTTATTTTGGATTTGTATACATTATTTGTTTGCCTTGTCATTTTCACCATGACTGGAAGGTGTTTTTTATTGCTTATAGATTGCCCAAGACTCTGTAAGCCTCTTAAATAGGAAGACACTAAAATAAATACAATTGAAAAAGGACAGACTAAACTTGCTGTCTTGAACAGAAGCTCAGAAAGGCTTAAATAATGTGTGAATTTGGAAACAGTGCCATATACACAGAGATTTTATTATCACAAACCAGTTTAATTGCTGAGTTCTTTACTGCTCTGAAGGGTTTCCCTCAATCACACTTGTATAAAGTACACCACTGCTGTTGGGTGGAAGTTACAGCTATCTTGCTGGAAACTTTCCCTTAGGCAAAGTCAAGGGAAGTAGCTGAGAGGAGCCAGCTAAGCTCAGTCTAAGCTCAATGGGATAGCTTCTATTGGTCACAGAAGAGGGACTAAGGGACAGCTTGGACTTCAGGGAAAATTTAAAAGAAAAGTTTGCCTTTAGCATCTTTTCAATGTGGTGTTATCTCCTCTCTTTTAGAGTGCTAGATTTCAATCTGATTTTTGGTTCTCTACCAGTTGCTTCTTCTTTACCCCCAAAAACTCTTAACTTTGAACCCGGATCTGTTCTTTTGGAAAAAGTTTAAATTAGCTCTTACATGTTTTTCGTCTCCCTGCTTCAATTTTATCTCCCTTTTTCTCTAGCTTCTGCCCTTCTCCTGTCTTCTAAATAAAACTTACATCAAGATACATAGAAAAAATAATGAAAACTTGAATTCATACAGAACTTACGTTTAAATCTTGATTTCACCCCTCCAATTAGCTGTTGTGGGAAAATATAACACCTGATCCATAGATTACATGGGTAAAATTGGGCTGAATCTGTCTATCTGCAATAATTGGAAAAAGTTATTGATTCAGTCCATTCCCAGATGGACCCAAACATGTATGCAGCTATTTAGAAATACATGGAGAGTAAAGACTAGTATAATGATTCATATATGTCCCTTCAAGGTCACCTGTCAAAGTAAGTTTCATTTCATGGGGGTGAGCACTGGAAGCCCTCACATTTATTTCTCACCTTTCTTCTTTTTTTAATCTCTTTCCACTTATGTTCTGTCCTCCTCTAGCCAAATCTCATTTATCTCTAAGAATGTCCAGATACTGTAAACTTTAAATTCTTCAGAGTGGAACATCTATAAACTAACTAGACTATTTTCTTACTAATATTGGTCCTTTCCATAGGATAGTTTTGAGGTATTCTTATACATAAAGACCATCTATTCTCCAGGAGCAAGGATGGAGAGAAATTGAAAGGATGCAGGGGAGAGAGAATAGTAAACTGATTGTTCCACTGGGCTGGGGGAAGGTGGGGCAGAACAAATGTGTGAAAGGGCACAAAACCTGGTTCTGCTACATGTATAAAGCAACAACATTCATGAGACAGTCTAAGCAAAAAACCCACCTCATACCCATTTTCCCATTAATACTGTGCATTATCAAAATAATCCAAGTTTCCACTTAAAAAATTAAAACATTGGAGAATGGGAGAGACAGGGTGTCTTTTTCCTGTATTAGTGCAGTCACATGAGTGCTAAATATGCCAGGCACAGTGGTGAACAAGACAGAGTGTGCCCTGCCTTTTTGGAGGCTATAATCCAGAAAGACTAAAGGAAATATTTAATCAATACAGTTTGAGTCTACTGGGGAAGACATTTAGGTACATTGGGTCCTACAACAAATGCATTACCTCATACAGTTAGTTTTTGTGGTGAAAGCACTCAATGTCCACTTTCTTTGCATTTTTCAAGAATACCATGTATCATCATTAACTATAGTTACCCAGGTATAAAACAGATCTCTTGAATTTATTTATCCTGTCAGAATTGTGTATCCTTTGATCAACATCTCCCCAACTCCCCACCCTCCCTTCTGCTTTGCCAAATCTCTGGTAACCACAGTTCTGCTCTCTACTTCTGTGAGATCAACTTTTTTAGATTCCACATACCAGTGAGATCATATGGTATTTCTTTTTGCTTAAAAAAAAAAAAGATATTCTGTGGCACATCTTCATAAAATTAAGGAAGTTATTCTTCAGACAATCAGAAGTGACAGAAAAAATAGATTTGTGATAAATGGATCAAAATTGTCTCGGGAACATCAGACAGGATATTCAAGAAATGTTGCAATGTTTATTTTACAACAGTCCTATCCACAGCCATTCCCAAAAACTGCTGGGAGACCTTTGGCTCTCTCTCCATGAGTACATGTCTCCTATGCATCCTGATGCCCCTTTTTCCCATTCTTTAAAGACTGGGAGTTCCAAAAGAGACATTCTTGACAAAGAAGTGTGTTTTATAATGATTGGGAATTCACATAAATACAGATAGTCTGTTCTTATCACTTTACTTGCTAAAGAAAATATGGCTCAAACTTCAAACAATTTCTGCAACAACTGCTTGGGAATTTTTAATGTTTCCATAAGATGGGACAACAAACCTTCTAGGTGAGAATATAAAATTGACAGCATCATAAAAATAGAATTATTACCCCTTACATTATTCATATAGAATAATAAAACCATAATTATTATAGATTATTATAGTGGTATTGATTTAGATATTTTATAAGCATCAACTATACATCAAGCATCATGGTAAATACTACATATAAAAAGATGATGAAATTGTTCCCACTTATGAGAATTTTACAATCAAGCTAAAAAGGTATTAAAACCAATTAGATAAAAATGTGGCATCTATTCTAACAGTGACATGGATAAAACAATGAAAGAATAGATTTTAAAAGGGCTACTTTACAGTCAGGTGGTAGTTTAGACACTGATAGGATCAGTGCATATCTACTTTAAAAGAGGGCACATCAAACTGTGTATGAGGCACTTAAGAGGAATTCTGCATAGGAAATGACAGAGGAAGTTCAAAGATGTTAGTGGCTGGTTTATGCAGGATCATTTATCAGACCATCCAATTATAAACATGTTGTGCAGGGTTTGAAATGCCAAAGGATGATGATAACTCTAATCTAAAGAGATTTCTAGGGAGACAGAGTTGACAAATAACTGGAGTTCCCCAGCATATGTCCTTTAAAGAAACTCTGGAGTGGAAAATGCCACTAATGTTTCTTGCAGAAATAATAGAAACTTCCTTGACATTGCAAACATACTGAACTTGATTTGGATCCTAGCTTTGCTGCTTATTTTCTTTATAACTTGCTCAACATCTCTGAGCCTCAGTTTCCTTGCTTCTCTATACCACCCACCTTTCGTAGGACTTCCCTGGGGATTCATTCATTCAAAAATCTACTTGTTATCATGCTAAAAGCTTTTCTTATTTTGTCTAATACAATCTTAGATAATCTTATTGAAGATATTTTCCTCACTTAACAGGAGAGGAAAGTAAAGTAATTTTTGAGAACACTTGGATAGTAAGTTGTAAAGCCACGAATGGAATCCTGATCTATCTGACTCCAAAATCCAAGCTTGTAACAACTATGTTCTCATTTGACAAACTAATACATGGAAGCACTCAATAAATATTCTATTCAGTTAATCATTCAACAATTATGTAGAACCTATTGTATGCTGGATATTCCCCCAAAAGTGTAGGTAAAGAGCATATCAGTGGAGTTTTCAGTGAGATTAAAAAATGAAGTGATCTGCTATCTGCAAGATACAGAATGATAAACTAAAAGGTCAGACTTCATTCCCCATGGAAGTAACTTTCTAACACTTGGAAATTTCACCACTGGCTCTAACCATCAAGAAATAAGGAATAATTTAAAAATCTAAAGTCCTAGTTATACATTATAGAATTGTATGGCTATATAGCTATAAGTATACAAGTTAAAGGATGCAGGATTTGTAGGTTTATTTTAAATCAATGAAAATTCCATAGATGAAATTTAGAAAAAATATGCAGTCTGATATACGTCAATATATATCAATTTATGTCACTCTTCCTAACCTACCATATATCATTATATCAATCTCTAGCTCTGTAGTAAACTTGACCTATCTAATGTATCTAACTAGACAATACTAGAATTACACAGAAAAATAATGAAGGCATGATAACTTATAAGTGAGTTTAAGATAAAAATAATTGTGTTCAGAAAAAGGACTTTGGGGTTATAGTTGAAGGACAAATAGGAGTGGGCCAGCTGAGTTATGGTTGAAAGAGTGATTCAGCAAACAAGTGCTGTACAAAAGCCAAGGAGATGTAAAATTAGCATAGAGTATGCAGGTAGTTGCAATTTGTTAATACCAGAATTTGAAGAATAAGGCAGTGGTTGTAGAGAAGTCAGCTGGAGAAGCAGAGGGAGTATCATGGTTTTTACTGGACAATGTTTACACTGCTGGAATTTTTTTCATCACATAAGTTTGCAATAGCAAAAAGGGAACAATAGCCAACAGCTCAGCCATAGAAGCATCAACATTCATGCTCAGAATATGCTGTAACAGTATAGACTAAAATGGGATAGATATATAAATACACTATATATACATACACACACATATGTATGTGTGTATATAGTGTATTTATAGTTTTATAAAGCTAAACCTATGTATATTTATCTCTACATGCTTAATTATAAATGTATATAATCCATTTCTTTGGTCTTTATATATACCCAAGCTAAATCTATTTAATTGATAATTCAGTAAACATGCATTAAACATCTATATTTGAGGACCAGAGTTGAAGCTTGGTTTTCAAAGATGCATAAAATATGGATTCTGGCACTTTGAGGACAGATGAGCAGCGAAGGGATTAGTTGAACCCAAATGATAATTGTAATTGTTTTTCTTGTTTATAGAGCAAGTTGTATTCTTTCTTAGCTTTCTAGATGTTCCTGACCTGACTCATGCCTTTCATGCCCCATTGGTTTTGGCAATCCACAACCTCGGGAGAGAGATGCATTTCTCCACCAGTCCAGGTGTGTGGGACCGTGCTGGGAAAGCAGTCTCTTGGTTTTTCATTTAGGGGAAGAGGATCAGGCAAACCATCCTGCCTTTAAACTAATTTAGCACTCCCAAATAATGACATGAGATTTTGATAAAATACATTATATTTACCAGGATTCCCAAAATTCTACCTTAATATGAATTATACTACATGTTCTCAGATATATAATTATGTGGAGTCTATTTATAACTTGCTTGGGTGAGACTAAGAAAGGGTATTTTATACTCAAATCCTGGACTGGGATTAATAAATCTGGGAATAAATCTGGGAAATAGATGAAGACATTTTTCATTTTTGCCAATAATTAGCAGCACATCTAAGATGGATCAATTTTAATTAGGTAATTGAAATTATGAACCAGTTAGCCAAGTCAGCTATTTAAGAATCAGACTTAGTTATTTTCTGCCTCTAGTTCCATGGCTTTTTAAAGTATTGAAAGTTTCCACTATAAAAAAGTGTGTTTTTAAACAAAAACCCTGAAAATAATCAGCTAAAATAATCTAAATATAAAATATGTGTCATTTTGATGATTAGATTATTTTGAACAGTAAACTGGTTAATATTTTAGATTTTGGTTATAATATTAAGAAACACTATGTATATATTGAAAATATTTGCTTAGCTTGAAAATCAACATAAAGCCATTACAGAAGAAAACAGTTTTATATAATATGAATGGAAACAACATCCTCAGACACAGATTATAAAAGCATAAAATAAAACTTGATTCTTTATTTTTTATTGTGGTAAAGACATGATCAAGCAGACAACCAGCAGAATGGGAGAAAATGTAAAGTGTTCATCTGAGAGGGGCTAATATAAATAATTTACAAAGAACTTAACAACCCCATTAAAAAGTGGGCAAGAGACATGAATAGATATTTTCAAAAGAAGACATACAAATGGCCAACAAGCATATGAAAAAATGCTCAACATCAATTATCGGAGAAATGCAAATTAAAACCACAATGATATACCGTCTTATACCAGTGAGAATGGATATTATTGAAAAGACAAAAAAAATAGCAGATGTTAGTGAGGGTGTGGACAAAAGAGAACACTTATACAGTGTTATTGAGAATGAAAAATAGTACAATCCCTATGGAACACAATATGGATATTTCTCAAAGAACTAGAGATAGAACTACCATTCAATCCAGCAATCCCGCTACTAGGTATATATTCAAAAGAAAGAAAATCAGTATATCAAAGAGGGATCTGCACTCCTGTGTTTATTGCAGAACTACTCACAATAGCCAAGATCTAGAATCAACCAAAGTGTCCATCAATGGATAATTGGATAAAGAAAATGTATATATAAACTCAATTGAATACAATTCATAAATAAGAATAAAATCGTGTTTTTTTGCAGCAACATGGATGGTACTGGAGGCTGTTATTTTAAATGGAAGAACTTGGAAACAAAAAGACAAATACCACATGTTCTCACTTATAAGTGTAAACTAAGTAATATGTACACATAGACATAGAGTGTGGAATGATTGAAATTGGAGACTGGGAAGTGTGGGGCAGGTGGGAAGGGGGTGGTGATGAGTGATATGGTTTGGCTCTGTGACCCCACCCAAATCTCATGTCAAATTTAATCCCCACATGTTGGAGGAGAGGCCTGGTGGGAGGGGATTGAATCATGGGGGCGGCTTCCCCCTTGCACTTCTTGTGATAGTGAATGAGCTCTCACGAGATCTGTTTGTTTAAAAGTGTATAGTGCTTCTTCCTTCACTTTCTGTCTCCTGCTCCATCATGGTAAGACATGCTTGCTTCCCCTTCACCTTCTGCCATGATTGTAAGTTTCCTGAGGCCTCCTAGTTATGCTTCCTCTACAGCTTGCAGAACTGTGAGTTGATTAAACTTCGTTTCTTTATAAATTACTCAGTCTCAATAAGTTCTTTACAGCAGTGGTGAGAATGAACTAATAAAAAAAAATTGGTACCAGAGAAGGGCGGTATTGCTATGAAGATACGTGAAAATGTGGAATTGACTTTGGAACTGGGTAATGGGCAGAGGGTGGAACAGTTTGGAGGGCTCAGAAGGTAGAGAAAGATTAGGGAAAGTTTGGAACTTCTAGAGACTTGTTGAATGGTTTTGACCAAAATGCTGATAGTGATATGGACAATGAAGTCCAGGCTGAGGAGGTCTCAGATGGAGATGAGGAACTTATTGGAAATTTGTGTAAAGGTCACTCTTGCTGTTCTTTAGCAAAAAGACTGGTGGTACTGTGCCCCTGCTCTAGGGATCTGTGGAACTTTGAACTTGATAGGGATAATTGAAGGTATCTGGTGCAACACATTCAAGATTTGGCCTGGCTGCTTCTAAAAGCCTGACTCATTTACATAAACAAATTAACTGAACTAGAACTTAAATTTAAAAGGGAAGCAGATCATAAAAGTTTGGAAAACTTGTATCCTGACCATGAGGTAGAAAAGAAAAACCCATTTTTGAGGAGGAATTCAAGGCTGTAGAAATTTGCTTTAGTAAAGAAGAGCTGAATGTTAATAGCCAAGACAATGGGGAAAATGCCTCCAAAGTATTTCAGAAACCTTAATGGAAGCCCCTCTCATCACAGACCCAGAGGTCTAGGATGGAAAAATGGTTTCGTGGGCCTGGCTCAGGGCCCAGTTGCTCTGTGCAGCCTTGGCACATGGTTCCCTGAGTCCCAGCCACTCCAGAGCCAGCCATGGCTAAAAAGGGCCAAGGGTACAGCTCAGGCCATTGCTTCAGAGGGGGCAAGCTCCAAGCCTTGGTGGCTTCCATGTGGTGTTTGGCCTGCAGGTGTGCAGAAGACAAGAGTTGAGGTTTGGGAGCCTCAGCCTAGATTTCAGAGGATGTATGGAAAGATCTGGATGTCCAGACAGAAGTCTACTGCAGGGGTGGAGCCCTCACGGAGAACCTCCATTTGGGTAGTTTGGAGGGGAAATGTGGGGTTGGAGCCCCCACACAGAGTCCCCACTGGGGCACTTCTTAGTGGAGCTTCAAGAAGAGGGCCACTGTCATCCAGACCTTAGAATGGTAGATCCATCGACAGCTTGCACCATGAACCTGGAAAAGCCACAGGCACTCAACACCAGCCTGTGAAAGCAGCCATGGGGGCTGTACCCTGCGGAGCCATGGGAGTGGAGCTGCCCATGGCTTTGTTAGCCCACCACTTGCATCAGTATGCTCTGGATGTGAGACATGGAGTCAAAGGAGATTATTTTGGAGTGTTAAGATTTAATGACTGTCCAGCTGGGATTTAGTCTTGCATGGGGCCTATATCCCCTTTGTTTTTGCTAATTTCTCCCTTTTGGAACCAGGAGCATTACCCAATGCCTGTAACCCTGTACAAGTTAGTTATATCGTGGAAGCAACTAACTTGTTTTTGATTTTACAGGGTTATATGCAGAAGGGACTTGTCTTAGATATGGCTTTGGACTTGGGCTTTTAAGTTAATGCTGGAATGAGTTAAGACTTTGGGGGAATGTTGGGAAGGCATGGTTGTGTTTTGAAACGTGAGAAGGATGTGAGATTTGGGAAGGGCCAGGGGGCAGAATGATATGGTTTGGCTCTGTGTCCCCACCCAAATCTAATGTCGAACTGCATTCCCAATGTGTTGGAAGAGGGGCCTGGTGGAAGGTGATTAAATCATAGGGGCAGACTTCTACCTTGCTCTTCTCATGACAGTGAATGAGTTGTTTAAAAGTGTGTAGAACTTCCCCCTTCACTCTTTCTCTCCTGCTCCACCATGGTAAGACATGCTTGATTCTCCTTTGCCTTCTGCCATGATTAAGTTTCCTGAGGCCTTCCAGCTGTGTTCCTGTACATCCTGCAGAACTGTGAGTCAATTAAACCTCCTTTCTTCATAAACTACTTAGTCTCAGGAAGTTCTTTATAGAAGTGTGAGAATGGACTAATACAATGAGACATTACTTAATCGGTACAGTGTACATACATTATTTAGGTGATGGATACACTAAAAGCCCAAACTTCACCACTATGCAACATATCCGTGTAAGAAAATTGCATTAGTACCCTTTATATTTACTTAAAATATGACCACATAACATGAAATCTACCCTCTTAACAAAATCTTCAGTATACAGTGTATATAAAAAATTGACATGTTTTTTCTAAGTAAAGCAGGTGTATGGCTCACTCAATTTTTTTTAATTTTGTTGTTGAAATTTTCAAGAAAATAGCACCTTGCTATAAAACATAGTCACCATGTTTTATAAATAGATCTCTTGAACTTATTTCTCCTAAGTAAAATTTTGTTTCCTTTGACTAACATCTCCCTAACTTTCTAGTACTCTAAGTGCTTGGTAGCCACCATTCTACCCTTTATGAGTTTAACATTTTTAGATTCCACATATAAATGAGATCATGTGGCATTTGTCTTTGTGTGCCTGGCTTATTTCTTTTAGCATAATGTCCTTCAGGTTCATTCATGTTGATGCGAATGATAAGATTTCCTTCTTTTAAATGCTAAATATTATTCCACTGTGCATATATGCCTCATTTTCTTTATCCATTCATTCACTGATGGGCATTTAGCTGGATTCTATTTCTTGGCAGACAGGAACATCAGAGAAGATATAAATGATCAGGAGCTGACATTGCCAGCTTCACCTCTCACTCTGCCAAAATGCCAGCTGTCTCCCTGAGTTAGCATTCTTTTCACAAACATAGTTGTGTCCCCCATCCCTCCAGCCATTTTGTACAGTACTTTTCCTAAGTGAAATATCTTTTCCTATGGCTAGCAATAAATGTAGTTCCACAAACGTTTATTATACAAATACTGCATGACAACATTCATTCTACTACAGAGATGAAAACACCCAGTACCTGTTCTCAAGATGTTGTCTAAATCCCACGTCTTTCAAATATTATTCCTCGCCCCTTACTGTTTACTCTTTCTGCTCTAGTTTCTTGAACCATTATGACTTGAAGTATCTCTCTCTCTCTCTATATATATATATATATTTGAAGTATATATATCTAAACTCTATTTGTATGTATTTGAAGTGTATATATATCGTCAATTGTTATATATATGTAACAAAGGGAACAATTATATATATGTGTGTGTATATATATAAAGTGTATATATAGTGTGTGTGTATATATATACACAGATATATGTATATTATATACACACATATATATGTGTGTATATATACATATATCTGTGTGTGTGTGTATATATATATATATATACACATATATCTGTGTGTGTATATATATATATATATATATATATACACTTTTGAAGCATATAGGATAATGGCCTCCAGCTCCATCGAGCTTCAAAAGTATGTAAGTGTGTGTGTGTGTGTGTGTGTGTGTATGTATGTATGAGTGTTCCCTTTGTTACATATATATAATGATAGAAAGATACATTTTAATGATTTGCCTTAAAAACTAACCTATAGTCATACAATACTGACATTTAAGAATAGAAATATTTGCCACAGTGACAAACCTATCCATTATTTGGTACTAGAGACATTTATTCGTTTATTCTATGTTGCAACACTAAAAAAGGTATCAAAATATTTTTCTTCTTATTCTATGGTGGCTCTATTCCTCTCTTTACTGCTCCTATTATAAACCTAATAGCAATGTGAGGGCATAATATTTGTCATCAAGACAACTATATGGCAACATAGAGATGACTCTCAAATTGTATTTGAAGAGGTAACAACATAATTTCTTTTCAAGTCAGAAATGCTTTTCTATTAATTGATGGCATTTCAGATGAAATTATACTATTAAAATATTGGAAAAATCTAGGAAATACCATTCTGGACATTGGCCCTGGGAAAGATCTAATGATAGCTTCAAAAGCAATTGCAACAAAAACAAAATTGGCATGTGTAAACTAATTAAACTAAAGAGCTTCTGAACAGAAAAAGAAACTATCAACAGAGTAAAGAGACAATCTACAAAATGGGAGACAATTTTCACAAACTATGCATCCCACAAGGACTAATATCCAGAATCTATAAAGGAACTGAAACAAATCAACAAGCAAAAACCAAACAACCCCATTAAAAATGGGCAAAGAACATGAACAGACACTTCTCAAAAGAAGACATACACGTGGCCAACAAGCATATGAAAAAATGCTGAATATCACTAATAATTAGAGAAATTCAAATCAAAATCAAAATGAGATACTATCTCAGACCAGTCAGAATGGCTATTAAAAAGCCAAAAAAATAACAGATGCTGGCAAGGTGCAGAGAAAGGGGAATACTTATACACTATTGGTAGAAATGTAAATTAGTTCAGCCAGTGGAAAGCAGTTTGGAGATTTCTCAAAGAACTTAAAACAGAACTACCATTCGACTCAGCAATCCCATTACTTGGTATATACTCAAAGGAATATAAATCTTTCTAACATAAAGACACATGCATGCATATATTCATCACAACACTTTTCACGATAACAAGGACATGGAATCAACTTAGATGCCCATCAGCAGTAGACTGGATAAAGAAAATGTGGTACATACACATCATGGAATATTATGCAGCCATAAAAAAGAACAAAATCAGCACCATCCATGTTGCTGAAAAGGATATGGAGGCCATTATCCTAAGCAAATTAACCCAGGAACAGAAAAGCAAATAACACATGTTTTCACTTAGTGGGAGCTAAACATTGAGTATGCACGGACACAAATAAGGGACCAACAGACACCTGGGCCTACTTGAGGATGGAGGGTGGGAGGAGAGTGAGGATTGAAAAATTACCTAGCAAGTACTATGCTCATTACCTGTGTGACAAAATAGTCGGTACACTAAACCCCTGTGACACTCAATTTACCCATATTTTTAGGTATATGTTAGTATTAAATTTAGAATGTATATTCTAACCACCACCACTAGAGTGCAACTTACTTAAATATAGATATTGTCTATTAAAGCTTCTTTTCATTTAATATTGTAGGCAGAGTAAGACCTTAGTGCTTGTTGATTTATTAGCTCTTTTAGTCTTAATGTTTGGCAGTTATAAATTTTGCTTGGCAGTAGGGCTTTTGCATTAGTTTATGTCAATACCTATGCAATTTCGTCAGATATTTTACACTGCATTAAGTACTTTTTTGAATTTTGAAGAAAAGGTTTTTAAACTATGGAAACAAACTCAGTGATAAACGATTCTCCCTTCAGGGTGTTATTTATTTGTATCTCTAGAATTGATGTAGAGAATGTCTTAATTTTATGGTCTAATTTGCACAAATTTGCTGCCTAACAGTCAGTTGAAAACTTGTGGCCTTACAAAGATGAGGAGAATTACCTATAATCTTTGGATGTATAATTGAAGAGCTCAATCTTAATACAATGATAAGTTGATATTTTTATCTTGTTTTATTATAAAATTATTCATTGTAATGTTAAACCCATTCTTATGAATTAGAGTATATTAAAATTTTAAACAATTAGATGTTAAAGCAGAGTTGTATGGTCACTAATTAATCATTATAGAATTTAAGAAAGGGACACTTACATAAACACCTTGGTCATTTGTGGAGAAAAATTATAATTGGGGAAATGTAATATAAATGGAAGCCAGCTGCAAGGAATTCAATACATATTGCCAAAAGCAATTATGCTGACCTTCGGAAAATTGTACCACTCTAATTTTTATTTTAAATTTAGAATTTTTCCTTAATAATTAATTAACTTGGTGTTTGAGGTTAGACATTTCCGGTATTACTGAGTTTGGGTAGGTTTCTCACCTTGATAACCAAATATGACTCAATTCTCAGAAAATATAATTCTTGAATAGACTTTCATAGTGTGAAAGTGTTCTGGAAAAATACAGTTTGACACAAGTTATTTCTACTAGTTGTTAGTATCTATAGAATATTAGGTAAAATAAACTCTCTTCATAAAATGATGCTCTTTCAGTTTTTTTCCATAATAGTTGTGTATATTGCATCTTACACTTTTTTTTTTTTTTTTTTTTTTTTGCAAACCCCAATGGGTTTCCAGGCATAGAACTCTTTGAAGGTAATTCATTATATCTGATTTTCACAGGGGCTTAGTAAGAATGTCTCTATTTTTTTTGTTGTTGTTGTTGAATCCTAGACCTTAACACACACACACACACACACACACAAGCATACACACACACATATTTCCATATTTTCTTTTTCAGATGATGCTTCATTTTTTTTAAAAAAAAAACTGATTTGGACTTTCTTCCACAAAAAACACTGCCTAGGTTTGCATTTTTTTTTCTTATGTAGATTAGTACTGCTGCATAGGTGTTATAATAATTATTCTGTTTTTAAAATAAAATTTCTTTTCCAGACTCTTGTTTCCCATTTTCTTCTGCTTGCTTACTTGACAGGTGACTGGAGAAAGGGAAGCACCTTTTTAAATTCACCTGGGAGAGTACTTTGTATTTATTGAATACTTACCATATTTTAGATCATATAAATGATCTACTGCGTTACTTTCTTGTAGAGGAGGCAACATAAACACCCAAAGCATTTAAATAATAGGAAGAGGGTTGGGCATAGTGGCTCAGGCCTGTAATCGAAGCACTTTCAAGGCCGAGGCTGGCGGATCACTTGAGGTCAGGAGTTCAAGACCAGCCTGGCCAACATGGTGAAACCAGTCTCTACTGAAAATACAAAAATTAGCTGGGTGTCGTGGTGCATGCCTCTAACCCCAGCTACTCGGGAGGCTGAGGCGAGAGAATCACTTGAGCCAGGGGGAGGATGTTGCAGCGAGCCGAGATTGTACCACTGCACTCCAGCCTGGGCAATAGAACGAGACTCTGTCTCAAAAAAAAAATACATAAAAAGAAATAAAAAATAAATAAATAATAGGAAGTGTCACAATGTGTAATAGTGACTTTAAGTCCCTTTAGTGACTTCCTCTTCTTCAGTAACTGGTGAACACCTCAGCATTCCTTAGGAAAGAGGCCTGAAGAAAACAGGAAGTAGGTGAATGTATCAGTAATAATATGACAGGTGCTAGTTTTTAAGTACCTGCTACATATCAGGCAGTATGCTAAGCACTTTCCATATATTATTTTACACATTTAAGTGAAAAATCCTCATCACAAGATATGGTAACTTACAAAAAAAAATATTTGAAAAGAAGAGACTATTTCTTATAAAGGTGGCCATGCTGGCAGGCTAGGAAGTGCACCTCCAGCCAAAAACAGGACTCAGTGTGTCAAGTTAAAAAATCACAGGACCTACAAATTTAGGAAGGATACTTTATTTTTTTGTAAAGGGTTATAGACTGTAAGGTGGCTATCTTGCAGACTGGGAAGCATGCCTCTGGCCAAAGCCATTAGTAGGCATTTTGAGTGAAGATAAGTTGGGGTAGGAGTTTTATGTTGAACAAGTTGGCTAAGCATATATATTTAACAGGTTATAGGATGAGTTATGAATAGTTATGAAGGTGGTCCTGATATATGTGTATCGAACAAATTGATGTATATATGACCCATGTTTATTTGGGGGTGAAGGTTTAACATTTAAATGTATTGTAATTAGGCTTTATATGTCAAATAGTCTTTTCAGGACATGGAGGCACGTAAGTGCACAGTCTCTGCAAACTGGCCAGAACCAGTCCGTGGTTGGTAGATGTTTTATCAGGAGAAAGTTACCGAAATGAGTCTCTTTGTCCAATCAAAGCTGTAGTTATGGCACCTTGCCTGGCATGACCTTACGTCTTGTTTATAATTTGGTATCTTTTTTTGTCACAAAGAGTCTGTCCTGTCAGTCTTATGATCTCTATTTTAACACTAATGCTGGTCAGCTGTTGTGTCTAAACTCCAAAAGGAGGGGCATAACAAGGCATGTCTGACTTCTCATTTCATCATGGCTGGGAACTCAATTTTCAAGTTTTTTGGGGAGTCTTCTTAGCTAAGAGGGGGTCTATTTAGTTGGTAGAAGGCTTAAGCTTTTATTTTTAGTGTATATAAATGTATTAAACAAGCTATTTTGTCAGTTTAATTTAAAACTATAGCTTACAAAAATTGAATGAAACAACAAATATTACTTTTCTTTCTCTACTTAATACTATGTCCAAAATTTAAAAACTATTTAATCCCACTAGGCCAATCTAT
Organism: Homo sapiens; assembly: GCF_000001405.40. Classification (NCBI taxonomy): domain Eukaryota; kingdom Metazoa; phylum Chordata; class Mammalia; order Primates; family Hominidae; genus Homo; species Homo sapiens. Next base: position 78,549,076 of record NC_000006.12, on the reverse strand, counting down.
TTTCCATTGCCAGCACACTACTAAATCTAAACTATGTTGAGCAACTTACCTCTATGTCCAGAGACTATCACAAAAAGGTGGGCATATAAGATTATAAGGGCCAGTTTCAAGACAGAAAATTAGTTCAGACCCTCCAAATCAAAGATGGGTATGCAAATACCTAAACAGCTGATGACTCAACACATAAAACTTATACATAAGTCAATTTTATAATCTTGCTTTTGGTTTTGGCTCTTGTATTACTTAAAGGATTTTAGGAATAAGTGAGTACCTGCCTACTTCCATTTCCATCTGGACTAAAACATTTAATTGACTATAAATCTTTTGACTCTATTAAGTCCCTTGGCCACAGCGATCCCACCAAGGGACAGGATAGACCCCAGGCAGGTAGCCATGCTACCCCAACAATATGGGACAAAATGAAAGTTTGGCCATAGATGCAGCCTGCGGCAAATCTTGGCCCAAAGTGGGGGAAATGTAAACTAGAAATAAAATTCTAAGCTCCCCATCAACTAAAGAAACACCCTCTTAGCCAAGGAGACCCCCCCAATATACTTAACTGAGTTCTCAGCTATGATAGAATGGGAGCCCAGACACTCTTCATTATACACCCTTCTCCCTTTTTCAGTCTAAACACAACAACTGACCAGCATTAATGTTAAAATAGAGATTGTAAGACTGACAGAGTAGACTCTTTATGACAAGAAGATATCAAAGTATAAACAAGACCTAATGCCATGCCAGACAAGGATTAAGTCACATATCCCTACACTTGAAAAATAAACTATGTTCTAACGCCGCAGATTTTTCTTTCTCTATCAGCCAAACAAACACTGGCCTCTAGATAAACAATATTAAACAATCACAACTCATCCAACTCACAGACACTGACCAATGGAACCCCTTGTTCTACCAGCCATATTTATAGCTTTGATTGGATGAGAGACTAATTTCAACAACTTTCTCCTTATAAATATGTGTTAACTTAAAAATTACAAGGTAGAACTTAGTTTAGGAGTGTAATATCCAGAATCTACAAGTAACTGAAATTCACAAGAAAAAAAACCCCATCAAAAAGTGGACAAAGGACATGAACAGACACTTCTCAAAAGAAGACATATATGTGACCAACAAGCACATGAAAAAAAGATCAGCATCACTGATCATTAGAGAAATGCAAATCAAAACCACATTGAGATACCATCTCATGCCAGTTGGAATGCCTGTTATTAAAAAGTCAAACAACAGATGCTGGCTAGGTTGTGGAGACAAAGGAATCCTTTTACACTGTCGGTCGGAGTGTAAATTAGTTCAACCATTGTGGAAGACAGTATGGTGATTCTTCAAAGACCTAAAGATAGAAATACCATTTGATCCAGCAATCTTATTACTGGGTATATAACCAAAGGAATATAAACCGTTCTATTATGTAAAGACACATGCACACATATGTTCACCGAAGCACCATTCACAATTGCAAAGACATGTACTTAACCTAAATGCCCATCAGTGATAGACTGCATAAAGAAAATATAGTTCATATGGACCATGGAATACTATGTAGCCACAAAAACAAGATCATGTCCTTTGCAGGGACATGGATGGAGCTGGAGAGGCCATTATCCTTAGCAAACTAACACAGGAACAGAAAACCAAATACCGCATGTTCTCACTTATAAGTGACAGCTAAATGATGACAACACAGGGACACAAGGGGACAACACACACTAGGGCCCTATTGGAGGGTAGAGAGTGGGAGGAGGGAGAGAAGCAGGGAATATAACTAATGGGCATTAGGCTTAATACCTGGGTGATGAAATAATTCGTGCAACCAACCCCCATGACACACATTTACCTATGTAAAAACCTGCACATCCTGCACATGTACCCCTGAACGTAAAAGTAAAATAAAAATTAAAAAAAAACCGTTTACAGAATTGGATGTCTCAATATTTGGCGATAAGTATGCTGTATAAGAAATCTAAACACAGCAATATATATTAGATCAGAAATCCAATAGGTATCCCTTTTTACTGTAGTTTGGATAATTTCTTCACTAAATGCTACCCTCCCTGTAATCTCGATTCCTTTGTTTCTGTGTCCCACAGTGCCTAGACTCAGTCTTTTTCTTTAGTTACTGGGGACTCATTCTAACTCATCTCCAACATCTGTTTGCTCACCAGTGAGTACCCTTAGTGCTCTGTCACATTTTTATTTCAAACTCACATCCTTTACTTTTTTTTTTTTTTGGTGCATCTTGCTAAATTTTTAATCTCTTCCCTTTATACTGGGTTGTCTCATGTTTAACACTTCCTTTGAAATCTTTTCTTAAAATTTAAAAATGTCTTTAGTTTTATAGATTTAGGGGGGTACAAGTACAATTTTGTTACATGGATATATTGCATAGTGAAGTCTGGGCTCTTAGTGTAAACATCATCCAAATAGTGCATTTTGTACCCATTAGGTAATTTTTCATCCCCCTCCCACCCTCCCACCTTTCCAAGTCTCCAGTGTCCATTATTCTACTCTCTCTGTCCATGTGTACACATTACTTAGCTTTCATTTGTAAGTGAGAACATGCAGTATCTGATTTTCTGTTTCTGAGTTCACTGAAGATGATGGCCTCCAGTTCCATCCATGTTGCTGCAAAAGACATAATTTCATTCTTTTTTATAGATGAGTAGTATTCCACCATGTATACACACACACACACACACACACACACACACACACACACATATATATATATATATAATATATATATATACATTTTCTTTATCCAGTCATCCAATGATGGACACTTATGTTGATTCTATGACTTTGCTATTGTGAAAAGTGCTATGATAAACATATGAGTGCAGGTATCTTTTGAATATAATGGTTCTTACACACAATTACTTTATTAAGAAAAAGCCAGGATCATATAATTCTTCTATATTTGAAGCCAGGACAGAACATTCCAAATTCTAAAATGGAATTTTTCCCTTTCTTTTGCAGTTTTTAAAAAGTATCCATGTGCTATCTTGTAACTGTGCTACCCTAAATTGCTTCTGTTGCTTGGAAGATGGGTGCTGTTTAAAGACTTCAACCTACAATGAAGTATGCTATGTCACATTTTTATTTATGTGGAATAGCTTATTCTTCCCAAAGTGGACTTTCATTTTAATAAAAGACTGCTGGAAAGAACAATGAATTAATACCTAATGTGGAATATAAAATTGCTTGGAACCCATATATGTTTTTTATTGTTAATAATAATTTATTGAATGCTTTCTATGTGCCAGGCACCACACTACATTATCTCATTTAATTTCCATATCAATCATTTACATTTTATCTGTATTCCACAGACACAGATGCTGAGGCTGAGGTCAAACAACTTGTCTAGATCACAGTGTTAATAAGAGGCAGAATTCAGGGCTTAAGAGATTGCAAAGCTGGTTCAGAGTTCCTTCTTTAAGGAGGGCCTTTCCTGCAACCCTCAAATACACACCTGGCTAACTTGACTATTGGATTCTGAGAGATACTCTGTACAATATTTAACATAAGAGTATTTATTTTCTGTCCTTAATTCTGGTTCCCCACCATTCTGCAAAGCTTCCCAGCTTCACCCTCCAGCTCTTCCTTTGCTGGATACACTTTCCCTCAGATTCATGTTCTTTTCCCCTTGTGATTTTCTCTGCCTTTCTGCTTGCCTTTGCCTTCCCATTTCTCTGTCTCTCCTTATCTCTCCTCTAGAAAATTTTTCTTTGCATTTACATTATTCTATCACCAAATAATCCCTTGTTGTTTATCTCTGTACATAAATATTAAAAATCCAATCATGATTTTGATGCACTGGGCAAAGCTCTGATTGAAAGAATCTAGTAGAATTACTTTATACAGGATGGAGTTTCTTGTAATGTGAGAAATCACTATCTAATTTTTGAGTCTCAAAAAGGCAAGATTTCCTTTAGTCATATGCTTGATGAGAATATAAAATGGCCTTAAAAAGTAAGGCTTTATACATTAATATTTATATTGCTACTCCATCCTCAGCATGCCTCAAACCAAATTCATTATCTTTTTTCCTCCAACATCCTTTCCTTTTCCTGGATGGATGGCATCACTAGCTTCAAATGTGCCTGGATTAGAAGCATCCATCATTGTCGCTTTCTCCCTGTCCATCATCCCCACATTTAAGGGCTCTCTCTCCCCAACTTTTCTTACCCTTTCTTTCTCCATTCCATTATTGCTATCTAGTCTTAGTTCATCATTGTTATTTGTTTTGTTATTATAGTCTCTTAACTAGCATCCTTGTCTTAAAAGCTTACTTCTTCAAAATACCCTCCACCATTATGCTTTTAAAATGCCTGACTGAAACATTGCTCCTTACCTGAAGTACTTCCAGTAGCTCACCATCGTCTACAGAACAATTAAAATCCAAATTTGGGGTGGCATTTAAGGCCCTTGTTAACCATACCCTCCTTTACCTTTACCTTGCTGGCATCAACTTTTTTTATATACCCCATACACCACATTTCCCCACATTTACTTTTTCTTCAATTCTAACAAGGATGTTTATCTTTCCCACTCTCCATTTATGACCCAGCTACCTGTGATGCTCCAGGATATCATTAGCACAAATAGGGGTGGGGGAGCTAATGAGATCAGAAACGAGAAGCTCTGTAGGGAGGACTCTAAACTGTAACAGTGGTCAGCAATTCTCTCATTACATAAAAATTGTGAATAAAATTTGAAACTGTCATGAGCAGTCTAAGGCCAAGATTTCTACTAAAGAACATACCACTTGTTTAAGCCTGAGAAATTTGCCAACCCTTGCCAACTCTTTCTTTCCCTGTATAAGCTGAGCTCTGTTATTTTTGTCCCCACGTGGGTTCTTCAACTGTGACTACCACCTGAAGTCCTGCTTTAAACCAGAGTGAGTTTTCCTTTCTCACTCTCCTTTTCTCTTCCTTGCTGCTGGCTTCCACCCTTTGTATTAGATCACTTGACCTAAAGCCATAAAAACCCTAGAAGAAAACCTAGGCATTACCATTCAGGACATAGGCATGGGCAAGGACTTCATGTCTAAAACACCAAAAGCAATGGCAACAAAAGACAAAATTGACAAATGGGATCTAATTAAACTAAAGAGCTTCTGCACAGCAAAAGAAACTACCATCACAGTGAACAGGCAACCTACAAAATGGGAGAAAATTTTCGCAACCTACTCATCTGACAAAGGGCTAATATCCAGAATCTACAATGAACTCAAACAAATTTACAAGAAAAAAACAAACAACCCCATCAAAAAGTGGGCGAAGGACATGAACAGACACTTCTCAAAAGAAGACATTTATGCAGCCAAAAAACACATGAAAAAATGCTCATCATCACTGGCCATCAGAGAAATGCAAATCAAAACCACAATGAGATACCATCTCACACCAGTTAGAATGGCAATCATTAAAAAGTCAGGAAACAACAGGTGCTGGAGAGGATGTGGAGAAATAGGAACACTTTTACACTGTTGGTGGGACTGTAAACTAGTTCAACCATTGTGGAAGTCAGTGTGGCTATTCCGCAGGGATCTAGAACTAGAAATACCATTTGACCCAGCCATCCCATTACTGGGTATATACCCAAAGGACTATAAATCATGCTGCTATAAAGACACATGCACACGTATGTTTATTGTGGCACTATTCACAATAGCAAAGACTTGGAACCAACCCAAATGTCCAACAATGATAGAATGGATTAAGAAAATGTGGCACATATACACCATGGAATACTATGCAGCCATAAAAAATGATGAGTTCATGTCCTTTGTAGGGACATGGATGAAATTGGAAATCATCATTCTCAGTAAACTATCGCAAGAACAAAAAACCAAACACCGCATATTCTCACTCATAGGTGGGAATTGAACAATGAGATCACACGGACACAGGAAGGGGAATATTACACTCTGGGGACTGTTGTGGGGTGGGGGGAGGGGGGAGGGATAGCATTAGGAGATATACCTAATGCTAGATGACGAGTTAGTGGGTGCAGCGCACCAGCATGGCACATGTATACATATGTAATTAACCTGCACAATGTGCACATGTACCCTAAAACTTAAAGTATAATAAAAAAAAAATAGATCACTTGAATATCTATACTTATCAGAACTGAGCCCAAGTTCTTTTACCTTACAAAGGATATTTGGTTTAATAAGGTACTTAAATCAGTTTCTTATTATTTGAAAGTTGTTTTTGTTAAAAGTTATCCCTCACTTATACTTTTAATGTTAACTCCTACTAGTTTTCCTTCTATCACCCCCGCTCAAAACCAGGACCTTCGCTATGGCAAGATAATTGCAGGAACAGAATGTAACACTGAAATATCTCTGCTTCTTCCCCAGCAGCCTTTCTGCCTAGATAACTGCAGTAGAACTTACTGAATGATACAGATGAAATTGTTTATGAGACCTTATTGCAACAATAGCACATCAGATGCTTGTCAAATCTGGGCATGTTCTTATTCCTCTTTGCCGACTTCTCCATTTCTATATATTTTGGTAATTTGAATGGAAGTTTGTTTAGGGATGCTTAAAATCCCTGAATGTCAGATGTTTTCTTGTTTGTCGACGTGATATACACTTAAAAATTCCGTCGCTATTTTCTTTACATCTCCAAAAGAAACAAATTATCTCATCTTAACTTTGTTTTAATTTTACGTTTAATTTTTGAAAAGTGATCATGCTATTTCAGTCATAGGGAGGAATGCAAAAGTTTATTCTAGTGAATATTGTAGTGAGCCTTGCCTTCAATGTCTGAAGGTTTTTTTTTCTGCCAAGGTAATTATTCATTTCTTGCTCTGCACCTCTAAAGCCATATTCATATCATTCTTTAATGGTATTTCTTTGTATTTTATTATAATTAAATAGCTACTCTTCCCGATTTGGGGTTTTAAGGTCAGAGACCATTGTAACATCTTTTGCTCTTGGTTCTAACAAACTGTCAGAGTTAATGCTGCAAAGGTTGTGACCTATTTGTCTTTATATCCATGAATAGGAGTACATAACTCTAATATAAGGCGGGCTTTAAGAATTGTGATAAAATTGATGAATCAAATGGTTTTTAAAACATTTTGGGCCATAGGTAATAAGGAAGTCCAGGAAATTATACTAGCAATCACCATCTCTTGAGTACTAGGCCAAGGACTTTATATGCAGTCTGACTTTAGTCCAAACCACATCCTAACACTATTAGGCATGATAGTCTTTGACAGCAGAAAACTGAGATATTGTACTTCTGTAGGTTTATGTTATTTCAGTGATTGGACAGGACAGAGGAACTCATCTTTACTCTCTATAACACTAAGAATTATGCTCTGTTTAACCTTATTTTATTTAAATTTTATAAATTAGGTCAGGTGGGTGGCTCATGCCTGTAATACCAGGACTTTGGGAGGCTGAGGTGGGAGAATTGCTTAAACCCAGGAATTCAAGACCAGCCTGGGCAACATAGCAAGACCTCACCTCTAGTAAAATAAAAAAAAAACAAGCTGGGTATGGTGGCGTGCATTTGTAGTCCTGGCTACTCAGGAGGCTGAGAGGGGAGGATCACTTGAGCTCAGGAATTCAAGGCTGCAGTGGGCTGTGATTAGGCCACTACACTCCAACCTGGGCAACAGAACAAGATGCTGTCTCGCTGTCTTGCTGTCTGGCTCTCTTGCTGTCTGGCTCTCTTGCTGTCTGGCTCTCTCGCTGTCTCGCTGTCTCACTTTCTGGCTATATATATAACGCATTACGATTTATTTCTGTTTTCAGATGTAAAACACTGAGGTTCAGAATGTTAAATACTTTAGTGACCCACATGACTCCCAAGGCGGCAGGTAGTTATTACCTCATTACACTACAAATGATTAAAATACAAAATATACAACATGAAGTACTAGACAGCCATAAAATAGAATGAAATCATGTCCTTTGCAGTAACATAGATGCAGCTGGAGGCTGTTATCCTACATTAACTAATAAAGAGGAAACCAAGTACTGAATGTTCTCACTTCCAAGTGGGAGCTAAGTATTGGGTACACATGGACACAAGGAAGGGAACAATATACACCAGGGATTCCAAAAAAAGGAGGAAGGGAGGGAGGCAAAGGTTCAATAACTACCTATTGGTAGTATGCCCACTACCTGGGCGACAGTTTCAATCATACTCCAAACCTCAACATCACACAATATACCTTTGTAACAATCTTGTACATGTGCTTCCTGAATCTAAAGTAAAAGTTAAAAAATAAAATGTTTTTATTAAAGAAACAAAACCCCAGAATACCAACTTTCTAAATTAATTCTATAGAAAAAGATTGTTCAGGGTATATTTAAATTGCTTTAGACATGCAAACAACTTTCTATGGTTTTTGAACATTTTTAAAGTACATTTTTTCACAAAGTGATGTCAATACAGATATTTTCTTGATTAAATCACAATTACCCAAGAACTTCTAAAATATAGCTTAATTTCAGGTCTTTGCTGTATCTGGAAATATTAAGATCACTTTGATTGAAAATACTCTGAATTCCAATTCCCCCAATTCAAAGTGGCTCTATCCCTTGTCTGAATTAGTGTGCTCTGACTCTGTCCCCTGACTGAGTATGAAGCACTCCTCAGACCTGTGATTGAAATATAAGAAAGCTAAGTGTATTTTGGGAATAGGATTAAATTCAGGTCCTATCTCCCAAGTTGATAAATAATTGTAAAGTCTGGAAAAATGTTTAACAGAATATGCCTCGAGCCCTTTGAGCACTATTCAATTTTTACTTAACTGTATGGCCTGGATTCTATACTCCCCAGAAAATGGGCAGCTGTTGCCTCAGGCTTTTCTCAACAACTTTTGTTTTCTCCCTCCAGAATCATTAAGACGTGAAGCCTACAAGGATTTAATTCCTCTCCATCTCTGAACCCATCCTCCATGATGGAAAGGACATTAAAAATAATCTATGATATTCCTTTAAGCTCATTTCAATCTTTTGAAATTATTTTCACTTAGCTCAAGGCAGACAACAATGGTAAAAACTCGAAAAACATTGTTGTATCAAATACATGATTATAGCCTGATTTAGAAGTAATCCTCTTTACTAAAATGTTACTCAGAATCCCTAAGGATAAAATAGAATTCCAGGTAGGATAGGATTAGTGTTAACTGGAGTTTTGAAATTTCTTAGTCCTAGGCACACCGACACAAAAGCATTTTCTAACATTTTATAAGGAAACTTATTTATACTGTGTCTAGCAATTTTTTTCTCTACTGTTCTTGTAGGTTGATATGCTTACCTAGAAAAATAATAGCGAGAAACTTAAGACAGTCTAGTTTTTAAAATTCATTTGATTTTCACTGGGTTATTCTATAACATATGTTTGCTTATTCCATATTTTAATACTTATATTCTCTTTTAACACTGAAATGCAATCATTATATGAAATATTTAAATGATTCATAATATTTATCTTTTCTCCTTAATACATGTAAGTGATGCTATATCCTAGCATCCATGTAAATGATGCTAATAACTTACGAAATATTTTAAAGTATCTCCAAGAACAGAAAAAAACATTTACTCTACTAGATTTTCTGAAAATATAAAGTGGAACCACACAGCTTCTGTCTGGATAAATGCCCTTAAAACCATAGGAGTTGTTTTAGTTAGTCCAGGCTGCTATAACAGAATATTACAGATAGTTGACTTAACAGACATTTTTTTTCTCTGGAGACTGGGAAATCTGAAGCCAGGATGCCAGCATAGTGAGTTCTGGTGAGGGCTGTTTTCCTGGTTTGCAGGTGGTTGTTGTCTCATTGTATCCTTACAGGGTGGAAAGAGATCCTGTGTTTCTTCCTTTTTTTTTTTTTTTTTTAAGCTAAAGGCATTAATTTTATTAATGAGAACTCCACCTCATGACCTAATTATATCTAAAAGGCCTAACCTCCTAATACCATCACATTGGGTGTTAGTATTTTAATATATGAATTTTGAGGGGACACAAACCTTTAGCACATAACAGCGGTTAATTATGTTTCAAATGCTTATGTTGTTGGTGGCAAGACCATCTCATTCAAATTGCACTTTTCTTAATCAACACATGTCATTCACATGTCAGGAGCAGTTTGAGCCTCAGCATAATGAGGACTTACGATAATTTAAAGGTTTGGATTATGTCTGAAAAGCTATATTAAATCTATGGGCAACTGCTGTAGATTACTAACTGGTCTTCCTGCCTCCATTTTTGTTCCCAGAGCTTATTTATTTCTCACATAGCAGGTAGAATGAACTTTTGAAAATATAAGTCAGACCAAATCCCCTATGTGTTCAAAATTCCTCTAAGAGATCATAGTTAGAGTATAATGAAAACTCCTTGCCATGGCCTATTAGGCCAAAACTTGTTTCCTGACCACTCCTTCTCATTCACTCTTCTCTAGCCCCTCTGGCCTGGCTCTGCTGCCAAACAGAACAAAGTTCAGCCCATTCCTGGCCCTTACACTTGCTGATGGATCTGCCTTTAGATCAACACAGGGCTTACTCTTACTTCATTTAAGTCTCTGCTCAAATATTTTCAGCGTGGTCCTAAGGGGGCTTTTCCTGACCACCCCATTGAAAAATGCTTGCTTCTTCACATAGTCTTTTTGCTTCCATTGACTTATTTTTCTTCACAACATTAGTTACTGTCTAAAACTATAATATTATTTACTTGTTTGCTTGTTTATTGTTAGCTTCCCTCTCTATAAGATAAGTACGCTGAGGGCAGAATCATGGAGCTAAGAGCAGTCTGGAGCTGAGAGCAGTGTATGGGCACGGTGGGGACACTCAAAGTTTCTGGTGAATGAATGAATCATTCACATTGAAATACAATGAGCAATGTTTCATTCCCCTGAATCATAATTTGTCATTCTGAATCCTATCTCTTATCACTTCTTTAGGGTGCTGTCTCTCCCAGATTATACCTTCTATGTACTCTTTTTCAGTTGCTGCCTCTTTATGTGAAGCTTCTTGTCCATGATCAGATAGTCTCAATTAGAATTATGTTCCCAGACCTTGCTTTCTAAGTGACAACTTTCTAAGATTCTTGCTTTTCAACTTTAAGATACAGTAATAATTACCTCAGGGATATTATGAAAATTTATTTTATGTGTTTCTTTATTCTTCTATTACTCAATCTCTCAAAGGCATTTGGCAAACTTCATCCTTCTTGAAACACGTTATTTCCTTCGCTTTGAGTATAAACTACTCTCCTAATTGTCTTCCCCTTTATTTAGCCCTTGCCTCTCTATTTCTTTCCAAATTCTAGTGTTAATATGTTCTGAAGCTAAATTGGTTTCTCCTCTTTTTCCTTCTCCCTCTGTTCTCCTCATCTCTCCCTCTTCCTCTGCTCCCTTTTATCTTCTTTCTAATATTTTATCTTTTGGTAATCTAAACCATCCTCATCATCCTCATTTCTTTAATTAACTTCTATTTCTCAATAAATTACAAATGTTTGTCTCCTGCCTTGGCTTCAGATTAATAAATACAACTGCTGAGTTGATACATAACTTAGATGTATATATCACTTTACTTATTCAAAATTAGATGTATATTTTGCTTTACTTGCTCAAAACAGTTGTCTTGATTCCCTCTACTTAATTCTTTCCCTCTCTTCTCTATTAGTGACAACATTTATACTTTCAGTTGCTCAACCAGAAACCTAGGTTTTACCCCGATACTTGTCTTCTTTTCATTACCCATGCCCAATTGACCAATTGACCAGCAAGATTTGCATGTTCTGCCTCCACATTGTCTTCAGTCATCCATCTACTTTTCTTCATCTTTTCCACACCTCAGGGGAGAGTCTTCCAATTATTTCCTTTATGTCCACTCTTGAATTTCTCTCCAAATTTGTTTTCCACCCTGCAGCCAGGACATGTACTTCCAACCATACGTAACTCTCTTGCTTAAACAAACATTTCAGTGGCTTTCCTTTGCTAATTCAGTAACATTGACTTCCTCATAATGCTCTACTAGGCATTCCATGGCTGGCATTTCTAATCTTTATTAACCCAGGTCTTTCATATCTCCTCCCAGCTAATCAAACTCCAGCTTCACTCATTTTCTTTCTTTTTCTCAGACAAACGAGACCATTTCTTGCCTCAGGATATTGTCACTTGCCTCTCCTTTTGCTCAAGGTGGTTAATTTTCTAGACCATCATATGGCTGGATCCTTCTTATCCAGGTTTTAGCCTAAATGTTATCTTCTCAAAGAGACCTTTCAACCTAACCTGTGCCTTCTGCCTCCAAGCTCTTCTGTTATGTCTTCCAGCTTATTTCCTTTATGATAGTTTACATTCTGAACTTAGTTTTTTTCTGTTTACCTTTTTCACTGTTCATATTCCCTAAAGCCACCATATCCATGAGGGCAGAAAATATGTTTTTGTTCACTGTTATGTCCCTGAATCCTAGAATATTGCACAGACCATTCAACTAATATTTATTGAATGAATGAAATGAGATTACACAAATAATGCACTTGGTATTGTGTTGGTACACAGTGGGTGCTTAATAAACATTAACTCTTGTTAAAAGTATTGTTTCTCTCTGATCTTGTGACTTCAACATTGTAACCTGGAAGAGAGAGATTGATAAAGGTTATTGCTTCTACTCAATGCTTAAAACAGTTAATTATGTTTCCTTCTTTCTTTGAAGTAAGCCTAAGAGATACTTTTAGCAGCTCTCTCAAAAGAGGAACTACCTGGCCGTATTATAGTCTTTAGTCCTAGTAAACATGGGGTGGTGGGGGGCAGGCATTCAGGCATTAATTAATTTACTCAATATTTGTTGAGTACTTATTAAGGTCTCAGGTCTACTTTAGTTCTGTGGAAAGTAAATGTGATTGTTTCTGCAGTGTCATTGAGTAAAGTAAATTAGTTACGAACTTTATAACAATATATGAATAATACAGTAAGTGCAAGGAGAGAAAACTTTTTTCCCAGGAGTAGTATCTGGAATGAGCTTTAAAATATAGGTAAAGAGGAGAGGTTCCTGTGATGGCTGTTTCAGATACCTTATTGGATGCTTTATGGGAAACTTCTCCTCAAATATGTTCTATTTTCCTCATACTTCCCTTTCTGCGACAATCATGTAACCTGTCATCCAAGTGAAGAAACTACCTTTCTACCTCCAAAACTATGACCAGATTGGGTTGACTCTGTATCGATCCTGTAATTCCCTCTCTTTGTATCCTTTTGTAATTGCCTTTGTTCTGGCATTTGCCCCTCCAGCCCACTCTCCATTTCATTGTCACAATAATTTTTCTAAAACAGTAAATCATTGTATTTCTTGAAATTCTCCAACAACTAGGGATTTCCTGTTGTGTGTGTGTATGTATGTGTTTTAAAATATTCCTTTGAATAAAATAGAAACTGAGTTCAACATACATTATGCTTTACTCCAGAACATATAGTCTCCACTCAACTCTGAGAACTCACTTTCAGTTTCCCACACTTGCCAGAGCCTCCTTCACATCTGTGCATCAGCACATATCTTCTTACTAGGTCTAGATAATTCTTGTTCATATTTTAAAATTCAGCTCTGATATCATTTCCTCCTGAAAGCTCTCCCTAATCCAACTTGGCCTAGATGGTTACAACTTTGTGTTCTTGTGATACTACTTCCTGGTACTCAGTCTTTTCACACTGTGTTCCCTGTTGTTCTCTTCCTGTGGAATCATTGTCTTTCATGCCTGTGATTTCAGTTCCGAACATAGTCTATTATACATATTTTTATTTTTAAATAGTTATTTGTGAAATATTATATAGGCCTGAGTCTCAATATATCAAAATCTCTCTACTAAGGAAAGTATGGGCTATAGAATATATCTATTCCAATCATTTTCTTCTGACCTATGTGCTATTACAGCCCATTATTTGTTCTGTCATTTTATTTTTTATTTTTTTATTTTTATTTTTTGAGACGGAGTGTCGCTCTGTCCCCCAGGCTGGAGTGCAGTGGCGCGATCTCCACTCACTGCAAGCTCTGCCTCCTGGGTTCACGCCATTCTCCTGCCTTAGCCTCCCAAGTAGCTGGGACTACAGGCTTCCACCACCACGCCCGGCTAATTTTTTGTATTTTTTGTTGTTGTTGTTAGAGGTGGGGTTTCACCGTGTTAGCCAGGATGGTCTTGATCTCCTGACCTCATGATCTGCCTGCCTCGGCCTCCCAAAGTGCTGGAATTACAGGCATAAGCCACTGCACCCGGCCTGTTCTGTCATTTTTAATTCCACACATTACATATTGTTTTGCCTTTTTATTCTTAATCCAAACAGTGTTTAATGAGAATTTTCTACACATTTACCAACTATTTTGTTCTTCATTTCCTTTTTTGTCTTATACTTCTCTTTGGTGTGATTTTCCTTTTTCTTGGAATCCCTCCTGGTAGTTCTTTATTGGAGTTCTGTCGACAGTAAATACATCACGCCAGTAATCCTAGCACTTTGGGAAGCTAAGGCATATTATAGTAGGTAAAGGCAAATGCAATTATCCGGTAATATCTATACAATCTGGAAGTTTACATCCTGTTTGGCTTCTTGGACAACTTCTGCCTTATATTGAGCAGCATTTCAAACTCAGCATTCATCCTTTTTCACATCTCCCAAAACATCTTAGGTCAGCAAGACCTGTACTAGAGTTCAGAAACTGAGGCAAAGAAAAAAATGAGAACATCAAAAGACTTTAATATCTCATGTTAACAATGGAACAAATGAAGAAATAATAGTTGCTAGGTGTTAATGGTATAATTCTGATAATAAAATAGATTTTTCCTTCTGTCTTTTATAACAAAGTAAATTGTTTTGTGAAAGAGAATTCTTAAGAGATGGTCTTGCCTATGTTTAATCATGTCCATTGATGGCAAGTTTATTCCCCCTTGAAGTGGTTCATTCATCTTAGTGGAAAACATAATGTAGAAGGCCTTAAATGAGGCTGAGTAACAACAATGGAAATATAAACAACTGCAGGAAGTGCTAGAGGAGAGAAAGAGGCAAAATGTCATGTTTTTCTAAAAACATGAGGATGCAGAGTTCATAACAATACATTTGGGATTTTAATATTAACCTTAAAAATCTAGAAAATATTATTTTAGAGATTCACTGATTAAATGTAAGATTCTAAACTTGGTTGCAAATACTACCATCAGAAATAAAGATAGGAGAGGATTTGGCAGCATCACATTTGAGAAGGGAAATTTTTGGAGTTGAAATAGAGGATAAATTCAATATGGTTTGTCTGAAAAAAGAGATCATGCAACTTTCTCTTTTAAAATTCCCTTTCAAGAGAGAATTTTTCTTGTTAGAGAAGACAAAAACATTACATAATCTCTATTTTCTTTATTATTCATCAGAATTATACTATTGACCTCAAGTAGGCCATGTAGCACTTCTCTGTTTGTTTTATTACTGAATACAACCATCTGAGGCTACGTTACGAGAAATGTAGTCTTGAATAGGAAGTGATAGTCGCTCTGTATCTGCAGTGCAGCTAATGTTCAGATACTTGGAGCATGCATTCAATTTTGAAAGCCAGATCATAAAAGCTATTGGAACAACTGCAGACATTTTAGGGAATGGTCAGGAAGATGAAAGAACTCAAAATCTTGCCCTACAAAAGATGGTGGAAGATATTTAATCCAGAAAAAGGTAGGTGTTGAAGAAACATGTTAACTATTTTTCTCTCAATTTAAAGAAGAAAATTCCAGTTGCCCAGAAATCAGTCAGCCTCTTTTGGAGAAGTGAGTTTCCCATCAATGGAGATGTTCAAGCACTGAGTGGACTATTATTCACCAGGGATATTGTGGGAATATGTTGTCAGAAATGATGAGGAATTAGGTCCATTCTAAATTTGAAATTCAGTAGATGGTGAAGTACTTCATATATTAATATTTTGTTTTTAAATTGAGCTACTCCTGTCAAATTAATTGAACGACTACTCTTTTTAGTAAATTACGTAATTTATTCCGTAATTTATTCTAGGAGAGCTAGCCATTCTAAACAGAATAATCCTCTTAAGTATGGTTTTGAGGGATGGTGACTTAAATTTAACAGCTCAAACTAATTCTGAGGCAACATCTGTCAAAACCAAAGGAGGAAGCCTGCTGCTTTTTTAAAATTTTATTTTATTTTATTTATTTTTCATATTTTTTTTATTGCTGAGTCTTGCTCTGTCGCCCAGGCTGGAGTGCAATGGTGCGATCTCAGCTCACTGCAGCCTCCACCTCACAGGTTCAAACAATTCTCGTGTCTTAGCCTTCCAAGTAGCTGGGATCACAGGTGTAGGTCACCATGCCTGGCTAATTTTTGTGTTTTTAGTAGAGATGGGGTTTCACCATGCTGGCCAGGCTAGTCTTGCATTCCTGGCCTCAAGTGATCTGCTTGCCTCGGCCTCTCAAAGTACTGGGATTATAGGCATGAGCCACCATGCCCAGACAGTCAGCGGCTTTCTTAACAGGCCATGTTTGAAGCCTACTATGAATTTGAGGCCATAGTTGATAACAATTTGTCTATATCAGCGGTTCTAAAGTAGGGGCATTTTGCAACCCAGGAAACATTTGGCAACGTCTGGAGATATTTTTGGTTTTCAAAACTGGAAGGGTTGCTAATGTTGGCTAGAGACCAGGGATGCTAGTAAATGCACAGGACAGTCTCTCAGAGTAAAGAATTATCTGGTACAAAATGTCAATGGTGCTAAGGTTGAGAAATTCAGGCCTAATTAAGAGGTCTCTTCCCCTTGATCCCAATGTTACTCCCTTTCTTTATCCACAGATTCTATTTTTATCTGTTGTTATTGTTGTCTTGTTGTTGCTTTTTAACATGTATTTTTATTTATCCTGAATAGGGAACACAAGATTTCTGGATCAGAAAATAGACTAATTATTTCTAATAGAGCATCTTGCTATCAGTTCGCCAGACCCCACTTTCCCACAGGGAGGTACTGTGAAGGCCTAGTGACCCTATGCATGCACCATGGGAGAAGAACCCCAGAATTACGAATCTTGGAGCTTATATAGGGTGGCTGGAATGTGTATGCATTCTGCCACCAGAAGATGCAGGGAGCCATTTTCTCTGGATTGTAAATAATTCTTCTCTGGAAAGAGGAGGGGAAAGGTCTTTATTCATCACCCTGGAAGGTAAAAGCATAGCTCCAAGGAAAGTTAAGACTTTATGTCTCTCAGGGGTCTCTATTTTTAAAATTTCTATTCAATTATTCTTTAATCCAGCTTGCCAGCAATCTCTGTTCAGAAAGCTCTCACCACGAAGAAACATAAAAATTATCCATAAAACATTGAATACAAACACTATTCAGAAGTTTATTCCTTTTCTCGCCCCTGCCATCTAATTCTCCCTCATCTCCCTGTATGTCTCCTTAAGTAGTTAAGAGTTACCTTGACTGCCATTCTTGAACTATTGAGAGAAACTCATGATGCTTAAATGAAGCTCTGAACTCTTGGATTTCCTTAAAAACAAACAAGATTCCTCCAAATGAAGTGTGTGTGTGTGTGTGTGTGTGTGTGTTTTAAAATAGAAATCTGTGTGCCTAATTTACCTTATTTGAACTATAATGAAATGTGATTTTCACAGGTTATGGCTCACTAAAACTTTAGACAATATTTTCCTGAAAAGTGTGTGTAAATTTAATTTTTGTAAATTTAATATTAACCACACAAAGGGAGCACTGTGTTTAGAGGAACTCTATGATGAACGCTTTTGTAAAGTGGTTTCCAATGTAAATGTGGTCTCACGTTTAATTTCTCTCGTGAAAGCACATAGAAACAAACTGAAAGAGTCTTGCTTCTGAATTATTTTCTGTTTGTTTCTTGGAGGCTATTAATTTTATACACTGAAGACTGTCTTATATCCAATAATTTTAGTTGAACGAGAACTAAAAATTTTAATTAAAAGCCCACTAATTTGGGTAACTGTGCCACTTTGTTGAAGAGAGTCTCATTTCCCATACACACCATTGTTTCAATTTTGGCCTTTTCACTACCTTACCTTTGTTTTTAAGGCTTGTGCAGCTTAGCTGCATTCAGCTTTATGTTCTGAAGAGCTCATAATGTGCGGGGATTTACTTGAGACAGTCTGTTCACAAGTTGTCTGGATTGTTTTGAAAATAATATTTAAAAATGTACCTTTTAAAAATACAAATCATATTCTGGTTTGTTCCCTATATTACAGCAATAATTAATTGCTATCTGATAGAATTCCTCTCTTAGTTACAAGCAAATAGCTATAAGGTTTAATTATTAAAGCGCTCTAGGCAGGGAAAATCTGTGCCTACTGTAGAAATGCTTGTTTTGTTGCAACTTTAAGTAGTTTTTGATATTTTCCTTTGACATTCATCTCTTTCCAGACACATGTATAAAATTAGGTGCGAATTTTGAGTGTTCACAGGTGCCTTGCATGCATCACCTCATTTAATTTCCATTATAACCCAGTTGAGTAGGTATTTTCATCTCAGGAAGAAACATTTCAGAGAGCATGAACATTGCTCACTAGGACCGAGAAGCTTAGGAACAGCACAGAGAGGATGGTGTGGCATCACAGTCCCTGTCAGTGCTGGGTGTCCTCGTGGTGTGAGCCTCAAAGGGACAGAGTGGCCCATGAAGGCAGCATTGGTGGTGCTGTCCATGGTGACACTGGGGATTTAAGAAGACTCTCAGTGTAAATCGAGACCAGAAAAGATGCAATAGAAGTAAATCAGTATGTCACAACAAACTCAGTCACAGGAAAGGAGAATGAAGTGGGTAGTGTATGGAAGGTAATATTTTCAACTTTTGTGTTCAAAGTCTAAAAGGTGAGCTAGTTACTATGTTTTAAGCAAATAAAAGATTTTTGATGCATGAGTTTTGTGTCTAAAGACAACCAAATTAGAGAACGTGACTTCACATTTAAATTTTTCCTGGGCACAAGAAAGCCTCCTAAACACCTAAATGATAAAGTCACTCACTCATTTTCTCATCTTGTCAGTCAATTACATTTATGAGCACCAGTGTGTATGTACCAGGCAGTATTCTAAAAAGTGGGGATGCAGAGGTAAACAAAACTGTCAAGATTCCTGGGAAGATCCTTGGGCTAACTTCAATGTGTCTGTGTGTGTCTCTGTGTGCAAGTTGATAACAAACAAATGCATAACTAAACAAGAGCAACAATCAGTGAGTGATTAGAACTATGAACAAAATTAACATCCAGTAATGCCATACAGGATGACACAGTGGCTACTATTGATTGACTAGTCAAGCAATACTTCTCCGGAAAAGAAATTTATTCCAAGATCTAAATGACAAAGAAATAGACATGCAAAAGTGGGGGTTGAGGAGAGTGGTGGGGGCCCTTAGTACAAGGACTGTACAGCCAGAGAACAATCTTTCTGAGTTTGGGAAACCTGGGGTGGGGCTAGTGGAAGATGAGAAATGCAGTGGTAAGAGATGAGGTCACCGAGGACTGCAGGGGTAGCTTTTGCTGGGCTTAAGTGAATTTTATTCCAAATGCAATGGGAAACCTCTGAAGGCTTTTAGGCAGGACACTGAAAAGTTAAGATTTGTTCAATCTCCTTGTCTATAAAGTAGGTATAATATTTACAATAGTCTCAATATATATTCTATCTTTGTGAAAAATAACCCACCACATATTAAATGCTCAATAAATATTACAAATATAATATATATCTGTTAAAATGGCCATTTTTCTTCATAGAAATATACCGTAGATGCTGTAAAGCTAATATCTTGGAGATTTAAAGAGTAGCAGAGATGCCAACTACTTTTATTTAGTGCCTTCTGTATTATATTATCCAATTTAATCTGCACTTCAACTTTCTTCAGGGGAAGAAAGGTTAAGAAACTTGCTCAAGGTCACACAGCTAAGGGCAGAACCAGAATTTCAGTTTCACTGTCGGTCCTTCTGACTCTGAAGTTAATGCTCTTTCTTCTGTGCCATGTGACACAAGGAAAATGTGTGCCCTGCATTCTCTTGTTGGCCTGTGTTTGTAGCAGATGATCTCTTCTCAAAGGCCTTCCAGATTTTATCGAGCCTGGATTTTATGAGTAGTTTGGCACATCTACTATAAATCACAAAACAGTCTGCAGTAATTTGTTCTGGGCATCACCATATTTGACTAAATGATACAGTAAAGTTGTATTTATAATTCAAGGATTCAGTTCTTTACATCTCTACATTTTATGTGTAGTCATTGAGAGGAAAACTACCAAAGAAATAGTCCCTGACTGAAGAGAAAACAGTGCTAAGGGCACTGTTTAAATACAAGATGTTATTATAATTGTTATTATTAAATGGATTACTGAGAGATAAATGCAGCAATAAAAAGAACATTTCTCCAGTTACCTAAACTGATGTATTCCACATGAAAGAGAACTTCCCTAAGGCACTAGTACACAGAAGATGATTGAATGAAAGGCTTTGTAGTGGAGAATTAAAACATGCCTGGGACAAGGAGGCTGTGCACTTAGATAAGTTTCATCGATTGAAGAAGCCAGCAGAGGCAATGATGGTACTGCTCAGTTACTCCTGGTGCAGGTGATGTGATGTGAGCATCTTTCATTGCTAAGGACTCACTTCCACTTTTATCTCCACCATGGCATCTTTGTGGATACGTGAGAGCTCTTGATAATACTGGGCTTTGTCAGTATTTGAAAGGTTATCAAGATTCTGCTGTCTTCAAAGATGGACAGATATTGACAAATAAAAACAAACCAGTCATCTGTATTTAAAATGGAAGAAAATTAAAATTTACCCTCACCTGTCTCTGCTGTCATTAAATCAGTTGCACTAAACTGCTTTACTACAATTCTTACTATTTCTTCTCTTTGATTTCTAAATATCTTTTCAATGAAAGATAATTTAAAAATAAATCACATTAGATGGTATAACTAACTAGTAAAGCTTATTCTAAAACTTTGAAGGCTTTTAATCATCCAGTAAGTGCAATGCATAATGTAAAGATTAATCAGTATGCACAAATGTATTCCTCTTTCTCTGTTTTTATCCTTACATTTTATCTTCCCATGAGAATAGAATTAGAGGTTTGGACTTACAATATTCAAGGTGGTTTAAGTTGTTTTTTGAGTGTTTTCTGTAAACCAAACACTATTCTAAGTTTTTCAGTGAAAAAAATGGTTTCTGCTCTTATGAGGTAGAGGCCCATCTTGGCATGATGATAGGCAATAAGCCCTATTCATAAGAAATATCTAAATTATATAATCTGCTAGAAGATGATGGTTGTTCTTGGGAAAACAAACAAGAGTAAAGACTTGAAGGAGATGATCATAGGATATTCAGTATATTTAGACTTTTTTAGTTCAAAATGATTATAGGCTAATGTTCAACATAAAAAGGAAAAGTTAATTTTGTCTGTGTCACAGAAAATGGATGAATTCGTAGGACCGCGCAGAGGTTTTTAAAGCAGGTTTTGCAGGTTTTCTCTCCTTTGTTAATTGCATGTTTTATTTAAACTACTTTTATAATCAGATGTCTCCAAAAGGAGCATCATCTCTTTCACTATTGGATGAACATGTTGTATGTTCCCCCATTTGTTCAGGGTATAGCACATTAGCTCTGATGAAAACAAACAGTAACAAAAACAAAAACTCCCCATATGTTGATGAAAAAAAGAACTAAAAGCTAGAATGATATCACTTTAGAACAGGACAAGTTCTTAGAGATAATTCAATCCCACCCCATTATGTCACATCTGGGTGTTTTGGCTCCAGCCCAGTGGTAGTTCTGACCACTGGGGTTGATCTCTTACCTCTGATCTATAAAAAGAATGACAGTCTCACAAGGGGATCTCTAACATGCTTGGAAGAGCATGTTAGAAGCATGCCCCAAACATTTTATTTTCCAACACACACCTTCATGAGAGAAGGAGAATAATCTATCCACTCCCCAGAGAACATGTTAGAAGCATCATCTCTTTCACTATTGGATGAACATGTTTTATGTTCCCCCATTTGTTCAGGGTATAGCACATTAGCTCTGATGAAAACAAACAGTAACAAAAAAAAAAAACTCCCCATATGTTGATGAAAAAAAGAACTAAAAGCTAGAATGATATCACTTTAGAACAGGACAAGTTCTTAGAGATAATTCAATCCCACCCCATTATGTCACATCTGGGTGTTTTGGCTCCAGCCCAGTGGTAGTTCTGACCACTGGGGTTGATCTCTTACCTCTGATCTATAAAAAGAATGACAGTCTCACAAGGGGATCTCTAACATGCTTGGAAGAGCATGTTAGAAGCATGCCCCAAACATTTTATTTTCCAACACACACCTTCATGAGAGAAGGAGAATCTATCCACTCCCCAGAGAACAAACCTGGGCAAAAGAGTCCACACCTTTCCAACCTCTAGAGAGCACCAAAGAGATGTACCAACACATGAGCTCTTACCTCTTGTGAAATCTCTCAGAGGTCACGCCCCTGCCAACATACTTGGTTTCTGTGGGACTTGCGCAGAGGACTAGACCCCCGCTCCACAAAGTGTGATTCTGTCTTGGAGCAGCAAAAGTGGCAGCATCTGGGAGCTTGTTAGAAGTACAGAATCTTGAAGGTTCTCCCAGACCTGCTGAACAGGGAGAGGATCCATAGGTAATTCAGGTGGCAGTAAGGACTGAGACACACTGGACTGAAAAAAACTCCGTGGGGGCTTTCCTGACTAGGGAAAAGCACCTCCCTGCTTTGAACTTGACCTTTGAATCCTGCACAATGCCTCTCAACAGCCAGCCCATCTGTGTTCTGGGAGAATTCAACCAACTATTCCATGCTAATAGTTATTAGACCAGCTTGACTGATTACTATGTCTAGTGCCCAATTTTGGCAGGCCTGTGGGCCGGTTTCTGAATGTGTTTCCCTTAGATGGAGGGGTGGATGAGAATTTGAATGGAACAAAAGAGGACTGTGCCAGTTCTCCCAGACATCTTGCACTCTGGCCAAACCCTCCCCTTTGCCCTCTCTTCCATGTGAGCCCAAATGTTTTAATCTCCTTTCTTTCTCCACTAGAGAATCTGGCTCTTTGAGCATTCAACTGTTCATTTGCTACACATTTGTTTAACATTATTGCAAATATTAGGGGATATTGTATGCAGGGGGGGACCTTGGTTTGGGGGAAAAAAAATAGAAAAATTATCCTATCTGCTCCAATACCTGAATTATTTTTACTTCTGTATTTTGTTCCTTTCTGACTTATTTTGATTTTGATATCCTATCCAGTTCTGTGCTTGCCTTTTGGAGATCCCAGGCTACTCATTGTTTACCTAATCATCACTACTCTGGCTTTCAGTAGAGCAACTCCGTCTGCTCTTATGTGAAATAAGCTTGTTGTTCCTTCCTTCCTTGGGCCAGGTGGAGGATCTCAGAATCACAACAGTTTTCCATTCTTTGCTTCATTTTCTAGATAACACTTATATGAGGCAAGGATCACTATTGTCTCAATTTTATAGACCAGGAAAATCAAAACTCAAAAAATTAAAGGGTTTCTTCAAGGTGCAACCCTTGGAGTTTATTGCTGAAGGAGACAGGTCCTGATGATGGATAACTGCAAAGGAAGTAAAAATTCAGTTTAACTTAATTTGAACTTCTAAAATATGTTTTAGGCAGGTTGTTTTAAGAAATAAGAGCTAAGATTATAGAGCCCAACCTTGTGCCCATGATGGACTAATTTACGGATGAGCAGACTGAGGGACAGGAAGGTTAAGAAGCACAGGAATTATCAGAGCTGGTGTATGAGCCCAGGCAATCTGTCTCCACTTTACTGTCCTATCTTGCAGTACTAAAGAATATGTAGGAACTACTTAAGAAAACACAAATATAGGTGTTTTCAATTATTCGTAAAACCCTACAGAAGGTAAAAGTTTTGTAAAGGGCAGGAAGTTCAGTTTTAGAAGAGCCAGATGCAATAATGCCTTATGTTTGAACAGAGATTTTCTCCAAAAAGATCAGTAATTTGCTTTATATCCCTGCCCACCTTCTGACCTAAGGCCTTCTTTGTTAATAAGGAAAAGATTAAAGGCGTGAAGAGAAAAAAATGAATTTCTCTATTTAAATAATCAAATAAAGTGGTGATTGCAGCTGAATACTCAGCTAAAACTTCAGCAGTCAAATGTGAACCAGCCTGAGATTAGAAGGGTTTAAAGCTCTCAAGCAAATCTGTAAGAGGTGGATCAGGGTCCACTCTTCATCAGAGCTGATTGTAGGTGGATGTTTAATGAGCACATGATATGTCTTCTGAAACAGAAAAACACCTTTTGAAATATAAGTTGACATTCACTCAGCTCTCCAAGATTCAGCCTTTCTATGTGATTGTGTGCTTCATGCTCATGTGCCAGAAATAAAAATAAAGTCTGGGAGTGGCAGGAAGATTCTGGGGCTCTGTGAGATGGGCTGATGCTTCAGGTGGCATATTTATTCCACGAATTGGAATAAATATGACAGATCAGCTTGGTCCATTCACTAGACTTGCACAAGGAGAGAGCGTTGGGGAAATACACTGGAGTCACATGTGTCAGGTGTTCTACTTTCTAAACTACCTTCAGGTGCTTAATTAATCCAAGGGGAAAAAATGTGGTTTATTTCCCAATAAGGATGGAAAGGCATGTTGGAAATTCCTCTGGTCAGTCAGTAACCAGATGGACACCCAATCCTGTAGATATTTCACTGAAGCATCTGTGGAAGAATGCATTGTGGGGACATGGGAAATATGGTCCCAGGGAAAATCTCTTTTATTTCACCATGGGGGTTCTATGCTTGCTCATGGCTTAGGAGTAGAGATAGGAATTGTTTCAGGTTATCTGAGGCTAATCCCAGAGCCTACTCTGAGCTTCAGGCTATGTTCTTGAGGCCATGTGTCAATTTTGATACATATCCTCGGGTGGTTTGTGTCCAGTGGAGCTCAGTGCAGTTTTGACTTTCAGTGTCCTCTCTGAAAGTTTGAGAGGAAATAAAGGAAGTAGGGAAGGGATATGTGAACTCTTGGGCTACTTCTCAGTATAATTTGGAGTCCTCTGGTACTGCTGACCCTCCCCAGAGCTGGCACACTAGTTCTTTATGCAACACTCCTAGGACATGTTCCATGCTACTAAAGCTGTTTGAAGCAAAGCATTGGCAGCAAGAAGGCCTCAGCTTTCATTTATTGGAATACAAATGACTACTAAAATGCAGTTTCCTGTTTGCACAATTACTATGGTGTATACATTTATAGAACACTCCTTGGGCACTTTAGCTGTGGGGGAGTACCAACAGAAGCATTTTAGTCATTTCTAATCTATGTTTACTTTTTGTTGTCACAGAATTTCTCTTCTGAATCCTTAGATATGAGATAAAGCAATCAACAGTTCCTTATTTAACATTCTCTAAGGTTTCTCCAAGTCAGGCACCATACAGGGCAAGTACAAAGTTTTTGTTCTTGGAAACCTGATGGGAATACAGTATATATGCACATATATAACAAAAGGCAAAAGGCATTCTGTTATCATTTGATATAAATATATAAAATATATATCTGAACATACACATGAAAGTATCACCTCTTAAAATCCTTTAAGTAACATTTTTATTAAATAACTTTAAGAAAACTGTATTGACCACACAGAAGCACATGTCCAGCATAATACATAAAATCAACACTTTAACCTAAAAGCAATGTCTAAAAATAATGTTATTAAACTTAAAAATAATGTTGTTCACCAAAATTTCTGTAAAGACTGATAAGGGCCTATTTGTACTGTCGTTTTCATTTACCCCATGATTTAAGATATCTCAAAATGGCCCCTTATGTTTAGGGAGTAATTGCGAAGTAAGAAAACAACTGGTTGAGGCATGCATGCCTTTTTATATCACAATCATTAAACATGTTTTCTTTAAGGTACTAGCAATAGCAGCCTAAGAATCAGAACCAAGGATGCCATTTATTCTGGTGAGAGGTGTTTTGTCAAGCTTAGTGACCTGGGTTAGAATCTTTTCCCTATCACTTTATAGCTGTATGTCCTAGAATAAGTGACTTACAATTGTTAAACTGTTTCATCTGCTGACAATGGGGAAATAATAGATTCTAGGGTTCCCATGAGTATATAAAGCATACATACAGTATATAAAATGCTTAGCTCTAGTGCTTGGTTTACGATAAACACTAAAGTTGTGTTATTGTCATGATCATGGATGTGTGAAGAATTTAAAAAGTTAGAAACCTTTCACTTTGATTTTGTTATTTTGTTCAGAACAATTAAGATTGTGCATTTCACATAGGCGTTAATAGAGCTTGGTTTGGTATCATCACAAATTGGAATGCGTTTATTCTGTGAGCTTTGCTCATGGAATATGGATTTATGAAGAGCTGTCTTACTACTTAAGTCTTAGAGTAGGTCAGAAGACATGATGAGGTTTAGGTTTAAGAAACTTAGCTGCTATAATGGGTGATGGCATTGCATCATTAGCTAATGTTAGGCATTCACAGCAAAAAGGGAAGTAGGGAGTAGAGCTATTGATTAGGTCTTCAGACAAATCATACAATGTAGTGAAAGTATAATTTCCTCGAAAGAGCTATGTCTATTCTTATAAGTAGTTCTCTGAAAAGCCATCAAGTTTGCTTGGGAGACTGAGGTGGGAGGATTGCTTGAGGCCAGGAGTTTAAGACCAGCCTGGGAAACATAGCAAGACCTCGTCTCTACAAAAAAAAAAAAAAAAAAAAAAGATAAGCCAGATGTCTTATCACATCCTAGCTCCTTGGCAGGCTGAAGTGAGAGGATCACTCGAATCCAGGAGTTTGAGGCTGCAGTCAGCTATGATTGTGCCACTGCATTGCAGCTTTGGTGACAGAGCAAGACCCCATCTCTTAAAAAAAAAAAAAAAAAGAAAAAGAAAAAACCATCAAGTAATGTTGTGGGAGCTCATTCTTCCCCTTACCAGAGAAAATGTTTTCCCACCTTCTACTTCTTCCCAGTCCTTGTCCTTACAGGAGGAAGGGATAGACTCAAGTTGGTCAGACTCAGATAGTCCCACGGCCATGTTTTATACTGTGGGAAAGTGGTGAAGTGTCACTCCTACCTCCTGAGATCTGACATAGGACTGCCTTCTCAGTCCCTCCAGCCTCAGCCAGTCTCTTGAATGCTCCTTTACACCCTGCTATGCATCCCAAGACCCTTATTTCTCTTGCAAGATCTTCAGCTTCCTTCTTTTCTACATGGCAGCTTGTATTGGGGCTATTTCCCAGGCATAAACCAGATAGCACATACCGCACAGTGCTGGATGCTGGGGGTAAACAAGGTCTTTCCAGCTGTCTGTCTTCCTTCTTTTGTTCTTGCACTGGTGTGCATGTTTTATGTTGTACTTTCCTTAGATTGCAGTGGTTTGATCTCACCCTGAGAATTGATCTTGATGTGCCTGTGCATTCGTCAGATGTGGGGAGTAAGTAAAGAGGCTCATTTAGGGATTTCAATATAAGTTACGGTCTCTCTCTATCTGGCTTTCATTAGACCATGACTTTGAGGCATTTAATAGGCTTCATCAAGCTGTTAACAAAGTTGATACTTTGTTCCCCATTTAGCCTAGTTTCTTTCTTTGGCTTTGTTTCTTAGTTACTTTCAGGTTTTAACAAATAGAAATATCTCATTTTTCAAAAGTTGAAAAGTCTGGTCCAATCTAGTCTCAAAGTCTCACAATCTCATGCAATCCAACCTTTTCTCTCCTTCAGGTCTGACTCAGCTCAGATTCCAAGATCTGCAGTGGGATAAATAGTTTAGTCTTTTTCATCACTCATTCTGATACTTTCCTTCTTCCTCCATTCACTGCTTCTAACTCATCTGGGATTGGAGAGTGTGAAGAAAAGATGAAACAGGTAAAGGAAGCAAAAAATATATATATATGTAGCTTGGATGATTTGACATTTCTCTTGGCTGCTAAAATGGCATCAACAGGGGCAGGTATTCAAATACTGACTTTCTCCTGTGGAGTGTTTTTCTGAGTAATTCCATTTGTAGATCTCTGTTTTGAGTGATGCCTCTACTGCTTGAAAGTCCTCTCTAGAGGCTCATCCTGCCAGACTTTCTGTTAGAATCACTCTGGGGATACCTTGCTTCTCCAGGTGTGCTTTTAGGTGGACCCATATCTGGTCCATGGGAAACAATTATCTTGCTGTTGATGGAAGTGCAGCACACTACCATTCCACCCTGGCTGTCTCTCCTCTTGTCTTCAGGAGAGGCTGCAGCCATCCTCTTGACTGTAGACTTTTCCAGGCGACAGTCACAAGACCGTGGCCCTCAAACTCCAGTTCTTTGTGTGGTTCTCAGAAGCTGTCTTCCTTAGCTTTAGGCATAGAAAGTGGACTCTCCCTCTGCTCTTGGAAACTGGGAGACTCAAAGTGAGTCACAGCTGAGAGTTTCAAAACTGGTTCCCAGTATCTTAGCATGTCCTCCATAAGTGATATTTCACTAATTGTTCTGTAGAAACTCCGAGAAAATAGGAAAAGACAAATTTAACATTTTATTATACTTACATATAGATGCATAGTATGTGATTACTAAATGAACCACATTTACTAATAATACAAGAGTGTTATTCAATTAACACTCTTGAAATCTTAAACTTGGATATAGCCCAATCCTTCAGTGGAATTTTAGTTTTAACCATTATTTGATTCCCAAGAAATGGACACTCACTGTTTCTGGTCATAAATCATATGATAGATATTAAAATCAATGAGGACAGTCGCTTTTTGTCAGTTAAAAAGGGCTTGGAATTTTAATAGTAGGGATTAACACACCTGTAGCTTAGACCTCTAAATAGCATACTATTCTCTGGCTACATAGTTGGAATTTGAGCTGCAAACACGGCATAACTAATTGAAACATGTATTCTTTACCTCTAGCCCTTTATTGTTTTTCTTGCAGGTATTTGCACAAGGATGGTCCTAGGGCTGTAAGAAAATAGAGGTTCTGACAACTGTTTCATAATTCAACAGTTGAAAATGTAAAATTTTACAAACTGAGAAAATAGTTTATTAACTTTCGCCAGGTTTTTCCAGACCCTCCCTGGGCAGTAAAAAGCAATTTATAAAACCTGTTTTCAGTGGGAATTCAAATCTTCCTCCACAACATGTGCCTGCATAATCTAAGTGAGAATTGTTTTAAAACAAATACATTTAGAAATGAGCTATGGGGATACTTGAGGAAGCATGGTATAATCAGGATTAGTTTAGAAAATTCAAGATGGGAGCCTGCCTTTATTAACTGATTATTTTCCTTCAAGATGCTTTCTACTCTTAGGGGATAAGCACTTCATTTTATACTCTAATATTTTCATAAGTTTTATTGGCGTTCATTCCTAAGGTCATGTAATGGAAGAATACTTAATAGGTTTTATGACACTGGCCTTCTAGGTCCTTATAGTCTCAGAGCCACAGAGTAACCTGAAACATTTCTTATTTACTTCTTTTTGTGGACAGATGAAGAGATGCATAAGCTCTATCTTTGTGTTACCTTAAAGATAAAACATTAACTCCTTTTATTTTCCCTCTTCTCTGTTTCACTTTTTGGAGGAGTCTTGCAATTGTCAAATTTTTACTTTCAGGAAAGCCAAAGGGCAGTACATGAAAGATTAAAGTAACTTTCTGAAGAGTTGTTTCTAAGATCTGGAGGTGAAAAGAACGTCTGGAAATGAAAATGTTTGGATTATTTTCATTATATACGAAAACTCACTAGAGAGTTTGCCATTGCTTAAAGGACTGTAATGCACCTTGTTGGTGTTACTGTTGTTGGAGACGTGTACTTTCTACTTGCCTGACAATCAAAGAGTCCTTTAACCTAAAAGTAAAAACAATGAGGGGTGGCTTACTCACTGTAATGAGTGTAGCAAGTAGTTTGATATGTGAGACTTTCATTGGTGAAGAACAAAATCAAGTCACTGAAATATATAATTTTAGGGAAAAAATGTCTCCTTGAAAATTTCAGGATAGTCATAGATGTAAAAGGCAGGTGAATGGAAATGAATTAATCTCTATGATAACTGTAATCATCATACTATTGGAAGGGTCTTGTTGCTATTTAGGACAATTCTTGGAATCTCTCTGGATATATCTGGGGAGAAAAATGTTTCCAAACCTGGTTTGGCTCTAAGTTTAGACCTGCCCCCAATTTGAGAACTAACTTTGAGGTAATGTCTGGAGAGATGCATGTTCTGGAGAGACAGTTCTCTGGAGGCTGCGTTATGTTCAGATTGGGAAATATTTCTACTCATAGGCTGGTCCATGCACAAAGTGCGCAAGTGTTATTTTTGGGATAATAGTCTGTGCCACTATTAATTTATTGCTTCTTAGCTCCAAATTTACACTTCAAGGTATATCCCATGATAATAGAGGGAACTTCTTTAGGCATCTCTTCTTCCTAGTAAGTATAACACTAAGCTTTCTCAGCAGAGGGTGATGGGGAGGTATTGCAGGAGGAAGTGGCTCTCCTGCTGTTTTCTGCTATGGCAGAGGGAGGTGGGGTGGAAGGGCTTAGCAGTGTCTGAGTGTGAACATCTGGTAGAGAGGTCCGTTCCAGCCATGGGACCAGAGTCCTCAGCTACCTTGCAGCCTTGGCCTGGTGATAACCTTTCTGTGCCCCTTTTGAATTGAGAAGTGGTGCTTCAAAGGCTTCCTACTTGCACCAGCACCCAAAGGCCTCCCAATCCTACTGGCTCCCAGATTCCCTCTATACCCTGGAGGGATCTGACCCTTTCTGCATGCCCACACCACTGATTGTTGATCACTTGTTCTTTGCCTTCACTCTAGAGGGTTGCCTCCCACTTGCTCAATGACTGCAGACTAGCTCCAGGCTGGAACCAGAAAACTTCTGGTTTTCCATGAGCTGAAATATACTTTTTCCAATGAGGTCTAAACCCCAACCTTGGGGAAGGGATGCCTTTTGAAATTTGTTCTTCTTTGGGTACTCTCCATCTGCCCTGGGATACCATGTAGAATTCCTTATATCTTATTCTCCTTTATTATAGTTTAATTATTCTTTATATTAATCTTCCTTTGTTTAACCCACTTTGTAGTTTCTATCTCCAGATTAGACCTAGACTGCTACAGAGTCAAATATCAGTTATTCATATGGGTACAGAAAAGTGATTTATAGGTAATATCTGGATTGAAATGGGGGACACGTTTAAGGAAGTCAGCATAGTGTAGTAAGTGCAGTGTCTGTCTTAGGTCAGAAGATGTTTCATGTTGTGGTGATGCTAGAGGTGGTCTCCTGATGGGTGCTTTGTGGAGCAATTCTACAGGGTCGATGCCTCCCTGGGTGTGTCTGGCAAAGAGAGCTAATGTACTTTTAAGGACATTACCTGGGATAATGTGACACACGTGAGTGATAAAGAACAAGACAGCTCTTCTTTCAAGAATTATTTACCAAGTGCCTAGTGTGTGCTGGGCACTGTCCTAGGTACTGAAGAGACAGCAAGGGGAAAGAAAACCAGAACAAAACAAAATCTCTGCATTTGTTTTTACTTAGCCCTTTCCTTCATGTTGTCTTTTGCTTACCTGACACTTCAAGTTGGTGCTTCTCACTTTATACTTGGCATTCTTGTTATCAACAGAATAAAGCATTTCACATAACCTGGTTACAAGTGAAGTGGAGGGTGGAGAGGAGTGAGTTTGGAGCCGTGAATTTTATGAAACCAACCATTTTAAAGACAAATTTAAGTAAACAAGTCTTTTGAACAAACCTTTCAAAGAGATTTTACTGCCTTTAAATTAATAGCAACAGGTTAATGAAAAATTAGACATAGGTAGTGTGTGAAATTGGCTTTGAATTTCTCATTAATTAAGAATTCTCAGTGACCTGGCTGGTCTAATTACACTGGTTGGGAAATTTGATCATTAGTGAAACGAAACATGCAGCTATACCACTCACTTAAGAAACTCAAATGAGACTTGACATGGTCTCTGAAAGAATCAGTGTTACAATTACCTACAGCCCAGGGGAGACTCAGTGGGGCTAGACCTCAGCTCTTGGGTTCTTGCAATACATTTTTGCAGAAATGAATTTACTTCATTCATATGCCACTCTGCTTTGTTACTTATGAGAGGTACTAAATCTGTCATCAGAACATTTTTGATTACAGGACATATTAACAGAGTCCTTTATGATGATCAATTGTTTGAGTCCAAACCAGCAGTAGCTTTGACTTGTTAGAGAGGTTCACATATTTTCACTGAAGGTAATCACTGCTTTTTTTTTAAGGAATAAACTGCAAGAAGAATAATTCAGATTCTTTTGTCTTTACTTCAAATGGTCTGAGGTGGAGGGACACTGATGTTCTAAACTTGTTATTTCTTTATTTTCCACCCCCTGAGTCTTCACAGTTTTTGGGAAATTGAACTCACGATTGCTTTTTGCCCTTTACCTCTTTGTCTTTGTCTTCCCTAAAGTAAGAAGGAAGTGGGGGGCAGTGGAGGAGAAAATGCCCTCTGGATATTATGATGTAATAGGAAACAAGCTACTTGATACTTGAGAAAACACCATTCATTAGATAAGATAATATTTAAAATAATGTTGACATTTTATGGTGTACACATGAAAACCAGCTATTTCCTTGGACTAATATGTTCAAATTTTATGATTAGAATTTAATTCAAAGTTTATATTTGAGTGATACTACGGAGCCAGCAAATTAAAATGTATGTAGCATTTAAATGAGTGACAATATTTCAACAAAGTGTCTATAAGGAACTTTCATATTAAGAATTTGGTGAATGAGCCTAATTTGGCTTGTTTCAATGTGAGTATATATAAAAAAGATACATAGAGTATATATAAAAAAGCACATTTTCAAAGATAATTTTATTAAACCTTTAATGTATGCTGTTAGACCCATAATCACCTATAGTAATATTATCTTCCATTTATATCTTCCCTTTATTAGGCCCTGAGTACAGACCTTGATATTATACAGGCTCAGTAAAGGGGAAGCTACTATTCCTCTCAGTAAAGGGGAAGCTACTATTATGACAGCCTTGGTACACAGAATTCAAGACACATGCTATCCACGCAATGCAGTTATTTGGAGAACAGGATATCTGTGCCTTTTGAACAGCTGGACTTAAGGGTCAGGGTTGGAAGAAATCCTATTCTATGGAGGCAATACAGTGTGGAGAAAAGAGGACTCACCTCCTGAGACCTTGATTCTAGTTTGTTTTGCTACTAACCTACTATGTGAACTCAGGAAAGTGAATTAACCTCTCTGAGCCTGGGTTTCATCATATATAAAGTGAAGGGATTGAATTAGATGCCCTCCAAGATTCTTCCAGCCATCAAATGTAATTCCACCTTTTTGGGGGATTTAGTTTTTATGTGTGTAAGACTGTTATTAGCCAAGTGCAAACCAAAGGAAAGGCACATTTAAATGATTTGCTACACTCAGATTTAGTAGTCAAATTAGTAGTATTCCAGCCTCTTCAACTTCTATATATCGATGTTGAAGACCTTGCTTCACTGGTCTGACACTCAGAGCAGCAGGAAAGCAGCATAATTTGTTTCTCCAGAAACTGAACGAGGAAATCTGGTGATTTTGGCAGTTCATCTTTACTTCTGGGGAAAAAAAACCAACTGAATCCAAGAGCTTAAAAAATGTTGTTTGTAATTTTTTTTTTAAACAGAAAAGAGATTTAGTGATAACAGCAATGAGAGGATGCTTTCTTGAACCCAGCTCAATAAACACATATTGAACTTCTATTAAAGGTTTACAACCTCTTATCCATAAATCTGAAATCCAAAGAGCTCTAAAAACCCTGAGATCATTTAGTAGCAAGACCTGACCTGAATGGATATGAGGCTATGTACATTTTTTGTTTATCCTACTTAGTGTGAATACACATTCCTCTCACTGAAGAAACTGATGTTATTGTTTTTTTGGAGTGCCACCACAGGACCTGCTGGGAATGTTCCTTAAGATGTAGTACATGGCTTGCAATACCATTCTAAGCATTGAACAGTTCTGAATTCCAAAGCTATCTGGTCCCAAGGTTTTAAGTAAAAAAAATTTGACATGTGTGTGATAAGAGTGAGGGCAGACAAGAGGATGGCTGGAGGGCAGCTGAATGTGATGCAAAGGTAAATAGGACTCACTTTTCTCAAATAATTCCCAGACATATTCAACAATATAATATGATATGCTTTATAGAAGGTACGTGGATAAAATTTAAGAGAAAACAAGGATTTCTGCTGGGATTATGGGCATTTCATAGAGAAGGGGATGTTTGAATTGGATCCTAAGGATAATAGATATTTTACATAGGAAAAGCCATTCCAAACAGAAAGAAGAGAGGCATGGACATTCATGGGGTATGGGGGCCCCACAGCTTCTCTGCAGCTGAGTTAGGCGGAGGAGAGGTTATTATGGATCCAAGTGCCTGAAAATGAGACTGGGATTATTATTTGATACCTTGTATGCCATGTTAATAACCATCCACCACTCCCCACTTATGTTGTGTTCTCTAGAGGTCTACTCTGAGAAGACTGTTCGTGTGTAAATACTTTGTTAAGGCCAGGCGTGGTGGCTCACACCTGTAATCCCAGCACTTTGGGAGGCTGAGGCGGGCAGATCACAAGGTCAGGAGATCAAGACCATCCTGGCTAACATGGTGAAACCCCGTCTCTACTAAAAATACAAAAAATTAGCAGGGTGTGGTGGTGGGCACCTGTAATCCCAGGTACTTGGGAGGCTGAGGCAGGAGAATGGCATGAACCCTGGGAGGCAGAGCTGGCAGTGAGCCAAGGTCACACTACTGCACTCTAGCCTGGGTGACAGAGCGAGACTGTCTCAAAAAAGGAGAAAAAAATACTTTGTTAAGGAAGCACACCCACAAAGACCTGTAAGGGAATGGGACAGCAGGAGAGGGAAGGGCAAGAAGCCAAGGAAGGGAGCTTGCTTTTTAGGCAAAATTTCAGAGGTGACTTCACCCTGATTCTGTAGGGGGCACTAGAGTGAAAGAAAAGCCTTAAATACTCCTGCCACCTGTCAGTCATTAAGGACCAGGTCCTTGAGGCATGGTGTGGGTCGGTGATGTAAATTTCCAGGCCCTTCAGCTGTCTCACTTGGGTGCTCCAAAAGCAAGGGCAAGTGCTCCTGCAAGTGATTGTGTGTGTGTGTGTGTGTGTGTGTGTGTGTGTGTAGAGTACTAAAGTGGTCAATGGAAATCTGAGGGGAAGGGGCACAGTGCTGACATTTTTTAATGCCACAAAGCCATTGGGTGACCTCTTATTGCATCTTAGCTTTGTACTTAGTACTTCAAATAATGATCTAGCAAATAATTATTTAATTCTCATAACAACTCCACAAGGTAGGGGATATTTTCTATTTTACAGATGAGAATTGTGGTGCTGGAAGGTCACTAACTGCTGATCAGTGTAGTTAGACGGCCAGTGCTTAGAACCAAGTTCTTGCTGGCTCCCAAATTCCCTGTGTACAGCAGTGTCCTCTAGTTCCTCGGGGATCCTCACCTTCTTCCACCACACTTTTTACCTGAGCAAATCTGTTATGTAATCTATTTTCCATACTGCTTTTTTTGCAAGAAGTTTTTCTCTGAAAGAATTGTGAAGTTTATAAAGTTTTCAAATGGCTGCAAATAATAGCCAAAGTAAGTTTTTAAGACGAGAATCATGATGAGACACTTCTAGAAAAGTGCCCTCTCTTTTATTATGTTTGGATTTTGGTTCTAATTGACATATTCAAGGGTTCCTGAATAAGATTCATATTATAGTAAAGCAGAACATTCTGTCTTATTTAAGTTTGCCTTGATTAAGAACATTATTGAATCAGAAATTATGCTTATTTTGTTGCTGCTGTGTTTTGTTTTTAATTTGAAATTCTTTTAGAACTTTAAAAAAAATAAGCTTCCAATGGCCAATAAATGGAAAAAAATGAGTTGATATATTTAATTCCTGAAAATTCTCAATTGTGTCCAGTCTGTCTAGAATTAGATGCATTCTAATTCTGTTCATTTCTTGTAGTTCTAAAGCAGAATAGTCAGAAGAAACCTCTACAAAAAGTTATAAAACAGTTCAGCTTTTGGAGGTAAATGTATGCATGTATTAAAGTACTAAGAACATTTCTTTCTCTTTCACACACAAAGATGTCAAGGAGGTCACTTTTGTTTGTTTATTCATTTAACAAATATTTATTGAAAATCTTGGTATTATGAAATACCAAGCATCAAACAAAATGGCAATATTGCTACTTTCATGGGATTTACAATCTAGTAGAGGAGAATAAATTATGATTATGTATCATTACTGTTATTGCAAACAAAACAAAAATTCTAAGCTCTGGTATTAGAGTCTGGGGAAAAATGGCATTTCTATAGAAATTAGTTATTTTAGATTGTGTGTTTAGCTGCAAAGTAAATAAATCTCCTGAGGATTGAATTCAGCAAATATTGATGGAACATCTACTATATACCAAGCACTGTTAGCACTGTTAATGAGTGACAGTAATTCCTTTGTTGGATACAATGAGCATGGCAAACTAAAACCATGTGAAGAATATCTTTGGGTGAGTTGAAATTCTACCAACTATCAAAATGGGATTTATAGGTGAGCATTTAAAATAAAACAAATATATGTAGGCATCATAAGTAGCACAATGAAGATTTTTCTATATTATTATTA
This sequence comes from Homo sapiens, assembly GCF_000001405.40. NCBI lineage: Eukaryota > Metazoa > Chordata > Mammalia > Primates > Hominidae > Homo > Homo sapiens. Next base: position 78,512,369 of record NC_000006.12, on the reverse strand, counting down.
CAGAATTCAGTTTTATTCATGAATAAAAACACTTTGGAAAGAACACAGATTTCTTTTTTTTAATACAAGAATTTTGAATTAATTTGGACAAGTCAACTGTAAAAACATATTTTTGAGCCATCTGGAGAAACTTGATCATGAACTGAATTTTAGATTATACCAGAAATTATTGTTAATTTTGTTAGGTGTTATAACAGCATTATGATTAGAAAAGTAAATGTCCATCTTTTTTTATAGATTGGCACTGACAAAAGTAGGGGTAAAAATTATTTGCTGTCTGCAATTTGCTTTTAAATACTTCAGCAAAGAAAGCAAGAAACAAGGATAAAGCAAATGTGGAATATTCTTGACCACTACTGAATATGATAGAGGGATATATAGTTCATTACACTATTCTCTCCACCTCTGTGTATATTTCAAGATTTTTGTAATAAAAAATTAACTGCCAAATTTAATTCCTTTATGGAAAATTATTTTCTTGTTGAGCTTTTGTTTTTCTTGACATTTCTATATTTGGAATTTTCTGTCTTGTAGACCACAAAATAGCGTTTTAGCGTATCAGGAAAAATCATTCTGCTTCTCAGTGATATGCTTGATATTCTGAAGAACCCAAGCTTCTTTTTTCTCAGAGCCCTTGCTTACTGCTTCAGTCAGGACTCTTCATCCCAGGCCTCCTGTGTGGTTATTCTGCAGCTATCCTTAACTGAACTCCTGGTTAAAGCTATTGCTTCCCCCAACCCATATTGTTATCTTTCTTGGTTTTCTATCCTGTTCTGTTTGATTGAGCCTCTATTAATCCTTTAAAAAACAGTAGAACACAAATTTTTAGTGACTTCCTTATTCATGCACAGCTACTCTTGTTAGTGTTATTTCAGATATATTATTGCACTGTCTATCTGTAGGAAACAAGAGTTAGCTGTATTGCAAGTGTTTTCACTTTAAATACTCACAACTTTTTTCCTAGCTACATTCCATCCAATCTCTTCTCTTTGGAGAGAAGAGAGACTTTCCTGTCTTTGCTTGTTGTGTTTTATCAGTTGTATCAATATTGATGAGCCAAGAGGAAATAAATGTTGCTGAAAAATAAATCTGTTCTTTTGCCTTTCCCCTAGACTGCCTCCCAGATTCACTGCCAGCATCAGCATGCTTGACTAGGAGAGTCAGGAGGGCCCTGCCAAGTCTGATGCACTATCTCTACCATGACACCCTGAGGAGGAACTTGGATTTCAAATTAGTGAGCAGTCGGTACAATGTATTTCACTATGCCATGTTCAACAGAAAGGAATACGAGCTTGAAATACATTCACAGAGTCTGTCATCTTTTCCTATCTCTCCAACAAAGAGAAGAGCTTTCTTTCTAGTTTGGACTGCCAATGTCTTCCCTTCCACCTCGGGACTCATTCTCTTGCAATTTGGCACTGCCAACCCAGGTATTGAATTTATATTCCCTCCACTTATTTAATGTCAGCCCCTTCTCAAAGAGCCGAATTGAGTTTTGCCTTGTTTACTAAACTTTTCCTGCCATTTCCAGTGCACATGACTCTTTCAGCTCTTTGAACAGTTTTATAGCTACAATCACACAGTGTTAACATTTTCCCCAAAGTTTTTCTTGTATGTTGGTATATAATTTTTCCAAATATTCAAGAGAAGAAGATATTTTTATTCTTTGTATATATGTCTGACAGTGCTGAGTACTCCTTCTGCTGTTTTCCATACTACTGTGGGAATTCATTCAACCACTGAAAAAATTATTTATCTATGTCGTTCACAGTTGGGTGTGATATAGGCACAAAAAATGCTACAAAACATAAAGGCAGCTACTGTTTCCTAGGCTTTTACAGCATAGACAAGGAAAGAAACATGAAAAGATATGTAACAAGACTGACACAGAGATACATTTAAAAATATTTATTTATTCATTACTGAGTACTTCTCAGTTGGTTAGGAGCACATTCACAGCCCCTGAAGTTGTGAGGGTTATTGACTATAGAGCTGTTAAGTGTCAGAAGGGCTGCAAAGAACCCAAGGAGACAGGAGTGCGCGCTCGTGCTTTCTCTCGCTCTCTCTCTCTCTCTCATCTGTGTCACTGTATCTTTCTCTTTCTCCCTGGATGACAAGAAAAGTAAGAAAGAGGGAAAATAATGAATAACTATGAAAGAGATTGAGTTCTTTTTTTCTCCAGCAAAATCCAAGAGACTCTTGTGGAAATGTCTTCCATAGAAACAAGGGTAGACAGATAAAAGATCTTGTGTTATCTGCTGCCTCCCAGAAGGGGGGAAGTACAGAACTTACAGTCCAGGTTAACTGGAGGCTTGGAGAATGAAAATAGAAACAGGAAGAAGAGGAATGACAACAACAATAAAAATGACTAAGTGTCTTTAAGATTCATCCTCTGTATTGGAGACCTTAGAGTGTTGGGATGCTGAACTCAAAAGCAGCAAAGCCCAGAGTTCTCATACATTCTCATATATTGGTAGAAAAAAATTATCTCCCTTCTCTCACTTTCCATGTATTTTCTTCCCACTGCAAATTGGCATCTGCTTTCACCATTTTACAGAAATTATTCCTCATAAAGCCAACAGTGACATCCTCATTGTCAAATGGGCACTTTCAGTCTACATACTATTGGGCTTCTCTGTTGAATTTATTTTTGTGATCTCTGCTTTCTTAAACAATCAGTTTCAAAACTTGAATTCTGTGACTTTAGTGTACTTTCTCCGCCGCACCCTTAATTCCTTTCGTGTTTGTTCAAGTTTGAGTTTTCTATTCTCAGTCAATATCTTTACTCCATCTATGTGCTCTTCTATGCTGATCTCATCTGCCCTCACAGTTTTGAGTACTACGTATATGCTTCTTTCTGGCAAGTATTTTTGTGTGTAGATTCTTCATACAACACCTTCAGCTCTACATCTGATATGCCCTTCAAATTCTGCATAGTTAAAATAGAACCCTACTTCCTTCTGTAAAAAAGTCCCTTTCCAGTCTTTATTGCAACTGGTGGTATTGCTATCCACCTAGTTCTCCCGAGAACTTCAGAGCAGTTATTGAGACTTCCTTCTCCCTCACCAACCGTATCTAATTAATCTCTAAGTATTTTCCAAATATGTCTTCATTGCTTTGTTTCTATTATCCGTGTTCTAGTTAGCTTGAATTCCTATAGTGCTTTTCTAAGTGGTTTCTGAATATTCAGTCTTCTTCCCCTTTCAACTCCATTTTCTAAAGAGGTAAGAGACTGAACTTGTTAGACACAAATCTAATATTCATTACTCTTCTTAAAACTTTCAGTATCACTTAATACATGACAATTTTCTCTCCGTAGAATTTAAGACCCTCCGTTAGCTCCTACCTACTTCCTGTTTCATCATCTCTTCAGCTGGCACCTGGCAAGAAGTGTTTACGGTTACATGATTTCACACGTCTGTGTCATTGCTCTTCTTGAAATGTCCTCACCGTCTTCACCTCCTTGACGTATTTCTGCTTATTTTAGCAACTAAGAAGTATCTCCAATTTTTTTATGATTGCAACCCTTTGGGGCTTTAGGGGCGAATTAGTCCATTTTCATGCTGCTGATAAAGACATACTTGAAACTGGGCAATTTACAAAAGAAAGAGGTTTAATGGACTTACAGTTCCATGTGGCTGGAGAAGCCTCACAGTCATGGCAGAAGGTGAAAGGCACATCTCACATGGCAGCAGACAAGAGAACAGAGAGCTTGTTAGGGAAACTCCCCCTTATAGAACCATCAGATCTCGTGAGACTAATTCACTATCATGAGAACAGCATGGGAAAGGCCTGCCCCTGTGATTCAATTACCTCCTACCAGGTCCCTCCTGCAACACATGGGAATTCAAAATGAGATTTGGGTGGGGACACAGTCAAACCATCTCATTCCGCCCCTGGCCCCTCCCAAATCGTATGTCCTCACATTTCAAAATGAATCATGCTTTCCCAACAGTCCCCCAAAGTCTTAACTCATTTCAGCATTAACTCAAAAGTCCACAGTCCAATGTCTCATCTGAGACAAGGCAAGTCTCTTCCATCTATGAGCCTGTAAAGTCAAAAGCAAGTACCGCCTAGATGCAATGGTAGTACAGGCATTGGGTAAATACAGCCACTCCAAACAGGAGAAATTGGCCAAAGCAAAGCAGCTACAGGGCCCATGCAAGTCTGAAATACAGTGGGGCAGTCAAATCTTAAAGCTCCAAAATGATCTCCTTTGACTCCATGTCTCACATCCAGTTCATGCTGATGCAGAGGTTGGCCCCTATGGCCTTGGGCAGCTCCTCCCCTGTGGCTTTGCAGGGTATAGCCTCCCTCCCAGCTGCATTCATGGGCTGGCATTGAGTGTCTGCAGCTTTTCCAGGCACATGGTGCAAGCCATCAGAGGAGCTATCATTCTGGGGTCTGGAGAACTGTGGCCCTCTTCTCACTGCTCCACTATGCAGTGCCCAAGTAGGGACTCTGTGTGGGGGCTCCAATCCCACATTTCCCTTCCACAATGCCCTAGCAGAGGTTCTCCATGAGGGCCCCACCCCTGCAGCAAACTTCTGCCTGGGCGTGAAGTTGTTTCCATACATCTTCTGAAATCTAAATGGAGGTTCCCCAACCTCAATTCTTGACTTCTCTACACCCGCAGGCTCAACACCACATGGAAGCTGCCAAGGACTAGGGCTTCCACACATTGAAACCACAGCTTGAGCTGTACCTTGGCCCCTTTTAGTCACGGCTGGAGTGGCTGGGATGCAGAGCACCAAGTGCCTAGACTGTACACAGCAGAGTGACCCTTGGTTCCGGCCCACAGAATGATTTTTTCTTCCTAATCCTCTGGGCCTGTGATGGGAGGGGCTGCCACAAAGGTCTCTAACATGCTCTGGAGACATTTTCCCCATTGTCTTGGTGATTGATATTTGGCTCTTCATTACTTATGCAAATTTCTGCAGCCCGCTTGAATTTCTACTCAGAAAATGGGATTTTCTTTTCTGTTGCATTGTCAGGCTGCAAATTTGCTGAACTTTTATGCTCTGTTTCCCTTTTCAAACAGCATGCCTTTAACAGCACCCAAGTCACATCTTGAATGCTTTGCTGCTTAGAAATTTTTTCCATCAGATACCCTAAATCATCTCTCTCAAGTTCAAAGTTTCAGAAATCTTTACAGCAGGGGCAAAATGCCACCAGTCTCTTTGCCAAAATGTAACAAGAGTCACCTTTGCTCTAGTTCCCAACAAGTTCCTCATTTCCATCTGAGACCACCTCAGCCTGGGTTTTATTGCCATATTGCTATCAGCATTTTGGGCAAAGCCATTCAACAAGTCTTAGGATGTTCCAAACTTTACCGCATTTTCCTGTCATCTTCTGAGCCCTCCAAACTGTTCCAAACTCTGCCTATTATTGAGTTCTAAAGTCACTTCCACATTTTTGGGTATCTTTTCAGCAGTGCCCCACTCCTGGTACCAGTTTACTGTATTAGTCAATTCTCACAGTGCTGATCAAGACATACCTGAGACTGGGCAGTGGACTTACCATTCTCCGTGGCTGGGGAAGCCTCCCAATCATGGTGGAAAGTGAGAGGCCCATTTCATATGGTGGCAGACAAGAGAAGAGAGAGCTTGTGCAAGGAAACTCCTTCTTATAGAACCATGAGATCTACTATCACGAGAACAGCACAGGAAAGACCTGCCCCCATTCAATTACCTCCTACCAGGTCCTTCCCACAACACGTGGAGATTCAAGATGAGATTTGGGTGGGGACAAAGACCATATCAGGGGGTAATTTAAAAGAATAGAAAATAAGTCACATGGGATTTTAAAGTAGATTATATGAGAAGATTATAGTAGCCACATGATGCTCTGCATGACCTAAATGTCAGAGAAATTCAAATTTAGGCATGACATAGACCAAGAAATAGTCACAAAAGTTTCATCAAAATGCTGCTTCAGTTTTACCCCAATGGCTAACCCTTCCCATTATGAAAAGCCATTTAGTGAAATTGAACATTAGGAGAGATTTTTATTATTTTTTCCAGGGCACTGCCTTGTCCCTTCCAAATAGACCATGGTCAAATTTTATGGTGCCTCCAAGTCAGACATGTGAGCCCTAAATTATTTAGATTTTACATACTGGAAATGTGCACTCTTGCTTTTCTATCCTCACTGTTGGTGATAGGGAAATGAACTTAAATACATGTCTTTCAAGCCCAAAAGATCAATCAGTTGAAAATGGAGAAAACATGGAGCCCTCCATGAAAACCTATTCTGCTGTAAAGTCCCTGGGCAGAGACTAGGGTAGGGTATGTTTCTACCCTAATATTTAGAGTTCTTTTTAATTAATATTAGGCTTGAATTGATTCTTTATGTTATATTACTATTCTTGAAGATTCAGCTTTTGAATTAAGGTCTCTGAGAGAACTTCCATAAATTCTCAGACTAGGTTTTGTTTACTAATCTTCACTCCAGCCAGTATTTTGTGTATAACTCTGTTGCTACAGTTAAAACACTGAATTATATGTCTTTCTTTATATCTCTACCTCTTCTGCTATCATGGGTTCATTGAGAGCAGGAAACTTGTTATAATTATTTCTATTTCCCCAAATCTAGAACAATGCCTAACAGGTGCATAATAAAATGTTTGTTGAATGAGTAAACAAATTGGTGTTGGTTACAATGAAGTATAAGTGCTAAAGAATCTATTCTCAATGTCTATTTAGTAATCAATAAATTTTTTGTTCTCTATATATCTATATGTACACATATATAGATATAGATAGGTATGTTTTTCTAATAACAAATTTCTTAATATCGAGGCAATATTCTATATTTTAGCTCTTCCCAGAGGTACTAGAATGGGGAAAGAAATAACCTGAAGTGTTCCATAAGGCTAATAATCTAGGATAACCCATATAAAAGAATTTACTAAAGATTGAATGGGGTAGCATGCTGCACTGGATATGTGATGGTGAGCTGCATGAGTACAGCTGCCCTCAGAAAGTGAAACTGAAAATCAGTCCCTAATACGTTGGAACAAAAATAAAGCCAGCTAAGGAGACAGTTAAGCTAACTCCCAAAGAAGTGAAACACATGACAATACCTGAACCATAATGTTATATCGGAACAAAGGTGATACCAAGCAACTGAGGAGGTGGACTAAAATGAAAATGTAAAAATGGTAAGTCATGGCCCATATCACGGTAGTGCTCTTCCAACCTTTTCACAGGAAGAGGACCTTTGGTCAGTAACAAACCTCTCAGGGCCAAGTGGCAGGGGTATCTTTCTTGTGGAGATGGCTGTTTCAGGCTTAGTCTGATGCCATCATAAGGGGCATCCTATGGGGGCCAGGGAGATATTTTCACATAGTAGAAATGGCACAAATGGAGAAGGCAGGGCAACAAGTGGTCCAGAATGGCAGGAACATTGTTGTGACAAGTAGGAGGCTGGTGTTAATAGTTAGGTGATAGGCTAAGTGTGTGGGGAGAATTGTCCATTGTTATAAGGTACTTGTTATTTAGGTGATAGGGATCATGGAAGATGACTAAGGCAGGGATTAGAGTTAGGGTATAGGAACATCAAACTTGTGGTTTTGTACAAAATAGAATAAAGAATGGAATTAGGAAAACCTCTGAGAAATTTTTGCATAGATGAGGTAAATGATTAAGGCCTAAACTAAGCAGTGGAAAGAATGTTAAATATGATATATGATGCAAAATGGACACCAGGCCAAAAAAAAAAAATTCTAGCATCAACAAATCTTTAATACCACTCAATTGCCTAAACTTCATTTTGGATCAATTAAACACCTGTGAGTGATGTCTCTGAAGCCATTAAGCACTATTTTTTAAAGACATTAGGCACAGATATACATAACATGAAGTTTGCCTCTTCAGCCATTTTTAATGCACAATTCCATAGCATGAAATACGTCTACAGTGTTGTACAACCATCACCATTATCCATTTGTGGAGCCTTTTCACTACTCCAAACTGAAAGTGTGTCCATTGAACATTAATTCCCAGTTCCATCCTCCCTCCAATCTGAAGTAACCTCTATTCTACTTTCTGTCTCTATAACCTTCCCTATTCTAGACACCACACATAAGTGGAATCATACCATATTTGTCCTTCGCATCTCTGCATCTCACTTATTTTACATAGCATAATGTTTTTAAGGCTCGTATATGTGGTAACGTGTCAGAACTTTATTTTTATGGATCAATAATATTCCATTGTGTGAATATATCAGATTTTGTTTATTCATTAATTTGTTGATGGATATTAGGCTTGTTTTTACCTTTTGACTCTTGTGAATAATAGTGCTATGAACATTGGTGCACGAGTATTTGAGTTTCTGTTTTTAATTATTCTAGATTATACCTAGGAACTTTAAAGCCAGATTTAAAGCCTTCCTTTCACTATGGTAGTGTGTAGGAATGAAATTCCAGTGTGTGCACTCTGCCACGGGGAGCCCTGAATTCCCATTACTGTTCCTACCAGTCAGAAGAGGGTTAAATCATCAAATCATTCATTCTGGAAAGTGACAATGCCTTGGATTTCAAATAAATGACACCTTTTTGTTTCTCAAAGTTCAGGAGAAAAACTGCTATTGTTTTTTTCATCACTCAATAGGATCATGAGAGGTCCTACTGCAACAGCACATGGAAACTTACAGAAACTTATGAAAGGTTCTGGGTTGTGATGACTGACCCTTCTCCCACACCCCAGTGTGAGACTCTGGGGAGAATTAAATTCCATCATTACAATTCACATTTTCTTGAAGACTCTCCTTAGTTAATAGGAGCTAAAGCTGATGCTGAATTTGCCTTCTATGAGAGTACAGTGCTAAGGCTGAGAGATAGTAAAAGTGAATCTAAAACCTGGTTATGGAAGATGGCTAAATATACAGCCTGGAAGAGCTTCTCCCACCAAGAGAGACCAGACCATCAGGTAGACTGACACACTCTGAACATTTGGAAAGAAGGCATTGAGAGTGGATACAGGGAAGACACGGAACCCAGGGGCTGAAAGAGGAGGAAGCTGGAAAACCTGCATGTGGTTGCTGAGCACCAGGACTCATTCCTGTCCCCAAGCAGCTCCTAGGGAAGAGGTGAATTAAAAGGCATGAATAATTCCACTCTTGTCACGAACCTCTGGGATCCCAGCTGTGGGAGACCCCACAGCCCCCACAAACATTTGAATTGGCAGGGAGAACTGCTTGGAGAGTTGGCAGAGACAGAACTCCAGTCTGCACAGAGCCCAGAGTGTTTGGTGTGGAAACAGCTGCAGTAGAGCATAGCCACGGATGTCCATCCTCCAAGTCTTGCCATATGACACTTGGTGGCTTTAGTCTTTGTTATCAGCTGGACATGGAGAGAGCAGGGTTATCCTGCCCATGGGATGGGGCCAGTCTGATATGAATGCCCCCCATCAACCAGACTCTCCCAGGGTCTCTGGCTGCATCCACTTGCTGAAATTCTTGCCAGTGGCCACTGCCATGGCTCTTTCACCAGCAGCTCCCACCTTCCCATTGGAGTACTTTTACAGATGAACCTCTGCTGGGTGCATACCCACCTGCAGTTTTCCCCTGCCAGTATGCACTTGCCACCCTGCAGTATCCCTTCGTGGCCTCCATGGTGCACATGCACATGGAGACCTGCTGCCTCACCAGTGTGCACATGTGCAGGGACCCACCACTGCCCCACTGGCAAGCACACATGCATGGACTCATTGCCACCCAGCTGTCATGCATGCATGTGGGGGCACTTGCCTGTGGCCCCCCTGCTGCAGCAGTCTCCCACGACTCCCCCACTGCCCAGCTGCAGAGCATATGCCAGCAGCCCCTGTCAGAGTGCTGTTGCCAGTGGACTGAGAATACCTTGGCCTCTATAGCACAGCAGGAGCTTGACCCTGAGGGGCCAGAGAACAAAGCTGTGGGCCTGGTCCTAGCACTTCAGGGTTAGAGTAGGCAGCCCAGGAGTGCTGGTCTAAGCCCTGGTTCCCTTAAAGCATCCATAAATGAAGCCAGTTGACTAAACCCAACTTATATCACAATCAACTTCTTAAGGACATCAAAGAACATAAAAGCAAGAAGCCCCATCCAAAGGACAGCAACTTTAAAGATTAAAGTAACTCAGCCCACACAGATGAGAAAGAACCAGCACAAGAATTCTGGCAACTCTGAAAACATAGTGTCTTTTTACCTCCAAATGACCATACTATCTCCCCAGAAATGGTTCTTAACCAGATTGAAATGGCTAAAATAAGAGATATAGAATTCAGAATTTGGTTGACAAGGAAGCTCAATGAGATACAGGAGGAGATTGAAATCCAGTCCAAGGAAAGCAGTAAAATGATCCAACAGTTGAAAGATAACAGAAGCATTTTAAGAACCCAACTGAACATCTTGACAAAAACATACTACAGGAACTTCAGAATGCAACTGGATGCATTAATAACAGAATAGATCAAGCTGAGGAAAGAATCTTAGAGTTTGAAGACTGTTCCTTTGAACAAACACAAGAAGACAAAAATAAAAAAAAATATTTAAAAATGAACTGAGAAATATGGAATTATGTAAAGAGACCAAAGTTATGACTCATTGGCATTTCTGAAGGACATGGAGAGAGAGGAAGCAAATTGGAAAATATATTTGAGAATATTGTCCCTGAAAATCTCATTATTCATTTTCATGTTGATCTCCGCTATTAGAGAGGTCAACATGAAAATTAAAAGAACACCTGTGAGATACTATACAGGACAATCATCCCCAAGACACATGGTCATCAGATTCTGCAAGGTCAACGTATAAGAAAAAAAAAGCAGCTAGAGATAAGTGGCAGGCCACCTACAAAGGGAACCCCATCAGGCTAACAGTGGACATTTCAGTAGAAACTTAGCAAGCTAGAAGAAATGAGGGAAGGGGGCTATATACTGCATTATTAAGCAAAAGAAATTTCTACCAAGAATTTCATATACAGCCAAACTAAACTTTATAAGTGAAGTAAAAACACAATCCTTTTCAGAGAAGCAAATGCTAAGGGAATTTGTTACTACCAGACGTGCCTTACAAGAGGTTCTAAAGGATTGCTAAACATGGAAACAAAAGACCAATACTACCCACCACAAGAACACACTTAAGAACATAGCCAACTGACACTATAAAGCTGCTATACAATCAAGTCTACATAACAACCAGCTAACAATACAATGACAGGATCAAATCCTCATATATCAACATTGACCTTGAATGTAAATGGGATAAATGTCCCCACTTAAAAGACATAGAGTGGAAAGTTAGATAAAGACACAAGACCCAACCATAAGCCATATTCAAGAGACCCATCTCACATGCAGTGATAATCATAGGCTCAAAATAAAGGCATGGAGAAATATTAAGCAAACAGAGAACAAGAAAGAGAAGATGCTATGCTTATTTCAGACAAAACAGATTTTAAACCAGTGACAATCAAAAAGGACAAAGAAGGGCATTACGTAATGATAAAGGGTGCAATTCAATAAGAAGACTTAACTATCCTAAATATTTAGGCAGCCAACATTGGGCCACATAAAACAAATTCTTAGAGACCTATAAAGAGACTTAGATAACCACACAATAATTGTGGGAGACTTAACACCTTACTGACAGTGTTAGACACATCATTAAGGCAGAAAACTAACATAGATATCTGGGACCTATTGGAAGTTGGCACTTGACAAAATGAACCTAGCAGACATCTACAGAATATTCCACCCAACAACAGAATATACACTTTTCTTGCCTGTACCTGGTACATACTCTAAGACTGACCACACAATCTGCCATAAAGCAATTTTCTAAAAAAATTAAAAAAATGAAATCATACCAACCAGCTGCTTGGAACACAGCACAATAAAAATACCAAGAATATTGAGAAATCAATACCAAGATGATTTCTCAAAACTGTGCAATTACGTGGAAATTAAGCAACCTGCTCCTGGATGACTTTTGGGTAAAGAATGAAATTAAGGCAGAAATAAAATGTTCATTGAAACTATTGAAAATAAAAAAGATACAACGTACCAGAATCTCTGGGACACAGCTAAAGCAGTGTTAAAAGGTAAATGGAAAGTTTATAATACTAATCACCTACATCAAGACATTAGAAAGATCTAAAATTAGCAAACTAACATCACACCTAGAGGAACAAGAAAAGTGAGAGAAAACCAACCCCAAACTACCAGAAGAAAAGAAATAACCAAATCAGAGGTCAACTGATTGGAATTGAGATGTGAAAATCTATACAAAAATCAAACCAAAAGTTGGTCCTTCCAAAGAATAAGCAATACTGATCGATGGCTAGCTAGATTAATAAATAGAGAAGATCCAAATGAACACACTCAGAAATGACAAAGGTGACGTTACAACTTACCCCACAGAAACACACGAAACCCTCAGAGACTATTATGAATACCTATATGCACATAAACTAGAAAACCTGGAAGAAATGGATATATTCCTGGAAACATACAACCTCTTAAGATTGAACCAGGAAGAAATTGAAATCATGAACAGACCAATAATGAGTTCTAAAATTGAATCAGTAATAAAAATCCTACCAACCAAAGAAGCCCTGGACCAGACAGATTCAAGCCAATTTCTACCAGATGTATGAAGAAGAGTTCATACCAAACCTACAGAAATTATTACAAAAAACTGGGGAGAAGGTACTCCTCCCTAAATCACTCTTTGAGGCAAGCATCATTCTGATACCCAAACTTGTCAGAGACACAATGAAAAAAGAAAACTTCAGGTTAGCATCCCTGAAGAACATAGATGCAAAAAATCCTCAATAAAATATCAAAAACCAAATCTAGCAGCCCAACAAAACCTAATCTCCTATGACTAAGACGGACTTATTCCTGGGATACAAGGTTGGTTCAATATATACAAATCAACAGATATAATGCATCACATAAACAGAACTAAAAACAAAAACCACATGATCATCTCAATGGAAGCATAAAAGTCTTGATAAAATTCAACATCCCTTTATGATAAAAACCCTCAATAAACTGGTCATCACAGGAACATACCACAAAATTATAAGAGCCATCTGTCAGAAACCCACAGCCAATGTCAGACTGAACAGGCAAAAACTGGAAGCTTCCCCCTGAGAACTGGAACAACACAAGGTTGTCCACTACCACCACTCCTGTTCGACACAGTGCTGGAAGTCCTAGACAGAGCAATAGGCAAGAGAAAGAAAGAAAAGCCATCCAAATAGGAATAGAGGAAGTCAAACTCTCTCTCTTCAGAGATGATATGCTTCCACACCTAGAAAACCACATAGTCTCTGCCCAAAGGTTCCTAGATCTGACAAACAACTCTGGTAAAGTTGCAGGATACAAAATCAATGTACAAAAAATCAGTAGCATTTCTATAATGCTAATGTAATACTTGAACACTAGTAATGTCCAAGCTGAGACCCAAATCAAGAACACAATTCCATTCACATTAGCCACAAGAAGAAAGCACCTGAATAGCCAGAGCCATCCTAAGCAAAAAGAGAAAAGCTTGAGACATTTTACTACTCAACTTCAAATTATACTACTAGGCTATAGTAACCGAAATAGCGTGGTACTGGTACCAAAAAAATAGATACATAGACCAATTGAACAGGTTCAAGGATCCAGAAGTAAAGCTGCATACCTCTGTAACCATCTGATCATCAACAAAGTTGACAATAACAAGCAATGGGAAAAGGACTCTATTCAATAAATGGCTCTGGGATAACTGTCTAGTCACATGCAGAACACTGAAACTAGACACCTACCTTTTACCATATAAAAATTAACTCAAAATCGATTAAAGCCTTAAAATGTAAAGGCTTTATAGCCTAAAACTATAGAAACCCTAGAAGGAAATGCAGGACATACCATTCTGGACATAGGCCTTGGCAAAGATTTTATGATGAAGTCTCCATAAACAATTGCAACAAAAACAAAAATTGATAAGGGTGACCTAATTAAAAAGCTTGTGCACAGCAAAATAAACTATCAACAGAGTAAACAGACAAGCTAAAGAACGGGAGAAAATATTTGCAAAGTATGCATCTGACAAAGGTCTAATATCCAGAATCTGTAAGGAACTTAAGCAAAGAACATACAACCCAATTAAAAAATGGGCAAAGCACATAAACAGATGTTTCTCAAAAGAAGACATACATGCGGCCAACAAGCATGTGAAAAAATGCTCAAAATTACTAATCATTAGGGAAATGCAAATCAAAACCACAATGAGATACCATCTTACACCAGAGTGGCTGTTACTAAAAAGTCAAAAAATAATAGTTGTTGGTGTGGTTGCAGAGAAAAAGGAATGCTTTTACACTGCTGACTGTAAATTAGTTCAGCCACTGTGGAAAGCAGCTTGGAGATTTCTTAAAGAACTTAAAACAACTGTTATTCAACCCAGCAGTTCCATTGCTGGGTATACACCGAAAGGAATATGAATTGTTCTAACATAAAGACACATGCATGCATATGTTCATCACAACACTTTTCACAATAACAAGGACATGGAGTTAACCTAGATGTGCATCACTGGTGAGCTGGACAAAGAAAATGTGGTACATATATATCATGGAATACTACAAAGCCAGAAAAAATAATTATGTTCTTTGCAGCAACATGGATGCAGCTGGAGGCCATTATCCTAAGGAACAGAAAAACAAATACCACGTGTTCTCCTAAGTGGGAGCTAAACATTGAGTATACATGGACACAAAGGAAACAATAGACACTGGTACCTACCTGATGAGGGAGTGTAGGAGGAAGGTGAGGGTCGAAAAGCTACCTGTTGGATACTATTACTGTGCTCACTACCTGAGTGATGAAACCATTTGTACACCAAACCCCAGTGACATGCAATTTACCCATGTAACAAACCTAGGCATGTACCCCCAAACCTAAAATCAAAGTTCAGAAAAAAAAATGAAAAGCAAATAAAACATGAGTATGCTCTGAATAAAGGCATACCTTTCTGTTCAATAGTAACATGTATTTGATATCTTTTGCTAGGGGATCTTCTAAGTTTTTTTGCACGTAAATTGTTGGGCACATAGCAGAGGCTAAACTAGTTTTCAAACTGCATTGTCTTACTGTCTTACTATACCAGTCGCAGTCCCTGGCTTTGCAATAAGTTTCTGGACAGATGGAGTTAGCCAAAATGCTATCTAGCAATCGGAACCTGGGTTGCACACTCCAGCTCAAATGCAATTTAATCAGCATACCCTTTGGGCATGTACTGTCTGCCAAAGGCAGCTCCAGAGTAAGGTTGAAGTGAACCTAGGTTCTGGAAGGTCCAGGGTTTTTAAAAAAATAACATCTTGAATATTTGCAAATTTATATGAAGATACAGAAAGAAATGTTGAGGTTAAGAAAATTTATCAAAAATAGTTGCTCCATTACAGAGTCCCCTGAGGATAAAAACAGAAAGCATATTTTGAAGTCTTTGTTTTTATAAGGTGTTGGCCAAAAGGTAATTTCAATAATTCTCTTACCTCTTTCATTTATGTCTATCATTTCATCAGTGGGGGTCACAGCCATTTACTCCATTTTTGGAGATGCCATTTAACTCAAAAATCCCTGGAAGGAGTAGCAAAGTGGCTTGGATTTATATGAAGGTAGGAACTGGTGGGTTTGGATGATGGTGAGGAAAGGAGTGGGCAGAGGAAGAGACAAGAGTGAGTCTAAGTAGGGAGAGCTGTGCCGGGAAAGTCTTTGAAAGGAGAGAGCTAGTATGCTGGGAATGAAAATAGCTGACTTTAAAATGGTCTAGAATCAACCCTGGGTGCACATTATTATTAATTTTCTTTGACACTAATGATTTTTAAGGTAAGCCTTCAGGACTTGAATACATTGGAAAAATTGAGAAAAGCAGACTTTTCATCATCCAAGCCTCTTCTTGCCATGTGATTGTGTGTTCTGCTTGCAGGGCATGTTGCTAAGCAAGGAGACAGAAGTGCACATTCAATATCTGGTTCTGCAAATTTGTCCCTAAAGATTTTAGGGCTTCATTCAGGCAGAATTTCATATTGAGTTATTCTTGCCTTAAACTAGCAGACACTGGTCCTTCGGACTTAAAATGGGTCCATTTGCTGAAGCTTTCCATTCTGAGCTTCCCTGAGGAAACGAGAAGCATTTATTGTCACCAGGGGTTGCTGGTTTGGAAACCCTCTTTCCTGCTGCTGTGTTGTTCTCTGATTGTACATCTGGGGTACAATTTGGGGTGAGGAAGAAAGGTGGACCCTAAAAGTTACTGGCTTTGTCTTTCCCTGGCCTGGCTTTTAAAAAACTGAAGGTGTTTCGGTGACCCCTTTCCCTACTTGAAAGTAATGTTCAAAAAGAGTGAAAAGAGAGCAGGGTTTTTTTTTTGTTTTTCTTTTTTTTAAGGCTTTCATAGTGAGTAGTATTTTTCCCCATTCTAGTTTTCTTTTAAAATTATAATGATAATTCTACTTCACATATGTGCTTGTCCTATAGATCAGACAAGGCATTAATTTGCTTATTGGAGTTTGACAAACTGCCTGTATTGACTTATTGTCAAGCCAAAGCAGCCCCCCCGGTATAAAGGCTCTGAATTATTTTCTTTTTATTTTTCTTGGGGGGTGGTAAATGAAATATAATCTTGAAGGCTCCTCTTTCTCTGAATTTGTTACAAGGAAAGTGGAATATAGACAAAGCAATTAGGATCTCCATGCAGGAATAAAACTTACTTGCATCTTTACTAGACTGTTATTAATTAGTAAAATGTAGTTCTCTGTAAAGTTTAAAAACTATATTCTCACTCATAGGTGGGAATTGAACAATGAGAACACATGGTCACAGGAAGGGGAACATCACACTCTGGGGACTGTTGTGGGGTGGGGGGAGGGGGGAGGGATAGCATTAGGAGATATACCTAATGCTAAATGACGAGTTAATGAGTGCAGCACACCAGCATGGCACATGTATACATATGTAACCTGCATATTGTGCACATGTACCCTAAAACTTAAAGTATGATAATAATAAAATAACAAAACAAAACAAATCTATATACTGTCTAAATTTTTGTATGTGGAAAAAGAAAAATTCAGAATATAATTCAAAATATGTTCAAATCATTATAATATCAAAGATAATTTGAACTTGTAATCCAGGAGTGTCTTAGTAAAATAAATTTGAACTACAGCAGGAAAGTATTAGCTCGGCTCACAGGGACAATTATTTCCTGATCAAGGAACTGGATGATCTGGAACTGATTTTAGATTCTAGGGAAAAAATGGATCATTTCAATGAAATTCTTGAAATGTGTATGAAGTGAAGCAGAAAACTGGGACAAAATAAAATTGGTCATTCATGTGTTTGCTTCTCTCAAAGCTTGAATAATAAATTTGAAGGTTTAATAACCAACCCTACTCCTGGTCTAAATTTAATGTGGGCAGAATAATTGGTGTGTCTCCATGTCCTTTGCTGAAAATTCTGCCATCAACTGTAAAAATAATTTTACTCAAGTATGCATTTATGGTTGGAAATGGTTAGCTAATTATAAATGAGCTGCTGGAGCATTAAAACTATTAATTTAATAAATTTTCTAACCAGTGTGTCTTTAGTCCCAGAGCAATCTCTGGCACATATTAGGCATTCAATAACTATTTTTTAAGTGAATGAATTAAGTTAGCTGAGATAGAGGCAACTTCATCTTTAGTATACATAAATTAAATCTCTGCTATGGTTTGAATGTTTATGTCCCCTACAAAATTCAGGTTGAAATTTAAATCCCAGTGTAACATTACTAAGAGGCGAGGCCTTCAAAAGGTGATGAGGCCTTATGAAAAAGCTTTAAAGGGTGAATTTGGCCCGTCCATCTCCCCTACCATGTGAGAACACAGTATTCAAGGTGCCATCTTGGAAGCATAAACTGGGTCCTCAACGGACACTGAACCTACCGTACCTTGATCTAGGGCTTCCCACCCTCCAAAACTGTAAGAAATAAACTTCTGTTCTTTGTGAATTAAATTATCCACTATAAGATATTTTGTTATAGCAGGAAGAACAAATTAAGAAAACATTCCCAATAACAAAAAATGGGAACTTTCAGCAGGGTATGGTGGAAGTTCTGGGAATACAGACTGTCATATGAGGACATTCTAAGGAAGGATGAATCCCATAGAGAGATCAGTAGGGCTGAAGAATGGACAGATCCACAAGGGCAATTTTGCCATGGAGTTAAGGAGTCTTTAAATTTTAAATGTCACAGTTTGTGTAAAGAATACTTTAGTGCAGAACTTTCTAAACTTTCTTTGTTCCTGGTGCCCTTAGGGTTAGTCATTATTTTTTCACAGTGCCCTTAGTCCAAAAGAAAAAGCCAATAGTTTCACTTATTAAGTAGCTAGTTCTAAATAAATCAGTATTTAAGTCCTAACAACTTAGTAGCCATTTGAATAAACAATATGTTTAAATTAAGAGAAGAAAACCTGTAAATTTATTTCTGAAATAACTAGGATTCCTTATCAATGGGATGTGTGTGCCTGTTGAACACTTTACAATTGATCAAATACTGATATCACTGCTACCCTTGGTTTTCTTTCCACAGTGACTTTCATGCTGTACTTGATTTTTATCCCAGCAACCATGAAAAATCCTGTTTCAGAAAGATATGATATTTGGAAAGGAACCTAGCCATCTAATGTTAAAGTAGTCTTGCAGTGTCTGACAGATGTCAGGAATTGTGTCTTCCTAAAAAATGTAAAATATATTGGCGCACCCTGTGAGTTCATTACAGAGTCCCAGTGCCCCTTGGGTAAAAAGTTGGTAACCATGGGATTATGAAGTTGAAAGACAGACATAACAATAATAATAATGTCAACTGCCAACTCACTAAAAAGACCACCAAAATAAAGAAAACTGCATTTATTCTTAACCCAGTAAGGAAGATCAATATCTTGTTGAAATCTTAGTAAATCTTCTTAGGGTAGAGGTGAAAGCCAGGGCATTTATGAGGTTTTGGGGTGCTGGTTTAAGACAGGCAGGTCTTTCAATGCAGAGAACTTAACTGGATTGACTAGAGTTTGTGACATAATAGTATAAAATTGATGGACACAGTGAGGCAAGGATTTTGAATGAGTGTAGAAAGGTAAGTCATCTCTTGATAAGCCTGGTTGCATGATCTGTTATGAGAAATGAGATGATGAAAGCATAGTTGAAAGTTTGGATATATGGATTTGGTGGAATTTCTTGAAATAAACAAAAAATACAATTATTTGCCTTTTCATCTTCTTGGGCAAGAGTTTCTTGTAAGAGTAAAGTCATGTTAATATATACATTGGGCTGTATAGCTTTGGTTCTCAATAATAATGATAAAAAACAACAGCAGCTAACATTTATTGGGACTTTTATCTTGCCAGCTGAAGTTCTAAGTGCTTTACATGAATTGTATTTTTAAATATTCTTAACGATTTTATGAGGTAGTAGTTAGTATTCCCATATTTATGGAAAAATGCTCTGAAAGGAAGACAGTAGTTAGTCATACTTTGTGGTCATGGAGTGAGGACAAGACACAGCATGTGCTTTTTGTTTTGTTTTCTTTTGTTTTTAGTAAAAAGGCAGAGAAAGTGAAAAGGCACAGAAATTACAGGATATGAGATTAATTAATGAATTTGTACATTATTTCTTTTCAAAGTGCTCTTTAAGTATTCATATTACTCCTGCTGTGACCCAGTAATGGTCTGTGTGCCTCCCTGCACAGGCGTTGATACAGGAACTACTCTGTTTTGACCATGCTTTGGATCTAGCTTGTTGTAGCTTTCTTATTTATTTATCCTGGATGTCAGTGACCAGCTGCCTGCGAACTGACCTCAGGCCTCATGCTGCTGCTGACTTGGATAATTCCTGAAGGGCAGCAAAGCCCTTGGACATGGAGAACAGGCTTTCATCTGGGCGATACTGGAAGTAGTGCACAAAGTCTCATGTTTTGTGATATGTTGGTTGCTTAGTTATTGAGTTATATTACAGATTGTGACTTTATTCTGAAAAAAAGTGTAGTGCTTAAGTGGCTTGCATCCTTGCTAGCTTAAGAAAATATTTTAGGTGGCAGTATTATGTGGTGAAAGGACAACAGATTTTGATGCAGTAATTTTAGGACTGAGTTTGGGCTCTTCCATTTTCAAGCTGTATTATCTTACACACGTTATCTGGCATCTCTGAACTTCAGGTTCTTCTTTAGTAAGTTACGATGAATATGTACTTCACAGGGTTATTGTGGAGTTCCAATAAGGTAATGTTAAAGTATATTAAAGAGATTTTTAACGCAACAAAGTTTTAATCAAATACTTGTTATCACTGTTATTATGTGGTTATATAAAAATATGTTGTATACAGTCAATTACTAGATATTCCTATAATTCTACTTCATGCTAACATGTTTATTCTTTGAAGCACAGGGATTCATATGAATCATTCTCTAATTCTGAAAATATTGCAATCTAATACCCTAACAACTCATTCACAATAGACAAAACATTTCTAAGCATAAATGCACATTGGATTGATAATTATTTCTCCAAGCTATGTTTTGAGTTGGTAATTTAATTTTCATGCAGCCTCTTAGGATTTATATTGTATGTGGCAGCTTAAACACACTCTCACAGACACACCCTCACAACTTTGGCTGCACTGAGAAATTCACCTATTATTATGATGTTTATTCTTCAGTATCTTTATTATTTATTTTTAACTTTTATTTTAGGTTCAGGGGTACAGGTGCAGGTTTGTTATATAGGAAAATTGTTTGTCATGGGGGTTTGGTGTATAGATTATTTTATCACCCAGGGTAATAAGCATAGTACTTGATAGGTATTTTTTTTTAATCCTCTCCCTCCTCCCACCCTCAAAGAGGCCCTAGTGTCTGTCAAATCAAAACATAATTCCTTAGCTTATCCTATAGATTTTGCCATGGATCTGAAAACCTAGAACATATAATTTACCAATTAAATGTTCATTGCAGAGGTTATCCTTTATGAAGTGTAAAAGGACACCAAATTTGCAATGCAATCTTAGCTGGCCTTCCATTAACACTAATTATAATCTTCATATGACAGTTGTCAGGTGTGTCTTGAAATTGATTTAAAAATCATGCATATTATATAGTGACTTATTGTTTCATAAAACAGAGGTGTAATTAGAAGGATACCGACTTTTCCCATGAGATCAAAGGTAGATAAGTAATGGGGCATTATGACAGGAACTAGACCTACAGTTCACCTTGCAGATTTTCTTAGTATGTGCCTTTTTCTGGTAATAAATGGGGCCATTTTAGTGCCTCTCTCATTCTCCTTTTCTTGCTAAAGGACAGTTTCTTGTGCTCTCCTTAAACATTCCTATCACAGTGTCCTCAAAGCGAGATCCTCTGACCTAGGAGTCGTTATAATACAACAAAGAAGCAACCACCACTAACTGACCTTCCTGCTCATTGACCCAATTCCACATTCCTTGGAGAGAGATTCTCATTAATCCAACTGAGTCTCATGATTACTAGTTCTCTATAAATTGCCCAATAGAATATGGCTGTGGAACAAGGGCCTGAGGGACAAACATGACTCCAGGGGCAGGTGGTGGCAGTTCTCAAGAGAAGGGGCTTGGGCAGGATCATCCTCAAATCATAATAACATAAAAAGATTTTAACAATAGAAACTTTTCACTATTGTCACAGAAATATTAGGTTGCAAAAACTTAGATTTACATAAATCTAGTTTTATGTAATGACGAAGTTTATAAACATTGGCATAGCGAAATGTTTACTGGCTTGTAATAGCTATTTAAAGGAATTTTAAATCGTTATTTAAATCAATAGTTATTTAAAGGAATTATATAGCTAAGTTCTTTTAAAAACATCCAATCAATCAATATGCCTTTGTGAAGCATCTCTTTAAAAGTATACCGTTTTACTTATGTGGTTTTTAATGGTAGATTGGTATAACAGCAAGAATTTATTTACTTTGCATTATTAGGATAGTACTTTATAGAACTTTATGGTTCCTTCAGCCGTGGGGTTCTGTCTAATCATGCATTTATTATTTATTATTTTTATTATTTAGTAGAGATGAGGTCTCACTATGGTGCCCAGGGTGGTCTCAAACTCCTGGCCTCAGCAAGCCTCTGCCTCATCCTCCCAAAGTGCTGGAATTAGAGGTATGAGCCACCATGTCCAGCCTGGTCATGCATTTTTGATCACTGTTCCTTCCTTTAGTTTGTATCTGATTGTAAACAATCTATATACAGAAGTATTGGCTTAATTCCAAAATAAGCATAGGAAAGAGCTTGAAGTATTAGAAAAATAGAAGGAAGGAGAATGTGACTGGAGTCTAGTGAATCACGGCTGAACATCATGCATGTATAAACACCAAGCAACAATCAGGATAGATACCTAGGAAGTTCTTTATGAATGGCTGTGATTTTTGTTTCCAGTATGTGAGTTTGTTATTTATAGAAGACCACACTGAGGACCACTGCAACCTGAAAAACTCACTCTCAAGGAGTTCCATGACTTATGAAGTTAGTAAGGCTTTCTTGGATTGGAGGAAAATGTGCATAAGGTACAGTTAAGCCCCTAGTTCTCCTTCCCTTCTGGAGATCAAGTGACTCCCCCTCAAGCAGGAGGCCAGCCATTAATATATTCAGGAGAAACTGAACCTGAGAAGCTCTGGACTCCTTTGTACCAGACCTGGTAATGTAAACATGTCAGCAGGGTGGGGAAGTGCAAATGGTTAAAAAAGAAAAAGTAAAAGAAACAGACAATACAGGAAGATAAAGAAGACAAAAGCAATTGGTGTAATTGAAATCCTAAGAATAACAAGAAATATTGCTTCCAATAAAAACAAAAACCAAAAGGAAAAACTAAGATATTTATGTAAAGAAACAATCAGAAAAAGTTCCTGGAGATTAATATAAAATCATGTAGAAGATCAACTAGATATTGAGAAAATTCCTGGGGAAAATAGAATCAAAATATAAATAAATGGAAAATAGAAAAAAAAAGAGATAAGAAAATTATCAATCCAGTATTCCAACATTAAGCTAATAAATATTAAATAAAGAGAGAACAGAGAAAACAGTTTAGGAAATTGTTCAAGAAATCGGGCACAAAAAAAAATTCCATAACTAAAGTACAGGCCTTCAGGTTAAAAGAACCCAGTAAGAGTTCAGCAAGAAAAGATTCACATTTTTTGTGCTGTTTCGTAACACCTGGAAAAAGCAGAGGATCCAAAACTTCCCAGAGAGAAAAACAAACATTTAACTACAAAGACTCTGGAATCAGAATGGCATTAAAATTCTCAAAAGCAACACTGAAGTTAGAATATTATGGAGAGACACCTTAACATTAAAAAGAAATGTAATTTTCAACTTAGCATTACATAGCCCACCAAACTATTATTCAAGTATTTGTATAGAGTAAATATATTTTTTGGGATGTGAAAAGTCATTTGTGATTCTTGTGCTCTTTTAAATGAAATTACTGTGGGATAAGCTTTGGCAAAGTAAGAGGATAAACAGGATAAGTGACATTATGGAACCCAGGGAAAGGAGATCCAATTCCTAAAAGGAAGTCCTCCCTTTCTCCCCTCTCCCCTCTCCTTACCTTCTTTTCTTCTTTTTTCCCCTCCATTTTTCCTTACCTCCTTTTCTTCTTCCTATTTTAAGGTTGAAAGTGGTATAAGACTTTAAATCCTATAACCCGGAATCCGTGGGATTTTACAGCTCTTAATACTATCGCATTTCCTTTTATCAAAAGGAAGGATGCCTTTGGCATCCTATTTTTAATGAGTCCCATGGTTATTGGCAGAGTGGTGGTGAGATGATCCCAAGAATAGTGTGGCTAGGAGAGAGATGCAGTGGAAGAACTCATGTGTTGATGAAGAATATTAGGAAAGCAAGTTGAAAACTTCAGGAAGAAGAATGAAAATCAGAACATATTTTCCCCTGGACAGATACCAACGGGATTAAAACTTGGTGCGGAAGTTTGAAGTCTTAGCCTGTGAAACATCCACAAAGCTTTCAGTCTTTTTTATGCTTCCATTAGGATTTTCACATAATCTCTTGAGGATCATGAGCTCAAATTAACTACAAATATACTGAGAAGCAATTGAGGAAATTTTTTTATAACAAGTTCACTTAGTTATCAAAAAATAATTTTAGAAGGGAAAGGACAATTATTTTGCTATGTATTGCCACTCAAAATCTGTGGTACAAATTTTTTATAGAAACGCATTGTCCTATAGTTCATATTGAATGAAATAATAAAGTAAATCAGCTCTTTAGTCCACTCTTACATAGCTATTACGTTTTTATCAGTAAGGTGTCAACTGAGCAAACATTGTTCAGATGAAACCATTGATTCCATTTCACTATATTATTCATACCTCTACTTTTATGAAAGGGACAAAATGGGAGAAATTGGTTGGTACCACAAGAAATGGAAAGCAAGGGGTCTGTG
Source organism: Homo sapiens (assembly GCF_000001405.40). Lineage (NCBI taxonomy): Eukaryota > Metazoa > Chordata > Mammalia > Primates > Hominidae > Homo > Homo sapiens. The sequence goes on along the minus strand of NC_000006.12, from coordinate 78,487,871 downwards.
GGCTGAGTAACTGTTCTCTGTATGATCACATTATGATACATCATATTACCTATCTCTATTGGTAAATTGAGTATATGAGAATTAAGTGTTAATGACATGTTTCTTAAATACATTTTAAAAGCTGGACATTTGAGAGACAATAATGTCTGTGTCGGACTTTGCCTGTGCAACCCCAGCTCCAGTGAAGGGGCAGAGCTGTGTTTGTGACTCAGACTCCTTGGCTTCAGCTGAGTAAGTTGGATGAGTTCTAAGGTATTTTTATTTTCTTCCTTTCTCATCTGCCCTGATATGCTTGCTTCCATTTCCTGTCATTCCTCTCTTTGTTTTTTCTAAAGGGAAGCAAATAGAGTATGTTCAAACCTCTATTTGATCTGTATACCATGTTTACTGCTCAGCTAAAGTTTGCCTTCACTTAAGGCTACAGGGAAATTACACTTGCTAGGTTGTGGATTTTGAGCCAAATTATACAGTTTGTGCCATTCCTTCAAGAAACAAAGCTTGAGCGGAGGTGTATATGAGTAACTATTTCTCAGTCAACAGCTAAGCAGTTACCTGGAGTGCTCTAAAAAGTCATGCTTCTTTTCCTTGTTCAGGGAAAAGGCTATTAAAGAGATTAATAAACAATGGTAAATGTTATTCTGTTTAGAAGATTTATGCAATTATATACCATTTTTCTTCTCTTTCCACCTAGCTGAGGTAGCAGTTTTTGTACTTACTTTGAGTCTAAGTATGTGATACACAAGAAGATATTGCCTCGTAGAATGAATAATGAGAATTTGGTTGAAGGACATTTATGAAAACAGACACAAAGTTAAAACTGAGTTAATCATTTTAAGAAAATCCTGGGTTTTTTTTGTTTTTTTTTTTTTGCTACTAAGTTGTGAGAGGGAGTTTCATCTATTTTATATTTTATAGACTGGGTTTGTAGGTGGCTCATTCTGCATAATATGAGACATGGCATGAGGCTGGCCGTTGTGTACCTACTTGTGAATGAAAAGATTGACCCATTTAGATGTTAGCCTATGTACAATCCCAAGGATTTTTACCTTTGACTGAAGATAGTTTAGATCTGTTGTTTTTCTCTGCTGTGTGGTCTCTGGAAAATCATTTACTCTCTCTCTTAGTTTCTTTACATGTAAAATAAGATTATTAACATCTATTAGGTTGGTGCAAAAGTAATTGCAGGTCTTGCCATTGAAAATAATGGCAAAAACTGGATTACTTTTGCTCCAACCTAATACTTCATTGAGTAGGAAATACCTGCAAAATTCTTTAAAATGTATCTATGTCATAGTAAGTGTTCAACCAATGATATTTATTTTAGTCATCGCTATCATCATGTTTTGTATTACAGCCATTTGAACTGATGGCATCTGTGTTTCCCAGTAGACGTGGAGCTTCTTGAGAGTAGAGAGTATGTCTTTTTGTTGGTTTTTTTCCCTACCATAGGCCATAACACAAAGACATGAGCCAAACACTTTACAAAAGTTTAATTGAAATAATAAAAACAAGGATCTCAAACAACAGCTAATCTAAAATCTATATGTATTTTTAGTTCATGATGCTGACAACTTGGATGACTAGCAAAACCAAGTCACATTCTGTTAGCAGAAGCTGAGAGGTGGTGGGATAGTAGTCCTGGAACATGCTTGGTTTCAAGGAGAAAACATCTAGATTAGGAATTCATGTTTGTTAAATACCTCCAATGCCCTGCACTCCAAACATTTATAGATTTTAATGTTTGAAAGTTTTAGCTTAATTTGGATTAAGAACTATGCTACAAAGATATTACAAAGTAACTTTCCATTAAGGTGTGGGATTTTGGGTGTTTGTATGCTTTCTTTTGACACATTCAAAATGGCACAAAGCTAAACATAAATCTGTTTTGGAATGAGTCAGGAAACAAACAAATAGTGAAATGAGCTTGAGTTACACTCAAAGGTAAGCATGCTGCTGGCAATTATCTGGGCCATATATGCCTATTTCAACAACAAGTGTGATAGTAATTATAAAATGCCACTAAAATTCTATATTGCTTAAGATGGAGACAAAACTGCATCTCTTTCTCTCTCTGCTGTGTTGATCTTATATCAGTACATTTTTTCTTCTTTTTTATCTTTTATTAAAAAAGATTCTACTCTCCTTTGGAGATATCTGTTAGGAATGGGAACACATTTTTCTAAAATAGAGATTTATAAAATTAGATATCAAATGTACTTTTCATGGCAATAACCTGGATTGCATTAATTGTGTATTCTAATGTCTCTCTTCCTAAATGTCACTAAAGCAGCATAATCTATGAAAATTTATAACAAATAAAAACCTATTTCTTGATGTATGTGCTCCTGGAATGTTTTTCTTCACATTTTATCCCAATTATAAAATGTGTAGATATTTGGGTTGCACATGGCCTGTATTGTTTTTAAAATAGTTTAAGCCTTATTCACAAGGTAGTTGGTAATCCAAGTATGTTTTCAATATTTTTCCATTTTTTGTTACAATTAATGATACTTAGCTTATCAAGAGTGTTGTTTTATAATTAGCTTATCAAGAGTGTTGTTTTATAATTGCCCAGTCAGATATCAATGAAAGAGATTAATAATAGTGAATTATAAATGGAAATCAGTCTCTTAGTATGAATTAATAAGTTGTAAGAAATTGATTTTTCATTTCTTTTTCTACTTCATTAAACACATTAATGCCTTAAAAGCTACTCCATGTTTCTTAAAATCTGGTTGAATAATTTGTCAAGACAGGTCACATTTAAAAAATCCCTTGGGTTCTTTACTAGTCTTGTTTTAATATAACTTTGGACAAACATCATTTTAAATGCTGACTCTTTTGTCTTTCTGTATTTAAGTGCTGGCTTCATAATTCAATGTCCTATGAGCAACAGACAGCTCAATTCATGTCTGGCTAATGTTTTTATTTCTTGTTTTTATTGAAAGTGGTACATGGGGGCACATTAAGTGGCACATGAAGTTCCCCTGAGATCTTGTAAGTAGGAGGAATGAGATTATTCTCTGAGAATTAAATTATAAAATCAATGGATAGTAGATCATAACAGAGATATGTGACCACTTGGAAAAAAATGGATTTACTGGCAGGGCCAGAGCAAGACTTGACTGAATAAATAAATAAACCTAAAGGAAAATTAACAGTCAAAGGAGACACTATTCAGCAATAAAGTCAGAAACAATTGACCCAGAAGAACAAACATTAGCTGTGTCCAGTCTAAATACAGAAAGAACATATTGGCCAATGGTTTTATTGTGGACATGGTGCTTTGGACCATCATCTGACTAATGTAACTTACTTCTGTTGTGATTTTATGCTTCTTGAGGACCCTTCCCATTAAAGTTTGACTTTCCTTAATGATCTGCCTTTGGGAGAGAAGAGGTGGTTATGCCGATGTCAGTGTTTAAGGAGGTATGACAACCATATTTCTATTTATAAATTTACAAGTTGGCATTATGATTTTATACATCATTCTCTGTCTATTAGCTGAGTGAAATCCACCCATGAAAGATGGATTTGACTCTCAAATTGCTGACTTGTAGGTCCTTAAGCTTATGTGTTTTATGGCCAGAACCAATTGCTTGTTGATTTTATCACCATAATGCAACTCTGAAACCTCAGAGATAGATTTACATGCAGATAGATTTACATGCAGAGACAGAGAGCAAGAGAGAGAGAGAGAAAAACTGCATTTTCTTCTTTGTCTGTCTTGAAAAACACTACTCAAAGCTTGATCAAAACTCTTTTTTATTATGCTTTAGCTGTATAGTCCATTATTTAAGTGATAGATTAGTGGTTTATTCAATGATCTATTAATGAGGTGGGCTATAACAGAGTACTGTAATAGCTTTCATCTTTACCTAAAAGTACTTTATGTATGTGTATGGAGAGGCAATCAATAAAAATAAGCAGCCTTCATACATAAAAGCTGTTAGAATGACACCACTTACTTTGGCTTAGTATTTTAGAGTTTATAAGGAAATTTCACATTAATTCTCTCTTGATCCTTTCAGTAACTCTGTGAAGCATGCAGGAGAAGTATTATTATCTTCAGTTTGCAGATTAGGAAATTGTGGCTCAGAGAATTTAAGAGATTAGCCAAGATCTCATGACTAAGAAATGACAGCCAGCACAAACAGCTGTGTCTTCAAACACTCATCCAGTGCCCTTCCAATTAGGTTACTCTGCCTTGCATATAGAATTAAAGAAATTTTTTTAAAAGGTTCCGAAAGCTAATGATTGACTATAATTTATTTTTACAAAATACTCCCATTTTGCGTATTTAAACTATGATAAGATGGAGAAGATGACTTACAGTTAACCCATTCATGACATTTTTTTTTATCATGCACCTACCTTGTGTCAGATGCTGAACTGGAGGTACAATGGGGTACAAGGCAGATAGGGTCTCGTAAAACATTTTAGTGTGGAAGACACTCATTATGTATATAATCAAACAAATGACCATGTGTGATTGTGATAACAGATGGGGAGCTTGAGAGACCTTCCTCAAGGGTGACATTTAAGCTGAGGCCCTTTGGATAGTAAGTCGGCCAGATACATGGCAGGGGTGTCTCTTTATTAAGAGCCATGTCTACAAAACTGGATCACCTTAAACAAAAACAGAGAAATTGATTTCTTACCACAACTTTTTGTCCGTATCCTAGTTCTGGCATGAGAGAGATGAAGGCTGGGAGGAAAAAGAAAAGAGATGCTACTTTAAATGAGCTAATCCATGATAATTAATTACTATGGCTTTTTGGTTCTCATTATCATAATTTAGCAGAAGCTTTGAATAAAAAAAGTCCCACAAGATTCAGGGTTGTCTAATAGGATATTGTGTCTCATAAAAACGATTAGTTAGAGGTCCAAACTTAATTGTCTTAATAAGCCACTTAATCATTCAGGACAGACAAGAGAAGCCACAAAGGACCACAGTTCTAAGGCTTTTAGTTTTAAGTTTTCAAAAGCTCATTAGTTAAGCACTAGGATGAAAAGCAGAGTGCAACATTACTTTATCCAAAGAGCCCAGTGATTGTTAAAAAAGCTCATTAGTTAAGCACTAGGATGAAAAGCAGAGTGCAACATTACTTTATCCAAAGAGCCCAGTGATTGTTAATCTACAATTTGTGGAGTTGCTTTGTATTAATCCTCAGTAGCATGAGGAAAATTTTGAAGGAGTCCCTATACAGTGATGATAATAGGCATCATCAAGACAAAATAGAACTAACCAGAAATTACTTTGAAAATCCAATTTTAATGAAGAGAGACTGAATAGTTCTCATTCTAAATAAGATAATAAACAGAGCCCTGATCTTTATTAACTGGAAGCTTGAGGAATGAGTTATTTTGGCCAATTATTAAATATAAACTCACCTTCATTTAAAAAGTGATCTTTTTATGCTTGTGTATTTTTTCCAACTATAATAGTATGTGCTTATGTTAGAAAGTTGGAAAATAAAAAAAAGCTCATGAAAGAAACAGTAATATACCATGATTAAAGTAATTCAACAACCTGGTACCAACTACATTTTAATAGATTTCTTTCAGGTCCTTTAAGAATGTGCACATGTAATTAAATATATGAAAAAAGTAGACACATTACTGTCTATAATATTTCAGACTTTATTTTGTCAGTTATAAACATTTTAACACAAGATTAAATATTTTTGAAATGATCTTTTCATTTCTGCCTGCTATTTTATGATGGAGATGTGCCAAAATTATTTAACCATTTTTTTTATGTTGGATATCTTGGAAGTGCCTTTTTTGACATTCATACCTAATGCCAGAGTGAATATCCTTGCTCATGAATCTGATTTTTTTGGTATAAATTCCTACAAAGGGATATTACTGAGTCAAAATAAATGAATGTTAAAAATGTATTTATATATATTACAAAATTGCATGCTTGTATGCCTCATTTGTTTTGTTTTTTTGTAACAATTTATACAAAGTTTACATTCATTTGTTTTCATTCCTAATAACCTTGACTAAAAATTCCAATTTCACTGCATCTTATAAATCTTGAAAATTATTCATTAAAAATTGAATCAGTGTGGCCGACTGAGATATGTTTTTATGCCTCCTCATCTAAAATCTTTAAACTTATAAAAATATATTTTAAAAATGAACCTAGAGCAACATGGTATAAAGGAAAGGAAAGAAAGCCATCAGCTCACAAGATATTTTTAGGAATTCCTGAAAATAAAAGCAGATGGCATTGGAATTTTAGAGAAAAGATAAAAACACAGGCCAAAACAATTGGGAAAACTATCACAGATGTGATAGAAACAATTCCAGGGATATTTCAAGCTTAGATTCAGCACATACAAAGGCAAGTGTTGTGTATGGAGGAGTTATTAGCTTAAAGATTGCTTGTCTATATGCACTCCCATCCCCTGGACTTTTTCTCTAAATGTAATAATGTATCTGGAATGTGCTCTTAGAGTGAATACTTAGGTCTGAGAGAGAAGCAGAAAGGAGGAAAGATCTCAGCAGAAAACAGTTTAAATTGATCTTCATGCCCAACATGAGTAAAGACCTCTTTACTTTAGGACTCATAGGTGTCAGTCTAGAGCTTACCTGTCTGTTTTCTCCATGCCCTCCAATAGCCATGCTCAACTTTCACCATTTAAGCATGATATTTATAGATATTTCATGTATGTCTCTATTAGAATGAGAAAGCTTCCTGATATTCTTTGTATGCTGAGGGTCTTAAAATTATGATTGGGTATTGAATTTTGTCAATTTTTATATGTTGAAATGTTTATATTATTTATATTTATTATCTTAATATGAATTACATTGATTTCTTACTGTTAAGTCAACTTCTCATTCTTGGTCTAAACCCTAGTGGGTTATGCTGTATATGTATTTGTTCATAATGGATTTGGTTTGCTAATATTTACTTAAGAATTTCTGCATCTATGTTTAGGAGGGGTATTGGTGTACACATTTTTGTGAAGTCTTCATCAGGTTTGGTATTTTAATAAAAAATTAGTGTTCTCTATTGTTTTTTGAAACAAAATGTTACCTCTCTCTTTCTCTGTCTCCCTCTGTCTTTCTCTCAGCAGTCTAGCTACCAGTTGGCCAATGCTATCGTCTGAATGTTTTTGTCCCCCCAAATTTATATGTTGAAATCTGATAGTATTAAGTTTGATAGTATTATGCGATGGTGCCTTTGGGAGGTGATTAGGTCATGAGGGTGATTTCCCTGCTTTTCCCTTTTCTCCTGCCCTTTACTTTTCATCTTATGAAAGACTAGACAGGTGTGTGTTGAAAGCATGTAAATATACCTGGTTTTGTTGCCACCCAAAACTGCCATATATGTAAGTTGTCCTGAATAAATCTGACTGTCTACCAACCTGGAGTGATCTGCCCCCTTTTTGGGTTGATCTTGCCTTCCTCTTATGGAGGGTGGCTCCCGGTTTTGGCAAGAAGTTTTACCAACAGTAATCTGATGAGGTTACAGAGAGAAATGAGGAACGTGTAATTAGAAATTAGAGGAAAGGTGACCCCTATTATAAAGTGGCAAAGAATTGGCTGAATTGTGTTTATGTCCTTACCTTAGAATTTTGAGTGATGGAATTGGATATCTGGCAGAAAAAGTCTTTAAGAAATATGTTGAGAGTGGCATGGTTTCTCTTGACTGCTAATAAGTAAAAATAAAAAATGAGAAGAGAGAAATAATCTGAAGATGGAATTTATGATCGAACACAATTCTGAGATTGGCTGTATTATAAACAAAAAAAAGTAAGTATATTTGGGAAAGAACAGCAAGGGTGTGGTTAGATTGACAGTTTGATAAGGAGATTGATACAGAACTGTGAAAACCAGGGGCCATTTATCAAGACAATGGGAGGAGAATGACTCCCGAGGCATTTCATAGGTCACTGGGGCTGCCACTTCCATCACAGGTCCAGCATGCCGAGGTAGACAGAATGATGTCAAAAGTGAGGCCTCAGGCACGTCAGAGCTTGCTGCCCAGTTCTCCTTTGTATCCCTGCTTCCCACATACTGGTGTAGCTCTCCTTGACCACCCTAGATGTGGCTCCAATGGGCTCAGGAATGGTGCATGCCACAGTGGCCACTCCTCTGGAGAGCACAGGCTGTAAATCTTGGTGGCATCCCCATGGTGCTATCTTCACCAGGACACAGAGTGCAAGAGCTGAGGGAGTGTGGGTATTCCACCTAGATTTCAAAGGATTCCCTAGAGAGCTTCAAGACCCAGGGAAAGAACTATAACAAGGGCAGGGGTGGGGCCACCACAGATACCCCCAGTAGGAGAATGCCTAGTGGAGCTATGGGTATAAAACCACTGTAGAGAGCCCCCCTAGGGCAATGCCTAGTGGAGCTGTGGAGGCTGCCCCATTGACTCCAAACTAGTAAAGCCACTGGTGGGGAACTCAAACCTGAGGGAGCTGCAGATACTTGACTCCAACCCTTGAGAACTTCAGTGTGGGCTGTACTCAGCAAAGCAATGATGGTTGGGGCACTAAGCCTTAATATTAAGCTTAGCTTAGAGCCCCAACACTTACCACAGTGTGTCTGGAAGTTGAGACTTTGAGTTAAAGAAGATTATTCTGAAGCCTTAATATTTAATGTTTTTCCTGTTGGGTTTTGGATTTGATTAGGACCTGTTAGATTTTTCTTTCCTACTTATTTCTGTTGGTATGGGAATGTCTATCCCATGCCTGTCCCTCCATGATATTTTGAAAGCATATAAATTGTTTTATTGTACAGGTTTGTTGGTGGAGGGAATTTGCCTCAGGATGAATCTTAGAGTCTCACTCATATTTGCTTTAGATGATATTTAAATAAGACTCAAGACTTTGGACTTTTAAGTAGATAATGGAACAGGTTAAAACTCTTGGCTCTGTAGGGATAGAATGAAATGTATTTTGCATGTGAGAAGAACACGAATTTTGAGGGGTCGGGGTGGAATGTTACGAACTGGATGTTAGTGTTTGCCACAAATTCATGTGTTGAAACCCAGCTCTCATTGCAATAATATGAAGATATAGGGCTTTCAGGAGGCAATTAGGTCATGAGGGAGGAGCCCTCAGAAACAGAATTAGCATCATTATGTTACAGGTTGTTAGCTAGGCATGAGTAGGGCAGGAGAGGGCTCCTCCACCACCCACTAGGAATGTTGGGTGATGGTTAGGCAATGATATTGGCTCTCTAAAAGTGATAAATTGGCAGCCTGTGCCAGGGAGAGGTCATTTCCTGATGGTCCACACCTGTTGCACTAAAGTGTTATTTGAATGCAGATGCCAGGGAGACACAATTGCCGGACATATGTATTAAGTGACAAAATGACAGAGTATGACCTTCTGGGGGCAAAGCAATGGAAAGGGGAAGAAAGCCTCAGATAGGCATGCATACAATTTCCTAAACACACTGCACATGCTCACTTCTCAAGGGTAAGGGGATATTGTCCATGTGAGCAGCCCACCCTAAGGGAAGAATCATGGGGAAGGGGTCAGCCTATGAAGTCCTAGGATCAAAGTTAAAAACCTTGTTCAGGTTGGGCGCAGTGGCTCACGCCTGTAATCCCAGTACTTTGGGAGGCCGAGACGGGCGGATCACGAGGTCAGGAGATTGATACCATCCTGGTTAACACGGTGAAACCCCATCTCTACTAAAAATACAAAAAAAATTAGCCGGGCATGGTGGCGGGCGCCTGTAGTCCCAGCTACTTGGGAGGCTCAGGCAGGACAATGGCGTGAACCCGGGAGGCGGAGCTTGCAGTGAGCCGAGATCGCGCCACTGCACTCCAGCCTGGGCGACAGAGCGAGACTCCGCCTCAAAAAAAACCAAAAAAAACAAAAAAAACACCTTGTTCAAGTCACCCACTTGGGGCTCTTCCAAATGTACTTTCCTTTCTTTTCTGTTCTAAAGCCTTTTTAAAATAAACTTCCACTCCTGCTTGAAACTTGCCTTGATTTCTTTTTCTGCTTTATGCCCCTCAGTTGAATTCTTTCTTCTGAGGAGGCAAGAACTGAGGTTGCCGCAGACCTGTAATAATTTGCCACCAGGAACTTGGATACTTTCCACCAGTAACACTTATAAAGAGGATTAAAGAAGCTTGTGTTTCCTTCTGCCATGTGAGGACACAGCTGGAAGGTGCCTTTTGAGCAACAGGCCCCCACCAGACACCAAATCTCCTGGCATCTTGATCTTAGATTTCCTAGCTTCCAGAACTGTGAGCAATAAATGTCTCTTATTTATAATTTATCCAGTGTAGCAGCACTACACTCCAGCCTAGATAACAGAGTGAGACCCTGTTTCAAAAAAAAATCATCCAGTCTAAGGTATTTTTTATAGCAGCCAAAATAGATAAAGTCAATTTTAATCTTTGCATAGGACTAACTTTTGAAGTTGTTAATTTTTTCTATTGTCTGGTTTCTATTTCAGTTATTTTTGCTTTTTCCTTTACTATTTTCTTCTGTCAACTTACTTTGAGTACATTTTACTCTTCTTTTTACGTATTTTTAAGGTAGGACTATAGGACATAGGATTAGACACTTTTTTTTTCTGAATAACCCTTCAAATCTATAAACTGCCTTCTACACACCGTGTTAGCTTTATCCCACAAATTGTGAGATGTATTTTCATTACTGTTTAATTGAAAATATTTTATAACTTCTTTTGTGATATCTTTATTGACACATCAATTATTTAGAAGTTTGTTATTAATTTCTAAATATTAGGGGTTTTCTTATGTAATTTAATTATTTCTATTTTTTATTTTGTGGTCAGATAAAATCTCTGATTTCAATCATTTTAAACTTACTAAGACTTGTTTTAAGTCTCAGCAAATAGTCTATCTTTGTGAGTATACTATGTGCATTTATGAATATACCATGTGTATTTTAAAGGAGTATGAATTCTGCAGTTACTGGTTATGGCATTGTATAAATATTAATTAGATCAAGTTATTGATAATGTTCAGATCTTCTTTGTCTTTGTTGTTAGTTAGTTGTTCATTGAGTGGTGTGCATATATTCTAATTATATAATTTTATATTTAGGTCTGGATCCCTGAGTGACTATGTAAAGCAGGGATTCCCCTGCTGACTCATATAGGATACATAGTGAAATGAGAAATTTACCTTTGTTACTTTGAGCCACTTCTTATTTTCTCTTGCATACACTGGCATATTATTTTGTTAGCACAGCAAAATCTATTCATTCTAATAACTTCATTTATTGATAGAGAAGTCATATAATTTTCCAAAGTGCAATGAAAAGATTCACTGCATAGTAGCTGAAAGTTCAAATAGTGGCTGTCATTTGTGCAGGGGAAATAGGAAATGTTAATATGTATTTAACATTTTTGTGACTTAGGTGAGAGTAGATGAAATAAGATGCTGATGTGTAGTCTACCAATTAAAATTAATTCTATGCATTATGTATCCCATAAGAGTCAGCAGGGGAATCCCTGCTTTACATAGTCACTCAGGGATCCAGACCTATGGAGGGTCCACCATCTTTTGACACTCCCTTTTCAGACAGCCTTCAGATTGTACATAGAGGAAAACAGTACATAACAAACCACACGTTAAACTCTTAAATAATTATGCTTGAAAGTGACACATTATTTCCATTCACATGTTATTTGCTGAAATGTGTTATGTGATCATGTCTACATTAAATAAAATAGACTTGGAAGTGGACTCCATCTATATACCCAGAAAGAAAGAAAAAATGTATACACACACACACACACACACACACACATATACATAAACATATAGTTGTTTATATTGTTGTTTACTTAGTTGTTCACTGGTGTGAGTATATACGTATGTGTTCTTTTTATGTTACATATAATATATATTATGTATGTTATATATTTAATGCTTATTTATGTATGTATTAGTAATGTCTACTATAACTTACCTATTTTTCCATCTCTATCTCACATTATTCTCTCCCTTACTATGATTCGTTCACGAAATCCTTCTAGTTTTTGAGCACAACAAACTCATTCAGTTTGAGGAACTTTGCATAAGTTATTTTCTCTGCCTGGAACATGGTCTCTCCATTTCTTTTTAAGGCTTCTTATTACTTGGGTTTTCACTTAAATAACACCTTCTAGAGGAGTCTTCCTAGAGAATCCTAATAAAGTTGATAACGCACATTCCCTATTTTTCTCCATCTCTGCATCTCATTTATTTTTTAGCATTTATAATAACTTGAAGTTATTTTATGTGTTCTTTTTGTTTCTTTTGTTAGTTTGTAAACTCCATGAAGATGGCAATGGTCTTTTTCAAAGTTACAGCTTATTCCCAGAGTTTATGACCATTCTTTGCAATTAAAAGGACTTATAAATTTGATTGAACAGAAGAACTCTACCACTAAGATTTCTATTGTAATTACATCATTCAATATATTTATATATTTGAAAATTTAAAAGTTTTTTTTTTTTTTCTTATTCTGCCTTCTTGTCTGGGGGACAGTTTCTTTTTCTTTTCCTTTTTTTTTTTTTTTTTCTTGAGACAGAGTCTTGCTCTGTCACTTAGGCTGGAGTGCAGTAGCCCGATCTTGGCTCACTGCAACCTCTGCCTCCCAGGTTCAAGTGATTCTCTTGCTTCAGCCTCCCGAGTAGCTGGGACTACAGGTGCTTGCCACCACAACAGCTAATTTTATATATACATATATATTTTTAGTAGAGATGGGATTTCCCCATGTTGGCTAGGCTGGTCTTGAACTCCTGGCCTCAAGTGATCTGCCCACCTCGGCCTCCCAAAGTGCTAGAATTACAGGCATGAGCCACCATTCCCGGCCTAGGAACATAGTTTTTCTTCTCTTTATCTAGATTTATCTTTATGCTATATGTAGATTTTGTAATTTATTTTTATTCCACATGATTCTTATAAGATTAGTCTATTTGGTTTCTTTTGAAAAATGTTTGTATACATTTTTTATATTGAGAAAACATGTTTGTATACAATATTCATAAAATTATGGATAATTTTAGTTCCTTCTTATTAAATACAAAATGGTTAATATTATTCTAACTTTGTCTTTGCCTTCCATCAGGTTTTGATTTTCCTGATTGAATTTATAACTCTAAAAAAGAGTTTGGATTAAATATAAAGTGAGTCCAGGTAGGAATTTCACAGTAGGATATGAAAGAGAATAAATTCTAAGCAAAATAAAAGTATCCCGGGTGTTAATATTTTGAATAAACCTCCTATTCAAATGGATTTTGATGATTTTATCTTTTTCCTACAAGTATTATTATTATTAATTTTTTTAAAAGAAGGGAATTTGCTCTGTTGCCCAGGATGGAATGCCATTTGTGATCACAGCTCACTGCAACCTTGAACTTCTGGGCTCAAGTGATCCTCCTGCTTCAGCCTCCTGATTATCTGGGATTACAGGCATGTACCATCATAGCCAGCTAATTGTTTTTTGTATATTTTTTGTAGAGGTAAGGTCTCATTATGTTGCTTAGGCTGATCTGGAACTCCTGGCCTCAAGTGACCCTCCCACCTCAGCCTTCCAGTGTTGAGCTTACAGGCATAAGCCACTGCATCTGGTTTACAATTGTCATTTTGAATAATGAAATGGTCTGCTAGTTGGTCATTCTAATTTTGGTTGATCAAAGTTTTGCTGAAATAAATTTCTATGATTTGGACTGAAGATCTTTCCAAAGGGCTAATAAATGTAAAGATGAAAGAAAGCTTCTGATTCACAGATACCCAATTAATAATAGTTTCCAAATTCTGTGTAGTATTTCTACAGCCTTATTTTCCCAGACTCACTCCTGTTGCTAGGTTACTGTTATGACCTTAAAGATCAATACATACAAGCTTTTCTTATATAGGTCTTTTTATTTCTTCACCATTATTACCCTCAGTCTGGATGCTTACTTCCTTTTTTCGACTTTTGTGTTCTCTTTTATTCCTAATGCAGCAGTCAGTCTTCTTCTAGGACAGTTTATACCACTGCAAAGTAAAAGCCTATTATCAAGTTTCCCCTAAATATTTGGAACATGGTATCAAAAAAAAAAAAAAAAAAAAAACTGAGACTCCTTAGCATGCATTTCAACCTAAGGTATTTTTCTTACTTTATTTTCCATTTTTAAATATGTGTTATGTGTCCTGTGATTTCTGGAGGGTGGATACAATAATTCATGAACCAGTAACTGTAGGACAAATAGTTTATGTATCTTAATCCTTGTACTCCTCAACTTCCTACTGCCAGCTAACTGGTGTAGACACCATGACTCAGGTGCTCATGGTCTTTCCTCTGTACATTTCTGACTCCAGGTAATCTATCCACTGTTTCTTTGAAAGTTTTGTTTTCTCACTTCTTTATAAATATTTGTTTTCATTTTTATTTTAGCTAGGAGTCTTTTCTTTGCCTATTCTTCTATAAAATTCATAACCTCCATAATTATGGTACCTAGGGTGAGCTAGTTAAAAACCAACCAATAAAACAAAAACAAACAAACAAAAAACAAAAATAAAACCCCATAGTTTTATTCTTTTTTTATTTCATTATTATTATACTTTAAGTTTTAGGGTACGTGTGCACAATGTGCAGGTTTGTTACATATGTGTACGTGTGCCATGTTGGTGTGCTGCACCCATTAACTCATCATTTAGCATTAGGTATATCTCCTAATGCTATCCCTCCCCCCTCCCCCCACCTCACAACAGTCCTCGGAGTGTGATGTTCCCTTCCTGTGTCCATGTGTTCTCATTGTTCAATTCCCACCTATGAGTGAGAATATGCGGTGTTTGGTTTTTTATCCTTGCGATAGTTTGCTGAGAATGATGGCTTCCAGTTTCATCCATGTCCCTACAAAGGACATGAACTCTTCATTTTTTATGGCAGCATAGTATTCCATGGTGTATATGTGCCACATTTTCTTAATCCAGTCTATCATTGTTGGACATTTGGGTTGGTTCCAAGTCTTCGCTATTGTGAATAGTGCTGCAATAAACATACGTGTGCTTGTGTCTTTATAGCAGCATGATTTATAATCCTTTGGGTATATACCCAGTAATGGGATTGCTGGGTCAAATGGTATTTCTAGTTCTAGATCCCTGCGGAATCGCCACACTGATTTCCACAATGGCTGAACTAGTTTATAGTCCCACTAACAGTGTAAAAGTGTTCCTATTTCTCCACATCCTCTCCAGCACCTGTTGTTTCCTGACTTTTTAATGATCGCCATTCTAACTGGTGTGACATGTTATCTCATTGTGGTTTTGATTTGCATTCTCTGATGGCCAGTGATGATGAGCATTTTTTCATGTGTTTTTTGGCTGCATAAATGTCTTGTTTTGAGAAGTGTCTGTTCATATCCTTCACCCACTTTTTGATGGGGTTGTTTGTTTTTTTCTTGTAAATTTGTTTAAGTTCTTTGTAGATTCTGGATATTAGCCCTTTGTCAGATGAGTAGGTTGCAAACATTTTCTCCCATTTTGTAGGTTGCCTGTTCACTCTGATGGTAGTTTCTTTTGCTGTGCAGAAGCTCCTTAGTTTAATTAGATCCCATTTGTCAATTTTGGCTTTTGTTGCCATTGCTTTTGGTGTTTTAGCCATGAAGTCCTTGCCCATGCCTATGTCCTGAATGGCATTGCCTAGGTTTTCTTCTAGGGTTTTTATGGTTTTAGGTCTAACATTTAAGTCTTTAATCCATCTTGAATTAATTTTTGTATAAGGTGTAAGGAAGGGATCCAGTTTCAGCTTTCTACATATGACTAGCCAGTTTTCCCAGCACCATTTATTAAATAGGGAATCCTTTCCCCATTGCTTGTTTTTGTCAGGTTTGTCAAAGATCAGATAGTTGTAGATATGTGGCATTATTTCTGAGGGCTCTGTTCTGTTCCATTGGTCTATATCTCTGTTTTGGTACCAGTACCATGCTGTTTTGGTTACTGTAGCCTTGTAGTATAGTTTGAAGTCAGGTAGCATGATGCCTCCAGCTTTGTTCTTTTGGCTTAGGATTGACTTGGTGACGCGGGGTCTTTTTTGGTTCCATATGAACTTTAAAGTAGTTTTTTCCAATTCAGTGAAGAAAGTCATTGGTAGCTTGATGGGGATGGCATTGAATCTATAAATTAACTTAGGCAGTATGGCCATTTTCACAATATTGATTCTTCCTACCCATGAGCATGGAATGTTCTTCCATTTGTTTGTATCCTCTTTTATTTCATTGAGCAGTGGTTTGTAGTTCTCCTTGAAGAGGTCCTTCACATCCCTTGTAAGTTGGATTCCTAGGTATTTTATTCTCTTTGAAGCAATTGTGAATGGGAGTTCACTCATGATTTAGCTCTCTGTTTGTCTGTTATTGGTGTATAAGAATGCTTGTGATTTTTGTACATTGATTTTGTATCTTGAGACTTTGCTGAAGTTGCTTATCAGCTTAAGGAGATTTTGGGCTGAGACAATGGGGTTTTCTAGATATACAATCATGTCATCTGCAAACAGGGGCAATTTGACTTCCTCTTTTCCTAATTGAATGCCCTTTATTTCCTTCTCCTGCCTGATTGCCCTGGCCAGAACTTCCAACACTATGTTGAATAGGAGTGGTGAGAGAGGGCATCCCTGTCTTGTGCCAGTTTTCAAAGGGAATGCTTCCAGTTTTTGCCCATTCAGTATGATATTGACTGTGGGTTTGTCATAGATAGCTCTTATTATTTTGAGATACATCCCATCAATACCTAATTTATTGAGAGGTTTTAGCATGAAGGGTTGTTGAATTTTGTCAAAGGCCTTTTCTGCATCTATTGAGATAATCATGTGGTTTTTGTCTTTGGTTCTGTTTATATGCTAGATTACATTTATTGATTTGCATATGTTGAACCAGCCGTGCATCTCAGGGATGAAGCCCACTTGATCATGGTGGATAAGCTTTTTGATGTGCTGCTGGATTCGGTTTGCCAGTATTTTATGGAGGATTTTTGCATCAATGTTCATTAAGGATATTGGTCTAAAATTCTCTTTTTTTTGGTTGTGTCTCTGCCAGGCTTTGGTATCAGGATGATGCTGGCCTCATAAAATGAGTTAGGATTCCCTCTTTTTCTATTGATTGGAATAGTTTCAGAAGGAGTGGTACCATCTCCTCCTTGTACCTCTGGTAGAATTCGGCTGTGAATCCATCTGGTCCTGGACTCTTTTTGGTTGGTAAGCTATTGATTATTGCCACAATTTCAGAGCCTGTTATTGTTCTATTCAGAGAT
Source organism: Homo sapiens (assembly GCF_000001405.40). Classification (NCBI taxonomy): domain Eukaryota; kingdom Metazoa; phylum Chordata; class Mammalia; order Primates; family Hominidae; genus Homo; species Homo sapiens. The sequence continues at coordinate 78,470,641 of NC_000006.12, read as the reverse complement.
TCAACTTCTTCCTGGTTTAGTCTTGGGAGGGTGTATGTGTCCAGGAATGTATCCATTTCTTCTAGATTTTCTAGTTTATTTGCGTGGAGGTGTTTATAGTATTCTCTGATGGTAGTTTGTATTTCTGTGGGATTGGTGGTGATATCCCCTTTATCATTTTTTATTGCATCTATTTGATTCTTCTTTCCTTTCTTCTTTATTAGTCTTGCTAGCGGTCTATCGATTCTGTTGATCTTTTCAAAAAACCAGCTCCTGGATTCATTAATTTTTTGAAGGGTTTTTTGTGTCTCTATTTCCTTCAGTTCTGCTCTGATTTTAGTTATTTCTTGCCTTCTGCTAGCTTTCGAATGTGTTTGCTCTTGCTTTTCTAGTTCTTTTAATTGTGACATTAGAGTGTCAATTTTAGATCTTTCCTGCTTTCTCTTGTGGGCATTTAGTGCTATAAATTTCCCTCTACACACTGCTTTGAATGTGTCCCAGAGATTCTGGTATGTTGTGTCTTTGTTCTCGTTGGTTTCAAAGAAAATCTTTATTTCTGCCTTCATTTCGTTATGTACCTAGTAGTCATTCAGGAGCAGGTTGTTCAGTTTCCATGTAATTGAGTGGTTTTGAGTGAGTTTCTTAGTACTGAGTTCTAGTTTGATTGCACTGTGGTCTGAGAGATAGTTTGTTATAATTTCTGATCTTTTACATTTGCTGAGGAGAGCTTTACTTCCACCTATGTGATCAATTTTGGAATAGGTGTGATGTGGTGCTGAAAAAAATGTATATTCTGTTGATTTGGGGTGGAGAGTTCTGTAGATGTCTACTAGGTCTGCTTGGTGCAGAGCTGAGTTCAATTCCTGGGTATCCTTGTTAACTTTCTGTCTCGTTGATCTGTCTAATGTTGACAGTGGTGTGTTGAAGTCTCCCATTATTTTTCTGTGGTAGTCTCAGTCTCTTTGTAGGTCACTAAGGACTTGCTTTATGAATCTGGGTGCTCCTGTATTAGGTGCATATATATTTAGGATAGTTAGCTCTTCTTGTTGAATTCATCCCTTTACCATTATGTAATGGCCTTCTTTGTCTCTTTTGATCTTTGTTGTTTTAAAATCTGTTTTATGAGAGACTAGGATTGCAACTCCTGCCTTTTTTTGTTTTCCATTTGCTTGGTAGATCTTCCTCCATCCCTTTATTGTGTGCCTATGTGTGTCTCTGCAGTTGATTTGGGTTTCCTGAATACAGCACACTGATGGGTCTTGACTCTTTATCCAATTTGCCAGTCTGTGTCTTTTAATTGGAGCATTTAGCCCATTTACATTTAAAGTTAATATTGTTATGTGTGTATTTGGTCCTGTCATTATGATGTTAGCTGGTTATTTTGCTCGTTAGTTGATGCAGTTTCTTCCTAGCCTTGATGGTCTTTATTACTTGGCATGTTTTTGCAGTGGCTGGTACCAGCTGTTCCTTTCCTTGTTTAGTGCTTCCTTCAGGAGCTCTTGTAGGGGAGGCCTGGTGGTGACAAAATCTCTCAGCATTTGCTTGTCTGTAAAGGATTTTATTTCTCCTTCACTTGTGAAGCTTAGTTTGGCTGGATATGAAATTCTGGGTTGAAAATTCTTTTCTTTAAGAATGTTGAATATTGGTCCACACTCTCTTCTGGCTTGTAGAGTTTCTGCTGAGAGATCAGCTGTTAGTCTGTTGGGCTTCCCTTTGTGGGTAACCCGACCTTTCTCTCTGGCTGCCCTTAACATTTTTTCCTTCATTTCAACTTTGGTAAATCTGTCTTGGAGTTGCTCTTCTGGAGGAGTATCTTTGTGGCGTTCTCTGTATTTCCTGAATCTGAATGTTGGCCTGCCTTGCTAGATTGGGGAAGTTCTCTTGGATAATATCCTGCAGAGTGTTTTCCAACTTGGTTCCATTCTCCCCGCCATTTTCAGGTACACCAATCAGATGTAGATTTGGTCTTTTCACACAGTCCCATATTTCTTGGAGGCTTTGTTCGTTTCTTTTTATTCTTTTTTCTCTAAACTTCTCTTCTCGCTTCATTTCATTCATTTCATCTTCCATCACTGATACCCTTTCTTCCAGTTGATTGCATCAGCTCCTGAGGCTTCTGCATTCTTCACGTAGTTCTCAAGCCTTGGCTTTCAGCTGCATCAGCTCCTTTAAGGACTTCTCTGCATTGGTTATTCTAGTTATGCCTTCATCTGATTTTTTTTCAAAGTTTTTAACTTCTTTGCCATTGGTTTGAGTTTCCTCCTGTAGCTTGGAGTAGTTTGATCGTCTGAAGCCTTCTTCTCTCAGCTTGTCAAAGTCATTTTCTGTCCAGCTTTTTTCCGTTGCTGATTAGGAGCTGCATTCCTTTGGAGGAGGAGAGGCACTCTGCTTTTTAGAGTTTCCAGTTTTTCTGCTCTGTTTTTTCCCCATCTTTGTGGTTTTATCTACTTTTGGTCTTTGATGATGGTGACATACAGAAGGGTTTTTGGTGTGGATGTCCTTTCTGTTTGTTAGTTTTCCTTTTAACAGACAGGACCCTCAGCTGCAGGTCTGTTGGAGTTTGCTAGAGATCCACTCCAGACCCTGTTTGCCTGGGTATCAGCAGCAGTGGCTGTAGAACAGCAGATCTTGGTGAACTGCAAATGTTGCTGCCTGATCGTTCCTCTGGAAATTTTGTCTCAGAGGAGTACCCGGCCGTGTGAGGTGTCAGTCTGCCCCTACTGGGGGGTGCTTTCCAGTTAGGCTGCTCGGGGGTCAAGGACCCACTTGAGGAGGCAGTCTGCCCATTCCCAGATCTCCAGCTGCTGCTGGGAGAACCACTGCTCTCTTCAAAGCTGTCAGACAGGGACATTTAAGTCTGCAGAGGTTACTGCTGTCTTATTGTTTGTCTGTGCCCTGCCCCCAGAGGTGGAGCCTACCGGGGCAGGCAGGCCTCCTTGAGCTGTGGTGGGCTCCACCCAGTTCGAGCTTCCCAGCTGCTTTGTTTACCTAATCAAGCCTGGGCAATGGCAGGCGCCCCTCCCCCAGCCTCGCTCCCACCTTGCAGTTTGATCTCAGACTGCTGTGCTAGCAATCAGCGAGACTCCGTGGGTGTAGGACCCTCCGAGCCAAGTGCGGGATATAATCTCCTGGTGTGCAGTTTTTTAAGCCCGTGGGAAAAGCACAGTATTAGGGTGGGAGTGACCTGATTTTCCAGGTGCCATCTGTCACCCCTTTCTTTGACTAGGAAAGGGAACTCCCTGACCCCTTGTGCTTCCTGAGTGAGGCAATGCCTCGCCCTGCTTCAGCTCGTGCATGGTGCGCTGCACCCACTGTCCTCCGCCCACTGTCTGGCACTGCCTAGTGAGATGAACCTGGTACCTTAGATGGAAGTGCAGAAATCACCCATCTTCTGCACTCAGGCTGGGAGTGGTAGACCGGAGCTGTTCCTATTCGGCCATCTTGGCTCCATCCCAGTAGTTTTATTCTTAATGTGACCTCATTAGTTCTCATGAACTAATAGGTGCGGGAAAGAATCCATGCCATTCTAATTTTTTGGGGGGGACGGAGTCTCACTGTATTGCCAAGGCTGGAGTGCAGTGATGCAATCTCGGATCACTGCAACCTCTGCCTCCTGTGTTCAAGCTATTCTTATGCCTCAGCCTCCTAAGTAGCTGGGACTACAGGCACATGCCACCATTCCTTGCTAATTTTTGTATTTTTAGTGGAGAAGGGGTTTTGCCATGTTGGCCAGACTGGTCTCCAACTCCTGACCTCAAGTGATCCATCTCCCTTGGCCTCCCAAAGTGCCAGGATTACAGGCTGAGCCACCACACTCGCCCCACTCTAAATTATAAGGGAGAATCACATCACATTCCATGATTTTGGTATCATCTTTTATTTATTGCATTTGGCACTATATGTAGTCGATATCCGTTGATAGATAAAATGAAGAAAAAGGAGGTGAAGATGAAAAAGAATGAAGGTATAACAATCGGGAATAGCTTGGAATGCCAATCCAAGTGCCATATTCCTGAGTAGACTCACTTGTTAGATTGCTTACTAAGGTTAGTGGTCTTTCTATTCAGGTATATACCTCTGAATCTTGAAATTTCTTATAATTTGAAATGTATTTTCAACCATATTCAAAGTTTGAAAATCCACAAGATTAGAGCTTCATATGGGTTAATAAACATTTACTTTAGAAAGGTTTACATACATGAGACACATATACATATGTGAGACAGTTGCATATGTCAGTTAGATATTGCACATATGAATTCAGCTGGATTGCTCCACTTCTTTTGTAAAATTGAATGTATGATGGGAGGCAGATAATTACTTAATTTTTTAGCATTAAATAGTTCAGGAGCTGGGTTTGTATGAGAGAAGCACGGCTGCATGATGACATTGGGCAACTGGGAAGAAGTTAGAGCGGTATATCAAAAAGGACATTGGGAGAAATAAAAAGGCAAGTTGTTTGCTACACAATTTTTACTGAGCTTTGCTTTGTACTATGACTACAAAACACAGAATCTTGTCTCTTATGGTATTTTGTTTGTTTGTTTTCCCCTAACATTACATACCCTCAGCTACTTGTATCTGGGACTCTACTGAGTCCTTTGTATTATAACCCTGCTTCTTTATGGTAACTGGTTTTTTCAACCTAGTCTTAGAACCTACACAATACTTATAACACAATTTTTCCATTCTAAAAATTTTACTTGAATTAAGTGTAACGTTATAAATTTGAGAGTTGGGGCAAATTTACACAGAGCTAGTACCCATCTGACTTCTGACATTTTTCTTTCCAGTGTACATAAAATGTAGTTTTTTTTTCTCCATGGGTCCAAAGTAAATTATTTTTCATTCTAAATATCTTGCTTCACTTGCATGACTCAGTTCTTCATATAGTCTGTAAAGCTACGTGCACTTTCTTCTATGTCTAGAAGAGGGAAAATAGCTAATTTAAGGGTATAGAAAAATAGGAGTTTTAAAAGCATTTGAAACCCAGATCATTAAATTATATGGAGAATAATGTATGTGATGCTTTCTATTAAATGGAAAATGTTATAATATATAAAGCAGTTTTTTTATTGTTTAGATAACAGAGCATCGTATGATTTTCTGTATTGAAGCCCTACAATGTTCTTTGGTTATTTAAATGATACTGTTGTTAGCATGGAAGTCTGTTTTAGCCTGTTGCCAGTCATCAGCTTCATGATAGGCATGTAGGACATTTATAGAATCCACAACTCTGACCAAAACACATGTGGCCTCAAATTGAAGAGGACAGTTAATGTCAAACCAAAATGACAGATGTCCCTCAAGCTGTTGCCTTGTGCTCAAATAATGGTAGATTCAAAGCCAGCTCAGCATTTCCCAGAGACCTATATTTCATCCAGGCTCTGTCAACACAGCTTGATCAATGTCTTCACAGGAAAAGTGGAAGCATATGGATGATTAACTTCAAGCATTTGTCACTGAGACCAAGCTTAGAGCGGTTCTGGGCCATGTGATGGATGTCACAGGGAAGCCTCTTTGTATCTGCCAGTCAAGCGGAGTTACTATGAAAGTATTTAATGATATAGGAGAATCTTCATTGCTCACTTTCAGCTTCTGGCAATGCGAATATTCTGCAGAGCTGAATGATAGAGCCAGCAAAAGGGAGGTAGGGACACAGAGGGAAAAAGGGAAAACACATTCAGGTCTTTTAAACTTGTTCTTGGCTTTTCCAGAGACCATTTTCTCTTCCTTCATCATTTTACAAAATAACTACTACAGTTACAAAATAACTACATAATTACTTAAATTATTTGTAAATACAATTATTTACAAGGTAACTACATACATTATAGGATTAGATAAACCATAATGGGAGAACAAACTTAGGATTTGGACTCAGAAAACCTGGGTTTCAGTTTTAACTTGTCAACTCACTAGATGTGAGACTTTCAGCAAGTTATCTGCTTGTTCTAAGTCTCATCATTCTCATAAAAAAGATAATAAATAGGCCCGTTTATATGATTTCATGAGGACTAGTGTGCATTTTAGTACTTGGCACATAATAAAAAAGGCTTGATAAAGATTTTTAAGAAACATTTATTTGTGTATTTATACATTTTACATGGAAGGAAGGCTACAGATTCTGGTTGCTCACTAGTTGATCACTTTCTGTTATACAGAAAGCTAATAAAAAGCTATTCTTAGTACTATTTTTATTAATAAAACATAGTCTACACCAATTTTATTATATAAATATATAAAGTTTTTTTGTAGCGTATTTCTTCACTGTTACACAAATACTGTATTAATTGGCACTCTAACAGAGTGTCAAAACTAATGGCCTTTGTTTTATTTGGAAAACTTTAACAATGCTGCTATACTGGGTAGATTTTGCCATCCTCTTAGGGTAATTAGTTGACTTTTAAAATAATACTATGTGATAATGACATTTATAAACCATAATTGTTTTAATAATCAGTTTTGTTTGGTGGCTAAAAATGTTATTTGATGTATACTCTGCAAGATGATTAGTTTCTTTTTTGATAATTTAATTGGGGGATATTTGAGAGTATTTTTTTCTTTTTTGAGACGGAGTCTGGCTTTGTCACCCAGGCTGGAGTGCAGTGGCGTGATCTCGGCTCACTGCAAGCTCTGCCTCCCAGGTTCACGCCATTCTCCTGCTTCAGCCTCCCAAGTAGCTGGGACTACAGGCGCCCGCCACTACGCCCGGCTAATTTTTTGTATTTTTAGTAGAAACGGGGTTTCACCGTGTTAGCCAGGATGGTCTCGATCCCCTGACCTCGTGATCCACCTGCCTCGGCCTCCCAAAGTGCTGGGATTACAGGCGTGAGCCACCGCGCCCGGTGAGAGTATTTTTACCTCTAAGATTCTAATTTATTGTTGAAGGTAAACTCCTCTGTAGGACCACCCTAACCCCTGAGGAATATTCATTTTGCAAAGATGCTCAACCTTGTTAGAGTCATCTCCTTCAGGAGAGTTGGAGTTCTCATCTTATCCCAAGAAGTGCTGTGGTGCTACATGGCAGAAATCACAGTCTTTATCTGTATACATGGATAATGTAACACCCATCCCTGGAAATAGCAAACTACAATGCTATTATACAATGGATAAAAGAGGAAGGGAAGAGGAAAATGAAAATGTAGGAAAAAACAAAGATGTGCATGTGTACACACACACACACACACACACACATGCACGGGAACACACTGAAAGAGGATAAACAGAGGATGAACACAGAGGAATAGTGGAGAATCTAAACAGGCACTGATGTTTGAAATACACTGTTGAAATAGTGAAAATTAAAAGAAAAATTTATTTTCTTTTAAGAAACACTGTATTTAAAGAAAAAACTGCTTTGGAGATCTTTTTCTCTTTTTTTGAGACAGAGTCTCTCTCTCTGGCACCCAGACTGGAGTGCAGTGGTGCAATCTCGGCTCACTGCAAGCTCTGCCTCCCGGGTTCACGCCGTTCTCCTGCCTCAGCCTCCCGAGTAGCTGGGACTACAGGTGCCCGTCCCCACGCCCGGCTAATTTTTCGTATTTTAGTAGAGACGAGGTTTCACCGTGTTAGCCAGGACGGTCTCAATCTCCTGACTTCGTGATCTGTCCGCCTTGGCCTCCCAAAGTGCTGGAATTACAGGCGTGAGCCACCACGCCCAGCCTGCTTTGGAGATCTTTAAGCACAATAACTCATCAGATCCCATCTCTCAGACAGGGTGTGAACACCAGGCATCCCGGAAGACTTGACTGGATGTGTAAACATTGCATCATTTCTTTAGAGTCAGCAGTGTGCAGAGAGCTATGGGTGATGTTGGGGGAGCCTTCCCTCGGAAAAGGTAGCTAAAGCTATCTAGAGTTTGCACTGGACACTTCTTGTAATGAGGCCATGCAGATGATGTGATTTCAGATGTGAAGCCACTAGACAGAGAGGGTAGAGACCTCATGAAAGTTGAAATACAAAGCTTTTTTGTATTTCAAAATACAAAAAAATTTGTGGAGGATATGTGGAGGATATAGCCTAAAGGAATGTCCTGTGTCTAAAGAAAATAGCAAAAGTGGCTTTTGTAGTAGCTCTCTCATCTCAAATAGGAGCAGGAAGAAGTAACGACAAGTTCTGGTCTGGTTTGGAAAATGTCCACAAGGTGCCACAAACCTGCCAGTACAAACCGTCCTGTCTCCGAGTTCCTGTGAGTCCCATTCTTCTTGGAATCAAAGGAGAGAAACTGACCCTTGCTTCCTATGCAGGATTCTTGTGCAGGATTGCTAACTTCTTTCAGCTCCCTTTTCCCTATGGCTTATAGGCTGCACCTGTGCTGAAGTGGTTTTGTTTTTGGCACACATTTGATTCAGAGTCCAATGAAGAACAAGGATTAGTGCTGTTTCACTGCATTCATTTATAGGAGAATTCTTTGAATTTTAAATAATTATCTTCTATATTTCAGACTTCCGTTTGTTGATTAGTTCTTGAAGTTAATTATCTTGAATAGCTTAATGTGGCTTAGTGCTTATATAAAACTCTAATTTGTTTTCTAAATATACCATCTTTATTAATTTTATCTAGATACTTTGATTCCTGATTCTTTAGCAAAGGTAGCCTATACATTTTGTGAGAAGCAGAGTTACATTTGAAACTAGTGGTTTTGGGAATCACAGTTTTCAGCTTCTGCCTTCATTTCATGTAAAATTTCTAAGAGCCAATTTGGGGGCATTATCTACATCTGGTACATCTGTCATCTTAATGGCATTTTTGTCATGTGTTGCCTCACTGGAATAGTTAGCAAATATGAGCACCTGTAACTAAAATGCTTGGAAAAATACTTCTATTATAAAGGTCAGGTCAAATACCTTCAAACGATATATACTTATATTAAAAATTGTTTCTTTGCTAAAATACTTAGGTCTGTGACCCTTTCATTCTGTAACACACTTCTCAGCATGAAGGGAATTAAGAAAGTCTCTTAGAAAGTATCATAATGTTTATATATATATGTATTTAAATATATATGTATTTATATAAATTTATCTAATATTTGTGTATAAATATACAAATATTAAATATACGTATTTTATATACATATTTAATATAGAATTTTATTTTTATTGGTTAAAAACTAATATTTATATATTAATAAACAATATAGCATTTGGAAATATTTCTTTTACATTTGTTATTCATATATATAACTATCTGCTTTATTTAATATATATGTTTGTGTATGTGTAATTAGAGAAGTTGTTAAAACAGGGCTTTTCCTTTCCTATCAGCCAAAACACCAATGCAAAATGCTAAACTGCAAGCACAAACTTTGTATTGATAATTGCCAGTCAATTTTTCTTGTAGATTTGCAGTAACAGAAAGACAAAACACCTGTTGGATCAGTTAAATAAAATTTGCTTTTTTAAATAATACAGAGGGAAGTGGGTGTAATCAGCAACCCTTGTCAGGGCTATTTATGAAGGCACTAGCTTCCGGATACTCCTCAGAACCTCAGGAAGCCCAATCACCCACACTGCACTCCTCAGGACAGCCTTATACATGTGCAGGTGAAGCTGGATCACGTCAACAGACTACACCTAAAGCAGTCTGGATGTGTGTTGGGAGGATCACTTCACCTGAGCTATGTATATCTATCTCATAGGATTTCAGGGTTATACAATATACCATGTGACTGCTGAGTAAAACAGAAGACTCAGACAGGAACACAGCTCTCATTCATAACATGCCTCCTCTCCAGACTAACAAAGCGCAATCCTGGTGAGCTACTGAACTTAAAGCTGCAGAACTGGAATGAGGGCTTGTTACCCAGAACTCTCTTGAAGGTATGTTCACAGTTTTAGACCAGCCATGCAGCTTATTCTTCAACCACCCGCAAGGCTATGCTAAGATTTGTTCTACTTGTTCCCTATCTTGATGTCTTATTCTTGAGTCTCAGTACTTGTTTTCTAGATCTTTTGGTGGGAATGATTCAGAGTCTTGTGCCTTAATAGGACTGGAAAAAAATCTAACATATTCCTTTTTTCCCCCTGTCTCTTCACCATCAAAGGAACTTTATCCAGATAAATCAGGTGATCTGGGCCTGGCTCAGTGAAAGGGATTGAGGCAGTCCTATGAGCACTGTTGGAGTTAAAGGGAAACAAAAACCCTCACTGGAGGTGTTTTTTTAATGAAATAATAACCATCCCAGTATTCTTCAAATCATCACCTAAATTCATCATCAGGCTCGTGTTGGCAGTTAAGGCATTAACTATTTAAAATAAATGATGAGTATAGAAATGCTTCCTACCTCAGATGGATAACTTGAGCAAATATCTTGTAAATAACTGAAAACTTCTGGATAAACCTGAGACCTAAACTTTTAATGAAAACTTATAATTGTATAGAATCAAATAACCATGAAAGTGATTTTACTGATACAACTTGGATATTTTTAGTTTTAGATGGGACTGGTGGCCTGTGTTCTTCAGTGCAGCATCTCAGTGGGGGCAATAATAGCAGTTATTTCCAGAACAGCTTTCAGGCATGAATGTCTGCTTGCATTCCAAATATCATTCCTGTCTGTGTGCATTCTCCTAGTTTGCTGATGTGGTCCTTGGGCTCATCTCCCTTCCAAAGTAATTTCCTTTCATTTTTCAAACTCTGAATAACTCACATGGGTTGATTGTTCATTATCCATATCAAATAACTCAGTGAATTATTTGTCCTCTTCCACTGGAGTGAATCAAGCTACAAGCCGTGTGGAAAAAGGGAAGAAAAAAATGAGACCAGTTGTCATGCACAGCTCTTCCTTTGTATGAATTTCATTTAGACATTCAATCTAAGCACTAAATAGGTCAAAGGCTGTTAATATTAACAAATATTCCCAGTTTTTTCAATATTTCCTGATTTTTTTTTTTTTTTTTTTTTTGCACATTATGAAAAGCAACTGAAGGGCAGCAAATCTTTAGAAGATTTTCCCTTTCCTCTTTTGCAATGAGCTTTTTCAGAGCTGGCCCAAAGCCAAGGGGGGGAAAAAAAAAGAAGAATCTCTCTTTATTAGGCTTCTAGACTTTACCAGTGCATACTCTGTGATTTTGATCATTTGCACTAAGTTCTCTGAGTCTCAGGTTAGTTTTCTCATCTATAAAATACTAGATAAAATATTGCTTGTTCCTCAGGTTTAGAAATTCAGTTGATATTTCCTAACCTACCCTGTACTGTTTTTCTGTGGAGATAGCAATCAACAAAAGATATGAAGGCTTACATTCTATTGAGAAGGCATAAGTAAATAAGTAAAGCATGTAGTTTATTCTTTGGTCTTAAGCCCTTGGGAAAAATTAATTAGAAGAGAGAGGGAAGTGTGAGGAGCTGTGCAATGTTAAATTCCCACATCAGTGATGCCTTTGCTGATAATGTGATAAGGGGATATTTGAACAGAGTCTGAAGGAAGTGGGAAAGGAAGCCATGGAGAATCCAGTGAGAACAGCAAGTGCAAATGCCCTGAAGGAATAAAAAGGTGTCTGGAGTAGGCAGTAAAGGCAAGAATTATAGAAGATCATGTGGGACTTGTAATCCAAAGCCAAGTTGGGATTTTGGATTTTATTATGCGTGAGATAAGAAGTCTTTTGATGAATTTGAGCAGAGAAGTGACTCTCTCTCTCCCTTCCTTCCTTCCATTGACAAATAAAAATTGTACATATTTATGGCATACAATATGTTTTGAAGTATGTATAAATTGTGAAATAGTTAAATCAGGCTAATTAACATATGCATTACTTCACATAGTTATGAATTTTTTTGTAATAAGAACACTTAAAACATACTTTCTTAACAATTTTCAATAATATATTGCTAGTAGTTGTAGTCACCATGTTGTTTAATAGATGTCTTGGATCTCTTTCTCTAGTCTAATTGAAATTTTGTATCTTCTGAGCAACATTTCCCCAAACCCCACCCTCCAGTCTCTGGTAACCACCATTCTACTCTCTACTTCTATGAGTTCAACTTTTTTAGATTTCATATATAAGTAAGATCATTCATACTCCCCTCTTTGGCGACCCCATGGGATCTTTAAATAGCTTCTATGTGCTAATGTCTAGGCCTCTCTTGTGAACACCAGTTTTATACATCCAACTGCAATTGCAGCTGTGATGTTGAATAGACACCTCTGACTCCACGTGACCAAAACTGAACTCCTTGTTTTATTTGCAAGCCTGAGTATCCTCACTCTTCCTTATCAATTGATGGCAACTCAATTTTTCCAGTTGCTCAGACAAGACCTTGGAGTCAGCCTTGACTCCTTCTGTTTCTCATCTTCCCACATCCTGTTAAGAAAACCTAGTTGTCATGATCCCTTCTCGCTACTATGACTGTCCAAGACATCCCTCTCTTTCACCCAGTTTATTACAGTGCCTCATAACTCGTCATTCTACTTCTGTTGTTATCCTTTCGGTCTATTTTCAATACATCAGCCAGGGTAATTATTTTAAAATATGGTTCAAATTGTTTAACTTCTCTGCTTAAATCCTTACTGGCTCCCCATTTCACTCATAGTAAACATCAACATTTTTGGTAATTTCCTGGAACTTTGCTCTCTGTTAGTTACAACCCCATTGGCCTCTCTGCCTCTGTGCTGCCTTTGGGCCTCTGTGCTGGTTGGCTGTTCACCCTACCTGAAACACTCTTCTTTTCCTGTTGACTTGCATACTTCAAGGTTTTGCTCAAATGTTGCCTTTTCAAAGAGGCCCTTCCTTCCTCAAAAATCCCTCTATTTACAATTAACAGCCCTTCTTTCCACCCCTGGAAATCGTCATCCCCTTACTTGGCTCTCTACATTTTGGAAGTATAGTGTTTATCACGCTCTAGCGTACAATATAACTGATATATTATTTTTATTGTTTATTGTTTGTCAGCCCCTGCTAGAATGTAAGCTCCATAAAAGTAAAAAACTTTTTCTGTTTTGTTGACTATGACATCCTAAGCATGTAGGTTGGTGCCTGACAGGTAGTCACCACTCAATAAATACGTGTTGGATGAATAAATGGAGCAGGGATCCAGTTAGAAAAGAACACTGTGTATGAGTTCTTAGATGACAAATTGACTGCATGAGAAGAAGCCAGGCTGTGTGGTACTTGAAGAAAAGCCTCAGATGTGAGCCAAGAATTATCTGGAATGGATTGTCCACTCTTCCCCTTATTCCTCAAGTCACCTTTAGGAGATGAGTTAACCTTTTTAGTTTCAGTCTATTTCTGTTAAAATGAGAAAAAGAATGTCTAAACTGAGAATGTACAAATGTACCTAAGTTTGCTTATTCATTCTTCAGCTGAAGGACATCTAAGTTGTTTTACCTTTGTCAGTTTACACCTAAAGATGCTGTAAAAGGCATATACAGATTTTTGTGTGTTCATAAGTTTTTATTTCTTTAGATAAATACTTAGGAGTAGGATTGCTAGGCCATAAGGTTGGTATATATTTTACTTAATAAGAAATTGTCAAATTGTTTTCCAAAGTAAAACCAAAAGTGTATAAGCATTTCAGTTGCTCCCTATTCTCGTTAGCACTTGGTATTGTCAACATCTTTTTAGTCATTGTAATAGTTGTTCAGTAATTTGTCATTCATTTAATTTGTATTTCTCTAATGACTAAGGTTGTTTAGAACCTTTTCATTTACTCACTAGTATCTGTTTAGCTTTTTTTGCTCATTAAAATAATTGGATTGTTTCAGGTCAGGCATGCTGGCTCACACTTGCAATCCCAGAGCTTTGGGAGGCTGAGGTGTTCATGACCAATCCAGGCAACAGAGTGAGACCCCATCTAATATGGTTTGGCTGTGTCCCCACCAAAAATCTCATTTTTAATTTTAGTTCCCATAATCCCCACTTGTCATGGGAGTGACCCAGTGGGAGGTAATTGAATCACGGAGGCAGTTACCTCCATGCTGTTCTAGTGATAGTGAGTGAGTTCTTATGAGATCCAATGGTTTTGTAAGGGACTTCTCTCCCTCTTTGCTCTGTACTTCACCTTGCAGCCTCCACGTGAAGAAGGAGGTGTTTGCTTACCCTTCCTCCATGATTGTAAGTTTCCTGAGGCCTCCTCAGCCCTGTGGAACTGAGTCAATTAATACTTTTTCCTTCATAAATTACCCATCTCAGGTATGTCTTTATCAGCAGCATGACAACAAACTAATACAATAAATTGGTACCAGTAGAGTGAGGTGCTGCTGTAAAGATACCTGAAAATGTAGAAGCAACTTTGGAAATGAGTAACAGCAGAGGTTGGAACAATTTGGAGGGCTCAGAAGAAGACAGGAAAATGCAGGAAAATTGGGAACATCCTAGAGAGATGGAGGGCTCAGAAGACAGGAAGATGTGGGAAAGTTTGGAACTTCCTAGAGACTTGTTGAATGGCTTTGACCAAAATGCTGATGTGATATGGACAATAAAGTCCGGGCTGAGGTGGTTTCAGAAGGAGAGGAGAAACTGGTTGGGAACTGGAGTATAAAGGTCAGTCTTGCTATGCAAAGAGAATGGTGGCATTTTGCTCCTGTGCTAGAGATCTGTGGAACTTTGAATTTGGGAGATTATTTAGGGTATCTGGTAAAAGAAATTTGTAGGTGGCAAAGCATTCAAGAGAAAGCAGACCATGAAAGTCTGGAATATTTGCAGCCTGACAATGTGATAGAAAACAAGACCCCATTTTCTGGGCAGAAATTCAAGTGGGCTGCAGAAATTTGCATAAGTAATGAGGAACCAAATGTTAATCACCAAGAGGATGGAAAAAATATCTCTAGGCTTGTCAGAGACCTTCACAGCAGCCCCTCCCATCACAGGCCTGGAGGGCTCGGAGGGAAAATGGTTTTGTGGGCTGGGCCCAGGGCACCCCTTCTCTGTGCAACCTCTGAACATTGTGCCCTGTGTCCCAGCTTCTTCAGCTCCAGCTGTGGCTAAAAGGGGCCAATGTGTATCTCAGGCTGTTGCTTCAGAGGTTGCAAGCTCCTGGGCTTGATGACTTACACATGGTGTTGGGCTTGTGGATACACAGAAGTCAAGAATTGAGTTTAGGGAACCTCCACCTAGATTACAGAGGATGTATGGAAATTCTCGGATGTCCAGGCAGAAGTCTGTTGCAAGGTTGGTAGCCTCATGGAGAACTTCTACTAGGGCAGTAGGGAAGGGAAATGTCAAATGGAAGCCCCCATACTGAGTTCCCAATGGGGCACTGCCTGATGGAGCTGTGAGAAGAGGGCCACCATCCTCCAGACCTCAAAATGGTAGACCCACCAACAGCCTGCACTGTGTGTATGGAAAAGCCATAGACCCACAACACCAGCCTGTGAAAGCAGCCAGGGTTGGGGGACTGTACCCTGCAAAGCCACAGGGTGAAGCTGCCTAAGGCCATGGGAGCCCAGCTCTTGCATCGGCATGACTGGGATGTGAGACATGGAGTCAAAGGAGATTATTTTGGAACTTTAAGGTTTAATGACTACCCTATAGGGGCCTGTAGTCCCTTTGTTTTGGCCAATTTCTCCCATTTGGAAAGGGTGCATTTACTCAATGCCTGTACTCCCATTGTATCTAGAAAGTAATAACTTGCTTTTGATTTTATAGGCTCATAGGTGTAAGGGACTTGTCTTGTCTCAGATGAGACTTTGGACCTGGACTTTTGGGTTAATGCTGGAATGAGCTAAGACTTTGGGAGACTGTTGGAGAGGCATAATTGTGTTTTGAAAGGTGAGGACATGAGATTTGGGAGGAGCCAGAGATGGAATGATATGGTTTGGCTGTGTCCCCACCCAAATCTCATCTTGAATTGTAGTTCCCATAATTCCCATGTGTCATGAGAGAGACCCAGTGGTAGGTAATTGAATCCTGGGGGCAGTTACTTCCATGCCATTCTGGTGATCATGAGTGAGTTCTTACAATATATGATGGTTTTATAAGGGGCTTCTCCCCCTGTTCACTTGGCACTTCTCCTTGCTGCCGCCATGTGAAAAAGGATATGTTTGCTTCCCCTTCCTCCATGATTGTAAGTTTCCTTAGGCCTCCCCAGCCATGCTGAACTAAGAGTCAATTAAATTTCTTTCCTGTATAAATTACCCAGCCTCAGGTATGTCTTTATTAGCAGTGGGAGAACAGACTAACCTCTACAAAACATAAATAAAAAGAAAAAGATTTGGTTGCATCTTTTCTGTTGTTAAGTTTTGAAAGTTTTAAAATATGTTCTGAATACAAGACTTTTGTTAGAAATGTGATTTGAAAATATTTTCTCCCAGTCTGTGGCTTGTCTTCACATTCATTTAACAGAATTCATAAAGCAAAGGCTTAATTTTGATTAAGTCCAATTTATTGATTTTTTCTTCATGGTTTACACTTTTGGTGCTGTACCTAATCTGTGTGTAACTTAATGTTAAAATGCTTTTATTTTCTTCTAGAGGTTTTGTAGTTTTATGTTTTCATTAATTCACTTCCAATTTTTCCAGCACCATTTGTTTAAAAGGCTCGCCTTCCTGCATTGAATTGTCTTGGTATGTTGGTAAAAAGTGTTTAGTTTTAAAAAATTGAATTCTATTTGTGTGGGCCTTAATTTCTCATTTTCTCTCTCTTTTTTGATGAAATAAGCAAAATAATCACCTTAAAATTAGGAGGGTTAAGAAACTGTTGGAGTTTCAGAAGAAAAAATCATGTAAACTTAACTTATTAATAATATACACTATTAATGTCTGTTATGTACCGGGAACTATTTAAATTTCTAGGAATGCATTTGTATGCAAAACACACAAAACTCCTGCCTTTTAATCTATATTGAAATATACATGTCATAAATGGGTGATTAAAGTAAAAGAAAATATAATTGAAATTATAGCCAACACTAAATGCTCACTTGGGAGTAGTGGTTATGAATTTAAATTGAGAGCAATCAACAAAATTTTGTATCTGCTCTCTAGTTTTACTCAGCTATTTATATGTCAGTGCAGACTGTAGACTGGACAGAGATTGGAGTCAATCAAGTTAGGGATTATGACAAAAAAGTATTGTATAGGGAGACTGACAAGGGGATTGAGAGTGTATATAGGAGACTGATTATAATGAATGGCTGAAGAATGGACAACATGAGATAAGTGAAGGAAGAGAAAGAGGTAGTGTTAATCGATTGGAAATGCTCATAGGCCAAAAGATTACTGAGGAGGGAGTGTAAGTAATGAGATGGAAAGATAGAGGTGACGTTCAGCGAATAAGATCTTAGAAATTAAAATTATGGATGATGAGAGAGATCCTACTTACTGATAGTGACAGGGGATGACTTTGTGAGTTATTTTCTTATGTGATGCAGAGGGCAGGATGAACAGGCTGGGAGGCCTAAGGAAACTTACAATCATGGAGGAACGGGAAGCAAACACATCCTTTTTCACATGGTGGCAGCAAGAAGGGGTGAGGAGGACAAGGAATTAAGACCAAGATTTGGGAAGAGTCAGTAAAATATAGTAATATCAGTGAATACTTAGTTCATAAAAATCATTACAAGCGTAGTATCAGTGAACAAGATAGTAAGCCAGGTACTAAAATCTTCCTGGAAAGAGGTGACATTGGGTGGCCTGGACATCCGTAGTTGACTATATCCAACATTGATGTATTAGTTTCCTATTGCTGCTGTAAAAAAAGACCACCAACTTGTAGTTCTAGAAATGAGAATTCCAAAATTACTTTCACTGGGCTAATGCCTAGTTGTAAGCAGGTCTGGTTACTCTGGAGCCTCTGAGGGGAAGATTTATTTCCTTGTCTTAACATACGTAATTGCAGTTAGGATCTACCGATGAAAATAATTCGTGGTACTCTCCCCATCTCAAGATGCTCAACTTAAATCACATCTGCAAAGTCTTTGTCATATAAGATAATATTCTACGTTCTAGGGATTAGGACCTGGTTCTCTTTGGGGATCAATATTACATTTAGCATATGATGTTACAGTCTGAATGAATGAGCTTCAAAGGAGGAATTGAAGGGGTAAGGAGGGGTAAGGAGTACACTCATTCCTACTCCATAAAAGGCAAGAAGAGAAAGCAGTCTCCAAAGAAGGATTGAGGAAAAGCAATGGCATCAGGGAATAGTCAATTTTCCACTGGAGCAAGGTAGAGGGAACTTTTTGGAAAAGGGGTTAAAGATAGATATTTTTCTGATTATCTACCTTTAACTCTGGGTATAAAGGAATGGTTTGGAGAGAAGAGGGGTGTGAAATTGCAGCAGATTTGGAGATATGATCTACTTTCTGTGTTATAAAATATTGTTGAAAAATGTGAAGCCATTTTAACATTTTTTCCTTATTGGTGGCTTAGTGTTTTTGCTTGAATGTGTCTAATTTCCCCCCATTTCCTTAGAGTCCAATAGTAGCATATTCAAATTACTTTTTAAGCAGATTTGGAACCAGTTTTTATATTTTTAGTGTCATGTTCAATCCATTTACAAAAATACCTTATTTTACCAATTCCTCAGGTATTTAGGGATCTATGTTTAAATGAAATTATTTCTTGAACTTCTTGCACTTCTAATTTAAGATTCAGCTGTCTCAATATGCTAAGTGAGTTATCATTTTTTCCATCTGTCACGCATTTCTTAATTATTCTGGTTTTCAATTCTGATTGTTTTAATGAGTTTATGTCTTAAAAGATGTCACTAAAGTTTAATCAAGTTTTAGGAGAATGTTAAAATAATGCATATGTTTATTCAACAACCTTTATCTGAAAGTCAATAGGCTATATTAGTTTGTTTTAAAAAATTCATATTAGAAGGAGGTTTGGATTCTTAATATCTCTACTTTTTTATCTGTATAATCTGTGATATATGTTCAATTGTCATGAGTGACATTGTCAGTTTACTGATAAAGCAGTCAGGCAAGATAGCATAGTGGAATTTTCTGTCTTTTTTTTTTTTTAACTGAGATTTGGCTTGTACCAGAACTGAGTTATATTTAAATATACTCCAATAAGATGTTATCTGAAGGTTAACATAAAAATATAATTATTAGCTAATTTACTGAAAAAAAGACCACTAAAAGTTGTCTTTTAAATTAACTTAAAACATCAGAGCAAGCTACATTTACTGCACATATTAATAACTTTAGATACTGAAATTTTGATTTTATTTAAAAAATGCTCTCTTCTGGTTAGCACTAAAACTTCTCTTTCTTAATTATATGTGTTATAACATTATTTCTGATATGTTCTATATTGTGCAAAACATCTTCCATTTATATTTTCAAGGATTGTGGATTGAATTTTGGGAAAAATGTCCTTGAGAAAAAGTTTTCATTTGGCTTCTAAAAAACTGACTTATATTTGTTTAGCAACAACTTTTTGCATTATTTCTTCTTGTTTCTACTTAGCTCTAGATATACGTGATGCTGTTTCACGTGGAAAAAATATCCTGAACAAATAAGGTCCATTTTCTTTTTCTTTTTACATTCCTGTGTTGAGTTTTCCTGGCCTTAATTTGTGATAGTGCACAATGGAGTGGAGAGCTAAGATAAGTACTCAGATCATATTTCTATATTCTGTGGTTCTATTTTGTGATGATTTCATTTCAAAATATTTGTGCCCTGGTTCCCTTATATAGTCCCTTAAATTATTGGTATTCATAGATACCCATATATCACTATCTACATATTTTCTGTCATTTAATGATTCATGTATTCCAGTTCTAGAATTGACCCATTTTAGAATAAAAGATTCAACACTCCTGCAACAGTTAAAATTCTTAATTTTTTTCTTTAAAATCTGTTAGGTAATGGGAAAAAATCAATTTACATAGTTAAACACAAATTCAATTTGAGGGAAACCTATCAAGTAGAAAAACATGCAAACTTTTGTAGTTACTTTTTAGAATCACAAAGAGTTTTATTAAGTTTAGGAAGGATTAAGTATTACTGAAATACCTTTAAGACAAAATGGTAAAATTAAGGATAAGTGATCATTTGTATGTAAAGGTCACAGAGGGAATAAATTAATGATTGTTTTTATATTTACTACAATACAAGAACAAAGCTTCTCTTTAGAATGGCTTTTATGTACTTAGAACAAATAATGAAAGTCACTTTGATGTAACACAAAATCCATATTTGAAATTCACTATTTGGTTGTCCTTGAGAAACATTTTTCATTTGGCTTCTAAAAAAACTGAATGACGTTTGTTTAGCAACAACTTTTTGCATTACTTATTTTTGTTTCTATTTAGCTCTAGATACACATGATGCTGTTTCATGTGGAAAAAATATCCTGAACAAGTAAGGCCCATGCCCAGGAGAACCTGAGATTTATTTTTATAAATATTAAGAACAATTAGATTTCATGGTTCAGTATATAACTTAATCTCTTCATAGTCCAAAAAGAAACTACTTCTTCAAGGCCAGCATCAAGCATTTAGTCAAGTGTTTTGTGGAGGATTTCCTCCTGAACCATATGGATTAGGGTACCAAGTAGAGCTGTTGTCTCACCTTCTATAATAAATTTACTTCTACAAAAAATTATTTTGAGCTCTAGACTCAAGCATTTGTGATGATTGCAGCTGCAATGTGGAAGAACAGATATTAATAACAGCATATCCAAATTGACTCTTTATTGAACTCCCTCATTAAAGTCAGAATTCTTTTTAAAATACTTATTACTATCATTACTATTATTTTTATATTATTTGTAGCTAATATGCACATGGTTTTAAGCTATTATTATGGGCACTTAGTCAATTTCATCATCATAATCTATGGACCTGGAATTCTAGAAGTTTCCATGTTTCTCCAGGTAACCAAATAAGGAATTTGAATAAATGAATTATATAGTATTTGCTTAGTGTTCCCTTGTGTGTAGAGTATTCTATTCTGTAGAAAGAAACAATCCAACTGAGAAATATAATTTTTAAAACAAGCAAAAATTAAAACTTGCAAGAAATGCCAAACTATGTGATTATGATTCAAAAAGCTAAGACATATAGAGAACGGGGAGGTGAGATAAGCATATGAGGGGAAAAGTAGAAAACCATCAGGGGGATATTGTAAATTTGAATAGCTAGCACTGAAAAAGGTACAGGACCAAAAAGGAAGGAGTTTCAGGAGAGGAGAAGAAATGTCAGAAGGGGGTTATCAGAAATTGAGCATACAGGGTGTAGGGCATGTAACTATCAGACACCAGGACAAAGAAAACTGAACAAAATAAAATTGTTAACCCCATGTTTACTACGACACTCTAGATTACACGGGAAAACCATCATATGGGTTGTCAGACACACTGTGAATGCCACTGCCACTGCCCCCAGCCCACCCACCAATAAGTGCCTGATGATGCCCCATGATGCCAACATTACGAGAAAGCTGCCTCTTCAGCTTTGCTGCTACTGCATTGTGACTAGTGTTATTTAATATTTCCCAATGATTCCTGTGGAAAGACCAGGGTGTGCTTTGGCACTTACACTGTGGTTAGCTGAAAAATGGCCTCCAAAGACAACCACATCCTAATCTCTGGAAACTGTGAATGTTACTTTGTATGGCGAGATTGACTTTGTAGTTGTGATTAAATTAAGCATCTTGAGAAGGAGAGTTTATACTGGATTATCTGGGTAGGCCATACATACAATCACAAGTGTCCTTAGAAGAGGGAGGTAGAATTAGATTTAATAGCAGAAGAGCAGAGGCACTGTGGTGACTGAAGCAGCAATTAAAGTAATGTGGCCACAGCTAAGTAATATCAGCAGACACTGAAGTGGGGGAAGGAAGGAACAGATTGTTACCTGGAGCCTTCAGAGGGAACTGAGGTTTTGACACCTTGATTTTAGACCCCTAAGACATTTTAGACTTCAGACTTCCAGAACCATAGGAGAATTTGTGAGTCATATTCTCAATATCTCAAATATAAATTCTACTTGAATTTTTTTTTACACTACAGCTTCTCCTCTCAGTGACATTTGCAAACAATATTGTGTTTGGGGATAGCAGGAATATGGCTTGTAAATGACAACGGTATTCTCCACACAAGCGAAGTTTCACTGTTGTACAATGTATAAAACTGGAAAGTTTGTTCAGTAATCTACATACCTGATAAAATGTATTTAGATGGGTCTATTGTGTTCCAGTAATTTCAGCTTTTCCCTCTCTAGATATTTAGAATATACCTTTTGCTACATCTTTGCCATACCCAGAATCAGTCCCAAATCCATGGAGTTGGAGCTCAGGAACTCGAAGTTATTAGAAATCATCCCTTTTCTTCCAAGTTGATACATTATCTTAGACAAGGTTGTGGACATTGATTCTTCCTTTTGAATAATTTCTGAAATTGTTTCCAGGAAGTCTTTAAATTTATTATTCAGATAGACTTCTGAAAAGTCCTTTGGAGTAGGTTGCCAGGCATTTCTGGACATGTGTTACTTCTAATGTGATCTTTGCAAATCTTACTAGCCCTGTTACTATTGGTAAGAATGGTAGTCAGATAATGAAAGACTTTAGCTAGGCTGAAGAGGTTGATCTTGATGATGTAAATTAATATTTTAAATGTGCATATAGGATAAGTAATTGCTCACTTAAGCAGTGCTGATATTTAGGACTGGAGGTAGTGAAGAAGTCTGGGGAATTATTGATATGTTTGTTGAAATTGCTATGAAGATGGCGGAGAACTTTGCAATGATGCCCGTGAGTTGGGTACTAAACTCAGCTAAGAAGATGGAAATAGATCTGTGGGATTGTAGACAGATAAAATGATGACCAAAACGTAGGAGAATTGCAGACCATAGATTACTAGTCTACAGTGGTAAAATTGGCTTACTAAATGGAGTAAGCATTAGGAGACAGTGTAGTAGCATCATGGGTCATCAAGTCCTAAATTCAGTGAATTTAAAGAAGTAAAGAGAAATAAAAACCGCTTACAGAAAAAGAAGCATTTATTAAAAGAGGTGAAGGAGTAGGATCCAGAACACTGAGAATGGAGGCTATTGGTAAGGGTTAAAGGGAGAAAAGTTGTAGAGAAAACTAGGCAAGAATGTGATGAGTGGGAAAATTTGGACTAAGTTATTAGTGGTAAGATGTTAGTGCTCATGGGAGAAAAACAAGGGGACGAGAGTATTCAAGTGAGTAAAGGTGATGAGATGATTATTTGTGGACTGGGACCACAACAATTGAGAGCAAAGAGGCCAGTTTCCTGAGAGATATTACGAACTCTGTGTGTAGCTGCTTGAATAGTAAGACTCTTGGGTTCATGGTGACATACCTACAGGATCATGAGAGGGTCCTGCTCTTTGATGGCTATGTGGAGGTGTAGGTCTGTGTTCAGAAGCAGGAGAGTTCCATGATGTCCAGAGAATAAGTTTCCTACTGAAAGAGAAATATTTTAAAATATATTACTTCTCAAAAACTTTCTCTTTGCCTTTGTTTATGAAATAGTGCTTAAGAATTTAACTAATTTGCAACATCATTTCTTGTTTTCTCCATGAATAAGCCTTCCTCTTATGATTTCATTTATGATTGAAAAATATGGTGTAGACTATCTTTTAATAATACATGCCTTATTGATCTCATTCATTATAATAATTTGTTACTGAAATTGAAATGTTCTAGTGAACAAAAAAATGTTAGCTCTACATTTTCCACTACAGTAGCTGTCACTCTGGACTCCAAAACATAAATTGAACTCTCAGGATGGAAACGCATATCTTTTTTTTTTTTTTTTTTTTTTTTTTGTAAGACGGAGTCTCACTCTGTCGCCAGGCTGGAGTGCAGTGGCGCGATCTCGGCTCACTGCAAGCTCCGCCTCCCGGGTTCACGCCATTCTCCTGCCTCAGCCTCCCGAGTAGCTGGGACTACAGGCGCCCGCCACCACACGCGGCTAATTTTTTGTATTTTTAGTAGAGACGGGGTTTCACCGTGTTAGCTAGGATGGTCTCGATCTCCTGACCCCGTGATCCACCCGCCTCGGCCTCCCAAAGTGCTGGGATTACAGGCGTGAGCCACCGCGACCGGCCTCTTCTTTTTTTTTTCTAATAGTAAGAATTTACTGTGTGTGCTCTTAAAAGCCCCAATTCTCGTGCAGGAGTATGACCTGCTGTGATCCAGTTCCACACTCACATTAAATATAGGTATCCCCTAAATTGTAGGGCTTTCTCAGTCACCCTTGTCAAAAGCAAAAAGCACATATATTACAGTGCTGATTGTTAATATTCTATCAGAGTATAAGTATAAATGCCTAGCCCTCCGCCTCACTTGTACCAGTTACCTCTGCTTAGATGTATACTTTGAATAGTTCATGGTCATTAATGACCCAGTTCTCAAACAATCTTCATATGCAATCTCCAAAAATATAAAACTATACAATAAAATTATAAAATGATCCCAAATGTATTTCTATTCCTCCTATAAGGTCACCAAGCTTATAGATCTAAAAACAAAAAGTGATAATATATAATATAACGAAAGTATAACCATATTAATATCAATATTATATTAATAACAGATTAGTATTAATATATTCATAGTAAATGTTTTACTAAATTAGAAAAATGTCCAAAAACATGTTTTATAAATTTTTTAGATAAGATTATAGTAGCAGAGTGCCCAATGAGTTTATGAGAAATCATTCAGTTACTAAAGTGAGCAGTTTTATATTATTATTATTTTGTACATTTTTTTAGTAACTGGTAGAATGATATACTCATTTTTTTTCTGTTTTATGGCATGTTTCTACTTATAAAATATAGTACCAGTCTTTATCTGCTTGTTAAAATAGCTAAATATCTGTTATAAGTTTACAGATTGTTAAATTATTACTTTATCTAGGTATTTCTTATATACTAGAACGCAGTAGATTTCTACATATTGTTCTCTATGAATCCACATTGGAGTTCTAATTATTGCATAAAACTATAGAAGCATTATTAAACTTGATAGAGTAATCCACAGAAATTGAGTGTGAATTTTTATCCTTTTTCTAATTATTTTAATAGATGCTGTACTTACCAAGTCCTCATTTCTCAAAACTTAGATAATCATCTTGCCTGTGTGAAGCAATAATTTTTTTTTTACATAAGATCAACTACTTGATAGATTTTGATTATGCACTGCATATGGAGTCTTTTACATAGACTTTGTAGGGACATGGATGAAGCTGGAAACCATCATTCTCAGCAAACTATTGCAAGGACAAAAAACCAAACACCGCATGTTCTCACTCATAGGTGGGAATTGAACAATGAGAACACATGGACACAGGAAGGGGAACATCACACACCGGGGACTGTTGTGGGGTGGGGGGAGGGGGGAGGGATGAGGGATAGCATTAGGAAATATACCTAATGCTAAATGACGAGTTAATGGGTGCAGCACACCAACATGGCACATGTATACATATGTAACAAACCTGCACGTTGTGCACATGTACCCTAAAACTTAAAGTATAATAATAATAAAATTAAATAAATAAATAAATAAATAAATAAATAAATAAATAAAATAAAATTGTGTCCACAAAACCCTTTTGGTTTCCAGCTCTGAGTTCGTACTTAGAATAATGGAATAGTCAGCCGGGCGTGGTGGCTCACGCGTGTAATCCCAGCACTTTGGGAGGCCAAGGCAGGTGGATCACTTGAGATCAGGAGTTCGAGATCAGCCTGGCCAACGTGTTGAAAACCTGTCTCTACTAAAAGTGCAAAAATTAGCTGAGCATGGTGGTGGGCACCTGTAATCCCAGCTACTTGGGAGGCTGAGGTAGGAGAATTGCTTGAACCCAGGAGACGGAGATTGCAGTGAGCCAGGATCGTGCCACTGCACTCCAGCCTGGGCGACAGAGCGAGACTCCATCTCAAAAATAAATAAATAAATAAATAAATAAATAAATAAATAAATAAATAAAGGAATAGAGTCTGTTGACCTACTGAATTGTATCACTCCAAAATTTACATGTTCATGCCCTAACTCCCAATGTGATTATATTTCCAGATAGGTTATTCAGGAGGCAATTAAAATTAAATTAGGCTATAAGAGTGGGGCCCTAAGAGGTTCAGTGCCCTAATAATAAGAAAAGAAGATTGCTGTCTCTCTTCTCTATCTCTGCCCATGCTCAGAGAAAAGACCGTATGTGGACTGCAGCATGGTGACCATCTGCCGGCCAGGAAAACAACCCTCACCAGAAATTAAACTCCATCGGAACTTGATGGGGAACTTCCAGGCTCTAGAACTGTAAAAGATAAATTTATGTTGTTTAAATCACCCAGCCTGTGGCATTTTGTTACAGAAGCCTAAGAAGACTAATACTTGACCTATACCTGATAGTACCAAAATTATGTAGTCTAAAGGTTGTGATTTGTAGTATCTAGTCAATGCAGACTGAAATAAAACTGACAATGCAAGTGGTCTTTCAATTTTGAAAGCTCCCAACAATTTAGATTATTGATTTTATTACCAATTTTTATGTCTGATTTATATTAAGTGATGAATTTAAATAAGTTTTTATTAGACTTACTGCAAAAAAGTACATTACTGCAGAAAAATACATTATAGTAATACAGGTATACAGGAATAATATTTAACATATTGAACAACCTGTATGGCATGACAGTCTGGAAATTAGAACGGATGTCCAATCAATGAGAACAGAAAATGGCTGCTATAATAAGCTTATCTATTCAGTGGCAGGTCTACTTACACATACATCAGTATTTTTAAAAAGATGAATGACAATAACAAGAATAGTTGCCGCAGTAGGTCTTCTGGGAAGCTTCTTTAAACAATATTATATTTCTTCACCTTCTTCTGTAAATGGTTTATATAAAAACTGAATTATTTAGAGAATATAATGCAGTGTAGGAGTTATGCAAGATGAGTTTGACATTAGGTATTTCTTAAGAAATTAACTTTATTCTTTTTAAGTGAAGCGCTATGTTCCAAATCTCACATTTTTGGCTGCATCTACAATCTCTTAATTTTTCAAGGTTTCTTTTTTGTATTACCTTCTTGCCTCTGGAAGACAGACTAATTGCTTTTCTAGATTTGACTTTTGACATTTTTGTTAATTATAGTAAAGCTTATTTTTTACATAATCATATGATTTTCTGTTGGAAGATATTTAGAACTTATCCATTCCAAACTTCTACACTGCCTAGGTATGTTGGGGTTCTACAGCTTATATTAAAAAAGTGAGAATTGGAAGGGCCCATGGAACCCATACAGTGCAGATCCTACCTCTCATGCACCAGTTTTAAAGATAGATAAACTTCTGTCTTTCCACATAATACTTTTAGGAAAGGTAATAGCTACCCTGTATAAATCTTTTTTTAAAAAAATTAATGAGTATAAACGGAATTAAGTTGAAAAACATTCAGAAATATGTCAAACTCAAAATGTTAACTACCTCATTAAATGACTGAATTTTACATTTATCCTGAAATTACTGATTTTATTATCTTTGTTAGCTTTCAGGTTCACAAAAGTTGAATTATTGTTGTGATGGTTTTCTTTTTCAAAGGAGACTTTCCATTTTCTTGTTAAGGTAAACTCCTGGTCCTTTAACATAGGGATTTTTGAAATGAATCAGTATGTTTGCCTTGGTTCTGATGTTCTTAACTGAATGCTGGGCTGGGAAATTGTGTAGCACCTTGGACACATTTCTTAATTTCTGTGAGCTGAGGCCTCTTATTTGTAAAATGGGGTTAATAATATTAGTCTCCTAGGGTTCTTGTAAGGATGAAATGAGTTAAGGACACATATTAAGAGCTCATTACATGGTAGTATTTTAGAGATAGAATGATATTAACCATACACATTCTATCCTCTTATATCATAACTTCAGATATGAATATAACAATGACAGAAAGCAAATGGCAGCAAAGGAGTGAGTGCACTATACCACTGATCCTTTTGGAATCCTTCCAACTCTCTCTGCCTTCACCAAGTGGTCCCTAATATATGACTATAATTGATCATAGCATGAATGAATCCTTATTGGAATCCAGTTTTAGTCCATGAGTACTGGGCACAGACCACTATATTAGTGCTCTATTCATACAAAAGAACTGAAATACTCTATCCTTAAAAAAAAACTTTACAGTTTAGTTCTGGCATATTTGCATATTGCTTTACTCCAGTGGGATTTAGGATGAGGTGGGAATTGAGGCAAAACCCTGCTGTGGCATGATCATGAAGGCACATTATATGTGGAATCGAAACAGCAAGACTTGGCTCAGATCCATTTACCCTGATGCATTATGAGTGACTCAATTTAATTGAAAATCACCACCAGACATTGTTATTAGATAAAGTTATGAAATGATTTGCTGCAGCAGCAGGAACTTATAGGTCTTGTGTGCAACATAAAATTTTAATGAAATAGGCACTTAAAAATTACCATTATAGTAGACTATATAGTCTATGATTAAAGGATTAAATTATTATTACATAATAAAACAAGATAAATGCTAGGTCTGGAATTTTTAAAAGATGACCACAGAAAATGAGCTTAAATTTTACTAACAGCATATTGTAACATAACAAACAAATATATCTGGTAATGTCTATGTAATGCATATCATTGAGTAACTTTTTGTCTGTGGGACACAGAAAATGAGGCAAATATTTAGAAACAGGACATGGTATGATTTTCTCCTGCCACAGACTCTGAGATGCTTGAAGATTTGATGCCTATAAGAAGTTCCAAGAATATTTTTTGAGGTGTATTAGGCTAGTATGGTAGTCTCCCTATTATCCATTTCATTCCAACTGGTTAGTCTCTAACCATTGTCACCAAATTCTTCTGGTCAGTGATCTGTTTAGCTGTGGGAGTAACTTGATTGCCCTAGAATGCAAGCTACATGAGAGCAGGATTTTTGTGTACTGTTACATTTCTAGGAATTAGAACAACGACAGACCTATGGTAGTTAAAAAAAAAATTACTGTTGAAGAAAGAATGAGAGAGGAATAAAAAATGTAAAGAATGGGAGGAAAAAAGGGAGTGAAAAAAGATGGAAGAAAGGAAAATAAAGCTAGGATAAAGGGAAGAAAAAAGGAAAAAAGAAAAGGAAAAAGGACACAAGGAGAGAGGATTGCTCATAATTCAGGTTCACAAAAGTTGGAATCAATCAGTCAATCAATCAAGAATCTCTGACACTCTCTTTACATTGGACTTAAGCAAGGATTATTTGGCCGTTTTGATTATAGAAGCCGTTCTAAGATCATAAAGTCAATCAGGTATAACATGGAATTGATCCTGTTTATGGTAGAGTAGAGATGGAAATAACCTGAGTTCTTGATGACAAAGTGGAGCATCTTAATTAAGCAAGCATGAAAGCACTCCTATCTCTGAACTTATTATGTGACAAAATAAATTTTATTTAACGTGAGTTTAGGCAGAAGTTCCATTTCTTGCAGGTGGATACTTCCTTACCGATAAAGTCTGGATTCCAGAGTTAGGAAGCAGACAACTCAAATTGGAACCATTTTACCACTCGGAACCTAGTATAGTGCCTGTAATGAGGTTTTCTGTAATCAGTAATGACAATACAACAAAGTATTAGTCCCTGGCACTGTGTGTCAAGGCCTATACTAATGTTTTACATGAGCTATATTCCTATGCTAGCCTTACTAGGTGGATATAATTATTGACAGTTTTCAAATGCAAAAATTGAGGCTTCAGGAAGTTAAGGAAATTGTGTAAGATACACAGTGATTAAGAGGATTGGTCTCTATAGGATATCACCTTCAATTCTCCACTCTCCCTGAGAGTTAGAATACAAGTGTATACATAATTACTCAAATTTTTTAGTTTTGTTACTGCCTATGGGTATTTGAATTGGTAGAAAAAATGGTGATTCTATATATATACATATAGTATCATTGATTTGGAAAATTTGATATAAACATCCAGAATGATAGAAGCAAAGATGAAAGAAATTGCCAAACCTAACAGAATGATATGGTCTTCAACCTAGAAAATACATTTTTAGAGATACACAGTTTCTATCTCATACTTAGAAAGTAAAAAAGAATGCATATATTTGAAATGGTCTTCCTGAGCAAAATGTTTTCATCTAGCTTTTCTAAAGTGTAACAAATGCTTTTTGAATAGGGAATTTTAGTTAACTAAGGATCAGTATTTATTCATGAAAGTTGCTTGCAGCACTCTAAATATTTTTATCTTGCTTGCCATTCCTTTGAGTCCCGTTCCCTGATTGCTGTGGATGAGAAATGTGTTACTTCATGCTAATGTTAATAAAGAATTTCTTGCAGGTAAACTTTCATGCAAAAGTACCCTTGAAACAATTGCTTATTCCAAAATGATATTTATACCACTTGGGAAATCTATAGAAAAAAGCTAAACCCACTCTGAGTGATAATCTCTGGAATCGCTACAGTTTCACTGAGGACCTTAGCTGTTCCTTTGATACTACACAGTACTTCTAGGACCTCACACTCATCAAATATTTTATTAGCTCTAATATTTTCTAGTCTTTTCTTGATAATTTCATCAAACTTTTTATAATGCTAAAATTCTATCATTTTATTTATTCAGGTAACATTTAGTGCTAACCTACCTGGCAACATGAAATATATGGTAAGAAAAATGGCATGAATAAGGCACAGTTCCTTTCCTCAAATGGCTCTGAGATTGTGGGGGAGATAGATACATGGCTAGAGATTGAAAATACAAAGTGTTAAGTTCTCTAAGAGAGCTAGGTAAAAAAAAGCTTTAAAGAAACACAGAGAACACCTAAATCTGCCTAGAGAAGCTGGGAAACTACTAAGTAGATAATTCATCAGCTGAGCCTTAAGAAAAGGAGCAGAAGTTTGGCATGTAGGAAATACAGCAGAGGAAAGAACTGGTATCTGAGAGAGATGGGACAGCACACATGGCATCTGAGACACACGTGGAACAGCATGTGAGAAATCATGAAGGAGTAGGAGACATGAGAATCTTCCGGAAGGATCCACTGTAATAAACTAAATCCTCAAAATTGTTCTGTGAAGGCTTGTAATTATGCTTGTATTACTGATGAAGAAACTAAGGGTTTCCAATTTTTTCATTTTTGGATTCAGAGATTCTCGCCCTATCACCTGGACTGGAGTGCAGTCAATGGTGATAGTTCACTGCTGCATCCTCAAACTCCTGGCCTCAAGTTATCCTCCTGCCTCAGCCTCCTCAGTAGCTGGGACTACAAGAGCATATCACCACACCTGGCTAACGTGTTCCTATTTTTTTTTTTTTTTGTATAGATGGGGTCTCATTATGTTGTGCAGGCTGATCTTGAACTCATGACCTCAAGCTATCCTTTGGCCTCTGCCTCCCAAAGAGCTAAGATTACAAGTGTGAGCCACCACACCCTGCCACAGGATTGTAAAATTTAAGCCATTACTATTTGCTAAATTTTTTGTTACTCTTCTTTACTTCAAGTCTCTGTTTACGAACTTATTATATGAAACCTATCAGGGAGCCAATCCAGTCGGAAGTATTCAGTAAATGTTTATTGAAGAAATAAATGAATTAAATGAGTTATCTTTCTTAATTTTTAAATTTAACAAAAGTTTATCTGATCTCAAAATTCATGTCAAAGCAATTTACTTGTGAGAACAATTTAGAAAGCAAAAACATCTTTCACTACTTCTAATAGGGTATTTGTTACAGAAGCAATAGAAGGTCTAGAAGAGAAGATTTAAATGGAACAGTGTTAACCAATATTTTTTTAAGTTTGTTTATATGTACTTAACATTTTGGATACAACTTTATTTAAAAAATATTTTTCTATTACTGTTATGCAGATATATAATTTATTTTAATATTTATTTTGTATCTAGTAATATTTCTATATGCCTGAATTAATTTTAATATTTTGTGGAACTTTCCAGCTCTTCTAGTATGACATTAATAGTTCTTCAATTACTTCAAATTGTTTAACTAATTTTCAGCTCTTCAATGCTAGTGTGATTTTTAAAATAAAAATATTTTATTTTTTTTTTTTTGTTTTCATTGGTAGAGTTAATTTGAATGATTTAGTATGCCTTTACTGGAAACTTTCTCACATTTACATAATTTTTTATTAATTATAAATGTTCGGCAACTTATAGTTGTGTTTAGAAATTATTCCCCTTCATTTGGAGGACCTAGAAACATCATCACTCTATTATCTTTCCCAGTTTTAACTTTTTATTCAGTAGAATAAAACATGTTTTTAACAGAATATTTATTATGTTATCCTATTTCACTAGACTTTGATTTATTCTGTTTTCATTTCTACCTGTCTCTTCCTAATCTCTCAATCTTCATGCTATCAGCCTAACTTTCTGATTTTAGGATATGTATTATGTCTATGAAATACCAACAAATGAGGCACTTGTAGAAATATATGATGCAATATCACTCAGCATAATAACAGTCACAAATATATCCTCGTTTGGTGGTAGAAAATCCCTATTGGATTTTATATTGCTTCCATATTTTCTTATTGACACTCTAATCAGCGTTTTTATTTCTTGTTTCACTTACATTTAATACTGATACTTTTTTTGTCCTGATATATATTTGACATTTTCTTCCTTTAGTTTATTTTCCAAAATATATCAGCAATCCTTCAAATGTCATTTTATCATGCATCTGAGATCTCTGTATTGTCTCAAGAAATAGAGCTTTTTAGAAAGAACTGCATTAGCAAGTAATATATTAGAAAATTTCATTTTGATTGAAGTTTAGAGTATGTGTTCGTTCAAGAAGTATTAAAATAATGTAAATACAATTTAATTACTCTTATCATTGAGCTGTCCACAGCTAGCATTAAATAGAATTTAATTACTGTTATCATTCAGCTAATCCCAGCTACCCATTATTGGTCATATGATAAATCCAGAAAACAGTTTTTAAGTTAGCAATGATTTCTTCTGATGTCTCCTTTCTTCAGCTTATTAATCCATTCCCACATCAGACTTGACCTTGACATTGAGAAATGATGGACTAACTGCTATTATTTGCTGAAGTTTCTAAATTAAAAGTAGTAACAGCCTGGGAGGGGAAAGAGGGGAGAAAGCGAGAGAGAGAGAAACATGTTCCATCTATAGATTAAGATGCATTTAAAGAACTCTCTGAATATCTTCAGTACTTTAGAGAAGAGTTTATCTTGTTTAGAAGATTGTTTGATTGAATCACCTTTTAAGGAAAATTGTTTTGTGTAAAATATTTCCAACATGTAATACTGAATACCATTAACCCACAACCATCAATTGCTTGTTATACTTCATTTGGCTTCTCCGTTTTATTACCCAATATAATTGACTTAATCTTTATTTGTCTAATAAAAGGTACTCCTCCTTGGAGTCTTTAGGCTAATTTTAATGGCTACAGACCTGTTTTACTCATTAGAGACTGTAAAATACTTCTATTAATTTATTTACTACTTATTAAAATACCAAATCATAGCACAATTTGCCTTTTATGATTGAAATTCCATCACCTTTAGCTGAATTTTTAACATCAATGAACTGTGATTAGTCTGTTCTTATTGATGTTTGCACTCCCAGATTAGCTGCAATGTCCAAAACTGGGGAAAATTTAGCTAGGATCATGAGTGGATTGGCCTGGCTGTATTTTCTTCCTAAATTTCCTCAAGGTATGTATCATTGTGGACAATGGTCTTTTTCGTAATGGGCCACAGTGGATCATTCATTATTTGCACCACCAGGAATGGTGAGAAGGTGCAGTAGCAATTTCCTACAATGGTGACATGACAGTCAAAAATACCTCAAGTTGTCTAAAGAAGCGTCAAAATATTTCTCCCTAAATTCTGCGATTAGAATTAATTTCAATAACCTTCAATAGATTAACATATAAAATTAAAGTTTTGTTTAAGTTCAATTAAACTTTTTTCTGGGTGTTCTATGATTAATATAGATGGAAATAATTTATTTGGGCTGTTTGCCATACTTTCTTAAATTCAAAGTTTGTTTTAATCTCATATATTAAAAATACATGGAAAAATAAGAGTGCATGTCTTTTCTGAGTGAGACTTATTATATATAAGCCAAATGATAAATATATCCTGAAATCATCCATTACACAACTGCAAAGTAGGTTACTTCCTCTCCATTGGTAGAGGAAAATTTATAGCCATTTCTGTTCTCTCTAGGTCAGTGCTTCTGAGCCATGGGTGATTTTGCACCACCCAGTGGTCAATTGACAATTTCTGAAGACATTTTTGGTCTTTGTAAATAGGGGTGAGATGGTGCTGGCATTCAAGGAATAAAAACCAGAGATGGTGCTGAACATTCTGTAAGGCACAAGAAAGCCCTCAGCAAAATACCATTAGTGCTGAAGTTGAAAAATCCTTGTCTAGGTTCTTCAGCATTGTGTTGGGCAGATTGAAGACCTCTGAACTACTGAAGGCTGTTCGTAAGCTCCATTGGTTAAGTAGATGTTAGTGTATTGAACTAATGTACCAACTAACAGGCGTGGAATTTAACAAGTTTGCAATGTGATATATGGAGGGAGGAGAGTTAGCAGTTAGCATGTTTTCATTATCTGTGCTACAGTAGATGGTCCCCTGCAGCCAGCTAATAGTCACAGAAGATTTCAAGATAGAGAAAACCATGCAAAGTGGTAGAGATGATATTGAAGTCTGGGTCTGTTTAGACTTAAGGCTATGTACTTTGGACCGTCTTGTTGCTATAGTCTGTTCTTAGATATTTTTATTTATGGGTGTTTCTTGCATATGAACTGAAAATTTTTCCTGAAACTTATTTTCTCTCATATTTAAATATATGTATTTAAATGTACAAGTCAAGATTAACAGCTGTTCTGTTAATTTGTTCAAGCTCACTGCCAAATCTTATGCTACACATATGTGGGAAAGAATATATAAAAATATTGTAACAGAACTAAACATAACAGTGCTTTTTTAAAGATAAAAATGTTAAAATGGTTTCAAACAAGCAAATGAGAATAGCATCAGGTTATTTCTGCTCTCTCTTCTGAGAACAACTATGCCGTAAGTGGGGAAGACATAAGAAGCTTCCAAATACTAATTCAAAATCAAGTCTGACTTTCTGCTTAGAGTTACGCTGACTTCTACTCTGTGTTTTGACAGCTGAGTATCTTGACTCTAAAATCTAATTTTTTTTTAATTGGAAGTATCCTTGATTCCTAAGCTCAATTCCTCTAATGCTAGAACCCTGTGTGTTTGTGTATATTCATTACAGACCTTTTTCCTGACTGGATTTACATGCTACAGTCTTATATGCTGCTTTGGTTTCAGCATATTTGCTCTCATCTTTTTCTATCCTTGTAAAGTTTATATTTGCATTACAAGCAAAATTTTTATATTTGTATCTTCAGTGGCCTTTCCTTGGAATAACAATCCTTTATACTACTCTTCTGCTCTAAATACTTTTGGTATATCATGCACAAACACTTTTCCTATTCATAGTCTACTTTGACTATTTTGCCAGTAGAATATTTACCAAATGTGATCACGTACTGTGTCACAGAAAGCATCATGATGATTCCAAAAAGTAGAACTATAAGCCAGAGTCTCTGATTATCATAATTCAGTTAATCTCAAAATGAACAATTAAAAATTAGAAAAAATTAACCCCTTTAAAATTAAATTCCTGGACCAAAAATAAACTGAAAATTAAATTTAAAATTATATAAATATTAATGAAAATATGAGTAATTTGCATGGACACCAATGTCACATAGCTAAAGCTTGCACTTAGACTAAAATGTATGGCTTTAAAAGCTTTTAATTAAGAAAACAAGGATGGAAAGCAAATCAGTGATCACCTTAAGCAACTAGAAACATACCAAAAATAATGTACCTAAAGTAATTTTGGAGAATAAAATCAGTGAAAATAAAAGCTGAAATGAATCTAAAGTGAACAAATGAAAATTGTTGGCTAAACCATAAAAATAGTGATTCTCCTAAGAAAGACAATATTGCTGTGCTCTGAATGCTGGTGTCCTCTCCAAATTCATATATTGATACCTAATACCCAAGGTGATAATATTAAAAGGACCTTTAAAAGGTGATTAGGTCATGAGGGCTCTGCCCTGGTGAATGGGATAGTGCCCTTATAAAAGAGGTTTGAGGGAGACTTCTGGTCCCTTCCACCATGTGAGGACACAGCAAAAAGCACCATATTTGAAGTAGAGTGTAAACATTCACCAGACATGGAATCTGCTGATACCTTGATCTTGATCCCCATTTCCAAAACTATGAGCAATAAATTTCCATTGTTTACAAATTACTTAGTCTAAGATGTTTTGTTATAGCAATCTGAGTAGACTAAGATAAATATGAACAGGCATTTCACAAAAAATATACAGTTAAATATAAAGCTCACCACTAAGGGCAATACGAATGCAAATAATGAAGTATTATTTTTAATTCATTAGTTCAGCAAAACTTAAAATACACACAGACATATAATTTTTATGAGGGTGTAAGCAAAAGGCTCTCTTACACATCATCGGTTGGATATAGATAGCTAGCAATTTTTGGTGCATGAAACAGGGTTTTTCCAAATAGAAATGACTGCATCCTTTTGCCATCAATTCCACTACTAGGCATCTGTCTTACTAAAATTAATGCTTACCTGTACAATCTCTATTGCCCTTAGACTCAGGTCAGAGGAACCCCTGCTCCTGGCCCTGTTCTTCAAAGGGGCCGGTCCTACTTGCCTTTCCCTGTTGGGTAGAGAGTTGTTGGAGTCAAGAAACAAGTTATCTTGGACCCTGTGATTCCTCACCCCACCCTGGATCACATTCCATCTACATGGACTAAGGATTTTCTGTCAAATTATCCGAGTCAGTTTTTAGGCTGTAAATGGGCCTTTTCTTTAATTTGTCCTCTCCCAGTACCACTAGGCCCAAGGAATGATCAACTGGAGGGTGTTTGTGGAAAGGAAGTCTATGAGAAGAGTGCAGATGGAGCGAATTCTAGGACTGGAGTGTCCACATGTGAGCACAAGACCACATGTATTATAAGACTCTCCCAAGGGTAGAACAAGAAGTGGAGCCGGTGGCAGGCAAATGGCCAGGGACCAAGACATCTGAGATTAAAAATTTCAAGCTGCCTTTCCACGTCATTCTGGGGGTATATTTGTCAAAGCAGGAAGATAGAATCTATTTTGTTTACAGCTTGTTAACTTGATTAATAACTTTAAGTATTTAGACATATGGTATGAAGCCCTCCATTTTTACTCTTTTGTCATGCCAACAGATGTTAAGAATGCATCTGTATGCAATGATATAGGCTCAAAGATATTTTTTGCAGCATTGTTTTAATTAATAACCTAATTTGCCATAAAAGTAGCAAAGATTAAACAAAACATGAAAGATATAAATTAGAGGATACCGTGCAGTCATTACAAATAATTCAGGTTTGGATATATTGACTTGTAAAGTCACACATTAATTGATAAAAATGTTATAGAAACAATGATTAGTGTGATTGCATTAATATAAGAGCAAAATAAAAACAAGCCAACAAAAACTTGTGCATGCTTCAATAAACAAAGAAGACAGTGTGAATGGTTTCATACCAAAGCGATGATATTGGCTTCCCTATAAAAATGA
Organism: Homo sapiens; assembly: GCF_000001405.40. Taxonomy (NCBI): domain Eukaryota; kingdom Metazoa; phylum Chordata; class Mammalia; order Primates; family Hominidae; genus Homo; species Homo sapiens. Next base: position 78,433,113 of record NC_000006.12, on the reverse strand, counting down.
CTTTGGGGGGTGAGGGAAAAGGCTTTATAATTTATTACCTAAACCTCTACATTTATTGAAATGTTATGAATATGAATTATAATTTTAAAAATATGTAAAAACTTGCTTTAAAATTAAGAGTAATGTTTTTATATACATGCAGTTTAAAAACTTATACTGAAAAAAGTTAGGGTTAGTGCATTCTTTTCAAATGAGGAAGACAGGGCAGCAGTACAGTTCTATTATCACTATGGTCCCTTAAGGTAAATACTGATTCTGAACTAAGAAAGTAAGGATTGTAAGTATCCTGGTTCTTACAGTGTAGACTTACAGAAATACTCCCTATATTTCTTAATTGATTTTGAACAAACATAATTTACTTTATGCTGGATTTTACACGGGTACTATTTAACACCATTTTCTTCTGAAAAACAGCAGTAGGAGAAAATAGTTTATTGAACTCTTAGTTTCATTTTTGTTGAAGCATCAATTTTCGTTGTTTTTCTGGTGATTTACATATTTTTTTTTTCTTCTTATACTGCCCCTCATATTCCCCAATATCAGCTGGTGACTTTATTTCATTGATTTAAGAAGGTAGCAGCTATCCAAAGGGAGCTTCAAAAGGCATTCCATCAGCAAGTCCACAAATAGCAAAGGGACTCTGGTCCCTTTCTTTTCCCCTAAATACAAGGATGTCCTTCCTTCTACCTCAAAGTGGTCCTTCCACTGTGCCTGAGTTTTGGGGTTACTATGATATGATTTAAAAGTTTTCCTGGTTCCTCCTTGTACTTAGGGTGATACTCATATCACCCACCTAACCTAAAGACCCTGGATCATAGCTCCCTGACAACCTCTGTAATATAATCTCTCTTCTCTCCCTTTCTCACTATGCTGAAGCTGAATTGAGCTCCTTTTGGTTCATTACATACATCCTGTCTTAGGAACAGTGCAAAACTGTTCTTGTTGGTGGGAATGTTCTCTCTACAAATCCTTCTCACATGGCTTTTTATCACTCCCATCACACTTTCAATGCTATGTCTTCAAAGTTATTTCTGCCTATTCTTCCTTACTAATTTGATATTTAGCATTCTTCTCAGTTTGTACTTACATAATTATTTACATATTTCGATGTTTATTATCTCATTCCCTAACCAGACTTAAGATCCCTGTCTGTATTATTTATCACTGCCTTACACAGTATCACACATAGTGCCTGACCCAAAGTAGGTGGTTAATAAGTATTCATTGAATGATAAATGTAAGGCAATAAGACAGTTAATGGTATTCAGGAAACATACTGTACATATATGAAAGATTTCCACTGTCTTGAAGATACTTCATTAAAACCATCACTAAATGCCCTTGACAATCATTATAGTCCAATTGACAAAACATAATTTGGAAAACTTAAAGGAAAAAATAATAAAAAAAAATTTGGTGCCCATTATAGTGACTCAATTATTTCCAAAGCTACTCTATTTTTCTGGCTATCTGTCTTAGATTATAAATGAGTAAGGAATACTCTGGACTGAAGCCTACCTCCTGTGACCTTGTAAATGGGAACAAGATTGTGATGATATGTGTAAGGCTAGTTCTTCTCTAATCCTCTCCTCCTCCCCCAACTTTATCTTGCTCTCTTTAAATCTTTTTATTTTTTCTCAAATCAGAGATAAGTCAAAGAAATACTGCTTTTCTTCTCTTATTTTGTTTATAACAATAGAGAAGGTTCATAGGCCAGAAATCCCAATAGAATCCATATTTGAGCAAATGCCTGTCTTAGGATATTTCATTCCCCATTGAGAATGAGAATAGTATGTCTATGTTTATAATGTTTTAAGGTGTGTTTTCCATATTTTCTGACATGTGATTTACAACAGGGAGGATTTCAGTGACAGAAGAAATGGCAGAAATAAAACACATTTGAATAGTTTCTCAGAGATACTTGGAGATTAATTAACTATAAAAGATAATGGAGAATGAATCCAGACCCAGACCTCACATTCTTCAAAAAAAAAACTAACTCAAAGGATCACAGACCTAAATGTAAAATTCAAAACTATAAAACTCTTACAAATAACATGGGGGAAAAATCTAGATGACTTTGGGTTTGGCAATTACTTTTTAGGTAAGATGCCAAAGTCATGAAAGGAAGAATTGATGTGCTGGACTTCATTTAAAATTAAAAATTTCTGCTCTGAGAAAAACACTGTCAAGAGACTGAAAAATCAAGCCCCAGAATGGAAGAAAATATTTACAAAAGACATATCTAATAAAGAATGCTTATCCAAATTACACAATGAACTCAAACCTCAACAATTAGAAAACAACCTGATTAAAAGATGGGCTGAAGACCTCACCAAAGATGTACAGATGGCAAATAAGCATATGAAAAGATACTTCACATCATATGTCATCAGGGAAATGCAAATTAAAACATTGAGATACCACTGCATATCTATGAGAATGGCCCAAATTCAGAACATTGACAACCCAAATACTGGTGAGAATGTGGATCAACAAGAACTCTCATTCATTGCTGCTGGAATACAAAATGAAGCAGCCACTTGGGAGACATTTTGGTGTTTTCTTACAAAACTAAACACGTTCTTACCATATAATCCAGCAATTTTTCTCCTTGGTATATACCTAAAAGAGTTGAAAAATTATGCCACATAAAGTCCTGAACATGGATGATTACAGAAGTTTTATTCATAATGGACAAACGTTGGAAATAACGAAGAAGTCCTTCAGTGGGTGAATGGATAAACTACAGTACATGCAGCTCACCACAGGCATGTAGACAGTGGAATACTGTTCAGTGCTAAAAAGAAATGAGCTATCAAGCCATGAAAAGACATGGAAGAAAGTGAAAGAAGATAGTGAAAGAAGCCAATCTGAAAAGGCTACAGTATGATTCCAATTACATGACATTCTGGAAAGCTAAAAACTATGGAAATAGTAAAAACATCAGTAGTTGCCAAGAGATTAGAGGGGAGGTAGGGATGAATAAACAAAGCACAGAGGATTTTTAGGGCAGTGGAAGTACTCTGAATGTTACTATAATGACAGATACATGTCATTATACATTTGTCCAAACCCAAAGAATGTACATCACCAAGAATAAACCCTAGGGTAGACTATGGACTTTGGACGATAATGATATTGTGTCAGTGTAGGTTCATCAATTGCAACAAATACGCCACTCTAGTGGAGGATACTAATAGTGGAGGATACTATGCATATCTGGGGCTGGGACTATATGGGGTATCTCTCTATCCTCCTCTCAACTTTGCTGTGAACCTGAAAGTGCTATTTTAAAAAGTCCTTAAAAAGGATAAAGACAAGAGAATGGTTAATGAAGATTCTAAGTCTTTAGACAAGACATCAAATTTACATTATGGAGATGGAGATGAGGGATAAAGAGAACCTCCATCTCCCATGCATTTTTACTAATGTAACGATATCATGTGGTTGTCTTGATGAAAATTTTCATTGTGAGACGTGTTTTGTGGAAAAAATGTAAAAACAAAGCCATTTTAAGAAAATTTGAAGTGCTTTACTTCTAAGGAGTGTTAGAATTCAGGTTTTAGATTAGCTAAATGTCAAGAGCAAACTCAAAAGCAGTCTACTGATATTATAGAATTAGCAGGAATGGCAGGAGGCTTCAATCATAAGAACTCAGTTCTTCTCATTATTGTAGTTTTATTGTCAGGAATTGTCACTGACATATCAAGTTTCCTATATTACTTCAGCATCTGGCTTACAGGAAACATCATGGTTTGTCTTTCTTGCCCATAGATACAACCTATCAGGAATTTAAAACTAGTGAAGGAGAAATTTTTAAATATCACAAGGATCTTCTCTTCCTGAATAATGCTTTCCAAAACTTCTAAAATCAAATTTTCATTTATTTTTTATTGTACAAAATATAATGAATTGATTTGAGACATGGTTATTCTGTTATAGAATGTGTTTTTATAATGTATCAACTATGGCTAAATTCAAGTTGTCAAAGATCTATTTTTCTCAAGTGACTCTGATTACATCCTTGGAATTTCTTACATTTATCTTGACTTGGGCCTATTCTTTGGGCAACTGTGTGTTTGAAGACCAAGACACCAAGGAAGGTTTAATACAAAACACCATATCAAACTATGTGTAAAGCCATGTCCTGATTGGCAATGCCAATGAGTTTCTTTGCAGCTCCCCTCCCCAACCTTAGTTTTTGTTTCTAGAATCACTGGGGTAATGCCACATTCATTTTTAGCTAGGGTGACTGTATTAGTCAAGAGTCTTCAGAGAAATAGAGCCAATGTGACATATATGTATGTAGAGGTAGGAAGATTTTTTACAAGATTTGGCTCCATGTGATTATGGGGTCCAAGTAGTCCTACATCTGTCTTCTGAAAGCTGGAGACAAGGAAAACCCATAGCGTAATTCAACCCAACTCTGAAGACCCGAGCACCAGAAAAACAAGTGGTATAAATCCTGGTCTGAGTGCAAAGGCCTGAGAACCAGGGGCAATCATGCCTGAGGGCAAAAGAAGAAGAATGTTCCAGGTCTAGGAGAACAAATTCACCCTTCCTAAAACTTTTTGTTCTATTTATGCCTCCAAGGGTTTGGAGAACGACTGCCCGCATCATTGACGGTGACCTTCTTGACTTCAAATTGTGCAAAGATTAGGGACTAAGTTAAGAGAAATGTAAAAAAATCCCAAGGATATAATCAGAGTCAATTGAGAAAAATAGATCTTTGACACCTTGGATTCAACCATAGCTGATACATTATGAAAACATATTCTATAACAGAATAACCATGTCTCACATCAATTCATTATATTTTATACCATAAAACATAAATGAAAATTTGATTTTAGAAGTGGTGAGAAGCATTATTGAGGAAGGAAAGACCCTTGCGATATTTTAAAATTTATCCCTCATTAGTTTTAAATTCCTGATAGGTTGTGTCTACTGGCAAGAAAGACAAACCATGATGTTTCCTGTAAGCCAGATGTTGAAGTAACATAGAAAAATTGCTATGTCAGTGATAATTCCTGATAACAAAGCTACAATAAGAGAGGAACTGAGTTCTTGTGATTGAAGCCTCCTGCCATTCCTGCTAATTCTATAATATCAGTAGACTGCTTTTGAGTTTGCTCTTGACATTTAGCTAAATCTAAAACCTGAATTCTAACACTCCTTAGAAGTGAAGTGTTTCAAATTTTATTAAAATGGTTCTGTTTTTAATTTTTTTCCACAAAACAAATCTCAAAGTGAAACTTAATTTTGATCAAAAACAACCACATGATATCATTACATTATTAAAAATGCATGGGAGATGGAGGTTCCCCTTATCCCTTGTCTCCATAAATGTTAATTTTGATCTCTTGTTGAAATTAGGTAAACTTTTCTTCTACTTGACAGTCACACTAATTTTTACTTCCAACATTAAGAACTTATTTGGGGCTCTAACATTTATGTTTCTGACTTTCATTCCCCACAGACACACCCAGAAATAATGTTTCACCAGCTGTCTTTGCATTCCTCAGCTCAGTTGACATGTAAAATTAACCATCATAGTGACCACCATATGCTCAACTTTGTCCCAGAAGTTTCAGCTGATATATCCTTTCTGGCAGTCTGTCTAGTTAGTGATGTTTTAAATTCTCTAAAGTATCATGGTCTAGATGATAAGATATATGATCACTTTACTGATAGCTGCGTAGGTGAATATGGAATCCCTTGTTGAATTCTCTTCTTCCAAAACGTATTTGTCCCTCATGTTGCCTCCTCTAAAATGTATTTTAAAAAAATATCTTATGTATTTTTCCTTTTGTCAGGGGCTGGGACCAGACCAACTGAAGTTAAAATTCCTTAAGCCTGAGAGGCCAGGCGCGGTGGCTCAGGCCTGTAATCCCAGCGTTTTGGGAGGCTGAGGTGGGCGGATCACCTTACGTCGGGAATTTGAGACCAACCTGAGCAACATGGAGAAACCCTGTCTCTACTAAAAATATAAAATTAGCCAGGTGTGGTGGTGCATGCTTGTAATCCCAGCTACTAAGGAGGCTGAGGCAGGAGAATTGCTTGAACTAGGGAGGCGGAGGTTGCAGTGAGCCGAGATAGTGCCATTGCACTCCAGCCTGGGCAGCAAGAGTGAAACTCCAACTCAAAAAAAAAAAAAATTCCTTAAGCCTGAGAATTGAACTGGAAAGTTCTCAGCCAAGACAATTAGTGGGATAAAAAACATGAAGAAAGTAGAGATAAAATTGTGCAGGAAAGCTAAGATATAAAGACCCAACAGAGCAATCTTTAAGACATACAAAACCAAAACTCTAACTGAAGTTAGAGTCAATAGTCCAGATTTTATTCCTAGAGATGAAAACAAATGAACAAATGCCAAAATGAATGCTGTTTGAGGTCTCTTTTTAAATGACCCTTAAAATTTGTCACTCAAGCCTTCATTTTTACTTAAGAATCAGAGCATGTTTATCCTTTAGTTTTTCCTTAGGGACTCAGTCTGTCACCTAGGCTGGAGTACAGTGGCATTATCATAGTTCACTGTAACTCAAACTCCTAGGCTCAAGTGATCCTCCTGCTTCAGCCTCCTGAGTAGGTAGAATTACAGGCTTGAGCCATTATACCTGACTAATTTTTTTTGAAATATTTTTTGTAGTGATAAGGTCTCACTGTGTTGCCCAGACTGGTCTCAAACTCCTGGCGTTAAGTGATTCTACCCTGCCCTCCCAAAGTGCTGGGATTATAGACCCGAGTCACTGCACCTGGCCTCTGGCCTCTGGTGTTTGTCTTAAAGATACCATCTCCTTGGTATTGAGTCTTCCTTAAAAGACTTACAAATCTTCTATTATTGCAAAACTTTCTTAGTGGGTCTCATTTTCCAAAGTCTTCTGCTGTATGTTTCTTCAACTTATAATTTAGTTTATCACTTATATTATATAGTTTGGTTATCCTTAGGCAAAGAAAACAGTTATCAGAACCAGAAGTAAAGGCTACTTTACTTACAGAGCTCTGTGTCATTTTGGTATTGTGGATCAATAGAGATGATCATCTGTTCATGTCTAGTGACTTATGCCTGCCTTAAATCCTCCATATTATATTTCTTTTTTTGAATTTAACTTTTAAGTTCAGGGGTACATGTGAAGGTTTGTTATATATGTAAACATGTGTCATGGGGGTTTGTTGTACAGATTATTTCATCACCTAGGTATGAAGCTAGTACCCATTAGTTATTTTTCCTGATCCTCTCCCTCCCCTCACCTTTCATCATTTGATAGGCCCCAGTATCTGTTGTTCCCCTCTATGTGTCCATGTGTTCTCATCATTTAGCTCCCACTTGTAAGTGAGAACATGTGGCATTTGGTTTTCTGTTCCTGTGTTAGTTTGCTAAGGATAATGCCCTCCATCTCCGTCCATGTTCCTGCAAAGGACAAGATCTTGTTCTTTTTTATGGCTATGTAGTATTCCATGGTATATATGTACCACATTTTCTTTATTCAGTCTACCATTAATGGGCATTCAGGTTGATTTTATGTCTTTGCTATTGTGAATAGTGCTTCAGTGAACAAAGATATGCGTCTATCTTTATAATAGAATGATTTATATTTCTTTGAGTATATGCCAAGTAATTGGATTGTGGGGTCAAATGGTATTTCTGTTCTTAGGTCTTTGAGGAATTGCCACACTGTATTCCACAATGCTTAAGCTAATTTACACTCTCACCAATAGTGCATAAGAGTTCCTTTTTCTCCACTACCTTGCCAGCACCTGTTTGTTTTTGACTTTTTAAGAATAGCCATTCTGATTGGTGTGAGATGGTATCTCATTGTGGTTTTGATGTGCATTTCTCTAATAATCAGTGATGTTGAGCTTATTGTCATATGCTTCTTGGTCACATGTATGTCTTCTTTTGAAAAATGTCTGCTCATGTCGAGGTTGTTTTTTTCTTGTAGATGCTAGATATTAGACATTTGTTAGATGCATAGTTTGCAAAACTTTTCTTCCATTCTATGGGTTGTCTGTTTACTTTGTTATAGTTTTCTTGGCTGTGCAGAAGCCCTTTAGTTTAATTAGGTTCCATTTGTCTAATTTGTTTTCATTGCAATTGTTTTTGGTTTCTTCATCATGAAATCTTTGCTCATTCCTATGTCCAGAATAGTGTTGTAGGAGTTATTAAGAAATTATTTTAGGCAGATAGAGATGAAAAGGGGTCCTTGGGAAGTTTTCATTTTTTAAAGCATCTCGGGAAAAGTTTTTTGTAAAGCCAGGGCTTTAGAGCCAGGCCTGCAACCTTTGATATGCAAATACCGGCTATTAGAAACTGGGTCCACCCAGATCAGGCACGGTGGCTCACCTGGTCTGTAGGTCACCAGGTGGCCTGTAATCCCAGCACTTTGTGAGGCTGAGGTGGGTGGATCACAAAGTCAGGAGTTTCGGATCAGCCTGGCCAACATGGTGAAACCCTGTCTCTACTAAAAATACAAAAATTAGCTGGGTGTGGTGGTGGGTGCCTATAATCTCAGCTACTTGGGAGGCTGAGGCAGAACAATCATTTGAACTCGGGAGGCGGAAGTTGCAGTGAGCCGAGATCGTGCCATTGCCCTGTAGCCTGGGCAACAGGGCGAGACTCCATCTCAAAAAAAAAAAAAAAAGAAAAAAGAAACTGGGTCCACCCAAACACGGCGATTCTACCCTCTTCTTCTTGCCCTTGCTCCACATGTGACTGGTGACATGGCCACCCCCCACATATCCCCACATGTGTAGAACATCATGGTGCCCTGCATTTGCATATTAAAAAGCTAGGTGGGAGGGCCAGTTTTATTTTTGCGGGCTACGTGAAAGACATGCCTAGTCAAGCCAATCCCCTGAGCCCTATGCAAATCAGACACCACCTCCTCCTTCCTTCTGCATTCTCCCATCTTTCTTGCCTATTAAACTCTGCTCCTTAAAACCACACCATGTGTGCCCATGTCATTATTTCTAAACCAGCATGAGACCAAGAACCCTGATGTTCCTCCACTCATCGGAGCCATATCAATAGTATTGCCTAGGTTTTCTTTTAGGGTTTTTATATTAATGGTTTTGAGTTTTACATTTAAGTTTTTAATCCATCTTGAGTTAATTTTTGTATATGGTGTGAGGAAGGGGTCATTTCAATCTTCTGCATATTGCTAGCCTTTTATCACAGCACCATTTATTGAATAGGAAATCCTTTCCCCATTGCTTGTTTTAGTCAGGTTTGTCAAAGATCAAATAGTCATAGGTGTGCACCCCTATTTCTGAGCTCTCTCTTCTGTTCCATTGGTCTATATGTCTGTTTTTGTAACAGTATCATGCTGTTTTGGTTACTGTATCCCTATAGTATATTTTGAAGTCACGTAGTGTGATGCCTCCAGCTTTGTTCTTTTTGCTTAGGATTCCCTTTGCTATTTAGGCTCTTTTTTTTTTTTTTTTTGTTCCATATGAATTTTAAAATAGTTTTCTCTAGTTTTGTGAAGAATATCAATGGTAGATTAATAGGTATAGCATTAAATCTATAAATTACTTTGGCCAGTATGGCCATTTTAATGATATTGATTCTTCCTATCCATGAGCATGAAATGTTTTTGCATTTGTTTGTGTCATCTTTAACTTCTTTAAGAATATTCTGTAGTTCTCCTTGTAGAGATCTTTCACCTCCCTGTTTCACTGTATTTCTAGATATTTTGTTTTATATGCTAATTGTGAAGGAGATTGTTTTCTTGATTTGGTTCTCAGCTTGACTGCTGTTGGTATATAGGAGTGCTAGTGATTTTTATATACTGATTTTGTATTCTGAGACTTTGCTGAAGGTGTTTATCAACTTAAAAAGCTGTTGGGCAGAGATTATGGGGCTTTCTAGATATAGAATCATGTCATCTGCAAACACAGATAGTTTGACTTTCATTCTTCCTATTTGGATGCCATTTATCTTTTTATCTTGCCTGTTGCCCTGGCCAGAACTTCCAATACTATTAACATATTGAATAGGAGTGTCATCCTTGTCTTTTGCCAGTTTTCAAGAGGAATGCTTCCAGCTTTTGCTCCTTCAGTGTGATGCTGGCTGTGGATTTGTCATAAATGGCTCTTATTATTTTGTGGTATGTTCCTTCAATACCTAGTGTATTGAAAATTTTTAACGTAAAGCAGTGTTGAATTTTATTGAAAGGCTTTTCTGCATCTTTTGAGATAATCATGTGGTTTTCGTCTTTAGTTCCATTTACATGATGAATCACCTTTATTGATTTGTGTATGTTGAGCCAACCTTGCATCTCAGGGATAAACTCTAGTTGATTGTGGAGATAAGCTTTTTGATGTGCTGCTGGATCCAGTTTGCCAGCAGTTTGTTGAGGATTTTTGCACCTATGTACATCAAGGATATTGGCCCAAAGTTTTTTGTTGTTTGTTGGTCTCTGCCAGGTTTTGGCATCAGGATGATGTTGGCTTCATATAATGAGCTTGGAAAGAATCCCTACTCCTCATCTTTTTGGAATAGTTTCAGCAGGAGTGCTAACAGGTCTTCTTTGGACCTCTGGTAGAATTCAGCTGTGAATCTGTCTGGTCCTGAGCTTTTTTTTTGCAAATTATATTTCTAGTACCATTTATCCTTTAGGTCACCTCAAGGCCTTGGGACTTGTACACAGAAAAGGGTATGAGAAACTCCTTCTGAATGCCAGCCCTGCCCAAGATAATGTTCTTAGGCTTTAATAATTAAGTATTCCCAAATATTTCAGCTTTCTTCCTTCATTGCTCCTTCTATCTTCCCTCTCTCCCCTACTTTCCTTCCCTCTCTATCGTCCTTTCTTTTTAACTTTTTTTTGGTAAATTGAATATTTTTATCTGTTCATTCTAATACTAGTTATATTTAATGTTTTTCTTCTATAAAACAAGGTCAAAATTGGCAGGGCGAGGTGGCTCATGCCTGTAATCCCAGCACTTTGGGAGGCCAAGATGGGTGGATCACCTGAGGTCTGGAGTTCGAGACCAGCCTGGTCAACATAGCAAAACCCCATCCCTACTAAAAATACAAAAATAAGCCAGGTGTGGTGGCAGGCACCTTTAATCCCAGCTACTCGAGAGGCTGAGGCAGGAGAATCGCTTGAACCCAGGAGGCGGAGGGTACAGTGAGCCGAGATCATGCCACTGTACTCCAGCCTGGGCAACAGAGTAAGACTCTGTCTCAAAAAAAAAAGAAAAAAAAATCAAACAAAAAAAACAAGGTCAAAGTTTATTTTCTTTTCAATTTATTTACTTCTTTGTCCTGGCTATTAATATACTTTCCTTGGAACACTCATCAGGCTCTCTCTAGTTTGGTTACTTCACAACCATTCAGTGCAAAAGGAACACTCTTTGAAGTATCAGATGTGATATATTCAATGGGTAAATATTTTTAAAAGTTATTAGTTAACAGAATATCTTTATTAATTAATTTCAATATAGATACAAGCTCCAGGTAGTCATATAGCTAAAAGCGTATAAGCTTTGTTTTTTCACGAAATAGAGGTTTATATTGATTTCTAATAGTTAATTTTTCTTTTTTTTTTTTTTGAGACAGAGTCTTGCTCCATCCCCCAGGCTGGAGTGCAGTGGTGCAATCTTGGCTCACTGCAACCTCCACCTCCCAGGTTCAAGCAATTCTACTGCCTCAGCCTCCCAAGTAGGTGGGATTACAGGTGCCTGCCACCAAGACAAGCTAATTTTTTTTATTTTTTATTTTTTATTTTTTTATTTTTAGTAGACACAGGGTTTCGCCATGTTGGGCAGCCTGGTCTCAAACTCCTGACCTCAGGTGATCCACCCACCTCTGCCTCCCACAGTGATGGGATTACAGGTATGAGCCACCGTGCTCAGCCTAAAAGTTAATTTTAATAGTAAATAAAAGTTTTAAATTGTATGTACTTAACATGTACATGAGAATATGATGTTTTCTACCTTCTTTGGCCCCAGATGATTTAAAAGTAAAATGACTTTGCCCCAGTATCATTTGTTTGTACATGGATTCATTAAATATACAAATAAAATCTCTCAGTTAAGGGAGAAAAATACAAGAAAATATAAATGTAGAATAGTTAATATCCTTGTCAATTGTAGGTTGATTAAATTTTGCATACTTATTAGATGTTTTGAAATATGTATACATTGTGGAGTGGCTAAATCAAGCTAATTAACATATACATTACCTCAGACATCATTTTTTTGTGTGTGGTGAGTGCTTAAAATCTCTCAGCAGCTTTCAAGCATATGATATATTGTTATTAGCTACATTCACTATGTCGTACAATAGGTCATTTGAATTTTTTTTAGTTTAACTTTCTATAGCTATGTTTTATTGGCTTAAAATATCAACTTTCTAATTCAAATTCTAAACCTTAATTCTACCAAATTTCAATGATGATATGGTTCAGTAGAGCATGGTGAGCTCAGTAAATGGTTTCCAAGATGTGTTACAAGTAAACTTTATGGAATTTAAAATTTCTACTATTTCCATATGTCATTTCTATACTAAACTTTCAACATAGTTTGTACAAGGATTAATTGAATATACAAATAAAATTTCTCAGTTCAGGAAATAAATACAAGAAAATCTAAATTTGGAATAGTAAATATCCTTGTCAATTGAAGTTTGATTAAATTGCCACGGAAAGTCATGGAATATCTTTGGTAATTTGCACATATGCTTTTAAATCATTTGGGGGCCAAGTCATTTTGCTTTTAAATCATTTGGGGCCAAAAACAGAGTAGAACATAGCAGATTCTCAAAACTGGGTTTGATGGTTTGATAGCTTCAAATTGTACTAGGCTTGTGTCATGGAAGTGATGTATTTCTGTCCTGGAGACAAAGATCTTATTTTACAATTTATTAAAGAAATAACTCAATCTTTCTATTTTCTAATACTGCATATTTGCTAGTTAGTACAGTACAGAAATGAGATAAGGTAACAAATAAGGAAAAAATTAAGTTTGTATTTACTGACTCTGTAGCATTTTGGCAAATGCCAGTTTGGTTGTCTTGATAAGAGGAGAAATTCTGATTGAAGCCCTGGTTGAATAAAGTGGTCTCTCCAAGAGAGAAAGGGTTATTTGCATAAACAGGTATTTAATTACATTGTTTTTTGAAGCTTGGCATACTTCCTACATATGTAAGCTTAAGTGCTCAAATTTTAGTTTCAATGAGTCATTAAATAATATAGCATTCTCTCTTTTATTTGAGATTGTACGTAGTAATTATTGGGGCCAGGTGCCGTGACTCACTCCTGTAACCCCAGAACTTCGGGAGGCCGAGGCGGGTGGATCACCTGAGGTCAGGAGTTTGAGACCAGCCTGGTGAACATGGCGAAACCCCGTCTCTACTAAAAATAAAAATTAGCTGGGCATGGTGGCAGGTGCCTGTAATCCCAGTGACTTGGGAGGCTGAGGCAGGAGAATCGCTTGAACCCAAGAGGTGGAGGTTGCAGTGAGCTGAGATCACGCCATTACACTCCAGCCTGGGCAAAAAGAGAGAAACTCCGCCTCAAAAAAAAAACAAAAAAGAATAACTATTGGGAGATTATTATCGAGTTGAAAAGAATCTTCACAAGTCATCTAAAATCCTTTAAACTTTCGCTCTCCATTTAAGCCAAAGAATATGAACTCTCTTTTGTTTCCTGAGGACGAGGTTTGCTCTCTCCTGATAACTTATGTATTAATGCAAAGTGTTTGTCTAACCCCTTGCTATATCTTTTACAGGATTATAATATAGAGGATGTAGATGAATTTTCAGAACAGTGTTTCTTGTGTTGATTATATACAGAGAAATTGTTCAAGGCAAATTATTCAGTAAGAACTTGATCAAAGGAAGTAGCAAATTTAGTTTGCAGTTACACTCATTTACTGAGTTCAGCTAGGGGAGTAATTTCAACTGGTCATTAGTTTGGAGTGCTCAGGGGCTGCTCTTCATTTTAATAATCTTCAAAATTAATATTTTTCCCCTCAATGCTCATAAAATTCCTTTTAATAGAAGTTGGATAGAAATGTCTTGTTTTGAATATTACTATATTAAGTTATCAAATATACACTTCACATAAAGATTTTGTTACTATTATTGTATACTTTGTTATAATTGAAGTCAAAGATACTTTTGTCATCTTTTGGTAAAACCAGATGATGAAATTAAAGTTCACTGACTAATTTTTTTTAAAAAAAATATAGTGTCAGACTCTTAAAAAGATAATTAGGTGTCAAGCCCTGTAGAAAAAAAAATATTAAAATTTATAAACTGAAAGTAGTACTTACTGAAAGATAGCCATTAGAACATGTAAGAAGATAGGTTCTTTTCATTGTATAAACAATAATTTGCCTTCATTTTAATTTTATGATTATTAAATATGGAACTGGATCATCAAAGTCAAGTTTTAGATAAAAGGACCATATTTATAACTTTTAAATGAGTATTTGTAACATAAAAATTATCAGCTAAGTGAGGCTTTCACATATGTTGACTTTGTGTTAATATATTTGTAGAAAAATGGGGTATGAAGCAGCCTAAATTTACACATCCTGCTACTGAGAATTTATTGCATTAATTATTAGCAAGATGAAGTTTATATCTGAATTTTATGAGCCAATGGTTTTGTAGCAGACTCAGGATGTTAATTAGAATTTGCACTCTGAATGCTAGAGTAACATTTAGAATTATGTGGTGTTAATACAAATTTTTCATCTCTGTTAGATTATTAGCTTCAGTAACTTTATTTCAATAACAAATTGCATTGGTAATGTCATACATATGTTTAATGCTCTTGTGTAAAGGCATGTTCATAATTTTTATTAATTGAATTATTTGGATTTTCAAAAGTCATGAAAGGAAATGCTTGGCCTATTATAGAGAACATATTTAAAGATACAAAGCAGGCCGGGCGTGGTGGCTCAAGACTGTAATCCTAGCACTTTGGGAGGCCACGGCGGACGGATCATGAGGTCAGAAGATGGAGACCATCCTGGCTAACACGGTGAAACCCCGTCTCTACTAAAAATACAAAAAAATTAGCTGGGCGTGGTGGTAGGTGCCTGTGGTCCCAGCTACTTGGGAGGCTGAGGCAGGAGAATGGTGTGAACCCGGGAGGCTGAGCTTGCAGTGAGCCGAGATCGCGCCACTGCACTGCAGCCTGGGCGACAGAGTGAGACTCCGTCTCAAAAAAAACAAAACAACAACAAAAAAAAAATAAACTAAAACAAAACAAAAGATACGAAGCAAACAATTGGGGTAATAAAAAAAATCGCAACTGCAGCGACATCCTTTAGGAATGATAGTAATGCTATATAGTACATTGATATAAAAAGATCTAAAGAGAAAAAATTGAATTTGCAAAAACTGTTCCATTAAGATAATTAAGACACACTTCAGGCTGCATGTAGGGTAAGTATCTAATAAAAAAATGTTGATTTGGGAAAGTGAGAATTTATATGTTGAGAGAACAATCAAATTCTAAATTAATGATGAATTCACTGACTTCAGCATTTACCACCTAATTAATTTCTTAGATCTGTCTTAACAAAGTATTACAAGCAGAGTGGTTTAAAACAACAGAAACTTATTTTCTCACAATTCTGTTCTAGAAACTAGAAGTTCAATATCAAGAGGTAAATTGTATTGATTCCTTCTGAGGACTCTAAATGAGAACATGTTTTATGCCTTTCTTCTAGCTTCTGGTGATGCCTGGCAATTTTTGATGTTCCATTGTTCATAGATGCAACATTACAGTCTCTGTCTGTATCTCCACATCGCATTCTCTGTGCCGTCACACAAACAGCTGAACAAGACTGGGAAATACACCTATTTCATGCAGCTGGACTCCCCTGAATTCATGACTAAATATGAAAACATCCTTAATGCTGCCCACATATCCTTTTTGCTAATCAATCCTCTTACTACTATTCTAGAGAATTTGTTCATCCCTTTCTCTTTCTCCTCAAATCTCCAACTCTGCTTCTCCCTATTTACTCTCAGTTAATAGCTTATTATTTTACGGAAAAAACAAAAGAAAGAAAAGAATTTCCATCTTCTATCTCTAAAACTACATGCATTTACATACATATGTATTCCCAAATTCTGCCTTGAGTCTTTTCACTATGAATGAGCTAGGTTCTCATCTATGGCTCACCCCTTTTCTGTGCACTGGTGCCAGTCTGCTCTTGCCTATACAGCTCCTACAGCTCTCCCTTCTCTCCTCTCATCTTTAATTTTTCCTACTCTGCTGGATTATTTCCAGTGACATATTTACAAGTCATAGTAACAACAACCTAAACAAACCACATGTCTTCTTTGATTTCATGTTTCACTCCGTGTACTTGTCTCCCTTCTTAGGTCCAGTTTAAATTAAAACCACTCTGAAGAGTTGCCTGTACTTGTTGTCTCCACTTACTCTCCTCTTATTCTCTTTTGAACCAACTTCTCTTAGGATTTCATCTCAACCATTCCACTAAAACTGCTCATGTCAAGTTTATCAATTTCCTCCATGTTACCAAATCTAGTAATCATTTATCAGTACTTAGATTACTTATCAGCACCATTTGACTCAGTTGATCACATCTTTCTTTACTTGGGTTCCAGGATACACTCTCTTTGTTTATTTCTTATCTCTCTGGCTACTTTTTTTTCCATTCTCTATTGTTCTTTCATCTTCCTGACCTATTATTTTTATAGTGCTTCAAAAACTGCTATGTGCTGATTACACCACTATACACAACTTATATCTAGCAGTTGCTTTTGCCAGAAATCTTAGTGTTATATTTGTCTTTTTTTCTTTTTCTGGTACCCTAAAACACACTTTCTTCTCTACCTGTTAAATATATCTGAAATCTATTGTGGTATATGTTACCATTACCGCTTGCCTGGATTATTGCAATAGCTACCAACTAGTCTTGTGATTGTTTTTGCATAAGGAAATAATTTTCCAAAATTTAAGACAGATAATTTTCCATGTGCTTCTTATTTACTTGGTTAAAATATAAAGATTTTACTTGAAGGTCCTACATAATCTGAAATGTATGCAACAGCAATGAAATATGTAAAATTGATTAGGTGGTAGAAGTTAATGAGTAAGTACATTCTTAATTATTATCAGACATTGATATTTTTACTTTATAAGAAATATTTTCCACTCTTGTATTCCACTCAAAATGCTAAAGAAATTTGAGAAATATCTTGCATAAACGTGGGAATTTTTGCCTTTAGACAAGTATCTCATTTTTTAATGCATTTTTATTTATGATACGAAAAACATTTGAATCCACGAATAAAAATTATAAAAGATAGTTAAATTTTATTAATTTTTAATTAATTTTAAACATATATATGTTAGAAATGTTCCGACATTGGACAGAAATGGAGATCTACAATTTGTGTGACAAATAGTTCAAAATAATTGTTTTAAAGAAGTTCAGTGAGCCACAATAGAACACAGACAGATAATGATATCAGAAAAATTCTACCTGATCAAAATGAGGAGTTCAAGAAAAAGATAGAAATTATAAAAAGATGCAAACAGAATTTCTGGAGTTAAAGAATTCAATGAATAAAATTTAAAACCATGGAATAGAGAGCATCAACATCAGATTTAATCAAGCAGCATAAAAAAATCTGAATTTAAAGGGAGGGCATTTGAATATTTATAGACAGAGGAAAAATTTAGAAAAAATGCAAATTATTTTTTTCATTTTTATTTTAAAATGTACAATTGAATTACAGTTTACTAGAGTCACCCTGTTGTTATATCAAATAGTATATCTTATTCATTCTTCTATATGTTGTACCCATTAATCATCCCAGCCTCCTCCTCAGCCCCCCACTGCCATTGCAAGCCTCTGGTAATCATCCTTCTACTCTCTCTATCCATGAGTTCAATTGTTTTGATTTTTAGATCCCACAAATAAGTGAGAACATGCGATGTTTGTCTTTTTGTGCCTGGCTTATATTACTTAATATAATGACCTCTAGTTTCATCCATGTTGTTGCAAATGACTGGATCTCATTCTTTTTTGTGGCTGAATAGTACTCCATTGTGTATATGTGCCGCATTTTCTTTATCCATTTATCTGGTGATGGACAGACACTTAGGTTGCTTTCAAATATTAGCTATTGTGAACAGTGATGCAACAAACATGGAACTGCAGATATGTCTTCAATATAGTGATTTCCTTTCTTTTGGGTATATACCCAGCAATGATATTGCTGGGTCACATGGTAGCTGAATTTTTAGTTTTTTGAGGAACCTTCAAACTGTTCTCCATCGTGGTTGTATTTATTTACATTCCTACCAACAGTGTATGAGGGTTCCCTTTTCTCCACATCTTCAGCAGCATTTGCTATTGCCTGTCTTTGGATATAAGCCATTTTAACTGGGGGGAGATGATACATCATTGTAGTTTTGATTTGCATTTATTTGATGATCAATAATGTTGAGCACCTTTTGATATGCCTGTTTGCCATTTGTACATCTTCTTTTGAGAAATGTCTATTCAAATCTTTTGCTCATTTTTTTGATTGGATTATTAGACTTTTTCCTATTGAGTTGTTTGAGCTCCTTATATATTCTGGTTATTAATTTCTTGTTAGTTGGTAGTTTGCAAATATTTTCTCACATCCTGTGGGCTGTCTCTTTACTTTGTTGATTGTTACCTTTGCTGTACAGTAGCTTTTTAATTTGATGTGATCACATTTGTCCTTTTTTTTCTTTGGTTGACTGTGCTTCTGAGGTGTTATTCAATAAATTTTTGTCCTGAACAATGTCCTGGAAAGTTTCCCCAATGTTTCCTTATAGTAGTTTTATGGTTTGAGATCTTTAGGTTTAAGTCTTTAATTCATTTCAATTTGATTTTTGTATATGGCAAAGGATAGGGGTCTAGTTTCATTCTTCTGCATATGGATATCCAGTTTTCCCAGCACCATTTATTGAAGAGAATGTCTTTTCCCAAGTGTATGTTCTTGGCACCCATGTCAAAAATGAGTTCACTGTAGGTATGTTAATTTGTTTCTGAGTTCTCTATCCTTTTCCATTGGTGAATGTGTATATGTTTATGGGACTACCGTGTGGTTTTGGCTGGTATAGCTCTGTAGAATAATCTGAAGTCAAGTATGTGATTCCTCCAGTTTTTTCTTTTTCTTTTCTTTTCTTAGAATAGCTTTGCCTATTCTGGGTCTTTTGTGGTTCCATATAAACTTTAAGGTTATTTTTTCTACTTCTTTGAAGAATGTCATTGGTATTTTGATAGAGATTGCATTGAATCTGTAGATTGCTTTGGGTAGTATGGATATTTTAACAATATTCTTCCAATCTGTGAACATTGAATATTTTTCTATCTGTGGTGTCCTCCTCAATTTCTTTCATCAGTGTTTTGCAGTTTTCATTATAGAGATCTTGTATTTCTTTTAATAAGTTAATTCCTAGAATTTCATTTTATATGTGGCTATTATAAATAAGATTACTTTTTATTTCTTTTTCCGTTGGTTCATTGTTAGCATATAGCAATGCTACTGATTTTTGTATGTCTATATTGTATTCTGCAACTTTACTAAATTTGTTTATCATTTCTCATGTTTTTTTGGTGAAGTCTTTAGTTTTTCCCAAATATAAGGTCATATCATCTGCAAACAAGTATAATTTGACTTCTGCCTTTCCCATTTAGATGCATTTTTTTTTTTTTTTTTTTTTTTTTGAGATGGAGTTTCGCTCTTGCTGCCCAGGCTGGAGTGCAATGGTGCGATCTCAGCTCACTGCAACCTCCACCTCCCAGGTTCAGGCAATTCTTCTGCCTCAGACTCCCGAGTATCTGGAATTACAGGCATGAGCCACCACGCCATACTAATTCTGTCTTTTTTTTTTTAAGTAGAGGCGGGATTTCTCCATGTTGGTCAGGCTGGTCTCCAACTCCTGACCTCAGGTGATCTGCCCGCCTTGGCCTCCCAAAGTGCTGGGATTATAGGTGTGAGCCACCAGGCCTGGCCAGTTGCCCTTTTTTTTTCTTGTCTGAATGCTCTAGCTAGAACTTCCAGTATTATGTTGAATAACAGTGGTGAAAATAGGCATCCTTGTTGTGTTTCAGATCTTAGCAACTAGATCAGTATGATACTAGCCATGGGTCTGTATGATACTAGCTGTGGGTCTGTCATATACGGCTTTTACTCTGTTCAGGTGTGTTTCTTTCAGTCACTGCTTTTTTATTTTTATTTTTAAATCAGAAAGGGATGTTGAATTTTATCAAATGCTTTTTTAGCATCAATTGAAATGATCAGGTGGTTTTTATCTTTGATTTTGTTGATATGATATATCAAATTTATTGATTTGCTTATGTTGAACCATTCTTGCACCCCAAGGAAAAATCTCACTTGGTCATACTAAATGGTATTTCCAATGTCTTGTTGAATTAGGTTTGCCAGTATTTTGTTGAGGATTTTTGCATCAATATTAATCAGAGATACTGGTCTGTAGGTTTTTAAAAAATGTGTCTTTGTTTTTGGGTATCGGGGAATACCCAAAAACACTGTAGAATGTCTTTGGTAATATTCCCTGCTTCTCTATTTTTTGGAATAGTTTGAGGAGGATTGGTATCAGTTCTTTAAGTGTTTTGTAGAGTTAAGAAATAATGCCATCAAGTCCCGTGCTTTTCTTTACTGAGAGACTTTTTATTACAACTTTGATCCCATTACTTGTTATTGTTCTGTTCAGGTTTTGAATTTCTTTCTGGTTTAATCTTGGTAGGTTTCTGTCTAGGAAATTGTTCACTTTTTCTAGATTTCCAGATTTCTTGGTATATAGCTGCTCATAGTAGCCACTAATGATCCTTTGAATTTCTGTGATATTGGATGCAATGTGTCCTTTTTCATTTCTGATGTTATTTATTTGATCTTCTTTCTCTTTCCTTAGTCTGGCTAATGGTTTGTCATTTTTTTAACTTTTAAGAAAACGACTTTTTGTTGCATTGATATTTTATGGTTTCTTTTTTCATTTCAAATTCATTTTTTCTGCTCCAATTTTTATAATTTCTTTTCTTCTATTAATTTTCAGTTTGGTTTGCTATTGCTTTTCTATTTCTTTAAGGTGCGTCATTAGGTTGTTTGCTTCAAGTTTTCTCTTTTGATGTAGGCACTTATAGCTATAAAATTCCCTTTAAGTACTGCTTTTGCTGTATCCCATAAATTTTGGTATGTTTTGTTTTCATTATCATTTGTTTAAAACATTTTTCAGTTTCCTTCATAATTTCTTTATTCAGTATGTTGTTTACTTTCCATGTGTTTGTATAGTTCCTGAAATTCCTCGTTATTACTCTCTAGTTTTGTTCCATTGTGGTCAGAGAAGATACTTGATATTATCTCACTGTTCTGGATATTTTAAGACTTGTTTTGTGACCTAACGTATAATCTGTCATTGAGAATAATCCATGTGATTAGTAGAATGTGCATTTTTCAGCCATTGGATGAAATGTTTTGTAAGTTTCTGTTGGATCCATTTGGCCTAAAGTGCAGATTAAGTCTGATATTTCTTTATGGTTTTCTGTCTGGAAGACCATTACAATGTTGAAAGTGGGATTTTGAAGTCTCCAGCAATTATTGCATTGGGATCTCTCTTTTTATCTCTAATAATATTTCCTTTATATATCTGGGTGCTCCGGTGTTGAATGCATGCATATTTAAAATGTTATATCCTATTGCTGAATTAACCCCTTTGTATTTTATGGTGATCTTGTCTCTTCTTAGAGTTTTTGTCTGAAAATCTATTTTGTCTGATATATGTATAGCTACTCCTGCTCTTTTTTGGTTTCCATTGGCATGGAATATTTTTGTTCATCTCTTTTTTTCAGTCTATATGCACCTTCATATATGATGTGTGTTTCTTAAAGGCAAAGAGATTAATGGGTCTTGTTTTTTCATCCATTCAGCCAGTCTGTATCTTTTGATGGGAGAGTTTAGTTGGTAATATGGTTTAGTTTCTTGCTTTTTATCTTTATGAATCTGTTGTGTGTTTTTTGGTTTGAGGTTACTATGTGGCTTGCAAATACTATTTTATAACACCCTTAGTTTAACCTGATAACAACTTAACAGTTTGCACAAACAAACGAACAAGCAAAAAGAAATCTAATAAAAACTCTATGCCTTAACTTGGTTAAGTGCATTCCTAAGTATTTTATTTATTTTTTGCAGCTGTTGTAAAAGGGATTAAGTTCTTGATTTAAATCTTAGCTTGGTTGTTGTTGGTGTCTAGCAGTGCTACTGATTTGTGTACATTGATTTTGTATCCTGAGACTTCCAAATAATTACTTAATTCACTAATCAGATATAGGAACTTTTTGGATGAATCTTTAGGGTTTTCTAAATATATAATCATATTATCAGCAAATTATGACAGTTTGACTTCCTCTTCCAGTTTAGATGTCCTTTATTTCCTTCTCTTGTCTGATTGCTCTGGATAGGACTTTCAGCCCTATGTTGAATAGAAGTGGTGAAAGTGGGCATCTTTGTCTTGTTCAAGTTTTCAGGGGTAGAGCTTTTAACTTTTCCTCATTAGTATGATGTTTGCTGTGGATTTGTCATACATTATTCTTATTACTTTGAGGTATGCCCCTTGTATGCCAATTTTGTTGAAGGTTTTCCTCATAAAGGAATGCTGGATTTTGTCAAATGCTTTTTCTGTGTCTATTGAGATGATCATATGATTTTTGATTTTAATGCTGTTTATCTGATGTATCACATTTATTGACTTGTGTATATTAAACCATCCCTGCATTTCTGGTATGAAACCCACTTGATCATGATGTATTACCTTTTTGATATTCTGCTGGATTCTGTTAGCTAGCATTTTGTTGAGGATTTTTGCATCTATTTTCATCAGGGATATTGGTCTGTAGTTTTCTTTTTTTGTTATTGCCCTTCCTGGTTTTGGTAATAGGGTGATATTGGCTTCATAGAATGATTTCAGGAGGATTCCCTCTTTATCTTTTGGAATAGTTTCAGTAGGATTGGTACCAATTCTTCTTTGAATGTCTGATAGAATTCAGATGTGAGCCCATCTGTACCAGAATTTGTTGACATTTTTATTATTGATTAAATCTTGCTGTTTGTTATTGGTCTCTCCAGAGTTTCTATTTCTTCCTGAGATCAGAGCAGAACTAAATGAAATTGAAACCAAAAAACAAACAAAACAATACAAAAGACAAGTGAAACAAAAACTGGATCTTGGAAAAATACAACTGATAGACCATTAGAAAAATCTAGAGGAGATGGATACATTCTTGCAAATATACAACTCTCCCAGATTAAATCAGGATGAAATGCATTTTTTTATTTTCTAAATGTCTTTTGGTTAGCAGAATTTTAAATTTTTTATGAAACCTAATTTGTCATTTATGTGATGGTTTGTACCATCTGTGTCCTATTTGTAAAAACTTTATCACAACATTTTTCCTTTTCTTTTATCGTTTGTTTTCTCTTTTTCTGTAATATTTACATTTGTAAGTTTCCCTGTAAACACTGTTCTAGATGCATCAAAAAATTTTATATGTCATGTTTTAGTGCTTATTAAGTTCAATATGTTTTCTAATCTCTCATGATTTTTTGACCCATAGTTTCTTTAGAAAAGTGTTAATTCCCAAATATTAGGGAATATTCTAGATATTTCTTTGGTACCAATTTTGAATTTATTTGTTACGGTCAGAAAAAGTACTGCTGTTGATTTGAATTCTCATACATTTTGAAACTTGTTATGTGGCACAGAATATAGTCGTTTCTGGTGAATGTATTATGTATACTTTAAAATATATACATTCTCCTTTTGTTGGGTGAAGTGTTCTATAAGTGTTAACTAGATCTTGTTGTTGATAGTGTTTTTGAAGTTTTCTATTTTGTTTCCTTGTTACATCAATTATGAGAATATTGTTGACATTTGAATTATAATTGTGGATTTGTCAACTTATTTTACTTATGTCGGTTTTTGTTTTATACCTTATAAAGTTATCTTATTGGGTGCATAGGTAGTAAAGGTTCTTATGTCCTCTTGATAAATCAACCCCTTAATTACTATGAAATGCCTCTCTTTGTCTTTGGTAATATTGTTTGCTCTAAAATCTGCCTTGTCTGTTACTAACTGTATTTGTTCGCTTGGGCTATCATAACAAAATACCACAGACTGGTATTGAACAACAAATTGGTTTGTTGGTTTTAACAACAAATTTATTGTCTCACAACTCTGAAGGCTAAAAATTCAAGGTGAAGTTGCTAGTAGTGTTGATTTCTCTTGAGGACTCTCTCCTTGTCTTGCAGGTGGCCACCTGCTTGCTGTCTCCTCATATGGTTCTCACTCTGTATACATGTACCCTTAGGGTCTCTCTGCATGTTCTAATCTCTTCTTATAAGGACACCAGTCAGATTGAATTAGGCCCTACACTAACAGCCTCATTTTGACTTAATTACCTATTTAAAAGCTCTATCTCCAAATGCAGTCACATTCTGAGATACTAGGGATTGGGGTTAACATATGAAATTGGCTTGGGGGGTAACAAATATATATATATGATATATATATTTACATAAATAATAACATCAAGGTTGACATGTTCTTACACTAGCTACAATAAATAAAGTGAAAATCAGGAGGCACTCACAGGAATGGGGCTAATCAAAAGTCAACATGACAGATTAGACATACAAATATATATATTTATGTAAATATATATTATAATCTCTTCCTTTTTTACTTATGTATATGCTTATAAGTATATATTATATAAGTATATACGTATATACTTATATATTTATATAAGTATATATGTATATACTTATATATTTATATAAGTATATACTTATGTAAATATATATTTGTATTGTATACTTATATAATATATACTTATGTCAATATAAATATATATATATACTTATGTAAATGTAATATATATGTCTTCCTTTTACATTTACTTGTCTGTTTACACTTTTTTCTTCTTTCTACACTGAGGTCTTTGAAAGAAACATACTATACCCCACTCACACTTGAGGAGTAGGGATTTATGGTCCCTCCCATTGAAGGTAGCATGTTTACATATATTCTTTTGAAATCTTCTACAAGGGAAATTTGTCTCTTCCCTCGCTTGCATTTTTCATTCTCTTATTTTTAACCAACCTCTACCTTTAAAAAGTATCCCTTATAGACTCTGATATAGAATTATGTCTCATTTTTGTATCCATTGAATAGATCATTTGCATTTAATAAAACTATTGATATGGTTGGATATAAATCTACCATCTTGCTATTTGTTTTATTTTAACATCTATTTTCTTTTGTTCTGTTTTACATATTTTTTCTGCCTTTTCAGATTAATATTTTTTGTGTTCCATTTGAGATCCACTAGTGTTCTATTTTATTTTTTTAGTGGTTGCCCAATAATTTAAAAGTTCCATCTTTACATTATTGTAATCTTTTATTTGTTCAATTTTCCTTCTTTTGGATTGAGTGTTTTTATTCTATTTTATTGTATTTGTTGGCTTATTACCTATAACTTTTCAAGTGATACTATATATCCTCACATATAGTATGAGTATACCGACATTTTCTCTGACCTGTCCTTTGTTCTTGTGGACACAAAAGTGACTTTATCTGGGATACTAATCTGTCTTGTTGACTTTTGATTAGCCCCATTTCTGTGAGTGCTTCCTGATTTCCGCTTTATTTATTGTAGATATTTAAGAACATGTCAACCTTGATGTTATTACATAAATTATAGGCTGTGGTGCACATAGCATTCTTGCCTCTTCTGGAGGGTTGCCTTTAATTGTCTTGCTAGAGCAGGTATATGCTTTCCCTATAAGTGCTGGGTCTGAAGAGTAAAAGTGTGGATATCTAGTCGTCTTGTGGTCACCCAAGACCATGCTTCTATTGGTAAGTTCCCTCAATTCATTCACCAATACGAAAAAATGTATTTTTCTGCCTCCTACTTTGGTTTCTCAGCTCCTTTAACATTTGAAGGTCACTTTGCTTATATAGCCCTTTCACGTAACATTACAATTATTGTCACATATTTTGCTTCTATGTATGTTAAAATCCAAAATACATTGTTATACAATCAATTATCCTGTTTAAAAAATGATGAAAACAATCTCTTTTTATTTGCAACACACATTTACCACTTCTAATCCTCTTCATTTCTTTACATACTTTTGAGTTTATATCTGTTATTATTTTCATTTTGCCTGAAGTAATTCAACTAACATTTTTATAGTACTGGTCTATTGGTTAAAAATCTTTGAGCTTTTGTTTAAGAAAGTATTTAGTTTTCTATCTTAAACAAATTTAAATAAATCTTTTAGAGTAGTTTTTGATTCACAAAAATGTTGCAAAGATAATACAGAGAATTCCTATATATCTCTCATTCGGTTTCCCCTATTGTTAACATCTTAATCACTATGGTACATTTGTCACAACTAAAAAACAAAGATGAAGCTTATCTATTAACTAAACTGTACACTTCTGAAAAGATTTCACTAGTTTTTAATTCCATTTTTCTGTTTGATAATTCCTTCATTACATTTAGTCATTCTGCATTATATTTAGTCATGATATCCTCCTTTGGTCAATAATAATTTCTCTAAATTTTCTTGTTTTTAATAGTCATGAATCTTGACAGTTTGAGGAGTACTAATCAGGTATTTTTGTAGTCTCTCTTGATTTGGGGTTTGCCTGATGTTTAATGATTAGGCTAGGGTTATGGGATTTGAGAAGAAAGACCACAAAGTTGAGGTACCATTCCCCTTTCTTCATATCAAGGGTATATAATATCAACTTGAATAATCACTGATTATTTTAACTTTGAAAGCATGTCTAATTTAGTGTTTACCAGGTTTCATTGCTATAAAGTTGTATTTTTCGCTCATTGTCGTACTCTACTCTTTGGAGGCAAGCTGCTAAGTACAACCTACACTCAAGGGTATGTGGAGGAAAAGTTAAACTTCAGATTCATTCAGCATAAAGTCAATACCCAATTCAAGGAATCTAAGAATGAAATAAAATGAAGAGCTGAAAAATGAAATAGTCATAAAAAACAAATGAAAATGATAGAGCTGAAAAACTTAGTATATGAATTTTATAACAAAATTGAAAGTATTAACAGCAGAATAGACAAAGCTGAGAAAAGAATCCCAGAGATTGAAGACCAGTTCTTTGAATCAACTCAATAAGACAAAAAAAAATAAAAATAAAAAAGAATGAACAAATCCTCTGAGAAATATGGATTATGTAGAAACCAAACCTATGAATTATTGGTATCCTTGAAAGAGAAGGAGAAAGAGCAGGCAACTTGGAAAACATTTGAGGATATTGTCCATGAAAATTTCTCCAACCTCGCTACAAAGGCCAACATTCAAAATCTGGAAATGCAGAGAACACCTCTGAGATACTATAGAAGAAGACCATTGCCAAACACATAGTCATCAGATCCTCCAATGTCAACATGAAAATAAAAATATTAAAGGCAGCTAGAGACAAGGGCAGGTCTTCTACAAAGGGCAACCTATCAGGCTAACAGTGGATATTTCAGCAGAAACCGTATGAGCCAGAAGGGAATGTGGGCCTATATTCAGCATTCTTGAAGAAAACAAATGCCAACCAATTATTTTATATTCAGCCAAACTAAGCTTCCTAAGTGAAGGACATATAAGATCCTTTTCAGACCAACAAATGCTAAAGGAATTTGATACCATCAGACCAGCCTTATAAGAGGTCTTTAAGGGAGTGCTAAACATGGAAATGAAAGACCATTACCAGCTACCACAATAACACACTTAAGTACATAGATCATTGACACTATAAAGCAACTACACAATTAAGTCTGCATAATAAATAGCCGATATCATGATGACAGGACCAAATCCTCACATATCAATATTAACCTTAAATGTAAGCAGTCTAAATGCCTTACTTAAAAGGCATAGGGTGGCAAGTTTCATAAAGAAGACCCAACTTTATGCCATCTTTAAGAAACTCATCTCACATGCAATGACACCCGAAGGCTCAAAGTAAAGACATGAAGAAAAATCTACCAAGCAAATGGAAAACAAAAAAGGCAGGAGTTGCTATTCTAATTCCAGACAAAATAGGCTTTAAACCAACAATTATCAAAAAAGACAAGAGCATTACATAATGATAAAATATTCAATTCAACAAGAAGACTTAATTATTCTAAATATATATGCATCCAACCAAGGAGTAACAAATTCATAAAACAAGTTATTAGAAACCTACAATGAGACTTAGATAAGCACACAATAATAGTGGGAGACTTCAACATCCCACTGACAGTATTAGACAGATCATCAAGACAGAAAACTAACAAAGCTATTCGGGACTTAATAACATTTGACCAAAAGGACCTAACAAACATGTACACAACACTCCACTCAACAACAGAATATATATACTTCTCATCTGCATATGGAACATACTCTAAATCAAACCACATGAATGACTATAAAACAATTCTCAACAAATTAAAAAAACTGAAATCAAACCAATCACACTCTCAGACCACAATGCAATAAAAATGAAAATTAATACTAAGATGTCTCAAAACAATACAATTACATATAAATTAAATAACCTTCTCCTGAATGAATTTTGGGTAAATAATGAAATTAAGACAGAAGTCAAGAAATTATTTGAAACTAATTAAGAAAATATACAACATACCAGAATCTTTGAGACACAGATAAAACCGTGTTAAGAAGAAAGTTTATAGTGCTAAATGCTCACATCAAAAAGTTAAAAAGATTTCACATTAACAACCTCACATCACATCTAGAGGAACTAGAAAAACAAGAGCAAACCAACCTCAAAGATAGCAGAAGACAAGAAGTAACCAAAATCAAAGCCAAACAGAATGAAATTGAGATAAAAAAGATAAAAAGATTAAAAAAACCCCAAAGGTTGGTTCTATGAAAGAATAAATAAAATTGATAGATCACTAGCTAGAATAATAAAGAAAAAGAGAAACTACTCAAATAAGCATAATCGGAAATGACTAAGGGGACATTACCACCGACATCAAAGAAATACAAAAAAGCCCACCTGAGACTATTATCAACCCTTTAATGCACAGAAACTAGAACCCCCCCCCCCAACCCCCCCCACACACAATCTGATAAATTCCTGGATACATACCACCTCCCAAGATTGAAGCAGGGAGAAATTGACAGTCTGAACAGACCAACAAGGAGTTCTAAAGTTGAATCAGTAATAAAAAGCCTACCAACCAGAAAAAAACCCTGGACCAGATGGATTCACAGCCAAATTCTACCAGACTATACTCCAGGTATGAATAATAGTTAGCAGCAATCCTAATGAAACTATTCCAAAAAATTGAGGAGAAGGGACACTTTGCTAACTTACTCTATGAGTCTAATATCATTTTGATACCAGAACCTGGTGGAGACACAACAAAACAAGGAAACTTCAGGCCAATATCTTTGATGAACATAGATGCAAACATCCTCAACATATACTAGCAAACCAAATCCAGCAGCACTTCAAAAACCTCCTCCATCACAATCAAATAAGCTTTATCCCTGGGGTGCAAGATTGGCTCAACATATGCAAATCAATGCATGTACTTCATCACATAAACAGAACTAAAAACTAAAACCACATGAGTGTCTCAGATACAGAAATCTTGTGATAAAATTCAAACATCCTTTCATGTTAAAAAACCCTAAACAAACTAGATGTTGAAGGAACATACCTCAAAATAGTAAGAGCCTTCTATGACAAACCTGCAGTCTAAATAATGCTTAATGGGCAAAACCTGGAAACATTCCCCTTGAGAACTCAAATAAGACAAGGATGCCCACTCTTGACAGTCCTACTCAACATAGTACTAGAAGTTCTAGCCAGAGCAATCAGGCAAAAGAAAGTAAAAAAAAAGGCTTTCAAATAAGAAGAGAGGAAGTCAAACTATCTGTCTTCACAGATGATATAATTTTATACCTAAGAAAACCCCATGTCTCTGCCCAAAAGCTCCTAGATCTGATAACTTCAGCAGTGTTTTAAGATACAAAATCAAAGTACAAAAATAATTGATATTCCTATACACCAACAACTTCTAAGCTGAGAACAAAATCAAGAACACAACTCTATTCACAGTAGCCACAAGAAGAATAAAATACCTAGAAATACAGCTAACCAGTGAAGTAAAAGGTCTCTACAATGAGAATTATGAAACACTTCTAAAAGAAGTCAGAGATGATACAAATAGATGGGAAGACGTTCCATGCTTATGGATAAGAAGAATCAATATCATTAAAATGGCCGTACTTCCCAAAGCAATTTACAGATTCAAGGCTATTCCTATAAAACCAACAATAATATTTTTCACAGAATTAGAAAAACCTATTCTATAATTTATATAGAACCAAAAAAGAGACCAGGTAGCCAAAGCAATTCTAAAAAACAGAACAAAGCCAGAAGCATCACACTACCTGACTTCAAACTATAGTATAAAGCAACAGTAACTAAAACAGCATTATAGTAGCACAAAAACAGACACACAGACCAATGGAACGGTTTAGAGAACCCATAAATAAAGCTGCACATGTACAACCATCTAATCTTCAACAAAGTCTGCAAAACCAAACAATGAGGAAAGTGACTCCTTATTGAACGAATGACACTAAGATACCTGGCTAGCCATATGCAGAAGATTGAAACTAGACCTTTTCCTTTTAACATATACAAAAATCAACTCGAGAGGAATTAAATACTTAAATGTAAAACTTAAACTGTGAAATAAACCCTAGAAGAAAACTTAAGAAATATGATTCTGGACATAGGCCCTGGCAAAGATTTCATGGCAAAGATGTCAAAAGCTATTGTAAGAAAAAGACAAATTAATAAATAGGACCTAATTAAACTAAAGAGCTTCTGCAGAGCAAAATAAACTATCAACAGAGTAAACCAACAATCTGCAGAATGGGGGAAAATATTTGCCAACTATGCATTCAACAATGGTCTAATATCAAGAATCTATAAGGTATTTAAATCAACAAGTGAAAAAACCCAATTAAAAATGGGCAAAGGACGTGAACAAACACTTTTCAAAAGAAGATATATACACAGCCAACAAGCATATGGAGATGTGCTCAACATAACTAATCATTAAAGAAATACAAATCAAAACCACAATGACATACCATCTCACACCAGTCAGAATTGCTGTTATTGAAAAGAAAAAATAAGAGATGCTGGCAAGGTTGTGAAGAAAAGGGAATGCTTGTACACTGCTGATGAGAATGTAAACTAGTTCAGCCACTGTGGAAAGCAGTTTGGAGATTTGTCAAAGATCTTAAGACAGAACTACAATTCGATCTAGCAATCCCATTACTGGGTATATACCCAAAGGGATATAAATTGTTCTACCATAAAGACACATGCACGTGTTAGGTTCATTGCAGCAGTGTTCACAATAGCAATGACAAGGAATCAACCCAAATGTCCATCAATGTTAGACTGGATAAAGAAAATGTGGTACATATACACCATGACATGCTACGTAGCCATAAAGAAGAATGAGATTATATTATTTGCAGCAACATGCATACAACTTAAGGCCATTATCCTAAGCAAATTACACAGGAACTGAAAACCAAATACCACAGGTTCTCACTTATAAGAGGACCTAAACATTGAATACACACGGACAAAAAGAAGGGAAAAATAGACACCAGAGCCTACTTTATTGTGAAGGGTGGGAAGAGAATGAGGATCAGAAGACTACCTGTTGGGTACTATGCTTTATTACCTGGGTGGTGAAATAATCTGTACACCAAACTCCTGCAACATGCAATTTACCCAAACCCACCCATGTGCTCCCTGAACCGCAAATAAAATTTGGAAGAAAAAAACATTATATTGAGCTGAGAAACTCAGGACACTCTAAGATTTAAATTCCTTCTTCTTCTTCTTTCTTTCTTTCTTTTTTTTTCTTTTTTTTTTTCTTTTTTTTTTTTTTTTTTTGAGATTGGGTGTTACTCTGTCACCCAGGCTGGGGTGCAGTGGTGTGATCTCAGCTCATTGCAACCTCCGCCTCCCAGGTTCAAGCGATCCTCCCATCTCAGCCCCAAGTAGTGGGGGCAACAGGCACGCGCCACAACGCCCGGCTAAGTTGTTTTTTTTTTTTTTTTTTTTTTTTTTTTTGTATTTTTAGTAGAGTTGGGATTTTGCCATGTGGCCCAAGCTGGTCTTGAACTCCTGAGCTCAGGTGATCCACCCACCTCAGCTTCCCAAAGTGCTGGAATTATAGGCCTGAGCCACTGCACCTGGCCTATATTCCTTCTTATATAATGATGGTCTTTAGCTGCATTTCAAAAAACTGGAATGGTGTTGGTTTCTCTGAAAGAGACGTGTGAGTAAAGAAGTCTGGGTGAATACAGCTAGGCTGTGGGGCCATCTCACAGGATTGGTTTTGACATAGAGTGTGGTCTGGTAGGAGAGGTCAGTGGGGCCAGATTGTGTCACGTTTTCGGAGTTTTAAAAATTTGTAGTGGAGAATTGTTGCAAAACAGGACAAGGGAATGAGCCAGAATAAAATGGGGGAGGGAGTGCAATATTTAATGATACAATTTAACGCAGTGAGGCTTGGTTCCACTGCTTATTTCATGACTGACTTTAGGAATGTATGTGACTTTTCTGAGAATACATCTGGAACCAATACAACGTAATCTACAATATTGATGTGAGAATAAACTCAGACAATTTACATGAAAGAACTTTGTTCAAAATATACTTCAAGTGAGTACGTTATTATATTTGTTAGGAGCATGACACAGCAATATTTTGGGGAGACCATTTTTGGTAATGGCATGCCAGACAGAATGGAAAAGAGAGGGTGTGGTTGGGGGACTACATGGAATGTTTTCCTCTTTGTTCTAAGAGCTCTTCAATCTTCTGTCATAGCTAATGTTTGTGGAGTAGGAGGAGAGAGGACATTCAGACTCTTTAGTCTGAATACAAATCACCTGGGGATCTTGTTAAAATGCAGATTTTGATTAAGAGGCTTAGGATAGGGACTGAGATTCTTCATTCTTAACAAGCTCCTAAATGATGGCAATGCTGTTAATCCATGGAACATGCCTTCTATGGCATGGATTCAGAGGAAGGAGTAAAAGATGCACTACCAGAGGTAGTACAGATTTCAGGAGACAGTTTTCTTTTTCTTGAAGTATCTGGTCAATTTTAAATAGTAAAAAAAAAAAAAAAAAAAAAAAAAAAAGTCTTTCCTTGTGATGATGGGTTTCTCAGCTGTACACACTGAACACTAAGAATCATGGTACATTCAAAGAATATTTGTCTTTTTCCTTGAGTTATATATTTAAGTCTTTTTCCATTGTTCCCCCAACATTTTTTTTAGTTAACTCTAATCAGGAGTAAGTTGTCTCACAGTAAACAGAGGATGATAGTCTAGATATAGGAAAAAAATGTCATCCAGCTGTGTTAATAGTGTTAAGATGCTATTATGCAAAAAAAAAATTAAATTTCTTCTTTCTGCAAATTTATGGGCAAACATCCTTAATACTAATAACTTAATAAGTCATTAAATACTCTGAATTTGAAGTTTACCTCATAAGGAAAGGACTTATTTTAAAAATCATGACTAACTCACTAGAAGGTGAAAATTGATGGCCTACTTTCTTGCTGCAGACTTCAGAACTTTCCTTGGAAAGAAGAATATGTCATTGAAAATGAATTATTCTGACTTTATAATTATGAGAGCTTACCCTTCTTATTTGCTTTGACTGTAAGTCATCACAAAGCAACTGGCTTAACTGAATGCTGATTTGAGGTTTGAAGGTTTCAACAGTCAAATATAGGTTGACCCAAACCTATATAATATTAGGGTTACCCAAATAGGCTAGATACAGAATAATTATCCATCAAGCATCTCTGAAAAGTATAGTAAGCTCTCATTTAAGATTTCATTATAATTTTCATTCAACTAAGCAAAAACACTTTCTTTGTATTAACAACACTATTTGAGGGAATTAATGACTTTCCCATTTTGGTCTCAGTTTATATAACGTTCACATTGTTTAATTGGAAGTTTTTGTTTCCCTTTAAAATATTTTCAACAAGTATTTCAAAGCTGAAACTGGTTGTTTGACTCTCTTCAGGACAACTTAGCCTGTATTTCTGTAGACCATAGACTGCTATAAGAATTTTGTTAGATTTTTTTTGAATAGATTGATTATCTTTTGAATAGATAATCCAAGAACATTATGAAAATGTCAAAATGTACAAAAAATATTGAGCGAAAACTAAGTCTCCATTTTGATCAGAGTTTTTTGTATACCAGTGTCAAGGCAAAAATTATGCCAAAGTACCTATAATTGAAGTTTATTGCAATATGGAAAGAGGCCAGAACTCAAATCAACCCCCCCACCCCACCCGACCCCACCAATAAAAGGGGCTGGAGGGTTTTTAAGAACTAGGAGAAGGGAATTTTAGGCCACCTATGTTGGCTAATTGGCCTAACCTAAGGGAAAAGTAAACTTTCTCTTATCTTCATGACAAGAGATAGTTTTACAATTTGGAGCTAGTCACCTTGATGGCAGATAGACTCTTACCTTCCCACAGAGACTGATTGATAGGGCCTCTATCTCCCCTGATGACTACATTTCAAAGGGATGGCTCTCAAGTCATTGAGAAAGACAGTTCCGGGTTGTAAAACTGGCAACAAGCTTTCAAAAAGATTTATATTTTAAAAGAACAGAGAAAGAATTTGCAATTACAAGTTTTCCAAATCAAATTTTAAAAGAAAATGCGGAGGTCGGTTATCTAATGTTAGGGAGAAGCCTGTCTAAAAGTTTAGCCAGGCAGTGGGAAATGTTATGGCCCTCTTGGTCACCAGATACACTCCCTAGAGGCAGCTGCTGTCAGGTTCTTAGATATTTCTTTTCCAGAAATGATCTACACCTATTGAGTGTAGATTCATTATACATTTTTAATATATAAATATTTTGAAACTTGATTTTTTTGCTTTATAACATATCTTGAAGACCAGTATTATAATAAATGGTATACATTAATTATATATAATATTCTATTTTATAAATGTACCAAAATATTTTAATAGTACTCAATTCATAAAAATGTAGGCTCTTTTTAGGCTTTTACAGTAACTAGCAGTGCTGCACATTGAAGCTGCTTTGTTCTGCATACAAGAGAGTATTTCTGTAGGATAAATTGCTGGAAATGGTGTTGCTGGGTCAAAGGGGATGCAATTCGAATTTTGTTAGCTGTTACCACATTCCTTTAGATGTCATGCAAGTTTAGGCTCACACCAACCTTTGCAAATACATGATATTATGCAACTTTTTGATCTTTGCAATCTGATGGGTTAAGATTAGTGCCTTTTGTACTTTTAATTTGCATTTCACATTACGAACAACCATGCTCTCGATGCATTCAGTGCATAGGCATTTAAATTGTGCAATGTATTCACTGTCAGTTGCCAGATAGAAATAGTTTGCTATGATTAAAAACCTATTATTGATAAAATGTCCAAATTGCATTAGGAATAATGTCAAACATTTAAAGTGATTAAGCAACAATTGCTTTTAAAGAAAATCCATTCCCATATTATATTTTCACTTTCCATGTCTTTTCTGATTCTTATATAGACAATGTCAAGGACTTAGAACATTTGAAAAAAAAATTTGAAAGAAAAAGTTATCAGAAACCCTATCCCTAATTTTTCCTGAATCACCTGTAAGATGTAACATGGATGGAGCTGCAAGCCATTACCTTAAGGGAACTAATGCAAGAACATAAAACCAAACATCACATGTTCTCGCTTATAGGTGGGAGCTAAACATTGAGTTCATATGAACACGAGATGGGAACAACAGACACCAGGGCCTACTTGAGGGTGCGGTGTAGGCAGAGAGTGAGTGTGGGAAATTATCTATTGGATACTGTGCTTATTACCTGGGTGATGAAATAAGGTATACACCAAACCATCACAAGACACTATGCATAGAACAAAACTGCACTTGTACCCCTGAAACTAAAAGTTAAAAAAAGAAAACAAAAATCTCCCCAAAACAATTTAAGTAATATTTTGCAGTAAATGCCTTACTTTGTTAAAAAAAAAAAAAAAAGTGAGAAAAAGAACTAGGTAAGGAGCACTACTATTTGTTAGGTAAGATCTAGTTAGGTTTATTTCCCTATACAAATGTTATTTTATTTAATCTGCAAGACAAGTTTCCTGACAGGAGATGTCACCTCCATATTATATTTGAGTAGCCTGAAGTCAGAGTGGGTAAGTAGTTGGTCAACATTACTCAGTTGATGACTGAAGTTAGAATTGGAGCCTTTTTCATATCATTCAAAGCTCTGCTGCTTTCATGTGCCACATTTTCTGTGCCTATACCATGTGAGGTTAAAAAAAAGAAATTAGTTAGTTCCTTATTACTAGCATCCTGTCCCAACTCACAAAGGTCATTTTGGCTTTTCTGAGTATTTCCAAGTGACACACACACACACACACACACACACACACACAAACATTCTTGAAATTCAAATGTTGGTACATATGAAAAAGTAAATAATGGTGGCTTAATGGATTATTTCAATTAGGTAAGAAAATGTATATGTGCATATGGACACGTGTCACTCACTGATAGAGAAACTATTTTGTTGACTTTTGAACTGCAATTGCTTTTAGCCTATTTTTCCCAGGAGAATTTCAGTAGAGGACATCCATAAAAGAGAATATTCTGATTCTGTGTTGATAAAGCAGCCTGCTTATTAATTATTAATACATGTGGCAAAGTTCAGAAGGGATTTTGAAATTATAAGTTTCCCAATCACATTTAATCATAGAATTTTTAAAAAATTGAGTATCTTATGGGACTAATGTGCAGTAAGAATCCACTGGGAAAAAAGCATAGACACATTTCAGCCAGTGAACAAGGACTGCAGATCCCAATATTGGTACCAAAATATGACCCCATTTACACTATGGTTTTTAGTTGTATTGGTTTCTGAGATGTAGAGTACCTGCAATTTTTCAAGAACTTCTGGACGAACTTATTTCTCTAGTCTTTCACTCACTAAAATCCACAATGCTCAGCATTTTTACTGCCATTCTATGCTAAGAAGTCTCTCTACTATACTTAATGCTGAAGAATAACAAGTCTAGTGATCATCCATTGCCATAATTGCAGGTGAATTCCTGAAACCCAGAACAGTATGTGGTGAGCACAAAGGATAAATCCTGTTATTTTTTCACCTGTTAAAAGTATTTGAAATGTCACTCTGACAAGAGTTGTGTCATTTTAATACATATGAATTAAAAATACAAAGTATTTTATTTCAAAGCATTAAAGTAAATGACTGCTGGTTAGCAGTAGGGAGTGCCTTTTGCAGTGCACCACCCATACCTCCCTTTAGGATGAAACACTACTTCTCCAAATGGCCAGGTGTATTGGCTACTAACAGCTCATAGCTAGGTGCCCTCTCAAGCAATTGCCCTCAGTCAGCGGCAGGGAACAGCCTGCCCAAAGAAAGCAACCACATGCAATAACTGGCGATTAAGGATAAAAAGGCCAGACTCTGGCCTTAATTTTGGACAACTCTACAGGGTGAGTCTAGCTCCAAAATTTACTGTGACTTTAGCTGGAGCCTTTCTTTACTGCAAGTTTATTGTGATTTAACCTCTCCCTCTACCCAATCTGGCTTCCTGCATTTTCCTCATAGGTCTTGGTCCTGAGAGCCCTGATCAATAATCTTCCTGCACAAAAATATATATCTCAAAGATTGTTTCCTGATAAATATGACTTAAGGCATAGGATTTTGTAAAAGAATCTAGGCCTGCATGGTGCCCATGAGCATGGAAGAAGAGTTTGTATCAAATGGAGCCTATTGAGGCAAATACATATAATTTAAACACCTGAAAGTAATATCCATCTAAAATGCAGTAACCAAAACACTTGTGTAGAGATGTTTTGCTCCTTGTTTTTATTTTTCTAGAAAATTATTTCTTTAGAATATTCTGAAGAGTTGTATGAAAAAATGATGATCTGAGTCTACCTCTGTGTCTGATAGGAAGCTAGAGAAAATAAAACATGATACATGAATAGTAATCATGACCTTTCCTATAGAACTGGACTTGGATCATATTGTCAGTCATTTTCAAACCTTACACCCCAAACATTCAGTCTAAATCAAATCTGTGGAGGAGGTGAAACCAGCTTGAGTATCTCAATGTAGCTAGGGCCTACATTTCTAAATGAAAACATTTGGGCATCCTAGAATGCACCAGTCTTGACTAAGGCCAGAGGCTAAAGATCTAAGATTCTGGGAGACTTAGCTAGTCTTGAGAAACCCTAGAATTAGGCAGAGAATAACTAAGTTTGGGGAAATGAGGTAATTTGAGTGATAAGGGAGTGAGGGAAAGAGACTTGAAAGGAGGGAATGGGGTCATGTGACATTAGATAGTAACTGCTGCATCACAGTAATCATCCTCTCTCTATCCTCCTCCTCCATTCTCATTTATTGAACACAATTATGTGCTGGGTATATATTGTATCTAGCCATATGAGGTAGGTCTTTTATTTGCATTTTAAAAATGAGTAAATCATGTTCACCAAAATCAAGTAAACTGACCAAAGTCACCCAGCTGACTTCATAGCCACCTTTTTTCCATTATATGTTTATAACGGAAAGCATGTTTTGTGCTTTTTTATAGCAGGGGAATTTACCATTGTTTCTGTTGAAAAAATTCCAATTATTTTATCCAACAAAATTATAAATTACTCAAGACACCACCTAGGTTGAATTTTGCCTAACATTAATGAGCAGATGATTTTATCCTTGTGCTATTGCTAAGAGAAGTAGTGGTAAAAGCAATAAAAATACCAAAGGAAATTCAGACACTAATAAGGCCTTTTTTTCTGTAGAGTAAGTGTCTTGGAAAGAAAAATGCAAAATGTGTGCTGAATACATTGATTTGTAAGTAAAAAAGGTACTATAATTATCATTAAAATATATTGAAAATATCATTTATCAAGTTGATCATTGAAGATTAGGTAAATTAAGTTGGCTACCACAGTCACTTGTTTAATTATTGGTCATTCTCTTTAGAGTTTAAAAGAAGTTTGGAAAAGCAGAATTACAGTGAAAATTCTATTTCTTTGGTGTCAAAATATAACTACCTATGGGACTAGAAGAAAAACTTTATTATTATCCCATCTCTAAATTATTTCTGGAACTATCTCGGGAGAGAAAGAGCTGTATCCAAAAAGATAATAAGGAAAGTAGAAATATAATGAATGTAACTTGTGTCCTTGGTACATACAATAAAACCAATCAGGATTTAAGAAAAGGTTTTGACAATAACTTAATTTCACATATATCCCAGTCTAAGATTAAGTTGGAATTGTAAATTGTTTATTTTAGGTTGAAATATTTTATAGAAGTAGGTATGTGTAATCTATTTAATATCAATGCTATTGTGAAGTAAGTAGTAATATTAGCAAAATGGAAATCAGAAAAACAAAGACATTTATCACTAAGTCATTGATTTTTAAATGTGAGATATATATTTCACAGGCTTAAAGTAATAAGCCAATCTTAAAAGTATAAACATGTAATGATCCAGCAGGATTCTTAATATTGTTTATTGAATTGATTTTGAAATGTACTGAAATAAGAGATATCTTGGAGGTGTAATAGAATCTTGATAAAAATAGATTGGAATATTGGAATACATCAACCAAAAAATGTTTCAGCAAAACATATTCTCCATTTCCGCATTTTAATATAGGTTATGCAAAAGAAATAGAATACAGATAAACTCATTTTAGATGATAAACCATTTACATGGCTGATGTTTCTGAAAGTGTATATTAGTCAATTTTTTATTCCATCTTAAATACACTAAAGGAAAGCCTAGCCAGAGAAATTCAGTGGTGATCCCTTAGTGGAATAAGAAGCTGATTTGAGATGTGAAATTTACTTTCTGAATTTATCTGTTTTATCTTCTTTAAAATAAATTAACTTAAAATCAACAATACTAATTTATTATAATGATTTCTTAAATTTTTTGAGGATTAATGCATCCACAGGTGAGTAAATACCTTGTTATTTTGCACATGAATGTTGCAGTTGACCTTATTCCTGAATTGAAAGCTAAATTTGAGTGCCCATTTAAAGTGGCTTGTTTGGGTGTGATGGAAAAAATGTTCTCAGTAGTGAATGGACGGCACTATCAGATATTTACTCTGAAACATATAATATGTATTATTGTTTTTCTGAAAATAAGCATTGAAATGTGGTAAGGTTTTATTTTTTCTTGTTTACTACAATGGCAATGATTACTCTCCAGCTGACGTTCTCTAAAACATGCTTATCACAACTGCTGTCTGACAGTTGTAACGTGTGAATGCAGTTCTTTGTCAATGTGAAAAATTATTCATTGACTAACAGTCCAAATAATTTTAACACTTTCTAAAATCTTTCATCCAATCTTAGACTACTGAAGTCATAGTTACTTAATAAGTTACCCTTAGATGTAAGCACCAACGGCAAGGAACAAGATAGAAAATTCTGTTTAATAAAAACTTAATGAAAAACTGAAATGAGAAATTAAAATGAAATTTAGATATATAATAAATTTTGGTATATTTGTATTCTTTAACAGTGAAAATAATGTATGTCACTTGTAAATATTGAATACTTTTTCATTGTACTTCATCTTAAAATTTATTACTAATGTGGACAGAATGGCAGAAAAAAATGAGAACTGTCATTTTTCCCATTGATTAAAACTTGCAAGTACTGGTATCTCATTCTATTCCAAAAAAGGCAATGGCTTAGAGCATAGTCTTTTGTGTTATACATGTAATTATTTAAACAAGACACAAATTTTAAAAATAACTTTCATTTTACAGCGATAATAAGCAGATCTTTTTAAAGGAAATAGCAAATAAAAATCTCCTTTAATGGCTAACTATAAAAGCAGGCTGTG
This sequence comes from Homo sapiens, assembly GCF_000001405.40. Taxonomy (NCBI): domain Eukaryota; kingdom Metazoa; phylum Chordata; class Mammalia; order Primates; family Hominidae; genus Homo; species Homo sapiens. Next base: position 78,392,070 of record NC_000006.12, on the reverse strand, counting down.
AGCACTGACTGACAGGAGAAGTAGATTGTGGTGGCAGGTATGAACTCGCCTCTCGTGAACTCTTCCAAGTGAAGAAGAGAACCTGGAAAGAGAAATGTGCGCTTACATAATAAAGAATATGAAGACTGTTAACATGTAGAGAATTCTGACTTAATCAAACAATTTCCCCCACACTAAATTTTACACTGTTCTCAGAACAATCCTGTGTGAGGGTTAGGACAACTTCTACTATACCCATTTTACAGATTTCTCTTCTATGTTTAATAATCTTAATCTTAACATGTTTGTGACTATCATCTTGGTTCAGAATGCAATACTTCCATCATTGGCTACAGTAATCATCTCTTTCCTGGAGCAGTCATTTCTGATTTCTTCCCACTACCAGCTACTATCAAAATAATCTTCTCAGTCTAGGGCCCTGAGTATGGCATTACTTTTCTCTGAAACATTTACTAATTTTCTTCCCATCTGTATTTTTGTTAAATTCCTATGTGACTTTGATATACGTATGATTTGCCAAATAGTTTAAAAGATTAAAAAGTCACTAGATCCACTTAGTTTGTGCAAATGAAGCCAAGAAAAGAAATATGGGCAAATAGTAGGATATGTAAATAAACAAAAACGTAATGTAATATTTTAACAAGAAAAAACCAAAGTATTACAAGAACATTTTATATTTTATGATAGGCTCGCAAGCATTCTTTTACTTAGAAAAATTTAGAGGTATAATGTTTAATAATGAAATGATTGTAGCCTTCTAGAATGTTGACTGACAGTTTTTGGCCAGCTAATGAAATTGGCATAATATTTTAATGAATTATAACAGAGAGAATGAGAATAATGAGATCTAAAGTAAATGGAATGGATTACATGGGAGATAGAGTTAAATTTCTCATAAAAGATATCTGATAACAAAGTAATTACTAAATAATTATGTGGTAAATTATATTCTTTATCTCTACCAGTGGGAAAACCCTCTCTATTTGCTGGTTAGCTTTAGACATCGTTAAATAAACTTTTGATGAAAATAATCTGCCTGTCAAAAACAGATTTCAAAAATGTTTAAATCAATATTATGTGCTAGAAGAATGAGGATAGATTTATTTCTCATCCTAATTCTGCTTTTATAAGTTTCAATCTCCATGAAGTTACTTTGGTTATTGATGTGATTTTGTAATGTGAATACATAAGAATATTGTTCTGTCAATGTTATAGCCAGGAATTTTGCATTCCCAAGGCTTGGGGATCATTTCTCTCTCTCTCTCTCTCTCTCTCTCTCTCTCTCTCTCTCTCTCTCTCTCTCTGTCTTACACACACACACACACACACACACACACACCGCTTATACATTAAACAAATTGATTTTTACAAATTTTGAAATTGGGGTAGATCGGACCTGACCAAAACTAATGCTAGGATCAGTGTATTCACTAAGATCCTTGCTCTAATTTTTTCCTTATTTCCTTAACTATGCCCAGCCTTCAGATATCCATCACTTCATTAATCTATCTGTTTATTTCCTTTGATTCTGTTCCTAGGCTGCCAAGTGTTGCTGGACAACGACTTAGCCAAAAAGCTTCACAACAACCCTGCATTTTCTAGCTCTGTTGGCACCCTCATTCTCATCCCCATGCTTCTTCCCTATCTCTTTACCTGTTTCTAGTCATGTTCTCTGCAATAGATTCTAGCAGGTTTTTCAAAAATGTGTTCCTCTTGTCAATGGCATACTTTAATCTCCCAAGGCTGCCAAGAGAAAAATACAGCCATCAAAAGGGCCCAGTCACTGACTTTGACCTTTGAGCTTAGATATGACATCACCCATTCTGGCTTTCTTCCCTTATGTTTAAAAAGCAGTTGTTTGTCCTTTCCCATTGAATCACCCCATCCTTGCTCAATGTGATAGGCAGAATAACATTCCCCAAAATGTTGACCCCTTAATCTCTAGAAGTGGTAAACATTTTACCTTACATGGCAAAAGAGACACTGAAAATACGATTAAACTAAGGATCCTGAGATGGAGATAAATCATATTTGTGATGTCTCTTTTGCCATGTAAGGTAAAATTAGGAATTATCTGCATGGGATTAACAACAAGGGTTCATATAAGAAGCAGGTGGGAAGATCAGAGAGGGAGATGTAACAATGGAAACAGGGATGTGTGCTGTGTGTGTGTGAATGAGTGCACTAGTCTGTTCTCATACTGCTATAAAGAACTGCCCAAGACTGGGTAATTTATAAACGAAATAGGTTTAATTGACTCACAGTTCTGAATGGCTAGGGAAGCTTCAGGAAACTTACAATCGTGGTGGAAGGTGAAGGAGAAGCAAGAGATGTACTTCACAAGATGACAGGAAGGAGAAGTGCTGAGCAAAGAGGGAAGAGCCTTTTATAAAGCCATCAGATCTTGTGAGAACTCACTATTACAAAAACAGCACAGGGTAAACTGCCCTCATTCAATTACCTCTACCTGGTCTCTCCCTTGATACATGGGGATTAAGGGGATTATGGAGATTATAATTCAAGATGAGATTTGTGTGGGGACACAAAGCCTAACCATGGAAGGAGAAGTGCTGAGCAAAGAGGGAAGGAAGAGCCTTTTTATAAAGCCATCAGATCTTGTGAGAACTCACTATTACAAAAACAGCACAGGGTAAGCTGCCCTCATTCAATTACCTCTACCTGGTCTCTACCTTGATACATGGGGATTAAGGGGATTATGGGGATTATAATTCAAGATGAGATTTGGGTGGGGACACAAAGCCTAACCATATGAGAGAGAGAGAGGAAAAGACAGACAGAGGTGCGGGGTGGGGGGTAGGGGGTGTGGATTTTAATGCTCTATACTGCTGGCTTTGAAGATGGGTGATAGGACCTCAAGGTAAGAAATGGATGCTGCCTCTAGAAGCTGGAAAAGGCATGCAAATATATTCTCTCCTACAGGGTCCAGAAAGGAATGTAGTCCTGCTGACATCTAGGCTTATAAAACCCATTTCAGACTTCTGATGTCCAGAACTATAAGATAAATTTTTGTTTTTATAAGCTATCAAAATAATGGTGATTTGCTATAGCAGCAGCAAAAATCTAATATACCAATATCTAATTTTCTATCACTTACACAGGAATTTAATCCCATTATCTTTTCTATTTCCTCTACCATAAATTTTCTCTATTTTAGCTCCATTTAAGGTTCAAAAAAAAGTTTTCCATTAATCTTCTGCCCAAACTACTGACATTATGTATTTCTTTCCTTTCCGCACCATTCATATTAAAAAAATAGTTTATGTCTTCCATACTTGCCTCTCAAACCACGGTATTGACCCTTGCTCTGCTCTGTCTGAATGGGTTTTTCAACCTCAATAGAAGTTTCTTTCTGTTTGACAAAGTTAACTGAACTCTTTTCTCACCTGAGGCATTTGCAGTTTTCAACAGTAGTGGCTTGTCCTCTTCTGGCTCTTGCTGTTATTTTGATTATTCTTTCTTGAATTCTTCACAAGCTCTTTTTTTTTTTTTTTTTCCACTAGGGCTACCCCTTACATGTCAATAGATCGCTAAGGTTCTACATTTCTCTATTTCCTTTTTTACTTTCCACATAAAACTTGGGTTATCCCATCTACCCTCATAGTTTTAATTACCAGTTACAAGCAGAGAACTTCTAATCTCCTAGTCCTAATTTTACTCTTGAATTCCAAATATGTGTATCATATTAGGCTTGTCTGCCTGTATTTTCTCTAGGCACCCCAAACATCATTTGAACCTAGAGAGATCCTGGTATTTTTCAGTGTTCCATAGAAAAAATTGGAAATCACTCATACCTCCTCCAAGCTACTTATTCCTCTTCCCACTGTGCTTAGTCGAGTATATTTCACCAATATCAATCAAATTAATCTTTACATTCCACAATGCTTCTACCATTTGAAAAATAATTTTATATTTTCTCTAGATGATACAATCTTCTACCACAAAATTTTCTTACCTCTAGACTGATACTCAATTATATGATTTGGCTGTGTCCTCACACAAATATCATCTTGAATTGTAGCTCCCATAATTCCTACGTGTTGTAGGAGGGTCCCGGTGGGAGATAACTGAATCACGGGGGTGGCTTTCCTCATACTGTTCTCCTGGTAGTGAATAAGTCTCATGAGATTCGATGGTTTTATAAGGAGAAACCCCTTTTGCTTGGCTCTCATTCTCTCATCTGCCACCATATAAGATGTGCCTTTCACCTTCCAACATGATTGTGAGGCCTCCACAGCCACATGGAATTGAGAGTCCATTAAACCTCTTTTTCTTCATAAATTACCCTGTCTCAGGTATGTTTTTATCAGCAACATGAAAATGAACTAATACAGTATATCAGTACCAGTAATTTGGGGCATTGCTGTAAAGACACCTGAAAATGTGGAAGCAACTTTGGAACTGCGGGTAACAGGCAGAGGTTGGAACAGCTTGGAGGGCTCAAAAAAAGAAAGGAAAATGTGGGAAAGTTTGGAACTCTCTAGAGACTTGTTGAATGGCTTTGACCAAAATGCTGATAATGATATGGACAATGAAATCCAGGCTGAGGTACTCTCAGATGGAGATGAGTAACTTGCTGGGAACTCAAGCAAAGGTGAGTCTTGCTATGTTTTAGCAAAGAGACTGGCAGCATTTTGCCTTTGCCCTAGAGATTTGTGGAATTTTGAACTTGAAGGAGATGATTTAGGGTATCTGGCAAAATAAATTTCTAAGCATCAAAGCATTCAAGAGGTGACTTGGGTGCTGTTAAAAGCATTCAGTTTTAAAAGGAAAATAGAGCATAAAAGTTCAGAAAATTTGCAGCCCGATGATGCGATAGAAAAGAAAATCCCATTTTCTGAGGGGAAATTCAAGCCAGCTGCAGAAATTTGCATAAGTAACAAGCCAAATGTTAATCACCAAGACAATGGGGAAAATGTCTCCAGGGCATGTCAGAGACCTTTGAGGTGCCCCTCCCATCACAGGCCTGGAGGACCAGGAGGGAAAAATGGTTTTGTGGGCCAGGCCCAGGGCCCCCTTGCCATGTGCAGCCCAGGGACTTGGTGCCCTGCATCCCAGCTGCTCTAACCATGCCTAAAGAGACCAACATAGAGCTCAGGCCATGGCTTCAGAGGGTGAAAACCCCAAGCCTTGGCATCTTCCATATGGTGTTGAACCTGTGGGTGCATAGAAGTCAAGAATTGATGTTTGGGAACCTCCACCTAAATTTTAGAGGATGTAAGGAAATGCTTGGATATCCAGGTATTAGTTGGTTGCAAGGTTAAGGCCCTCATGGAGAACCTCTGCTGGGGTGATGGTAAAGGGAAATGTGGAGTGTGAGCCCCCATACAGAGTTCCCACTGGGGCATTGCCTACTAGAGCTGTGAGAAGAGGGTTACCATCCTCTGGATCCCAGAATGATAGCTCCATTGACAGCTTGCATTGTATGCCTGGAAAAGCCACAGACACTCTGTGCTAGCCTGTGAAAGCAACCAGGCAGGGGCTGTACCCTGCAAAGCCTCAAAGACAGGGCTTCCCAAGACCATGGGAACCCACCCCCTGCATCAGGATGACGGGAACATGAGACATTGGGTCAAAGGAAATTATTTTGGAGCTGTGAGATTTACTGCCCTGCTGTTTTTCAGACTTGTGTGGGGGCCTGTAGCCCCTTCATTTTGGCCAATTTCTCCCATTTGGAATGAGTATATTTATCCAATGCTTGCACCCCCATTGTATCTAGGAAGTAACTAACTTGCTTTTGATTTTACAGGCTTCTAGGTGGAAGAGACTTGCCTTGTCTCAGATGAGACGTTGGACTGTGGACTTTTGAGTTAATTCTGGAATGAGTTAAGACTTTGGGGGACTGTTGGGAAGGTATGATTGGGGTTTTGACATGTGAGGACATGAGATTTGGGAAAGGTTGGGGTGGAATGATATGGTTTGGCTGTGTCCCCACCCAAATCTCATCTTGAATTTTAGCATCAATATTGCCCATGTGTTGTGGGGGACACCTGGTAGGAGATAATTGAATCATGGGAGCAGTTTCCCCCATACTGTTCTTGTGGCAGTGAATAAGTCTCATGAGATCTGATGGTTTTATAAGGAGAAACCCCTTTTGCTTGGCTGTCATTCTCTCTTGTCTGCTGCCACGTAAGATGTGCCTTTCACCTTCTGCCGTGATTGTGAGGCCTCCCCAGCCACGTGGAACTGTTAGTCCATTTAACCTCTTTTTCTGTATAAATTACCCAGTGTCAGTATATCTTTATCAGCAGCATGAAAACAGACTAATACAGTCATCCTGCAAATAGCCTGACTTTCCTAAAGTTAGATTTGATTAGTCTCTGCCTTGTTTAAATATTACTTTTATATTCATGCTACCAAAGATAGAGCACACATCTATTAAAATTGCCCACAAGGTCTATCCTCTTTCTCTGACTTCCTAACCTTCTTGCTCTCCACATCAGATACGTTATGCTCCAAATATATTAAGCAGGTTTTGTTCATTAGATAACCCTGATCCTATCTTAACATTTGCATACATTCTTCCTAAACTTTACTTCCTGCCTTCTTTGTCTGCCAACTAGGTAAGCATATACATCTTTTTTGTTTGAATCCTTTCTTAACTGCCCCAAACTAGTCACTATGTTTCCAGATCACTCTGTGCCTGTTTATGCTATGTCACTTATTGCATTGCATTGTAATTATTAGTTTTTGCTTTTTCACTAGTCTTCCAGTACTTTCAGGGTGAAAACTGTGCCTTCTTTGTGTGTATATATTTAGTGCCTAGCACAGTACTTGGCTCATCGGAAATACTAGGTAAATGCAGTATGGATAAATACACATCAAAAACTGATGTGAACCAAAGATCATGTAATTTCTAAAAATACAACATCAAAGAATATTTAAGAAAAACTAGAAGAGGCTGTACAATAATTGAGTATGAAAGGAAACATTATGGATGGTGTGGCAGTGGAGATAACAGTTCAGAGATCTGCCATACTTTGTGAGGAAGATCATCCATCTTCCTTAGGTGGCCAGCACACAGATGAATAGGATGCCATCTATGTTCTCAAGTGATTACAATCAGGAAGGAAGGAAAGTCATGTGAACAAATGGGTGGAATAAGGGACTGCCAGAGCTACCACATGTATGCATAGCATCATAAAAGGAAAGGGTGGTAAATTCTTTATGGGACTAGATAAGCCTTCCAGAGGAATTAATTAAACCAAATTAAAATGTAATGCTTTTGAGAAAGAAGGAAGCAAATAGTAATATCAATAATTGTTGGCTGGGCCCTGTGGCTCCCGCCTGTAATCCCAGCACTTTGGGAAGCTGAGGTGAGCAGATTGCTTGAGGCCAAGAGTTCGAGACCAGCCTGCACAATATGGCAAAACCCTGCCTCTACAAAAAAAATACAAAAATTATTCAGGTGTGGTGGCATGAGCTTGTAGTCTTAGCTGCTCAAGAGGCTGAGGTGGAAGGATCACTTGAGCCTGGGAGGCAGAGGTTGCAGTGAGTTGTGATTGTGCCACTGCACTCCAGCCTGTGTGACAGAGTGAGACCGTGTCTCAAAGGAAAAAAAAAAGAAATTGTAAAATAGAGAATGGATAATGCATTTGTGGAACATTAGTTTTTATGTGTACTTCTTGTAAGACAATTGAACACATGCAATATTCACATGCATTTGTATATATTAAAAAGTTTTACCCTGACTGAAAATTTTGTTTATTATAAACTGAAGTGTCTCATTGATTTTATTAAGCAACTGTATTAAATTTGTCCTCGGTAGAGAAGAAATCAAAATATCCCATTACAGACTATTCTGATTATGGTGGGAAGAGATCAAAGGATAGAGTCAGGTGAAGTGATAGAGCTCCCATTGGGCCTGGCATCATTTATAGAATGTAGACTTTGTTCTTATTTCCACATTCTCTGGGAGCATGATCAAAGCCTTTTAGATCTCTCAGGCCACATGGTTTGAAAATGACAGTCACCCTGGGGAACAAATTCTGAAAAGTCTATGGGGATATCGTTAGAATATCATCAGTCAATTATTATTGTAAATTAAACAAATATCCCTGATAATAATCATTTAAAATTCATACTGGTAATTAATTCAACAATTTTACTCTGTAATTATTTAACCCCATGAGAGAAAACTAATTTAAATTCTAACAGAATATTGTTTCAATAGTTATTTGCTTCAATTTTGATAAATAATGAGTTTAAGCATGTCCACATGCATTTGATACTGAATTTTTTTTCAGAAGGATACATGTGCTTAAGGAAAAATTAATCAACATACATAAAGAAAGTCAGAAGGTTTTGCAATTTGATACATCTGGATGGGATGAGTTCCCAAAACTTATTTGTCTTCTTCATTAGGAGTATCTTAGCTAATTTTCAGTGTTGGTTTTTTTCTTCTTACATTCATATTAATTTTATCATCAGTTGGTAGTTTCTTGGAAAATGATGTAGGATTTTTATTGAAATGGCAATAAATCTATAGATTCATTGGGAGAGAACTGACATTTTATGTCAATAGATGAACACAGTACCCATCTCTAATAGTCTATTTATTTCAATAATTCTTAAATGTATGTAGATAAGTGCTTATTTTTCCTAAATTTATATTTAATTGACAAATAAAAATTGCTTGTACAACTTGAAGTTTTGATATATGTATACATTGTGTATGAATATGTCAAACTAACATTTATTAGTTCACATACTTATATTTTATGGTGATAGCGTTTATATACACTCTTAGCAATCTTCAAATATATAATACATTGTTAACTGTGGTCACCGTATTATACAATACATCTCCTGAACTTATTCCTTCTGGCTAAATTTTGTATCCTTTGACCAACACTAATCCTTTCTCTTTTCCTACACCCCCAAGCCTTTGGTAGCCATCATTCTACTATCTGCTCCTGTGAGTTTTACTTTTTTAGATTCTACATATAAGTGAGATCATGTGTTATATGTCTTTCTGTGCCTGACTTATTTCACTTACAATAATGTCTTCCATGTTTATCCATGTTTTTGCAAGTGGCAGACAGCTTTCCTTCTTTTTAAAGCTGAATAGTATTCCACTGTATATACCACATTTTCTTTAGCCATTTCTTCATTGATGAGCACTTAGTTGATTCCATATCTTGGCTAATGCTGCAATGAACATGGGAGTGCAGATATATCTTCAATACACTAATCTCATTTCTCTTGGACATACATGCAATAATGGGATTGCAACACAGTGGTAGAAATGTAAATTAGTACAGTCATTATAAGAAATAATATGGAGGTTCCTCAAAAAGTTAAAAGTAGTACTACCATATGCTCCAGCTTAATAAAGTGTTAAATTGCTACAAAAAGGTTCTAAAATAATTGTTATCATTTATTTTGAAATTTTCATTGACATACAATTAAAATTATATGTATTTGACATGTACAGTGTGTTGATTTATATACATATATACACATTGTGTAATGATTATAACAGTCAAAACATTCATTATCACTCATAGATATTGTGTGTTGAAGGTGGGGAAAAGGAGACTTAAAATCTTCTCTATCAAAATTCAAGCAAACAATACAATATTATTAACTATAGTCACTATGCTGCACCTTAGATGTCCAGAACTTATTCTTATAACTGAAAGTGTGTACCCTTTGACCAATATCTCCCCATGTCCCTCACCCCCTAGACACTAGCAACTACCCTTTTTCTGTCTTTTGAGTTCAAAATTTTTAAATTCCACATATATGTGAGATTATACAATATTTGTGTTTTGTTTGTGTGTCTGACTTATTTTACTAACCATAATATCACCCAGGTCCATCCATGTTGTAAAAATTCCTAGAAACGTATAACCTACCAAGACTGAATCATGAATAAATAGAAAAGCTGAACAGACTAATAACAAATAAGGAGATTGAATCAGTCATTAAAAACTTCCCAAGAAAGAAAGATAGAATACTATAGAGGTGGTTTTGCATGACTTGCAGGGCTAGGAAATAAAGGATACTTCAGTTTCTATCTTGTCCTTTCTTGGATCATTTACTCTGGAGAAAGCCATCTTTCATATCATGAGGACATTCAGATGCCCTTGTGGAAGGGTGTCTCAGTTCATATGGGGATGGACTGAGGCCTTCTGCCAACAACTCGCAAATAGTAGCCAGCCATGTGAGTGAAACACCTTGAAAGTAGATCTTCCAACTCTTGTTATGCCTTTAGATGATTGCATACCTGGCCCCCATTTTGATTACAAATTCATGAGAGACAACCAGAATCATCCAGATGAGCTGCCCCTGAATGCTTTATCCACAGAACTATCTATATGTATCCCATAACATTATGTTGTAAACCTCAAATATATACAATAAAATTTATTTTAAAAAAGAAACTGTGAGACATAATGAATGCATATTGTTTTAGCTTGGAAAGTATGACTTAAAGGGGAAGCCATACATATGACTGTAAAATTCAATGTTGAAAATCTCAGAAAAATATATAGTGGTACCTCAGAGAACCATTCAGTTAAACAATAGGACTTATTTGTCATAGACTAAGCTGAAACCAAGGTAGAATACATATTATCTTGAAGATGCTTATAGGTGGTGTGGCTTTTGTCTAATGATATGTACCCCAGTATGATTCATAAAGGACCAAAGAAATTTTAAGAAAATTATACTAGCAGAAACATTGCAAGGTTGATCAGAAGAAGACAGAGAGAGTACAAAATAAAAAGAGGAATTTAGATCCCCCAAATTTTACTACCTGAAAGTAAACTGAAAAAATTACTCAGCTGCAAATCCAGGCTCCATTTCTGAACAAAGAAAGAACATCTGGAAGGGCAAAATAATCCTTCAAATCATTACCAGGCCTTTAGTGCTAATGAAGGAACTGGCAGTATGCTCCCTGTGGAATTTAAGGATTGTTACAAACCAGTGACTCCTATGTGACTCTTATTGTCTTTCTTTTTCAATGGGATAGTTAAGAGTGGCTAATCTTTGCCTGTTTCAAAAGAGAATCTGCATTAGGAGTATGGTAAAAAGACAGCTTTTCTATTTAGTTCTCAAGTCTTTATAGTGAGAGCCCAGAACTGGATCCCTGGAGCCTCATTTACACTTGGTCTTAATTTAGGTGGTAAAAGTTATAACGTTGACTGATGCTGTCAAAGAATGAGACTTTTGGGGACTTTGGGAAGAGAGGAGTATGTTTTGCATATGGGAGGAACATGATTTATCATAGGTCAGAGGGCAAGCTGAGTTAGGCAGCCTCCAAGTTTGTCCTGAATATTCCTTGTATTCTGGCAGCGGTGCTTTATGGAATCCCCACCCACACTGAATCATGGCTGGGCTGCATAACCAATAGGATATTTTTTAAATAACAAATGGTTTTGGTATATGACTTCTAATGTAGGGAGGTAAACATTTTTGTTTACCAGTTGCTGTCAAGTGCCTAAAAGACTTACTGAAGACATTCAATAAATATTCATTTTTAAGAAGAAAAGTATTGACATATTTGGTTTATTATCATAAATTATTTTGAAATAAGTTGTATTTTGTCACCCTTTGTTAATGGTATTTATGAATGTTAGCTGTTATCCTTGATTTTGATAGCAGTAAGACAGTTTTAAAATACCTTTACATTCAATGAGGAGACAAAGAGCTGTCTTAAGGAAGTAGCAATCTACCTCTATATTACCAGTACAACTTTACTTTCAAACACAATGATTACTTTTTCTGTTTTTAGCTACCCCTGGTGGGTATTTAACTCCTATCATTTCCTGAAATACTAGAGGCTTCATCTTTTAAAACAATTTTACTGGCTCTGTAGTACTGAGATACAGAAACATTTACATACACAACTACATTGTGGTGTAGCTACTATTCCTGGAAGCCAACTATTGAGCATTTACCATGTACCCTGTATTATCATATTTAATTCTTACATCTCTATGAGTCAGGACTATTATCCTTGTGCTTAAAAAATAAAGAAAAATAAAAATGGAACTCAAAGAGGTTTAAGACATTATACTAGTAATTGTCAGATAAATAATTTAACATAAGTCAGTTGCACTCCAAAAACTGATGTGATGAATTCTTATAATTTCATGTTGTGTTGGCATCTTTTAAAAATTATTTTATTTTCAATTTTTGTGGGTACATAGTAGGTTATATATTAATGGAGTACATGAGATACCCAGTTACAGACATGCAACGTATACTAATCACAACATGTAAAATGGGGTATTCATTCCCTTAAGTTTTTCTTCTTTGTGATACAAAAAATCCAATTATAAACTTTTAGTTATTTAAAAACTTACAATAAAATTATTATTGACTACGGTCACCCTATTGTGCTATCAAATAGGTCTTATTTATTCTTTCTAACTAGTTTTATTTTGTACCCATTAGTCATCCCCACCTCCACTCTTCCCAGCCTCTGGTAACTTTCTACTCTCTATGTCCATGAGTGCAATTGTTTTGATTTTTAGACCCCACAAATAATTGAGAACATGCAATGTTTGTCTTTCTGTGTTTGCCTTATTTCATTTAACATAATGATCTCCAGTTCCATGCATGTTGTTGCAAATGACTGGATATCATTCTTTTTGTGGCTGAATAGTACTCCATTGTGTAGATGTACCACATTTTCTTTATTCATTCATCTGTTGATAAACATTTAAGTTGCTTCCAAATCTTAGTTATTGTAAACAGTGCTGCAACAAACATAGGAGCATAGATATCTCTTCAGTATACTGATTTCCTTTTTTGGGGATATATATCCACCAGTGGGATTGCTGGATCTTATGGTAGCTCTATATTTAGCTTTTTTTTTTTTTTTTTAAGGCAGAGATTTTTCTTGTTGCCCAGGCTGGAGTGCAATGGTGTGGTCTCAGCTCACTGCAACCTCTGCCTCCCGGATTCAAGTGATTCTCCTGCCTCAGAATCCCAACTAGCTGGGATTACAGGTGCCTGCCACCACACCTGGCTATTTTTTTTTTTTTTTTTTTGTATTTTTAGTAGAGATGGGGTTTCACTATGTTAGCCAGGCTGGTCTTGAACTCCTGACCTCAGGTGATGCCCCCACCTTGGCCTCCCAAAATGTTGGTATTACAGGCATGAGCCACTGTGCCCAGCCTATTTTTAGTTTTTTTGAGGAGCCTCCAAACTGTTCTCCATAGTGGTGGTACTGATTTGCATTCCCACAAACAGCCTATGTGAGTTTCCTTTTCTCCACATTTGCCAGGATTTGCTATTGTCTGGCTTTTAGATAAAAGCCACTTTAACTGAGGTGAGATAAAATCTCATTGTAGTTTTGATTTGTACTTATCTGATAATCAGCGATGTTGAGCACCTTTTCATAGGCCTGTTTGCCATTTGTATCTATTTTTTTTGAGAAACAAATATTCAAAATTTTCCGATTTTCAAATTGGATTATTAAATTATTTTCTATAGAGTTGTTTGAGCTCCTTATATATTCTGGTTATTAATCCCTTGACAAATGGGCAGTTTGCAAATATTTTTTTCCCATTCTGTGGACTGTCTCTTCACATTGATAATTGTTTCCTTTGCAGTGCAGAAGTTTTAGCTTCCGTTTGTCCATTTTTGTTTTGGTTTCCTGTGCTTGTGGGGTATTACTCAAGGAATTTTTTCTCAAACCAATGTCTGAAAGAGTTTCCCTAATGTTTCTTGCAGAATTTTCATAGTTTATGGTCTTAGATTTATGTCTTTAGTTAATTTTGATTTGATTTTTGTAAATGGCTAGAGATAGAGGTCCAGTTTCACTCTTCTGCATATGAATATCCAGTTTCCTGGGCACCATTTATTGAAAGACTGTCCTTTCCCCAGTGTATGTTCTTGACACCTTTGTCAAATATGAGTTCACTGTAGGTGTACAAATTTGCTTTTAGTTTCTTTATTCTGTTCCATTGGTCTATGTGTCTGTTTTTATGTTAATAACATGCTGTTTTGTTACTATAGCTTTGTAAATTTGAAATTAAGTAAAGTGATTCCTCTGGTTTTGTTCTTTTTGCTCTGGATAACTTTGGCTATTCTGAGTCTTTTGTGGTTTTATATTAATTTTAGGATTTTTTTCTATTTCTGTTAAGAACGTCATTGGTATTTTAATAGGGATTGTGTTGAATCTGTAGATTGCTTTGGGTAGTATGGATATATTAATGACATTGATTCTTCCAACTCATGAACATGAGATATTTTTTCATTTTTTGGTGTTACATCAATTTCTTTTATCACTGCTTTATAGTTTGCATTATAGAGATCTTTCACCTCTTTGGTTAATTTCTAAGTATTTAGTTTTATGTGTGGCTATTGTAACTGGGATTATGTTTTTATTTCTTCTTCAGATGTTTCACTGTTGGCATATAGAAATGCTATTGATTTTTGTATGTTGATTTTGTATTCTGTGACTTTACTAAATTTGTTTGTCAGTTCTAATAGTTTATTTCACAGAGTCTTTAGGTATTGACAAGTATAAGATCATGTCATTTGCTAACACGTGTAATTTGACTTTTTCTTTTCCATTTGGATGCCCTTTACATCCTTCTCTTGTCTGATTACTCTAGCTAGGACTTCTAGTACTATGTTGAGTAAAAGTAGTGACAGTGGGCATCTTTGTCGTGTTCCAGATCTTAGAGTAAAGGCTTTCAGATTTTTCATATTCAGTTTGATACCAGCTGTGGGTCTGTCATATATGGCTTTTATTATGTTGAGGCATGTTCTTTATGACCCAGTTTTTTGAGCATTTTTATCACAAAGGGATGTTGAATTTTATAAAATGCTTTGTCAGCATCGATTGAAATGGTCATGTGGTTTTTGTCCTTCCTTCTGTTGATAGGATGTATTGCATTGAATGATTTGCATGGTTTGAACCATCCTTGCATCTCTGGTATAAATTTTACTTTTTCATGATGAATGATCTTTTAAATGTATTGTTCAATTTGGTTTGCTAATATTTTGTTGAGGATTGTTACACCTAACTCTTCAGTTTGCTAGTATTTTGTTCAAGCATTTTATGCCTAATATAGAAGAATTAGGCGTAAAATGTATTTTTTGGTGTGTCTGTCTGGTTTTGGTATCAGGTCATATTGACCTCATAGAATGAGTTTGCAAGTATTCATATTTTCTCTGTTTTGCAGAATAGTTTGAAGATGATTGGTATTAGTTCTTCCTTAAATGTTTGGTACAATTCAGCAATGAAGTCATTGAGTTCCAGGCTTTTCTTTCTTTTTTTTCTTTTTTTTTTTTTTGAGACAGAGTCTCGCTCTGTCACCCAGGCTGGAGTGCAGTGGCGCGATCTCTGCTCACTGCAAGCTCCGCCTCCCAGGTTCACACCATTCTCTTGCCTCAGTCTCCAGAGTAGCTGGGACTACAGGTGCCCACTACCATGCTCATCTAATTTTTTGTAATTTTAGAAGAGACGGGGTTTCACCATGTTAGCTAGGATGGTCTTGACCTCCTGACTTCATGATGCGCCCATCTCAGCCTCCCAAAGTGCTGGGATTACAGGTGTGAGCCACTGCACCCAGCCCAGGCTTTTCTTAATTGGGAGACTTTTCATTATGGATTCACCTTGTTCCTTGTCATTGGTCTTTTCAGACTTTGGATTTATTTATGATTCAATCTTGGTTGATTGGACATGTCTAGGAATTTATCACTTCTTCTAGGCTTTCTGATTTGTTGGCATACATTTGCTCATAGTAGCCCCTAATAATTCTTCAAGTTTCTGTGGTATCAGTTGTAATGTCACCTTTTGCATGTCTATTATTATTTATATTGGTTTTCCCTCTTTTTTTCTTTGTTGGTCTGGCTAAAAGTTTGTCAATTTTATTTATCTTCTCAAAAAACCTACTTTTTGTTTCATTGATCTTTCATATTGTTTTCTTCATTTCAAATTCATTTATTCAGCTCTAATCTTTATTACTTCTTTTTTTCTACTAATTTTGGGTTTGATTTGCTCTTGGTTTTCTTGTTACTTAAGATGTATCATTAGGGTATTTATTTGAAGTTTTTTTCTTCGTTTGAGGTAGGCACTTAGAGGTATAAATTTCCCTCTAATACTTATTTAGCTGTATCCCATAGATTTTGGTATGTTGTGTTTCGATTATCATTTGTTTCAAAAAATTTTTCAATTGTGTTCTTAATTACTTCTTTGGCCCCTGGTCATTCAGGAACATGTTGTTTAATTTTCATGTATTTGAATAGTCTCCAAAATTCCTCCTGTTATTGATTTACAGTTTTATTCCATTGTTGTCAGAGAAGATGCCTGGCATTTTTTAAATTTTTTAAAATTGAGAATGATCTGTGCTGAGAAGAATGTGTAATCTGCAGCCTTTGGATGAAGTAAATATTGTTTAAATAACTATTAGGTCCACTTGATCTATAGTGCTGATTAAGTCCAATGTTGCTTTGCTGAGTTTCTATCTCAGAGATCTGTCCAATGCTGAAAGCAGGGTGTTGAAGTCTCCAGCTATTATTGTGTTGAAGTTATCTCTCTCTTTAGCTCTAATAATATTTACTTTATATATCTGGGTGATCCAATGCTGGGTGCATATATATTTAAAATTGTTATATCCTCTTACAGAATTGATCCCGTTATATTTATATAATGACCTACTCTGTTTCTTCTTATGGTTTTTCTCTGGAAATCTATTTTGTCTTATATAAGTATAGATACTCCTGCTTCTTATTGGTTTCCATTGGTATGGAATATCTATTTCCATCCTTTATTTTCAGTTGATATGCATCTTTATAGGTGAAGTATATTTCTTGTAGGCAACAGATCATTGGGTCTTGCTTTCTCATCCATCCAACCACTCTGTCTTTTGATTGAAGAGTTTGCTCCATTTATATTCAATGTTATTATTGATAAGTACTTACTCCTGCCATTTTGTTATTTGTTTACTGGTTGTCTCATGGTCTTCTTTCTTTCCTTCCTTCCTGTCTTCCTTTCAGTGAAGGTGATTTTTCTAGTGATATGATTTAATTTCTTGCCTTTTAATCTTTACATACCTGTTATTTGGTGAGGTCATATTCTCCTGGTGGGTCTTGATGCTTGTAGATGTTTGTCAGTGCCTGGGCATAGAAAAGTTAGGTGTTTATTGTAGTTTTCACAGTCTGGGCTTGTTTCTGCCCATACTTGGGCAGGCTTTCCAGGAATTTGAAGGGGCGTAGGCCTCAAACCCAATAATGTTGTAGGTCTTGCAGATTCATAGAGCTACATATGGTTTTTGATTTGAGGTTGCTGTGAGACTTGAAAATACTTTCTTACAACCCATCATTTTAAACTGGTGACAACTTAACACTGATTATATAAGCAATGAAATAAACACGTGAACACAAAGAAAACTAATAAAAACTGTACACTGTAACTTCATTCCCCAACTTCTTAACTTTTTGTGTTTCTCTTTATGTCTTATTCTACTCTCTAAGTCTTCAAAAGGTGTTGTCATTATTATTTTTTATTGGTTCATCATTTAATCTTTCTACTTAATAGAAGACTAGTTTACACATGACAATTACAGTGTTATAATATTCTGTTTCTATGTATGCTATTACCAGTGAGTTTTATACCTTCAGGTGGTTTCTTATTGCTCATTTATATTCCTTCTTTCAGGTTGAAGACCTCCCTTTGGCATTTCTTGCAGTACAGATCTGATATTGATGAAAACTCTCAGGTTTTATTTGTCTGGGAAGCTCTTTATTTCTCCTTCACACTTGAAAGACATTTTCACTGGATATATTATTTCAGGGTAAACATGTTTTTTTGTTTGTTTGTTTCCTTCAGCACTTTAAATATGGCCTGCCATTCTCTCTTGGCTTGCAAGGTTTCCACTGAAAAGTCTTCTGTCAGGCATATTGATGAACAATTCTGTTATTTGTTTGTTTTTGTTTTGTTTTTCTCTTCCTGCTTTTAGAATTTTTTCTTTATTGTTGACCTTTTGGAGTTTCATTATTAAATGCTTTGAGGTAGTCTTCTTTGGGTTAAATCTTCTTGGTGTTCTAGAACCTTCTTATATGTTTGAGGCTATTTCTTAGAAATTGTAGACATGCTTCATTGTTTTTCTTTTCTTTACTTTTGCCTCTTTTGTGTATCTTCAAATAGCCTGTCTTCAAGCTTACTAATTCTTTCTTCTGAAGAACCCTTGAAATTTAAGTATACATCAGTGGTTGCCTGGAAGAACCCTCCATGGGGTGGTGGTGGTGGTGGTAGAAAGTCCTTTCTATTCTTCTCTCCTCTTTCCACAAGCAGAGGAGCTTCTCCCTATAGCCACCACTACCACCAACCCATGGAGGTTTCTTCAGTCAGCTTGTGGTGAATGCTGCCAGGCCTGAGACTCACCCTTCAGGGCAATGGGTTCCCCTCTGGCCCAGGGTCCAGAAATGCTGATCAAGAGCCTAGTCCTGAATTTGGGGACTCCAAGAGATTGCTTATTCCTCTACTTCATTGTGGCCAAACTGGCACCTGAGATGCAAGACAGAGTCCCCTTACTTTTCCTCTTGTTTTTCTCAAACGGAAAGATTCTTTTACCATAGCTGCCATAGCTGGGAATGTGCTGGGTCACACCTAAAGCCATCATGTCTTAGAGCCCAAGGCCCATGTCATATTACTTGGGTTTTGCTGTGGGTTATTTTGGACCCAAGGGTTCTTTAGTCAGCAGGTGATGAATCCTGCCAGGACTGGGTCCTACTCTTCAAAGCAGCAGGTTCCCTTTGGGCCCAGGGCATACCTAGAAATGTTGTCCATGAGCTAGGGCTTAGAATGGGTGCCTTATGACTCTGCCCAAGACTGTATCCTACTGTAGCTATACTGCTATCCAAGATGTAAGATAAAGTTCTCTTTACTTTTCACTCTGCTCCCCTCAAGCAGAAGGAATGAGTCACTTTCATTGCTATGAGTTGCACAGCCTGAGGTTGGAGAAGAGGTGGCACAAACACTCCCTTATCCACTCTGGTGTCTCCCTAGGTCATGTGCCACCCTAGTCCACTGTCTCTAATCCCACCTTAGCACTGGTATTTGCCTAGAAATTGTGGTCCTTGTGGCACAGACTGCCTTTCGAGTTTACCCAAAACCCTAGAGCACTTTGGCCCATGATGGCAAGGCCTACCGAGAAACTCAAGTTCCAACCCCTGGAAAGGGTGAGTCCCCTCTGGCTAGGTATGGTCCAAATGCTCCCGCCATGTGTATGTACTAACTGAACCTAGCACAGCTTCACTCTGCGATAACAGGACAGCACTACATTGAATGAAAAGTCTCACAATTGCCGCATTCTATCCCAGGTGCACAGATTTTTCCACACCACACAGCTGCTACCAGTGGATGGGAGAGGAGTGGCACAAGCACTCCCTTAGCCACCCTTACTCTTGTCTCAGTAGGTCATGTCCCCTGCCTCTTCCCCAGTGCCCCACTGCTGCCCTAGTCCACTGGCTCTGAAAGAAGCTCAGCTCTAGGATTTGCCTAGAAATTTCAGTCCTTGTGTTATGGAGATACCAATTTGGTTGTGTAGTAGTTAGTAGTTAATTTTATTTATTTATTTTTATTATACTTTAAGTTTTAGGGTACAAGTGCACAACATGCAGTTTTTTTACATATGTATACATGTGCCATGTTGATGTGCTACACCCATTATCTCATCATTTAACATTAGGTGTATATCCTAATGCTATCCCTCCCCGCTCCCCCAACCCCACAACAGGCTCCAGTGTGTGATGTTCTCCTTCCTGTGTCCATGTGTTCTCATTGTTCAATTCCCACCTATGAGTGAGAACATGCAGTGTTTGGTTTTTTGTCCTTGTGATAGTTTGCTGAGAATGATGGTTTCCAGCTTCATCCATGTCCCTACAAAGACATGAACTCATCATTTTTATGGCTGCATAGTATTCCATGGTGTATATGTGCCACATTTTCTTAATCCAGTCTATCATTGTTGGACATTTGGCTTGGTTCCAAGTCTTTGCTATTGTGAATAGTGCCACAATAAACATACATGTGCATGTGTCTTTATAGCAGCATGATTTATAATCCTTTGGGTGTATACCCAGTAATGGGATGGCTGGGTCAAATGGTATTTCTAGTTCTAGATCCCTGAGGAATCGCCACACTGACTTCCACAATGGTTGAACTAGTTTACAGTCCCACCAACAGTGTAAAAGTGTTCCTATTTCTCCACATCCTCTCCAGCACCTGTTGTTTCCTGACGTTTTAATCATCGCCATTCTAACTAGTGTGAGATGATATCTCATTGCGGTTTTTATTTGCATTTCTCTGATGGCCAGTGATGATGAGCATTTTTTCATGTTTCTTTTGATTGCATAAATGTCTTCTTTTGAGAAGTGTCTGTTCATATCCTTTGCCCACTTGTTGATGGGGTTGTTTGTTTTTTTCTTATAAATTTGTTTGAGTTCATTGTAGATTCTGGATATTAGCCCTTTGTCAGATAAGTAGATTGCAAAAATATTCTCCCATTCTGTAGGTTGCCTGTTCACTCTGATGGTAGTTTCTTTTGCTGTGCAGAAGCTCTTTAGTTTATTTAGATCCCATTTGTCAATTTTGGCTTTTGTTGCCATTGCTTTTGGTGTTTTAGACATGAAGTCCTTGCCCATGCCTATGTCCTGAATGGTATTGCCTAGGTTTTCTTCTAGGGTTTTTATGGTTTTAGGTCTAACATTTAAGTCTTTAATCCATCTTGAATTAATTTTTGTATAAGGTGTAAGGAAGGGATCCAGTTTCAGCTTTCTGCATATGGCTACCCAGTTTTTCCAGCACCATTTATTAAATAGGGAATCCTTTCCCCATTTCTTGTTTTTGTCAGGTTTGTGAAAGATCAGAGAGTTAATTTTAATAATGTTGCCATGATCAGAATCAAGGACCAAATCAAGCCTTTGCTACATTGCTGCTGGACCCAGTGTTAGAAAATTGATAAAATCCTTTGCTAACAAAGCTTTCAGTAATCCTAGGTAACAAAATGTGTTTGCTGTGCAAATTAAACAAGATAACAAATAACAAAACAAATCTTGATTTCCAGATGGCTTTTCCTTGACTATTATGAGTAAGTTGGTTATTTTAGCTCATAGCTCGAGACCTGAGAGGCAGTGTGATTTAAAGAGAAAAACAACTGAGGCAGAATCAGCAGATTTTACCAACTAACTTTCTATATAAACATAGATACATTATGTTTACTGAGTTAACCCTTAATAACTTTCACAGCAGGGAATTAGGAAACAGAATTTCAGTGACTGACAAGAAATAATTATTCCTTTTGTATGTTTTAGATATCACATAGGTATATAAGGATGGTGGGGCGATTAGATTGACAGTTACTCAGTGACCTTGGTCGATGGAGACACTGTCTCCAAAGTGGGGACTATATGATTCTGAAGCTATCATAGAAGATCAAGAAGGATTAAAGAGACACACTAATCTTTACCTGACTGACCTTAGAGATACATATCACTTTTATACATGTTCATTTTCTCAAATCAGTCACAAGGCCACAGTTGACTGCAAAAGAGGTTGGGAAATATTAAGATACATGTGAACAATTTCTATTGATCTACCTTACTTCACTAATACTGCCTTCTGCTGGCTGTGTGTAATCTTCGTTAGAAGCGTCTAGTGAGATTTTAACTTTTGATGTGTGTTATTTTACTGCTACAATTTCCAGCTGATTTTTTTTCCATAGATTTTAATTTCCAGGTTAAATTTTCCATATTTTATTTATTTTGTTTATTTCTTCATGATTTTCTTGACCATGTCAATCTTAAACATTTTAATGACCTTAAGAGCAAGGATTACTATCTGGATCATCGGGGGTATGCTTCTATTGTCTATTTTTCTCTTTTTTTTTTTTTACCTTGCTAAATAATCTTGTATTTAATCTTTAATCTATTTAATCAATAATCTTGTATTATAGATAAAATATGTAACGGTTCTTAATTATGTTACCTCTTTTCTCAGAAGGTTCTCCCTGCCTCTGTTGGGCAGAGAGATTGGTGGTTGATCAACTAGGTACTGGACACAGTCATTGCATCAGTGTAGCCCTGAAAACATTTGGTCTACCACATGTTCATCCCTGTCCCTACAGAGTTTTCAAGTAAACAGGAGTCTGATATATTCTGCAGACTCTCCTCCTTTGTAGGAGCCAAACTTGAATCTTTGTCCCATCAATTCTTTGCTTTTTACTGTCTTTTTCCTTAAAGTTTTGGCTTCCTGACCCATAATGCCCCAGTTTTTGCAATACTAGCCATGTACTTGAGGCTCTCTAAATCTCTACTTATTAGTTTCTCCATTCCAACATAGCAATCCTGCACCAGAGTTTCACTGCGTATTCTGCCTCTTGTCAATGCCCAGAATAATCAAAAGAGCCCAAATAAAATTCTCTGCAGAATCCAGTCATTTCTTCAATATTCTTCTGTCTCCAGAATCTTAGTGTTTCTATTTTCCTTGCCTCAGAAGCTTCCTTCTACCTTCTGGAAAATGTATGCTACATTTTTATTTTGCCTTTCCAGTTGCTCTAGGTAGAAACACTAGTCTGCTGCTCAGCTATTTCATCACTCCCCAAAATAGAATACCTAGGGAAACATATGGAATGCTTGGTAAGCACTAGCTGCCTGTGGCACAGACCAATATATTTTTCTTTTTCTCACATATAGAAAACAGACAATGCCTCTTCAAGTGAGACAACCCAGTGTTCCAATAAGTTAATTAATCAAATTCAAAATCTATGATTTTCATGAGACATTCAGTTCCATTGTGAATCAATTATGAGGTGAATATGTGAACTAAAAAGACAGGTTACCTGCATACAGCCCACATCAGTGTGTAAAATTGAAATAGGAACAAGATGACTGCAAAAAACCAATTCATTTGGACAAAGGAAGACTGAGCAGCACATAGCAGTGACTCCTCTGTAGCAACTTAGAAATTCAACTGGGCAGATGTTTTGAAGACCTCCTACCCTGCGTGGTAGAGGCACCTTTATATGTTTATTATTCTGCTCAGGAAGACTTCCTATGTCTGTCATTTTCCTTATTCCCTGACTCTACCTTTGGAACAATCAGAAGTATTTAATAGTTCAAGCTTATGATAACTTTCCTTTGAAAATGCAGTAGGCTTCTAATTTATTTTTTACCAGTCAGTTCCATGAGTCATGATACTGAAGTCTGCTTTAATTTTTGGCTTTCTTGTCCTATGTCTGTCTCCACACTTATTGGAAGCTACCTTGAGGCTTTCTGAAATGATGTGTCAGTCACACCTTAATCTGGTCTTGATTGTTTTATTTTGTTCAGTAGAACAGATGTGCTGGCCTTTGTCTCTTGAAACCAATTTTAAAAAGCTGTTAGTTTTTTCCAGGATGCAAGGCCTAAATTTCTTTTTGCAAATTGGCTAATTCTTTTTGTGTTAATCACTTTCTTGTGCTATGTTATCAAACACAGCCAAAGGCAAATAATATGCACACTTTCTCTGCAAGTATAAGGTCAGTAACTATAAGGATCTTTCCCCTACTTTACCAGAATTAACAAATATGTTACTTATGCGTAATTGTACCTCCATCTTTCCAGCTTTTATCATTTAACTTGCCCTAGGACAATAGAACAATACCAAATACTTTAGATTTTGTTACACCAGAAGCACATTTCATGCTATATGTGTTGGGTTAAATAATTGCTAACTGCCATGAAGGACAAAAGCCAGAATCTCAGTGGTTCAACAAAACAGTAATTTTTTTCCCTATCCACATCTTTTTTCCAATGCAAGTTGGCAGGAGAGGGGACTTTATAGTCACTCAGGGTCCCAGATTGCTTGAGGGGTCACTATTTTGTGGGTTGCTACAGGAGGAAAAGAGAGATGGAGGAGGCACACAAGATCTTAGGAGCTCAGCTGGGAATTAATATATCACTTTCATTCATAATCCATTGACTGGAACTGGTTATAAGGCTCAACCTAAGTACAAGAGAATCTAGGAAACATAGAGAAGCAAATATAATATTCGGTGAGTGCCCAATTATTTCTGCACATTAGGCAAGATAAGACACCTTCCTGAAGACTGAAAAATAGGAATGCAGATAAGATAATCTTTTAAGTTCTCCTAGCTCTAATTTGTTATTAATCTACGTTTAAACAATTATTCATGTGTTAACAATTTTCTTATAGATAGTATCTTCAGAGTGTTACAGGAAACAGAGGATTTGTCCAATCCAGATGACCTTCTCCATTTTAGGGCAAAATGGAAGAGTCCCTCCCTCTACCCTAAAGAACCCACATATTTTTGTTATGGACTTGAGCATTCACTGTTTTCACTAGAGAGATTTTACACTGCATTTTTTTCTAACATATATTGCATATTTTTTCTAACATATTTTTTCTAACGTATATTGCTTGTACAGATGATAAAGCAGGAGGTTAGAATAAGAGCAAATGAAACAAAATGGCCAACTATTTTTTCCTATTTTGGAAAAATTGCTAAGTAACAATGAATAATATCAATTTTTATGAATTCAGGAACTAAAACTTCCCCATTTAAACTCTGGGTTGTGTTTTTTAATCAAAATTGTTCCTTTTGGGAAAAGAGTAAGATCGATTGCCATTATTAAAGTAAATGCTAATATAAATAGTCCTTATTGATATTTTCCAATGTTAGGTTTGTATAAAAGAATATCTACATGTTCTCATTAAAGTGTTACATTTTATATTTCTTTACCAAATGGAAAGTCATTTTGTATTTCTTCAGTGTCTCTAATTATATTTAGTTTGTATTTATTATGGTGGTAGTATTTTTATTTTCTGTTCTGTTAAAAAGTCTTTGGGGATGACCAGCTACTTGGGAGGCTGAGGCAGGAGAATCGCTTGAACCCAGGAGGTGGAGGTTGTGGTGAGCTGAGATCGCACCATTGCACTCCAGCCTGGGCAAAGCTCCATCTCAAAAAAAAAAAAAAATCTTTGGGGATGAAACAGAGAAGCTTTCTGTCTATTGTTCTATTTGATATGTACAACTTGTGTTCTGGAATGAAGGGGACAATTTCCAGATTAATTTTGTGTTTGTGTGTATGACTGAAATATTACCTACATGCATACTTTCCTTTCTAAATAAATTAAAAAGAGAATCTGAAGTTTTTCTTTTAAGAAAATGGGACAAAATTATTATTATTACTAACACTATTATTTGTTTAGCTAAATGCTTTGTAAACATAGAAATTTGTAACTGTATGGTTTTTGTAAGTTACATGGCAAATTAAAATGATAACTTTATTAAGTGGAAGCCCCAAGACTATGGATGTGCTCATCATCTGCCAAATAAAATCCAGGTAACTCAGCTGGACATGTGCAGGCTTTCCCACTTCTGTATTCCATCTGTAGCTGCTCACCGTGTCCAACCTTGTGTGCTAGCAGTTCTACACAATTTGCTATTCCTCTAACATGCATCAGAACTCCATGGAAATGTCTGCCTCATACTGTTTTGCTTCCCTTTTTATACCCGAGGAATATAGTCTTTACATTATTAAGAATGCTTACTCAATCTGTTATATTATTATTATTATTATTGGGTACATCATGTCTGTTTCCCCAAGTAGACTGTCTTATCAGGGACCAACTGAGTCTGATTTTCTTATAACCTTGTGCCTGATTATAATATGGCACATGTCACATGGTAAGCACTAAGTAATAGTTTGTCAAATGACCAAATGAATAAAGTGTCTTTTTACCTGTTCTGGGGTACAGGACAAGAAAAAAGCTGGAATTAAGATTGCAATAAGAGTGTAGTTGCCAACTTATTAGGGGATCTGCTTTTGGCTCTTTTTTTTTCTTTTAACTTTTTCAAATAGGGCAGACAACATTGTTAAATGAATATTCGTGCATAAAATATTAAGCTATGTTTGTACAGATGCATGAGGATTCACTTCATTGTTTCCTTTGAGGAAATTATGATCTAAACCATGAATAGGATTACAGACGTAGAAAATAAGATAAACATAATCTTGCACAAAATGAATTTGTTTCCTTTACAAGACCCAAACCAGTAAGTCAGAATGGTCTTTTCAATTGGATTTAATTTCTCTTTTTGCCCATTTATGTTACCCATTTTGAATGGTTCACTCTGAACACTTCCTAAGAAATTTAGTTTTATTTCCACTTAATTCAACAACTTAGAAATCCAGAACAT
Organism: Homo sapiens; assembly: GCF_000001405.40. Lineage (NCBI taxonomy): Eukaryota > Metazoa > Chordata > Mammalia > Primates > Hominidae > Homo > Homo sapiens. Next base: position 78,365,881 of record NC_000006.12, on the reverse strand, counting down.
ATAGCAATGACAAGGAAGAGGTATAGACAGAAACATTAAATAGGAGCGATTCAGTAGGCACTTACTCCTGATGCCAGATGACCTCCTGCCAACTCAAGTCCTCACAATATATTTATTGTTCCTTTCACCTTCTATAAGATAGCACTCACTGCCATCTTAGTGCTATTTTCTGAACGAATTTTGATTTTGTTGCCTAAATAGTCCACTCAGCAAAAATGGAAAGAAATGTCAGTAGAAAATGAGCACCCTCTCCCAAATATGCACACGTAAAGATACTTGAAGTGAGCAAAATTTGAACAATAATTTATCGATCCTTTTCAGTGTTGATTAGTATCATTCATGCAATAATAAATATTTATTGAGCACCTATTAAGTGTTGAAGCTGTTCTAGGGAATGGAGAAGTAACATTGTACAGACAATAACTATTCCCTTCGTGGAACTCACATTGCAGGAGATATTTCCTTCTAATGTCTACTCTAGACACTAGACCACAGCTTTGCTTTGAAATTTATTTTTCGTGCAAAAGTTACTTCTTTGTATACATGCTTTTGAGGCAGGATTTTTCTCAACCCCTTCGTTGGACTTGCGATGGGGGTGCCCTGTTTACTCAGCCCACCACCCTCAATCCCTTGCGGGAGGGAGCACATAAGCAAGTGAGTGCGAGATCCAGCCAGCTGCTTTGGGTGCTGGCAGGAGCAGGCTCCATTCGGGCCCTGTGGCAGTGCCCAGCTGCGGTGCCTGTGACCCCCAAAACCCCAGAGGGCATGTTACAATGCTCTCTTAGTTCCGCTGTCCAAGGACAGCTGCAGTGTGTTATCAGCTCAGTGGGCCCCTTGCCATGTGGCATGGGGTGGCTGCCCTCCACCATTGAGGGCAAAGGGCCAATGTGACAGCCTCTTTTGGGTACCCACAATTTGTGGGCCCCAAGCTCTTGTCCGGCATGCAAGAAGAACGAGGTTGCCCGGATACTTGAAGGTTGGTGAAGGCAGATAATTTCATTAAGCAATGTGAAATGCTCTCAGCAGAGAGGGGAGCCAGAGAGGGCCAGGATGGGCAGGTAGTCTTCCCTGAAATCTGGCAGTCTCTGGATGACTCTTCCCTGTAGTCAGGTCATCTCTCTCCCAAAGTCCAGCTGTCCCTCTGAAGTCAAGTCACCTCTCACCTCTCTCCAGTCAAGACGCTTCTCTCCTCTACTGACTGAGTCTACGGTCTTTATAGGCACAGGTTAGGGGGTGAGGTGGGCTGTAGGTAGTTTTGAAAAAGGCAACATTCCATTGGTAAAAAGACATTATTCAGAAAGAACCAGTCAGAGAGAGAGAGTCGGCAAACAGAGATAGAAGTTCTCACTTTGGGTGGCAGGTTTTGGGCTTTTCAGCTTGAAGGTGGGGTTCCACTAGGGCCCTGCCCCTGTCTGCCTAGATTTTCTCTGCCTCCTGCCTCTATCACTTTGATAGAGGCACTTTGAAGCAAACCTCTATCATAACCTAGTGGGCATATAAGGACCTATATAACCTGGTTTTTACTTACCTCTTTAACCTTGTATTAGTTTCCTATTGCCACTGTAATAAACCACAGAATTTTGGCTGAAACACAAATTTATGATCTTATAGTTCTGTATGTCTGAAGTCAATTATTTTCTCTGTTCTGAGTTTCACAAGGCAAAAATCGAAGTGTCAGTTGTCCTGAGCTCTTTTGGGGGAGACTCTGGAAAGGGTCCACTTGCAAGCTCATTTGGGTTGTTTTCTTAAGTCAGTTCCTTGTGGCTGTAGGACTAAGGACCCCATTTCCTTGCTGGCTGTCAATCAGGACTTTCCCTAACATATAAAGCCAAATTCCCTTACTTGTGGCTCCCTTCATCTTCAAAGCCAAAAATGATGGGTTGAATCCTTCTCATGTGCTGAATCTGTCTGACTTCACCATTTTTTTTTTTTTTTTACCATCTAACCAGAGACAGTTCTCTGCTTTTAAGAGCTTTTGTAATTAGATCAGTCTCATTCAGATAATCCAGGCTTATCTCCCCATCTTAATGTCATTAACCTTAGTTACATTTGCAGAGTCTCTTTTGCATGCTACTTTAAATATTCAGTTTCTGAGGATCAGGGCATGGAAAATTTCAGAGGCAATATCTGCTATTCTAAATACTGCAAGCTTCAATTCTAGCCATAACCTTTTCTGCCTTATTACACTTCTACCCCACATCATGAAATTTCTCTTTATACATTCTTAATTTCTAGTCAGGTTAAATGAACTTCTTGAATGATGGAGTTTCTGTTTTCTTTTGCTCCTATGTTCCCCACTCCTTTAATCTGGATATTTTCTACTTTGCTTCCTTCAAGTAGGAGTGCCTTTTTAATGGAATATATGGTGCCTCTCCTGGATCTCTTGTAGAATTATAAGCCTTATCTAAGCATATATATTTTAATTATCTTTTAGATTACCTTTTCCAGAAGGCCAGTGGCCCCAATTTGTAGGAGAGGAAAGTATCTTAATCTGATGCCTAGCCTAGACTCTAAAGTTAGCAGTCAACAAATATTTGTCAGTTGATTACATGACTAGCCATTGTGTTCTAAGTCATGATTTATTTGTCTCTTGAACCAGCCTTGAGCTTAAGGAAGTAATTTTGTCCTAGTGTTTGTGTCTATGATGCCCAATATAGTGTTTAAGGGCTGTAGTGGTTCAATAAAAGTTTACTGATTGATTGCAGCAACAGGAACACTTGATTTTTAAAATTTATAGATTTTACGTTAATACAGTTATAAACTGAACATTTTGAATGTTTGTTTAGAGACCATAAAATCAAACTCAACAGAGCTTGCGGATTTACAGGCTTAAGTTCCTAAATTATTATTGTCAGCTCTTTGAGTTTTGGTATAGCTTGTCTTTCCTTAAATGAATAATTCAACTTCTGTTCATATTTGCTCTACTTTCAGCTACTTTTTCTAATTTGCCTATTTTCTTACAAAAAGGATTTTAAGTTAGTTGACTTGTTTTATTTATGTTAAAATGTCAAGCAATGCACAGTGGATCCATTCAATTATAGGGTTCTAGCACAACCAAATTGCTCACATCTCATGGGTATGCGTGTGCACACACATACACACACACATGCACACACACATAGACACAGTTGGAGTTACTCTATTAATGGAATAAAATTTGTTATTCTACTTGAACTAATCTTTTCCACATGCTGTCAGGTAACATATTATAGTCACTAAAAACCACAGATGATTCTGTATTGTATTCTGAATGACTAAAGATATATGGATTGTATGTAACCAATATTTATTGTGTCTAAATTGTACCTAGTTTGTGAAAATCAGAGAGCTGTATGTTATGAAGACTATGTAAATTCTGCATTAATAAAATAATGTAGTTAAGTGACACACCCAGTTGCTAACTGCATAAGATAAAATTATTGTGTGCACTTAAAAAAAAAGTTATGTCATCATGTTTTCTTAATGGCTTTTCCCGTTCAGACAGAAATTTTACGTTTAATTCTTCCAGGTTTAGGATCTAGACTCTAAGCATCCTTAGAGATCATTCAGTTTCTTCAAGCTTGCTCATTCTGTACTCATTGCCTCAGGAAAGGGGTATAATAGCAGAAGGAAGAGAGAAATTATCATCTGTTAGGCTGTTCTGTTCACCAACCCAGTGGAGAGTGGAAATAACATAAAGAAGAAACAAGGGAGCTGAAAAAAAAATCATGAGTAAGAGGAGAGCTTTCTCAAACATGGACTAGAAAAAGTTATTTTTCTGAGGAAAAGAAGAGGATCAAGAAGCACAAATTTTCATGGGCCTAAGAGGAGTTTTCTGTGCTTAACACCCTAGGCCAAGCTCCAAGGAAGGCCAAATGGCAGCTGGATTTGTGGCTGTCAAGAGCAAGTAGTACCTGTTCTTTATTTCTCTGGATGGAGTTCTCCAAGGCTGTAAGACCTCAAAGAAAAACTGCCTGTGTGGTGGTGACTCCAGAGTATCCCTGTCCCCATGTGGCCTGTGAACATCATGATCATGATTCTACCCCACCTTTCGAGGCTGGAAGTGGCCAATAGCCTCTGGACTAGAGATGGTCCCATAGGTAGGAGCAAGTGAGGCACTGAGGGCAAGCTAGGAGGAATAGCTAACAGAGATAGATATCTAGAAGTGTGCAAGACTAATTTAAAGCCAACTTTTGAAGTATTGATGCACCCCAAAGAAACTGAGAGGGCCATATGTAATATATTGGAGCTAAATTTCTACTAATCCAGTGGAATAGACATTAAGTTGGCTTACAATAAACAAGTATAGAAAATTACATTTCTTGAATGCACAAATGTGAAAACTCGATTCTTACCCACTGCATTAAAAATCTTAAGAGTCTGGTACAAAGATTTTATATAATTTGCCCAATGTTTTACAGTAAAGTAGTGAAAAATATAGGTAGGAATTTAAATTTCTGACTTTAATTTTTTTTTTTATGACACCACGTCGACACAATTGCTAACTATGAAGGTAAGGCTAGTTTTAAATTGTAATGTAGCCAACTCTCAGACACCTCTTGGATAACTCCATATGCTCTTAGCATTATATGCATTTAATGTTTTCCATCACAGTTTGCTAATCTAATACCACATAGTGAATCTGCTGATCAGCCCATATTAAGATAGTCAAGAATACAGTCTAAATTTAATACTTTCTAGATGTAACCAGAGAAGTTAGGTGGATACTTTAATAAAATTTCTAATTATATATGTTTATAAAGAAAGCATAGGTAATCTCTTAGATTTTAGTTTCCATTTGTAGTTGGTGGTTTGCTTTCTCAGGATAATTTAACGGTCATTAGGGCACACATGGCTACCAAAGAATTTGATGATAGGTCTGAGCTCATTAAGCTACTTGGATTTTTGTTGACCAGGGAAAATGTAGTTGCAAATAAATTCTGTCATGGAGAGATCCGTTCTTCCAAAGATTTGTGTCCTACTATAACTTTTCTATAATGTTCCCAGAAACTTAAAATGGAATATAACAACATGTGTTGCCGGTCTGAAATAATTAAATTGTTTTTAGATCATTCTGATAACTGGTGAAAAGCAGAATGTTAAATAAGCTGTGTTCATTTTCATTCAAACATCATGTCCAATAAGTATTCTTCCTACACTTAAATTCTTACCCAAATGGGTTAAGATTTATTTTGGAGATAGAAAAGACTTATTCCACAGAGATCATTGCAGAAAAATAAAAACTGCAAGGTACTCTGAAGAGATAAGGTGAAACTGTGTCTGAAATTTCCCCAGGAGTTTGTGATAACTTGTAGCCACACATATTATATCAGCCTCCCTTCTTTAAACTTCCAAGACTCACTTCCTTAGCTTATGTAGCTACATTCTCCTCTGTCAATACCTGACAAAATTAACAGGGCAGTATTACAGGTTATCCCCACACTAGGATAGTGCAAAGGCACAATGGCCAGACATTCTGTGCTGCACTTTCCAAAGAAGTAAATTTAGCAGCCTCTTGTCTTCCTGTTGATGTTATTTTTTTTAATTTTTTTATTATACTTTAAGTTCTAGGGTACATGTGCACAATGTGCAGGTTTGTTACATATGTATACATGTGCCATGTTGGTGTGCTGCACCCAGTAACTCGTCATTTACATTAGGTTTATCTCCTAATGCTATCCCTCCCCCCTCCCCCACCCCATGACAAGCCCTGGTGTGTGATGTTCCTGTGTCCAAGTGTTCTCATTGTTCAATTCCCACCTATGAGTGAGAACATGAGGTGTTTGGTTTTTTGTCCCGGTGATAATTTGCTGAGAATGATGATTTCCAGCTTCATCCATGTCGCTACAAAGGACATGAACTCATCTTTTTTTATGGCTCCATAGTATTCCATGGTGTATATGTGCCACATTTTCTTAATCCAGTCTATCATTGATGGACATTTGGGTTGGTTCGAAGTCTTTGCTATTGTGAATAGTGCCACAATAAACATACGTGTGCATGTGTCTTTATAGCAGCATGATTTACAGTCCTTTGGGTATATACCCAGTAATGGGATGGCTGGGTCAAATGGTATTTCTAGTTCTAGATCCCTGAGGAATTGCCACACTGTCTTCCCCAATGGCTGAGCTAGTTTATAGTCCCACCAACAGTGTAAAAGTGTTCCTATTTCTCCACATCTTCTCCTGCACCTCTTGTTTCCTGACTTTTTAATGATCACCATTCTAACTGGTGTGAGATGGTAACTCATTGTGGTTTTGATTTGCATTTCTCTGATGGCCAGTGATGATGAGCATTTTTTCATGTGTCTTTTGGCTGCATAAATGTCTTCTTTTGAGAAGTGTCTGTTCATATCCTTCACCCACTTTTTGATGGGGTTGTTTGTTTTCTTGTAAATTTGTTTGAGTTCTTTGTAGATTCTGGATATTAGCCGTTTGTCAGATGAGTAGATTACAAAAATTTTCTCCCATTCTGTAGGTTGCCTATTCACTCTGATGGTAGTTTCTTTTGCTGTGCAGAAGCTCTTTAGTTTAATTAGATCTCATTTGTCAATTTTGACTTTTGTTGCCATTGCTTTTGGTGTTTTAGACATGAAGTCCTTGCCCATGCCTATGTCCTGAATGGTACTGCCTAGGTTTTCTTCTAGGGTTTTTATGGGTTTATGTCTAACATTTAAGTCTTTAATCCATCTTGAATTAATTTTTGTATAAGGTGTAAGGAAGGGATCCAGTTTCAGCTTTCTACATATGGCTATCCAGTTTTCCCAGCACCATTTATTAAATTGGGACTCCCTTCCCCATTTCTTGTTTTTGTCAGGTTTGTCAAAGATCAGATGGTTGTAGATGTGTGGTATTATTTCTGAGGGCTCTGTTCTGTTCCATTGGTCTATATCTCTGTTTTGGTACCAGTACCGTGCTGTTTTGGTTACTGTAGCCTTGTAGTATAGTTTGAAGTCAGGTAGCGAGATGCTCCAGCTTTGTTCTTTTGGCTTAGGGTTGTCTTGGCAATCTGGGCTCTTTTTTGGTTCCAAATGAACTTTAAAGTAGTTTTTTCCAATTCAGTGAAGAAAGTCATTGGTAGTTTGATGGGGATGGCATTGAATCTATAAATTACCTTGGTCAGTATCACCGATCCCACAGAAATGCAAACTACCATCAGAAAATACTATAAACACCTCTATGCAAAGAAACTAGAGAATCTAGAAGAAATGGATAAATTCCTGGACACATACAGCCTCCCAAGACTAAACCAGGAAGAAGTTGAATCCCTGAATAGACTAATAACAGGCTCTGAAATTGAGGCAATAATTAGTAGCCTACCAACAAAAAAAAGTCCGGGACCAGATGGATTCATAGCCGAATTCTACCAGAGGTACAAGGAGGAGCTGGTACCATTCCTTCTGAAACTATTCCAATCAATAGAAAAATAGGGGATCCTCCCAAACTCATTTTATGAGGTCAGCATCATCCTGATACCAAAGCCGGGCAGAGACACAACAAAAAAAGAGAATTTTAGACCAATATCCCTGATGAACATCGATGAAAATATCCTCAATAAAATACTGGCAAACCGAATCCGGCAGCACATCAATAAGCTTATCCACCATGATCAAGTGGGCTTCATCCCTGGGATACAAGGCTGGTTCAACATATGCAAATCAATAAACATCATCCAGCATATAAACAGAACCAAAGACAAAAACCACATGATTATCTCAATAGATGCAGAAAAGGTCTATGACAAAATTCAGCAGCCCTTCATGCTAAAAACTCTCAAGAAATTCGGTATTGATGGGACGTATCTCAAAATAATAAGAGCTATTTATGACAAACCCACAGCCAATATCATACTGAATGGGCAAAAACTGGAAGCATTCCCTTTGAAAACTGGCACAAGACAGTGATGCCCTCTCTCACCACTCCTATTCAACATAGGGTTGGATGTTCTGGCCAGGGCAATCAGGCAGGAGAAAGAAATAAAGGGTATTCAATTAGGAAAAGAGGAAGTCAAATTGTCCCTGTTTGCAGATGACATGATTGTATATTTAGAAAACCCCATCATCTCAGCCCAAAATCTCTTTAAGCTGATAAGCAACTTCAGCAAAGTCTCAAGATACAAAATTAATGTGCAGAAGTCACAAGCATTCTTATACACCAATAACAGAGAGCCAAATCGTGAGTGGACTCCCATTCACAATTGTTTCAAAGAGAATAAAATACCTAGGAATCCAACTTACAAGGGATGTGAAGGACGTCTTCAAGGAGATCTACAAACCACTGCTCAATGAAATAAAAGAGGACACAAACAAATGGAAGAGCATTCCATGCTCATGGATAGGAAGAATCAATATCGTGAAAATGGCCATACTGCCCAAGGTAATTTGTAGATTCAATGCCATCCCCATCAAGCTACCAATGACTTTCTTCACAGAATTGGAAAAAACTACTTTAAAGCTCATGTGGAACCAAAAAAGAGCCCACATTGCCAAGTCAATCCTAAGCCAAAAGAACAAATCTGGAGGCATCACGCTACCTCACTTGTTGATGTTATTATTGTTTAGAGAGACAGCTTTGATCAGCTGTCTCCTACAATGTGTGTAGATCTGCTGCATGTGTGTATGGGGAAGGATTTAAGAAGCATAAGGCCTGATCTCTTGTTCCCATGATACTTTTAGTGTCCTTGTTGTCATAAGACTATCATATGCAAAAGTATTTCCATCTTTGACACTGTTGAGCAACAGTGAACTGTGCCTATTTAGAAGGGATTAAAACTAGGCAATAGGTTTATAAATATTAAAGCTGTGTTTAAAGTTGTTTCCCTTTCTGAAAACTTGACTTGTTGGCTTAGTAATATGGTTATTACTGAAAGAAACAGATTAGCAATATATTGCTTTTTTTTTTTTTTTTTTTTTTTTTTTTTTTTTTTTGCTTTGCCACTATGCAGAGAAATGCTGTAAAATTGTGAGGTATTATTTTTAGCATTGCTATTATGACTGTAATTGGTCTCATGCTTGAAATCCTATAATGGCCTCATATTCATTAGAATAAAATCTAAATTTCTCATAGTAGCCCACACATTTCTATGTGGTCTAGCTTTTAATTTCTTCTTCTGAAACTGCCTGTTTGGCCACTATACTTCATTCTTTTTCCTCTTTCAGGTTCTTAAACATTCCAATTTTTTTCCAACCTCAGTACCTTTGCATATACCTTTTCTTCTGCCTGGAAGATTTCATTTCTTATTTCTAAGTTGTTTCCAAGACTGCCTCTGTCTCTTTCTTCAAATCTCAGCCTAAATACCAACACATCAGACAGACCATCACCAAACTATTCAAATTAGAACTCTCATTCTCTAACAGAGTTCTCTCTTTACTTCCTGTATAGTTCTAATCACAGTATTCTGTATAATTATGCCAGCCATCTCATCACTTGCATATTAACAATATATCCATTAACCAAAAGCCCCATGAATGCTGGGATTGATTTTATGCACCTTTGATAACTTAGTACCCAGGACAGTATCTGATGCACTGTGGTCTCCTAATATTTGTTGAATGAAAGAATGAATAAAGGAAGGAGAAAAGGGGAGAAAGAGGGTGGAAAAAGAGAAGGAAGAGAAGGAGGAGAAAAAAAATCTGCTTCTTTTTCAAGATATGGCATGAAAGAGAAATAAGGAAGAATTTTTCCAGTGCATGAGGCAGATTTGTTGCCTTTTTTATATTGTTATCCCCAGCACTGTACCTGGCACTTAGTGATGGTTTAGAAAAGGTATACAAAAGTAGTAATGGATGAATGAAAAACCATGTCACTCTTTATGTCTAAAGTAAATACAACCTGAAAAAATTAGATGTCTTCAAGAAGAAATCCTGAAAAACTAATGATAGGTGGTTCTAGGATGGCAGGCCCCATAATAACAACCCCTGGATCAATTTGCACCATTGTTTGATGCTGTGAAGTTGAAATAGCTTCAGTTTTAATAAAAAATAGAAAGGGCATTTTATATGTATTTGTGACATTGGGAGATATTTCCATCAAAATGTAGACTTTCATTTTTTGTTTAATATCTATGTGTATAAGCCTAATTATGCCAAGATGAAAAAATATTTAAAATGTGCCCCTTTGAAAAAAATGTAAAAGTTTTGAGAGTTGTTTTGGTTTTAAGTCCAGTTTCAGCTTTGTTTACTTCCAAATAACACTGAAATATGGAAACACTAAAAAAAATTATTGAGATTGTATGTTGGCTTTGGTTCTTTTACTTGCACTCTTTGTATCTGCCCAACATCGAAAACCCTAATTGGCATTTAGCAATTCTGGAGACTAAAAGAACTTAAGGAAGTCTTGTCTGTTTCTTCCAGCTGTATAGTATCATTAGTTGCATATAAATTGGTGTCAGTTTGTGAGAGAATTCCTTATATTTGCTTTATCATAAAAAAAAAGAAACTTTTTTAAGATGAGTAAAATTACTCCTAAGGTGAAATTTTGGGGCAGACTGGCATTAGAAACACTCATGGCACCGAGGGACAGCTCAGGTTACTTCATGGAGGTCTTACTTGTCCCTGAACCTAATACTTTTCTCCTCCTCACTTTGAGTCTGGGAAATCTAATCTCTTGATATCCCAATAGCCCAAAGTTTCCATGTTTTGAAAGACGTGGAATGCAAGGTATCTCAAGGATGTGTTATTAAAATAAAAGCAAAATTCATTAACAGTGGTGACTCTGAACCAGAATGTAGCTTTATAAGTTCTACACTAGTCGAAAACTATATTTCTCAATGGCCTTACAAAACCCCAAATACTTCTTTGGTATTTGCACCCAGGGTAGAGTGCAGCCATGTGATCTCAGCTCACTGCAACCTCCTTCTCCCTGGTTCAAGGGATTCTCATGTCTCAGCCTCCAGAGTAGTTGGGACTAAAGGCACCCACCATCACACCTGCTTAATTTTTGTATTTTTTTTTTTCAGTGGAGACAGGGTTTCACCATATTTACCAGGCTGGTCTTGAACTCCTGACCTCAAGTGATCCACCCTCCTCGGTCTCCCAAAGTGCTGGGATTACAGACGAGCCACTACTCCCAGCACAAATCCCAAGATACTTCTATGACAAGGTTTTCCATTGTCCAACCAAGTTATCTTTTTCTCATCTCTCTAGGAAAACACTTAGCTTTCATGTAGGACTCCAGATACTAGCAAGGGGAACCTGGGAAATCTGTTTGATTTGGCTAGAGTGCTAATTTCCCTTAGGAGTGCAAAGCTTTCATTAAAAGATGTAAGATCTAGTTCTGTCGCTTAGAAACTATACTGTTTACAGTTCACTGCCTCTGAAAGCCAGTAGCTTGCCTGAAGACCTGGGCCTATGTCTGTTATTAACATGCTGATGTACCATGATCAGCAAGAAAGTATATTAATGTTAAGCCAAAACAATGCATGATGAATAGTTCTGTGCAAAGGGTGAGGGTGAGGAAGCTGGTATGGGTTTGAGTTGTGATCAGATCAGAAAAGTCGTTTGTCTCTCTTATAAACAGAAAGGCTCCAGTATTGCTGGTATGGGAGAAGTCAGAAAGAAGGGAACGTAGAGGCTACAGGCACTCTTGAGAACAGTCATGGGAGCTGAGCCCTGAAGAGCCACAGGGACAGAGCTGCCTAACACCTTGGGAGTCCACCCCTTGCATTAGTGTGGCCTGGATGTGAGACATGAAGTCAAAATAGATTATTTTGGAGCTTTGAGATTTAATGACTGCCCTGCTGGGGTTTGGACTTGCAAGGGTCCTGTAGACCCTTTGTTTGGGCCAATGTCTCCCTTTTGGAAAGGGAATGTTTACCTAACGCCTGTACGCCCATTGTATCTTGGAAGTAACTAACTTGTTTTGATTTTATAGGCTCATAGGTGAAAGGGACTTGCCTTGTCTCAGATGATACTTTGGACGGTGGAGTTTTGAGTTAATGCTGGAATGAGTAAAGACTCTGGGGGACTGTTGGGAAGGCTTGATTCTGTTTTGAAATGTGAAAAAGCATAAGATTTGGGAGAGGCCAAGGGTAGAATGATATGGTTTGGCTCTGAGTTCCCATCTAAATCTCATGTTGAGTTGTAATCCCCAATGTTGGAGGAGGGACCTGGTGGGAGGTGATTGGAACATGGAGGTGGTTTCTAATGGTTTAGTGTCATCCCCCTAGTGCTGTCTCATGATTGAATTCTCATGAGATCTAGTTGTTTAAAAGTGTGTCACACATTTCCCTTTGCTCCCTCTTCCACCTGCTCCAGCCATGTAAGATGTGCCAGCTTTTCTGCCATGATTTTAAGTTTTCTGAGGCTTTCTTGGCCATGCTTCCTGTCCAGTCTGTGGAACCATGAGCCAATTAAACCTTTTCTTTATAAATTACCCAGTCTCAGGTCATTCTTTATAGCAATGTGAGAACAGACTAATACAGAAGTCAAATAAATTAAAAAAAGAAAAAAAAACTTCTCATGTTTTCTGTTGTCCTAAATAAAAACAGAAGAGAGTCAAGATGTTTTGAATGACTTCTGCTAAGTTTTAATAAGTAATGAAGTTAAAATCTATCTCTGCTGAAGAAGAGAGATGATCTTACATCAAGGTTTGCATCAAAAGTCACTTAGAGCAGCAAATCCTTGTCATATCCAAGACTTGTCAATCACCAGCTGTCAAGAGTGTTCATCCTATCTCTTAGCCGAAGGTACAAACCTTGTTTGATGAAAACACTTTATTTCCCTTGAGGAAAAATGATTCATAGTTGTCTTTTTTGTCTGTGTAACAAGTATAAAACACTCATAATCTTTTATTTTGGCAAGGTATTGAGATATCTTATTTGCAAATAACAAAGGGCAGAGATTTTTTAAAAAATGTTTATGAATTTTGCATGGGGAGAGAATCCCTATGGAGTCATTCTGCCGATTTTCTTTTGGAGACTAGATTTCTTGAGTCCAAAAAAGAAGCAAAATCATCTTCAGTTACTCACTTTGCTCATTTAAAAAATCAAATATGTTAAACATTCAAAATATTTTTGGGGGTGGTTCTCTGACTGACAAGTTCAGTATGTGAATTATATAAAAATGTGTTGCAAAACAATTTAATTATATAATCACTTTTTCTGTTATCCTCCATGCCAAGAGAAGAAAGTGAAGAGAAGAGCACAGTAGTTAAGCACTGTAGTCTAATTTTTATTTTACATTGGGGAAAAATAGATTTTCATAATCCCATCTCAGAATTTGTTTTCAACCTGCAACTTTGTACAAATTTACAGATTTATGCCTCCAGAAATTAAGGTTATTAATCTTCCCAATACAAAACACTAAACATGCTGGAAAAAATGTAACTTAAGACTTCAAAAACCATTAAACCATTAGTATATATCTCTTTAATGGTTTAAAAATCATCAAACCATGAATATATATCTCTGCTGAAAGAAAGGAAGGTTAATAATCTCCCCAATACAAAATACTAAGCATGCTGGAAAAAAATGCAACATATGACTTTAAAAACCATTAAACCATTAATATATATCTCTGCTGAAAGAAAGAAAGGAAATCCTCAGAGAATAAAAAAGAAATGGGCAGCTACAAAGTGGGGTCAAAATCACAAGCTAATGCTGGGCTACCTTGAGGATATTTGGCTATACTGAGAACTTAAAGCCTTGGGTTTTACAGTCTTTGAAGAAGACACGGGAAAAGTCTTGGACCCAAAACAGTGAGGGGAAAGGCACTCCTACTTAATGTTCATTGTATCCAAATCCTACAACCTTAGTGAAACTAAAAATAAAATTGACCAAATAACAGAGAAAAATGATATTGGAATTTCTCATTGTTGGACTTGCTCCAACTACAGAAGACCATAGCCACAGGCTTGCTCTCATGGAACTGCAGCAAAACTCTGTCTCTCCACATGGCCCAGAAAATCCCACAGTGAGAAGTAAATTCAAAGTGGTCCTACCTTGATAATGTCCTCTTTTGCTCAGCTAAAGCTATCTCACATCCTCCCTGGATAATTTGCCCTCAATTTAGGCCTCTTTTGGATCTTAAATATTAAGATATTATAAATATGAGCTTAATTCCTCAAATCACAAAACACGAGACAATAATTCACCATAAGCAAGAGTTAGTCAAAATGATAAATTATAGAATTGGAACAATGATAATTTAAATAATTTGGAATTACCAGATTCAAAATATAAAATAACAGTGATTACAATATTTAAACAAAAAAGAATTTAAAATATGATCAAGGAAAGGAAAGCTATCAAAACATATATGATATTTACTTTAGACAACTAAATATAGCATTTAGAAATAAAAATAATACAAATGTAAAAGTCAGTGGAACCAATAAACAGCTAATAACACAAGCGAAGAGAATATTGTTGAGCTGGATATTATATATGAAGAAATTAGCCAGAAACAGAGAAGAGACACATAGTGGGTTAATATAGAAAAAATATTGAGACATAGCAGGCAAAATAGATAGATCAATTCTATGTCTTATTGAAGTTACAGGAGAGAAAAATAAAAGAATTGGTAGAAATCAATAGCTGAATATATAAATTCTGAGTTTTATTTGGATTGATATAAGACACAGACTATTCACATTCAAAAAACAAGACCCACAGAAAGACAAATATAAAAAATGTACATTTGGATACATTATAGCTAAACTTTATGTTTATGTATAGCAAAGTAGAAGTTTTTTTATAGTATTTATTTTAAAAAGAAAAAAAAGACAAATTACCTACAATAATTAGAATGACACCTGATTTCTTAGCAGAAAAATGTAAGCCACAAAGGTGGGATAATATACTCAAAATACTAGAAATAAAAATACCTTGTCAATCTTAATTGTGTTCTCAAATGAACTTTCACTTAGTAATAAGGATAAAATAGACGTATTTTTATTAAAAAAAATGAATAGAGTTAGTTTTTATTTGACTCTTTTTGGAAGAAATTTAAATGTGTTCAGGAAAAAGGGGAAAAAATCCAAAAGGTAATACTGAGAAAAAAATAGAAGACAAAGGGAGTAAGTACTGCTGTTGCGAAGTGATTATAATTAGACATACAGCAGGTATTACTAATAAGAAAATACTATAAATAACTTTATATTGGTAAGTTTGAATGCAGATACAACTTACGTGTTCCAAGAAAAATAAAATTTATCATTATAAATTTAAAAAATGCAAAATTGGGTAATTTTGTAACAATTAGGGAAACTGAATCAGTGGTTAAAATCTCACAAAGTATCCTAGATGATACCAATTTTATAATATTTCAGAGAGTAATAATGCAAAACACTCCTTAATTCATTTTATGGTGCTAGTTATACTTTGCAAAGTCATATAAGTACTGTATAAAAATTACAGCTACATTTTATTTCAAAGATATTAGTAATCTGAATTCTCCAGAATCTAAAACAATAGTTTGATAGTTAATTGTGTGTGTCAATTTGAGTGAGCTAAGGGATGCCCAGATAGCTGGTAAAACATTACTTCTGGGTGTGTCTGTGAGGGCCTTTCAGAAAGAGATTAGCATTTGAATCAGTAGACTGAGTAAAGAAGACCAATGTAGGCAGGTATTATCTAATCTATTAAGAGCATGCATAGCACAAGAAGGCAAAGGAAGATGAAATCCTCTGTCTCTCTTTTTGAGCTGGAACACCATACTTTTGTCCTTGGACATCAAAAGTTTCTAGTTTTAGGACCTTTGGACTTCAGGCCTTACATCCATTCCCCTGGTCCTTAGGCCTTTGGCCTCAGACTGGGAATTACATCATCAGCTCTGCTGGTTCTCAGGCCTTAAGACTCAGACTAAGTTATATCATCAGCTTTCCTGGGTCTTCAACTTACAGATGATGGTGTATAATTGATGGTGTATAATTGACGGAACGTCCTGGTCTCCATAACTGCATGAATCAATTCCCATAATCTCATCATTATATACACACACACATTGTACATACACATGTACATGAATTCACATAATTCACAAAATACATATATGTACATATATAGAATATATAGAATAATATGTAATTATATAGAGAGAATATACATAAAGTAGATAGATATTGAATAACAATATATGCTTTCCTAAAATAGGAATACATATGTATATATGTATTCTGTGAATTCTGTTTCTTGGGAAAACCCTGATTAACACAGGTAGTAATAAGACACAAATTATTGTGGAATAATTTTCTTCAATAGTACAAAAATGGTGTAACATGAATTTCTAGATAATTTATAACATACGAAACAAAAATGGTGATATAAGATTTATCTTTTAAAAGTGGAAAAAGTCAAAGATATTACCATAATTTTTTTTCACCATCACACTTGTCCTAGCCAGCAAGTTAGACAAGAAAAATAGAACAAGAATAGGAAAGAAACACACAAACCTGTTTTTATTCAAAGACAATGTGAATATACCATAGTAACCCCCAGAGAATCTCCAGTATAATTTTGGAACTTGAGTAAAATCAATGAATTTGCTTATGTAAGATCAACACATACACACACACATACATACATACCAATTAGATTAATCTATTCCAGTAAGAAACTTTTAAGAAATGTAGTTTAAAAAATAGTATTTAAAGTATCAACAGAATAAACAATACATAGGAATACATTTAACAAAAGTTGTAAACAATCTTTATAAAGAAAATGCAAAATTCTAGTGTAAAAAGATGTAAATAAATGGAAGTTATATTCATGTATAAAAATACTGTAGCACAGGTGTTAGTTTTTCACAAATTGATCTCTTTTAAATACAATTAAAAACAAGATTATGTCAAAATTAGAATCTTGCAAATATCTTTAATTTGTATAAGGCAACAAGGAAAGACCAACAACCAAATAGAAAATGGACAATTCATAGAATCCAAAACAGAATAGCCAAAAACATAATAAATTCAATCTCCCTAATAATTAGGAAAACACTAAGCATAGCCATGTTGAAATACAATTTCATGCCCATCAGATTAATAATGGATAAATATTTAAGTAGAATAATAATACATGCTTTACAAAGATGGGAAGATTAGTATTTTTAATGCCTTCCTGAATTTGAATAAATTAGTTCAACTGCCTTGGAGAACAATCTAGCTATCTTCAGGAAGTTGATAGTGTGTTCATGCCATTATTTAGCAATTCTACTACTAGGTACATGTGCAAGGGTCCTTATATTAGTAATATTTGTAATAGAAACAAATTAGAAATACTCTAAATGCTCATAAACTGGAGAATAGGTTTTTAGATATTTATATAATTGAATACCATAAAGAATCAAAGTATGAATAAACGAGCTAGATATATCAATGTTGATAAAACTTTCAAATATGAGTGCAAATAAATCTACAGGTTATAATTCAATTTTTAGAAAGTTTGAAAACAGGCAAAACAATACCACATATTGTTTAAGAATGTATCCATATTAAGTAAATACATAAAGTATGGAATTTACAAACAGGAAATTGAATAAATAGTAATAAAAAGGGAAAACAATGATTTTGAGGTGGGGTTCATAGGGGGCTTCAATTGTATTGGGGATGTTTTATTTCCAAAGTGGCATAGTGAGTACATGGGTGTTAATTTTATTAAGACCTATACTTTTTTGGTATGTCTTAAGTATTCCTTAAAATAGGAAACTGTTCCTTTCCTTAAAATAGGAAAGTGTTCCTTTCCTTCTGTCATAGGAAGTCGTGTATACAGGAAAGAGGAGGAGTGTAAAAGGAAGGTGAGTGAAGGGAGGTTGAAGAGAAAGAAAAAGACGGAAGGGAGAAGAGGTTGCAGAGCTAGGAAGAATATCCGACTTCATATTCCTGCACAAGTTGTGGAGTGATCATTGAATTTAAATTCCAGCTCAAACATTTAGTTGCAGTATGATCTTGGGCAGTTTACTGAACTCCTCTAAACCTTATATTCTTATCTGTAAAATACAGTACTTATAGTACTTACCTCAACAGGTTGCTACGGTGATAAAACAATGAAATATGAATAAAGCATTTAGCAAAGTTTCTATCATATATTGTGTGCAATTAATCCTAGTAACTATTATTTTAATATCTTATGCCACTACTCAAATCACATCTCCTTCCCTTAGCAACACCTTCTATTTGGTAGCTGAAACACAGTCTGTAAACTATTTTGACGTAATTATTTCGTCTAACAGCACCTGAGGAGACAGGAAAGCTATCCCAGAGATTAAGTAGCTTGTATAAAGTCCTCAACCTGTGAGGATAAGATCTGGGTCTTGAAACAACTCTTCTTGTCCCCAAATCAGTATTCTTTCCAGTCCACTGTTAAAATAGAGTGTCAGATCATAATACCGACAGAACAAACTTTTTGTGGAAATAAGATACAAATTATAAACAAGACCTAAGGCCATGCCAGGCAGGAGTTAGGTCATGCACCCCTACACTTAATAAACTGTTCTCATTGCCACAAGGTTTTTCTTTTTTTCCAGTAGCTGAATAATCACTGGCCTTGAGATAAGCAATGTTGAAACAATTGCAGCTCACCAACCACCAGACACTGACTAATTGACCCTTATGTTCCACAAGCCATCAATACAGCTTTGACTGGACAAGAGATTAATTTCAGTAACTTTCTTCTGATAAGAGACTACCAACAATGGACTGGTTCTGACCAGTTTACAGAGACTGTGCACTGAGTTTCTTTGTGTCCCTGTTTCACCTTTTGACATTTAGAAATTGATTTGACTGCATTTTAATGTTGTCTCCACCCCAAAGTGAAACATGGATCATATGTAACATACATGTTTATTCCGTTTGCTTGTGTTACAACCTCCTTTGTGAATCTTTGAATCTTCATGTCTCCTCCTGTAGTCTGTTGAATATGTATACTTGGACAACCTGTTCAGCATACATTCTTGTCTCATCGTCTCCTCCATCAAAATACTTGATTTTGATCTCTGCTGGAGGATACACTTTCCAGCCTGTCAGAATGGCCACCCTATAGGCTACAAACTTTTATAAGAAACAAAGTCTCCTCTCCAAATTTATATACCTCATGATTATTCATTGATAGCATCATGACTGTCACCCTTAATAGGTGGTAACTTCCATGTGGATAGAGACTATAATTTAGTCTGTTTTGTTGTATATTCATCATAGCACCTTTCTCAGAATTCTTCGGTGTATGACCCATCCAAATTGAAATTGGTTCATGAAAATAACATGAACAATTTTCACCACAATGGATTTTGAATTTCCTTAAATTACTGGTACTTCTCAAATATTTTAAAGCAAGAATGAAAATAGTAGGACAAAACTGAAAAATACTTATTTGTGGCAGAGGTTTAAGTGTCATCAACACTTAACAATAAAAAGACTTGCTTAATAAATTTCAGGGTTACAGAGTTACTCTCTCTATAGTGGTGAATTAGAGTTATAAAAGAAAGAATTAAAATACTAATTTAGGCATTGAGAAGGAAGTTAATCACCGTGTGATTGAAGGACAAGGCAGATTAGACTGAACTGAAACAAAGACATGCAAAATGAAAAGACTGAAGTTTCTAGGTGTTGCATGAAATCTCTTATAGAGGAAACAGCCCTCATACAGTTCAAAACAGAACCCAGGTGCAGACCCCTAATGTGTGTGTGCAGTCTTCAGTGATAAAAAAAAAAAAAAAAAAGACTCCTTTATTAATGCTGAAAAAATGGATTCCAAAGCAATGCCCTTATCTTCCAAATACCCACAATGTGATGGCAAAACCTGAGAAACAGAGACAGGTATGAAGACTTGAAAAACAAATTACTGTCCTTTAGGTGACCCACCAAAATGTTATTTAAATGACAGTGGTGGCGATTAAGAGGCTGTGGAGCCAGGGCATAAGGAAGGACAAGAACCAAATTGTCTTGCTAATCGTTTTCCATGTGATAGAGTAGAATCTATCTGCAAATGTTTTCTCAGTCAAAAAAATAGGAGTGATATTTACCAATTTTATTACTTCAGAAAGTAATAAAATGGAGTGTAAACAATAAAGCAATAACTATATGTTAACTATGACTCACATTCTTGCATTTTATATTCATAGACAGTGCTACTGCTAATAACTGCATATAAATGTGGATAACTGAAAAATGTATAACTAATATTTCTTTGCACAAAACATACACACTGCATGCAGTGAATGGACACAATAATACTATAAAATATTCAAAATCTACCCTTGACTTTCTCTAAAGGATTTTACATATTATTGGGATAGTAATTGAAATTTCTTATAGGAATAATTACAGATATAGGTATTGCTAGCTGGAAAAATATTTTCGTTGTACAGAGATTTCTGTTATAATGGCATATTTTGAAATGGGATTTGACCTGTATGGTGAGAAATAGTTCTTCTAAAGCCATATCCTGAATCCAAACACTGAAGAAGATAATTTAATTTTTCCATGTTGAGTAGAGGCAATCATTCATCTTACTTCACTTTTCACTGTGAAGAGATCAGATCTCAACTGACTGAGAACTTCCATAGAAAACTGTTTGATAGGGAGTTGGGGTGTTGTTCTACCATGTTAAATGCTGGTTCCTAAGGGAGACATTTATCTTCCCTGCTTCAGAAGTCATCAGACATCTGTAAGTGGGTCTAGACCTGCTGGCTGATTCGCAAAGCTTTAATTCATTGCTTACTTAGGGAATGTAGTATTAGTGCAATTGCAGGTTTAATGGAAAAAGTGAAACAGAGCAACAGTGTAGGATGTATACTATTGGCATTCCTAATCAGTGATATTTCTTTGCCCTAACTCTAGGTTTATCATTTTATGGTTATTCAACAAGGCACAATCCATGAGCAGAAAGTGTTATCCACATCGAAAATGTGGAGGTATCATTGTAGAGTGAAAAAAAAAATATTATGGGGAAATTTTTCTTAGTTAATTGGTAAGGAAACTGAGTCTCAGAGTAGTAAAGAGACATGCCCATTGTAGAATTTTTAGGACATGTATTTTAATAAGAAAGAGTCAATCATAATCTCACCACACAGAAGAAGCCTTCATTAGCATCTTAGATTTTAAAAAAATTGGAAATAGCTTCTTTTACTTAACAGTTATCTGCCTATAAACTTGAGTTCATAATAAACATAATGAATATTTCTTAATCTTGCAAAATATGACTTTAGTGGTTTCATAGTGTTGTATTGTATAAATGCATGGTAAAATACCTAAGTAGTCACTTTTTTTGTGTAAATTTAGCTTTCCATCCCCCGAGTCAAGAAGATTCAGATCTTCTTGAGCACATCTGAATACATTTTCTTAGGGTTTCCTTAGGACAAGTTTTTGAAGTGGAACGATTGGGTTTAAGTTACAAACATTTCTGAAATATCTGAAATATCATTGTTACTATATTTATTCATTTATTGTTTCTTTTAACAGATGCTTAGGAGGTCTTTTGATGTGCAAAATGCTGTGCTCAATGCAACTCTGAATATGAGACTACCATGTACATCAAGGGATTTACACTTGATTAAAGGAAATATACAAATAAACAGGCAATTAAAATTCAGAAAGACAACAGCAATATTGGGGTACTATTACTCATGAGATGAAATGGGTAAATATAAATAGTTTTAGGCCCAGGGTTACAAGGTCATGGGAAAGAAAACAAATTTCATATGAAGCAAAGTAAGGTTCTCAGGGAAAAGCCACATTTCAGTTAGAGAGATGAAGAATACCAGAGATTTTTCTGATGATGAATTATGAATTCCAATGGGCACAGTGAGAGTTTCAGGATTTAAGAAAGAGGAAAAGGGGAGATGGTGCAGCCTTATTTGCATAGAGAAGGACAGAAAGAAGTGACGAGAATTGGAGTTTCTGTGTGACTGCATAAACCGAATCCAAAAGCACACACAGATTAGTCCCAGTGGTGAGTGGACTGTGGCTATTTGATAGAGAGAGATGGGATACTGTGCAAAGACTTTCTTCACCCCAGATGAGGTGGCAATTTTCTTTAAAGCACTTTGAATATTAGATAAGTAAGAATATTTTATGAAAATTAAACTATTATTTCCTTTCATGGTTAATCAGCATGACCTTCCCTCCTATGGTATATTGCCTAATTTTGCCGCATTTGAAGGCATCTTGCAGCTCTGGATTTAAAAGAGAAAGAGTGATTCGATAGGAGAGAAACCTATTCTTCACGGTCACTCTGGGACACTTTCCCTACTACAATCATATATTAAAAGGATGGCTCCCTCTGATGATGCTCAGAGTTTCTAACTTTTTCACTCTGTCTATCGGTAAGCATGAACACCAGGGCTGGCAGTAGCACAACTGAGATCCCCAGCTGAAATCAGCTGTAATCTGTGGCCAAGAAGGGCTGAGTTTGTTGGTAAATATATCCAAGAAATGAGCAAAATCCATACTGATGTAACTGTTGTTAACAAAAAATAATTTTTCAATGAATTTTTATACAGTAATTATAAATATAACATCAAAAATTGGGCATGTGGTACTGAGATTCCCAATGAATCATCTGTGTAGCAGACATATTTCTTCCTTTCCCTATTGTGTCGTAGCAGCCCTACTTTGTCCTCATGACTAGGGTCATTTTTTTCCAGGATAATGTTACTATTCCTTGTATGCCTCTCTCGGCTGCTAGATTCCTGCCATGTCTATTGTAGATATGTTTGCTTTGTGAATCAGGAATTTTACACATGCAGAGTATAGGGTTGTGGGGGTGAGAATCTCAAAATGTCCAAGGAGAGTGAGGCCAAGGAAGGTCTCTACAACTTCTACTCTTTCAATCTTGGACTTTAATGTTGAAAAATAATAATAACAACAAAAAATGGCTGCTGATTTAGAATATATAACGCATCCTGGAAGATAGTGCCTTATCTCTGCATGTTATGAACTCAAGCCTAACTCCTCAGCTTTAAAAGGTCATTCCATTTACTGTATCAGGTACTGTGATATATTATAGGATCAGTAGATCCCATGTTCACATGACTGATTTTCATCTTCTTCTCTGTAAAGTTTGTTGTTTGGTACACCGCAGTGTTAAGTGGGCTGCAGTGTCAGAAAATTAAACACTAAGTCCTGAGACAGTGGTACTTGTTCAAGCACTACAGGCAGAAGAGGAATATGTGCTCCCTGCCCTTTCCAAGGTGGAAGGGTTTCAATGTAATCAACTTGACACCAAGACATTATTGACCTAATAGAGAGATGATGCCATTTTGGGAATACAGTGTTATCTCTCCAGATGGCAGTTTGGACATTTGATTGTTGTGGTAGCTAAGTTAGCCTTGGTAAGTAGAGACTTATGTGTGGCCCACAGATAAATCCTCATCCCTGCATTCATAATACTCCATTTATCTTTCCATTGTGACAACACTAGGGTGGAAGATGACAGAAAGTTGGCTAACATCAAATGGTTGAATCACTATGTCTACTTAGTTATTTAGTGCCTTTTCTAGTTGCAGGTGTCCTCTGGTTGGCAATTACATACAGCACAAAAAATTTCACATTTTGTGTCCAATTTTATAGATTATCTGTGCCTCTTGTCCCTAAGCTTCCAATTTTTTTCCTTCCTGGAAAGGCAAGCCATTCTCTACTTTCCATAAAACCATATATATTATTCCCTTCCTGCCGCTTCTTTATACATGAAATCGATGACCAGATGTACTACCCAAAGCACTTCCCTTTGGAATAACTGACCTACTGATGTATTTCAAGGACCTCACTGAGTAATATCATAATGCAGCAGTACTTCATTTTGGCATATGCCCCATACAGAGCTGAGCCATCTGTGAAGCAACCTTACAGTATTACCTCTTCCGTCAGTTGTGTACTGAGGAAGAAGTGCCAATAATACAGTGGTAGACAACGTAAGGTTCTATGTAGTATATGTTTGATCTCTGGTCCTATACTGCCCAATCCTGAATGTATCATTTTCATTTAATGGTGGATTAGTGTTAGCCTGCCCAAATATTACTTAATGGACCTGACCAAATCCAACTAATGCAGTTCTGACTGCAGGCTAACTTGATCTTTCTCTATCAGGGCCCAGTAGCATAACCGTGACTGTTCCTTCAATGAGGTATATAACTCTCTGTTAAAGATGGAACACTTTTTTTAGTACTTACTGTATTAGTCTGTTTTTATACTGCTAAAAAGCACTACCTGAGACTGGGTAGTTTATAAAGAAAAGAGGTTTAATTGACTTACAATTCCTCATGGCTGGGGAGGCCTCAGGAAACTTACAATCATTGTGGAAGGTGAGGGGAAAGCAAGGCATGTTTCACAGGGCAGCAAGAGAGACACAGAGTGAGGGGGGTACTGACAAACACTTTTAAGCCATCAGATCTTACAACAACTCACTCACTATCATGAGAACAGCCTGAAGGAAACCTCCCCCATGATCCAATCACGTCCCACCAAGTCCCTCCTTCTACACATGGGGATTGCAATTTGAGATAAGATTTGGATGGGGACACAGAGCCAAACCATTTTATTTATTTATTTATTTATTTTGACACAGGGTCTCACTCTGTTACCTAGGCTGGGGTGCACTGGTATGATTATGACTCACTGCAGCCTTGACCTCCCAGGCTAAAATGATCCTTTTGTCTCAGCCTCCCAAGTAGCTGGGACTATAGGTATATACCACCATGTCCAGTTAATTTTTTTTATTTTTATTTTTTTGTAGAGCAGGATCTCACTATGTTGCCCAGGATGGTCTCAAACTCTTGGGCTCAAGTGATCCTTCCACCTTGGCCTCCCAAAGTGCTGGGATTACAGGCATGAGCCACCACAACTGGCAATATGGAACACTCT
This sequence comes from Homo sapiens, assembly GCF_000001405.40. Lineage (NCBI taxonomy): Eukaryota > Metazoa > Chordata > Mammalia > Primates > Hominidae > Homo > Homo sapiens. The sequence continues at coordinate 78,341,114 of NC_000006.12, read as the reverse complement.
TGCTCCAGAACCCTAAAGGCCTCAGTTTTGATTCTCCTATTGGGATTTGCCATAAATTTTATGCAACAAAAATTTCCATCACAGCTCCCTCTAAGACTGTAGAGTCTGCTGATTCATATGGCTCATTTGATAAGGCTGCTTGCACAACAGCTTGAACCTTTTCCAGTATATCTTCTTTTATGTGCCCTGTTAAAAGCTGGCCATCTTCCATGTCACTTGGTAAATGTGTTGGAACCATTATTCCAAGTGTGGATTATATTGCCTCTAGTACTTGAAGAGGCCTATCTCTCAGTGCTGGAAGATGTAGAATGCACTAATTTGAATTTTACTTTGGGAGGAAATGCTAATGGTCCCATGGTCCCGATCATGGGACCATTAAATATTCACTGGTGATGTAGTAATCTAAGTATTTGTAGAATTTTTTATTTAACAACTAAATAAAAGTGGACCACATTTACGTTACCAAAGATTCCAATATGCTTGTCATTTATTTTCTTTTTCTGATTAAAATTAGTCATCTTTAAAGTAGACCTGTGTGATGTTCTGCAGAAAGTCCTGATAGATGGCCCAGATAACTATGGACTATTGTATGACAGAGAACAGGAGCATTAAAATAGCTTTTGGGCAATATTTTTAAAATATACTATTGTTTCTTTCATTTAATGTGAACTATGTTTCTCTTTTCTGATAGTTTTGGAAAAATAAAGCATATAGCATCACATTATGTTCCTAAAGCCATGCTAATCTGCTCTAGCAAAGATACCACACCTGCATAACCGTTGCAACTGAGATTACAATTTGATTTTCAATAGCCCACTGTCATCCTCCAGCATCCATTTGGTTACTGAAAAGGCAGAGACTGGTGAATTGAAAGGGGTTCTGATGGGAAGCATCATCCCTGTATTCCTTGGGTGTTTAAGAGTGGCATTAATTTCTGCCACTCCTTCTGAACAGTGTTGGGCTGCAGTTGTTCAACCTACCTGGATCCACATGATTGTTCTGAAATACAATAATGTTTTTTCTTTAGCATCTTGGCCAAAGGATGAAGTTTCAGAGGTTTCTATTTGACTTTCCCTTCTATAATAATTCTTAACCTTCAGAGTAAGAAACCAACATGGAGACTTTTGCCAACTATTAAGTATTCCCCATCCAATAATATTTGGGGACAGAAAAAATGGACACTAAGTATATCTGTGGACCCAATGGATCCACTGTGAGTTGGATTGGTGCCAGGGCTTCACACGGTTCTCATATAAGTCTTTTCTACCTCCTCTCCCTCCACTACTCTAACAGGGGGACCATGGTGGCATTTCAGGTCCTTAGGTCACTTTGAACCATATCTCCTATAGTCTTTGAAATGTCTAGGTATTCTCCATTCTGCAGTGTATGTTCACACAAGAAGTAACCATAATATCCTTTGTGGAAGAACTGGAAGAATCATTATTGTGAAAACTTGCTGTGGTATTGTAGGGCCCTTCATACTAGGGACTTGGACTCTCAGTCAATGAATTCCATGGCTCAAAACTGGCCTAAACCCAGAAGATGGGCAAGAATTGTGACATATCTTTAAAGCAGCTATCTTCAGACTTCTGATTGGTTATTTTTGATCTGTTTTACACTTAGAAGACTGTGCTTCTTGTACTGCTGCTGTAGTTCTCCATGGGTCTGAAGTCCTGGTTGCCTCTCCAGTCTTGATGCTGATTAAGATAATTAAGTCCACCTTAATTATGATGATTAAACATTATCATCTGGCCTCTAGTATTTGGCAATGTTATCCTCACTGGTAATAAAAAGCATTTTCTTAGATATGTCCTGATGTGATTTCAATATGTAGCCAAGTTTAAGAACCACTGTTTTGACATATTTATATAATTTTGACTTAGATATGACACTTTATCTTGTTAACATATGTTAATGGAAGTCTATAAAGTTGTGACAATTATTTTAGATCAATTGTTTTTTAAATAGTGCCTGATTATTACTGCTGTACTGTAGACTTAGAAATGGTAAAGATAGTAAACTATGTATGCATATTTTACTTCAATAAAAAATAAATTTTATAAAAGGAGAAAAAAGGAAATGCACTTAGGTTAGGAATCCAGGCCTAAAATAGCATTTGCAAGATGGTCCCTGATTCAAAACATCTCATAGAGTCACCAACTGATCGGGGAAATCCATTTGGAATTGTCTTTGAATGATTATATAATTTTGGGTAGGTTTGTTACAATAGACTGTCTTCCTCTAAATAATGTAATTTGAAAACCAAAAAGATTTCATAGATCTTTTTACAACAGCTTCTTTCCTATCAAATTTTCCTTCATATTATATGTGTACACGTACATATTTTAAATAGAAATAATATTGTTTGTTTTAGTGTGGTTCCTATCATCACATTTAACCTTTATTTGCCATATTTTATTGAGATCATATGAACACAGATACTTTCATTTAAGGTGTTAGTTGTTTTTCTCAACTTTGGGTAATGTGTAAATTAGGTAAGTTCACTTATGCTTTTCTCCAATTTCATTGATGAAACTGTTGAATAGAAAAGGGCCAAGTGTGGAACCCCGCAGTTTACCTCCTTCACAGTAATAAAGATCCATTAATCAATATTTTTAGGCTACAGTTGTTCAACTAGCATGGATCCACCTAATTGTTCTGTCATCCAGCTTACATTTTATCTTGTCCACAGGGAATCGTAAGAGAGTGTGTCAACTGTGTTGTTGAAACTGAGACATACTGTATCTACAGCATTTCTGTTTTTGTTTAGAAACAATAATAGTAGCTACTTTTTGACAGAAAAATTGCTAAGCAGTTATCTAATTTAATCACCACATCATTAGAAATTATGTACTGTTATTATATTCACTTCACAGATGAGGACAGTGTGGGGAAAAGAGGTTAAGTGATTGCATTAGTAGTAGTCACACAACTACTGAGTAATTCAGATCTTGGATCTTTTTTACTTCAAAGGATGTTGCCAGAATAACAGTTGTATCAAAAAATAAATTGATAAGTAAAAATCCAAAATCATCATTTTATTTAAATTAATTTTACCGTTTTTATAACACTATTTTTCCATTACTCAGTTTCATTGTTCTAAATTTCTGAGTGTCTATTCCATTCATATTCTTAAAGTATTTTCAGAAAAAAATTTAAAAATAATATTTCCATTTAATTAGTGCCAAGATGTTAAATAAACCACTGGGAAAGACACTATTGGGAAAAAATATCTTCTAAATGTATTTCTGAGATGAACTAGAAATTCCAATTAAAATGAAATCGACTTATCTTGACAAATATAGCAATGCTGACAACACTTCTCCGGATATGGGTACTGCTAAGAAATTGATGACATTCCAGTGACTTCATCATATATATTAAAAATAAACATTTGTTATCTGCTATGAAATTTTATTAGATATTTCAAAACGTCTTAGACTAATTTCCATGTAAATTATTGTATTGTTCAATTCATTTAACCATCACAGAGTAGACTGTAGCATCCCTTCTATTTATGTTTGTAGAGTTGTTTAAGTCCTTTATTTCTATTTTACACATGTTTGTTTAGCGTGTTTTCAACTTGACAAAAAGAATGTGGAAGCCGGGCGTGGTGGCTCATGCCTATACTCCCAGCACTTTGGGAGGCAGGGCCTGTGGATCTCTTGAGCCCAGGAGTTCGAGACCAGCCTAGGCAAAAATGATGAAACTTAATCAATCTCTACAAAAACCTACAAAAATTAGCCAGGTTTGGTGGCATGTACCTGTAGTCCCAGCTACCTGGGAAGCTGAGGTGGGAGAATTGTTTGAGCCCAGGAGGTCAAGGCTGCAGTAAGCCATGATCATACCACTGCACTCCCACCTAGGTGACAGAATGTGGAGAACAGGGAATATAGATTTTAAATGTTTCTGTAGTCTTCACATCATTACCCAGTTCTTTGCCAACAGTAACATTCAATAAAAATTGTATTGATTTTGTTTAGGACCACATGTTTTTTGGCCATATCAAAGTTTATATTGTTACTAGATGGACTTCTTTTAAGAAACATAACAATAAAAATGCTTTTGTTATTTTAAAAATGGAGTTAAATAGTTCTCTAATATGCAGAGAGGGTTCTATGGTATTTAATTTTTTTAATTTAATATTGACTAATGAAAGAAATCTACTCTGGAAGTGTCAGACATAATCCCTAGGATATCATGAAGTATATTTCATAAAGTTGAGAGAAAAAATATGCATGTAATTATAGTATAAGATACTTCAAAGAAGGGAGTATAGCTAAATATGAAAGGGAATTCAGTTTTAAAGTTTTGTAAACCAACTTCCAAAAACTTAGAAATCCAGATATTAAGGGAAACAAGTAAGCTTATAAAGTTATTCTTTAAAAAGTTCATATATCAAGGAAATATAAGCAAAATGTGGACAGTATACTTGTGATAGCAGTTTCTGAATGTTTTAAAATGAAATTTGGAAGAGTAGATGTATATCATACATGGGACATCTTAGAACATGACTTAAGGGATCCTTTTATATGCCAATGCGCAATGTAACTTTTTTTTTTTTTTTTAGATGAAGTCTCACTCTTGTCCCCCAGGCTGGAGTATGATGGGGCGATCTTGGCTCACGGCAACCTCCACCTCCCGGGTTCAAGTGATTCTCCTGCCTCAGCCTCCCGAGTAGCTGGGATTACAGGTGTGCACCATCACGCCCTGCTAATTTTTGAATTTTTAGTAGAGATAGGGTTTCGCCATGTTGGCCAAGCTGGTCTCGAACTCGTGACCTCAGGTGATCCGCCTGCCTCAGCCTCCCAAAGTGCTGGGATTACAAGCATGAGCCACCGTGCCCGGCATAACTTTCTAAGAGAAGTAGCATGCAGTATCGTACATATTTATTTGATGTTGGACATTTTATACGTAGATCATTTTTACAGACCAGCGGTCAACTTTGGGAAATGCCACCCTACTATGGCCATAAACGACTAACATGAACACTCTTACACAAGAATGGTGTTAGGATGGTCACAACCCATACACATTGTAACAGCATGATTAAAATCTTTACATGGAGCAAGAATACAAACATAAGGGGTAGGTTTGCTTTTTGGGGCAGGCAGGGGATATTAATAATGCTAGGAAATATCAAACTTTTTCACCTCTGCTAGTAAGTGGTGATGTTCAAAATGGCTCAAATAATTATTCTATTGATCTTCAGAGTTTCTTCTAGGACTATTTCTTTCAAAACTAACATTTTGTGTTTTTGTGTTCCTAAAGTTGTGTTGATTCTTGGCAAAAATCATGATGAAGTTTTAAACAGGTGAAACCTGTATTTATGTGAGTGCACTTAGAAAGGCATGTGGGTGGGTGATGGGGGATTTTTTTATTATTGTTGTGCCAGACTAGACAAGTGCATTCTTCCAGATTTCTTCAACCAACCCATGGAAACACACAAAAGGAAGAAAATAGCAGCATTAGTAATGGAAATTGCATAAAGCAAATATTATACACAAAGTGCAAGGAATGGTCCACTGATTTAATCAGAGATGTAGATGGATTTCAAAGCATAGTCTTGAACTTTATACAACCTATGACAATCTCTTACCAAAATGGAATAAATGGCTTGGCAAAAAGTTAAGTAAAATATGAGACTGCCTCCAACTGATTTTCCAGTTCAAAGACACAGGCATTATACTCAGTAGATTATTGTTTAGCTTTCCTCTGAATCTGAAATTACCCTTGGAGCTATCTAGAACTGGAGTCATGTCATCATCATAAATTTCCCTTGGCCTATGTCTCTTCAGTCTTCTTCCACAATATAAGACCATTGAATTTTCTGGGGAAAGGAGAGGACAGATTGAATTATGGGTTACTAGTTTACTTAAGACAAGTGTTAAAACAGGAGGAGAGACAAATTATTAAATGTCACAAATATTTGCACTGGCCTGTGTATTAGAGGGATATAGATACTGAAAGGCTTTGCATCCTATGTTTAGAAACTGAGATCCCTTCCTCCATTACTCAAACTACCACCTTTATGCCTATGTTTTTATCTCTCACTACAAAAGCCTCATCAGATATAGCAATTGAGATTAGAAAACATCTACCTGATGCCTCACTAAGGTTTCTGTTCTTTTTTGAATCTCAATTAATGTCAAGTAGAAGTATCAGAGATTGTTTTATTTCTTCAGAGAAGAAAGGAAAGACTAAAAAAATACATTTCAACCAAACATGAGGTTAAAAATTCTAACACAACTTTGTAATAAGAAAATGAGCTTCTTTATAATATCTGATCTCTACCACGGATACTCTCATTTGAGTGGAGGGGACTTATCATGCTAATAGATGAAAGAGACTCCTGCATTCAATGAGATAGTCAACTGAGTAATTCCACAGTCTATTCCAATTCTAACAGTTCAAAAATTAACAAATGGCCTTATAATCTTGTGCCTTCTGTATACTTCAAGAGTGCAATATAAATCACCTTGAAATAGTCTACTTATATAGTTCAGAGCTAATTAATACCCATGGAGAAGCTTAAAAGCACACATAGCACACCTGTGACACATCATTTAAACCTTAAAACTATTTAACCTACAACCACACAGTCATAGGATAAAAGAATATCCAATCAATGATGACTTACTTAGTTGAGAAGGAAACTACAAAACATCTACAAGAGCTGAGCATTGAATGTTGGGAGACAATTACAAAGACGGGACTAGACTGGTAAACACCAGTCAGAAGCAAGATGACACACAGACACTAAAGCCACATGACACGTTAGAGATATGTTGATGCAAACAGTCAAGTAGGAGAAATATGTGATTGCCAAGATAAAAACAGAATAAGATCATGCTGTTAAATTGCAGATTCACATCAGTGTGATAGGCACATTACTTGTTAGTATCAACAAGCAATAGCCTTTTGCAAATTATCTAATTTTTAGTATTAGTGGTGACTTATAAAGAATATAGGACTGTATGTCTCGTTCTGTGACAAATCAATTGTAGGAACTTGAGCAAGTCAATTAAGATTTATTGCTTCAGTTTCTTTCATTGCAAACTGAAAGGGGTTGAACTTGAACAGTGTTTCATTTTCCACAGTGTTCAATGGAATATGCTCCACTAAAAGGAATATACTAGGCAATATCTAAATATAAGAAAAATGCACTTATACTCCCTAAATCTATAAAAACAAAAGAAAATTACAAAAAGAGAAAAGGCATAATCAAATATATATGAGGGTCTGGGTGTGGTGGCTCACGCCTGTAATCCCTGAATTCTGGGAGGCCGAGGTGGGCGGATCACATGAGATCAAAAGTGTGAGACCAGCCTGGGCAGCATGGTGAAACCCCTTCTCTCCTAAAAATACAAATATTAGCTGGGCATGGTGGTGGGTGCCTGTAATCACAGCTACTCAGGAGGCGGAGGCAGGAGAATTGCTTGAACCCAGGAGTCAGAAATTGCATTGAGCCGAGATCTCACCACTGTATTCCAGCCTGGGTAACACAGCGAGACTCTGTCTCAAAAAAAAAAAAAAAGTAGATATATATATAGTATATATCTTATATACTATATATATATTTGTATGATAAATTACATAGTGTAAAAAATAAAACTTTTTAAGAAGAAACATTTAAATATTAATATTTTCCTCTAAGCATATTTACTTTTTTGGCAACTGTTTTTCCCCTCCACCTGCCGCTTCTATCCCCTCCTTCTTTCCTCCACTTTCTTCTCTTCTCATTTCTCTCCCTCCATTTCTTCCCCCCTTCTTTCTCCTCCTCCTCCTCCTATTTTTGAAATGTATCAACATCTCTTTTTCTCTGAAAAACTCTTTTGGAAATTACAGAAATTCTGAGCTTCAGAAATAGATGTTATAAAACGTGTGTTCCACATCTCTGAAAGAATGCTCTTTCCCACTGCTGCAAATGTATGACTTCAAGAATTCAAATATAGTTTTGTAATTTAAAATTTAAAATGTCTACTATTGATGAAGCAAATCTAGAAAAAAAATCTATTTAGAATGCAGGCATATACTGAAATACAGCAAACAGATTTACCTACTCTTTCTACTGCAGAAATGATCTGGGATTAGTTCTTTAATCATGTATACACATAGAAGACAAGTTTTGCTTGTTCATTTTGAAGTTGATGTAATAGCTAATCACGACAGTGGTTGATTGCTTGCTTTGTAGCAGCCTCTGCTTTCTATCAGTACTCACACAAACAGAATGCAGTGGTTTTTCTTGTACTAAAGATGATAAAACTGGGGATTAGAGAGGTTTAGTAAGGTCACACACAGTGTCAAACCTATGTCTTGAAACCATGTCAGTATAGAACATTTACTCTTTGCTAATATTCCATACCGTTATTCATTTGTATTACTCCAGCAACAATTACAAGTAAAAATTTTAAAACCCTCTGGGGTACAAATTACAAATATGTATCTTTATCTTGGAAAGTAATAAGTACTAAGGAAATTTATTGGATCCTGAAGGCCATAGGAGAATATTGAGTTTATCGCAATACAGGATAGACTTCATTTCCTCTGCTTGAGACTGGGAACGGCACTGCATTTCTATGTTTTTTAGTGGTAATTTAATACTTGTCCTCTCTGTCTACATCTCTGCCTTTTGCCTTGATATCACTGAAGTTTCTCTTACCTAGAGTTTAATGCTTTTCATCTCTTCTGGAGTATATCTCATCCTTCCTTCAAGGTCCATTTTAAATGCCAATTTCTCCATTTAAATTTCCTCCTTTCTTTTAAATAAATGTAAATTTGCCTTTTCCTCAAATGTAGAAATAGTATTTTTTTCACTGCTTTTACTGATTTCCTACTATATATTAGGCACATGCTAAATACAAGGGATATTTTTAAATTAAAAATATGGTCTTGTCTCTCAAGGAAATTACATTCTAGTGGAGAAATAGATACATAAGCAAAAGAAAAAACAAAGCAACAAAATGTCACAATAATTAAGGTGACCATATGATTAATTGTCTAATCTGGGCCATTTTTGAGAGTGAGAGGGACAATTAGTAATTATGCTTAAACCATAGGCATGACTCAGGACTTTCCCAACAAATCCAGACATACGGTTGATTACCTTATAATGGAGCTGTGCATGCTGAATATTATCAAAAACAGATGAGTGGCAAAGCTAGGGGTGGGAATGGTGGCAGGGATCAGGAAAGATTCGACAGTAATGTTTACTGCTTTCTGTCTTGTATTACTTTTATTTATACATTCATCTTTTTTTGCCACCAGGCTTTAAGAACTTTGAAAGAGGGTTTCATATTCTTTTCATCCTCTCATATCCCACAATGCTCACAAAACAACTTCTTGTAGGTAGATACTTTATTGTTGAATGGAGGTATTGGTTTCCCTGTCGTGTATCAATGCTCTCTTTCTGCTGGTTTTAAAAATGTGCAGCCGTCGTTTTCAGATATATTTCTACTGTCTGTGCATTTTGACTGTCATTTTCTTTTTAAATTTGTTTATTTGCAGAGCAAATTTAATTATAATGTATATTACTTAGTTCTTTATCAATTCTGTAAGGTTTGCTTGTTATCAATAAACTATATATGAGAGAAGCAAAAGAGAGCCAGAACGGTAAGTCAACAGATGGTATGGAAACAATCAGAGGAGAAGACTAGGGGATGGATTATACTGTGTGAGATGAGGAAAACAAAAATAAAGTAAGTCCAGCGTTGTCTGAGCTCTGGCAATCACTCAGACAACCTCTTGAAACTAACATTCCCAATTTTTAAACTTGAGAGGAAGTGCTTGTTCTACCCAATGGGGGACAAGCCAACATTTTGACAAAGAGAGAAGGGATTTGGCCTCCTCATCTTTTCCCCGGTGCCCAGGAGGGATCTGCTACACTGTTTGGAGAAGCCCACCTTCCCCTCTCTCAGGGTGTGGACAAAACCTAATCGGTGTAGAACAAGGCATCCTTCTTCAGGATTCCACAGATGTCATAATGAAAGAGGCTGGCAAAGAACTGTAGGTTAGAGAAATGCCAAAATGAAATGTATGCCCTCCAGCAAACAAACCTTATGCCTGGGTGTCCGGCACACACAGACTGAGTTCAAAGCCTGACTGTGTCAATGACTTTTGACAAGTAACCCGACCTGTTTTTGTCTTAGTTTTCTCATTTGTAAAATGGCAATATTAGTACTGAACTCATAGAGATGTTGTAAATATTAAAGCATATAAAATGTCCAGCATGTAAGCACCCTAACAGTCGCTGTAATTATAAATATTATTGCCCTTAATGCTACTATTTGGTGTTCTAAACATGCTTTCTAGCATTAAAAAAAAAAAAAAAAAGAGGCAGGCTGGGAGCAGTGGCTCAGGCTTGTAATCCCAACACTTTGGGAGGCAAGGGCGGTTGTATCACGAGGTCAGGAGTTCGAGATCAGCCTGCCCAATACGGTGAAACCCGTCTCTACTAAAAATACAAAAATTAGCCAGGCGTGGTGGTGTGCACCTGTAGTCCAAGCTACTCAGGAGGCTGAGGCAGGAGAATTGCTTGAACCCGGCAGGTGGAGGTTGCAGTGAGCCGAGATAGTGCCACTGCACTCTGGTCTGGACAACAGAGCAAGACTCCCTCTCAAAAATAAATAAATAAAAAATGAATAAGGCAGATTAAAGTAGGAAACACACAACCTAGGAATATGTTAATTTGATCAATTCGCACATATTATTTACCAAGTCTTAAAGGCTATTGCACTTTAGTATAATTTTTTATTTTAGGCAAAACATGCTGGGCTTGGTAGTGAAAAGGACTATTATGAAATAAGAAATGAAAAAAAATGCTTAAAATGAAAAAACATTTTAAAAAATTAAGCAAGATAAAAGTGTTTTTTTCATTGTGCTCTTTCGTATTTAGAATTCTCTTCACTTTGGAAGTTATAAATACCTTATCCAGTGACTTTCAGAATCCTAAGGGCTTTATTTGTAAAATTATTAGTCTAGCGAGTAAAGGGGTGAAGTAAAACTTGAGTTAATTTTTGTCAAATTTTCCACGCTCTGAAAGCAGAAGAAATTGGTACATTCCTGTAAATCTAGTAAAATGGCTCTAGGAAGTAAACAGTCTTCCTTTTGAATATTAAAGGTTAACTTCTCAACAAATTTACTTAGTGGAACCAAGAGGATTAGACATCAAGTACTATGCAATCGATGTTATTCCCCAGTGCTTACATGGATGCTGGGGCCACCACTCTTGTGGTCCCTCCAGGTTAAATCCTATTAAATTAAATCCCATTGTAACAAAAACATCTGAATAACCAAGAATATCTGGAGCCAGGTGATGGTTCTGTTACTGCAACATCTCACTACAAAGGAACTTAAAATCCAACCACAGCAATAAAGGAATTGGCTCCCTGTTGGAATTTGTAGTGATTTGAGCTATATCTAGCTGCATAATTTACACAGCAAACAGTAGGAAAGCAACAATATAATAGAATAGTCAAGTTGGATATGGAAGCTGTCATTTCCTTGGCAGTAAGAGAAGTGGCTTCCTTCATTTAGAAGTCCAACAGCCCAGTTGCTGAATCAGTGCCATTTGGGTACAAATTCTGCAAATATAAGTAAAAGTTTTTGATAATGTGACATTGTAAGACACTGGAATCAAATGTCATTGGAAGAGTGTGCTGCTGGCTATAACCAAACAATTTCAGAAATCAATAGTCTTGAGCAAGCATTTTTCAAGAGATGTATAACATAGCTTGAGGCCAACACACTTCTAAAATCAAGTGTATTCATCAAGAGAATAAAAAAATAGATTAAAATAGGAACAAGGGAGCAAGTTAGTAACATGAAAACATTATGCAATCTACTTGAAACATTGCTATAGTCAACCTACACTAGTGGTAATTTAGAAGACAGGCTGAGGAAAATAAAGTCCACTGAGAGGGTAGAATTAAATATATTTGCTATATAGAAAGAATCTTTCAATAGTCAGTGAGAAGTATATTCATTTTATCAAATCCTGCACCACCTGAAGTCTTTTCTCACTGCTTATCATCTCTCCTATAACTTTCAGTCCTTGGCTGGTGGCCCAACCAGGTGGCTAAGAAGGGTTGGAAATGTAACTAGATAGTCTGCTGTTCTTAACTAACAGAAGCCCTCTGAGGATATTCAGTCTCTCACTGCCATGTCAATTAAAACTAACAAAAAAGTTCACTATGTAAAGCAAAGATGCTGCTTTTTTAGCTTGACCAGATGTACTTTCTTGACAAAGGGATGATGGTATGCATTTTATTTGTTTGTTTAATACAACCTATTCATAATTAAGACACAGGGTATCTGTGTCAAGATACTTTCATAAGATAACCATTATGAGCAAGGGTTAGAATTAATAATACACTTTAAACCCTTGCTACTTAAAGTGTGTCTGCAGATTATCATATTGGCATCACCTATGAGAATATAAGACATGCAGATGCTCAAACCTAAACCCAGACCTACTGAATCAGCATTTTACAAGAGTCTCCTCATATTGATGCCAAAGGATATTAATTTTTGAAGCCCTGATCTAATGTCAATAAGTCTTTTCTTTGGCCTTAATTAATGTGTGTAAGAATTGTTTGTATCTCACAAGTTTAAGATATTGAAGGTTATGTGTCAATGTTTAGAAACATATTAGAATCTTTTTGTGAAATTTATTTTTTCTGATTTTTACTTAACCTGTAATTTGAATCACTTGCCTTAAAACTAGTTTAAGTGTATCAATATGATTTCAACTTTCTTTCCTTTGGGAGTGCAGAATTTTTTTTTTTTTTTTTTTTTTTTTTTTTTTTTTTTTTGCACTAACTAGGCAACTGTGAGAGTAGCTGACCTGGGGCTGCTTTGTTTACTGTCTGGGGAGTTATAGGTGATTTATTTTAGAAACAGCTTCATGTGCCTCAGCCAGACATACCTGAATGGACCTCTTATAATTTTTTTGTAGTTTACTGAGATAAAGTAATGCAGAACAAAGAGATTTTATTTGTGTTCAGATGAATACTTGAAAGAAAATACTTATTTTCTTGCTTTTGTCTAAAAATGAACATTTCAAAAATAATATTAGTACTCAAAAGAAGTACCTTCCTTTGTAAACTGTAAAAATGTTTTCTTGACTGAGTGTTAAGTTAAACATAAATTTTGTAAGTTGAAATGCTCATATTTTTACATTCCTAAAGTTACACAGGCACATAGTAGAAAGAATAAAAAGATTCAAAAGGTTTGTGTTAAATATCTCTCCACCTGTGCATTAATCACTCTTTTCCCCACTAATAGTTCTTTACTATCTTTTCAAGGTTATTTTATACACTGAATGTATGTCTATCTCTATATACATTCTTAACATCTACTATATTTTGCTTCTTACTATATATAATACATCTTGGAGATCTGCTGCTCTTTTTAATGACTACACAATATTTCATTGTATGTCCTAACATTATTACCTGACCTGACCAATACCCTATTGGACATTCAGATTATTTTCAGTCTTTTATTAACAATGAAACAATATCCTAATGCATATTTCAATTTGAAAATGTGCAATTGTGGTGAAAGGATAAATTTCTTGGAGTAGAATTGCTATGATTCAAGTGAATATTTCTGTATCTGGTAGTTATTGTCTAATTGCTTCCTGCTCTTGCTAATCTTCAGGTTGTCTCACTGTCCCCTTTCTTGTAGCCTCATTTCACCTATGTAACCAATTCCCTGTATCAAAAGTCTCTGCTTGTAATACATACAAGTGATTTCAGTTTTCTTGCTTAGACCCCAGGTGTTCCTGGTGGCAATGTATTTAAGGAGGGAAACAGGTGCCATTCAACAAATTGTGTTGAGAAAATTGGAGAACATTAGTGAAAAACTAATGTGATAGCCCATCTAACTCCTTATGCCCAGAATAAAATCCAGATGGGTCAAATGATTTACATTTAAAAACATTTTGTAAAATTGTTACAAGAAAATACAAAGGAAAGAAACTTTCTTAAGTACGACAGAAAACTCAGATGTGAAAGACAAGGTAGATAAATAAATGAGACTACATAAAAATAAAAATCTATCGGAAACAAAAGCAGAGTAAACAAACTATACAATATACATTATTTAATTTCAGATAATAGTCTAATTTTTCTTAATATAAAAATATTATACTACAGGCAGGGGGCTCGCCTGTAATCCCAGCAATTTGGGAGGTGGAGGAGGGTGGATCCGCTGAGATCAGGAGTTCGAGACCAGCCTGGCCAATATGGTGAAACCCAGTCTCTACTAAAAATCCAAAAATTAGCCAGGCGTGGTGGTGAATGCCTGTAATCCCAGCTACTCGGGAGGCTGAGGCAAGATAATCACTTGAACCTGGGAGGCAGAGGTTGCAGTAAGCCTAGATCACACCACAGCACTCCAGACTGGGTGACAGAGCAAGACTCCGTCTCCAAAAAAAAAAAAAAAAAAAAAAAAAAAATATATATATATATATATATATATATATATATATATACACTGCAAATCTTCAAAAACAATGAACAATATAAGAAAAAATGAGCAAAGGTATGACTAGACAGTACACAGAAGTGAAAAATACAATTAGATATGAAGTATCTTAAATATATAAACATATGTTAAATCTTGCTCATAAGAGAAAAGCAAATTCACACTGTCATGATAAACCTATCTTATAAAAAATTTACAATGCTTTGTAGGATTAAGGTACTCTCATACATTCCTGTGAGAATGCACAGAATTGGTTACACAGGTAAGGGAAATGAGGGTACCAGAAAGGGAACAGCAAGACAACCTGAAGATTAGCAAGAGCAGGAAGCTGCTGCAACTTTTATTGCTATGGTGACAAAGGGGAAGCTAGTAGTGGGAGCCCCACAGTCAGGATTTCTGTTGGGAGACAGCTATTTTAAGGGACACCCAGTGGGAGCTAAGATGATGGAGATAGTAGCTGTCTGACAAGAATAGGAGTCATGGAGAGAGAGCCAGAGAAATATCTGGATTTTCTCCCCTTCCTTCCTGCCAATTTCTGCCAGTGCCTCTTATTGACTAGACCCAATCAGAAGATGGAGAGAAATGATAAACCTAGCTCCATGACATTCACATAAGAGAAAAGCAAGCGTGGAAACTGGATTTCAGAGCAAAGACTAACTCTCCAGCATATCTCCTATCTTGTTCCATTTATTTGCGTATCTATTTGTGTATCAGAACCACATTTTTTTTTTTTTGCTGTAGCATCATACATTTTTTTTCAGTATCAGAAGACTAACCCCTCCTTAATATTTTCTTAAATTTAGGGATTTTTTAATGCTATTAATATTTTTCCGGATAAAATTTAGAATCAGCTTGTTTACTTCTAAAAATTTATTGTAATCTTATTGCTATCATATTAAATGTACAGATTAGGGATAACTGATATTTATGAAATGTTAAAAATTGACATAGAGAAATAGAGTATATTTTTCTATTTTTTTAAATACTTGTTTGGGTCTCCCAGTAGTCCTTAAAGTTTTCTTCATGTAGATTCTGCATGTTTCTTTCTAGGTATTTTCCCTTGTTTGGTGGTTGTTGTTACTATTGCTAATGAGATTTTTAAAAATGAAAAATAATTTAAAAATTAGTAACAAATTTAACAATTTAGAATTTGCTGTATCTTCAGGGAACATTTTTGGCATTTTTTTCCTTAGAAACAATCATTTTCATCTGCTTTAAATCTTATTTGCATAGATTTAAATAATATGCTAATTATTCCTCTAGTTTTCTCTGTCATTATTTCCCTGTTGTAATTTCTTAATTCAATAATTTAAGCTTGGCCAGGCGTGGTGGCTCATGCCTGTAATCCCAGCACTTTGGGAGGCCGAGGCTGGTGCATCATGAGGTCAGGAGACCAAAACCGTCCTGGCTAACACGGTGAAACCCCATCTCTACTAAAAATACAAAAAATTAGCTGGGTGTGGTAGCGTGCGCCTTTAGTCCCAGCTACTCGTGAAGCTGAGGCAGGAGAATCGTTTGAACCTGGGAGGCAGAGGTTGCAGTGAGCCGAGATCACGCCACTGCACTCTCTAGCCTGGGTGACAGAGAAAGACTCCATCTCAAAAAATAATAAATAAATAAATAAATAATAATTTAATCTTGTATGACTTCTGCTCCTCTACACATAGCACAAAATTGCTATTATGTACTTCATTTTAGCATCATTTTCAATACTGGAATTTAAAATTGTGTAAAGAATTTTAAAGAGTTATAATTTGCTTTATGCATGTTTTGCAAATTTGATTCCATGAAAGTGCATTAGCTCAATGTTTACTTTTTGTGTAAGCATTATGCCTATATGTAAAAACATTGAAACTTCTTTAATAAATGAAGAAAGGTTCTTTTACATCTGCAGCATTTGTGAAAGATAAGATTTCTCAGGATCTTGTCTCTTTGGGCAACTGCATATGCAGTGATGAACTACAGCAGTTTTTGATGGATCTCATCAAAACTCTAATGTGCTATCAAACACTAGAACTTATTACTTCTATCTAAGGATACATTTTTATCCAGGTTCAAAATCTGTAAGCCAATATGAATGTCCTTTCTCCCAATACGTTCATACTATAACATTTTTGTACCCTTTTTTTTTTTTTTTTTTTTTTTTTTTGACAGAGTCTTGCTCTTTTGTCTAGGCTGGAGTACAGTTGCATGATCATGACTCACTGTAGCCTCAACCTCCTAGGCTTAAGCAATCCTACCACCTCAGCTTCCTGAGTGGCTGGTACTACAGACATGAACCACTGCACTTTTTATTTTTTGTAGAGGTGGGGTCTCACTGCTGGCATTACAGGCATGAGCCACCGTGCCTGGCCATATTTATACTTTTTAAAACATTGTCAACATCATCATTATTCTTCAGCCTCTTTACTTCTTCCTGAAATTATAGTGACAATCTCTAAATGCATTTTTCATCCTTTCTATGCTCAGTTTTCATCATGTGATTCCTCTGCACCAAAACTCTCAATGGCTCCTCACAGCCTATGGGATTAAACCAAAACAGATTTTAGCCATAATCCATAAGGCATAATCCTGATTGTTGAAATCCTGAGAGATCAAAATCTGGAAAACATAATTCTAAAAACAAATTTTTTAATTCCTTAAAATATAATGTATCTCATTTTTAAAAGAATATTTACTTAAGAAACATATAAAAACATGACAGAACACTTTATGGGCCACTTTACACAATAAAGTAGGCAATAATAAAACATTTTCACAAGCATAAACACTCAGGGAAACTAATGATAGTCACACTGATATAACAGTTATGAGAAAATGAGCTGTATTCATATGACATAAGTCTGAAACCAAAATGTATAAACATATATGACTATGGTTAGTAATTGCATGCATCCAGTTTGTAACCATTTTCATGTGAAATATTACGACAAGCAACCTGAGTTTTGATGAGATCCATCAAAAACTGCCATGGGTCACCACGGCATGTGCAGTTGCCCAAAGAGAAATCTTATCTTTCACAAAAGCTGCAGATATAAAAGAAGAACCTTCCTTCATTTACTGAAGAAGTTTTCAGTGTTTTTACATATATGCAAAATTCTTACACAAAAAGTAAACATTGTGATAATTCACTTTCGTGGAATCAAATTTGCAAAACATGCATGAAACAAATTAGAGCTCTTTAAAATTATTTATACAATTTTAAATTCCAGTATTGAAAATGATGCTAAAATGAAATATATAACAACAATTTTGTGTAAAGGAGCGGAAGTCATACAGATTAAATTGTTTGGCAGGGATTTCTTGTCTTTTTCACCTGAATTTTCACTTCTGGGATCTTCAAAACACTTGCTGCACTGGTATTTGGAGTGTGGTTGTGGTCTACAAATTTTGTAAGTATATGCTGTCCATTTTTGGGCTGGTTATTGCTCAGCTATTGTAACTAAGTGATTTTCTGCTTTTGCAGCACCAATAACAATTAGCTTTTAAATTTTGTGTTTCACCATTGAGTAGCCTCATGCATTTATTGTATTACAGCTTCCTTGTGAGGAAACAATTTCACAAATCTCTTCTATTATGTTGTAAGAAATAAAATACAGTAAGAAGGAATAATATTTGATTTCCTAAATACCAAATCAGTATTCATCAGGCTTCTCCAGAGAGACAGAACCAAGATGATATATAGATACATGAGAAGGACTTCATTATAGTAATTGGCTAATGTGATTATGGAGGCTGAGAAGTCTCACTACAGGCTGTCTGCAAGATGAAGACCCAGGGATGCCAGCAGTATGGTTCAATCAAAATTCGAAATCTTCAGAAACAAGAAAGCCAATGGTGTAATTCTCAGTTCAGCATTGAAAGTTTCAGGACCTGGTTGGGAGGACTGGTGTAAGTCCTGGAGTTCAAAGGCCGGTGAGCCCAAAGTTCTGACATCCTAGGAAGCTAAAGAAAAATTTGCCCCAGCTCTCAGAGATCAGTTTGTCTTCTGTATTTGTTCTCTCTAGGCCCTCAGCCAGTTGGATGGTGCTTACACAAAAAGTAAACATTGTAATAATTCACTTTCGTGGAATCAAATTTGCAAAACATGCATGAAACAAATTAGAGCGGATCTTCCCTACCTAGTCTGCTCAGACTCACACACTGATCTCCTCTGGAAACACTCTCACAGACACACCCAAAATAATACTTCACCAGGTTTCTTGGTATTCCTTAATCTAGTCAAGTTGACCCAGACAATTAAGTCCACAAGTTCACTCCTTGTCAACTTGGCACCCATACATGTCTCCTTAAATCATACTTAATTTCCAAATAAAGACAATAACAAGGTAATATTATTGTCCCACCTAACATTATGCAACTAACATGATGCAACTATCCTGTGTGCAACTGAAAATGCACTAATGCCTTCCATAGAATTTGGCTTTCAGGATTTCAATATTTGTGATTTTAATCTTCCGAGATGGTGATTTTCTGGATTTTAGATGTTATAGATTTCAGATTTAAGGAATTTAATCTTTTGGGATTTCAACATTCAGGATTACAGAGTTTGGTATTATGTCTTTTTTTATTATCAGCACTGGGTCAAATGGCATAGCTGGGATCTATGTTCCCCTGTAACTGGTTCCAATCCCATTTTCCAACTTAGTTTTTTATCATTTGGTTAGTAGTCATAAGGTACTTTAAAAAAGGTCTGATGCACCTTGGAACCTTCAGGGAGGGACTATATTATGGACAAATGGAAGTTAACAAAAGAGTAATAAAGTTCACAGAAGATAAACTCTATCACAAAACTCTACCTGGAGCAGGTTTTTCCATTAGCATTCAATGCATCCAAACCAATATTTCAGACTTCATGCCAGCCCAGCCACTAATTTACCTTACAACTAAGGTTATTATAAAGATCTAGGAGAAATGGCACCATCTTTATTTTTGTATCTCAACTTAGCATTACGAATTTTATCTTTCCTTAAACAAAACTGTGAAGTGCTGATCATTGTACCCTAAAGAAGATATGCAGTTGGAGAAGATCCAGGCAACTTACCAAAGGGATTGGGCATTTTCTACATGAAAACAGAAGAATAAGGCTGAAACATTTTAATCAGGAAGTGTTTGGATTGTAATGTTCAACCTTGTGATGGGTACAGAAGTATAAATATAGAATTAATTATTGAAAAATCAGAATGCAGAAATTGAGTATCTTCTTGAGTCAAGAAAGAGGTAATTTTAGAGCAAATAGATGGAGTTATTAAGGAATAGTACCCATTAACCCTGGGGAGGATAGAAGCAAAAACCATAAATAATTCTAGAGGGATTTAGATAAATTCAGTGGTGATAAAGACAGTATTGTTTTATTAAGGTTATTCATTTGAGGGATCTATCAATCTTTTGAATGTAAACCACAGAGAGCAAAAATGCCACATAGCATTTTATTTAGTTGGGGTTATTTATGTAAGAAATATTTTTTGAACACTTACTATACAGCAGACTCTGTGCTGGGCACTTGTGATGAATATGATAACCAAGGTCTCTATCTAATATACATGTGAGACAACAATTATAATACAATGTAGGGCTATGTAAGGAGAAATAAAGGATAATAAGGAAGTACACGAGAGGGTCTTATTACCTACCTCTGCATCCTCAGGGATTTTCCTTAAAACTGCATCTGTGTAGACTGCAACAATGTTTACCTACATTGTTTGCTGCTGTGGGAAGTTTAAGAAGCAGAAAGGAATAATGAAATCTGGCAGATCAATTCCAAGATGGCCTCCGGTGATTTCTGCCTCTTGGTATTTATCCTCGTGTGCAGCGTCTTCCTCTTGTGTGTGCACAGGGTCTATAACCTGCTTCTAGCCAATAAAATATTTCAAAGATGATGGGATGTCATTTTTGTGAATCAGTTACATAAGATTCTGACCTCGGGCTTGCTATCAAACTCTATCCCTTGTTAGTTCTGATAAAACAAGCCACCATGTTGCACGCTGCATTATGGAGGGGCTCACATGACAAGATATAAAGGGCTTCCTCTGACTAGCAGCCATCAAGAAACTAAGGTCCTCAGTGCATCAACCCAAAAGGAATTCTGCCAACAACTACATCATCTTACAAGTAGATCCTTCCCCGGGTGAGTTTTGAGATAAGACGTCTAGATTTTAGCATTGTGAGAGATCCTGTAGCAGGGAACTCAGCTAAACCATACCCAATTCTTACATACACAGTAAGTGTAAAGTAGGAGTCTGTGTTGTTTTAAGGCACTAAGTTTGTGTCAGTTTGTTATATGGCGATAGATAATTAATATAATGAGGATGCCAAAACATCCCCATGAAACACACTGCAGTCAGTCTTTTGTGCTACCATAGGTTGGATAATATTTTCAGTATTTTAGATGAGACATAGTTGTGACCAAAATGGTGGTGATGTGATCAAAAGATGAAGATGTGTTTGAGAGATATTTAAGAAGTAGGATTGGCAAGACACATTATTAATTTGTTGTGGAAGTTGAGGGAAGGGAGAAATCTAAGATAAAACTCAGATTTGGCATCAGTCACTGAGAAGATTATGATGTCATTCATTAAGACAGAGAGACAAGAGGTAGGCAGTGGAGAACAATGATGAGTCCGAATTGCATGTGAAACATTGGAGTGAAGATATCCAATAAGCAATTGGATATGCCCATGCATCTGAAGTCCAGGAGAAAATAAACTGAGATGAATGAAAGAGCATGCTGTGTATTAAAACCATGCAAATAGATGTGATTTTAATAGTGAGGAAAGTAAAGGTGAAGAGCATGAAGATCCTATGGTAAGTTCTGAAGAATGTCAATCTTTAAGGGATAAACAGAAGAGAAGGAGGCTTCTAAAAAGACCGAGACAAACAGATAAAAAGGCAGAAAGAAAAGTAGCAAAATGCAGTTTCATGGAAGACACTTATCCCCCACAAAAGTGTTTCAGGAAGAAGGAATTGGTAAACAATGTAAAATAAAAAGTTAAAGAAGATGTAGCCTTCAGAAAGTGGTAATTTTTGAGAGAAATTTCTGTTTTTATAGATGGTTATGTTGGAATTCACATTGCTTGAGGTGGAAGGGGAAAGGAACATAAAAATGAAGAAAGTTGGGATAGACAACTTTGTGAAAGTTTAGCTCTAAAAGGGAGGAGAGAGATGCTGATAGCCAAAAAGGATTATAATTATTAAAGACTCTTTTTTAAGACAGTAAATTTAGGATTATGTTTAAATGCTGATGATAAATAGCCATTAGAAATTGAGAAATTGAAAATTTAGGAGAATCATAATACACCAAATTTCCAGAAGAAAAAGCAGAGGATGTAATCCAGAGAAAAGTGGAGAACTTTGATTTGGACAGTGTCAGACTCAATCCTAGACCCACCATGATTATACATTGCAAAATAGAAAAACTATTATTTTACACATCACTTAGCCACTTTCAGATCTATGTTTCTTATATTGGACTTTCCCAACTGATCTATGAGATAGGTAAAGCATTCATAGTGATCCTTACATTTACCGATGTTAAAATTGATTCTCCAAAAGGTTAAGTGACTGGGGAATTTAGTAACTGGAGCTTGAATAATTTATTTTCTCTTCCATGATTTTTTTTTCACTACATCCTATCCCATGCCAGGGAACTGACACAGTATGGTACTGTCTATACAGATCATTCTGAGAACTAGTAAAAGTACTGTATGAATTGGGACAATCTGACACTTGAAAATGCAACCTAATATAATTAAAACTGTTAAGGTGGTTTCATCTCTAGACTGCAGATAGTTATCTTTCTTTTTTGTCTTAGGGTCTTTATTTATTTATTTATTTGAGACAGAGTCTCACTGTGTTGCCGAGGCTGGAGTGCAGTGGCACTGTGTTGGCTCACTGCAACCTCCGTCTCCTGGATTCAAGCAATTCTCCTGCCTCAGCCTCCCAAGTAGCTGGGATTGCAGGTGTCCACCACCACACCCGGCTAGTTTTTATATTTTTAGTAGAAACGGGGTTTCACCATGTTGGCCAGCCTGGTCTTGAACTCCTGACCTCAGGTGATCCACCCGCCTCGGCCTCCCAAAGTGCTGGGATTACAGGCATGAGCCACTGTGCCTGGCCTTTACTCTTAAATATGAGAATACAAATAAGAATTTGAGAAAGTATACGTTAAAATATGTATCATAACTTAGTCTTTCTGCAATTCTATAAAAATGTGCATTTCTATTTTCTGTCTAATATTCAAAAATCTATTTTTAACACTGTACAGCTATCACAATGAGGAAGTGATGGCCAAGAAAAACAGTCATTCATATCGTAGTAAACTAATATAAAATAGTGTTATCCCTAAGACCCCCTGGTTAAAAGATAAAATCCCAGGAATCTGCTTTGCATAAGACCCCCCACAGCACATTCTACCAGTATGTGAACAATGCAAGTATTGCCAAAAACCTTACTTATATCTAAGCATCAACTACTATCTTTTTGTTTTTTAGTTCAACATGTTGTTAGAAGAAATGGGATTTACTTTATTCCCTGTTGTTTCTTTACTTGATTATTTTTTGGCAAGGAGTATGGAGAGAGGCAATAAAACATCAATACTCTAAAACTAGCACACTATAATAATAGATTGTAATATATAATATATCATGCAATTATTATATATTAGCATTATTATATGTTATTATTGAGTTATTGAAACTACTTTTAACTTCTTCATTTATACCAGCAACAGAGTTTTACCTTTGAGTAGAAAACAGATATTCTTACTTTTTCAAAAATGAATTCAGAATAATTTTGAAATATTAAAGTTTGAGAGATAAATCCTGTCCATGCAGTAAGTCAGTTTCTTTTGAGTAGTCCATCCCATTGGCAATAAAGCATTATTACTAGTGTTGGAGTTGGACATTTAGAGATCCTAAATTGCATATTATACTTTTTATAAAGACAATTTTCCAATGTCTAAATTTTTTTTCTTCAAGTTCAAAATCCTCAAGGCTGTTAGAAATCTTTACTTTTACAACTTGATAATGGTTCTAGAGAAGGTTGACTTTCAGCAGAAACTTCAGAAATAAAAAGTCTTGGACAAATGATTCAATCTGTATCGCACAGGGTATATTCAAAATGATTTCAAAAGAATTATTATATTCCTTCAAAGGACCTTTATGTCAATACATCTTTGAAGCAAAAACACATCTAAAAATTCAATAGTAGGTTCACTGTGTGGTCAACATTTGAACTTTGTAGAACTTTTCAATTTATTTGTGTAGAGAATGGCTTTTACCATATTTTTTTGGCCTCTGTTACAAACAAGTTAGACTAGAAAATAGTGTATTCCTGACAGATTTTTTTCTTCTCTAAGGTGCAGGGCTATTTCTTCAACATTGAGAATACAATGGTCTTTTGAAATTTTACCAAGCAAGGAAATATTTATCTAGTCTAGAAGGGATAGTTCTGTTTAACTAGATATTATTGCATGTTAAATTTCAGATTACCCAACTCATTCAAATAAACATACAGATACCAGCATATTTTCTATCATCTCTTTCTCTCTCTCACCTATCTATCTATCTGTCATTTATATCTATCTTCTCTTTACCATCTAATTATTTACCAGGAGTATCTTTCCCACCTTTGTTAGCCTGGTGCACTTCTGCTCACTATTGAACTCTTGTGAGTCTCAACATTCCCTGAACCCATAGACTCTGCTAGGCTAGATTCTTTACTGTGTGTCAGTAGCACGAGGGTTATGTGTTTGTTACAGTATCTGGCCTATTATAGGGAGAGCAGCCTTTTGCAATTTTGTTTCTCCAACTTATCTGCAGCCCTAAAGTAGAGAGCAGTACATCATTTCAGTAGCTTGAGCTAAGAACTAAGCATAGTTCTTGACACTTAGTCAATAACTACTTGATGATTTGCTGAATTGAATGAAGTTGTTTGTATATAACTAAGTAGGCTATAAGAAAAAAAGAGTAAAATGCAGTAAGCAGAGTAAATCACATGCTAGACATACCCACACCTGAGAGCTATTCAAGAATACCTCTAAGAGCAACCCTCAGTACTTCCCATCAACTGCTTCTTTTTATTGATTAAACATTTTGTTAATAAAGCAAATGCTATTTGAGGGTTAGCCTATTAGGGTACTCTAATAAATATGTGCAAATTTGTTTCTAAGATTTATTGTGCAAAAGGCAAAAAGGACTTGATAGTGGAGCAAAAATTTGTAGAAGAAAATGATCTAGCTGAGACAGAAGCCAGGCCTGGCCACTGAACAAAGGAGGAGCCAGGATCGGTAAAAAGGAAGGATCTTTGTGATCACATTTATCCTAACTTGTCAACACCTGGAACACTAGTAAACATCTGGAATGGTACCTCTGTGAAGTGGCATAGACATTCACTTGGTCCAACACACTGCCCTTACAGTATAGGCTAGAGCGAGCCACTCAATATCCAAGTGCAATTGGTAAAAAACGTGAAAGCCTGTGATATAGAGGTGAGTGATGTTAGGCAGTCTGTTCTATTCTTGATGTGTCTTCTGCATGTAAGCCTGAGTCTTACTACTCTTCACTGTTTTCCTCCTGTCTATCAAGATAATCAGTAACCACAATAGGTCATTAATTATAAACTTTAATTTTACAAAAGAAAAACATTAGTTATGGAAGTTATTTGATGCTGTTGTCGCACACTCTCTGAGGAATGGGCTTTCCAGTATGTGGAATTTCAATCTGACACAAAATGGTCCTCTGCTTTTCCGCCTGTTAGTATACAAGCAGGGTCCGTGCTCCTCTCTAAAGCATACCTCCACATGTTCCCTAGATCCTTTCCTCTTCCATTTCTCAGTGTTTCCACAATTTCTCTTCTTTCTCCTTCTTCACTATGTTTTTCTTTTGCTAGTAGATCTTTCCCATCAGCATATAAATGTGATATTATTTGCACCATCTCAAAATGTTACCTTTCTTTGTCCCTGTTTCCTTAAGCATTAGTGCAGCTAATTTCCTCACCTCCCTCAGGTCTTTGCTGGAATATCACCTTCTCAAAGAGGCTTTTCTTCATCACCCTATTTAAAGTTCCAACTCACCCTGACCCTCCCTTGCATTTATCCTGCACTTTTTTTTCTCATAGCATTTATTATCTCCTAACTATGTAATGCTCTTATTCACTAGGCTGTGTTTTGTTTGACCCTCTTACTTAAATAAAAGCTGCAAGAAAGCAGAGATTATGTCTGTTTTGATCATTATTTTCAAAATTCATAAACTGCTCCCTGATATTAGTAGGTGTTCACTAAATAATTGCAGAATGAATGAATTCACAAATAAAAACATTTTCATTTTAACGCTTGAGAAACTCAGTCTTTAAGTTTTCACTATAAAAATAAAATTCCCTAACAACCATCTTACTGCTGTTACAAAAGTTAATTTTATTTCTTATTTGTATTCTCCTTTGCTCTGCAGGACCTGATTCCGTTCTTCCATGTTCCCTGGGTTTTGTGTCCTTTCAGGTAGTATTTGAAAGGGATTTCTTGATCAACAAAATTATCCATTTTGAATCTATGTATAAAGTAGAAGAAACAGATCTTTTGGGAATCTTGAGAGGCTTTATTTCTCTTGTACACTCAGAATGCATGCATCTAGAGATTCTAACTTCCCTGACTTTGCATTCACTTTTGGACCCATCATCAGATGGGACTTACTACAAGTCCTTTGTTCATAAAGCTGGTCATCATATTTACGGAAAATTGCCTCCATGAGTATTACTATACTTGGTTTGGTAGAGTAGGTCTTCATTAATTATTTGTTAAATAGAATTAAATTCATTAATGGGTTTCAGTCAGTAGCTGATAAGGCAGAAAATGTTGGAAACAAAACTAGTAGCCTCTAGCAAAGAACTTGAGAGGAGGATATCTTAATGTGACTAAAAATTCCATCCTGAACTACTTAAAACTGGAATATTTAATTGGCATTGAAATAAAAATGTGAGGAATTTTTAGCATACGATCACTATTTTCACAAATATCCCCTTTTACAAACCATTTGGTATTGCTTTCTAAAGATCTGTGCTCGCTCTTAATTGCATCCCTTTCCTTTGACTTATGATGAAAAGTTTGCTTTCTCTCGTAGATATGTGTCTCTACCTGACTGTAGAGCTCTAAAAGTCCTCTTTTAAACCATTGCTACATGTGTGCTTACATGTGTGTTTCTGGGTGCATGCACACACACACACACACACACACACACACACACAGATGAAAACTTTGTATTTTCCATGAGTTCTGTCTGAGTTTTGCCAGAGCAAGACAGTTATTTTAACTTGGAAAATGAGGATGAATTCCCATCCTAAGATATTATAAAAAAAAGACAACATAATTTATTTTCCTCAAGCCCTGTTCTCATCAATCTTATTTGTACATTAAAATCATCTGAGAAAAAAATTTAAATACTGCTTCGTGAGTTTCATCTCAAACCAGTTGAACTAGAACCTTTGGAAATGAGACCCAGGCACTCATATTTTTTAATGTCACAATTTGTGTTTAATTTTTATTTTTAATGGGCATTATAGTTCTCTAGTGGTAGGGGTCTGATTTCTCTAGCACTAGCTGAAACAAAGTTTGTTTTGCCTCACTAATAGATTTTAAAGTCTACACTTCCTTAAGGTTAAAAGTACCTCTTGGAGCGTTAGTTCTAGCCATGATCTTTATTATTATTTTTGGTGGGAGGTGGGAAGCATGATCGCAAACAAATGTTCCTTGAAATTATACTCAAAATCCTTTTGTGGTTATATCAATTTGCAATGAGAGAGACGTCTGGAATGCTGCAAGTTATTTATACAAAGAAAAAAGATAAAGATTACGTGCTTTCTGTCTTGTTTACAGTAATTGGTTCATCTCTTTGGTGTAACTGCTTGCATTGTCAAGGGTAAATTTGAGAATAGATATAATCTCTCAAGATACTTAATTTCCATGTACCCATGCATGCTCTTATATTTTCAATGTATAACTATATTCTCTAAAATTACATTTAGATTTTAGGGCGATAAGAATGGTAAATCAGAAAGCAACAAAGTAACCTGAAGAAAAACTAGGCTTATAAGTTTTATATTGTCTTTTTTTAAAAAGTAAACAAGATACCCAATTGAGGGAATATAGAGGTGTGCAAATGTTGTAAACTTTAGTGCAATATAGACCTGGGTTTGAATCTCACATTTGTCATTCACACCCACAGGTAGTACACTGGCAAGTCTGAATATTACCTTGTCTTACCATTTCCACACGGATAACCCTAGTCCAAGATAACATCAGCAACCAACTGGACTCTTGCAATAGTCCTCTGCCATTCCCACCACTCTCTATTCACATTTTCTCCTTCAAGGAACTTTTCCATGCAGCAGCCAAAAAAATTTAAAGCATAAAACTTATTACTTAAAACTCTCCACTTGCTTTCCATTGTAATTAGAATAAATTCCACATTTATTGTATCTTTTCCTCCTTGTTATATATGTATTTCAGTTAATGACAGTCCCTGGAATATGCTAAGCTCATTCTTGCATTAGGATTTTTGCACAGATATTGTAATATCTGTGAGCAAGAAAGAGATGAAGGAAAGGGCTCAACTTACGCCCTCTTCAGGTAATGGCATATTTAATATTTTGCAAATCTGTTACCTCATCTGTAAAGCTTATCTTTTATTATTTCCGGAGATCATGGGAAAGTCATCAGAAGTGTCCAGAAATTATCCTGGGTATAGAAGCTGAGAGAATGGTGCTATTAATTCTAGGCATTTAAAGATTATTAAATTAAAAAATTGCTAATCAAAGGTGGGATCATTGAATTATCCACTGACATCAATATTATAACCATTTTTGACCATATACAGTATGCTAGGCACTGTATTAAACACTACAGAAGATATAAGAATGAATGAATATAAAAGTCTTTGCTTATCATCTGCTTATCATTTGGAAGACAGAATAAGAACAACACAATAACACTACTACTAAGCAGAATATGTACCATAAAATAATCAGAATGTAAAGGGTAAAGGTTTTTAAAATGGAGGGTTTAATAGGTCTGACTTCCACAGTAAGCAACAGCAGTTTAAAAATATGCACATCTGTTCCCAATCCATTAGACTTGCTTCTCCTTAATTGAATTGAAATATAAGATTAGTTGGTTTTGGGGATCAGGGAATTGAGGAAGGCTTAATGAAGGAACTAGACCTAGAAAATACAGCATTTGAGCTGGACCTTGAAAGTGGGAAAAATAATGGAATGCACCTTTATTTATCTCTTTCTTAATTTAGCCATGGTTTTACTAAGTAAATAAGATGAGTTTTATGATTTTGCAGAAGTATGCCTGCTGAACATTATTGACCTCATGACAATCTTCCAATATGTTTTTAAGGAAAATAGAACTTTATTTTTGGAGAGAACGACCTTGGGCAACTAAATTAACCTCTTTCTCACCTATAAAATTCTAATTTGTAGAACTGTTGCAAAGATTAAAGGAAATAATGCAAGGTGTCTGGTGTATAGGCACCTGATTAAAGCTAGCTCTCACTTTTACTTCTTAATAACTGAAGAAGTTGTATATTACTGAAAGTAAGCAGAATTGTGGAATAGTTAAAACTCTACACTCTGAAATCAGGCTGTAGTGATCAGATGGCCTTCGAATTCTGGGTCTGACACCTCTTGCTTTGTGATCTTGGGCAGGTAACTTAACATCACTTTGCCTTACTTCCTTCATTTGTCAAATGGAAATTATAATATATCCTAACTAAGAGGGCTGTTGTGAAGATTACATCTGATAATTCATATTAAGTGGTTAACATATAGTAGGTGCTCAATAAATAATTATTTATAATTACAGTAATAATCATTAATAATTATATAAGTAGAATTGAAAGCTAACACTAATAATATCCTTAAGTCATAGGGGTTATTGTCAGTCTAATAATCTATAGCATGTGACAGGCCAACACATGCCCGGTCAATGAATATATTATTCTAAAAATAAACTCATCTAATCACATATACAGACCTGAAGTGCTATTTGAAGTACTTCACTTGATGTTCTTGTTGTATTTGATCATGTTTCCAGTGTTTGCTTTTGACTTTACTCATATTTTTATAATTCACTATTTATCTCTGATTTTTAAAAGTGGTGAGGGAAGTCAGTTCCAGGCGGTGATGGAAGCCAAGGCCTCTGATCTCAAAACAGCTATGGAAGATGAACCAAAAGGAAAAAACACCGTATTAGAAGAGAATGCCTTCAGGGGTCCTGGAGAATTAAGGCTAGAATTTTGCTATTTTGAGTCAGGCAGGAAAAAAAGAGGTGCAGATTGAGAAGTAGAAAAATTATTGCTCGGGAGAGGAATTTCCTGCTTGACTATTTCCTCTTAAATCTCATTATGTAAGTTTACTGATTGCTTTTTCTAAACTCAAATTTAGGTCCCAAGTATAAAAGAGAAATTCTATTAAAATATGTATAGATTATACACCTTTGGAGTAAAGTGGTTTCTTTCTACATGTTTATAATTATGTTCTGGCTTATGCAGAATAGTCTATAGTTCGAACATTCTGGAACTGAGATTTATATTCCCTAAATATGCATGAATAAGTATCTGGCCCACCTCAATAAGAAATGAGGTTTGTTGATTTGATTTCCCTTAGCCAGCTTGATAAGCAGAAAGACTGTCACTGGAAGAATTCTGGAAGAAGATATTAAAGCTACTGCACATATCTAAATGTAACATATCAAGGATCTGCCTGTTTGCTCAAGAAAGGGAAGAAATTCATTGCTTAACCTCAGTGACCCAAATAGGCTTTCTGCTTATCTTATACATCCCAAGTTACCTCCCAGTAACTTGAACATATCTTCTTTTCAAGCCTTCCAAATTCCACCCAAATTGAAAGACGGTGTTCTTGGTAGATGTCTTATTTTCGAGGATCGTTGGCTTTTCACACTCAGTAATCACCACCACAGGTACCTTTCCCTCATCCACACACTCAAATATTACCTATCATTTAATCTAACCTCAATTCAAATGCAACTTGTTCTTCGAAACCTTTTCTAACATTTTCATTTTAAAAAATCCCTTCCTTTAAAGACAGCCTCCTGGGTCTTCATCAGTAATTCTAATATGGCAATATGCAATAAATATTTATTGTGTACCTAAAATGTGCCACAAGCTCAGTGCTAGGGATATGTCAGTGGGTAAAACAGTCAGAACTCCTTGTAAAGTGAATAAAGTTAAAATTGCTTGTTAGATAGTGGTAAATGGTAAGGAGAAAAGTGTAGAAGAGGAAGAGAAAAGGAAATTGGAAGGTAGAAATTTTATGTGGTTAGTGGAGGCCTGTCAGGGAAGGAGACTCAAATCTGCAGGAAATGGGGAATGACAGACAAATATCTGAAAGAAGAACATTCAGACAGATGGAAGAGAAAATGAAAAGACTCTGGGTGAAAGTGTAAATAGGAGGAAAATTAAGAGAAATCATACAGGTGAAGAGTGGGGAGTGGGAGGAGGAGGAGCAGGCAGATTGTACATGTTTTTCATGGCCGACTTTTTCTCTGGGTTAAAAGTAAACCACTGAAGGCTTTGATTACCACAGAGGCATGGTCTAACTCATATTTTAGTAACAGAGGCAACAATGCAGCAGTGAGAGGATAAAAGTTCTGGAAATATTCTGAAGGCATAACCTAGAGGATTTATTAACAGATTAGACAGCAGATGAGAGAAAAAGTAGAGTAAATGTGACTCCAAGGCCTGTGGCCCAAACAATCAAAAATAAGGAGCTGCCTTATGGAAAGGAGCTGCTTCTTATTGAATAAGGAGTGGAAATAGAAAAGGTTATAGCAAAGTAGTAAATAATAGCGGGCATTTGGGTTTGGAGGTGCATATTTTGAGATTACTTCTCTGTTCTGCAGTCACTTGAATATACAAATTAGAAGTTATGAGCATCTAGATGAACATTAAAGCAGTGAGATAGATTGTTCTTACTTACGAATGAATCTCAAAGGGCTGAGCTCCAAAAGATATGAAAGATGAGTAGGAATAAATGAAAAAGAATGAGAAGAGACCAGTGAAGGAGAAGGAAAGCAGAGGAATTTGTGTCCTAGAAGCCAAGCAAAGAAAGTATCTAGGAGAAGGGAGTGATCAGCTATGCAAATGCTGCCGATAGCCCAAATAGGTTAAATGACTATCAATCTCATGATTTAGCAAAGAGTATGCCACTGGTGACTTTAACTACAGCTACGTCAGTGGAGTAGTGTTGGCAAAGGCCTGATAGAAACAGGTTCAAGTGTAAAGAAACTGAAATCAATGAATATAGCCAACTCTTCTGAGAAGTTTACTGTAAAACAAATAAAGAAAAAAATGGGACAGTAACTGGAGGGTATGGTGAAGTCACATGCACACATATATGCATACACATACGTGTATGTCTATATTTACTTTCAAATGAGAGTGAAATAGCAGCATTTTAATATGCTCATGAGAAAAAAAAGAATGCAAGAGAGAAAAGAGAGAGTTCCAGAAAAATTGCTCTTGTCTAGGCAAGAATGAATGAGATCTGGGACATAGTAGAGAGACTGCCCTTTGCTTGCCATGTGGATGGCTCATCTACAGAACAAGAGAGAGAACACAGTATGTACATACAGAGGCAGGTAGGTGAATATGGTCATAAAAAATTGTGGAAATTGTTTTTTGATTACTTCTTTTTACTTAGTTAAACAGAAAGCATATTCAGCAGCTTAGAGTGAGAACTGTCTCCACTTATGTAGATTCTTTCTTCTTTTTTCTATTGTCATTCAGTAACCTCTAGCTAAGGAATTATTATTTTTTTAATACCCAAGTGGTTTTATTATGCAATCATGAATAGTGAGCACATTATGTTATTTTCAATTTCTGGAGAATTGAAAACTCACACAATCAAAATTTATTGAAAGAAGCAAGGAATAATTCTTAAATAAAAGCAAAATGCAAAGAGTAGTTTATGAACTTAATTTTTTTTTCCTGGTCTTCTCTCTGTTGGTACCATTTTAAGTCCATATGTGTGTTCTTCTTTCAATAAGGCATTCTAAGTTCCAGTTTCTAAGTTTTAAGTTCCACTCTGACATTGCTTAAGATAAAGATGATGTTTACTCTGGCAATTTTTTGTTGTTGCTGTTCTTGATTGCTTATTTTTAATTTAAAAAAGGGCAGACTCCAGGATGATACCTCTGGACCCACTGGGGGTCTGGGGGACCTTGCTACCCTGAATGGAAGGACATAAGCCTGGTTGGTTTTTCCACCAGCTGATTAGAGAGCCCAAGTGCTTTCAGGAAACATAGGCAGTAATCAGGGAGTGGCTACAGCAAGCCTTCAGCCAGACTCAGTGCTGTGCTAGCTTCAGATCTGGCCCAGTGAAATTACATTAATGATGGCCACAAGGGGGCTTGTGTCACTCCAGTCCTCAGCATTAGGTGGCTAGAGCAGAGGCAGGGACTCCATATATTTGGAAGAAAGGAAGAAGGCAAGAGTCTTTGCCTGGTAATCCAGAGAATTCTCTCAGATCTCATTCAAGACCATCAAGGGGTTGCCTTTATGAGTCTGCAAGAACCACAGAGTTACTGGATGTGGGTTCCCCCCTAAAGCAGATACAGCTTAGATCACAACACCCAAGTCCTTTCAAATATCTGGAAAACCTTCCCAAGAAGGATGAGTACAAATAAGCCCAGACAGTGAAGACTACAATAAATACCTAATCCTTCAATGCCCAGACACTGAAGAACATCTGCTAGCATCAACACCATCCAGGAAAACTTAATCTCACCAAATGAACACTAAATAAGTTTCCAGGGACAAATCCTGGAGAAACAGAGATATGTGATCTTTCAGACAGAGAATTCAAAATAGGTAGGTTGAGGAAACTCAAAGAAAATTCATGATAACACAGAGATGAAATTCAAAATTCTATCAGACAAACAGATTAAAATAATTAAAGAGAATCAAGCAGAAATTCTGGAGTTAAAAAATGCAGTTGGCATAATGAAGAATGCATCAAGTTCCTTTAACAGCAGAATTAAGCAGAAGCAAGAACTAGTGAGCTTGAAGACAGGCTATTTGAAAATACCTAGTCAGAAAAGGCAAAAGAAAAAAGAATAACAAAATGAAGCATGCCTACAGGATTTAGAAAATAGTTTCATAAGGGAAAATCTAAGAATTATTGGCCTTAAAGAAGAGGTAGATAAATAAATAGAGGGAGCAAATTTATTCAAAGGAATAATAACAGGCAACTTCTGAAACCTACAGAAATATATCAATATCCAAGTACAAAAAGGAAATCACCTTCACTAGAGGAAGACAGGAAAGAGAGAAAGAAGAGAGGACCACAGAACAACCAGAAAAAGAATAATAAAATGGCAGGAGTAAGTCCTTACTTTTCAGTAATAACATTGAGGTAGTTGGACTAAAATCTCCAATCAAAAGATATAGAGTAACTGAATGGATGAAAAAACAAGTCTCATTAATCTGTCTATAAGAAACACATTTCACCTACAAATACATACATAGAAAATAAAGAGATGGAAAAAGATATTCCATGCCAATGGAAAACAAAAAAGCAGAAGTTGCTGTACTTACATCAGACAAAATAAATTTCAAGACAAAAGCTGTAAGAGAACAAAGAAGGTAACTATGTAATGATAAGAAATCAATTTATCAAGAGGATATAACAGTTTTAAATATATAAGTGCTCAACACTGGAGCATTCAGATGTATAAAGCAAATATTATCAGAGCTAAAGAAGGAGATAGGCCCCAATACAATAATAGCTGGAGACTTCACACCCTATTTTCAGCATCTTGGACAGATCTTCCAGACAGAAAATCAACAAAGAAACATCAGATGTAATCTTCACTATAGACCAAATGAATCTAATAGATATTTACAGAACATTGCATCCAAGAGCTGCAGAATACACATTCTTCTCAGCACCTGGATTATTCTCAAGTATAAACAATATGTTCACAAAAAAAAGGATTAAAACATTCAAAAAACTGAAATGATATTAAGTATCTTCTCTGACCACAATGGAATAAAACTAGAAATTAATAACAACATGAATTTTGAAAACTATACAAATATACAAAAATTAAATAATATGCTCCTGAATGACCAGTGGGTCAGTGAAGAAACTAAGAAGAAAATTGAAATATTTCTTAAAACAAATTATGATGGAACACAACATACCAAAACCTCTGGGATACAGCAAAAGCGATGCTAAGATGGAAGTCCGATAGCTATTAAGTGCCTACATCAACAAAGAGAAAAAAACCTCAAATATATAGTCTAACAATGCATCTTAAAGAATTAGAAAAGCAAGAGCAAATCAAACCCAAAATTAGTAGAAGAAAATAAATGATAAATATTGTAGCAGAAATAAATAGAATTGAAAAAAAATTCCAAAGTCAATTAAACAAAAAGTAGGTTATTTGAAAAGTTAAATTAAATTGACAAATCTTTAGCCAGACTAAGAAAAAAGAGAGAAGATACAAATTAATAAAATCAGAAATGAAAATGGAGACATCACTACTGATACTGCAGAAATTAAAAGGATCATTAGTGGCTACTATGAGCACCTATATACCAATAAGCTGGAAAATCTAGAAGAAATAAATGAATTCCTAGACATACACAACCTACCAAGATTGAAACAGGAAGAAATCCAAACCCTGAACAGACTGATGACAAGTAATGAGATCTAAGCCATAATAAAATCCCTCCCCATAAAGAAAAGCCTAGGACCAGATGGCTTCATCTGAATTCTGCTGAATTCTACCAAACATTTGAAGAACTAATATAAATTCTACTCAAACCATTCCAAAAAATAGAAGAGGAGAGAGTGCTCCCAAATTCATTCTCCGAGGAACGTTATTACCCTGATACCAAAACCTGGCAAAACTGTATCAAAAAAAGAAAACTACCTCTGATAAATATTGATGCAAAAATGCTCAACAAAATACTAGTAAGCCAAATTCAGCAATACATTAGAAAGATCATTCATCGTGACCAAGTGGTATTTATCCCTGTGATGCAAGGATGGTTCAACATACACAAATCAATCAACATGATCTATCATATCAACAGCATGAAGTATAAAAACATAGTCCCATTTATAATAGCCAGAAATAAAATTAAATACCTAGGAATTAATTTAACCAAAGTAGTGAAATAATTTTATAATGAAAACTATACAACACTAATGAAAGAAATTGAACAGGAAACAAAATAATGGAAAAATATTTCATGTTCATGGATTGATAGAATCAATATTGTTAAAATATTCATACTACTCAAAGCAATATATAGGTTTAATGCAATCCCTATCAAAATAACAATGACATTCTTCATAGAAATAGAAAAAACAATCCTAAAATTTATATGGAACCACAAAAGACCCAGAATAACCAAAGCTACTTTAAGCAAATAGAACAAAACTGTAGGAATCACATTACCTGATTTCAAATTTTACTACACAACTTTAGTAACAAGAATAGCATGGTACTGGCATAAAAACAGACACATAGACCAATGGAAAAGAATAGAGAACACAAAATCAAATCCACACCCCCACAGTAAACTCACTTTTGACAAGGATGTCAGAAACATACAATGGGGCAAAAGACTTCAATAAATGATGCTGGGAAAACTGGATATCTATATGCAAAAGAATGAAACTAGATATTTGGCTCTCACCATACACAAAAATCAAATAAAGATGAACTAAAGACTTAAATCCAAGACCTCGAACTATGAAACTACTACCAGAAAACCTTGGGGAAACTCCAAGCCATTGGTCTGGGAAAAAATTTCTTGAGCAATACCCTACAAGCATAGGCAACCAAAGCAAAAATGGACAAATGGAATCACATCGATTTAAAAAGCTTCTTAATAGCAAAGAATACAATCAACAAAGTGAAGAGACACCCCACAGAACGTGAGAACATGTTTGAAAACTACCCATCTGACAAGGATGAATAACCGGAATATATAAGGAGCTCAAATAAGCCTATAGGAAAAAATCTAATAATCTAATAAAAAATTATGCAAAAGATTTGCATAGACATTTCTCAAAAGAAGAAATAGAAATGGCAAACAAGAGTATCAAAAGGTGTTCAACATTATTAATCATCAGAGAAATGCAAATCAAAACTCCAATGAGATATCATCTCACCCCAGTTAAAATGATTTGTATCCAAAAGCCAGGCCGTAACAAATGCTTGCAAGGTTGTGGAGAAAAGATAACTCTTGTACACTGCTGGTGAAAATGTAACTTAGTACAACCACTATGGACAGCAGTTTGGAGGCTTCTCAAAAAACTACAGTGACAATAACTTAATTGTATATTTTTAAATAACTTAAAGAATGTAATTAGATTGTTTGTAACTCAAAGGATAAAAGCATGAGGGGATGGGTACCCCATTCTCCATGATGTGCTTATTTCACATTACATGCCTGTATAAAAATATCTCATGTACCTCATAAATATATACATCTAGTATGTTCCCACAAACATTTTTTAAAATAGCAAATTTTTTTAAATAATAGAATCATAAAAAGGTTCCAACTATATATTGGAAGGCCTATATCATTTTCAAAAACTTTCCTCCTTGAAGTTCTAAGTAAATGTGAGTAGAAATCCCTAACTTGGGAAGGTTTTGATTGAATTTTTCCCGAATCTCCTCTGCTTCAGTAAAGGCACATTTCATTTTATTTTATCTTCAGTGAGGATGCAGATTTGGAGGTTATTAACTCTTTAGATCACTCTCAAATATATAAAGACAATATTTCAGAAATAATATTTTAAAATTCTCTCATGCAGAAAATATAACAATCTTACAGTGTTCTAGATTGTGGCAATTTTTGAAGCTTTTAATGGATGAGAGGTTTTTATGTTGCCCAGGTTGGCCTTGAATGTGTAGCCTCGCCTCCTTATGCTCCAGGACAACTGGCCTGAGCCACCGCAGCTCCTGAAGCTTTTAAACGAGACTATAAAGGCCAAATTATTCATCCCAGCTTGAACATTTAACCAAAATTTTAAGGACTGAAATTATTAGACTCTGAAATGTTCTATCATTGTTGGAGATGTTCTAATGTATTTTCAAAATTTCACTATAATTTCAACCTTCTCAATTTATATTTCTCTAGCCCAGATGTTTTAAAATTGCTCATTATAAATCTTGTAGAAAAATTATCTATTATATGCTTATCTACTTGGATAACCCATTATATACTTGATCAAAACTCAGTCACTCAACATCTTCAGTTCTCCAAATCTCTTTTTATGACTCAGATCCCACTTATAATCCATAGACTTCATATCTTTTACCTGGCCCTTGGATTATCTTTATTCCAGCAAATCTACTCAGTCATTTTTATTTCAAACAATTGTTTATTGATTCCCTTCCATGCTATGTATTCTTTTTGGTAGGTCAGCCCAATTTATTTATACTAGATACATAAGAATTTTGTTTCAAGAGAAAATTCAAGTTTTCCCCAGTTAACTCTACCCCATATTTGCAATGCAGATATGGATTCAAATTTGGGGTTATCCCAAGTATTTTCTAAAAAATAATAACAAATGTGACCACTTATAAAAAAAAAAAAGGAAGAGAAAGAAATTAACAAACTAAGATGTGTTCTGGAATGACAGGAATTTTAGCACATTAACTTTGAAATCATTAATATCCAGCATAATGCCTAGTAAAGAGAAACCTCCTCCTTTTTTTAGTTAGGCACAAATGCATCTAATCTATGCCACAAATTGTGAATTTCAATTTAACAAATAATTATCGTATATTTTCTATGCATGAGATACTGTACTAGCCACTCAGTATAGAAAGGAGAAAAATATAGTCTCTGTAATCAGGGAGTTGAGGTTTCATAGACATCTGAAACAGGGAGTTGACAATGTCAACAGAGTACTATCAGTGTTATGATAAGATGAGTACATGGTTTTATGGGAGCATTTAAGAAAGATACTTTAGTTCTTAGACTAGGGTCATGGAAGACAAGGAGGAATTTACAAGCAACATGAAAGGGGTGGGTACATTTAGGCAAGAAACAGCATGTGCCAAAGCCCCAAGGCAAGAAAGAATATAAAGTTAGATAACTACAAATAGTTTTAAATGGCATACTTTAGCACACATGGAGAGTAATAACTACAGCTAAATCCAGAGAGCAAGGTAACACCACTTCCAGAACTTCAAGAACCATATAAGGGAATTTGGACTTACCTAGGAATTTTGAGGGTATATTTAAAATATTCTAACTGAGAATGGAGATGACATAATCATATTTCAACCCTGAAAATATAAATCTTTTTTGAAGAGCATAGAGTAAGTATGCCACATAAGAATGTGGAGAAAGTGGGTAATTGAGCATATTATATTGACTAATTCAGAGATGGGTTATGTGCATGTGGACTGACTCATTATCTAAGTTGTTTTCTGTTACTCGTATGTAATAATTTATTTTTTTTATCTATACCTTTCAAAGTTAAGGTGCACAGTGAAAGAAATCTCTGCAAGGGAGTATTACAGTGAGATAAGACCAGAGCTGGTGGGACGAATGACAGCACTGTTGGAAATATTATAAACTAGTGGCTGTGAAGATGAGAAGTTAGAATATAAGACTTCGTGATTAACTGGATGTGGGACTAAAATATGAATGATTCAGGGCTTACTTTAAGATTTAGACTTGGTAAATAGTTGCTTCTTAGAGTATATTTTATCTTCACTAACTAAAGCTTAAGGTCCTGGAGGGTGGAGACTTTTCCTTCCCATTGGCTGCATGCTGTACAGAACTCTCCTAGGTCAGGTTCCAGTGAGTAGTTGCGAACTAGCCATCTCGGGTTTAACAGCAAGGATATATTTGAAATGCTGCATGTATTGCTTTCTTTCCTCAGAAATTGTACAGTTCAATAGGGCTATCCTGGAGCAAAACTTAAAAATGAATAGGCACATGAAAGGTGGAGAGAATCCAGAATGTCACAAATGAATAGCATAAGCTTTCTTTGTCTATGATTGGAATTGAAGGAATGCCGAATGATTTTGGTTACCTTATCAATATGCATTATTATTTATTTTGATATCCTCTGAAATCACTAAACATGCAAATTTTGGTTTCCACTTATTTACCTTGTTTGTGCAAACACTTTTTCATGTAACAGCAAAAAGATTAGTAAATGATTCTTCAATATAAGCAATATTTACTAGAAAAATTACCAGCATACATGAGAAATGTGAATTACTTATTTTAATATAATGTGACTATTTAGAGTGAGCTCTAAATTACTAGAGGACAGCTTTAAGCAGATGTTTGAGAATGTGGTGTTCAGAGCAACATATGATGTACCACAGAGAAGTTGGTACAAGAGAAGCTGCCTTAACTGACCACATTGAAAAAACCTGCAAGATAAATTTTGCTCTCTAGTCTTTAAGTAAATTATACTCACTAAAGCCTGTGACAGCACAAATGCTTGTGGTCAACATACACATTTCTAATATGCTCACACCCTTCTGTTTCTGTAACTTGAGATGTTTACTTAATGAGTCAATTATATTTCTTACCACACGATATTGATTTTATTATTAATTTCTTGTCTTAAAAATTTGATTTTTACACTACAGATTAATATGGTTACTAATATTTTAAAGATAATAATCATTTGTAAAGAATCTTGAAAATTATTTCGAGATTCATGGAAACAAAAGAATGTAGTCTCTGTAGGAGAGATGGTTGACACACTAAATTTTGATTTGTTCTCTTTTCACAGGAAAAGAGCTGAAGCAATGCATATGGCTTCACAGCTGGAGACCACACTCCTCAGCCTCCTTACAACCAACCTGTCTTGTTTGAATCCATTCTCTTCAAGGGAATGAGAACAAAATTTACGTGTGCAGCTTCCAGGTCAGTTACAATTTATAATAAAAGTGAAATCTCTTGTTCTGGACTGATGCTTTCTTTAGACTGGAAAGCAGATTTTGCAATGATATAATTTTGGTCATGAAGATAAGGGCAATGTCTTATTAGTTGATAGAGAACAAGATGGAGAAAACCACCCTCCCTAGAAGTTCTCATGAGGCAGGGTTACCCTGTTAATTATACTGTTTCCTGATGGAGAAATGAACTTCTATCATATTTAAGCCATTGATTGTATTTTGGGATTTTCTTCATTACAGCAACTTAGTCTCTATCCAAAAAGACGATTTCTTATCCATCAATTCCATTCATAGAAATATAACCTAAATAAATAATCTTATATTGAAAAAGATAGTGCTCATGCATACTTTTTTCTTTCTTTGTCCCAAAGGAAAAATAAAGAAACATTCATAAATTAAAAACAAATAAAGTTTGTAATTTTCAAGAGGGGACTACTCCACACACAAATGAGACTATCACAGCTTTGAATTCTTAAGGAAATTTGAGAGATTTTATCATGTCCCAGATATTGGACATAAGTTATCTCTTTATATATGCAATTATCCTAAGAAATTTTCCAATTTTATCAATAAGGGATGTTGACAAATGAGCATACCCTGAGGAAAGGTATCAGGAATCATTCCATGTGGAAAAAAAAATGAAACAACAGGAAATATTTAGAGAAGAAATTATGTATGACTTGATAGGTTTATCTAATTGTTTCAGAACGACCCAGTATAATATAAATTAGACTGCAAATTAATCAGGGACAGAGTTAGGGTCAGTCATTGGAAGCTAAAACAAACCAAAACATAACACAAATTTCAGCTCTACTAAAGGAATATTTTTCTAATGTGTGGAGCCTCACATGAATGAAGAGCCAATTATCAATGATGTCCAAAGGAAGATGAAATAGTGTTCAGCTAGAGAATGGCATCTTAGGTTCCTTTTAATCCTGAAAATTCATAAATCTTTATTGATATTCTAGGCAGTTTTTCTTTATCAATACAAGTTACTAAAACTTTGCCTAATTTGAAAATCTTGAATATCAGTTTTTGTTTAGGTAATTGTTTTGACTTCCTCTATATAGCAAGAACACAAATTCTGGATGACACTGCTTACTTCCAAATCCTAGACCTAACATTAGGAAAAGTTGCTTGTGCTCTGTAATACTTGATTTCCTTATTTCTTTTTTTGGGATGGGTTGGCGGAGTTTCACTCTTGCTGCCCAACCTGAAGTGCAGTGGCACGATCTCAGCTCACTGCAACCTCCTCCTCCCAGGTACAAACGATTCTCCTGCCTCAGCCTCTCGAGTAGCTGGGATTACAGGCGCGCACCACCACGCCTGGCTAATTTTTTGTATTTTTAGGAGAAACGGGTTTCACCATGTTAGCCAGGATGGTCTCGATCTCCTGATCTTGTGATCCACCTGCCTTGGCCTCCCAAAGTGCTGGGATTACAGGTGTGAGCCACCGCGCCTGGTGGGTTTTCTTATTTCTAAATTATGTTTGATGATAGTGTCTGGTGCCCAGGCTTTTATGAATATTAAATAAGACAATTCAACTGCTAAACACAATTCTATTTTAAAAAATCAAAAAATGTGAGGTATTATTATATCCTCCTTAATTAAATCTCACTTTGTGTAATTTGCTTTTACATTATAGCATCATTTAAGTAGTCCGTTTGTAAAACAGCTAGCTATTTTTTATCATTCACCAAATCACTGTTAAAATTATCTTCATCATTATAATCTGAATCAACATTAAGAAAATTTAAATTGTATTAAGAATTCAATATCTCACATCCCTCAGATGGTATTTTTTAATTTTTAATTTTTAAATTTGACACATAATATTGTATGTATTTATCATATACAACACGATGTCTTGAAGTATCCATAAGTTTCTCTTGGTCTACATTTTCACCAGCTGTTCCATTATTAGTCTTTTTAAACTTAACAGTTCTATAATGATAGGTCACTATGGTTATAATTTGCATTTCTCTGAATAATAATGAAGTGGAGAATCTATATATGTTTATTTGTCATTTTAGTATTATTTAATTTTGAAGAATCTGTGAGCTTTTGCCCATTTATCTATTGAATTTTCTGTTTTTTATATATTTGTGAAGGTTTATTATTTAGTCTATTAAAAGCCTCTTACTGTATGTGCATTGCAAATAGCTTTTCCCAATCAGTGGCTTATTTTTTTCATTCTGTTATAAACAAAGATTCCTAATTTTATTTTGTAGAAATTTAAGTGGTACACTGCAGTTTATTTACATGGATATAATGTGTAATAGTGACGTCTGGGCTTTTAGTGTAACCATTAACCAAATAATGTACATTTTTTCCCATTAAGTAATTTCTCATCCTTCACCACCCTTCTGAGTCTCCAGTGTCTCTTTTTACACACTTCATGTCCGTATATACACATTATTTAGCTTCTGCTTGTAAATGAGAACATGCATTATTTGATTTTCTGTTTCTGAGTTGTTCCGCTTAAGATAATGTCCCCAGTTTCATCTATGTTGCTGCAAAATACATGATTTCATTTATTTCATTCTTTTTTTATGGCTGAATAGTATTCCATGTTATATATATGTTTGCATATGTGTATATATGTACATATATACACATACATGTATGTGTGCATGTGTGTATCTACACATAGCATTTTATCTATATACACGCCATTTTATTTATTCATTCATCTATCAATGGATAGAGATTGATTCCATATTTTTGCTATTGTGAATAGTGCTGCAATGAACATACAAATGCAGGTGTATTTTTGATATAATATTTTCTTTTCCTTTGGGTAGATACCCAGTAGTGGGATTGCCGGATCAAATGGTACTTCTATTTTTAGTTCTTTGAGAAATCTCCATTCTGTTCTCCAAACAGGTTGTATTAATTTACTAAGCATTCTTTTGCCTTCACATCCTCACAAACATCTATTATTTTTTTACTTTTTAATAATAGTCTTTCTGACTAGGGTAAAATTATATCTCATTGTGGTTTAAATTTGCGTATCTCTAATGATAAGAGAAATGATGTTGAATGTTTGTTTATATGCTTGTTGGCCATTTGTATGTCTTCTTTTGAAAAATGTCTATTCATGTCACTTGCTCACTTTATAATGGGATTATTTTGTTATTGCTGTTGAGTTGTTTGAGTTCCTTGTAAATTTTGGATATTAGT
Source organism: Homo sapiens (assembly GCF_000001405.40). Classification (NCBI taxonomy): domain Eukaryota; kingdom Metazoa; phylum Chordata; class Mammalia; order Primates; family Hominidae; genus Homo; species Homo sapiens. The sequence continues at coordinate 78,297,472 of NC_000006.12, read as the reverse complement.
CTTCTGTCATGTGCATAGTTTGTAAATACTTTTTTCCACTCTGTAGGTTGTTGTTTACTCTGTTATTTTGGTTGCTGTGCACAAGCTCTCTTGCTACTACTACCAGCATTTGAGGAAGCCACTATATTAAGGCTATTTATAACCAAAAAACTTAAGCAGTCTTTAACAATGAATGTACTCAGAAGCAAAGCCATACGGCCCTATTCAAAATACATCATTGTTGTATTCTCAGGGGGAAAAAGCCCCACCCCAACAAAATAAATTCAAAAATAAATAGAAGCAACTATTTCTCCAGATGCAAAAAATCAGCATAATAATACAGGAAATATGAAAAAACAAGGTATTATGACACTCCCAGTGCACTACAAATTGCCCAGACCAATGTTCTGAAGATTTTTCCAATGTCATAGTTTGGGGCCTTAGATTTAAGTCCTTAATCCATTTTGAGTTAATTTATATGTTGAGAGGGAAGGATCTAGTTTCATTCTTCTGCATATAGATATCCAGTTTTCCCAGCACCATTTATTGAAGAGACTGTCTTCCCTCCAGTGTATGTTCTTGGTACCTTTATTGAAAATGAGTTCACCGTTGGTGTGTAGATTTATTTCTGGGCTCTCAACATTCATCCTTTGGTCTATGTGTCTCTTTTTATGCCAGTACCATGCTATTTTTGTTACTATAGTTGTGTAGCAAAATTTTTGAAGTCAGGTAATGTGATTCCCTCAGTTTTGTTCTATTTGCTTAGGGTAGTGGGTCTTTTGTGGTTCCATATAAATTTTCTAATTGTATTTTCTATTTCTATGAAGAATACCATTGGTATTTTGAGCATTAAACCTATATGTTGGTTCAGTAGTATGGACATTTTAACAATATTGATTCTTCCAATCAATGAACATGAAATATTTTTCCATTTTTTGGTTTCCTCTTCAGTTACATTTATTAGTGTCTTATAGTTTTAATTGTAAAGATCTTTTACTTCTTTGGTTAAATTAATTCGTAGGCATTTAATTTTATTTTTGGTCAGTATAATGGGACTATTTTTAATTTTTTTTATTTTTCACTGTTAGTATATGGAAATGCTACTGATTTTTGTATGTTGGTTTTGTTTCCTGTAACTCTACTGAATTTGTTGATCAGTTCTAGTAGTGTTCTTCTGGAGTCCTTAGGTTTTTCCAAATGTAAGACTGTATCCTAAGCAAATAAGAAAAATTTGACTTCTTTCAATTCAATTCGGATGCCTTTTATATCTTTCTCTTGTTTGATCACTCTAGCAAAGACTTCCAGTACTTTGTTAAATAACACTGGTGACAGTGGGCATCCTTGTCATGTTCTAGATCCTATAGGAAAGGATTTCAGTTTTTCCCCATTCCGTATGACACTAGATGTGTGTCTGTCATATGTTGCTTTTATTATGTTGAGGTATGTTCTTTCTATTCCCAGTTTTTTGAGGGTCTTAACATAAAGGGATATTGAATTTTATAAAATGTTTTTTCAGTACTAATTGAAATGATCAGATGCTTTTTATCCTTCATTCTATTGATGTATTACATTGATTGACTTGCATATGTTGAATCATACTTGCATCCCAGAGATAAATACTACTTGGTCATGAAGGATGATCTTTCTAATGTATTGTTGAATTTGGGTTTCTAGTATTTTGTTGAAGATCTTTGCATCAATATTTATAAGAGATACTGACCTATAGGTTTTATTTTTTATTAATGTGTTGTTGTCCAGTTTTGGCATTAGGGGAATATTGGCCTCGAAGAATGAGTTTGGAAGTATTCTCTCCTCCTTTATTTTCTAGAATAGTTTGAGTAGGATTGATATTATTTCTTCTTTACATGTTTGGCAGAATTCAGCAGTGAAGCCATCAGGTCTTGGGCTTTTGTTTACTGGGAGACTTTTTGTTATGGCTTTGATCTTGTTATTTATTACTAGTCTGTTCAGATTTTGGATTTCTTCATTATTCAATCTTGGTAGATTGTATGTGTCTAGGAATTCATTTATTGTATCTAGATTTTCCAATTTGTTGGTATGTAGTTGCTCATAGTAGCTGCTAATGATCCTTTAAATTTCTGAAATACCAGTTGTAATGTCTCCATTTTCACTTCTAATCTTACTTGCATCTTCTCTCTTTTTCTATTAGTCTGGCTAAATATTTGTCCACTTACTTTAACTTTTTAAAAAGACTACTTTTTGTTTTGTTGACTTTTGTTCTATTTTTTATTTCAGTTTCACTTATTTCTTCTCTATTTTTTATTATTTATTTTCTTCAGCCAGTTTTGGGTTTGATTTGCTCTTGCTTTTCTAGTTCTTTAAGATGCGTCATTAGATTGTATATTTGAAGTTTTTTCTCTTTTTTGATGTAGGCATTTAGAGCTATCAGCTTTCATCTTAGTACTGCTTTTGCTGTGTCCCATAGGTTTTCGTATGTTGTGTTTTCATTATCATTTGTCTCAAGAAATCTTCTAATTTTTCTCTTAATTTCTTCATTGATCCACTGGTTATTCAGGGGCACAATTTTTACTTTTCATGTATTCATGTAGTTTTCAAATTCCTCTTGTTATTATCTAGTTTTATTCCTTTGTGGTCAGAAAATGTGCTTGATATTATTTCAATTTGTTTTGAAATATTTAAGAGTTGTTTTGTGACCTAACACATGGCCTATCCTTGAGAATAATCAATATGCTGAGGAGAAAAATGTGTATTCTGCAACCATTGGATGAAATGTTCTTTAAATATCTATTAGATCCATTTGGTCTCTAGTACAAATTATGCCTGATATTTCCTTGTTGATTTTCTGTTCAGTAGATCTGTCCAATGCTGAAAGTGGGGTGTTGAAGTCTCCAGCTATTATTGTATTGAGGTCTATCTCTCTCTTTAGCTATAATATTTGCTTTATATATCTCAATTCTCCAAATGTTGGGGTACATATATATTTAAAACTGGTATCTCCTTTTGCTGAATTCATCCCTTTATCATTATATAGTGACCCTCTTTGTCTCTTGCAGTTTTAGTCTTGAAATCTATTTTGCCTGATATAAGTATCACAACTCTTGCTCCTTTTTGGTTTACATTGGCATGAAATATGCTTTTTCATCCCTTTCCTTTCAGTCTATGTGTGTCTTTATAGGTGACATGTGTTTCTTGTAGGCAACAGATCAATGAGTCTTATTTTCCCATTCATTCAGCCAGTGTATGTTTTTTGATTGAAGAGTTTAGCACATTTATATTCAATGTTATTATTGATCAGTAATGACTTACTTCTGCCATTTTGTTATTTGTTTTCTACTTTTGTCATCATCTCTTCCTTCTTCCTTTCATTCCTGTTTCCCACTAGTGAAGTTGCTATTCAATTTTGCTGAGTCTTGATGTGATTGCATTATTTAAAACCTTTCTTAGTCATACTCTTTAAGGTCTAAAACTGTTGGTGTTTCCATAATCCAATATTTCAGATTTCTGGACTCTCTCTGTCATTTCATTTTTTTTTATTTGCACATTGTTCACTCTTTGCTGGAGATTATCTCTTCCTTCTGTAGGCATAGCATACATGCGAAGCATATATAGCATACTAAGGAAGGCCAGTTTTAAAAATCACCACTAAAAACTCATATCTTGTTTTCCAACCTCTTCTAGAGCTACAGGCACATGGTGTCCATATAATGCAGGTGACATTTCTGTCAAATGTTTTATCACAACGTTGTATGGCTCTGCAGATTTTCTGCTTCCCATAGTAGTTTATTCTTCCACCAGTCACCTCACAGCTAAGTCTATGCTTATATTTTCACAACATTCACTTCAAGATACCAATTCTACATGAATTAAAGTGACATAAACTCCTATAAAATATCTCAATCTCAGTAGCTTTATACAAAAAAAACTTTGTTTAGTTACATAACAATTAAATGCCAATATTCACAAGATGTTTAGGGACTCAGGTGACTTTTACCTTATGACAGTGGCTTTACCCTTTTCCATGTCCCTGAGTCTTCTACATTTAGTGAGTGGGGAAAGACAAGATGAATGACATCAAGCCTTATATGAGACAGATCAGGAAGTACCATTTTTTACTCCTAGACACTGTTCATTGACCCCAACTCAGTTAAAAGCCTGCACATAATGCAAAGGGAGGCTCAGAATTGTAGTTAAGCGGAGTGCTCAACAATAAAAGGGAAATAAGATTATTTTTTGGTTAAAGATATTTTAGGTTCTGCTACAAAAATATGGAGAATAATATGCAATAGTTAATGGGAATGTGAAAGAGCAGTGAAGAGGAGGAGAACATGCTGAAAGATGAATAGAAGGCATAAATAAAAAAGAGAAGTGAGGAATGAGAATTAGTTATTTAGTCTTTACAATAATGAATTAAGATGTATTGCATTTTATACCTTTACAGATAGAACACAACAGCCTTTAATAGCCTGTATAAATTATCTAAATTCACATCGCAAATTCACTTGATTATTCTTATATGCAACTTCAGGTATATCTAAAGAGTAAGCCTATGATCTTTTCTCTAGAATGAAAATTGATGCATATAGAAACATACCCATCAACATCCAATGGTATGTTTTATGTTCTATGAAGCCAAATTGTATGTTACACTATATTTTGAACCTCATTATCCTACCTGTATATTTATTTATGAGAGATATGGTCAGGTATACCATGCATAACAGTTGTTAATAATTTTTTAGTTAAGAAGTATGATTAATTACCTTTACTTGAATACAAACTGATGACAGTATATAACAAATAATCAAGACTTTCATTAAATATGCAAAATAAGATCTTTTCAAAATGGAAAGCTTTATTCTTTAAGTTTACATGCCTAAATGTTATTACATTGCTCATTCAACAAAACACACAGCATTTTATTTAATTATCATCATTTGTCTCCAAAAGCAAATATTTGCAAACTACATGAATTCCTCAAACACTCTATATCTTTATTTGCAGAAATGAGAAAGAAAGCCTCAGGCTGATGGCTTTTGTTCAAATTATACAAATGTATGAATAACTATAAATGACTAGTTATTATTATTACACTATAACAGAAATAAATGAATTCTCTTTATTTAAACAACTCTTTTTCTCTAACTAAAGTCTTCTTTGGGAGCCATGGGAGATCTGAATATGAAGCAAACTGTTTTTGTTTTAAAATATTCCCAAACAACCATGTAAACAAGGCTTTTATGTTGACTGTGTATATTATTGTTCTAACTAAAATTTTAAGCCTCTTAACAGGTTATTTATTTTGCCGTGTAAACATTTTCTACACATTCTGGTGTTTAGAGAGAAACCATCCCTCAAGCAACATTATTTAAAGCGGTTTTTCATTAGTCTTATTGTTCTGGAAAGCGGAAACTATTGTATTTCTAAGATAGGTTCACCCTCTTTATGTACGTAATTCTGAAAATATCTGAAAGGTTACATTTTAAACTAAGGTCATTATACAAATAAGAAAAACATTTATTTAAGACGGTTTATGAAGTTAATTATTAGAGTTTATAAAAAACAATTTAATGCATGTATGCTATCAATAATAAATACTGTGAAAATATTTGTTTAAAGTGTGGTCATGCAAGGCTCCTATATGCCTATAAGAGTAAGAAACATATGTAAATCAATACAGTTCTGATCATTTTCTACCATAGCGCCAGGTTCCCTTCAGAAACCTATGCTAGATTGTTCACATTCCACAGGGAGAAACAGTAGATTTTTCATTTGTTGGAATTATGTTTCTTATTCTAAAAGCAGAGAATTCTTATTTCCTTACTTCAAATTATCAAACTCCATAGTTAAGGAGTCTTTATTCAATATCTTTCCATAGTTTATTCTATTTCATTTCCTGTTAGCTATGGCAGATGCTGGGTAACGTGGAAATTTAAGGAACAGGAATTCTTCTCTGATGGCATGTTTTACACATTGCTGTAAAAATTGCTATTGAAGCCGTGTTATAGGTGCTTCTCCTTTATTACTGTGTTGATGTCAGTGAAAGGATTTATTAAAAACTAAATTTTTTTATGGAAAAGACTTCTATCACTCTAAGTCTTCACCCACTATTTAACAATATATTATTTTGTTTTGACCCCCTCAATTACACTAACAAACTCTCATCTCTGTTGAGGTAAAATTTTGCTCTTTAAATCTTTCTTGCTCAGATATCTTAGGGTATAATTTGAAACAATTTAAAATTTAAGGGGATCTCAGAGATCTTCTAGTTTGCTGTTCCTGTTGTACAGATGATGATATAAAAAAATCTTAAAGAAGTATGTGACTCAGTTAAGGGTAATCCACTTTTTAAAGTCAAAGGAAGCCCTGGAACACAGATCTTGTGATTCCAATTTTATGATTTCTTTTTAACTATTACTTGCTGACTACTCAGTATCCTTTTCCTAATCAAGTAAATAAAGATATTTGTAAGTTAATTTTCTATCTATAATTGATTCTGCCTGAGACACAGGAAGAGCTGTTTGAGTTCAACAATCATAATGGAAAGCAACAGCGATAAGAGTGTCCCTTCATCAGTTCCTGCTAATTTTTCATCTTATTGAGATATCCGTCTGTTTATTCTTGCTGTTATTGCCATATTTGGAAACTGGGAATATACAGATAAATTATAGAGAACATCTTTCATCATGTCTCCTGAGGAGTGTTCAAACAGGTTGGCATTTTCAAAGGAAGCTTTACCTAGATGACAGAAGAAGAATAGCAATATCAAAAACAGTCCCCTCTATCCCTTCCCTAAAGAAAAAAAAAACAAAAATACTAAGAGAAAGAAGACAATATAAATAATTAAAGGCAGACAACTTCATAAAGTACCAAAATTCTCTCATGATAAATGCTTTCTTTGTGTGTGAGAGGGATATAATCTTGAACAAAACCAGAAATGAAGACTGTTGGACAGTGAGAGTGTCATAGGCCTGTATAATGAGAACTCCTTCCAGACTTCTGTAGCATTTAATGAGGAGACTGGGTTTTGGTAGGGTGAGATTACTTGTGATTTTATCACTACCCATGCCTCAGTTTCTTTTGAGACAGAAAAAAACCTGAGAAGGGGGCTCTCTTAGATATCCCAGCGGGGTGTTAGATAAGCCATGCTTCTGGCTTTACAATACTCACTCTGACTGTCCTTCCTTCTAGCTTCCAGATTGCCCACCACTGTGTCTTCCTCCCACGTAGATTCAGTTTCCTGTCTAAGGATGGGTCTGCTTTACAGCTCAGTTGCTGCTTTAAAAAGCAGAACTGCTCAGCAATTGAAAAAAAGTGTTTCCACGTAAAAGCCAATCCATGTAACTGAAGTAAGTGACTGTCACCCAGGATGTGCTGATATGTCAATTTAAAGATGCAAGAAACATGAAAAAGCAAGGAAACATAATGCCACCGAAGGAAAATAATAATTCTCTAGTAGGAAATCACAAAAAAGAAAAATCTATAAAATATCTAAAAAGGAATTCAAAATAATAATATTGAAGAACTCAGCCAGATACAAGATAACACAGATAAACAATTGGGAAATTAGAAAATAATTTATAATCTGAATGATAAATTGCTAGATATGATAAAAAAGACAAACAGAAATCCTGAAGTGAAGAATTCAATCAGTGATATAAAAATACAATCAAAATCTTCAGCAATAGACTTCATCAAGCAGAATAAAGAATTTCTGACTTGAAGACAGGTCTTTTGAAATGTCATAGACAAAAGAAGAAAAAAGGACTTAAAAAGAATGAAGAAAGCTTATGTGACATATGGGACACCATAAAGTAACCAAATATTCAAATTTTGGGAATTGTGGAGAAAAAGAGATGGAAAACTTATGTAACAAAATGATAGGTTAAAATTTCTCAAGTCTTGAACAAAATATATACATCCATTTATAAGAAGCATCCATTTATAAGAAGCATCCATATACATGAATTCACCCAGATACAGGAAATGCAACAAATATTCCCAAGTAGATTCAATTCTAAAAGGTCATGTTTAAGGTAGAGTAAAACCATCAAAATAGCAAGAAAAAACATCATCAAATATAAGGAAATCCCCATCAGATCAACAGCTAATTTCTCAAAATTTTTCAGCAGAAACCTTATAAGCCAGGAAAGAATGGGATATTCAAAGTACTAACAATACAAAACAAAACAAAACAAAACAGAACAAAACATGGCAGTAAAGAATAATAAACTGTGCAAAGCTATTCTTCCAAAATGATGGAGAGATAAAGCCTTTCTCAGGCAAGAAAAACCAAGGGAATTTGTCACCAATAGGTTGATCCTACGATGCTTAAGAAATGCTTAAGAAAATGCAAAATCTGGGAGTGAAAAGATATCTACCCTCATGAAAAGACACAAAAGTACTAAGTTCACTGGTAGAGTATATACACGAATGAGAAAGAGAAAGCTATCAAATGTTGTTGCTACAAAAATAATCAAATTGTAAATGTAAAAAATAAGAGAATGAAAGAAACAATATACAATAACATTAGAAAATAATTGACAAAATGACAGGAGTAAGTTGTCACCTATCAATAACATTCCAGAACGTAAAAGGTTTAAATTCCTTACTTAAAAAGTATGTACTGGCTGAATGGATAAAAAATACAAAACCCAACTATATGCTGTTGACAAGAAACTTGCTTTACCTGTGAAGACACACATAGATTGAAAGTGAGGGAACAGAAAAGAATATTCCACACAAAGGGAAACAAAAACTGTGCAGGAGTAGCTTCACTTACATCACACAAAATAAACTTTAAGTCAAAAACATAAAAAAAGACAAAGGACATCATTATATAATAATAAAGGAATCAATTTTCAAGAGTATATAACATTTGTGAAGGTATATTCACCAACACCACAGCACCCTGATAGGAAAAACAGATATTATTTGAGCTATAAGAGAGATAGAATCAAAAGCAATAATAGCTGAAAAAAACCTCCCAACTCAGAAATGCTCAGAACTGAATGGCTTTACTGCTGAATTCTACCAAACCTATACAGAAGAACTAACATCTATTCTTCTCAGACTATTTAAAAAAACTGAAGAGGAGGGAATTCTTCCTATGTCATTGTATAGGGCCAGCTAAACCTGATTACAAAACCAGACAAGAATTCAACAAAAAAGAAAATTACAGGCTAATATCTCTGATGTATATAGATGCAAAAATTATCAATAAAGTACTCAAACTGAATCCAATAATACATGAAAAAGGTGGTACACTGTGATTATGTAGGATTTATCTCAGGGATGTAAAAATGATCTAACATATACTAATCAATAGAATTGATAAATCACATTAACAGAAAGAAGAACACAAATCAGCCCGGTGTGGTGGCTCATGCCTGAAATTCCAGCACTTCAGGAGGCCGAGGCAGTGGATCATGAGGTCAGGAGTTCAAGACCAGCCTGGCCAACATGTTAAAACCCCATCTCTACTAAAAATACAAAAATCAGCCAAGCATGGGGGTGCACACCTGGTGTCCCAGCTATTCAGGAGGCTGAGGCAGGAGAATCTCTTGAACCTGGGAGGTGGAGGTTGCAGTGAGCCGAGATTGTGCCACTGCACTCCAGTCTGGGTGACAGAGTGAGACTCCCTCTCAAAAAAAAGAAAAAAAAAGAAGAACACAAATTATATGATCATCTCAATAGATTCAGGAAAACATTTGATAAAATTGAACATCCTTTCATGATAAAAACTGTCAACTAATTAGGCATAGAAGGAACATATTTCAACATAATAGAGACCACATATGACAAACCACATCTAACATTATACTGAATTGAGAAAAGGTGAAATTGAGAAAAGGTGGAAACCTGCTGGAACAAGACAAGGATACCCACTGTCACCTCTCTTATTCAACATAGAACTTGATATCATATCCAGAGCAATTAGTCAAGAAAAAGAAGAGAAAACACACTCCAATCTAAGAGGAAGACAAATTGTCTCTTTTTGCAGATAACACAGTCTTTATATAGAAAATCCTAAAGATTCCACCAAAAACCTCTTAGCCGTGATAAGCAAATTCAGTAAACTTGCAGAATACAAAATCAACATATAAAACAGTAGCATTTCTATACACCAATAACAAACTAGATAAAAAAAAGAATATAAGAAAACAATATCATTTACAAGAGCTATAAAAATAACTAGGAATAAATTTAAACAAGTAGATGAAAATTGCTCTATTAGGAAAACTACAAAGCACTGATAAAATAAATTGAAGAGGATGAAAACAAATGGAAAAATATTCCATGCTCAACGATTGAAAAAATTGATATTGTTAAAATGACCATACTATTGAAAGCAATCTGCAGATTGAATGCAATTCCTATCAAAATACAATCTGGGCATGGTGGCTCATGCCTGTAATCCCAGCACTTTTGGAGGCTGAGGTGGGCAGTTAACCTGAGGTCAGGAGTTCAAGACCAGCCTGGCCAACATGGTGAAACCCTGTCTCTACTAGAAATACAAAAAATTTAGCGAGATATGGTGATGTGAACCTGTAATCCCAGCTACTTGAGAGGCTGAGGCAGCAGAATTGCTTGAACCTGAAGGGTGGAGGTTGCAGTGAGCCAAGATTGTGCCACTGTACTCCAGCCTGGGCAACAGAGGTAGAGTCTGTCTCAAAAAAAATAATACAAATGATAGTCTTTACAGAAATTAAAAGAAAAATTGTAACCGTAAAAACCTCAAATAGCCAAAGCAATCCTAAGCAAAAAAGACAAAGCTGGAGGTATCACACTACCTGAGTTCAAGATATACTTCTAAGCTATGGTAACCAAAACAGCAATATATTGGCACAAAAGCAGACACGTTAACCAACAGGGCAGAATAAAAAACCTGGAAATAGATTATTGTATTTACAGCCAACCAATTTTCAACAAATGTTTCAAAAACATATATTGAGGAAAGACACCATTTTTGATAAATATTCCTGGAGAAAACAGGTATCCGTATGCAGAAGAATGACACTAGATTCCCTATCTTGCATCATATTAAAAAAACTTAATTGATGAAAGACTTAAATATAACCCCAAACCATAAAACTACTAAACAAGAACATAGGAGAAATTCTTCAAAACATTAGTCAATGCAAATATTTTATGACTAAGACTTCAAAACATACAACAAAACAAAAAAATAGACAAATGGGACTATATTAAACTATAAAGCTTCTACACAGTAAAAGAAATGTTCAACATAGTAAAGGTACAACCTGTAGAACTGGAAAAAATATTTGTGAACTATTCATCCATCGGGACTAATATGCAGAATATATGAGGAACTCAATGCAACAACAGAATAATCAAATAATCTCCCTAAAAACTGGGCAAATAATATTAATATATATTTCTCAAGTGTAGACATACAAGTTTTCAATAGGAATATGGAAAACATGCCAACATCACTAATCATCAGGGAAATGTAAATCAAAATCACAGTAAGATATTATCTCGACCCAATTAGCATGGCTATTATCAAAATACACACACACACACACACACACACACACACACACACAAATGATAGCAAGAATATGGAGAAAAGAGAATTATATACTGTTGGTGGAAATATATATTAGTACAGCTATTATAGAAAAACAGTCTGGAGGTTCATTTTTAAAAATCTAAAAATAGAACTACCATATGACCCCACAATGCCACTGCTGGGTATTTATCTAGAGGAAAGGAAATCAGTATATTAAGTAGATACCTGCATTCCCATGTTTATTGCAGCACTGTTCACAATAACCAGGATATAGAACCAATACAAGTGTTTGTGAACAGATTAACAGATAAAAACTTTATAAATAAAAGGCTTTTCAGCCATAAAAATATAATACTCTGTCATTTGTACCATCATGGATGGAACTGATGGACTATGTTAAGTAAAATAAGCCAGGCACAAAAAGACAAATATTGCATGTTGTCACTCATATGTGGGTGTTAAAAAGTTTATCTCATGTAGGGAGGGTAAAACGATAGGTACCAGAGGCTGGAAAAAGTGCATAAATGAGGGTAGGGATGGGGACATAAGCAATAGTTTATTGTATATATCAAAATAGCTGGAAGTAAAGATTTGAAATGCTCTCAACACTCAAAAAGATAAATGTTTGAGGTGATGAATATCCTAATTACCTTAATTGATCATCATTATACATTGTATGCTTGTAGTAAAATCACACATGCACCTCTTAAATATGTACTATTATTACGTATCAATAAAAAAGAAAAAATATTACACAAAAATAACTTTATAGAAAAAAATGAATGTTTTCATTAACCATTAATTCTAAAAGTATCTATTTCATAAAACTGTTTTTTTATGATGGTTTTGAAAGTGAATATTAGTATAACAGTTCATTAGTCAATTATTAACAGTAAGACCTAGCTATTAACTGTAATGTAGATGCTAACCATTATTCAAAAAATTTTTTAATAGAATGTTTATTTGTGACTATTGGAACATTTTCAACAAATGCTCCAAAAACATACATTGAGGAAAGATACCATCTTTGATAAATGGTCCAGGAAGAAAACAGATGTTCATATCCAGAAGAATGACACTAGATTCCCTATCTCTCACCATATTAAAAAAATCTTAATTAATTAAAGACTTAAACATAAGAGCCCAAACTATAAAACTACTAAAGGGTCTAGGAGTGGTCGCTCACGCCTGTAATCCCAGCACTCTGGGAGGCCGAGGCGGGTGGATCACTTGAGGCCAGGAGTTTGAGACCAGCCTGGCCAACATGGTGAAACCCCATCTCTACTAAAAATACAAAAATTAGCCAGGTGTAGTGGTGGGCACCTGTAATCCCAGCCACTTGGGAGGCAGAGGCATGAGAATCACTTAACCAGCAAGGCAGAAGTTGCAATGAGCCAAGTTGGTGCCACTGCACTCCAGCCTGGGCAACAGAGCAAGACTCCATCTCAAAAACAAAAACAAACAACAACAACAAAAAAACTACTAAAGAAGTAATGGGGTAACTTTTATGTGAATCTCTCCATACAAACTTAATTACAGTTCAACTTTGGAAATAGGGTTTTAATAAATGTGTATGTTAGGTTAGTGATTAACAGACTGAACTATTGCTATTTTTAATATTTTAAAAATTCAGTTCAGCATTCAGTGATTATTTTGATTATTAAAAGTCTTAATACAAAATCTAATTTAAAAGCAAATTAGAGTTTTTTCCCCCCAAGATGGTGGATTGAAGGCATTGCTAGCATATCTCTCACACTTGGAAGGACAAAATAGTGTGCAGAGATTCACACTGTGAATTTTTTTCAAGAAGTGACACAGGAACTGAACAGGAAAACCGGAGGAATTTATGGACACTTTGAAGGATGCTAGAGGCTGCAGCCTACAGTGTGAGTCAGGCAAAGGCTGTGAGTACATAGAGTATGAGAAGGGGAGAGTTTGCCTCTAGGATATACACTCCCACTGGGGACCCTGAAAGCTCAATACACGGGGGAAGGCCCTAACCCCACCCTGTGCAGAAACAGAGTTGGGGAGGGTCATGGAGTATAAAAGTAGGATCAGCAGTGGGAAGACCCTTGCATGGACTCCTAGATCCCAGTGTGAACTGAGGGTAGCTATTCTTTACTGTTCCTCACAAAGGGTGCTGAGGAAGAGAGCCAAACATTTCAAGTGGTGGCCACAGGTAGAAAGAGGCTCCCAAAGGGATTTAATAATATAACTTTGGGTGGACACGAACTCCCTTGGCCAGGGCCAGGATGGGGAGAGTGAAAAGCGTGCCATGAGTGCAAGAGTCATGAGTGTAGGCCCATGGGTGCAGGAGCCCTGGGTGCAGATGCCAGGTGCCTGGCTTTGCAGCAGACAGAGAAGGGCAAGGCCTAAAAGCCATGGTTGCTTTCTCTGTGGGAAAATCTTATGACTACTGTTAGTGGTGAGTGCTGATTACCGCCTTACCAACTCAGTTCACTGTTGCCGGTAGAACACTGTGGGAGTAGATCTGCCTTGCTAAGTGTGTGGGAACTGTGGGGCTTACCACCCCATGGGGCTTACTCCCCATTCCCTGCACAAAACCTTCTGTGTAGCAGAGGTAGCAACACTCTCCTCTGGAACATCAACCCAGCGGTTTGAAACCTGCCCCTGTCCCCAAAAACCCACAGGGGCTGCTGTTTGCCCTACACACAGAGACTCAGAATGCAAACCTGCCCAACCCAGCTCCCACCTGGCTTTGCCCTGCCATCGGCCCTGGTAGCTCAACAAAAAGATCAAAATCTCTTGGGAGCTACTTGGCCCTGCCCATTGCCTGAGAAATCAGAGATACTCCCCTCCAACAGGAAACATAAGGCAAGCAAAACTGCCACGGTTGCCACCACAGCTGATGCTTTTTGGCAAGCACCACCTCCTGGCTGCAGGACAACCGACACAGTCCATTACTGTATTTCTTGGTAGAATAACACCGTGTCCAAGAAGGAGAAGGCTGTGCATCTCAGCTATCACCATTGCCTACACCGCTCTGGCTAACCAGGGGCTCCTGAATCTGTCCATGTGACCAGTTCATCACTGCTATAACCAGTGTTCAAGAAAGCCAACACACTAAGACTATCAATAACCAAGGAACTTCACAGAATCTATGTCACTCCTTTGCCACTCCCATTAGAGCTGGTGCCATTACCCACTGCTAGAAAACTTGAGGACAGGTCACATCAGTGGATCCCTTGCAAACATTTCCCCAACACCAGCCTGGAGTGGGGCAATTCCACTGAGCAGCTAGACCCAGAGGAGCAACAACACCCACAGTAGTCTGGCTCCCAGGGATTCCCACTCCTAGGGGAAGGGAGAGTGCTTTACCCACAACTGGTCCCTACCCAGGGATACCTCCCCTACTGGCCTGAAATCTGAACCATCAAACCAGTAAATAAAACATGGGGGGAAATAAATAAATAAATAAAGTGCCACCGCAGGGGATTGAGATAAGCTTTAAGAGACCTCTACCATTCCAACCCCAAGAGAACACACTGTAAGACAAAAGAATCCAGATGGCAGGCCTTGACCACAGGATCCTTCCACTGGTGGAAAGCTTCCTTCAGCAGCAGTACTGTTGAGGTGCGGGGCTAGGCAGGGAAGGTCTTCAGCTCTCAGTCAGACAGTTCCAACAGTCAGACAGTCCTGGTATCCATGAAGAGTACTGGAGAAGAGGAAGCCTTTCCCCCCTTATCCACCATCATAGGCGCAGTTTGGGTTTCTCCAACAGGAGCTCAGTATGGGTGCAACCATAGACAGCATTTCTGGAACACATCAGGGTACTGCATCCCCACAGAAGGAGCACTACCTGGGTTCAGGCTTGCATGAGAGACAGAGTCACAATTCCTCTCTACTTGGAAGGTCAACATTTCTACAGATGAAAAGGGTGCCTGCCTGATCTGAATAACCAGAACACTGGGATAGTAGCATGTCTGAGAGGTGGATAACTTTCCTACTGACCTGGCAGGGAGCTAAAGTGGTTCCAAAACTTCACTTGATAAAACCTCAGTGCAACTCACTTAAGCTCCTCCACTTACCTCTGTCAATGCTGGGACTTTATTTATCCACCTGCTTTACCTACAACTGGTCCCTACCCAGGGATACCTCCCCTACTGGCCTGAAATCTGAACCATCAAACCAGTAAATAAAATATGGGGGGAAATAAATAAATAAATAAAGTGCCACCACAGGGGAATGAGATAAGCTTTAAGAGACCTCTACCATTCCAACCCCATAGGAGATACTGAATTTGTTTCCACACTGAGCCCATTGCTACTATACCAGCATATGAGAAAGCCATCATACAAACACTTTCTATAACCAAGGGACTCTTCAGAGTCTTTGACCCTGAAAGCACCAAGAACCAAATTAGGCTACAATTAACTCAAAGCATTGAAGTCTCATCCTTAAAGAGGAAAAAAATTAAAAGCAAACAAACAAAGGAAACACAATTAAATCAAATGTAAAATAAAGAATAATTAGAAAAAATAGTCTACCCAAATGAGAAGGACCAGAAAAATAACTCTGGTAATATGACAAAACATGGTGCTATAACACCCGCAAAAGATCACACTAGTTCTCCAGCAGTGGACCCAACCAAGATGAAATTTTTGAAATACCAGATAAATTCAGAAGGTTGATTATTAAGCTACTCAAGGAGATATCAGAGAAAGGCAAAAAAAAAATCATAAAGAAATTTAGAAGGCAGTTGAGGATATGAATGAAAAATTTTCTAGAGTGATATCGTAAAGAAAAATTAATCAGAAACTCTGAAAATAAAAGATACACTTGGGCAATAATTATAAAATGCCGTGGAAATGTTTAACAATAGGCTAGAACAACTAGGAGAAAGAATTTTCGGAGCTCAAAGGCAAGGCTTTTGAATTAACTGAATCAGACAAAAATAAAAAAGAATAAAAATGAACAAAGTCTCTAAGAAATATGGAAATACATAAAATGAATAACAATAATTGGCTTTCCTTCTCCTGAGGGAGAAGTGAAAATAATAAATCTGGAAAACATATTTGAGGGAATAGTTGAGGAAAACTTCCTGGTCTGGCTAGAGATCTAGATATCCAAATCCAAGAAGCTCAAAAGACTCCTGGGAAATTTATTGCAAAAAGATCTTCAGCAAGACATATAGTCATCAGGCTATCTAAAGTCAACAGAAAGAATTCTAAGAACAGTAAGGAAAAGCATCAAGTAAACCATAAAGGAAAACCTATCAGACTAAGAACAGACTTCTCCACGGAAACCTTACAAGCCAGAAGGGATTGGGGTCCTAATTTCAACCTTCTTAAACAGAACAACTGTCAGCCAAGAATTTTGTTTCCCATAAAACTTAGTTTCATAAATGAGAAATAAAGTCATTTTCAGACAAATGCTGAGGGAATTTGTCACTACCAAACCAGCACTAAAGGAAATACTAAAAGAAGTTCTAAACCTTAAAACAAAAACCCAATATGCAGCAAAATAGAATGTCTTAAAAGCTTAAAACTCACAGGGCCTATAAAACAATAATGCAATGAAAAGAAACTATCTGTGTAACAATTAACACGATGAGGAGAACAGTACTTCACATTTCAATATTAACGTTGAATGTAAGTTACCTAAATGCTCCATTTAAAAGATACAGAATGGCAGAATGGATTTAAAAAATCACAATCCAAATATCTGCTGCCTTCAAGAGACTCACCTAACAGGGAAGGATTTATATAAACTCAAAGTAAAAGGGTAGGAAAAGGTATTCCATGCAAATGGAAACCAAAAGTGAGCAGGAGCAGCTATACTCATATTAAGACCAAACAGATTTCAAAGCAGCAAAAATTTAAAAAAAGACAAAGATCATTACTACATATGTGATAAAAGGATAAATTCAATAAGTAGATATTATAATCCTAAATATGTATGCACCAAACACTGGAGCTCCTAGATTCATAAAACAATTACTACTACATCTAAGTAATGAGATAGCAATACAGTAATGGTGAGAGACTTCTATATACCACTGACAGCACTAGACAAATCTTTGAGACAGAAAGTCAACAGAGAAACAATAAATGTAAAGGATACACTAGAACTAATGGGCTTACCAGGTATTTATAGAACATTTTACCTTAAGATCTGTAGAATACACATTCATCTCATCTTCACATGGAACATTCTCCAAGGCTGATCATATAATAGGTCACAAAACGGGCCTCAATAAATTTTTTAAAATGGAAATTATATCAAATATCTTCTCAGACCACAGCAGAATAAAACTAGAAATCAACTTCACAAAGAACTGTAACAGCCCAATTGGTTCACATTGCCTGCTGCCTAGACAGAGCTGATTTATCAAGAAAAGAGAATTGCAGTGGTGAAAAAATAATTCATGCAGAGCTGGCCATGCGGGAGACTGGAGTTTTATTATTACTCAAATCAGTCTCCCCGAGAATTCAGGAATCAGACTTTTTAAAGATAAATTGGTGGGTAGGGGCTTGGGAAATGGGAAGTGCTGATTGGTCAAGTTGGAGATGGAACCATAGGAGGTCAAAGTTAGGTTTTCTTAATGTCT
Source organism: Homo sapiens (assembly GCF_000001405.40). Classification (NCBI taxonomy): domain Eukaryota; kingdom Metazoa; phylum Chordata; class Mammalia; order Primates; family Hominidae; genus Homo; species Homo sapiens. The sequence goes on along the minus strand of NC_000006.12, from coordinate 78,279,407 downwards.
TCTGTACTTGGGTGCATTGGCAGAACTGGTTGGGCCAGATTACTGGTCTGGGTGGTGTTGGCTGATCTATGGAGTTCAGGGTCTGCAAAATATCTCAAGCACTGATCTTAGGTTTTACAATAGTGGTGTTATCCCTAGGAGCAATTTGTGGATTTTCAGACTCTTGGAGCCAGAGGCTGTATGACCCCTAAATTATAATTTTTAATCTTGTAGCTAATTTATTAGTCCTGAAAAAGCAGACTGGACACCAGGCAAGAAAGGGTTGTTATCAGTTTTGTTTCAGAGTCAAACCATGAACTAAATTCCTTCCCAAAGTTAGTCCAGCCTACACCCAGGAATGAACAAGGACAGCTTAAGGGTTAGAAGCAAGATAGAGTTAGTAAGTTCTGATTTATTTCACTGCACTGTCATAATTTCCTCAGTTATAATTTTGCAAAGGCAGTTTCAGAACCCTCAAAACTATACAAAGACATGGAAATTAAATAATCTTCTTCTGAATGGTATCTGGTTAACAATAAAGTCAAGACAAAACTTTAAAAATTCTTTGAATTGAATAATAGTGCAATAACTTATCAAAACCTCGAGTACAGCAAAAGCAGTGCTAAGATGGAACTTTATAGCACTAAATGCCTACATCAAAAAGTCTAAAAAAGCACAGTTGACGATCTAATGTCGTACCTCAAGGAACAGAAGAAACAAGAACAAAATAAACCTAAAGCTAGAAGAAGAAAAGAAATAACAAAGATCAGAGCAGAACTCAATAAAATTCAAACACAAAAATATATGAAAATCAATGAAACGCAAAACTCATTGTTTGAAAAAATAAAACTGATAGACTATTAGCTAGATTCATCGAGAGAGAATACGTCACAGAAAACAGAATTAAAAACATCACATAAACACAATTAAAAACAAAACTACATGACCATCTCAATAGATTCAGAAAAATCATTCAACAAAATCCAGCACCCCTTTATGATAAAAACTCTGAATAAACTAGGCATAGAAGAAAACTACTTCAAAATAATAAAAGCTATAGATGAAAAACCCACAGCCAATATCATACTGAATGAGGAAAAGTTGAAAGCATTCCCCCTGAGAACAGGAACAAGACAAGGATGACCACGTTCACCACTCTTATTCTACATAGTTCTATAAATACTAGCCAGAGCAATGAGTCAAGAGAAAGAAATAAAGGCCATCCAAATTGGAAAAGAGGAAGTCAAGTTATCGTTGTTTGCCGATAATATGATTGAATACCTAGAAAATCCTAAGACTCCTCCAAAGACACTTAGGTTTGATAAATGAATTGAGTAGTCTCAGATTACAAAATCAATGTACACAAATCAGTAGCACACCAAAAATGACCAAGCTGAGAATAAAAGCAAGAATTCAATCCCTTTTAAAACAGCTGTCAATAATAAAAAATAAATAAATAAAAAAGAAATCCAGGAATATACCTTAACCAAGGAAGTGAAAGATCACTACAAGGAGAACTACAAAACACTCTGGAAAGAAATCATAGCTGACACAAAGAAATGGAAATGCATCCCATGTTTATTCATTGGAAGAATCAATATCGTGATAATGACCATGCAGGCCAAAGCAATCTACAGATTCAGTGCAATTCCCATCAAACACCTAACAGCATTTTTCAAAGAATTAGAAAAATAAAGCAAGCCTAAAATTAATTTAGAACCTAAAAAGAGGCTGGATAGCCAAAGCAATCCTAAGCAAATGAACAAACTTAGAGACATCGCATTACTGGACTCCAAATTGTACCACACGGGTACAGTTACCAAAACAACATGGCAATGGTATAAATGTAGGTACATAGGCTCGTGGCACAGAACAGAGAACCCAGAAATAAAGCCAAATATGTACAGCCAAGTGATATGTCAAAGCATACAAAAACACAAGTTGGTGAAGGAATACCTTATTTAATAAATGGTGCTGGGAAAACTGACAAGCCACGTGTAGAAGAATGAAACTGAATTCCTAACTCTCACCATATACAAAAGTAAGCTCAAAATGGATCAAAAACTTAAGACCTGAAACCACAAAGATTCTAGAAAACAGTGTTACAAAAACTCTTCTAGACACTGGCCTAGGCAAAGAATTTATAACTAAGACCACAAAAGCAAATGCAACAAAAACCAAAATAAATAAATGAGACTTAATTAAACCAAAAAGCTTCTGCACGGCAAAAGAAATAACATAGTAAACAGATGATCAACAGAATGGGAGAAAATATTTGCAAGCTATGTATCCAACAGAGGACTAGTATCCATAATCGATAAGGAAATCCAACAAATCACCAAGGAAAAAACCCCAAATAATTCCATTAAAAAGTAAGCAAAGAACATGAATAGAAATTTTGCAAAAGAAGATACACAAACAGCAATCAAACATATGAATAAATGCTTAACATCACTAATCTTCAGGGAAATGCAAATTAAAACCACAATGAGCACCTTACTCCTGCAAGAATAGCCGTTATTGAAAAGTCGAAAAACAATATATGTTGGGGTGGATGTAGGGAAAAAGCAGCTTGCACTGCTGATGGGAATGGAACTTAGTACAACCTGTATGTAGGACAGTATCAAAATTCCTTAAAGAGCTAAAAGTACATCTACCATTCAATCCAGCAATCCCAATACTGGGTATATATCCCAATGAAAACAAGTCATTATATGAAAAGGACCCTTGCACACATATGTTTATAGCAGCACAATTCACAATTGCAAAGATGTGGAATCAACCCAAGTGCCAATCGACTAATGAGTAAAGAAATTTCTCTTCTCTTCTAAAACCTCTCTTCATCTTGCAGATAATATATTTATGCTTAATAAAAAATAAAATAGAAGCTATCAAAAGAGGGCTCCCTTACCTTGCCATTACCAAATTGAGAGTTGTACTAGCATCTTCCTCGTTGCTGTTCTTACCCTGTTAAGGTGAAAAAGTGCCCTCCTTCTATGATATCCAAGTGCTCACTTGTGTTTCAGAACCCTTCACCTTTCTTACCTTTTCCTACATTTGCTTCTGTAGTTTTTCCTGCTTTCCACAGTGTTATCACTTTCTTTCCCTGTATTGGTTAATTTTCACTAATCCTGAAAACACGTGCTAGTACTTTCCATCTTGAAAAGTAAATGCGAAATATAGACAGTTAAAATTAGTATTCCTACAGGGGCCTGCTCCACTTCTATGCTTTCCATTCAAAAAGGGAATTTGTAAGCTGATGAGTCTATTCTAGAGAAACTCCCCAATTTTGGCAAAATTGGGAAGGGGGCACCATAAATTCCACTTTCCTATTGTAGTGTCCTGTGATAAGGTGTAAGTTGCATACAAATTAAAGGAAATATTTGCAGTTTTGTATTTAAATGAGGCAGACAGAAGCATCAGTCTCAGTGTCCATTCTTAATATTAAGCCTATCCTCATGTCATGGGCTATACTAGAACGCTCACAGCAGGGCCTTTATGGGCTGCTCCCTGGTGTACCCAACTGTGACTCATACCAGGTCTGATGGCTAAAGTGGAAGTACCTAGCTTTTTCAGGCAGAGTGAGTCTAGTGAAACTATTTCTCTGAATACTGCTTGTCTTTATTTACTATTTGATATTCATCTTTCTATCTTAAGCAACTGGAGTATGCTAGCATGTAGTAAGAACTCAGCTATATTTTTGGATGAATAAATCCTTCAGAGGAAGGTTAGTCATAATGTATTTTATGAAAAAAAGCTCATTAAGGTGTCTTCTACTGTCTAAAATTAAATATTTGCAAACCTGTATAATCTGAAATAGTGAATTATATGATATTTGTTTGATAAGGGGACAACATGGAAAGTAATAATGAAAATTATCATGGGTTAATATACCACTGTCCCATTATGCTAAAGAGAAATATTATAGAACTCAGTAGATAAATATTTTATTTAAATTAGTACCATTTTTGGATACTGGTCAATGGTCCTTTAATATATCAGTATGTTAAGATAATCTCTTTCTAAGTGTTCAGAATAAAAGTATGTCTGGCCTTCACAAAAAATCACTTTGAAATAAATAAAACAACAATTAAAACTGTAATCTGAGTTATTTTTGGTAACATTTTGCTTAAGTTGGATTAGTGTTTTTATTGGTCTCCTAAATATCTATCTATATTAAGGCCACTTTTACTTAAGATTATTATTCTGTCAAATGATATAAATTATTTACTGAGCTTGATAGTTTGATAGTTTTATTTTTGATAAACAAGAAACCTAAGTGATTGTGGAAAATAAACTACAACAGTTACGGTTAGTGACTTCACAGTATGAAGACTGAAAATGTAAGAAATGGGACCATTACATTATATAGATTTGAAATAATCTTTTTCCTTCTTGGTTCCTTGAATTAAGTAATTATATAAAAGAGACCATATTTTATATAGTAGTGATACATTTGTGGAATACTAAACAAAAATATAAAACTATTATTTCATCAGTAGTGTCAATATATAAATGTCCTTTTAATACTGATTTAAAGTATTTATAAGTCCCAACGGTGACCATCTATCATCTGCTATGTCAAATATCAGCTTCCTTACCCACATTCCAACTTGAATCATGTTTCTGATGGGTGCTGCTGTTAACGTACTGTAGCTATCACTGCAGTCATCATTGATCAGCAAGGAGTATTCTATCCATGGAAAGCTAATTATTTAACTTTTTAATTATTTAAATTACATTATTTAATTTAATTATTTATAGTTATTTAACTTGGTGCCAAAGTTAACCTCAACCATTCTCTTGTAATGAAGCTGGTCAGAAAGAATAATGGCAACATATAGAGGGAAGTAGAGCTAAGAATTGAAGATTGAGCCTAGTTTGCCTCAAATTCTTTGGTTCCAGTGTACCTGAAGTTTAGTTCTTTCCTTCCTACAGTTAGTGAACCAGTAAATTCTCCTTTTACCTATGAAGTTTGTTATGAGTTTCTGACATTTGTAACCAAATTATTTCTAACTCTATCTTGATTCTAATCATTTTTGAAGACTGTACATCTCTGTTATAGAATCCATATTTCTGCCCACCCAATATTCATATGTTGATACCCGAACCCCAAATGGGATAGTATTAGGTGTCTCCTTTGGCAGGTAATTAGGGCTAGATGAGGCTATCGGGGCAAAGACTCCATGATAGAAATAGCATCCTTAAAAAAAGAGAAAGAGAATAGATCTCTTTCTCTCTCTGCATTGTGATGTTATCCTGAGAAGACAGACAATCATAAACCAGGAAGAAAGCCCTAGCCAGACACTGGATCTTCCAGCACCTTGATTTTGGATTTCCTAATCTCCAGAACTGTGAGAAATAAATGTTTGTTGCTTAAGCTACCCAGTCTATGGTATATTGTTACAGCATCCCAAACTAAGACAATATCAGTAAAGAGAAGTGTGTTTACATTGGTTAAGTCTTTCTGAGTCAATACCTTGATTGTTTCATTGTTATCAAGTTACCCATTCTTGAAAAGGAGATATTACTTTGAAGCGACGACTAGCAAAAGTTCCTCAGGAAGCAACCGTGATGATAAACATAGGAGAAAACAACACACACACAAAAATAAACAAACAACTGTGAGAAACAATAAGCCTGAGTAACAGTTACTATAAAATGTGGCATTCAATAAAACTCTAGGTGAAAATTTGACCCCTTTCACAAGTGAAATGAGCAACTGGACCAGTGCTATGAAGTTATTGTCGATAGTTTAAATGTAAAAAGTAAATTATGGTTGCAAGCATTTTTTTTTGGATTTGGGAGCTATGAAAAGTTCAGGTTATATATAAACTCGCTGCAGAGAGGGCATAAAAACATAGTACTACATTGATCTGTCCTTGCACTATACTTACTTTAAAGTGGAAATTTTTAAGATTCAAGGTCTTTTTTCAGTGTTATCAAGGGAAGTAGGTAATTAGATACTTACAAAGACTATTTCATATAATAAAAATAGGACTGTTTGTCCTGCACAGTTCAAGATATCATAATTGTATTAATGAGATATATGCTATTATTTTAGAGATCATCTTTATTATTCAAAAGGAGCCAGTCATCCTGTACTGAACACTCAGGCTAACTCTATAGTCACTATCAATTTCACTGTTTTGTGTGGTCTGATTAATCTCTATGATAATGTGAACTTAGGTAACAATATAGAAAAATTACCAAAAAAGATGTATAAAATGGCCCTTGCTCTGAAGGATCTTTAATAAAGATTTAAAAGTAATCCCAATGAAACTGATTAAGTCAATTAAATGATGTTTTTAATAAATACATAAAATTCTTACAAAAAGACATAAATCTTATCACTGGACATAAGAAGGCTTGATGTTGAAAGAAGTGAGATCTGAAAAGATAATGAAGGATGCTATGGTCAGAAAAAAGACCTAGACTAAGGCACCAAGGGTATACAAAAGGAATGGGTTATTGTGTGTGGGAAGCTGTGTGGATATTGACTTGAGTGAGTCTATTTAGAAAAAATGAAATTATTGTCTATTTTACCACCATGAGAAAACTTCTAGATGTATTGTTGCCAACTTTGAAGGGGCTATATCTTCACTTTGGGTGTGCTGTGGGAATATCTCAGAGGTAAACCATTTGAAGGTCACTTGAGAATAAAGACCACTTCAGGGAGAAATCCAAAGATTGTCCATTTGGCAGTAGAAAATGAGAGGAAAATTATCTCAAAGGGAACTGAGAAAGATTTTATCACTCAGACACAGACAAATAGCTCCCAGAGCCACTGACATTGTAGTTGAGTGAGAGGTCCATATGGCTACCAACCATGATTGGAATGTTCTTTTAAAATCAGGTAAAAGTAAATTCTAGTGGAAGAATACTTGATTGGCAATTGGGAAAAAATATCAAATGTATTTAGATGTCATGAAAGAGAAAAACAAATAATGTTCTCAAATGTCAGCTTCAACTTAATTATGCTGCAGCATCTAATACTGATTTAATGAGTAAAATCCTGAAATGAAAAGGTAAATCTAAAGCCATATGCCTTTCCAATTGTTAAGTATTTATGGACAAATTTATTAATACCCTGGAGTTTTTGAGATGGTTACAAATACAGAAATATTCAGAATCCAGATGTAGCAGGCATGTATTTCAAACCACCAAGCTAAGCCATATCATTAAATACTTCTATTTATTCTTCTATACCTCTATTTAACTGAATTCTTTTCTAAGGAGAAGAAAACCTCACCCCACCAATGCCAGCATACCGTAGGTTGTCAACACTTATCCCTACTTAAGCTTGATATCCATGTCTATGCTGCTACCCTGTTCTCCAGTCATTAGGTACTTGCTATTTACTCTGTCTATCCTTTGCAACTAAAAGGTCTCTCTGGCCTATCTTGAATCAATATGGGACAGGACAAGCTATTTTCAGATGATCTCCTGCATCGTTAAGGACCTCTGATAGACTGAGGATGGGTCCTATTTCAATCTATATATCGGACTATACTGTTTTGCCACCATTACAATTCTGCTGATGCTAGCCTGTGTGAGCAGTGAATTCTCCATGAGATTATATCTCTTCTGAGTTCCATAAAGCAAGTTGAGCACAAACACTCTCTGGTCTCTGAGTCCCATACCTATGTGTTGGTTTCTGTTTCTCTCTACCTCTAAAATTTCAACTTCAGAAATTGACAGGGGACAGAGCCCACTTTTTAGAAAATGATAACCACAGACTCATTCCCTTGGCTTCCTGTTTTAGTCCTCTTGTAGAAAACAGAGTTATTCCTGGGATATGGTTATTTGTCAGCTTTCTTTTTATCTGACTGGGGTCAAGTAACTTCTTCAGGCTAAAAAGTACATGGAAGATATTTTTTTTTTCCTAGACCAAGGCAGTTAAGCAAATGTACAACCTTAATATTCTCCTTCTTACATTCTTGGCTACCTGTTAACACCCACGATGATCTTAAAAGAGATATATTTAAAAAAACAAATCTTCCATCAGCTCAGTGTCTGTCAATGATTTCAGGAGGCAGAACTGGCCTTTGTGCCACTCCCAGTTACGAACCATTAACACCTTCACGGTATTTTAATGCATTCAAAAATATACTTTCATGGTTTTAAATCTCATAAACTTAGCATTTGTTTGTCATAATATCTGGTATGACTGAAACAAACACATTTGTTTACAGAGAAACCTTAAGTTCTGTTGCTTTTAGTATTTGTCTCTTCACATTTAAAACCAAGTTTTAGAAATGTAAAAAAGAAACAACTTTTCTGTCTTAACAAGCTGGCTCTCACAGACAAAATATAGTTTGTCTTTTACGACTTTTTCTTTGCTTTAACTCTGCAAAGCATATTTTTTATTATTATTATACTTTAAGTTTTAGGGTACATGTGCACAATGTGCAGGTTAGTTACATATGTATACATCTGCCATGCTGGTGTGCTGCACCCATTAACTCGCCATTTAGCATTAGGTATATCTCCTAATGCTATCCCTCCCCCCTCCCACCACCCCACAACAGTCCCCAGAGTGTGATGTTCCCCTTCCTGTGTCCATGTGTTCTCACTGTTCAATTCCCATCTATGAGTGAGAACATGCGGTGTTTGGTTTTTTGTCCTTGGGATAGTTTACTGAGAATGATGATTACTTTAAAACATGAAACAAATTTTTTTGGTAGCTGTATCAACCATCCTCCTAAGGAACAGATGTGTAGAAAAGCATATCCTCCTCCTAAATGGTGAAGGGACAGTAAAGGAGAAGAGTAGTGAAGAAAAAGAAACAACGCAATCAGGCTTGAGAAAGAAACTTCAGTTAATTATCTGGTCCTCACTTGTAAAGTAGCATTGAAGACAGTCACTATGTTTTAAAATGAGTGCAGTGAAGCACAATCTATTTTTATCTGTGACACAACTAATTCCCTCGAAGTATCACTTTATTTTCTTTTTTTGAGATGGAGTCTTGCTCTGTCGCCCAGGCTGGAGTGCAGTGGCGCGATCTAGGCTCATTGCAAGCTCCGCCTCCCAGGTTCACGCCGTTCTCCTGCCTCAGCCTCCCAAGTAGCTGGGACTATAGGCGTCCACCACCACGCCCGGCTAATTTTTTTGGTTTTGTTTAGTAGAGATGGGGTTTCACCGTGTTAGCCAGGATGGTCTCGATCTCCTGACGTCGTGATCCATCTGCCTCAGCCTCCCAAAGTGCTGGGATTACAGGCGTGAGCCACCGCGTCCGGCCTATCACTTTATTTTCAAATGTTTGAAATTCCCAGGAAGCACCTGTTTCACCAGAATTATTAATGTCACAGGTGCTGATACTGGGATTTTCAAATGCTGATTTTATTAAGCTGTTTCTGAGATGATCAACAATATGTAGCAAGCTCTAGACTGTGTAAAGAACATCAAGTATTTATTCATAACATGTTCCATACAGGGAAATATATATAAAAAAGATGTATAACAAAATTAATATTTAGGATTCAAAATTATTTTAGCCATTGCAATATATTACAGTGTCAAGATTAATTTGTTCAATGTTTTTAGTTTAATTTTCACGTTGTGTTTAAGACTAAAGATAAGGTGGAGTTAGATTTGGAGAGTTAGAAATGTTTTCATCGTAATCTTTTACAAATATCTATTCAATAACTACTTTTGATAGAGCTTACTTCCAGATTGCATCTTGCCAAAAACCTACAGTCCAATTGGAGAGAGAGAACATAACTGACAGTAAATTGATAAATAGCAACAGGAGATAACATATGTCAATTGCCAAAGGCAGAACTGCTAATAGGTGCTACTGTGGATTGAGGAGCAGAAAATAATATAATCAAAGCAGTACTTTAGAAAGAAAGATATACCTTATTCTGACTTAGCCACTCTGGGACTACCTTTCAAATACATGATTTAGCTCATGTCTGTAGTTCCTGACTATTGCAAAAAGATATGTGCCATTTTACTAGAAGATGTGTGCTATGTTTTTTTTTTTAAAGTATAATAGCACAATATTAAATTAACACTTCAGAAATCTGACTTCACTGGAGAATCAACTATCCACTATGTAGATGATGAAATTCATGTTTGCAAAATAAAGTGAAATCTACATCCTTGTATCTGTTGTCACATGTAATTCAGACAGTGAGTTCTATGAAAATCAGGTCTGTATGCAGAGATAAAGATCAGCAAGATGTTCTGATTTACAATTCTGTGCAACTCAGCTGGTTCTAATTCACTTCGAAAACAAGGATATGATGATTTTTATGGTTCTTTAACTACCTATTTGGTGAATTCATTTATGTATTTATTCATTTAAAAAATATACTGAGTTTCCACAAAGTGCTAAGTATTGTGTCCAAAGCTGGAGAAATAGCAATAATAAGATAAGTAAGATGAAATATCTTCATTTCTTACTCTGAGCAATTATAACAAAATAGCATAAGTGGAGTAGTTTATAAACAGCCAAATTTTTTTTCCCACAGTTCTGGGTACTGAGAAGTCCAAGATCAAGTCACCAGCAAAACTGGTATCTGGTGAACACCCACTATATGACTCAGAAGGAACCTTCTCACTCTGTCCTCACATAGTTGAGGGGAAGAGCTCTGGTTTCCTTGGCCCTTATAAGGACACTAATCCAATTTGTGAGGGCTCCATCTCCGTAACCTATAATTCTATTAACACAAATCAGTCCTAACATTTAGAGGTCAAATGGAGACAGCACAGCTGTCAAGGAGTGGTGGCTGTCACAGACAAGTGTGGTTCAAAAAAGCCAAGAAAAAGGAGTTTTTAAAGAAACAGGGCATGAGCAACTGGTCAACTGTGTTGTGTGCTAAGAGATGGAATAAGAAGAGGTTAGAGAGGTAGCTATTGAATTTGGCAACATGAGTGTTCCCCGTTTCTGTGGAATTATGAAGATGAAAACCTTATTCCAAAGGATTGTGTGAGAGGTGAAAAAATGAGAAAGAGAAGCCAGTGAATATGGACAACTATTTCCAAAAGTTTTGCTGAATTGCGTGCAAAAAAGAGTTGAGTAGGAGCAAAAAGGGTACAGGTGTTAATGAAATGAATTTATATTCCCAAATTTTGTATAGTTGTACACATAACTAGAAATATACATACATATAATGCAATCAGAATATGAAAAGAGCATGGGGGAAAAGGGAGAAAGTAATTTACCAATTAACCTCTACTTAAAATCTTCTCATTAAATGGGAAATTTAATTTATAAGTTTTCATACAGATTTGTCCCACTCCAAATCTGTCACTTAAATTACAGAGTAAGAAAACTAATAGTGTGTAGAAGAAATATGAAGTCAAGAAAAAATATAAATATTTTCAGCCATTATTTGCAAGTATACAAAGAACTGGTGGAGCTGAAAGATACAGGAATTAGTTGAGTGGAAATACGGCAGAGAAAAGGCACACTCCTGTTTATTTATATATTGTGATGGGTGCAAATGAGCTGTGTAGAAGTCTGAGATGGTGTCTCATGGTAAACTAGCAGGAGGGAAATCATGAAAGTATTCAGAAACTAATAGTGGAGTCAAATTTCACTATGATAGGACAGACGACATTAAATCTCCCTTATATTGAAGTTTGCCTGTCTAGGACAGTATAATTTATTTTATTGTACTACAGAAAAGTAAGACACTTTGTAGATGAATCAATCTCATATTCAATTTTGGTCACAGATTTAAAAAATTATCCTTTATATGTCTGCTTTTATTGAATTGCTCTTGCTAGAGTAAAAAAAAATGTTTCTAATTCAGTTTTTGAAAATTTTATATTCAGGAGACTTACATTATTGGTTTTTGGTTTTTTTTTTTTCGGCATTTTGGCACATTTGGCATAATGAATTGTCAATGACTCCCTGACCCCTAGAAATAACTTTGGCCACATGATTAATTGAAGATCACAGGCCTCTTTATGATGCAAACACCCTGAAGGGATAAATCACGTGTCCTATCTCTCAACCTAAAGCCCAGCACACAGTATTTTAAAAACTGTTCAACAAATGAGAGATGTGCCACGGAAGACCTCATCCAGGAGGTTTGATGTTCAGAGCACTAGTCCTGAGTTTTAATATTAGTTATGCCGTTGATCTGCCTTTCAGGTCTTTGTGAAGTCATTTAGTGTTCTTGTTTTAATTTTATCCATACATTTGGGATAACATTACCCATAGGATAATACATAAAAGGCTTTGAGAAAAGTTAAAGTACTAAATGTTTGTACAGATCTAGCTAATCGTGTAAATGCAGCCTTTCATTCCTTCTGTGTCTGCACCTACCAAATGAGAGAACTAAACTACATATTGTACTCTTCACTCTCTCTATTAGAACAGTCTCCTGTTCTAACTACAACTTTTCCAAATTGCTGAACCAGAGACAGGGTTATATGACCTTATTTATCCTTTTTAAAATTATTAATAGTAGTGATTACCAACGCACACTTTTTTTTTAGTAAAATAACTTTTTATTTGACATCTACAAGATTTTGGCATCTTGCAGCTTTTGGTTTATACAATCTTGATTTTTCAATAAAAAGAAAGAAAGAAAAGGAAATAAAAATACCAACTGCTCCCTCACTTGTTTTATAAACATCTATTATAGGCAAAACAAAACTTACCCATATTATATAGATAAGTGTCTATTCACATTTGTACATTACCATTTTTAACAGCTTGAGATAAACTCTACAATGTCTTACAACACTTTAAACAATATTCAAGTTACTGGGTAACAACATAACAATAACAAAGAAACATACAGCGGAAGCCTCAAGTGTTTCCTCATTGTCTACAACTCAACTACGGTTTCCTTTATATGAGTGACAAAGCAAATTAAGATTATATATATATATATTATATATATATATTTTTTTTTAAATCACACTCTTCAAAACAAAATGACATTTCCTCAAATCTATACTAATTTTTAGTTGTGGCAGATAAGTAAAACCTACTAGATTTTCATTCTCCCACTTTACAGAGTTTGTGAAATCTGATTTTATTCATAGAAACTACTTGATGAAGAGTCACATATATATATATATATATTTTTTTTTTTTTTTTTTTTTTTTTTGAGACAGAGTCTCACACTGTCACCCAGGCTGGAGTGCAATGGCGTGATCTCTGCTCACTGCAACCTCTGCTTCCCAGGTTCATGCGATCCTCCTGCCTCAGCCTCCCAAATAGCTGGGATTACAGGTGTATACCACCATAACCGGCTAATTTTTTGTATTTTTAGTACAGATGGGTTTAACTATGTTGGCTTGACTGATCTCGACCTCCTGACCTCGTGATCCACCCCCTTCGGCCTCCCAAATTGCTGGGATTACAGGTGTGAGCCACGGCACCTGGCCAAGTCATTAATATTTAAAAGAAAGAACATATGTGGTAATTAATAAAGTTTATATTTTTAAGATAATTTAAAAAGCCAATTAACGCATCAGTAGTTTCCAAAGAGTTTGGAACTCAGTCTAAGGGAGATGATTATGAAGACTTAGTAGAAGGAAAAATAAACTAAGCTGTTTATATGCTATGTAAGAAAACAAAAGAATCACAAACAAATAAAAAGGAGAGGTGTTATATACCACTATTACTGTTAAGATAATTCTGTTTTTGACTTCTCTCAGTAATGAAGATATAAATTTTTGGTTTAAAAAGCATGTATTGATTTCTCTTTCATTGACTAAGAGGTGTAGAAAATGTCTTATTCTTGTGTGATTGAAATGAGATTTAAAACATGAAGTTGACAACTAGTAACAAGATGAATGGATTTTCTTTGAATAGCACGTTCTGGGAATGATCACTCACTCATGTCTCTGTGGGTGATATGAGAGACATTAAGTCTTCTAGCAAGTGTGGTTTTCTGATGATGCTTTGGGTAAATGTTGAAGCTTTCTTTTCACTGAAATTGTGTGGCATAATCTATTTGAATTGTTTTGATCTTTGTGAAAATTTTTCTGTATAGCATTCCTTTATTGTAAATATGAAAAGAACTTTGGGCCTGAAGAGAATTGTCTTGCACAATATGGTCATCCAGACATCGATATATCGCATCTCAAAAAACAGCTAGATTTGTACTTTGAGAAGGATCACCTTCAATTTCCCCTGGGAAATGTGTCCTTTCTGCTAAAAATGAAGTACATTGGGTTTTGATAGACCCCTTACTAGAGAACAGAAGAGTCAGGCACTGAGACAAATCTTGGATCATATCTAATGGGCTGAACAGTGGTGCCTCCTGCTGTTGATTCTCTAAGGATCCTCACAAATTGTTAAACAGGGAAATAGACTCTGGCAATGGATTTTTGAGGATGTAGGTATGATTATAAATAGCCAAAAGCATTCCTCCCAGCATTCCTTTTCACCAGGGTAACTTATTTTGCTTTTATTGAGTACTGCTTTTTTTGTTCCTGTTTTCTTCTAATAAATGTGGAAAAGCATTGTGGAAGGAGTTTGGTATGTGTGCTAGGGAGACCTTTATTTGAATTCCTGGATTTATCATATATATACAGTGTAAATGCTTTGATGTTTAGTTTCCTCATGTGTAAAATGGAAGGAATGATAGCACATTCCACATAGGCTACTGCTTGGATTAAATAATGTGTTGAATATAAAGAGTTTAGCGTTTTGGTGGCACAGGAAGAGCATGCAATAAATATTCATTAACATAATCCTTCTGAAAATATACATTTTCAATCCTTATTTGGTTCTGGATGAGAGAAGATAGATTAACATTTTCAACCATAAATTTAGCTTTGTGAGTGAGACATTAAGGCTACTTTTTTTTTTTTTTTGTCACTGCCTGAATTCTCTATATCGGTTTGCCCACATTGAAAAGCTGAAGTCTACCCATGCTTGAAGCCTTAGATTAAATGCCTTTTTCTGTGTTGTTTGACTAAGCTAGGTTAAATTTTCCATTATGGAGGCTCTCAAAATGATCTATACTTCTTCAAAGCATTCAACACATTTGTAATTAATTGTACAATTTACTTTTTTCTGCAATATCAGCTCCATTGGGACAGGAAACTCTTTCTAGTCAACCAATGTATCAGCAAGGCCTAACATATTAGGAGCTGGCAATGATATTTGTTGAGTCCGTGTATTTAAAAGGACAATGTCAAGGCATCTGCTTTTCTGCTATTCATTTGTTGATTCAAAGGTTTTAGAGTGATGTCTTGTACATCCTGCCTTCTGCTTTCTACTTGTATATCCTGCCTTCTGTGAATCGAAGAAAATGACAAGACAAGTCTTAATCATTTTTGGAGATTTATTTGCCAAAGTTAAGGACACGCCCAGGAGTCAGGTCTATGCCTTTCTCTTAAGATGATTTTGAGGGCTCCAAATTTAAAGGGGAAAGGGCAGGATATTGAGAAGCACACAGTTTTCACTTAAAAGGGGCAAAGGAAAAATGTGGGAAATCTGCATTTTACATTACACAAATAAAATGGGGTAGGGGAACAATCTGATATGCATTTGTGTCTGGCAGGCTGAGTGACTGCACCTATAAAGATAAGCTATCAATTAGCATTGCCATGGTGAAGTTTTAACAGCTCATCAGGAATTTCCTTGTTGGCAAAATATGGGAAAGGTGAGTAGCTTTGCATCTTGTAGCCATTTTATTTAGGAACTGAAAGGTGGAGGCAGGTTTGCATGATCCAGTTCACAGCTTGACTTTTCCCTTTGGCTAAATGAGTTTTGAATCCCAAAATTTAATTTCCTTTCACACTTCTCATCCTGTTTCTTCCACTAGCTCGAGAAATTCCTCTTTATCTCAACCGTTGTAAGCAGATGAGCCTTTAGCACAAGGATGCTTCTGTTCTCATTGTAGAGAGAGCCTCCCAAGGTCTGTTGACCAGTCATATATCAAAATCTGCCTATCTGAGCATCTTTTCATCTCATCACCATTTCTCCCTGATGTTCTTGCCAAGGTCTTGTTTTTTAGTTGTCAATGTAATTGAAAATGTGTCAGGGAAAACAACATGGACTAAAAGTCAAAATTCTCTCTATATCCTCCACATCTGACTCCTGAAAGTTAAGAAAAAAAAAAAAAAGCTATGTCTTAATGATTAGGTCCTCTCCATTTGAAAGAACATGTGGACCACACACACTCTCTGGGCAGATGTAGCCTGAATTGTTGTAGAAGACCATTAAAGTCAGTTCTACAAACATGCTCATCATCACTATGGTTTGCAATCATGTATGAGGCATAAACCTAGAGAATAATTTTCTAGATTCTAGATACTTTTTTAGGAATTTCCTCCTTACTCTCAGAACATACAGCTCTTTACCTTTAGAGGAAGAATTTAGAAGTGGTTGTGTGGCAAGGGGTGTTAAAATGCATGATGAGCAAGAGATCACTGTGAAAATCCAAGCCAGTCTAGGTAAGATTAATGCTTTAATAAATGTCTTACCTTTTTGCAGATTACAGACCGACTTCCTTATCTTTGCTGTGTTCAAAATGCTTAGCTCCCCCACACCTAGGAAAAACATCGCCACTAATAACCTTGTTCTTTTCACTGAGGTTGAGGAAGGAACTAAGCTTTAGTTCCTTCTAGAACTTGTTGATCACTTTCATTAGAACTGTCCCTTCATATTTAGCATCAGGTAGTGAGGAGACTATATTGTAGAGAATAAATGTTATTTTTTCTTCCTTATTTATACTTATCAGTCAGATTTTACGATGCTGGGAGAAGAAAAGAGTGGAAAACTGGCTAAATTGGAAGTGCTTAGGACATGATAAATTCTTCCGTCTCATCTCTACCAGTTACTCTATGAATTTGGAGCTACTTCTCTGTGCTTTATTTTTCTTATCTCTAAAATGGTGATAATAGTAGTACCTATTCCATGGAATTATTCTGGTAATTAGAATTAATACTTTAGTATTAGGAATAGCTTGTGAAGCATACTAAATTCCTAGTGAATGCTACCTATCATAAGTAATATCACTAAATTACGAGAATTTCTTTTATAAAGGATTTGAGTAGCCACATGCTTACTCAGTATTGTCAGGCAAGTAATTACACAACTATAAGGGGTTTTAATGTCAAAGTCCTAACTTATTCCAGCCACGGACTAACAATTATTCTTTTATTTAATTATAAATTGTACAAACTTTTAATCTACTTATAAAAACGTTAACTGATACCAATAAGATAATTGTAAGGTAATATTTAAAAGAACTCATTTTAGCCAACACCTTTACAGTGCTTATAGTGTGTCAAACACTTATAAGTGCTTTCAAACATTAACTCATTTAATGCTCAAAACAGCACTGTAATAATTTTTATTATTATCCCCATTTCTCATATGTGAAAGCAGTGGTCCTGATAATTTAAGGGTCTTTCCAAAGGTCATACAATTAGTGGCAGTTAGACGGCCTAGAAAGTATTGTAAGAGACAGCATAGCAGAGTAGTTAAGAGAATGGACTCTGGAGTCACATGACCTGGGCTTGCAATCCTAACTTTGCCACTGATGTGGGGGCTCACTGATATGGTTTGGCTGTGTTCCCATTCAAATCTCAACCTAATTATATCTCCCAGAATTCCCACATGTTGTGGGCGGGACCTAGGGGGAGGTAATTGAATCATGACGGTCGGTCTTTCCCATGCTATTCTCATGATAGTTAATAAGTCTCATGAGATCTGATGGGTTTATGGGGGTTTCTGCTTTTGCTTCTTCCTCATTTTCTCTTGCTGCTGCCATGTAAGAAGTGCCTTTTGCCTCTTGCCATTATTCTGAGGCCTCCCCAGCCATGTGGAACTGTAAGTCTAATGAAACCTCTTTTTGTTCCCAGTTTCGGGTATGTCTTTATCAACAGCATGAAAATGAACTAATACAGTAAATTAGTACCAGTAGTGTGGGGTGTTGCTGAAAAGATACCTGAAAATGGGGAAGCGACTTTGGAACTGAGTAACTGGCAGAGGTTAGAACATTTTTGAGGGCTCAGAAGAAGACAAGAAAATGTGGGAAAGTTTGGAACCTCCTAGAGATTTGTTGAATGGCTTTGACAAAAATGCTGATAGAGATATGAAAAATAAGGTCCAGATTGAGGTGGTGTCAGATGGAGATGAGGAACTTGTTGGGAACTGGAGCAAAGGTGACTCTTACTGTTTTAACAAAGAGACTGGCAGCATTCTGCCCCTACTCTAGAGATTTGTGGAACATTGAACTTGAGACAGATGATTTAGGGTATCTGGTGGAAGAAATTTCTAAGCAGCAAAGCATTCAAGAGGTTACTTGGGTACTGTTAAAAGCATTCAATTTTAAAATGGAAATGGGGCCAGTCGCAGCTCATGCCTGTAATCCCAGCATTTGGGACGCCAAGGCGGGCAGACCATGAGGTTAGAAGATCGAGATCATCCTGGCTAACATGGTGAAACCCCGTCTCTACTAAAAATACAAAAAATTAGCTAGGTGTGGTGGCACGTGCCTATAGTCCCAGCCACTTCGGAGGCTGAGGCAGGAGAATCGCTTAAACCTGGGAGGTGGAGGTTACAGTGAGCCAAGATCATGTCACTGCACTGCAGCCTGGGCAACAGAGCAAGACTTCATCTCAAAAAAAAAAAAAAGGGAAACTGAGCATAAAAGTTCAGAAAATTTCCAGAATGATGATGCAGTAGAAAAAAAAAAACTCATTTTTTGAGGAGAAATTCAAGCCAGATGCAGAAATTTGCATAAGTGGCAAGGAGCCTAATGTTAATCCCCAAGACCATGGGGAAAATGTCTCCAGACCATGTCAGAGACCATCATGGCAGCCCCTTCCATCACAGGCCCAGAGGCCCAGGAGGAAAAAGTGGTTTTGTGGGCTGGGCCCAAGGTCCCTGTGCTGTGTGCAGCCTAGGAACTTGGTGCCTTGTGTCCCAGCCACTCCAGCTGTGGCTGAAAGGGGCCAACGAACGTACAGCTTGGGTTTAAGAGGGTGGAAGCCCCAAGCCTTGACATGTTCCACGTGGTGTTGATCCTGTGGATGCACAGAAGTCAAGAATTGAGGTTTGGGAACTTCTGCCTAGGTTTCAGAAGATGTATGGAAACACCTGGACACACAGGCAGAAGTGTGCTGCAGGGGTGGAGCACTCATGGAGAACCTCTACTAGGGCAGTATGGAAGGGAAATATGGGGTTGGAGCTCCCACACAGATACCCTACTGGACTAGTGGAGCTGTGAGAAGAGGGCCACCACCCTCCAGACCCCACAAACAGCTTGCACTGTTAACCTGGAAAAGCCACAGGCACTCAACACCAGCCCATTAAAGCAGCTGGGTGGGAGGCTATATCCTGAAAAAGCCACAGGAGCAGAGCAGCCCAAGACTATGGGAATGCACCTGTTGCATCAGCATGACCTGGATGTGAGACCTAGAGTCAAAGGAGATTATTTTGATGCTTTAAAATTTGCCCCACTGGATTTCGGACTTGCATGGGCCCTGTAACCCCTTTGTTTTGGCCAATTTCTCCCATATGGAATGGCTGTATTTGCCCAATACCTGTACCCCTATTGTATGTAGGAAGTAACTAGCTTGTTTTGATTTTACAGGCTCATAGGTTGAAGGGGCTTGCCTTGTCTCAGATTAGACTTCAGACTGTGGACTTTTGGGTTAATTCTGAAATGAGTTAAGACTTTGGGGGACTGTTGGGAAGGCATGATTGGTTTTGAAATGTGAGGACATGTGATTTGGAGGGGCTGGGGTGGAATGATATGGTTTGTCTGTGTTCCCATTCAAATCGCAACTGAATTGTGTCTTCCAGAATTCCCATGTGTTGTGGGAGGGACCTAGGGGGAGGTAATTGAATCATGGGGGCCAGTCTTTCCTGCACTATTCTCATGATAGTGAATAAGTCTCACGAAATCTGATGGGTTCATCAGGGGTTTTCGCTTTTGCTTCTTCCTCATTTTCTCTTGCTGACACCATGTAAGAAGTACCTTTTGCCTCCCACCATGACTCTGAGGTCTCCCCAGCCATGTGGAACTGTAAGTCCAATGAAACTTCTTTTTGTTCCCAGCTTTGAGTATGTCTTTATCAGTAGCATGAAAACGAACTAATACATTCACCAAATGGGGAAAATAAGCCACATGATATCAACAGCTCTTGGATTCACCTTCTTAAAATAATTATTATTTTTAAAAGTAATTATAATTTAATGAGGAACTATAATGAATTAGCTAGAGAAACTTAAGTGCATGTGGAATAATCTTCAATGAGCAGTAAAATTTGCTGTCAAGATTCCAATAGTAGATATCCCAACACAGGGCAGCTAAATACAGAGATACCTTGCAGCCTTACTTTTACATTGTACTTGTCATTAACTTTAATTTTGATACATCATTTTGAAAGAACTACAGCAACCATGATGGTATTAGATATACTAAAAATCTGTGTTGGTTATGGGTAGCTGGCCAATAATATTCATACTATAAATATAGTCTGGTTACAAGGAGAGGAGAGTCTATGATTGAAACAGATAGACACATTCTATTGCCTAAATTCTAAATATTTTATTAGTTGAAGATTATTTCAAGGCACAGAATCTATCAGAAGAAATAACTCAAGATACATAAAAATAAAAGGGAGCTGAAAACTCTGAAAAGTTGGGTAAAGGAGATGGATTCTGTAATCCAGTTTCTGCCCCTTGAATGATAAAAGAGTTTTAGAAACAACATTTATCATTACAACTGGATATCACTGATTAGTATATGAATATGGACTTATAATTGAATTTTACTTACATAAACAATACAAAATTCAAGGGAAATAGGAATAATTTTAAAGTATATTCCAATAGTACTTTAAATTACTATGTGGTGTTAATTGGAATATTTGGCTTTATGATAGAGATAAATAAAATAATAAGTGGAAAATTAGAATTTTGAGTTCTACAATAAGAAAAAAGGTACAGACTACAGTGAAGTCACTGACATTTTTTTGTGACCAGAAACTTTCCAGTGTTCTTGAATAGAGAGCTGAAATAGTTACCAATATCAAAGTTTCTATCACAGAGGAAAACGAAGTTCAGCTGCCTTTCATCTCCTAGTCCTGATTAAACAACAACAACAATAACAACAACAAAAAATATAGTTAAGGCAAAGGAAGCAAGGAGCAAGGAGGTGGGGAGTGATGGAAATCAGCTTGGAGTGGGTAGGGTAAGGCTTAAAGATATGCTTAGGAACATCTGAAATAAAACCAATCAGCCCTTGCAGCATTTATTTTATTGTTGCAAAAGTTTCTAGAAAGGCATAATTAATAGGAATTATTCAAACCAAGTTTATCACAAACACATTTGGACAGTCAACCATATTTTATTAAGTATTGCAGGTAATAATGACTACAACTACTGTCATTTACTAAATCCTTACCCTGTGTCAGATATTTTGTTAAGTATGCACTTCACTAACATTATGTGATTTAATATGCACAATAACCATAAGAATTTGACACTTGACACTTTAAAAAATTATTTTGAAGATGAGGAAACTATGCTTTAAAACTTTTAAACTGTTAGTCATAGTTTTAAATTTATTCCCTGATAATTTTAACATCGGGGTCTTTTCTGACTCTAATTGATATGATTGCTTTTTCTAAGTGGGTTATTTTTTCCTTATTTTTTTCTGTTTTAATACTGAATCCTAGACATGAAGGAAAAGTACAGTCGAGACTGAAGTAAATAGCATTTTTGCATAGAAATATGCACATCGCAGCCAGGCACTATGGCTCACGCCTATAATCCCACTGTTTGGGGAAGTCAAAGCAGGTGGATCCCTTGAGCCCAGGAGTTCAACACCAGACTGGGCAACATGGCAAAATCTCGTCTCTACAAAAAATACAAAAATTAGCCAGGCATGTTGGTATACACCTGTAGTCCCAGCTTCTTGGGAGGCTAAAGTGAGAAGATTGTTTGAGCCCAGGAGGTTGAGGCTGCAGTGAGCTGAGATCATGCTACTGCACTCCAGCCTAGGCAATAGAACAAGACCCTGTCTCAAAAAAAAAAAAGAAAAAGAAAAAGAAAAAAGAAAAAGAAAAAGATAAAGAAAAATGAAAGAAAGATGCACATCTCTTCTGCCAGTGTGTTTATGTGGAGACTGGAGTCAACCTAGTCATGAGTTTAGCTGATTTGGGATTTTGCTGTTACTATGGTTACCTTCAGTGTACAACCAGTTTAAAATTCTTTTAGCAATACCGTAGGGTGAAAATCAGATTACCAGAGTGTTTTTCTTAATGTCCCTTATCTACCCTCAACATTTGGCCTTCCCTTTTGCTCTTGCACCTGACAACGGATCTTGTCATGTTCTTATTCTCTCCAGTAGTAGACTGTTAGTGCTTATTACTTGGTGTTCGTGATCTTGGTGTTAGGGGGCAAAAGGATTTTTTTCTTATTTTTGTACCATTTCAAAACTTAGGCAAGCTTGGTCTTAATGTTGATATTTTCTTAGTAAATCTGCCGATAGAAGCCAAATTTTGCTGTGAATCTTTACTAGGTCTTGTATGGGAGACTTCCCTGCCCCTCCCCTAGTGGTAGGAGACATATAATGAACTTGGTCCAGGACAGTTTCCTACCCCTACCTCAGGGATAGATATTTTGTTTTTTTCTTGTACCTTCCCTAGCTTCATCTTCATCTGTGCCCTGGGGGTGATGGTTTGTGCTGCCCTTACCCCAGCAATTTAAGGCTTTTGTTCCATAGAGGAGAAGGTCTTACATGGGGATTTATGCTTGTTTGTGTAGCGATGAATGCTCTCCTTATCCAAGTCTGCACCACTGTTAGAGGATTTCTGTATCCAATCATGCTCCCATTAGAAGTCTGTGGAGAATAGCCTGCAAGTATTATGAAGACCCCTGATATCCATGCCTCCCAGCGGTTCTATACTCTTATGCTAGCCCATACTTGAGCTTTTTCAGATAAAAAAAATTGATAAATTCTGCCGGGCACGGTGGCTCCCGCCTGTAATCCCAGCATTCTGGGAGGCCGAGGCGGGCGGATCACGAGGTCAGGAGATCGAGACCATCCTGGCTAATATGGTGAAACCCCGTCTCTACTAAAAATACAAAAAATTAGCCGGGCCTGGTGGCGGGCGCCTGTAGTCCTAGCTACTCCGGAGGCTGAGGCAGGAGAATGGCGTGAACCCGGGAGGCGGAGTTTGCAGTGAGCCGAGATCGCGCCACTGCACTCCAGCCTGGGCGACAGAGCGAGACTCTGTCTCGAAAAAAAAAAATTGATAAATTCTTTTTAACCACTTACAAGACAGTGATGTATTTTCCTCCTGTTCTCTGCCATATGTGTTTCAGTGTGTCTATCTCATCTGCTTGGAGACACCTGACTTTCCTTGAATTCCAAGCTAATTGGTTTCCCCAAGACCTTAGTTCTCTGACAGATTCAAGAAAAGTTATAATTTTTAAAATTTAAACTGACATTTTACTGTTATTAATGTAGGAGTAATACTCTTTCCAAGTTTCCACATTCTAGGCGTCAGTAAAAATTCCAGTTATTTCTTAAACTAATATGTTTATTTTAGGACAGGTTCTTACAGATGTAGATGATGAGTCAAAGATTTAGGTGCAAGTTATTTACTGAGCAAGTACTACCAGAAGAAACAAGTAAGAGTGAGGGAAGCAGGAAAAGGAAGGGTAGGTAAGAAGCCCAGAAAAGATACAATTTTGGTGGCATCCAAGAATGCTTAATCATTTGAGAAACTCTGGAGCATAAATTATACTTCTAAGTGTATCGTGACTTGAAGCAAAGGAGCTGAGTTTTGTATTGCAATAATAATTGGTCACTAGCTACAGGCATTCCTGAGTAGGATGTAGACTATCAAGCATATAGGACGTAGACTATCAAGCAATAAATATGTTTTATTAATTTCTGTGCACAATTACATTCTTATATTCTATGCCTTTTGCTATGGTCTGAATATTTGTTCCCTCCAGAACTCCTGTTGACAAGGGTAGAATGGAAGGAAATAAAATATCAGTCAGAGGGTACAAAAGTTCGGTTATGTGGGATGAATGAGTTCTAGAGCTCTAATGTACAGCATGGAGACCATAGTTAACAATTCTGTATTTATACTTAAATTTGCTAAGAGAATTGATCTTAAGTGTTTTCACCAGAAAAAAAAAAACACAATGAAACAAAGCATAACTATGTCAGCTGATGCATATATTAATTAGCTTGATTTTGATAATCATTTCACAGTGTATATATCAAAACATTATGCTATACACCATAAATATACACAATTTTTATTTTTATGTATACCTCAATAAAACTGTAAATAACAAATAATAAATTATCAACACCCAATATACCCAACATGTGCTGATAAGACAGGGAAAGAATAATTGCAATAGACACTTCCAATTAAAAAAAAAGAGAGAAGAAATGGAATTAGGCATATAGAAGTCACTGGTTCTTACAAATTCTGAAATATAGACATGTATACGTTGTAAGAGTCTTCTTCTCCATAGTAAGAAAACACATCCTAGTAAGGGCCCAATTATTCCTCGGCTGAATAGTTTCCTAACTATTGATCTCCTTAGTTCTTGACTTTGCCTTCCAGGTAACTGGTCTCCACGCTCTAAGATTTGTTTCATTTTCTATAATAAATGGACTGTGTTTGCAACTAAAGGGGATTCCCAGTCTGCTTCCTGACCACAGAGATTTGGGGTCCCAGAGTCTTCTTTTCATTATAAACTGTCTCTATTTCCTATGGATGAGACATTATAACTACCTTAAATATTTTGAATTTTTTGTGAATCTAATTGAGATTCCCTCCGTGTTCAAAAGCCACATCCATAACTATTTAACAAATAAACCTCTACTTACATTGGGCCATTTGTAAGGTGTTTGTGAGATAATACCCTTGAAACTCATAGAAGTTCTTTGCCTAATTGCAAGGATTTACTGATCACTATCATAAATTTCTCTGTGTGCTTAACTAAAGGTTTTATCACCACACACTTGGTTTGATTTTTATTCTAAGACCACAGCTAGAAAGTCTAGAAATATGAAATGATTTTATTTTCTAACCCAGCACATCTTGAACCTTTATATTTCCTCTAAATTCTGCTTTCCAAATGAATCATACTCCCTTTGGTTCATCTCCTCCTCTCCTATTTATTATAGACAGATACAAAAAGCCAACTGTCAATTTCATTGTTCTGTCGGGATATCACCTTGGCTATATCTACACATTCATTGCATACATTTTTTTAATCTATTTAAGTCTTAAGTTTTGCCAATAGTTTTGATCCCCACATTTTCAGACATAAATAGCAATTTCTATAGACCACCTACTACATGGTCCCAAAGCCAATGCCTAGCTTTTAGGATTTTGTTATGGCAGCACCTTGTTTCTAGTTGCCAATGTTTGTATTAATTATTAATTTCTGTGTAACAAATCATTCCAAATTTAGTGTCTGAAAACAAGTATATATTTATTTAACTTGTGTTGAGCTTATCTAAGTAGTTCTTATGCTGATCTTGCCTAGGATTACTCATATATGGCTTCAGTTATCTGAACCTTAACTGGGGTGTTTATTTCAGGGTAACCTCAATTATATGTCTGGTGGTTGGTGTTGGCTCTTGTCTGTAGCTTTTTACTTCTCTTCTATGTGGCCTCTCATCTCATAGGAGCCCAGAGTTGCTTATTCACGAGACAAAAGATTCATTCCAAGACAGAAAAGGCGGAAGTTCAAGGTCTCTTAAGGCCTAGCATAAAAAGTCACATAATATCATTCTTGTCATATTCTGTCAGTCTATGCAAATCTCAAAGCCATGCTGAATTAAAGAGGTGAAGAAATGGGAAACTCATACTATAAAAGAATGTAAAATAAGAAGGTTGTGATTCATTGGGGGCCATTATTCTAACAGAGTTTTTATTATAATGACTATATTTTCCCCAGGATTTCTAGTAGGTTCTTTTCATATGCACCTGTACTATTTTATACACATTTTCTCTGTTTTTTTTATTTCTTTTTAAAAATTGTTTATCAATGCCAAATCTTAATTTATCCTTTAAAGCAACTTAAATATATTTAATATGTTTATGAAACATTTATAATCAATTTCATATGGAATGAATTAATGTTCTAATTGTTGATTTTTGTTTGTGTGCATCTTTCTTCAGGCAATTCAGGATTTGTGTTTGCAGACTCATTTGATTGAAAAGGATCCCTCTCTTTCTCTCTCTCTGTTTCCTTTCTTTTTTCTCTTATCTCCCTCCGTCCTTCCATGTGATCTTCTATATAGAGGCTTGTTTGAACATGTTCCAGTAGAATCAGCATCTGGAATCAGGTCTCTCATTTTGGCTTTTCTGCTTTGTGGATATTGTGGATCCAGCCAGTTACAGATTCAAACTTAGTTTATTTCTTCTGTGAGGCTGTGTTTATATTTTCCCATCTCTTCAGCCCACACGATCCTATGAGTCCTTGCCACAGGTAGCCATCAGCAGCATTTGTTCTTAGTTTCTTTCTTTAAGCAATGAATCTAAATTAAACTCCAGGCATAGGAACACTTTTGGTCCGTGTTAATCCTCTGAAACTGAACCTCAGTCTGCTACAGTGTTCTCCCAAACCTGACATTCGGCAATCTTTAACTTCATTGTCTTAGCTTCTTTGTATTTTATATTCAATTTTCAGCTTTTTAAAAAGTTTATCTTTTTCTAGGGTATTGTTTGTTCTTTTGGTTTTCTCTTTAAATATTTTTTATTGCTACAATGCACAATGCAGTTAGGAGAGCACAAAACTTGTGGATTTACTACATAATTTTGCCCCATTTGCTTTTAGCACTTCCTGAAATTTAGAAAAAAAATGCAAATAAATTGCACAAATTTATAACAATGATTGAAATTTGAGTTGACGTTTCAGTGTAGAATCAAACTCCTGTCTCTTCAGTGACATTACGTCAAAATAGCATGCATTCAATGGCCTAGTGAACAAAGTTTCCAGGGCTATAGGAGTATTTTTAAAATGTTTCAAGTTGAGTTGAATAATATCACATTTTACCTTCTCAGAAATACTTTGATTTTACACCAGATGTCATATAGTACCTAATTCCACAATGTTTCTGATGAGGAAAATTCTCAGAGGAATGCAGCTATAGTGCCTAGGGCTTGAAATATAGAAGTGTAGTTATTAAAACTACATGTACCAAATAAAATCCATTCTTTTCAAACACATTCTTGTCATAAGCACTTAATTAATGCTTGGAATCAATCTGGACTTGAGGCCATATTGTATTTATCCAAAAAGGCCCATCATGTGTCAATATGACTGTGTGGTTTCAGTTTCTCGTCTGTGTTTTTTTAAATGACTCAGCTATATGGAATAACTAGCAGCTGATGGTGGAGGACTACAAGATGGTACTAAAGAGAAGATGTTTGGTTGAGAAATATAGAGTGATGGATTGTAAAACTCAATTTTGCAATAGTTAGAGAAATGAGCCACTGTCCGAGACTATTAAGAGTCCTATGCAGCCAGGCGTGGTGGCTCATGCCTGTAATCCCGGCACTTTGGGAGGCCGAGGCAGGTGGATCACAAGGTCAGGAGTTCGAAACCAGCCCAGCCAACATGGTGAAACCCTGTCTCTACTAAAAATACAAAAATTAGCTGGGCATGTCGGTGGGCGCCTGTAGTCCCAGCTACTCAGAGGTGAGGCAGGAGAATCACTTGAAACTGGAAGGCAGAGGTTGCAGTGACCCCAGATCGTGCCACTGCACTCCAGCATGAGCAAAAGAGCAAAATTCCTCTAAAAAAAAAAAATTCCTATGTAGTTCAAAGTCAAGAAATAGTTATTGGTATCCAAGTTAAATAGACAAAAGTAAACTTTTGAAGTCATTCTTGCTGGAGGGATGAGACGGTACAGTGCAAGAGGTAGGAAAAGATACATAGTAATCAGGTACATATCAGATCAGATTTTTCTTCTATCTATTACTTAGCTAGGTGAAATTGGACATGACACAAACACTGTAAACCTCATTTTACTAATCTATAAAATAAAGATCATAATATTTCATGCATCTCAAAGCTGTGGTAATAATTAAAGTGGATAATGTACACCAAATGACTAGCATGTAATAAGTGCTTCATAAATGTAGTACTTATTATCAAGTATCATGACTTTAAATAGACAGGTTAAATTTAACATTCAAGAGATTAGCTGCAATAGGAGTAGTGAACAAGCAGGTAGTAGATTTCAAATTGTCTAGATATATTCCATGGATAAGCAGAAAAAAACATTTACACAATTATATACACAGACACAGTGGCACAGCAATGAGCAATGTAATGATTGTTAATCATAGGAAAGTGGCAAATTGCCTATTGCAATTTACCCTTTATTATCTGTTCTTGTGATTGAACTAAATGTAAGTGGTATCCTCGAGCAAGAGAGACGGTAGCCTTTTTTACTTTCGTAGGTTTTTCCCTTGTCAGAATACAGAAGAAAAGCTGGGTTTTCCTAAAATGTGTTCAGGGTAGGCTGCTTTCTATCTTACTAAAATTCATAAAGTGGTAAAGAAGTTGGAGGAATATAAATTTTCTATTCTCCTATCCATATTTTAAGAAATGCTGAGTTGGAAACATTTATTGGCATGGTAATATCAACAAATTTGCAGGTTTGTAATTACACACATATTACTAAAATTATATTAGTAGATGTGCAGATATTCAGAAGCTTTAACAAAAAATTCCAGAATTTAGAGCTTTCTGAATAATCTAACATTTTCTTACCATTTGTACCTCAGATTGTTTTCTTTTGGTAATATAACAAAATACTTATTGCAAGTGTACCACCCCCTGAGAGTAAATATTCAGTCCCTGCTTCAAGATTTTAAAAGATGCAGTACTTTCCTGTGCTTCCTCTTCCACAGGAACATTCGCAGTGGGGAGGTTGATAAAACATTCTCTATATAGGCTTCCTGGAGTTTCTCAAGCCACTAGTAACCCTTTGTTATATATGCAGGATTTCTTCTGTTAGAAATATTGAGCTTTCTCTTGAGGCATTGATTACTATTCTTATTGTTTCATTCTCTAGTGAATGGATACCCTAGGTTTATAGATCTAACATTCAGCCTGTTGAATTCTATTACTTTTATAGCGTAGTTTTACAAATGTATGTTCTGGGCATATACTTCTAATTGTCTAATAATGAAGTTTATCCTACTTTTTATTTTTAATTTTGGATATATAATGTTGTATCTCTCTTGTGGCTGGCTATCTGATAAATTTCAGAATGTATTGGAGATACTCTGGGGGTTAGGTAAATTATTCTTACTTCAAAAAGACAAGTCTTGGCTGGGCATGGTGGCTCACACCTGTAATCCCAGCACTTTGGGAGGCCAAGGTGGGTGGATCACCTGAGGTCAGGAGTTCAAGACCAGTCTGGCCAACATGGTGAAACCCCATCTCTACTAAAAATACAAAAATTAGCTGGGCATGGTGGTGCATGCCTATAATCGCAGCTAATCGGAGGCTGAGGCAGAAGAACGGCTGGAACCTAGGAGGCAGGTGCTGCAGTAAGCCAAAATCGTGCCACTGCACTCCAGCCTGAGCTCCATCTCAAACAACAGCAACAACAACAACAACAACAATAAAAAAAGACTGAGACTCCACCTCAAAAACGAAAACAAACAAACAAGTCTTGATTGTCTGATGTCTCCTCATAATGCAAAATCACTCAATTTCTACCATGATGATTTTATTTTGAAGTATAACTGTGAAATACATAATTCTAGATGAAATATAATTAGTTCCAAAACCTCTTTGAGCATTCTTAACTTTTAAATGACCTCTACATATAATCACTAGGGATACTTAGATAATATATACATACATTGTAAGTGGAAGATATCATTCTTATGAAATATATTTATTGGATTTACTGATAAAAAGTACATTTTTGCTTTTTTATACTCTTGCATTCTACAGTCTCAGCATATTCAGGTATTCATATTTGGAGTCTTCTCAAAGGATTGTCAGTAGAGAGTTGTGCTTCTATTTATGATGTCCTACAAGAGAATATCACTCCCACCTTAATTGGCAAGAAGAAAAGGCCAGATAATCTTCAAAATTATCACATTTTTTGACATATCAGAGCTCAGATCTCAAGGCAATCAGGTGGACTAAATTCCAGAATGGCAGGCCATTCTGAGGAGAGAGAGAACAGACGAATGTTTCACCTTTGGCAAAACATGGGACAAAAACACTGTACAAGCAGGAAAGAGGAAACAATTACATTTCAGTACTTTATTAGAAGTTGATTGTGGGCTAGCATGACGATTTAGAACCTTTGAGAACTCCAGACCCAGTGAAAGTGTGCATTCATTTGCCATGTACTTTTCATAAGCCTCCACTATATACTCATGAGGAAGATTAGAGGCAGGGAAGGAAAAAGAGTGTGGGCACAAAACCTTGCCTATGTCTTGAGCTCTTTTATTATATGAATTAAAAGCCTCAAGCAACTTGGGAATAGAAGGCAGGCAAAGATCCATTGTTCAGAGGGGAAGGGGTCGAAGCAAGTCATCTGTTGCTGGGGAAGGAAAAAAGAGAGGGAAAGAAAATCCCACGAGCTGTATGCTCAGTGTAGTCTACTTTTGTGGGAAGACCAACAAATCCTTCTGATCCTGGTCCCATGCAAAGGTATATTGCCACCTAGAGAGCAGGAAAATCTATCTGCCCCTGAGAGAGAAGCTTGGACCCAGAATGCTGTACTGATACCAACCAATACTGCTATGACTGAGGGAAGGATAGAAAATGTTCTCTCTTCTGAGACCCTCCACACACGCAATAAAGAGTTTGGTTGAATTAGGGAGAAGAGCCAGGTACACAGGGCCTGGTGAACAGGGTCTGATTTAGAATAAGTCCAGACCGGGAGAACCGGGAACTACCAACGGTTTCTATCATGATTTTTTCACATATAAAATATAACAGTGAACTGCCAATGAGGAGGAGCAAGATTGCAGAGAGAACCTTCTGTGATTTGGGCACAGAGGTCCTGCTGAAAACTGGTGGAGCAGGAATGCTGAGAAAAATTCTTGGGCAAACTAGAAGTAACATTAAGCACAACGTTACAGCATTCTATTTCTGGAGGATCCTGGAAATTTGTGATGGTCTGAAGGAAGCTGTAGTAACAATTTCCAAAAGCAACTCCACAAAGTATTGGGTGGACTTAACCTGTCACACTAATGGCTGACAGAAGAACATAATTAGACACACGTGGTGTCTATAGTATATACTTACATACTATCATATTCATATGATAAGGCTAACATAACAAAATATCATAGATTTGTAGCTTAAACCGCAGACATTTATTTTCTCACAGTTCTGGAGTCTGGAAGTCCAAGATCAGGATGTCAGCAGGACAAAAATGGGATGCTCTGCTCCAGGCCTTTCTCTTTGGCTTGCAGATGGCTGCTCACTTGGTTACTCTTCGCACGCTTATCTCACTGCTCCCGTGTGTCTCTGTTGTCCCCTTTTATATCAAAATTCTCTTTCAAAAATAAGGACAAATCGATTGTTTTAGAACCATACAAATAGCTTAATGTTAACTTAACTAACTCTTTAAAGTTAATTGTCCAGAATGTCAGACACATTCTCAGGTACTAGGGGTTACCACTTCAACATATGAAGTTTAGGGCAAGACAATTCAGCCCTTAACAACAATTATGTAACTTTTGCCCTCACAATTATTAAATGAGACATATATTATTATAATCATTTTACAAATGAGGAAACTAGGGCTTTGAGAAATTAAAGAAACACTTATCAATCATTCCTAAAATTTCATTTCCAAAAAATATGTTTTAAATTTTATTCCTGTTGATGCTTGTTCTTCTTTCAGTCCCTGTCACCTTTTACAACAAGTATTCTGAAATTCTATTTTAAAATTATGCTTATTATTAACCAAAGTATGCTGTATGTATGTTCAGCAAGAAAAGTGAAAGCTGAGGTAATGGGATATTATAGTAAATTAAATGGAAGAAAAAGTCTAACAATAATGTATAGTCATTATTTCATGCATTTAAAGAAGAGGTTCTTTATAACAAAACAAGATGTTTCACAAAAATATACCTCGATATTATTCTAGGTGATTTTAAAACATGTTCAAACCAATGGCCTGAGCCCAATTTGGCATGAGAGAATTCTACAGGGAATTCTGCTTTATTGACTCAATTTAATTAAACATGTTTCTTGACATTTGAAAAAAAAAATGAAAACTAAACATGCTGTCATTAGCCTACTTGGCTCTGGAGTCAGGCAGTCTCAATTAGAATCAAAGCTCTGCCTGCTATAAGTTATTTTGGGCATATTTCTTAATATCTCTAAAGCTAAATTTTAAAAAATAAATCTTAGTTACTGCATGGAATTTCTGAGAAGATTAAGCTAATTTATAAAAGCACTTGATTTTATTTTCTGGAACTCAACATATGAAAAAATTAATATTAACTAGCATTGCAACTCCAATTTCTTCTATCCCTATCATCATTACTTTTTACATCATCATCACCGTTGCATCATAATTGTCACTATCATGCCCATCATCATCACCAGTATTCATAAAATAAATATTATCATATACCCTCAAAATTTACATTTGTATGCCTGTCAGATAAGATACAATGACATTCATTCAAAAATTAGACAATAATGTGAATTATAAAGGAGTACATATAAAAATGAATCTATTAATGTGTAGAAAAATAAATAGTAAAAATTTGTATTATTTATATAAGTATAAAGCTACTGAGAGACAAAAAAGCCAAGTAATTGATTACTAGAAGAAATTATGGACATTTGTACTAAATTTGCACTAATATTAGAGGTTTTAATCTTATTAGTCATATCTAATAGTCTATTATCTAATATAGAGTATTATCTAATCATCTCTATATATGTATGTATTCTCTGTAGTTCCTCTCTCTCTCTCTCTCTATATATATATATATATATACTCTCTATATAGAGTCATATATTTATGTACTCTCTGTCTTTACAGAGAGAGAAAGAGACAGAGAGACAGAGTCAGAGAGTACAGACATTTACCTGTAGTGCAAAAAGAAGAGTTAAAGAAATCCACTGGAAATAATGGTTAACATTATAATACATGCAAAGCACTTTATACATATATACATATATATGTATATATGTATGTATTCTCTGTATGTACACTCTCTCTATATATATAATCTGTCTATATAGTCTATATATACTTATGTACTCTCTGTCTCTACAGAGGGAGGCAGAGAGAGAGAGAGAGAGAGAGAGAGACAGACAGACAGAGAGTACAGATGTTTACCTGCAATGCAAAAACAAGAGTTAAAGAAACCCACTAGACATAATGGTTAACATCATAACACATGCAAAGCACTTTATACATGCATTTAAAAGCATCAAAGAAGCTGGGCATGGTGGCTCACGCCTGTAATGTCAGCACTTTGGGAAGCTGAGGTGGGCGGATCACCTGAGGTCAGGAGTTCGAGACCAGCCTGGACAACATGGTGAAATCCTGTCCCTACTAAAAATACAAAAATTAGCCAGGCGAGGTGGCACATGCCTGTAGTCCCAGCTACTCAGGTGGTTGAGGCAGGAGAATCACTTGAACCCGGGAGGCAGAGGCTGCAGTGAGCCAAGATTGTGCCACTGCACTCCAGTCAGTCTGGGCAATAGAATGAGACTCCATCCCAAAAAAAGGCATCAAAGATAAATAATATTATTATCACTGATGCTTTTTTTAATGAGGAAAACTGTCTTAAATGCCCTTTCCAAAAGTATAGAGCTATACATAACAGAACCTGCCTCCAGAACCAGTGTTATTATCACTGTGCTCCAAAGATTAAATAAAGGCTGGCTTCTTGCAGTAAAACCATTAGTTTGGAGCATTGGATAAGAATCTACAAATTCTGTTGCTATTATTGGAGCTCAAACAACTCTCAAAACTCTTTCTTGATTCTGATGGTCTAGGAAACACCAGATAAATATTTCATGCACACCTAGATGTGGATAGCAACATATGCACCCATAAAACAGAATAAACTATTTTTCATCCACTTTTCACTGATGTCAAATCTAATTTTTTTATGAAATATTTTTATATGTAAGAACTCTCTAATATGACACAGGATTGAGAACACTGGACTGACTTGTAGGAAATTACTTGCCTAAGATGAAGTATAAGGCTCCAAGCGAATGTACAAAAAGCATAAATTGTTAAATTAAATTCAAAGGAGAGTGTGTCTGATTAATAAGGATTGTGGTGGTATTTGGAAAATGGCATTGGTGGCAGAATACGGTTAGAGGAAAACCTTAGCAAATAGAAGAAAACAAACAAAAAAGTCCCTCATGTTCCATTTTTTCTTACTGCTTCTCATCATGGTTTGTTGGTTTTTTGTAGTGATAATTTTTGGGTCCTTTCTTTTCCTTATTTGTGTTTGCTTTACCAGCGGATTTTATATTTTCGTGTTTCTATCATGGTAAATTTTATCATTTTGTTTTCAGATGCAGGACTCCCTTCAGCATTTCTTGTAAGACCAATCTAGTCCTACAACAAATTTTAGAAAAAAAGACAATATAGTGTGTTTATTTATTTTAGAAAAAAAGACAATATAGTGTTTAGAAAAAAAGACAATTTAGAAAAAAAGACTATATAATGCTAAAGGGATGAATTCATCAAGAGTATATTACAATTCAAAACATGAATTCCCTTAGTTTTTGCTTGCCTGAGAAAGACTTTATTTTGCCTTTTGAAGGATAGATTTGTTGAGTATAATATCCTTTGTTTGTAGTCATTTTTTTTCTTTCAGCACTTTGAATGTATCATCTCATTTTTTCTGAATTACCTGAATTTCTGCTGAAGAATTCACTGATAGTCTGATGGGGCTTCCCTTATAAATGACTACAGACTTTTCTCTTGCTGTTTTTCTCTTTTTGTCTTTGAATTTTGAAAGTTTGACTGGCATATGCCATTGAGAAGGTATTTTAAAACTGTATCTATTTGGCAATTTCTGAGCTGCCTACATCTGGATGTCTAAAATCTTGCTAGACTTGAGAAGTTTTCAGCTGTTATTCCATTATATGGTCTCTGCCACTTTAATTTATAGCTTTATCTTCTGGGATACCAAAAATTTGAATATTTTGTTGCTTTATTGTATTCCGTATGTCACATAGGCTTTGTTCACTTTTTACAATTTATTTTTGTCTGAGTTATTTCAAAAGGTCTGTCTTTAAGTTCTGTTTTTTTCTTCTGCATGACCTAGTCTATTGTTGAAGCTTTAAATTGTATTTTGTATTTCATTCAATGAATTTTTCAGTTCCAGAATTTGCGCTTGTTTCTTTCTTTTTTTTTTTTTTTTTTTAAGATCTGTATCTTTGGTAAATTTCTAATTCATTTCCTGAATTATTTTTTTCTGATTTGTTCTATATTGTCTGTTTTCTCTTTTATCTCATTGAGCTTCTTAATTATCCTTATTTTGAATGATTTTTTCAGGGATTTTATAAATTTCTTTCTGATTAGAATTTGTTGTCAAAGAAGTATTGTGTTCCTTTTAAGGTGTCACATTTTCTTACTCTTCATGTTTCTTATGTCCTTATGTTGACATGTGTGCATCAGGTGTAACAGTTGCTTCTTCCAATTTTTAAAATTCGCTTTCATAGGGAAAGGCCTCAGATGATGTAAATGAGCAGCAGTTTTGCTGCTGGAAATTGCTGGATCACTGCCAATGACTCATTCTATAACCCTGGCAGCAGCAGCCATCCAAGATAGTGGCTGTGGGCAAGGGATGTCAAAGAGGCTCCAGGGATGTGGAAATGCCGGAGCTTTTGGGCCCCAGAGAAGACTGTAATCTCATGGGGGCTGAGCTGTCAAAATTGGGTATATAGCTTCCTAGGACTCAGAGGTGTGTGGAACACAGTGTGAGACCCCTCTCTGTAGCAATGCCATTGTGTGGTCCCCAGGCATCTCTCTATGTGAGTCTGAAGGCATTTGAGGGTCGAGGGGTTGTCCCATGGCTAGGATTTTAGGATCCAGAATGGAAATGTGGACTGGTGGGTGTGTCTCACTTACCCTTTGCTTATATTGAAGAGCCACTCCAGGCTCACTGTCAATCCCTGTTGTGTTCTTTGTGTAGGATGAGTTCTTTTGTGTAGGATGTATACAAGACGCCTCTCTATTCAGTCATCCTGAAGCCCCTTCCTAAGTTACGCATTTTGACAACAGATAGCTTTGTGAGCACTTAATAAGAAAATACACGCACATTTTCTAGCAGCAAGCCTGAGGCATTCAATATATTATTTCATATTATTTTCTTTTCTCTCATGGATTTTTATTTTTTATTTTTGCTTTCCAGAAGGGGTAGTTCAACAACCAAATAATTGGATTTGTCATGAACCTGAAGCCACCACAGCCCCACTGAGAAGTAAACCAGAAGCACAATTTATTAAAATCCCACATTTTCTTGGGGAAATTGTGCTATTTATTACTATGAAAATAGGCACATATATTCCTCTGAACATATAAAATTTCAATGGAACCTATTCATCTAATTCTTCAGACAAACGAATAATTCTTTTCATTGTTTTGTAAGGATGGTATCAATAACATTTGTTTAACTAGTATTTTATTTGCTGCCTGAACAACTCTGAAGACCTCTAATCTTAGGGAATATATTGTCAATAAAACTGATGGAGAGTCACACCTCTTTACTCCCTTACTATGGTTCTTCATTGAGGGAGTTCTCATACTTGTGGTGTGAAACTCTAAAAAAGACAAAACTAGGCTAATGGAAAATTTAGTGAAATTTTAGTTGTAAATAACATAAGAACTCATTTACATTTAAATGTAACACAGTATTTAGAGGCAACTATGATAATAATGATATATTTGTATGTCAATTTCCAGAGATGTCCTTTGAACCTCACAAGTGACAAAATATGACTCAGTTATTTCCCTGAGGGCTTTACATCTGGCTTAAAATAAAATAAAAATTGACACTTTAAAAAATATTACTGTTTTCAAATAATAAAGTTATTGCAAAGATTTTCCAGGAAAATGTTCCCAAGTGTCCATGAGATCTTTTCAGATGTGATCTCATATCTAAAGCTAGAAGCATTGGGAGAGCTGTAAATAGCAATATAAATCCACGGCTAATGCATACAGGTTATTATTTTAGAAACAAGTAACTAACAAGATATGTTTCTTATTCTTTGTTACTAAGAATAAGTTATTGATCATACTTTTGATTCAATTCAAAATAACTCAAAAATCCTTTTTTTAAAAACCCAAGTAGGTAAATTGCCATTAAGATGTATGGGAAATTTAAAAAAAAGAAAATAGTTCCTTCCTTCTCTGGGATTACAGTTAGAAAGAGAGACAGACATAAACACAAATACACACATGGGATGTGCATGGGCACAGTGGTGAATGTTTACAGTTAAATGTCCTTTGTATGGTGGGAATTGTATGGTGGGAAAAAACCCTCAGTTCTGCCTATTGGGATGTGGGAAGGCTATATTTATTAGGAAATTTTTAGTAGAGGACACTAAAGGAACAGCAAATTTTTAAGGGCATCAGGGTATGTTCAGAAAATAGAGAAAACAGAAACAGAGAAAGCACTCGACCCCTGGGAAGAGAGCGCCAAAAAATACAACTGGAGCTAATTGTGGGATTTAGGGTGGGTTACAATGAAAAGGACATTGAGTTTTAAACTTTAGTGATTCATCAGAA
The DNA here is from genome assembly GCF_000001405.40 of Homo sapiens. Taxonomy (NCBI): domain Eukaryota; kingdom Metazoa; phylum Chordata; class Mammalia; order Primates; family Hominidae; genus Homo; species Homo sapiens. The sequence continues at coordinate 78,241,728 of NC_000006.12, read as the reverse complement.
ATAACTGTACAGAAAACTATCATGATTAGACATTCAAAAAGTCTTCTCCAGTAATACTGTGAAAGATAGTTTAGCTGGAGGTGTAATTTTACAAGCAGGCTTAGGAGGTTATTGTAATAGGCATAGACTAGTACTTCTCAAACTTTCTTCGAAATATACCCTATCAGAAAGAAACTTTTGGGTTTCTTTTATAAGCACTCTCACTTCCCCATCTATGTATATGTGTGTGTATTTACTGACTTATTTACAATGTAAAAACATTCATGAGCATATAATTCAAAAAGGATATGAGAAAAATTAAGTAGAAGTAGAAAATTCCACTATTTTCAGAATCCTAAATAATTGTGTGACATTTCACAGCAGCAAATAAGGAATAAAAGTGGAAATTACCAATTATAAAATTAAAAAACAATGAAACATAGCACCGCTGTCTGCTTTTTTTTTTTTTCTTCATCTCTGGTTACTCATTCCTAAACTTATTCAATGCTTTTCACTGAGCTCACGGTCTTTTCCACACCTATTACCTTAAATAATGGTTCCTCAAGGTTCCATTTAGAACTCTTCTTTTTGGTTTAAACCCAAGACTTAATTTATATTATCCACACCTGTGGACCACCATACACACTGGCTTCCAATACTGTATCTGTAGCTCGGATTTACTTTACAAACTTCAGGCCAGTACTTCTGACTTCTTACTTTTCACCTTCACCTGAACATAACCACATACTCAACTTATCAAAACAACACTCAGTACATTTTTCAAGACTGCTTCTGCTCATATAATCTATATTTTAACCAACTGTCCCACCATTTTTCAAGATGCCCATGCCTTAAACTGGGGAATCACTTTAGTCTCCTTCCTTTGTCCTAATTGTCTGCATATGATCAATTACTAACTTCAGTTGACTCTGCCTCTTTAATCTCTCCTCTTTCCCTAATCTACCATTCCTACTTCTGTTGCCTTAGTTCAGACATGCTCCATCTATGTCAGGTATTGTAAAGAAAAAGAAAAATTAGACGTGGTCTTATTTATGGTACATCCTTACAGAGCTCACAGAATGCAGAATGAAAAACCAAAGTAGACTGAAAATAGAATATTTACAGCTAAAGTTCAAGGAGCTGTCTGTGTTATTATCGTTGTAAATGTGCCCTATTTGTCATGATTTCCACTTGGAAAACTCACAGGACTCTCAAATTTACTATGACTATCCATCTTGTAGGCTAAGCCAGAAACCTGTCATTCTGTAACACCCTTTGCCTTTTATTGTCATGCTACTGAATACCAAATCATATCAATAGTATTCCCTATGTTTTTCACAATTATCTATTTTTCTCCTGCACTATCACCATCAGGCTAGACAAAGCCATCACTATGCCTGGCCTAAACAATTGCAACATAGCTTTATTTATCTCACTGTATTCAGTAGATTCAATCCAATCTATTATTGAAATGGGAGAGTTCCCTGATCCCCTCATGGGACTTGTGACAGAAGTGTGGCTTGTTTACTTGGCTGCCATGCACCCAAACCCCTTATGGGAGGGGGAGCATGCAAGTGAGCAGGTGCAGGAGCTGGGGTGAGTGCTTTTGGGCTCCAGCCCCATGGCAATGTCTAGGGGTATTACAGTGTTCTTTTAGCCCTGCTGTCCAGGGACAGCTTAAATGTTAAACCACTCAGTGAAAAGTCAGTGTGACAGCCTTTTTGGATTCCCACACTGAGTGCATCCTGAATTCTTGTCTGGCGTCCAGGAAGAATTAGGTCACATGGAGTTGAAGGATGGTGAGTCCGGGGATTTTATTGAGTGATGGAGGCGGCTCTCAGTGAGATGGGAAGGTGGAGAGGGGATAGAGTGGGAAGATGATCTTCTCCTTGAGTTTGGCTATCCCACAGCCAACTTCCACTCCGACTGTCCTCAGCTGAACTCCTCTTGACGTTCAGACACTTCTTCTCTTCTCTCCTCCTCTGCTGTGCTGCTGTGCTGCTCTGCTATTGAAGCTTGGGATTTATATGGGCACAGGATGGGGCATGGTAGGTCAGAGTGGTGTTGGAAAAGGAAACATTTGAGTGCGAAAATAGGAATGCCTGTTCTCATTTAGGGCTGTGTGTTTCCAGGCTTGAGGGTGGAATCTTTGCCAGGGAATGGCACTCTTCTACCCAGTATTTCCCTACCTCCTGTTTGTATCATTGTCAACTTGGTAGAAAGAGTGATTCATAAAGAGGCATGTATAAGGTAATGATGGAATGGCTAGTAACAAAATTTCCTACTTACTGTAAAGAGCTATAAAATTAAGAATACAAGAAGAAATGAATGAAAGGAGTTTAAGAAAAAAATTTTTAAGTAACTTAAAATTATCTTTTATTTATTTCATGTTTTTACATTTTATTTTCCCTTTTTTTGAGGTAAAAACTTCAATAATTGATTTTAAATATTTTTTCTTCCTAATATAAATGTTTAAAATTTTAAATGCCCCTATAAATGTGGTTTTTCAGTCTCCCATAGTTTTATATTCAGTTTTTATTTTCATTCTCTTCAAAATATCTTCAATTTTCTTTTTGATTTCTTATTTAACTTACGGTTATTTAGAAGTACATTGTTTAATTTCCACTTTTTTGCAGATTTCCTTTTTATTTCTATTTTTGATTTCCAGATTAATTTTATTATGGTTGGAGAACACACTTTGTATTATTTCAATCCTTTTAATTTTATGGGAATTTGTTCTGTGGTCTAGAATGTGGTGTCTTCTAGATAGTGGAAGTAGCTCCCATCAATAAAGTTAACAGACTTCTACTGTTCTTACATAGAATTCTATGAAGTTTTCCTATATAAATACTTCATGAGTTGTTACTTGCCTTGATCAATTCCTAGATCCTTGAAATTATGTGGATAATTTTCTATAGTTTTATGTTTTATTGAAGGGGCAGAGGATTTGCTAACCTCTTCATGCCATCAGGGCCAGAAGTTGCCCCTTGGGGACCCTTATTTCTATATGGGTAGACTGCATTAACAACTTTTGCTCTCTATGGGTTGATAATCATACTATATATGTTTTAACATCCTGAATTAGGCTTTAGTATAATGTTATATTACATAATCAGCTGATTCCTTTAGAGTTTGGACATATCTCTAGGATATTTCTCCAGGATATTTGCATTCCAATATTACTTAGGTCTAATAAATCAAGTAATAATCGTAACCCCAAGACAATTGGGCTTTGGGCACAATATAATTCTAGAATAATAAATTCAACCACTTGCTATGCCTCTGGATTCCTCAGAGATAATCTGACTTAAAGTAAGTCTTCTAACTTCTGTGTTTTAAGACTTGTATTACTAACTACAAATCAAATGTTTATTGCACTAATACATTTGGTGTGAGAAAAAAGGGTTCTTAATTCCAGATGCTTTGCTCTTCTACAATTTGTAAGAGCCATTATTTACAATAGCATTTCCCAAATGCTGATTCAGTAAGGACTCTGTTAAAAGTTCCACATGCAAGTGTACTTGAGAAATGCCACACAGTATATTGTGCTCTTAGAATTTTTAAATGTGCTTTAGAATGGAAAGGAAAAATGAAACTTGTTTAATATTTCTTTATCATACCTCAATACAGGATTTATTTTTTACTTATTCTTTACTTACATCATAAGAAGTTACATTCTGTATAACACACTTTGGAAAAATCTTTTGTGTGACTTTTGTTTTTATTTCCAATTCTCATAGAGGACCCAGAGAGGTAGAATAGTTTGCTTAAATATTAAATGAGTAATGATAAGGGATGAATACATCTCTGAATCCACACACACATGGTACCTCTAGAGCCAGCAATCTCAGATGTAGATCCGGTAGTAAACATGGTGACAGGATCACAATCTTCAAGAGTATGATCATTGATACATCTCCTGGCATCACAGATATTGGTGCATGTGACTCCCAAGACTGTATTTTCATTATTTAGAAATCTGTTGTCTTTGTGAGCATGTTCTTCTTCCTTGCCTATATCACATTATTGATTTATTTCACATTTAAATGGAAACACTAAGCAGTTGCTTTTGTTAGCAAGAGAAAATGCCTATTAGAGATCCAATTTAACTTTGATTCGTGTGATACAATACTGATAACTTTAAAGACAAAATAGAATACAACAGAGGATATCTTCGCGTTTCCACTCTCTCTAATACAGCATTAGGTTTCATTAAATTGTAAAACTATATAAAGTGAATCTTAGAGATCTTTCTAATACTAAGGCAAAGTAATATTTTCAAATAGAATTTTTAATATTAGCTACAAATGAGTTCTACTTCTAGAACTCACTGTGGACTTCAATAAGACATTTCTTTAAAACATTTTTGGTCTAAATGACAGAGTTCAGATTCACTTTTATTTTTCTTCTTTGAAAAATTGTGTTAACCCATGAACAGTTCTCTGAATGAAAATAATATACTATAGTTTCTATATTTTAAACGTTAAAATAATAATGCAAAATGTTGTTTTCTGCAGTTTATATGTATAGATTTTCATTTCATTAACTCTACAGTGCTTGTTTCAAGGAGTTGTTTTGAAGTTTTATTTAAAATATGATTGGGGTTGATGTTTGCTGTGGTATCCCAGTTAATGATAGATTAACTCGCTTAACTTCTATAGTATTTAACGTTCTTATTTTAAAAATTGTGTTGAGGTAATAGGTAACATAAGGCTAAAAGAAACACTGACACACAGACACATATGCATACCCCCTCTCACCCTATACACAGAGATTGAAGTTGATTGTAAAAATGGTTTGGAACTTTCAAACTGTAAAAAAAAAAATTGGATTACAACTAGTGTTCCTTTTCAAAAATATATATTAGGAAAATTGCAATAAATGTACACACTTACAATGTGTACAATGTACATATACGTACCTGAACGTAAGTGGTGCCTCCTTAGATGTGCTATTATTGTTTACTGTAAAATCTATACCATAGACAGTGAAAGTTACCTATTTTCTCTTCCCTAAAAGCTAAACTTCACATAATATTTTATTGATTTATATTCACTTTCTACCTTGCTATAGCTTTGCTTCAGGAGTGTTTTCCTAAATGAAGTGATTAGTGATTTATTTTTCAGTATGGCCACTCTTTTCTACTCTGATTATCAAAGGCCATCAGTTAAATGCCATTTTTTTGTCATGAACAAAATTAAAATCTTAAATTCCTTACATTGCAAACAGTGTCCCAGCTAGAGCAGTCCACGAGACTAAAATAAAATTAAAATGCTACTGGAGACAAACACAAAATATTCTAAAAGAAAAGATGCAGCTTGTTCTTCTTGGATGTGATTACACTTTGCTTTGTACACTTTATATTTCAGAAGATGCATCAAAAAGCATTTCACCATTGCCTACAAATCTAAATATTTCAGAGAATTATAAAATCAGAGTAGTCCTTTAATCACTACTTTCAGGTTGAAAAGAAGCAATACTTAATTATGAGGTTATTCTATTTCCTATTCCAAATTATTATGGCTTATAAAGCAATCAATTGTTGTGAAGCATCCCTATCAGAAACCATCTATATTTCATAAGCTTAATTATAAATTTTATGGCCCCTCAAACATACTCAATTTGACTGCAATCTGCACAGAATTGGCCTGAAGTTTTACCTGGTACAATATTTTCTATTACAATCCCATTTAAAATGAGATGGACAGTGAGCTTTAATTGAATATAGAAGTCATTTTCTCACCCAAGCTAATGAACTCCTGTGTGTGATGAGAAATAAACTGGTAAAAACCTACTGTAGGAGATTGAATGTTATGTACTGCTGCTGTGATGAAGCCTCTTTAAATCTCCTTATTAAAAATCTTGTTTTCTATTTAAATCTCTATGAAATAGAAATTATATAAAAAGTGTACAAGCTTTTTAAAAAGCAGTTCAGTTTAGCTCACCGAATATGTATATCAGAGGCAAGTTTTAAATGCTATAGCCCATGAGCAAAAAGCTAAATTGCACTACTAATCAGTGTGTTCCTTTAAGCAAGTCATTAACTCAATCTGGGACTATATTCTCACCTGTAAGAGGCAGGTTGCAGGCTAGTACTGGTCTATTCTAGCTCTAAAGTTCTATGAATTAACTTAAAGTTTTTTTCTAATGTCTAGCCAGCAGCTGTTTTGTGAGGAAGCAGTTAGTTTATGAGTCATCTCTCTTAAGAATAACTTCTTTCTTTTTTGTTTGTTTGTTTTTATTGAGACGGAGTCTCACTCTGTAGCCCAGGCTGGAGTGCAGTGGCGCAATCTTGGCTCACTGCAAGCTCCACCTCCCGGGTTCACGCCAAGAATAACTTCTCTCTTAAGAAGGTTTAGGATGATTGCCCTCATTATACAGGGGCACATGGTCACAGAGAATCACTGTGATTCTAGAGGTGACAAGGTATTTTGAGATCATCCAGCCCAACATCCTCATTTTACAGTCAAACAGTGAAGGCCATAGTGATTGGATACCCTTCCTAACTCTTCTAGTATCTGGAGTCCCAAATCCTAGGCAACATTTTCCTTGAAAAGGAGATGGGTGGGTAACGGCTTTTGCCTCAATAAAGGAGAATAATTGCAAGATTTTCCTCTTTAAGTGGTGTCACCCCAATCTATTTGGTCATTTCCTGTTTGGATCAAGAAAAATATTCCATAATTATATTCACATATCTTTCAGAAATCAAGAAGGACATTAAGCTGTTACATTAAATTATTTCTAACAGCCTCCCCAGTGTGTCAAATACTTGTATTATGGGGAAAATCACTCTAACAGTAGAATGCAAGCAAAAACTTTAATCATGTGAAAAGGAGATCACAACTCTAGACTAGGGACCACATTCTTTAGGAGTTCTTAGAGAATGTTTTCAGTTTTCCCAGTGCTATCTCGAGAACCTAGCAATACATACCAAATCCCTTCTTCCGCTATCTTATCATTTAGTAGTGAGAGAAAAATGCAGTATCTCACATCTATCCTCCTTTGATTAGTATCCAAGAAAAAAAGTCTCTGGAGTCTTTTCTCCCTTCCACTAATTCCTGCTTTACTCTGGTAATGTGCTTCCTTTTTCCCTCAAATAATTGTTTTCTCCTCTCTCTTGAATATTTCAGCTGAGTTCTTTGACACCTCTAATCCTCAACCATTCTCTGAATATGACCTCCATTTATTTTCTCTAATAAAATCTGGATCTCTCCTATGCTCAATGCTTCCTCTAAATCCCATCACCCCAGCCTGAATAGAAGGATGGGAAGTGGGATCAGGATCTTAATTGATCCCTTTGCTGCTTCAAGATCATTATGCCTCCATCTTGATGAGAAAAAAAAAGTGTCATTAAGGACGAGAGCCATCAATGCAACTGCAGCAACCTCTGCCTGTCCTAGTGACTTCAGTGCAGATGTGATCCTCACGTGAAAATTGATGCAGAGTGTTCCATAGGAGAGGGTTGGGAACAAGAGAGAGAGAAAAAAAATGAGAATATGATAAAGGGAGAAACAGTAAAGGTAGGTTCCCAGGGGATGCAATTTTTGCCCATGCTGTTAGTTCTGCAGCTGCCTTGGACATCAAGATAACATCTGTGGTTTCCTATGGCAGTAAAGTATCCACACTCTGTTCTTTCAAGACCTTTATTCTATCTCATCTTAAAAGCTGCTGTTGCTTGGCTAGCCCAAATTTTGTTGGAAGCAGAAATGTGAGGATGTGGTTGTACTAAATATGGGGAGTTTTACATTGGACTTTGCCTTATACCCATATTTGCTAGAAACACCAACCTTCTGCATTCAACCTCTCCTCCCATTACATAACAGTTGTGTTCTGTTCTTTTCTTCTCATTTGTGTTCTTAATTCAGTCAATGCATCAAGGCCCTGTTTATCAATTCTGTTCTCTTTCTTCAGTATCATAAGTGTGCTTTATTTTTCTGCTAGGTCCCTCTCTTCTACATGTAAACATGCTCAGGCTTTTCCCCTTATTATAAAACAACTTCTCCTTGGCCCTATGCCACTCTGTAACAACTACGCAATTGAAGCTACCTCCTTATAAGAATTGTCTCTGCTCAGTGTCACTAGTTCTCAACATCAAGTTCATATTTTTTCAACTCTACTATTTTTATGTGGATATCTTCTAAACAAATACAAAACACAGGCTCTCTGAAACAAAAGCATTTGATTATTAATTTGTAGCATTTGATTATTTCCTTGATGTAAATACTGTCAAGATGGCAGAATTCAAGCAACCGACATGAAGTAACTGAAGTAGATTTGAAAAGATGAAAAGAGATGTGCATAGCAGCTCTTGAAAGCTGCTGAAAGACTATAAGCTGGCTCTAGAACATCACTGATAATACATTTCTTTGCTTCTTTTTTTTTTTTTCCTTTCCTTCCTCGTATTGGATTATCCAGATTATTTTGTTGCTTTGTTTCTCTTTTTCTGGAATGGAAGTTACACATTTTATGTCGTTTACTTAATGATTGCCTTTGAATTTTTTTTAACATGCAGACAAATTTAAGAAATTAATATCTCCAACTTAAATAATCTAAGATTTAGGTTGCTGAATTTTGACCCCTTCCCCAACTTATATGCCACTGCTGTCTGATATTTTAGTTTATGCTTTTTAAACCTCACCAAACTTGACAAAATATGATTACTTGTAGAATCTTAAACAATCTTTTTCAGTGCACTGTCATAATGTATACACCATATGTTTTCAAATTGGGTTCTGTGGATCCCACTGACATCATATCGGTGGCTTAGGAGCTCCTGATATGAATGTAAGAGGGGCCACAGAGTTTGATGGAGGTATAAGCCAGGCACAGTGTCTCTAAGCAGAGAAGAATGCTAATCTTCTATAGAGTTTTGGAAAATGATGAAGTTCAATGACTAGCAGATTTTCAGAGAACATGGAGTAATTTAACATCACTGTAGTTATGTGGTTATTTGTATATGACTGTTGTTGATTGCCTGGCACTCAGATGCGTGGTCATTGGGTCTTTACCTGATTGGCTGACTTTCAGATGTGAAGGGCTTTTGCTGTTTGGTTACTTCACAGAACCATATTTGGTTACTTCATAAAACCATATTTACTGAAGTGAGTTGTCATTGGTTGATTAAACATACTTAAAACTAGCTCCATACCAGGTACGGTGGCTCACCCCTGTAATCTCAGCATGTTGGGAGGCTGAGGTGGGTGGATCACTTGAGGTCAGGAGTTTGAGATCAGCCTGGCCAACATGGTGAAACACTGTCTATACTGAAAACACAAAAATTAGCCAAGCATGGTGGCACAAACTTGTAATCCCAGCTACTCAGGAGGCTGAGGCAGGAGAAGCGCTTGAGCTATGGAGGTAGAGGTTGCAGTGAGCTGAGATGGTGCCACTGCACTCCAGCCTGGGCAGATAGAGCAAGACTCCATCTCAAAAAAAAAAAAAAAAATAGGGATAGGAGGCAGGAATAAATTACACTCCCACTTGGACAGAAAGAGGAGCATGTGGAGTCTCACATTGTGAACACTTTCTCTAAGAACTACCTGCCAGGAATATACTAGGACAGCTGAGAGAATCTACAGACGCTTTGGAGGAGTGGTTTGCTCCTGGAGGACCCAGGAGACAGCCTAAATACTGTGAGTGTCCAAACAGTGAAACTGGGAAAGGGTGATTGTCCATCTCTGAACACACACTCTCACTGGGGAACCTGAAAGTCAGATCACAGGAGAAGGATTTTATCTTACCTGGAGCTGAGATAATTTAGAGAGCCGAGCAACAACCTAAATGTCTAGCAACAATAGATTGGATTAAGAAAATGTGGCACATATACACCATGGAATACTATGCAGCCATAAAAAATGATGAGTTCATGTCCTTTGTAGGGACATGGATGAAACTGGAAACGATCATTCTCAGCAAACTATCGCAAGGACAAAAAACCAAACACCGCCTGTTCTCACTCATAGGTGGGAATTGAACAATAAAAACACATGGACACAGGAAGGGGAACATCACACACCAGGGACTGTTGTGGGGCAGGGGGAGGGGGGAGGGATAGCATTAGGAGATATACCTAAAGCTAAATGATGAGTTAATGGGTGCAGCGCACCAACATGGCACATGTATACATATGTAACAAACCTGCACGTTGTGCACATGTACCCTAAAACTTAAAGTATAATAATAATAAAATTAAAAATAAATAAATAAATATATAAAAAAAATACAAGGGTAGAAAAAGCTGCAGGTAAAGCCCTGTGGGCTCTCTGGGTCCCCAGGGAAGCCACTTCTGACTGTCTCATAGAGGTCCTTGGGGAGGGGCTGCCAGAGGAACTGGGAAAAGACCACAGGGAGAAGGAAACCACCAGCTGAACTTCGTAACAATTCCAACTGAATGCAAAGTGTTCTGGCCAGAACTCAGGGGAGGGCATGAATCTGGTGTGCAGAGTCCACAGGCAAGGAGGCAGGAAAGCTCTGCTTGCTTTCTCAGCTGGGAGACTGGTAGCCTGGGGCAAATTCTCAGTCCTGCTTACCTACTGCCTGGAAACAAACTTGGTGCTGTTTGGAGGGTACAGTGGGCATGAAACCGGGCTTTTGGATTGTGTGGGAGCTGGGGGAGGCCTGTAACTGCCAACTTTCCCCCACCTACTTGACAACCTCCATGACTCAGCAGAGCCAGCCATAATCCTCCTGGGAATATAACTCCATTGACCTGGGAACCACACCCGCATCCCCCACAGAAGCTGCAGCAAGACTCGCCAAGGAGAGTCTTGAGCTCAGATGCACTTAACCCTGCCCTTACCTGATGGTCTTTGTCTACCCACCCTGGTAGCTGAAGACAAAGGTTATATTCCCTTGGGAGTTCTAGGGCCCCACCCATTGCCTGTTCCTCCCCATACTACCATAGCTGATGCTCTCTTGAAAGTGCCACCTCCTGGCAGGAGGCCAACTAGCACAAAACTAGTACCTTAAACAGCTACAATTAAGGACCCTCACAGAGTCCATTTCACTCCCCTGCCACCTCTAGCAGAGTAGGGGAGGTGAGAGATCTGAAGATGGTTCACATCACAGGGCTCTCTGCAGACAGCCCCCAGTACTAGCCTTGAGCCTAGTAGCCCTGCTGGGTAGTTAGATTCAGAAGAGAAGTAACAATCCCTACAGTTCAGCTCTCAGGAAACCACATCCCTAGGAAAATAGGGAGAGTACTACATCAAGGGAGCACCTTGTTGAACAAAAGACAATGAACAGAAGCCTTGGGCCCCACATCTTCCCTCTGACGTAGTCTACCCAAATGAGAAGGAACCAGAAAAACAATTCTGATAATATGACAAAATGAGGTTCTTTAACACCCCTAAAAAAATCAAACTAGCTCACCAGCAAAGGATCCAAACAAGAAGAAATCTCTGAATTGCCAGAAAAAGGATTCAGAAAGTCAATTATTAAGCTAATTGATGAAGCACCAGAGAAAGGTGAAGTTCAACTTAAGGAAATAAAAAAAGTCTATCTTAAGGAAATTAAAAAAAAAAGATACAAGATATGAGAAGAGAAATCTTCAGTGAAATAGACAGCATAAATAGAAAACAATCACAACTTTGGGAAATGAAGGAAATAGCAACAGAATCGAACAAACATAAGAAAGAAATTCAGAGCTCAAAGACGAGGTTTTCAAATTAACCCAATCCAACAAAGACAAAGAAACAAGAATTTTAAAAATGAAAAAAGCCTCCAAGGAGTTTGGGATTATGTTAAACAATCAAACCTAAGAATAATTGGTGTTACTGAGAAAGAAGAGAAATCTAAAAGTTTGGAAAATATATTGGAGGGAATAATTGAGGAAAACTTCCCTGGCCTTGCTAGAGATCTAGACATCCAAATACAAAGAGCTCAAAGAACATCTGGGAAATTCATCACAAAATGATCATCGCCTAGGCACATAGTCATCAGGCTACCTAAGTCAAGACAAAGGAAAGAATCTTAAGAGCTGTGAGGCAAAAGTACCAGGTAACCTGTAAAGAAAAACCTATCAGATTAACAGCAGATTTCTCAGCAGAAACTGTACAAGCTAGAAGGGATTGGGACCCTATCTTTAGCCTCCTTAAACAAAACAATTATCAGCCAAGAGTTTTGTATCCACCGAATCTAAGCTTCATAAATGAAGGTAAGATACAGTCTTTTTCAGACAAACAAATGCTGAGAAAATTCATCACTACAAAGCCAGCACTACAAGAACTGCTAAAAGATACTCTAAATCTTGAAACAAATCCTGGAAACATATCAAAACTGAACCTTTTTAAAGCATGAATCCCACAGGACCTATAAAAAAATACAATAAATAAATAAATGTTAAAAACCCAAGGTATTCAGGCAACAAAGAGTATTATGAATGGAATAGTACCTCACATCTCAATACTAACATTGAATGTAAATGGCCTAAATGCTCCACTAAAAAGATACAGATTTGCAGAATGGGTAAGAATTCACCAATGAAATATCTGCTGCCTTCAAGAGACTCACCTAACCATAAGGACTCACATAAACTTAAGGTAACAGGGTGGAAAAAGACATTCCATGCAAATGGACACCAAAAGTAAGCAGGAGTAGCTATTATATCAGACAAAACAAACTTTAAAGCAACAGAAGTTTAAGAAAACAGAGGGACATTATATAATGATAAAAGGCCTTGTCCAATAGGAAAATATCACAATCATAAATATATATGCACCTAACACTGGAGTTGCCAAATTTATAAAACAATTACTACTAGAGATAAGAAATGAGAAAGACAGCAACACAATAATAGTGAAGCGCTTCAGTATTCCACTGACAGCACCAGACAGGTTATCGAGACAGAAAATCAACAAAGAAACAATGGATTTAAACTATACCCTAGAACAAACGGAGTTAACAGATATTTACAGAAATTCTACTCAACAACCACAGAATATACATTACATTCATCAGTGCATGGAAGTTTCTCCAAGATAGACCATATGGTAGGCCATAAAACAAGTCTCAATAAATTTTAGAAGATTGAAATTATATCAAGTATTATCTCAGACCACAGTGAAATAAAATTGGAAATCATCTCCAAAAGGAGCCTTCAAAATCATGCAAATACATGAAAATTAAATAACTTGCTTCTCAATTTCATTAGGTCAACAATGAAATCAAGATGGAAATTAAAGAATTATTTGTCCATTTCTTCTAGATTTTCTAGTATATTTGCGTAGAGGTGTTTGTAGTATTCTCTGATGGTAGTTTGCATTTCTGTGGGATAGGTGGTGATATCCCCTTTATCATTTTTTATTGCATCTATTTGATTCTTCTCTCTTTCTTCTTTATTAGTCTTGCTAGCAGTCTATCAATTTTGTTGATCCTTTCAAAAAGCCAGCTCCTGGATTCATTAATTTTTTGAAGGGTTTTTTGTGTCTCTATTTCCTTCAGTTCTGCTCTGATTTTAGTTATTTCTTGCCTTCTGCTAGCTTTTGAATGTGTTTGCTCTTGCTTTTCTAGTTCCTTTAATTGTGATGTTAGGGTGTCAATTTTGGATCTTTCCTGCTTTCTCTTGTGGGCATTTAGTGCTATAAATTTCCCTCTACACACTGCTTTGAATGTGTCCCAGAGATTCTGGTATGTTGTGTCTTTGTTTTTGTTGGTTTCAAAGAACATCTTTATTTCTGCCTTCATTTCGTTATGTAGCCAGTAGTCATTCAGGAGCAAGTTGTTCAGTTTCCATGTAGTTGAGCGGTTTTGAGTGAGTTTCTTAATCCTGAGTTCTAGTTTGATTGCACTGTGGTCTGAGAGACAGTTTGTTACAATTTCTGATCTTTTACATTTGCTGAGGAGTGCTTTACTTCCAAGTATGTGGTCAATTTTGGAATAGGTGTGGTGTGGTGCTGAAAAAAATGTATATTCTGTTGATTTGGGGTGGAGAGTTCTGTAGATGTCTATTAGGTCTGCTTGGTGCAGAGCTGAGTTCCATTCCTGGGTATCCTTGTTAACTTTCTGCCTTGTTGATCTGTCTAACTTTGACAGGGGGGTGGTAAAGTCTCCCATTATTATTGTGTGGGAGTCTAAGTCTCTTTGTATGTCACTCAGGACTTGCTTTATGAATCTGGGTGCTCCTGTATTGGGTGCATATATATTTAGGATAGTTAGCTCTTCTTGTTGAATTGATCCCTTTACCATTATGTAATGGCCTTCTTTGTCTCTTTTGATCTTTGTTGGTTTAAAGTCTGTTTTATCTGATACTAGGTTTGCAACCCCTGCCTTTTTTTTGTTTTCCATTTGCTTGGTAGGTCTTCCTCCATCCTTTTATTTTGAGCCTATGTGTGTCTCTGCATGTGAGATGGGTTTCCTGAATACAGCACACTGATGGGTCTTGAGTCTTTATCCAATTTGCCAGTCTGTGTCTTTTAATTGGAGCATTTAGTCCATTTACATTTAAAGTTAATATTGTTATGTGTGAATTTGATCCTGTCATTATGATGCTAGCTGGTTATTTTGCTCGTTAGTTGATGCAGTTTCCTCCTAGTCTTGATGGTCTTTACAATTTCACATGATTTTGCAGTGGCTGGTACCGCTTGTTCCTTTCCATGTTTAGTGCTTCCTTCAGGAGCTCTTTTAGGGCAGGCATGGTGGTGACAAAATCTCTCAGCATTTGCTTGTCTGTAAAGGATTTTATTTCTCCTTCACTTATGAAGCTTAGTTTGGCTGGATATGAAATTCTGGGTTCAAAATTCTTTTCTTTAAGAATGTTGAATATTGGCCCCCACTCTCTTCTGGTTTGTAGAGTTTCTGCTGAGAGATCCGCTGTTAGTCTGATGGGCTTCCCTTTGTGAGTAACCCGACCTTTCTCTCTGGCTGCCCTTAACATTTTTTTCCTTCATTTCAACTTTGGTGAACTGACAATTATGTGTCTTGGAGTTGCTCTTCTCGAGGAGTATCTTTGTGGCATTCTCTTTATTTCCTGAATCTGAATGTTGGCCTGCCTTGCTAGATTGGAGAAGTTCTCCTGGATAATATCCTGCAGAGTGTTTTCCAACTTGGTTCCATTCTCCCCTCACTTTCAGGTACACCAATCAGACGTAGATTTGGTCTTTTCCCAACCCAAATGTCCAAAAATGATAGACTGGATTAAGAAAATGTGGCACATATACACCATGGAATACTATGCAGCCATAAAAAATGATGAGTTCATGTCCTTTATAGGGACATGGATGAAATTGGAAATCATCATTCTCAGTAAACTATCGCAAGAACAAAAAACCAAACACCACGTATTCTCACTCATAGGTGGGAATTGAACAATGAGAACACATGGACACAGGAAGGGGAACATCACACTCCGGGGACTGTTGTGGGGTGGGGGGAGGGGGGAGGGATAGCATTAGGAGATATACCTAATGCTAAATGACGAGTTAATGGGTGCAGTACACCAGCATGGCACATGTATACATATGTAACTAACCTGCACATTGTGCACATGTACCCTAAAACTTAAAGTATAATAATAAAAAAGAACTCATTGATTAAATACTTAAATATGAGACCCTCAACTCTAAAAATACTAGAAGAACACCTAAAGAAAACTTACAGATATTGGTCTAGGCCAATAATGCATTAACAAGACCTCAAAAGCACAAGCAACAAAAACAAAAATAGGCAAATCGAATTTAATTAAACTAAAAAGCTTCTGCACAGCAAAAGAAATTTAATTAAATGAAAAAGCTTCTGCACAGCCAAAGAAAACAGACAACTGGAAGAATGAGAGAAAATATTTGCAAACAGTTCATCTGACAGGGAATTAATATCCAGAATTTACAAAGAACTCAAGAAAAAATAATCCCATTAGAAAGTAGGCAAAGGACATGAATAGACGTTTTTAGAAGAAGACATATAAATGTCCAACAGACATATGAAAAAAATGCTCAACATCACTAATCATCAGGGAAATGAAAATTAAAACCACAATGAGATTTATTTTATTCCAGTCAGAATGGGTATTACTAAAGTAAAAGAATAACAAATATTGGTGAGAATGCAGAGAAAGGGGAACTCTTATATATTGCAGGAATGTAAATTAGTACAACCTCTGTGTAAAACGGTATAGAGAGTTCTCAAAAAACTAAAAATATAACTGCCATTCCATACAGCAGTCCCACTACTGTGTATCTACCCAGTGGAAAAGAAACCATTATGTAAAAAGAAAACCTGCACTTATGTGTTTCTTGCTGCAGTGTTCACAATAACAAAGATAGAGAACACTTAAGTGTCCATCAACAGATTATTAGATAAATAAAATGTTTATATATATATATATATATATATAGACCATATACAGACTATATATATAGACCATAAATGAGAAAGAAATCACATCTTTTGAAGCAACATGGATGGAACTGGAGGTCATTAAGTTAAGTGAAATAACTCAAAAGCTTAAAGTCAAATACCACATATTCTCACTTATAAGTGGGAAGTAAATCATGTGCAGACATAAACACTGAGTGTGGAATGATAGACTTTGGAGACTCTGAAAGGTGAGCGAGTAGAAGGGGAATGAGGGATGAGAAATTACTCAACAGTACCATGTACACTATTTGGGTGATGGATGTACTAAAAGCCCAGACTTTATCACTACACAATATATCTGTGTAACCAAACTGCACATGTGCTTCTTAAATGTATACAAATTTAAAAATTTTTATAGCCTCATGTTTGCTATCCTTTTACTGAAAACATTTTTTTAAATATTTCTTTTATAGCTGTAATAGTAGTTTATAGTGGAAGGATGAGTCTGATACTAGTTATTCCATTGTTGCTGGAACCAGTGGTCTTCAAGTATGTTTTATTATTCTATTCATTATTATTTTATCTTTTTAGTTAAGTATTCTTTTTTTGTTCTCTTGGTATTATCCTACCAATTATAATATCCATCATTAACTTATTAATATTAAATGTAAATTAGCATTTTTCCATTTTCTGACAATTTTTGGACCTTCAAACTTTAAACTCCATTTATTCTCCTCTCATCTTTTATGCCATTGTTACCATGCATTTTTATTCTACATATATATTTGTCTGCAAGTTTTATTATTATTCTGTAAACAGTGAATTATCTCTTCCATTTACTCACATAGTTAAACTTCCTATTATTCTCCATTTTTCTATAATTCTGAGATTCAATTAACATTATTTTCTTTCTACTGAAAAATCACTTTGTCAGTTAATTTTTTTCTGTTTTTGATTGCCTTATTTTTTGAAAGACAGTTTCACAGGGCATATCATTTTAGGTTGACGGTGATTTTCTTTTGACATGTTAAAGGTGTACAGTTTAACAGCTTCCATTTCTTCTGCTGACAGTAGTCGTTTTTGGCTGATCTGTTGTTATTAAGTGTAGTTTATAAGATATTATCTTTAAAAGTTTTTTTTTTTTTTAACATTTTACTATTTATCCTGCTAGGGGTTCACAACAGTTCTTGAATCTCTGATCTATTTTTTTCTGTTCATTTTGAAAAATTTACATTCACTGTCTCTTCAAATAATATCTTCCTCAAAACACACACACACTCTCTCTCTTTCTGTGTGTGTGTATATGTCTCAGAATTCTATCTACATGTGTGTCAGGCCTTCTCACTGTGCCTCGTATATACTTTATTCCTTTTATATACTTTCCATTATTTTACTTTCTACACATCAGTCTGAATATTTTCTAGTGACGTATCTTTCAGTTCACTAATTCTTATTTTTCGGCTGTGTCTTATCAACTGTAATAAATCATTACATTGATTTTTAATTTTCTGCCAATGCCTTTATAAGTTTTAGGTTTTCTACTTTATTCTGCTTTATGTTTTTCAGTTCTCTGGCCAGTTACTTCAGTTTAGTATGTGTTTTCTTAAACATATTAATCATAGTTCACTCAAAGTCCATATCTAGTAAATGCAATATTTGGATTATCTAAACTAATTACTATTTCTATTATCTGATTTTTCTCTTTACCTTGTTTCTTAATATGCCTGTTAATTTTTTAATTGAATGTCAGGCATGTACACTTAAAAAGTTCTGATTGCCTTGCCACTTTCTCAGTGATGTCATGGAATTTTAGCAACCCAGTTAACTATATATGATATAAAAGTCAAGGATAAAAAGTTAATGCAGATTTATGAGAATTTTTTTTCTGGATAATGTCTGAATCTTACTATAATATATTTGAATCAATCAGATTCTTGGTTTCTAATTTTGCAAACATAAGCCTGTGAAGTAATCCAAATATCAGAAAGACTTCATTTATTAGTCCCTTCCATTACATCTTGCCTTATATATAAATACGCTATTATTCTATATTAACTTTATTTATACCCCTGGTGCTACAAACATTTTCTCTTTATTAAAATCCATCTCCTATTACATGTCATTTATCATTCTTTTATGAATCTTAGTTATAGCTAAAAATTATGAGGAATAGAAACTGATACTTAACATGTACCTCATAGATTTTACAAACTTACCAGTTTATACTGCAGACCTCTTTTACCTATTTTCTTTCTTTTTATGATCCCTTTACTGTCCCAGGGCCATCATATGCAGACACAAAGAATATTAACAATGTCTTTATACCTTTCATATTTCTCAAATTCTTTTAACATTGTGAGTGTAGACTTAATTCTATGTTTACTATATTCAAGGAATCAGAAAATCAGACTTTAAAATGAGACATTCTCTTTCCAGCTAATGTTAGCCTTATGTTTGTCAGAAGAGATCATATTCTTTTAAGCCAGCTTTCTTACAAAAAAAAAGAGATAGATCATCTTCATTGACAAATACATCCTGTTAAAATGTGTGCCTGACATAATTATGTAGGAAACAGTGAAGAAGAGGGTAATGTGGTTGTCAGCCTGCTTAGAGTACAAAAAAAAAAAAAAAAAAAGAATGTTCCATAAGCGCTCACATTAATATGAACACAATACATCTAAACCTCAAATAGTGTTTGCTAAAGATGCTTTGCAGGAGGGCTTGGCATCAAAAAGAACATCTAAAGAACACCATACCAGAGGGATATGTGTAGTGTATGCAGGCCATCTCAGAAGTACAGAATTTGGTTGTATTCATCTCACTTTGGAAAATTCCAGGGGTCCCCATTCCCCTCCTCTAATTCTCTGCAATTTGACTAGTGAAGATGCAGTTTCAAAATCCTAATAAAGAATCTGCAAAGAAATAAGCCTCCAGAACTTATTTTCTCCCTGCTGGAATGAATTTCAATTATCTAACCACCACTGTGGGAGTGTGATTTTCCAACTAACATGTCACCGAGAATGCTAGGGGATGACTGGGGAGAGAGGAGGATTCACATACTTCTTGATCCTTTATCAGTTAAAGAAAATGCACAGCGAAAGATGAAAGTAGTTCAACACCTATAATCCCTTGAGAAGAAGACTGAGGACTTGGCTGTCAACTTAAATACCACTCAAGAGCACACAAAATAAATGAAAAGACGTAGCTACTTCCTGTGAAAGTCAGTGTCCCTGGGATTCAAAAGGTACATCAGACTTGTTGTCCTTGAAGCATGACACAAAAGCTGGCATTGAGAAAGGTCAACTCACATGACAGCTGAAATAAGGTTTGAGACCCCTGGAGCATCAGAGCAGACTTAAAATATCTGAATTTCCAGAATTATTGACTGTGAAGTTTTAATGGCTCCTTCTGTCTGCAGTGTCCTTTCCTGCTCTTTCTTTGTAAGGGAAAACGTAAAGTTCAAGCCCTACAGGCTCTTTTTCAGCACAAAACAGTAGATTATAATCATGAAATGTGAAGTAAGACAGAGTTGGGTTCAAGTTCCACCTCTGCCACTTGCTAGCTTAATGAATTACATCAATACGCTTAACTATTCTGAATCTCAGTTTCTTTATGTATGAGTTCCTACCATGTAGGAATATTACATCTATCAGCAATAAACAGAATTAAACTTGGGAGATGGGTAAATCTGAAGACCCATCTTAGAGATATATTTTAGAGATATATTTTAAAAATTAACTTTGTGCTTTGGAAACTGCAATTATTAAATATGGGCTGGCCCAAACTGAGGAGCAATCTTTCATCTCATAACTTGGCCACCAGACATACTTTTCTTCCATTCTCACAGGTCTAGGCTTCAGGACAGCTGTAGTTTGTAGAACAAAATAATTGTGTGAGCTCTATAGAAAAACCATTCACATACATATTTTCCTATGTGCTCCCTTTGAAGAATAATTATCACTTTCAACCAAGATTTATTGGCATTTGCTACATTCAGGGCAATGGGTTGGGTGCTGAGAATTCAACTCTCTTCAAGGTCAGCCAAGAGCTGACCACCTAATTAGTATTAAGTTAAAGCTATGCCCCTACACACACACACACACACACACAAATTATTATTGTTACCAAAACCCACACACTATTATTATTATTATTACTAAATTATGCTTAGGTGAGAAGACATCAATTTTTATTGACAATGTTATGCAAAACATCTCTATGGAATTTTTTGAGTTTGTAGAATGCTGTTGACTAAACATCAAAGAGCTCTCTTTACAAAGCCCCCAGATAAAATTGTGCCTGATTCTAGTACAAAGAATAGTTGTAATTCTCTTAAGCAATTGATATATATATTTTTTAATCCAGTGGATATTGTGACACTTGTTAACTGACAAAGATTCCTTGTTTGCACTTGGTCTCTGGAAAATATAGCACAAAATAAGGGCCTAAGAATGGTAAGTATGTAGGTTAGATTAACATGTTAACATATTGTTACAATTTACACATTTTTGAAAATATCTTGAAGTATTTTCTGAAAGAAGGAGAGGTGCAAATAAATACCTACTAAACTGACTTTGAACCCTCTTCACAAGGTCACTTGGGAGAGAGGATAATGTGTATTCTCACTGAGTCAAATGAAGTGATGTCTACAGATGAGAGTTGAGCTGAAGAAAGCATTTTGTGCCCTACTACATTCTTTCTCCTGATGTGTCTTATATCTTAACACTGTGTTAGCATCCTTAGAAGAGAAGAGCAGAATGAATAGGGGAAATGGGCTGTTGGCCATAGAGTAATCTCAACAAACTTGCAGAAGTCCATGCTGAGCTCTCAGATGCACGACTCAGGAAAGCGATGACAACCCACTAATGTCAGCTAGTGAGGGAACCAGAGGAAGGACAGCAGAGGGCTTGACTGCATGCCTCGGAGCACGTGTTCTAATTCCCTTTCATTGTAACACTGTCTGGGTAATCATTCCCTTTATTACATTTGTGTATAATAAAGCCAAAATATTTAGCACAAAATGATTAGAGATATGGGCTACAATAGCACTTTCAAACTGTTTCTGAGCTATAGTTTCCCATGAGCTGTTAAGGGATAATCCTCAAATTAAAAAAAAAAAAAAAGAAACATGATCAAATATATGTAGAATATTTGGGGCTGACCAAAGGTTTAAAAATGTTCGTTTTGCTGTATAATTTATCTTAATATACTTTAAAAATATTTAAGAGAGAAAGGTAGTACAATTAATCATTTTCCCAAATTATTTGCTCACAGAATGGCTTTTTTTCCTAAGAGCTACTCACTTCACACAAGAATATAGAATTTTGTGGAATACAGTTTGGGAGATAATAGTTTTTGGTATGTAGAGTATTTTGAAGTTTTACTGAACTACAGAAAATACATCATTCCTAATGAGAAATTTAATATGCAATGAGAACTTTTAAAAAATTTAAAATAATTAAACTGTAAGGTTAGACTAAATATTTTATGACAAATCATATTTCTTCCTCAATTTGAAAGTTATTTGGAAAGAAAGTTTTTTTTTCTCTAGCAAAATAACTGATACCACTTTAACATAAAATCTCCCCATAGAAATATACACATATAGACACATACATATAAATACACACACACACACACACAAATACAAAAAAGAGTGTCAGCATTTGAACATGTATAGAATACTTTAAAATGATAAAGATATACGAGAACAATAAAAATGATGAACATGTTAGATAATTTTAAAAATGTATTTTAAAAATAAAAAGTTTTATTGTGTCATTTCCCTACTCAAGACTATATGACAATGGTTTTCAAATAATGAACAAAAGAAACTCCTGGGGAAAGTCTTCTGATTCAAGATGCCAAACTAAGCTCATTCATTTAGCTTCTTTTCCTCACAGAACCACAGTAAAATGATCATAAAATAATATAAAAGTATATACATTACACAGGAGAATAGGAGGGGAATACAAGCAAATGCAGAGATTCAATAAATTTTTAGAGGACAATTTGTGATGGTCAGAATAATGGCCTATGGTGATGTCCATACATTAATGCATGAAACCTATGGCTATACTGCCTTTCGTGGAAAAAGATACTTTGCAGATATAACTATGGTTATGGATCTTGAGATGGGGGGATTCCTGTGGATTATTTAGGTAGGCACAATCTAATCACATGAATCTTTAAAACCAAAGAAACTTTCCTGGCTTTGCAGAGAGAGAGAGAGACCAAAAGAATATGGCTATTGCAGTAATTATTTAAAATCATTTGTGCCAAATGCCACCGTCTAGTACATAACCCTTCATGATCAGGGCACTCTGCCTGTCCTCCACACTTACTTCCCTGTGCACTAATATGTATGTTGGACTCCCATGAGACTCAGAGATTATTTCAACCACTGAGCTCATGCTTGCCTCCCTATCTGGAATGCCCATTCCTGTTTCCTCATTCACCAGTCTGTTTATTCTTTCAGGCTGCAGATCATGTCTTATTGTAGCTGTGAATTTCCTCAAAGGTGTTCAAATAAACTGATGACTCTTTTATTCTTCAGTAATATTTACCTGCCTTCATTCTCATAGTTCAGTTCTTAATAATTCTCCAATTAGCTTGTAAGCTTTCGTTTTACCTATCTAAAATAAACGGAAAGCTCTATGATTGTTTTTGTTGTTCTTTGGATCTTGTGACAGTTCTTGGCACAGAGGTGGATACAAACCATGCAGTCAAACACTTATTGGCTGAACAAGACACTTATATGTCAAGGTCATGCCTAGGGCAGGAGATGTCTGATGAAACGAGTTCAGGAGGTGGGATAGAAATGTTGTAAACAGTATAGTGTTCTCTAAGGCAGACATTGGAAAAATGTCTGGAAAGTCAGAGGCCTGGGAATTGATAAGGAGGAATTCATAGTAAAAAACGTCTTTTAAATGGTAACTGATTTCACAAGGTATCTGGCAAACATACATAACCTAGTGTAAGTTTTCTACACTGGCAGGCTTCCAACTACCATCATTGAACCCCAAGGCATTTGGAAAAACATCTAATAAGAGTTCTGCATCATGGTCTTATTTCTTGCTATTTTTAAAAGGTGAGATAGGAAATTAAAAAGGCCTCTGGGAACTGGGAGAAATGAGCATTTTCCATCAGTATGGTGCGCTACAGCACATATTCAGAGAAGTAAGATTGAGTGTAGGGAAGGTAACATATCTCTGAGACACCAACATAAACTGTTCAGATGATCCTCAGTAACTCTGCATCTGTCTTCCCCTCTGGAAGGGAAAGAAATAGGAATGGATAAAGAGAAGCATTCTTTAAACTCTGCCATGCCATAATATTAAGTTAAATTCCGTTAATTCTTTGAAATTTTGGCAAAATCCTGGGCAGAACACCAAGTAAAACAATATCTATTTCCAAGTTCATTTGTGTGGAATTTCACATAGCACCTCATAATTTTAGCCTAGAACATGATTACATTCAGATAAATTCCATTTCTTCAAATTGGGTAAGAAGATTTTTCATTTAGTCTTGCCTATGTGTTTCTTACTTCATATGGGGAATTACGTTTTATTTCCTTATGTAGGATATTCATACAAATTATTTACTTCAGGTTATTCCAAGAAAGACAAGGGTTTTGTTGTACAATGCTGTGCATTCCTGTTTGCCTTGAACCAAAGTTTCACTTATGTTCTAGGAACATGAGAGAGCCAGAGAGGTACAGCCTCACAACTAGATAGTGGGAAGGAATATTGATAAAGGAGAAAGAGGGAAGGCTATAAATCGTGTGCCAAGAAAGGAGAATAGCAGACCAATGTGAGCTGAAAATGCAGAGGGATGTAGGATAGAAGGAAGCTGAAACCAACAGACACTCAGGGCACACCATGAAATCCAATTGGCACAGTGAGCTCAGTCAAGTAGAATTTTCTTAAAAAGTCAAGCTTATGCATCACCACTTGACATAGAATGCATTTTAGTGGCCATCTTCCTATATACTAATTCAAATGTGTTTATCCATATGCAGTAGTGTTGACATGCACTTACAGGCAGATCATTGCTGTATCTTACTTCTTTCACCCTCAAAATGAAAGGTTATTGAATGTTGGCTCTGCAAGTAATGAGACCTCAACTTTAGTCATATAGACAAATGCAGAATAAACTACAGACTGATTTTCTCTGCATATGCTACAATGGACACACTTGTAGCAAGCCTAAATGAAAAACTATTTCTTTTTGAATAGTAATAGATTTTCTGCAACGTTTAAAATTCATTGAATACAAAGAAATTTACAGCTCTTAGAATTAATAAAATTGAATTTAGCAGTAAAACGTATTACAGTTTCAAGTAAAGTATAGATGTGTTCTGTTTTGTGAAAATCCAATATCAAATATTCACACATAAAGTAAACAAATGAAGGAATTTTTCACTTTGTATAAGGATTTTCCAAGTAGACAAGCATGGTGAGGCCCCACTAGATAGGGGACATGGTTGGGTTCCAAGTTGTGTTACATGTAGGGCTCAAGGAAGATCATATTGTCTCTCTCTGAGGGTGTCCTTCGTAATGGAAAGTGCCGGGATAAAGATGAACTACATATGCAATCCATGTAAAAATTACAAAACAGCAGCAGAGAGAACCAGACCAAGCCAGGAGTGGCCAGGAAATACTGCCTGCCTTTTCCAGGTACCCAATTACAGAAGATGTCATCTGCTTCCCCAACTTCTTTTTCCAGTTCTAGCATGGGAGAAGTGAGGCCTTGGAAGGGAAGGTGGGTATGGGGAGTGAGGGGGAAGATCCCAGAAACTGTATACCTCTTCCATATGCCAAGACATTAGACTGCAAGGAGGAGGAAAAAAGAGCTACTCTTCTCTCCACTTTAAAACCCTGAGACCTAAGATATTTAAATCTGATAGGAAATGGGTGTTTTAATCTACTTTGGATTAGACACAACTTTTTATAAGTGAATGGAAATATAGAATCTGCTCAAGATATTAAGGGAGGGGGCTGAATAGAGGGTGGTTGCAAACAGCAATTGAAAAACCAAAATTATCATGTTAGACTTTTTAAGCCTCCAATTCTAGTACACAAGCACCAATATGTGCATATTAATTTGCTGAGGAGTCCAACCTTTTCCGCTTTTTAGCTGTGTAGTAACGAATCATATACCTCTAAGAAAAAGCTTGAAGACAAAAAACAGTTGAATTGGCATGAATGCAAGCACTTCTCACCTTGAGACTTCTAGATTGGTATAAAACGTATAGGATACAGGAGCAGCAGACTGGTTTATACCACTATACTGCCATAAAGACCCTGCCCACCTAAGACCCCCAGGTTCAAGTTGAGAAATATAGGGGTCAGCTCTTGCAATCACAACTCTATCTCCCATGCTCAATAGTGTCAAACTCTTAATATTTCAATTATTGTTTAAAGGCATCAGATGCCTTCAATAAGGAAGAAGGTAAGAGATACGTCCCTTACAAAAAGAATATGTAAAACATTGGGAGTGGAACAGAGGGGAGGTCTTTGGGATAAAGGAATGAGGTGTATATGGCAGTGCAACAGAGTGTTTGGTTAAGAACAGGAATTCTGAAATTAAACTGCTTGGCTTTGAACCCTGGTTCTTATACTATTAACTGTTGATATTGGGCATGCTGTGTGATACTTCTGCTCCTCCAGCTTACTCATCTCATAAAATGGTGCTACTATATTGCTCTCCTAATAGAGTTATTGTGAGGATTTAGTGTATTAATATATGTAGAGCATTTAAAACAGTACCAGTCTATACTAAGTACTTCATAAATGCTAATTATTATTATTATACATTAGAAGAAATATTAAAACATCCTAAGAAAAGTAAGATAAGGAGTCATCTTAAACCTTAGACTGAAACCAACCAGGAGACAAAGTATATTCTTATTTACTTTGAGATAATGAGATAGGGATGAGAACTGGAGAAGGAAGACTTTCTCTTTCGGGACAGAATGAATTAGAAGTGAAGTACAAACTGCTTCTATGTCTTAGACCAAGTTGTATTATCTCCCAACCATCAGTGAATGTAAGTAGGGCAGAGTACCATAGTACATAATATCTAAAGATCCTGGGATAGCTGCGTTAAGATGATATCTCATTGTGGTTTTTATTTGCATTTCCCTGATGAGTAGTGATGTTGAGCATTTTTTTCATATGCTTATTGGGCATTTATACGTCTTCTTTTGAGAAATGTCTATTCAGGTCTTTTGCACATTTTAAAATTGGATTATTATTACTTTTGCTATTGAGTTGTTTGAGGAGAGTCGTGGAAATGGGAGTGGAAAGAGATTGGTCAATGGCTACAAAATTGCAGTTAGATATGAGAAATACATTATTTTGCTCTCTTGCACCATAGGGTGACTATAGTTAAAAGTATGGTGTATTTCAAAATAACTAAAAGAAAGGACTTTCAATATTCTTGCCACAAGGAAGTATTAAATATTTGAGGTGATAGATATGCTAAATACCCTGATTTGTTAATTATACAATTTATACATGCATAGAAACATCATACTATACCCTATAAATATGTGTAATTATTATATGTCGATTAAAAACAAAACCAAAAAAAAGCTTCATATGTAATATTTAGAATCATTTGGCAGCTTGGGGAAGTGCTTTTCTATTGGAGAAGAGATCTGAGTATTGTTGATGAAGGTATCAAATCCTGTAGCATTCAAGTGTTTGAATAAAGATAAGTAACTAAAACTTTTTGGCTTATCCAACCAGTAACCTTAGAGTGATGATAATGCCTCCTACCCAAGATGGTTGTGATACTTATAAATCATACATAAAAACTTCATTATTTTACTTAATCCCTGCAATTGGTTTGATTTCTCTGTTGAAACTCTTTAAGAAGAATCAAGGAGAGAATGGGTTCACATCTCTCACTTAGTGAATGCTTAAAAGAGAGGGTGTTAAACATTTCCTGGTGATGGGGAGAAACAGGTGACTAACAACATTTTTGTTATTAGTTTTAGTTTTACAGCTGAGTGGGAATGGAAAAGTTTTCTAAATCAGAAAGCCTAGGTGTTGAGAGGTAAGAAATAAAGAGGATTCAGTATTAAAATAAATGTCAATCAAAAATGTAACATAAAAATGTTCTATTATGAAATGTAAAGATTTTATCCAGACTAATCTTAAATCTTAGAAGCAGAGCTCTGTATATGATTATTTCATATGTGTTTATGAGGACAAAGTATGTATTTCCCACAGGACGGAGAAGGGGCACCGTAGTGGACACAGAAACCTTCCAGATTCACTTTCTATGTTCTGGCACCTAATACTGAATGATATGCTGATGAGCAAAGAAAAGGTGCACTCCTATAGAGCATGACACCCTACAAGTTTACAGTCATCTGGTTGCTTGGTTCTGGCAAGGCTTTAGTTTCATGTATGAAAATAACAGAAAAGCCATTAAATGTAGTTTTTCATACAAACCTCTAGGTTTCCCAAATGCATATTCTAAAGATGCCTGGGAGAAATCGCTTTCGGCCCTGAAGCACTGGCTGTTACTCCCTCTTGTGAGTGTATTCAGTTCCTTATAGGGTTTCTCTTACTAATCTTTTTTGTCCTCTCAAATTTAAAATTATTAAGCATTTTTTATAATCTAGGAAAATTATGTTTATTTTTATAGCCAGACTAATCAATGTATAATGCTTGAAAATATTTAAGGTCATTTGTTTGATCTTAACTTCCAGGGATAAATCTTTGCTATTATGTGTTTAATTATATATTTCCAAATATGTTATATTTTTATCACATAGCAAAACCCCAAATATCTTTCCTGTGACTAGAGTTTGTGCATATTTTTAGTACTCTATTTTTGCTTAAATGTGAAAATGACATTCAGCTTGGCTCGTGTTAAATGATTGTTTGCTATTTAAAGAACTAAGCACCCTTAAATCAATAACATACATGAAAAGACAGGAAAAAGAAAGTGGTTTTCAACTACTATTATTATGATATTTTTATACTTTTTAAAGGTGTATGTATCTCAGCTTGTTCTTAATATTAGTGAAAACATAAAAGTGCAAGTGTTTTATTCTGTAAACATCACACACCAAGGTGTGAAAAAAAAATGCCAGTGTTTTTCCTTCACCTAGACTTCTGATTCAGCTGATTTTGAGGCTCCTGTGAGTTTCTGTGCTAATTTTGAGGCTTCTGTGAGCTGCTCCCTACAACAGTACCTTCTGGACATCTTTCTTCTGCTGATGATGAGAATTAGGTGGAGGAGGAGGAAGGGAGGAGAGAGTAAGCATCCTCCACATTATTGCCAGAAATCCTCACTCCCACATAGGACACATTACATGGCACAGTTATCTGAGCTCCACCCAAGGGTATGGGAGCCAGAGGGCACTGGGCACATGGGAGAGCAAGGGGAAAGATAACAGAATTAGCCAGAGGGAAGTTAGGAGGAGATAGACAATGCTGAAGAGGGAAGTGGGATCCTTCTCTTTTACCTGTTTTTCCAATAAGGCGTCACACATATTGAATCTAACTTTTGCATAGAAATATTTGAAAATATTCCAAGGAAATCACCATAGATGTGCACAAAGATTCAAAGGATGCTTACCCCACTTCCACATTTATGTAATTGTCAAAAATAGGAATCTTATGTTTATGTATTAAAAGATTTCATATTGTTAAAATATCCACACTATCTGAAGTGATCTACAGGTTCAACACAATCTCTCTCAAACTCCCAGTGACATTTTTTAGAGATATAGAAAAGACAATCCTAAAATTCACACGGAACCACAAAAGACTCTGAATAGCCAATGTAATCTTAAGAAAGAACAAAGCTGGAAGCATCACATTTCCTGATTTCAAAATAGATTACAAAGCTCCAGTAATTAGAACAGTAAACTGCAGGCATAAAAATAGACACACAGACCAGTGGAGTAGAACAGAGAGCCCAGAAATTAATCCACACATATATGGTGAACTGATCTCCAACAGGGATGCCAAGAATACACAATGGTAAAAGGGTAGTCTTTTCACCAAATGGTGTTAGGAAAACTGGATATTCACATGCAAAAGAATGAAACTGGACCCTTATATCACACACAAAAGTTCACTGAAAATGGATTAAATGTAAGACTTGAAACCACAAAAATCCTAGAAAAAAAAAAAGAAAAAAGCTCTTGACATTGGTCTCGACAATAATATTTTGGATATAAAACCAAACACACAGGTATTGAAAGCAAAAACAGACAAGTGAGATGATATCAAACTAAAAGGAAACAATCAACTAAATGAAAAAGTAACTTAAGGAATGGGAGAAAATATTGGCAAATCATATATCTGATAAAGGATTAATAGCTAAAATATATTTTAAAAACTACTCAATAGCAAACAAAAAATAATTTTTCACAAAGGACCTGAACAGACACATTTCCAAAGAAGATGTACAAATGACCCATAAGTATATTAAAAAATGCTCATCAGTAATCGTTAGGGAAATGAAAGTTAAAACCACCATGAGCTATCACCTCACATCTGTTAGAATAACTATTCTGCAAAAAATCAAGAGATTACAATCGTCGGTGATGGTTTAGAGAAAAAGGATTGCTGGTACACTGTTGGTGAGAATATGAATTGGAAATATAAATATGAAAAATAGTATGGAGATTCATCAAAAATTTTAAAAACATAACTATCATAGGATCCAGTAACCCCACTGCTGGATATATATCCAAAAGAAATGAAATCAGTGTCTCAAAGACATCTGCACTCCCATGTTCATTGCAATATTACTCACAATAGTCAAAATATGAAAACTGAAATATTATTTAGCAAAGAACATACACACATATACATATCCACACAATGAATACTAATTCAGCCTTAAAAATGAAGGAAATCCTGACATAAGGGACAACATGGATGAACCTGGAAATTATGCTAAGTGAAATAAGCCAACCACAGAAGGGCAAATACTGCATGATTTCACTTATGTGAAATATCTAAGATAGAACAATAGAGCAGAATGGTGGTTGCCAAGGGCTGGAGGGGAGAGGGAAATAAAAATTGCTGCTCAATAGATACAACATTTTAGTTATACAAGATGAATAACTTCTACAGATCTGCGGCATAACATTGTACCTGTAGTTAAAAATATTGTACTGAACACTTAAAAATTAGTTAAAAGATAAGTTTTCATGTTATGTGTTCTTACCACATTAAAAAAACACACACAAACTTGGCAGCAAGCTATGTGTCTAACATTTGTGATTGACTAATCTAATTATGATGTATCTATATAATGGGATATTAGGCAAATATTAACGTATTTTGTGCATATATTTGGAAACATGAAAAATATTTACAAAAGGTAGGTTGAAAGTAATTTGATGCCATTTCAGTGATATTTATATTAAATTTAGTATGTATGTATATACATTATTTGTATTATTATATATAGTATAGCAAGTTCTCAGCTTCTACACTGTCATGTAAAGAGCTTGGAAGTCATCACTCCTATCATGATAACAAGAAAAAAGCTAAGCAAACTGAAAATCAATAACTCAATCCATCAGAGAATTGAGGTCATAGAGCAAACTGCTGCTACAAAACTGTAGAGAAAGGTAGATCCTGAGAATCACATGTCATTGAGAGCAGAAGCTCAGGAGCTGAAGCTGGTCATTGGAGCTAGTACTGGTAGAAATCTTTAAAGCAGCAGTCCCCAATCTTTTTGGCACCAGTGGTGGGTTTTGTGGAAGACAATTTTTCCATGGACAGTGGGGTGTCGGGGGGATGGTTTGGGGATGAAACTGTTCTCCCTCAAGTCATCAGGCATTGGATTCTCATAAGGAGCACACAACCTAGATCCCTCGCATGTGCAGTTCACAATAGAGTCTGCACTCCTATGAGAATAAAAATGCTGAGTGGAGCTCAGGTGGTAATGCTTGCTCGCCTGCTGCTCACTTCCAGCTGTGTGGCCTTGTTCCTAACAGGCCACAGACAGATACCAGTTAGCAGCCTGGGGGCTGGGGACCCCTGCCTTAAAGTGTAGTTGACAAATATCTAGATGCTCATTGTAGACAAGTTTGACAATTAAAAACTCTGGAGGACTTTTCTTAGGGGAGCCCACACTTTGAGATTTACCTCCAGGAGCTTCCACCAAATTCTTACAGTAAAGATCGGAGTAACATTCCTTTATGCTTCTAGCAGGAGAAAGAAAAAAGTAGCCATTTTGAAATATGTCCAGAAAGCTATGTTCTCCTTAACAATGGGAATTTTGGAATGAGAATTATAAGAATTTTTCAAAATTAAGAACATCCAGCAAACCACAGATCCAGGAATCTCAGAGAATAGCAAGCAGAATAAATATCAAAACATCCACACCTATGCAATTTGTATTTAAACTGTAGAAAAGCAAAGACAAAGAGAAAATTTGAAAGAAGCCAAAGGGAAAAAAATGCCTTACCAAAAAAGAAACAAGGATAAGAATTACAGCAGGCTTCTATTCAGAAACCATTCAAACAAGAGAGATTAGTGCAAAATATCTAAAGTGTTAAAAGGAAAAACAAACAAACAAAAAAAACAAAGGCCAACCTAGAATTCTGTATTGAACAAAACTGTTCAGCCAGGCACAGCAGCTCATATCTGTAATCCCAGAACTTTGGGAAGCTGAGGTGGGTGGATCTACCTAAGGTCAGGAGTTCGAGACCAACCTGGCCAACATGGTGAAACTCCGTCCCTACTAAATACACAAAAAATTAGGGCCGGGCGCGGTGGCTAACGCCTGTAATCCCAGCACTTTGGGAGGCCAAGGCGGGCGGATCACGAGATCAGGAGATCGAGACCATCCTGGCGAACATGGTGAAACCCCGTCTCTACTAAAAATACAAAAAAAAAAAAAAATCAGCCGGGTGTGGTGGTGTGTGCCTGTAGTCCCAGCTACTTGGGAGGCTGAGAAAGGAGAATGGCATGAACCCAGGAGGCGGAGCTTGCAGTGAGCCGAGAGGTGCCACTGCACTCCAACCTGGGTGACAGAACAAGACTCCATCTCAAAAAAAAAAAAAAATTTACCCGGGCATTGTGGCAGGTGCCTGTAATCCCAGCTACTCAGGAGGCTGAGGCAGGAGAATTGCTTGAACCTGGGAGGTGGAGGTTACAGTGAGCCAAGATTGTGCCATTGTCCTCCAGCCTGGGCAACAAGAGTGAAACTCCATCTCAAAATTAAAAAACAAAACAAAACAAACAAAAAAAAATGAAAGACAAACAAGACTTTCTCACACAAGCAGAAATTCAAAAAACTTGTCAGTATACTTGTCTCACAGGAAATGTTAAAAATGCTTCAGAGAGGAGAATGATAAAGGTCAAAAACTTAGGTCTATGCAAAGAAAGAAGGAACACTAGAGCAGGAAAAATGAAGGTAAAATCAAAATAAAGTACTTTACTTTTCTTATTCTTAGTTTATCTAACAAGTTTGTTCAAGATAATGATAGCAGCAGTTTAGTAATTATAGTTTTTGAGTAAGTGAAATGAATGAGCACAATGTTATAAGGGATGGGAGGGAAGAAGCAAGAATATCCTGTCATAAGGCACCTGCACTATCCATGAAGTGGTATAGTATTTTGAAAGTGGCCCTAGAATAGTCATAAGTGTGTTTTAAACTAGGGTGATATGATTTGGCTGTGTCCCCACCCAGATCTCATTTTGAATTATAGTTCCCATAATCCCCACATGTTGTGGGAGGGACCCAATGGGACGTATTTGAATCATGGGGGCTGCTACATCCATGCTGCTGTTCTCATGATGGTGAGTAAATTCTCACAAGAGCTGATGGTTTTATAAGGGGTTTTTCCCTCTTTGCTCTCATTCTTCTCCTTCCTGCCACCATGTGAAGAAGGATGTGTTTGCTTTCCTTTCCACCATGATTATAAGTTTTTTGAGGCCTCCCCAGCCATCCAGAACTGTGAGTCAATTAAACTTCTTTTCTTTATAAATTACCCAGTCTCGGGCAGTTCTTTATAGCAGCATGAGAACAGACTAATACAGTAAATTGACACTGAATAGTGGAGTGCTGCTGTAAAGAAACCCAAAATGTGGAAGTAAATTTGGAATTGGGTAACAGGCAGAAGCTGGAACAGTTTGGAGGACTCAGAAAATGAGAGGAAGATAGGAGAAAGTTTGGAACTTCCTAGCGACTTGGAGGGCTCACAAGACAGGATGATGTAGGAAAGTATGGAACTTTCTAGACACATGTTGAATGGCTTTGACCAAAATGCTGATAGTGATATGGGCAATGAAGTCCAGGCTGAGCTGGTCTGAAATAGAGATGGGGAACTTCTTGGGAACTGGGATGAAGGTGACTCTTGCTATGTTTTAGCAAAAACACTGGTGTTATTTTGCCCCTGCCCTAGAGATCTTGGAACTTTGAACTTTAGAGAGATGATTTAGGGTATCTGGCAGAACAAATTTCTATGTGGCAAAGCATTCAAGAGGAGGCAGGGCATAAAAGTTTTGAAAGTTTGCAGCCTGATGATGTAATAGAAGAGAAGAAACAATTTTCTGGGGAGAATTCAAGCCAGCTACAGAAATTTGCATGAGTAATGAGGAGCTGAATGTTAATAACCAAGACAATGGGGAAAATGTCTCCAGGGCATGCCAGAGAACTTTGCAGCAGCCCGTCCCATCACAGGCACAGAGGCCTACGAGGAAAAAAAATGGTTTTCTTGGCAGGGCCCAGGGATCCCCTGCTGTGTGCAGCCTAGGGACTTGGTTTGCTGCAGCCCAGCCACTCCAGCCATGACTAAAAGGGGCCAAGGTATGGCTCAAGGCATTGCTTCAGAGGGTGCAAGCGCCAAACCTTGGCAGCTTCCACGTGGTGTTGAGCCTGTGACTGCACAGAAGTCAACAACTGAGGTTTGAGAACCTCCACCTAAATTTCAAAGGATGTATGGAAATGTCTGGATGCTCAGGCAGAAGTTTGCTGCAGGGCTGGAGCCCTCCTGGAGAACCTCTGCTAGGGCAATGAGGAAGGGAAATGTGGGGTCAGAACCCCCACATAGAGTCCCCACTCAGGAACTGACTAGTAGAGCTGTGAGAAGAGGGCCAGAGTATTCCAAACCCCAGAATAGTAGATCCACCAACAGTTTGCACCATGCACCTGGAAAAGCTGCCATCACTCAACACCAGCCTGGAGGGGTGGCTGTACCCTGCAAAGCTACAGGGGCAGAACTGTCCATGGCTATGAGAGCCCACCTGTTGTATTAGCGTGACCTGAATGTGAGACATGGAGTCAAAGGAAATTATTTTGGAACTTTAAGATTTAACTACTGTCTCATTGGATTTTGGACTTGTATGGGGCCTGTAGCCTCTTTGTTATGGCCAATATCTCCCATTTGGAATGGATCTATTTACCCAATGTCTGTATCTGCATTGTATCTAGGAAGTAATTAACTTGCTTTTGATTTCACAGGCTCATAGGCAGAAGGGGCTTACCCACTCAAAAAGACTTGAATACTTTTTTATTGTTTTTGAAATTTTTTCAATACTATCTCCTCTGTTTGGATGTTTAATTGATTAGCCCATTAAAAGAAAAAATCTTTAGAAGTAACACATTACTGACTTCACAGAAACCACTTTCTCAAAAGTCAAAGAAACAGGGGAGCCAGCTGAAGGTTGTTTAATTTGAAAATAAAATGATCAGTTTGGACAGGAGGGTAAAGAATTGAGGTAATGCTGAGCTTTACTCAGCATTGTATTGAAGGCAGCCAGTGTTCATAGAGGGTTCCTGGGGCAAAAGTCAAAGAGAATAAAGCAGAGCACAGAAAATAAAGTGCTGAAAACAGAGGATAATATGAACTTTGTTTGTTCAATAGAGAAATAGACATTCAATCCCTGGCTCTGACAGAAAGGAGCTATGGCACATAGAATAAATATCTCATCAACTTTTATCCTTGGATTCAGCATCTAGACAATAATGGAAATGAATTACAGGCTGCCTAAGGTGCTTCCTGCTGTAAAGTATTATATTTCTAGCACAAGTTCACAGAAAGACCACTGGCTATTAGTTTTCTGTTGCTTCTATAAAAATTTAAGTTTTAGACATTTTTTGAGTCATTCCGCCTACCACAATCCACCCTCTGGATCTGTCCCACATACAAAACACATTCACCCCATCACAATGTTTCCACAGGTCTCGTTCTATTATATATCAACTAAAAGTACTAAATCTCATAAGTTCTAAAGTCTCAAATCTCACTATGTACAAAATTCAAAGAAGTTATGGGTGAGTCTTGGGTATAATCCATCCTGGGTCACAATTTCCCTCTACTTGTAGATCTATAAAACTAGGAAACTAGTTATCTCCTCCAAAATGCAACGATGGGACAGTCATCAGTTAATTGTTATAGACATACTGATTTGAGAGGGGAGAAATTAGAAGAAAAAAAGTCACCTCTCTCAAACAATTTTTAAATACAACCAGACAAACTTTATTAGATTTCAAGGCCTCAGAGTAATTCTCCTTTGTTCCT
Organism: Homo sapiens; assembly: GCF_000001405.40. Taxonomy (NCBI): domain Eukaryota; kingdom Metazoa; phylum Chordata; class Mammalia; order Primates; family Hominidae; genus Homo; species Homo sapiens. Next base: position 78,205,943 of record NC_000006.12, on the reverse strand, counting down.
GGTTCTAGTTTCTGAGCTTAAAGCTTTGTTCTTTGGTTCATCCTTTCTTTCATGGCTAAAGGATTGCATGTGTTTGTAGCTGAATGGTTTTATCAGCCTATGTTATCTGCCTGCAGAATTTTGAGAGTCTAACATCCTTCTTTCATTTAATACTATTTAGTTCTTTTAATACTATTTAATACCTTTTCAGTTCATGCTAGCAGTGCTTCTGCTAATATAAAATTCTCAAGCACCTTGTGGGTCTCTCATGCATTTCACAGGATTCACTTCATTAGATAAGAGGTTTGTTCACAAATCATTCCTAGAAAATATCTCCAATTTTGGATTTTGCTAAGATGGCTGAAGGACAAATAGCCTTATATCTTCTGAGAGATATTTTCTGGTTTAATTTAGGGAATCTTTGAGTCATACCTTCGAACTCTTTACAAAGCCTTTTATGTGACTAAGTACTCTGCTTTTTGTAATGCTTCTATAACAAATTACCACAAATGCAAGAGCTTAAAATAGCACAAACTTATTATCCTACATTTTTGTAGGTAGAACTCTGGTAGATGTCTCAGTGAACTAAAATAAAGGAGTCTGCAGGTTGCATTCCTTTCTGGGGGCTTGTAGAATTCAGGTCCTAGCAGTTGTAGGACTCCTTTTTCCAGCTATTAGGAGCTCATATAATTACGCTGGGCCCACTTGAATAACCCAGGATAACTGCTCTCTGTTAAAGTGAACTGATTGGCAACTGTCATGTAATGTAATGTATCTACAGGTTCTGAAATTAGGAATTGAAGATCGTTGTTGGGGTTGGGGGTTTGGTGGGAGCAGGCACAGATCTGTCTATTACACTAACTAAGAGCAAAAATAACCCTGCCTTTTAACACATGCTCATACTCTCATCTAAAACCAATAGTGGCTGAATATTTGGGGGAAACTTTCCACCCTTCCTCATATTTTCCACATAGGAGAGAACTCTGTTTCCCTCCCCACAGAGGGAACTGTGAGCAGATACACTTCTGCATACTTTTCTACTCTGGTACACATCCCTTGTCTTCTTCCTTGCAAAAGTAGAGTTTATAAATCCACTTTTCCAAATATAAAACCTTCATTTGGCCAAGTTTCAGGAAGCTGGAGTTACTATGTCAAGGTCAGGAACCAGACATCATATTAATACTTTCTTTTTCTCTTCATGTCTGATGAATCAGTGGGGAGGTCAGGAACTTTTCCTCCAGCAGAAGTCTCTTTATTCCATCTCCTTATTTGTCTTTCACTGCTTGCATCCCTGAGTGGCCTCATTGGCCTTCTTCTCTATGAGTGAGTGGGTAAGTCAGGTTTGACCTGCCCTCTATACCCTGATGTCTTCCCTTAAGTAGGAGAGGGAAAAAGGGTCACACTTTGTCCTTGTGTGTACCTCTCATTCTCCAATCCAGTTTTTATCCAGAAAGTTCTTCTTTGAGATTATAAGGTCATTTCAAAATTATGATCATCTATGTTTCCCTTCAGATTTAGCACATAATTTTCTTATGAGGTTTGTTATTTAGCCCTTGGAGAGGAGGAAGACTAGCACCTTGAAGCTCAAACAAGATTATCTGCTTCACTCTTACTACTTTGCGGTGTGGAACCTGGAGGATTATTTGAAGTATTCTAGGATTTTCTACAAAATAGTTTGACGCAAAAACTGAGATAGAGGATCCCCACTTTCCATTAATGTATGCATAAAAGCTCAATTTTTATTGATTTGAGTTTACATCAGTTTTTAACTTTAGCAACATTGTTTAGTATTAAAAGCCATTGTATTTATTCTTAACATTGACATTAGTAAATAATACTATTGTGATATCAGTACAGGTTGATATACATTACATGGCAGCCAACTTTTGCTACTTGGTTAGATTTACAAGAGCAGAAAAAAATACTCCTAATTTTGAAATAAATCAGTGAAAATGTAATAATTTGATAATATAGTAGATTTATACTTTAATAGAGATATTTTATTTTGCAGCCCATCATCCAGTTCCCTGTCTTCTGCTAGCAGTACCCTGATTTTGCTCTGTGGAATCATCCTCTTCCTGACTTTCAGCTCATGTGCTTCTGGTAAGGCTTCACATTTGCTCCTGAGTTGAGTGTGGGAATAAAGTATGATCAATCTGAGCATCTCATTCTTTAGATTCATTGATATATGTAGGAATGAGCAAGTGATGAAATACAATGAAATGCAATGAGATTTTTGTTAGAAGAGTTGGAGGACAAGTACGCTATATTTCTTACTGTTTTGAACCGGATGAATATAAACCTGAAGCTGCTGTAGTCATCTTGCCATCAAAGTCACATAAAAGGGAGAGGCTAGAGAAGGATCAGATCACGATGATATAATCTGAACCCTTGAAAGCAGCCTCGCCTATAGTTAACCCAACCCTCAAACTTTTAAACCAATGTAGTTTAAGTCAGTGTGAGTTGTATAGTTTCCTTTTGTTTAAGTCATTGTGAGTTGAGTTTTCTGTCCTTGAATCAAAGGAGTCTGAACTCTTGACAAGCTACAAGGTTTACATATTCTAAAATACAACTTAAACCTATATCTGGGGAGTTCTTAGTGACTTTCCAAAATACACCTATAGTTTTCATTGTCATCAACACTGATTAGTAATAGAAGAAGTCAAAATATGTAAAGAAGGATATTTAAGTATGCCAGATTATTAAAATGCAGACTTTTTCATAAATATAAAGTCTTAACTATACTTTAGTTTTCACACTCCGTAGCAACTCGGATGGAGTTCCCGATAGAGTAAATGTTATGGATTTTCTGGTTGTGTTTTCAGAACCACAGAAATAACCTTTCTTCCAGTGTAGCATCTCAACAAATTTGCTTTGCTTATTGAAATACAGGTAAGTAATATGACATATAAGGATCAAGATGATGGAAGGGACTGCAAAGATTATGTGATTTTATCTCATTTTATAATTGAGGAATTAACCATCAAAGAACAGAGTAATTTGTGTATAGTCACATTCATTGCTAATAGCAAAGATGCAACTAGAACTCAGTTTTCCAGATTCCTGCTCCAAGGATGCTTCTCATTTCCTCAGCCTGTAACCAAGCATCTTGTTTTTAAAAGTTTTTTTTTCTTTTACTTTCCTGCCTGTTCCTTGTCTTGCTTTCCACCAGGCATCCCCCCCCTGCACAGTGTTTCCTTTACCTAGTTATGTATTTACTTAGAAGTTCCAGAGACTAAATCTTGAAACAGTCAGGCCACTGTGGGATTCTCTGCCACCTGGAGATTACTTCAAGGCTGCAGTTAATTTGCAACCTGGTGTACTCAAGATTGTGCCAGCCCACTTACCAGATGGGACAACAGTTCAAGATAGTCATTAGAACAATCATGTAGACTGGCACTACCTCATCACTCTTGTACGCCCATTATACCAAACTCCCCATTTTAAGCCTTTACCTTTGACACAAAAACCTGAAATGTTGTATTCAAGGCAAAAGCCTTAACCATTTCCCCACTGCTAGCTCTGGAAATAAAGTCACTTTTATTTCACTGCACGTTGACAATGTTACTGGTTTTGCAAGCACTGAGAAGCCAGGTCTGCACTCAGTTACAAGCACTGATGACCTGACAGTGCAGGTGTGACCACTATTTACTTACCACCTAAAATGTTCACATAAGAGAAGAAATAATAAGCTAGACTAGAATCAAATTAGTACTTATTCATTTCTGTCTTAGCAAACTGTGCCAGGAACTTTGACCACAGAGGTACTTGTCCACTAAAGTCTCAACACAGAGCACACATTGACTTTAAAGCCCGTGTGTAAAGTCTGCCAGCAACTATGGCTCACAGATAAAAGATCCCTAGGTAGTGAACTCTCCCAAGAGCCACTCCATTACAGAGACAGAACACTTTTGTAACACCCACATACCTTATATTTTATGTTACAGATGACATTTTAAGCTCCCACTTACAAAGAATCATTGTCAAGCTCAAAGGTCAGATGCACTGAATAAAACAGGTATCAACTTAACAGGAACTAGTGATTGAAGTACGTTCCCACTTTACTCAATTCTGTGAGCCCTGTCAGAGCCTCTAACAGGTCCACTGGAGCAATCTCTTTAAACCACCAAAAGCTCATTTACACACTATTTAATAACTAATCCTTTAGTACAAGACATTTTTGAGAAATTGCTTTCTTTGTATTTTTTGTTTTGAAAAGCTTCAGATTGTATACTCTATCAAGCAATTTTAAAAATCTAACTTTCTTTTAAAAAGTCAAATGCAGAAATTTTCTGCTGTCCTCATGGTCAATATTCTGCTTGAAAATGGCAGAAGGTTTTACAATAAAATGTGGATGTCCTGCTTTTTAAGGAGATTAAGGAGAAAAGCTTTTTGACCTCATTTTACCCGCACCGAGATCCTATTTGTGAATTTCCTGATGACAAAATAAAAACATTCCATACAAACAGCAAGATGATTCTTAATCATAACTTCCCTTTTCCTCTTGTATAGCTCTCTAATTAACATGTTTGAACTTATCCTTTTTTAAATTTTATTATTATTATACTTTAGGTTTTAGGGTACATGTGCACAATGTGCAGGTTTGTTACATATGTATACCTGTGCCATGTTGGTGTGCTACACCCATTAACTTGCCATTTAGCATCAGGTATATCTCCTATTGCTATCCCTCGCCTCTCTCCCCACCCCACAACAGTCCCCAGTGTGTGATGTTCCCCTTCCTGTGTCCATGTGTTCTTTGTTCAATTCCCACCTATGAGTGAGAACATGCAGTGTTTGGTTTTTTGTCCTTGTGATAGTTTGCTGAGAATGATGGTTTCCAGCTTCATCCATGTCCCTACAAAGGACATGAACTCATTATTTTTTATGGGTGCATAGCATTCCATGGTGTATATGTGCCACATTTTCTTAATCCAGTCTATCCTTTTTGGACATTGGCGTTGGTTCCAAGTCTTTGCTATTGTGAATAGTGCCACAATAAACATATGTGTGCATGTGTCTTTATAGCAGCATGATTTATAGTCCTTTGGGTATATACCCAGTAATGGGATGGCTGGGTCAAATGGTATTTCTAGTTCTAGATCCCTGAGGAATCACCACACTGACTTCCACAATGGTTGAACTAGTTTACAGTCCCACCAACGTGTAAAAGTGTTCCTATTTCTCCACATCCTCTCCAGCACCTCGTTTCCTGACTTTTTAATGATCACCATTCTAACTGGTATGAAATGGTATCTCATTGTGGTTTTGAGTTGCATTTCTCTGATGGCCAGTGATCATGAGCATTTTTTCCTGTGTTTTTTGGCTGCATAAATGTCTTCTTTTGAGAAGTGTCTGTTCATATCCTTCGCCCACTTTTTGATGGGGTTGTTTGTCTTTTTCTTGTAAATTTGTTTGAGTTCATTGTAGATTCTGGATATTAGCCCTTTGTCAGATGAGTAGATTGCAAAAATTTTCTCCCATTTTGTAGGTTGCCTGTTCACTCTGATGATAGTTTCTTTTGCTGTGCAGAAGCTCTTTAGTTTATTTAGATCCCTTTTGTCAATTTTGGCTTTTGTTGCCATTGCTTTTGGTGTTTTAGACATGAAGTCCTTGCCCATGCCTATGTCCTGAATGGTATTGCCTAGGTTTTCTTCTAGGGTTTTTATGGTTTTAGGTCTAACATGTAAGTCTTTAATCCATCTTGAATTAATTTTTGTATAAGGTGTAAGGAAGGGATCCAGTTTCAGCTTTCTACATATAGCTAGCCAGTTTTCCCAGCACCATATATTAAATAGGGAATCCTTTCCCCATTTCTTGTTTTTGTCAGGTTTGTCAAAGATCAGATAGTTGTAGATATGTGGCATTATTTCTGAGGGCTCTGTTCTGTTCCATTGGTCTATATCTCTGTTTTGGTACCAGTACCATGCTGTTTTGGTTACTGTAGCCTTGTAGTACAGTTTGAAGTCAGGTAGCGTGATGCCTCCAGCTTTGTTCTTTTGGCTTAGGATTGACTTGGCAATGCGGGCTCTTTTTTGGTTCCATATGAACTTTAAAGTAGTTTTTTCCAATTCTGTGAAGAAAGTCATTGGTAGCTTGATGGGGATGGCATTGAATCTATAAATTACCTTGCGCAGTATGGCCATTTTCACGATATTGATTCTTCCTACCCATGAGCATGGAATGTTCTTCCATTTGTTTGTATCCTCTTTTATTTCACTGGGCAGTGGTTTGTAGTTCTCCTTGAAGAGGTCCTTCCCATCCCTTGTAAGTTGGATTCCTAGGTATTTTATTCTCTTTGAAGCAATTGTGAATGGGAGTTCACTCATGATTTGGCTCTTTGTCTGTTATTGGTGTATAAGAATGCTTGTGATTTTTGTACATTGATTTTGTATCCTGAGAATTTGCTGAAGTTGCTTATCAGCTGAACTTATTCTTTTTAAAATTTCATTAGTAATATGTGTTGGCTGGATGCCTGAATCTGTTTAGTGTTGCTATAAAAAAAAAATACCCGAGACTGGGTAATTTATGAAAAAAGGTTTATTTGGCTCATGGTTCTTCATGGCCAGAGAGGAAACAAGGGTGGGGGTAGATGTAGAGGGTCAGGGTGGGCGGGGAGTGACAGGCTCTTTTATTTCTAACAACTATCTTTTCTTGCCGGTGAACTCATAGAATGAGTAGTCACACCCTCTCCCCCAGGGTCTGTTAATGTGTTCCTGAGCAATCCATCTCTGTAAACCGAACACTTCCCGTTAGTCCTCATTTTCCAGCACCACTAAAATGGGGATCAAATTTCAACATGAGGTTTGGAAGGGATGGATATGCAAACTATAGCACTGCGTGAAGCTTAAAGCTTACTGAGTAGGTAGCAAATAAGGGCCTTCTTTTAGACAAAAAGATAAAGAAAAGGACTTTTCTTAAAAGTATCCATTCATAATTTTCTATTCTAACTTTATATCAAAACCTATGCACAATATTCAAAAAGGATAAGCTAAACATACTCAGGAAGGGTTTAGAGAAATTTTCCAGGGTCATCCTCTCTTCTGTTCAACTTGTTCTAGTTCATTTTTAATTATTTTCAGTGCCTGAATTTGTGTTTCTGTCCCCAGGACCTTATTTTTTTATCTTGCTTTCTCTGTGTTTAACACTATATAATCCTTATGTTTAGCTCAGCTTTATATTTATGGGAATTTTTTTCTCAGAGCAACCTTTTCTAAATGACATATTCCAGCTTCAGTCATCTGGGTCAAAAATCTTGATCCTGGTTCCTTTGGCCAGCACATTGACTATATCTTCCTAGTGTGTTGAGGAGAAGGATTAAACAATAATTTTGCATAGAAGAATGTTCCTTCCTGTGCTGTATATATTTGGGGCGCCTACCCTCCCAGTCTCTTCACACTTCATCTTCACTTCAGGAGTACTACTTCTATAAGCCAACTTTAATGGCTGTATTGACACAAGGGCATAAGAGTTCCATTGGAGCCAAGGTTCAGTCTATGGGCTAGGAAATCAGAGCAAAGATTGCTTCTTTTCTTGATACCCAATAATTTATCTTAATGGACGCTGTCCTATGCTCCCCGGATGCACTTTCAGGGTCAGAAGAATTGTCTGCTGGTGACTTTGTGCTGATTTGTCTCTCTGGGAATTTCTCTCTGGCTGAAGGGATATGCTTTATCCAGATTATGTTACTTCCTCAGGGGCATCCAGCATCCTATGACTAGTTGATTTGGGGTACAAAGACCCAGCTCCCTGCCTCAATTTGTAACGCCATGGCAGCTTCAAATCTCCTCTTAGTTTATAGTATTACTGTATTAAATTTTAGCTTCTCCCCTGGACAATCCAGTTTCCTTCACGCCCTCCAGGTATTGTTCCCTATGTCAGAGAAAACTCTAATTAAATCTGCATAGTCATGTCTATATTGGAGTCTGTTCCTAAGACAAATATTTTATGTTAAATTTTAATGTTACTTTGGGCTCCAAGGCCATGTTTCTGAAAAAAACATTTCAACAGGTCATGAAATCTTAGGTAAATTCATATGTCAATGTCAAACAGTAGATTAAATATCACCATAAACATGAACAGCAGATTTTGATAAGAAACATGATTAGAAAACAGCAGTATTTACATGCTTTAAATAATATTGAGTGCAACAGAATATATAAGTAGTCATGTACTGCCTTGCATATTGAAGTTACTCAAGTAAATGATTGCATTATAAATTCGTAAAAGTAATCAACCTCTCAAAGCATAAAGAATCCTCAGTTTTCCACAAAAACATACCAAAGAAGAAAATTTTTAATAATTTGGAAGTGATGTGCAAGAAGTTAGACATAAGTCAAATCTCTTACCACTAAGGGTAGAGGGTTTTCATTTTATAATTTAACACCTGCTTAGACACTGGGAAAAATTGAATTGGGCTATAGATAAATTATTTATAACATTTTTAAAACTGCACACCATATTTGTAGAATATGTGTATGTATTTGAGGCAAATGCAAATATTCAGATATACAACGTTTTCAAAATAATGGTTTGTACTCTCTGTTTTACAAATGTTAAAATAGAATGTAAATATTTTATAACCCTACCACACACAAAAAGTTAAGGCCCACTTCTAATTATGCCTATAGATGACTTGTCTTAGAAATTTCTAGCATCTTTCTAGTTTCTCTATCTGTAAAATGAAGATAACAATATTTACTTTCCTCAGAAGGGTGTTGAAATGATGAATTTCCTAATGTATATAATATGCTTTGAAGATGAAAAGCTTCATATAAATGCTAATTATTATTATTGTGCATAAATTTATGAGGTATTACAGGTGCATAATTTCAAAGAATACATTAAAATGAAAATTTATTATGAATAATCCTTTGAAGTTGTAAACCCAATTAAATATAAAGGTAAAAGGCGATCTTCTAAACATTGAGTACAGATGGTACTGATTTTGTTCAGCTATTTCTTGTACATAGTAAGGTATATGTTACAATTAGACAATGAACTAAGTAGGCATAAATTAACTTTAGAAAACATGATGTTTGTCTTTCAAAGTTTTGTTCATTCTTGTTACAATTCTCAATTATTAAAGATTAATAAAAGTGATTCTTTTCAATTATTTTGTGACTTTGGAAATTAATTGTAGAGCATTAGGATTTACCCCCAATCATCAGTAATAAAGTTTTGGCCAAAAGGCAAATGGTAATAAATACTCCTAATCATTAAATGCTTTCCTCATTGCCACAAAAGGCATATTTTTTTTTTCAATATACTCCTTCTGCCTCAGGAAAAATAAACCCTGTTACTATAGTGAAGGTCTTGTTGAAATTCCCTTGGGGTCATAATCAAAGTGAGTCTGCTATGTTTTCTATCTTTGTGCTATACTAATGTATTTCAAGGACAAATGAGACATGCATTTTTGCTTAACTTGTGGTATGTGGCATTATATTCCATGGCAGCAATTCGCTTGGAATATTCTCTATTTCTTATTGGCTGTGTCCATAAATCTAGACAGACTTGGGCTGATGACCAAAGTGTTAGCCCAACATGAATGTCAATGGCAAGAACCTTACTGGCTTATTCCACTGTCACAGAGCCTAGCGCTTGGCTCTCATCCTCCCTTGGAGCTTTAAGGAGTTTCAAGAAAAGAAGATTTATCCATTTTTTTACTGTAATTTTCAACTGTTTTAAATGCAATTATTTGATAATTGAAGGGGCCTGCTAAAGATAGGGTAAAGAAATGTACCACTAAAGAGTGCTGCAAAAGCAATACCCTCACCTCTTATTGCTTGCTTCATTTTACTTCTGTAAGGAATTGTAATTATTTATAACCTATCTCTACTCAAGATGTTCAGACCAGTGATGCATGTGTCTGACTAACAGTGAAAAATATTTATCTTACTCTGAAGAGTAGCATTAATTTGTTTTAAGCGTGAGAGCTGCCAGCTAGCAAAATAGACAAAGCCATTTACTGAAATAGGGCTTCATTGTCATGAAAGCTAATGCACCTCTAGAGAGCACAGAGTTAACTCCATGTTCACTGGAAGTATTAAGTTTATAATTCAATTTCAGTTGAAGGTAACTTAAAAGTTAAATACTTTTTTAGATAAGCAAAACATTGGTTTGACTATTGGAGAGTGCCAGTATTTTCTGTGAAGGCTGCTTTTGGAGCAAGGTCAGAGGCGAGCATTTATTCTCTTATTTATTTAACTAATTTTTATATTGAGTAGGTTCTGTAGGTCAGGAATATGTTCCATGAAGGATACCAAAAAGAATAAAATGAAGTCACAGCTCTCACAAAGATTACATCTAGTGGAGGAACTCCCAAATAGCTGAAGTGAGTAAAGAAACCTATCTACAGGGCTGGAGGTCTCATGTCTCACCAAGGATGAATTATCTGGGAATGAGTGGAGAGAAAGGAGACAAGGAAGGAAGGAAGGAAGGGAGGGAGGGAGGGAGGGAGGAAGGGAAGAAGGGAGGAAGGGAGGGAGGGAATTCAAAGTAACTGTTTTGAGGAAGCTAAAAAAAAAAAAATCCAAGATAACATAGAGAAGGAATACAGAATTCTGTCAGATAAACTTAAAAAACAGGTTGAAATAATTAGAAAGAATAAAGCAGAAATTCTAGAGCTGAAAAATGCCATTGACATGATGAAGAATGCATCAGTTTCTTACTAGCAGAACTGATCAAGCAGAAGAAAGAATTAGAAAGCTCAAATGGTGCTGAGAAAACTTGATATCCATATGCAGAAGAATAAAACTAGACTCCTATCTCTCACCATGTAGAAAAATCAAATCAAAATGTATTAAAAACTTAAATCTAAGACCTCAAACTATGAAACTACTAAAAGGGCACATTAGAGAAACTCTCCAGAACATAGGACTGGAAAAAGATTTGAGTAATACCTCACAAGCACAAGCAACCAAAGCAAAAATGAGCAAACGGGATCTGAAGTTAAAAAGCTTCAGCACAGCAAAGGAAATCATCAACAAAGTGAAGAGATAACCCACAGAATGGGAGAAAATATTTGCAAACTATGCGTCTGAAAGGTATTAATAGCAAGACTGTATATGGAGCACAAACAACTCTATAGGGAAAAATTAATCTAATTTAAAAATGTGCTAAAGACTTGAATAAACATTTCTCAAGTGAAGACATACAAATGGCCAAAGGGCATATGAAAAACATTATTGATCATTGGAGAAATGCAAATCAAAACTAAAATGAAATATTATCTCACCCCAGTTAAAATTGTTTTATTTAGAAGTCTGGTACTGACAGATGCTGGCAAGGGTGTGGAAAAAAGAAAAGCCTTTTATACTCTTGGTGGGAATGTAAATTAGTACAAACATTATGGAGAACAGCTTAGAGGTTTCTCAACAAACTGAAAAAAAAAAGGAGCTACTATATGATACAGAAATCACACTGCTAGATATATATGTAAAAGAAAAAAAGTTAGTATATTGAAGAGATATCTGCACTCTCATGTTAATTGCAGCACCTTTCACAATAGCTGAGATTTGGAAGCCACTTAAATATCCATCAATAGACAAACGGATAAGGAAAATATGAAATATATACCCAATGGTGTATAATTTAGCTATAAAAGAGAATAATAGTCTGTCATTTGCAACACCATGGATAAAATCAGAGGTCATTGTGTTAAGTAAAAAAAAAACAGGCACAGAAAGACAAACATTGCATATTCTAACTTATTAGTGGGATCTAAAAATTAAAACAATTGAACTCATGGACATGGAGAGTAGAAAGATGGTTACCAGAGTCTGGAAAGGGTAATGTGGGGGTGGGGAGGAATGGAGATGTTTAATGGGTGCACAAATTTTAGTTAAATAGAATAAATAAGGTCTAGTATTTGATAGCACAACAGGATGACTACAGTCTACAATAATTTGTTGTACCTTTAAAAAGAGCTAAAAGAGTAGAATTGAATACTTTGTAACAAAGAGATAAGTGCTTGAGTTGATGGATACTCCATTTACCCTGATGTGTTAATTACACATTGTATGCCTGTATCAAAATATGTCATATACCCTATAAAGATATGCACCTGTTATGTACTCACAAAAATAAAAAAATTTAAAAATTTTAAATAAAGTATTAGTAAGCTTGCAGAGAGGGTATTTGAAAATACACATTCAGAGGAGACAAAAGAATAAAGAATAAAAAAGAATGAGGCACACCTACAAGATTTAGAAAAATAGCCCAAAATGAACAAATCTAAGTTATTGTCCTTACAGAGGAGACAGAGAGAGAGAGAGGTGGGAGCAAGGTAGGATGTTTATTCAAAGGGATAATAACAGATAACTTCCCAAACCTAGAGAAAGATATCAATATTCAAGTATGAGGGGATTACAGAATATCAAGCAGATTTAACCTAAAGAAGACTACTTCAAGACATTTAATAGTCAAATTCCCAAATATTAAGGATAAAGAAATGATTCTAAAAGCAGCAAGAGAAAAGAAACAACAGACAAAGGAGCTCCAACACGTTTGGTAGCAGGTTTTTCAGCAGAAACCATACATGCCAGGAGAGAGTGGTATGACATATTTAAAGTTCTGATGGAAAAAAAAGACAATTTTATCCTTCCGATGGAGTTCAGATATATGTCTTCACCAAAATCTCATGCTAAATCTCGTGTAATCCCCAATGTTGGAATTGGGGCCTGATGGGAAGTGATTAGATCGTAGGGGCAGATTTTCCTGTTGGTGCTGTTCTTGTGATAGTGAATTCTCATGATATATGGTTGTTTAAAAATGTATAAAAGCTCCCCCACCCCACTTAATTTCTTCCTCCTGCTCTGACCATGTAAGGAGTACCTACTTCCCTTTTCTGCCATGATTTTAAGTTTCCCAAGGACTCCCCAGAAACCAAGCAGATGCCAGAATCATGCTTTCTGTACAGCCTGTGGAACCATGAGCCAATTAAACCTCTTTTTTAAAAAAATTACCTTACACAGTCTTGGGTATTTCTTTATAGCACTGTGAGAACTGACTAATACAGAGATTTGGTACTAATGCAGAAAATTGGTACTGAAGAGTGGGTTATCAATCTTTATAGATTTCAGGTATCTATAAAGATACCTGAAAATGTGGAAGCAACTCTGTAACTGGGTAACAGGCAGAGGTTGGAAGAGTGTGGAAGGATCAGAGGAAGACAGGAATATGAGGGAAAATTTGGAACTCCCTAGAGACTAAATGGTTGTAACCAAATGCTAAGAGTGATATGGACAATAAAGTCCAGGTTGATGAGGTCTCAGATGGAGATGAGGAGCTTATTGGGAACTGGAGCAAAGGTCACTTTCACTATGCTTTAACGAGGAACTTGGAGGCATTGTGCCCTTGCTCTAGGGATCTGTGGAACTTTGAACTTGAGAGTGATGATTTAGGGTATCTGGTAGAAGAAATTTCAAAGCAGCAAATTGTTCAAGATGTGGCCTGGTAGGTTCTAACAACCTATGCTCATATGTCTGAGCCAAAAACAACACAAAACAAAAGAGTGATATGAAACTGGAACTTACATTTGAAAGGGAAGTAGAGTGTACAAGTTTGGAAAATTTGCAGGCTGGTCATGTGGTAGAAAAGAAAAACCCATTATCAGGGGAGGAATTCAAGCTGGCTGCATAAATTTGCATAAGTAAATAGAAGGCAAATGCTAATAGTGGAGACAATGGGGATAGGGCCTCAAAGGCATTTTAGAGACCTTCACAGGAGCCTTTCCCATCACAGGATGGGTGGCCTAGGGGGAAAAATGATTTCTTTGGCAGGGCCCAGGGCCTCACAGCCCCACTGCCCCACTGCCCAGCGCAGCCTCAGGACACTGCTCCCTTTGTCACAGCCACTCCAGCTCCAGCTGTGGCTAAAAGGACCCAGATTCAGCTTGAGCCACTTCCTCAGAGGGTGCAAGCTATAAGCCTTGGCAGTTTCTATGTGATATTAAGCCTGAAGGTAAACAGAATGTAAGAGCTGTGGCTTAGTAGCCTCCTCCTAGATTTCAGAGGATGTATGGAAAAGCCTGGATGTTCAGGAAGAAGCCTACTGCAGGGAGGAGCCCTCATGAATAACTTCTACTAGGGCAGTGCTAAGGAAAATGTGGGGTTGGAACCCCCACACACAGTCCCCACTAGGGCACTGCCTAGTCGAGCTGTGAGAAGAGTTCCACAGTCCTCCAGAACCCAGAATGGAAGATCAACCAGCAGCTTGCACTATGAATGTGGAAAAGCCATAGGAACTCAACATCAGCCCTGATATCAGCCTTGGTGGCTTAAATCTGCAGTCACAGGAACAGAGCTGCCCAAAGCCTTGGGAGCTCAACCCTGGTATTAATGTGCCCTGGATGTGAGACATGGAGTCAAAAGAGATTATTTTAAAGCCTTATGATTTAATAACTGCCCTGCTGGGTTTTAGATTAGTATGGGGCCTGTAGCCCCCTTTTTTTGTTTGATTTCTCTGTTTTGGAATGGGAGTATCTACCCAATACTCATACTCCCATTGTATCTTAGAGGTAACAAACTTTTTTTGTTTGTTTGTTTTACAGGCTCATAGGTAGAAGGTACTTGCCTTGTCTCATTTGAGACTTTGGACCTGCCTTTTGAGTTACTAATAGAATGAGTTAAGAATTCAAAAGAATGTTAGGAAGGCATGATTGGATTTTGCAGTGTGAGTAGGATATGAGATTTGGAAGGGATCAGGGGCAGAATAGTATGGTTTGAATCTGTGACATGATTTGTCTGTTTCCCTACCCAAATCTCATCTTGAATTGTAGCTTCCATAATCCCCATGTGTCATGAGAGTGACACAGTGGGAAGTAATGGGGGGTGGGTTCCCATGCTGGTCTCATGATAGTGAATAAGTCTCAAAAAATCTGATAGTTCTGTAAAGGGCAGTTCCCTTGCACACACTCTCTTGCCTGTTACCATGAAAGACATGCCTTTGCTGCCACATTGCTTTCCACCATGATTGTGAGGCATCCCAAGCCTTGTGAAACTGTAAGTCCATTTGATGTGGTTTGGCTATGTTGTCACCCAAGTCTCACCTTTAATTGTAATAATTCCCATGTGTCAAGGGTGGGACCAGGTGGAGATAATTGAATCATGGGGATGATTCCCCCAAACTATTCTTATAGTAGTGAATAGGTCTCACAAGATCTGATGGTTTTATAAGTGGAAGTTTCCCTGTGTGCACAAGCTCTATTTCCTGCCACCATGTAAGACATGACTTTGCTCCTCATTCACCTTCAACCATGATTGTGAGGGCTCCCCAGCCATGTTGAACTGTGAGTCAATTAAAACTCTTCCCTTTATAAATTACCCAGTCTCAGGTATGTCTTTATCAGCAACATGAGAACAGACTAATACAGTAAATTGCTACCGGTAGAGTAAGGTGCTGCCATAAAGATACCTGAAAATGTGGGAGCAACTTTGGAACTGGATAACAGGCAGAGGTTGGAGCAGTTTGGAGGCCTCAGGAGAGAGGAAGATGGGGGAAAGTTTGGAACTTCCTAGAGGCTTGTTGAATGGCTTTGACCAAAATGCTGATAGTGATATGGACAATATAGTCCAGGCTGAGGTAGTCTCAGATGGAGATAAGGAACTTGTTCAGAACTGGAGCTAAGGTGACACTTGCCATGTTTTAGCAAAGAGACTGGCAACATAGGGATTTGTGCAGAGAGATTATTTAGGGCATCTGGTGGAAGAAATTTCTAAGCAGCAAAGCATTCAAGATGTGACTTGCATGCTGTTAAAGCATTCACTTTTATGTATTCACAAATATATGGTTTGGAATTCAACTTATGTTTAAAAGGGAAGCAGAGAATAAAAGTTTGGAAAATTTGTAGCCTGATGATGCAAAAGAAAAGAAAAACCCATTTCCTGAGAAGAATTTCAAGTGGCCTGCAGAAATTTGCATAAGTAACCAGGAGCCAAATATTAATTGTCAAGACAATGGGAAAAATGTCTCCGGGGCATGTCAGAGGTATTTAAGGCAGCTCCTCCCATTGCAGGCCCAGAGGCCTAGGTGGCAAAAATGGTTTCATGAGCTGGTCCCAAGGCCTTGCTGCTTTGTGCAGTCTCAGGATTTGGCACCCTGCATCCCAGCCATGGTGAGAGGGGAGCAACCTGGAGCTCAGTCCATTGCTTCAGAGGGTGCAAGCCCCAAGACTTGGCAGCTTCCAGTTGGTTTGGGGCCTTCATGTGTACCGAAGTCGGGAATTGAAGTTTAGGAACCACCATCCAGATTTCAGAAGATGTACAGAAATGCCTGTATGTCCAGGCATAAATCTGCTGCAGGGGTGGAGCCCCTATGGTGAACCTCTGCTAGGACAGAGTATGGAAGGGAAATGTGGGTTTGGAGCCCCCACACAAAGTCCCCACTGTGGCACTGCCTAGTGGAGATGTGAGAAGAGGGTCACATCCTCCAGACCCCAGAATGGTAGGTTCACCGACAGCTTGCACTGTGTGCCTGGAAAAGCCACAAACACTCAACTTTAGCCTGTGAAGGCAGCTGGAAGGTGGGGGCTGTACCTTGCAAAGCCACAGGGGTGGAACTGTCCAAGGCCATGGGAGCCCATCTCTTGCATCAGCTTGACCTGGATATGAGACAGGGAGTCAAAGATCATTTTAGAGCCTTAAGGTTTGACTGCCCCTGTGGATTTGGATTGGAAGGGGGACTGTAGCTCTTTCATTTTGGCCAGTTTCTCCCATTTGGAATGAGTATATTTACCCAATGCCTGTACCCACATTGTATCTGGGAAGTAACTAACTTGCTTTCAGTTTTACAGGCTCATAGACAGAAGAGACTTGCCTTGTCTCAGATAAGAGTTTGGACTATGGACTTCTGAGTTAGTGCTGAAATGAGTTAAGACTGGGGGACTGTTGGAAAGGGACAATTGGTTTTGAAATATGAGGGCATGAGATTTCAGAGAGGCCAAGGGTGAAATGATATGGTTTGGCTGTGTCCTCACCCAAATCTCGTCTTGAATTGTAGTTCCCATAATCTCCACATGTTATGAGAGGGACCTGATGCGAGGTAATTGAATCATGGGGGCAGGGTTTTCTTTTTTAATGTTGTTCTTGTGACAGTGAATTAGTCTCATGAGATCTCATGGTTTTATAAAGGGCAGTTACCCTGCACATGCTCTCTTACCTGCTTCCATGTAAGCTGTGGCTTTGTTCCTCCTTTGCCTCCTGCCATTATTATGAGGCCTTCCCAGCCATGTGGAGCTGTGAGTCCATTAAAGTTCTTTTTCTTTATAAATTACCCAGTCTCAGTGATGTCTTTATTAGCAGCATGAGAACGAAGTAATACAATCTGCCTTGCCACCCAAATTTCATGTCAAATTCTAATCCATAATGTTGGAGGTGTGGCCTGGTGGGAGGTGATTGGATCATGGGGGCAGGTTTCCACAGTGGTGCTGCTCTCATCATAGTAAGTGAGTTCTTACAAGATCTGTTTGTTTAAAAAGTGTGTAGCACCTTCCCCTCTTCCTTTTGCTCCTGCCATGTAAGACATACCTGCTTCCCCTTTACCTTCTGCTGTGATTGTAGATTTCCTGAGGCTTCCCCAGAAGCTGGGAAGATGCCAGAATCATGCTACCTGTACAGCCTATTATAATTTACCCAGTCTCAGTTTTTTTGTTTGTTTGTTTGTTTGTTGTTTGTTTTTTTCTGTTTTGGCAGAGTCTTACTCTGTCACCCAGGCTGGAGTGCAGTGGTGCGATCTTGGCTCACTGCAACCTCTGCCTCCTGGGTTCAAGCGATTCTCCTTCCTCAGCCTCCTGAGTAGCTGGGATTACCAGCATGCACCACCACACCTAGCTAATTTTTGTATTTTTAGTAGAGATGAGGTTTCACCATGTTGGTCAGGCTGGTCTTGAACTCCTTACTTTGTGATCTGCCTGCCTCGGCATCCCAAAATGCTGGGATTACAGGCATGAGCCACCGCGCCTGGCCTGGTATTTTTTTTATAGTAGTGCAAGAACAGATTAATATGCCTAGATTAGTATATTCATCCAAAAAAATCCTTCAAACATGAAGGAGAAATACAGACTTTCCTAGACAAAAAAGATAACAGATTTTGGCAACACTGGCCCTGTCCTACGAGAAATGCTAAACACTCATAATAGTAAATATGAAGCAAAACAGAATATTATAACACTGTAATTGTAATGTGTAAACAACCTATAACTTGAGTAGAGAGGCTAATAGATGGACCTATCAAAAATAATAACTAAAACAAATCTTTAAGAAATAGATGAAATAATAAAATAGAAATCGATATAATAACAAGTTAGAAATCAGAGGGGATGAAGTTAAAGTGCAGAGTTACATAGTTATTTCTTTGCTTATTTGTGAGTTCGTTTATGCAGTGTGAAGTTGTCGTCAGTTTAAAATAATGAGTTATAAGGTATTATTGGCAAGCCTCATGGTAACCCCAAATAAAAAATATTCAGCATATACGCAAAAAATAAAAAGCAAGAAATTAAAACATACCACCTTGGAAAATGCCTTCACTAAAAGAAAGACAGGAAGGAAGGAAAGACAGTAGAGAAAAATCACAAAACAATGAGAAAACAAATTTAAAAAATAGTAGGAGTAAGTCCTTACTTATCAATAGTAACACTGAATGTATCAATAATAATAAGTAAGTCCTTACTTATCAATAATAACACTGAATTAATCCATGAAAAAGATTAATCTCTCCAATAAAAAGACATAGATTGACTGAATGGATTAAAAAAATAAGACTCAATCACCTGTTGCCTACAAGAAATACACTTCATCTATAAAGACATAAATAGACTAAAATGAAGGGATAGAAAATGATATTCCATTCGTATGGAAACTGAAAAAGAACACAGCTAGCTATATTTATATCAGAAGAAATAGATTTCAAGACCAAAACTATAAAGAGACAAAGAAAGTAATTATATAATGATAAATGAGTTAATTCAGCAAGAGGACATAACATTTATAAATACATATGCACCCAAGACTGGAACATCAGGATATATAAAGCAAATATTATTAAAGCTAAAGAGTGAGATATATCACAACACAATAATGGTTGGAGACTTCAACACTCCACTTTCAGCATTGGACATATCTCCCAGACAGAAAATCAACAGAGAAATATCAGACTTAATCTGAACTATAGAATAAATGGACCTAAAAGATATTTACAAAACATTTTATCCAAACATTGGGTACACATGGACCTAGAGATGACAGCAGGAGACCCTGGAAACTACTAGTATGGGGAGGCAGGGAGGGAGGCAAGGGTTAAAAAATTGTTGGGTACTATGATCTATACCTGGGTGACAAGATCATTTATACCTCAATCCTCAACATCACAAAATAATCCTATGGAAGAAATCTGCACATGCACCTCTGAATTTAAAATAAAGATTGAAAAAGTAAAGGAAAAGAAAAGAAGAAAAGTGATCAGAGCAGAAATAAATAAAATTCGAATTTAAAAAACACGAAAGATTAACAAAACAAAAACTCGTTTTCTTGCAAAACGAAATGCAAAGGATCAACCAAATAAAAATTTGCGTGTTTTTTTTTTTTTTTTTTTTTGCAAAGATAAAGAAAATTGACAGATCTTTAGCTATCCAGACTAGGACAAAAAAGAGAGAAGATCCAAATAAATAAAATAATAGATGAAGAAGTATACATTACAACCAATACTGCAAAATGTGAAAGATCATTAGCAGCTAGTATGAGTATGTATATGCAAATAAATTGAAAAACATGGAATAAATGGATAAATTCCTAGACACCTGCAAACTACCAAGATTAAACCATAAAGAAATTCAAAATATGAAAAGACCAATAACAAATAATGAGATTGGAGCTGTAATAAACAGTCTCCCAACAAAGAAAATCCCAGTGTCTGATGGCTTCACTGCTGAAATTTAGCAAACATTTAAAGAAAAGCTAGTACCCAACATACTCAAACTATTTTGAAAAATAGAAGAGGATGGAATACTTCTAAAATTCTATGAGGGTAGTGTTACCCTGATTTAAAAACAAACAAACAAACAGACACATCAAAAAGAAAAAAAAACCCTACAGGCCAATAACTCTGAAGAATATTGATGTAAAAATCCTCAGAAAATTTACAAGAAAACTGAATTAAACAACACATTAAAAAGATCATTCATCCTGACCAAATGAGATTTATCCCAGAGATGCAAGGATGATTTAACATACCCACCTCAATGTGACTTATCATAACAACAGAATGATTAAAAAAAACTATATGATCAATTGATGCTGAGAAAGCATTTGAGAAAATTCAGCATCCCTTCATAATAAAAAAAAAAAAACCAAAACTGGATGTATAAGGCACATATCTTAACACAATAAAAGCTATATGAGAGACCCACACTAGCATCATACTAAATAGGGTAAAACTGAAAGCCTTTCCTTTAATATCTGGAACATGATAAGGATGCCCACTTTCACCACTGTTATTTAACATAGCATGGGAAGTCCTAGCTAGGGAAGTTAGTCAAGATAAAGATATAAAGTGCATCCAAACTGGATAGGAAGAAGTCAAATTATCCTTATTGGCAGATGACATGATCTTATATCTGGAAAAACCTAAAGATTCTTCCAAGAAACTATTCGAACTGATCAACAAATTCAGTAAAATTGCAGGATACAAAATTAACATACAAAAAGTAATGGCATTTTTATATGCCAACAGCAAACAATCTGAAAAAAGAGACCAAGAGCTTGAACCAGGGAGTCGGAGGTTGCAGTGAGCCAAGATCGTGCCACTGCACTCCAGCCTGGCGACAGAGCAAGACTCCGTCTCAAAAAAAAAAAAAAAAAACAAGGAAGCAATCTCATCCATAGTAGCTAGAAATGAAACAAAATACCAAGGAATCAACTTAATCAAAAAGTGAAACATATTTACAATAAAACTCTAAGACATTGATGCAAGAAATTGAAAAGGACACAAAAAATGAAAAGATATTCTATGTTCATGAATTGAAAGAATCAATTTTGTTAACATGTTCATTCTACCCAAAGGAATCTACAGATCCAGTGGAATCCCTATGAAAATATCAATGACATTCTTGATAGAAATAGAAAAAATATTGCAAAATTTATATGAAACCACAAACGACCCAGAATAGTGAAAGCCATCCTGAGCAAAAACAACAAAACTGGAGGAATCACAT
Source organism: Homo sapiens (assembly GCF_000001405.40). Lineage (NCBI taxonomy): Eukaryota > Metazoa > Chordata > Mammalia > Primates > Hominidae > Homo > Homo sapiens. The sequence continues at coordinate 78,184,759 of NC_000006.12, read as the reverse complement.
TACCTAACTTCAAATTATACTACACAGCTATAGTAACCAAAACGCATGGAATTGGCATGAAATCATATGCATAGACCAATGGACCAGAACAGAGAACCCAGAAGTAAATCTATCCATCTACAGTGAACTCATTTTCAACAAAGCTGCCATGAACATACATTGGGAAAAGAATAGTCTCTTCAATAAATGGTGCTGAGAAAACTAGATATTCATGTGCAGAAGAATTAAATTAGACTCCTATCTCTCACTGAATATAATAATCAAATCAAAACGGATTAAAGACTTAATATAAGACCTCAAACTATGATACTACTAAAAGAAAACTTTGGGGAAACTTTCCAGGACATAGACTGGGCAAAGATTTCTTGAGTAATACTCCACCAGTACAAGCAACCAACGCAAAAATGGACAAATGGGATCCCATCAAGTTAGAAAGCTTCTGCACAGCCAAGAAAATAAGAAAATGAAAAAACCAACTATGAAATGGTTGAAGAAAATATTTGCAAACTATCCATCTGAAAGGTATTAATAACAAGAATATATAAGGAGCAAAAACAACTCTAAAGGAAAAAACAATAATCTGATTAGAAATGGGCAAAAGTTCACAACAGATATTTCTCAAAAGAAGACCTATAAATGGCAGTTGGGTATATAAAAATGTTCACATCATTGATCATCAGAGAAATGCAAATCAAAGCTATAATGAGACATTATCTCAACCCAGTTAAAATGACTTTTATACAAAAGTCAGGATATAACAGACTCTGATGAGGGTGTGGAGAAAGGGAACACTTGTATACTATTGATGGGAATGCAAATGATTACAACCACTGTGGAAAACAGTTTAGAGGTTCCTCAGAAAAGCCAAAGGAGAGCTACCATATGATCCAGGAATGTCACTCCTAGGTATGTAATCAAAAGAATAGAAACCAGTATATGGAAGAGATACCTGCATATTGCAGCAGTATTGACAATAACCAAGAAGCACCCTAAGTGTCCATCAACAGACAAATGCATTAAAAATGTGGTATATATACATGATGGAGTACTACAGCCATAAAAAATGAGATCCTGTCATTTTTAATAACATGGATAGAACTGGATATTATTGTGTTAAGTGAAATAAGTCAGACACAAAAACACACGTTTTGCATGCTCTCATTTATTTGTGGGACCTAAAAAATTTAAAACCATTGAACTCATGGAGATAGAGAGTAAAATAATGGTTTCCAGAGACCGGGAAAGGTAGTAGTCAAGGGGAAAAGGGGATGGTAAATGGGTACAAAAATATAGTTTGATAGAATGAATAAGATTTAGTATTTGACAACACAACAGGATGAGTAGTCAACAATAATGTATTGTACATTAAACAATAACTTAAAGAGTTGAACTGGATTATTTGTAACATAAAGGAAAGATAAATACTTGAGATGTTGGATGCCTCATTTACCCTGATGTGATTATTATTTATTGATGCCTCATTTACCCTGATGTGATTATTATTTATTGTATTTTAGTAACAAAATATGTTATGTAACCCAGAAATACGTATACATACTATGTACCAACAGAAATTAAACAGAAAAGAAAAATGCGAAGCAAAATTCTAACAACAACAACAACGAAAGAAAAGGTGGCATAACTCTTAGAAATTCAGACAGATGCTGGGGAAATCCTAAGTGCTAAATCCACAGCCTTTTGATTGTCTCCCCTGTTGGCTGTCTGTTTTGGGAGACTTCTGAATCACTGCTCCTGTCCCAATTCACAGCTTTTAGGAGTCAACTGAAGTTGATGAGGATCCAATTCCAGGAAGAATTTTGGGATAGATCTAATTTTAAAGTAAATAGTGTTATAGGATGTTTTATTTGCAAGCCAAGTCTTCTTTGTATATAAATTTTAGTTACATTGAAAAATGAGAATTAATTTTAATCAATCATATACATTTTCTTTAACTTAATGTAATAAAAATTTATTCTTGGTTTTTCAGAAAATAAAGTTAATAAAGTATACAGATTACTTTATCAAGTACCTACCAGTGAGATAACAGATTTTGCAAGAAACATCTTTATCAGAGATCACGTAACTGTTGGGTTTTCCCTGTATTTTCCTTTATTTACAAAATGAAAATGTCTAAAGGAAGGGTACATGAATATCTATGATAATTTTGCTTTAAAAACTAGATATACATACAGTTTTAATGAAGAGCTCATTAAGAATATTGCATTACTACATTACTTAGATCAGCGTAACCTTTCTTCACATCAAGAGTCTAGCCACAGGTCATCCCTATTCATCCTCTGCCTTATTGTAATCTCAAGCTTTCATGCTGCCTCATCCCCTCAGCCAGGTCCCAAAAGTGGTTTCATATGAGGACTCTGTGAAGAGCTTTTAGAAAAATCTGACGTTTGAATCCAACCTCAAAGGTTTTGATTTTATTAATCTTGGGCATGGCCCAAGCACAGGTAAATTTTTAATTCCAGTTGATTTTAATGTATAGCCAGTGTTGAAAACTACTGTCCTAAAGCCTCCCACTGCTCTTTTTTTTAAAAAAACCTCACAGTCTGTCATAAAATCCTGCATGCACATACCCATCTATTTCTTTGAAAGTTTGTTTCTTCCTGCTGTAACAGAAAACAGGCTGCTTCCCAAGAACATTTCTTATTTTTCAGCTTTCTATTCCCTCCACAAACCTGCAATACCTATCACCTGTATCACACTCAGCTGATGACCTTGTTTATCTTATTTATCTGCTTCAAGAAAAAGAGCAAACATAAAAAAACCCTTCCATCAACCAAACTTCTAATCTCCCTCTGCTTGTGCCCTTCACACTGTTTTCTCTGCTAATGAAGTGCTGACCTGATCATTCTGTTACAAAAGGCCAATCCTTCAATTTCTGTACTAGCTTCTCACATATTCTGGAACTGTGATGCTGCAATTAACTCCTTGATCTCCTTTAGTACTAAACTTTCCCTCTCTGTTAGATTATTCACAGTAGCTGGGGTGATACTCAAATAATATCAATGGAAGGAATAATACAAATAATACAATGGAAGTAACTGGAACAACCAGTCTTCCAGGGGAATGTTGTCTGTCTTGCCCCTCATGAAATTAGCATGCTTTAATGTCATTCATCTTCATAAATACTTCCTCTTGATTTCACAGACCTCCTCCAATTACCATCTTCTATCTCTACATTTTTTATTGTAAAACTCACAGTGTTGCCTCTACTGTCTAACTCTTCATCCAGCTCACTTTTATACTACATCTGATCAGGCTTTCTCCTCACCACTTCAGTGAAGCTCCTTTTATCAGTGTTAGCAATGTTACCAGTGTTCCCAGCTAAGCCTCAGTTCCCAGCCTTCATCTACCTTAATACCTCAGCAACATTTGAAATCACTTTCTGTTCCTTGAAGAACTTGAATAATGAAATTTTAAGTAAATTGACATTTTTGCACTTATGTAAACATTTTAGTTGATATGCCATGCTCACTGTTTTGTTATGATGATTGACACTATCAATAAAGTTTAAGATAAAGTATGAATCAAGATTAAGAGAAAATATTGAAAATATTCATTCAAAGTTTAAAAGAAAACATTGGAAGGCTCTTGCATAAATATTAACTCATTAAATAATTTTTAAATAAAATTATGTTGAGGGAGGCACAGATATGAGATTTCCATTACTGAAAGAAATAAAATACATTAAGATATATGACTATAGAGCTGAGAGTGTGTATATTACTATAAAAATTGCATCTTTATGTTTAGAGAATCATAAAATATCTGATTGTCTAGACTGGTGAAAATAAAAGTTTAAGTATTTCTCAAGTAGAACAAAATATGGACTGAAACTTCTATAATTGAACTTAAGATATATTAGACATTTTTCATGAAATTTAACTATTTTAACATTCTAAATATAGCTAAAATACATGAAATTATGGGTTTTCTGAAAGAATATATCATAGAGAACCTGAGTTGTGAAAAGCCTAAATGAATTCAAGAAATGAAAATTATTAGTAATAGATAAACACGAAAGTTATTTTTGTAAAGGTACCTCTAATTAGTTCCTATTATTGCAAATCTAGCCAGGCAGACTCTGCAAAGTAATAATGTTTCAAGTTTCTATTATGTCTGAAATGAAAAACCTGGTCTTCAATAACAAGGACGTTAACTAGATTCTATAAGACTTACATAACCAGTATGTGACTGGTAGGCAGCTTCTTTTCTTTCTCTACTCCACCCTTCGAAGGTATGCTTTGCTCTTCAAAGCAGCTTCAAAACCAGATGGAATTGAATGTGTTAAAAACAGACAGTTATTTTTCCTAGAGATTCCATAAGGATATGAGGAAAAAGATTCTCATTACGTATCCCACAGTAGAAACTATAAAATTTCTTTTTAAATATCTCTGTCATTTCCCAGAAAATGCCTCTCTCTGGTTAGACAGCTCAGTTTTTATTCTGTCTCACCCATAACCAAAGCTTTTCAAAATTGCTTACTGATTCTGCTCTCCCACTCAACTTTGTGAACAAAAACCCAGTGACAACCACACAATGGCCCCTGTGATGGTTAATATTGAGTGTCAATTTGATTGGATTGAAGGATGCAAAGTACGGTTCCCAGGTGTGTCTGTGAGGGTGTTGCCAAAGGAGATTAACATTTGAGTCAGTGGACTGGGAGAGGCAGACCCACCCTCAATCTGGGTGAGCACAATTTAATCAGCTGCCAGCATGGCTAGAATAAAAGTAGGCAGAGGAACCTGGAAGGACTAGACTGGCTGAGTCTTCTGGCTTCCATCTTTCTCCCATGCTGGCTGCTTCCTGCCCTTGAATATATGACTACAAGTTCTTCAGCTTTTGGATTCTTAGACTTACACCAGTGGTTTGCCAGGGGCTCTCAGGCCTTTGGCCACAGACTAAAGGCTACACTGTTGGCTTCCCTATTCCTCAAGCTCATAATTTCAAAGCCTAATTTTCCTACCCATGTGGCACTTCAAGATACAAAAATGACAATCCACTGCTAAGAAAATAAAATTAATCTATAATATTACACTGCCTTAATAGTTTGTATTGAATTGCTAACATTTTAAACACTTAATAAGATATTGGGCTTTACTTCTACTAAAAGTCATAATAATTTTTAAATTTAAGATTCAGAAGGCCCATGTGCAGATTTGTCATATGAGTATATTGCATGATGCTGAGGTTTGGGCTTCTAATTATCCCATCATCCAAGTAATGAACATAATACCCAATGGTGCTTTTTCAACCCATGCCCTCTCACTCCCTCTTTTTTTTTTAATAGAATCTCCATTGTTTATTGTTCCAATTTTTATGTTCATGATTACCCAATATTTAGCTCCCATTTACAGTGGGAGATATCCCATTTACAGTGAGAATATTTGGTATATAGTTTTGTTTCTGCATTAATTTGCTTAAAATAAAATAGCCTCCAGCTGCATTCATATTTCTGCAAAGAACGTAATTTTATGATTTTCTATGGCTGTGTAGTAATTTATTGTATATATGTACTACATTTTCTTTATCCAGTCCGCTGTTGACAGAGACCTCAGTTGATTCCATGTTTTTGCTATTGTAAATAGTGTTGCAATGAACATACAAGTGCATGTGTCTTTTTAGTAGAATGATTTATTTTCTTTTGGATATATACCTTTGGATATATACCCAGTAATTGGATTATTGAGTCAAATGATATTTCTATTTTTAGATCTTTGAGAAATCTTTAGCCTGGTTCCAAAGGGGCTGAACTAATTTGCATTTCCACCAACAGTGTATAAGCATTCCCTTTTCTCTGCAGCCTCACTGATAACTGTTGCTTTTGACTTTTTAATAATAACCATCTGACATGTGTGAGATGGTAACTCACTGTGGTTTCAATTTGCCTTTCTCTGAGGATTAGTGATGTTCAGCATTTTTTCATGTTTGTTGGCCCCTTGTATGTCTTCTGAAAAGTGTCTGTTCAGGTCCTTTACCCTCTTTTAAATGGGCTTGTCTTTTTCTCGTTGATTTAAGTTCCTTATAAATGCTGGATATTAGACCTTTGTTGGATGCATAGTTTGCTAATATTTTTTCCCGTTCTGTAGGTTGTCTGTTAACTCTGTTGATAGTTTCTTTGGCTGTGCATAAACTCTTTAATTTAATTAGGTCCCAATTGTCAACTTTTGTTTTTGGTACAATTGCCTTTGATAACTTGGTCATAAATTTTTTGCCTAGGGCAATATCTAGAAGGGCATTTCCTAGTTTTCCTTGTAGGGTTTTTATATTTTGAGGTCTTATATTTAAGTCTTTAATCCATCTTGATGTAATATTTGTATAATGTGAAAGGAAGAAGTCCAGTTTTTATTCTTCTGCATGCAGCTATCCAGTTTTCTGAGCACTATTTATTGAAGAGTGTCTCATTTCCCCATTGTTTTCTTTTTTTTTTTTTTTGTCAACTTTGTTAAAGATCAGTCAGTTGTCCATGTGCATCTTTATTTCTGGAGTCTTCATTTGTTTCCATTAAGTCTATGTGTCTATTTTTATACCATTGTCATGGTGTTTTGGCTATTGTAGCCTTGTAGTATAGTTTGAATTCCTATAATATGATATCCCTGGCATTATTATTTTTACTTAGGATTGCCTTTGGCTATTCGAGATATTTTTGGGTTCCATATGAATTTTAAAATAGCTTTTTCTAATTCCATGAAAAATGATGTTAGTTGATAGAAATAGCATTGAATCTGTAGATTACTTTGGGCCATATGGACATTTTAAAGATATTGATTCATCTAATCCATAAGCATGGAATGCTTTTTCATTTGCTTGTGTCAAATATGATTTCTTTTAGCAGTGTTTTATAGTTTTCCTTGTAAAGATTTTTCACCTCCTTAATTAGATTTATTCTTAGGTATTTAATTATTTATGTGTGGCTATTTAAACGGGATTGCATTCCTGATTTTGTTCTCAGCTTAAATGTTATTGGTATTTAGAAATGCTATTTATTTATGTTGTTTTGTATCCTGAAATTTTGCCAAAGTTGTTTATCAGTTCCAGGAGTCTTTTGGTGGAATCTTTAGCATTTTCTAGGTATAGAATCTTATCATCCACAATGACAATCATTTGACTTCCTCTTTCCCTATTTTGATGCTTTTTATTTTTATCTCTTGCCTGATTACTCTGGCTAGGATTTCCAGTACTAGGTTGAATAGGAGTAGTGAAAGTAGACATCCTTGTCTTGTTTCAGTCTAGGGAGATTGTTTCTAGTTTTTGCCCATTCAGAATGATGTTGGCTGTGGGTTTGTCATAGATGGCTCTTATTATTTTGAGTTATGTTCCTTTGATGCCTAGTTTGTTGAGGGTTTTATGCTTTCTCTGCGTCTATTGAGAGGCTCATATGGTTTTTGTTTTTAATTATTTTTATGTGGTGAATTACATTTATTAATTTGCATATGTTGAACCATCCTCACATCTGAGGAATAAAATCTATTTGATTGTTGTAATTAACTTTTGATAAACTGCTGGATTTGGTTTGCTAGTATTTTGTTGAGGATATTTATGCCTATGTTTATCAGGGATATTGGCCTGTAATTTTTTTTTGTTGTTGTGTCTTTGCAAGATTTTGGTATCAGGATAATTCTGATTTCATGGAATGAGTTATGGAGAAGCTCCTCTTCCTCAATTTTTTGGAAAATTTTAGTAGAATTGGTACCAGCTCTTATTTGTATGTCTGGTAGAATTTGGCTGTGAATCCATCTGGTCTGTCTGAGGCTCTTTTGTTGTTGTTGTTGGTAGGTTATTTTTTATTCCTGATTCAATTTCAGAACTCATTACTGGTCTTCTTAGGAGTTTTGTCTCTTCCTGGTTCAATATTGGGAGATTGTGTGTTTTCAGGAATTTATCAGTTCCTTCTAGATTTTCTAATTCATGGGCATAGAGATGTTTGTATAGTAGTCTCTGAGTACCTTTTGTATTTCTGTGGGATCAATTATAATGTCAACTTTATTATTTCTGATTGTGCCATTTGTATCTTCTTTCTTTTTTTCTTCGTTAATGTAGCTAGTTGTCTATGAAACTTGTTTATCCTTCCAGAAAACCAAATTTTTGTTTCATTGATCATTTGTCTGACTGGATTGATTCAAGGAACTGGTCTTCGAGCTCTGAAATACTTTCTTCTTCTTGGTCTAGTTCAAGCTTGTCCAACCCATGGCCTGTGGGCCACATGCAACCCAGGACAGCTTATAATGCAGCCCACCACAAATTCATAAACTTTCTTAACACATTATGAGTTTTTTGTAATTTTTTTTTTTAGTTCATCAGTTATCCTTGGTGTTAGTGTACTTTATGTGTGGTCCAAGACAATTCATCTTCTTCCAGTGTGGCCCAGGGAAGACAAAAGATTGGAGACCTCTGGTCTAGTCTGTTGTGAAGACTTTCAACTGTCTTTTTAAATTTCTGTAGTGAATTGCTCAATTCCAGAAACTCTGTTTGGTTGTTTCTTAATATGGCTATGTTTTCTTTCATATTTTAGATCATTTTTTGTGTGTGTGTTCTTAGTGCTGGATTTCAACTTTATCTTGGATCTCAGTGAATTTCTTTGCCATCCATATTCTCAATTCTATAGCTATCATATCAGACATTTCATTCTGGTCAGGATCTATTGTTTGGAAGTTAGTGGGATCCTCCGGAGGTGACAAAACACTCTGACTTTTTCTATTGCTGGAGTTCTTGCATTGGTTTCTTCTCATTTGAGAGTCTGCTAGGGCTGACAGTTTTTTAAAAAATTTACTCTGATTTGGATGGGGCTTCTTGATTTTATTCCCTTGGGGGTATGACTATGGTACGTATTGTTTGATTAGCTTCGTTTCTGGGTGCTTTCAGGTTGCCACGTCTCTGTACAGGTTTCTTGGTTGAAGGCAGGTTTGTGAAATGGCTTTCTCAGGCATTGCTTTTGTAGCAATGTAATTTTTCTTGGTGGTATAATTCAGGCTGTACTCTAGTTGGTGTTGCTTAAGAGTAGGAGCCAGCAGGTAGGGGCATGGGAAGTGGCAATGAAGAAGTATGAAAAGCACCCTTCTCCAGTGTGTGTTTGCCTTCGTTGGGGGTGGAGCTGCTGGAGAAGCCCAAGAAGCAGTCTCTTTCTGCCCATGCTCCCTGGGCCCTTAAGGGAGTAGCTGCTGCTAAGTCCACAACAGTGCATTGAGGACACATGGCAAGGGGTAAGAGATAACCTTGTCTCTACATCCATTCCTGGGCTTCGGTGGAGCTGCTGTCAGTGGCTGGTGCCATGCTTGCATTTTTATTGTGCTAACAGGAGCTTTAGTGGGCTGCACTTCACCCTCCCTTAGGGGCAAACCAAACCAAGAGTTAGATTAGAGGAGTGGGTTCCACCTTTCTCTTGCTCCTCAGAGCTGGTGGGACACTGTTCCCTAACTCACCAAGGGAACAGACTAGAGCACCCAGAAATGATACATGCAGACCGGGTTTCAGGTCACAAAGCTGTCTCTGGCTGTAAGTCTCACTACCCAGGAGAAATTTGGCTTCAGCTACTCTCCTCCTCCAGTCCTGCAATGATGGGGGGCATATAATTCCAATACCTACTGCTGGGGCAATCTCTACACTTTCCACTCGATTCTGGCTGTTACAGCCCTTCCCCACTACAGAGCAACAGACCCAATATCTGTTTCAAGACTAAAATGCCTACTGTGACTGCTGCTACTAGATCACCAAAAAATGTCTATAAGCTCTCAAAATGATGCCATCTATGGAAATGTGACTGGAGTGGTTTGGGCCTGTGTCAGGTGGGCAGCAGAGGCAAGAAGCTGTGAGGAGTATGGTCTGCTTGATTCTTGGTCTCACAGCAGCCTGTAGAAGGGCACTGGGTATTGTCATAGGTTGTTGTAAGACAGCCTCACTTCCCTCTTGGCTGGGCAGTAGCTGCAGCCATAAGCCCAAACTCAGGGTTAGGGTGTGAAACAGCTTGGCATAAAACTCTTGAAATGGTACCTTGGGCCTGGGACCAGAGAGAATGGGCATCACCTAGGCAAGCAGTGTGAACAAGAAGCTGTGTGGAATGCAGTTCACTTGTATCTCAGTCTCAAAGGCAGCTCACAGCAAAGTATCTTCCCAGGGGTATGTGAACACCACCAGTTTCCCCTCTCCCTCTTTGGAACAGAACAGCAACTGCAGCTGTGTCTGTAAATCCTCGGTTATTGGGGCTCTCAAAATGGCTTGCATCTGAGGCTGCACTAGGCTTTATATGCCTATGGGATTCTGTGTGCGTTTCCTTTCTGGAGCAACGTCTTGTGAAGTCTATAGGCATCTCTGTATTTCAGGCATCAGGCCCTAGCGGGTTGAGTATTTCTCCCATACCCAAGATCATTAAAGCCCATTTCAGATTTCTGAGGATTTCTCTCTTACTATTTTCCAGTGTCTCGTAGCCTCTCCCAGCTTTCAGTTGGTTCCCAGCTGGGCAAGCTACTGCAAACTTTCTCCTTACTTCTGGTGCTCCCCATCTCTTCTCTGATGAATCAAAGCATTCTGTTCTAGACAATCTGTTCTCAGTGTATCCACTTACTATTCTGGGTCTTCTCCGTGGAGGAGCACATAGGACCTCAATGTAGTCTGCCATCTTGATTCCTTCCCAACTACGAATAATACAAACTTTTCTACTATTCAGGGTTGCCATGAAGGAGTTCACCACCCAAGGTGTGGAATGAGTTAGTGCAGGACCTTGTTTGTGAAGAATAATCTAGATTTAACTACCATCCTATAATTACAACAGACAAATTTTAAATTGAGAGTTTTATCCATTTTCTCTCTTAGATAGTGGGGACACTTCTGAAATATATGCTCACTTTTATGAGGATGACTTCACTTTAAAAATCTTATTTTTGTGTTTTACTATGAATAGATAAACATCGCTCAAGGGGACACATGATTATTTTTAAAAGAAAGAAAGATAAAATCTTTATTCAAAATGACAATGATTATATACTTAGGTGTCTTTTGTCTGTTTATTGGGCATTTCCTAATTTTGATTTTTAAACTTTGATTCTCTTTCATTTCTATTGATCTTTCTATTTTCTCCTTGGTTTCAAATAAGTAAGAAAAGGGTTCTGGAATTGAGGACTTACACCCTTTTGACAGAAACATGCTGGTGAGTAAGGGAAGAAGAAAATTAGAAAGTTAATCTTTAAATTTTTTTCACATGTTTTTAACTTGAAATTTCTTATTTTGTGTCTTTTATTTTTTTGTTTTCTCTTTCATTTTCCATATTTCTGACTATTTTATTATTCACCTCTGAACCTTTTAATAAAACTCCTGTTTGAAGTCTGACAATGCTATTCAGTTTCCTATGGAACTAACATTTAAACCTGGTATCTACATAGTCTAGACTTGCTTCCTAGGGCATATCCCAAATATAGTAGTATACAGACCATGAGTTTTTTAAATAAATTTTGACTCAGAAATTTGACTTTTAATAATCTATTCTAAGGAAATTAGCATATAAATATTTATGAAAACATTATAGGATATAGTTTTAAAGAACCTAGTGCCTGGTATGTAACCTCCTGGACTTACATCTCAAAGCTTACTAATTCTGTGATTTTGTAAAAATTCCTTAAAATCCATGTGCTTCCTTTTTTTTCATTTACAAAGTGGGAATACTTTGAGACCTACCTCAAAGAATTATGGTATGGATTAAATAAAGTAATACATGCAAAATCCTTTGCATAGAGGCTGGCACATAAGATCCCTATATATGTGAGCTGTTTTATTAGCTAGGATTACTGGTATTATTATACAATAAATATCTGTAATACATATGTATGTGTGAATATGTATGAGAGAATTCTCTTGCATTATTGATTTTAATTTAAAAATAAAAAATATCCATCAATATAATATTAATTAAATGTATTACAGCACATCTATTCTAATATGCAGCCATTAATAATTGTGACCTTGAACAACTTTTTTCATTATTTTGATAAACATTTACTAACATGAGAAAATGTTCTTAAATATAAAATAAAAAGAGCAAGATATAAAGATATATGTTTCTCTTATAAAAGAAAAAATATGCACATAACACCAACACATAGCAAAATGTAGCAGTTCTGTATAGGTGACTTTTATTTACTTCTTTATATTTCTATGCATTTAAAATACAATGTATATTGTATAATATAAATATAATTATAGAAATATCAGACCTGTGTTTGAGAATGAAATGAGAACTCAAAAGGTGAGAAAGTGTGTGGTCTTCCCCTATCATTTACTACATGAACAACCTAAGACAAAGAGCTTCGAGGCTTGTCAAGGGTCACAGGTATTGAGCAACGGTGTAGTTGGAATAGGATTGGTAATTATCATACTTTCGAATTCTTGGCTATTGAAGTCTTTGAGAATAAATATCCAATTAAATATTGTTATAATTATAATAGAGATGTTGAATTCAAGTCAATTTCAAATAATATCTAATGAACGGAGGGGATGCCACAGCCATTAAAAATATATATTGATGATGAATGTGTACCACACACTGACAGGCAACACAGAAGAACAGCAATGCTCTGCTGTATTTTTCCTCTGCCTGTGGCAGACATGGCAGTGTGTGACCCAAGCCTAAAGGTAAGATATGTCCACAACAAATTCAGACACATGGGGATTTCTGGAACACTTATGAGAGGGCTACAGAGGGAGGATGTGTGAGAAGAGGAAGTAGGCATAAAACTCTGTCCTAAAACAAAGTCTTCCTAATCCAAATGAAGAGGCAATTTCAAACAAGGAGACACTGCCTGTCATTCAGGTTGGTTCTTACATCTAGTGCTACCCTTAGTGGCAGAACACATACATGTATGCATGCACACATATACACATAAATATACACCCTCTCTTTTCCAAATAATTCACATCTGAGTTGTAGGAGGAACTGTGTTATAAGAGCTGAAAGAGTTATTTTCTCCTAAAAGACATTCAGAGTGCAAAATGTAATTTAAAAGGGGTTGAGAGGTATTTCGTTCACTTCTGCCAGGAAAGCAGAATTAACTGCTTAGGACCTGGAGAACTCCTGAGAACAAAGCATCAGTTTGGCACTTTGAAGACCTCAGCAGTAGATTTCTCTTAGGGTGGCGGAAAAACGCCAGGTGATATGCAAACATCAGCAAGCACAGCAATAGTTGGAAAAGTGGATCATACGCAGTGGTGCTATTAGAAGCAGCATTCTTCTCTAGCCCTGGAAATCTAGCAAAGCATTCACGTATCTTGGTTGTGTGTTAGATGCCAGGATACATCGTAAGAGCAACATTATCTCATCCCCTAGCCCTCACAGAGATCCAATGGTGTGAAGAGATTGAAATACATAATTACACAAATAATTCCTTAATTCTAATTGCAATCATGTTCAAAGGAGAAATACAGAGGTTAAAAGGACATGTGTGTGTGTATTATATATATTTTATATAAATGGCAGATATATATATGTACACATATATACATATATACGTATGTATACATATATATATGGCAGAAAAAATTAATTCAGTTTGGAGGATTAACTGTAGAGGTTTTAATAGGAGACACGTACAAGGAGACCAAAGCTAGAAGACAGAACAAAACCAGCAATCACTATATTGGTAGGTTAGTGAATTTGAATATGCATACATGTAATATCCCCACTATGAATTGAGGGTTGAGTCTTACAATAACAGGAGAGGAAAAAGGCAGTGAAGTATGATTGTCACTGCATTACTGATCTTAAATTTAACCTCAAGTTTAGATAGCCTGACACTGTTACTTATGTGTCCTCAATTGTAAAGCATAGAGGGATATTTGGGACACACAAATGGGAGATGCTTAACTAGTGTAAAATACTGATCCTGACAAGCAAAAATCACTTTGGTACATCACATAACAATAAATGTGTTTTTATTTTTTCATATATTTATGTTGAGATACTCAGTTTTCTGAAATTATTATTAGTGAAAGTAAATCAGCCGTAATAAGGCACTACAGTCATTTTAATTTATATCTGGACTGTTTTCTCTCAGATATGAAACCTTAAAAATAGAAGTGAACTTTAAAACTGAGTCCAACCTTGCATTCTGTTGAAAATAGACTACCAAAAGTTAAGTGATGTGACAGTGTCTATGGAGCAGAGTTGGGACCGCACAAGTCTTACTTGCTAGGCCTTCACCCTGCATGGCTCTTTGCATCTCTGTTTCTTCTTTATTTCATTCATGAGTGTCTTGGCAAGCCATTTTTAAATTTTCTGGTTTCAGTTCCCTCTTTTTCTTCATTCTTTTCTAATTATTTCTTTTCTTTTCTTTTTTTACAATTCTCCTGCATCTCTTTTTCCACCTCCCAATTTCTTTCTGATTTTATCCATTTTATATTTCCTCATCATTACATTTTATCATTATATAAATGAGACATAATACAAGTAAAAATGAATGGTTAGGAATGAATTCTTTAGTCAGTATAAACAGTGACACATGGTATAATAAGAGAACTTAAGGAAAATAAGAAAACACAGGAACTAAAGAGTCCCAATAGCTAACCACATGAAGATGTTAGAGCAAAAAGGTAAATCTTTATTCCTTATGTTGTAATCAATATGTTTAAATCTTGTGATACATTGAAAGTATTAAAGAGAAATGAAATTGTATTCATTGTGTAAAAATGTACATTTTAATTAATAATACATTAAAGTACATGTAAAATTTCAAAAGTTAAAACTATTTTACATATGGTTTCAAAAAGTTACTTTTCTTATAATATTAAAAATCATTAACCTTAAATTGACAAAAATCAAATGTTAATAATAAACATTGTTAATAAATTGGCATTTAAAACAACAAATAAATATAAATTTTAATTTAGACAATTTTATTAAATATTGTTAAATATTTTTATAAAATAAAATTCTGTTCCAGTTTTCAGTGTTTGTCTAGTTGTCAATTACAAAAATCAGTGTCAAGATACTTGTTATGTCTAGACATATACAAATTTAAGAGAATTTAAATTGTTTAGGAGAGAGGAATATTCCCCAGGTACCACAGGTGATATTTCAAATACCATATTAATTTGTGAGTAACTCCAGAACTTCACATTGGAACAAAAAAAAAAAACCAAGAAAATAACTCTTAGCAAAACTAGGAAATGAAATGTTTTTGAGAGAAGCTGTCGAATTCATGCTATCGGAGTTAAATGCTATCAGAGTTAAATATCTTCTTCCCTTGGATCTAAACGTCATGCTGCACAGATTATTTTGGTACTCTGAAACAGCACTACCCACAAACATTCATGAAATCTGAGACCAGTTACTTAGTGTTTTGAGGGCATAGTTCAACAGATGCGGAGAACTGTTTTCTTGGGGTCTGAAGGGTGTTAATCAAGACAGTGAATGTTTAGGATTCCCAGGGACAGTCTGCCATACTGAATGTAGAAAGCTGTGTATCAAAACTGTGTATATTCCTCTTTTTTTTTGAGACAAGGTCTTACTATGTTGTCCAGGTTGGCCTCAAACTCCTGGGTTCCAGCCATCCTCCTGCCTCAACCTCCCAAGCAGCTGGGACTACAGGTGCATGCCAACATGCCTGGTTATATTATTTAATGCTGCATGTATGTGTGTGCACATGTGTATGTGTGTGTGTGTCTGTATTTGTGTGTGACAAAGTCTTGTTGAAGCTGGGAAATCCAAGAGACGGTGGTTGTCTTGTCACTATAATCTCACAATAAAGAAGGAAAGAATGAGAGATTTTCCTCATCTCTTCTTAGGAGGGCACTAGTCCAGTCATTAGGGCTCTTCGCCCTTGACCCAATCACATCCCAAAGGCCCTACCTCCTAATATCATCACATTGGGGTTTGGGATTTCAACAAATACCTTTTGGAAGAAACATGAGCATTCAGTTCACTGCAGCTGGCATGTACCTGTAGGTAGAAAGATATACAAAGTAGGATAAGCATGATACAGCAAAAATAGAAAATGCGTGGGACTAAGATTTCAGATATTCTTTGCAAAGGGTTTTATTGATATCCTAGAGAAGAGGAATAATGCACACTGAAATTATTTTGTTATATATTATGTGTTGTTGATATGGGATGGGGGCAGGGAAATGCTAGGTAGCGAAGGTCAGGGTCCCTGACGAGGGCTCCACCCTGAAGCCCGTGCCCACAGGACCTAAATGAGGACAGCCATTTCTATTTTCATGCCCAAAAAGTTGCCTTTTGGCCTGCCATGCCCCCATCCTCTGCCCATAAAAACTTGAGACCCTAGTGGGCCAGACACATGGGGCTGAATGTTGAGAAAAGCAGAAGAACAAACCAACAGACACCACCAGACATGGGCATGCCAGCAATGGTGGAACAACACAGACACCAAAAGGAATTCGGCGGGGGGCAGTCGGAGGAGAGTCTGGCTGGTGGGTGGCCCAACTCCAGAGCAAGACCACCTTCCCACTCCATCCCCCTTCTGGTTCCCCATCCATCTTGCTGGGATCTACCTCCACCAGTCAATAAAATCTTCTGTTTCATTATCGATTATATATATTTTTTTCTTCATTCTTTTCTAATTATTTCTTTCCTCTTTTTTTTTTTTTTTTTTTTTTTTTACAATTCTCCTGCATCTCTTTTTCCACCTCCCAATTTCTTTCTGATTTTATCCAGTAGCACTGCATAGTTAGTCCATTTTCTCAAAAAGAATATTGACCACAAATGTTGACTGGATTTGCCTAGCCGAAGTATGTTTATCAATTATTATTTGCAGCATTCTTCTAACATTTAAAGTTTGACAAAAAGATGTATTGATATCGTTTGAATTTGTGTCCCCACCCAAATTTCATATTTAATTTTAATCCTCAATGTTGGAGATAGGGCCTGGAGGAAGGTGATTGGATCATCAGGGCAGTTTCTGATACCTTAATACCATCTTCCTGGGTGCTGTTCTCATGATAGTGAGCGAGTGAGTTATCATGAGATCTGGTTATTTAAAAGTATGTAGCACCTCTCCCACTTCTCCACCTCCTGCTCCAGTCACATGAAGACAACTCCTCCTGCTTTGCCTTCAGCCATGTGCAAAAGCTCCCTGAGGCCTCCCCAGCCACATTTCTTGTACAGCCTGTAGAACTGTGAGCCAATTAAACCTCTTTTCATTATAAATTACCCAATCTCAGGTATTTCTTTATAGCAGCAAGAGAACAGACTCATATGTTGAAAAGTAATTCACTATAGAAAGATCTATGTATACAAGTATAAATCTGTGTATAGATTCATGAATACATTTAATTAATTAGGATTATGTTTGCCTGAAAGTGAGAGAAAAGGAAAAATAATAGTGATCTAAATAAATATCAATAAATTTATCTGTCATATAAACAAAATCCAGAGGCAAGAAATGGTCCCAGGATAATTTGGTAGTTATGCTCTATGAAGCCTCCAAAAACCTGGGATCTTTCCAGCTCACCACCTTGCCATCCCTAACATATAATCCTTCACCCTATGGTCCACAAAGGTGGTATCTGTACTCCAGGGAACAGGATGAAGAAAACTCTGAAAAGGGGACAAATGGAGAGGTGCCAACTTAATCTTAAGAAATTTACCTGGCAGCTGCCATGTGACACTTCTATTTAAACCTCATTGGCCAGAATTAGTCACATGGCTAAACCTAGATATAAGTAAAGCTTTATTCTGGATGGCAAGAAACTCCACCAGCATGTGAGAAATGAAAAACAACTACTGACGGATAACATCACTTTGCCATGCTTATTTTATATAGATAGCTTATTGATGGCATGTAACATATGATACTACAAAAGAATTTCAGTGTGCATAATTCTTCCTCTCTAGGATATTGATGCAACCCTTTACTAAGAATATCTGAAAGCTTAGTCTCAATGTGTTTTTCTTTGTTCTTTATCTTGTTCACCCTACTTTGTGCATTTATCTATCTCCATATCCATGCCAGTTGCAGTGGACTGAATGTTTATCCCTAACCCCAAAATGAATATGTTGAAATCCTAAACCCCAATGTGATGATATTAAGAGATAGGGCCTTTGTGAGGTGATTGGGTCACCTTTGTGAGGTGATTGGGTCATGAACGAAGAACCCTCATGACTGGATTAGTGCTCTCATAAGAAGAGAAAAACTCCTTATCCCTTCTTTCATGTGAGATTACAGGGAGAAGACAGCTGGCTATGAGGCAAGCCTCATCAGACAATTTTCTGATGCCTTGATCTTGGATTTCCAAGGTTTCATAACTGTGAGAAATAAATTTCTGGCATTTTTATAAGCTACCTAATCTATGGTGTTTTGTTATAGCAGCCCAAATTTACTAAGACACAAGTTCAGCCAGTTTTGTTATTCAGAATTGACCGATATACTAATTGCAAACCATTTCTATATTTGCAATTGTGCTAGATTTGCTCTTTATATATCCCAAGTGCATTGTGTTCTGTTCCATTTCATAAAAAATAATAAAATTTTGGAGATATTACACTGTTGATAGCTTTTGCAAATAACATGCCTACAAATACTTTCTGTTGCTGTGGTGGCAGAGGTTTTAGAGGGTGCCTCGCCTTTAGGGTGCAAAACATAATGTCTGGTTTGATTATTGCCTTCCCATCACTAGAAATCCTTTACTCTGAGATTAGTTTCCATAATTCATTAATAAATACTGCTATTCCCCAAAAGCACAGCTATAATTAGGGCTAAAAATACTACTGTTAAATTCATTTTTGAACTTTATTACTTTTATTAACACATCACATTTATTTCACTATGTTTAGTGATTATTGATGAATTTTATCTCTTCTTTGTAGATTCTAATCCCATTTGTAAGAAATGTGTGTGTATAACACAGTCCTTGACATACAGGAACTAAAATGTATAAATAACATATATAAACAACCTATTGATTATTGATTTACACTGCATGTACATTAATGACAAAAAAGTTATGTATGATGCCAGTTGAAAGAAGAAAAATTTTCAAAAGTCTTTGTCAGTTTTTGTCAAATCAGAAAGAATCAAGTAGGGGAATGGGAGTAAATTGGTATAGCTATTAACTATCCTTGGAAATAACAATAGAATATCTCTTTATTCCACCCTGGGCTGAAAATGGTAAAAGAATTTAACAAAAGGGGGAAGGCATAGTTTTTGACATATATTTTGGGTGTATCACTGGAATTTAAAATAAATAGTGAACAAATGATTATAATCCCCCAAAATCTTTAATATAAATCAATCATTTTTAAGAAGCCAGTTCTGCTTTGGAGTATCTTGAGAAGTTAGAAGTCTCTTCTACTTCAATGTTTCTACTGAATGTACTCAGGAGCGTAGCTTCCTATCGAGACCACATCAGGACTGTTGTGATAAGTGGAAACACCACAAGTCCCCGGGCTGTGATTGGGCAGGTAATAACTCACATCAGTTACCAAGATAACACTTTATTGAGAGAGGGACATAAACATTTCCACTTAGAAATTCTATTGCCCGTTGTCTTTCTTATTCTCTCTGTTTCACTCAAATTCCTCATTCACATTTCCTGTGAGTAAATTTTGGCAAGAAGGAGAGGGGAGAGGGAATAATTCCATATTCCTCCAAACCTTGAGCTTGCCATATAGTTGCCATGTTAAAGTGCATCTACAATCATGGATACATTCTGAGGTAGATCTATATTTTTGTCTCATTTCCTCAGTTTGTGAAACCTGGATTTTCTACTGTTTAGGTACAAGGATTTTATGGTTATATAAATAGTTATGTATAAAATAATGCATATGTTGAATTTGGACTGTGAAATATAAAGATGATTCAAGGAATGAAGACATTATCAGCTCCTGCATATACTTTCACCATGTAGAGTTAAGGAACAAATAGAATAAAGCATGGAGGTAATTCAGTTTCCTAACAGCTATAAAATTTTTCCAAAGATAAACATTAATTATTATTTGTCACTTCCTTGAGAATTTAAGATTCAGTTGATCAGATTTTCTTCCCGAATTTATCTGGAATCAGCATCTCCACCAATTTACTACTTATTCATAATTATGATATTCAAAATAAATCTTAAAGGTTTATGTTAAACATTGGTTCTATCAAAAATATCAGATTTTTCAGACATTCTGTTGTACATATTCTGTTTTATAAGTAGAAATTTGCTTTGTTTGAAATAATGAGAAAGGATTTGTTGTTTCTTGCTTATAAAAGTCCCCCAGAAAAAAATGTTAATATTCAGCAAATGACAGAAGTAGCGGTTGCCATGAAATTAGTTTTTGACTTTAACAAGGATAATGCATAGAACTGCTCAGTCTTCAAATGGTTTTCAAGACATTCATTGATTAATATTAGTTTCTGAGGACAGCGCTTATTAAAGGTAGGTGCTGATATACTAGAGAATCTATAAATTATTTCTGTATATGTGTGTACTCATTAAAGGCACAAACTTTTTAAAATTTTGATTTTTTAATATGGCATATATTATACAAGTATTTAAGTGCTTATCTTGACTTAAAGTCTGTCCACTGAGTGAATTTTAATGTTTTAGTTTGGAGAGGTTTTTACTTGAAGGATCTTAAAATTATGATTAATAGTCTTTCTGGGATATCTGGTATTCAATGAAGAAACTAGAACAAAAGTGGACTCAGTCATCCTTAAAGTCATATGAGTATTGCTATAAAAGCAAAAGTCAATTACAAGCGTGATTGACTGATAGCAATGTAACATAAAGCAAGTTAGCTGAAAAGATTAGCATTCAACTTTTCAAGAGACTTAGAAAAGAAAGTCCCAGGCTCACAACTTATAATCAATGTCAAGATTTATTCAAATCTGTCAATTGATTTTTCTGTTATGCTCTCAGAACAGTTGAGAAATGTAATTAATTTAAAAAATGACACAAGAGTACCACTCTCTTGCTAATTGGCAGTAACTTTGAGCAAATGCTGCGCATGTGCAGAAGACAGGAAAGTTGTTAATCACCCCCATTTGGTGACTTAGTCCCACACAATTACATTACCATCCTCACCTGCATTGAGGAGAGCCTCACAACCTTGCATTTTAGAAGTAAATGACACTGAGAAAAGGAACCATAATGAATATAAATAAACAGAAGCAGGATGTCTGGAATATGTTTAAAGCAAAGAGGTGATTTCAAATAGCCCCAGTATAGCTTTGCAAAGATGTTATTGGATTCATAGTTTCATTTAGTAAAGCTTGCTCTCTGATTAGAGGAGAGTTTATTAGATTGGTTTATCAAATATTTATTTACTCAATGTAATGGAGTTTGAATGGAGTCAAAAAATGCATTATATTTTAAGACGTTATTTTATTTATTTATTTATTTTTTTGAGACGGAGTCTCGCTCTGTCACCCAGGCTGGAGTGCAGTGGTACGATCTGGGCTCACTGCAAGATCCGCCTTCCGGGTTCACGCCATTCTCTTGCCTCAGCCTCCCGAGTAGCTGGGACTACCTGCGCCCGCCACCACGCGGGCTAACTTTTTGTATTTTTAGTACAGACAGGGTTTCACCATGTTAGCCAGGATGGTCTCAATTTCCTGATCTTGTGATCCGCCTGCCTCGGCTTCCCAAAGTGCTGGGATTACAGGTGTGAGCCAACGTGCCCAGCCAAGATGTTATTTTTAAAGAGAAAACTTTAAATAAGGAAGAAAGTAAGGTGTATAAATGTGATCAAAGCATTGTTAGAATGACATAAACCAAGGATCAGGACAGACTGTCTGTAGATGTGGCTGTAAAGTAATTCTGAAATTTTAACACGAGTCAACAGGGGGGCAAACCGGGGAGAATTTCCAACTGGGAATCTTCTTGAAGGTAGATTAACTCTTTTCTCTCTTCTCCATCTTTCATACTACTCTCCCCTCTCCCTCCTTTTCTATTCCTGTTTCTGTCATTTCCCTCACACAGAAATTCTCAACTTCTGGTCAAGTAGCTACTCACTAGCTAGTCTTCAAGTCAGTCACTAAATTGTCAAGTATTTACCAGGCTTATGAAAACTAGTCCGGTTCTGAGCAGGAATGGAAGACTATATGGCAATTCTCCAAAATAATATGTTTTTAAAATTTTGTTGCAACATGTAAAGTAAATATTTAATGTGCCTAACTAAATGGATTTGAAAAAAAAAAGCTGCCCATGTGCAGAAGAGACAGGAAAGTTTTAATCATCCCCATTTGATGTGGTTCCACACAATTACATTACCATCCTCACTTGCATATTTTGCTGGTTGCATAATTTTAACAAGTATGATAACTGATTTAACCTCTTAGTTACTTTCAGCACACACACGTGACAAAAATGGGTTTACAGAGTATCATCTAATAAAACAGGTACTCCCAAATATTTCATAGCAAAATTTAAATGTCTAATGACAGAGGACTATTTTAACAATTATTGTATATTTATTACATGAAATAATGAAATATTGTTAAGAACCCTACTAAAATAATTCTGTGAAATTTGTATAGAAACTGCTTATGTTACACTGTTAAGAGAAAAAAAGAATGCAAAGTTAAACATTTACTAAAATCATTCTGTCTATAAGATTAGTGAGTTGGTATTAAATAGCTGGGTCATAAAATGCCTGGTATACTGTGACCCGAGTGTGCTTATTGTAATCGCACAAAGTATATCTTATTACCCAGGTTGACAAACAATGCCAGAATTCAGTTTTACTTGGGATGCAATTTGGAAGTTAGCCTTTTCATCCATGGAAAAGCAAAGTGAACTCCCTCCTGCCTTACAGTTGGAGAAGAACAGAAACAAGACAGATACTCAGGCAATGAATATCTCTAGGGCTGGACCAAGAAAGAGAAACCATTTCTGGTAATAAGCAACTAGGGGCAGGGATTTTCCAATGTAAATAAGACCTCTTTAGAAACATTCTTGATGAACGAATACCTGTACTTTAAAAGAACTTTGTGTAATTGCAGAACGAGACCGTCCTGGCTAACACAGTGAAACCCCGTCTCTACTAAAAATGCAAAAAAATTAGCCGGGCGTGGTTGCAGGTACCTGTAGTTCCAGCTACTCGGGAGGCTGAGGCAGGAGAATGGCCTGAACCCTGGAGGTGGAGCTTGCAGTGAGCCGAGATCGCGCCACTGCACTCCAGCCTGGGTGACAGAGCAAGACTCCGTCTCAAAAATAATAATAATAATAATAATAATAATAATAATAATAATAATAATAATATTTTGAAGGAAACAGTGCACACTGGAAGGGCAAAAGTGGTACATAGAAGATGAAATTGGGCTGAAAGAAATATTTCTCTGCCACATTTGACCAAATATTTTCACCAGTACCTTAGTGGGGAGGGGTTGAAAATTAATATAAGAAACACACCATGATTTATTAAAAGATGTAAATTTTTATGTTTAGTTAATTATATACTGTTGTCATTCCATCTTGGGTATTTATAATTGTAACTAATTTATTTTGCTTTTTTCATAAAGAGCCAAGTTAAAGGATCTCGGAAAGTGGGGTTTTAGATAGGTATTTAGCTCAGATTCTATTTTACCTAATATGAAGTGTATAGGTTTTAACTGGTAAAACCATATACTCAATTATATTTTTACCATGTTGACTTGAACTGGTCTGGTTGTACAGCTAAGAGAATTAAAATATATAAAGTTATATATAAATATGGACATAGGCTTCTAAGAAGCAAGATCGAATCTAAAAATAATTCAATTTGTGGGATAAGGTTTGGGACTGATTTACTGTCACTTTTATAAGATTTCAATTATTATTTTACTAATATTTATTTATATATTACTGTCTCTCAGGAAAAATAAGGAGAATTTATAATAATATTATTTGCACAATATTTATCAACTTTAGTTATGATAATATCTTACTAATAGATGTTATTAATCTATTATCAACTGACATCATTAATTTTAGCAAATCCTTTCTGTTCTTTGGTGTCAATGCCCTCTAGCCAAAGATCCCTGGAAATACACTTGTAATTGAACAAGTTGAGTTTGTTGCTCTGTAGTGGGATTGATAAGGAATCAGAGACCAGTGGGGTTCAGGAGGATATTTATTATTTAGGTTCACCGGTCCAGTTGGATTAACATCCAAAGGACTGAGCCCTGAACAAAGAGTTAAGTTACCTTTTAAGCATTTTGTGGGGCGGGGTGGGGTGGGGGAGATCTGTACAGGGGGAAGCATATTACAGAAGCAAGAAATAAAAAACAGTTATTCAATTAATTGAAACATGCATTACATCATTTCTTACTTTTTAAGGAAAAACATGTTTTATGACTTGAGTTTATCTGTCTAGTGACCTTGCAGCTGCACAGCTAGAGAAACAGGGTCTTCACAATGTCTGGGAAAAGAGGAGAGACAAGGCTCACTAGCCACAGAAAAACAGGCAGTTAATTTTTTAAGGATTCCAGCTCTTTCTTTTTCTCAGGGGGAATTGGGTTTTCTTACATACACCTGAATTTCTGCTTACACATTCTTTAATTTTTTTAAAATTCCTGTTCTAGCTCACTAAAATGAGAAAGAACAGACACGAGGGGAAATCACGAAGTATATCAGTAAATTGTTAGAAAGTACCTATTACAAGATTTGGGCTTTCAATGTTGAGTAATTTTGAGGAGAATCTAAAGAAGTGGGCCTTCGTTCTGGATTGTATACTGTCAGGAAGGTAGAATAATTCTACGATTAGGCATTGAAAGAAATATTATCAATGGGAAGAAGTGGATAATGGTACAAAGAGGATCCAACAGTCACTCATATTAATTGGAAGGGGGAACTATTTGATATTTTGCTGGTTGTGCCAACAAAAATAGATCTTGTTTTTGTCCCACTTTATTACTATCTCAGATCGTTTAACTTCAACCTGAGAACATGGATTACCTATGAGCATCAGACCAGTTCTCAGATGTCAGGTGTTGCCTTTTTTTTTCTTTGTCCTTGGCAATGCCATATTCTAAAGCATCACCAGAATGTCTATTTTCACAAGTGTCAATGCCTGAGAGCTGTGGCTGAATCTGGCCAGAGACTAAGATCCCTGGAAAATAAGCTCTACAAAATAAATAAGCAAAGTGCATATTTTTTAGCCAGTTGTATTCCTAAAGAGCTTCTATTTTCTACTCCTAGTAATTTCTGGGAATGGTTTTCTTTCTTATTTAAGTGCTGAAGATATCCTTTGTCTGAGTATCTGTCCTGACTCATTTGCCTTCTAAGGGACACAGCCTTGTTTAGCCTGGGAGGAGTTAGTTTCTCTGGATTAGGAATATACTAAATGTTTCAGCTGACTGTACAAAGGAGAAGGAAAACACCAGTGAAATAAACTAGATAGGTGCAGGGGAAAGATCATCACTGCAAAAATGCAGAGTCAATCATGTCAAAGGCCAGTACCACAGGAAATTGAAGACAAGACTCTGTGAGGCCACACAGCCCAGAAATGGGCTGAAAGAAGGAATAAGAATGAGGTACCTGGGAGTGAGGTTCAAGAAGAGACCCTCCCATGCTGAGCATGCTGCCTCTGGGGACCTGTTTGCTCCTTTCTGTCTGTTTTGCAGGTGAGCCCCATCTGCTAAAAGTGGCCATATCTTCAGCTCCCTTGACACAAAATAAGCAAATAGAGGATCTAAAAATAAACACACACACACACGCACACACACGCACACACACACACACACACATATGTATACATCTATATATGTATACATCTCTGTATAGACGTGTATATATATACGTGTGTGTGTGTGTAATTTTAACAGAAATCACATATACTTCATTAAAGGTGTTCACATAAAACTGATATGGTTGACACATGCTATTTTCATGGGAACATTTTCCAAAGCCTGGAAAAAAAAGAGAGGGAAAAAAATACTTAACAACAAAACAGAATATTGAGAATGGAAACAGTGTATGAAGTGTAAGAAATGTTTCAATGGTGGTGTCTGACAAGGAGAAACAATAGCCTTGGCTCTTGACATTAAGAGTTGACCATAAGGCTTGATCTTTTCCTACTTCGATTACTCTCAAGGATCCTCTTTGCCTCATACTATTCCACTTCTACTTCTGAACCAAGACGATGTTTTTGCTAAATAAAAATTGGTTCATGTTTTGTCCTGACTCTTCAAGACTCTCTTGACTCCCTATGTCTGTGGGAGAGCACTTCCTTAATTGTTTTCCATGAACATTTCTAAGAGACATTAAAAGGTATTTTTAAGATTCTTTCAGCAAATAATGTAGAAGACACTGATTCAGCAAGGTTAAAGAGGCTTCTACAGAATTTTTCACAGTTGTGACTCATAGAACTATGTTTATTATACAACCTCTTTCCATACTACACGTATTAAGAACATGGAGGACCTGGTGTACCACAAAACACTGTGACAAGTATCTATCAGGGGCATCCAAAGGAGAGAATACAGTCATGGGTTCTTAGTTTCTGTTTCTGGTTGGGCCAGTAAAGCCTATTCCTCATCCCTCTTTTCAACTTAAGCCTATTCCTCATCCCTCTTTTCAACTTATCACTAGAGACAGAAACTAAAACCCATGGCTTCAGGCTGCTAAAAGCCCTAAAACAAAACAGAATGACAACAACAAAGTAAGGTGGTTGGAGAAGCTTGTGTGATGTCAGCATCATTTTTTTTTTTTTTTTTTGGATTTGAGGACATTCATGATCTAGCCCCTGCCAAGCACAAAAATCACATTGTCTTCAAACATGTTCATTACAGGCATAGTTTTCTGTAACTTCTTCCTGGGATCTTGTTCACTTTGGCCATTCCCTTCATACCTCTTCCTGGCATCTTGTTCACTTTCGCCATTCCCTTCATACCTCCTATATACATTTCTAGTTTAGTACCATTAACCTAATTTGACAGCTGTTTCATTATATCCATGCTCACCTCACCCCTACCCTCCACCCCAGATGAGTGTGTTAAAGGAAGCTTCCTGTCATGTAATCCTGCATTCCTACCACAGGGCCTGCCACATAGTAGGTACCCATTTAATATTTGCTGAGTGAATTCAGTGGCAGTTTTTCTCCAAAGGCTTATAGTTAGTTTGTTAAAAATGGCCTCACGGATACTTATGGGGCATGATAAGAGCTTTGCAAGAGAACAAATACAATGTTGCCAAGAAATATAGCCACAGTAACCAAGTATTCTTTGTTGTTATGGTTATTGTTGTTTCAAGGTTAAACGCTAGACTGATGAAAAACGTATAGAATTATGGAATTTCAAGAAGATTTGAAGCGACTTTAGAGGTCATTTGGCTCATCTCGTTTTTTTGAAATCCAGTATATTTGCTGCCAAGTGGTTGGTCTACAGCTTGTTTAGACACCAAAGTTCCTTTGGTAGGGACTTAACTTTAATCTCTCTTGTGATAAAACTGCCTGGCATGTGAGGAATTTCAATTGATCTGAAAAAAAGAAAAAAATATATGGGCTCTACTTATAATCCTAGGGTTGCCCTAAAGGGCTACAGCAAAAAAAAAACCTGATTTCTTTGTCACATAGCAACTCTTCAAATAGTTAGCTACACTACTCCCCCATGCATAGTCTCTTCTCTAAAATAGTGTAGTAATAAGCAGCCCAAATCTTCAACACTTCTATATAAGTCCCCAGCTTAGCAGTCGCTTGACTTCTTTCTTATGTGAACCATTACATTATTTTGTAACTTTCAAAGAATGGCATGCAGAAATAAGTCCTATATTCTATGTGTGATGTAATCAGCATTCAAAAAATATATTCCAATTAATATTGTTTTTGGACAATGATATTATGCTAATGACAATTTTAATTAAAACTGTACTGTCATCTAAAACCTTTCCAGCCTTTAATGTATGCAGTGTGCCAGGCCATGTACTCCATTGCATAGTCATGAATTTGGACTTTTGGAACCATATGTGGAATTGTAATTTATTCGACTAAAATCTATTTTTGTAACATTCCTTCCCCAGACTATTGTTATTTTCCATCATGACTTTGTTTTCTATTAAACATTTACTGAGCATCTGAGATGTATAAGATCCCACGTTATGCAGTAAGAATGCAAAATCTGATAAAAATATATTTCATCTCTTCCAGATATTAAAAGCTATATGAGAAGACACACAATAATTTCAGGATATCATGGAGACAACTTTATCCAAATTATTGGGAAAATATATTAAACAGGTGAAAGGGATCTTGGGAGCATGCCAGTAGTAATTTTCCTCTAGAATCACCTCCACCAATATTCTTTATGTACATGTTTGCAAATGTATTTTGAAGTATACTTTACTTTCTGGAATAAGTATTGAATGGCCCAAAGCTAATGGTTAACTTGGGTTGGATAATAAGGGAATGTTAACTACACCAAGGATCTAGCCTGGATAACATAGTACATGAAATTGTATGTGTAGCCACCCGGTCCAATCCCTTTTAATTAATTTGAATTCTTCTTGCCTTACAATTATTTTCCTGTCAACTAGAAACAAATGACCCAAATCACTTTGAAAATGGCCCTCTAGGTATCATTAAATATCATGTTTTATTATTATCTTTCCAACAGACTGAATATGTCCATTTCCATGAAACTTTCCTTAAACATTTTATTTAATGAACCTTATCATTTTATTTATGACACTAAAATTGGTTTTCTATTGTAATGACAAAATGTAATCTGAATATAATACTTTTAATGAGATCTATTGAATGCCAAATGGAGTGGAATGATTATTTTGGGAGGCAAATATAGGATAGTTTTCTTTTTCAACAAGCACATTCACTATATTATTTTCCAGAACTTTATCCCTGGGGTGTACACAGTTTTACAATCCCTTTTTTAAATGCTCCCATCCACTTGCCCACACCACCCTGGGAATACTGGGTAGAGATTAGGAAACAGCTTACCGTTCGCCTTTCATTATCTCAATTTACCAATTTTAGACCATTTCTTCAACCTATACAGCTATTCACATTTCCATAATTTTATCTTCTTTACTGGTGATTAAATGAAAGATTTTGCTAAGTTGCATATCAACAAAAATGTGGAGCATATAATTGAAATGAATTCTATTGGTTCTAAATCAAAGAATGGGGAGGGCTTGGGCTGATTTTATTCATAGTACTACACTTATCATGGTGCAATTTGGGAGGTTCTGAGACTACCCTCAGATTCAATAATTCACTAAAAGGAATCATAGAACTCAGAAAAGCTATTATATACATGGTTATGGCTTGTTGCGATGAAAAGATACAAATTATAATCAACAAAAGGAATCAGCAAAGGGATCCAGAAAGCAGGATCCAAGACAGAACAGATGTGAAACTTCTAGTTGCTCTCTTCCAGTGGAGTAATTGAGACAATGCTTATTTCTCTCACTAATGATATTTAAAAATATGTATAAAATATTGCCAACCAGGGAAACTCACCCAAGCCTCAGTTCAAGGGCTTTTATTGGGGTTGGTCACATAGATATGTCTGACTGCCTGAATATCTGATCTTAGTCTCCAGTTCTTCTAGAAATCAAGCTCATACTATGTGGCCCAAGGCCTCTATCAGGAATTACATTGTTAGCCTAGGCTATCTGGTGTGACTCAAGACCCCCAAGAAAACAAATATAGTCTTATCAGACAAGATATTCGAAGGACTTAGAAATCCTGGGTACAAGGAACCGGTTAAGTGCCAAACCATTCTTTTGACAGGGTTGATTGCAAAAACAGATTCTTAATTTAGTTTGTAGAGCATTTTGGAGACAATAAGTTTACTTTGTTTAATAAATAAACCTTAGAGACTATCATGCATACTTAAACTTAGCAGAAATTTATAATATCAGACAACCTTTGGAAGATATTCAAAGCCTTAGGAAGATAGAACTGATAGAATAGATTTATAATGTGAGACCCAGTCATGTACTCTTTTAACGATGTCTATTGAGACGGCTCAGAGACCTTCTCATTATTAAAAAATTGAGGTATATATTCATTCTATTCTTTCACTCATTAATTCATAACTACTGAATGCAATCATGAGCCAGAAAATATTCCAACATGGGATTCGTCAGTAAGAAGAACAGATAAAGGTCCTTACCACTGTGAAACTTACTTATATTCCAGTGGTGGTAAGGGAGCAGAGGAGAGATATACTATAAAAAATAAACAAACATAATGAATTAGGAAAGTATAATATGCCACATAATGATAAGTTCTGTCTAAAAAGAAAGAAGTAGGCCAAGGTAAGTAGGATAACCAGTGCCAAGTGGATGTGGTACATTACAGTAGTATTAAATATTAAATGTACATTTTGAGATAGGCACCATAATCCTTGAAAGGAATTGTTACCAGAAAGGGGTCCTGATCCAGACCCCAAGAGGGGGTTCTTAGACCTTGCACAAGAAGTAATTTCAGGGCGAGTTCATAAAGTGAAAGCAAGTTTATTAAGAAAGTAAAGGAATAAAGAATGGCTACTCCATAGGCACAGCAGCAGCTTGGGCTGCTGGACTAAGGATATGTATAGCTATTTCTTGATTATATGCTAAACAGGAGATGGGTTATTCATGAGTTTTCCAAGAAAGGGGTGGGCAATTTCTGGAACTGAGGGTTCCTCCCCTTTTAGACCATATAGGGTAACTTCCTGAAGTTACTTTGGCATCTGTAAACTGTCATGGGCTGGTGAGAGTGTCTTTTAGCATGTGAATGTAATATAATTAGCATATAATGAGCAGTGAGGACAACAAGAAGTCAATTGCATTGCCATCTTGGATTTGGTGGGTTTTGCCTGACTTCTTTACCACAACCTGCTTTATCAGCAAAGCCTTTGTGACCCATATCTTTTGCTGACCTCCTATCATCCTGTGACTTAGAATGCCTAACCTCCTGGGAATGCAGCCCACTAGGTCACAGCCTCATTTTACCCAGTCCTCTTTCAAAATGGAATGTCTGTTGTTCAAACGCCTCTGACAGAATGACAATATGAAATGTTACCATTGAAATGGGCTCTCTGGTTTTCCAAAAAGAATGAGATACCAGAGTGGAAGGTAACAAATGGGAATAATTAACCACAAGACAGGCAATGTAAAAGGCATCAGAGCCAAAGAGATAATCAAAAGGTTCTGACCAGAAATTATCACTAGCAGAGGGTAGTTATTCACAGGGACACCAGAACTAAAATAGACACCCTTCTGAAATGCTGCCTTATCTCTATAAGTAAAAATCTTCTAGTTCCTGCCCATAGAGCTTGATTGAGTTACATAGTCATGCCACTTTACTCATTTCCAACCCTCAGTCAATAAAAGACTCACTACCTCTTTCATAAAAGAAGAGGTGGAAAGAAGAAAGAATTTTATGACAATCTTCCCTTAAATCCTGTCCAAATATTCTTGTGCTCATCTTCCAGGGTAGCAATATAATGAAGAAAGGGAAATTCCTAGAACTCTAGGCATTTACTGAACTCTGAATCTAAACTAAAACTAATTTCTGAAATCCAGAAACCACTGATGTTCACCCGTCCAAGTGTCTAGTTTAGAATCAGCACATCATTTTTTGTGAAGAAGCTTTACTGACATTATAGGACATTGTATATACTTTGAACAATAGTTTGGAAAGAATTGCAACTCCACAATGTTGAGTTTTCTCATCCATAAATATGGTATATGTCCACATTTTTGGGGACATCTTTTTTATTACATGTTTTGATAGTTGTCAGAAAAGGTTTTCCTCATTATCCTACTATTTTAACGTCATGTAGTTAAGGCTGATACACCTGCATACTTTCAATTAAAGTGAGCGAGCATCAGGCCATGTCTTGAAATGAATTCTGAGATATTAGTGACCTGCTTCCCAATTCTCTCTAGTCCTGGGAGTTGCTGGCACTGCTCTTGAAGTGGCATCATTGTCTGGGTTAATAGCCGAGGTTTGTTGCCTCATGCCAAGAAAATTAAGGACACAGAATCACACAAGGCATGAGTTTAAGAGTGGAGGTTTAACAGGCAAAAGAAAGAGAATGGAGATCAACTCTCTTTCATGTGAGAGAGGGGGGGCACCCCAGTGGGTCTTTGTGCACCGGATTTTTATAGACAGGCTTGTGCAGGCGGTCTCTGATTTATGTAGGACCTAAAGATTGGTTGGACCAGGTGGTCATTTATATAGTGTGTGGGGAAGCTGGCCACCCGTCCTAATCTTATTATGCAAATAGGCTTTTCACCTGGCCAGTGCCATGTTGTCTGCTCCCTAGTGCACACGTGATTGGAAAGGAAAAGGAAAGACCAAGCCACCATTTTGAATACTCCTAGTCCCACGTAGCCTTTTCCTATTAGCACAAATATGGGCATTCACCCATGCAAGCTTCCAACTTGCTTGGCTATGAGGTGGCTTGATTTTACAGGCTGCTCTTTGTTAGAAAAGAAAATGATTTGGGGGCTGCTTTTCATTATAAGGAAAACCTTACTAAAGACTTCCTTACCCTTATTATCTGCCTAAATGATTTCTTCTTAACTCATATATCACTTTGTCTCTCTAATCCAAGCTCCCATGCTCCTGCGTCTACTTGGAGGTAGAACCCCTTTTGCTTCTACCTAACCCAAGATTGGAGCTAGATGGAAGAGTTGACTTGCTAGTGCCTGCAAAGGCGTCTCAGCTAATTATCTTTTGTGTTGTTCTTATGAGAACAAACCTACTCCCAGCAGATTTTCTGCAGGTGTGTAACATTTTCTTGTGCAAATACTTCATCCTTTGTTAGTACTTTCTTGTTGTTTTGTGTTTTGATTATCCTTTCTTATTGAATGTTACTTAATTTTCTTCCCAAAGGGGTTTCCTGTCTCCTTTGGTTATCAAGAGGTTCCACTTTTGTTTTCCGACGTTGTTGTGGAGTTATAAAGTTAATATTATTTAAATTTTTTAAAATTTTATTTGTTATAAATTCAAGGAAGTAGAGAGAGGCCTGTACTTAGTATGCACCTTTGAAAGAGAAGTCAATATCTCTTTTTCTGTGTACACTCAAAGGTTGCAACTTTCTGCAACTTAAATATTAGAAAGTAAGGAAATAATGTAATTCACCTTTATGTTTTAAAATTGCAATTACTTCTCTTTAAGAAGTAATATGTGATTAATTCAAAAGATCTTGAAAGATAATGTGAAAAATCAGCAACAATCTTGCCACTTAAATATGATTATTGCTGTATTAATCTATTTTCTTCATATACATATAAATATATACATATAAAACATACATGTATGTAAAAACATATATTTATGTATATATGTTAAATATTTTCACATACATGTATTTGAAAGCACATTTCAAATAAATGTGACATGAACATGTTTATGACAATATTATTTATGAGATTATTTTAAATTATTATATAGTGTTCTATTATACAAATACAATATATAGTTGACCTTTGAACAACATGAGGGTTAGGGGTGCCAACACCCTGTCCAGTAAAGAATCTGCATATAAATTTTGACTCGTGAAAAACTTAACTACTATTAAATAGTCTGCTATTGACCTTAGTGATAATATAAAATCAATTAACATGTATTTTGTATGTTATACGTATTATATACTATATTCTTACAAGAAAGAAAGAAAGCTAGAGAAAGAAAATGTTATGAAGAAAATACTAAGGAAGGTAAAATATATATACCATTTATTAAGTGAAGGTGAATAATCATAAAGGTCTTCATCCTCTTCATCCTCATCTTCCTGTTGAGTAGACAGGAAGAGGAAGAAGAAGGGCTGTTCCTGCTGTCTTAGAGGTAGCAGAGGCAGAACAAAATCCTTGTATACATAGACCCACACAGTTCAAATCAAGTACTTCCAGTTTTGTGCAATTGTAAATAATGTCACTCTGAGCTGCTTTATTCTTGCATCTTCACACAGAATTTTTGTGAATTTTCTAAGAAAGCATTATAAGTAATGGTATTACTAGGTTCAAAATAATTCACATATTCAAAGGTTTAATACTTGTTGTCAATATGGTTCTCAATTGACTCTCTTCTGCGTTGTAGACAATTGGTAGTTTCTAAATATTTCACCAACACAATGTTTTATTATTCTTTATATTCATCGAAAATATTAAAGGAAAAATATGCTTTCTCATTATTGTTTAATTTGTGACTACTAGGGGGTTGGGTTGAAAACATATTTTCATCTGCTTTTGTAGTACCTTGAAAAATTGCTTGTTCATCATTTTTCTGTTTTGTAATTTTTTTGGTTGACTTTTAAAACGTTGTCATCTTTTAAGGATATCAATCATATTTTGATATGCATTATATACATTTTCCCATGATTCCATAATTTGGCTATTGCAAGGAATGTTGCAATGAATATAGAACTGCAGATATCTCTTCAATGTACTGATTTCTTTTTTTTTTCTTTTGGATATATATCCAGAAATGCAATTGCTGGATCATATAGTAATGCTATTTTTAGTTTTTCAAGGAGCTTCCATATAGTTTTTCATGATGGCTCTACTAACTTACCTTCTCACCAACAGAGTTGCCAAGACTTGCTATCTTCTGTTTCTTTGTTTGTTTTTGTTTTGTTTTGTTCTTTTATAAGAGCTATTCTACAAATATGCAGTGATATCTCTTTGTGGTTTAGGTTTGCATTTCCCTGATGATTAGTGATGAGCATATTTTTCATATACATATTGGAGATTTGTATGTCTTTTTTGGGGGAATGGCTGTCAGATCCTTTTGCCCATTTTTAAATCAGATTATTTGTTTTTTTGTGTTCTTTATGTATTTTGGATATGAACCTCTTATCAGATGTATTGCTTGTAAATATTTCTCCCAAATTGTTCACTGTCTCTTCATTCTATTTTCTTTCTTTTTTGTGCAGAAGCTTTTTAGTTTGATGTTACCTCATTTGTCTACTTGTGCTTTTGTTACCTGAGCTTTTGCAATCAAATTTTAAAAATCAGTGTTAGTTTCAGATTTTTCACGTAAGTCTTTATTCCATTTAAAGATGACTTTTGTACACGGTATGAGGATAAGGGTCCAATGTGATTCTTCTGCATGTGGATACCAATTTTTCCCATCACTCTTTATTACAGAGTATTCATTTTCCATTGTGTATTCTTGGCATCTTCAATGAAAATCAATGGACTGTAAACACATGGGTTCATTTTTTTGGGGGGGCTTTCTATTCTATTCCATTGCTTTTATTGTTATGCCAGTATCATGCTGTTTTAATTACTATAGCTTTGTAATATAATTTGAAGTCAGGTAATGTGATGCCTACACTGTTGATTTTGCTCAAGATTGCCTTGAACATTCAGAGTTTTTTGTGGTTCCATATGAACTTGAGAGTTTTTTTTCTATTTCAATGAAAAATGACATTGGAATTTTGATTGAGATTGCATTGAATCTGTAGATCACTTTGGGTAGTATAGATATTTTAACAATATTAATTCTTCTAATACATAAACATAAAATATATTTTCAATTATTTGTGTCTTCTTCAATTTCTTTGATCAGTGTTTTGTAAGTTTCAGTGTACATGTCTTTCACCTTTTTGGTTAAATTTATTTCTAAGTATTTTTTGGGAAGCTATTGTAAATGGGATTGTTGTCTTGATTTGTTGTTAGTGTACAGGAATGCTGCTAATTTTGTGTGTTGATTTCATTTGTATTCTGCACCTTTACTGTATTCTGTGTTTTCTGGTGTAATTTTAGGGTTTCCATATGAACATATCATCAGTAAACTTTGATAATTGTATATATTCCTTTCCTATGTAGATGCCTTTTATTTATTTCTCTTGTGAAATAACTCAGGCATGAACATTCAGTGCTCTATTAAATAGAAATTGTGAGAGTGCACATCCTTGTCTTGTTGCTGATTGTAATGGAAAAGTTTTCACCTTTCCACTGTTGAGTACAATGTTCATTGCATGCTTGTCATATATGGCCTGCATTGTGTTGAGGTACATTACTTCTACACCTAATTTATTAAGAGTTTTTAACATTAAAAAAAGTTGAATTTTGTCAAATGCTTTTCATGCATCTACTTATTTGATCATGTAATTTTTGTTCTTCTGAATGTGATATATTGAATTTATAGATTTGCATATGCTGAAGCATTCTTGTATCTCTGGAATAAATCCCACTTGATCATGGTAAATTATTCATTTTCATGATTTACTTGATCATGATAAATGATCACTGTCCTTTAAACATGCTGTTGAATTTGATTTGCTAGTGCTTTTGTTGAGGATTTTTGCATCTATGCTAGTCAGGGATATTGGCCTGTATTTTTCCTTTATTATAATGTCCTTATCTGGCCTTAGTATCAAGGTAATGTTGGCCTCATAAAAAGAGTTTGGAAATATTCCATCCTTTTTGATGTTTTAAAGGCATTTGAGAGGGATTGGTATTAGTTTTTCTTTATTTTGTGTGTGTCTTTTTTGTTTTGTTTTGTTTTTATTTGAGACAGAGTCTCACTGTGTCACCCAGGCTGAAGTGCAGTGGCGCCATCTCAGCTCCCTGAAACCTTGGCCTTCTGGGTTCAAGTGATTCTCCTGCCTCAGCCTCCTGAGTAGCTGGGACTACAGGCATGTGCCACCATGCCTGGCTAATTTTTCTGTTTTTATAGAGATGGGGTTTTGCCATGTTGGCCAGGCTGATCTCGAACTCTTGACCTCAGGTGATCTGCCTGCCTCGGCCTCCCAAACTGCTGGGATTACAGGCGTCAGCCACCACACCCGGCAAGTTTTTCTTTAACTGTTTCATAGAATTCAGTGATAAAATCTTCAAGTCTTGAGCTTTTCTTTGATGGCAGATTATTTTATTACTGCTTCAAACTCCTTACTCATTATTTATCTATTTAGACTGCATATATTTTTGAATCAGGGTTGGTAGATTTTATGTGTTTGGGAGTTTATTTATTTCCCCTAGGTTATTTAATTTTTTGGCATATAAATGTTCTTGATAGTTTCTTGTGATCCCTTGTAGTTTGGTATATCATTTGTAATTTTCTTTTCTTTCATTTCTCATTTTATTTATTTCCATTTTTTCTTTACTAAATTTGTTGTGTTTATCTTTTCAAAAAAGCAATTCTTGGTTTTGTTGATTTTTCCTATTGGTTTTGTTTATTTTTCCTATTGGTTTTCTGGTCCCTATTTCATTTATTTATGCTCTGAATTTGTTATTTCCTTCTGTCTGCTAACGTTGGGTTTAGTTTGTTCTTTTTATTTCCCAGTTACTTGAGATGTAATCTTAGATTATTTGATATCTTTTTGCTTTTCGATATAGGCATTCACTGCTATAAAATTTCCTCTTAGAATTGTTTTTGCTGTATTCCATTCATTGTGGTATGTTTTGCTTTTATTTTTGTTTGTCTCAAGATATTTATTTTTAATTTTATTTTTAAATTTCTTCTTTGACCCATTTGTTGTTTACTAGCATGTTGTTTAATTTCCTCATACTTGTGAAGTTTCCAACATTTCTCCTGTTATTGATTTCTGGTTTTATATAATCATAATTAGTAAATTTACTTGATATGATTTTAATCTTCTTAAATATGTTCAAACTTGTTTTGTGAACTAACATACAATCTATGCTGTAGAAGGTTTCATGTGCACAAAAGAAGAATATGTCTTCAGTTGCTGTTGTAATGAATGTTCTGTAGATGCTTATTAGGTTCATTTGGGTCTAAAGTTTTGTTCAAGTCTGCTGTTTCCCTACTGCATTTTTGTCTGAATGATTTATCCATTGTTAAAATTGGAGTATTAAAGTTCCCTACTCTAATTGCATTACAGTCTATATCTCTTCAGATCTACTTATCTCTATTCAGATTATTTACTTTATAATGTAGTTGCTCTGATGTGTGCATATATATTTATAATTTTTATATCCTTTTGTTCAACCAATCCCTTTATATTTATATAATAACCTACTTTGCCTCTTTTTACAGTTTTTGACTTAAACTCTACTTTGTCTGATATACGTATAGCTATCTCTGTTCTCATTTAGTTTCCATTTGTATGAAATATCCTTTTCCATCCCTTTACTTTCAGACTATGTGTGTCTTTAAAGGTGAGGGGAGTCTATTGTAGGCAGCATATGGCTGGGTCTAGTTTTCTATCTTTCAATCTATTTAGACACTTTATGTCTTCTTATTGAAGATTTAATCCATTTACATTCAAAGTAATTTTTTAAGGTTGGTGAATTTTATTTTTTAATTGCAATTTTTAAAAAATGTTTGAATTTTTGTGGGTGTATATATTTATGGGGTACATGAGATGTTTTGATACTGACATTCAGTATGAAATAAACACATCATGAGGAATGGGGTACCCATTCTGCCAAACATTTGTCCTTCAAGTTACAAACAATCCAACTACACTCTTTAAGTTATTTTAAAGTGTAGGATTAAGATATGATTGACTATAGCAAAAATATGATGCTCAAATAGTAGGTCTTATTCATCCTTTCTGTTTTTCTACCCATTAACCATCCCGATCTCCAACTGCCATGACCCCGACTACCCCTCCCAGCCTCTGGTAACCATTGTTCTACTGTCTGTCCGTGAGTTCAATTGTTTTGATTTTTAGATTCCACAAATAAGTGAGACCATGCAGTGTTTGTCTTTCTGGGCCTGGCTTATTTCACATAACATAATTATCTCCAGTTCCATTCATGTTGTTGCAAATGACTGTATCTCATTCTTTTTTATGGCTAAATAGTACTCTATTGTGTATATGTAGTACATTTTCTTTATCCATTCATCTGTTAATGGACAGTTAGGTTGCTTCCAAATCTTAGCTATTGTAAACAGTGCTGCAAAAAGCATAGGAGTGCTTTGATATACTTCCTTTCTTTTGGGTATATACCCAGCAATAGGATTGTTGGATTATATAATAGCATAATTTTTAGTTATTTGAGGAAACTCCAAACTCTTCTATATAGTTGTTGTACTAATTTACATTTCCATCGATAGTGTAAAATTGTTGCCTTTTCTCCATATCCTCACAAGCATTTGGTATTACCTACCTTTTGGATATAAGCTATTTTAAATGGTCTGAGATTATATCTCACTGTAGTTTTGATTTGTGTTTCTCTGATGATCAGTGATGTTGAGTACCTTTATATATGCCTGTTTGCCATTTGTATGTCCTCTTTTGAGAAAATGTCTATTTAAATCATTTGCTCACTTATGATCACATTATTAGAATTTTTTTCCTGTAGAGTGGTTTGAGCTCTTTATATTCTGGTTATTAATCCTTTTTCAGATGGGTAGTTTGCAGATAGTTTCTCGCATTATGTGGGTTGTCACTGTTGATTGTATCCTCTGCTGTGCAGAAGCTGTTTAAGTTATTGTGAGCCCATTCATCCATTTTTGCTTTGGTTGGATGTACTTGTGGGGTATTTCTTAAGAAATCTTTGCCCAGACAGACCAATGTCCTGAAGAATTTCTCCAATGTTTTCTTGTAGGAGATTCATAGGTTGAAGTCTTAGATTTCAGTCTTTGATCTATTTTTATTTGATTTTTATACACAATGATAGATAGGGATCTAGTTTCATTCTTCTGTATATGGATGTCCGGTATTTTCAAATGCTCCATTTATTGAATAGACTGTTTTTTCCCTAGTGTATGTTCATGGCACCTTTGTCAAAAGTGAGTTTACTGTATGTATGTGGATTTGTTTCTGGGTTCTCCATTCCATCCTATTGGTCTATGTGTCTGTTTTCATGTGAGTACCGTGCTGTTTGGATTACTATAGCTCTGTAGTATAATTTGAAGTCAGATAATGTAGTCCCTCCAGTATTGTTCTTTTTGCTTAAAATAGCTTTAGCTATTCTGGGTCTTTTGTGGTTGCATATAAATTTTAGGATAGTTTTTCTATTTCTTTGAAGAATGTCATTGGTATTTTGATAGGAATCACACTGAATCTGTATATTGCTTTGAGTAGTATGGACATTTAAAAAATATTGATTCTTCCAGTCTATGAACCAGGAATATTTTGTCATTTTTGGTATCTTTTTAAATTTCTTTCATTAGTGTTTTATAATTTTCATTATGAAATCTTTTGCTTCTTTGATTAATTCCAAGGTATTTAATTGTATATGTGGCTATTATAAATGGGATTACATTTTTATTTCTTTTTCAAATTGTTCACAGTTGGCTTATAGAAATGCTGCTGAGTTTTGTATGTTGATTTTGTATCCTGCAACTACTGAATTTGTTGATTTGTTGATCAGTTCTAATTGATTTCCTGTGGAGTTTTTAGTTTTTTTTTCTTTAGTATAAGATCATCATATTATCTGTAAACAAGGATAATTTGACTTCTTTCTTTCTTTTCTTTTCTCTTTTTTTTTTTTTTTTTCTTTGAGATGGAGTCTCGCTCTGTCACCCAGGCTGGAGTGCAGTGGTGCAATCTTGGCTCACTGCAAGCTCTGCCTCCCAGGTTCACACCATTCTCCTGCCTCAGCCTCCCAAGTAGCTGGGACTGCATGCGCCTGCCACCAAGCCTGGCTAATTTTTTTTGCATTTTTAGTAGAGACGGGGTTTCACCGTGTTAGCCAGGATAGTCTCGATCTCCTGACCTCGTGATCCGCCCACCTCAGCCTCCCAAAGTGCTGGGATTACAGGCGTGAGCCACCACGCCTGGCCTGACTTCTTTCTTTCTGATTTGGGTGCCCTTTATATATTTCTCCTGTCTGATGCTCTAGCTAGGACTTTCCAGTACTATGTTGAATAACAGTGGTGACAATGGACATCCTTGTGTTCCAAATCTTGAAATGCTTTCCGTTTTTCTTCATTCAGGATTATACTAGTCATAGGTCTGCCATATATGGCTTCTATTATGTTGAGCTATGTTCCTTCTATCCCCAGTTTTGTGAGGATTTTTATCATGAAAGAATGTTAAATTTTATCAAATGCTTATTCAGCATCAATTGAAATGATCAAATAGTTTTTATTCTTCATTATGTTGTTATGATGTATTACATTGATTGATTTGCCTATGTTGAACCATCCTTCCATCCTAGGGATCAATTCTACTTGGTCATGATGAATGATCTTTCTAAAGTTTTGTTGAATTCAGCATGCTAGTATTTTGGAAAGGATTTTTGCATCAATATTCATCAGAGATATTGGCCTGTAGTTTTCTTTTTTTTCTTTATTTCTTTCTTTTCTTTTTTTCTTTCTTTCTTTTTTTATGTGTCTCTGTCTGGTTTTGGTATCAGGGAAATATGAGCCTCGTAGAATGAGTTTTGAAGTTTTTCCACTACCTTAATTTTTCAGAATGGTTTGAGTAGGAATGGAATTAGTTCTTTTTAAAATGTTTGGTTGAATTCAGCAGTGAAGCTATTGGGCCCTGAGCTTTTATTTACTAGGAGACTTTTTATTAGAGCTTCAATCTCATTACTTATTGATCTATTCAGGTTTGGGATTTTTTTCTAAGTTCAATATTGGTAGGTTGTACATATCCAGGAATTTGTCCATTTCGTCTAGATTTTCCAATGTATTGACATCATAGTAGCCACTAATGATTCTTTGAATTTCTGCAGTATCAGTGGTAATGTCTCCTTTTTAAATTTATTTTATTTATTTGGATTTTCTCTCTTTTTTTCTTAGTCTGGCTAAAGGTTTGTGATTTTGTTTAGCTTTTCAAACAATGCATTTTTTTCATTGACTTTTCATGTTGTTTTTGTCATTTCAATTTCATTTATTTTTGCTTTGGTCTTTTGTTATTTCTTTTCTTCCATTAATTTTGATGTCGGTTTGCTCTTGCTTTTCTAGTTCTTTAAGATGGATTGTTAAATTGTTCATTTGAAGTTTTTCCTCATTTTTGATGTAGACACTTATACTCTTAACTTCTCTCTTAGTATTTCTTTTGCTGTATCCCATAGGTTTTGGTATGTTTTGTTTCCATTACCATTTGTTCCAAGAAATTTTTCAATTTCCTTGTTAATATCTTCATTGACCTACTGGTCATTCAGAAGCATAGTGTTTGATTTCCATGTATGTGTATAGTTCCCAAAATTCCTCCTGTTATAAATTTCTAGTTTTATTCCATTGTGGTCAGAGAAGATACTTGATATTATTTCAATTTTTTTGAATGTTTTAAGAATTGTTTTGTGACTTAAAATATGATTTATCCTGGAGGGTGATCTAAGTGCTGAGGAAAAGAATGTGTATTCTGCAGCTGTCTAATGAAATGTTCTGTAAATATCTCTTAGATCCATTTGGTCTAGAGTGCAGATTAAATTTGCTGTCTCTTTGTTAATTTTCTGTGTGGAATATCTGTGCAATGCTGAAAGTGGGGTGTTTGAAGTCTCTGTCTATTTTTGTAGTGGGACCTATCTCTCTCTTTAGCGCTAATAATATTTGCTTCATATACCTG
The DNA here is from genome assembly GCF_000001405.40 of Homo sapiens. Lineage (NCBI taxonomy): Eukaryota > Metazoa > Chordata > Mammalia > Primates > Hominidae > Homo > Homo sapiens. Next base: position 78,142,451 of record NC_000006.12, on the reverse strand, counting down.
GGCACTCAAGTGTTGGGTGCATAAAAATTGTTATATCTTCTTGCTGAATTGATGCCCTTATCATTATTTAGTGACCTTCTTTGTCTCATAGTTTTGGTCTTGAGATCTATTTTGTCTGATATAAGTATAATAACTCCTGCACTTTTTTGGTTTCCATTGTCATGGAATATTTTTTTTACATCCCTTTATTTTCAGTCTATTTGTGTCTTTATAGGAGAAGTGTGTTTCTTGTAGGCAACAGTTAAATGGATGCTGTTATTTCATCCATTCAGCCAGTCTATGTCTTTTGTTTGGAGATTTTTTCCATTTCATTTATTGTTATTATTGATAAGTAAGGACTTACTCCTAAAGTTTTGTTATTTGTTTTCTGGTCTTTTTTCTGGTCTTCATGTCTTCCTCTAGTGAAGGTGATTTTTCTCTGCTGATATTATTTAGTTTATTGATTTTTTATATTTTGTGTGTTCATTGTATGGTTTTTGTTTTGAGATTGTGATGAAGCTTGCTAATTCTGTTTTGTAACCTATTATTTTTATCTGATAACAACTTAACACTGTTTGTATAAACAAACTAACAAACAAGCAAAAAGAAAACTAATAAAAATTCTATGCCTTAACTACATCCCTTGTTTTTTAACTCTTGGACAATATCTTATTGTACTGATTATGTCTTGCAACATTGTTTTACTTACTATTTTTTATTGGTTTATTCTTTAGTGTTTGTACTTAAGAGTAGTTAACACACCACAGTTACAGTGTTAAAATATTTAGTATTTTTCTGTGTACTTTCCATTATCTGTGAGTTTGCTACCTTCAGGTGATTACTTATTGCTCACTAATATTATTTTCTTTCTGATTGAAGTACTCCCTTTAGCATTTCTTGTAGGATGACTGGTGATGAAATTCCTCAGCTTTTCTTTGCCTGGGAAAGTATTTAGTTCTCCTTCATGTTTAAAGGATATTTTTGCTCATATACTATTCTAGGATAAAAAATTTTTCCTTCAGCATATTAAATATGTCATACCACTCTCTTCTGGCCTGTAAGGTTTCCATTGAAAAGTCTGCTGCCAGACATATTGGAGCTTCATTGTATGTTATTTGTTTCTTTTCTCTTGCTCCTTTTTTTATCCTTGATCTTTGGAAGTTAAATTATTAAATGCCTTGAGGTAGTCTTCTTTGAGTTAAATCTGCTTGATATTCTGTAACCTACTTGTACTTGGATATTGATATCTTTCTCTCATTTTGTGAAGTTTTCTGTTATTGTCCCTTTGAATAAACTTTCTAATTGTATCTCTTTTCTTACCTCCTCTTTAAGAGCAATAACTCTTAGATTTGCCCTTTTCGGGCTATTTTCTAGATCCTGTAGGCATGCTTCATAATTTTTTATTCTTTTTTCTTTTGTCTTTTCTGACTGAATTTTCAAACAGCCTGCCTTCAAGCTCAGTAATTCTTTCCCTTGATAAATTCTGCTATAAGAGAACTCTAATGCATTCTTCAGTATGCCAGTTGCATTTTTAGCTCCAGAATTTCTTCTTGAATTTTTTTTTATTATTTCACTTTCTCTGTTAAATTTATCTGACAGAATTATGAATTCCTTCTCTCTGCTATCTTGAATTTATTTGAGTTTCCTTAACACACCTATTTTGAGTTCTCTGTCTGAAAGGTCACACTTGTCTGTTTCTCCAGGTTTGGTCCCTACTGCCTTATTTAGTTCATTTGGTGAGACCATATTTTTCTGGATGATTGCTGAGTCTGTCCTTCAGACTCTGGCTGAGTGACGGATGAAAGAAGTGTGCTGACACAGGTATTCTGCCTGACAGCACAGCTAGGAGATGCATGGCTTAGCACTGCCAATGATAGTGCTGCCTCCATAAGCCAGCCCCGCTCACATTTATTTAGTACAGATTTAATGACAAAGGCTTGGAGCAAACACCTTTTGTGGGTAATAAACATCGTTGACCCCCTGAGTAGGAGGAGTCCTGCACGCGAATGATCAAAAGTTGGTTTCTGGAGACAGGAGTAAACAAATTTATCTAGATAGGTTCCTTTACATTCCCTTGTTATCTGCCCTTTGCTCTCAGCCTGTGGATAAGAGAATTTGGCTGCCTTCAGCCATAATTCTCTCCTGAAGCTTTTGCAAAACCTCCCGGTCTTCCAAGAAGTTTTGCATCTTTCCCTATAACTTTTTTTTATAACTTTTCCCACCACCCTGACTGATCTCCTACATCTCCCCCTTGCCTGTTTTTTTGCATCAGGTTCTGTTAATTTAAGAATACAGATGTGTGCAGCAACAGGTTTGCCTGGCACAGCCGTTACTGCTGGTATTCCAGCTTTGTATCATAGAATTAGTAAATAACATAAGACAAACATGAGTAGAATCAGTAACATTCTTTTCCAATCAAGGAGTGACCCCCAGGAGTGGGAGTCTATCCAGGAGAGATGTTCTCACACATCCTTCTATATGGCTGTTTGTTGGGTGTTTAGGGACTCTAGAATTTTAGTTCTAAGTTGCTTTATGTCTGTGGTTAAATTATCATGTAAGGTTCCCCAGAGGTGTTGTTTCGCCTCATCCCAACTATGTATTGATTGAGTCCAAGGTAGAGAGGTGACACAGATATGCTTATGCTCCCAGTCACAGTTTAATTGCTGTCAGAATGCCAGTGCATCTTGTCACTCCCCTACATATTCTAAGGCAGCCTCAAGGGCTTGCAGATGTGCAAGAATTTTTTGATATATACATCCCTGTGTAAGAGAAGTTCACTAGACACATTTCTGGCCAAGTTATCTGCAAATGTACCTATTTGTACTGATTCAGTAATAGAGACCACAGGAACACTAGCAGTTGCTAAGATGACTATGACTGAGACTACAAAGGCTATAAGTGTGCCTATGAATCTTTTATGTCTGACCTGGTACAGGGCACATTCTAAGGTGGCAAGAGCAGAGGAGCCTTGCCAATCATGTGTTAAATTGACTGGTAGGAATGCCTCAGATTGTCTCCTTAATACCAAGACACTAGTAATATTTAAATTAGATATATAGTAATTAGTGATACATGAGGTGAATCAAGCCTGTCCCTGCACTCAGGTCACAAACGTAGAGTTTTGGGGTGTAATGGAAATATGAGTTCCCATAAGGAAAACATATGGATGAGTAGTGCAAGTCAGGAACTGATCTGTGTGATTATGAATAATGGTCATAGTGTAGTTGTTACTGGAATTATGAAATGTCCCATGCCAGGTGTTAAGAGAGGTGCTAAGTTGTCCCAGGCACCATAAAGTGTTATGGGGTGGTATAGACTCTACTTGGGGTCTGGAGTATCCCATCCCTTCATTGGCCCAAATCACAGGGGAATGAGACGTGGCTATGAAACTGTGATTGATGCCACGATGGATGCGAACATCAGTATGGTTGCCCTGCAAATAGTAATGGGGGCTCCAGTCTAAGATGTTATAATTGCCTAACTGGAGGCTACAGGCTTGTCCCAGCCAAAGTGGAATCCATTACTTTCCTAGCTACATTCTTTAGCACAGGAAGGAATGTTGGGGAAAGTGGCATTGGTTGCATTGCCTGGTTTGAGGCTACCTGCAACTAAGAATGTTAAGGCATTTCCTTTGCCGTGATGTAGCCATAATTTTGTTTGGGCTGGTACACAGTAAGGGTTAGAACTTTTATAACTTATACACAGTGGGAGGATAGTGGAGTGATAAGTAGTGTTACCTGGGACCTTGGTCCAATGTGTGCCATTAATGAGGGACCCCACTGGGGTAAGTCAATCCCTCCTAGCCAAGTAGTTACATTATTAGAGGCTGGGAAGGGGGTGTCTGCCCAAGTAACACGGTGGAAGAAAGGCATATCTAAGAGATGAGCCCAATAGAGCATAGCCAGTATGGGTTGCAGGCAAAGTGGGAGCATAAAAAGGATCAATACCCTACACGTGTTGCAATGTACAATAGAAAGCTTAGCAAGGAACAAATTATCTGGAGTGAATGGTGTCCGTGTCCAGAGAAGGATTTGCTCAGCCTCCTTTGTTGTCTTCTTCAGCATCCCTCAGGTAATACCACAGATTGTATCATCTGAGGAAGCGACATTGTCCAGGGCTGCGGGTCCTGCAGGGTCACTTCCTTCATTTCTGGCACTGGGTTGGGTCCTAGCAAAGCCATGGTATGGTTTGATGCATCGTGCTGGAATGCAGAGGACCTGAGGGGGTGTGAACACAAGCATATCCTCTTCCTCATGTTAGCAATTCATTTGGTTCACACCATACATTACTATTTACATCTTTCCATAAAACTGCGGGTTTTATGTCTTGAGGGGTTTTATGTCTTGAGAAGTTTTAGCAAAGTGCTTTTCTATAGCTGATTGAAATTTATCATTTGAATTTAAGAAATTAAGGGTAAATAAGGCTTGTGCTAGTAGTGTTGCAGGGTCCTTACTCATATTCCCCCTTTTTTGTTTTCTGAGCATATTTTTAAGAGCAGAATGGACGTGTTCTACTATGGCCTGTCCTTGGGTATTATATGGGATGCCTGTGGCATGTTGGATGTTCCACGCGTGACAAAATTGTTGAAATTGTAAGTTGGCATAAGTCAGACCATTATCAGTTTTAATTTTTGTGGGCTGCCCTAGAAATGTGAAAGTTAAGAGAAGGTATATAATGACATATTGGGTGGGCTCTCCAGGAAGAGCATGTGTGCTAATTAGGTGAGAATTGGTATCAACAGATACATGTACATATCTTAGTTTTCCAAATTCAGGGATGCATGTAACATCTGTTTGCCATAACTGATTAGGTTCTAGTCCTCTAGGGTTAACACCTGTTGAAGGAGGGGATGTGACTGTGAGCTGGCAATGTGGGCATTGCAGGATAATTTGTTTAGCTAGTCTTTGGGTAAGTTTAAATTGTTTAGTTAAGTTTATCCAATTTTGGTGGAAAAATTTATGGGATTGTGTGGCTTGGTCAAGCAATGATGTCATAACTTGCAGGTCTGCTTGATCATTGCCATAAGCCAATGGGCCAGGCAGTGAGCTGTGGGCTCGAATATGTGTGATAAAAATAGGATGTGTACGTTGATCCAGCAATTCAAAGTCAAAGAAAAAGTGCACACAGTGTGGGCTCAAGAGTGGACTTAATGAGGGCTGTTTCAAGGTTCTGCAATAAATAAATAGAGTAAGCAGAGTCACTAACAATATTGATAGGCTGAGTGGAAAAGGTCTCCAGGGCCAATATTAAGGCTTTAACCTCAGCTCTCTGAGTGCTAGTAAATCCAGAATGAGTGAGCGAATTATACAGTCTCCCACCAAATAGCTGCTTTTCCATTTTTACCAGAGCCGTCAGTAAAAACTGTTAAAGCGTTAGGTGTGAGAGAGTGAACTACTTTTGTAGGCAAAACTACAAGAGTACGAGATAAGAACTGTAGTAGTTTGTCAGAAGGAAGGGCATCCTTTATATGGCCTGCATAATCAGAGAGTGCTATCTGAAGATCTAGAGATAAGGGCAATACTGCTTCAAATTGCTTTTTACTCAAAGGAATTCTTATGACCTCAGGGTCATAACCTAGCAACTGATTGCATCGTCTGTGGCCTGTATAGATGACTTTACTAACTAGCTGGATATAGAGAGATAGTGTTTTAGTCCTGGTATGTGAGCAAAAGTCCCATTCTAGAAAGCACAGCCCTGGGGCCATCTGTCTTATTAATCCTGTTGGGGAATGTTTAGTAGGATAAACAAATAACGGACTGAATATTGTGGGTCTATGTGATCTAGTTGCCTCTGAGAAATAGCTTGCTCTATTTCCTCAATATCCCTTTTTGCTGCAGGAGTTAAATACCTGGGAGAGTCTAGGACTGTATTGCCCTTTAGGATAGAAAACAGGTTTTGTAACTCATCAGTAGTTATGCCCAAGGTGGGGCAAAGCCAATTAATATCACCTGGTAATTTTTGATAAGCATTTAAGGTGTGTAAGTTGCTACTATTTAATTTAACCTTTTGAGGTCTTACTGACCAGGAAGTTAGTATGTATCCAAGATATTTCCAAGGAGAGGACAATTGTACTTTTTCAGATGCTATAATTAAACCTCTTAACTGTGTATTGTTTATGACTGAGGCATATAAACTTAAAAGTACTGGCTCCGTTGGGGCTGCTAGTAAAATATCATCCATAAAATGAATAATCTGCAATTAGAAAATTCTTTTCTACTGGGGAGCAAAGCCTGATTTACATGATACTGACACACGGTAGGATTGTTCAGCTTTCCTTGAGGAAGTACTTTCCAATGAAATTGGCAAGCTGGCCTTTCATTATTGACAGCTGGTATTGTAAACACAAATTTTTCTCTGTCCTGTTCTGCAAGGGGAATAGTATAAAAGCAGTCTTTTAAGTCAATAACAACTAAAGGCCAATCTTGAGGAATCACCGTGGGGGAATGGAGACCCTGTTGAAGGGGTACCATAGGTTGCAAATTAGCATTGATAGCCTGTAAGTCATGCAAAAGTCTCCATTTGCCAGACCTTTTGGGAATGACGAAAATGGGCAAAGTCCAAGGAGTGCTTGATGGTTCTATATGGCCAGCTTTTAATTTCTCCTCAACTAATTCATGTGCTTATTGTAATTTCTTTCCCTTTAAAGGCCACTGTTCAACCCAAATTTGATCTTGAGAGAGCCACATCAGGGGTAGGGGAGGAATAACAACAGTGGCCAAAATTAGAAAGGGGTCTGCAGAGTGACCCCACATTGGGCTAATGGGTCCCGTCCCCAAAGATTAACAGGGATGGGCATGATTAAAAAGTTGTATAACTGCATTTCTTCCTTCTGAATTGCAGCATGTTAGGAGGCACATGCCCTGCTTGGCTGTATGTACTTCCCCGATGCCAACAATTTTTTGTTTCTGAGTGACCCAAGGCCAAGTTTCTGGCCAGTTTTGATCACTAATGATTGAAATGTCTGTATCTGTGTCCAATAAGCCAGTAAAATTTTCATTTCCAATTTTTAAAGTAATCATGGGTCTTTGAACAGTGATTAATTGCTTCTAATATACTCCTCTGGCTCCCATGCTTCCAAAGCTTCCCTTTTCCCTTTCCTTTCCCTGGTCACTGGGGTCCCAGTATGGTAAGAGTAGCAACTGAGCTATCTTTGATGCAGGGGGAAGAATATGCAGACCTTTACATTCCATCATAACTAATATCTCACCTTGATAATCACTATCAATTTCCCTGATGAGCACACTGATTCCTTTACTGGATAGGCTTGATCACCCTAGGACTAATCACACTGTTCCTGGAAGCAGTGGGCCCCAGATCCCTGGTGCAACCCTTTTAGGGTCTTCTCCTTCTTTTGGCAGTAATTCATTGGGGCAGAGTAAGTCCAGTCCTGCGTTCCTAGAGGTGGCCGCTCTGAGAGAGAGGAGGGCCTTCCATCTGACCGAGGAAATCTGCTGGCATTGCCCCAATTTGGAGCAGGGCCTGGGGCTGGCCCCCTCTGATTACTTAGGGGGTTGCCATTTTTATCAAATTTGAACTTGCACTGATTTGCCCATTGTTTCCCCTTTTTACATCAGGGTCATATAGAAGAGGGTTCTTTTCCTGAGTTACTTTGGTCTCTATTATTGGGACATTCCCTCTTCACATGACCTGGCTCTCTGCATAGAAAACAATTTGGGTTTTTCTCTCTTTTCACTTTAGGAGGCCTTAATGCCATAGCCAGTATTTTGGCTTTGTGTGTTTCAATCCCCACCAGTTGACATGCTCCTATAAGTTCCCCGACTGTGGCTGCCTTTCCTCTGATTGCCTGCATTGCTTCCTGGCAGTTGACATTAGCATTTTCATAAGCTAATTACAACAATAAGATATTAGCAGCCTGGGCTTGACTAATTTGTCTCTTAATTTCCTGGGTTAACCAATTGATAAATTCAACAAATGGCTCCTGAGGCCCTTGTCGGACATTTGTATAAGATCCCTGTTGAACTCCGCTTTCAGAAATTCGGTCCCAAGCCCTGAGAGTGCACAAAGACACTTGTGCACAGGCTTGGAGAACAAAACTTAGTTGTACATTGGCATGGGGACCCCTCACCTGGAGCATAGCAGCTTGCCCAGCCAATTGATTCTGGTTGGCTTGTTGTTCATACAACTCATCATATTCTGCCTTCCACAGGAGGTATTGACTGGGCTCTAAAGTTGTTTTAGCTAGCATTGACCAGTCCCATGGAATCATACAGAAGTTGTCTTCTATGGCTTCAATTATTCCTTTTGTAAATGGGCTAGCAGCTCCGTTTTCTTTAATGCTTTTTCTTATCTCTTTATACACCTGATTGACTTGTCGATCATGCATTACCAGGCAGGCCAAGAGTTCCCCTTCTAATGCCGGTGCCTAAGACAGGGTCCCATAGATGAACCATATCCCTTGTCTTTTTTCCAATTTATTGGAGGTGGGGGCTCAGGGAAAGCTTCTGGTCCCTCTTTGGTATTTTTGCCCGGTAATGGCGCAGCTGAGGGAGAAGGAGGAGGCAGTAAGATATGTGATGGTTCCTCCTCCCTTCCCTTTTTAGGCTCTTCTGTGTAGAACAGGACCAAAGCAGCCCTAACTAAGGCCCATAACATTAAAGATATTCCTGGGACATTGCCCTTGTGCATAATGTTGTTTAAGACTTCTCCCCGCTTGTTCCCAGAGCTCTATGTCTAGCGTGCCTTCTTCTGGGAATGCCTTCCCATGGGTTATGGGAAACAAGAATTTGCATTAGGTCCCTTAATTGAGCCTGCAAAACTGAGGCTCTACTAGCTTTAAGCAGCTGTTTCAATACTTTTATATGCTGTTGACGTTGAGCTGATAACTATTGTCCCATGATGAAACCGTAGCCTGAACAATTCCCTCGAACTTGGAAATCCTGAGTGGGCACCAATTGTGTCCAGAATTGGTTCCTTCCAGTGGGTTTGTGGTCTCATTGACTTCAAGAATGAAGCTGTGGACCTGTGCGGTGAGTGTTACAGCTCTTAAAGATGGCAGGGACCCAAAGAGTGGGCAGTAGCAAGGTTTATTGTGAAGAACAAAAAAACAAAGCTTTCACTGCATGGAAGGGGACCCAAGTGGGTTGCCACTGCTAGCTGGGGTGGCCAGCTTTTATTTCCTTATTTGTCCCCTCCCATGTTCCATTTCTGTCCTATCAGAATCCCCTTTTTTCAGTCCTCCCTGCAGTTGGCTACTTTTAGTATCCTGCTGATTGGTGGGTTTTACAGAGTGCTGACTGGTGCATTTTACAGAGTGCTGATTGGAGCATTTTACAGAGCGCTGATTGGTGCATTTTACAATCCTCTTGCTAGCTACAGAGTGATGATTGGTGCATTTTACAATCCTCTTGTAAGACAGAAAAGTTCTCCAAGTCCCCACTGGACTCAGGAAGTCCAGCTGGCTTCACCTCTCACAACGACTTACAGACAGCACAGTCTCTTCACCTTTGTTTTCAAGAATTCTGTCATGATCCATTGCAGTGGTCCTCAATGGGGCACCACCTGCCAAGTCTGTACTGCATACTCTGGCTGAGCAACGGATGAAAGAAGTACGCTGACACAGGTATCCTGCCTGACAGCGCAGCTAGGGGAGTGCACGGCTTGGCACCACCGAGAGTGCTGCCTCCATAAGCCGTCCCCACTTACACTTATTTAATACAGAGTTAATCAAAAAGGCTTGGAGCAAACACCATTTGTGGATAATAAACATTGTCAACCCCCTGAGTAGAGAGCAGTCCTGCACAAGAATGACCAAAGGTTGGTTTCTGGAGACAGGAGTAAACAAATTTATCTAGATAAGTTCCTTTACATTCCCTTGTTATCTGCCCTTTGCTCTCAGCCTCTGGATAAGAGAATTTGGCTGTCTTCAGCCATAATTCTCTCCTGAAGCTTTTGCAAAACCTCCAGGCCTTCCAAGAAGTTTTGCGTCTTTCCCTATAACTTTTTTTTATAACTTTTCCCACACCCTGACCAATCTCCTACAGACGGTTGTGATGCTAGTAGATGTTCTTTTGTGTATGGGCATTGAGGAGTTAGGTATTTGTTGTAGTCTTCACTGTCTGGGCTTACTTGTACCTGTTCTTCTTGAGAAGGCTTTTCAGTTATTTGATAGGACTTGGAGGTTGTGATCTAAGTTGTATATGCACCCCAAGCTCAGTAATGCTGTGGTTCTTGCAGACCCATAGAGGTATCACCTTGATGGTCTTGGAAAAGATCCAGAATTCTCTGGATTATCAGGCAGAGACTTTTGATCTCTTCCTTTACTTTCTCTCAAACATACAGAGTTTTTGTCTCTCTCTTTCTCTCTCTCTGTTTTGAGACACCTAAAGCTGAAGATGGAGTGACACAAACATCTCTGTGGCTTCCACTACTATGACTGTACTGGGTCAGACCTGAAGCCAGCACAACACTGAGTCTTGTCCAATCCCTGCTGTAACCACTCCCTGATTACTGCCTATGTTCTCTCAAGGTCCTCGGGCTCTATAAATAGCCAGAAGTAAAGTAAGCCAGGCTTGTGTCCTTCCCTTCAAGACAGTAAGGTCCCTTAGTCCCCGGCTGGGTCCAGAAGTGCCATCCAGTACTCAGAGATTAGAGTCAAAAACATTAGAAGTCTACCTGATGTTCTGTTATATTGTGGCTGAGCTGGCACTCAAACCACAAGACACAGTTCTTCCCACTCCTCTCTTTTCCCAAGGCCAAGGAGCCTCATTCCACAGCCTCTGCCACCCCAGGCCACAAGGAGTACTGCCAGACTATCACTGATGTTCCTTAAGGTCCAAGTTCTCTTAAGTCAGTTTGTCATGAATCCTGCCTGGCCTGGGACTCACCCTTAAGGGCAGCAGACTCTCCTCTGGCCCAGCAAAGGTCCAGAAATGATGTCCAAGAGTCAAGTCTTAGAGTTAGGGACCCCCAAGTGCTCACTTGGTGATCTAACACCTGTGGCTGTGCTGGTACCTAAGGTGCAAGACAGAGTCCTTTTTTATGTTTCCTTTTGTTTTTCTCAAGCATAAGGAGATTTGCCTTGTAGCCACCACACCTGGTGATGTGCTAAATCTCACCTGAAGCCAGCAAGTCACAGAGGCTCATCTAAAGCCCTTGACATAGTACCTGGGTAGCCCTGCTGGTTTTTCAGGGTCCAAGGTCTCTTCAGTTAGTAGGTGATGAATACCACCATGAGTGCTCTTTCCTTCATGGCAGTGTGTTTCCATCTGGCCCAATGAATGTCTAAGAATGTCATCTGGGAGCTAGGGCCTGGCTTCCATGACTCTGACTGGTACCCTATCCTGCTGTGGCTGAGCTGGTATCCTCGATGCAAGAAAAAGTCCTCCCTACTCCTCTCTCCTCAAGCAGAATGAAGGGGTCTTTTGGAGCCTTTGAGCTGTGCAGCCTGGGGTTAAGGGTGTGGGAGGTGATGCCAGCATTTTCCTGGCTGCTCCAACTGGTGTCTAGATATGTCAAGTGCCCCTCAGTCCACTGTCTCTGGACTGAACTCAGCACAAGGACTCACCTAAGATCTGAAGTCTTTATGGACTAGGCTGCCTTTCAAGATTACTTGGAGACACAGAGTGATTTAGCCCTCAGTGGCAAAGTTTGCAGGCACTCAAGTTCGACAGTTAGCATAGGCAATTCCCCTCTGGCCAGGGCTGATTTAAACACTCCATCCTTGGGCCAGTAACAGCTGAGTTGGTCCTGGTTTCCTTTCTCCTCCAACAGGACAGCACTTCACATCTGCTGTGTTCTCCCTCCCTCAGTGCCCAGAGATTCTGTATGCACCATGTTGCTGGCTGGGGTGGGAGAGGGGTGGTGTAGGTGATTTAAAACTGTTTGTTTTTGTTTTGTTTTGTTTTGTTTGAGACATTGGCTCACTCTGTTACCCAGGCTGGAGTACAGTGGTGCAATCTCAGCTCACTTCAACCTCCACCCCCTGGGGTTGAGTGATTCTCCTGCTTCAGCCTCCCAAGTAGCTAGGACTACAGGCACCTGCCACCATGCCCGGCTAATTTTTTGTATTTTTAGTAGAGGCAGGTTTTGCCACGTTGGCCAGACTTGTCTTGAACTCCTAACCTCAGGTGATCTGCCCACCTAAGCCTCCCAAAGTGCTAGGATTACAGGTGTGAGCCACCATGCCCAGCCTAAGAACTATTTTTTTATATGTTTTCATTGCTTCTTTCAGAGATGAGAAGTTAAAACCAGGTATTCTGAGTGCTCACCTGGTTTTGGTTCTTATGAAAGTGGTTTTTTATTTTTGTTTGTTTTCCTGTGTAGATAGTTGTTAATTTGGTGTCCTTGTGGAAGGGGAAGATCTGTGGAGCTTTCTATTCTGCCATTTTGTTTTGACTTCTCCCCAAGGTAACTATTGATAGCAAAAACTTACCACTGAAATTTTCTAATTCTTTTTCTTGTTGTTTTGGATATACTTTATTTCTTTTTTGCTGTCTTCCTTTGCAGTTTAATGGTTTTGTGTAGCAGTATGTTTTGGATCCTTTTTATTTACATTTTGTACATCAACTATAAATTTTTACTAATGGTTACCATGAGGGTTACATAGTACATCTCGTAACAGTCTGTTTTAAGCTAGTAACAACTTTGACTACATACAAGTGTATACTTTTACTCCTTCTCCACATGTTTTATGATTAGGTGTGAAAGTGTACATTTTTAATACTTTGTATCTCCTGACAATTTATTTTAGCTACAGTTTTTTAATAGTTTTGCCTTTTACTTATCAAACTAGAGTTCAAATTTTATATACACCACTATTACAGTCCTATTTTGTATACAACTCTGTGCTATTTATAGCATTGAGATTTCTATTTTTAGATGTTTTGTGTTATTTACTAAGGCCCTTTTTTTTTAAGCTTAAGGAACTCCTGTTAGTATTTCCTTTAAGACTAGTGATAATGAACTGTCTAGACTTTGTTTGTCTTGGAAATATTTTATTTTTCCTTCATTTCTGAAGGATTGTTTTGCATAGACACCAGCCTGAAAGTTACCTGAACTCATAATCTAAGAATCTGGGTTATTTATACACCAAAGGAGCTTTTCTTTACAGTCTATTTAAGTGGCCCTTTCCCCAACTTGTTATTATCTGTTGCAACATCCTATTCATTTTTTTATAGAGATTTGCTTCACTTATATATGCTTTTTTTTTAAGTTCATTGACTGCCAACAGTTCTCCTTCTCAGGAATATAGTCTCTGAGGAAAAAAAACTGAATCTATTTCACATATTATTGTGAAACCAGTATCTACCATAGCGTCTGGCACATAGCAAACCCTTAATAAAATTTGTTAAATAAGAGAATAGAATAAAGAATGATGTCTCAGGAGAAAAATGATACTTATACAGTAATTTTCTAGAAATCCATAAAAAAATTTAATTAGCTTTTTATTCTCAATAGACAATAAAAACCTTAAATAAGAATAGACTGAGGTGAAAAGATAAAATATAATTCAAAGTTCAGCTGTTATACTTCATTTATATTTTGCAAATGATTACAATACATGCTTGTTGTAACAAATGATACAATTAACTACAAAGTCTTATAAAAGCAAAATTATTTTCTCTTCCAGACCATACCCATTCAATTAATTCCCAGCACCCCAAATAACCAATGTAATTAGCCAGTTATGTATTTTCCGACATCTTTTTTAAGTTAATACATATAACAACCACCTTTAAGAGATATCAGTGCATCTTTTTTTTAACCAAAATAGACCTATATTATACACATTATTCTTCAATTTTATTTTATTTATTTATTTATTTATTTTTAAGTTTTTTTTTTCTTTTATTATTATACTTTAAGTTTTAGGGTACATGTGCACATTGTGCAGGTTAGTTACATATGTATACATGTGCCATGCTGGTGCGCTGCACCCACTAACTTGTCATCTAGCATTAGGTATATCTCCCAGAGTGTGATGTTCCCCTTCCTGTGTCCATGTGATCTCATTGTTCAGTTCCCACCTATGAGTGAGAATATGCGGTGTTTGGTTTTTTGTTCTTGCGATAGTTTACTGAGAATGATGATTTCCAATTTCATCCATGTCCCTACAAAGGACATGAACTCATCATTTTTTATGGCTGCATAGTATTCCATGGTGTATATGTGTCACATTTTCTTAATCCAGTCTATCATTGTTGGACATTTGGGTTGGTTCCAAGTCTTTGCTATTGTGAATAATGCCACAATAAACATACGTGTGCATGTGTCTTTATAGCAGCATGATTTATAGTCCTTTGGGTATATACCCAGTAATGGGATTGCTGGGTCAAATGGTATTTCTAGTTCTAGATCCCTGAGGAATCGCCACACTGACTTCCACAATGGTTGAACTAGTTTACAGTCCCACCAACAGTGTAAAAGTGTTCGTATTTCTCCACATCCTCTCCAGCACCTGTTGTTTCCTGACTTTTTAATGATTGCCATTCTAACTGGTGTGAGATGGTATCTCATTGTGGTTTTGATTTGCATTTCTCTGATGGCCAGTGATGATGAGCATTTTTTCATGTGTTTTTTGTATTCTTCAATTTTATTTAAAAAATTTGAAAATATATCATTTAAGTCATCAGACGTGGGATATTTGTTTTTTTGCTTTCTTTTTTTTTTTCCTTTTCTTTTTTGAGATAGAGTCTTGCTCTGTCACTCAGGCTGGAATGCAGTGGCGCGATCTCAGCTCACTGCCACCTCTGCCTCCTAGGTTCAAGCGATTCTTCTGCCTCAGCCTCCTGAGTAGCTGGGACTACAGGCACATGCCAACACGCCTAGCTAATTTTTCCATTTTTAGTAGATACGGGGTTTCACCATATTGGCCAGGCTGGTCTGGAACTCCTGACCTCGTGATCCGCCCCACTCAGCCTCCCAAAGTGCTGGGATTACAGGCGTGAGCCACCACACCCAGCTGGTTATTTCATTTTTCTCCTATGTGTGTGTGTTTGTGTGTGTGTGTAAAATATTTTCATAAGGGAAGTACATCGTTGCATGATAGAATTGTTTTAGAAGGAGTATTTTCAACTTGCCTTACTCCACTTCTCCCTTTAAAAATCTCTTCTGGCCCTCACCCTTCTCTCCCAATATAAGTAACCCACATAAACAACTTGCTCTACTTTTCACCTCAATTACTAACATCAACATCAATGCACATACACAGACACACACATATTTACATTTACACACAAGAGTGTCATCATTATGTTACTTCTAAAAATGCAATCATATTATATATCCTTTTATAAATTTTACTTTTGTCACTTTATAATACTGCCACGAATAACTGGCAAATGTCCAATTTATTGTATTAATAGCTATAGCCTTTCGTAAAGTAAAGACACCATAATGTATTGATCTCATTCTCTCCTTGATCTTCATTGACATCAGTGTAATGGAATCTCTCAATGTGACTTCAATTTACATTTATGTAACTAACTACTGTAAATTTTAATATCTCTGTGTCTATTGGTCAATTGGATTTGCTGTCCTAGAAATTGTTTATTTTGATATTTTATTCATATTTCTATTGGGTTTTTGGTTATTTTCTGATTAACTTGTGGCTAGTGTGGGCCTTCAATAAGTCATCTGCACTGAAAACCTTTCAAATTTTTTTTTGCTTAACTATTTGGCTGTAATTATGTATTTTTCTATATAATTATTTTCCATTTCTATATAGTCAAACATTATATTCTTTCATATTTCAATATTCTCTGTTTTAAGAAGTTCTGCCCTACTATTAGGATATATGTTTTATCTTTAAAAATATCATTGTTTTATTTTTCCATTAATTCTTTAATGTAGTAGGTATATATTTGTTTATTTGCTGAGAGAAGTTTTCAACTTTATTTAATAGCTGGCACTTATTAAGTTTTTTGCAATGATTTGAACTATTATTACGTATTAAATTTTTACATCTATTGCAATCTCATGTTTTTCTGTTCTGCTCTACCGATCTATTTGATTATTTATTTCTAGTATATCAATTTGAATGCATCATGTCATAGTGTTTTGTAATATAAGTATTCTTTTTCTTTTTGTTACATGTTCTACTATATCTAAATATTTATTCTTTTATATTAACTAACTGATTAAAAAGTAATAATGAATAGTTAGTCCAATTCTATCCCTTCTTTTAAAATATTGGGAGTATTGTTATAATTTAATTCATATATTAGTTTTAGACAATTATAGATTTCTAAATTTTTAAATAAACATTTTATATTAGTGCTTATACTAAATTAAAACATGTTGTAAGATCTTCATTATTAAAATATTAAAACTCCTATTTATCAAATTGTTTTTTTATTTTCACAGCCTAAGAAACTAAGTTGTAAACTATGTAACCATGTGGGAAAAGAAGTTATCATTGAGGAAGTAAAGAGAAACTAGGAAATACTGGTTTGTTTCCCTTTCCAGGAAAACATTAAATAGCTGTTGCTATATGTTATCCCTTTTAACATCATCTTTCTAAAAGTGAAATAACTTTATATTGAATAAAAATTTATGAATTTACTCATAAATAGTGATAACAATTAGGAATCTACAAGTTGATTTTTTAGGTCAAAACAAGAACAACCATCCATAATGCTTTGAGGCCTTTTCTTGTATTTTGATGCAGTATAGTCACCCCTCAGTATCCATGAGTTTTGCATTGGTGGATTGAAAATATTTCAAAAATATTTTAAAAATTTGCACCTTTGCTAAAGTACAGGCATTTCTTTTATCCTCATTATTCCCCAACCAATACAGTATAATAACTATTTAGACAATGTTTGCATTGTATTATTATAACTAACCCAGAGATGATTTAAAGTATATTGGAGGACGTCCATAGGTTATATGTATTATGCCATTTTATATAAGAGACCTGAGCACCTGTGGATTTTGGTATCTGAGACTCGTCCTGGAACCAATATCCTACAGATACCAAGTGATGACTCTACTGTTTTGTCTTTGTCGTATTTGCTTTTTCATTTGGCTTATCCTTGTAACAACAAAATATGTGAAGAAGATCCTTTGTATCTATTTCATTTTCTAACTGATAGTACAGTTTATTTCTCTCAGGGATCCCACTTGCTTGTTTTATTTTCTCTTTTCACAGGAGAATTTTTTCACATAAAAGATGCACTGCATTAACTGATTTATCATATTCCCTAAGCTTGCCTCCACTAGTACCAATGTAGTTAGCATATTCAGTTTCCATTTTGAAGTTTGGAGAAATATCCAATACCTTAGCATTTTTTATAAGTAAAAAGAGAAACTAAAATTCAAGTTATAACTCTTCCATGTTTGTTCATTTTCATTGTTTCATTTGTTACAACTTTAGTAATAAATTTGAAATTAGTTTTCCATTTTCTGTTTCCAGCCCCTTTTTTTCAGATTACTTCATTCCCTATCAGCTCTCTTTCAAGTTATTTTTCCCCTTTTGTACTTTGAAGTGTTTTTCTTTTCAGGTTTCTGTCCTGGGCAAAGTTTTAATCTCATTCCAAGCCTCTTCTTTGACAATCTCATTCACTCTGTTATCTCTGGTTTGCTGAATTCTCAATTGACATCCCTGGTTCCAATTTCTATGGTGAAATGCAGACTTCAACATCAGATTTCCTACCACACAACTCTCTGCATGGACCAATCACCTAAGTCAGCATGTTTACAATGTGAGTAAAATCACCATATGCCTCACAAATATATCCGTTTTTTTTGTTGTTGTTGTTGTTGTTTTGTAATGACACCACCATTTTCTTGGCTGTTAAAGCTGGAAACCTGAGTGTCATTCCCAACTATTTACTTTCCTTTTACTCCAATATCCAGGAAACTATAAATCTTGTTTAATTTGCCTTCTATTCTTTTATTATCAAACCTGGTCAGCTTTTTATTGTCACACTGACTACCATCATGTAAATCAATATTATCTCTTACCTTGATTATTGCAATGGCATCCAAATTGATCTGGCTTCCCTCTAACCTATTGCCCATACTCTAATTATGTCATTCTCAGTCTTAAAATATGTGTGTGATTCTATGTTGCACTTACAGCAACCCCATTATCAAAACTCCAGATTCTTTTTTCTGGATGCATTTTTAGTTCTTGAACATCTTTCCTTTGATGTGCCTAGCCTTGCACGTCTTGACAAACTGGACTGAACTACTTAAAAATTTCCAGACACAAAAATTTCTAGACACGGCATGTTTTTTTCGTACCTCCAGGCTTATTTACATGCTTGTTCTTAGAATAGCCTTCTCCAGTTTGTGCTAAATGCTATACATTCTTCACGTTTTTTTATGTTAATTTTTTCCAAACTTACCATAAATTCCCCTGTTCAATTCAGCCTGTCTTGGTTCTATCCAAAATCTACTATTGAGTAGTCATAGCAAATTAATCTTTCAGTCCTCAGATTTCTCGTCTATAATATGTGGGATAGTGTCTCTTAGAATTGTTTCATGGATTAATTGATATAATGCATATAAAGAATGTAGTATACAATTAAGAAGTAAACGTTAATAGTTTTATTATTTTAATAAATACAATTACTTCTTACATTTTGTATGTCTTGCATTAATCTTAGCAGAGACTTTATCTGATTTATTATCTGTAATTATATGCCTTCCATGTAAAAGTAGGAGTTCAAAAATAAATTTGTGTATATGAATGGAAGAAGGGATGTGGAATGACAGAGGTTGGAAAATGTCTTATTTTGCTAATTTTACTTTTTACCATGAAAGCTCTTAGGTCATATAATTAACACAAATCAAAGATGAGTTTTATAACTTGAGCCAGATTTTGGATGTGAAAATATTTTTAAGCATCTCTCCTTATGAATTTTGATAGTTGGAAACTTTGAGGAATAAAAATAAAACTCTTAAGTCCCTCAACCAACTAAACAGGTCATCTCTTGGTCAGTGACACACCAGAGAAAACCTGGAAGCTGAGTTCTCTGCCATGACTCGATGGGAGGTCATACATGACTTGTTTATACCCTTCCCCTGCTAACCACCATTAATCATTATTCCCCAAGAGCTAAACAGAAGCTAGCCCTTTCAAAAGACTCCACCATTAGTATTAACTAACTCCTTGACATTGCTCCTCCCTTTTTGCCTCACAAGAAATGAGTGGTTCTAGCCAGTCTACAGAAAACTCACAGTAAGGGCTTTTGTGTCATCTGCTCCACCTTTTGACATGAGAGGGCTTAAAACTCCACCCACAGATCATGCTAACACCCCCATTTTTTGAACATGGGTCCCATGGGGAGAAACAAAGCTCAATTGCACGTGTGTTTGTTTCTCCTTTCATAAATATTCATGGCCTTCCGTGGCTTATTAAATATGTATATTTGGCCACCTTGTTCAGCATAAATCCCTGTCTTATTCTTCCCAACCTCAAATTATCTAGTTTCTGCTTCTGGCCAGAAGCTATGCTTCCCAGCTTCTCAGAATGGCCACCCTGCAGCCTGTAACCCTTTATGAGAAGTAAAGCTCTCCTTTCAAAATTGATGAACCTTCTCTTTCTTCAGCTGACACCTTTAAACTCTACATGTAGTTGTATGTCTTAGGAAATAAAATATCTTCTGAAAATCAACCCCCTTTTTAGGGTATTGCAAAACATTTAACTCATAAATAGCTTAATTCCTTAGCAGCAAGCAATGTTCTCAACAGCAAATATTAAGGTACATGAGGCAGAATGCACTGGAGTTGAGTTTGATCCACAGTCGTGAACTCTCTAGAAGTACCTAGAATCTCCTATTTTGTCTCTTTATCGAATGTGTCTAGGTGAGCAGAAAAGAGCTATTGTCATCAGAGCATATTCAAAGGCTTTCAGAATGAAGATCCAGTATATTAAAGCCATTAGTGGCTTAGAATTCAGGGAATGACTGTCTCCTTCTGCTAGCCATTTTCTTAATAGATACAGAGATTTGTTGCTGTTCTTCTTTTAAAGTTTTAATGATTGAAATATTTATGTTTACAGTTTTGGTGAACCCAAGTATGATCTGCAAAATTCTAGAGTTCAAAATAAAAACCATCTGATGGATTTTAAAACCAAAAAATGTAGCAACAGGAGAATTAATACTTCAAGAACATGAGGTAATTTGGCTAGAGACAAAAGTGAGAATAGTGACCACAAGATAAATAAGATAAAAACTACCAGTATTAGAAATGACAAGAAAATAAGTAAATACAACTGGAAATAAAAATTATTTTTAAAAAAATTTTAGATGCGGGGGAATACATGCACAGATTTGTTACATGGATATACTGTGTAATGCTGTGGTTTGGGCTTCTATTGAACTCATGACCCAAATAGTGAACACAGTACCTAAAAGGGAGTCCTCAACCATGCCTCCTCTCTGTTCCTCCACTTTTGGAGCTTCCATTGTCCATTGTTCTAATCTTTATGTCCATGTGTACCCAGTGTTTAGCTTCAGCTTGTAAGTAAAATCGTACAGTATTTGATTTTCTGTTTCTGCATTAAGTCACTGAGGATAATGGTGCATCCATGTTGCTATAAAGAATAAGATTTCATTCTTTTGCTGCCTGGATACTATTCCATGATGTATATGTACCATATTTCTTTATCCAATCCACCACTGATGGCCACCTAGGTTGATTCTATGTCTTTGCTCTTTTTTTTTTTTTTTTGAGACAGAGTCTCACTCTGTTGCACAGGCTGGAGTTTAGTGGTGCGATCTCGGCTCACTGCAACCTCCACCTCCCAGGTTCAAGCAATTCTCCTGCCTCAGCCTCCTGAGTAGCTAGGATTACAGGTGTGTGCCACCACGCCCAGCTAATTTTTGTATTTTTTAGTAGAGATGGGGTTTCACCATGTTGGCCAGGCTGGTTTCGAACTCCTGACCCCGTGATTTGCCTGCCTCAGCCTCCCAAAGTGTTGGGATTACAGGCGTGAGCCACCGCGCCCAGCTCCATGTCTTTGCTCTTATGAATTGTGCTGTGATAAACATGCAAGTACACGTGTCTTTTTGGCAGAATGATTTATTTTCCTTTGGGTATATAGCCAGTAATGAGATTGCTGGATCAAATGGTAGTTCTACTTTTAGTTATTTGAGAAATCTTCACACTGCTTTCAACGGGAGCTGAAATAATTTACATTTCTACCAACAGCAGATAAGCTTCCCTTTTCTCCATAACTTCACCAACTTCTATTATTTTCTGACTTTTTAATAGTAGCCGTTATGACTGGTATAAGAGGATAGCTCGTCATGGTTTTAATTTGCATTTCTCTGATGATTATTAATATTGAGCATTTTTTTCATATGTTTGTTGGCAGACTATATGTCTTCTTTTGACAAGTGTCTGTTCATGTCCTTTGTCTACTTTTTGATGTTTTTTTTCCTATTGATTTGCTTAAGTTCTTTACAGATTCTGGATATTAGTCATTTTAACATTACCTAGCTTCAAACTATACTACAAGGCTATAGTAATCAAAACAGAATGATACTGGTACAAAAATAGATCTATAGACCAATAGAACAAAATAAAGACCCCAAAAATAAAGCTTCACACCTACAATCAACTAATATTTGACAAAGATGACCAAAAGAAAAACACAGGGAAAAACACCCCATTCAATAACAGATGCTAGGAAAATTGGCTAATCATATGCAGAAGAATGAAACTGGACCCTACCTCTCACCATATTAAAAAAATAACTAGAGATGGACTAAAGACTTAAATATAAGACCTCAAACTATAGAAATCCTAGAAGAAAGCCTAGAAAATACTCTTCTGTACAATAGCCTAGGTGAGGAATTCATGACTAATACCTCAAAAGCAAATCAAACAAAGACAAAAATTGACAATTGGCACCTAATTAAAATAAAGAGTTTCTAAACAGCAAAAGAAACTATAAACAGAGTAAACATGCAATCTACAGAACAAAAGAAAGTATTGTGAAAAACCAAAGTTCTTAAAATTAAAAACTCAATAGATGTTAAAGACTAAATTAGTCTTAGATGAAAAGGTACTAATGAATTGGAATATATATCTGAGATTACTCAAAATGGAACACAGAGTGGAAAGGCAATATGAGAATTGGAAAAAAGGCACATAGATAACAGAATGAAAATGTTCAACTTAAAAAAAAATTAGAAGCAATGAGGAAAAGAAAATGAATGAGAATTTTCCAGAATTAATGAAAAAATTTTATATTCAAAATGAAAAAAACATATTGAAAAAAACCATGTTGAATAAGAAGAAAAACCCAGCTATACATATTGTGGCGAAAATGCAAAACACATACACACACACAGAAAATCTCAGAGAAGGCAACTAAAAGTATTAGGTCCTCTCTCTGTATCAGATGTGTGTGTGTATGTGTGTGAGTGTGTGCATGTGCATGTTCATTGTGGTGTATTTATGTATGTCTATATGCTTTTGTTTGTGCCAGTCCCCTCACTGGCCATAAGCTCAAGATTGAAAAATTAACACAGCTTGAAAAACAAAAACTTTAGAAATGAACCATGGGGAGTACCCACATGTTACCACATGTATTTGTCTGTTCTCACACTGCTATAAATATACTACCTGAGACTGAGTAATTTATAAAGGAAAGAGTTCACAGTTCTGAATGGCTGGGGAGGCCTCTGGAAACTTAACGATCATGGTAGAAGGTGGAAGGTGAAAGGGAAGCGAGGACCTTCTTCCCATGGCAGCAGAAGAGAGAAGAGTGAGGAGCAAAGAGGAAAGAGCCCCTTATAAAGCCATCAGATCTCGTGAGAACTCACTCACTATCACAAGAACAGCATGGAGGAAACTGCCCCCATGATCGAATCAACCTCTCACCAGATTTCTCCATAGACATGTGGGGATTATGGGGATTACAATTCAAAATGAGATTTCGGTGGGGACAGAGTCAAACTATATCACAACAGTATGTTGCACACAGAGACTTTTACTGAAAGATCTCAGACATTGTGTATTTGCATATTTTAGAAAACGTGTTTAGTTTTCAGTAATTTGTATATCTTTGGACCTCTGTGAAATATATTGACTTAGATAACTTAGACATGTAACTGTTAAAAGGGGGTCTTGTTTTTCTATTTCCTTAGATCTAACCTGACAAAATATATAGACATTTTTTTTGTTTTGTTTTGATTCTCAAATGCTCAACTCATGCTTAGTTATGAATGGCTTCTGACGTGCTGGTGCTGACAGGTTCCCATGTAAACTGGACAGACGAAATTTTATTTGTGATTGAATGTATTTTTGTTAGAGGCAAGTAAACAGTTGACATAAAGCATTACTCACTCATTCAATCCTTGAAGCTTCGTAAAACAAAAATAAATTATTTGGTAAATTTTGTTTATGAGTTAATTATAAATTAGTGAGCACATGAATTTAATCTCCTGAAACTCATCAAATTATTTTATCATTATAAAAGGGGGTTTATAGTCTATTAAACAGTAATTCTTTAATAGAAAAGGAATGTATGGCCCACTTTACCTATCATATAGATTAAAGGCTTCAATAATTTTGCAAACTATTCTTGAAAACAAAATTAAGAGTCCATTAGCACTTCACACCCCCAACAATAGAAACATTAACATATACAGCAATTCCAAACTGGCAGAGTAATGATCTCTATGAACACTCTCCCCAGAGAAACAGCCATTATCTGGTTAAATAACACACACACACGCACACACGCACACACACACACACACACACACACACACACACCCGACACCATACCACACAGAGTTGTCCCTTGGCATCCATGAATGACTGGTTCCAGGACCTCCTTCAGATGCCAAAATCTGAGGATGTTCAATTCCCTTATAGAAAATGGCATAATATTGGCAAATAAACTATGCCCATTCTCCTGTATACTTTTATTTATTTTTATTTTGAAACAGAGTCTTGCTCTCTGGAATACAGTGGAGCTGTAAAAGCAGAAGGCTCTGAAGCTCTCTTCAAGTGAATTGACTGTTTCAAACAAGGTGTGAGGAAGATCAAGCTAAGGGCACTCTTGATAACAATGAAATTTTGCTGATTCATTAAGAGGAGGCTGGTAACTCCATGAGAGCAACAAGCTAAACTATAGTCCAGCCACAAGTTTGCCAGAGAGAAAATTAGAGAAAGAAGCAAGTAAGAGCCCTCCTGGATTGGAACAAATCTCAAAGACTGATCTTATGCAAAGGATCCTATGTTTAATTGGATCAAACTGAAATGGAATTTATGCACCAGAACATTGTTGAAAACAATAAAGAAATCATCCTGCAAATAGTGGAAGCTAACAGATGGATGTAATACTTACAGAAGCAGATGGTTCAATAGGAAAATCAGGGAAAGAGACCAAGAGTCCTCGTATAACCATTGCCATGCCAGGGTGACTGTAAAGATGAGGAAAACCATCAGAGGCTGCACACTGCAAGGGAAATATACTTCAGTAAAATATTTCAGCCTAGTCACCAACAAGCAAACAAGCAAACAAGTCCCAGAGAGGAGGTAGTGAAGGGGAAATCAGTACCCAGTGTTGCTACAAAATATTACCTGAAATGTTCAGTTTTTAGTAAGAGAAAACAAATAAGAGACAAGCAAACCAGCAGAAACATGCAACCCATACACAGAAAAAAAAGCATAACATATTCCAGGCCCATTTATGTTGCCTCAAAGGACAGGGTTTTATTCATTTTTAAGGCTGAATAGTATATATATCTATATCTATCTATCTATCTATCTATCTATATACATATCTATCCAATTTTCTTTATCTATTCATCTGTTGATGGACACTTAGTGTAACTCTATCTTGGCTATTGTGAATAGTGCTACAACAAAAATAGATATGCAGATATCTTTCTGACATATTAATTTTATTTTCTTTGGATACCAACCCAGTAGTGAGGTTGCTATATCATATGGTAGTTATATTTTTACATTTTCAAAGAAGCTTCATACTGTTTTTCATAATGACTGGACCATGCTATTTTACAGTCCCATGAGCAATGTACAAGGGTTCTCTTTTCTGTGCATCCTTGACAGCATCTGTTATTTTCTGTCAATTTGATAATAGCCACAGAATGGTTTTTACCTAATGTAAATATGCAGAATCTGATACAATAACATCTATTACTTTTATCATCTAATTTATGTAGTAGTCTTTGTCAGAGCAGTCTGCATTTTTTAAAGCATTATATTTTCAAATATATATTTAACATTCTAGAATGTATTGGGCAGTAAATTCTGCCTGTTTCTCCTATGAAGAATAGACACTGTGTGAAAAAATATCCAGTGATAAATATGATTATACTCACAGAATTTTTCTGCAAATGAAGAGCAGACTGAACAGGTCCTTGTCTCTTGGTCTCTGTAAGATCCTATATTTAAAGCGGAGACAGCAAAACTTTATCTTAATTATACTTTATATCCACTTCTTCCTTCACTTTTTAAAGAGCTTTTTTTCAAGTGATTATTCTAGTCAGTTTGGGGTGATTGGCGTCTCTATTCTTTTAAAATCTAATAAATGATACATACTTAAGGATGTGTCACACTACATGTACATTTATTCAAAACATTGACCCATTTTTATTGGTTCTTTTATTCATGCCCCAAAGAATATTGAAATGATTTTTCTTTAAAATTTTAGTAGTTAAGCACATAGACTGTGGCACTAGATTGCATGGTTTTAAATTCTGAGTCTGTTCCCCATCCTCCATGCCTCAGTCTCTTTGTATTAAAATGGAGATAAGAATATTCCTTATCTCATAGATTGTGATGAGGCTTAGATGTGTTAATATTTAGAGTGTTTCAGACAATTACTAGTGCATTCCTTGCTATTTCTTTCTTAAAACAGTTTCATGTGTAATTGTCAAGTATAAAGTTTAATTTAGTATCTGCATAATTTAAATGACACATCTGACAGAATATTGAGCTCCACAAAATTGACACATGTATATCCACACATATATGTGATATTGACAAGGAAATTTGAAGTTGGAAGCCATCTTCTCTTTTGATGTAAATGTTCTGTAATAATTTCTTATCCCATCATGGAGGCAGGCTATGCTTACTGTATTACTCAGTTCTTGCATTTCTGCCAAGAAATACCCAAGATTAGATAATTTATAAAGCAGAGAAGTTTAATTGGCTCATGGTTTAGCAGGCTTTATAAGAAGCATGCTGCTGGAATCTGCTTCTGCTGAGGCCTCAGGAAGCTTACAATCATGGTGGAAGGTGATGGAAAGCCAGCATATCACACAGCAAGAGAGCAAACACCACATATTCTCACACATAAGTGGAAGCAAGGTCTCAAGTGAGCATCTTTTTTTCCAGTTAATTTAATCACTGACTTGCTGACTTAATCAGTATCCACAGAAGTTTCTCAGTGCAACCTCAATAATTATATAAGACTTTTGTAATGATTATTTATCAAGCACTGTGATATTCTGTTTTAAATATTGTTTGCTAGCTTTGATAAAAATACAATATATAGCATTCCAAAAGATATGTGGCCGCAACACTGGTAACTAAACTGTGTAGTAGAGATCTAGTCAAAATGACCTGAGACAAATGAATCCCCAGGCCTCACTAAATAATATGTCTTTGGTCATTTTTTGCAGATCCTATTTGAACTCGTTCTTTTGATATGCTCAGCAATATTATGAGTCTAGTTTAGTGGTTTTATTAAAATTGTAAAATTTTCCTTTAAAACATGTATTGAATGTTTCAAAACAATACTGACTCTCATCAAAGGAAATCATGTTAGGTCAGAATCTATAGGAATTTGTTCACATGAAAAAGCTGTCACATGTCAAACAGTGCTATGAAATTGATAGCTGACATTTCAAAGCTGGAGCATAATTTTTATCATCAGCAATCTAGGGTCTATCTCTGGGAGTTATACAAAGGAAAGTTCAGTGAAAATTCGAGTTTTACTCTTCTTGTGGAGAGTTTGTATGGATTCCATTTCTCAAAAATAGTTGGATTATGAGTAACAATCCTTCACTGCTATATACCTATAAAAACACTTGAAATGAATGGCATAAATGCTGAATTTTTATAATTATAAAAGAACCCTCATTTTAGCAAAGTAATGCAAGAAATCAGCTGTTCGTCTGTGCTAAGTCACTTTTCAGAAAACTGGTGTTCCTCTCCTAGACTTCAATTGACAATGAAAAAGATTACAGGGAAGTAATCAACAAACCAACAAATATTCATGGAACAAATACAATATTGAAGGCATTATATCAAGTGCCACAGAAAATGTAAACACAAATAAACCTAGTTCCTTCCAAGGAATTTACCAACTGAATAAATAAGTTTAACTTTCATTGAATAACCTGAATTCCATAGAGCATAAATAAGAAAAACTTTTTCCTTCTCCTACCATGAGAAAACACGCTGCCAGATTTCCTTTGATCACATCTGATTACCCTTTAGGGTCACTTTGGAGTAACTGAAAAGTTTTATTAAAATTCTACCCAACTTGGGCCACAAAAACTCATGCATCTTTGCCCTGCAAAGCAGTGATAATATAGCTTCTTTTTTGTGTTTTTAATTTTATTTTATTTTAGGTTCTAGGATACATGTACAGAATATGCATGTCTGATACATAGGTAAATGTGTGCCATGGTGGTTTGCCGCACCATCACCTAGATATTAAGCCCAGCATGCATTAGTTATCTGTCCTGATGCTCTCCCTCCCCTTGTCCCCCCAACAGGCCCTGGTGTATATTGCTCCCCTTCCTGGTTCCATGTGTTCTCATTGTTCAGCTTCCACTTATGTGTGAGAATATGTGGTGTTTGGTTTTCTGTTCCTGTGTTAATTTGCTGAGGATGATGGCTTCCAGCTTCATCCATGTCCCTGCAAAGGACATGATCTTATTCCTTTTTATGGCTGCACAGTATTCCATGGTGTATATGTACCACATTTTCTTTATCCAGACTATCATTGATGGGCATTTGGGTGAATTTCATGTCTTTGCTATTATGAATAGTGCTGCATAAACATACATGTGCATGTATCTTTATAACAGAATGATTTATATTCCTTTAGGTATATATCCAGTAATGGAATTGCTGGGTCAAATGGTATTTCTGGTTCTAGATCTTTGAGGAATCACCACAGTGTCTTCTACATGGTTGAACTAATTTACATTCCCACCAACAGTGTGAAAGCATTCCTATTTCTCCACAGCCTCACCAACATCTATTTTTTTCTTGAGTTTTTAATAATTGCCATTCTGACTGGCATGAGATGTTATCTCATTGTGGTTTTGATTTGCATTTCTCTAATGATCAGTGATGTTGAGCTTTTTTTCATATGGTTGTTGGCCGCATACATGTCTTCTTTTGAGAAGTGTCTGTTCATGTCTTTTGCCCACTTTTTGCTGGGATTGTTTTTTTTTTTCTTGTAAATTTGTTTAAGTTTCTTGTGAATTCTGGATATTAGACCTTTGTCAGGTGTGTAAATTGCATAAATTTTCTCCGATTCTGTAGGATGCCTGTTCACTTCGATGACAGTTTCTTTTGCTCTACAGAAGCTCTTTAATTAGATCCCATTTGTCAATTTTAGCTTTTGTTGCTGTTGCTTTTGGTGATTTCATTATAAATTCTTTGCCCATGCTTATTTCCTGAATGGTATTGCCAAGATTTTCTTCTAGGGTTTTTATGGTTTTGAGTTTTACATTTAAGTCTTTAATCCATCTTGATTTAATTTTTGTATAAGGGGATCCAGTTTTGGCTTTCTGCATATGGCTAGCCAGTTTTCCCAGCATGATTTATTGAGTAGGGAATCCTTTTCTGACATGGTTTGGTTGTGTCCACACCCAAATCTCAACTTGAATTGTATCTCCTAGAATTCCCACATGTTGTGTGAAGGATCCAGGTGGAGGTAAATTGAATCATGGGGGTCAGTCTTTCCTGTGATATTCTTATGATAGGGAATTAACTCTCACAAAATCTAATGGGTTTATCAGGGGTTTCCACTTTCGTGTCTTTCTCATTTTTCTTTTGCTGCCCCCCATGTAAGAAGTGCCTTTCACCTCATGCCATGATTCAGAGGCCTCCCCAGCCATATGGAAATGTAAGTCCTATTAAACTTCTTTTTCTTCAGAGTCTCAGGTATGTCTTTACCAGCAGCATGAACACAGATTAATACATTTCCCCACTGCTTGTTTTTCTCAGGTTTGTGCAAGATCAGATGGTTGTAGATGTGCGGTGTTATTTCTGAGATCTCTATTCTGTTCCATTGCTCTATGTGTCTGTTTTTGTACCAGTACCGTGATGTTTTGGTTACTGTAGCCTTGAAGTATAGTTTGAAGTCATGTAGTGTGATGCCTCCAGCTTTGTTCTTTTGCTTAGGATTGTCTTGGCTATGTGGGCTCTTTTTTGGTTCCAAATGAAATGTAAGTAGTTTTTCCTAGTTCTGGAAGAAAGTCAATGGCAGCTTGATAAGAATAGCATTGAATCTATAAATTACTTTGGGCAGCAAGGCCATTTTTATGATATTGATTCTTCCTATTCACAAGGATGGAATGTTTTTCCATTTGTTTGTGTCCTCTCTTATTTCCTTGGGCAGTAGTTTGTAGTTCTCCCTGAAGAGGTCTTTCACAAATTTCGTTAGCTGTATTCCTAGGTATTTTATTCTCTTTGTAGCAACTGTGAATGGAAGTTCATTCATGATTTGGCTCTCTGCTTGTCTATTGTTGGTATATAGGAATGCTTGTGATTTTCGCACATTGATTTTGTATCCTGAGGCTTTGCGGACGTTTCTTATCAGCTTAAGGAGCTTTGGGGCTGAGATAATGGGGTTTTCTAAATATGGAATCATGTCATCTGCAAGCAGAGACAGTTTGACTTCTTATCTTCCTATTTGAATGCGCTTTATTTCTTTCTCTTGCCTGATTGCCCTGGCCAGAACTTCCAATACTATGTTGAATAGGAGTGGTGAGAGGCCATCCTTGTCTTGTGCCAGTTTTCAAAGATAATGCTTCCAGCTTTTGTTCATTCAGTATGATATTGGCTATGGTTTTGTCATAAATAACTCTTCTTATTTTGAGATAAGTTCCATCAATACCTAGTATATTGAGAGTTGTTAACATAAATGAATGTTGAATTTTATCAAAGGTCTTTTCTGCCTCTATTGAGTTAATCATGTGGTTTTTGTCATTGATCGTTTATGTGATGAATTATGTTTTTTGATTTGCTTATGTTAAACCAGCCTTGCATCCCAGAGATGAAGCTGACTTGATCGTGGTGGATAAGCTTTTGGATGTTCTCCTGGATTTGATTTGCCAGTATTTTATTAAGGATTTTCTCATCAATGTTCATCAGGGTTATTGGTCTGAAGTTTTCTTTCTTTGTTTTGTCTTTGCCAGGTTTTGGTATCAGGGTGACACTGGCCTCACAAAATGAGTTAGAGAGAAGTCCCTGCTTTTCAACTGTTTGGAATAGTTTCAGAAGGAATGGTACCAACTCCTCTTTGTACCTCTGGTAGAATCCATCTGGTCCTGGGCTTTTGTTGGTTGGTAGGCTATTAATTACTGCCTCAATGTCAGAACTAGTTATTGATCTATTCAAGGACTTCTTCCTGTTTTAGTCTTGGTAGGGTGTATATGTTCAAAAATGTATCCATTTCTTCTAGGTTTTCTAGTTCATTTGCATATAGGTGTTTATAGTATTTTCTGATGGTAGTTTGTATTTCTGTGGGGTCAGTGGTAATATCTTATTTATCATTTATTGTTTGTATTTGATTCTTCTCTCTTTTCATCTTTATTAATCTAGCTAGTGGTCTATTTTGTTAATATTTCAAAAAATTGGTGTAACTTTCTAACTTGCTAATATTGTACGCAACTTTAAGCAACTTTTGGATTCACTTTATGGCTCCAAATTATTGAGAACACATGTGAACTTCTCCTGAGAATTTTTTTCATGCTCAATTCTTTAATAGTATAGGCCAGGCATTTGAATATCTACAGGTGAGCAAACATCCAGTCAGTATATGAAGTATCTACTCTTTTGCAGATAACCCTAATCACTCGAGCTCTCCTTTAACTTGATTTTGTTGGTGGGAAAAGCCACAGAACTGTTTAGCCCTATGAATTTCATTTAAAATTTTCTCCAATAGATCTTTACCTTTCTCTTACAGAAGAGAATAGTTATAGAGTGTGATAGAAAGTGGTCAAAGGGTCAGTTGGACTACCTCTTAGTAAATCTATTCAAGAAATATACTCAGAATTTAGGATATTTATCATTCATTGCCCTCAGCTTTAAAGGTTTGGCTACAATTCTGAGAAAACATGGAATGTTCTGGTGCCTACTAAAATAATTTTAGGCAAATAAAGGAGTTAGCTACCTTTAGATACATCACAGGGGCTGATTTACCTAAAAGTTAATAAAGCATCAACCTAAGGACATCTCAATTGACTTCCAAGGCCCTGTACCTCATTTTGTATTTATAATTTTGTATTTTTTCCCTAAATCTCTTCCCCAAATATATGTGCCTCAGATGCCACAAATCATAGATTTACTCCTATCAGCACATGATTAGTTGAAGACTATAAGTTCCCTAACTTGAGCAATGGTAAAGTCACCAGCTGGAGCTTTCTGGGAAGGTTTTATAGAGAAAGAATCTAAGGTTACACATTTTATCAACAGAGAGAATGAGCTGTCTTGAAAGCTTAAGGGAGACCTTATTAAAGCAGTTAGTCTACTTTACAGGTCATATATTAGAGATTGATTATTTGAGGACTCTCAGAAATGGCAGAATATCTAAATAAAAGCTTATCTTGACATTATCACCATTATAATCCTTATATGAGACTAATGCTTTGCTTTTAGAATAAAACATAATAATCTATTAGGATGTGTCTGAAGTAATGCAGTTCTATGTGTACTATCTTTCACTGCAAATCATTCAGGCACTTTATTTGATCCTTAATCATAAATGTCATTTTAAAATCTTTTACATTGTACAGATGCCAGGAGATCCTTTTTTATGCTAAATTTAATCTCATATGCATAAAACACTTGTGAATTTTTCTACATGTATTTTTTATGGTATCTCAACTTATAATCACATTGAAACCATGGACTGTTTTTCTTTCTAATTCATTCCATTGTTTAATTTTTATTTCACCGTTCCAGCCCTCTTTCTGTAGCAGTTCAGAAACATACTACAAACTTCAAAAGCCATTTCAATTTTCATTTTACTTTTGCATTTCTTCCTTTTTGGATTTATTTTTGTTCTACTAATATTTTTTAGGCAACTTTCAATTTGCTTTGAAATGCTTTCCTTTCATGTCACTTTTTTTCTATTTAAAAAAAGCCACTGTCTTTGTTTGATTCTTCTGTATTTATGCATTACTGTTGCCTTGTAGTAAAATCGGAGCCAAATGAGGCTTTTTTGTGTGTATTTTGTATTTACAAGGGATACAAGAAGCCATGCAGTCATGAAATGACCCGTGCTGCACTGCCAGGTTCTTAATGTGTTGTGCTCACCCTAGCACCTTACTGGAAATATGACAGGCTTGTTCATAAACACACAAACCTTGAGCTATGCAGGTTTTCACTGTCTCTTAAGAACACTAATCTCTGAATGCATCAAGGAGATTCTACTTCTGTCTGTTTTCCCTCTCCCATTATTTTCAAAATATATTTTGGCCATTTATATCCTAAACATATGATAAACCAAGAATTTGGAGTCTGGAGAGAGCCAGGACTATAAAAAAAAAAAAAGACTATCCTAATTATTACTAAAACAGAGTATCCTCCTAATTCTAATGGCATATATGGAAAACCTGAGAGACTCATGTCAATAGTTCTGTGATGGGAAGGTGGCTGTTCATTTATTAATGTGCATTGAAATGTTGAAACATATATTTTATATATATAGTAGGTATATATTTATTCATGAATATGTAATTATATGTGGTGATAGCAATTCAATAAGGTAGTTATGCATAAAATGAGATTTATATTTTCATAGATTAAAAAATACAAACAAAACTAACTGAAAGTCCTTTTTTCTACCTTCAAGGAACAGACCCATTCAGAAGTGTTTTATTTAGTTATCTAAGAATCTGCTTTCATTATTCTCTTATGAAGATCAGAGGATATAAAATATATTCTTTATTATTCTAAAAATACATTCACTTTTTCTAGACCCTATTTTATTGTCTAACATCTAAAATGTATGTTCAGTATTTGAAGGCTGATGCTAAATCCATATCAAAGCAAAGATAATGAAAATGATATTGTGCTCTGAAAGCACATAAGCAATAGCAAACACCTTGTGGTGAACCAGTTTTCAAACCTAGTGCAGCATTTTAATTTTGTCTCTGCTCCTTCTCCAACTCATACAGTCACACTATATTTTGAAATTCTTAGAATTTTGTTCATAGAAAAATGACTAAAAACTTGTCTCTTTAGAGAGCATAATAAAGTGTTTTCTAATCACAGATTTGTGGTGTATTCTCAAAATGTTGCTCCTCTAACTGAATGTCTTAAAATAGCAATTGCAGTGCTCTAAAACTAATTTATTAAAATGACAATAATGGTATTAGAGGATGAATGCTCAGAAAAAAATCTTTTCTCTAAATGAAGAATAATTATTCATGCTGGAAAATTATCAGAAACCATTTTGGGCTTCTCTAATAACATGCTAAGTAATTTGTTATTTTCAATGTAGTTGGAAATATTTACCACTTGCTAATTCCTGCGAAATTCAATACGGCCTATAGATAAGATTAGTGATGGAATACAAATATTATATTACAAAATTATATTCGAGTTTACTTTAGAGTTAAAATAATGATTTTCTAAAATTTTCATTTTATTTATCAGTAAACCAAGCCCCAGAAAGGTTGAAAAAATAAGTAAAAGACTACATCAATGGTCTATGACATTGATAAAATGAGAAGGTGGCTCACCTTACTTCATGCCCAGAGTTGCTTCCATGACTTCACCCAGGACTTATTATACAAGCAAAAATAAGAGATGTTGATCTGTTAACAAATAAAGTGCTGGTCATAACAATAGGCAACTGTCACTTGATTTTTCTCTGATCCTAGGATGAGCTCTTTATTTCAGAAAAAACATGTTGTTTATCATAATATACAAACTACTATAATTTGATTAACCCCCTTTTTAAGACTGTCTAAATTTGTTTAAATTATATAATTTCTGTTTAATTTAACCTTCCATTCCCCCACCAAAAAAAAATTGAAAACAACAAAAAAATTGAAAACAATCTAAATGTTTAGTTGTTGGTATTGGGTTGTGATTTATCCATGTATTGTAAACACTATAACTGCTGGTATCTAGATGCCTAATGAAATCTAGTCATTTTCATTTGTAGGTACATACCCAACAATAATGCATATATGTGTGCATGAAAATCAATGTCCAGGAACATTCATAGACATTCATAGTGTATTCATAGTTTATTCATAGCCATCATTAAATCAAAGCAATCGTAATGTCCAGTAATTTTAATATGAATAAATTAATTCTGATTTATTCATGTCATGGAATACTACATAGCAATGAAAACGAACAAACTTAAGCTATATGCGACATTGTTGTATCTCACAAACCCAGTGTTTAGTCAAAGAAACTTGACAGCAAAAGATAAATACTGTGCATTTAATATATAATCCTCCCAGAGGGTCAACTTCCCACTCTCTTATAGGGAGTTACAAGACTATGTATAGGGATTTTTTAGATAGATATTTTTAGTGATAAAAATAAGAGTCACAATTAAAAGGTAGGAGGACCTGGAGTTCAAAGATAAGTAGTTATAGAAATAAGAAAATGACACCAAAGGAGGAATTAAAGACAATTAATATATAATTTTCCCACCTCAATATGTTCTGTAGGTTTGCCCTGGTTATGTGGATTCTAACACAATTGTGACAGAGTATTATTAAATTATTAGCAAAATAATCCTATTAGCAAAATGTTCTGAATTTATTTAAATTAAAAATGAGGCACAGGAGTGATTGTTTTCCATGAAATCTCAAAGATTCCTACACATCCCCAAAATCTCAAAACTCATTTATCACAGTGGAGCTAGAGGTGGGTAGGAAGGTGTAGACAAACAAGAAAAAAAATGAATAAGATAATTTCCAATAGCAATAAGTGCAATAAAGAAAATGTAGAGGATGAAATGGATATGAATGGCCAGGGCAGAAGAAAAAGGCATAATTTAGATAGAGGCATATTCGATGACTTTTATCTAGGATGTGAATGATAAGAATGAAAAAGGCATTTGGAATCCCAAAGAAAGAGCATGCTAAGCAGAAGAAACAGCAATAGGCAAAATCCCTGAAGAAGAAATGGCCTTAGTGTGATGCAGAAACAGAAAGGTGTCTCAGTCCATTTGGGGCTGCTATAACAGAATACCACAGACTGAGTGATCTATAAAAAAACAGAAATTTATTTCTCACACTTTTGGAGGCCGGGAAGTCTCAGCCCAAAACATAGGCAGGTTTGGTGAGACCTTTCTCTTCTTCCAAGATGGTGCCCTGCACGCTGTGTTCTCCAGAGGGGAGAAAGGCTGGATTCTCATGTGGCAGAAGGCCAAAGGGCTAAGAGGGACAAAAGGGGGCCAAATTTGCCCTTTTATAATGGCATTAATTCCACCCATGAGGGCAGAGCCCCTATGTCTAATCACCTCACAAAAGTCCCACTTCTTAAAATCAATATACTGGCAATTAAACACTACATGAATTTTGGAGTGGACAGATGTTCAAACCATAGCAGAAGGTTAAATTACACAAGAGGGAAAGTAGTGGAGACTTAGACAGTGGCCTAATTATGTATTCTTATAGTACACAGAAGTAGATAATTGCCAGGTCATAGTCAGATAATGTAAAGTCATGTCTTACATCCCCATTATTTTTAGTTTCTAGGGAATATTACAGGAAGTACTACAGGAAATTTCAAATTTCTTTTAGGGTCAGAATCTGATTCACTCCCTGAGCATTTGGATTAGTCTAGATGGGCTACTGGGCATGAGATCAGTGCTGTGAGATCCATTTTAAGGAGTGTCTGAAGAGAAGAGGAACAAGTCCTTTATCCAGATCGTCAAAGGACAGCCTGGCATCAGAGTGTTGAATAATCATCAGTATT
The DNA here is from genome assembly GCF_000001405.40 of Homo sapiens. Lineage (NCBI taxonomy): Eukaryota > Metazoa > Chordata > Mammalia > Primates > Hominidae > Homo > Homo sapiens. The sequence continues at coordinate 78,106,379 of NC_000006.12, read as the reverse complement.
TTAGGGTGAACTGAAGGTATTATTGAAACAGGTCAGGAAAAAGATAAAGAGTTTGAGGCAATTACTATATCTTTAGCTATCTTTATTGAATTGAGCACATGATTTGTTGATGTATATGGATGAGTTAAAGGAAGAGAAGCTGAGAAGACTATTACAAAGTGTGATGGTTAGTTATGTGTGAATTTGGCTGTGGCGTCCAGTTGTTTGGTCAAACATTTGTCTGGATGTTGCTTCTGAAGGCATTTTGTATATGTGATTAACATTTACACTCAGCAGACTTTAAGCGAAGGGCATTATCCTTAATAATGTAGGTGAGACTCATTTCATTGGTTGAAGGCCTTGGAATAAAAAGCTGAGGTTTTCCAGAGAAGAAAAAATTATATCTCAAGACTCTAACATAAACATCTTGCCTGAGTTTTCAGACTGCTGAGCTGCCGTACAAATTTCACACTGGCCAGCCCCTGCATGAGCATGAACCAAGTCCTTAAAATTAATCTCTTACTCTCTCTGTCTGTCTGTCTCTCTCTGTCTCTGTCTCTCTCTCTCACTCTGTGTGTGTGTGTGTGTGTGTGTGTGTGTCTGTCTGTGTGTTACACTGATTCTATTGGCTTGGAGAACATTTAGTGAAACACCTAGTAAAGACTACAATGCAAATTCCTTTCTGGTTTTCTTAGCTGTTTGAAAGAGGCAGAAACCTCCAAACTACTTTTACTTTCCCCTGTTAAGGTTTAGAGCAGAGTGAGCGTTAGTCACTCACTCCGTGAGTTCCTTCTTTTAAGATTCCCCATGGACCTGATTGACCACTGAAGGATAAAGGCTCACACCTCATCCTTCTAGGTGAACTAGAACTAGCCACCTGGCCCCTGCCCAGCACCAGGGAGCCAATTTTTTGTTTTTGTTTTTTATCTTAGGAGATAAATGACATATCTGAATCTATATTATAAAACTCTTCTCTACTATGAAAATCTAAATGATTGGCACTGGGAAATTCTTCCCAGGTAAATAAAGTAGGAAGTTGAACATTTATCTAACAGATCTACTTTGGAATCTTAGCAATTCAACTGATAATATGCCAGAAATTATTACAATTATTAATAAAATATATGAACATTTTTATCTTTTCCTATTGACTTTAGATTTTGATTAATAGCAGTATTTTCTAAGTCCTGTCAACATACACTATATATTCCTCAAAAGCCAGGTCCTGCATATTCAAAGCAAAATGGGAGAGGGAGTCTTAATTATTTAAATGTACTATCTATAGTATTCAAATCACTTTTCTATTCTAATTTGGCTGAGCATTTCTGGCCATGTATTGATGAGGAGCAAAATGTAAACATTCCTATCAGTTTGCTAGTAGTAACTAGACCTAAAATAATTTTGTTTTTTACATATCTAATTTTGAGACAATATGCTTAGCAGTTAGGAGCATGGGTTCTGAAGCCCAGTTCCCTAGATTCACATAATGGTGTCATATTAGCTGAATGAATTTGAGTATTTTATGCAACCACTTCCTGACTCAATGTGTTCATCAGTAAAATGGGGTAATATTACTTACCTCGTAGAGTGGTTATGAGGGTAAACACATAGAATAGTATCTGGAACATAGTAAGTGCTTAAAATATTAGTTTTAATAGCTATAGATATTTTCTGATACTTATAAATGCCTTTAATCAAACAATTGCTACATTAGTTTTTGTGTACAGCATGTGTATTAACTATATGATGGGAATCAATCTTAACCTAAGTTTGAGTCCTCAGTCTTCGAACTAGAGGTTATGTGACATTGGCAAGCCACTATCTATGAATCTTGAACTAGAAAGTGGATCTGATACCCCCCCATATCTCCATATCTATATCATTACAAAAGCAAGTGTGATTATATTTACTGAATGCAAGTTATAAAATCTTATACAGATGTGAAGGCTTGCTATCTATTCATTTAATCAATTAACTTCAAAATAGTTAAAACCACAGTGATTCTGCAGTTGGTGTTCCACAACTATGTGCCAAAGAAACATGTTTTAAAAAGTCAATATCATAATATGCATAATTATTTTTAAGTATATGAGGGCTGATTTTCTTTACTTATTAATAACTAACTTAGTAGTAAAACATAACTTTTTAAGCGTAGCTGAATTTGCTCATAGTTGTCCCTCTATCCTCTGACTTATACATTTGATTTTGGTTACTGATGCATACAAGCTCCAGAAGCAAATTTTCTTATGTCCCCTCTCTGCTTCCATGGCCTCATTAATCTCTTCTGTCTTGCATCTACCTGAGTAGTTTTGCTGTTCTTCATGTTCTCTTCTGGCTTAGTCTTCATCAGAGTAAAAGGAATAGTAATCTAACACAGAGGATAATGAATATTGGTCTTCCAATTTAGCCTCAAAACACCAAAAGTGGTGTACTGACTTAGGGAAAATTCAGGTGTAAAAAAAAATCTAATAGTCATACTAAAAACAGCAGCAAGCTGTGTTTGGTGGAGACTTGTATTCAGCTTTTTTATTGTCTTTTTTTTTTTTCACAGACTTTTAAAGTACAATTATATCATGACTTGACTGCTTTTAGTTCCACGGTCTTCTGAAAATAACAATGTAAACATTTTAAAGCTATAAGGGACTTATACTAAAGCACAATGGAAAAATCTGTGCTGGCAAATTGGAGCACTTTGTTATTCTCACCCACTTCAATTCTATCAAATTCACATAGGAATTTGACAGTTAAAAGACAGTAATTTGAAATATACAATTTCCTTTTGTTCCTTCACTTTACCTAATGAATTTTTTAGAACATTACTGTTAGTATCCCATGGCCTATGTGTTAAAAGTCTTCTGTAGCCCTGATAGAGCCTCTGGTATTTAAAAATGAAGGATAGTGGGATCTTCAAAAATAAAGAGCCAGACTTGATATCAAACCATATAAGGTAATTGGGCAGTATCAATTACCTTTCTGTCTTTCTGTTCCTCTGGTTAATTAGCCTTTCCTTCCCACACTTTCTGAGGCATCTATGACCCCATGTATTAAGCTCTCTCATAGTTCCTCCAATGTTGACTGTGCTTTCCTGCCCAGACTTTGAATCTTGATAAAGTATAGCTATCTTGAAGATGCAGATCTAATGTGAATTATTCCGTAAAGACTTTCTTTCCTGATTCATAGTAGGAAATAATCTTTTCCTCCATTTAGTTTTCCAATTATTTTTTAACCATTTTAACACAAATTGCCATATACATGCATGACTATTAAAGCAGATTACAAATTCTTTTAGGCCAGGGACTTTGTTTTTATTTATCTTGGGATCTTCTATATCTCATAATACAATATCTTACGTTGTATTAGTAAGAGTTGATAATTGATTGCTATTAAACATGGGTAGGAATAATTTTAATCAAATAAATTTATTGGGCAATCATGACAATTAGATAAAATAATTGTATCAAGAGTTATATTACAAGGAATATGATGATACCTTGTTTCCAGTAATAAAAACTGATTAAAAGTTCCAATGTAGTATTACCTGTAGAGACAAAGAAAAACTTGTCAAAAAACATGAAAGCATCTAAAAAGACATGGTTATACAAAAGCCTGTCTATGTTGTTCTTTTCTTTTTTTTCCTTTTTTTTTTTTTTTGAGGCGGAGTCTTGCTCTGTCGCCCAGGCTGGAGTGCAGTGGCATGATCTCGGCTCACTGCAAGCTCCGCCTCCCCGGTTCGCGCCATTCTCCTGCCTCAGCCTCCCAAGTAGCTGGGACTACAGGCGCCCGCCACCGCGCCCAGCTAATTTTTTGTATTTTTAGTAGAGTCGGGGTTTCACCCTGTTAGCCAGGATGGTCTCGATCTCCTGACTTCATGATCGGCCAGCCTTGGCCTCCCAAAGTGCTGGGATTACAGGCGTGAGCCACCGCGCCCGGCCTATGTTGTTCCTTTCTTAATCAGCCTACAACTTCACCTCTTTTTAGATTCCATTCAACTGTGGACAAAATAATTACTTAAATTTATTTGATATATCTTGACATGATACATCATAGCACAGACCAGTTGCATGTCACTTAATTGTCTAACTAGTTCCAGCCTCAAGCCTTGGAACTTACTGCATTGAGACTCTATTCTTCTCTGTTTACTTTTCTATAAAAAATTTAATGAACAATAAAATGTCTTTGCCATCTTTATTGTGGCTCCTTTGAAGTCTTGCTCTTGTCATTGGGTTTTTCTTATATTGTGCCTGACTCCAAGTCTGAAGATTCTGTACTATAGATTGGTCTCAAATAGAAAAGCATTGTATGTGCTTTCAAGAAAGTAGACTTTTGAAATACCATTTATATGGGATGAACTTTTTACAAAGTTCTTTCTGATGCATGTTTGTCTATGTATAGAATATCTTTGAGGAACACATAAAAAATTTGTAACAATGGTTGCCTTTGTGGAGGGGGACTGAGGGACAATGTGTGGAAAGGAGAATTACCTTTCATTTTACACCTATTTAGATTCTTTGCATTTTTGCCATATTAAAAACACAATTTAGATTAAAAACAAGACACAAAAGCAAATTAACTAACACTATATTATTTCCTGTGTCTTTTCTTTCCTAAACAAATTACAACAAACTTGGAGGTTTGAAACAACAGAAATATATTCTTTCACAGTTCTCAACTCCTGAAGTCTAAAATCAGTTTCACTGGAAATCAAGGTGTTGACAGGGCTTCATTCCTGTTGGAGGCTCTAGAGAAGTCATTTTTTGGCTCTTCCAGCTTCTAGTAATTGCTGACATTCCTTAACTAGTGGCCCCATGACTCCATTGTCTGCTTCTGTTGGTCACATTGCTGTATCCTTTGTCGATTCAAATCTCCATCTGCCTTTTTCTTAAAAGGGCACTTGTGATTGCATTTATGTCCCACCCAGGATAATCTTCCCATTTCAAGATTCTTAATGACATCTATAAATATCTTTTTTTCATGACAGTTTTCAGGAATTAGAACCTTGTGTCTTTGGGGGTCATTATTCAGCCTGCTGTAAGCACCAATTAGACATGTTCCTATGCATGGATTTACTGAATCCACACAGCTAGTCTGTGAAGTAATTGTTGTTCTAATTGTGCAAGTGAGACCACTGAAGTTCGAGAGGTTAGGTGACGTATATCCAAAGGCACAAGTAGCAAGTGGTGAAGAGTTGATTCAAATCTAGACCTAATCTGGCTCCAATTCGCTTTTGTTTTTCCATTTTATCCTAGCAGCTTCCCAAGTAATAGATACACAGTAGTGTCTTAATAAATGTTTGTTGTTACAAAATTAAAATAATAAAATAAAACTATTGAGATATTGAAGTTTGCCACTTTATCATTTCATTACTATTTTTAAAAGTTCACAGATTTTTAAAAATTTTTTTTTTTTTTTTTTTTTTGAGACGGAGTCTCGCTCTTTCACCCAGGCTGGAGTGCAGTGGCGCTGTCTCGGCTCACTGCAAGCTCTGCCTCCCAGGTTCACGCCATTCTCCTGCCTCAGCCTCCCGAGTAGCTGGGACTACAGGCACCCACCACCGCGCCCGGCTAATTTTTTGTACTTTTAGTAGAGACGGGGTTTCACCGTGTTAGCCAGGATGGTCTCGATCTCCTGACCTCGTGATCCGCCCACCTGGGCCTCCCCAAGTGCTGGGATTACAGGCGTGAGCCACCACACCTGGCCAATTTTTAAAACATTTTTAAAAATCAGATGTCTCTTCAGAAACTGTTTCCTAATGTCAGTGCAGTGCTGTTTCCAAACGGATCGCCACTGTGGATTGGAGACAGTTTTATCAACGTAACACAAAATAACGCAACACATAAATAATGTGAAGAGGCTGAGCCAGGAATAAATTGAATCCCTGTACAGACAAATAATGAGCCCCAAAGTTGAATCAGTAATAAATAGCTTATTGTGATGGTTAATACTGAGTGTCAACCTGATTGGATTAAAGGATACAAAGTATTGATCCTGGGTGTGTCTGTGAGGGTATTGCCAAAGGAAGTTAACATTTGAGTCATTTAATCTGGGTGGGCACAATGTAATCAGCTGCCAGTGTAGCTAGAATATAAGCAGGCAGAAAAATGTAGGAAGAGAGACTGACCTAGCCTCCCAGCCTACATCTTTCTCCCATGCTGGATGCTTCCTGCCCTCAAAAATTGAACTCCAAGTTCTTCAGTTTTGGAACTAGGACTGGCCCTTTTTGCTTCCCAGCCTGCTGATGGCCTATTGTGGGACCTTGCGATTGTGTGAGTTAACTCTTAATAAACTCATATGTATATACTTTCCATTAGTTCTGTCCCTCTAGAGAACCCTGACTAATATAGATATTTTGGTACTAGGAGTGGTTCTAGAGGAACAGAATATTAAGGATGGAGTTATTTCATTGGTTTGGGGGTTTCTGGAGTTGGCTGCTTAATATGATTAGACCTCAAATTGCTAAGGACTCTACTTCTAATACTATGGAGAACCCTGATAGTCCTTGGCATGAACTGTTTAGAAAGTTATGCAAAATAAATGCATTTGACACTCATGGTTCATCACTCGTGAGAAGCAAAGGGTTTACTGACTCTATGCATAATACCTTTGACCCTATGCGGAGAACCGGGAACATAATGCTGCTGGTTGGTTGCTCCTAAGTTCAGTGGACAAAGTGATGAAAGAAAATGATGAACTCAGGGATCCTATCTCCCAGCTTCAGAAGCAAATACTGAGCCCCAAATCTGCTAAGATTGAGCTGAGAGTCTTATCTCCTGTAGAGAAAGAGCTGAAATTGTGGAAAAATAGACACAAGTTCTTATCGTGTGAGTGGCCGACCTGCAACGAAAGGTGCATGCCCAACCTCACCAGATGTCTACTGTTAAAGGAGGGCATTTGTTGGAAAAGAATGGGACCCTGCAACTTGGAATGGGGAGGTGTGGGAAACACCTTTCCCGTCCCCATAGTGGCAACATCCCCTCCCCCACCCATGCTGCCATCAGCCCTTCCACCTTTGAGGAGATAAACCCTGTGCTGCCTGAGGCAATGGTGATGGCCTCCCCGAGGCAGTTTCCAGGCAAGATAATGTTGATTCTCCTCAGGAAGCCAACACCCCTGTTTGCTTCCAGTCCTATAGCTAGACTAAAGTCCTGGTGGGCCCATAGAGGTGAGGCTGAGAGTATGACCCATGAGGAGGTGCACTACACTCAGAAATAACTGCTTGAGTTTTCTAATTTATGTAAACAGAAAACTGGAGAACAGGCGTGGGAATGGATATTAAGGGTGTGGGATAATGGTGGAAGGAACACAGAGTTGGATCAAGCTGAATTTATTAATTTGGGCCCACTAAGTAGCTACTCTACATTTGATGTTGCATCTGGGGAGTTAAAAAAGGTTCTAATAGTTTATTTGCTTGGTTAGCTGAAATATGGATTAAAACAGGAATACCCATCTTGAATAGTTAGGTGAGCTAGTAATACACTTCTAGTGTGCTTAGGCCTTTATACCTTTTGTGTCTATTTTTTTCCAGCAGCTGTTTGTACACGTACCAATGCATCCTTCATTCATCCTACTCAAGTTTATAGCATAAACTTCATGCTGCGAGTTCTCCAGGTTCTGGATCTTTAGTTACATAAATTCTTATCACTCTTAATTTTTTTTTCAGGGCTATTGTTTGTGTTGTAAACATTGAAGGCATATTTTGGAACTCAGAGCCAATAATTTGAAACAAACACTAAGATTATTTTCTGTATTATTTCCACTGGAGCAAAACATTTTAACCTGTTTGTTTCTAATGAAAGAGCTGCAAGGCAAAGAGGAAAATTTTATAGTAGTAAAAGAAAATACATGGATAAAAATGCTGAAATATTATTCTCTTGTACAAGGTTAACTCAATGGAACAGAATGCTCTTGGCATACAATTAAATTTGAGATGAAGGGAAGGCAAACACAGGCCTTCTTTCAGGTAGAAAACGTTTGCATTTAAAGATTTATTGTAATACAGAGTTTCAACATGCTCACACTTACAATATTGTCCTTCTGGAAAAGGACCTTTTTGGTGTCCCAGTGAATCAGATAAGTGAGGGTTAGTACCTGAGGTTCATTGGTCTATGTTGATTTTATGACTAATAGAGCTAGGTAATTCTTTTTTACAAATTTTTCATTTGAACATAAAGTGTTCAGTAAAATATAGGAAGTAAAAGGAGATAATTTGCAGCTGATCCACATATGGCAGAGTGACTAAAAGTAAATGATAAAAATGGGCTGATGCTTGGAAAAGAGTTACAGAGTCAGTGGGATCAATGATTATTATTATTAATAATATTGATATCTCCAGTGCTTATATTATCTTTTATGCTCATAATTTATACCTTATAAATTTTTAAATAATCTCTCAACAAGCATGAATGTAATTATTAGTGTATATTGTAAAAGTCTGAGAAAACAAGCTTGGAGAGATTTGTAGCAAATGAACTAATGTCATACAGCTGCTATGCTGAAGTTTCATGTGTCCAACTTGTTCTATCATTTTAAAAATGTCTGGATTAGGAGTTTCTGGTTCACTACAATAGCCATCAACAAACGATGATTATTGATAAACTACTGTGTCCTGAATTTTAATATTCTTTCATTGTGCTTATTTTCTCTAGCATTTTACTAATTGTTATGTCAATATCCTTGACCTCAAATAAAAAGGTAATACTACTTCTGATGTGCCTTACAGAAGAAAGAGTTAACTCCTCTGACAAATAAAATATTCCTATTTTTTTTAAATCAACCATTTGGACTGAAACAGAATGACATTTTAGGATAAAAGTAAATAATCAATATTTTAAGCTTTTTCAATACTAAACAATGCCATTAATAAATGCAATGTCCAGATTAAATGTCTTTCCTGATATAAAGTATTTCTAAAGCCGGCTAACATCTGGTTGCTAAATGGCCTAAAGAGCGAGGATTTTAAGAAAACCAAATATTTTACAAAGAAAACAGAGAAAATATTTATAACCATAGTAACAGCTTAATTTAAATTTGGTATTTTATATATTATTTCAGATTCATGATCATTTACAGAATCACATTATTGATTACTTTTAGGAGGCAATAAACAGTTATGCAAATGAAGGCAAATTGTATCATGTTCACACAACACTGGGTTACAGCTAACTATAGGGAGACTGATTAAGCTGGTGGAGAACTCAGATTCAATACTTAATCAGAATGTTCATTAGGAAAATATATGGTCTTAAGAATTTGATTATTAAATCACTTTGTTGCTAATAGTACTTATTCCATTCATTCAACACTATATATATATATATATATATGTATATATATATATATATATATATATATTTTTTTTTTACCAGAAATAGGCAATATGTTGCAGGTATAGAAGGTATGTTAGAGAAACAAGATAAACTAAGTCTCTGCTCTCATTGTGCCTACTTTCTAATAAGAAGGAAAAAGAAAGGAAGTAAGGAAAAGAAGGTAAGTAGTGAGTAAGAATTAACAAATACTTGTATTGAGTTTATTGAGTCTGTGGAAGGCTGATTGCCTCTCCACAGCTATATCCACTGTGAATTTTTAGCCAAGCATGCACTGGTAGGCCCAGGAGATTATGGTTTAGGTGGGCCAATGGTTAGGAAGAAGAGCAGAATTCAGAAATGAGTGAGGATAAATTGGGACCCACAGGTATCTCCAATTTGTCTTTCACTGCCTGTAACTGTGATGATCTTTAGGGACTGATTGCTCCTGTTTCACTGGTCCAAATCTCATGCAAATTTCTCTTGTGGCCAGCTACACACTGGCATCATATAGAGAAGATGATTCAGGAAATGTTGGAGTATACACAATTTCACTGTTATTTATTCTATGTAATATTTCCTATTTATAATATTTTACTTCAAAATAAAGATATAGGCAAAAATAATTACTTCAGGAAATTATGTTAAATATCAATGTCAGTATTTTTTAAGTCAGCACAGAACTATAAAGTTATGAAAACCTTTTTGAGTCTTCTCTCAGTGATGTTCCATGTATCTCTGCTTATTTACCTAGTGCTTTGGACTTGGCAAACATCATTTCAAGTTCTTATATAAAATCCCCACAGAGTAGTGGCAATTTGTCAGAGCATTTTTTTCCTCACCTTTTTAAAAAACAGTAAGTAAAATGAGGAGAATTATAATGGTGTATGCCACAATCATGTCAGTGTGAGTCCCCACAAGATGTTAGCCAGACAACTGCTCTACTAACTAGCCTATAGCAATGAAGACAATGTTCTCTGATGCAGGAAGTGGGAACACATATCAAAGGATCAGTTGATCTGCAAATTTAATGTTTATTCTCCTTCTTAAATGTATCGAACAGATCCATGCAATTCATATTATTTTTTAAGAACTGTCAACCACATCCTTAAACTCTGGCAATCTTCATAGCATAAAAAATAACTCATTGCACCCTTTAAACTAAAAGAGAAGGCTTGTGCATGATTTAATAAATGTGATTTTGGATGTCTAAGCATCAATTAACTTTATTTTTGTAATTGTCTGAAGCTCAGCTATGCCATTGACATTATTTTATTCTCCAATAATCAATAGCTAGAGCCAACCAATTTGATTTTTTGATATGATTCATCTCTTGTATTTACACAGTGCTTATAGAAAACAAAGTAATTTGAATTGGAAAGGTATTTGATATTGAAGACAGACCCTTAAAATTGATTTGTAGTTAAAGCGCATTGACTTTTTTTTATATTTTCAAATCTAATATTACCAGAATCCTGTAAGAGAATATTCATACCAATGAAACACTTTAAACTGGCCATTGCTATGAAATTGAAATGGAGAAATACAGTTTTTACTTCAAAGGAATTTCTACCTTAAGTCAGTCTAAAAGCATTTTTTCTCTACATGTATTAAGTGGATTTAGAGTGCATCATTAAAATGAAAGTAACCTCAATATATCATCTTTAGAAGTGGATGGAAAAATGCTTTAAGAGGATCTAAATTGCATATTAAAGAAACCAACTTTATTAAATTATGGGGCTTCAAATTAAAAGATATTTCAGCAAACCTGTTAGTCAGATTCTTACTGAGAAACTCTTTAGTTCACAGCTGGAAATCACTATTCATTGTGCCTGTATTAAAAAAAATTCCCCTACAGGATGTTGGCAGTGTCCCTACCTGAAGTAAAAAGAACCTATCCAATAGCTGTTTTGACATAAAATTCTTATTAAGAAAATTTATATTTGAAAAAGTTTAATATGGAAGTGATTACACTAGAGAAAACAAACTTTTCAATAAGTTTAGTCTGCTATTTTTGTAAAACTCATTTTGCCTTACAATTACAGTTACATATGGCATAGTGACAATGACAATAAAGCGGGCTTCATCAATACTGAAGTAGACTGAGTTGGATTATTATTTAGACAATTTTTTAAAAACTGTGTCAGATTTACTTTCTTCATTCATAAAATATAGACTAATTCTAACTCGATTGTAACTGTTGTGAAGATTAAGTAAAATAATCCTTGAGAAAATACATAGCATCTATCGATATATAGTGTATATACACAAGATGGTTATTACATTCCCTTATTTGTGGAGGTTTATTCATTATGGCACAATTTACAAAGTTAATTTATTTATAATACTTGCTTCTAATGAATCACTCAAATATAAAAAGTGTCAATAGTAACTCTGAAAACAAATGTCAGGTTGCTTTTTATGTAACTCAGTTTTGTTTCTAATATGCCAAAATTTTTTCCTTCCAGGAGAAGAAAAGCTTCCTTCTGCAGAATAGAGAAAATATTACTTTCTAAAACCTGTATTCCCGATTAACTCCCACCAATATGGCAATACCTAAAATTAGTTGACCAGATAGGAACCTGTAACCCATTTCTTCTGTTATATTCATGTCTCTCACCATCACCTCTACTGGCTTCACACCAAGTCTTAACTATCCCCTTGGCTTGACTAAACTTTAGACAAATTTCCTCCTAACCATAGGCCAGAAACCTTCCTTTCCTTAGAGTACTTACTTTAAAAAGCTTGTAATTGCAAATTATTTATCTGCCTCTTTAAAGTGTAGACACAGCTCCCAACCTCCTGCCCATTTTATAAACCAGTAATGTCTCTCTCAAGGACCTGGGAGTCATCCCTTTGAAATGTAATCATCAAGGAAGGTAGCTTTCTTCTCTTTCAGCCTCTGGAAAGATAGCAGCCTAATTGCTAAGTGCCAATTAGCAAACACAAATAGCCTAATCACAAAGAAAAACATTTGCAAATTCAGAAGTGACTCATTCAACATGCTAGACACACCCAATTGACCAACCTCCCCAATAATATCCTCCAGCTCACCCTACACTTAAAAACACTCCCACCTTCTGTTTTGGTGGAGTTGATTTCCATCTCTCTCCCTCGTACAATTGTCTTGAATAAAGTTGTCCTTGGCTGTGTAACTCTCTCAACTGCAAGTTTTCTTTGACAGATTCCTCCTTACCAAGTTTAAGGTCTATGGTTCATCATTAAAATTACACTCTTGCCAATTCCTAAATTCATTTGTCTCTATTTTGCCCAAACTTCAAATCTGGATAATTCATTTCTCTAACTGCTCTGGTTGAAGAAAAACACACAGCCAGCTGACTCACTTCACTCTAGCTGCTGACTTCAAGTCTGGGAATACTGTTTCATCCCTTTGCTTGCCTTAAATGTCCCACACCTTTTTGCCCACAAGCATTCCACAGAGAAAATAGAAGCAATCAGAGAAAATGTCCACCAGCACTGACCTCTATATCAATCTACTAACCTGCATCTGAGACCTTATACTTTGCCCTTCCCGATGCTATTGTTAATAAGTTAGCAATGCTTATACCTCAGGCAACCCCTTCACTTGTGCCCCAAATCTATTTCTACCCCATCTACTCAAGAACGTAGCTCTGGAAACTCTCCCATCTGTATGCCATGTTACCAACTTTTTCTAATCTACTCAACCAGCCCAATCACCATGCAACATGTTGTACATATTTCCATTTTAATCCCAAATCTTCTTCCAGATACTGCAACAAATTTCACCTCCTTTTTTCAGCAAGTATTGAGAAAGTGTTTACAGTCCCTCTCCCCCCATTCTCTTTTAAAATTACCACACTCAGGTTTTAGCTCCCACCCACCGAAAGTATTGTGTAGGCCACAAATAAACTTTTAAATCCAATTCTAAATTCTAGATTTATTTGACTAACCAGCAGCATTTGGCATAACTAATAATTTCCACACTTTCTTCATACGTCTTAAAGAACACCAAACTATTTCATTTTCCTCTTAAATAACTGGCCCATTTTTCCTTTACTGGTTCTTTCCATCTCTACACTGCTTAATTAGTGTGACTAGGTTCAATTTTCAGACCTCTTCTCTTCTTTAATTGAACTCATTCCCTAGGTGATCTCGTCCAGTTTCATGGCACTGAATATTATCTAGATGCAAACATTGAAGCAGTTTTTTCTCCAGCTGAGACTTCTCCTCTAACTTCAAAATATTTGTCCAACTACCTCCTAGACATTTTCATTTGGCTGGTCAATGGAAATCTCAAGCATAACATGCTAAACTCCAAACTCCGGATCTTTACCTCAAACACACAACTTCCCAGTCATCACTGTCTCTGTCAATGTCATTGTTCCAGTTGTTGGTGGAAGAGAGGTGGGGGCATGACATTAGACTTAATCTTGATTCCTGTCTTTCCCTACTTCATAGAGTGATTCTTTGAAAATATAAGATATTATAAATTTGCACATAATAATACATCAATATCTTTCTTCCCCATTTGGAGTGGATGTCAAAAACCTCATAATGACCTAAAGGCCCTATCTGGCATGGTATCTCAGTTGCCACTGTGATCTCATCTAATGCTCTGTAATCTAGCCACATGTGTCACCTACCTGATTCTTCACATATGACAGGCATGCTCCTGCTTCATTACTTTTATACTCTCATTCGCTTTGCATACTCTTTTTGCAGATCATCGATCACTCTCTCATGTCACTACCATCAACCATTTTATTTAAAATTGCAACTCTACCCCTGAATCACTCTATCTCCTTTCCTGATTTTTCTTCAGAACACTTCTTACAACCTGATATAACACATATGAATGTATGCATATATTTATTATCTGTTTCTTGAAGTTTAACATAAGCCTGTATGAGAACAGAGACTTTTATTTTCCTGGTCCCTAGAAAAGTACCTGGCACATAAATATTTAAGGAAGGAAGGAAGGAGAGAAGAAGGAAAGAAGGACACCATTGTTAATTCTGTATCATTATCTGTAATCTAGATGGATATTATTAGGGTGCCTATTTTCTTAGCGTTTTGAAATTTTATTGCATATTTATTAACTCTTAGAATTTGGGTAGGAGATAAGATAAAGCCATAGCTATGTTCCTAAGATGCTAGTTTTCACATGCATCCATGTGAAGATACCACCAAACAGGCTTTGTGTGAGCAATAAAGCTTTCTAATCACCTGGGTACAGGCCGGCTGAGTCCGAAAAGAGTCAGTGAAGAGAGATAGGGGTGTGGCCGTTTTATAGGATTTGGGTAGGTAGTGGAAAATTACAGTCAAAGGGGGGTTGTTCTCTTGCGGGCAGGGGCGGGGGTCACAAGGTGCTCAGTGGGGGAACTTCTGAGCCAGGAGAAGGAATTTCACAAGGTTAATTGCTCAGTTAAGGTAGGTCAGAAACAAATCACAATGGTGGAATGTCATCAGTTAAGGCAGGAACCGGCCATTTTCACTTCTTTTGTGATTCTTCACTTGCTTCAGGCCATCTGGATATATAAATGCAGGTCACAGGGGATATGATGGCTTAGCTTGGGCTCATAGGCCTGACACTAGTAACAGTTATAAAAGTGCTGCTTCCTCTTTCTCTACTAATGCTGCTCTCACAACTTTGGTTTGTCATCCCCTTTGATTTCCCATCCCCTCATACCCTGTAGGACAGTTAAAAGGTGTTAAATTTCTAGAGCTTATATGGATGATGAGGTTTCACTGTCTCTAAAAACTCTTTAGTTATTAAGAGAATTATGCCAGCTGGTCAGGTTGAGTTTATTGGAAGATCCATTTTTTAGCAGTGTCCTGATGGGTAAGAATCTGATTTTCAGGGTTGATGATTCTGAAACTTGAAGTTATTTTGTTAAAATAATAAGCATCCTGAGCTTGAGTTGAATTGAGATATTGATTTTTACAGTACAGTATCAATTTGTTAATTAATAATAAATACTATCTTTCTACTCATCAGGGAACATGTTTTGCTATATTTCTCCTCTAATATCTTCTCCATAACAGTATTCTAATAAGAAATGTGATGTTACACTTTTGCACTTAAGCTCGTATAAGAGTCCTCTGTTACTTTTCAGATTAAATACAAAGTCGTTATAGATATACAATGATGTTTAAATATCCAGTATCAAGCTCAAGTTATTTTTCTGTAACTCAAGTTAATTTCTGTCTCTATTTTATCATGCTGATTTCAGTCCCTTCTAGGCATTCTCCACATCCACCTTCCAGGGACTTGTTACGATACCGAGGTCTTGTCAATGCAAAATATCTGAGACAGGTCTCAGTCAATTTAGAAAATTTATTTTGCCAAGGTTAAGGATGCACCTGTGACACAGCCTCAGGAAGTCCTGAGACATGTGCTTGACAGAGCAGGAGCATCGCCTCTTGGACAAGCCCCTCATTCTAAAGTTTACCTTAATAAAAAACTGCCTAAATCCAAAGGGCATCAGCCTAATGGCTAAGGTCAGCATGACCATAAAGCACAAATAATATTTCCAACCAGAAACATTCCAAACTCCTCCCCAACCAGAGACATGCTAGCCCCAAGATAAACCCCCCTCTGGCAGGGAAGATGCTAGCCCTGAGATAATCCCTCTCTGGGCTGGAAAGACGTCTGCCCCAAGATAATCTCCCATCCTCCCAGAGAGATTCCAGCCCCGCCATAAACTTCTCCACACACATAAACATTCCAAGCTTGTGATAAGCCCCCTCACCCTAAAACAATATATACTCTTTGTCCGTAAGAGTAAGCGCTCCTGACCGAAATAGCCAGAACAACCTCTCAGGTTTGAGCTAAAGTAAACCTGTCTTTAACTACCAGCTGCATTTCGTGTTTCTTTCCTCTTTCTTTAACTCTCACAGTGCTCATGTGGTTGGGGGTACAGTTTGCTTTTACACATTTTAGGGAGACATGAGTCATCAATCAATATGTGTAAGGTGTACATTGGTTCAGTTCGGTAAGGCAGGGCAACTGGAAGGGGGGTCTTCCAAGTTAGAATTAGAGAAGAGACAAAGGATTGCACTCTTTTGAGTCCTTGACCAGCCTTCCACTGAATACGCAATTTATTCTGGCTCAGTGAATCTGCATTTTTACATAAATGATAGGGCAGAGGAAGCAATCAGGTAGGCATATGTCTCGGGTGAGCCTCAGAGGGATAACTTCGAATGGAACAGAAGGCAGGTTTGCCCTAAGCAGTTCCCAGCTTGATTTTTCCTTTTAGCTTAGTGATTTTGGAGTCTCAAGATTTATTTTCTTTTCACAGTGTCATGTAGTGTTCAGGCAAAAATTTGAGGAAGGACAACAATGTGGATCTTGGCTTAGCTCCAACAGGTTTACAGTGAGATATATGTCAGCTTGGTTGGCTTGGATACTCCAAGTTCTGTGACTCAATTGTATTCTGTCCCACACAGAACTTACAGAACTTTGGAGAAATTACCCATGCCTTTATTTTCTTAGACGCACCACAAACTTCCCTCTGGTGACTTGCTAGATTCCTTGTGAGCTGCCAGGAGCTGCCAACACCTCTCTCTCTCTCTCTCTCCCTCTCTCAACATCTCCCTTTCTCCCTCTCTCCCTCCCTCCCTCTCCCTCTCTCCCTCCCTCCCTCTTTCTCTCTCCATCTCTTCCCTTTCTCTCTCCTCTTTCTAGCTTTCTCATTATTCCCTCCCTCCCTCCATCTCTCTCTATTTATCTATCTTCCCTTCTCTCCACAGTTCTCTTTTTAATCTTGGAGATTATAAACAGAAGTCTCATGTTCCCTTCTATTTCTCTCAATTCATATTATGTATGTCAGGAATCCTTTTCCTAATTTGTGCATCTAGTTTCTGGAAATAAAAGCTGTAAGAGCATAGGGTCTTGTCCTATATTCCTCCCTGCCACAAACTTCTCCCAAAACAACGAGCACAGAGCCCACTGGAAATATAGGTAAAGAAGACAATAAAGGGAGGAAAAAGAATGCCTTACTATCAATATTATGACATTTACAGTTAGATTTCCATTTCATTTCCTTACTCATCCATATTTTCCCTACTTTCTCATAGCATCAGATGTGTTGTAGCTTCCTGAATACGTTTGCTCCTCTATATTTCCTAGTATTTGAACAATCCTACTTGTCTTTTGCCTGCTTTAAATGACTGTTCGTGTGTAAACAACAGTATGTGCAACATGATGAAAGAGGAGAAAAGGATGCCACCACAAACACCTTTACATTGAAGTGTATCTGGGAGACAGCTCTCCCTACAGAATGGCAGCTAACCATGGGCCAACTAAGAAGCCAATTTGAGTCTTTCATTAAATGGTAGTAAGGGTAAATAATTTCTTTTTCAGACAAAATAAAACATACTATAGATTTAGATAGATAGATAGATAGATGATAGATAGATATGCACATATATGCATGTGTATATACACAAACCCATATGTACGCTTAGAAGTGGGAATATTTGTTTACCTTTCAGATAGACCTGTTGAGCATTTTGTGGCCCCTATATGATGCACACACCTTACTTTGAAGACTGAATTTAACATACATTAACCTCTAACATTTTGTATATTGAAGCTGCCATTTTGGTATCATGACACCAATTTTTCAATAGTGTTATAATGTATTACTTGCCAATTTACCATTAGTTATTTTATGAGATTTGCAAGACAGATTAGTCACCTGATAGCAATTGTGATCTGCATTTGTATTTTCAGCAGAGCCTCCATAAACCATTTCTCCTTAATATGGATAAACATGCACATTTTTATGAAGATGATAAATATCTTCAATATCATAGGAGGGCATTTTCTGACCTTGCTCCTGAATTCTGAGGATAGCTCTTTCTATGCACGGATTAGAGCTCATCTGCACACACCCTTCGGTAAACTCCTTGGAAAAGAGTTTTTAATAGTAAGGATTTAGATTATTATCATTCAAAGATGTTTTATTAACCTCCATCCACAATGTGCATATTTCTACAGCTTTTTTTTTCATAATTATAATAGGGAGGCCCTCAATATAGACTATAGATTTTTCTAGGTTCATTGGTCAGTTCCATCTAACTTTCCTCGTAACATCTATTTTAAATCTTGCCAAGGCCACTAATGTTATAATGCTGCTAAATTATATGATCACATTTTGGTTCTTATCTTGACCTATCAGCAGTTATTAGGCTTGTTTCCCTAAGAATAAGAAGCCCGCTATCTCTGGGAAGTAGCTCTCTCAATAAACAGACATGGACAAGTCAACACTCAACTGTCAAGCATTCAATAACACTCCTTGAAACAAAATAATTTTTAAAAATCAGGCTTCTACCCATACAGCGTCAACTCTCCTCATTCCTTCACTTCTTACCACTTTTTCCAACCATGCTGGAGTTTCTTAAGTTTCCAAGCTTTTGCAAATGCAACTCCTTCTCTCCAGAATGTGTGTCTCATATTTCTCAACAACATATGCAGCACAGATAACTGGAAAACCAACTTTATGCAAAAACAATAATCCTGTTTCCTTTGTCTGTGTCAGTATTCTTCTTTGTGCCCCTAAGTACTTCCTTTGTGATAGCAATTTTTAAATTGTTGTATTGTCTATTTATTTACTGGCTTTTCCACAAGACAATAAGTTCTTTTGCATCGTATAGGAACTTGCATGTAATAGCTATTTAATACAGCTTTGCGGAATAAATTAAAGAGTTAATCTCCATGCCTTTCTCCCTTTTTCATTTTTTTCATAACCTTTTCACATATAAGTATGTTGAAACTTTGAAAGTGAGATTATTTAGAAAAATAAGAATCTCATACCCCATGGTTTGCCAATATTTATAAACAAATAACAGTAGAAAACATGTTTTTGCATTTAATTTTAAAACTGTTAGATGACCTTGTTGACAATAAAAACAAATTATTTACCTAAATTAAAGCTAAAAAATGATAGAATGAATAAAATAGACATCAGATCTCTTTTGATTGTTTAATGTTTTTAAATTAAATATAAGATATGCAACATCTTAATAAAAATAAGACACACAAACTTTTTATTTTTCTAAAATTCTCATGATTTAGCAAAAAAGATCTTCATGGTATACCACATTTACCACAGGCTAAAATATAGTTTGCAAGGCAGGAAGGTTTTCATATTAAGCTTTGCTTATTAATTCCCTGAATTAGAATGGCTCTTAGAGGAGAAACAACTAATTTGCAGTCAGCTTGAAGAAATTGAATTGGGTGATGATAGCTATATTTAAAGCTTGTGACCTTACATTGTCCTATTATATGCCTTAAGGGCATTAAAAGTACTCTAAATTAATTTTAGAGGCTACATAATAATGTTTCCATTAATCATAAAATCCAAGACCAGTATGCCCCTTGGTGCTCTGCTATGATTTTAATCTTCCTAACATGATTTTGTCATGTGTTTTATTTCTAGAAAAATTCTATGATTTTTTTCAGACCTAATTTTCTTAAATCTTGGCAACAATATGCACCTCTTTCTAACTCCTCCCAACACTTCTGAAATTTAGAACTTATGTATTTTTTCTGCATCATACGTTCAGTCTTCTCCAGTGTTTAATGATACCTTTATGGTTGCATATAACAGATGAGCAGTGATGTCTGCATGTCATGAAGATCCTGTGTGCTTTCAAAATGGCAAAAACTAGTAGTTTAACTTGTGCCAAGCACTACAATTTTTCACAGTAATACTTTGTGTTTCATCAGTCACTTTAGGAATAAGGTAACTGACACATAGATAAGTTTAGTAATTTGCCCAACAGCAATCAGCTGGTAAGTAGCTCAAATCTAATTTTATTGAGCCTAAGTTGCCACAAATGTGATTGAACATAGATGATCATTCCTCCCTTTACCTTCCTCTGACAAAATAAACCTGAATAACCAAAAATTATTAAAAAGAACAGAAAATTTGAAATAACCCTTGGACACTAGGTATCCACCCATGCCACCCATGGGTGGCACCCATGCCAAAGAATTCCTAGACATTATGCAGATAAAACTAAAAAGAAGTCATTGAGGGTAGAATTGATATGGACAGGAGGCAGGGAAAAACTGGGTAGAAAAGGGCGGGGTCATTGGCAAGGGCTCCACCCTCAAGCCTAGACCTGCAGCCCTAAATGAGAACATGCATTCCGGTTTTCCTGCCCAAATGTTGCCTTTTCCAAAACCACCCTGGCCTTCCATGCCCCCCATCCTGTACCCATAAAAACCCAAAGCTCCACTAGCAGAGGGGCAGAGTGGCACAGCAGAGAAGGAGAGAAGAGAAGAAGCATCTGAATGTTGAGAGGAGAAGAGCAGCTGGACATAGGAGACAATGGTCAGAGAGGAGTTCACCTGAACCCCAGGGGAAGATTATCATTCCATCTCATTTCCAGCTCCCCATACCACTGAGAGCCAC
This sequence comes from Homo sapiens, assembly GCF_000001405.40. NCBI lineage: Eukaryota > Metazoa > Chordata > Mammalia > Primates > Hominidae > Homo > Homo sapiens. The sequence goes on along the minus strand of NC_000006.12, from coordinate 78,085,693 downwards.
TTTCCCCACTCAGTAAAATCTTTGCATTCATCATCCTTCAAGTTCATGTGACCTCATTCCTCTTGGGCACGGAAAAGGACCTGGCTGCGGGTGCAAGATGCTGTCACGCTGACTCTCTAGCAAGCTGTTTTAACACTTAGTCATTCTTGGAAGACAAATGCTAAAAGAGCACTGATTGTAACACATGCCCTCTGGGGCTCCAGAGGTCACAGGCAACCCCTACATGCTGCTGCACAGGCTAGTATGGGGTTTGTTCCTGCTGGTGCCCAAAGGCACTTGTCCTGGCTCCTGCACCCGTTAACCTGTGTGCTCCCTCTCCTTCAAGAGGTTTGAGTGCAGCACCCAGTAAAGGAGCCACCCCTGTTGTAAGTCCCATGAGGGGCTCAGGGGAACTCTCCGGTCTCAAAATCACATTATTGTTGTAGAGAAATTCGTACCCTATCTCTGCAAGCAAATAAAGGGAACCCTAAGAGATTTGAAAATATTGGACTGTCTCCTAGGGCAGCAGGCTATAAGAAACATAGGAACACGGTCCACCTGGAGAAGAAGCCAGCCTCAGTGGAAGGCTAATTATGGAAAACAGCTTTTGAGGGAAGAATATTCTCTATGCAGAGAGAACAATGCAAGTGAAGAAGATTCTCACTATCAACTCATTCACTACTTAATCAGGCCACTGGATCACCAAAAGGGAATTGATAGTAAAAAATTTGAAGTAGAAGAAAATGCTGTCATAACAAGAATTGTTTGTACTTGGTGTCTCCATTTCTACTTCTTCCATTCTATCTTGACCCTACACCAATACAACTTTTGCCTTCATCTCTCCACTATAATGTCTCTTGTAAAGATCACTAATGACTTCTGTGTTGCTGAATCAAATGATACCATCTCGTCCTCATCTTACTCAACCTATGAGCAGCATTTGATCCTGTTGATCATTTTTTCTTCCTAAATTGTTATTCACTTGAATTGCAGGAAGCCACAGTTCCTAATATTCTTTCTACCCACTTCACTCCTCCTCAGTCTGTTTCCTTTACAGCATGCTCCTCACTCTCCTGAATGATTAATATTGTCGACCCTGTGGCTCAAGGCTTGGTTCTCTGTCATATATGCTCTATCTTGGTAATCTCATCTAGTTCCATAGTTTTGAACAACTTTTAATTACTTATGACTCTCAAATGCATATCTCCAGCCCAACTTTCTATGATGAACTCTAGATATATATTTCTGACTGCCAACGCAACCTATCTTCTTGGATATCTTGTAGGAATATGAAACATAAATAACCCAATGCAATTTATGAATGTTTTCTACTAATCTGCTCTACCTGAAGTCCTACTCATTTCAGTTAATGGAAACCCAACCTTTTAACCAGCCAAAAAGTTAAAGTTCAATCTGTAAGCAAATATTAGATTTTTTATGTTTAAATACTAATTATAGTGTTGCACTATATGAAGGTATTACCTGTATGAAAAGTAAAGGTAAAACTGTATAGACTGAATTAAATATGGCTATTTATATTACTCTTAAGGAAAATGATACATATGATACTAAAATGTTACCCATAGAAAACATGTTGCATATTCCCATTCTTCTACAGAGAGGTATTAGAATTTGATTATCTGCATAATAATCCATTGCATTAAAAAACATTATCTTCTCTTAAATTTGCTTTTTAAAATTTTTTTAATTTGCTACCAATAAACAGTTTACATAGAGAAATTGATGATGAAAATTAATATTTATTAATCCATTTTTGTAAATACTTATTATATGTTGAGTCACCAATCAATAGTATTTATCTGCTAAGTAACCTGTAAGATTTACTTAAGTAATAAAACCTGAGATTTAAGGGCAGCCCCAGTTCCAAAAATGTCACTGGTAGAGAAGATGTAAAGTTCTGCTTTATTTCTAACACATAAAGTGCTTGGAATCCATCACTCCCATGAGAAAGGGAACATAAACCACTTTTCTTGGACCTGTTAGAGAAATAAGGTCACAAGGTAAACCAATACCCAGAATCTGTAGAGAAAAGAGGAACGCAGAGAATCACAATGAAGATCAGCTTACCTGGAGCAAAGACATAGTCATAAACTGATTGGACACAAAGTAGTTTTGGCTAATTACTGGAGGCTGAGTCTGGATGACCTAGCATGAGAGTGAGAACCTCCTGGGGGCAACAGTCATAGGGAGCCGCTGCACTTTTTATGAGTTCTCCTCCAGGAAACTGACTAGTTCTCATGATGAAGATTAAAGACGTATCCCGTCATGTTTCTACTAGGGGTAGAGGAAAAGTAATCATTCTGAAATACGTTTAGAGCATGACTAAGAACTGCTCTCCAAGGGAAACAACAACCAGAACCAAACCTAATCTATCTGGGGAAAAGGCAATCAGTCAAATTCTGCTCTAGTTTTCCTGTCTTCCTTATGAGGGGAAAGATAAAAGCTAAGAAACACATATGAAGGCCATAGCTCAGAAATGCAGACCCCTAAAAGACTAAAATTTAATTTACAGGATTATAGAGCACTTTCCCTTCCATCACAAAATGCCTTACCATCACATCACAAGGGCTCTAGAATAATAACAGTGCATTATAACTAACAGAGCTTGAAGATGCAGATTCAATAAAAGGAATTATTAGAGACATCCAAAGACAAAAGAGGAGACAAAAATAAGAACATTTAGAGGATGATAAAACCTATGGCCCCTACAGCTACTGCAAACATAAACACAGTCCAACTCCTAGACAGATTCACATTAAACCTCACACTAAAGGCTTATGAACTTAAGCTCCTATTACCCAATTTCCAGCTTTTAGTGAAAAATTACAGTGCATATTGTGATAGTGAAAATTATGTGTCAACTTGACAGGGCCATAAGGTTTTCATATATTTGGTCACACATTATTATTTGTTTTTACTTTTTAACTGACACACCAAAAAATGTACATACTTATGGGGTACAGTGTGATGTTTCACTATATGTATACAATGTGTAATGATCAAATTAGAATAAGAAGCATATCCATCACATCAGATATTTATTATTTCTTTGTGGTGGGAACAATTAAAATCCTCTCTTCTATTTATTTTGAAATATAAAATATATTATTAACTACAGTCACTCTACTGTGCAATGCAACATGATAATTCATTCTTCCTAAGTGTAAGTTTGTACCCATTGACCAACCTCTCTTTATGCCCCTCTTCCCTCTACCCTTTCCTGCCTCTGGTAACCACTAATCTACTCTCTACTTCTTTGAGATCAATGTTTTTGCATTCTACGTATGAATGAGATCATACAATATTTGACTTTCTGTGCCTGGCTTATCTCAATTAACATAATGTCTCCCAGGTTCATTTATTTTGCTGAAAGTGACAGGTTTTATTCTTTTATGTCTGAATTGTACTCCATAGTGTAAATATATTACATATTCTTTATCCATCTGTTTGTTGATGGACACTTAGGTTAATTTCACATCTTGGCTATTGTGAATAGTGCTACAATAAACATGAGTGTGCAGACATCTCTTGAACCAACCAATTTAATTTCCTTTGGATATATACCCAGTAGTGGGATTGTTGGATTATATGGTAGTTCTATTTTCAATTTTGGGAGAACTTCCATAGTGTCTTCTATGGGGGCTCTACTAATTTGCATTCCAACCAACAGTGTAGAAGAGTTCCCTTTTCTCCACATCCTTGCCAACTCTTGTTATCTTTTGTCTTTTTGATAATAGCTATTCTAACAGGTGTGAGGCAATATATCATTGTGGCTTTAATATGGATTTCCCTGATGGTTAGTGATGTTGATCATTTTTTCATATACCTGTTGTCCCTTTGTATGTCTTTTTTGGAGAAATGTCTATTTGGATTTTTTGCCCTTTTAAAAATTTAGTTGTATCTTTTTGCTATTGAGTTGTTTGAGTTCCTAATATATTCTGGATACTAACCCCACTTCAGATGTGTAACTTGCAAATATTTTATCCAATTCTGTAGGTTATCTCTTTACTCTGTTGATTATTTTCTTAGCTGTGCAGAAGCTTTTCAGTTTGAAATAATGCGTTTGTCTACTTTTGCTTTTGTTGTCTGTGCTTTGAGGTATTGAAAAAAAAAAAAACAACTCTTCCCCAGATCAATGTTAAATGTTTCTCCTATGTATTCTTCTAGTAGTTTTACAGTTGCGTGTCTTACATTTAAATCTTTCATCCATTTTGAGTTGATTTTTGTAGGCAGTGAGAGATGAGGTTCTAGTTTCATTCTTCTGCATGTTGATATCCAGTTTACCCAACACCATTTGCTAAAGAGACTGTCCTTTCCTCAATGTGTGTTCTTGGAGCCTTTGTCATAGATTAATTGACTGCAAATGCATGGATTTATTTCTGGGTCATATAGATACTCTATTCAATTGGTCTGTGCATCTTTTTTATGCCAATTCCATGCTCTTTTAGTTACTATTGCCTTGTGTATTTTTAAGTCAGGTAGTGCAATGTCTCCAGCTTTGCTCTTTTTGCTCAAGATTGCATTGGCTCTTCAGGGTCTTTTGTAGTTCCATGCAAGTTTTATGATTTTTTTTCTATTTCTGTGAATAATGTCATTGGCATTTTGATAGGGATTAAATTATATCCATAGATTGGGAATTATGGGCATTTTAACAATGTTAATTCTTCCAGTCCTTGAACATTGGACATCTTTCCATTTATTTGTGTTTTCTTCAATTTCATTAGTCAATATTTTGTAGTTTTCATTGTAGAGATCTTTCACCTCTTTGATTGTGTGTGTGAGGGTGTTTCAGGATGAGGTTAACCTTTGAATTGGTAGACTGAATAAAGAAGATTACACTCCCTTATGTCGGTGAGCTTCACTCAATCAGTTGATGCCGCTAAGAGATCAAAAAGGACGAGTACGAGAGAATTCCTCCGCCAAACAGTCTTCAGACTGGAACATTATATTTTTCTTGCTTTTGGGCTGAAATGGAAACACTGAATTCTTGCTGGTTCTCTAGCCTACAGGGTTTAGTTTTGAACTAGACTCCCACCATGACTTTAAATATAAAGCACAGATAGGTTAAAGTAAAAGGATAAAGATATACTATGTTAACACTGATCAAAGGAAAGCTGTTTTAACTCATAAAAATAGATATATTAATTTCAGACAAGGCAAACTTCTTATCAAGAAAAATTATTTGTGACAAACAGGGGTATTAAGTGATTTTTAAAATGGGTCAGTTCTCCAAGAAGATATAAAAAATCTTATTCATTTACCTGTGAAGAGAATATTAAAATACATGAAGCAAAAAAAAAAAAAAAAGAACTCCAAGAAGCAATAGAGGAGTATGCTATTATATCTGGAGACTTCAGCACAACACCTATCAAAAATTAACATATCCAATGATCATAAAATCACTAAAGAAAGAGTTGTACTGAACAGCACAATCAATCAGTTGGATCCACTTTATACATATATATAGAATATTTCATCTAACAACAGAATGCGTGTTCTTCTCAAGCTCATAGAAAACATTAAACAATACTGACTTCATTCTGTTCCATAAAACACACTTTAACAAATTTTTAAAAATAAAAATTATGTAAAGTATATGCTTAAACAATGATGGAATTAAACTAGAAATTAATAACAGTAAAACACCTGGAAAATCCAAAATATTTGAGATTAAAGAACATACTTCTAAATAATGTGAGTTAAAGAAGAACTCTCAAAATAAATTTAAAAATATTTAGAACTAAGTAAATACAAATAAAAACACAGGTTATCAAAATTTGTGGAATGCAACCACAGCAGTGGTTGGAGGAAAATTTATAGCATAAAATATATTAGAAAAAAAGAAATATTCAAAATAAATAAACTGAGCTTCCATATTAGAAAAGTAGAAAAAGAAGAGTAAAGCCTAAATCAAGTAGAAAAGTAGAAGTAATAAAAATTAGAGCTTTAACAAATGAAATTGAAAAAGAAAATCCATAAGGAAGAAAAGTTCTTTAAGAAGCTGATTTTTAAAAAAAGATCAATAAAATTGATAAATGTCTAGCCAGGTTAGCAAAGCAATAAGAGAGAAGACACAAATGAAACATATCAAAAATTAAAAAAAAAATCAGTATTAATTCTATGAGCTTTTAAAGCTCATAGAATAAATAAATATTATGGACAACTCTATATCCACAAATTTAAGTCTTAGATGAAATGGTCAATTTCTTGAAAGATACAAAATACCAAAACTCACTGAAGAGAAACATAATCTGAATATAGGATATTGAATCAATAATTTAAAACCTTCTTAAATAGAAAGCATCAGGCCTATATGATTTAACTGATGAATTTTATTAAACATTTGTGAAGAAAATAATACCAGTTTTTCCATACATTTTGCAGAAATGTATGGAAAAAATAGAACCAGGGAACAGTTTCTCATTCATTCTGTGAGGTACGCATTCCCCTAACACTAAAAACCAGATAAATACATTAGAAGGAAAGAAAACTACAGAGCACCTGTTGTTTTGAAACAACAGGTGCTGGGGAGGATGTGGAGAAATAGGAACACTTTTACACTGTTGGTGGGACCGTAAACTAGCTCAACCATTGTGGAAGTCAGTGTGGCGATTCCTCAGGGATCTGGAACTAGAAATACCATTTGACCCAGCCATCCCATTACTGGGTATATACCCAAAGGATTATAAATCATGCTGCTATAAAGACACATGCACACGTATGTTTATTGCAGCACTATTCACAATAGCAAAGACTTGGAACCAATCCAGATGTCCAACAATGATAGACTGGATTAAGAAAATGTGGCACATATACACCATGGAATACTATGCAGCCATAAGAAATGATGAGTTCATGTCCTTTATAGGGACATGGATGAAGCTGGAAACCATCATTCTCAGCAAACTATCACAAGGACAAAAAAACAAACACTGCATGTTCTCACTCATAGGTGGGAATTGAACAATGAGAACACATGGACACAGGAAGGGGAGCATCACACACCGGGGACTGTTGTGGGGTGGGGGAATGGGGGAGGGATAGCATTAGGAGATATACCTAATGCAAAATGACGAGTTAATAGGTGCAGCACACCAACATGGCATATGTATACAGATGTAACAAACCTGCACGTTGGGTACATGTACCCTAAAACTTAAAGTATAATAATAAAAAAAAAACAAAACACATAAACACGGAGTCACCATTTGACTCAGCAATTCCACTCCATGGTATATACCCAAGAGAAATGAAAACATATGTCCACACAATAACCTGTACACAAATGTTCATAGCAGCACTATTCACAATAGCACAAAGGTGGAAACAACCTACGTGTTCATCAATGGATAAGTTAAAGGAAATGTGGCATAGTCATACAATGGAATATTATTTAGCCTTCAGAAGAATGAAGTTACACATGCTACAACATTGATGAAGCTGGAGAACATTATGCTACATAAAAAAGCCATTCACAAAGTACTACATATTGTATAATTCTATTGACATGAAAGGCTCAGAATAGGCAAAATTACAGAGACAGGAAGTGGACTAATGATGGCATAGGCCTAGGTGTGTTAGGCTAGTGGAAGCATAAGGAAATGGAACATGAATACTAATGGATACTGGGTTTCTTATTGGGGTGACAGAAATATTTTAAAATTGATTGTGGTGATGGTTGCACAATCCTGTGAACACAGTAAAAACAATTGTATATTTAAAAAAAAAACTACAGAGCAATAGCTCTCTCAAACGTAAATGCAAAAATTCTCAAAAAAATATTAGAAAAATCAAATCAAAAATGTATAGAAAGAACTACAACCCACAACCAAGTGAGATTTATCTCAGATATGCAAGGCTGGTTCAGCATTCCAAAATCAATGAATGTAATCCATCTTATCAAAGGCAAAATACATAAAGTCAACAACCATGTCAATTGGCACAACAAATATTTTAAAAATTCCAGCAATTATTTAATATAAAATCTCTCAGCACTCTAGGAATAGAGCAAAACTTGCTAAGTTTAACAAAGATTATCTGTAAAATACCTACAGCTAACATGGTACTTCATAGTGAGAAACTCGATGCCTTCCACCCAAGATCAGGAATAAGGCTAGAAAGTAATGTCCTCTCTCCCTACTTCTATTCAATATCATACTGGGAGTCCTAGCTTGCACAAAAAGACAATAAAAGCCATACAAATTGAAAGGGAAGAAATAAAACTTTTTTTTTTCACAGATGAAATGTTTCTGTATAAAATCAGAAAGAATCAACAACAACAACAACAAAATCAATTGCAACTAACAAGCAATTACAGAGAGGTTGCAGGATAAAAGGCTAATATGCAAAAGCCAATTTATTTTCTATATACTAGCAATAAACAATTGGAATTTTACATTAAAAACACAATATCATTTATATTAGCACCAAAATAAATAAAATTATTATGTATAATAATCCAACAAAATTCACCAAGGATCTATATGCAGAAAACTACCAAACTCTGATTAAACAAATCAGAGAAGATGATACTTAGTCCAATGTGACCACACACTGTTCCTTAGACGTGTTGCAATGGACTGTACCACTTTGGTGTCCTTATTATAAATTCTTTGTAAAGAGAAGCATCATTTTACAAGGAAAATAAATTTTAAATTATCCCTTTGATACCTCAAAATTTTATGCTCTTTTTAACATGGTTCAAGATTATTAATGGTTCAGATATCATGAAAGGAAATGGCATATACCAACATTTTACAAATGAGTCATGGATATGTCCTACTTAGGAGTTCAACTGATCATTTAGATCATTTTTTGAGTGATACTGTGGTTCAGTGACCATGACCTGATTTTATGCTTCATCTTTTCCATTCCTACCAAGCTGTTATACTGCTTGAAGCTCAATTTACAAATCTGTAAAGTGGAACTGGAGATATGTGCCTTGCAGGGCTTAGTGAGAACCACAGATCAATTACGTATGTTGCATTGCATTTAATGAATGCTTACTAAGGATAACTTGGATTCCCTCTGTAACAATAGGTTCTCGTTTTTATACAGAAGAGTGGTCACGCTGAAGACTGTGGTGTTAGAGATAGAATGGGATCCATGTGGACAGAGTAGATAAGACTGAAAAGTCTTGACAGGTCTTGGGTCTAATGATATCTGTATGTCCAGCTTACAAGGCGGTCGGGAAAGACAGCTGGGGAATGAAGCTCAAGCTTTTTTTTTTTTTTTTTTTTTTTTTAAGAGGCAAGGAATAATGACCACAAATAGTTTATGAGACTTCCTTTACTTTGTAATTTTTTATTTTTTCATTATCCCCATGGTGTCAAAAGACAGCAACTTCTAAGGGTATATGATGCTGAATAAATGTGTATGGGATATATACAGTGGAGCAGCTGCTGTTTGATGAGCTGAGCGAAGACATTAGGAATAGGGTAAAGGGAAGCTATCGATTCACTCTAGCAAGGCAGACGAGTGAACATAGCCCTCCCCCAGATGCTTATATAAGAGCTCTTTGCTGTGCAAAGGTTTTAGAAAGCGTGGACATTCGGGAACCAGCAGCAGGATCAGTGTCGCCCTTGACTGGGTCTTGCCAGTAACAAGTTCATGCAAACTAATGTTACTCAACTCTTAGTAAATCTTAACACTCTGCTACTCACCTTATATGAATTCTCTAATTAAATCTTCAGAATAACTCTGTGAGGAAACTGTTTTGTTGTCATTTTACAGGTGCAGAAACTGAGCCTTAAGAAAACTCACTAACTAGATCACACAACTAGTAAGAGATAGATAGGACTTGAAACAAAGATGGTCTGACTTAGGCCCCAAACTCTTAACAATTCTACTATATTGTTGCCTAAGATACTAGCTCTCAACAGCATAGAATGAATTCATTTCAAGAATAATAATATCTACTGTCTATTGAGCACTTACTGTAACTCAGGTGTACTGCTCTACTCACATTATTTTGTTTAATTCTCATCAAATCCCTTTGAGTTAGGTTTTATTTTTCCTATTTTACAAACGAAGACACTGAGGCTTATATGAGTTAGGTTATTTGCCCAAGGGCATAGGCTCACAATACAAAAGCAAGGATTGAATCCAGTTGTGTCTGACTCTTAAATCTATTTTTTTAAGTACTGCAAAAATCAAGGGTATTAAAGTCAGAAAACAAGGACAAAATTGGTCTTATGTAGAAGATCTCTATTATACCAACTGTAAAATAACAAGCAAGCCATGGCCATAAAATACTGTGGCAACCAGTGGAACCTGCCTTATTACTTTATAGTCACACTTCAAATTTATTCAATACACAATTATTGAGATTCTACTATATGCCATGCTCAACATTTTGCACAAAATAAATCAGATTAATCTTACGATAGCTTTAGTTCAAAGACTGGTTCAGTCCTTTATGGTACTTTTCCTTTGTGTGGCTATGTTTTTGTAAAGGTTGTTTTCTCTTCCAACACAGCTTAACTCTGCCCTTGCACCTAAAAAAACCACATTCATCATTATAATTTTCAGTATCAGAATGACAGCAGCCTCAACATTTTGTTTCCCAGGTGAGGAATGAGCATGCTCATTCACATCACTGCAGAGGAAGCAAAAATCTTCTTCATGGCCAAAAAACTCACATCCAGCTCCCTCTTCAGTCTTTGAAAATTAGCAGCTTCTTTGAATTTAACTGAAGCAGAGAATATTGTTGGAATAAAAGCAGCATTAATTAAAATTGTCTATTGAGTCCCATGACAAATTTGCTATTATAAGTTAAAGCAAAGAGAACATGATGCTGTGTTGTTTATAAGATAGAGGTAATTTCCTGGGAGTATTTGTAAATCATTATCAGGGCTTGTCCATGGTTGTCAGGACCTTCACAGATAGAGTCTCACTTTTAGAATATAATTCTTAGTGCCAAGATAATGTGTAAGCAAGAGATATAATTTGATAGATAAAGCTATTTAAATAAAACTTATGTATGCAACTGATTATAAAAAACATTACTGGCTGACTGTAGAAAGCCTGAAAAACATAGAAAACTATAAAGATAAAATTCAAATCACCTGTAATCTCTGGTTTTAGCAGCAACCACTCAATATTTATAGGATTTTGCTGTTGTTCTTAACCATATGTAATTTTACATATTGAGTTGTAAGTGAAAATAGTGTTTTTAATTTAGCATCCAATTATAAGAATTTTAACTCTTCATAGCCATCATTTACCTTGACTGGATTACGAACATCCTATAATTTTTTTTGCAGTTCCTTTATTGTGAATCTTTTAAAAAATGGAACTCTAATGTATTTATCTAGACAAGAGTTATAGTATAAAAACTTTAATTTGCTCATTTATAATAAACTATATAATTATTTTCTTTTCATAAGTATTAATTAATTATTCCAATCAATCATTAATCTGTCTCGTCTACAGGAGAACCAACCACTGTTCTGATTAAAATGACCAAAATTTCCCTTTCAAATGAATGCTCAGCCACCTCATTTACCATCAGATCATCTCCCAAGGTCAGCTTTACTACAGCAGCTCAGCCAGTGCAACCTTGACAGTTTTGTGTGTGTGTAAAATACGTGGGATGTATGTGTGCGTACTTGTAAATTCAATGAGGCTCTTTAGGGAGAAGCCTATTTGTAACTTCCTCCTTTTTTCAGTATTTTTAAAAATGGCTTTAAGATCTGTGGCATCAGTTTACTCTCTGCAGTTCTTATAGAAACAAAACAAAACAAAAAAAGTTTAATGCCTACTCATAGTCATTAGGGAAATTAGAGAACACTCCTAAGAAATACTTCTAACGTCTACCTATCACACCCTTACCTTCCACCTATTTCAGTTTATATCTGCAGTTTCCTGAAAAAGATGATCCATGCTAATGTAGTTTAAAATCTTCAAATAGGGAAGCAAAATAAAAGTGTGCTTTAGATAAAGCATTAAAGAAAATTGGTATTGTGTTATTTATCTAACTTTGTACTTGCTGGAAGTGACAAGAGAAACTTGTTTATTAATTGATAAATATGAGCATAACTTTGCGTAAATGTCCACTTCTTTTAGAAAAATAGCAACTGGAGTTTACTTGTAGGCTAATGAACCCAGACAAAAGAGTCGGAGGCCTTAATGGCAATTACATGTCAACCACAAAGCCCTTTGTAGCATAATCTTGCCAGTTATAAACATGTTCTTATTATTTTTATAGCTGTTTCCCTTGTTGCAGAAAGTAAACTACAGTACTAATAAAATATCAGAACTATAGACATTATGTAAGCTGAGCTTCTCTTCAAATTTCCTTCTGCCTCTTTCTGTATCAGAATCCATGTTCAAATTGTATACAACACTTCTAAAACATTTGCTATTGCCTCTTTTGTATGTGTATATTAAAAATGAGATAGGCTGGGCATGGTGGCTCACACCTGTAATCCCAGTACTTTGGGACGCCAAGGTGGGAGGATCACTTGAGGTCAGGAGTCCAAGACCAGCCTGGCCAACATGTTGAAACCCTGTCTCTACTAAAAATACAAAAATTAGCCAGGTGTGGTGGCACACGCTTGTAATCCCAACTACTCAGGAGGCTGAGGCAGGAGAAGTGCTTGAACTAGACAGGTGGAGTTTGCAGTGAGCGAAGATTGTGCCACTGGACTCCAACCTGGCCAACAGAGCGAAACTCTGCCTCAAAAACAAAACAAAACAAAACAAAAAATAAATAAAATACAGTTTTATTCTTTCACACTGTCTCTCCTCCTTTGGGAGCATTTTGCATTTTTGGCCCTTATTCCCTTTCATAGAAATGTTGAGCTAGTAATGTCAAGATTATTACTGATAAAAGGGAAGCTTCAGTGAGTCAGTTCAGTTTTTATCTTATAATAAACTCAGATGATTTGGGGCTACTTTGACCTAGTTCCCACAAATTACACATTTAATATAGTATTTTATTATAAATTTGATATTATGAAAAATGTGACTTTAATATGCTAGTAGACTGTGCAGTGCATTTATAATGGAAAGTAGAGGTAACAATGCACTTCAGTTCCCTTCAAACACCCTATAGATCATAATTATTAATTATGAGATCTAAAACAGCAACTGGGAAAAAAACTAAACTTATGGAATCAGATATATCTTAGGTGAAAAATAAATATTTATAAAATAAATTATCTTAAAGAAAATGTGTAAGATCAAAATGTAAGTATATTTAGTTCATTTATTTTCTTATACTTTTAAATATTTAAGTTCATCTAGAAAATTATTCAACAAGTAAGATTGTTTTTGCTTTCACTTTAGATAATTGGGAATTCAAATAAAAAGGGATGTTATATCTGATCAAGTGTTCCTCCATTCATGGTGATTGGAGTAGAGACAATTGTGTTCCCTCAAATGGTTCTTGAACTTTACTTTTGTATATGAACACAAGTGCTTAAGTATTTAAAGCATAATTTTAATAAACCTAAATTGAAAATACAGTAGTTGCTAGGAAATTTGATAAAGGCATTTGAAAATTTTCTACTATGAAGTTTTAAAGCATCCAGAGAATGTCTTATTTTTGAAATGCCAATTAAAAGGAATAGGTAGATATAAGAAAATATATTTTCTCTCTTTTTTTATTATACTTTAAGTTTGAGGGCACATGTGCACAACGTGCAGGTTAGTTACATATGTATACATGTGCCATGTTTGTGTGCTGCACCCAGTAACTCGTCATTTAACATTAGGTATATCTCCAAATGCTATCCCTCCCCGCTCCCCGAACCCCACAACAGGCCCCAGTGTGGGATGTTCCCCTTCCTGTGTCCATGTGTTCTCATTGTTCAATTCCCACCTATGAGTGAGAACATGCAGTGTTTGGTTTTTTGTCCTTGCAATAGTTTGCTGGAATGATGGTTTCCAGCTTCATCCATGTCCCTACAAAGGACATGAACTCATCATTTTTTATGAATGCATAGTATTCCATGGTATATATGTGCCACATTTTTTTAATCCAGTCTATCATTGTTGGACATTTGGGTTGGTTCCAAGTCTTTGCTATTGTGAACAGTGCTGCAATAAACATACGTGTGCATGTGTCTTTACAGCAGCATGATTTACAATCCTTTAGGTATATACTCAGTAATGGGATGGCTGGGTCAAATGGTATTTTCAGTTCTAGATCCTTGAGGAATTCTCACACTGACTTCCACAATGGTTGAACAACTTTACAGTCCCACCAACCATGTAAAAGTGTTCCTATTTCTCCACATCCTTTCCAGCACCTGTTGTTTCCTGACTTTTTAATGATCGCCATTCTAACTGGTGTGAGATGGTATCTCATTGTGGTTTTGATTTGCATTTCTCTGATGGCCAGTGATGATGAGCATTTTTTCATGTGTCTTTTGGCTGCATAAATGTCTTCTTTTGAGAAGTGTCTGTTCATATCCTTCGCCCACTTGTTGATGGAGTTGTTTGTTTTTTTCTTCTAAATTTGTTTGAGTTCATTGTAGACTCTGGATATTAGCCCTTTGTCAGATGAGTAGATTGCAAAAATTTTCTCCCATTCTGTAGGTTGCCTGTTCACTCTGATGGTAGTTTCTTTTGCTGTGCAGAAGCTCTTTAGTTTAATTAGATCCCATTTGCCAATTTTGGCTTTTGTTGCCATTGCTTTTGGTGTTTTAGACATGAAGTCCTTGCCCATGCCTATGTCCTGAATGGTATAGCCCAAGTTTTCTTCTAGGGTTTTTATGGTTTTAGGTCTAATATGTAAGTCTTTAATCCATCTTGAATTAATATTTGTATAAGGTGTAAGGAAGGGATCCAGTTTCAGCTTTCTACATATGGCTAGCCAGTTTTCCCAGCACCATTTATTAAATAGGGAATCCTTTCCCCATTTCTTGTTTTTGTCAGGTTTTTCAAAGATCAGATGGTTGTAGATATGCAGCATTACTTCTGAGGTCTGTGCTCTGTTCCATTGGTCTATACCTCTGTTTTGGTACCAGCACCATGCTGTTTTGATTACTGTAGCCTTGTAGTATAGTTTGAAGTCAGGTAGCATGATGCCTCCAGCTTTGTTCTTTTGGCTTAGGATTGACTTGGCAATGCGGGCTCTTTTTTGGTTCCATATGAACTTTAAAGTAGTTTTTTCCAATTCTGTGAAGAAAGTCATTGGTAGCTTGATGGGGATGGCATTGAATCTATAAATTACCTTGGGCAATATGGCCATTTTCATGATATTGATTCTTCCTACCCACGAGCATGGAATGTTGTTCTTCCATTTGTTTGTATCCTCTTTTATTTCACTGAGCAGTGGTTTGTAGTTCTCCTTGAAGAGGTCCTTCCCATCCCTTGTAAGTTGGATTCCTAGGTATTTTATTCTCTTTGAAGCAATTGTGAATGGGAGTTCACTCATGATTTGGCTCTCTGTTTGTCTGTTATGGGTGTATAAGAATGCTTGTGATTTTTGCACATTGATTTTGTACCCTGAGACTTTGCTGAAGTTGCTTATCAGCTTAAGGAGATTTTGGGGTGAGACAATGGGGTTTTCTAGATATACAATCATGTCATCTGCAAACAGGGACAATTTGACTTCCTCTTTTCCTAATTGAATACCCTTTCTTTCCTTCTCCTGCCTAATTGCCCTGGCCAGAACTTACAACACTACGTTGAATAGGAGTGGTGAGAGAGGGCATCCCTGTCTTGTGCCAGTGTTCAAAGGGAATGCTTCCAGTTTTTGCCCATTCAGTATGATATGGCTGTGGGTTTGTCATAGATAGCTCTTATTATTTTGAGGTACGTCCCATCAATACCTAATTTATTGAGAGTTTTTAGCATAAAGGGTTGTTGAATTTTGTCAAAGCCTTTTCTGCATCTATTGAGATAATCATGTGGTTTTTGTCTTTGGTTCTGTTTATGTGTTGGATTACGTTTATTGATTTGCGTATGTTGAACCAACCTTGCATCCCAGGGATGAAGCCCACTTGATCATGGTGGATAAGCTTTTTGATGTGCTGCTGGATTCGGTTTGCCAGTATTTTACTGAGGATTTTTGCATCTCTGTTCATTGGGATATTGGTCTAAAATTCTCTTTTTTTGTTTTGTCTCTGCCAGGCTTTGGTATCAGGATGATGCTGGCCTCATACAATGAGTTAGGGAGGATTCCCTCTTTTTCTAGTGATTGGAATAGTTTCAGAAGGAATGGTACCAGCTCCTCCTAGTACCTCTGGTAGAATTTGGCTGTGAATCCATCTGGTCCTGGACTTTTGTTGGTTGGTAAGCTATTAATTATTGCCTCAATTTCAGAGCCTGTTGTTGGTCTATTCAGAGATTCAACTTCTTCCTGGTTTAGTCTTGGGAGGGTGTATGTGTCGAGGAGTTTATCCATTTCTTCTAGATTTTCTAGTTTCTTTGCATAGAGGTGTTTATAGTGTTCTCTGATTGTTGTTTGTATTTCTGTGGGATTGGTGGTGATATCCTCTTTATCATTTTTTATTGCGTCTATTTGATTCTTCTCTCTTTTCTTCTTTAGTAGTCTTGCTAGCGGTCTATCAGTTTTGTTGATCTTTTCAAAAAACCAGCTCCTGGATTCATTAATTTTTTGAAGGGCTTTTTGTGTCTCTATTTCCTTCAGTTCTGCTCTGATTTTAGTTATTTCTTGCCTTCTGCTAGCTTTTGAATGTGTTTGCTCTTGCTTCTCTAGTTCTTGTAATTGTGATGTTAGGGTGTCAATTTTATATCTTTTCTGCTTTCTCTTATGGGCATTTAGTGCTATAAATTTCCCTCTACACACTGCTTTGAATGTGTCCCAGAGATTCTGGTATGTTGTGTCTTTGCTCTCGTTGGTTTCAAAGAACATCTTTATTTCTGCCTTCATTTCGTGATGTACCCAGTATTCATTCAGGAGTAGGTTATTCAGTTTCCATGTAGTTGAGTGGTTTTGAGTGAGTTTCTGAATCCTGAGTTCTAGTTTGATTGCATTGTGGTCTGAGAGACAGTTTCTTATAATTTCTGTTCTTTTACATTTGCTGAGGAGTGCTTTACTTCCAACTATGTGGTCAATTTTGGAATAAGTGCTATGTGGTGCTGAGAATAATGTGTATTCTGTTGATTTGGGGTGGAGAGTTCTGTAGATGTCTATTAGGTCTGCTTGGGGCAGAGC
Source organism: Homo sapiens (assembly GCF_000001405.40). NCBI lineage: Eukaryota > Metazoa > Chordata > Mammalia > Primates > Hominidae > Homo > Homo sapiens. Next base: position 78,068,562 of record NC_000006.12, on the reverse strand, counting down.
TGAGTTCAATTCCTGGATATACTTGTTAACTTTCTGTCTCGTTGATCTGTCTAATGTTGACAGTGGGGTGTTAAAGTCTCCCATTATTATTGTGTGGGAGTCTAAGTCTCTTTCTAGGTCTCTAAGGACTTGCTTTATGAATCTGGGTGCTCCTGTATTGGGTGCATATATATTTAGGATAATTAGCTCTTCTTGTTGAATTGATCCCTTTCCCATTATGTAATGGCCTTCTTTGTCTCTTTTGATCTTCGTTGGTTTAATGTCTGAAGATCTACCAAGCAAATGGAAAACAAAAAAAGGCAGGTGTTGCAATCCTAGTCTCTGATAAAGAAAATATATTTTCTTTTCCCTTTACAATATATAGCATATATTTGAATATAAATGTTCACTATATAATCACACGTAATTATATAATAATCGCATTCAGAAGACAAATATTAACATGGGGAAATATTTGTAATTCATATACCAGAGAATTGATTGACATCCTTATTTGGCAGTCTACTTAAATATTTCCCCTAGACATCAAATAAAATCTCCAGTTTAAAATACATAAAACTGTATTTGCAAAAAAGTCTTCTTCCCTAGGGCTTTTCAGTTCAAATTAATGCCATCTTCATTCTTACCATTGATTCAATCAAAACTTTAACACTAGTATTTGACTTCTTTATTCTTTCCGTTAGCTCACTACCCATACCCAATTTATTCTCAATTCCCATTAACTCCTCTAAAGTATGTCCTGAACTATGCATTTCTTTTCTTCTCCACTCCTATCACCACCAACATTGACACTCAAATAACACTTCAGTTGTTTCCCTCCTACCATTATTGCCTCCACTTGCTCCAGAACAATTCACTCTCTGTGCAGCAGGTTGAGGGTCATTTTTATCTTCATATAAATTATTTAAAGGCAGTCCACTAATTATAATATATAATAGTTTCCATTTGAAGCTAGAATGTATTCCAACAATTTTCCAAAGCCTGCTGGTCATATGGTAAGTGTGTGTCTAATTTTATAAGAAACTGCCAAGCAGTTTTTCAGTGTCTGTAACTGCTTTATATTTTCAATAAAAGTGTCATAAGTTCTTTCTCCATATCTGCAGTGACAGTTCCTATTGTCGTTTAAATTTTTTTTGAAATTAGAGTGGTCTCTAAATAGTAATTTATTTCCTTTACCTCTTGTTGTTTAATACTGTAGAATATCTTTTTTACAGGCTTATTGGCCACTTATGGATCTTAATTTGTGAAATGCCTCCTCAACTATTTTGTCCATTTTTAGTGTCTTTTTTGTTGTCTTCTCTTTGAGTTTTTAGATACATGAAAGCACAATGCATGAAAGAAAAAAAAAACAAATTGTACTTAAATCAATCAAAACTTCTGTGAAACACACTGTTAAAAAAATAAAAGGATAAGCCACTGAAATAAGGTATTTGCAAAAGACACATCTGATCATGGACTTATATCTAAAATATACAAGGAACTTTGAAACCCCAATGACCAAAAAAAAAAAAAAGAACCAATTGAAGATGGACAAAAGATCTGAATAGAGATCTCACTAAAGAAAATATGCTAATAGCAAATAAACATGAAAAAATGCTCAATATTATTTGTCACAAGGAAATGTAAACTAAGCAACAGTAAGGTACTACTATAGGCCTATTAAAATTTATAAAATTAAAAAACTGACAATGCCAATTGCTGGTGATGATAAGGAACAATCAGAACTTGCGTGTGTTGTTGGTAGGAAGGCAAAATAGTCCAGTCATTTTAGAAGACACTTGACAGTTTCTCATAAAGGTAAACATTGTATTACCATATGGTCCTGCATTTACACTCGTATGTATTTACTCAAATGATTTGAAAATGTACATACATGAAAACACCTACAGCTTCATTTATAATTGCCAAAAACTAGAAGCAACTGAATTGTGTTTTAATAAGTACATGCATAAATACATTGTGGTACACACACTTGGAATATATTTTAGCAATAGAAAGGACTAAGCTATCAAGTCATGAAAAGGCAGGGATGAATCTTAAATGTGTATTTCCGAATGAAAGAAGTCTGTCTGTAATGGACGCATAATGTATGACTCCATTTGTATGACATCTTGGAAAAGGCAAAACTTTAGAAATATAAATAGATCAGTGGTTGCCCAGGGTTTAAAGACGTGAAGGATGAAATAGATGAGCCACAAAGGACTTCTTAGGGTAGTTAAACAATTCTATATACTACAGTATTGATATTATGTATGTATCAAACCCATAGAATTCTATAGCACAAAGAGTGAGCCTTAATGCATGCAAGTTAAAAAAAAACTATTTAGGAGATCCAGGAATCCTAGGGCAGAATGTAGGTTGTGATGAAAAAAATATAACTGTATTGCAAATATAAGAAACAACCTCACTGAAGGGGTTAAAGAGATAAAGTTACTGAAATAAGTAATTTTGGAAACCAGTGGAGACTATAAAACTAAAGACTAAAGACTAAAGAACATGTACATAACACTTTACTTGAGGAATATTTTTTTCCACAGGTATACAGGTTAACAATTCTGAAACCCCTAGATATAGCTATACTATATACATATACTGGAGTTGATCACTTGAGTCAAGAGACAGTAGATGGTAAGAGTCAAGTTTTTTACTGTTGGAATGAAAGATTGCAAATAAATAAGCAGAGAAGGCTAGACTAATTCATGAGGTAATGGATTAGAGTTGGAGACATCAGCATCAACTCATATATAGCTTAATGTATATAGTAGATACAGATAGATACATATAGAAATATTTATAGATATGTTTATACACAGATTGGTTTAATATATATATAAAACTATATATACACATATGCACACAAACAGATATATGTTCTTGCTTGCCAGCTCAGAAGGCCTATGATGATAACCCGGTAGCAACAAGCATACCCAACTCTTGGTTTCTAATAGGAGAAACCAGCTTTCACTGAAGAAATGGCAGATTCAGGACTTCAGTGGGGAATATATAAGCTTGTAATGCTAGAAAGTAAGAAAGTGGTTAAAAAGTACAAACAAAAACAAAAACACCATTTTAATAGGAGTTTGTCAAAGAAACAAAGGAGCTCATTGAAAGAGCTCCAAATAGCCAAAGCTAACATACCTTGATTAAAACAATGAATAACACAGTACTGCATCATAAGTCAAAAATATAAAATAAATTTCCATGAAGCATAATTTTAAATAATTTATACAGATACTCCACCCTTAAGGAGCTGAAGTGTGATTTCCTCACTCTTTAAATGTGCCCAACATATAGTGACATTCTTCCATATAGTGGCATTCTTCCAGACAGTACAGCACGGAAAGTTGGAGGCAGGGGGTGTGTGACTACACTGGAGAAATCTGATAATTGCTACCTTAGCAAGTGACAAATGCTAACATTAACAGTGAAAGTCAGGTTCATAGCACATACCCTTTATGTGAGGTGCTCCATAAAAGGGCCATATATGCAAAGCAGCCCCCAAATGCCAAAGGAGTGTAGAAACCAAAGAAGGAGGCAGAGAAATCCAGTTTGTCAGTTTTAGGTGATTTATTAGGGGAACTTACAGACAGAAGACTGGTCTTGGGCGGCTGCAAGAGAGGTAGATCTCCACACTCTTACTCCCCAGACTTAAGGCTTATATACCATAAGGAAAAAATACATGTGTTCTGAGCAAGACAATTAAGGCTACCCTCCAGAAAAGGCAAGAATGCTATATGCATCATGGCCTATAATTTGCGCAATAAAATCAATGTGGCTTTGTTCTTATACTAGGGACAGTAAATAAAGTAGAAACCAGGAGGCATTCACTAAACTGGGGCTAATCAGAATATATTAGCAGCATTTTTAGGGCAATTAAGCAATTCTGTATACTACAGTATTGACACTCCATATTTATCAAACCCATAGAACCCTATAACACAAAGAGTGGGGCTAGTAGATGTGGATTAGCATCCAAGATGAAGTAACTTTTGTCTCCACCCCTCTAATCTCTCTTACAATCTCATGCGCCCACCTCTTCCATGATGGTCCCTGATCATTCAGAGGTGAGGGGTGCTGCAGTCATTTCAATGGTTTCAGTGACAAGTTGCATCAGTTAATTTTCTACCTGTAAGCAGAAGTCAAAACAAAAATACAAACAACAAGCAATGATACTTATGCCAGGCATAAGGCATAGAATGCCTTTCACAACCATGTTTCCCAGGATCCAAAGCAAGAGGCTTTTTGTAGCACTGAACAGCAACAGAAACAGATGACTGTTGGAGGAAATACAATGTTTAGTAGGTACTTGGTGGAACAAGCAAAATAACGGTGTAGCCTCACCTCTGCTGGACAGGACATAGGCAGTCAAATGATTATGTGATGGGGATGCATACCAAACATGTTGCCCAAGGGGCCAAGGTGCCAGTATTATCTGTCAGCTTACAGGGGCAGCAAGATACCATGTTAAATGGCTGACCAAAGGTTACTTTAAAAGGAACCCTGTTCCAGTGTGTTGGTATTTGGAACATCTTGATCCAAACTCCAAAAGGATCAATGGAGACCACCTTAGTTGACAAGAAAATTCCTTGCTCTCTGATGAGAAATAACTTATCTAACCTTAAGAAAGTTACCAGTCCAATTCTCATTCCGTTGTCCCCTACCCTGGCTCAAGATCTTGGGGGAGTTGCAAATAACATTTGCTGTTGACCTTTGATCAACTCCAGTAGATGTTTGTCTGGTCAGACTTTCTTTACAACTCACAGTTAATGAACCCTTCTCTATGGTGATCCTGAGTCATTGGTATGTTGCCAGCCCTGTATTTTCTCAATGAATTCAAGTTTCTAATGACTTGAAGCAAAACCTTCACCCACCCATGCAAAGTATTGGAGTATGAGAGTGCTTGAAGTTTTGCCCTCACAATACCATATTTCCTTTCAATTAACCTTACTGCTTGGTGATCATATGGCTCAATCTTGGACATCATGTTCACTGAAATATTGTGTCTCAGTCATTAACAACGCATCAAGAGTATCCATACATGACACTGTTTTACTTCAAGCCATTAATGGTGACTATTTTGTTTGCCCTTTTGCAAGGGAAGGCCTTCAAAAATTCCATGGCATATGTCAGTGCACATTTTTGTTCCAAGCTTACTGGCAGCAGAGGTTTAATATAGTCTATCTGCCAGTCTCTCACAGGTGCAGCTGTTCTATGCATATGTCCAGATATATGTGGATGTGGCAAGGGCATACGTGGGCGCAAACTAAGCAGTTTGTTATTGCTGCTGCTAAATTTGCATAGTGGAGGGGCAATCTTGCTTCCTTTGCTATTTTCCAGCCCACGCATGCACTGTGATGTCCACTATGTTTATTACGCAATCAACCAGCTTGAAGATTGCAAGGGAGCCAATGTTCTCATTTTTGCTAGGATATCAGCCTCCATGTTACCAGTGGGAAGTGAACCTAACAAGTGTGCTGAAACATGATACACAATTACACTCTCAGTGGGTTATTGTAGCCTTTTCCAAATGTCTTTCCACATGGCAGTTCCCCACAGGGATTTGTAAAGCACACACCAGTCATCCTAGGCCCACTGGGCAAGCCAAGTTGTAAGAGCCTCAGTAATGCCCAACTATCTGTACAGACAACTATAAGCCATGGCTTGTGGGTCCAAACCAACTATGCAGGTCAGAGTTCTGCCCACTGACTGCCCTGCTGCATTCCTATCTCAAACCAGATAGTATCTGTCTATGGATAGACAGCTATGCTAATACTGTCTGTACACAGAGGTTACCTTGGCTCGACCTGTCTTAATCCCAAGCATATTTAGGGATAAGAGCCATGCCTTTGTGTGTCATTGGAGGCATCACCTGTGGAAGCTCCATAGCAGGGGCAGCACTAGTCTCATAGTGTGCTGGCCCTGAGCATGCAGTTTATTTTTCAAGGGACTCATGGAAGGAGCCCTACATTATTGCAGGCATGCATGCCACTTTTGTAAAGTGAAGGCCTGAGCAATAGTTGAGACAGACCTGGAAAACAATCCCTCTAGCCAGACCTTAGTAGGGAGACCTGTTCTCTCTGTTTCCAGCAAAGCAGCACTTACGGGTTCAACTTGCTGCAGAGCTTTGTATATGCCTGGGACCTGTTCAACTGGGGAACACTGGGTTTCAACATACTTTCATGGCTGTGACCAGAATCCTAGGGGAACTTCTTTCTCGTGTTGGACTTGCAAGATGTGACCCTTATGGTCACATCTAAAGACACTGATGTCCTGGGAAATGGGGAATCTAATGCTTGTGTTTAAACTACTAGTATTTTAGCCTTAGCAAATGCTTCTTCTTGTTATTTATCCCAGCAGCAACTAGATTTCTTCATTTATTATTCTGTATAGGGGATGCAAATATTGAGCTAAATGTGGACTAAAGCCTGCCAATATCCCAAAAGGCCTGGACAATGTTGTAACTTATTTAACTGTTTTAGGCAAGTAAAAATGTATTTTGTCAATGACTGCCTGAAATAAGGCATGTGTTACCCAACCAAGCAACCCTTAGGAACTTTACAGCTGGTCCTGGGCCTTATATCTTTGGCAATTGATGGCCCATCCTCTGCATTGGAAAAGGGTGCACAATGCATCAAGGTGTTGCTGTAGCAATGACAAATCTTTAGAAGTTAGCATAATATCATCAATATAATGCCTACAAATCAGGGTGTAAAGGGATGCTGAAGAAGTCATTGACTAAATTTAACACAGCACGATACGTGCCTATATTATTTGTTCTATCACTTGAGTTATATTAGGCACAGCACCGTGTACCTTGGATATCACCTTATTAAGTTCCTGGTTGTCTATGAGTCATCAGATTTTCTTACTGGCCATACAAGACTGTTGAAAGAACTCTAAGCTAGCTGCATAATATTAAGTTTGGCCACTTCCTGCATGGTGGCTGTAATTTCTTCTGTACCACCAAGAAGACAATATTGTTTCACTTTAACAATGTGTTGTGGGGGAGGGAGTTGTAGGATTGAAATACATTTTACCAGCCAGAGTGATAAGTGGCATTCCCCCACAGACATTTATAAAGCACATCCTAAAAGGACATTCATACCCAAGATATTTTCTGAAATACGTGAGATAAAGACAGTAGAGTAAGCAACAGGGGAACCGTAGAGTAAGTACCAGGGGACTCCACTCAAAACCAAGGAGGGGAGGAGTTTGTTTCACTCAGATTATTTGCCCCTCCTGCCCCCAATGACCATCTATAGCTGCCCATTTACTCAGCTGTCTTTCTGGATTTCATGAATTAAGATACATTATGCACCCGTGTCTACTAAAGCTAAGGTTCTCTGCCTGTTTTTGAACTCCAATAGATTATGAGCTCCACCTGGGGCTTCCGGTCACCCCTATAGCTTTTCCATGAAGGCAAATTTGGCCCCACCTCTAGTCTCTAGGCTGGAAAGGAGTATCACTCCTGGAACGCAGAGATTGGGATTCTTTTATACAGAGTTTCTTCTTTTCCTTCTCCTTCTTTTTGGGGCACTGGGAAGGGGTCTAAACTGTTGATCAGGAGTCAGGTCTTCTCAAAGGCTCACAATATAGAGTTAGGATGCTGGTCTATGTTTGTTTGTTGTCTACCCCAGCTGAGATCAGATTATACCACATTTACTTCTAGAAATCCTAACTGGGCCTCTTTGACCTCCCTTTTTCAATCCAGCAAACCTTATTTATCTCATTTTCCCTTTTCCTTTAGTGAGCAGTTGGGCTTTATCTCTTCCCTATTTCCTTTTTGCAAAATCAGAAATGGCTTCTCTCACCTCACATACATCTTGTCCCCCAAGGGAGACATGCCTCTTCTGGGGGCCACTTTGTCTCATTTTTTTCAGCTTTACTCCTTTCCAGGGATGTGCAGTCCTTATTGGTGTCCCATAGTGGCTAAGATTTCTCTTGGCTGCTGTTTAAAAGGTTTTGCTATGTCCAGTATTCCTGCTGAGTGCTGCATGTTTTGGGATTTTGCTTTCTGCAGCATGAGCAGTTTTGCTCTTAAGGGGAGTGAATAATTATCTTCCTCCTTGGAGTAAACCTCTATGCCATCATCTCACTCACAAATTGGTTTGCTGGAATTCCAGGTATATGCATCTGAGCTTGGTTTGGCAAGGACAATCTTCACTTTCAGCCTGTGCAGCTTTCTTCCTCGCAAACATACAGAGTGGCAAGCTAAGGTTTCCAACTGTGCCTCCTGAGTTTCAAGCTTATTCATCAAACCAGAACTAACACAGATGTGGAAGTTCTCATATCCTTTCCTCACTGCAATTCTTTCTCCAGTTTTCCTGCACTCACCTCAGCAGTTACCTGTGGCCACTCACACAAGATCATAACAGTGGCAAACTCAGGGTCACAGCTCCAAGAACTTTCTTACCACAATGAATCATATTGCTTTTTTACTGACAAGCTTTCTAGACCTTCTGATGTTCTGGGCATGTTCTCATACACTGTAGTCCACAAGCATCTAGCAAATGGGCAACACCACCCCACATAGAGGAGGAGGAACCCCTAGGATTTCCCCCATGGATGCTTCTTTCTTCTTTCCCAAACTTTAGTTACCTGACTCCTGGCTAGCTGTCCATTTGTTCAGTGAAAAGGTCCTATATGCACAGTAGCCCCCAAAAGCTGAAGGAGCCAAGAAACCAAAGGAGCCAAATGAATCCAGTTTATCAGTTTTGGGTGATTGATTAGGGGAACTTACAGACAGAAGCCTGGTCTGGGTGGCTGAAGACAGTTTGATCTCCACACTGTTACTCCTCAGATTCTTTCTGTATGATACAGGAAAGTTCTGTGCAAGACAATTAAAGGCAACCCTCCAGAAAAGTCAAGAATGCTGTATGCATCATAGCCTCTAGTTTGTGCAGTAACATTAAAATTGCTTTGTTCTTAGTCTAGGAACAGTAAATATAGTAGAAACCAGGAGGCATTCAGGGGACTGGGGCTAATCAGAAGTCAACATGGCAGATCAGCCTAAAGATGGAGTCACTTTTGTTTCCATATTGTGTGATGAAAATGGCACTTTACCTCTGTGGTTCTACTCTCAAAACCACTAAAAACAGTCTAATTATGAGGAGAAAACCTCAGACAAATTCCAGTTAAGAAAAATTCCACAAAATATCTGAGCAGTACTCTTCAAATTTGTTAAGGTCATCAAAAACAAGGAAAATCTGAGAAAGTTAACACACCCAACAGTAGCCTAAGGAGACATGATAACTTAACAAGGATCCTGGAATAGATAAAAGGACATTAGGCAAAAAATAAAGACATCTGCATAAAATTTGGACTTTAGTTAATAATGTTTCATTATTGGTTGATTAGGAGTGACAAACACACCATACTAATGTACGGTTTTAACAATAGGGGAAGGTGGCTGTCAGGTATGTGAAAACTCTTTGTAGTATCTTTGCAACTTTTGTGTAAATTTAAAATTATCCTAAAGTAAAAAGTTTACTTAAAAAATATTACATTTAGTAAAATAAATTAGATAACAGAATAATATATACTGTGTTGACTCATTTGCATGAAAGTATAAGAAAGATCATTCTAATCTTTAGTGATAGAGAATAAGTAGATCAGCAATTTCTAGGTCCAGGGATGAGGATTGGATTGGGGATTGGCTGGTAATTGATACAAAGAAGTATTTTCAGAGGTGACAAAACATTCTGTAACTTATTTGTCACATTGATAAGTGTGAATATACATGTGTGTGTATATATATGTATTTGTCAAAACTCTACACTTAAAATGTGTGCATTTTATTATATGTAAATTATACCCCAATAAAGTTTTAAAAATCCCATTATAAATAAGGGTACTGTAAGTGATTGGAGCTGGAAGATTAGGGAACACTCCAACCATGAACTTTCAATGTCACTTTGACTAGAAGCCTCATCAATTTATTTTACAAATTCTGCTTACAGCTTTTAAGATACATCCCCCAATTCCATTTTACTAAAAATAGTTTTCAATATCTTGGGCTTAAGTCTTAGATACATCATTTAAATAAGAACATCTATTTTTAGTTAATTCAATTTATCTGAATCTGGGAGGAAAAAATATATCTTATAAAATTGGGGAGATATTTATTTATTTATCCACATATCATATACATTGGTAGAGAATAGCTGATGACTGATATGCTTCATCTTCCTTGGAAAAAAAACATGTTGGTTATGATTGGAGGCATTTTCTTTTGTGATTTTACATTTGATGTTTTTTCTATCTGGCTACTTTCTTTGTAGAAAATAACCGTCTCTAAGGGCCTGGTAATAATAATTTATATAATTCATTTTGTGCTATACAAAATGAAGATAATAGAAATAATAGTTTATGTGAACATAATGTATATTTCAAATAATATAAAGAGATTCATACATGTTGTTTAAACTTGAGTCTGAAAGCCTTTCCAATTTAATAAGATGTCAAGAGAGCTATTGATAACTGAGAGCTGAACACTACAGTAAAGCATGAATGCTGACTTCTTTAACAGGAAAAGAACTGCTTTTTAATTGGACTGGATGCTGTATTGACAGAATAACAAGAAAAAAATTAAATCATTATTCTTTGGCAGCACAATGCTTCCTGTGCATACCAATGATGAAGAATAAAATAGAATATTGTCCTTTCTTCTTTTTATAAACTATTGAAAATCACATGTAGATATTCAGTTGCATGTATTTATTTATATACATGAGGTGCAGAGTAGTACACTAGGCAAGCAGATACACTTTACTATTGTACATATCTCTACCACTTGGTGAAAACCAAGTTGATGACTTAGGCAAAAACCTTTTGTTATTTTCCATTTCCTTAGATAAGCGCAAAAAGATCTAGACTTCTCTGTGGATATGCAATTTTACATAATGAGGCAATATTTGTATTGAGAAAAGGTCATATGCAGTTTTACTTCAACTATCAACAGATTTTTTTATTATAAAAATATTCTAGCTGCCTAACCATCTTAACTAAAAAGGTATTTGCCTAAAACAGGTGTTCGAATGACCTAATGACCTGTGTAACATTTTTTGAGTGATACTTAACATTATAAAATGCCCTCTTCTTTCCTATGTCCCATTTTCTCTATCAAAAATAAATTCATACTTAATTATATACATAAACATAAAGATAAAATATTGGCTGATCTGGCACCGTTGCCTCAATGCAAGACAGATTTGCTGTGCTAGTGCTAGAGCTTCTTCTGCCCAATTCTGCTTCCATCACTTCCACCACAAGCAAGAGCTTCTGCACAGCAAAAGAAACTTTCAGGAGAGTGAACAGACAACCTACAAAATGAGAGAAAATTTTTGCAAACTATGCATCTGACAAAGTCTAATACTTACCATCTATAAGGAATGTAAACAAATGTGCAAGAAAAAAAACCATTAAAAAGTGGACAAAGAACATGAAGTCATTTTTCAAAAAAGACATACCACGCAGCCAAAAATCATATGGAAAAAAAAAGCATAACATCACTGATCATTAGAGAAATGCAAATCAAAACCGCAATGAGATATCATCTCACACCAGTCAGAATGGCCACTATTAAAAAGTCAAAAAATAACAGATGATGGTGAGGTTACAGAGAAAAAGGAATACTGATGGTGGGAGTGTAAATTAGTTCAACCATTGTGGAAGACAGTGTGGTGATTCCTCAAAGACCTGAAACCAGAAATACCATTCAACCAGAAATTGCATTACTGGCTGTATACCCAAAGGAAAATACAGTATTCAACCAAGAAGACACTTGCACGTTTATCACAGCACTATTCACAATAGCAAAGACATGGAATCAATATAAATGTCCATCAATGGTAGACTAGATAAAGAAAATATAGTACATATATACCATGGAATACTATGCAGACATAAAAAATAATGAGATCACATCCTTTGCGGGAATATGGATGGATCCGGAGGCCATTATCCTTAGCAAACTAAGGCAGGAACAGAAAACCAAATACCGCATGTTCCCACTTATAATTGGGAGCTATCTGATGAGAACACATGGACACATAGAGGGAAGCAACACATACTGGGGCCTATTGGAGGGTGGAGGGTGAGAGGAGGAAGAGGATCAGAAAAATAACTAATGAGTACTAGGCTTAATACCTGGGTGACAAAATAATCTGTATAACAAACCCCCATAACACAAGTTTACCTATATAACAAACCTACACATGTACCCCTGAACTTAAAAGTTAAATTAAAAAAAAAAACACTAACTCAACAATGTACTGCAAAAAACAAACAAAGAGTACCTCTGAATAAACTTCTGGTATGCAAATCTCCATCTCAGAGTCTGCTTCCCAGGAAACCTGACCTGCAACAGCTGGTACCAGAAGTGGTTGAAGGAAGCAGATTCTAGAATGTTGTCTTGAAATTAGATTGATCAGCAACGAGGACCTCTTTAGAGGTGGTTTGGTGGAGCACTGACCACCCCGACATAATTATACAATTACTAAAACTTTCAGTGTAGTGGTAAACTGAAAAGGGATACCAGTGAAAAACAGTGGATTACTTAAAGGTAAAAGAGAAACAGTAACTATAAGAACTCCATATGGAATTGGATGGCTATTGCTGGGGCCAGTAGATGCTTTAGAGAAAGGGAAGAAAAGGTGAGTGTGATTAATTACCAGTTAAAAGCTAAGTGTGAAAGACAGAGAGCCAATTTGGCAGCATAACACATCTTCTACACCCAGAAGGGAAAAAGGGTGATCAGGCTTAGAGGTTATTCTTAAAATTAAGGGAAATCTAAGTGATGTTACATTTTCAACTCCATCTGGTGTGGACTTCAACGTAAAGGCCCTGAACTGAGAAACTGGAATTTTGCCATAGAATGGAGTCATCTGGATTGATGCAGTAGAAATTCTTGGAATTTCCCTGGACCTTTTGGCCTACAAAATTGGCCTACTTTTTCCTGTTAAAAGCTAGCTAGTGCTTACACAATTCTTGAATATCATGGAGAGGCTCTGCCTTTCTAGAAAACAAATTATCCCCTCAGGATCTACCTATACTTCCTTTCTAGGATACCAGTCTAATAATAACAGTAACTCAATACAAAACTTGGCTGAGAAAGTGCTGAGACTACTAAGAGAAAAAGGGCCTCTACACCAAACAAATGTGGGACCTAACCAATATATGCAACAGGAGCCAGGGAAGTATATACAGAAAAATAACCTGAGGACTCTGAATCAAGGAGGATGAGACATAAGAATGAGGAAGAAAAATTTTATCACTATAAAGCCCTCTTCCATGATATTTTAATGCCTTGCCAAGGATCCTGGGTTATGATACTAACTTATTGCCACAAAGATCCTTGGGAGTTTTGAGAAAACAGTGGCTTAGATAAAGTAAAGTAGAAATGCATAACTGCAGTAAGAGATGCTGGAAGAAGGAACCAAAGGGTCAGAGAATTGGGCATGCTAGAGTGCTAGAGAATTGGGCATGCTAGAGGGCATCAAGCCCAAAAGCCTTCCAGATGATTATATTCCCTGGGAAAGCCTGCAAGAACACTCCACTTACCAAAGCAATGGATTGTTGAGAGGGACATCACTGAAATGATCAGTGCAGCCTGTCCTCCGGGGCCTTTGGAATTCTTCCATTGCAGCTCAGGCTACAAGTGACTAGGCCAGAAACTTCTAGCCACAGTTGGAGTAGAATTGACTTTCCCATAATCTGTTGGTCAAAACAGACTTAGGCCAGCCCAAATTCAAGAGAATAATAAATGAAATTCACCTCTTAATGGGAGTAGTGTCAAATAATTTGTGAACATCATTAACATGCCATATCCCACAGATAGAATATTTATAGATTATTGGACCACAGTTGAAAGCTTGACTGGTTAGTCAGAGATTTGGAAAGAAAAGCATTTGAAACTCACGGATAAGGAAGCTTGGAAAGGGGGAAAAATGGGAAACTCTGAAAGTGGGCACAAAGTATTTGTATCACATATGGTGGCATTAGCCCACCAGAGAGCTTCTACCACAGAAAAGGCATTATACAACCAAGCAGAAGAAAGACTTGGTGGGTCAACACTAGCTAGCCTCTGCAATTGGTCTTCCTAGTGTTGGACCAGTCAGGATATAAATAAAGTAGAGATGAAGGCAAAGATGGATGCTTAGCCAGGGCCAAACGGTGTGTATTACCACCAAGACTAATATATTGCCTTTCATTGCTAAATGACCTGGCAGCCACAGAAATCATTGCTGAATTTCTGATAAGGCACTACCTATCCAGTAAATCTGCCACCCATTCAATGATAAGTTGATTACATTGGAGACCTTCCACACTGGAGGGGGCAGTGATTTATCATGACTGGATCTGATACATATTCCAAGCATGGGTTTGTTTGCCTTTTCTTTTTGAACGACTTCAACCAGTACAACATCAGAAAACTGGCAAAGTGTTTGAACCAGCAATACAGTATCATGCGTAATAACTCTTTGGACTAGGCAATCCGCTTTACAGCAAAAGAAGTGTGATAGAGGTTACACGACCATAGAATCAACTAGTCTTACCATAAATCTTATCAACCAGTAACTTCCATCCTGAACCAGTGATAGAAGAGTCTCATGGAGGTCAGCTGTGTTGCCAGTTTGGAGAATATTTCCTCCAAAGATGAGATGCCATATTTTAAATGCAGAATGCCCTCCATAACATTGACAATTATATAGTAATATGCTTCCAAAACGTAAATAGGTTTGAGAACCAAGGAATGGAAGTTCTCCTTATCATCATTCTCAGTGATTCACTTGGGCAATCTGTTTTTCCTGTGTGGGTTTAGAGTTTCTGGTTTTGAGAGAGGTGACATATCCACAAGTAGACAAAATAAGAGTTCTTTAAACTTTAAGCTATGGCTGATACTTGGTCATTTCATGCTCCTTCTAACAAGAGACCTTCAAGGAAGAAATTTTCATATTAGCAGGGATCATTGATCCTCATAACCAAGAGGATGTTGGACTTATTTTACTTGATAGGATGTTCAATAAAATTTTGAATGGAAATGGTAGGAATGTATATATGTGCCTTAGGACTGGTTATGAAAGCATGGAGAACTAGATTTGACATTCAAGTGATCCGGTTGGGTATTTCTTCTCATTTCCTTGCTCAATTTTGATGGTAAATGTGTCATCAAAGCAGCTACACTCTGAGAAGCACATGGTGATTAAAGGCTCAGACCTCTTAGCAAACAAGGTGCAAGCTGGGAGTGGGAGTATCTAGATCAGGTAAGATGTAGCAGAAAATATGAAAAACTCTACATAAAATAAAATAATTGGATTTGTTTTCCAAAACTTAGTATAAAGGAAACTCTAGGCTAAATTAATTTTCTAGTCAATTATGTTAAATATTTAAATAAGAAATGGTAGAATGCTTGTACAAATTCTTACAGAAAATAGAAGAGGAGGGAGTACTTCTCAATTCATTTAATGAGGCTAGCATTTGTCTTATATGAAAGCTAGACCAAATCCTGGTAAGAAAAGAGATTATAGATCAATATCCTTCATGAACATAGACACAAATCTTTTTTTTTTTTTTTTTTTTTTTTGAGACGGAGTCTCGCTCTGTCGCCCAGGCTGGAGTGCAGTGGCGGGATCTCGGCTCACTGCAAGCTCCGCCTCCCGGGTTCACGCCATTCTCCTGCCTCAGCCTCCCGAGTAGCTAGGACTACAGGCGCCCGCCACTACGCCCGGCTAATTTTTTGTATTTTTAGTAGAGACGGGGTTTCACCGTTTTAGCCGGGATGGTCTCGATCTCCTGACCTCGTGATCCGCCCGCCTCGGCCTCCCAAAGTGCTGGGATTACAGGCGTGAGCCACCGCGCCCGGCCGACACAAATCTTCTTAACAAAATTATAGCAAATAAATCCAACAAAACATTAAAATAGTAAGGCATTTTGACCAAGTGATGTTTATCTAATAAATACAAGGTAAATTTAATATTCAAGGATAAATCAATGTATTTCACCACTTTAATAGAATGAATGATCAAAATAATTACTACTTCAATGAATGCAGAGAAAGCATTTAACAAAATTCAGCTTTAATTTATAATAAAACTAAAACTATAAATTAACTAGGAAGTGAAGAAAGGTCACTAGAACTGATAAATGGTATCTTAAAAATTACCTACAACTAAAATTATACTTATTGGTACAATACTGAATGATTTACTGCAAAGTTTGGGGATAAGAGAAGTATGTGTGATCCTACCAGTTTTATTTAAAAAAGAGAAAAGGCAAAAAAGAGCTTAAAGTTTGTAAATTAGGGAGCAAAATTGTTTTAAGTTTATATGATTATTAACACAGAAAATGCTAAAGCATCTACAAAAAGCCTACTAAAACTAATAAGAGATTTTGCAAGAAATCAGGATATAAGGTCAATACAAACTTAGTTGTATATATTGGCAATAATTTTAAAATAATCTTATAGAAAAAATAGGTAAAAACATTTGTTTCTTTAGGTTATGCAAAGGTTTTGTTAGACAGAACCCTAAAAGCACAAAATATAAAACAATGCCCAAATTAACTTCATTACGGATTCAAAACTCTATGTACAAAGAGTTTGTATCCTTTTTATAAAAAGAACTCTTACAACTCGATAATAAGTAGAAAATATACCTAAAAAGTGGATGAAAGATTTGAGCACTTTACAAAAGGAATAATACATAAGAATAGGCAATAAGCACATAAAAAGATGACTAGACATCAAACAAATACAAATTAAAATCAAAATGAGATAGCATTAGACACTCACTAGATGAAAGTTAAGAGGCCTATGAATATCATTTTTTAGTGATGATATAGGGCATCTGAAAATGTCATACACTGCTGATGGGAAGGCAAAATGGTACAGGATGTGAGGGAAAAGTTCAGCATTTGGAAAAATGATGGCTGTATATTAAAAGGTTAAAAATATATGACCAAGTAATTTCAATCCTAGGTATTTATACAAGAGAAGTGATTACATCTGTTAACACAAAGATATTTCTGCAAATATTCATAGGAGGATTATTCATACTAACTAAAACCTGGATTCGATACAAATATCCACCAGTTGATGAATAGTATATTAGTATGACATGTATCCATGAAGTGAAACACTATTTAGCCAGAAAAAGAAACACAATATATACCACAACGTAGAGTAACTTTAAAAAGTATTATTGGTAAAATAATTCAAATTAAATAGATAATTTATAATTATTATTTTAATTTGAAATTCCAGAAAATATGAAATTTCTTGTAACAGAACAATCAATGATTTCCTGTGGCCTGAGATAGAAGAAGAAGGTGGGCATAAGGTTGCAGGATCAACTGCAGAAAAGTTAGGAGAAAATATTTAAGGATGAGGGCACTGTTTTATATCTTTACTGTGGTGGTGGGTACACGGTTATATATAATTATTAAAATTCAACTATGTTCTTTTTAAAATCTCATTTTATTGTGATAAAAACAAACATGAGATCTACCTCTTAACATGTTGCTAAGTGTACATTATTGTTGACTATAATGCAGTGTTATTCAGCAAATGTCTAGAGTTTATTCATCTTGCTTAACTGAAACTTGATTATAACCACCTATTGATTATAGGAAATCTGCCCATTGATTATAACTACTTACTTCCCCCTTCCCACAGCCCCCAGGCTCTCCTCTTAAAATAGATTAATTTAATATGTATGAATGATACTTCAATAAAAAACAATGCTTCATGTATCTTGAAGCATTGTTGCTAGATGTACACACATTTTGGATTGTTTTATCTTCTTGGTGTATTTGTTCTTCTGTCATTATTAAATGCTCCTTATTATCTCTGCTAATTTCCTTGTCCTGAAATTTACTCTGATATTATTATGTCCACCAATCTTTTGATTGGTTTCCCTATGGTATAACTTCTTTATCCTTTTTTCTTTAAACTTATCTTTTTTAGCATATTTTAAATGGGTTTCTGGTAGACAATAATTTGGTTTTGCTCTTTAAACCAATTTCCAATCTATATTTTATAGTTGGTGTGTTTAGATAGAACAAACAAGAAAGAGATAAATAAAATATTATAATTAGAGACTTCAACACTCTCTTCTTTCAGTTAAGGACTTCTTTCTTCTCTCTTCTTTGACAAAAGAAATAGAACATCTTAATATAATAAACATTTATAGAATACTCCATCCAACATTATCAGAATAACTATTCTTTACTACTACACATGAAACATTTGTGAAAACAAACCATATCCTGGGTTACAACACAAACATTAATGAATTAAAGAGAATTGAATTAACACAAAGTGTCTTCTTTGGTCATATGACCCTAATGAAATTAAACCTGATGTCAATAACAGGAAAATGTCCAGAAAATTCCCTGAATTATTAAAAATCAAATAATGCAATTCTAAATAGTGGTTGGGTCAAATTGGGTTCAGAATATACATTGAATTGATTTTAAACTAAAATACAATGCATTAATACATATGCGATGCAGCTATAGCCATCCTTGTAGAGAAATTTATGCCATTAAAATGCACATATTAAGAAAAAATTTTTCAGATAAATTTAAACTTTCACTGTGATAAAATAAGAGAAAACTTATTCTTTTTTATTTTTCTAGAAAAAATAAGAACAAACTAAACCCACGGAAACCAAGATGATATAATAAAGAGAAGAGAAAAATAAAATTGAAATTAGAAAATAGAGAAAATAAATGAAACCAAACTTCGTTTTATTTTTAAGATCAATAAAGTTGATAAAGTGTTAGCTGGTCTAAGAAAAAGATGGAGAGGAAACAAATTACTTGAATGAAAACTATCACTTCAGGGATATCACTGTAAATACTACAATTATTAAATGGATGATAAGGGAGTACTATAAAGAACCCTAGTCATACAAATTCAAAAACAGAGATAAATGGACCAATTCATTGAGACACAAAAATTACCAATACTTATGCAAGAAGAAACAGAATACTTAGTAGTGTTATATCTCTTTTAAAAACTGAATTACTAGTTTAAAACCTTAAAAAAACTCTTGTTTCAGATGGTTCCTATTGAAAATTATGCTAATTTGTATCGTCTCTCCAGAAGTGAAAAGAAGTGTTCCCAACTCATTTTATAAAGCGAACATTACCCTGAGACCTAAAACAAATAAAGACACTACAAAGAAACTACAAACCAGTATTCCAGATGGAAATAGACACAAAATTTCTCAATAAAATATTATTGGATTGAATGCAGCAATATATGAAAGAAGATAAAGCATTATGACCAAACATGGCTTATCTAGGCTGGTCAACAACAAAAAATTGATCACTATATCATCAGATACTATTACAGACAACTATATGCTCACAAACTGAAAAATCTAGAGGAGATGGAAAAATTCCTGGAAACATATAGCCTCCTGAGATCAAATTGGGAAGAAATGGAACTACTGAACAGATCAATAATCAGTAGCAAGATGATTCAGTAATACAAAATCTCCCAATCAAAAGAAAGAGCCCAGGGCCAGGTGGATTTACAGCCAAACTCTAACAAACATGCAAAGAAAAACGAATTCCAATTCTTCTGAGAGCATTCTGAAAATATCAAGGAGAAGGGAATACCTCCTAACTAATTTTACAAGGCCAATAGCACACTGATACCAAAACCAGACAAGGACACCACCAAAAAAGAAAACTACAGGCCAATATCCCTGATGAAAATAGACACACTAATCCTCAATAAAATACTAGGAAATCAACTCCAACAGCACATCAAAAAGATAATATATACCATTATCAGGTGGGATTTATCTCAGGGATGCAAGTATGGTTAAACATATGCATCAATAAATGTCATGCATCGTATCAGTAGAATTAAGGACAAAAATCATATGATCATATAAGTAGATGCAAAAAAAGCATTCAAGAAATTTAGCATTCCTTCACGATAAAAATTCTCAACAACCTAAGCATGGAAGAAACAATACCTAAAAGTATTAAAGGCCATATATGACAAACCCACAGCCAACATCATTCTTAATAGGGAAAAACTGAAACATTCCCTCTAAAAACTGGAAAAGACAAGGATGCCTTCTCTCACCACTCTTACTCAACATAGTACTGAAAGTCCTCACTAGAGAAATCAGGCAAGAAAATGCATCCAAATTAATAAAGAGGAAGTCAAATTATCCCTTTGTGCTGATGATATAATTTCATATCTAGAAAACCCTAAAGACAACACCAAAAAACTCACGGATTTCATAAATGAATTGAGTAAAGATTCAGGATACAAAAAAAAAATAAGCATACAGAAATCAGTAGTGTTTCTATATGCAAATAATGATCTACCCAATGATCAATCAAGAAGGCAATCCCATTTACAATGGCTACAAAATATAGCTATGATATATTTAGCCAAGGAGGTGAAAGATCTCTACAAGGGGAACTACAAAGCACTGATGAAAGAAATCGTAAATGACACCAACAAATGGAAAAACATCCCACGCTCATGGATTGGAAGAATTAAGATCATTAAAATGACCATACTGCCAAAAGCAATCTACAGATTCAATGCAATCCCCATCAAATTGCCAATGTCTTTTTCTATAGAATTAGAAAAAACAATTTTGAAATTCATAGGGAATTAAAAAAAAACCCAAGTAGCTGAAGCAATCCTAAGCAAAAAGAACAAAGCTGCAGTCCATCACATTACCTGACTCCAAATTATACTACAAGGCTATATTAACCCAAACAGCATACTACTTTCATAAACGTAAACACATAGACCAATGAAACAGAATAGAGAACCAAGAAATAAAGCCAGATACCTACAACTGATTTTCAACAAAGTCAACAAAAGTGTTCACTAGGGAAAAGACACCCTATTCAATAAATGGCACTAGAAAACTTGAATGGTTATATGGAGAATGAAACTAGACCCATACCTCTCACCATATATTAACAAAAGTTAACTCAGGATGGATTAAAGACTTAAATATAAGATCTGAAACTATAAAAATCCTCAAAGAAAAGCTATGAAAATCTCTCTGGACATTGGCTTAAGCAAAGAATTTGCGACCAAGTCCTCAAAAGCAAGCAAAGCAAAGCCAAAATGTAAACAAATGAGACTCAATTAAACTAAAAAAGCTTCTATACAGCAAAATAAGCAATCAACAGAGTCAACAGACAACCTAGAGAAGTGAAAACTATGCCTCTTACAAAGGGCTAATATCTAGAATCTAGAAGAAACTGAAGCAACTCAACAAGAACTAAACAAATGATAAAAAGTGAGCAAAGGACATGAACAGGCATTTTTCAAAAGAAGACATACAAATGGCCAATGTATGGAAAAGTTCTCAATATCACTAATCATCAAAGAAATGCAAATGCAAATTATAACCACAGTGAGATACCATCTTACACTACTCAGAATGGCCATTATGTAAAAGTCAAAAAAACGACAGATATTGGTAAGGAGGGACAGAAAAGGGAACTCTTATAAACTATTGATGGGAATCTAAATTAGTACCACCTTTATGGAAAACAGCAGAATTAGTTATAGAACTACCATTTAAGCCAGCAATCTCACTACTGAATATATACACAAAGGAAAAGAAATTGTTATATCAAGAAGACACCTGCCCTTATATGTTTATTGCAGCACTATTCACAATAGCAAAAATACAAAGTCAACCTAAGTGACCATCAACAGAGACTTGGATAAAGAAAATGTATGTGTGTATCTGTGTGTGTGTATGTGCGTGTGTATCTCATGGAATACTATTCAGCTATTAAAAAAGTGAAATCATGTATTTTACAGTGACATGGATGGAATTGCAGGCTATTATCCTAAGTGAAATAATTCAGAAATACGAAGTCAAAACCACATGTTCTCACTTATAATCGGGATCTAAACAATGAGTACACCAGGAAATACAGAGTGGAATAACAGACATTGAAGGTACAAAGGTTGGAGGGTGGGAGGGAACTGAGAGTTGACTAAATACCTATTGGGGACAAAGTTTACTATTCAAGTGATGGGTATATCAGAAGCCTGGACTTTATCACTATGTAATATATGCATGTTAGAAATCTGCACTTGTACCCCATAAATTTATCAAAGTAAAACACAATAAATTTATCAATGTAATCAACAAATGGACTACAAAAGAAAAACTGCATCATCTTAATAGATATAGAAAATGAATTTACATATGTCAACATCCATTTATGATAATTGCTCTCAGCAAACTATAAATACAAGAAAAGGTATTTAAGAGTGTCTCTAAATTATTTACAAGTAATATCATATTTAATGGGAAAAACCTAAAGACTTTCCTCTCAAAATCAAAACCAAGATGATATGGTTTGGCTCTGTGCCCTCACCCAAATTTCATCTCGACTTGTAATAACCATGTGTCGAGTGAGAGACCTGTAATCCCCACGTGTCAATGGAGGGAAGTAATTGGGTCATGGGGGCGGTTTCCTCCATGCTGTTCTCATAATGGTGAATGAGTTACCATGAGATTTGATGATTTTATAAGGGGCTTTTCCCCCTTAGTTTTCTCCTCTTCTCCCTCCTGCTGCCTTGTGAAGAGGTGCTTGCTTCCCATTCAGCTATGATTGTAAGTTTCCTGAGGCTTCCCCAGCCATGTGGAACTGTTAGTAAATTAAACTTCTTTCCTTAAGAAATTATCCAGTCTCAGGAAGTGTGAGAATGGACTAATAAAGTAAATTGGTACTGGTAGAGTGGGGTACTGCCACAAAGATAGCCAAAAACATGGAAGTGACTTTGGAACTGGGTAATAGGCAGAGGTTAGAATGGTTTGAAGGGCACAGAAGAAGAAAAGATGTGGGAAAGTTTGGAACTTTGTAAAGACTTGTTGAATGGCTTTGACCAAAATGCTAATAGTGATATAAACAATAAAGTCTAGGATGAAGTGGTCTCAGATGGAGATGAGGAACTTATTGGGAACTGGAGCAAAGGTTACCCTTGCTATGCTTTAGCAAAGAGGCTGGTGGCATTTTGCCTCTGCCCTAGAGATCTGTGGAACTTTGAACTTGAGAGAGATGATTGGAAACTGGAGCTCGTGTTTAAAGAGGAAGCAGAGCATAAAAGATGAGATTTTGGACTGTGCATTTTTGAGTTAATGCTGAAATGCATTAAAATTTTAGACTTGGGAAGGCATGACTGGTTTTGCAATGTGACTTCTCACCCCTGGAAGGACCAGGGGTGGAATAATATGGTTTGGCTCCATGTCCCCACCCAAATCTCATTTTGAATTGTAATACCCACAGGTCAAGGGAGGGACCTGTAGTCCCCATATGTCAAGGGAGGGAGGTAATTGGATTATGGGCCTAGTTTCTCCCATGCTGTTCTCATGATAGTGAGTTCTAATGAGATCTGATGGTTTTATAAAGGGCTCTTCCTTCTTCACATTCTCTTCTTCTCTCTTCTGCCACCTTGTGATGAAGGTACCTGCTTTCCCTTCTGCCATGATTATAAGTTTCCTGATGCCTCCCCAGCCATGTAGAACAGTGAGTCAATTAACCCTCTTTCCTTCATAAATTAGCCAGTCTCAGGGAAATTCTTTATAGCAGTGTGAGAAGGTACTAATACACTAGGCAAACATTCTTGTCTCATCACTTATATTTAATATTATGCTACAAATCCTGGCTAATGAAAAAGGTTTAAAAAAAGAGAAAGAATGCAAGAAAGAAAAGACATACAGATGGGAAAGGAAGATATATTACCGTTAAAAAAAAAAAAGCATTATTAACAGAATGCACAAAATCTCAAGAAATCCATAGAAATACCTCTTGGAACTAATAAATTAATTTAATAAGTTCACAAAATACAAAGTCAGTATACAAAAATAATTATTTCTGCATACTAGTTTTAAACTATTAAAAACCAAAACCCAAAACTTTTTAAAAAATGCACCATTTACAAAAATCAGAACCATAAAATAGCAAAGTATAAATCTAACAAAATACAGGCAGAACTTGAAAGACAAAACTGCAAAATGTTAATAAAATAAATCAAAGAAGTCCAAAATATAAATATGGATATCATTAAAATGTTAATTCTTCTCAAATTGATATAGATTTCACACAACCTCAATGAAAAGCCCAACAGGATTGTGTGGAAATATTTACAAGTTGACTGTAAAGTCAAGTCAGAAAGCAAACAAATAAGTGAACAACAAATATTAATAATTTCGAAAAAACTAATTTTAAAAAAGAAGAACAAAATTGAAGGACTCATATAAAGCAACAGTAACCAAGACAATATAGTATTGGCAAAATAATAAGCATATAGATCCATGGAAAACAGCAGAGAGTTCAGAAATAAACACACAGATATGGTCAACTGATTTTTTTTAAAAGGGAAAAAGGTATACAATAGTGAAAGAACAGTCTTGTCAACAAATAGTGCTGGAGCTACTAAATATTCACAAGCAAAAAGTAACAACCTCAATCCATACCTCACATAAAATATAAAATCAACTTAAAATGATACACAAAACTATTATTCATACCTAAAATTATAAAATTTGTAGAAAAAATGTAAAAGTCCTTTTTTCAATATACTTGAGTTACCTTTATTAAAAGACTATTATCAGGCTGGGTGCAGTGGCTCATGCCTGTAATCTCAGCACTTAGGAGGAAGAGAAGGGAGAATTTCTTGTGTACAGGAGTTCGAGAGCAGCCAGGACAACATAGCAAGACTCTGTGTCTAAAAAAATAATAGCCAGATGTGGTGGCATGTACCTGTAATACTAGGTATTATACCTGTAACATAGGTAGTTGGCAGTCTGAGGGTGGAGGATTGCTTGAGCCCAAGAGTTTGAGGTTACAGTGAGCTATGATCCTGCCACTACTCTCCACTCTCCATCCTGGGTGAGAGAGTGAGATCTTGTCTCTTAAACAAAACAATTATAAATTAATACTTTCTATTATTCTTGTTTGTAGGGTAAACTGTAATGTTTTGATATATGCACACATTATGGAATAATTAAATCTGTCTAATGAACATATCTATAACCTTACATATTTTTCTTGTGTGTAGTATAAAAATTTAAAATCCACTCTTTTAGAATTTTTGAATATATGATACATTATTGTTAACAATAGTCACCATGCTGTGCAATAGATTTCAAAACTTATTCCACTTGTCTAACTGAAACTTTTTGCCTTTTAACCAAAAATCTCCCCACCCCTAACCTTTGGTAACCACTATTTTACTCTCTGCCTCTATGAATTTTACTTTTTTAAAATTTCTAATATATGCAGTATTTTTCTTTCTGTGCCTGATTTATTTCACTTGGTGTAATGTCCTCCAAGTTTCTCAGGTTAGATAAAGATTTCTTAAATACAATACTAAAAATCAGTAAATTTAAAATGACAAATAAGACTTCAGAAAAATGAAAAACTTGTGTCATGTGAAAGGTAGTGTTAAGAGAATGAAAAGATAAGCTACTGACTGGGAAGAAAATATTTTGAAATCATATATGTGATAGTAGACTTGCATGTAGAATGTGTAAAGAATTCTCAAAAATCAAATATAAGAAATCAATCTAATTACTTAAAAATGTCCATGAGATCTGAACACTACCAAATTGAAGACAAAAGATATGCAATACTCTTAGTCATTATAGAGCTGCAAATTAAAACTTCATGAGACACCAGTACATACTTATTATGATGTTTTTTAAAAAATGACAACACCAAGCACTTAGACGATGATATGATTTGGATATTTATCTCCCAAATCTCATGTTGAAATGTAATCCTCAATGCTGGAAGAGGAGCGTGGTGGAAATGTTTGGGTCATGGGAGTGGATTCCTCATGGCTTGGTGCTGTACTCAAGATAGTGAATAAGTTTCTTTGAGATCTGGTGGTTTAAAAGCATGTGGCATCTTCCCTTAACCCCTATTCTCTCTCTTGCTCCCACTCTCATCATGTGATGTGCCTGTTCTCTCTTTGCCTACCATCATAATTGTAAGCTTCTGAGGCCTCACCAGAAGCAGACGCCAGTGCCAAGCTTCCTGTACAGCCTGCAGAACCACGAGCCAATTAAACCTCTTTTCTTATAAATTAGATATCTAAAAATGTGGAAATGACTTTGGAACTGGGTAATGGGCAGCAGTTGGAAGAGTTTAGAGGGCTCAGAAGGCAGAAAGATAAGAGAAAGTTTCGAACATCTTAGAGTCTGTTTACAGGATTGTGACCAAAATGCTGATAATGCTACAAAATTGTTTCTCAGACGGAAATGAGAAGCTTATTGGTAACTGCAGCAAAGGTCGCCTGTGTTATACCTTAGCAAAGAGCTTGGTTGTATTCTGTTCCTGCCCTAGGAATCAGTGGAATTTTGAACTTCAGAGGGATGATTTGAGGTATCTAGCAGAAGAAATTTCTAAGCAGCAAAGTGTTAAAGATATGACTTGGCTGCTTCTAACAGCCTAAATTGAGATGCAGGAGCAAAGAAATGACTTAAATTTGGAAGTTATATTTAAAAAGGGGATGTAGAGTGTAAAAGTTTAGGGGATTTGCAGACTGGCCATGTGGGGTCTTCCCCATTTTCAGGGGAATAATGTGGTTTTCCTGTTTTCAGGGGAAGAATACAAGCAGGTTGTGGAGCAACCACTTGCTAGAGAGATTTGCAAAATGAAAAAGGAGCCAATTGATAATAGCCAAAACAATGAGAAAAAGGCCTCACAGACATTTTAGAAGTCTCTAAGGAGGCAGCCACTTCCATAACAGGCCCAGTGGCCTAAGAGGGAAGAATAGTTTTATGAGCCAGGGCCAGGGCTCTGCTGCCCTGTGCAGCCTCCAGGCTCTGCTTCCTGCATATCTGCTGTTATGGCTCCAGCCTTGGCTCAAAGGGCCCCAGGTATAGCTCAGCTCGGGCTGTTGTTCTGGAAGGTGCAAGCCATAAGCCTTGGTGGATTCCATGTGATGTTAAGCCTCTGGGAGCACAGAATGCAAGAATAAAGGAGGCTTGGCAGATTCTGCCTAGATTTCAGAGGAGGTATGAGAAAGCCTGGATGTTCAGGCAGAAACCTACCACAGAGGTGGAGCCCTCACAGAGAACCTCTACTAGGGTAGTGGTGAGAAAAAATGTGGGGTTGGAACCCCCACACAGAGTCCCCACTGGGGCACTGCCTAGTGGAGCTATGAGTAGGGGGCCGCCATCCTCCAGACTCAAGAATGGTAGTTCCACCAGTAGCTTGCAACCTCAGCAGGAAAAGCCACAAAGGCAAAGCTTCACAAGGCCTTGTGAGCCCACTTCTTGCACTTATATATGCCCTGGAAGTGGAACATGGAGTCAATGAGATTATTTTGGAGCTTTACAACTTAATGACTGCCCTTTTGGGTTTCAAACTTACATGGGGCATATAACCCCTTCCTTTTGGCCAATTTCTCCCTTTTGGAACAAGAATATTTACTCCATGTCTGTAACTACATATAATCTTGGAAGTAAAAAACTTTTTTTGATTTTACAGCCTCATAGGTGGAAGTCACTTATCTCCAGATGAGACTTTGAACTTGGGATTTGGAACTTCTGAGTTAGTACTATAATGAGTTAAGACTCTGGGGGATTATTGGTAAGGCATGATTGTATTTTACAATATGAGGACATGAGATTTGACGGGAATAGGTGCAGAATGATATGGTTTACATATTTGTCTTTCCAAATGTCATGTTGAAATATAATTTCCAATGTTAGAGGTGAAGCCTGGTGGGTGGTGTTTGGGTAATGTGGGCAGATCCCTCATGGCTTGGTGCTGTACCTCAATATAGTAAGTGAGTTCTCTCAAAATCGGGTTGTTTAGAAGTGTGTGGCACCTCCCCGCTACCCCTGCACTCTCTCTTTTACTCCCTCTCCTGCCGTTTGACATGCCTGCTCCCTCTTTGCTTTCCATCATGATTTTAAGCTTCCTGAGACCTCACCAGAAGTAGATGCTGAGACTATTCTTCCTGTACAGCCTGCAGAACCACAAGCCAATTAAACCTCTTTTCTTATAAATTACCCAGTCTCAGATATTTATTTATAGCAATGCAAGAATGACCTAACAAACAAGATTTAGAGCAACTGGACTCATACATCATCAATAGAAATGCAAAATGCTCCAATCCCTATGGAAAACAGTTTGGTAGCCTCTTGTGAAGTTAAACCCTACCATTTGACTGAGCAATCCTCCACTTAGGAGTTTAGCTTAAAGAAAGAAAAATTTATGTTTACTCAAAAACTCAAAAACCTGTACTTGAATGTTTATAATATCATTATTCTTAATCACTCCAAACTGGAAACAATTCATATGTCCTTTGATGAGTGAATGGATAAATAAACTGTGGTACATCATGCAATCAAATACTACTCAACAATTAAAACTATCAAATTTCGGATACAGATAACAACATTGATGAATTTCAGATATATTAAGTCAAAGAAGCCAGACACAATGATGTTCAATTTCATATATTTTCATTTATATAACATTCTGGCAAATGTAAAACTGTAAGAATAAAGCATTTATGAGTGGTTTACTAAGGGTTAGAGGTAGAAGTAGGTTTGACTACAAAAGGAGAGTATAGGGGTCTATTTTGAAGTAAAAGAATGGTTTTTCATCCTCAGGTAGCAGTGGTTATATGACTTCATGTGTTTGTGAAAGGTCACATAACTTTACTTCCAAAAAGGTAGATGAATTTTAATGTATTCAAATTATGCCTTATTATAACTGAGGTATAAAATATCTCAATAGATTAAAAACATAAGATCTGTGCATGTCAGTAAATGTAAATTTACCTTAATAAAAATACTATGCAGCCAATTTTCAAAGTATCTTTATGAGACATTATTAATATATTAAAACTCTTAAGTCGGTTCGCTTTAATCCATGATTGGCCCTGGATACATAATTGTTGAATGGATGAATGAATGAATGACTGAATGAATCATTGATTAATAATAAAAGAAAAAATTAGGAAAATTTAAATCTCAGAAAACTTGTCTCTCAAATCAAAGTGAGAATTAATTGTATGATAAATATTTCTTTCAGAAACGTAAGCATTTCTGTTTTTATGACTGATAATTGAAGATTGTTCTGAAAGTGACAATCTTTTTAATATGCTTTAGTGCAGTCTTTAATTTTCCTACATTTGATCTTTTATGCAAGCCCTACATTTTCACTCTAATATAAATTTTTCTTTGCTCATTATTTATCTCTTTCATTTAAATCTACTAAAATATTGTTTATGTCTTCAATTCTTTAATGTCTTGTTCATTAAAGAGGAAATAAGAGAAAAATTATTCTTATTTCCTTCTTTAAAGTTAATATCGAATATGTAATTATATACTTCTAATCAGATGTAGCTTACTTTATGCCACAATTGTCATCTCATTAATGAGAGCTTCCAAAATTAACTCAATTCTGCTAATAATGTATTGTAGTTTTAACTATCATGTTTTTCTGACTTTAATATGGAAATAAAAATTAAAGTACTTTTTAATATCTGAACCGTTCCTGGAGTTATTTTCAGGAACAGAAAACATTTTCACAAAACATATTGTTTGAATCTGTTAAAAGCGAATAAAGAGACACCCAGAGACCATCATCTCTAAACCTATTTCTGAAGGAGCTGACACTTTCATTCTGTTTGATTCTCTTTCCTTTAACTACCCTACTTCCTAGGCTTATATTTCTAATTTTAAAAATTCAGATTAGTTCCACATCTTCCATCTATGCCACATTTAGATTTAAGTAGCCTTCTATGCAAAAATGACAAAAAGAGAAAGTAGTTCTCTTTTCAATAGATAAGACTGTCTCATTGAATGAATGGCATCTCCCATGATAAAAAGAAAAAATAAAAACAATGCTTTTATAGTAAAAAGAAAGCCCTAATCAACTTTCATTACTCAGGAGACAACCACCTAGTTTGAATTAGGACTCTGCTGCTTACTGGCTACATCACCTTGGGCATGGTATTTGACTTATTTGTGCTTCATTGTCTTCTAAAATATGAGGATTCTATGAGTATCTATTTTATAGGATGACTTTCAGGTAAAAAGGACCGATATCTGTTATGCATAGAACAGTGAATGGCACACATTCAGTGTTACAAGTTAATAACATTTATTATTATTATAACCATTATTGATTCTCACTAAAACTGTGTAAGAAAGACAGGCGAGTAGCCACACCATTTTACCACTGCATAGTCCCTTCCTTACAAATAACTTGGAAAAATAGGCAATATTATTCGTCTCTGAGAATCCAACATGAAATCACAACGTAGCAAACGATGCAGCTACATACAAAGATACTTTAAATAAATCAAAGGTCTCACAGGCTAGCTGGACTTCTCTATAACCTAAATTAGGTTTTAAAATCTATAAAAAAAGAAGTAAATTAGAATGAGATTTCTTAGTCACAGTAGCTTTTATAAAAGAGATCTAAAGATTCTGGTCAAAAATATGAATCTATCTTGTTCTTATAACATATATATTCCTATTGTATAAGTATCTTTGATGCAATGGTATTTAGAAAAGAGACTGGTCTATGATAAGTGCTCTATAAATAATAGCTGTTACTTATTATTTACTACTTATTTACATTATTGTTATCATTATAATTAATATTGTCTTTTTATATTTTATCCTCAGAAAGTACATTTCAGATTCTAATTTCAAGTACTATAATACACTGTGCCTTCACAGGAAGGATGCATAAAAAGAAGGTAGGAGGAGTAGCTAACATCTGTAAGAGGTCTACGTTTCAAACACTGACATTCTAACATTGTACAGATATGTTTAGATGAGGTGCCTGAACTAAGAGTTGGGAAATCAGGTTTCTGAGATGGCAGGGCCCAGTGCCATAGTCCTGAACTTAACAGAATCACTAAACTAATCGGGGAGCTTTGACAAATAGAGGGACAGCTATTCTCAAGTAAAACCCTAATTTCAACTCTGGCCTCATGTGGAATTTCCTTTACAAAATTTCTGTACTCTAACTTCTATAGTTTCTCTAAACTTTTGGTATAATGGAGTTTGTTAATGTTTCCTTTAAATGTTTAGTAAAATATCAATCATTCAAATTTTTGATGACTGATATTTCACACACTGTATAATACTAGTCATCAAAAATAAATATACACATAGTCGAATTTTACTGTGTACTTATGTACCTATCACATGTGAAGCACCCTGCTGAGTACAGGAACCATGAAGCTGGGTAGGACAAAGGCAATCAGAACAGATTGATAAACTAGTAATAACAACACACTGTGATACTAGCAGCAACCTTGGAGATACACAAAGAGAAAAGAAACTTGAAAATGTTAAATACTAAAATTAGAAATAAGCTGATGAGATCCTAAACCATGCTTACATGATTGTTCATGCTTTAGTGAAAAGATAAGAATTATTTCTAATTGCTTGGTTTTAAATGTGTACTTTTAAACTACAAAAGTGTGGTTAAATGCATTCTTTCTCCATTAAATTAAGTACCTGTGCTAATAGTCTTTAAACTGTTAAATTCATTTTTATATAGGCTTTTTTTAACCAATAATGTAAAGGTAAAGAAAAAATGTGAATTAATGGAAAAGCACAGCCTTTTTCATATTAACCACTTTCAGAAAACAGAGTGTCCTCAGTATAGGGAGTTCCAAATGCCTCTGAACTGAAGGCCTGCATTTTCCCCTAAATATGCAACGTCTGCACGTAACATTTTAGTCATTCCTAAAACTTTTCAATTAAACTTTTATAAAGCTATTCGATATTATTTTGTTTTATGTAAGAATTTCTGAGAAAAACTGGGATATTGATGTACATTTTAAGTACATTGTAATTGCTAGAACAATATATATATTATTCTAACAATTACAATATATATTTAGTAACTAAAAATTCTGTGTTTTTAAGCCCTGAGTTTCCATTATCATCAAAGAAGATAAAGTAGAAAACCACTTATTTCATTTTAACTTCTAAGTATAATCAATTTCCTTACTTATTAAAATTTAGCAAAAATTACTACAGTGTTCCCATAAACACCAAGACTTTTACTTTTCCTTTTTACATTTTGAAAAGATCATATAGCAAATTCTTGCTTCTGGTAATGGTGAATTAGCTTGGAAATACTAATCCTACTGCCAATAATAATAATAATGAACTGTGAGCAAAATATTAAAGGATTTACTTGAAGCAATTTAGAAACTAGAGAACACATAACTTTTAAAATATCCATATTTATTTATTCTTTGGGACATTCCTCAGTCTCCACAACAACACAGAGATAATACTCAGGCACAAAGTTGTAGTCTTACTGGGTTGAAGAGTCACAATTTGGATTACAGGGCTCTCACAGAACCTGGAAAATGAGAGTGTCAGTATCTTAGAAAAGGAACATCATAGACGGGTAAGCCTAACAATTTTCATATATTCTTCGTGGACAAATGAGCTGTGACAGTGCAAGGAGCTGAGAGGGAAAACAAAATCTAGAAGGCCGAACATGCTGAACAAAGATATTAACAGCTTCTTTCTAGCGAAAGGAAGACAAAGTTTGGAGTTTAATCCTTCCAAGTTAGAGAGGTCTGGTAAACACCTCAGAATTTTCATGACTGCTACGGAACGGTCACAACCTAGGACTAAGGAACACGTTTCAGACATGATGGCATATCTTAAATTGATCCACCGAACAAAGCCTAAAACCAAACTTCTTATACAAGATAAAGGCCATGAAACAAATGCCTGCTTGAACAAAATTCATCATTACTCAGAGGGAAATAACAGAATCCGGAGTCTCTAGCATAGAGTCACACACCACATTATGACCTTTTGATCAACGACAAACTGCATATAAGACAATGGCCCATAAGATTATAAGGAAGGTGAAAAATTTCAATCACCTGCTGGTTTCATAGCCATCCTAACATCATAGTGCAATGCATTATTCACACGTGTGTGGTGGTGCTGGTGTAAACAAACCTACTGTTGCCAGTCATGAAAATATCGCACATACAATTATGTACACTGCATAATAGTTGATAATGATAATAAATGGCTATGTTACCGGTTTATGTATTTACTATAGTATACGTTTTAGCATTATTTTGGAGTGTACTTCTACTAATTAAGAAAAGTATAGCTGTAAAACAGCCTCAGGCAGGTGCTTCAGGAGATATTCCAGAAGACAGCATTCTTATAATAGGAAATGACAGCCCATGTGTGTTATTGCCTGGAGGACCTTCCAGTAGGATAAGATATAGAGGTGGGAGACAGTGATATTGATTATTCTAACCCTGTTTTGGCTTAGGATAATGCGTGCGTTTTTGTTTTAGTTTTTAACAAAAATGTCTAAAAAGTAAAAAATAAAAAAATTTAAAAATAGAAAAATGCTTATATAATAAGGATATGAAGAAAGAAAATATTTTTGTTCAATTGTGCCATGTGGTTGTGTTTTAGTTGTTATTTCAAAGTAGTCAAAAAGTTTTAAAAATTAAAATGTTTACAAGGTAAAATAATTATAATAAGCTAAGATTATTGCTGAAAAAAGAAATTTAAAAAATAAATTTAGTGTGGTCTAAGAATACGGTGTTTATAAAGTCTACAGTAGTGTACAGTAATGTCCTAGGCCTGAGTGTACCATTGTCATTCTTTTATACTGTATTTTCACTGTAGATTTTATATGTTTAGATACACGATTACTTACCATTGTGTTACAATTGTCTAGAGTACTCAGTACAGTAATATGCTGTACAGGCTGGGCGTGGTGGCTCATGCCTGTAATTCCAGCACTTTGGGAGGCTGAGGCAGGTGGATCATGAGGTCAGAAGATCGAGACCATCCTGGGTAACACGGTGAAACCCTGTCTGTACTAAAAATACGAAAAATAAGCCAGGTGTGGTGGTATGCGCCTGTAGACCTAGCTACTCGGGAGGCTGAGGCAGGAGAATCGCTTGAACCCTGGAGGTGGAGGTTGCAGTGAACTGAGATTGTGCCATTGCACTCCAGCGTGGGTGACAGAGCAAGACTCCATCCCAAAAAAAAAAAAAAAAAAAAAATCCTGCACAGGTTTCAAGCCTAGAACAGTAAGCTATACCATATAACTTAGATGTATAGTAGCCAGTACTATCTAGGCTTGTGTAAGCATACTCTGTGATATTCACACAATGATGAAATTGCTTAACAACACATTTCTCAGAAGGTATTCCAGTTGTTAGGCAATGCTAGTATGAGAAGGAGTATGAAGTCCCTAGCAGCAGACATAGGGATGCTAGGACTCTTGCAGTCTTTCTCTCCAGTTATCCCATGGGCTGCCCACAGGAAAGATCAGAAAGTATTGAGAGAAAACTTCCTCTATACTTCTGACCGGATGAGGAGAACAGTGCCCACTGTTCTTAAAGTATTTAGAAAGAAATTTAATAAAAAATATGTAAGATCTCTATACTGAAAAATACTGAGAGAAATTTTAAATGGTGTAAATAAATAAAGAGATATTTCATGTTCCTTATTTGGAAGATTCAATGTTGTTTAGATGGACATTCTCCGTAAATTGATCTACAGATTCCACGCAATCAGAATCAAAATCCCAGCGGCTATTTTCATGGAAACTGAAAAGTAAATTTCAAAATTAATGTGGCCATTCAAAGAACCTATAATAGTCAAACAATTTTGAAGAACAAACAAGCAACACCTGAAAGACCTGATTTGAAAACTTACTTTAAAATAAATTTAGTTTAGCCTAAGTATTCAGTGTTTATAAAGTCTACAGTAGTGTGCAATAATGCCCTAGGCCGGAGTGTGCCATTTTTTTATCGTGAGGTGTACCATTTTTATCTATTACACTACATTTTCACCATATATTTTATATCTAGATACACAAATACCATTGTGTTACAATTGTTTCATTCAAGACAGTGGGAATATTGGAATAAGAATAGAAAATTAGTTGATTCACTTGGAATACAGATTCCAATCCATACTTACGCAATTAGTTTTTTACTAAAACAAGGAAGTATTCTTTTATAAATATTCCTTAAACAACTGTGTATCTCAATGGAAAAATTTGTACGGCAATTCTTACTTTATGCCATATAAAAATAATTTTGAGATGGATTATATGAATAACATCTACATTTAAAAGCTAAATCTATAAAATATCTAAAAATCAACATGAAAGAAAACCTTCACCATCTTGTGGGTATGCAAAGATTTCCTGGAGAGGGTATTAAAAACATTAATAGTTTTTTAAAAAATATAAAAACATAAATTTAGCAGTAAAAATGCCATGTATACTATATTAAAATTAAAACTTCCTGCTTTTTAAAAGACCTCCCTAAAAAGTGAAACGCAGGTCACAAGACAGGAGATGTTTGAAGTACATATAATTGATAAGAACTTGTATCTAGAGTACAAATATGTTCCCTTACAATTCAAAAATAAAAAGACAAATAAGCTAATTTTAAAAATATCTGGCTAAAAGCCTTAAACAGACACTTCACATAAACAGATAAAAAGTTAAAAAAGTAGATAAAATGCTAACCATAATTAATAGTCATACAAATTAAAGCCACAATATGATATCCCTGAAATAGCTAAAAGGAAAAAGATTGACAATACCAAATATTTGGAAAGACATAGAGCAACCAGAACAACCAGATCTCTCAAACATTGATGGTTGGCAAGAATATGATACAATCATATTTGAAAACTGATCATTTCTTATAAAGTTAAATACATACTTCATGACCCAGCAATTCTACTCCTAGGCATTTATCTATGAGAAGTAAAAACATGTATTCACACAAACATTCGAACATGAATATTTATGGCAGCTTTATATATGATACCCAAAACCAGAAACAACCCAAATGTCCACCAAGAGCTGAATGGATAAATTTTGCAGGCTTGTCACACAACAGAATGCTATTCAACGTCAAAGAGAATGAAATACCAACATGGATCAATATGGATGAAATGGACAAATCTCAAAAACATTTACATTGTATCCAAGAAGCCAGATATGAAATAGTTCATAATGTATGATTCCAATTATATGAAGTTCTATAACAGGCCAAACTAATGTATGGTGATATAAATCAGAACAATGTTCACTCTCATGGAGGGGTGACAGGATAAGGACAATGTTTACTCTCATGGAAGGGTGACTGGATAGGGACACAAGAGAATTTTCTGGGGTGAGGGAAATGTTGCATATATTTATTGAAGTGACAGTAACACACACACACACACAAATGTACATACAGTCAAAAGCCATTGAGTTATATATTTAAAATATATGCATTTATTTTATGTAGTATATACTTTAATGAAAACAACAATTAGGGAAAGTAAATTAAAGGTCAGTGCCAGTGGAAGCATAACCAAGGTTAAATATTGTGATGGTTAATACAGTGTGTCAACTTGATTGGATTGAAGCATGCAAAGTATTGTTCCTGAGTGTATCTGTGAAAGTGTTGCCACAGGAGATTAGCATTTGAGTCAGTGGATTAGGTGAGGCTGAGCCACCCTCAGTCTGGGTGGGCACCATCTAATCAGCTGCCAGTGCAGCTAGAATAAAGCAGGCAGAAGACGCTGATGTGCTGAGTCTTCCAGCCTTCATCTTTCTCCCACGCTGGGTACTTCCTGCCCTTGAACATTACACTCCAGGTTCTTCAGCTTTTGGACTCTTGGACTTATGCCAGTAGTTTGCCAGGGGCTCTCAGGCCTTCGGCCATAGACTGAAGGCTGCACTGTTGGCTTTCCTACTTTTGGAGTTTTTGGACTCATGCTGCCTTCCTTGCTCCTCAGCTTGCAGAGGGCCTATTGTTGGACTTCACCTTGTGATTGTGTGAGACAATTCTCCTTAGTAAACTCCCTTTCATATATCCATATATCCTTTTAGTTCTGTCTCTTTAGAGAACCCTGACTAATACAAATATAAAAGAGAGGATGTAGATTTAAGAAAAGGAGAGACCAAGGCTAAGATTTCTTGATTTGCTGTAATTAAATGAAATGAAAATATATTTGCTAAAATTTAAAAGACCACATAAGAGTGGGGCTTATTATGAAGTAGGGATCAATCCAGTATGTGGGAAAACAAGGTTAGCTGATTATAGACAAAAAAGGATAGTCAGCATATTTGTTTCCATAATGACCCTTAAGAACATTGAATTTGGGAGTCAAAAGAAAAAAAATGTGTATAGGAAGAGAAGAGAGAATGGAAATGGAAGCTGGGAAAGTGTAATGTGTAGTTTTCCAATTTTTTAAAAAACATTTTAAGAGGGTTCTATAAGCTGTGATTGATATTTTTTATCTCAAATCAAGAAAAATATTCTAGAATGAACTACTTAATCTGTCATTAAATTGATGTCATACTGTGTCCAGAATTGGTGGGTTCTTGGTCTCACTGACTTCAAGAATGAAGCCGCAGACCCTCGTGGTGAGTGTTACAGCTTTTAAGGTGGCGCGTCTGGAGTTTTTTTCCTTCTGATGTTCGGAGTTTCTTCCTTCTGGTGGGTTCGTGGTCTCGCTGGCTCAGGAGTGAAGCTGCAGACCTTCACAGTGAGTGTTACAGCTCATAAAAGCAGTGTGGACCCAAAGAGTGAGCAGTAGCAAGATTTATTGCAAAGAGCGAAAGAACAAAGCTTCCACAGTGTGGAAGGGGACCCGAGCGGGTTGCCACTGCTGGCTCGGGCAGCCTGCTTTTATTCTCTTATCTGGCCCCACCCAAATCTTGCTGATTGGTAGAGCCCAGTGGTCTGTTTTGACAGGGTGCTGATTGGTGCGTTTACAATCCCTGAGTTAGATATAAAGGTTCTCCATGTCCCCATCAGATTAGTTAGATACAGAGTATTGACACAAAGGTTCTCCAAGGCCCCACCAGAGCAGCTAGATACAGAGTGTCGATTGGTGCACTCACAAACCCTGAGCTAAACACAGGGTGCTGATTGATGTATTTACAAACCCTGAGCTAGATACAGAGTGCTGATTGGTGTATTTACAGTCCCTGAGCTAGGCATAAAGGTTCTCCAAGGCCCCACCAGAGCAGCCAGACACTGAGTGTCGATTGGGGCACTCACAAACCCCGAGCTAGACAGAGGGTGCTGATTGCTGTGTTTACAATCCCTGAGCTAGACATAAAGGTTCTCCAAGGCCCCACCAGAGCAGCTAGATACAGAGTGTCGACTGACGCACTCACAAACCCTGAGCTAGACACAGGGTGCTGATTGGTGTGTTTACAATCCCTGAGCTAGACATAAAGACTCTCCACGTCCCCACCAGCCTCAGGAGCCCAGCTGGCTTCACCTAGTGGATCCCGCACCGGGGCTGCAGGTGGAGCTGCCTGCCAGTCCCGCGCCATGCGCACGCACTCCTCAGCCCTTGGGCGGTCGATGGGACTGGGCGCCGTGGAGCAGGGGGCGGCATTCGTCGGGGAGGCTCGAGCTGCACAGGAACCCATGGAGGCGGGGGAAGGCTCAGGCATGGCGGGCTGCAGTCCCAAGGCCTGCCCCGCGGGAAGGCAGCTAAGGCCTGGCGAGAAATCGAGCGCAGCGCCGGTGGGCTGGCACTGCTGGGGTACCCAGTACACCCTCCGCTGCCGCTGGCCCGGGTGCTAAGCCCCTCACTGCCCGGGGCCGGCAGGGCCAGCCGGCCGGCCGCTCCGAGTGCGGGGCCCACCAAGCCCACGCCCACCCGGAACTCCAGCTGGCCCGCAAGTGCCGCGCGCAGCCCCGGTTCCCGCTGGCACCTCTCCCTCCACACCTCCCTGCAAGCTGAGGGAGCCGGCTCTGGCCTTGGCCAGCCCAGAAAGGGGCTCCCATAGTACAGCGGCGGGCTGAAGGGCTCCTCAAGTGCCGCCAAAGTGGGAGCCCAGGCAGAGGAGGCGCCGAAAGCAAGCGAGGGCTCTGAGGACTGCCAGCACGCTGTCACCTCTCAACGGTACAGGGGAACATAGTCTATAATCCCACCAACCCTCACACAGTGTTATTGTAGATACAAATTTAAAATTTTATGACAAATTTGGCAATATCTAAAAACATTCAGATAGGTGCCCATAAATTCGTCTTCTAGAATATGCTTCTACAGAAATAGTCTCCTAAGTTTTGCACAGATATTTGTACAAGGATGTTTACTAAAATATTTTTGGAAGAAGGGAAATCTCATAAATAATTTTAAAAATCATCAATAAGTCTATTCATCAGAATTTTTGCCAGAAACAGATTGCCCACTTAAATTATGAAATTTTAGGAAGATTTAAGTGGAACAATTTGAAGACGTGTTGGCAATGTGTTAGGAAGGTATAGGGAAAGTGATGCTTCTAATAGAGGAACCAGCTGCTACCTCTGTACCTAAATAGGAAAGGGGAGAGCCGTCACCAGAGCAGAAAAGGAAAGGCTTATCTTCACTGGAGCTAGGACCTGTGGTCAAATGATATAGCCAGCCCAAGAGAATCCTCTAGAGAGGGAAGAACAACTCTCCTACCCTCTCCAATCTGTTGCTGGTGCTTTATTTTGGCTTAACCAAGTTGTGAGTCAAATGGTAAGGGAGCCTGTTCATGTACTCCATGCAAGCTCGCCTCCCAGGACACAAAAAAGGATGGAAAAGGGTGGCAAATAAATATGGAATGGCGTAAGAAAATATCTACACTTGATACAATGTTCAAAGTAATTTGCATTTATCCACTAAAACAAATTGGGGTATTTAAATTAAAAAGGCAAGTAGCTGAATAGGATAGATACATTGGTGGCTGTGTTAATAAATAGTAGACCTATGATAGAATGGTGGTATAAAATATCTATATATTATTTCTACGTATATTCATACCCATAGGTACAGGATATAACTAGCTTTCTATCTGTACATTTGAATATCAATATAAAATAAAAATATATTTGAAAATATATATGCCAAAATACTGTGTTTACTTTTAAGGAATTATGGATGTCACTGGTGACAATGGAAGAATTACTTTTCATAGTTGTATGACTTTTATTATGATGATGTATTACTTTTATGAATTTTTTAAATGTTAAAAATACTGGGGCATGAAAAGGGGGAAAAAAGGCCATGGATCATTAGGACCCTGCATAACTTCAATAAGAACATTTTGTCACCTCATTTAACTTTTATAGAGACTTTCTAATCATGTATTTTAGAGAAATGTGGAGAAGGATGGTATGTGACAGTTTATCAGGAAGTCATTGAGGACAAGTTGGATAAATTTATTTTAGTTGATCATATACATAGGAATCTTTGGATGCTAAATTTGCATATTGTCTATAGTATCATGCTTTGTGCCCTGTTCGTTGCCCTGTTTTGATCATTTTTATATTAGTGACTTACATCAAGTAATTAAACGACATGAGGAAGACATACACACTGAGCAAAATGTGTAATCTAGCAACCAAATGTACAGCTAAAAGAAATTCTGACAGTCAGAACAAATCAATAAAATAAGACATCATTAGATGTAAACATAAGGACCAAACGTTAGGGAAAAAACAAAATTATTTACATATCTCTATGCACAGGATCAAGTAAATATGGCTTAGCAAAATCATGTGTTTAACTTGAACTGATTATTAACATTATCATATGGCTCAATACAAAACTCAGTTGGTTTATACTACAGTAACAAAATATAATTTCAAGAAGGCTAATCAGATTATAAAGGGACTTACATTAAGTGGAGCATGCACAGAGAAGAGCATTCCTGTTGGTGACAGAGTTTTAAAACCATATATTTTGAGCACTGGTCAGAAGACAAGCTTTGGGGAGATAATTTGTAGATGAGATTCAATCAGCTAATGCCCTTCAGATGCTTTCAAATCTGGGATTCTATGGTTCCTTATATTTTCCATCTTTTTTGTAGAGACAAATATGACTTCCTCTGGTCTCCCAATCAGCACCTCAATGCTGAATTTATATGATTCTGGTTTTTTTTCATCCTATGTGATGAAGAGAACTGTTAATAATAGGGCCAGTTTGCTGAGCTGCTGAATTCCTGCTAACCTGCAGTAAAATCATTTCCCATTTTCAAAGTTCTTCATGGTCTCTTTTTTGTATACATACATAATGTTTTATCTGTGCATATTCCTGCTTCTGCTTGCTTTTTGTGCTCCTCTTATCTTTTTCTCCTTAGATGACTTATTGCTGAAACCTTATCTTTCTAGAACTATTTGCCTTCTATGATTGGCTGCGTTTTACTTTCCAGCTTTTCTTTGACTAAGCTGTGATTGATACTTCACTCTGCTGAACTTTCACCTATTATTAGCCATGCCTTTTACTTTCTTTTCATTATAAAACATCTGAAAGAATATGAAGTTCAGTCTTTTCAACTTTGTAATCTCTTATAATATTATATTTATATTTTAAAATTTATTCCCCCTTGAAAACATTTTAATGTATATATTTACCTATAAATTTTATAGGTAAAATTTTTATCATTTTATCTATAAAATGAATGTTAAGTATACAAGCATTAATTTTATAAATGCAAAGTATTTTATTATATCTGTGACATGTAGCTAATTTATTTCTTCAATCATGCAAGATAATTTTTTTGTATTTCTTTCTTTCCTGACAACCATTATTTCTCCTCATGGAAAAGAGATATTCAGATTATTGATATTTAATAACTACTAGAAAAGATGCATGTCAAAATTCATTGCTTTTACTTCAATTATTCACACATAATCATTCAAGGGAAGATGGTACAATCCATTAAAAATTAATCTTACTGTTGGTCAGTCAAGCATATGGATATTCCAAAAGAATTTACAGTAAGACTCAATATTTGAGCGAGGTTTAAATAATATTTTAGAAACCATATAGTGTTCATAGAATTAGGGTTTCATAGGGTGGTCTGAAGTAGCTTTTCAAGTTTATATAATTTACCCTGAGCTCCTAAGTAGATATCAGGCTCTTCTAGATTCAGGATACCTCATATATTCACTCTTCTTATGGTTGTAGGGAAAACTTTCTCTTTTGCAGGGATTACTTCCCCTACTCCAGGTTACTAAATGCTTGTGAACCCAGACTTTTATAGATATTAGCTTTAACAAGGCTGTCAGTAGTGTCAACTAAAGATTAACTGCTTGATGTATTTTGTAACAGATACAGAAAAAAAGTCATCCTCTCAAAACCGAGTTGTGATATGAAATGAGTTAAGTATATTTAGTATGTGTTTGAGACCCAGACGGGCAAGAAGTGGGTTGAGAAAGGAAATAAAATAGGTTCTCCACATCAGTAAGACATTGTGATTTTTATACATTCCTGAAATTGACTATTTGGAGAGCAGTTTGATATGTACATTTGATATTCCACTGAAATCAAACCTTGAATATATAATAAGACTACTTTTAAAAGTCAAGTTTGAAAGTTTTAAAAGATGAAATACATCAGAATACAGCTGAATAGAACAAGGCTGGGAGGCAGACTTGGCTGTGTTGACGGATAACTTGTGATGAGAAAAGGGGATTATGGCCAGGAAGGGGACCACTCCAGTGCTCAGAGGTTGGTGGGCTTGAGAGTATCCACAAAAGATGCTTCTACCCTTTCCTTTTTGCCTCATGACTCAGACTGCTCTGTCTAAAATCTTTTCCTTATTATGTATCTACCAAAAAGGTAAATTTTAACTTACAGATTGCCTTACAAATTATTGAAAAGCTGAACATTTCTACTTCAGAAAAGTAACTAGTACTATAAACTGAAACTTTCCTGAGTTTATTTGTAGGTTTTATACTAGTTTTGTTTGTGTTTGGGGTTGTTTGTGACAATTGTACACCATAGGATTTTACAGCACATCAGTTTATAAGAATCAGCTTGGCAAAATCTTTAATGGAAGTTTTGCTGACTAAGGGCCTTCAGACAAAATCCACTGAGGACTTAATAATAAAATGAATATTCATAACATCTTTATGTTCTCCAAAGACTTTCTCTCTGCATGCTTTTTAAGTAAGCAAGTATTAAAAGGAGATTTTTCCAAGAAATGTAACTAGAGACCATAATTTCAGTACTTAGAAATTGATAATTTAAAATATTTTAAAGTTAATTATATTAAAAGTGACGATTTTACTCAGAAATTTTATAAACGGGACGAAAATATAGGGAAGTGTCTCCAGCACATACTGAGAGGTTAATATAAATCTGGAGGAAAGTCATTCTAAATCTGAAATTATATCTACGTGTATTACTCCTCTGATCACAAGTATTTAGTAGCACCTCTAGATTGTGGACAATTTTAGAATTTTAATTTCCACCACTTCTCTTCAGTTCATTTTGCTCTTAACAGACTGTTTTTGTATTCATTATCTTCTCTCCTATGTGGATTTGCACATCCCTGCCCTGGATGTACCTAATAGGCATTTTCTTGTCTAGATTGTCTTCACATTCTGCCCCCACCATAAATGTATAACTTTCCTGCGCGTCCCAGTTCAAACCCAGTTTTTTGCTTGAAGCTTTCCTAGACCCCAGCTAAGCATAAGTGATATCCACTTTTTGGAATTAGCTTGTTTATTGCCTATA
Source organism: Homo sapiens (assembly GCF_000001405.40). Classification (NCBI taxonomy): domain Eukaryota; kingdom Metazoa; phylum Chordata; class Mammalia; order Primates; family Hominidae; genus Homo; species Homo sapiens. Next base: position 78,025,027 of record NC_000006.12, on the reverse strand, counting down.
TAACTGATTTGACACCTTTACACATATCATTTTCAACTTGACCACACTTTCTTTTTAATTTACTTTTCCATGTGCTGTATCATATCTTCCAAGCCAGTCCATGGGTTTCTCAAGGACATATGTCTGGTTCTACATAAATTAATCTGCTTTTAAATTCTTGAGGAGCAATCATAGTATGATTACATAGGAGATGCTTAATAAATATCAGCATTAAGCCAATGAATGAATGGATTTCTCTGAGAAAAAATAGGGAGTACTGTCAAATTTTATAGAGTAAATTTAAATATATACCAAGGTACAAAAATAAATGAAGACCACTCAAATAAGAACAATCAGAGGCAATTTATGCACAGCTTGCTCTAACAAAGGAGTCAGTCTCCATCACTTGCATTTAGCAGAGACTCAGGGGCAGACAGAGGAGTTGAAAATAAATAAATTGTAGTAAATAAAACAGAAAGAGAGAGAACCCTTTAGGAATGCTCAGATTGAAGGTTGCTGGCATGGAGAAGTTGGAGGCAGGCTAACTAGAAGGGGGGCAGCCTATGTGATTGGCTTAGGAGCCGTATTTGGGTTTCTCCAGTTGGTTCTGCTTTTGATGTGGGTATGAAGGTTTGCAAAAATCAGGGAATCTGTCAGTTATTGACTAAATTGTGTTTGGGGGCCAATAGCTGAAGACGTTATAGTTTGGCTTCCTGGGCTGGTTGCTGCAGAGGTTGTGGGTCAGAGTTTTATTTTCATAATGGTCTGGCCACATATATCTGTTGGTATACCCAGTATCTCAGTATAATAATGGTATATATGTTTCTAGTACCTTACAGGATGCCTAGCTCTATATAGACTCTATTTCACATGATCTTTATGACAATTCTGTGGCCCTGATAAGTATTAATATTTAATGTAACCAAGGAGAGGACTAAGGCTTGAAGAAGCAAGCTGTCTTGCCCAATATATCAAACCTAGTAAAAGGTATTCATATTTGGACTTACAGCTTCTGGATTTAAGTTCAGACTTAAGATGAAATGATTGTGAATGTGTGGAATCAGGCTATAGCTGGTACATATGAGAATAAAAGCTTAGGAAAATTCCATACAATTGCTGAAAGTTAACAAGAGTATCTTGAGATTCTGAAGGGTATCTCAAGAAGTGGAACCCTCATTTAGAATATAGGTAAAAGATTCTGAGAATATTTGAAAGTAAGAATGTAATTGTAGTTGAAGCTTAAATATTTCTAGAAGGGATAAAGAAAAGGCAAGAAAGCATCAACCTTTCCAGTTGGAATTTCAGCATTTCTTTGAAAATGGCTGCACCATCTACTGTGGGCAATTCTGTGCCCTGTGGGTGTTTGCAGTCTAACAGAAGAGAAAGGCTTGAAAACAGTGGTGTTAGTTCATTTTCAGAAGCTTCCAACTAGATGCAAGAAGTTTATTAGAGGAAGTGTTTAAGGGATATGCAGAGTTGAAATGGAGAAGGGGTTTATTATTCATCAAAGCACTGCATACTGAAATACATTTAGAAGAAATATTAGTTGAGAAAATAGTGCTGAAAGTAGGAACAGCTCCAAAGAGGTAGCAATAATTTAATCATGAGATAATCCTGTTACTAGGAATTGCTGCCTTAAAGCTAGACAGAAAGTGAGAAGGATATAAAAGCATACAAAAAGGAAAATTCATGCTTTTACACAGGTCTGGATGAGAATATAAAGAACAATGGGCTAGAAAATTTATTTAAGGATCTGTCAAAAGCTTAGTGGTTTTGCTACCTTTAATCATGGGTCATTTTTCACCTCCTCTGTGAAATACTCCCTGACTTCTCCCTTCCTCTCCAACCCCATAAGATGTTATGCCTGTCTTTCCTTGAATTTGACCATGACTATTTACTACTACCAGCAAATATTATTATGATGAGGATGTCACTACCATTGACACTGTGTTCATTCTTGCACTAATACATCCTACTCATCATCTTATCATGTAGCAAATCTGTCACACACCAAAATTCAGTCATTACTATAATTTATAGAAATAACAGAAGTCAGGAAGCTTCTTGTAAATGTTAATTCATTTCCCCTTCTTTTGAATTCTACTTTCTTAACTATAAGGAAATTATCTTACAGTCCCATTAGCACTTTCTGTATGTCACATTGAATCACCTTTCCTACGAATCCCCAACCTGAAGCTCTAGATGACGTGTCCCTCCCGACACCATAAATTCATGGAAGAGCCAACCTTTCTTGGTAGATGTCTTGATAATAATAACCTAAAAATGGCTGCCGTGAGATAGATATGCTGCATGTGGCCTGTGTCTGAACTGCAGTCTCTGTGTGGCACAGTGACTCTTCAGTGTTACCATATTGCCTTCTTTACAATTCCTATTGTATTCCTTGCCCAGCATATTATAAGTAATGTGGGTATTTGGGGAGTCAGTAGCTTCATTTCATCAATATGAAAGTAAAACTGAAGCTATTTGACTAGCAGAATATATAATATCATGTAGAAATATTCCAGCTTAACTACCACTCACATTCCTACTCTATTTACACAGTCATCTGAGGGGATATTTTTTAGCTACCCAGGTCAATATTTGAGAGTGGAAAGCCCAAGACATGAGTCAGCTATTGGAAGTCTCTAACTGCTTTGTAAATGCACTGTTTGGTCATGTTCTTATTTAGTTAAGCAGCTAGAGTACAACAGGGAAGATCGTTCAGTTCTGGTGATGAACTATCCAGAGATATTGACACGGTTAGGTTTAGACATGACCATCAGGATAAATCGAATGGCATGGCTTTAAGAAATTGAACTTTTTAGTGTCAACATGTGCCAATTCTGTTATATTTCCTTCACAGATGCCAGATTACTTACAGCTTTGTGAAACATGAGTTTTGTTTCCTAATGTGTTTCTGTACAATAACATAGAATATTATCTTTCCTAACCACTAGTAGGTTCAATTTCCTATGATTAATGACATCTGCCACTTTGAACAGCAGGAATCTTTTGTTCTATTAATATTATTGCAACTACTATCACAAGATCAACTACCCACTACATTATCTTATTTCGTTCTTTTTTTATTTTTAGTTTGTATTTTACTTTAAGTTCTGGGATATATGTGCTGAACGTGCAGGTTTGTTACATAGGTATACATGTGACATGGTGGTTTGCTGCACCTATCAACCCATCATCTAGTTTTTAAGCCCTGCATGCATTAGGTATTTGTCCTAATGCTATCCCTCCCCTTGCCCCCCACCCCCTGACAGGCCCCAGTGTGTAATGTTCCCCTCCCTGTGTCCATCTGTTCTCATTGTTCAACTCCCACTTATGGGTGAGAACATGCAGTGTTTGGCTTTTAGTTCCTGTGTTAGTTTGCTGAGGATGACAGTGTCAGCTTCATCCATGTCTCTGCAAAGTACATGAATTCATTCTTTTTTATGGCTGCATAGTATTCCACGGTGTATATGTGCCACATTTTCTTTATCCAGTCTACCATTGATGGGCATTTGGGCTGGTTCCAGGTCTTTGCTATTGTAAATAGTGCTGCAATAAACATATGTGTGCATGTGTCTTTATTGTAGAATGATTTATAATCCTCTGGGCATATACCCAGTAATGGGATTGCTGGGTCAAATAGTATTTCTGGTTCTAGATCCTTGAGGAATCACCACACTGTCTTCCACAATGGTTGAACTAATTTACACTTTCACCAACAGTGTAAAAGTGTTCCCATTTCTTTGCATCTTTGCCAGCAGCTGTTGTTTCCTGACTTTTTAATGATCAGCATTCTAACTGGCATGAGATGCTATCTCATTGTGGTTTTGATTTGCATTTCTCTAATGACCAGTGATGATGAGCTTTTTTCATATGTTTGTTGGCCGCATAAATGTCTTCTTTTGAGAAAGGTCTGTTTATATTCTTTGCCCACTTTTTTTTTTTTTATTTCTTATCTGAATCTTGAAAGTGAAGAGTTATCATTCCCATTTTGCAGATAGGGAAGCTGAGGTAGCTTCACAGAGTTAAGTAAACTGCCCCAAGTTTCCCAATGTCTATAGTAGAGTACAGACGCTCTCTGATAAGCCCTATGCTTATGCTCCTATGTCAGGCTGCCACCTATGAAAACTTAATTACACCAAAATACTCATATTTTACAAAGAAATATGGTTAACAATTAGGGTAAAGACGTGCTTTAAAAGGTTGTTCCTTGTTCTTCAGACTGATGCAAGCCAGGCAAAGCTCCAAATTGGAGCTTAGCCCAGGAGGGTTCTTGGCTTTACCCAGGAAAGAATTCAAGGGCAAGCCAGTGGTGTTAGACAGCAACCTTTTATTGAATGGTATTGCTCCTTGCAGAGCAGGACTAACTCATTGGTAGTGCATGCAGAGTCGGCAAAGTATGGGTTCTTGATTACTTATACCTACTTATTCTCACTTTCAATTACATGCAAATTAAGGGGCAGGTTAATATGAATTGAGGGGGCATTATCTGGAACTTCCTAGGAAAGCAGCGGTATCTTCCAGGTCATTACCACGGAAACGGGCGGTAACTTCCACGCCATTACCATAGCATCTGTAAACTGTCATGGTGCTGGTGGGAGTGTCTTATGCTAATAAGCCATGAGGGTAGGTAGGGATTACTTTCCTAGTCATCTGCTGGCTCCTGCCAGTTTATTTTATCATGTCTGGACCAGATCCTCTTTTGTTCAGCAGGGTTGTGACCAGAAAATAAGTCCTGCCAGCCTCTGACTTCAAAACTATAGAAGCATTAAATGCAGAATTCTTAGGAAAGAGAGAACCTTCTAATAATCTTAGTAATTCCTTTCCCCCAAGTTTGCTGTGGTATAACACACCTTATGGATTTATTTCAGTTAAAGAGCTTTGTGTCACCAACTAACTTCCTCAGGTGTATTTTATTAAGTTTGTGTTGTAGAAAAAAATCAGTCAAATTATTGGCAATTGTATTTTTATGGCATCATTGTGAACAAGGGTTTAAACCAAAATTCTGTAAAAAAGACTTTCATATGAAAATCTGTGCAGCTTTTCATGTTAAACCGACAGTATTGGAAATGATATGTGTGGCTGAAAAATCATTGAAATATCTGGGAATTTCTTTTTTTTTAAGGTATCATTATATACAAGGCTTTAAACAAAAAAAAAATGGAATATAAAGTTAGTCTTGCATGAAAATATTAACAACTTTTAGTGTTAAAAAAACATGGGGGAGATTCTGTAGTTCAATTCATTAAGCTGATAGTTCATTAAACTGATTATATAGTTCATTAAACTGATTTATGGAAAATATTTGAAGAAAAAGTTTATATTTTAAAAATCTGGTATTTGCTCTGCATATCCATGAATCGGGATGGGTCAAATTCTTTAGTTTTTTCTTTTTAAAAATCAATATTTTAAAAATCTATTTGAATTAGCTTTTATCTTTATACCAATTTGCAGACTCATTAATATAAACTCACACAGAAATTTCTGAGACATCTGATGTTTCATTTCTCTATTCATAGCAGTTAAAATTGTAGGTATGTTACCTTGCAGAGACAGGACTTTAGCATTCATAAAACACATTTACACGTTGTAAACATGATTAAGTCGAAAATAGACTATGAAAATGGACTGTTGAATTAGTGTAAAATAAGTTGAACAACTGAGAAAAAGGCTATTCCAGTTCAAAGAAACATGATTAAATCCACATCTTGGAAAGAGCAGTCATTCATTTTAAATAATTATACTACCTGGCAAAATATAAAGCCCCTCCCTCCGCAATATGAACTGGTTTCAAAATGAACAAAAGGATATCTCACACACAGTAAATGTTTCATGTAAGAGGTAATATTTGTGACATGCTTTGAATAATGAGCAGAAATTAAGACACAGGGATGATGTAAATGCTATATTAAATATTACACTAAAGTTCTGGGAGAAGGAAGAAGATTAGTATTATATCAGTGAATCATTTTTACCAAGAAATACAGTAATGAGGGTGGATCAATCTGGAAGCATGGCTAAGCCAGTCCAGTGAAAACAAGAGGTAGAAAAAACTGTTTCTTAGTTAAAGGAATTGGCCGCTAGTTCAAGCAAGAAGAAATGAAGCCGAGAAAGATAATGGAGATAATCAAAACAAAATGGGAGAGACTGTTACAAGTATATTGTAGGCGGTAGGAAGCATAACTGGTTTGATCACCTCTACAGAGGCTACAACAGCTCAGAACCTAATTTAGTGCTTGGAACTTAACAGTAACTGAATATTTATTGAAGGAGTTCATAAATAAGTGATTGAATAAGATTTTACATCTTATTAAAGGACTGTAACTAAGTGAGAGTATGAATTTAAAATGAGCCAAGCTTAGCCTGAAACTAACAAAAGTATTAATTTAGGAGAAAGTTCCAATTTCAAGGGAAGGTGTATATTCATTTTAAATTTATTGGTTTAAAAAACTCAACAGGATACCCAGGTGGAGATATCTCTAGCAGATAGTTGAAAATATGAGTGTGGCTCTCAGAACAGAGGATGTTTGTTGAAATAAATAAATGAGCCCTATTCTTAGCAATGCTAAATTTTTATTATTTATTTAAACAATTTTATTAGATGCTGTTTTTTCTTTCTCTTGTTTAATTATAAAATAAATTTCTTATTTTATTTTTTCTATTTGTTCCACTCCCCCTCTGTTCCAGTTATCTATTGTTGAATAGAAAACCACACCAAAACTTGATGGCCTAAAACATGAATTTATTGATACTATCTCTCACAGTATTTTGGGGGGTAGCTGGATTCAGCTGGATGATTAGTGCTCAGAGTCTCTCATGCAGCTGTCGTCAGATCATTACAGGGCTAGAGTTACATGAAGTCTTCTTTATTCACATATCTAGATCTTTGTTTGGGATGACTGGAATAGTTGCAGCTGCTCCAGCAGCTACTCCACTTGACTAGTTTGTCTTCATGGCATGGAGGCCTCAGAGTAGTCAGACTACTTCCATGAGTTGGCTTTTCCCAGAGTCAGCATTCAAAGAGAACAAATTAAAAGTCACATCGATGAGAAATCAAGCAGCAGCACTTTCACTGTATTGTGTGGGTCAAAGGCAGTCTAGACTACCTTTGTGGAGGGGACTCCCTAAATTACCCAAGTGATGATTCTTTGGAAGGTCATCTTTGGAGGCCAATTACCATATTTCTCTTTCAACCCCTATTACTTGTTATTTTTAATTGTGAGAAATTTAAATAATAACTATAAAGTAAATATCTACTCATGCAATACCACTTAGATCAACAAACAACATGGCCAACACAGTAGAAACTCCCTCACCCCCAATCCCACCCTCTGTGCACCCCTCTTGAACACAATGACCTTCCTCCCCACTAGAGGTAACCACAGTCTTGACTTTTGTGAGAATCATTTCTTTGCTTCTCCTTAGAGCTTTACCATCTTTGGACATATCCCAAGGAAATATAGTTTAGTTTTGTTTGTGAATTTTATATAAATGAAATTATACTCTATGCATTTTTGAGACTTGTTCAACTTTATGTTGTAACCATGAATGTTATTGTATGCAGACTTTTTTTTTCATTTACATTTCTGTGCAAATTCCATTATATGAATACATTGGGTTTTATATATCCATTTTAGTTTAGATTGACGTTGGGTTGTTTCCATGTGTCTATGACACATGATGTGGCTATAAACACTCTTGGACATGACTTCTTATGCAGATTTGTAATATTTTCTCTTTATACCTGGAAGTGGAATTAATAGGCATTAGAAATTAAAATATTTAACTTATTCAGATAAGTCAATCTGCTTTTCGAAGTGGCTAAACCCAACACTCCCACATGCTAGCTCTGTGAGTTCTCATAGCACTGCATCCTACCAACACTTGGTATATTAAATATTTTAATGTTTACTAATCTGGCAGATGAGTAGTGATATTTTGAAATCATTTTAATCTTAATACATCTGATAATTAATGAGGTGTAATAACTTTTCTTGTGTTTACTGGTCATTGTATATCATACTTTTGAAGAGCCTGTTAAGATATTTTCCTGTTTTTCTAATGAATTATCTGTTTTCATCTTACTGATTTGTAGGAATTTTAATATTTCATGGATAGTAGTTCCACTTTGTGGTTTATCTTTTCATTCTCTTTTGTGGCATCATTTGATAAATAGTAGTTCTTTGTTTAATGTATTCAAGTTTATCAATGTTGTCATTTATTTACTTATTAAAATGACATGATAATATGTTGTTCCTGTGAAATAGCTCACTCAAAATGGGAATGGGAATGCTAATATATTAAAAAGCAAAAAGGCATTAAATACACTGTTTTAGCTTTTAAAAACATTATATGGAAGCACCATAATGAATGATGCATTTGTAAGAGAGAAAGCAAGGTCAGAGAGAAAACAAGAGAATCAGGGGCTGAAAAGAAAATAGAAATAATGTAGAGAAGGAGTAGTCCAAGAAGTCAGGACAACAGTTGAGGTTGTGCAGTGTCTCAAAAGAGAGAGAGCAGCATTGCAAGAATAAGAAATATCTTTAAGAGTATTAAATGCTACTGAGATTTCAAAGATCATGGAATTTCAACTGCTTATCCTTGTCTTTCCTTGTCTAACTCTTATTTTTCAGCAAGATGCTGCTTTCTAGTGTCAGGTGGTCAGTTCTTTCCTCCGACAGCCCCTTGGCTCCCTTTGCCTTTCTGCTTTTCTCACCAGTACAATTCTGTTTTGAGAGCCCCAGCTACATTGGGGATCCAGTACCAGGAAGGCTGTCACCCCTGTGCTAAAGAAAAATGAAAGCGAGTTGGACATGAGTGTGTACAGTGTGCCTTTCATGAGATACTTCTTTTAGCTGGAGGATGGTCTACTACCTGGTTTTGCAACCAGGGTCCCTCACACAGGGACCTTATTTACAGTGGAAGATGACCTTGTGGCTCTTGTATGACCCATGACTACATTATGCCTACCTGACCATTTCTCTGGTGATGAAAGCCAAATGTTGTGTCCTCTCCAGGACACTGGGGAAAACCTGGGCTGGGACAGCCCATTGTTCTTCAGATGGAAGTTGAACATTCAATACAATGCACTACCACAGGATGAAACAAGGCTAAAGATTTTTTTTATTTACTGTATTTTTTTTTTATTTTTTAGATGGAATCTTGCTCTGTTGCCCAGACTAGAGTGCAGTGGTGTGATCTCGTCTCACTGCAACCTCCACCTCCTGGGTTCAAGCAATTCTCCTGCCTCAGCCTCCCATGTAGCTGGGACTACAGGTGCGTGTCACCAAGCCCGGCTAATTTTTGTATTTTTTTTTAGTAGAGACAGGGTTTCACCATGTTGGCCAGGATGGTCTTGGTCATTTGACCTTGTGATCCACCCGCCTTGGCCTCCCAAAATGCTGGGATTACAGGTGTGAGCCACTGTGCCTGGCCCAAAGATTTTTACTTACATATTTTGGGCAAGGAGGGCATAATTAATGGAGAGGAAATTATGGGCCACACGAGGCAGAAGTGGAGGGTCAGGCAGAGAGAGAAAGGCAGTGAGTAGCCACCAGCAGTATATAAATGGGAATCAGATGTGGGTGACTTCAAGTCCATGGGCAAATGTCTGAATGGTCCATTTAAAGAAAATAGCTGGAAAGCAGGGAGCATAGTCGTTGGGCACGAGAGATGTTTCTCAATTCTTGTCTCTGGCCATCAGCTTGAGCCACTGGGGTGTGGTGTAGAACTGAAAGCTGTGTTAAGGGTGACTGAACCTTGCTTCTAGTATGAGAAACTTAAACTTGTATTCAAAATAGGTGCCGAGGCCATGTAAAATGATAAGAATTCACTAAACACCCATGTTGTGGTGAGTCTTAAGACCTTGCTATGAAGTGACCCTGTCACTATGTACAGATGGGGACACTGGGTCACATGCTACTTTCATTGTTGAAAACTACCTATATATACGGACAGCTGGGTATTAGGTAGATTTTACTGATTGTTTTAATGTGTCATACAAGCCTCCAATGTTCTTTCTCCAATCATAACCAGGACTCAGCTTCCAGCCTCTACCTTTCTGTCATTTATTCTCTAGGGAAATTAAAAAAAAAAAAAAAGCCAAAGACAAACAGCCCCAATATTCCACTAAGAGATCCTTAAAGTGCCAATATATTTTAGAGTGGAATGAAAATATGTTTTCAAATTTGACTTTACCAAATCTCTTGGTATCAGTTTCTTCGTTTGGGGATAATTTTGTCCTACCACCAAACCCTTTGATTTTGCACATAGCTGAAACCCGATATGGACTTTACACTCCCCAAAAATAATGCTGATAGAATAGATGAATAATAAACATCATACATTACATCATATATTACAATGAATTTTCTGCACTATTGTGGGATAGATGTCTTACATAACTAATGGTACATGATTTGTCTTTCACTATAACTTTGAATAATAATTTTAATTGGTTTTTCTTTTGTAGGTTTTAAAATAATATATGTAATTAAATAAGTGGTTTAGATATATATTAACCATTATATATTATGTTAAATATAGCCATTTATTTAATCTAAGAAAGGATGAAAAGGTAACTTTATAATAAAATGTTTTATAGGTAAGTTATTTTTTCTTTTGAAACTTTTAATGGAGTTAACTTCTGATGTTTTATTTTAAAATACTTTAAATGTTTTTTAAGCTATTAGCTAACAGTACTATACTCTCTGTGTGAAAAATATGGGTTTATTATTGTACCAGGGAGTAATATAGTTCTTTATTGCTTTTTAGTTTTATCTTCTCGCAAATAGCAGGCTGTCAAGAACCTTTCTGATATAATTGTAGTTGTAAGTAATGGCACCTCCTACCACCTGTTAGTTTGCTGCTTCTTATATGCTATGTGTTCTGAAAACACGTAAGAAAGGCTTCTTTGAAACTTCATGATAAACAAGAATCTAGAAAGTTCTGAGAGAGCTTGAATCTAATGGCTGCAAATAAGAGCTAAGTATTTCAAGCTCTAATTTTGTGCCAGTATATGTCTCATGTTATTTTATTCCTTTCTTAATCCTTTAAAATAGGATTTTTTATTCCTTTCTTAATCCTATACAATGGATACTATTATTACCCATATTTTACAGATGAGTTGAACAAGGAGACTCAGATAAACAAGAATTCTGAGTGGAGTCTTTTAATCTTTCTGACTTCTCCCCTTCCAAAATTGATAGAGCAACGATATAGGTAAACAAATAAGCAAGCAAACAAAAAGCCCACAGAAAACATCCACTCTAAAACAAGATAATAAGAAATTCTCATGGACCCCAAAATATGATGGAGGGAGGACAAACTGGATCCATATGATATTACTGTCTATTAGAATGCAGAGAAAAAGCAAGATACAAAAAAAGTCAGTAAGACCCACTACCAGAAAGTTAGATTAGCAATCTAAGGACAGAAGTGGAAACTGGGACATGCTTTTGCAGGCTCCAATTCTCAGAAGAGCGGAAAAGGACTGCAGGAAGATCTGCTGATATTGGCAAGTCTGGACCCAATGAACCTTCCACACTAACCAGCTGGAGCTCCTTCCAGTTCAAAGTCCTGTGCTGAAGAGAAACTAATGGGAGGAGAATTGAAATTAAGTTTACTAATATAAACATATATTCAAAATAGGTAAATATAAGGTCTGTGACCTCTCATTTTGATTACTTTGGCCCTTGCAAATGTTACCAGTGGGCCTCATTCTGAAATTTGGGATGTGGCTGCTCTCTACATTTGAGCCCTAGGGGCCACCACAGGAGTTTCAGGAAATTGCATTGGAGCTGCTCCTCCAAACAATCATGGTACAAGGAACACAGGCTGCACTGATAATCCATTCTACTTAGCTGATCTGAGTTTGGAAACATGGACTCTCAATTTTCTTAACCGTTTAAGTATGGGTTCTATTTTTGTTCTTGCTTTTTTTCCCAAAAACTGGGAAAGGAACTTGAAGTTCATAGCGTATCCCTTCTCATATTTTTAAAATGTCTTAAAAATGTAGTGATATTTCCAAAATGTGAAGAATTTTCTTGTTTTTGTTTTTGTTTTTTGTTTTTTTTTTTGAGACAGAGTTTCGCTCTTGTCACCCAGGCTGGAGTGCAATGGCACAATCTCAGCTCACTGCAACCTCTGCCTCCCGGGTTCAAGTGGTTCTCCCACCTCTGCCTCCCCAGTAGCTAAGATTACAGGCACACACCACCACGCCCAGCTAATTTTTGTATTTTTAGTAGAGACTGGGTTTTACCATGTTGGCCAGGCTGGTCTCGAACTCCTGACCTCAGCTGATCCTCCCACCTCAGCCTCCCAAAGTGTTGGGATTACAGGTGTGAGCCACCACACCTGGCCAGAATTTTCTTGTTTAATTTCCCATCACATGCCATCATGTGGGCCTCAAATCATGAGGAAAGAGTGAATACTGGCAATACTCTGTTTTTTTTTGTTTGTTTGTTTGTTTTTTTGGCACACATCCATGCCCAGTGCTGGATTTTTGAATCTTCTCATTTATAAATTATAAATCACATTCATTTTGGAACCATTGTTGAGAAAGAACCTTTTTTAAAAAAAAATTCATTTTCCCAAAGATAACTCATTTGGTTAATAAAGAGGATGAAAGGATTCTTGTTTGAGATTTTTAAAAAATATCATCACTTTTAATTAAAAAAATAAATGACAAAGACATTTAAAAATCATCTAGCAGGTAAGCTAGGAGCTTGTGTTACTTAATTTCTACACTCTGAGCAAGACTCTCAAAATGTGTGATTCTAACACAGGACAGCTTTTCTTACACACCCAGCTTCAAAGATTTGTCCTTGAGTGCAGAACTATTAAGATGCTCGATTACTTTCCTAGAATTGTCATAACAAATTACCATAAACTTCATGGATTAAAACAACAAAAATTTATTCTCTAATTTAGTACTGGAAGCCAGAAGTCAGAAATCAATGTGTTGGCAGGGCTCCACTCCCTCCAAAGACTTCAGAGGAGAACTTTACCTTGCTTCCTCTAACTTCTGGAGGCTTCAATCATTTCTTGTCTTGTGGCAGCAAAACCCAACTCCCTACAGAAAGGCTCTTTTCATGCCGTTTTCCTCTGTGCTAGTCTCCACACCCACTCTTCTTCTCATAAAGACACTTGCCATTGGATATAGGGCCTACTCTAATCCAGGATAATCTCATCTAGAAAAATTTAATTTAATTACATCTTCAAAGACCTTTTCCTAAATAAGGTCACATTCACATATTTCTGGTGAATTTACTTTTTGGGGTCCTATTCAATCTACTATAGAGACTGATCTATGGATAGTAGAAAAGAACTTTTCATATAGTACTTGAAAATCTATCAGGGGTATAATATACCCCTTCAATATCATAATTAAAGTACAAAAATTTATCAACCTATAATAGTTAATGAAAAAAAGACATTTATATCTTGAGTTGATTCCTAGTCACAGCAAAAGTAAATACAACTTTATTAGCATTAAACAGATTTTGTTTTAGAGAAAATTGCTACTTCACTATTAAGTCTCTCAGAATTATGAATTATACATCAAAATCAGGTTCGTGTGCCAGGATATTAAAAGGATAATTTTGTACCCTAGAAATGAAAGCAAACAGAAAATGCCAGAGGTACTTTTACATAATAGTTTCATGCTTTCATACTGGGCTGTAGCTATCTTATTATTATCATTATCATAAAATGTTGTTACATTTTTCTCATTTGGTTTCAACCAGTTGTGTTTCTTGTGAGATCAGTGACCTGTGAATATAAAACACAGAGAAATCTAAAACAACTGGAATTTCTAATAATATAAAGTAAAAACTGTTCTCTTCAGTTTGAGGGTTCTTTTTTTATATTTCCCAAATAAGAGGCAGCAGCAAATTTTAAACCAAGAGCAATGGAATGAAAAAAAATCACTTCATGGGTTATTTTTAAGAGAAGACGGAATCTTTAGTTGAGAAGACAGCAGGGACAGTGGTGAGTGGGGGAGAGGGGGAGAAAGGAAGAAAAACAGGGACTACAGAGGAATAAATGAAGAGAGAAAGGAGATAAATATGAGAGAGGGAGAGAAAGAAGGAGAGAGGGAGAGAGGGGAAGAGGGAAAGAGGAGACAGAGAGATTGCTACTTCTCTGGGGGTCTAGAAGGAAATGCTTGTGTTTTCTCTCACCCAGGAGGAAGAATTAGCTAATAAGGAGGAGGGCAGCAAGGACTAGAACACATTTGTGAGCCTAAATCAGTACGTCTGATTAAGCTCTTTTGTTTCTATTTCTCCACCGAATTTAAAAAATCCATACAATCAAAATCTTATCCTACCTTATAGAAATTTTTGCATGTGAAATCTGGGAAATTTGGGAAAGAGAATATTAAAAACCTTAAGCTCTTTATTGGAGCTAGTTTTAAAAAAATGTTTAATAATATGACTGATCAAAGACAGTGATGCTTGCCATACATTTAATCTCTCCCCTGAGCCCCCATACTTTCCCATCTTTTTTCAGTGAGAAGGGAACATGTGATATGTGACATTCTGGCCAATAAAATGTAAGCTGAAGCAGTCAGTATTACTTCCCACTGGAGGCAGAGAAAACCTCCTCATGATTCTCCCATTCGGCTCTTACCCCTAAGAATGAGAGTGAAGGTCACATGTTGCTATTGGAAACTCTAAAATTTGAAACTGCCTGAAATGCTGAGCCATCACATTGAGTTCAGCACCCTGGAGAGCCCAACATCTACAGTAAACTTTATAAGTGGGAAAGCTTAAAAACTATTTTTTAAGCCACTGAGATTTTGTGATGGAGTATTATCATAGTTTATACCTACCCTAATATGTGTAATATATCTAGGTTGTTTGAGGTTAGCTGAGGTCATCCCTTAATAGATATGAAACAAAATTAAATACTATGAAGTGGGGAGGCATTACATTTGCTTTTTAAAAATTGCATTCTCTTTGATACTTTCTGATACTTTTGTTGCTGTTAAAAAAAAGCATAACTTTTTATTATCGGCTATATGAGTAATCATTATTTTCAACTTTACTAACAGAAAGATCTATGATTCCAAATTTCTCTTAAACATTTCTTAACCCCTGTTAACTTAGTTGATTTCTTTTCACACAATTAAAGTTGTATTAGAAAGACTGGAAATCATTAATCTCTTGATACAGAATAATTTCTTTCAGATATTAGTAAATGATATACAGTAAACGCCATTTTCTTATATGTCTGGATTTTATACTTTTGCAAAAGGAAAATTCAAACTCAAATGAATTATTTTTATTTTTTGAACATATTTTTGCAAAATGGGACGAATTTGAAAAAATTAACAAAACCTTGCTGGGTCATATAAATCATCTCCTTTTTATATGATTATATGAGGCCTATAGACTATAACCATTTTCCTTAAGTCCTCTGGGCCACCTAAGTAACTGAGCCCCTTCTTAATGAACTTGCATATCTGCATTGAAACATCATCTGTTAGTGATCTTGATGAAAGGGACATGTGACACAAACCTACCTACCTCTAATCAGTGGTAATTACTGATATTTATTAAAAGAACTTGCCATTTCATGACACTTTTGGGCATCAAATAACACATATGCATCAAGGCTATGATAACTACTTGCTGTAGTTTCTTTTAGTAAATATTGGTAACCTCCACTGGTTAGAGAAAGGTAGTTGGGATCTGCATGTTCTTTTTTGTCAAGATCACTAACAGGTAATATGTTTCAATAAGTGCATAACTCAGAATAAATTCTCTTGACCAGGAAAACAAAACCCAGCTTATTATATGAGTCAGGAATTTCCTTACTTCTATACACCGAAGTAACAATGTTAAAATAAATTACCATACAGACAATTTATCACTGCTTCAATTTATATTATGTATAGGAATATGCCTTTTTTTTTTTTTTTTTTGAGATGGAGTCTCGCTCTGTTGCCAGGCTGGAGTACAGTGGTGTGATCTCGGCTCACTGCAACCTCCGCCTCCCGAGTTCAAGTGATTCTCCTGCCTCAGCCTCCCAATTAGCTGGGACTAAAGTCACGCACCACTATGCCCAGCTAATTTTTGTATTTTTAGTAGAGATGGGGTTTTACCATGTTGGCCAGGATGGTCTGAATCTCTTGACCTCGTGATCCACCACCCTCAGCCTCCCAAAGTGCTGGGATTACAGGCGTGAGCCACCACACCCGGGTGGGATATGCCATTTTTAAGATTATCTCCAGCTGCTTCATGTGGGCATTTTGAATAGGAATTGGTGGGGTGGGGGTGGGGAGACTCACTTTTTGCTTCCAGCATTCTTTTGGTACCCTCTAACAGTTTTTTTTTTCTACTGATGACATACTACAAGGACTAAAATAATGTGGATGTGCACTATAATCCCAACAGTTAATGTCTGTTACAGGATTTTCTTTTTCCTGTATCATGAAAGAGTAATCATTTTCTTGAGCCATTTAGACTAAGCCATGAATTAAACATGGGAGTGAACAGTTAACTATATTTTTTTGCATATTTCAATGTGTTCAATTGTACAAATAAGTGTCATTCTACAAAAGGTTTTATATATTTAAATGATGAGTTAGTAGAACAATTGGGAGACACAGGACTTCATTCCAAGAAAAATAATACTTCTGAAAGGTAATAGAAAAATACACTAGTATATCTGTGATGTGTACTTTAAAAGTCATTAAAAAGAATTCAGAAACAAACCCAAATATATACAATCAACTAATTTTTGACAAGCATACCAAGAAGACACAATGAGGAAAGAATAGTTTCTCCAATAGATGGTGTTAAGAAAGCTAGATATCCACATGCAAACAAACAAATAAATACACTTACTTTACACCACACACAAATTCAACTCAAAATGGATTAAAAACCTAAATATAAAACCTAATACCACAAAACTCCAGGAAGAAAATATGGGAAAAGCTCCTGGAAATTGTACTTAGGAATTAGTTTTTGAATGTCACAACTAAATCTTGGCAACAAAAGCAAAATAAACAATTGAGACTACATCAAACTAAGGAGCTTCTGCACGGCAATGAAAACAGTTAACAAAATTAAAAAGCAGCCTATGGATTGGAAGAAAATATTTGTGAGCTATATATCTGATAAGGGGTTAATATCCAAAATATATAAAAACCTCATACAGCTTAATAGCAATGAATAATAATAATTAATAATAACAATAACCTGATTAAAAAATGGGCAAATGACATGAGTAGACATTTCACAAAGAAGGCATAAAAATGGCCAATAGATATATGAAAATGCGCTAATCACTAATCATCAGAAAAATTCACATCAAAATCTCAATAAATTATCATCTCACACCTGTTAGAATGGCTACCATCAAAAAGACAAGACACAATAGGTGTTGCTGAAGGTGTGGCGAAAAGAGAACCATTTCACAATGTTTCAATGGTCTTTACATTTTGTTTTGTTTTGTTTTTGCAGTGCCTGGTACCAGTTTTTCCTTTCCATATTTAGTGCTTCCTTCAGGAGCTCTTCTAAGGCAGGCTTGGTGTTACCAAATCCCTCAGCATTTGCTTGTCTGTAAAGGATCATATTTTTCCTTCAATTATGAAGCTTAGTTTGGCTGGATATGAAATTCTGGGTTGAAAATTCTTTTCTTTAAGAATGTTGAATATTCGTCCCTACTCTATTCTGGTTTGTAGAGTTTCCGCCGAGAGATCTGCTGTTAGTCTGATGGGCTTCCCTTTGTGGGTAACCCCACCTTTCTCTCTGGCTGCCCTTAGCATTTTTTTCCTTCATTTTAACGTTGGTGAATCTGACGATTATGTGTGTCTTAGGGTTGCTCTTCTCAAGGAGTACCCTTATGGTGCTCTCTGTATTTCCTGAATTTAAATGTTGGCCTGTCTTGCTAGTTTGGGGAAGTTCTCCTGCATAATATCCTGAAGTGTGTTTTCCAACTTCCTTCCATTCTCCCCGTGACTTTCAGGTACATCAATCAAATGTAGGTTTGGTCTTTTCACATAGTTTGATATTTCTTGGAGGCTTTGTTTGTTCCTTTTCATTCTTTTTTCTCTAATCTTGTCCTCACGCTTTATTTCATTAAGTTGATCTTCAATTTCTGATATCCTTTCTTCCACTTCATGAGTTTGGCTATTGATACTTTTGTATGCTTCACGAAGTTCTTGTGCTGCATATTTCAGCTCCATCGGGTCATTTATGTTCTTCTCTAAAATGGTTATTCTAGTTAGCAATTCCTCTAACCTTTTTTCAAGGTTCTTAGCTTCCTTGCATTGGGTCTAGTTAGCAATTCCTGTAACCTTTTTTCAAAGTTCTTAGCTTCCTTGAATTGAGTTAGAACGTGCTCCTTTAGCTCAGAGAAGTTTATTATTACCCACTTTCTAAGCCTACTTCTGTCAATCCATCAAACTCATTCTCTGTCTAGTTTTGTTCCCTTGCTGGTGAGGAGTTGTGATCCTTGAGAGGAGAAAAGGCATTCTGTTTTTTGGAATTTTCAGCATTTTTGCACTGGTTTTTCTTCATCTTCATGGATTTATCTACCTTTGGTCTTTGATGTTGGTGACCTTCGGATGGGGTTTCTCTGTGGATGTCCTTTTTGTTGATGTTGATGCTATTGCTTTTGGTTTTTTAGTTTTCCTTCTAACAGTCAGGACTCTCTTCTTCAGGTCGGCTGGAGTTTGCTGGGGGTCCACTCCAGACCCTTTTTGCCTTGGTATTACCAGCAGAGGCTGCAGAACAACAAAGATTACTGCCTGCTCCTTCCTTTGGAAACTTTGTCCTAGAGGGGCACCTGCCGGATGCCATCTGGAGCTCTCCTGTATGAGGTGTCTGTTGACCCCTGCTGGGAGGTGTCTCCCAGTCAGGAGGTATGGGGGTCAGGGACCCACTTGAGGAGGCAGTCTGTCCTTTAGCAGAGCTCAAGTGCTGTGCTGGGAGATCTGCTGCTCTCTTCAGAGCTGGCAGGCAGAAACGTTTTAAGTCTACTGAAGTTGCACCCACAGCTGCCCCTTCACCCAGGTGCTCTGTCCCAGGGAGATGGCAGTTTTATCTATAAGCCCCTGACTGGGGCTGCTGCCTTTCTTTCAAAGATGTCCTGCCCAGAGAGGAGGAATCTAGAGAGGCAGTCTGGCTACAGTGGCTGTGTGGTGCTGCAGTGAGCTCTACCCAGGCTGAACTTCCCAGCAGCTTTGTTTACACTGTGAGGCTGAGCAAGACCACTCGGCTCCCTGGCTTTAGCCCCCTTTCCAGGGGAGTGAACAGTTCTATCTTGCTAGTGTTCCAGGTGCCACTGGGGTTTGAAAAAAAACTCCTGCAGCTACCTCGGTGTCTGCCCAAATGGGTGCCCAGTTTTGTGCTTGAAACCCAGGGCCCTTGTGGTATAGGCACCCGAGGGAATCTCCTGGTCTGTGGGTTGCAAAGGCCATGGGAAAAGTATAGTATCTGGGCTAGATGGCACCGTCCCTCACGGCATGGTCCCTCATGGCTTCCCTTGGCTAGGGAAGGGAGTTCCCTGACCCCTTGTGCTTCTCAGGTGAGGTGAAGCCCCACCCTACTTCTGCTTGCCCTCTGTGGGCTGCACCCACTGTCTAACCAGTCCCAGTGAGATGAACCAGGTACCTCAGTTGGAAATGAAGAAATCACCCGCCTTCTGCATTGGTCTTGCTGGGAGCTGCAGATAGGAGCTGTTCCTATTCGGCTGTCTTGCCCAGGAAAACCCACGTCAATTTTTAAAGAAAGAATAAATTCTATAGGTTTTACTGTCCTGCTGTCTCCATGTGTAAATTACTCCCACCCACAACCCCAACCCTATACACATAGTACTAATAGTACTAATTTCACTATTACCTGAGCTTCCCCTTCCCACTAAGTTTTCATTCCTTGAGAAATGAAAGATGATCAAAGCCACTGAGAAACTGGCAAAATGCCACTTATAGCAGCATATGTTTGGCAGCAGGACTTAGTCCTCCTATTAGAAAGGAAATTCTTGGTAAATGCAAGTATATATAAAAAAGGATCCATCCTCTGATGTATTCTTTTGCAGGGAAATGGATTTTACTCCCTTTGAACAGGCTCTACATGAATACTCTTTGAAGGAAAAATCATATTGCCTTTAATAAAAGTCCTTTCTTTTCCATATCGTGCATCTGTTTCCTTTTCCATACTTTGGTG
Organism: Homo sapiens; assembly: GCF_000001405.40. Lineage (NCBI taxonomy): Eukaryota > Metazoa > Chordata > Mammalia > Primates > Hominidae > Homo > Homo sapiens. Next base: position 78,004,868 of record NC_000006.12, on the reverse strand, counting down.
GATCTCAGTTTATTAAAAGTATTCTATCAACAAAATAGGAGGGAATTATCCCATGCTAGTATCTTTCTTTTGTTTTAACTTGATTCCACACTTCAACTTTAGTTTACTTCAATTAATAGTAATAAAATAAACAGACCTTTCTACATTCTGAAGAAGAGCATTCTAGTTAAGTTCTTTAGAAGATGAATTGAATTGTAGGTATAATATATTTGTAATGCAAAAAGTATTTTATATGTAACAAGGCAATTTATATGTATCTATCTAAGTAGACATGTGTGATAGTAATTATAAATGAACTATTAATAATTGTCTAGTAAAATAAGTAGTTACATAATAAAATATAAACATTAGCATAATAATAGAATAATGTACTAACATGTTTTGGACTGACATGTAAACCAACTACAATTTGTTGTGCTTTACCTGCACTGTCTCATTTAAACTTCATATTAATTCAATTAGTGAATACTCTTATTGTCTTAGTATGAGAAGTGAGGGAGCTAAGGCACAGTGAGACTATTTTTAATAGGAATTAATGAGTACTTACTTTTTTGTTGAATGAATTAGCTATTTACCAACCAAATATTTACCTTAAATATATATTTAATGTAGAACATAAATACATAATAAATATAAAATAGGATATAAGCATATATTAATATATTAAATATAAATTATAAATATACCTAATATATTAAAATATAAATATATAGTTACATATAAATATAAACATGCACAATTGATAATATATAATAAAATATGCACATACGAACACATACACCAAAAGAAAGACAAAGAGAAATAACTTTCGCTCCCATGTGTCTTTTTGCATTTCTGCACATCTTGTGAGTGAGACCCTGTTTGTCCTCTTTTATTTTGAACTATTTTCATTTCAAGGATGTCTGTATGGTAAATAGCCTTGGAAGACAGAAATGGTGTTTTTGTCCAGAACCAAGAGAGGCTTGCTTGTAGCCTTGGGAGATAGAGACAGTGCTACCCTCCACAGCAAAATGTTGGCATGCTAGCCATTCATCAGAAAAGATTCAGGTTCCCTAAGCTCAGGGTTCCTCTCCTGTAACGCAGTCCATTGTATGTGCCAGTGGTATCTTATCCTCTTCATATCTCTGTGGAAATTAGGACTGAGGAAGAAGAATGATAAATGCTGATAATGTGGCTACTGTTAATGTCTAATAAGCTTCTTTGCTCCTGACCCAAGCATCTTGTATTTTCTGCAGGCATTTATGAAACTGTGACAGGCTGGCTTGTTAGCTTACAAAGAAGATAAAAATCTCAGAGCCTTCATAGACTCTTTTTCTGCATTCTGATAAAAAAAAATTCTGTCTCTTTTCTGATCTTTCTCAAGTTTAAGAAGTAACAAAATGTACTTACTGACATACTTATCCTTTTTTTTTTTATTCCTGTCAAATAGTGGTATGGGAAAATGGTGGAGGGGCAAAACAAAGAGATCAAGAAAAGAAAATCTGGTCAAACTGCCACACAAGCATAAACCTTGTGTGACTGTGTATTTGCTGTCTTACTCTGTATCACATGCTTTTTGAACATTTGGGGTTAACTAACCTACTAATGAGACCCATCTTCCTCTGAAGAGTCAATCTATCCCACATTCTTTCTGTGCTGGGGGATGAATATTTCTCCCATAAAACATAAGTTAACAGCATGAATATAATTTGGTGATAGAAAAATAATTCTTTATAAGAGCTATTGTATTGAAAGGTAGTAGTTCCTCTGAAACCAGGGAATAAATGTTGACTCCCTTTTAGTGAAAAGTGAAATAGTTATTTATCTTAAGCATTTCTTAGCATAATTCTAGATATGTTAGAAAATGATACTACTAACAGCCAGCACACTTTTTAGGTTTATAGCTATAAGAACAAATGTATTATATCATCATGTAAACATTATTTTACTGGTCAAGCATGGTGGCTCACACCTGTAATCCCAGCACTTTGGGAGGCCGACATGGGCCAATCGCTTGAACCCAGGAATTTGAGACCAGCCTGGGCAATACAGCAAGACTCCTCTTTCTCTCTCTCTTTCTCTCTTCAGTAAAAAGAAAAAAAAGTATTATTTTGCTAGCAGCAAATTATCACTATGATTTTTAAGGGGAATACTAATATTTAAAGTTAATGCTTAATATACATCAATATATTTAGCTTTAGGAAATAAATATTTAGGGAAATTCCTTAGTAACTCTCATTTTTAAAAATTTATACCCAAGACAACTGGTTCATTTTGGGTTTGCTTGTATGAGTTGATATGTAATGTTTTATTATTTATTTATTTACTTTTTAAGACAAGGTCTCGCTGTGCCACCCAGTCTGGAGGGCAGTGGCACAATCATGGCTCACTGCAGCCTCAAACTCCTGCACTCAAGTGATTCAACCTACCCAGTAGCTGGGACCACAGGCATGCGCCAAAATATCAGGCTAAATTTTTCTTTTTTCATAGAAACAGGGTCTCCCTATGTTGCCCAGGCTGGCTTTGAACTCCTGGGCTCAAGCAATCCTCCCACATCAGCCTTCCAAATGGTTGGAATTACAGGCATGATCCACTGTACCCAGCTTGATTTAACTGTTTTAAGGCCAAAGCTCAAGTTTCCCGTATTCTTTACACACTTAGATTATTCTCTGATTTGTGAAATAGTCTCTCCCTTCTCTAGCTCCTTGAGTCAGATGTATCTCTTCTATGTTAGGTAGGGTAATGCTTGCTGTTTTAACAAACCAGCTCCCAAATAAGCTAGGGCAGTCAAGTTCTTGTCCATGATTATACAAGCTATGGGCAAATAAAAACTGAAACTCAGTACCCTAAGACAATGAATGTTTATTTTTTCATTGATGTATAGTCCTATGCAGATGCTCTTGGCTGTTGAAGTATAGGGTTCTACTTCACAGTCATTTAGGGAACCAGGATGATGAGGGTTGTGCCATTGCCAACACATATCTTCCTGGGTGATTATTCAGCTGGTGGAGAGAGACAGCAAGTTGCCCTGGATGGAGAGTCAGTGGGTAAAGAGAGAAAAAAAATATAAAAGTATTCCTACTTCAAGCCACCTTGGCAGAAAAGTGACCCACATAAATTTGTCCCATGTTTTACAGATACGAATTAGTCATGAGACCCCACTGAGATGCAAGAATGATGGGCAAGTGTAGTCCATTACTGGGCAGTCACTTCTTAAAAATAAATTCCCAACTACTGAAGGAGGTCATACATTTTTGGTGGGCAGCTAATTTTCCCCACCTCATTCCGCACTCTTAGCAATTATTCTCCAAGTCCATTTAAAGGCCTATCTGTATTAATAATGCATTCATTTTATTGTTACTAAATATTATAAATGAGCCTGAAAAACATTCTGTAGCCACATGGAAACACTGATTCATTCTGCTATAAGTACTGTAGAGTTACACGAACTTACACTAGATAAGATCAGTGTAGTCACTAGGGAGCCATCTGCACAAGATATTATAATATATAATACTACTTTTATGTAACCCTACCTGTTGTAAGTATGATGTGAGGCCTATAAAGTAAATATGTGTCACCAAACTTGTTTACATAATGTACCCTTCTCTAAAAAATAACAATGCTAAAAAATATCCTTTCTAATTAGCAGCTTTTTCTCAGAACAATAAGATAATGTACACATTCAGGGAACCAAAAGGAAATGAATTGAGTATATATGGAGAAGAAAAACATAATTTAGTCCCCAAAACATGCAGTTATTAATGCCAACATAGGTCCATTACATTTTACACACGGATAAGCCAAAAGTTATGGCAGTCAAGTTCTTACACATGATTATGCAAGCTATGGACAAATAAAAACTAAAACTCAGATCTTGCAGTCTTGTGCTATTTCTTAATCAAGCTGTGATACACTTTAGATATTTGTCTTCTTCAAATCTCATGTTGAAATTTTATTCGCAATGTTGGAGGTGGGGCCTGGTGGGGCCTAGTGGGAAGTGGATCCTTCATGAATAGCTTGCTCCCTTCCTTGAGGTAATGAGTAAGTTCTCACTATATGAGTTTACAGGAGGGCTGGTTGTTTAAAAGAGCATAACACCCATCCTCTCTTGCTCACTGCTTCACCATGTGACACACCTGCTCCCCCTTTCCCTTCTGCCGTGACTTATAGCTTCCTGAGGCCCTTACCAGAAGCAGATGTTGGTGCCATGCTTCTTGTACACCCTGCAGAACCGTAAGCCAAATAATCCGCTTGTCTTTGTAAGTTACTCAGCCTCAGATATTTCTTTATGGTTATGCGAGCAGACTAACACAAGCTGACATTCTAGCAAGATGAAGGATGACTGAAACTGTGGTGGCGGAATACCATGGGTTTACTCTGTGGCTTCTTCTGAGTCTGTATTTTAGGCTATGATGAATTAGAGTACCATTGGCTGTAGGGACTAATAGTAGTAGTAAATTTTTTGAAAGTAATTTTGTTCACCTATCTTCTTGTTATTTAATAAAACCTATCAAAAACATGAGGAGTGTCAAATGCACAAGAGAATTGAAAAAAAGATTTCAGGTAGCCATTGCCATATGTAATCTAGCACAATAGTAGTGGTTTCTGTCATTTGAAGTCAGCTACCAGAAGGTGCTTTATATAATGTTATCCCACTGGATCTTCAAATAATCCTTTGCAGCACTTATTATCAGCACGTATTTACCAATTTTACAGTGGAGAAAATAAGTAACTGAGTAAATAAGAGACAGAGTTGGTATTAATGTTGAAGAATGTCTTATCCGAGGCCATTCCCTTTCTCCATGTTTGTACTTTATTTTAATGTGTTTCAGAACAGAACATATGGTTAATCTAGTATATGATATTATTAGAGAGTGTATTAGGATTCTCCAGAGAGAGTCAATAGGAGATAGACAGAAAGATAGATAGATAGATGGGTAGATAGATGGACAGATAGACAGATAGGTGACAGGAAATTTATCAGGGGGATTGGCTCACGTCATTATGGAGACTGAGAAATCTTGAGACGGCCATCTGCAAGCTGAAGGCCCTGGGATGCTGGTAGCATGGCTCAGTCCAAGCTCCCAGGTCTAAGAACCAGGGAAGTGAATGATGTAAATCTCAGTCTGAGACCAAAGGCCTGAGAACTCAGGAGGCTGCTGCTTTAAGTCCTGGAGTCCAGAGGCCATGAAACTGGAGTTTTCATCCAAGAACAGGAGAGGAAGAACGTTACACAGTTGCAGCTGGATGGACACATTAGCCTTTTCCTGTTTTTGTTTTCTCTGAACTCCCAGAAGATTGGATGGTGCCCACCCATTGCATTTGTAAGCTAGTACAATAGTAACAATTTCTGTCATTTGAAGTCAGATACCAGAAAGTGCTTTATATAATGTGATCCCACTGGATCTTCAAATAATCCTTTACAGTACATATTATGAGCACATATTACCAGTTCTACAGCTGAGAAGATAAGTGACTAAATAAAGAAGTAAGAAGTAAGAGTAAGAAGCCACACTGAGGACAAATCTTCCTCACCTAGTCCTCTTAGACTCACATGCTAATCTTTGGAAACAACCTTAAAGACACACCCAAAAACAATACTTTCCCAAGCTTCTACGTGTTCCTTAATTCTGTCAAGTTGACACCTAAAAGAAATCATCACAGTAAGCATTCTTAGGCACATTGTAACAATGACTGCTTGCTGCATATACAATTAAATTTTTGGTGCTGAGGCTTGAACTGACCATAAAAATGACTGAAACACTTAAGGGGTTGTGTCTTAGAAGGTGCCTTATTATTGCTCATATATGGTAATTCAGATTCAAGGTTATTCAAGGAAATTCAATTTTTAGGATAAACCAGTTTGAGAAGATAGAAATGAGGTTCAATAAATATGCTCATTATAGGTGAGGTTTCCTGTAAACACAGCAAAATTTCAAAAAATAATTTTAGAAAAGAATTTAGAGCAATGTATATAAGAAAATGACATAAGACACAATTCAATTTTTGAAAACTAAGATATGTCACCTTACTCTTGAGAATAACTCCAACTGGCCACACTTATACTTCCCATTTGTGCTAGCTATTGAACTTATAAACATGTGTCTAATGTCTGCTTGCCCAGATATGCTGTAAACTGCATGAGATGGGGCTCAAGTCAGTGTCATTCACCATCACTTCTGCCTCCTGCAAAGTTTCTTCTTCATAATGTTAGCTCTTAAAAATACTGATTAAATTAATTGATGGACAAGGTACTAGAGTTCGTTAAAATTTCAAATAAATTAATGTACACTAATAGTAAGATGCAAAAAACACCCACAAAAACATTAATTCTTCCTACTAGCCCTCCATCACCCAGGTTCATTCTCCAGAGGAAGTAATTGTTCATTATTTCCTACAAGTTTTCTGAATATTAATGCTTCTTTAAGCATGTCTCCACTTTGTCTTACATTCATTTCTCACATAAAAATATGTACTTGAAATGTAAATATGTTTATTTATATAGCATCAAATCAGTTTAATAATCCAGACAAAATATTAATTGAATTGGTTGAATTATCCCAGTCCCTAATAGGTCATATTCTACATATTCCTAAAAACAAATTCCTTACATTGACGCATTTACTTGTGATTTCTTTCTTACAAATGTAGTAAGCTGAATGTAGACCATAACAATTGCATTTCAACACTAGTTGAATTTTCAGGTAGTTTGAAATCAGAAAAAAAATAACATGGACTTAAGATTTCACTTACAACATAGGTTTTTTTTGTTTTTTTTTTGTAGTTCTTTGACCGTTTTGACAATGACTGAAAAATTCATTGTATCTGATCATGTGCTCATCTACTTACTGGGTTCATTTGACTAGCAAGCAACCCGGGAGATGTGAAATGTAGGCAAAATAGTCACAGGGGTGCCTCTCTGACATCCATAGACCCAGACCTTGGCACCCCTTCTGCTTACTAATTCTCAGTCATTGGTAGTAGGCTATTTAAATTTTATTGTGTACAAGAATACTTTCATGAGCTTTGATTTAAAATAATAGGATAGTCAGTTGTGACCTAGAAAGTTTTTTTCTGTATTTGTATACTGTGGTGTGGAATTATTTCAGCAGAAATTGAGCTATATAGTATACATATTATTGAATAATATGTAAAAATATATGTAAATGAAAGCTATATTTTTAACATGAAAATATATTTGCAACCATGGCAGAATTTACCATGTAGTTTAGCATAGGGTATTTCATAATCTATTGTATTTATATAAATAACATAGTCCTCTGTGCAAACCCAGACTTAAGTCATGCTATTCATTCTTTATGTAACTCTTTTTAAGATTTCCTTTGGTATATGTGGAATCATGAAGGGCTGCTTCTGTTCTAATTCAAAATTTAAATTTTTATCAAGTATATGTGTCTGAAATTATAATTATGAAATTCATCTAAACCTATTTGGATAGTTTAATTTCTATCTCTCTTCTGTTGCTTTTGGCTGTCTCGTATCCTTTTACCAACTAGCCATGGTTTTCAAACTATGCCTCCCAAACCAGCAGCATAAAATCACCTGAGAGTTTCTTGAAGGTTAGAATTTCTGGTCTCACATCTCACTTACTGAATTAATATGCATTTGTTAAAAATGCATTTTTATATGCATATAAATGCATGTAAAAACGCATATAAAAATGCATTTTTAGAGGAACAGCTCCAGTCTACAGCTCCCAGCATGAGCGACGCAGAAGACGGGTGATTTCTGCATTTCCAACTGAGGTACCGGGTTCATCTCACTGAGGAGTGTCGGAAAGTGGGTGCAGGACAGGGGGCGCAGTGCAACCAGCATGCACCAAAGCAGGGTGAGGGAAGCGCAAGGGGTCAGGGAATTCCCTTTCCTAGTCAAAGAAAGGGGTGACAGACGGCAACTGGAAAATCAGGTCACTCCCACCCTAATACTGCGCTTTTCCAATGGTCTTAGCAAACGGCACACCAGGAGATTATATCCCGCGCCTGGCTCAGAGGGTCCTACACCCAGGGAGCGTCGCTCATTGCTAGCACAGAAGTCTGAGATCAAACTGCAAGGTGGCAGCAAGGCTGAGGGAGGGGCGCCCGCCATTGATGAGGCTTGAGTAGGTAAATAAAGTGGCCGGGAAGCTCAAACTGGGTGGAGCCCACCGCAGCTCAAAGAGGCCTGTCTGCCTCTGTAGACTCCACCTCTAGGGGCAGGGCATAACCAAACAAAAGGCAGCAGAATCCTCTGCAGACTTAAATGTCCCTGTCTGACAGCTTTGAAGAGAGTAGTGGTTCTCCCAGCACACAGCTGGAGATCTGACAAAGGACAGACTGCCTCCTCAAGTGGGTCCCTGAACCCCAAGTAGCCTAACTGGGAGGCACCCCCCAGTAGGGGCAGACTAACACCTCACATGGCTGGGTACTCCTCTGAGACAAGACTTCCAGAGAAATGATCAGGCAGCAACATTTGCTGTTCACCAATATCTGCTGTTCTGTAGCCTCCACTGCTGATACCCAGGCAAAGGCAAACAGGGTCTGGAGTGGACCTCCAGCAAACTCCAACAGACCTGTAGCTGAGGGTCCTGACTGTTAGAAGAAAACTAACAAACAGAAAGGACATCCACACCAAAACCCCATCTGTACGTCACCATCATCAAAGACCAAAAGTAGATAAAACGACAAAGATGGGGAAAAAACAGAGCAGAAAAACTGGAAACTCTAAAAATCAGAGCACCTCTCCTCCTCCAAAGGAACGCAGCTCCTCACCAGCAAAGCTGGATGGAGAATGACTTTGACGAGTTGAGAGAAGAAGGCTTCAGATGATCAAACTACTCTGAGCTAAAGGAGGAAGTTTGAACCCATGGCAAAGAAGTTAAAAACCTTGAAAAAAATTTAGACGAATGGCTAACTAGAATAACCGATGCAGAGAAGTCCTTAAAGGACCTGATGGAGCAGAAAACCACAGCACGAGAACTACATGACGAATGCACAAGCCTCAGTAGCCGATTTGATCAACTGGAAGAAAGGGTATCAGTGATGGAAGATCAAATGAATGAAATGAAGCGAGAAGAGAAGTTTAGAGAAAAAAGAATAAAAAGAAACGAACAAAGCCTCCAAGAAATATGGGACTATGTGAAAAGACAAAATCTATGTCTGATTGGTGTACCTGAAAGTGATGGGGAGAATGGAACCAAGTTGGAAAACACTCTTCAGGATATTATCCAGGAGAACTTCCCCAACCTGGCAAGGCAGGGCAACATTCAAATTCAGGAAATACAGAGAGTGCCACAAAGATACTCCTTGAGAAGAGCAACTCCAAGAGACATAATTGTCAGATTCACCAAAGTTGAAATGAAGGCAAAAATGTTAAGGGCAGCCAGAGAGAAAGGTCGGGTTACCCATGAAGGGAAGCCCATCAGACTAACAGCTGATCTCTTGGCAGAAACTCTACAAGCCAGAAGAGAGTGGGGGCCAACATTCAACATTCTTAAAGAAAAGAATTTTCAACCCAGAATTTCATATCCAGCCAAGCTAAGCTTCACAAGTGAAGGAGAAATAAAATCCTTTACAGACAAGCAAATGCTGAGAGATTCTGTCACCACCAGGCCTTCCCTAAAAGAGCTCCTGAAGGAAGCACTAAACATGGAAAGGAAAAACCGGTACCAGACACTGCAAAAACATGCCAAATTGTAAAGACCGTCAAGGCTAGGAAGAAACTGCATCAACTAACAAGCAAAATAACCAGCTAACATCATAATGACAGGATCAAATTCACACATAACAATATTAACCTTAAATGTAAATGGGCTAAATGCTCCAATTAAAAGACACAGGCTGGCAAATTGGATAAAGAGTCAAGACCAATCAGTGTGCTGTACTCAGGAAACCCATCTCAAGTGCAGAGACACACATAGGCTCAAAACAAAGGGATGGAGGAAGATCTACCAAGCAAATGGAAAACAAAAAAAGGCAGGGGTTGCAACCCTAGTCTCTGATAAAACAGACTTTAAACCAACAAAGATGAAAAGAGACAAAGAAGGCCATTACATAAGGGTAAAGGGAACAATTCAACAAGAAGAGCTAACTATCCTAAATATATATGCATCCAATATGGGAGCACCCAGATTCAGAAAGCAAGTCCTTAGAGACCTACAAAGAGACTTAGACTCCCACACATTAATAATGGGAGACTTTAACACCCCACTGTCAACATTAGACAGATCAGCGAGACAGAAAGTTAACAAGGATATCCAGGAATTGAACTCAGCTCTGCACCAAGCAGACCTAATAGACATCTACAGAACTCTCCACCCCAAATCAACAGAATATACATTCTTTTCAGCACCACACCACACCTGTTCCAAAATTGACCACATAGCTGGAAGTAAAGCACTCCTCAGCAAATGGAACAGAACAGAAATTATAACAAACTGTCTCTCAGACCACAGTGCAATCAAACTAGAACTCAGGATTAAGAAACTCACTCAAAACTGCTCAACTATGTGGAAACTGAACAACCTGCTCCTGAATGACTACTTTGTACATAATGAAATGAAGGCAGAAATACAAATGTTCTTTGAAACCAACGAGAACACAGACACAACACACCAGAATCTCTGGAACACATTTAAAGCAGTGTGTAGAGGGCAATTTATAGCACTAAATGCCCACAAGAGAAAGCAGGAAAGATCTAACATTGACACCCTAACATCACAATTAAAAGAACTAGAGAAGCAAGAGCAAACACATTCAAAAGCTAGCGGAAGGCAAGAAATTACTAAGATCAGAGAAGAGCTGAAGGAAATAGAGACACAAAAAACCCTTCAAAAAATCAATGAATCCAGGAGATGGATTTTGAAAAGATAAACAAAATTGATAGACCACTAGCAAGACTAATAAAGAAGAAAAGAGAAGAATCAAATAGACACAATGAAAAATGATAAAGGGGATATCACCACCGATCCCACAGAAATACAAACTGCCATCAGAGAATACCATAAACACCTCTATGCAAATAAACTAGAAAATCTAGAAGAAACGGATAAACTCTTCGACACATACACCCGCCCAAGACTAAACCAGGAAGAAGTTGAATCTCTGAATAGACCAGTAACAGGCTCTGAAAGTTAGGCAATAATTAATAGCTTACCAACCAACAAAAGTCCAGGACCAGATGGATTCACAGCCAAATTCTACCAGACGTACAAGGAGGAACTGGTACCATTCCTTGTGAAATTTTTCCAATCAACAGAAAAAGAGGGAATCCTCCCTAACTCATTTCATGAGGCCAGCATCATCCTGATACCAAAGCCTGGCAGAGACACAACCAAAAAAGAGAATTTTAGACCAATATCCCTGATGAACATTGATGCAAAAATCCTCAATAAAATACTGGCAAACCGAATCCAGCAGCACATCAAAAAGCTTATCCACCATGATCAAGTGGGCTTCATCCCTGGGATGCAAGTCTGGTTCAACATGTGCAAAAAAATTAACGTAATCCAGCATATAAACAGAACCAATGACAAAAACCACATGATTATCTAAACAGATGGAGAAAAGGCCTTTGACAAAATTCAACAACCTTCATGCTAAAAACTCTCAATAAATTAGGTATTGATGGGACGTATCTCAAAATCATAAGAGCTATTTATGAAAACCCACAGCCAATATCATACTGAATGGGCAAAAACTGGAAGCATTCCCTTTGAACACTGGCACAAGACAGGGATGCCCTCTCTCACCTCTCCTATTCAACATAGTGTTGGAAGTTCTGGCCAGGGCAATCAGGCAGGAGAAGGAAATAAAGGGTATTCAATTAGGAAAAGAGGAAGTCAAATTTTCCCTGTTTGCAGATGACATGACTGTATACTTAGAAAACCCCATTGTCTCAGCCCAAAATCTCCTTAAGCTGATAGGCAACTTCAGCAAAGTCTCAGGATACAAAATCAATGTACAAAAATCACAAGCATTCTTATACACCAATAACAGACAAACAGAGAGCCAAATCATGAGTGAATTCCCATTCACAATTGCTTCGAAAGGAATAAAATACTTAGGAATCCAACTTACAAGGGAGGTGAAGGACCTCCTCAGGGAGAACTACAAACCACTGCCCAATGAAATAAAAGAGGATACAAACAAATAGAAGAACATTCCATGCTCTTGGGTAGGAAGAATCAATATCGTGAAAATGGCCATACTGCCCAAGGTAATTCATAGATTCAATGCCATCCCCATCCAGCTACCGATGACTTTCTTCACTGAATTGGAAAAAACTACTTTAAAGTTCATATGGAACCAAAAAAGAGCCCACATTGCCAAGTCAATCCTAAGCCTAATGAACAAAGTTGGAAGCATCACACTACCTGACTTCAAACTATACTACAAGGCTACAGTAACCAAAACAGCATGGTACTGGTACCAAAACAGAGATAGAGACCAATGGAACAGAACAGAGCCCTCGGAAATAATGCTGCGTATCTACAACCATCTGATCTTTGACAAACCTGACAAAAAGAAGAAATGGGGAAACGATTCCCTATTTAATAAATGGTGCTGGGAAAACTGGCTAGCCATATGTAGAAAGCTGAAACTGATCCCTTCCTTACACCCTATACAAAAATTAATTCAAGATGGATTAAAGACTTAAATGTTAGACCTAAAACCATAAAAACCCTAGAAGAAAACCTAGGCAATACCATTCAGGACATAGGCATGGGCAAGGACTTCATTTCTAAAACACCAAAAGCAATGGCAACAAAAGCCAAAATTGACAAATGAGATCTAATTAAACTAAAGAGCTTCTGCACAGCAAAAGAAACTACCATCAGAGTGAACAGGCAACCTACAGAATGGGAGAAAATTTTTGCAATCTACTCATCTGACAAAGGGCTAATATCCAGAATCTACAATGAACTCCAACAAATTTAGAAGAAAAAAACAAACAACCCCATCAAAAAGTGGGCAAAGTATATGAACAGACACTTCTGAAAAGAAGGCATTTATGCAGCCAAAAGACACATGAAAAAATGCTCATCATCACTGGCCATCAGAGAAATGCAAATCAAAACCACAATGAGATACCATCTCACACCAGTTAGAATGGCGATTATTAAAAAGTCAGGGAACAACAGCTGCTGGAGAGGATAGGAGGGATCAACAGGTGCTGGAGAAATAGGAACTCTTTTACACTGTTGTTGGGACTGTAAACTAGTTTAAGCATTGTAGAAGTCAGTGTGGCGATTCCTCAGGGATCTAGAACTAGAAATACCATTTGACCCAGCCATCCCATTACTGGGTATATAACCAAAGGATTATAAATCATGCTGCTATAAAGACACATGCACACGTATGTTTATTGTGGCACTATTCACAATAGCAAAGACTTGGAACCAACCCAAATGTCCAACAATGATAGACTGGATTAAGAAAATGTGGCACATGTACACCATGGAATACTATGCAGCCATAAAAAATGATGAGTTCATGTCCTTTGTAAGGACATGGATGAAGCTGGAAACCATCATTCTCAGCAAACTATTGCAAGGACAAAAAACCAAACAGCACATGTTCTCACTCATAGGTGGGAATTGAACAATGAGAAGACATGGACACAGGAAGGGGAACATCACACACCGGGGACTGTTGTGGGGTGGGGGGAGGGGGGAAGGATAGCATTAGGAGATATACCTAATGTTAAATGACAAGTTAATGGGTGCAGCACACCAACATGGCACATGTATACATATGTTACTAACCTGCACATTGTGCACATGTACCCTAAAACTTAAAGTATAATAAAATGCATTTTTAACAAATGCATATTAATTGGAATCAATACACATAAAAGTTTCAGAAGCACTGCTATCATGTACCACTAATTACTTGTGCCTAAACAGACCCAAAGTTTGAAAGCAGTTGATTCTCTTTTCTCCTAGCGTCATTTGGGGTCATGCACCCTATCCTTGGCCAATCAGAACACCACAAATTTAAGACTTCCTTGATTGGTTCGGAGATGATTAAGTGGCTCAGCCATGCAAGCCAACATTTCCCACGAGATTTTTGCCAGGGCTATCGAAAGCAGTTCTCTTTCTTATTAAGGTTGGTTAGCTTTTAGAATTAAGTTCTATATCCCTGATGGCCAACTTTTTCACTACGTAGAGAGTGCTTGCCTAAGAATAAAGCAGACACAGAGGAATAAAATAAAGTTGAGAAGGAAAGAGCAATGGACAAATTGAAAGAAGAGAGAGGAGAAGGAGAGGGGAGTAGCGGAGAAGAGAGGAGGGGAGAGGAGGGGAGGGGAGGGGAAGGTAGGGAAGGGGAGGGGAGGGAAGGGAAGGGAGAACAGGGGAGCAGAGAGGAGAGGACAGGAGAGCCGGAAAGGGGAGGGGAGGAGGGGAAGAAGTAAAGAAAAAAGGAGGAAAGAGAGAGAAAGGAAAGGGAAATAAAGGGAGAGGAAGGGGAAAAATATCTTTAAGTGCCTAATAACAGCTGTGCCTTAAACCACCATCACCTGTGGGATTTCTCAATTACGTAAGTCATTAAATTCCATTTCTTAAGTTGGAGTTGGGTTTCTAACACTTGCAAATGAAAGTATCCTAATTGTACAGATGATGAAAGTGTTTCCATGAGGAATTTAATTACTAAACTACCAGACAACAGTCTCTTGGTGTGCCTTACATTTAGAAACATGCTTTAATTTTCAGCCTGAGCCAAATTTACTCTCTAATGTATTCAACAAAACAAGTTCATGTTTTACATTCCTGAATCTCAAAACATGTGCTTTCTCTTGAATAATTACAGATGTGACTGCTGGTGATCTTGTTATAATGGCTGTCTTGGTATGGATTGATCAAATTCAGATTAGTGTTTTACTTTATTATTAAAAACACTTGGTTTGAACTTGTTACATTAGTGATTTTAAATCTGAACACTTTCTGAAAACCTGTTTCATGTTTTGGGCACACCGCAAGTAAACAGATTCAATGTAGATGGAAAAAAAACAAATTTTCCTTTCCTTCTCATCCTTCCTACTGCTCCCTGCCATCTTTCAAATTTCTTATCTCTTCCTTTTTTTGTTGTTGTTTTTTTTTTTTTTTGAGACAGAGTTTCACTCTTGTTCCCCAGGCTCGAGTGCAATGGCATGATCTCAGCTCACTGCAACCTCCACCTCCTGGGTTCAAGCGATTCTCCTGCCTCAGCCTCCTGAGTAGCTGGGATTACAGGCATGTGCCACCATGCCCAGCTAATTTTTTTTTTTTTTTTGTATTTTTAGTAGAGACAGGGATTCTCCGTGTTGGTCAGCCTGGTCTTGAATTCCTGACCTCAGGTGATTGCCTGCCTCGGCCTCCCAATATTCTGGGATTACAGGTGTGAGCCACCGTGCCCAGCACCTCCTCTTTCTTTTAATTGTTATTCTTGAACCAAATAGTGGACACCATTTAAACCAAAATCTATTTTTTGAATCAACTTGGAATTAAGCAGTTTGTCATATTTTCTTCACACTGTAAAAATCCAGTTATCAAATTATCCAGTAGATATTACATGCCATCTTCATGGGAATTTTTAAACATATAAAACATTGCAAAGGAGATATTGGGGTTAAAATATATTGAATCATTGGGCTAATAAAATAATTTGAAAATGATGGTATGCATTCTTAAACTGTTTTATTTTCTGATAACATTTTCATAAAATTTCAGACAAGCCATCACAAAATTGAATGTTTCAATGTGCAGCATTATTTCTGTATCAATATCTTTATATATCTATATATTTTCTTATGATAAATAAGACTTTTCAGTTTTGAGTAAGGCTGATGGTGATAACAGTTCCTAAATCTAAAATGGTAAGCTCCACTTACCTACCTCATGCAAATCCATTTTGTTTTCTTATTTTGATTTTTTTTAGTTGTACAAAATTATAGGGTACATGTGAAGTTTTATTACACATATCTAGTGCATAGTAAACAAGTCAGTTAGTTTCCATCGCCTGAGTACAATACATTTTTGTTAACTGTAGTCAACCTACTCAACTGTAAAACATTTAATTAGCTCCTTCTTTCTAACTGTATGCTCATACCCTTCAACACACTTCTCTTAAGCCTTCCCTATATCCCCCACTCACCCTTCCCAGTCTCTGTCTTCCCACTCCTTATCTCTACATGATCAAATGTGTTCACTCCCACATATAAGTGAGAAAACATGTTATATTTGTCTTTTGGTGCCTAGCTTATTTCACTTAACATAGTGATTTCCTCTATCCATGTTTCTGCAATCCATACACAATGCAATAGTACATGACCATAAAAAATAATGAAATGTATATGTAAGTGATATATATACACATATATTTAATAACAGATGTACATATTCATATTTATAAGTATATATTACATAAATATATACATATATATTTATAAATGCATTTATACATAAATATATTTCATTATATAGAAGTCATATATATTTAATTTCACATTGGAATATATATATATTTTTTATCCACTCATCCATTGATGGACATGGGTTGAATTCATATATTTTCTACTGTCATTAAAGCTGTAATAAGCTTGTGAATACAAATATCCCTTTGATACACTGATTTCTTTTCCTTTGGGTAGACACCTAGTACTGGGATTTCTAAATCAAATGGTAACTCAGTTTTTAGAGAAATCACAAGTTTTCAATAATGGCTGTGGTAATTTATATCCACACCAATAACATACTGTATATAAGACATGTTTTATTTTCCTCCACATGTTTGACAAAATCTGCAACTTTTTGTCTAAGTTATAATGAACCAATTTTCATTTTGTTGGCCCTGTGCATTTTTTAAAAAATTCTGTTTCATTTAGTACTGCTCCGTACTTAATTATTTCTTTTCATCTGCTATTTGGGGTTTGGTTTGTTCTTGATTTTCTAGTTCCTTCAAGATCATTGTTAGATTGTTATCTTTCTACTTCTTTGATGTAGGCATTTATTCCTACAAACTGTTTTTATGGTATCTCACAGGTTTTGGCATGTTGTGTTGCCAATTTCACTCGTTTCAAGAAATTTTTAAAACTTCCATCTTAATTTATTCATTAACACAATAGTGATTCAGGAGAATGTTGTTTAATTTGTATGTGTTTGTAGTTTCCAAAGTTCCTCTTTGTATTGATTTTTACTTTTATTTTGCACTCTACAAAGATAGTTGATGTGATATTATGTTTTTTTTTTTTTTAGATTTGTTGAGGCTTCTTCTAACATACAGTCTATCCTGAAGAATGTTCCATGCACTGATTAGAAAAATGTGAATTCTGTAGCTGTTGAAAAAATGTTCTGTAAATGTTAGTTAGGTCCATTGGTCTAAAGTCCAGTTTAAATCTAAAGTGTTTTTATTTTTTGCTTAGATGTTCTGTTTAATGCTGGGAGTGGGGTGTTGAAGTCCCCCACTATTATTGTATTGTAGTGCACCTCTCTTTTTAGATCTAGTAATATTTGTTTTATAATTCTGGTTCCTCTAATGTTGGCTGCATATATATTTAGAATTGTTTTATCCTTTTCCTGGATTGGTGCCTTTATCATTATAATGAGGCCCATATAAGGCATCAATTCAAAAAAAGGATATGCTTTGTCTTTTTAAAAATGTTTTGACTTAAAGTTTGTTTTATCTAATATAAATAAAGCTACTTCTTTTCACTTTTGGTTTCTTTTCATGGAACATCTTTCCATGCCTTTGCTAGCAGTCTATATAAGTTTTTCTGATAAGGTGAACTCCTTGTAAGCAGCAGATAGTTAGATCAATTTTTTAAATTCACTAAATCTTTGTATATCTTTTATATAGAGAATTTAATCCATTTTGTCTAAGGTTAATATTGATATATATAAGGCTTTGTTTTTGTCACATTGCTAATTGTTTTCTAGCTGTTTTACATATTTTCTGTTTCTTTCTTTTTATCTTAATATTTGTCATTGTGGTTTGGTGGATTTCTGTAGTGATACCACTTGAGTCTTTTCTCTTCCTCTTTTGTGTGATTGCTTAACCAGGAGTTTTATACTTTTCTGTGTTTTCATAATGGTAAATATCATCCTTTGCTTCCAGGTATAGGACTCCTTTGAGCATTTCTTGCAGAATCAGTTTAGTGGTAACAAATTCTCTCAACATTTGCTTCTCTGGGAAATACTTTATCTTCCGTTTATTTGTAAAGGATAATTTTGCTGAATAATATTCTTGTCTGTCATGATTTTCTTTCTGTACTTTGAATGTAGTATCTGATTTCCTTCTGCCCTGTAAGGTTTCTGCTGTGAAATCTGATGGGGTTTCCTTTATAGGTGACTAAAAACTTTTCTCTTGCTGCTTTTAGGCTTTGCTCTTTGAGTTTAGACAGTCTAGTTATAATGTGCCATGAAGAAGACCTTTTGCATTGTATCTGCTTGAATATCACTGAGTCTCCTGTCTCTGGATGTCTAAATCTCTTGCTAGGCCTAGCAAGCATTCATCTATTATTTCGTTAAATAGGTTTTCTAATTCTTTAATTCTCTATTTGCCCTCAGGGATACAAAGAATTTAATATTTGGTGACTTTTTGTTGTCCCAAACATCATGGAGGCTTTGCTCATTCTTTTTTATGGTTTTTTTTCTTTATTTTTGTCTGACTGAATTATTTCAAAAGACCAGTCTTCATTTTCTATGATTCTTTCTTCTGCTTGGTCTGGTCTATTGTTGAAGCTTTCTAATGCATTTTGTATTTCTTTCATTGAATTCCTCAGTTTCTGAGTTTCTATTTGTTTCTTTTTAAAAATATCTATCTCTTTGGAAAATTTCCCATTTATATACTGAATTGATTTCCTGATTTATTTGTATTATTTTTCAGAATTATCTTGTATCTCACTGAGTTTCTTTAAAATTAATATGTTGAATTCTTTATCTGAGATTTTGAGAATTTCTGCTTGATTAAAAATCTATTGCTGCAAAATCATTATGTTCCTTTGCAGGTGTCAAATGTTCTTGCTTTTGCATTTTTCCTGTGTCCTTATGTTGATATCTGTGCATCTGGTGTAATAGCCATTTTTTCATATTTTTGAATGGACTTTTGTAGAGGATGACTTTTTCCCAAATATATATCTGTGGTGTTGATTGGGTAGGGCACTTTGGATTTGATTCTGTATACATGCAATAGTGTAGTCTCTGGATGATTTCTTTGACTGTAAACAGCATTAGAGGTATCTGTGATTTCCTTAGTGGGTTAGGGTGCAGTTATTAGTGGAGGTTGTAGTAAAGTAATACTGGGGATGGGGATGTCACGTAGCCAGTCTTCAGGCCCTAGTGATGGCAGCAGTGGGCTGAGCATTCTGATCCTTATGCCTTAGGGTGGCATACACTGGCACCTGTGGTAGTGGTTACTGGAGGGCCAATTCTTGGGCCTCCAGGTGGCTAGCTTGAATGCTGATAGTTGCAGAGATGGACCAGGCAGGTTTTCAATTTACTGGGTCCCTGGACAGCTTGTTTGTATACGCAATGCCAGTAGCATTAGCAGGATGATTCTTGAGTCCCAAATCATGTACACTGATGTTAGTAGTGGCTGCAGTGGGCTGGGTAGGCCAGTCTCTGGGCCCTCAGGTGGTGCTTGTAGGTAGGTGCCAGATAAGGTGGGAAGAGCCAGGAGTTTAAGCTGAACATTAGGCCCCCAAGAGGAGTGCTCAGGTGCCCAGGGTGGTGAATTGCTTTGGGCAATCTCTAGGACCTTGAAGCATGTGCTCTGTCTTAGAGATGGGGGCAAAGCTGGGTTTGGCAGGCTTGTGCTCAAGCCTCCCAAATGTGAGAACAGCCACTAGCCAAGGTTGGTGGGTTGAGGGTGATCCTCAGTACCCAGGTAGAATGCTGGGTGAGCAGTAGTGTTAGCCCCACTGAGGAAGGTGAGCCCAAACTCAGTGGCCACAGTCTAAGCTAGCTGGTGGGGAACACATGTCCCTCTCATGCCCTAGTCACAGTGGGTCTCATCTCTGAGCCCTGGTAGTGGTAGCCCACACCTAGCTCACACCTCAGGCCCAGCTACAGGAGACCCACCATAAGTCCCAGTGGTAACTCATGTCCCACTTGTGTCCCCTTCTCAGTCCTGGCAGCACTTGCTTCTCAACACCAGTAGCTGAAGCCCACACCTCACTGGCTTCTCAGCCTTGGCTGCAGCAGCCTATTCCCAGGTCATGGCCCAGTCCCAACAGCAACTGCCCAAGTTTTCCTAGCACTTCAGTGTAAGGGCTGCTGAGCCCAAGGACAATATGCAGTCTAATAAAGTCTGGGATTGAAAATGGTGTTTTGCTGTAGCCACCTATGACTCAGAAAGGGTGCGAGAACAAGTGCAAGCTCTCTCCCTAAAGCGGTTCCATCTCATTGTCTCCTGGCACCTCCTTATGTTAGTTTCAGGTCTTGAAAGGGTTGAGGGACTCCTGTTGCCAGGATTTCATGATTCCATGCTGGGAATGTGAGATGCTGGGAATCTCTCACTTACTCATTCCCTACATTGGGCAGTTCCTCCTGGCTTCCAGCTCATACCAGCCAAGCAGGCTGTCTCTCTTTTTTTGTTCCCTTGCTTTTGTTTCTTCCTGTCATTTTTCAGTTGAATTCCAGTGTTATCTCTTGGATAATGTATTTGAAGTATGATTACGCACTATTTTGGATCTTTTAAGTGGAGGAGGTGAGCGTGAAATGCTTCTAGTCAACCAATTTGAAGTCCACAATAGATAACTTCCATTTTCTTTAAGTTAGAACTGTTTAACACAGAGAAGAACAAAAGCTATTTTTCATTTAGTCAGTCAACATATGTCTATTGAATACTTATAATGTGTTAGACTCTGTGGTAAGAGGTAAAAATTGGAAATTGATAAGTCATTGTGTGGCATTCTAATAGAGTGAAATACATTGTATTCTAATATAATGAAATACATTAGTAGATTTGTAGGAAGTCTGGGAGAAGGAGGTCTTATATGTACTCCTGGGGATCTTTATCAAAGCATCCAATGCCCCAATTTTTTCTTCCCCAATGCTCATCCGCAGATCTATCAAAATTAGGAGTTATTCACATGAAAAAGCTTTCCAGGGCTTAATTTACTCCAAATTTTCCAAACTCCTCACCAATTTATAACCACTATATGGTGTTCCCAACAAGGTGTTCCATGAGAGCAGTGATATACAAATAGTTTTGTGTATGTAGAGTTGGAGAAGTAAGGGAAATTTCTTGTTGCTATTGTGATTATTCTTTCTGTATTTGAAGTGAGCCTTGAAGGACTAAAAGGGTAAAAACAGATGGGAAAGGGAGAAAAGAGCATTTCAGCTTATGGAAATATAAGCATAATAATTACTAACATTTATGAAGCTTTTACCATGTGCTGTACACATCCCTCAGGTCGTTGACATGGAGATAAAGGACAGTGGTTACATGAATTTCCTCTGGTTTCCTAGGTAATGAATGGTGGCGCTTGGATGTGGCTCCCAGCTTTCTGAAAGGATACTCCAAAAAGAATGTTCTAACCTCCAAAGTTGGTTTCCATAAGGGTAAGCACTTAGGGAATAATGATCAGTTTAAATGCACCAGTGTCACTACTCATTTTGGTTTATATGGTAAGATGCATAATGTATATAACATACATACATAAAATGTATATATGAAAATATGTATGTATAATATATCTCTCTCCATATATATATGCATATATATATATATGCATAGAATCTCCAGAACCTGGGGACCAAAATTTCTAGTTGCTTATCTTCATGGGCCAATGCATGCATGCACAGGTGCTTAGCAGCTGTGCATTAATGAACACCACTGATGAAATGATTCTTTAGGATGAAAATTTCTTCCAAAAATAAGATAGGTAGTTTTATTTTTTGACAGATTGCGATATGCAATATCTACTTTATAAGGAGAATAAAAAATCTAGTTTCAAAGTGTTGTTTTACATGTAAATGTGATGTCAAAAATATGCTTTTGCTCTGACTCTTCATAGGCCATTCTGTTCAGTCCCAAAGTCATTATCAAACTCCTTTGACTTTTTGTTATGTACTCCTCAATTTTATTTCATGCATCTTGAAGAAACAAAAGACGTTTCAAATATAAATAGAGAATGAAAGTCTAGTTGTTGCATATAGGCCAGGCACCTTATCTAGCTCTCTGTGTGAATTTCCACCTCACTGCTTGCTGAGACTCTGCAAGAGGCAGGCTTCATCAGTTCGAAAATACCACACTCTGTCTTGATAGCTCATCCTCCTCTCTGTTTGTCACAGATGTTTCCAAGTGCAATGAGATGTGATTTAAAGAAAAGTGCTAATTTTTAAAAAGGTAAAAATTCCAAATTGAGTAATCTGTATATGCATTGCTGCCAAGTATTGGTTTGAGCTGATTCAAAAGAATTCAATCTATGGACATACATATCTTAATATATTTAAGGTCAATAAGACACATAAAAAATTCTCAGTAAAAGTCATGTAAAGGGAAACTGTTATGTTTGCACAGAGTTCATATATTTGCAATTTGGTTCCCATGATAAAAACATGATAATATCATAAGTAAGTGTAACTTTTCAATTTTAATAAGGTTTTGCTTGAAAGTCAGGATCATCTTGTATATTCACTTCCTGATTGGATATTCTGCTATCTTTACAGAGCTCACATGGGAGAAAGGATTAATTTTTCTAAATTGAATTTTAAAAGATATTTTATGCTTCTTTTCCATTCAAATATGGTTAAAAGTTAACCTAATTCAAGGGAAAAGGCAGGAAACTGTACAGCCTTAAATCCCAATTGAAGGAAAGACACTTTTTCGGTGGAAGAAGTTCATCAGTATTCTTCATAAATACTATCTTCATAAATATTATCAAGTGAGATTAAAACTATTATGCATTTTAAAACTTCTTCAGGGGCTGCTTTTTCCATTTGGTTCCACATGATAGCTTTTCTTTGGAAGTAGATTTGTGGCCCAGTGAGTAGCATTTGTTATTGTAGAATTTTATTTTCTCATTAAGTGGCTTGCCCATAAAAAACAAGGCAGCTCTACTTCTACACAGTAGTGAAATATGAGAACATTTCTAGTAAGAAGACTAGGCAACAGGGCAGGGTGAAGGTGTGGAGAGAGAGAGAGAGAGAGAGAGAGAGAGAGAGAGATGTTCAATCGTCGTTGTAATTGTATCTAATCATCACAGCATCACAGAAATGGAGAAGCTACTACAAAGGAAGAGAAGTCCTACTGCCCTGTCTGGATAAGACATTCCATTTTTTGATAGAATTTTCAGAGTACAGAAATAGTGTTTATATTTGTTGGGAAGTCAGAGTTGACAAAGTATTGTTTGGGGCATATCTAGATTTGTCAAGTTGGTGCTCATAATTTTTCATTTATTCTTGATGTGATTATTTCTTAGCTTTCAGAACTGAGGAGTTACTAGTCAGTCAATCATTTCAGCTAGTATCCTCTTAGTAGACTAATAAAGTTCTGTTTTTTTCTTCAACTTTTATTTTAAGTTCTGGGGTACATGTGCAGGATGTGCAAGTTTGTTACATAGGTAACACCTAAGTATTAAGCTCAGAATCCATTAGCTATTCTTCCTGATGCTCTCCCTCCCCCTGTCCCAAGACAGGCCCCAGTGTGTGTTGTTCCCCACCATGTGTCAATGTGTTCTCATCATTCAGCTCCCACTTATTAGTGAGAACATGAGGTGTTTGGTTTTCTGTTCCTGTGTTAGTTTGCTGAGGATAACGGCTTCCAGCTCCATTCATGACCCTGCAAAGGAGTTGATCTTGTTCCTTTTTATGGTTGCATAGAATTCCATAGTGTATATGTACCATCTTTTCTCTATCCAGTCTATCATTGGTGGGCATTTGGGTCGATTCTATGTCTTTGCTATTGTGAATAGCACTGCAATGAACATACGTGAGCATATATCTTTATAATAGAATGATTTATATTCCTCTGGGTATATACCCAGTAATGGGATTGCTGGTCAAATGGTATTTCTGCTTCCAGATCTTTGAGGAATTGCCTCACTGTCTTACACAATGGTTGAACTAATTTACATTTCCAACAACCATGTAAAAGCATTCCTTTTTCTCCACAACCTCACCAGCATCTGTTGTTTCTTGACTTCTTAATAATTGCCATTCTTACTGGTTTTCAATTGTATCTCTTGTGGTTTTTATTTGCATTTCTCTAATGATCAGTGTTGTTGGGCTTTTTTTTCATATGTTTGTTGGCCACATAAATGTCTTCTTTTGAGAAGTGTCTGTTCATGTCTTTGCCCACTTCTTAATGGGGTTGTTTGGTTTTTTCTTGTAAATTTGTTTGAGTTTCTTGTAGACTCTGGATATTAGACATTTGTCAAATGGCTGTATTACAAAAATGTTAAGGGCAGCCAGAGAAAAAGGCCAGACCACCTGCAAAACGAAGCCCATCAGGCTAACAGCAGATCTCTCAGTGGAAATGCTACAAGTTAAAAGACATTGGAGTCAAAAATTCAACATTCTTAAAGAAAAGAATTTCCAACACAAAATTTCATATCCAGCCAAACTAAGCTTCATAAGTGAAGGAGAAATAAGATCCTTTTCAGACAAGCAAATGCTGAGGGAATTCACCACC
This sequence comes from Homo sapiens, assembly GCF_000001405.40. NCBI lineage: Eukaryota > Metazoa > Chordata > Mammalia > Primates > Hominidae > Homo > Homo sapiens. The sequence continues at coordinate 77,980,275 of NC_000006.12, read as the reverse complement.
ACCAGGCCTGCCTTGCAACAGATCCTGCAGGAAGCACTAAATATGGAAAGAAAAAACTGTTACCAGCCACTACAAAAACACACTGAAGTACCCAGACCAGTGACACGATGAAGCAGCTACATAAACAAGTCTGCAAAATAACCAGCTGGCATCATGACAGGATCAAGTTCACATATTACAATATTAACCATAAATGTAACTGGGCTAAATGCTCCAATTAAAAGACAGAGAATGGCAAGCTGGGTAAAGAGCCAAGACCCATCAGTATGTTGTATTCAAGAGACCAATCTCATGTGCAAAGACACACATAGGCTCAAAATAAAGGGATGGAGAAAAATTTATCAAGCAAATGGAAAACAGAAAAGAGCAGTGGTTGCAATCCTAGTTTTGGACAAAACAGACTTTAAACCAACAAAGATCAAAAAAGACAAAGAAGGGCATTACATAATGCTAAAGGACTCAATTCAACAAGAAGAGTTAACTATCCTAAATATATATGCACCCAATACAGGAGCACCCAGATTTATAAAGCAATTTCTTAGAGACCTACAATGAGATTTAGACTCCCACACAATAAAGTTCTCTTTATACTGCTTTTCATGCAACTGTCACTATGTTTCTGGCTATTTAACTATTCTCTTAATGTGTTGAGCATTTAAAAGGTGTAGAGATAAATTAAATGATTACACCCAGTCCATACATGTAATATTTACGTACAATATTATGAATTATGCCATTTACCTTTTATTTGGCTGTAGAATGCTTGCCTTTCGCAAATTTAAGATTTGAGTGAAATCTCAATAAATAACATCAATATGGAAAGTTAAAATTTAAAATAGAAGCTATAGGCTTCATAATATGCTACCTCAGCTTTTTTATTTTTATTTTTTAGTTTACTGTTAAAGTTTAGAATAGTATTAGATTTACAGATAAGTTAGGAAGAGAGTACAGAGAGTTCCTATATACCCTCCACACAGGTTTCCCTATTGCTAACATCCTACATTAATATAAGTTTTAATTTGTCACAATTAATGAACCAATATTGTTATATTATTATTACTGAAGTTCATACTTTATTTCCGTAGTTTTTACCAAATGTCTTTTTTCTATTCAAGAATCCCAATCAGTATATCACACTACATTTCACTGTGATGACTCCTCACATGCCATGCCAGTTTCTTTCTTTTTTCCTCTCATAATTAGACTGAAATTATATTTTTTGGGGGACAAAATCCACAGAAGTAAAACACTATTCTCATCACAATGTATCAATAATCCTACAAGCTATTAACATGACTTATCCCTGTCAATATTATCTTTGAACACCGGGCTATGGTAGTGTTGTCAGATTTCTTCATTGTAAAGTTACTCCCCACCTTCCATGCTGTACTTTGGAAGGCAGTCACTATGTACAGCCCATATATAAGGAATGGAGAAGTATGTTGCACCTTCTTGAGTAGAGATTAGCTATATGAATTATTTGGAATTCTTCTAGATGAGAGAATTATCTATTCCTCTTATTTATTTATTCAATCATTTATTTATGTCAGTATGGACTTATACAATTTTATTTTATATTTTAGATTATTATTTAATACAAGTTTATCCATTTTGTTGCTCAAATTGTTTTAGCTTTGGTCATGGGTATCCTTTTGTTTAGCTACTTTATCCCTTTGACATATTACCATCATCGAAGGTTTGTTTGTTTTGTTTTTAGCACTACAAAATGCTCTGAATACATCTTGTTTATCTTCTGACTCAATCCTAGAATCAAGTATTTCTCTATGGAGCCCACTGTCTTTTATTGGAGTGTGGTATTAGAATCCAAGATTTGTGTGCTAGTTATATTCATTATGACTGAAGTGTCAGTACTTCTAAGCCTTTTCAGCTGACAGAGGAAGTATATACTAATAAGCTAAACATGAGTTTATACTGATGTTTTCAACTTAAATCTAATACCACATGAATCATTTTAGATTTATCCCCTTGCTGGTCCGTAATCTTCCAATCCAACAGTGAGAAAGTCTGGCCCTTAACATCTGCCATCCTTTTAAATTCTCTTGATTAGTGTGGCTTCATAATTAGCCTTAAAATTGGATACTGTGAGTCCTGCAGTTTTTTTTTTTTTTTTTAGCATTTCGTTGGCTCACTTGCATTTTTATATAAATTTTGGAATTAGTTTGTTTATATAAAATAACTTGCTCAGATTGTGATTGTGATTATCAAATAAATAGATCACATTGGGAGGAAATTGTGTTTTAAGAATATTGAGTCTTCCAATCTAAGAACATAAAATATCTCTCCACTTGTTTAGACACTTTTTTATCAGTATTTTGTAATTTTCTGCATACAAATTCTGTATGTGATTTTATACTTAAGTACTCCATTAATTTGGTGGTATTGTAAATAGTATAGCTTTAATTTCAAACTTCAATGATTCATTGTTCTTATAAAGGAAAGTAATTGAGATTAATATTGATATTGTATCTTGTGACTTGGCTATACTTGCTTATTAGTTCCAGGAAGTGAATTTTGTTGTTGCTGCTGCTGTTGTTATTTACATTCTTTGGGGGGTTTTGTTCTGGCAATTATGTCATTTGCAAATAAAAAAGTTTACTTCTTCCCTCCAATCTGTGCACATTTTATCTTTTTCTTGTTTTGTTGCACTAGCTCTGACTTTTGGTAGGATATTTAACAAGAGTGATAAGGTTACTTTGCCTTTTTCCTGATATTAGGGGTGAAGCATCAGTCTCTTATCATTGAGCATGATGTTAGATGTAGGACATGTAGGTTTCCTTTCTTAAAAAAATAAAGTTGAAGAAATTCCACTCTATTTCACAGTATTGAGAGTTTTTATCATGAATGGATATTGGATTTCATCAAATGCTTTATCAACATCAATTCATATTATCATCTCTGATTTTTTTTCTTTTGCCAGTATATGTGGTGGATTACATTGTTGTTACATGTTGGACTAGCTTTATAAACTCCTAATAAATTCCACTTGTTTCTTGTATAAACTGTTTTCCCATGTTGTTGGATTCCATGTTGATATTTTGTTTAAGATTTTTGCATATATGTCCATGAGGGAGGTTGTTCTGTTGTTTTCTTTCTTTGTAATGTCTTCAGCCAATTTGCATACTAAGATAATTCTGGTTTTAGAGAATACATTAGAAAGTGTTTTCTCTGCTTCTATTTTCTGGATAAGGTGGAAAATTGGTATTATTTCTTCCTTAAGTACTTTGTAGAATTCACCAGTGAAAATATCTGGGCCTGGTAATTTCTTTTGAGAATCTTATAAAATATTGAATTAATTCCTGTATAGAGCAATTCAGGTCATCTGTTTCTCCTCGTGTGGATTTTAGTCCTTTCTGTCTTCCAAGAAATTGTTTTATTTCATTTATCTTATCATTTATTTCATGTGTACCATCACATTTACTTTTCAAATCACACTTAGAACAATACTGCACATGGTAGTCATTAAAATTATTTGATGAATGGATGAACACATGAACAGCAGGAATGCATTTTTTAAATTGCAAAACTGAGAAATGAGAACTAACGGTCTTAGAGACTAAAGATACTGACTCCATTACTTTTATTATGTTTTTATGTTAATTTTGACTGCTTCTTATTGAACCCTTCCATTTGGTGGTTAAAATATCATTGAGGCAAGTTTTTAAAGATTTTTTTCCCTATTATTTGTAATGATTTATTAAAGTAAAAATGTATTTCATATATGTATTATTACTAGTTTGTTAAATTATTTCAAAGTTAAGGTTCTAACCAACATCAGAAAACAATGGCAATGAGCATATAAGAAACAGATTTAGACATGTTAGGCTCTCAGGGTTGAAGAAATTTTTTCTTTCTTTTTTGACACAGAGTCTCCCTCTGTAGTCCAGGTTGGAGTGCATGGTACAATCACAGCTCACTGCAGCCTCGACCTCCCAGGCTCAGGCAATCCTCCCACTCAAGCCTTCCAAGCATCTGGGACACAAGTATGTGCCACCACACCTGGCTAATTTTTATCTGTAGAGACGAAGTCTCTCTATGTTGCGTAGGCTGGTCTTGAACTCCTGGGCTCAAGCAATCCTCTCAACTCAACCTCCCAAAGTGCTTGGATTACAGGCATGAGCCACCACATCCAGCCTAAGAATTCTTATATTTGCTTTGCCACTAAGCTGTTTCTTCAGTACAAGCAGTTATTTAAGCTCTTTTAGAGCCAGGTGGGGCAATCTATGGCCTACCACCTGCGTTTGTAAAGTTTTATTGGAACACAGCAATGCTTATTCATTTACATATTGTCTGCGGCTGCTTCAGAAATACAATGGCAGAGTTGCGACAGAGACTGCGTAACCCACAAAGCCTACAATATTTGCTATCTATAATTTTAAATTATTACCTTCATTTTATTTTACTGGCTTTATTATTTAGATTTCTTATTTCCATAGTTTTCTTGGGGAACTAGTGATATTTGGTTACATGAATAAGTAGTATTTCCTTAGTCGGAGTGTTGATCTCTTTTTTATTTCTAACATCGATAATTTGTGTGTTCTCCCATTTTTGTTGTTGGTTGAGATACTTAAAAATGTATTGTGTTGATCTTTCCAAAAAATGAATTTCTAAAACCATCTTCCTTATTGGTTTTCTACTTTCAATTTCATCGATTTCTACTCTAATTTGTATTACTTCTTTTTATTTATGCACTAAAACTTAAATCCCTCTTCGTTATCTAGTTTTCAAAAGTAAAATATTAGGTTTTTTATTTTAGATCTTTCTTATTTTTTGACATAAGCATTTAATGTTATAAATTTCTCTTTATGCATTGCTTTTGGTGCAGCCAACAGGTTTTGATAATTTGTGTTTTCATTTTGTTCAAAATGTATTTTAAAGTTTCTTGAGACTTTTTCTTTGACTCATAGATAATTTAGAAGTGTGTTATTTAATTTCCAAATATTTGAAGAGTTCCCAGCTATTTTTCTATAGCATATTTATAGTTTAATTCCACTGTGGTCTGAGAACATGCTTTGTATGATTGCTAGTTTTTTAAGTATGTTAAGATATGTTTTATGCCCAGAATGTGGTTTACATTGGGTAATGTTCCATGTAGCCTTGAGAAAAATGTGTCTTCTGCTGTTGCTAAATGGGATACTCTCTACATGTCAATTAGAACAAATTGATGGATTGTGCTATTCTGGTCATCTATGTCTTTACTGATTTTCCACCTGCTTGATCTAGCAAATGCTAAAAGAGATACTGATGTCCTCAAATAGGAATGGATTTGTCTATTTCTCCAATCAGTTGTATCAGCATTTTCTGCATGTATTTTCACATTCTTTTGTGAGTTACATATGCATTTATGATTATTATGCTTTCTTCAAGAATTGATTATTTATCATTATGGAATACTTTTGTTTACTTCTGAAGCTTTTCCTTGTTCTGAAGTCCTTTTTGTCTAAATGTAATATTGCTACCCCAGCTTTTGTTTGTTTGTTTGTTTGTTTGTGGGAGTCTTGCTCTGTCACTCAGTCTGGAGGGCAGTGGTGCAATCTCAGCTCACTGCAACCTCTGCCTCCCGGGTTCAAGCAATTCTCCCTGCCTCATCCTCCCAAGTAGCTGGGATTACAGGCACTTGCCACCACGCCTGGCTAATTTTTGTATTTTTAGTAGAGATGGGGTTTTGCCATGTTGGCCAGGCTAGTCTCAAACTCCTGACCTCAGGTGATCTGCCTGCCTCAGCATCCCAGCCTGCTGGGATTACAGGCAGGAGCCAACGCGCCCATCCTACCCCAGCTTTTTAAAATTAGTGTTACTATGATGTATCTTTCTCCAACCCTTTGCTTTTAAATTATTAGTAAATTTATATATAAAGTAGGTTTTTGCAGACAATATATGGTTTGGAAACATTGTTTTTAATCTACTCTGACCAAATTTTTCTTTCAATTAGTTTATTTAAACCATTTATACATTAAGTGATTATTAACGTGGACTAATATTTATGATATCTCAAAGTCTTTTTAAAATTTATTGGCTTACTTATTTCTCTACCTTCTGATTTTTCTTTATTTAATTGAGCATTTTACATGATTTCACTTTATCTTCTATCTTAGCATACAAATTATATTACTTTAAAAAATGTATTGGTTGTCCTAGAATTTACAATTTACATTTTTATCTGTTTTGTCCACCTTCAAATAACACTACACTGATTAACATGTAGTGCAAGTACTTTATAAGAAATTATTCCCAGTTTCTCCCCCCTTTCCCTCGATGTTGCTGTCACTCATTTTGCCCATTCATAATCACCTAATACATTGTCATTGTTATTATTATTGCTTTAAAAACTATCTTTTACATCAATTAAAAATTAGAAAAAAGATTGTAATTTACCTTCATATATTCCTTCTTCAATGTTTTCTTTTCTTTATGTAAAATCCAAATTTCTGACCTTTATCATTTTCATTTTCTTTCTCTCTGAAGAACTTTTTTTTTTTTAACCATTTTTTGGAAAGTCTGCTGGTTGTATAGGTTTTTTTTCTTTGTTTACCCTTCACTTTTGATGGATAATTTTGCTGGATAAATTCTAGGTTGATGTATTTATTTTACTTTGTTTTCAAAACTTCATTTCCACTCTCTTTTTGCTGTCATGGTCTCTGATGAGAAGTCCACGGTAATTCTTATTCCTCTATAAATTAGTGTTTTCCTCCTCTGCATTCTTTTTAGACTTTTTTCTTTGTGTTTGGTTTCCTGCTGTTTAAATATGGCATGCCAAAATCTATTTGTTTGGTATTTATTACGCTTCACTTTATCTGAACTTTCTGGACCTGTTATGTGGTGTCTGTCACTAATTTTGGAAAGGTCTTAAGTATTTCAATTAAGTATATGTTACACTTTTATATATTGTCCCACAGTTCTTTGACGTTTGGTCCTCATTTGTTTGTTTGTTTTAATATTTTTTTCTTTTTGCATTATAATTTGAAAAGTTTTTATTGACCTGTCTTCAAATTTACTGATTCTTTCTTCAGTCATTTCAAGTCTACTGAAAGCTCACCGAATGTATTCTTCATTTCAGTTACTGTGGTTTTTAATTCTAAAATTTCCCTTTGATTATCCCTTAGAGTTTTTATCTCTCTGCTTACATTACGTATCTGTTCTTCCATGCTGTTTACTCTTGCTATTAGGGTTCTTAACATATTAATCATAGTTATTTTAAAATTCCTATCATATAATTCCAACATGTATGTGACATCATGAGTCTGGTTCTGATGATTGCCTTTTTCTCAGAGTGGTTTTTTTTCCTTGAATTTTGACATACCTGGCAATCTTTTTGTTTAAAGCCAGATACAATGAATTAGGTAATAGGAAGTGAGATAAATAGGTCTTTACTATGGGGATTTATGCTCATCTGGCTAGGAGTTGGACTGTGTTTAATATTTGTCATAGCTACAGGCACCAGACAATTTAACTTCATTTCTTGTCCTTGTTTTCCTCTCCACACTTAACTTTGGGCTTTCCTAGGTGCTCTTTGTCTGGGAGGACCTGTGGCTTGCATCTCTTTCAGCTGTGATTTACTCTTATGCTACTGGCTATTTTTGTGTGATGGTAAATTGTGGGCAAGGGGATATGTTCCACAATTGTCCAATTAAATTGCTTGCAAAGTTTTTCTCTCATTGTTTTAGTAATCCTAATTGCATCTGTAGAATATTTAAAAAATGGTTTAGATATTGCTGACTCATACTAACTAAATTGTCACTGCTTTTTCAACAAAAATAAATTGTTATATGAGTAAATAGTTCACACCAATTTACTTGCCTCTAAAGAATGGAAATAAGTTCTTAAAAAAAAACAAAAAAATAAGTTGATCATTTTTGCAACATTTTAAAGCAAGAAGATATTATAAAATTCCTAAAAACAATCATTTGGAATTATTTATTTTTAATTTAAACTCATTTTAGATACAGAGGGTACATATGTAGGTGTATTATATGGAGATATTGCATCTGCTGATGTCTGGGGTATGGATCTCGTCAATCAGGTAGTGAGCATAGTACCTGATAGGTAGTTTTTCAACACATGCCCCCACTACCTCTTTTTGCCTCAGTAGTCCATAATATCTATTTTTGCTCATAGTATCTGTATTTATGCCAATGTGTGCTCAATGTTTAGCTCCCATTTATAAGTGAGACATGTGGTATTTGGTTTCCTGTTGCTTCATTAATTAATTTAGGATTGCTCCATCATATTGCTGCAAAGGACCTGTTTTCACTATTTTTATGGCTACAATGTATTCCATAGTGTATATGTACCATAATTTCTTTATCCAATACACTGTTGTTTGGCACCTGTTATTTCCATGTCTATTCTATTACGAATAGTGCAGCAATGAGCATACGAGTGCATGTGTCTTTTTGGTAGAATGATTTATTTTCCTTTGGGTATATACCCTGTAATGGGATTGCTGGTTTGAATGGTGGTTCTGTTTTAGGTTCTTTAAGAAATCTCCAAACTGCTTTCCACAGGGGCTGGACTAATTTACATTCTCACCTGCAGTGTATAAGCATTCCTTTTCTCTGCAGCCTTATGGGCATCTATTGTTTTTTGACTTTGTAATAATTGCCATTTTGACTGGTGTGAGATGGTATCTCATTATGGTTTTGATTTTCAATTCTCCAACGGTTAGTAAAGTTGAACATTTTTTCATATGATTGTTGCCACTTTTATGTCTTCTTTTAAGACCTGTCTGTTTATGTCCTTTGTCCATTTTCAATGGGGTTATTTGCTTTTTACTTGTTGATTTCTTTAAATTCTCTATAGATTCTGAATAGTAAGCATTTGTCAGATGCATGGATTGCAAATATCTTATTCCACTCTGTAGGTTGTCAGTTTACTCTGTTGATAAGTTCTTTTGCTATGCAGAAGATCTTTAGTAAAATAAGACCCCATTTGTCTATTTTTGGTTTGGCTGCAATTGCTTTTGGGGACTTAGCCATAACTTCTTTGCCAAGGCTGACGTTGAAAAGAGTATTTCCTAGGTTGTCTTCTAAGATTTTTATAGTTTGAGGGCTTATATTTAAGCCTTTTATCCGTTTTGAGTTAATTTTGTATATGGTGAAAGGCAGGGGTCCAGCATCAATTCAGCACGTGGCTAGTCAGTTATCCTGGCACCATTTATTGAATAGGGAGTCCTTTCCCCACTGCTTGTTTTTATCAGCATTGTCAAAGATTAGATGGATGTAGGTGTGTGGCTTTATTTCTGAGTTTTCTATTCAGTTCCATTGGTCTATGTGTCTGTTTTTGTATCAGTACCATGCTGTTTTGGTTACTGTAGCCTCGTAGTATAGTTTGAAGTTGGGTTGCATGATGCCTCCAGGTTTGTTCTTTTTGCTTAGGATTGTCTTGGATATTCAGGCTCTCTTTCTGGTTCTATATGAATTTTAAAATAGTTTCTTCTAATTCTGTAAAGAATGTCAATGGTTGTTTAATGGGAATAGCATTGAATCTATAAATTACTTTGGGTAGTGTGGCCATTTTAATGATATTGATTCTTCCAATCCATGATCATGGAATCTTTTTTCATTTATTTGTGTTGTCTAATTTCTTTCAGCAGAGGTTTTTAGTTCTCCTTGAGGAGATCTTTCACCTTGTTGGTTAACTGTATTCTTAGGTATTTCATTTTCTTTGCAGCCATTGTGAATGGGATTGTGTTCTTGATTTCACTCTTGGCCTGGATGTTGTTTGTGTATGGAAATGCTATTTATTTTTGTATACTGATTTTGTATCCCGAAACTTTACCAAGGTCATTTATGAGTTCTAGGAGCCTTTTGGCAGGGTCTTTAGGATTTTCTAGATATAGAATCATATTGTTCGTAAAGGAAGATAGCTTGACTTTTCCTATTTGAATGACTTTTATTTATTTCCTTTGCCTGACCACTTCTATTCAACATAGTACTGGAACTCCTAGCCAGAGAAATCAAATAAGAGAAAGAAATAGAATTTTTTTAAATTAACTTTTTTTTCTCCTTCTTGTCCCATGATCCTCTCCCCTTCCTGTCAAATCATGATAATGTACTTATCTTAAGGATATTTCCTCTCTACTTAGTCTTTTATTCTCTAATTTCATAAAATTGCTTGATACTACTTGGATATTTGTAGCTACTCAGACATATAGAAAGTTCACAGTTTCAGTGATGTCAATGACTAATGAAACCCAGAGTTTATGTAGTGAACTAGAAAATTGAAACACAAGTTTCCGTGAGAAGAGTAATAGGCAGAATGAGAATTAATTCAAAGGGTAATATTAATAGGTATTTTCTATTCAAAATATCCTGGAAATACTCTACTTACAATATTTTATTTGTAGAATCCTAATACTGGGAAAAATACTACCTTATTTTTAAAAATATTTTAAGCCTTCCGGCAGGTTTCTTCAACCCTCTGAGAATACAGTTTGTCCTCTAACTAAATATCCATTTTCAAAATTGGAAGGAAAGAATGGTCCAGTCTGGCTTTACCATATTAAACACAAAACCAACTGTTCAGTTTAAGTTATGCCTAAGAGAAATTATAATCTCAGCTGCCATTTCTCATATCCTGTTAAAATATATCAAAATATTTAGTGTACTCTAGTATTTACTTGTCCACTTCTCTTACATTTCAAGTTTATTTCCAAGCCTGTCTCTTAAAACTTCAGGATAATTCTGTCTTTACCTCTAATCATCTAGATCATTCCTTTCACAGTTAGGCAGATGACAAGTATGAGGAGACAGCTTTTGGCTGACATATATAATTCTTATTGCACTAATGTTATTGTTATCTTGTTGAATTATAATTGTTATTTTCTAGGTTTAAATTCCTGTTCCATAAATTGCCAGTTATGTGACCTTTAACAAATTTTCTCTGTCTCAGTTTCCTCATCTGTAAAATGAAGGCAATTCTATTACTTAACTGATAGAATGTTGTAAAGATTAAATTTGTTAATTCACAAAATATGTTTCAGAAAAGTGTCTAGCTCATAATAATTGCACAATGTATATTCGCTGCAATTACTGTTAGTATTATAACTATTACAACTGGTTTGGAGGGGACGTAGTGTCTCACCTGATTAGTAGACCATTTATACTAAATCCTTGAGGAGAGACAGGCCTATGAAAGCATTGCACAATTATGTCAGGTGTTGTTCACATGGACTACTATAAGATTGGGATACCTTGGACTTTGGGCAACTCTAGGCACATGTGATTCCTTTTTCCCAGAAACAGGACTTAGAAAGGAAAGAAAGTGGAAAGATCATGAATCTCAGCCTAGTTTTTATATCTGCACATCCCTAGTAGAGTTATTTTACCTCCCTGAGCTGTGGTCTCATCATTTGGAAAATAATACTCAGAAGTCATGGTGGTTGTGAAGATCAGTATATATAGACATGCTTTATATAAAGCACATAGCATTAATAAAATTTTTTTTAAAGTATAAAGTATTCTTTATTTTTTAACATAAAGTTTTATACTATATATAAAACACATAGTATTAATTATTTTAAAAATCAGATTTCCTTCTCCCTCTCCTATTATTTCTTTTTCTATTAACTAAAGGGCAGAATCTTCTTATCTAACATTTACCCGGAGAGATATAAAGCAGAATAGGAAAAAATACCTGCGTGGCAAAACCATGCAGTTGTCACATGGGGATGGATCGAGTGAAAACAAATGAAAAAAACTAGCCATGTGCTTGTACCTTGCTCCTGTATTGGAGGGCTAGCATATAGATGTCTTAAGGCAGTGGGTGAATTGGAACAGGTCTCACAAATAAAGTGACTAAGACATAAATAGAACTTTGAATTTTATTGACATGTATGAGCTTACATTCCTTTAACTATCTCTTACTATCCTGTTCTTACTTTTGAGAGTTCCAGTTCACTTTCAAAGAGAAAGGACACAGATTTGAGTCAAAGTGCTGGAGGTGGGGGTCAAGGCACTGTCCTCTGCTCCCAGCCAGAGGACCAATGAAATGACTTGAAGGAACAGGGTAATGGCAAAGTCAGAGCCACTTAGAAACCTAAAGATTTTTATTTTTCTGTTAATTTTAGGAGGCTAGGTTTGGTTTTACAATTAATAACCCCTTATAGGAAGCAGGAAACACTACCTCAACTCCATGTCTACATTCTTGACACAAATAGCACTTTTATTCTTCTAAAATCACAAATATATAAAAAAATGTGAGGGCTTTCCAAAGGGATAAGGGCTTGGAAAGAAGCATCTTTCAAGAAAGGTAGGCATATTTTCCATGTTCATAAGTTTGTTACTCAAGGCTTAATATGCTCCAATGAAGTATATATCATAGAATCTTCTTGCTTCACACCAGTGATTTTTCAGCCTTGGCTTGATACTAGCAGCACCATGAGAACATTTAAAATACAACAATGCTCAAACTGATTTAATTGTTCTGGGAACTGGTATTTTTTAAAGTTCCCAGGTGAATCAATATAAACTTAGGTCTCTGAACTACTGCTTTATGCCCTTAGACCTGTGTTCTCAGGTTTTAACTGGAAATTTAGCCCATTGTCTCTAGGTTTGCCCTTTGTAACAATGAAGGAAAGAATGCCCTGGGTATTCTAGAACAGTTCTTTAAAAGTTTGAAAATAAATCAACCCTTGAGTCTCTTTTCTCAGATGACTCAAACTAGTGCCTCACACTTTGCGTCTTAGAAGCCTTTCCATTCTTATTTTTGTAATTCTCAGGAGGAATTCTTATAATGTTAAATATGTTGAAAGGTGAAAGACAGAAGTTTGAATAAAAAGCTTTACATTAATTATTATGGCAACATTTATCAACAATTACCTATTATTCCTTTGTAAACACATTCTTACAGTGTATTAACATTTCACTATTCTTTGAAGTAGTGATTGCCTATTGGTCTTGTTTATATTCTGTTACAATTCCACATTTCCCCAAAACTTATTCTGGAGATTTTCTTAGTTTTTTAAAGTCTTTTGTTGAGAAGAGCCTAGTTAAACTTTTTATTAAACTTATTGTGATAAGAGAGGGCACTATTGAGGTATAAGTTTCTCGGAAAGATTTTGTGGAAAACTCAGATAGATCTTAATACTGTAGCATTTAGGTATATTGGATTCCTGGTTTAAATAATGCCTGAAGCTTGTCAAGTGGAAGTAAAGCAAGAGAAGAAAAGTATCTTAAATTTAAACCATCAAGCAAAGAGTAAAATTTTTCCCAAAAGCAATGAACCATTTAATTTCCACTAATGTTACCTGGGAAAAAATATCCTGTACTACCAATCAAAGAAACTTAGAAATGAGAATAAGCACTTAGTCTTCAGAGACTCCAAAAATTTTGGTTCAGGGGAATCAGAGTTGAAACATTCCTCTCAAAATAGCCTTGCATAATATTTTTGTTTTAACAAATTAAATTTAATTTGGCAGAAGATTGGAAAGAATGCTCTTTGGGAATTTAAGATTTGCTCCAAAGTCAACAAAGAACTATGTAAGCTGGGCAAGCTCAGTATTATGAAGGGGTAAAGAAGCTGATCCTAAAATAAAGAGTAGGTAATATTTTAAGATGTCAAATAAATGACATTTGCAACTTACTATATTTGCAGTTACAACCTGCTTACACTTAGAGTTGCAACCTACTACACTTACGCTAAGTTTTAGGTAAGAAGGCACATAAGCATTCATATGTGAGCATGCATATATACACACTTAGAAATAAATTTTAATTATTTTTTAAGCTAGCCCTACAACTAAACTTTTAGAATGATGAGGCAAAGGGGACTGAAGAATCACAACATTGGTCTCACAATTAATCTTAAGATAACTAGTCACAAAGAAATATTTTCACATAATAAGTAAAAACACTAAAGTAAGTAAAAATCTATTTGTTACGTCTAGAAAATTTTATCTTGCTTGGCTCATGAGAAATTGATAAAGTTGAAGAGGATTCTATTTAATGTAGGGTCTGGCTTGTATGTGGGAATACAGAAAGCATATAAACTTATTTTTATGATTTATAAAATTAGGTTGTAAAAGTTATTGTGATCGTTATTGACTAAACAGATGGTATTTTAAAGTTTATCTACAATTAATTATCATGTCAGTAGCAAATCTGCCACTTAAATTCAAGCAAAATTATTGATCTCAATATTGATGGTTTAAAAGTTAGAAATGTATCATCTGACTAGAGTGATCTCCATTGTAAAATATCAGAACTTGTCCTCAGGTAAAAATCCTGCTGTTTTAGACACACTAGGATTTAGAATTTTAGCAGTCCCTTTAGAAAAGTCTTCCTTGGTCTCTTTCTCTGTAAATGGTCAGTCCATCTATAATGGTGGGTCCAAAAGAACCATAATTCTACCACATTACCCTGGTTCTCTAGCAATATTGGAGGACTGTGGTAAGCAGTTGACTTATACTTGGTCTAATATATTTTCCTTCAAGAATGTGAACTGAGGGATGCAGAGGATGGGACTTGCGTGCTGAGTCATTTTAATGGTGGACTCTAATGAAAGATCCACAAACTGTTGATACCAAGATCCTTACTCCCCATTGCATCCTTTCTCAAGAGTTGTAGTTTATTATTTTTAAAATATATTTTTATATTTATTATAAAATAATAAAATTTATTATTTTATTATTATAACATTTATTATAAAATATTATATATTTATTATATTATAACTTATTATGTTATATTTTATTTATATATTTTTATGTTATAATAAATATTTATGTTATATATTTATTATGTTATAATTTATTATATTATAACATTTATTATAAAATATAAAATGTTATAAAATTTACTGTAATAAATTTTGTTTTAATGTTGAAACTTCCTTATGTTGATTCTATTATTGTACACCAAAGACTTTACTACAAGGATTCATGACAGTAGAACTTAGAAAAAGATTTTAAGGAGACAACTAGTTCAACTCCTTCACTTTAAATGAAGAAATTGACACTCATAGAGCTTGATTCAATTGTTTAATATCTAGAAGAACTAGAGATGTGGTGTGGACATTAGTTCTTGTTTTTGCTAAGTGTGCCATTCACATTCCTGACTTTCACATTCACCTGACTTTCACCTCAAGAGCTTATGAAGACAGGCCTCTTCGTTTAGTAATCTGTGTAGATATTATGTTTTTTTTTTCCCAGTGCTAAATTTTTCACCTTTCATATTCTGATTATCTAACTACTTTCACTTTATAACTAAAGCAAAAGGGCCACAGATTTTTACAAATGCTCTATCTGGCCAAAGCCCCAAATTAAGCTCTTTCAGATTGCTACAAAGAAGAGCTGATACCAATCCTACTGAAACTGTTCCAAGAAATCAAGGAGGAGGAGTTTCTCCCTAACTCATTCTACAAAGCCAGCATCATTGTAATATGAAAATCAGGCAGAGATATAATGAAAAAAGAAAACTTCATGCCAGTATCCCTAATGAAGATTGATGCAAAAGTCCTCAACAAAATACCAGAAAAATGAGCCCAGCAGCTCCTCAAAAAGCTAATCTATCCCAATAAAGTAGGTTTTATTTCTAGGGTGCAAGATTAGTTCAACATACACAAATCAGTAAATGTGATTCACCACATAAAAAGAAAGAATCAAAAACAAAAAACATATGATCATCTCAATAGATGCAGAAAAAAGCCTTCAATAGACCAGGCATTGAGGGAATATACCTCAGAATAATAAAAGCCATCTACAACAAACCCATATTCAACATCATATTGAATGGGCAAAAGATGGAAGCATTTTCCCTTGAGAAGTTAAACAAGACACTCTCACCAATTTTATTCAACATAGCACTGGAAGTCCTAGCCAGAGCAATCAGGCAAGAGAAAGAAAAAAAAAGACAAATAGAAAAAGAAGTTAACTATCTATCTTTGCTGACAATATAATTCTTCTATACAAAGAAAACCCCAAAGACTCCATGAAAAGGTTCCTGGAATTGATAAACACATTTGGTAAAGTTTCAGGATACAAAACCAATGGAAAAAATCAGGAGTATTTCTATATACCAAGAATGGTCTAGTTATGAACTAAATCAAGAACACAATCCTACTTATATTAGCCATAAAGAAAATAAAATACCTAGTGTATTAGTCCATTTTCATGCTGCTGATAAAGACAAACCTGAGACTGGAGAAAAAAAGAGGTTTAATTGGACTTACAGTTTCGCATGGCTGAGGAGGCCTCAGAATCATGGTGGGAAGTGAAAGGCACTTCTTACATGGTGGTGGCAAGAGAGAATGAGGATGATTTAAAAGTGGAAACCTCTGATAAAACCATCAGATCTTATGAGACGTATTCACTACCACAAGAGCAGTAAGGGGGAACTGATCCCATGATTCAAATTATCTCCCACTGTGTCCCTCTTAAAACATGTGGGAAATATGGGAGTACAATTCAAGATGAGGTTTGGGTGAGGACACAGCCAAACCATATCATTCCACCCTGGTCCCTCCAAATCTCATGTCCTCACATTTCAAAACCAATCATGCCTTCCCAACAGTCCCTAAACTCTTAACTCATTTCAGCATTAACCCAAAAGTCTACAGTCCAAAGTCTCATCTGAGACAAGGCAAGTCCCTTCCACCTACAATCCTGTAAAATCAAAAGCAAGCTTGTTACATCCTAGATACAATGGGGGTATAGGTATTGGGTAAATACAGCCATTCCAAGTGGGAGAAGTTGGCCAAGACAAAGGGGTTACAGGGCCTGTGCAAGTCCCAAATCCAGTGGGGCAGTCAAATTTTAAAGTTCCAAAATGATCTCCATTGACTCCAGGTCTCACATCCTGGTCATGTGGATGCAAGAAGTGGGTTCCCATAGTCTTGGGCAGCTCCACTCCTGTGGTTTTTCCAGGGTACGGTTTCCCTCCCAACTGCTTTAATGGTCTGGCATTGAGTGTCTGTGGCTTTTCCAGGTGAATGGTGCAAGCTGTCGATGGATCTACTACTCTGGGGTCTGGAGGACAGTGGTCCTCTTCTCACAGCCCCATTAGGCAGTGCCCCACTGGGGACTCTGTGTGGAGATCTGACCCCACATTTCCCCTCCACACTGCCCTAGCAGAGGCCCTCCATGAGCACCCTACCCCTGCATCAAACTTCTGTCTGGACATCCAGGTATTTCCATACATCTTCTGAAACCTAAGTGGAGGTTCTCAAACCCCAATTCTTGACTTCTGTGCACTCACAGGCTCAACACCACATGAAAGTTGCCAAGGCTTGGGGCTTGAAGCCTCTGAAACCATGGCCCTAGCTCTACACTGGCCCTTTCAGCCACAGCTGGAGCAGCTGGGACGCAGGGCACCAAGTCCCTAGGCTGCACACAGCACAAGGACCCTGGGCCCAACCCACGAAACCATATTCTCCTAGGCCTCCAGGCCTGTGATGGGAGGGGCTGCCATGAAGACCTCTGACATGCCCTGGAGAAATTTCCCCCATTGCCATAGGGATTAACATTCGGTTCTTCATTACTTATGCAAATTTCTGCAGTCGGCTTGAATTTCTCCTCAGAAAATGGGTTTTTCTTTTCTATCACATTGTCAGGCTGCAAATTTTATGAACTTCTATGCTCTGCTTCCTTTATAAAACTGAATGCCTTTAACAGCACCCAAGTCACCTCTTGAATGTTTTGCTGCTTAGAAATTTCTTCTGCCAGATACCCTAAATCATCTCTCTCAAGATTCAAAGTTCCAAAAACCTCTAGGCTGGGGCAGAATGCCACCAATCTCTTTACCAAAACATAACAAGAGTCACTTTCCTTCCAGTTCCCAACAAGTTCCTTATCTCCATCTGAAACCAACTTAGTCTGGACCTTATTGTCCATATTGCTATCAGGCTTTTGGTCAAAGCCATTCAAAAATCTCTAGGAAGTTCCCAACTTTCCCATATTTTTCTGACTTTTTCTGAGCCCTCCAAACTGTTCCAACTTCTGCCTGTTACCTAGTTCCACAGTTGCTTCCACATTTTTGGGTATGTTTTCAGCAACATCCCACTCCTGGTACCAACTTACTCTATTAATCTGTTTGCATACTGCTGGTAAAGACAAACCCGAGACTGGGAAGAAAAATAGGTTTAATTGGAGTTACAGTTCTGCATGGCTGGGGAGGCCTCAGAATCATGACGGGAGGCAAAAGGCACTTCTTAAAAGGAGGCAGCAAGAGAAAATGACGAAGACGCAAAAGTGGAAACCACTGATAAAATCATCAGATCTCATGAGACTTATTCACTATCATGGGAACAGTATGGGGGAAACCACCCCCATGATTCAAATTATCTGCCACTGGGTACTTCCCACAACACGTGGATATAATGGGAGTAAAATTCAAGATGAGATTTGGGTGGGGACACAGCCAAACTATATCACCTAGCAATTCATCTAAGCAAAAAGGAGAAAGATCTAGACAAGGAAAACTATAAAATACTGCCGAAAGATATCGGAGATAACACAAATAAACAAAAAAAAAGTTCATAGTCATGAATTGGAAGAATCAATAGTGTTAAAAGGGCCATACTGCCAAAAGCAATATACAGATTCAATGCTATCTTTATCAAAATACCAACATCATTGTTCACAAACTCAGAAACATCTATTCTAAAATTCATATGGAATGAAAGGATAGCTTGAATAACCAAAGTAATTTTAAGCAAAAAGAACAAAAATGGAAGCATCACATAGCCCAACTTTATTAGATAAGGCCACAGTAACAAAAACAGCATGATACTGGTAGAAAAACAGACATATCAACCAGTGAAACAGAATAGAGAACCCACACACCTACAACCATCTGATCTTCGACAAAATTGACAAAAATAAGCAAAAAGGAAAGGAATCCCTATTCAACAATGGTGCTGGGATAACTGGCTAGCCTTTGCAGGAGAAGAAAACTAGACCCCTGCCTTTCACCATATACAATAATTATCTCAAGTTAAATTAAAGATTTAGATGTAAGACCTCAAGCCATAAAAACCCTAGAAGAAAACCTAGGAAATACTCTTCTCCACATCAGCCTTGGCAAATTTATGACTAAGAAACCAAAGCAATTCAAGATAAATGAAAATTGAGAAATAGGACCTAATTAAGCTAAAGAGCTTCTGCACAGCAAAAGAAATTACCAATAGAATAAACAGCCTAAAGAATGGAGGAGATAGTTGCAAACTATGCATCTAACAAGGGTCTAATACCCAAAATATGCAAGGAACCTAAACAAATCAATAAACAAAAGACAAAACATTTAATTTAAAAAACTGGGTGAATGACATGAACAGACAGTTCTCAAAAGAGAGCATACAAGTGGCAACAAACATGAAAAAACACAACATCTGTAATTATCAGAGAAATACAAATGGAAACCATAATGAGATTACCATCGCATAAAGATCTGAATGGAGATTGTTAAAAAGTCAAAAATTAACAGATGCTGGTAAAGCTGTGGGGAGAAAGGAATACTTATACTCTGTTGGTAGAAATGTAAACTAGTTCAGCCACTGTGGAAAGCAGTTTGGAGATTTCTCAAAGATCTTAAGATGGAATTAGCATTCAATCCAGCAATCCCACTACCGTATATACCCAAAAGCAAATAATTCATTATATCAAAAAGACACATGCACTTATAAGCTCATTGCTGCACTACCCACATTACTAAGATCTGGTATCTGCCTAGGTGCCAATCAACAGTGTATTGGTTAAAGAAAATGTGGTACATATATACCATGGAGCACTATAAATTCATTAAAAATAATATAATCATGTCATTTTCAGCAACATGGATGGAGCTGGAGGCTATAACCTTAAGTGAACTAATGAAAGAACAGATAACCAAATACTGCATGTTCTCACTTATAAGTGGAAACTAAACATTAGGTACACGTGATTGTAAATATGGGAACAATAGATGCTGTGGATACTAGATGGGGGAGGCATGAAAGGGGACATGGGCTGCAGAAACACCTGTTAGGTAGTATGCTTACTGCCTGGGTGAAGGGATCATTGGGAGCTCAAGCCTCAGTGTCATGCAATATACCCATGTAACAAACCTGCATGTCTTTAATCCATAAAATTTTATATTGTAAAAAAATAAAATGTATGTAGGTAGGGAAAATTTAGAATGATAAATAGATTAACAAATATTTATTAGAATCTTATTGATTATTTGGTGTGTGCCAGAGACTGTTCTAGATGTAGGGGGATGTAGCAGTGAACATAGACAAAATCATTAGGGGAAAAGACAATAAAGATATGTATGTAAAATATACAGTCTATTTTGTTGGAGTAAGTTTTAGGAAGAAAAATACAGGGAAAGGAAATAGATTTGTGTGGTATGGTATTGTAATTTTAGAGAGGGTGGCTTCACTAAGAAGAGAGTTGCATTGCATTGCAATAAAATCCTGAAATAAATAATAAGTGAGCTGTGTAAATGCCTGGAGACAAGCACTCCAAAAAGAATAAACAGCTAGTGCAAAGGCCCTGAGGCAAGAGTATATCTGTGCTAGAGACAGCAAAAAGGCCAGTATGCCTGGTGCAGAGTGAATAAAAGGGAAAATCATAGGAGATGAAGTCAGAAAGATAATTGGAGAGAGAGGACATAGATTACATAAGGCTTACATTCTGTTGACTTTGTCTTCATTTTCATGAAAAACCATTGTGGGAATTTGAGGAGAGGAGAGGTATAGTTGGACTTAATGTTTTAATATAAGATATCCCTGTGGCTGTGGAGTGGCCTTTAGGGTAGAAGCAGGAAGACAGGAAGTATTTGCAGTAATTCAGGAGCAAGATAATGAAGGCAATAGTGGGTAAGAAGCAGGAAGACTTCGGATATATCTTTTCAAATGAAGCTGACAGGATGTATTGATAAATTGGATATGCAGTATGTGAAATAAATAGAAATCAAGGAGCAGCCCATTTTTTTTTATCTGAACAACTTGAAAATTAAATTGACACTTGCCAATGAATATCTTAAGATTAAGACAGATGCCACAGGCTCTGTAAAAATCAAACTGATATGGGATGACAAGAGGTAACGATAGTCCAAGCAGAAGTTTCCCTAATGTCCGTCACACATTCAGACAACTCTGAGTGTTCACTGTAAGCCCAGCCCCCAATTGGATATTTTTCACCCCAACTTCTGAAAGACATTGCAGCCATCCGGAATTGCTCATCAGAAAATCTTTACTATCTTTATAGGCAAGGTGCATGGTTCAACTGTTCTGTCATTTTACAGTATAATCAAATGAATGACATATTGACATGACCATTTTTCCTTATTTTCCTACCTAAAGCATTGATTTGTGAATGAAATTCATCATTTAAATGTTAAATTTATTGTAGTAGGGCCTGACTGAATTGGGGTTAATTGAAGTTCCAAATACAATCTTGTTGCAGGTGTTTCTTATATAATTAATACTTGTATTTAGGATTAAAGTTTATTATTTATTGTTATTTTGTCAATGACAGCAGAAGAGCATTAGATTATCACTTAACAGAAAACATAAGGAATCAGAGCAATTGATTCAAATTCAACATGTTCTCATTTTTGTGCCAACTTTATCTGTGAAAGTGAAAATTTTATTTCCAAATAAAACTGATTTTAGATGAAAGATTTATTTTGTTTTACTCTACCCCAATAATAAACCATCTGCTCTATGACCTTGAGTTTCTGTAAGCCCAAGAGAACACAGTGCCACCCGCTAAGAAAGAAGGAAGGGAGAGAGAATGCAGGGATAATTACTTCTATCCTCTTTAAAGACATTGCCTACTTCTCATAAATATGAGCCACTCTTCCTTTCCTGTTTCCTATAAACTTTAAAAACAATTGGTCACTTTTTGCAGAAGTCTCCTCCATGGTTGCACATTCATTTAGTGCTGGTACATGAGTAGATTCCAACATTTTCAGTTTTTAAATAGAAAAACACGTGGGTGCCTTCACCAGAAAACATAATGAAGGCTTCTTTTTAAAAAAATTTTAAAAACTATATTGTTTGGGAAGAGATATGCTTTCCCATGTGAGTTTCTTTTTACTAGATTCAAGAATATTAAAACTCATTATCCATTTACTCCCCCCTTCCCTCTATAAGTGTTTATCGAACTGAGATTTGTTTATTGTGCAAGGCATTTCCTGCATATTGACAATAAAAGTGAATAAATCAAGGTCTGCCTTTAAACAATGTACAGTAAAAAACACAAATGACTATATAGAAAAATAAATGCCACCACTATTGTTCAATAGGACTAATATAATACCCCTCTAACTCATCTTCCTGCTTCAGCTCTGGACCCCTACGGTCTATTTTCCACAGAACAGCCAAATTAATTGTGAATGTAGATTAGCTCACATCATTCTTCCCTCCAAAACCCTCAAATGGCTTCCAATCCCCCTTGAAATAAATTTCAAGGTCCTTACCATAGAAAGGTCACAACCTACAATTTCCTACGTATTTTTCTTTTATTTTTTTGGAGATTGAGTCTTGCTCTCTTGTCCAGGCTGGAGTGCAGTTGGGTAGTATTGGCTCACTGCAGCCTCCATCTCCCAGGCTCAAGTGATTCTCATGCCTCAGCCTCCCAAGGAGTTTGGATTACAGGAATGTGCCACAAAACCCAGCTAATATTTGTATTTTTAATAGACAGAGTTTCACCATGTAGGCCAAGCCAGTCTTGAACTCCTGGCCTCAAGTGATCCACCTGCCTCAGCCTCCCTAAGTGCTAGGATTGAGCCACTGTGCCCTGCCAAATCCTACATGATTTGACTCAAATGTCTCTAACTGCTTTCCCCACCATCACTGTGTTCATGACACTTTGACCTTCTTGCTCTTCTTACAGTTTCCAAACATGTTCTTGCTTCAAGAACTATGCAACTGCCTTCATTCTGCCTGAAATGATTTTCCACCATATTTTCTTACGATCCACTCCCTTCAAGTCTCTTCTCAAATGTCATCACCTTAAAGTCCTTCCCTGACTGCCCCACTCCTTTCTAAAGTAATGAGGAATTAGTGAAGGATTCTATTACATTGCACTGCTTTATTTGGTATACCATTTTGCACTAATTGACAACATATTTTTTATTTATTTATTATACACAAACACTCCTCAGGTTGTGAATTTCATGAAGCAAGAAATTTTTTACTTTTGTTTTGTTTACTTTTTTAGAGTAGTAACAAAGTTTTTAAACATATATTTTAAATTTATGGACACTTGGTGTATATATTTATGGGGTACATGAGAGGTTTAATACAGGCATGCAATGTGTAATAATCACATCATGTCAAATGAAGTATGCATCCCCTCAAGTATTTAACCTTCATGTTAAAAACAATCCAATTATTTTAATTCTTTTTAAGTGTACAATTAAATGATTATTGACAATAGTCACCCTGTTGTGCTGTTAAACACTAGGTCTTACTCATTCTTTCTTACTATTTTTTTTGTACCCATTAACTATCCCCACCCCATAGCAACTATCCCACTACCCTCCCTAGCCTCTGATAAGCATCCTCTGCTCTCTATGTCCATGAGTTCAACTGTTTTGATTTTTAGATCTCACAAATAAGTGAGAATATGTGATGTTTGTCTTTCTGTGCCTGGCTTATTTCCATTAACATAATGACCTCCAGTTTCATTCATGTTGTTGCAGATGACAGAATCTCATTCTTTTTTTATGGCTGAATTGTACTGTATTATGTATAAGCATCACGTTTTCTCTATCCATTCATCTGTTTGATGAACATTTAGGTTGCTTCCAAATTTTGGCTACTGTGAACAGTGCTGCAACAGATATAGAAGTGCAGATATGTCTTTGATATACTGATTTCCTTTCTTTGGGGTATATACCCAGCGCTGGAGTTGCTCAATCATATGCCAGCTCTATTTTTAGTTTTTTTGAGGAACCTCCAAACTGTTCTCCGTAGTAGTTGTACTAATTTACATTCCCATCAAAAGTGTAAAAGGGTTCCCTTTTCTCTACATCCTTGCTAGAATTTGGTATTGCCTGTCTTTTGGATATATCATTTTAAGTGGGGTGAGACGATATCTAATTGTAGTATTGATCTGAATTTCTCCAATGATCAATGATGTTGAGCACCTTTTAATATTCATGTTTGCCATTTGTATGTCTTCTTTTGAGAAATGTCTATTCTTATACTTTGCCCATTTTTAATTGAATGATTAGATTTTTTCTTATAGAATTGTTTGAGCTACTTATATTCTGGCTAATAATCTCTTGTCAGATGGGTTATTTGCAGATATATTCCATTCTGTGTGTTGTTTCTTCACTTTGTTGATTATTTCCTTTGCTGTGCAGAAGCTTTTTAACTTGATGGGATCCCATTTGTCTATGTTTGTTTCGGTTGCCTGTGCTTGTGGGATATTACTCAAGAAACCTTTGCTGAAATCAATGTCATGGAGAGTTTTCCTGATATTTTCTTGTAGTATTTTTATAGTTTGAAGGCTTAGATTTAAGTCTTTAATCTATTTGATTTGATCTTTGTTTATGGTAAGAGACAGGGGTCTAGTTTCATTCTTATGCATATAGATATCCAGTTTTTCCAGCAATATTTATTGAACTGACTGTCTTTTCCACAATATATGCTCCTGGCAACTTTGTCAAAACGAGTTCACTGTAGGTGTATGGATTTGTTTCTTGGTTTTCTATTCTGTTCCACTGGTCTATGTGTCTGTTTTTATGCCAGTACCATGCTGTTTTGGTTACTATAGCTCTGTAGGATACTTTGAAGTCAGGTAATGTCATTCTTCTCATTTTGTTCTTTTTGCTTAGGATAGTTGTGGCTTTTTGGGCTCTTTCTTAGTTCCTTATGCATTTTAGATTTTTTTTTTTGGTATTTTTGTGAAGAATGTCATTGGTATTTTAATAAGGATTGCATTAAATTGGTAGAATTCTTTGGGTAGTAAGAACATTTTAACAATATTGTTTCTTCTAATCCATCAACATGGACTGTCTTTCCATCTTTTGGTGTCCTCTTCAATTTCTTTCATTAGTGTTTTATCATTTTTATTGTAGTGATCTTTAACTTCTTTGGTTAATTCCTAGGTATTTAATTTTATTCATGGCAATTATAAATGGGAATCCTTTTTAAATTTATTTATCAGATTGTTCACTATTAGCATATAGAACTGCTGCTAATTTTTGTATGTGATTTGGTACCCTGCAACTGTCCTGAATCTATTTATCAGTTCTAATAGTTTTTTTGTGGAGTTTTTAGGGTTTTCCTCATATAAGATCATGTCATCTGCAAACAAGGTGTATTAGTCTGTTCTCACATGGCTGTAAAGAACTACCTGAGACTCGGTAATTTACAAATAAAGAGGTTTAATTGACTCACTGTTCCAAACGCTGTCCAGGAAGCATGGCTGGGAGGCCTCAGGAAACTTACAATCATGGTGGAAGGTGAAGGGGAAGCAAGCACATTTTATCATGGCAGAGCAGGAGAGAGAGTGAAAGGGGAAGTGCTACACAGTTTTAAACAACCAGATCTCTTGAGAATTCACTCCCCACCATGGGAACAGCAAGGGGGAAATCTGTCCCTATGATTCAATCACCTTCCACCAGGTCACTCCCCTAGCACTGGATATTACAATTTAACATGATACTTGAATGGTGACACAGAGCCAAACCATATCATTCTGCCTCTGCACTCTCCCAAACATCAAGTCCTTCTCACATTTCAAAACACAGTCATGCCTTCCCAACAGTCCCTCAATATCTTAACTCATTCCAACATTTACTCAAAAGTCCAAGCCCAAAATGTCATCTGAAACAAGGCAAGTCCCTTCTACCTGTGAGCCAGTAAAATAAACAATAAGTTAGTTACTTCCAAGATACAACTGGTAAATAGACCCATTCCAAGAGGGAGAAATTCGTTAAAACAAAGGGGCTACAGGCCCCATGTAAGTCTGAAAACCAGGAGGGAAGTCGTTAAATCTTAATGTTCTCAAATAGTCTCCTTTGGCTTCATGTCTCACATCCAGGCCATGCTGATGCAAGGAGTGGGCTCCCAAGGCCTTGGGCAGCTCCAACTCTGTGTCTCTGCAGGGCACAGACACTGTGGCTGCTTTCATGGGCTGGCATTGAGGCCTGTGGCCAGGTGCATGGTGCAAGCTGTTGGTGGATCTATTATTCTGTGGTCTGGAGGGCAGTGACCCTCTTCTCATTAGGCAGTGCCCCATTGGGGACTCTGTGTGGGGGCTCCAAACACACATTTCTTGTCTGCTGTGCCCAAGCAGAGGTTCTCTGTGAGGGCTCTACCCTGCAGCAGGCTTCTTCCTGAACATCCAGGCATTTTCATACATTGAATGAAATCTGGGCAAAAGCTACCAAACCTGAACTCTTGCCTTCTTTGCACCCATAGACCAAACACCTCATGTAAGCCACCAAGGGTTGGGGCTTGCACCCTCTGAAACAAGAGCCTGAATTGTACCCTGGCCCCTTATAGCCATGGCTAGAACTGGAGTGGCTGGGAAACAGGAAACTATGTCCTAAGGCTGCACAGAGCAATGGGGCCCTGGGCCTGGCCCACAAAACCATTTTTCCCTCCTGGACCTGCAGGCCTGTGATGGGTGGAGCTGCTGTGAAGGCCTCTGCAATGCTCTGGAGGCATTTTCCCCATTGAATTGGCTATTAACATTTGGATGCTTTTTACTTGTGTAAATTTCTGCATCCCTGAATTCCTCCCCAGAAAATTCCTCCCTCCTCATGGTCAAGCCGCAATTATTTTTAACTTTTATGTGCTGCTTCCCTTTTAAATATACATTCTAGCTTCAGGGAATTTCTTTCTTTATGCAAATGATTATAGGCACTTATAAGCAGCCAGGCCACATCTTGAACAATGCTGCTTAGATGTTTCTTCTGCCAGACACTCTAAATCATCTCTCTCAAGTTCAAAGTTTCACAGGTCTCTAGAGCAGGGTCACAATGCCACCGGTCTCTTTGCTAAAGCATAGCAAGAGTGACCTTTACTCCAGTTGCGAATAAGTTCCTTATCTCCATTTGAGACCACCTCAGCTTGGACTTCATTGTCCACATCACTATCAGCATTTTAATCACAACAATTTAACAAGTTCCTAGGAAGTTACAAACTTTCCCTCATCTTGCTATCTTTTTCTTAGCCCTCCAAACTGTTCCAACATCTGCCCATTACCCAGTTCCAATGTCAATTCCACATTTTTAGGTATCTTTATAGCAATGCCCCACTTCTTAGGTACCAATTTTCTGTATTAGTCCATTCTCTTACTACTCTAACGAACCACCTGAGACTGGGTAATTTATAAAGAAAAGAGGTTAAATTGAATCACAGTTCCACAGGCTGTACAGGAATCATGGTTAGGAGGTCTCAGGAAACTTACAGTCATGGATGGAAGTGAAGGGGAAGCAAGCAGGTCTTACCGTGGTGGAGCAGGAAAGAGAAAGAAGGGTAAAGGCTACACACTTTTAAACAACAAGATCTCATGAGAACTCCCTCACTATCATGAAACAGCAATGGAGAAATCTGCCCCCATGATCCAATCACCTCCCACCATGTTCCTGCCCCAACATGGAAATTACAATTCAACATGCTGTTTGGGTGGGGACACAGAGCCAAAACATCACAAGTCTAATTTGACATATTTCTTTTCAATTTGGATACCCTTTATTTCTTCCATCTGATTGCTGTTACTGGGATTTCCAGTACTATGGAAAATGCTTTTTCAACATCAGTTGAAACAAAATACTAGCAAATAGAATTTAATAATACTTTAAAAAGGTCATTTATTGTGACCAAGTGGTATGTATCGCAGGGATGCAGGCATGGTTCAACATATGCAAATCAATAGTGTGATACATCATTTGTTTAGATTTGCATTTCCAGTCTCTAGAAGTGGGCCTGGCACAGAGGATGTATTAGTCTGTTCCCACACTGATACAAGAGGTGGGCTACCATGGCCTTGAGCAGCTGCATCCCTGTGGCTTTGCAGGGTATATCCCCCTTCATGGCTGCCTCCACAGCTGGCATTAAGTATCTGTGGCTTTTCCAGGCACACAGTGCAAACTGTCATAGGATCCGCCATTCTGGGGTCTAGAGCACGGTAGCCCTCTTCTCACAGCTCCACAAGAGGGGGCAGTGCCCTAGTGGAAAATCTTTGTGGGGGCTCCAACCCCACATTTCACTGCTGCACTACCCTAGCAGAGGTTCTCCATGAGGGCTCTGCCCCTGCAGCAAAGTTCTGTCTGCACATCCAGAGTTTCCATACACCCTCTGAAATCTAGGTGGAGGTTCCCAAACCTAAATTCTTGACTTCTGTGCACCTGCAGGCCCAATACCATGTGTAAGCCACCAAGGCTTGGGGCTTGCACCCTCTGTACAGTCATGGGACTTGGTGCCCTGAATGACAGCTGTAAAGGTGCCTGAGTTGTACGTTGGCCCCTTTTAGCCACAGCTATCATGCAAGGCACCAACTCCCATGACTGTACAGAGCAGGGGGCATTGGGCCCAGCCCATGAAGCCATTTTTCCCTTCTAGACCTCCAGGGTGCCATGCAGGTCTCTTGACATGCCCTGGAGGCATTTTCCCCATTGTCTTGGTGATTAACATTCAGATCCTGGTTACTTATGCAAACTTCTGCAGTCTGTGGCTTGAATTTCTCCCAAGAAAATGGGTTTTTAGTTTCTGTCACCTCAGCAGGCTGCAAATTTTCTAAACTTTTATGCTCTGCTTCCTCTTGAATGCTTTGCCTCTTAGAAATTTCTTCCACCAGATACCCTCAATCATCTCTCTCAAATTCAAAGTTCCACAGATCTGTAGGGCAGTGGCAAAATGCCACCAGTCTCTTTGTTAAAGCAAAGGAAGATCACCTTTGCTCCAGTTCCCAACAAGTTCCTCATGTCCATCTGAGACCACCTCAGTCTGAACTTCATTGTCCATATCACTATCAGCATTTTGGTCAAAGCCATTCAACAAGTCTCTAGGAAGTTCCAAACTTTCCCACATCTTCCTGTCTTCTGAACCTTCCAGTATCTAGGAAGTTCCACACTTTCTCACATCTTCCTGTCTTCTTTTAAGCCCTTCAAGCTGTTCTAATCTGTCTGTTACCCAGTTCCAAACTTGCTTCCACATTTTCCATATCCTTATAGCAGCACTGCATCCCAGTACCAATTTACTGTATTATTAGTCTGTTCTCATGCTGCTATAAGGAAATATCTGAGAATGTGTAATTTATAAAGAAAAGAGGCTTAATTGACTCACAGTTCCACATGTCTAGAGAAGCTTCAGGAAACTTATAATTATGGTGGAAGGTACCTCTTCACAGGGTGGCAGCAGAGAGAATGAGTGTCAAGCAAATGGGGAAAAGCCTCTTATAAAACCATCAGATCATGTGAGAACTCACTCACTATCATGAGAATAGCATTGGGGTAACTGTCCCCATGATGTAATTACCTCCCACCGGGTCCCTCCCACAACATGTGTGGATTATGGGAACTACAATTCAAGATGAGATTTGAGTGGGAACACTGCCAAACCATATCAGAGGGTGTACTCAACAAATACTAAATGATTTTACAAAGTGGGAAAGCACAAATGGGCAAGGCTATTTAAATTTAAAATCCAAACATTTTAAATGACTAGGGAGCGGTATTTAGAGAATCTCTTCAGAATTTTCATAAAATTAACCCTTTTAAGTTTATTCATCTGAATTTTTAATGGCTGTATTTAAAATGGCATGATAACTAACTGGTCAGAATACCCATTTTCCATGTTGGTAACTCCTACACTTCTTTGCCATCCCTTCAGTGATGAGGAAAGAACTGTGCACACAGTTCTGGAAAATAGGAAATTGAAGAGATCAAGGTGCCAACGGATTTGGTGTCTGGTGAGAGCCCTTTCTCATATATGGTGCCTTCTATACATCTTCACATGGCTGAAGGAATGAACAAAATCCCATGGGCCTCTTTTATAGGGGCATTAATTGCATTCATGAGAAACGAGTCCTCATGACCTCATCATTTCCTAAAGGGCCCATCTCTTAATACTATCATATTGGATATTAGGTTTCAACATATGAATTTGGAGAGTCACATACATTCAGACCATGGCAGTGGGTTAGGTAGGACACAGAATATGAAGTGCTCATGGAAAACTGATCAAGCCAGGATATTTTCAAGAAAGATTTAAAAAAGGAGTATACATTAGAGTAGTATTTCGTATTGGCTCCTGAGTTCCAGAGCTCACAAGTTTAGTTTTCTGGACACTATGTTTTCTGCTTCTTTCAAATCACCAGAGTGCTCAATCTATCTTGAGAACTTAATTTTGGCAAGTTTTACCTCATATGTTAACACATTTTGACTTTACCATTTTTTTCTTTAAATGGTGGCAAAGCACATTAGATGAGCAAACCAAAATGTACTAATTGTAAAATATTTCTTCTAATAAAAATAGATGGTTATGTTACTAAAAAGAACAATTTCAGAAAAATATCAAATTATGAATTAAGACATTCCTCATTCTTATGTGAATTAAGAAATTCTTCACTGTTACACAAGTTTTCATGTTACAACCCATTTTTCTCTACATCTTGCATTCAGCTAGGTATCTAAGAGTTTAGATGATTTATGAGATGTGGCTAAGGGGAAGATCACTATATTAGCGATATCAAATAATGTCTTTCTTTAATCTAGTGAAAATGTCTGGTATAAATTTGAGGGGGTAGGGCACAGGTATTTTTGATTTTTACAACCTGTTGATCTGTGAAGAGATATAGTTTGACTTCCTCTTTCTGTTTATATACCTTTTATTTCTTTTTCTTGCTTGATTGCTCTGGCTAGTACTTCTAGTACTATGATGAATAGGAGTGGTGAGAGAGGATATCCTTGCCTTGTTCTGGTTCTGAAGAGAAATAGGTTCAAACTTTTGCCCATTCGGTATGATGTTGGTTCTGGGTTTGTCATAGATGGCTATTATTTTGAGGTATATTCCTTCAAACTTATGTTACCTAGTCTGTTGAGAGTGTTTAACAAAAAACAATGTTATATTTTATCAAAATCCTTTTATGCATCTATTCAGATGACCATGTGGTTTTTGTTTTTAGTTATATTTATGTGATGAATCACATTTATTGATTTGCATCTGTTGAACAAACCTTGTATCCCAGAAATAAAGCCTACTTCATCATGGTGGATTAGCTTTTTGATGTGCTGCTAGATTTGGTTTGCTAGTATTTTGTTGGAGATTTTTGCATTGTGTTCATCAGGAGTATTGGTTTATTGGTCTGAAGTTTTATTTTTCATTGTGTCTCTGCCAAGTTTAGGTACCAGAATGATGCTGGCTTCATAGAGTGAATTAGGGAAGTGTCCCCTCTTCCTAGATTTTTTGGCATAATTTCGGTGGGATTGGTACCAGCTCTTCTTTGTATGTCTGGTGTAATTTGGCCATGAATTCATCTGGTACAGGGCTTTTTTCTGATTGATATTGGTAGGCTTTTTGTTGCTGATTCAATTTTGAAATTAATTATTGGTCTATTAAGGATTTTGATTTCTTCGTGGTTCACTCTTGGGAGGTTTGGATGTTTCCAGGAATTTATCCAATTTTCTAGGTTTTTAGTTTGTGTGTATAGAGGTGTTCATAGTAGTCTCAGAGTTTTTTTGTATTTCTGTGAAGTCAATGGTAATGTCCCTTTTGTCATTTCTGATTGGGTTTACTTGGATTTTCTGTTTTGATTTTATACCTAGTAAACCCCGTACTTTCTGTTCACAGGGTGCTAGAAGTGATGAACAACTTCAGTAAAGCTTCAGGATACAAAATCAATGTAAAAAAATTAGTAGCATTTCTATAAACAAATGGTATCCAAGAATGCAATCCTATTCACAAGAGCCACAAAAGTAATAAAATACATAAAAATTCAGCTAACCGGAGAGGTAAAAGATCTCTACAATGAGAATTACAAAACACTGCTGAAAGAAATCAGAGATGACAGAAACAAATAGAAAAAAAACATTTCATGCTCATGGATAGGAGAAATCAACATTGTTAAAATGATCATACCACTCAAAGCAATTAACAGACTTAATGCAATTCCTATCAAATTACCAATGCCATTTTTCACAGAATTAGGCAAATATATTCTAAAATTCACAAAGAATCAAATGAGAGCCCCCAAAACCAAAGAAATCCTAATCTAAAAGAACAAAGCTGGAGGTATCACCCTATCTGACTTCAAACTATACTTCAAGGCAACAGTAACCAAAACAGCATTGTACTGGTACAAAAACAGACACATAGATCAATGGAAAAGGTTAGCGAACCCAAAAATAAAGCCACACACCTACAATCATTTGATCTTCAACAAAGTTGACAATAAGATATCATGGGAAAAGGACTCCCTATTCAATAAATGATGCTTGGATAACTGGCTAGCCATATGTAAAAGATTGAAGCTGAACCCTTTTATTATATAAAAAAAATTAACTCAAAATAGACAAAGACTTAAATGTAAAACCTAAAACTATAAAATCTCTAGAAGAAAACCTAGGGAATAACTTTCTCTACATATGCTTTGGCAAATATTTCATGATCAAGTCTCCAAATGCAATTGCAACAAACACAAAAATAGATAAATGGGACCTAACTAAACTAAAGAATCTATCTACAGAGTAAACAGATAATTTACAGAATGGGAAAAAATATTCATAAACTATGCATCCAACGATAGACTACTATCCAAAATCTACAAGGAAGTTAAATCAACATGCAAAAACAAACAATCCAATAAAAAAATGGGCAAAAGACATGAACAGACACTTCTTAAAGGAAGACATATCCCTGGCACTTCCACCAAAAACAAAACAAAACAAAACAACAACAACTAAAACACCAACAGCAAGAAAGAAGACATACACATGGCCAACAAGCATATGAAAAAATGCTCAATGTCACTAATAGAGAAATGCAAATAAAAGTCACAATGAGATACCATCTCATACCAGTCAGAAAGGCTATTATTAAAAAGTCAAAAAATAACAGCTATTGATGAGTTTGAAGAGAAAAAGAAACACTTATACACTCCTAGTGGAAATGTAAATTAGTTCAGCCACTGTGGAAAGGAGTTTGGAGGTTTCTTAAAGAACTTAAAACAAAACTACCATTAGAATGAGCAATCCCATTATTGGGTATATACCCAAAGGAAATATATCATTATATTCATTCATTATATAAAAAAGACACATGCACCCATATGTTAATCACAGCACTATTCACAATAGCAAAGACATGGAGTCAACCTGGATGCCCATCAGTGGTAAACTGGATAAAGAACATGTGGTACATATACACCATGGAATACTACACAGCCATAAAAAATAAAATCATGTGATCTGCAGCAACATGAATGGAGCTGGAGGCCATTATCCTAAGCAAATTAATGCAGGAACAGAAAACTTAATACCACATGTTCTCATTTATAAGTGGAAGCTCAACTTTGAGTTCCCATGGATGCAAAGATGAGAACAACAGACACTGGAACCTACTTGAAGGATAAGGCTAGGAGTAGGGTGAATTTTGAAAAACTACCTATTGAGTACTAAGCTCACTACCTGGGTAAGAAAATTGTTTGTATATCAAACCCCAGCAACACACAATTTATCCATGTAACAAACATACATATGTATCCCCCATACCTAAAATAAAAGTTGGAAAACACAAAGCAAAATAAAACTTGTTGGCATCTTTTAAATCACCTAGAAAGGAAATGACTACTCTGACCAAAAGAATAACTCGTAGTATTCCTTGAATATCATCTAACTTTGGATATTGTTTTAAAAAGTAGGTATTAATGTTATTAAGGTATGGTGAGGCCAACACTTCAGGAGACAATTGCCAATCAAAAGGTGGCTTATTTAAGCTCACAGACCCCCAGAAATGAGAGGGCATGACACACAATGAGGAGGGGAGTGGCACATGTGGAAGCACCAGGGTCAGTGCAGAGGCAAACGCAGCAGGGGAAAACATGGGCAATAGCCTTTATTGTGGTTTCTCCCAGAAGAAATGGGCAAGGCAGGGTAATCAATATAATGACTGGCTAGTTTGAGTAATTTCAGGGGGCTCTGAGATACAGGATTTGTCTCTAGTTATCTGGTATCTGGTCAGTGTAGGTGGATACAGGTCCATAGTGTAAGCCCTGCGAAAGCTCTAGAAAAGGGATGTTTGGGGTATGGCCTCTGGATTGATTGGTTTGCATGTGAAAGTTATGCTTGCAGCCCAGTCACTCACTACCTCTAGGAATTGGTAAGCTCTAGGAGGGGTAGTCTCTTCAGAGTGAACAAGGCCCCAGATGTCAAAACATCAGAGACAAATGGTTAATACAGATATTGAAGCTTATATCCATGTCTAGAGGAGCTTATGTCTCCTTGGACATAGTAATATATACCTAATAACTCCCAAAAGAAATATAAAATGGATTTTCCTGGGGTATGAACTGCAATAAGCAAAGCAGATGTACTGAGGAGATTTTACATTTCTTTCACTAGAAGAGAGAATTTAAAAGAGCTTTCAGATTATAGGTAGAATACCCTGGAGCCTACCAGATTGCAAATCTCTCTGCTTGGAGAAAATTGTTAAAAGGATCTTTAACCTAGGCATGATGGTAAACATATTGTGATGTCCTCAAAAAAGATCCAAATAACTTCTGACTTATATATTTGCCCCTAAAAGTTATGTCTTTTCTCTTCATGTAAAAAAAAAATGTTCATTGCAGATCTTATTTTATTATACCAAAGTTGCTTTTTAAAAATATACCATAACACCACACTGCAACTGCTTTTTAAGTTACCTTTCTTGCTGTTTACCAAATATGTTTTTTTTTCTCTGAATAATATGCAGGCGGCTTCAAGGGAAAATCTGTTAATATCCCCCAAATTTTCATTTTTTACCAGTTTCCCCAGTTCTTCAACATAGTGTGGGAAAATATATTATGACAGCTCCCATGCACCCTTCAGAGAAACACCTTGATGAAGTTAGGAGAGATCTATGAAGAATGTGGATTCACTATTAAGAATTATCTGTGGGACCTGCCAAGTTGCTGCTATCTATCCCACACATGGTCTCATTAAAAAACCCCTCAGTGCATGATTTATTGATTAGAGACCAAATATCCTGGAAAAGTCAAAAATTACTCTTTGGATGGGATTTTAAACATTCTCTCTTATATCCCACCAATGTATTATGCTTTAGATACATTTGAACCAAAAAAGAAAAACATATGAAAAAATTCTATTCTACTTTCTAGTTCATTACTAGGGTTGTTTTATTACAAGATTACATAACTGGAAAAGATTTAAACAACAGAATTTTTGTTAACCGTATATTATCAGTCATATTAAACACTAAAAACAATTTTCAAAGATGTTATTTAAAATCTAGTATTAAATTAAATACTCAAGTATTAAAATGCACTGAAATGCTTTCTAGATGTAAGAGTTAGAATGAATCAAGCCATATTTTTATTCCAAAACAGAATTTCTTTCAATTTAGAGGAAAAATATCAAAATATCAAATTTTTTTTCTTTTCTTCTCCACCTTCTCAGATTGTGGAGGATATTTCCTGAAAATACTTTAATCCAAAAAAATGTGTCATTATTCTGTGCCAGCATGGGGTATGAGAAATAAACTCTTGTTTTCCAAATAGTAAAGAAGATTGACATTAAAATAATTTCATGCAAACAGTAGGCGTATATAAGTAGAACAAATGAAACAAAATGTAGAACAGATGGGCAGATAACATGGTGTATGCAGTGAACAGGATACTTCCAAAATCTACCCTTTTAAAAGGAAAAGGTCTGAACAAGGACTTAAGTTGAGCAGAGCAAAAAACTAGAAGTAAGATAAGTATGTGAAAGTATCTTCTAGGAGCCATTTTAGTCATTCATTCATTTTCTATTTTTTTCTTTCTTTTTTTTTTTCTCCTTTTTTTCTTTTTTGAGAAGAAATCTTGCTCTGTTGCCAGGCTGGAGTGCAGTGGTGCAATCTCAGCTCACTGCAACCTCCGCTTCCTGAGTTCAAGCAATTCTCCTGCCTCAGCCTCCCAAGTAGCTGGGATTACAGGCATGCACCACCACACCCGGCTAATTTTTGTATTTTTAGTAGAGATGGGGTTCCACCATGTTGGACAGGATGGTCTTAATCTCTTGACATTGTGATCCGCCTCCCTCAGCCTCCCAAAGTGCTAGAATTACAGGCGTGAGCCACTGTGATCGGCCCATTTATTTTCTTAATTTCAAACCTTCATTAAAAAAAGTACTGATGACCTATATATGCTGGAATTGACAAAACTATGGTAAAGAAGTCACTGTTTTTTCATCATAGAATTTAAAGATTGTCCTGGGATGATGGACCCCACAGAAGTTATAACAAGAAGAGGACAAGAGTGACCATTAAGTATGAACTTCTTTAGGAGAATATAACAGGTTTGGAAGATCAAGGAATGAAGGTATGTTTCCTAGGGCAATAATATTAAGCAGAGATGTAAAAAACATGCCTGAGCAGTAGAAAGGAGAGGTGGTGGAAACTGGAAGAGAATCAGGAAAGATACTTAAGTTTTTAGATTAAATAGACACATGGCTGTTGGCTAACGCACTGAAGCAGAAAACACTGCAGGAAGAATAGTTTAGGAAAAGTTCATGAGTTCATTTTTGGACATGTTGAGTTTGGAGTGCTTGTGTGACAGCCCAGCATCCTGCCTTGCAAACTATTAGGTATATACAGTATAAAATGTATAGTGAGAAGACAGCTCTGGGTTTTGTCAGTCAGCATGAGCTAGATATGTCACAAAAACATTTCAACAAGTTAGAACAAAAAGGTTTATGTCTTGCTTTTGCTGTATGTCCATTGCAGGTAAGGAAGGGAGCTTTTTCACTCAAGTTATTATTCAGGCACCTGGACTGACTGATGCCTTCCCATGTTGTGATGTTTTTGTCTCTATTTGAGGCTTCACTGTTTACCACAGCAGGCCAAGAGAATGTGTGCAAAGGCTTATAAGCTCAAAAATGTTTCTGTCCTAAAGTGACACTTGTCACTTCCATTTACATTCCATCAGCCAAGGTAAATTATATGGCCTCTACTGATTTCTACAGGGAATTAGTAGTTTCTCATTATTATTTAGGTAGAAGAAAAGATGCAGAAATTTTGGTGAGTGCTAGTAATATCTATCACAGGATTGATGGTATTAATTTAGGTGTCTTTAAGATATGTCCTATGCAGCGGACATTCATCATTTAGTCAGTCTTCCCAAGGTAAAGGCCAGGATAGTAATATGCCAGACTCCCCTTAAAGTTTTAGGAGAAGGCATGTGACTTAGATTTCTGTAGTCAGGTGAATCCACTTGAAATTCACATTAAAAAGTTAGTGCTATGAAGAGGTGACCACTTAAAGGCGAATACACATGTCCAATACATGTAATGACAGAGGTATTTTTTTTTTCTGTGTAGGTTTGTGGGTGGGGGAGGTAGGGAGCAGAAGATCAGGCAACCAATCCTAAGAGGAATCTGTTCCAAGTGGCATGGTCATAGTATCTTTTCCAGAGTAGCCCATGTGGTGTATTGTATTGTCATTGATTTTGGGAGGGTAGCTTCAAAATCTTGCCCTCCAGTTCTTCCTTAAATGTGTATAAGTTATATAACACCGCTTTAAAATTCCATTTTCTCCTTAAATAAGCCAGAATGTTTTCCCATGTTTGCAACTAAGAACGCCGACCAATGTAATATTTGGCCTCAAGAGAGGCAATAGGCTCTCAAATAAATAGAACACTGAATAGTTTATTTAAACAGGTTGCGAATGAAGGCATTGAAGATCTAGTTAGTACAGAACTGGGAACTCTGGTGGTTAATAACATTGCATGTTAAACAGTTACTTAAATTATCCTGTAAAATGGAATGGCTATTGAAGTCAAGAGTTAAAAAAAATAAACAAACCTTGTAGCTATTGATACAGAATGAGAGGAAGTACTAAGGATTACAAAGAGGAGGAAGGCTGGTTGCTTCCAGCTGCACTGGAGAGCTTAATGACAAAAAATGGTAAGGTTAAAATTTAAAGTCTTGGCTCAAGGTGTAGTAAGAGAATCGGGATCTTACTATGTCTGTGCCAAAAGTATATTTTGTTGCAACAACAGTATTAACATAACCAAGCATCCTATCTGATGCTCTGGGTTGCTGAATTTCAACTTAAGTTGAATTCATATCTTTATCAGATTTTTAAATAACAGCATATTGAATGAAAAAGAATGAGACACCAGAATCAAAAGGGGGAAAATCTGATAGAACCCCAAACACTCATGGAGTGTCTTGCCAGCAAAACAGCACCTATTTTCCAGTCCGTTTAGGCTAGTAATGCCTTGCCTCGATATCCCTAAGATAAGTACTTTGCAAGGAAAGCAAATTTCTTGTTTGTCCCTTCTCGTTACCTCTTATTGCCTATAATTTAATAGCCAGAATCAGTCAGATATTTTAATTGGTTGCTCAGTTAGTTGACTGAAACTTATGCACAAAGGTGACCTGTGCTGAATGAATGAAAGGTGCCATAAAATCTTTTGAATTAAAGAAGATAAATTAATGAATTATTGCAAAGTTGGAGTGACTCTATTCCCTAAATGGTTCCCTGAAAAGACCCAGAAGATTAGAATGTAGATGTTAATAGATATAGCTATATTCAAGTGCAGTCAAGACTCCATCTGCCCTGGGCAACTTTCTGAGACTTGGGGATTGGCTCTCAATGAATCCTAGGCTTCTGTTGTCTCTTTTTGCCTATCTGTAAGTAATATTCACTTCATGTAACTTGTTGAGTATGAATATGTTCTGTTTCACCAGACTCAGACACGTTGGTGACCAGAAAATAATGAAATTGCTTCACACAGGGCCCTGCCATTTTGAAGTTTCAGAATATCCTGTAATATAGAACAATATAGAATATACTATTGAAAGTGAAAGGCCAAGTTGCTGTACTTTGCTCCATAAGTCACAAAGAAAGAGGTACAGTGGATTTCTTTGGATATTGGAGAAAATTATCACTACAGTTCAGTTGGATACTCTGATTGATTTGGCTAGTGATGCAAAAGCACGACTTTTTTTTTTTTTTAAATGGAGTCTTGCTCTGTCACCTAGGCTGGAGTGCAGTGGCACAATCTTGGCTCACTGCAACCTCTGCCTCTCAGGTTCCAGCGATTCTCCTGCCTCAGCTTCCCAAGTAGCTGGGACTACAGGCGCATGCCACCACGCCTGGCTAATTTTTCATATTTTTAGTAGAGACGGGGTTTCACCATGTTAGCCAAGCTGGTCTTGGTCTCCTCACCTCGTGATCCACCTACCTCGGCCTCCCAAGATGCTGGGATTACAGGCGTGAGCCACCGCGCCTGGCCAAAAGCATGACATTTTTAAATGTCTGCTTAGCAAGAGAAAATCTTTAGGCTGGACAACACTCCATGAAAGCAATTCTGCAATGTGCTTTATAACAGTAAATCCAATCATTTCCAAAGTATCTGTCGCAGAAGACAATACTGTATAAAGCCCGTGTCGAGCCTTAATAGGAGAGTCATGCTGTAGGTACCTAATGTTTTAAGGCAAAGTTCATGGCAAGTAACTATTGTTTTGATTAAAAGTTTGTGTTTTTTTTTTTTTTTTTTTTTTTTTGGCAGAAACGATCTGCTAGGAGTCACTAAACAACTGATGATAGAGCACCAAATGACCTGAGCTTATGCTCATGGACTTGGTGTTACCTAATACTCCAAGCTATACAATTGGTTGGGTCCAGAAATGATCCATCCATTAGAAATGTTATAAATACAGGTTTGACCTCAAGCAGGTCCTGAAGTACAAGTAGCATGAGCAGATATTTCTGTCAAGGATAACAAAACCAGACACTAAAGTGTTAAGGACAAATTTTAATTAGTGATAACTTATTGCAATAGGGAAGAGGGTCCAGTATGAACAGAATTCAATTTCAACTGTCATGAAATTCACTGGTCCTACCACAGATACTGTGATTGATAAAACTCCCCCTTTTTGAGATCATGAAGATATACTTGTTTATGGATAGTCACATTAGGATAGGTGTGAGCATTTTGCTATTTGGAGGATTAAATTTAGCAGAAGTATATACATTAATGTCAGGCAGCTAACATTAGCTGTAGAGGTGGACCTGTGCCATTTCTTGTCACCTAATATTTTGGAGAATTCTATTTTCTATAATCTTTCAAACTATGAGTCCTGTTTTTCCTGACTAGAATTCAGAAAACTCACATTTGTAGGTTGCTTACAGTTTTAATAAGAACAGATATATGACCTAAGTTCCAACAATCAGATATGACTTTAAGAGACATGAATGCATAAACAAGACAAGCAAGAAACCTGTTCTATATGGGGGGAAAGAATAGTGGTAGAAGCCTCCCGTTCTTCAGAGGCGGCAGTAATATTTTCACTAGCACATTTTCCCAGCATAAGCACTGTTTCTGTAATTAGCCTTTAGCCTGGCTCTGAGTCTCCTTGAGATTTTGTAAGCTTTCTAATAGTCTGAATAAATTCATTTTCTGTGTAAGTTGGTCTGCATACAGTTGTTTGCACCTGGGTACTGTGACCCATACAGTAAAATTATGGTCACCGAAACCACAAGAATAAATCATTTCACATTGGAATAGAGCATATAAAGCTAAAGAAGGCCTGAGAACACACTCCTGAGAAACTTTACAGTGAATCGTGTGAAGTAGGTGAAGTTAACAAGAGATAAGGATAAAGAGATGTCAGAGAGGCAGGGAAACAATACAGGGTGCATGGATCATGGTATCCAAAATTCAGAGTGTTTCAAGAGGAGAGTGATCAAACTGTTGAATGCTCCCAAATGAGCAATAAGTGAGTAATAATAATATTTGTGATATTTACCTGATTATCTAATTTCATCATCACAAGAACCCTATCAGAAAGCTAATAATTGTTGCCATGAATTAGGAAGAATTGGGATGGCAGGGAAATAATAGTAGACATTGTAGATAACTATTTAATTGTGATGAGAAAAAGAATGTTAGTTGGAGAAAGATAAGGGATTCAGGAAGGTTTGTTTGGGGTATGGAAAGTTAGGGAAATTTAAAGATAAAGAACAGAGGCATATCAGCCATGTTTCTTGTGAACATAAGAGAATACATGATCCAAAACACAGATACTTCAACGAGTATTGTAAACTTGGTAAAGAAGAGAAAATGATGGCAGATGGTAAGGTTTATGTTTGCTAGCAGGAAGTTAAGAGAATTCCTGTTTGTCCTAATTTCTATGTAAAGTACAGGACAAGGTTATCTGCCAAGAGAGGAAATGAGAGGTTATAGGTCTGAGGAAATAAATGGTTTGAGAGAGATCTTATAGAAATGAGAGTGCAGTAATTAGAAGAACACAAGAGTTTCAGTGTTATGGCTAAATTAGGTCTTCCTATGTGATTTTCTCAAGGAAAGCTCATCAAATGTGTTTAGGGTACAAATGACCAATCACTGCAATCACTACCCTTATCCTGAGTTGGGGAACTGGAAACATAAGATAAAAATACTTGCCACTGTCTTTGTCAGTGGAATGTAGACATACAGACACTATGATAAAAACCAGAGAGAATAATGTGGTCAAGGGGAAGGGGGTGATTGACCTTAATGTGGGACTGTTTCATACAGATGGTGCCCCTTAATTGAGTAAATGGAAGACTTGGGGACTGGGTGTATGTGAGGTGCAGAAGTACTCAGGACAAAAGCAATGCCCTCTGAAAATGTCTTGGTTTTGATAATCTACTCTCTATGTATTCTAAAGAACGTAGGGAAACAGCTCATACATGTTTCTCACGAAATATTAACCTTGGGTTGTAAACTCAATTCAATTCATTTAGGTATCTTGTATTACCATCTTGTCAGTAATACCTGGATCACCTGGAGAGTCTAGGCAGAATTACTCAAGACATTGCAGATACATTCAGGTATCTAATAATATCAAGCAATAACTAGCACCTTGATATAATTAACAATAACATTTTACTGTGCTGGTAGGGCCTTAGGCAGATATAGACATCAATTGAATAGACAAATCAGTAAACCAGTATATACATTTAGATGGTTGAAAACAAGACAAAAAAAGAAACAAACAAACAAAGACATTTCTGAGAACATTCTGGGATTTTACTTTCCAATGGTAGGATAGTGCTGAGCTTATCAGTTACTTTTATATGATGTTTCTTATGATCTACAAACAGTATGACAAGGGGTATCAGTTATGGTGTCTGGAAAGTAGTCTCTAAGGTGACTGACATAACACAGGAAAAGTAAAATAATCTTCTATAGATAGCAAGTTAAATTTGCTAAACTGGAGGCTGAGAATTTAAGTTTGAGTATTTCTATCTTGTTTCTTATATATCCTATATTTTCCCACTTTTTTGAGCAGCAAGAATAGATCACTTTCATTGTTACTGTTTAGGGAATACTTATGAGTGTGTTATCAGAAAGTTGATACACTTTAAATGTAAAATGTTAGAAGATTTGTAGGGTTTCCAAATATCTGATTGCATGTTGGTTAATATTTCTTCCCAAGGAGAAAGCAATACCTAATTTAAAATAGAAGTTATAATAGAATTAATGTTTGCTTTATAAAAGTGCTTCAAAGCTATTCTGTATTAACTGAAGGATATATTTATTTATCCCCAATTAGCTCCCACGTGAGGTTCTGATGGAAGGTAATTTTGCCTATGTATGCTTAAACAAATTATTTGCTCACTTATTTCAGATTACATAGGGTAATAATGGCTATGACCACTTCAAAGGCCAGCTAGTGACCCTGAACTGTGGCCAAAGTATCTGAGTTGCCTATTTCTTAATATAAATTATTGAATAAGACAATTATACTTAATGCAAATCAGGCTTAGCCTAATGCACAATTGCAAATGGTAAAGAATTGAGTCCAGTATCTTTTCACAAAAAATAGCCTTGTATGTTGCTTTTTATGTTTTGTTTTTGTTCTGCAGATGCAGAATTGGATTAATCATGATTCTTGGGTCATGATACACTTTCATTGTTGGTCCATTCATAGTATTCTCTCCTCCCTTTCTCCCTTCTTTCTCTCCTTCCTTCCATTCTTTATTACGTGTATTAGTTTTCTTTTTATAGTGAAACAATCATGTACAAATCCAAAACAAAACTTAGGAAATCTTACACAATAACTTACACCTAATATATGGTTGATCTTGGCTAACCTGTTCCCCTGCCTTCTGCTAACTTGTTAACATTATCCTGAAACATCCCATGCCTTCCTACATGTCTCTTTTATAGAGCTTATCACATGTATATGCATCCACAGACATATATTTTCATTTTTATTATTTTTAATTCTATAAAATGGGTTGCATATTGTATGTAATCTTTTTTTTTCACTTTTGAACCATATTGCTATATATCACTGTAATTTAACTACTGGATAGTATTTCATCTGATAAAAGTAATACAGTTTACTCAGCCCTCTAATTCATGAGCATTAAAGAGTTTGGTATTACAAACAGTGATGGAATATTCTTTAATTAATAAATGTTCCCTCTTGTACTTATGGAGGAGATTCTTCTGGGTATCTACTTAGGAAGGCAATTACTATACTATAGGGGACATCTACATTTGCTATGGATATTTATCCAGCTTTAGTAGTCATTATTTAAAACTAAATTAAGAAAGGAAAACGAATAGGAAGTCTTTTTTC
This sequence comes from Homo sapiens, assembly GCF_000001405.40. Taxonomy (NCBI): domain Eukaryota; kingdom Metazoa; phylum Chordata; class Mammalia; order Primates; family Hominidae; genus Homo; species Homo sapiens. Next base: position 77,936,536 of record NC_000006.12, on the reverse strand, counting down.
TTCAATGACATTTCAAAAGTAACATGATCTATTTTTGACTTGAAAGAGTTCAACAGTAAATAATGTAGAAAAATTACTTATAAATGGGTGTGCTTGTACCTTGAGAAGCTCATTTTGTCATAATGTCTTTCATTTCCTTATACTCATTGAGATTAATTGTAAATAAAATGTCATACTGACACAGTTATAACCCTATACTTGGCAGGTATATGATACCACAAGGAGATGAATAAAGGTCGATTTTATATGGAAATATTGAAAATGTTTTCTCCATTATAAAGAACAACTTTCAGGGAAGATGACGTCTATATTCATAGATCTATCACTTCATGCCTTATTAACTTTTATTAATTTGTTAGATTTTCAGTATTTCCTGCAATGTGGCATACTGCTTTTGTATTATCTCTACCCACTTTAACACATTCACAATTACTACGATGCCAGTAATTTTATTTCCAAAACTGAAATTGGTGAAAGTCAAATCATGTTGCATCCCCTGGAAGCAGGGATCAAGACTAACTCTTTATTATGTAATTGTCTATTCAGTGTATCCTGCTTGTAAACACTGCGTCTACAATATGTTTTGTAACATTCTAATGAATTTTTCATATTTCCTCTGAATAGCAGGTTGACTTGATGATAGTCCTCAGACTATTAATAAATTCTGCCATCATTCTGCCATAATTGATCCCATTTACTGCTATGTTTCCTTTGCCCCATTTTGAGGAGAAAATATAGATAAATTTGCATATAATCCCTCTGAATACACAAAATTTGCTATGAATTACTCTCTGTATTGTTCAGCAAAAGTATCCATGAGCAGATAAAGGCTTATCTGTTTTTTGAGTGATTAAAGGTTTGAAGCAGACACAGTAAACAGTAACTGTTGAAAGTGAAGCAAAAGTAAACTAAGCTCTCATTTCTTATTCTTATGTTCATATCCTGAGGCTCTTCCCCATTTTCGTAACTTCCCTTTCTCTTGAGTTGGAAAAAAAGATGGGGGCCTAATAGGGTTCCAGATTTGTAGAATAGTGGAGCAATCAGTATTGGACTGCATCAGCTGTCTGGTTCTTCTTTCTTACTACGAAATGCACCTCATAGGAAATGATAATTGAAAGCACAGCATCATTCATTCATTCATTTATCCAATAGTCAATCAAAACTATACATAAATATATAAAACCTAAATCCTTCTTTCCACTGTGTCTGAGCAATACACATAACCTCAAGACATTCTTTTCTCTAAACATTATTTTATTTTAGATACTAAAGGAAAAGACATACATGACAACTTTGTCACCTACAGGCTGTGCAACACTTGATGCAGTTCTTCAGTAACCTAGTTAAAAACTATAACAAGTTATGGTTGTCAAGGGTGGAAAAGGTTTGAAATTTCTATTATCAGTCTACATATTACAAATGAGTTGAGACACCCAAGTTCATCTGTAAGGAGGGTAACTAAAAATGGAATATATTTTTTTCACAAAAATAATTTTATACATAGTGATGAGGTTTTTCATCAGGACATAAAGTCAGCTTAATTCATGATGAACTTAATGTACCTTGTAGTGTTATTTGATTTATGACTACCCACAATTGGCAACATTTTTTTCCTAAAGAAAAAATATTTTCTAAATTTCAATTCATTCTTCACCTAGGCAACAGCATCTAGAAACAAGATAACTACAAGAGAGAATACATCTGCCTATGTGACTAGATTTGCAGATTTGTATTCAGTTATGGTCCCTGTGAAGGAAAGGAAAGGAGAGTTGCCTGGACTGGAAGTCATCAAGGGTGCTTCAAACTTATATTCACTCACCTACTTGGGTGCAAATCATTCACAATTTGGAAAATTGTTCCCCATTGCAAAATATGCTTCATCTTTTCTAACTCCCATGTGTGACAGAGAATGAGGAAACTAATAGTAAGTTTAGAAATTAATACAGCAATGCAGTCAACAACTATTGATCATTTACTATGTTCCAGAAACATAGCACAAACCTACGCTAAACATCAAGATTTAAGTTTTGAAATACTCTTCCAGTGGCGGGTGCGGTGGCTCACACCTGTATAATCCCAGCACTTTGGGAGGCCGAGGTGGGCAGATCATGAGGTCGAGATAGAGACCATCCTGGCTAACAAGGTGAAAACCTGTCTCTATGTGTAAAAATACAAAAAATTAGCCATGCATGTTGGCGCACGCCTGTAATCCCAGCTACCCTGAAGGCTGAGGCAGGAGAATTGCTTGAACCTGGGAGACAGAGGTTGCAGTGAGCCTAGATCACACCACTGCACTCCAGCCTGGGCAACAGAGCAAGACTCCGTCTCAAAAAAAAAAAAAAAAAAAAAGTTTCCAAAATGTTCAAAGTGTAGTGGCCAATATCAAATTTACACATATTAATTTTATTTAAAAAGTAGTTGTAGTTCAACCAATCAACTGTGTGAGTCAAGCTTACTGTTTCATCTTTCCGACATTGTTTTATCATCTATAAAATGAGGATAAATGAACTTGAAGGGTTTTTCAGTTGAAAAATTGAGTGGACTGCCAATGAAATTGTCAATAAATGAAATCACATGGTCCAAGGGCTGTGCAGAATTCAAATTCAGTTCAGGCAGGTCAGATTGGGAGATGGTGGGTGTGTGGTAGCTTATGCTTCAAAGAACAGTGGACTTTAGTGCAAAGTAACTAAAAAAGTTATAGTTCACATGAGGCCTATGTTGACTGATGCAGTATTAGCTAGTGGCTGGAGTATCATTGGATGCTGAGAGAACTGAAGAATAAAATACTGCAAGCATGTTCTAGCTATGTTCTGGAAGGCACTCATAGGAACAAAGAAGGGTAATAGGACAGTAGTTCTATAGGTATATTAGTTAGGGATCAGTGGGTCTAAGCTACAGAAACTGTCTTTGGTTAACATAAGCAGACAAGTTATAGCTTTGCTTAAAGAACAACTGTGGTAGCTCATAGATTCAACTGGAAAGCTGGAAGATCATATTTGGAAAAAGGCAAGAAGCAGGTAGCTCTGAGGGCTTAGCAGCAAGAACTACTCAACAATTTCATCATCAGTGTGTTGCCATCATAAAGGATGACCTACAACTGATTTCAGTGATTCTGCACAGGATTGACATTCCAGAGAAGGAGTTTCCAAATGGCCTAGCAAATATGTGAACACTTCTCAACTAGAAAAAAACAGCATCTTGATTTTTCAGCCTTAAAGAAGACTGTGCATAATCGGCAAGAAAATTCACAAAAGGAAATTAGGATGTTATTTCCAAATCCACTATCCTTAGCCAGAGCAAGGGCCAGGATCCATATTCATGGAGAATTGGAATGGTAACAAGGAGCTAGGGCAGGAAGCCTGGGCATATGAACCTTGCACAAAGAATTGTCACCTAGGCTGTAGGCACCTGAATTCTATTCCATGGCTCCCTCACTGGTAGGAAAGAGGTCTCCTAAATATACCACTGGTTCCAGATCTCGCCAACTGAAAATCTCTGAAGGACTGATTCATCTCTGGCATACTAACAAGTTAAGTGTATAATTAAGCACTTTCCACAGTTTCAAGCACACAGAAATTATGAGTAACATTAATATTAATGTTGATATAACATTATTATAACATAATCATCGTAGTTGCCATTAAACATAGGTTGAATGAGAAGAGATTCAGGGAAAGAAACTATTTCAGTATGGTTTGGCTTTAAGTCCACTTAGAATTCAGGCAGAATACTTGGAATAGGAGAAGATATGAATACATAAAATTTAATACTGTCTCTGACACTATCTATCTCTGTGACTCTGGACACGTCACTGAACCTCTCTGCACCTGCTTCTTCCTATGTAAAATGGAATTAATAGGAATAGTAATACTACCTATTGTATAGGGTCGTTATTAGAACTGAATGAGATAACACATGAAAAGTGCTTGGGACAGTGCCTGATACATAATAAACATCATATAAGTGTTATCTCCTTTTCTTAGTATCATTATTATTACTTTAGAGTTCACAAAGTGCTTTTCACATATATTAACTTCATTCATGCAAAAACAATTCTGTGGTGAAGGTATTCTTCTTTAAAATTTTAACAATAAAAAAGATATTTTATTTTTATGATATGGATAGTGATACTCTCATCTTTTAACTGTGAGTCTATTCTACTAGACCTTATAGATATATACAAAATTATATCACTGAAGGACCTCCATGGAGACAGAAAAAAGACAAAACTCCCCAATTCTGGGTAATAACATTTAATAATAATTGATAGTTACATTTAACATTTAATAATAATTGGTAGTTATATTTCACGATTTTAGTGATGTATACATAAGTGATTCTAGCAGAAATACAGATAGTCTTTGTTCTTTAACTTTATGAATAAAAAACAGATGCTTTTATAATGCGAAAATAAGAATATTAAATGACTTGTCCTAAGTCACAAGATTACTTGGCCAACGATGGTCCTCTACCCTCTTTCCTCCCATCTCCACCCACAACCCCACACCTCCCCACTTCTACTTGTATCTTCTGCAAAATGGTCTCTCTGGGCTTCATTGCTATTTTAATATGGCAAGAAACAGAAAGGCCTATTTTCAAATGAAACTTTAATATAGTGCTGATTGACAAGGCACAGAGCAAGTAATAGTCCTTACATCTTTTCCCCATACCTAAGAAAAATGAGTAAACAATATTTGTCCAAATAAAGTTTTTTTGGGGGGAAAATATCACAGAGATGTTTCTAATTATTTAAATTTTATATATTTTCTCTCGTGATGTAAAAAGTTATAAAGACATTTTCTTTCTAACTTCATAAGATGGTTCAGAAATGTCAAACACTGTCAACAGGATCATACTGATTAATGCTTATCCTGAAATAGAGATTTTTTTCTTCTCCTTTATGACAAAAAGTATAATTTTGAAGCTAGTGTAAACTATGCTTCAAATGTATTATTTATTTTCACTTCTAAGTCTTAGGAATTAACTCTAATCCATGTATGGATGTCTGATCTTGATCCTTATGTTTTGAAAGATTTAACGCACTTTATCCTCAGAAAGTGTTACTCAGACTGACTTACAAAGCAATCAGATAGCAAAGTAGAATTTACGTCTATTTCTTTTAAATAAATGCCACCAATTTGGCCATCTCTAACATCTTACTGCACTTCTTTTATTCTTCCAAATATAAAGGAATATTTCAATATCAAATTTTACTTAATATAATGTAAATTTCCCACCACTATAATTATCATAAGCACATGCTGCATATGTCTAAAAAGAACACTTTAAGAAGTGTGCAAACTGGAGTTCTGCTGTCAGGATAACTTTATGCTCTACACTCAGTTTCTACTTCTGCAGTTAGGAACATGACAGCTGTTTGTATCTGAGTGCCAAGAATGTGGAGTACATGTTGACTCAGTTGCTTGCTGCCTATCTAAATCTTGGTTTTGATTTTTTTTCTAGCTTTCACCTTGGGCAAATTACTTAAATGCCCTGTGCTTGCTTTTCACCTAATTGGAGATAATCAGTATACTTACCTCATAGGGTTGTTAGAAGGATTAAACAAAATAATAAAGAACAAGTATGGAGTGCCTAGCACATGTCAGAAAGGCTAAATAAATGCTGGGTACTATCTGCCTTACTAAAGTGATGGTGCAAAGCCATATGGATTATGGTACGTGATTTTCTTTTAAATAGAATCTCTGGAATAGAATTCTATTTAAAAGGGATTCACCACATGAGCCACGATTATACAAGCCTTAGAAATTATTTTTTGAAGTCTTCACTTGGGAATAGTATCAGCATATTAATTTGGAGTTGGAGACATCTTCACATTTCTATAACATTTCTTCTAGCTTTTTTTTCCATTTTGCACTTGGAATGGCTGTGTTTGCTTCGCCTGGTCTCTTATGTTCTCTTCTATTAATAGGTTTTATCAAGTTGCAAGATAAAATGCCTAGTCAGCTATGGCAAACTCCACTTCTTAGTCCTGAGCCATGGTGGAAGGGGACATGCTATTTTTTCTTCTTCTTTTTTTTTTTTTTTTTTTTTAAACAGACAAGTTTTTTCTCTGTCACCTAGGCTCACCTCAAACTCCTGGCCTCAAGCGAGCATCCTACCTTAGCTTCCCAAAGTGCTAGGATTAGAGGTGTGAGCTACCGTGCCTGGCTACCCTCCTCATTTTAAAGGTTCATGTCACTCTTTGCAGTGGACTGGCTCTGGAACTATCCTAAAGAGAAATGTCATGCCACGAGATCCCAGGGTGTATTCCATGTCCTCAATGCCGGATAGAACAAAAAGGCACCAACGGTCGTGTTACTGCTTGTGGTGGCTCCCCTTAAAAACTCCAGGTAAAATATAGGAAATATTTTCTTTTTCAAACTTCAGAATTCGTTTCAAGAGGTTTGGATCTCTTTTTAGAAAATGTGGAATTTGAGTGTGTGTTTGAGAGAGAAATAAGAACAAATGCTGGTTTAAGTGTCTGGCATTTCCAGTGTTCCTGAAATGATTACTTATTCATGAAAATATCTTCTTAGTTAAGTTGTTAAAGCTAACAGCAGAGATTGTTCTGTTCCCTCCTCATGTGTCAGGGGCGCTGTCCTTAGGCAACTCTGGAGCTCACAGTAACATAGGAAAGACCCAAAGTGGTAGAATCAAATTAAGCAGCAAAGTTGAACCAAATTAAGCACTGTTTATTAATTATTTATAGCTCACCATATTCTAGAAGGATTCATGGCAGCTACAATTCCATCTCTAGGGTTGAGAAATAGAATAATATGTTTATAATTCAGTTATATTTACTACATGTATTAAACAGATCTCCTGGAATAAAAGGAATATTCTGATATTACTTGGGGCAGCTAATAAGAGGAAAGTAACACCATGTGTGCATCTCTCTGCACATTCATTGCTCTATCCCAGGACAAATGCAAAAAGCTATAGTTAATTTGATCTAAACCCAGATTATAATAATTTTTAAAGTACTACTATGGGGAATAAAGATATATTTTAGTAAGAGAGCTAAAAGCTAAGTATTAAAATGCTATTTTTTAAGTGCTATTAAGGTTAATCTGTTCATAAATATGCTACTTCAGTGAACCTGGAATAATCTGGTTTCCAAAAAATCTTCCTTCGGAATTTTAAGGCACATATAAGGAAACCTAAAAAAAATCAATACTATGGGATGACTAAATTTCTACTTTCTGAATAATTTTATAAGTATTAAACCTTCCTAATCAGTAAAAACAATATTAGTGCTTCTCAAACATTGGTGGACATCAGAATCACCTGGAAGACTTGATAAAACACAGATTACTGAACCACAACCCCGGTGTTTCTGATCCTGTAGTAGGTCTGGGGTGAAGGCTTAAAATTTTTATTTCTTTTTTATATCTTTTTTTTAAATTATACTTTAAGTTTTAGGGTACATGTGCACAACGTGCAGGTTTGTTCCGTATGTATACATGTGCCATGTTGGTGTGCTGCACCCATTAACTCATCATTTAACATTAGGTGTATCTCCTAATGCTATCCCTCCCCCTCCCACACCCCACAATAGGCCCCGGTGTGTGATGTTCCCCTTCCTGTGTCCATGTGTTCTCATTGTTCAATTCCCACCTATGAGTGAGAACATGCGGTGTTTGGTTTTTTGTCCTTGTGATAGTTTGCTGAGAATGATGGTTTCCAGCTTCATCCATGTCCCTACAAAAGACATGAACTCATCATTTTTTATGGTTGCATAGTATTCCATGGTGTATATGTGCCACATTTTCTTAATCCAATCTATCATTGTTGGACATTTGGCTTGGTTCCAAGTCTTTGCTATTGTGAATAGTGCCACAATAAACATAGGTGTGCATTTGTCCTTATAGCAGCATGATTTATAATCCTTTGGGTATATACCCAGTAATGGGATGGCTGGGTCAAATGGTATTTCTAGTTCTAGATCCCTGAGGAATCGCCACACTGACTTCCACAATGGTTGAACTAGTTTACAGTCCCACCAACAGTGTAAAAGTGTTCCTATTTCTCCACATCCTCTCCAACACCTGTTGTTTCCTGACTTTTTAATGATTGTCATTCTAACTGGTGTGAGATGGTATCTCATTGTGGTTTTGATTTGCATTTCTCTGATGGCCAGTGATGATGAGCATTTTTTCATTTGTCTTTTGGCTGCATAAATGTCTTCTTTTGAGAAGTGTCTGTTCATATCCTTCACTCACTTGTTGATGGGGTTGTTTTTTTCTTGTAAATTTGTTAGAGTTCTTTGTAGATTCTGGATATTAGCCCTTTGTCAGATGAGTAGGTTGCAAAAATTTTCTCCCATTCTGTAGGTTGCCTGTTCACTCTGATGGTAGTTTCTTTTGCTGTGCAGAAGCTCTTTAGTTTAATTAGATCCCATTTGTCAATTTTGGCTTTTGTTGCCATTGCTTTTGGTGTTTTAGACATGAAGTCCTTGCCCATGCCTATGTCCCGAATGGTATTGCCTAGGTTTTCTTCTAGGGTTTTTATGGTTTTAGGTCTAACATGTAAGTCTTTAATCCGTCTTGAATTAATTTTTGTATAAGGTGTAAGGAAGGGATCCAGTTTCAGCTTTCTACATATGGCTAGCCAGTTTTCCCAGCACCATTTATTAAATAGGGAATCGTTTCCCCATTTCTTGTTTTTGTCAGGTTGTTCAAAGGTCAGATGGTTGTAGATATGTGGCATTATTTCTGAGGGCTCTGTTTTGTTCCATTGGTCTATATCTCTGTTTTGGTACCAGTACCATGCTGTTTTGGTTACTGTAGGCTTGTAGTATAGTTTGAAGTCAGGTAGCGTCATGCCTCCAGCTTTGTTCTTTTGGCTTAGGATTGACTTGGCAATGTGGGCTCTTTTTTGGTTCCATATGAACTTTAAAGTAGTTTTTTCCAGTTCTGTGAAGAAAGTCATTGGTAGCTTGATGGGGATGGCATTGGATCTATAAATTACCTCAAGGAGAACTACAAACCACTGCTCAATGAAATAAAAGAGGATACAAACAAATGGAAGAACATTCCATGTTCATGGGTAGGAAGAATCAATATCGTGAAAATGGCCATACTGCCTAAAATTTTTTATTTCTTACACATTTCCAAGTGATGCTAATATGGCTGGGTTGGGGACCGCATTTGAGGACCGCTGTTTTATATATGGTCAGAGACAACTAAGGTTAATTAATGTTATCACCTGGAAATCTTGCTGCTTCAGTGGACTGACTAAACATTTACATAAACACAACTGCTGACAGAAATACAACAAAAGTTCACCAACAATTTAAGCAGTTAGAGCAAAATTTAGATTAAAATATCAGAAGAAAATACTACAAATATAGGGTAAATGCCTATGAAATATATAATTGAATTATTTAAATGTCTTAAATGTTAGAACATTATTTTCAGAAGCTTTGCTTCCTATTAGGAATAGATCCTTAAAATTCCTTTCATATTAAATAAAAACAAAGGACTTTCATATTAAGAAACAAAAAAGAGGCTGAGTTTATTTTTTATGTTTGTAATACTCTGTAATATTTAGAAAGTTCTTACAAGACCAGTATATTTATTAACCAGATAAATTTTGTATTATACAATTCTATAAATAATTCGGAATCAATTAACTTTTAACAATAATAAAATCCTATATATTTTTTCAATATTAGATAAACATTAACAAGTTAATTATCTCCTTCAGCAAATATTGATGTAGTTGGGTCATTATATTGACTGCTAAGAGAAAGCTTGGTTTCATAAATCTGACAAAAGTTAAAGCTTAGTATGTTTTATTTTTGCAAATAATTGGTTTGTAGACAATTGGTGCTTCATATTTGATGAATAAATGAAATTAGGTTACAATAAAGCAGAGCTGTCAATATTTTCCCCATAATATGGCGTTCAGAAAATCTGTAAATGTACATAAAATTTTGGAAATGCAAATGCCTTGTTTCCCTGCCTCTCTTGAAATATGCTGACCTTGGCTAAAAGACAACAAATACCATTAAAAAGTACAAGGCCTGTGAGATAATCGTATATATTTTTCCAAGAACAAACCAGTCAGATTTGTTTTCTCTCCCCATTTTGCTTATCATTACAGCCTCACAGTCTACCTAAACACCTCTGGAGGGAGCTCTGTACCTTTTAGGACATTATCGTTTGAAGACAATCTGTAACTTGGCTACAGTCTTGAGTAGCAAGATGCTACAACCCTGAAAAGGTCAAAGATGCTGTTCCTCTGGTTTACTTATAGATAGGACAACTTGTTTACAGCAATTAAAAAATCCAAAATAAGCTAATCATAAGCTAGTAATTTCCACTGTTGTGCCTTAAGGTTCATAGTTAAGCATGTATAAAGCTTTGATGACAATTGCAAAGAAGCTGTGTTTGTGAAAGTTTACTGAAGTGCCAGGAGAGCTGCACATAACAGGCAGTGCAGTAAAGTAGGAGTGTGGAATTGGAAGATGGACTGCCTCAGGATGAAACCTAACTGCCACTTCCTGGTGTTGTGAACTTGGGCAAGTTCTGAGTTCTTCATCTCTAAAATACAGATTCAGGAAATAATCGTACCTTTCTCATTACAGGTGCTGGGAGAATCAAACAGTTTAATATATGTAAAATGCTTAGGTAAGTACCTGGCTATTTGGTATTTATTATACATATCGTATATATATGTATAATATTACTTATTCATATATTTTATTATATAAATGTATATAAAATATTTAATATATATTTACTCTCATATAAAATATATTATCATATATTTATTATAGCTTATATTAAATAGTATAAGAGTTATAGCAATTATCATCACTTTTTATTTGCTTCATTTTTATGATCATTCTATGGTTCTCTTTATTTCCTATCCTATCTTATATCCAGTTTCAATGCTGCCCAATTACTACTGACTCCATTACTCTTATCCCTAAAACCTTAATTCTAAAGTTAGACATTACCTAAATATAAACTGTTATAACATTCTTAAACATTGTAATACCAGTTTAAATCATTCATTAATTCACTGCTTTACTGAAACACAGATAAAAATGTCTCATTTTATCATTTTATCTTCTTTTTGACCAGTAGATTTGGACCTTAATACTAATTTACTACACCATTCACTCTGATATAGACTGAAACCCAGGATAATTAAAGTATCATATACTTGGTGGAAGTTAAATGTTTATATAAAATGGATACCAAATGGAAATAAAATGTTTCTCCATTTTGTGCATTCACAGTGATCCCAACATCTTGCATCTTCTTTTATAATAAATATATTTCCTAGGCTAATTTTCAGACCTTGAAGCCTTGGAGACCACTGAAATTAATAAATTTGTTGTAGCTCCAAAAGTCTCTTAGCTGATCATTACGTTGGCTGGCTGCAATAGGGAAAGGGCCATTGCTGATACTTGTGTATTTACCAATCTTGTTTAATCACAATGAAAGAAGATGAAGGTGTCATGGAAAGTGGATTTTGTGTAATGCTATATCAACTGAAGTGACTTCCATAAGCCTTCACAGGTGTTCACAGGAATCAGACATTAGAAAAATCCCTCCTAATCCAAGATTTGGAATATACTTCTTGTATTCAACTGGTACTTGTTGTGAAGTAAATTATTGGCCCTAATAATTACCTACCTACATCCATGCTCATTGCCCTGTAACTGCAAGTTCTCCCACTCAAGTCTACTCCCCTGTCAGTCACTTTTCTTTGGGCTTGACCATTTGATGTACTTTGACAATGCATGTGGATGGAAGTGCTAATGTGACATTTCTCAGCCTAGCCTTTCGTCTTGCTCAATTGCCACTGCCATGAGAGGAGCTTCCACTGAGAAGCTACTATCCCCCAAGTCTGGTTCTCAGAATATGCACATGTGGAAGAGAAGAAAGCCTGACTTTTAGCAAGAAGCCTATTCCTGTGGTATGTGCAACCTCAGCAGAGCTTTTCATTAAAGTCAAGTCCAGTCCAAATCAGCTGATCCTTGAGTGACCTGCATATATCTGAGAAATATTATTGTTGTATGCCACTGATAGATATTTTGTGATTGATTATCTATCTGTCACATAACAAAAGCTGACTGACATACATGTAGTTTCAGGATTATCAAAAAGGCATTATCTTTTCAAAAATGCTAGAAATAATTCCAAAGATAATTGTTTGTGCCAGATGACATAATTGTATATACATTGTAGATGGAATTATCAAGATTACTTTTAATGCCAACGACATTTAGGAATGCTAATTAACTTATGAAACACCATCACATATCATTAATAAAGGAAATTTATATTTTGTGTTCCCTAAATGGCACTATAGGAAATGTAACATATGCTCATTAAGTTTGCGGTTATGATTTTAATCATTGAAATGAAGTCAATGAAATTGTATAACTGAAAAATTCCACCAAATAACTATAAATTTCACTTTTAGATGGATATTAGAATTTATAAAATATGTCTAGTGACTTAATTGTATACTATTTAACAATTACAAGACTATTATAACATATTTAATTAACAGAATTGAAACAAGTATTTGTTGAAAAACAAAGAACATTTTAAACAACTAATTAATAGTATTTTCAAAAGAGCTCGACAAATGTATTAGCCATATGAAATTGAAATAAATAAAAAGCAATTAAGTTTCCAAATGTTAAAAAAGTTCTACTTCTATATGATTCTCGTCTAAGGTGAAAGCAATGATATAAGTTCAACTATGTAAGAAAAAGTTTTAAAAATTGCATTTATGACCACTTCTTATATTCCAACACTTTGTGTTGATAATGCAACTAAACTTCTTTAAAAATCTCTTTCTTTGATTACCATTTAGCATCAATTATATGGAAATCTTTTACAACTTCAATATCTTTTAAGGGACAGACAATTAATGGTCCATTTTACAGAATAATAGAGCTAAACTATATTGAGTGAAATAAGATACAGTTACATGGGAATAAGGATGGCATTACCAACCGAAACTGGCTGATTTTAGTATAGAAATATGACTCATAAAATTTCATACAATTTAAGACTAACCATTAAGTTGAATTGATAATTATATTTAGAGATCAATTCTAAAATGCTAATTAAAATACTATTGAAAATCTTTTCAGTATGAGATTTTCATATATTCTACTTTATTATGCTTCAAACGTGGTAAATTGCTAAGGAATGGAGTTATTTTCTAAGAGTTTCTATCTGTGCTGAGCTCAAAAGAATGCCCACTCTCCATAAATAAAAAGTAAACAAAGGAAATGCATCAGAAAGTTGGAAAATAGTTTCATCATGCTTCTGAAGAAATTTCTTGATTTCTTGGTCATCATGACCTATACTTGAAGTGTTGCCTTCTTCGGTTTCCTTTTGAAGAAGCTGCTCCAGAACCCAGAACAGGTAGAAAATGTTTTCATAGCGTGACACATCATAACTGGCTTGCTCCTACAAATAAACAACAAACTCCTTTAAAAAATTGGGTATAAATTACCTAAGAAAAATGTCATATAAAGATATCAGAGTTTCAGGCAAACGAAATATATTTGAAATATTTAACACCTTCTGTCATCCTGTCACTGGTGAACAAGGGGGAAATAAAAAACATTTCCTTTATTCAAAGACTTTACAATCATGGTGAATGACTTTTCTTTCTTGCTGTTTCATGAAGCTCCAAATCCTTTCCCTGCATTCTTGCAGAGAATACTCAAATGAATCTGAGAATACTTGGCAAGGGGTCTTAACAGTGACTTGGCAAGGAGTCATACCAGTGTTAAATTCAATCTTTTGCCAAAACTTTTGAATTCATGGTACTTATTTTGATATAAAACAATCCCAGAGTAGTAGGTTCATCATCTATAGGGGAATAGATGTGATATCATACTGAATCTTCCTGATACAACTCAACTCAGGGAGGGGTAGCATTGAATCATATACATAGTCATGAGAAGAAATGTAGATGCATCTTGTAGAACTTTTAATTTGGACTAGATGGTTGAATGTGAGATAGATAAGTCAAGTCACAGAAAGGCCTAAAAACTAGACAATAGCAAGCATAAAATGAGAGAATGGCAGAATCAGTATAAAAATGAAAACTGGCTTTATCATTAGCTAATTAATTAAGAAATGTGTCAGAAGCCCTATGAGGTGAGCAGATAGTTTATCACTATTCCACAGTCAAGGAAATGGATCCTCTGAAAAGTAGACTAATTAGAACTCAAATCCACAGAACTTTTTTTATTTTCCTGGTACATTTTTGTTCAAATTCATTAAGAAAGTATTAACATTGAGAAAAAAAGAAAACTCCTTTGGGAACATTTACGAAATATTTTCACTGTATTAATACAAAAATGAAAGAACATTCTTTTAGAGTTGAGACAAATATATTCTTCAACAAGGTGACCCAATAAGCAGAGTAAGATATATACAGGCATACCTCATTTTAGTGTGCTTTACATTATTGTACCTCCCAGATATTGCAATTTTTTCAAATTGAAGGTTTGTGGCAACCCTGCATCAAACTAGTCTATCAGAGTCATTTTTCCAACATGTGCTCACTTTGTATCTGTGTCACATACTGGTAATTATCACAATATTTCAAATTTTTCACTGTTACTTTATCTGTTACAGTGATCTGCAATCAGTCATCCATGATGTTACTACTTTGTTTTGAGATACCACAAACCATGCCCATATCAGATGGTGAACTTAACTGATAAGTGTGTGTGTTCTGACTGCTTCACCAATTGGCCATTACCTATCTCCCTTACTCTCCTTAGGCCTCCTTATTCTCTGAGACAAAACAATATTGAAATCAGGCCAATTAATAACCCTACAAATGGCCTCTAAGTGTTCAAGTGAAAGAAAGAGTTGCCTATCTCCAATTTTAAATCAAAAGCTAGAAATCATTAAGCTTAGTGAAGAAGGCATGTCAAAATCTGAGACAGGCCAAAAGCTAGGACTTGTGCCAAAGTTAACCAAGTTGTAAATTCAAAGAAAGAGTTCTTGAAGGAAATTAAAAGTAAAGTTCTCTTCCACTGAACACACAAATAATAAGAAGGGGAAACAGCCCGACTGGTAACATGGAAAAAATTGTAGTGGCCTGAATACAAGACCAAACCAATCACAATATTCACTTAAGCCAATACCTGAACCAGAGAAAAGGCCTAACTCTTCAATTTTATGAAGGCTGAGCAAAGTGAGGAAGCTACAGAACAAAACTCACTCTGAAGATAGATAGCAGAGGCTGGTTCAGGAGGCTTAGGGAAGAAGCCACCTTTATAACATAAAATTACAAGGTGAAGCAACAAATGCTGATATAGAAGCTGCAGAAAGTTATCAAGAAGTTATAGGTAAGATAATAAATGAAGGTGGCTACACTAAATAACAGTTGTTCAATGTGGATGAAACAGCCTTCTACTGAAAGAAGATGCCGTCTAGGAATTTTGTAGCTACAGGGGAGAAATAAATGCTGAGCTTCAAAGGATTGGCTGACTTTACTGTTAAAGATTAATGCAGTTGGTGTCTTGAAGTTGAAGCCAGTGCACATTTACCATTTCAACAATTCTGGAATCCTTAAGTATTTATTATGCTAAATCTACTCTGGCTGCAATCTATCAATAAAACAACAAGCCTGGATGAAAGCATTGTTTACTGAATATTTTAAGCCTACTGTTGAGACTTACAGCTCAGAAGAAAAGATTCCTTTCAAAAGATTACTGCTCATTGACAACACACCTGATCATCCAAAAGCTCTGATGGATGCATAAAGAGATTAATGTTTTAATGTCTACAAACACATCTATTTTGCAGCCCATGGCTCAAGAGTAATTTTTGTTTATAAGTCTTATTTAAGAAACTTATTTTATAAGGCTATAGCTAACATGGATATTGATTCCTCTGATGAATATGGGCAAAGTAAATTGGAAACCTTCCGGAAGGGATTCACCATTCTAGATGTCATTAAGAAAATGTGTAATTCATGAAAGAAATACAAAATATCAATATTAACAGGAGTTTGGAAGAATTATTGAATGACTTTGATGGCTTCAAGACTTCAGTGGAGGAAGTCACTGCAGATGCGGTGAAAATAGCAAGTGGAATAGAATTAGAGGTGGATCTATTGAGATAATCATGTGGTTTTTGTCTTTGGCTCTGTTTATATGCTGTATTACATTTATTGATTTGCGTATATTGAAACAGCCTTGCATCCCACGGATGAAGCCCACTTGATCATGGTGGATAAGCTTTTTGATGTGCTGCTGGATTCGATTTGCCAGAATTTTGTTGAGGATTTTTGCATCAATGTTCATCAAGGATATTGGTCTAAAATTCTCTTTTTTGGTGGTGTCTCTGCCAGGCTTTGGTATCAGAATGATGCTGGCCTCATAAAATGAGTTAGGGAGGATTCCCTCTTTTTCTATTGATTGGAATAGTTTCAGAAGGAATGGTACCAGTTCCTCCTTGTACCTCTGGTAGAATTCGGCTGTGAATCCATCTGGTCCTGGACTCTTTTTGGTTGGTAAACTATTGATTATTGCCACAATTTCAGCTCCTGTTATTGGTCTATTCAGAGATTCAACTTCTTCCTGGTTCAGTCTTGGGAGAGTGTATGTGTCGAGGAATTTATCCATTTCTTCTAGATTTTCTAGTTTATTTGCGTAGAGGTGTTTGTAGCATTCTCTGATGGTAGTTTGTATTTCTGTGGGATCGGTGGTGATATCCCCTTTATCATTTTTTATTGCGTCTATTTGATTCTTCTCTCTTTTTTTCTTTATTAGTCTTGCTAGAGGTCTATCAATTTTGTTGATCCTTTCAAAAAACCAGCTCCTGGATTCATTAATTTTTTGAAGGGTTTTTTGTGTCTCTATTTCCTTCAGTTCTGCTCTGATTTTAGTTATTTCTTGCCTTCTGCTAGCTTTTGAATGTGTTTGCTCTTGCTTTTGTAGTTCTTTTAATTGTGATGTTAGGGTGTCAATTTTGGATCTTTCCTGCTTTCTCTTGTGGGTATTTAGTGCTATAAATTTCCCTCTACACACTGCTTTGAATGCATCCCAAAGATTCTGGTATGTTGTGTCTTTGTTCTCGTTGGTTTCAAAGAACATCTTTATTTCTGGCTTCATTTCGTTATGTATCCAGTAGTCATTCAGGAGCAGGTTGTTCAGTTTCCATGTAGTTGAGCGGTTTTGAGTGAGATTCTTAATCCTGAGTTCTAGTTTGATTGCATTGTGGTCTGAGAGATAGTTTGTTATAATCTCTGTTCTTTTACATATGCTGAGGAGAGCTTTACTTCCAAGTATGTGGTCAATTTTGGAATAGGTGTGGTGTGGTGCTGAAAAAAATGTATATTCTGTTGATTTGGGGTGGAGAGTTCTGTAGATGTCTATTAGGTCCGCTTGGTGCAGAACTGAGTTCAATTCCTGGGTATCCTTGTTGACTTTCTGTCTTGTTGATCTGTCTAATGTTGACAGTGGGGTGTTAAAGTCTCCCATTATTAATGTGTGGGAGTCTAAGTCTCTTTGTATGTCACTCAGGACTTGCTTTATAATTCAACAACCCTTCATGCTAAAAACTCTCAATAAATTAGGTATTGATGGGACGTATTTCAAAATAATAAGTGCTATCTATGAGAATCCCACAGCCAATATCATACTGAATGGGCAAAAACTGGAAGCATTCTCTTTGAAAACTGGCACAAGACAGGGATGCCCTCTCTCACCACTCCTATTCAACATAGTATTGGAAGTTCTGGCCAGGGCAATTAGGCAGGAGAAGGAAATAAAGGGTATTCAATTAGGAAAAGAGGAAGTCAAATTGTCCCTGTTTGCAGATGACATGATTGTATATCT
This sequence comes from Homo sapiens, assembly GCF_000001405.40. Taxonomy (NCBI): domain Eukaryota; kingdom Metazoa; phylum Chordata; class Mammalia; order Primates; family Hominidae; genus Homo; species Homo sapiens. Next base: position 77,918,688 of record NC_000006.12, on the reverse strand, counting down.
GGAAAACCCCATTGTCTCAGCCCAAAATCTCCTTAAGGTGATAAGCAACTTCAGCAAAGTCTCAGGATACAAAATCAATGTACAAAAGTCACAAGCATTCTTATACACCAACAACAGACAAACAGAGAGCCAAATCATGAGTGAACTCCCATTCACAATTGCTTCAAAGAGAATAAAATACCTAGGAATCCAACTTACAAGGGATGTGAAGGACCTCTTCAAGGAGAACTACAAACCACTGCTCAAGGAAATAAAAGAGGATACAAACAAATGGAAGAACATTCCATGCTCATGGGTAGGAAGAATCAATATCATGAAAATGGCCATACTGCCCAAGGTAATTTACAGATTCAATGCCATCCCCATCAAGCTACCAATGACTTTCTTCACAGAATTGGAAAAAACTACTTTAAAGTTCATATGGAACCAAAAAAGAGCCTGCATCGCCAAGTCAATCCTAAGCCAAAAGAACAAAGCTGGAGCCATCATACTACCTGACTTCAAACTATACTACAAGGCTACAGTAACCAAAACAGCATGGTACTGGTACCAAAACAGAGATATAGATCAATGGAACAGAACAGAGCCCTCAGAAATAACGCCACATATCTACAACTATCTGATCTTTGACAAACCTGAGAAAAACAAGCAATGGGGAAAGGATTCCCTATTTAATATATGGTGATGGGAAAACTGGCTAGCCATATGTAGAAAGCTGAAACTGGATCCCTTCCTTACACCTTATACAAAAATCAATTCAAGATGGATTAAAGACTTAAACGTTAGACCTAAAACCATAAAAACCCTAGAAGAAAACCTAGGCATTACCATTCAGGACATAGGCATGGGCAACGACTTCATGTCCAAAACACCAAAAGCAATGGCAAGAAAAGACAAAATTGACAAATGGTATCTCATTAAACTAAAGAGCTTCTGCACAGCAAAAGAAACTACCATCAGAGTGAACAGGCAACCTACAAAATGGGAGAAAATTTTTGCAACCTACTCATCTGACAAAGGGCTAATATCCAGAATCTACAATGAACTCAAACAAATTTACAAGAAAAAAACAACCCCATCAAAAAGTGGGCAAAGGACATGAACAGACACTTCTCAAAAGAAGACACTTATGCAGCCAAAAAACACATGAAAAAATGCTCACCATCACTGGCCATCAGAGAAATGCAAATCAAAACCACAATGAGATACCATCTCACACCAGTTAGAATGGCAATCATTAAAAAGTCAGGAAACAACAGGTGTTGGAGAGGATGTGGAGAAATAGGAACACTTTTACACTGTTGGTGGGACTGTAAACTAGTACAACCATTGTGGAAGTCAGTGTGGCGATTCCTCAGGGATCTAGAACTAGAAATACCATTTGACCCAGCCATCCCATTACTGGGTATATACCCAAAGGACTATAAATCATGCTGCTATAAAGACACATGCACACGTATGTATATTGCGGCATTATTCACAATAGCAAAGACTTGGAACCAAGCCAAATGTCCAACAATGATAGACTGGATTAAGAAAATGTGGCACATATACACCACGGAATACTATGCAGCCATAAAAAATGATGAGTTCATGTCCTTTGTAGGGACATGGATGAAATTGGAAATCATCATTCTCAGTAAACTATCGCAAGAACAAAAAACCAAACACCGCATATTCTCACTCATAGGTGGGAATTGAACAATGAGATCACACGGACACAGGAAGGGGAATATCACACTCTGGGGACTGTGGTGGGGTGGGGGTAGGGGGGGAGGGATAGCATTGGGAGATATACCTAATGCTAGATGACGAGTTAGTGGGTGCAGTGCACCAGCATGCCACATGTATACATATGTAACTAACCTGCACAATGTGCACATGTACCCTAAAACTTAAAGTATAATATTAAAAAAAAAAAAGAATTAGAGGTGCAGCCTGAAAATGTGACTGAATTGATGCAATCTCATAATAAAACTTGAATGGATACATACTGGTTTCTAATGGATAAGCAAAGAAAGTGGGTTCTTGATATGGGATCTTCTTTTGGTTAAGATGCTATAAACATTGTTGACAACAAAGATTTGGAATACTATGTAAAATTAGTAGGTAAAGCCATGGAGGAAATAAGAAACAATACTAATACTGCTTAGAGCTGAGGAAATCATAAGAAGACCACACAATGCATGCTCCCAGAATCTGATCAACATCAACCAAACTAACCAACACCATGTGCCTAATATAACCAAAATAATGGAATTATCTTTAGGAAAAAGTCATCTACTAAAAAAACAAATTTCAAAAATGGGAAAAGCAACTGATATACCAGATGTTCAGATATCAAACTAAGGACACAAGATACATGATAAAAGGAAAGATTTTGCCACTAAACACAGTAATTCTCCAGCAACAATTTATTATGGAAAATAAATTTATGAAATCCTGGAAAAAGAATTCAAAATATCAATTTTAAAAAAAGCTCAGTGAGATAGAACACAGATAGACAATACAAAGAAATCAGAAAAAGTAATTCATGATATGAATGAGAAATGTATCAATGAGATAGATAGCATTAAAAAGAACTTAAATTTTAGAACCGAATAATTCATTGAATAAAACACAAAATATATTTGAAAGCTTCAATCAACTAGGTCAAGCAGAATTAAAAAATCCAGAACTTGAAAATAGGTTTTTTGAAACAACCCAGTCAGACAAAAATAAAGATGACAGAATGAAAAAGAATGAATAAAGAATATGTGACATTGGCACCATGATAAAGGAAACAAATATTTGAATTTCCAGTGACCCCCAAATGCAAAGAGAGAACAAAAGGGAGAGAAAAGCAATTTAACAAAATAATAGCTGAAAACTTCTCAAGTCTAAAAAGATATTTAGACAGCCAAACACAGGAAGCTCAGAGATCCCCAAAGAGACAGAATTAAAAAAGATCTTCCCTACTGTATATTACATTGCAGTAAAAAGAAACAAAGAAGGTCATTATATAATTATAAAGGGACCAATTAGAAAGAAGATATAACAATTCTAAACACATATGCACCCAACACTAGATCACCCAGATACATGTAGTAATACTTATATCCGATAAAACTGTCAAAAGTCAAAGGCAAAGAGAGCAATAGCAAGAGAAAAGCCCATGGTCACTTTTAATGAACACTCACCATATGAACAGTGGATTTCTAAGCAGAAACCTTACAGGACAGGAGAGAAGAGGATGATTTATTCAAAGTCTAAAAAAAGGAAAAAACCTGCCAGTCAAGAATAACATACCCAATAAAGGAAGTCTTCATAAAGAGAAATTAAGTATTTCCCAGACAAGCAAAATCTCATGAGACTCATCACCATTAGACTGGCCCTACAAGAAATGCTGAAAGGAGTCCTACAACCAGAAGTGAAATGAAGATATCTACCATTATGGAAATACACAAAGGTTTATTATGAACTAGTAGAGCAAACAAATAAGGAAGACAAAGGACTTAAATGTTACCGATACAGAAAACTGCCAAATCACAATAGAAAGCAAATAGATAAAAGGAAAGGAAGGAAAGACACACAAACAGCCAGAAACCAATTAGTAAAATGGCAGGAATAAGCCATCACATATTAATAACAACCTTGAATATAAACAAATTAAACTTTCCACTTAAAAGATATAGATCAGCTGAATGGATTTAAAAACATAACCCCACTATATGCTGCTTACAAGAAACTCATCTCACCTGTAAAGACACATATAGACTGAAAATAAAGGTATAGAAAAAATATTCAATGCAAATAGAAGTGAAAAGTAGCAGGAGAAGTGATACTTTGATAAAATAGACTTTAAGTCAAAAAAAAGTGAAGTCAATCTATATGATAAAAGTACAATACACCACGAAGATAGGACAATTTTAAACATATATGTACCCAACACCATTGTCTACAGATATACAAAGCAAATATTATTAGATCTAAGGGGAGAGATAGGTTACAATACTCTAATAGTTGGGAACTTCAACAACCAACTCTAAGCATTAGACGGATTATCTAGACAGAAAATCAACAAAGAAACATTGGATTTAAACTGAACATAGACCAAATGGACCTAACAGACACTTACAGAACATTTCTTCCATGAATATAAGTTATTCTTATCAGCACATGAAATATCCCCCAGGATTGACCATGTTAGAACACAAAAGTCTTAAAAATCTAAAAAAAAATTAGTATTAAGTATCTTCTGTGACCACAGTGGAATAAAATATAAAATCAGTAAAAAGAAGAACTTTAGAAACTGTACAAATACATTCAAATTAAATAATATGTGCCTGAATGAGCATTAGGTCAAGAAAATATTAGGGAGAAAATTAAAAAATGTCTTGAAACAAATAAAAATCAATACGCAACATATCAAAACATGGGATATAGCAAAAGCAGTACTGAAAGGAAAGTTTATAGTAATAAAAGTCTACATAAAAAGGTAGAAAGATTTCAAACAATCTAATGATATAGCTCAATAAACAAACTAGGAAAACAAGAATAAACCAAATTCACCCTTAATAGAAAAAAAAAACTAATAAAGATCAAGCAGAACTGATGATGAAATAGAAACTCATATAAACAATATAAAACATCAACGAAAGTTTTTTTTTTTTTTCTTGAAACAGTTTCACTCTGCTGGCCAGGATGGAGTGCAGTGGCATGATCTTGGCTCACTGCAAGCTCCACCTCCTGGATTCACGCCATTCTCCTGCCTTAGCCTCTGGAGTAGCTGGGACTACAGGTGCCCGCCACCACACTCAGCTAATTTTTTTGTATTTTTAGTAGAGACGGGGTTTCACTGTGTTAGCCAGGATGGTCTCAATCTCCTGACCTCGTGATCTGCCTGCCTTGCCTCCCAAAGTGCTGGGATTACAGGAGTGAGCCACCGTGCCCGGGCTCAACAAAAGTTTTTCTAAAAAAAAAAAAACTAAACAAAATCGATAATCTGTTATCTAGACTAACCAAGGAAACAAAGGTAGAATATCCAAATAAATACAAGCAGAAATGAAAAGGGAGACATTGCAACAGATACCATAGAAATACAAAAGATCATCACAGACAATTATGAACAACTATACATTAACAAAATGGATAATCTCGAGGAGATAAATAAATTCCTGGACACAAACAACCTGCCAAAAATGATTCAGAAAGAAATAGAAAACTTTAACAGATCAATCACAAGTAATGAAATTGTATCAGTAATAAAAACATCTTCTAACAACACAAAAAGTTCAGGACTGGATGGCTTCACTGTTGAACTCTACCAAACTTATAAAGAATAACACAAATTATCCTCAAACTATTCCAAACAACTGAAGAGGAGTGAATTCTCCCTAATTCGTTCTAAGAGACCAGTTATTACCCTACTACCAAATTCAGCAAAGAAGTAACAAATAAATAAAACTACAGGTCAATAAACATAATGAACACAGTTGCAAACATAATCAACAATATGCTAGAAAACCAAATACACAGCGCATCAAAAGGAAAATACACTGCGATCAAGTAGAATTCATCCCAGAAATGCAAGGATAGTTCAATACATTACACCAATGGAATAAAGGACAAAACCCATGTGATCATCTCAATAGATGCAGATAAAACATTTGATTACATTCAACATCTTTTCATAATGGGAAAGTTCAATAAACTAGTCATAGAAGGAACATACTTCAACATAATAAAGGCCATATATGATACTCCCACAGCTGCTAACATCAGACTGAATGGAGAAATTCTGAAAGCTTTTCCTCTTGCTACTGGAACAAGACAAAGATACCTAGTTTAACTCTAATATTTTTATTCCACATAGTACTAGAAGTCCTAACCAGAGCAATTAGGCAAGAGAAATAAATAAAATGCATCCAAATTGGAAAAGAGGAAGTCAAACTGTTCCTTTAGGCAAATGATATCTTTTATCTAGAAAAACCTAATGCCCACCAAAAACTCTTAGATCTAATAAACTCAGTAAAGTTGGAGAAAACTGAAACAATATACAAATCCCTGTAGAATTTCTAGACACTAATAACCAACTTATTGAGAAAGATATCAAGATGGTAATCCCATTTAAAATACTACAAAAATTACCCCCCAAAAAAAACATGTAACCACAGTGGTTAAAGGCCTTTACAAGGACAACTACAGACTACTGATAACAAAAATGGAAGAAAACACAAATAAATGGACAGGCATCTCATACTCATGGATAGGAATAATTAACATTGAAATGATCATATTACTCTAATCTACAGATTCAATACAATCCTTTTTAAAATACCAATATCATTTTTCGTATAAATAGAAACAATCCTAAAATTCACATGGAAACAAAAAGGAGCCCAAATATCCAAAGCAATCCCGAGGAAAAAGAGCAAAGCTAGAGGGATCACACTACCTGACTTCAAAATATATTACAATGATTAAGTAATCAAAACAATATAGTATTGGTATAAAAGCAAACATAGACTAATTGAACAGAATAACAAATGCAGAAATAATTCCATATATTCACAGCCAAGTGACGTTCAACAATGATATCAAGAACATCCACTGGGAAAAGGACACCCACATTAGTAAATGATGTTAAATAAGTTGTATATCCATATGTGGAAGAATGAAAATGGACCCCACTACCTCTCCATATACAAAATTCAACTCAAGATCAATTAAAGACTTAAATATAAGCCATGAAGCTATGAAACAACTAGAAGAAAGCAGAGAAAACACTTCAGGACATTTTTCTAGGCAAAGATTTTAAGGCAAAGACCTCAAAAACACAGGCAACAACATCAAAAAGATAAATGCACTCACGTGTTCATCAAAGCACTATTCACAATAGCAAATACATGGAGTCAACCTGGATGCCCATCAACAGTGGACTGGATAAAGAAGATGTATTTATATATATATATATTATATATATAAATAAAATATATGTATTATATACATAATATATGCATTATATATATCATGGAATACTATTGCAGCTATAAAAAGAGAACAAAATCATGTCTTTTGCAGCAGTGCAAATGCAGCTAGAGGCCATTACCTAAGCAAATTAATTAATGCAGGAACAGAAAACCAAATACCACACATTTTCACATATAAGTGGAAGCTAAACATTGAGTACACATGAACAGCAAGATGGGAAAAATAGACACCAGGGACTACTATAGCAGGTAGGGTCAGAAGGAGGGGGTAATACCTGAACAACTACCTATTGGGTACCGTGCTCACTACCTCAGTGAAAAGATCATTTGTATACCAAACTGCAGTGACACAGAAATTATCCATGTAATAAACTTGCATATGTACCCTGTGAAGCTAAAGTAAAAGTTAGAAAACAAAAAACAAAAAAATAGTTGAATTGGACTATATTGAACTAAGAAGATTCTGCATAGCAAAGGAAACCATCAAGAGGGCAGAGGTAACTTACAGAATGAGAGAATATATTTGCCAACTACTTATCTAAATAAATGGACTAATATCCAGAGTATGCAAGAAACTCAAGCAATGCAACAATAAAAAATAAATAATCCAAGTAATAAGTGGGCAAAGGACATGAACCAACATGCCTTAGGAGGAGACATACAAATGGGTAACAGTTATACAAAAAAATGCTCAATGTAATCATCAGGGAAATGCAAATAAAAACTACAATGTGATCCGTCTCATTCCAGTTAGAATGGCTATGATTAAGAAGACAAAAAAAAAAAAAAAAACCAGAAGCTGGTGAGAATGTGGATAAAAAGGAATGTTTATGTACTGTTAGTAGGAATGCAAATTAGTGTAGCCATGGAAAGCAGTATGGTGATTTCTCAAAAAAACAAAAAATAGAATTACAATATAATCCACCAATCCAACTACTATTTGTCCAAAGGAAATTAAATCAGTATCTCAAAAGGATACCTGCATCACCATGTTCACTGGAACCCTATTCACAATAGCCAATACCCAATTCGTGAAGAAACTCATTGGTAGCTTGATGGGGATGGCATTGAATCTATAAATTACTTTGGGCTGTATGGCCATTTTCACAATATTGATTCTTCCTACCCATGAGCGTGGAATGTTCTTCCATTTGTTTGTATCCTCTTTTATTTCATTGAGCAGTTGTTTCTAGTTCTCCTTGAAGAGGTCCTTCACGTCCCTTGTAAGTTGGATTCCTAGGTATTTTATTCTCTTTGAAGCAATTGTGAATGAGAGTTCACTCATGATTTGGCTCTCTGTTTGTTATTGGTGTATAAGAATGCTTGTGATTTTTGCACATTGATTTTGAATCTTGAGACTTTGCTGAAGTTGCCTATCAGCTTAAGAAGATTTTGGGCTGAGACAATGGGGTTTTCTAGTTATACAATCATGTCATCTGCAAACAGGGACAACTTGACTTCCTCTTTTCCTAATTGAATGCCCTTTATTTCCTTCTCCTGCCTGATTGCCCTGGCCAGAACTTCCAACACTATGTTGAATAGGAGTGCTGAGAGAGGGCATCCCTGTCTTGTGCCAGTTTTCAAAGGGAATGCTTCCAGTTTTTGCCCATTCAGTATGATACTGGCTGTGGGTTTGTCATAGACAGCACTTATTATTTTGAGATACGTCCCATCAATACCTAATTTATTCAGAGTTTTTAGCATGAAGGTTGTTGAATTTTGTCAAAGGCCTTTTCTGCATCTATTGAGATAATCATGTGGTTTTTGTCTTTGGTTCTATTTATATGCTGGATTACATTTATTGATTTGCATATGTTGAACCAGCCTTGCATCCCAGGGATGAAGCCCACTTGATCATGGTGGATAAGCTTTTTGATGTACTACTGGATTCGGTTTGCCAGTATTTTATTGAGGATTTTTGCATGGATGTTCATCAGGGATATTGGTCTAAAATTCTCTTTTTTTGTTGTGTCTCTGCCAGGCTTTGGTATCAGGATGATGCTGGCCTCATGAAATGAGTTAGGGAGGATTCCCTCTTTTTCTATTGATTGGAATAGTTTCAGAAAGAATGGTACCAGTTCCTCCTTGTACGTCTGGTAGAATTTGGCTGTGAATCCATCTGGTCCTGGACTTTTGTTGGTTGGTAAGCTATTAAATATTGCCTCAATTTCAGAGCCTGTTACTGGTCTATTCAGAGATTCAACTTCTTCCTGGTTTAGTCTTGGGAGGGTGTATGTGCTGAGGAATTCATTCATTTCTTTTACATTTTCTAGTTTATTTGCATAGAGGTGTTTATAGTATTCTCTGATGGTAGTTTGTATTTCTGTGGGATCGGTGGTGATATCCCCTTTATCATTTTTTATTGCGTTTGTTTGACTCTTCTCTCTTTTCTTCTTTAGTAGTCTTGCTAGCGGTCTATCAGTTTTGTTGATCTTTTCAAAAAACCAGCTCCTGGATTCACTGATTTTTTTGAAGGGTTTTTTGTGTCTCTATCCATGTAGTTGAGCGGTTTTGAGTGAGTTTCTTAATCCTGAGTTCTAGTTTGATTGCACTGTGGTCTGAGAGACATTTTATTATAATTTCTGTTCTTTTACATTTGCTGAGGAGTGCTTTAGTTCCAACTATGTGGTCAATTTTGGAATAGGTGTGGTGTGGTGCTGAAAAGAATGTATATGCTGTTGATTTGGGGTGGAGAGTTCTGTAGATGTCTATTAGGTCTGCTTGGTGCAGAGCTGAGTTCAGTTCTGGATATCCTTGTTAACTTTCTGTCTCGTTGTTCTGTCTAATGTTGACAGTGGGGTGTTAAAGTCTCCCATTATTACTGTGTGGGAGTCTAAGTCTCTCTCTTTGTAGGTATCTAAGGACTTGTTTTATGAATCTGGGTGCTCCTGTATTGGGTACATATATATTTAGGAGAGTTAGCTCTTCTTGTTGAATTGATCCCTTTACCATTATGTAATGGCCTTCTTTGTCTCTTTTGATCTTTGTTGGTTTAAAGTCTGTTTTATCAGAGACTAAGATTGCAACCCCTGCCTTTTTTTGTTTTCCATTTGCTACTTTAAAGTTCATATGGAACCAAAAAAGAGCCCACATTGCCAAGTCAATCCTAAGCCAAAAGAACAAAGCTGGAGGCATCATGCTACCTGACTTCAAACTATACTACAAGGCTACAGTAACCAAAACAGCATGATACTGGTACGAAAACAGAGATATAGACCAATGGAACAGAACAGAGCCCTCAGAAATAATGCCGCATATCTACAACCAACTGATCTTTAAAAACCTGACAAAAACAAGAAATGGGGAAACGATTCCCTATTTAATAAATGGTGCTGGGAAAACTGGCTAACCATATGTAGAAAGCTGAAACTGGATCCCTTCCTTACACCTTATACAAAAATTAATTCAAAATGGATTAAAGACTTAAATGTTAGACCTAAAACCATAAAATCCCTAGAAGAAAACCTAGGCAATACCATTCAGTACATAGGCATGGGCAAGGACTTCATGGCTAAAACACCAAAAGCAATGGCAACAAAAGCCAAAATTGACAAATGGGATCTAATTAATCTAAAGAGTTTCTGCACAGCAAAAGAAACTACCATCAGAGTGAATAGGAAACTTACAGAATGGGAGAAAATTTTTGCAATCTACTCATCTGACAAAGGGCTAATATCCAGAATCTACAATGAACTCAAACAAATTTACAAGAAAAAAAAAAAAACCCCATCAACAAGTGCGTGAAGGATATGAACAGACACTTCTCAAAAGAAGACATTTATGCAGCCAAAAGACAAATGAAAACACGCTCGTCATCACTGGCCATCAGAGAAATGCAGATCAAAACCACAATGAGATACCATCTCATACCAATGAGAATGGTGATCATTAAAAAGTTAGGAAACAACAGGTGCTGGAGAGGATGTGGAGAAATAGGAGCACTTTTACACTGTTGGTGGGACTGTAAAGTAGTTCAACCATTGTGGCAGTCAGTGTGGAAGTCAGTTCTAGATTCCTCAGGGATCTAGAACTAGAAATACCATTTGACCCAGCCATCCCATTACTGGGTATATACCCAAAGGATTATAAAACATGCTGCTATAAGGACACATGCACACATATGTTTATTGCAGCACTATTCCCAATAGCAAAGACTTGGAACCACGCCAAATGTCCAACAATGATAGACTGGATTAAGAAAATGTGGCACATATACACCATGGAATACTATGCAGCTGTAAAAAATGATGAGTTCATGTCCTTTGTAGGGACATGGATGAAGCTGGAAACCATCATTCTCAGCAAACTATCACAAGGACAAAAAACCAAACACTGCATGTTCTCACTCATAGGTGGGAATTGAACAATGAGAACACATGGACACAGGAAGGGGAACATCACACACCGGGTCCTGTTGTGGAGTGCGGGGAGGGGGAAGGGATAGCATTTGGAGATATACCTAATGTTAAATGAAGAGTTAATGGGTGCAACACACCAACATGGCACATGTACACATATGTAACAAACCTGCATGTTATGCACATGTACCCTAAAACTCAAAGTATATTTAAAAAAAATGGCTAGTAATTCAATATTCTCCCATGTTTTATTTTGCCTGAGTGAAAAAAATCTTGCTATTTCAAAATAAAGTTTTCAGTTTAACCATACCTTAAAAAAAAAAATAGCCAAGATCTAGAATCTATCTGAGCATCTATCAACATAAGAATGTATAAATGTCTCAGACGCTGTAGTGCACAGTCATACAGAGCTAGTTCAGATGTTTCTCTTTGAAGCCATGGTCTCTTGAGCATACCCATGCTTTGGGTTAAGCATAGCAGCCATAGAGAGCTACATCTACAGCGAACTCTGAGCCTGCCTGTCCTCTCTTTCTTGACTTCCCAGGTGTTTCATAATCACCCATGCCTTGCATACAGTTACCAATGTGGCAATGGATGCACCTGTGCCCTAAGCCCAGTGCCATTACTGCCCCAGACTCCAGAGTCAGTATTCCCTCCCTGCAAGCCTATATGTTAGGCCTCAGCCCTATGCTTGACCAACTCATCGGACTCCAGTGCCACCACGGATATAAAAGGGCTAGCAAACTTAACCCAATGCCAAAATGGATTTATTCAATTACAACTTCTCCAGCAGGAAAATAAAAGACTGAAAGGACCCTAGTAGTGATTGTTATTAAAGGTCCCAGCAATTCTCATCACAACTGTAGATATCCACAGTGTTTGCTGCTAAGGATACATGCAATCTTCATCAACCTTGACATCAGTTGATAGAACTATACAGAGACTATGCAACTTTGCCCTTGGTGCTGGAACCTCTGAACTCCAACTAGCAAGCACCGCTGTACACACCCACCCCATAAGGCATGATCTTTCAACACCAAAACTAGTATGCAGAGTCTGAATAAATGACTTCTCCACCAAATGTGCAGACATCAGCACAAAGCAACAAGAAACATTAAAAACCAAAGAGGCATATCACCACAAAGACCACGATAATTTAGTAGTTGCCCCAAAGAAATGGAGATGTGCAAATTTTCTGAGAAATAATTAAAAATAATTATTTTAAGGAAGCTCAGCACAGTTTAAGAAAATACACAGAATTAGTTTATTGAAATCGGGATAACAATTAAAAAATGATAAATTTTACAGAGATATTAAAATTGTATTAAAAAAGGAAAATTCCGGGGCTGAAAATACAATAAATAAAAAACAATATTTTCAATAGCAGAATGCATCAAGTAGGAAAAAAGATTTAGAGACAAGTTATTTGAAAATATGCGAAGAAGAGAAGAAAACTGAATTTATGGAACAAAATGAAAAGATCAAGTATTGTAAATTATGAGTTAAAGAAGAGAAAAAAATATAAAGGGACAGAAATCTTATATTATTAAAAAAAAAAAAAGCTGGCCCGGCTCAGTGGCTCACGCCTGTAATCTCAGCACTCTGGGAGGCCGAGGTGGGCAGATCACAAGGTCAGGAGATCAAGACCATCCTGGCTAACACAGTGAAACCCAATCTCTACTAAACATACAAAAAATTAGCTAGGCATGCTGGCACACATCTGTAGTCCCAGCTACTCAGGAGGCTGAGGCAGGAGATTCACTTGAACCTGGGAGGCGGAGGTTGCAGTGAGCTGAGATCGTGCCACTGCACTCCAGCCTGGGAGACAGAGTGAGACTCTGCCACAAAAAAAAAAAAAAAAAAAAAAAAAAAAAAAAAAAAAAAGCTGAAAATTTATACAATCTATAGAAAGATATAAATTTTCTGATATATAAATGGCAAAGGTGTCTAATTACATTCAATCCAAATAAAACTGTACAAGACATATTATAGCCATGGATTCAAAAATCAAAGTCAAAGAGAGGATCATGAGAGTAGCAAGAAAAAGAAGCATATCACATACTGAAAAAGGAGTTTTTAGTAAGGCTATGAACAGAATTTTTAGAGGTCAGAAGAGAGAGATGATGTATACAAAATGCCCAGAAAAAACAAACAATCCCCCCAAAACAACAACAACAGCAAACTGCCAACCGAGACTAATTTATCTGGCAAAGCGGTCTTTCAGAAATGAATAAGAGATAAAGACTTCCCCAGACAAAAGTGAGAGAGTTTATCAACCCCCAGAACTGTCTTAAAAATTGTGAAAAGGAGTTATTTAAGGTAAGAAAATGATGCTATTAGTAACCTAAAACATGAAAGTATAAAACTCACTGGTAAAAAGTAAGCATAAAGGAAAATTAGAATATTCTAATATTGTAAAAGTGGCATGTATATCACTTAAATCTTAGTATGAAGCCTAAAAGAAAAAATACTAAAAATAATAATAGCTAAAATAATCTGTTCAAGGGTACACAATATAAAAAGATGCAAATTGTGAAACTGAAAACATAAAATGTGGGGAGATAGTAGAAGTGCAGATTTCTTTATGCAATGAAAGTTAAATTGGATTTACAATAGCAAAGACATGGAATCAACCTAACTGCTCATCAACCGTGGACTGGATAAAGAAAATGTGGTGCATATACATCATGGAATATTCTGCAGTCATAAAAATGAATGAGTTCATGTCCTCTGCAGCAACATGGATGGAGCTGAAGGCCATTGTCCTAAGTGAATTAAAATAGAAACAGAAAACCAAATCCTGTATGTTCTCATTTATAAGTGAGAGCTAAATATTGAGTACACATGGACAAAAAGAGAAGAGCAATAGATACTGGGGCCTACTTGAGAGTGGGGGGTGGGAGTAGAGTGAGGATTGCAAAACTACCTATTGAGTACTATGCTTATTACCTATGTGAAAAAATATTCTGTACACCAAATCCCCGTGACACCCAATTTACCCACGTAATAAACTGCACATGTACTCCCTGAACCTAAAACAAAAAAAAGTTGGAAAGAAAATTAAAGCTACGTTGTTATCAGCTTAAAACATACTGTTATAACTATAAGATGCTTTACGTGAGTCTTATGGTAACCACAAAGCAAAAAGCTTTGTAGATACACAAAAGATAAAAAGTAAAAATTCAAAGCATAACACTAGGGAAAAATAAGTAATTGCAAAGAATGTAAGAGAAGAAGGAAAAAAATGTACAAAATAACCAGAAAACAACAAAACCACAGTACTAAGTTCTTACTTTTCTACAATTAGTGAAAGTAAATGGATTAAGTTCTCCAATCCAAAAACATTGAGTGGCTGAATGGATAAAAAATATATTAGCCAATTAAATGCTGCCTACAAGTGACTGACTTGACCTTTAAGTACACAAATACACTGAAAGTGGAGGGATAGAAATAGATATTCCAAATAAATGAAAACTAAATATAGAAAGGGTAGCTATACTATATATAACATAAATGTTCCTATAAATGTAATGCACCACATTATCATAATGAAGAATAAAAGCCATATGATAATCTGAATAGATACAGAAAAGGCATTTGACAAAATTAAACATCATTTCATGCTAAAAACTTTCAATGAATTAGATAGAAGGGATGTACCTCCACAAAAGAAAAGCTATATATGACAAGTCCATAGTTAACATCATAATCAATGGTAAAAAGTTGAAAGTCTTTCCTCTAAGACCAAGTACAAGACAAGGATACCCACTCTTTCCACTTGCATTCAACATAGTACAGATGTTCCTCAACTTACAATGGGATTACATTTGAATAAACCCATTGTAAGTTGAAAATATTGTGAGTTCAAAATGTGTTTAATAGATCTAACCTGTCAAACATCATAGTTTAGCCTAGTTTACCTTAAGTATGCTCAGAACACTTACATTAGATTACATTACATTTGGAAAGAAAACATCTAAAATAAAGCCTATTTTATAATAAAGTGCTGACTATCACACATAATTAACTGAACAGTCCTCAAAGTGAAAAATAGAATGGTTGTATGAGTACTTGAAGTGTGTTTGTGCTGATTGTGCATTGCTTTGACACTACTTTAAATTGAAATTTTGTAAGTTAACCATCACAAGTCAGAGACTCTCTGTACTGAAAGCCCTTGCCAGAGCAGTTGGTCAAAAAAGAAAAAAAAGAAAGAAAAAAAGGAAATAAAAGGCATTCAAGTTAGAAAGAAAGAAGTTAAACCATCTCTGTTTGTAGACAATATAATCTTATATATAGAAAACCCTGAAGACTCCATCGAAAAATGTCGGAATAAATAAGTAAAGTGGAAGGTGTGAGCCCCCAAAATCTGAGACAGGTCTCAGTTAATTTAGAAAGTTTATTTGCCAAATTTGAGCACATGCATCCGTGACACAGCCTCAGGAGCTCCTGATGACATGTGCCCGAGGTGGTCAGAACACAGTTTGGTTTTATACATTCTAGGGAGACATGAGACATCAATCAACATATGCATGATGAGGCGGGACAACTTGAAGCAAAGGTGATACTTGAAGCCAGGAGGGGGCTTTCCATGTCATAGGTAGATAACAGACAAATGGCTGCATTCTTCTGAGTTTCTGATTATCCTCTCTAAAGGAGGCAATCAGATATCCATTTATCTCAGTGAGCAGAGGGGTGACTTTGGATAGAATGGGAGACAGGTTGGCCCTAATCACTTCCCAGCCTGAATTTTCCCTATAGCTTAGTGATTTGGAGGCCCCAAGATTAATTTTCCTTTCACAAAGGATACAAAATCAATACACAAAAATCAGTAGTGCTTCTATACACTAACAATGAACTAGCCACACAATCAAGAGAATAATTCCATTCACAATAGCTACAAAAATCCAAAATACTTAAGAATACATTTAACCAAGGAGGTGAAAAAACTATACATTAAAAACTATAAAATTCTGATTAAAGATATTGAAGAATATACAACTAAACAGAAAGATGCCTGTGGTTCATGGACTGGAAGAATTAAATTGTTAAAATGCCTATAGTATCTCAAAATAATATACAGATTCAATACAATTTCTATCAAAATTCCAATGAATTTTGTCACAGAAAAAGAGAGAGAAAAAGTTTTAATAATCGTGAAGAGCTATAAAATACCTCAAATAGCCAAAGCAATCTTAAACAAATAGGGAAAAGCTGAATGCATCATACTATCTGATTTCAAAATCTGCTACAAGGCTATAATAATCAAAACAGTATGGTATTGGACTAACAACAGACATAGTCCAGTGGATCAGAAAACAGTGAACCAGAAATAAATCCACAAATTTATGGTCAATTGCTTTCCCAAAAAAGAACAAAAATATACAATAGAAAAAGGACAATCTCTTCAGTGAATGATGCTGGGAAAACTGAATATTCATATGTAGAATGAAATTAGACACTCATCTCACACCATATACAAAAATCAACTCAAAATGGATAAAACATTTAAACTTAAGATCTGAAACTGTAAAACTGCTACATAAAAAAGGAGAAAGCTCTATGACATTGGTCTTGGCAATTATTTTTTGGATATGATCCCAAAGTACAGGCCAGAAAAGAAAAGCTAGTCAAATGGAATTATACTAAGCTAAAAAGCTTCTGAACAGCCAAGGAAACAATAAACAGAATGAAGAAATAACTTGCATAATGGGAGAATATATATTCAAATCATATACCTGATAAAGGGCTAATATTAAAAATATATAAGAAAGTCAAACAATTCAATAGTAAAAAAATAAACAGCCTGATTAAAAATGGGCAAAGGACCTGAACAGACATTTCTCAAAAGAAGACATACAAACAGCCAATAGGTATATGAAACAATGCATTAACATTACCAACCATCAGGGAAATGTAAATTAAAACCACAATGAGGTATGACCTCATACCTGTTAGGATGACTATCATCAAGAAGATTAGAGATAACTGTTGGTGAGGGTATGGAGAAAAGGGAACCCTTCTAAACTGTTGGGTGGAATGTGGATTGGTGAGTCATTACAGAAAACAGAGATGCCTCTAAAAAATTCAAAAAAATGTTGCTAGCCTATGATCCAGTAATTCTACTACTGAGTATATATCTAAAGAAAATAAAAATCATTATGTCAAAGAAATATCTGTACTACTACATTCATTGCAGCATTATTCACAACAACCAACATAGGGAATCAACTTATGTGTCCATCAACAGATGAACAGGTGAAGAAAATGTACTATATATATATACAATGAACTATTATTCAGCCTTAAAAAAGAAAAGAAAATCCTGTCATTTGGGATAACATGGATGAACCCAAGGACATTATGTTAAGTTAAATTATCCAGGCACAAAAAGACAAATACCACATGACCTCACTTATATATAGATACTAAAAAAGTTGAACTCATAGTAGCAGAGACTAAAATGTTGGTTACCAGAGACCGAGGAATAAGGGTACTGGAGAGATGTCAACGGACACAAAATTTCTGTTAGATACAAGGAATAAGTTCAAGACACCTGTTGTGCATTATGGTAAAGTTAATGACAATAAGTATATACCTGAAAATTGTTTTAAGAAGTATATTTTAAGTGTTCTTATCACAAAAATGTAAGTATGTATATATAAAATAAATATTCCCTTGATTTGAAATGACTTTTATCGTCAGTCTCCAATTACCAGCATCCTGATCAGCCTTCAGTACCTATCACAGATGCCATGTATTCATTGAGCCTTTCTTGATCCCTACAATTTTATAGATTTTTAAATATTCTGCCTTATATTCTGGTTAGTTATATATTTGTTTTATTGCCTGTTTAGACTCATACTGAGGGGAGCACGTATGTTCTTGTCACTATAATTTCTATAGTCTAGAGCTATGTCTTTCTTTCCCATAATAGATCCTCAATACACATTCATTGTTTTGAATTGAACAGGAATTGAAGTACTTTAAAAAGTTACAACTATATTTCCTTTCTATATATATATACCCAGTAATGAGATTGTTGGAACATATGGTAGAAATATTTTAATATTTTGAGGAATCTCCCTACTGTTTTCCATAATGTACTAATTTGAAATTTGGAAGCACTAATTTGGATATATGAATTTGGATGTACTAATTTCATTTCTACAAACAGTGTATAAGAGTTCCCTTTACTCTGCATCCTTGCCAATAATTATTTTTTGGCTTTTTGATAATAGCCATTCTAACTGAGATGCAGTGATATCTCATTGTGGGTTTCTTCATTTTTTTTTCCTTTGCTGTTCAGAAGCTTTTCCATTTGACATGATTCCATGTGTCTATTTTGGTTTTCATTGCCTGTATTTTGAGGTCTTATTTAAAAATTCTTGATCAGCCCAATTTCATGAAGGATTTCCTGTTTTTTTTTTTCTGGTAGTTTCATAATTTCAGGTTTTACATTTAAGTCAAAGAGACATCTACACACCCATGTTTACTACGGCAGTATTCACAAATAGCCAAGATATGGAATCAATTTAAATGCATATCTAATAATGAATGAATAAAGAAAATGTGTGTCTGTGTGTGGAATACTATTCAGTCATAAAACAGAATAAAATACTGTCATTTGCAATAACATTTATGGCAACATGGATGAAGTGATGGCTGATACTCTTCCACTAGTTTTAGAGTAATTTTTACATACTAGCAGTCAAGCTGGACTTATCCACACCAGCACTGGAAAATATCCAATGTAGGTGTAACGTGCTCATCTAGAAAGCATCAAGGTGTTTTGCCTGAACATTCTCCAGGCAGCTGAATGAGCCTCGATACTGAAGCAGGATGGCTGTGTATATCTGATACAATGCTAACAGTTTCTGTTTCCATCTAGGTCTTTTAGTTGGATAAAAGCTGGACAGGAAAATTCTACAATCCCATGATTACTTATCATTATCTAATCACATTTTATATAATGGGGAGCTTTCAGAGAATGAGATAATTTTCTGGTAAAAAAATCACCAGATAGTAAGCCATATCCATTTCTCCTTCTTCCTCATCAACAGACTCCAGTTTTGTTCCAGGTGGCAATGGATCAGTTAAATATTTACATTATTGAGTGTCTTTTTATCTAATGTTGGTTAAAGAGATCTAAGTATAAGTAGCTGAGTTAGGCATTTGGGAGAGCTCATTAATGACTGGCAAAATATGTTCATATGCACGTTTCACATTCCCCTTTATCAACGTTCCTGTTTGAAAATATAGATGCAGTGCTTGGAAGTAGAATAGCTTCTTTGTAAGCTTGAGAATGAGGGACACCCATGGATTAATAGAAAGAGTCGTATTCCCGATGGCAATGTGCAGCCCAGTATACTCACAAAGGATGGTTGTTCCTTTCCTGCACTATGCCAGAGTTCCCTTCTTCCATTTCTGTCCTTTAAAATTGAAACCTTGAGACTTCATCTAGGCAGGGAAGGAAATCTTCAGGTCCCTTACTCTTTAAAAGGTGTTTCATTCTGCTATCTCTGATACAGAAAAGACAGAGAGATCTAAAGGGACAAAAGGAAAGTCACATTCCTTGGATAAAAAAAAATGTAACAAAGGGGACTGTATATTTGAGGTTCAACTTGTAGTTTGGATGTTTATATTTAATGCTGTAAAATATAAAAATGTAACAGTTCATTAAATCAATTTGATAATGAGCACTAGCCAAGGACATACAGAGATGTAGTCTGACATGTTCAGAAGCTCCTCTGGAAGGGGTAAAAGCACAAAGCAACATTTTTTCTTACTACTACAAAGGCAATAAGTGAAAGAAAATATTTAGAATATTACAGAGCAGAAAATTAAGTCAAGGAGCACAGCCATATAACATAAATGTTAAACTAAATGTTCACTGAATATAATATACCATTTGGTCAGTTTCCTATGTGCCAGATTTTATAGGACAGAAGTAATAACAACTAAAATGAGTTGTCTCTAAAAGAATGCATTCAACATGGTACTTTAAAGGAAAAGGTCAGTTGTCACCATGATAATTCAGTAGGAAACTTACCCTGACTTTTAATAAATTATCCTTTTTTATTTAGTAGAAAGTAAAGAAGGCAGTCAATTTTAGTCCTGAATTCTAAGGGGATGAAGTTAACTCTCTATGAGCCATTTACTAACTAGCTTGAAACTTCTGAAGCATAGGAGAAAGCACCAAAGCAGCTAACAAATAAGCAGGGGCTTAGCTAGGAGCCCAATGCAGTAGAGCATCTGACCATGCTTGCAACAATGCTCAAATGCTCAAGAACAGAGTCAAAAAATCACATGCAAGTTATATACATACTTACATACATAAAATCAATGAGCTCATGATTACAACAGAAGCACATACTGGTTTAAAAGTATGTTTCTTCCAAAGGTTGTGTTATATTCTCTCTCTCTCCCCATAACCTAGGTGTTGGGCCTATACTGAGGGAGTATAAAGCTCTGGTTAGAGCAGAGTACAGTTAATTAGGGGAAATTTCCTAGAGATGAATTGTAAGGCAGGGTACAAAGGGAGTGAGGGGTATAGATTGGTGAATCATCTTTTGATCCAAGTGCCCAGAAAAGAAAGATGAAAAGACTCAGTAAGTATTAATCCATTTTGCTTTATACAGATAATGGCCATTATCTGCCTAAAATGTTGAATCCATGAGACTAGTTCTAAAGGGTTTATGTCTAATATGTGTGATAACTTTGATGAAAAGTTCTAAAACTGTTAGTATTTTGGATCTTGACATTTTACCCTTTTTTCGTATTGGAAACAGTTCAACAAGTATGAACGTTGTGTACATAAGTATTTGTGAAAGATATATATATATAACAATTTTAAAAAATTGTCATTATATGACTTATTTAAAAATAATTATTTTCTCATTAATCTATTTTACTTTTCACAAGTCTGTTTCTTGAAGCTGAATTTATGTAACAAGGTAATAGCAAAATGAGTAAACTGAAGAAAAGGCCTACAAAGAGGAGTTTGTACAAGAATCGTAAAAAGAAAAGGATGATTTGTATTTGTCTGACACAAACATCTACTGAAACTCCCAATAAGGACATATATGGCAGAGGCCCTTGTTGGTTGAGATCTTTGAGAAACTAGAATATTACTTTGTAAGTAACACTCTTTTGGGGAATTCCTTCTTTGTAAAGGAATGCTATCAAATTAACGTATATTAATTGCTTTATTAAATCCCAGTTCAGTCATTTACTAGCTATATGATCTGGGAAAGTTATTTAACCTTTCTAAACTTCATTTTCCTCATCTAAAACTTGGAAATAATAACAATAACTCCTCTATTGGGATGCTGGGAGAATAAGATTATAAATTTAAACCACAGCATAGGAGTATACACGTTCAAGTAAGTGTTATCTACTGTCTGTTATTATCGTTACTGTCATATTTTTACCCAAAGTGAAACAATAGTCTCAACTCTTAAGCTACTTTGTATCTAGAGAAAAATTACTAGTATTATTCAAGTACTACACTGTGGTGAATTATTGAAGGCATTTCAAGCTGATTGTGAATTGCTCATCTAGAGATGTGTAAAGAACCTTACCTACGTTCCCTATCAAGAAAATCCTTCATAGACAGTAGTAATCTAGAAGATAATTCCTTTTTGCATAGAAGGATGGTACTAAGGAATCTAAATATGAATTGATTATTTTAAAGATTTTCTAATATCACAAGGCCCTGAAGAAGGTGTAAGTGTGTGTTAAACAGAGTCTTATGAGACATGAACAACTGAAAAAAGGTCCAATCAACCAATTCCCTATCTCCAACACCCTAATGTAACACAGTATTTACGAAACTAGCTTGATTTCTTTATTTAAACATATTCTCTGGTTATCTGAATAATGTCAGATGGATAAACTTGTTCAAGTCTATTCTAGAGGAAAGTTGATGTGATTTTCTGATCCCTAAGTAATGTGCTCTTTTAGTGTCTAACCCAATATCATCATAGATTAAATCCCAAGTGCCTTAAAAATTTATCTTCACACATTTCTTTGGTGAAACATCCTGTGATTTGACTCACATTTATCACTTTCTTGGTCATTGGATTGAGCAGACTGGTGGATATGGTGATAAAATAGATGCCACATTAATATAAATTCTTGATCTTTTCACAAAGAGCATTCATAATAGATAGAGCTTGCATTCCTCTGTTCTCAGAAATCTCTTTAGTTAGTGTTCAAAAACTGTACCTTGCAGCTGCACTACTTTCTCAGTACCACTGTCTTAAATTATGGGGCTGTCAACCCCACTTATAGGAAACTTTCCCTATTTTATACTACAATATTACAATCTAAAGCTGGAAATCTTTTTCAAGCACATATGAAAAGTAAATAGATCGTTTGTTAGTCTGGACTTCCATCATCACAGCAGTTCTTAACAAAACAATACTGATCAGACAATCTGTTTATTAATACAGTGTTTATTATGTGAAAGAACAAGGTTCAGGAACTGGAATAAAAGCAGCTAAATTCTCTAAGGACTAACTCAGCTGGCGGTACTTAGAAATTTAAAACTTTACGTGTCTGTCTGCATTGCTCTAGTCCCTTCCTCCCTTCTGTCCTATCACAAATATTTATTGGGTACTTTCATGTGTCTAACTCAAGGGTAGGTGCTGGGGATACAGGGATGAATAGGACATGATCTCCACCTATAAGAGTCCCTGGTATATATCTAAGGAGATAAAGAAGTAAATAAATAATGGCAATGCAGAGAGCATGCTGTATAAAAGAACTCTAAAGGGAATAGTCATAGGGTGGGAGAAGATGCTGAAGGGCAGGAAATGAGCTGAACCATGAATGATGATCCTGCAGACTCAATTCCTTCTAGAGAGTATGGCAGCATTCTTCAGGAGAGGTGACTTGAAAATTGTTGTCGGTATAGGAAAAAATGTCTGTTTGGCTGCTACCAAGGAGTATCTGCTCTGCTTAGTGATGATGCATTGAGACAAGGAGGAGGCAGAGAACTTAAAGGAAGAGCAGGGAGAGGTGTCGTTAATCTCTGAAACAACTCAGAATAATCCTTACAATTTAGCCTTCTGTAGGACAATGGAACCAGATTTCCCTGATGTGGGCAGTCAAGGGCCAAATCAATTTTATGTGTTAACAAAATCTCAAAGAGTGTGTTGGAATCCATGAGGACTATAATCACTTACATTTATACTTACATCTCTGAAAGAAGATACGTATAGACATGAGGAAGCATAAAAGCAGTATTCTTGGGAGAGAATGCAATATTTCACTGTGTTAGGCTAGTAATTAAGACAGGGCTTGAGAAAAGAAATCAAAGCTGGTGAAACATATGGTATATATTGAAAAGTAGAGATCTGTATGTCCATTATTGATGGAAAACAAATGTTTAAATATCCAGTGAGGGTAAAATCAACAGAAAATATTCTTCCTAGGACTCTAAAGATTTTCTATAACAGCATCAAACTCTGCCCAACCAGGCAAAATACAGGAGCCAGATTTGTTGGAGAAGCATCAGTGACTGCCCAGCCAGGCAAAAGCCACAGGCTAAAATCATTTCCTAGGTAGTGCTTAAACTTTGAAAAATTTACCAAAGTGAGCAGGTATACTTTTTAGGAGCAGTGGATACAAAACCCATGATTAGGGACAACAAGATTGGCTCACAAGAGAGCAGAACCTTTCCAATAATTTTGTTTAGAAATTGAAAGCAAATTTTATCAGCCTCAGATTATTACATTACAAAAGACAACTGAACAGAGCTGACTCAAAGAAATTAAAAGGCATCATATTTATCCCTTTTTATTCCTATTTTTACTATGTATCATCACTAATTCGATACAATCAGTTTATCAGAACATGACATGAAAGACTTAGTGAACTGCACAACAAATGAAAAGAAGAAAAAAAGCTGTATGTATTCCGTATTCTTATAGACACTTGTATTACGTTTCTTTCTTTTTTTTAAAAAAAAATACAATCAATCACCATTTACCACACCTGCCTTTCTTAATCAAGTTTGTTGCGATATAATTTAGGTACAGTGTAAGTCACCCTTGTCAGGTCTTTATGTACTAATTTTGATAAATTACTTTTTAGAACAAAGAAATATCATAATATTAAAAATTTCTGCATAAAGAAAAAGTAATCATACAAGTATATGATATTATTTAATATTTCAAACACTTTGTCACATTCTACATAATTTTTGTTAAAAAATATATAAACCATTCAATAAGTCTGCTTCTAACTACAATTCATAAAATACTTCACATTTAACTATAATTCTGGTGCCTGAAGATAATCTAGAGAAATTTTTTTCCACTTAATAAACAGTAAACATATTTTCTCTTAGTTATGATTTTCTTTTTTAAAAATAATTTCAACTTTTGTTTTAGATTCAGGGGGTACATGAGCAGGTTTGTTATATGGGAGAAATTTTTTTAAGGAAGGTTCATATGTAATATAAAAAGCTTAGGAGAAGGAACTAGACTTAAAACTATGAGATAGTTTTCCCAATTTAACTATTTTTATAATCTTCCTATTAAGAAACAGCTGGGGCAATTTATCTGTCACAGAAAAAGCCAAATGGTCCCAGAAAAAGCTTTCTTGCATTAGTGGCTGGCAAGAGTTCTTACCTGATGACAAATGTTTTTAAAAAAGGAGTATAGAACAAGAAAGGGACTTTGGCTTATTGATGCTTTTATAAATTCTCTTCAAATAACACTTCCTTAGTGGCTAAGTCAAGCACAGTGCTAAGACAGAAATTACATAACAATCAACAAAGAGGACGGCTTTGTATACTTTAGGCCTTACCATTCATGGTAGCGTTACATATGTAAATAATTATAGAACAATATGAGATGTCTATAAGACGGTTATGTCCAAAGTGTTACCGTAGTAGTGTTGCTACTGAATGAGTTATAGTTGACAGGAAGTCAACACTCAGCAAATCTCTGTTTAGAAAATCAAACTAGCAAAATCTTCAAAGTACAACTAAATACATTCTGGGAAATTCACATTAGCTTAAATGCACGGAAAATAATGCAAATGGGAGAATAACTTAGGATGCATATGTTAATACACACGTTAAAAAAAATGGTTCTTGTAGCCTTTTAAGATAGCTGTCAAGTGGCACCTGGCACTCACCTTCTCTACAAAGCAGGAGCAAAAACAGTCAGTAGATAATCAAACATCAAATAGAGTGTCTAAGAGAGAACATTGGGATGCAGCAGGGCAATCACAGAGAACCTCTAAAGCATGGAAAGAGAAAGAAGCAAAGAAGACAGCCTGGCCAGGATTGGCTTGGAGCCAGGAGGCACTCTCCATTGTGGGAAAAATATCTTTTTCCACAGACATCCCCACTGCAGGCTCCTGCAATCCCAGCTGTGGGAGAGTTCCTAAGCCCTTGTGGGCCCTGAGACTAGCATGTAAAGTTTCCTGGAATCTACACAATTCCATTGTTACGGGTCCCACACACGCCCCAAGATCCAAGCAGATGCAGCATGGAGCCATTTGGAGAGTCCAGCCCCCACCAAACTATATACTGTTTGGGGCCCAACAGCCTCTCTATCTCCACATCATTGAATTCCTACTGACATCATCCTACATTTATCCAGAGAGCTGCAGTGACATAAGGCCAGCTGGACTGAGTGGAGGGGCTAGTTCTCAAGCATTCTCACCCATGCAGTGTCCTATAGCCTAGGAAATGGGCTGCCTCCAGGACAGAGAGAGTAATAGAATGCACTCACTACAGCCTGAGAGCCACCTGCTTGAGACTGATGCCACTGACAGTAACCCTGCCCCCTCCAGCAGTAGGGCCAGAGAACACCTGCATGCACCCTAAGGGGGTTCTGGGATAAGCCTGTACCACCAACTGTTACCACTTCCAAGGTCTGAGCATGCCATCTGGAGATCCAGGGGTAAGCCTGCCTTACCCAAGTCAGCCCATGCCCATGTGTACCAGTGGGGGATAGGATCACCCTGCCTACAGCCTCTTGCAGTGACACCTATGCATAATGTCTAGGAGCCTAGAGATCAACAGATCAACCTGACCTTACCACCACTGGCAGCACTCAACAGGGAAGCCTGAGGAAAGGTTGCCTTTACCACCACTGCTGCTGGCAATGACATGCAAGCACCATCATGGGGAGTAGGGGGTGGCTTGCACAGACTACCACCACCACCACACCCACTATGTACACCACTCAAAGGCCTGAGGACATGCCTGTCCACCAAGCCCACCACTGCTACTGACAACACACAAGCAATATGCCTGGAAGTCCAAGAACTGGCTCACCCAGGCATATTACCACTGGTGTCAGTGGACACTGCCTGGGGGCCAGAGAACTGGCAAACCTGTGCCCAAGGACCTGCCCTCTTGATGCTCCTGTCCCCAGCAAAGTCTCACCACAGCATCCACTAACAACTGCAGCCCAAGCAAATGAGGAAGACACAGACAAACTTGACATTGATTACAGCTGCCTCAAATCATACAAAATTTAACCTACTGTGCATACCCACATTCAAAGCAAAATAATCTTATTGAATCAACATTATAGATACAACAATAAAAAAGTCTTTCCCTATGAAAATCAATCCATAAAACTTGAAAAAGCAACTGTTGTACCATATGCACAAATTTCAATGTAAAGAACATGAAAATATGAAAAAGCAAGGAAACATGACAATTTCAAAGGAACACAATAATTCTTCGTTAAATGATCCCAACAAAAAGGAAATTCATGACATGACTGAAAAAAAATTCAAAATAATAATATTGAAGAAACAGTGAGATACAAGAGAGCAAAGGTTAAACAACACAAAAAAGTCAGGAAAACAATACATGATCTAAAAGAGAAATTCAGACGAGAAAGATATCATCAGAACAGAAATCAAACTGAAATACTGGAACTAGAGATTTCAATAAATAAAATCAAATCACAAAAGACATCTTCAACAATAGACTTCATAAGCAAAATAATCGTTGAACTTGAAAATAACCTGTCTGACAAAAAAAGGAGAAAGAAAAAGAATGAAGAAAGCATATATGATATATGAGACACCAGAAAGTGAAGAAATACATGAATTTTCGGTGCTGTAGAAGGTGAAAAGGTGGGCAAAATAATAGAAAACATATTTAACAAATTAATAGCAGAAAACTTCCCAAGTCTTGCAAGAGACACAGACATCCAAATACAAGGAGCTCAAAGAATCCCAAAAAGATCCAACTCAGAAAGCTCATTTCCAATGCATGTTAGAGTAAAACTGTCAAAAGTAAAAGACAAATAATTCTAAAAACAGCAAGAAAGAAGTATCTGTATTAGCTCATTTTCACATGCTATAAAGAAAGGCTTGAGCTTGGATAATTTTTAAAGGAAAGAAGTTTAATTGACTCACCGTTCTGCAGGCCTGAGGAGGCCTCAGAAAACTTACAATCATGGTGGAAGGGGAAGTGAACATGTCTTTATTCACACGGCAGCAGGAAGAAGATGTGCCAGGCAAAGGAGGAAAAGCCCCTTATAAAGCCATCAGATCTTGTGAGAACTCATTCACTATCACAAGAACAACATGAGGGTAACTGCCACCATGATTCAATTACCTCCCACTGGGTCCCTCCCACAACATGTGGGAATTGTGGGAACTATAATTCAGGATTAGATTTGGGTGGGGACATAGCCAAACCATATCATTCCACCCCAGCCCCTCATAATCTCATGTCCTCACATTTCAAAACAAAATCATGCCCTTCCAATAGTCCCCCAAAGTCTTAACTCATTCTAGCATTAACCCTAAAGTCCAAGTCCAAAGTCTCATCTGAGACAAGGCAAGTCACTTCTCTCTATGAGCCTGTAAAATCAAAAGTAAGTTAGTAACTCCCTGTAAGCAATGGGGGTACAGGCTTTGGGTAAATATGCCTGTTCCAAATGGAAGAAATTGGCCAAAACAAAGGTGCTACAGGCCCCATGCAAATCCGAAATCCAATACATCAGTCATTAAAGTTTCAAAATGATCTCTTTTGCCTCCATGTCTCATATTCAGGTCACACTGATGCTAGAGGTGGGCTCCCATGGCCTTGGGCAGCTCTGCCCCTGTGGCTTTGCAGGGTATAGCTCCCCTCCCAGCTGCTTTCATGGGCTGGTGTTGAGTGTCTGCAGCTTTTCCAGGCACACAGTGCAAGCTGTCTGTGGAGCTATGATTCTGGGGTCTGGACGATGGTGGCCCTCTTCTGACAGTTCCACTAGGTAGTGCCCCAGTGGAGACTGTATATGGGGACTGCAACCCCACATTTCCCTTCCACATTGTGCTAGCATAGGTTCTTCATGAGGGCTCTGCCCCTGCAGCAAACTTCTTCCTGGACATCCAAGCATTTCCATACATGCTCTGAAATGTAGGCAGAGGTTCCCAAACTTCAATTCTTGACTTCTGTGTACCCATAGGCCCAACCCCACGTGTAAGCCTCCAAGTCTTGGGGCTTACACCCTCTGAAGCAATGGCCTGAGCTGTACCTTGGCCCCTTTTAGCCGCAGCTAGAGCTAAAGCAGCAGAGACACAGGGCACTATGTTCCAAGGCTGCATAAAGCAGGGAGGGCCCTGGCCCTGGCCCACAAAACCATTTTTCTCTTCTAGGACTCCAGGCCTGTGATGGGAGTGGCTGCCATGATGGTCTTGACATGCTCTGGAGACATGTTCCCCATTGTCTTGGCAATTAGCATCTGGCTCCTTGCTACTTATGCAAACTTCTGTAGCCAGCTTGAATTTCTCCCTAGAAAGTGTTTTTTACTTTTTCCACTGCATTGTCAGGCTGCAAATTTTCTAAACTTTTATACTCTGTCACCTCTTGAATGATTTGCTGCTTAGAAATATCTTTCACCAGATACCCTAAATCATCTCTCTCAAATTCAAAGTTCCACAGATCTCTAGGACAGGGGAAAAATGCTGCCAGTCTCTTTGCTAAAGTATAGCAAGATTCACCTTTGCTCCAGCTCCCAAGAAGTTCCTCATCTCCATATGAGACCACTTCAGCCTGGACTTCATGTCTATATCATTATCAGCATTTTGGTCAAAGCCACTCAACAAGTCTCTAGGAAATTCCAAACTTTCCCACATCTTCCTGTCTTCTCAGCCCTCCAAACTTCCAACCTCTGCCTATTACCCAGTTCCAAAGTTGCTTCCACATTTTCAGGTGGGGACAACAGCAGATACCACAGACAGTGGGGTGATTTACAACAGCATCCCACTCTCTGTGGTATCGATTTATGTTTTAATGCTGCTATGAAGAAATACCTGAGACTGAGTAATTTATAAAGGAGAAGTTTAATTGACTCACAGTTCTACAGGGCTGAGGAGGCCTCAGGAAACTTACAATCATGGAGGAAGGGGAAGCACATATGTACTTCTTTACATGACAGCTGGAAGTAGAGGTGCTGAGCAAAGGGGGAAAAGCCCCTTATAACGCCATCAGATCTCATGAGAATTCACTGACTATCACGAGAACAGCATAAGGGTAACTGCCCCCATGATTCAATTATTTCCCACTGGGTCCCTCCCACAACACATTGGGATTGTGGGAACTACAATTCAAGATGAGATTTGGGTGGGAACACAGCCAGGCCATATTAGTATCAAATCTCATATAAGGATATTCCCAGTAGACTAAGAATGGATTTATCAGCAGAAACCTTAAAGGCCAGAAGAGAATGGGATAATATATTCAAAGCATTGAAAAAAAAGTCTGTCAGCCAAGAATATTATGCCCATTAGTTATCCTTCCAAAGTGAAGGAGAAATAGTCTTTCCCATACAAATACTGAGGGAATTCATCACCAGTAGACTAGCTCTTCAAGAAACACTTAAGGCAGTCCTGCTTCTGGAAGCAAAAGGCCAATATACATCACCATGGAAACAGGAAGATATTAAACTCAGGGTAGAGCAAATGCAAAAATAAGAAAAACAAAGGAGTCAAATGTTGCCATTAAGAAAGTCAGGAAACCATAATGACAAACAGTAAGAGAGAAAAAAAAAAAAGAAAAAGGATATACAAAAAAATTAGAAAACAATTAACAAAGTGACAGGAGTAAGTCCTCACCTATCAATAATATTCTAAATGTCAACAGAATAAATTATCCACTTAGGAGATATAGCCTGGCTGAATTGATTTTAAAAAATGACCAAACTATAGGCTGCATACAAAAAGTTCACTTCCCTTTCAAAGATGCATACAAAGTGAAGGAATGAAAATGATATTCCATGCAAATGGAAACCAAAGCAAACAGAAGTAGTTATACATGTATCAGACAAAATAAACTTTAAATCAAAAAGTATAAAAGGAGATGAGGACAGTAATTATATAATGATAAAGGAATGAATTCAGGAAGATAATATAATAATTCTAAGTAAACATGCACCCAACACTGAAGCATCCAGATATATAAAGCAATACCAATAGATCTAAAGAGAGAGACAGACTCCAATGCAATAACAGTTGGCAATTCCAACATCCCCTTCCTAGCATTAGGTCATTTAGAGAGACAATCAACTAAGAAAAACAATCTGAGCAATACACCAAATGAACCTAATAGATATTTGCAGAATATTTTATCCAACAGCTGCAGATACACATTATACTAACCAACACATAGAACATTCTCTAGGATGGACTATACATTAGGGCACAAAACAAGTCTCAACAAAATTTTAAACATCAATATTATATTTAATACTTTTCAGACCACAATGTAATAAAACTAGAAATAAATATTAAGAGGCCGGGTGCGGTGGCTGTCGCCTGTAATCCCAGCACTTTGGGAGGCTGAGGGGGGTGGATCATCTGAGGTCAGGAGTTCGAGACCAGCCTGGCCAACATGGTGAAACCCCGTCCCTACTAAAAGTACAAAAATTAGCCGGGTGTGGTGGGCGATGCCTGTAATCCCAACTACTCAGGAGGCTAAGGCAGGAGAATCACTTCAACCCGGGAGGTGGAGGTTGCAGTGAGCCAAGATCAGGCCACTGCACTCCACTCCAACCTGGGCGACAAAAGTGAGACTCCATCTCAAAAAAGAATAAAAAAGAAAAGAAATAAATACTAAGAGGATATTTGGAAATTGTAAAAAAAAAAATAAACAAAATGACTATGAATGACCACTGGGTCAATGAAAAAATTAAGAAGGAAAAAAAAAACCTCTTGAAACAAAATAAAATGGAAACACAACATACTATGAGATACTAATAAGATTCTGCAAAGGCAGCGCTCAGAGGGAAGCTTACAGCAATAAATGTTTACCTCAAAAAGTAGAAAAATTTCAAATAAACAACATAACAATAAACCCCAAGGAATAAAAAAGAAAGAACAAACCAAATCCAAAATTAGTTGACAAAAAGAAGTAATAAGGAATAGAGCAGAACTAAATGAAATGGAGACTAAAAAAATACAAAGGATAAATTAATCAAAAACTTAGATTTGTGAGAAGATAAACAAAACAGATAAACCATTAGCTGGGCAACCAAAAAAGAAAAAAAGAGAGAAGACCCAAATAAATAAAATCAATATGAAAATGGAGACATTAAAACCAGTATCACAGAAATACAAAGCCCCATTAAATATTAATATAAACAATTATACTCTAACAGGGCCAGGTGCAGTGGCTCATGTCTGTAATCCCAGCACTTTGGGAGGCCGAAGTAGGCAGATCACTTGAGGTTGGGAGTTCAAGACCAGCCTGGCCAACATACTGAAACCCCATCTCTACTAAAAATACAAAACAATTAGCCAGCCACGGTTGTGGGTGCCTGTAATTCCAGCTACTTGGGAGGCTGAGGCAGGAGAATTGCTTGAACCTGAAAGGCAGAGGTTGCAGTAAGCTGAGCTTGCACCACTGCACTCCAGCTTGGGCAACAGAGTGAGACTCCATCTCATAAAAAAAAAAACAAAACTGGAAAATCTAAAAGAAATGGGTCAATTCTTGGACACGTACAACCTACCAAGATTGACTTGAGAAGACACAGAAAACATGAGCAAAGCAATAATGAATAACAAGATTGAATCAGGAAAGCCTCTCAACAAAGAAAAGTGCAGGACTGATGGCATTACTGATGAATTCTGTCAAACTTATTAAGAAGAACTAACATGAATTCTTCTCAACTATTCCAAAAAAGTTGAGGAGGAGGGAATTCTTCCTAACTCATTGTATTATGCCAGTATTACTCTCATAGAAAATAACAGATAAGGGAACAATTAAAAAAAGAAAACTACAGGCCAATATCCCTGATGAACATAAATGCAAAATTTTTCAACAAAATACTAGCAAACCAAATCTAACAGCACATCAAAGTGATAATACACCATAATCAGGTGGGATTTATCCTAGAGATGTAAGAATAATGCAACATACACAAATCAATAAACAAGATACATTATATCAACAGAATGAGGAAAAAAATTATAATCTTAGATTCAGAAAAAGCATTTGGTAAAATTTAACATCCTCTCCTGATAAAAATTCTCAAGAAAGTAGGCACAGAAGGAACATACCTCAATATAATAAAGGCCATATATAAAAACCCACAGCTAACAACATACTGGACTGGGAGAAGCTGAAAACCTTTCCTCTAATAACTGGAACAAGACAAAGATGCCCACTTTAACTGTACCTATTCAACATAGTACTGGAAGTTCTAGACAGAGCAATCAGACAAGGAAGAAATAAAATGTATCCAAATTGGAAGAGAGAAAGTTAAATTATCCCTCTTTGCAGATGATGTGATCTTACATTTAAAAAAAACCTAACAACTCCACCAAGAAACTCTTAGACATGATAAACAAATTCAGTATAGTTGCAGGATACAAATCAATGTACAAAAGTCACTATCTTGGCCAGATGCAATAGCTCATACCTATAATCTCAGCACTTTGGGAGGCTGACGTGAGTGGATTGCTTGAGCCGAGCAGTTTGAGACCAGCCTGGGCAACATGGCAAAACCTCATCTCTACAAAAAACACAAAAATAAAAATTAGCTGGGCATGGTGGTGCATACCTGTAGTCCCAACTACCTGGGAGGCCAAAGTGAGAGAACTGCTTGAGCCTGGAAGGTTGAGGCTGCAGTGAGCTATGACTGCACCACTGCACTCTAGCCTGGGTGACAGAGTTAGCCCCTGTCTCAAAATTAAAAAAAAAAAAAAGAGTCACTAGCATTTCTATACAGTAAAAACAAACTATTTGAGAAAGAAATCAAGAATGCAATCCTATTTAAATACCCACACAAAAAACACCTAGGTATAAATCTAACCATAGAGGTGACAAAAACTCTGTAAGGAAAATTACAAACTTCTGATGAAAGCAATTGAAGAGGATACAAACATATGGAAAAACATTCCATGCTCAGGGATTGGAAGAGTGAATCTTGTTAAAATGACCATACTACTCAAAGTAATATAAAGACACAATGCAACAACTATAAAAATACCAAAGACACTCTCCAAAGAAATAGAAAAAAAATCCTAATATTTGTATACAACCACAAATGAACCCAAATAATCAATTCAATCCTTAGCAAAAAGTACAAAGCTGGAAGCATCACACTACCTGGCTTCAAAATATACTACATGGCTATAGTAACCAAACCAGAATGGTATTGGTATAAAAACGGGCCCATCCACCAAAGTAAAAGAATAGAGAATCTAGAAACAAATGCATGTATTTACAGCCAACTGATCTTCAACAAAGGTATCAGAAACACACATTGGGGAAAAGACACTCTCTTCAATAAATGGTGCTGAGACAACTGGATATCCAAAGGAAAAAATAATGAACCAAACCCCTATCTCTCATGATATATAAAAATCAACTCAAAACAGATTGAAGATTTACATGTAAGAGCCCAAATTACAGAACTACTAGAAGAAAACAGGGGAAATGCTTCAGGATGTTGGTGTAGACAAGGATTTTATTGCTATAAATTCAAAATCACAAGCAACAAAAACAATAATAGACACATATTACTATTACATTAAACTAAAAAGCTTCTGCACAACAAAGGAAAAATCAACAGAGTGAAGGAACAATTTGTTAAATGAGGGAAAATATTTGCTAACTGTTCATCTGACAAGGAACTAATATCCAGAATATACACAGAATTCCATGAAGTCAACACCAAAAACAAATAATCTCATTAAAAAGTGGGAAAGGAATCTGAATAATTTCTTTAGAGAAGACATACAAGTGGGCAATAGGTATAAGGAAAAATATGCAACATCATTAGTCATAAGGGAAGTGAATATAAAAACAAAATGAGATATCATCTTACTATTACAATGGCTATTATCCAAAAGACAAAAAATAACAACCGTTGGTGAGGATGCAGAGGAAAATAACTGCTGGAGGGAATGTAAATCTGGATAGTCATTATGGAAAACAGTATGGAGGTTTTTAAAAAAAACCCTGAAAGTACAACTACCATGAAATCCTGCAATACCATTACCAAGTATTTATCCGAGAAAGGAAATCAGTATATCAAATGTACACATGCACCCCCACTGTTCACTGTAGCACTATTCACCTTAGCCAACATATGGAAAAAAAACAAACTGTCCACCAATAAATGAATAGACAAAGACAAAGTTATATATATATATATATATATATATATCTTACATAATAGCATTTCATTGCATATATATGTATATAAACATACATAACACACAATAGTATTGTGCCATAAAAAAGAATAAAATCCTGTCATTTGCAGCAAAGTGTCATCTGCAGATGGAACTGAAGGTCATTGTGCCATGTGAAGTAAGCCAGGCAGAGAAGACCAACATTGCAGATTGTCACTTATATGTGCGAGCTAAAAAAGTTGCTCTCATGAGGGTAGAGATTAGAATGGTATTTAGCAGAGGCTCACGGGGGGAGGCGGGGTGGGGTTGGAGATGAAGAGAGGTTCATTAATGTTTACATGCAGTTAGAAAACATAAGTTCTTGTGTTCAATAGCACTGTAGGGTGACTATAATTAACAATAATTTATTATATATTTCAAAATGGCTAGAAGATGAGAAATGTTCCCCACACAAAGAAATGATAAATGTTTGAGATGAGGCATATCCTAAATACCTTGATTTGATCATTACAGATCATATGCAAAATATCACACATACTCCATAAATATGTACAATTATGTATACATTAAAAAAGACACTACTAAAAAAGCTCTTCTCATCTTTTTTTCAGATACATATGGTAAAACTAATACCATGTATTCTGAGAAACTGCCTACATTTGTGAGATGGATCAATTAATTTACTTAACCGATACTTGTACGAACCTGGACATATGCGTTATAAGCAATTATTTTCTGGAAAAAAAATGTCCATAGTAAGTTCACTATCATTAGCTAACATCAAAGATATATCTAAAATAAAAATTGAGCACATTTTAAAAGTACTTGTATTTTTTCTTAATTTTAGTCTGAGATTTTAATAAATTTTACATTTTTGGGGAACTAAATTAGAAGAGTGTTACATTCTTTCTTCAAATTAACGTCCCAATATATTGTCTGGATTTGATATAAAAATGACATTAAGAACTTTACATAAGATAATATATTTAATACTACAACGAAAATGTCAAGCATCTGGTAATTTGCAGGCCCTGAGACAGTGAAAAGGCTTCCACAAAACCCTTCCTGGTAGACTACACAAAGTAGTCTGCGCAGGAAAGTCACTGATACCTCTCAACTCACATCAGAGCTAATTCATATCCTCTCAACGCACATCAGAGCTAATTCTGATGGTAAGAAGGTCAGAGGACAAAATGCTAAGAAGGGACATTCCTAAAAGTGAAAATTGAGAGCAAAGGGTAAGATAGAAAAAAACCATGCAACTCCAACATTAAACTTTCTGGGCCTTTCAGAGTGGGAAAGAAACTCAATATGCTTGCATTGCCTCCAAGAATATAACTATGACACAATTCA
Organism: Homo sapiens; assembly: GCF_000001405.40. NCBI lineage: Eukaryota > Metazoa > Chordata > Mammalia > Primates > Hominidae > Homo > Homo sapiens. The sequence continues at coordinate 77,882,396 of NC_000006.12, read as the reverse complement.
AAAACAGATGATTATTCTGAAAAATGTGGAAATGATGGAGATTGAGTATAATCATGTGCTTGATGATTCAATCAATCATGGCTATTTAAAACACCAATAATTCTGTGAAACACCAGGTTTGGTGTAGTTATCCGGTTAGTGAACACACTGATACACTGGGGGGGTGATGCACTCTGATTCCATGGGAAGATGGGTTCAGGACTCTTCCAGACCTCACTTTATGTGTTTCTTATTTGGCAGATATTGATTTATGCATGTGCTTTCCTGAGTTCTGTAGGTCACTCCAGCAAATTATTGACTTAAAGGAAATTGCAGGAACTCTCTCATATTTGAATCCATTTGTTTTGAAATGTAGGTGGCTTGGAAATCTAGGAACTTACAGTTGGCATCTGAAGTGAGCGCAATCTCACCAGTAACTGCGCCTGTAATCTGCAGTGCCTGCACTAATTCCAGGTGGTTACCATCATAATTGAATTGAATTGGAATACACTAATGTGTCTTGAAATTGAATTAAATTATAGGAATGTATGCAAATGACCTAAGGAAGTCACAAAAAATATAAAATAAATTTCACAAGACTTTCCCCTTATATTTCACACTTTCATTATGTCATATAATACTGTTCAATTAGCTACCCCTTGATGTCTAAGACACTTTCACTTTTTCCAGCTCAAAATCAGTCAGTTAATACAGAAGATGGCATAGGCCATCCAAAAAAATAGATGCTCATAAGCATCAAAGGTGTGAGGAAGGGAGAGAGATAACCAACAGATGAGGAGCACATTCAAATAGATCTACCCCTGTGTTTTCCATTAAAACCCAGATGCAAGAGCAGCAGCATATAGCTAACCATGTGGAAAATGCAACTAGCTATGTGTTTGTATGCATGGTTTCTACAAATTTGACCTAGGCAGTTATTCAAAACATAGAATGAGTCAGAAGTCATTAGAAACACTTAAATGTTCTTTTGCGATACATCTGTATAATAAAATGAAATTTTGAAAATGGTATACTTTGTCCAGAATGTTTTGGGTTTTTTTGCTAAACATTAGACCCAGGAGGCTCTTCCTGAAAAAAGGGTTCTGTAGTTGAAGAAGATTAAAGTGATGGAATAGTATAATTCTCTTGTTGGATACCCATAATTTAAATAGGAAGTTTTAGATGCTTTCAGCAAATTAGTCTGTTTACCACAACATTTTGAACATAGAAGGCTTTTTTGTTTATTCACAGAGAATCAGTGCCCTGCAGAACACAATGTTGAGACTAAAGTGATTTAAAAAAGGCCAACATAGGCTTTAAAAAAAAAAAAAGACAGTAAGTAGTTACAGAAAAAAATCTAGATACTTTCAGATGTCAAAAAAAAGATGAGGTCATGTTTACTGACATCAATAAAGATATGTACTCCAAAAAAAATACACTAATCATTATTGCAGGCTGATTTTTAATTTTAATTTAAAACCATATAAAATATATCTGATTTTCTATATGTAGAACCTAATTTTTTTTTTTTAGATCCAGAGCTAAAAGACTACTTCACTGAGGTGAATAACTCAGAAAGGAAAATTTCTATCCATTTTCCTGAAATTGTTTTGTTGAAGAGAAATCCATTAGTAAGCTTTCAAGAATTTTTCTGTTTCAAAGAGTCATTTACATTCCTCCACAGGCAGTCTGTTTTTGAAGTGTGCAGCAGGAGGATGGGTGGTGTCTTCTTTCATAACTAGTGTCACTTAAGAGGTCAAGAACGCTTGGGTACGTTCTTCCCAGATTCTTTCAGAGTAAGCAAAAAAGTGACTTTCTGTTCTTTCTGCTCATACTTTTATGTTTAACTTAAGACTTTGGGAAAGATGAAATGTTTTCCTTATTAATTTTCTCCCAAAATTTATCATTAAAAATAACATATTCTTTATACAAAATGACATAAATACAAAGTGGTATCAGTGATTTAAAAAATACCCACAATACACGGTGAAACCCCGTCTCTACTAAAAATACAAAAAAATTAGCCAGGCGTGGTGGTGGGCGCCTGTAGTCCCAGCTACGCAGGAGGCTGAGGCAGGAGAATGGCGTGAGCCCGGGAGGCGGAGCTTGCAGTAAGCCAAGATCGTGCCACTGCACTCCAGCCTGGGCGACACAGTGAGACTCTGTCTCAAAAAAAAAAAAAACAAACAAAAAAAACCCCACAATAATACATTCAAGAGAGACAAATACAGTTCTTGCCATCATAAGGCTTCTACTCTGGCAATGTGGACAGACACTAAATGAGTAACTGTGTAAATAATCATTAAGTTATGTGGTGGAAAAATGCAGAATTCTCTGATAGAACTCCACTTATTATCACAGTTATTTCTGTCTGCATGTAATACTGCTTCTCAGTGACTTTTCTGTTTTTCATCAATAATAAAAGCTATCTCATTCTAAAGCACAGGTGCCCAAACAGAATAGCATTTTTTGAGATAGTTTATTTAAGTATATGTAACAGTCTCTCTATTCTCTCTTGTTTTGGGTTTGCTTCATACATGTGGAGGATCAGATATGGATTCTGAGGATGGAATGTGAAGCCCCAAATACTCTGGGAAGTGCGTTTTTGAAAGCAGATCCTGTAAGGCCCCTGGTCTTGTGTACATTGACAGGTTATTCCTAACATGGCATGTTCTCCTTGTACAGATACCATCTCAGACAACTTCTAAAGCTACAGAAGTATATACCGCAGATGGCCACAAAGGTCACTGCTCTCAGGGACACTTTTATCTCTTCAACTCCAATAGGCTTGGAGTAGCATGGAGAAAGGGATTTTTCAACTTTAATATTGAGAAAAGTATGCTGTTTGCCATACCATAGTTATGAAATCAAAATGTAAATATGTGTGACCTAAGAGTTCTAAATTCAGTATTTTGCATAGTCTCACAGAGCATTTAAAAACTAGATTTGAAGGGGAGAATAAGCCACTTATAATTAATCTCTAATTTGGTTTAACTCCATCCATGTGGTTTAGCATTTTAAGTGTGGTTGATGTGCATGGTGTTTATTCTATATATAATACAAGAGAATTCTAAAACATACTTTTCATGTCATCATTTTATAATTCTCGATGCTTGACTCAGTTTTAGAAATGAAGAAACAGGCGGTTAATACTCAAACTTTCACAATGTTCACAGCATATAAACAGAAAACACTGTCATATTTTAATATATTTAATTACTTAATATGAGAAAATAATATTTACATGATTTTTATTTTAAATTCAAAGGAAAATAACTATACATATACATTTTAGTTAATTTGTTTTCTCAGGTTACTCATGTTTAGGCAGATATAATAATACTGTTTTCATGCTGAAGGAATAAATATCTGGTCTCCTTAATGATTCTATTTCTCAGCAACATTGAAAAAAATTGGATTCTGATTGCCTTTAAAAGGTTAGTAGTTTAGGTCACTGAGTATGCAAACCTCATGAAATTTCAAATGCTTTCCACCTTCGGTAACTGTCTATACGTTGCCATACTATATGCATTTTCATGTAGAAGCCTGGATTACAGATTAAATTTTAAAATGCTCAGTCCTAGACCCAGACCTCTGTTATTTTAAGTTAAACCATGAGATTTTTTGACTTGACAGTTTTGACCCACAAAAATATCAATTTCACATGATTTAATGTAATAAAAATATATTTCCATAGCAATAAATAAAATTCACTTGAGCGGTTTGTGTTATCTGTTAATTAAAAAAATAAAGAAAACAAAAGGAAACAGAATACAACAGCAAACCTCTGAACAAATATCTACAGGTCATTTGAAATGAAAACATTCATTATAAAATAAATTGGTTATTTATGATTTAGGATGTTAACATTCTTTAAGCCCAGATTGTTAATGGCCAACTATTCATGTCATGAAATTAACTTTTAAATGATCACTATCTAAAGTTTGCACAATGTCTCCATAATTTCTCTATTATTATGTTCATTTTTTCTGAAGACGTAAAAACTCGTTTGTTATTAATTGTGAATTTTACCTAAAAAACTATTTAAAATCATTTATAGTAGGCATCAGGAAAAGTCCTATGATTTATTTAACACTTCATGTTTGGAATATCAATAATCAGTGGTATTTAATTTACTAATTCATTTGTATTTGCCATCTAAAAGTAGTGAGGCCTTAATATCAAGAGGTTTTTTTATGTATTTACTTATTACTTATTTTATCTGATCCAAATAGAAAAATGTATGTAGAAACCCAAGGAAATCAGCTTTTCCACAGTAACACAATGCCACCTCTGATGACTACTTAGTACCTGAATCAAACCAATCTTTCAAAACTTGTTACTGCAAGTGAATTGTTTGGCACATTATATTACTAATTGGCTGAATTATATTTTAATTATTAAAGACTGAGAATCATTAAATACTTCCTGCCCATCTATTTTCATCAGGTTCAACTCATTATGACTTGGTCATCTGTATTCCCTTGTGAAAAGTACCAATGCAGTTTTCAGAATAGTCATACCATGGATTATCTTTTACAAGCAATCTTTTTTTTTGTTCTCACTTAAATTGTTTTTTATTTTCTTATTGTGTCTCAATAAGAATAAAACTTTTTGAAGGGAGGGAGAATCATTCTCACATCTTCTAGCGCCTTTTCTTGGGCTGCTTATCCAATAAGTTTTCAAAAAAAAAAAAAAAAAAGGCTGACTGCTTGGTTTCTGGAGCACACCATTTTCCCCCCTCCAAAACAAAACTATTAGGGAGAGAGACACAATTTCAAAGTATTCATTTTGTAAAGGGCCAGAGCTGACATTTCTGAATATCACAATTTAAGATTGTTATTCAAGTTTGTACCATGAGCCATCTACATAGATACGTATGTGAGTCAAAAAGGTTGGAAAATCTAAGTGTCAGAAAATCTGTTGTCAGCAACCATCAGCTAGATGATGCTTGAGGGAAATGGCTTAATTTTCCTTCTTTCTGAAAACTGGCATTTCAACTGTCAAAAGATTGTTTTCTGAATATTTGGCCATAAAAAGCTGAGCAATGACATATGTTTCAACACAACTTTGAAGGGTTATAAGAGATTTAGAAAAAATATAAACAATCATATGTAAACACACTTATATATAAAATATATATATATTTTCACACATACCCACACACACACACACATCCTGTTGGTAGCTAGTGACACTTTCAATAGTAAGAATGAATTGTGATTACATTCATTTGCTTCAGCTAAAAATGAGTTTTTTATATCTTTGTGAAATAAATAATTAAATTCAAAGTGGGTATTTCTACGATTTCTATCAGTATGAATTTTAAACTCCATTTTTTCTTAAATGTTGCACATTATACTTCTAGCCTTAAATTGGTAGCTGCCTCACAAGAGGCAAGTATCTATTCTGCAAGAGATTAATAGAAGACTTGTATTAATGGGCATGAACCTAACATTTAAAATTTCACTCTGCATTTTTCTTTCTCAACCTTTTTTTCCCTCCTTTTCCTTCATATCTTCCACATCTTTTCTATTTGTCTTTCTAATTTGAGAGGTACTGCCTGAGACATTTTGTCATTGGAGTTACTATGGTACTTTGCCTCATATTTTTGTAAGTCATTATGATTAATATTTTTAATGGGTTTAATTAATAAACAGATTGATTTGGCAGAAACATGGTGGGGTTCCTGTTATTAGACATTATATAAGGAGAGGTGCACCGCATTTAAGGGAAGGCAGAGGAAACTAATATTTACAGAATACCAAGTGTGGACAGGCATTGTGCTAGATACTTGATACCTAAATTCTTATTTAAACCACAATGGGTTAGGTAGTTGCCTTAGTCCATTTCCTGCTACTATAACAGAAAACCACAGACTGAGTAATTTATAAAGAACAGAAGTTTTTTTGACTCATGATTCTGGAGGCTGGGAAGTCCAGGAGCACGGTGCCAGCATCTGGTGAAGGCCATCCCATGGCTAAGGGTATCACATGGTAAATGAACACAGGACACAAGGAGAAAATGGAGCTGAACTTATCCTTTAATCAAGAACTCACTCCTATGATAATTAACCTATTCCTGCCATAACAGCATGAATCCATTCATTAGGGCAGAGCTCTCAAGGACTAATCACCTCTTAAAGGCCCCGCCTCTTAAAACTGTTACAAAGCCAATTAAGTTTTTAACACATGAACATTTGGGGGATACATTCAAACCATAGCATTAGTATAATTCTGCGTTTTCATATAGATATGAAAATCTATCATATAGATAAAGAAACTATCTATCATATAGATAAAGAAACAGTGAAGCTGACCTGGGTCATGATAGAGCTGAGGTTCTCACAAAGTGTCTATGGCTCTGAAACATGTGCTCTTTTTTATTTTAAATTCCACTATCTGCTGGTGTGACCTTGGAGAAGTCAGTTATGTATTGATTTATATCATCACATTCCAGAAAAAGGACTTGAAATAGTTGAATCACCTAATCTCTCTGGATTACAATTTCTTTGTCAAAAAAATAAAGACTTCAACTCAGTAATCCCGTGAAGAGTATCATTTGATAAATTCCTTGTGTCCTAGAGTTCCCCCAAAGTGCCAAGATTAAAGGGTATATGCATCTCTCATGCTATATGATATGCATTTTACCATGTAATATGCATTTCTTTGAAACTCTTACAATTTTCAGATTTTCAAAATCTGTTAAATTATGTTGTCATAAAACTTTATTAAGATATTTATTTAGTATAAAACAATCTGTAACAGTATTCAGTGTTTGTTATTAATGATAAAAATCCCTTTCCAAGATCCTGGATTTCTGATTTTTTGAATGCTGACAAATCACTAGCAATAGCTAAAACTACTTTCTGTCTAGTTTACATATCCATTTCAAGGTTTCAGAGATTTAAAACATGCTTTGAAGGGTCCTATATCTTTTACAATCATGTCAAATATAGCAAAAAGCTAAAACCATTGTTAAACAACACTGATCACACGTATCACATAGTGACCTATTCATGTAGTCATTCATTCGCATAACATTAACTAATGGGCTACTATATGCTACATAAAATACAGGAGTTCTATGGTAGTGAAACCAGAAGATGTAGTATGTGCTTTGTAGGAATTTACACTCTAGCGAGGAGATAGGAAATAAATAGATAAACATACATATGCATGCATATACACACAGAGTGGTGAGTAAAATGAAGAAAACAAATAGAATACTGAGAGAGACCAAAACAGGAGATGGAGACATATCCATGATGGGACCCTCAAGGAAGCTGAAGGCCTTGAGAGTAACCACCTTTTTGTGTAGGGAAGCAGGAAGAGCAATCCAGGTAGAAAAATTAGCATGAGGTGGGTTAGATGACCAGGTCCATGTACACATACAAAAAAGCTAAGGGTTCCTTCAGCTATGACCACTTAGTTTTAAAAGTAAGGAAACTAAAAGCAGGTGAAGCTTTTAAACTTCCTGCCTTTCTAGTTCAATATATGCAAATCAATAAATGTAATCCAGCATATAAACAGAACCAAAGACAAAAACCACATGATTATCTCAATAGATGCAGAAAAGGCCTTTGACAAAATTCAACAACTCTTCATGCTAAAAACTCTCAACAAATTAGGTACTGATGGGACATATCTCAAAATAATAAGAGCTATCTATGACAAACCCACAGCCAATATCATACTGAATGGGCAAAAACTGGAAGCATTCCCTTTGAAAACTGGCACAAGACAGGGATGCCCTCTCTCACCATTCCTATTCAACATAGTGTTGGAAGTTCTGGCCAGGGCAATTAGGCAGGAGAAGGAAATAAAGGGTATTCAATTAGGAAAAGAGGAAGTCAAATTGTCCCTGTTTGCAGATGACTTGATTGTATATCTAGAAAACCCCATTGTCTCAGCCCAAAATCTCCTTAAGCTGACAAGCAACTTCAGCAAAGTCTCAAGATATAAAATCAATGTGCAAAAATCACAAGCATTCTTATACACCAATAACAGACAAACAGAGAGCTGAATCATGAGTGAATTCCCATTCACAATTGCTTCAAAGAGAATAAAATACCTAGGAATCCAACTTACAAGGGATGTGAAGGAACTCTTCAAGGAGAACTACAAACCACTGCTCAAGGAAATAAAAGAGGATACAAACAAATGGAAGAACATTCCATGCTCATGGGTAGGAAGAATCAATATTGTGAAAATGGCCATATTGCCCAAGGTAATTAATAGATTCAATGCCATCCCCATCAAGCTACCAAAGACTTTCTTCACAGAATTGGAAAAAACTACTTTAAAGTTCATATGGAACCAAAAAAGAGCCCACATCGCCAAGTCAATCCTAAGTCAAAAGAACAAAGCTGGAGGCATCAGGCTACCTGACTTCAAACTATACTACAAGGCTACAGTAACCAAAATAGCATGGTACTGGCACCAAAACAGAGATATAGATCAATGGAACAGAACAGAGCCCTCAGAAATAATGCCGCATATCTACAACTATCTGATCTTTGACAAACCTGAGAAAAACAAGCAATGGGGAAGGGATTCCCTATTTAATAAATGGTGCTGGGAAAACTGGCTAGCCATATGTAGAAAGCTGAAACTGGATCCCTTCCTTACACCTTATACAAAAATTAATTCAAGATGGATTAAAGACTTACATGTTAGACCTAAAACCATAAAAACCCTAGAAGAAAACCTAGGCATTACCATTCAGGACATAGGCATGGGAAAGGACTTCATGTGTAAAACACCAAAAGCAATGGCAACAAAAGCCAAAATTGACAAATGGGATCTAATTCAACTAAAGAGCTTCTGCACAGCAAAAGAAACTACCATCAGAGTGAACAGGCAGCCTACAGAATGGGAGAAAATTTTCGCAACGTACTCACCTGACAAAGGGCTAATATCCAGAATCTACAATGAACTCAAACGAATTTACAAGAAAAAAACAAACAACCCCATCAAAAAGTGGGCAAAGGACATGAACAGACACTTCTCAAAAGAAGACATTTATGCAGCCAAAAAACACATGAAAAAAATGCTCACCATCACTGGCCATCAGAGCAATGCCAATCAAAACCACAATGAGGTACCATCTCACTCCAGTTAGAATGGCGATCATTAAAAAGTCAGGAAACAACAGGTGCTAGAGAAGATGTGGAGAAACAGGAACACTTTTACACTGTTGGTGGGACTGTAAACTAGTTCAACCATTGTGGAAGTCAGTGTGGTGATTCCTCAGGGATCTAGAACTAGAAATACCATTTGACCCAGCCATCCCATTACTGTATAAATCATGCTGCTATAAATCATGCTGCTATAAAAGACTATAAATCATGCTGCTATAAAGACACATGCACACGTATGTTTATTGCAGCACTATTCACAATAGCAAAGACTTGGAACCAACCCAAATGTCCAACAATGATAGACTGGATTAAGAAAATGTGGCACATATACACCATGGAATACTATGCAGCCATAAAAAATGATGAGTTCATGTCCTTTGTAGGGACATGGATGAAACTGGAAATCATCATTCTCAGTAAACTATTGCAAGGACAAAAAACCAAACACCACATGTTCTCACTCATAGGTGGGAATTGAACAATGAGAACACATGGACACAGGAAGGGGAACATCACACTCTGGGGACTGTTGTGGGGTGGGGGGAGGGGGGAGGGATAGCATTAGGAGATATACCTAATGCTAAATGACGAGTTAATGGGTGCAGCACACCAGCATGGCAGATGTATACATATGTAACTAACCTGCACATTGTGCACATGTACCCTAAAACTTAAAGTATAATAATAATAAAATAAAATAAATAAAAAATAAAAAAATAAACTGCCTGCCTTTTTCAGGGGTCACAAATAACAACTCTGCCACCTTTCGTAAACATTTCTCCAGAAAGCAACTTTGTATTCATTCATTTATTTATTTTTAGAGGCTGGGTTTTGTTAAGTTGTTCAGGTTGGGTTAAAGTGGCTATACACAGGCATGATCATGGCACACTACACCTCGGAACTCCAGGGCTCAAGCAATCCTCCTGCCCTGGACTCCTGAGTAGCTGGGACTGCAGGTGCATGCCACTGTGCCTGGCCACAGTAGGCAAGGCCAAGATTCAGGAGTGAACATGAGAAAAGACCAGCAGTAACATACATGGCATCGATAGAGTCACATTTCTTCCAGCAAAAATTCCCCAAAAACAAAAAATCCTATTCTGGTAAAAATACAAAGCTATTAAAAGGCTCTAAACGGTGGCCTGGGAACACTGCACACGATTTAAGGGAGCTGAAGAAATATTGGTACCATGTTTTTCCTGTTTCCTTATATTACTATAATTTAATGTTAAGATCAAAATGATCCAAGCAAACTTGGAGTCTTGGGGAAATTTAGATAAAATCACATTTGAAAACAAATAATTATCTTAGAGGGAAACTTTCCCATGACAATTTTAATTAAGCCAATAATATTCTAGAAATGTAGATGTCCTAATGGTATCTAGGACTGTTATTCAATTATTTTCAGTAGTGTTTTGTGTCCTTGTACATCTATGTCCTTCTACACTTTAAAATCTTGAGGAAGAAATGTGACTCCCCCTTTCTGTGTAGTTCCAACTTGAATAAAGTTGACATGTCACCTTTAACAGAATAATAAAAATAAAAATTTAAAAATGTTTTTTTAAAAATAATTTCAACTTTTATTTTAGATTCAGTGGTACATGTGTAGGTTTGTTACATGTGTATATTGCCTGGTGCTGAGGTTTGGAGTACAAATGATCCTGTCACCCATGTACTGAGCATAGTACCCAATAGATAGTTTTTCAGCCCTTGCCCTCCTCCCTCTCTCCCTGCTAGTAGTCTCCAGTGTCTGTTATTCCCATCTGTATGTCCAGGTGTACCCAATGTTTAGCTCCCACTTATAAATGAGAACATGTGGTATTTGGTTTTCTGTTCCTGTGTTTATTCAAAGAAAACAACTTTTTATGATATGTTATGATATGTGTATTTAGATCTACAAAATAAAACTCAATTTAAAATAAATTTAAAGCATGATTATATTTTCTCAAATATCTTTTTTAGGTAGACTTTTGTTTTTGTTTGTGTTTTAATAGGAAGAAAGAACACGAGGGGTCAAGATTCCAAGCCTACCCCTGGTTTTGCCACTTGCTCTATGGTCCTGAAAAAGTCCTGGTTTCTCTTTATTTGACTTGAGGTCTCTTCATTTATAAAAAAGATGGACTGCCTGTGAGGAACTGAAATGGTCTAAGTCACCTCCAACTGTAGAATTCTATGATTATCAAAAACAAAGTGAGATTTCATCTGAATGTTAAGGAATCCAATTCATGGTGCTAAAATAAGCATGCAAATATGAAAAATGAGCCGTATCATTATTACTATAAAAGTCTTCTTTACATATAATTCACAGGCACTTGTAAAAAATGCAGAATTACCAGAAAATCTCCCTCAAACCAAACCTACACTGGTATATTTAATCTAAAACAACTGTACTTCAGTAGTCATTTTAAAAGGGAGAAGTAGTTTCAGTAATTTATTATCAGAAAACAATATGATGGGCAGGTAGTCATTACAAATTCAAAACACAAGCTTCTTTTGGAAACTTCATTTCTTCGCTGTAAAAAATAACTTTTAATAATGGAACTACCTGATGAAAACCAGCATATCAAGCTTCACTGAGAATGTAAGTACAGTTTTGCTAGCTCTGTAACATTCATGTTTGTAAACAGTTTGAATGGCATGTAATTATATGTTCTCTCCTAAAACTGTCCCTGAACCTCTCTGTTAAATGCCTTTAAAAAAAGTTGTGCCAGAATTAAAGAAAGCCAAATAAAAGATATATCCATTTAACTAGAGTTTGGACATACTGCTTTACAAAGTAAAGTGACATTCAGTAATATTACATCACTTAATCTAAACTTAAGTGATGATACTTTTGTTCATTTCCTTGGCATTCTAAACGTGGAAATGCATTTAGTCTACCTAACCTGCAAAATGCCATAGCTTAGCCTACCTTAAATGTGCTCAGATCACTTACATTAGCCTACAGTTTAGTAAAATATCTGGCAACAGAGTCCACTTTGGCATATCTGTTTTTTACCCTGGTGACTGTGTGATTGGGAGCTGTGGTTCACTGTCCATGCTCAGCATCATGGTGAGAGAGTATTCTAAAACAGCACTAGCCTGGGAAAAGATCAAAATTCAAAGTACATTTTCTATTGCATGGGTATCACTTTCATACTATCTTAAATTTGAAAAATCATAAGCTGAATTGTTGCAAGTTGGGGACCACCTGTATTGTAGTACTTGCCCCCTTTCCTCTCTTTAGTGGGTGATAAGATAGCCCCGAGAAGCCTCCCTATAAGACAGTGACATGTCTGTGTCCAGCCAGAGCTCTGACAAGAGGGAATGTCCAGGAGTTGTGGGGAGCTGATAGGCACTCAGTACATCTCTATACTTCCCAATTAAACAGGTAAGTATTGAGTACCCACTTTTACCCATCCAATCAGCCACTCTCGTATTCACCAAATATTTATCCCAAGCATGAAACATTCTCAAGACTTCTGCACTTGCTTCCCCTTCTTCCTGATATTCTCTTCATCAAATATTCACAATCCACTCCTTTACTTCATCTTGGCTAGTGTTCAAATGTCAACTCTGCCACCCCAACAGAGAGGTCCATCCTAACTGTGTTCATTTGCTAGGACCACTATAGCAAAATATCACAACCTGGGTAGCTTAAACAACAGATACTTATTTTCTCACAGTTCTAGAGACTGGAAGCCCAAGACCAAGATGCTGGCAGGGTTTATTTCCTCTGAGCCCTCTCTCCTTGACTTGCAGATGACGGCCCTTCTGTTGCCCCTTCACGTGGCTTTCCCTCTCTGTACATGCACCCTTAGTGTTTCTTTCTGTGTACAAATTTCCCCGTCTAATAAGGACATCAGAAAGATTGGATTAGGGCACATCCTAAAGGATCCATTTTAACTTAATCTGTTCTTCAAAGGCTTTGTTTCTAAATATGATCACATTCTATAGTATTGGGGATTAGGGCTTCGACATATGAATATGTGAGAACACAGGTTAATCCAAATGTCATAACTGATTATTCTATCTAATGACACAGCTTCATAACATTCCCTCTCCCTACTGTAACTTAGTTTCCTTTGTAGCACTTATTATTTGACATAATTTATATGTATTTGCTTTTTCTCTGGCTCCCTCCCCTGGAATGTAAGGCCCAGGAAGCACTTTGCTTTGCTTACTGCAATATTCCCATCACCTAAATCAGTCTCTGGCACAGAGCTGATGTTCAGTATATAAATACTGAATGAGTGAGTAACTTTTCTGAGGACTCCTTCTGCATTAGGCATCCAGCTCGGCCAAGTAAGAGATGGATCCAGATGAAAGACAAAGGAGCAGATCTCAAACAAGGAGTGCCGTATGAACCATGGGTGCTGTTCTTCTAGTTACCAATCTCTTCTTTTCTACTTCAGTGACCAGGCTGTGCTGCACTTGGGCACTGCTGGTTGGGACCTCAGGGATGATCACAGGATCACGAGTAAAGGTGAATTAATACCTACTCTATAGGTAGATTAGATTATGTATCCTAGGTTCATTCTTGGGAGAGTGTTGCTTAATAGCTTTCTCTTTCTTTTTAAACTCTGAGGAAAATAAGTTTAGATATGGCTTCTTACCTTCCTTTATTTTTGATCACTTTCAACATCTAGACTTCTTCTACTCTAAAAACACAGATTTATAAAAGAGTTATCTGGAAAAAGGGAGAATCAATAGGGGAGTTTATTGCAGAGTTCTCTAGACACTTCTCTAAGAGATTTTACTTGAAATCTGCATATATATATATATATATATATATATGTAGTATTTTTTACATGGAAGTTTTTTCCTTTCATTAAATATGGATACTGTTGATCTGTTCACAGAAGCTCTGCAGTCAAACTAACAAATGTTCTGTATCTTAGATTTTATTAAATAATTTGAGACATTAAAACTACCATATTTACTTGCATAATTTTTCATTGAGTGAAACTGATAAAATCAGTATAAGATTTGCAACCAGAATAATGCTACCTCTAATCATCAATTCCTTATCTTTCTTGCTGTTGGCATTTTTTTTTGCTTTTAATTTTTTTTAATTTTTTTTTATTATTATGCTTTAAGGGTACATGTGTACAATGTGCAGGTTAGTTACATATGTATACATGTGTCATGTTGGTGTGCTGCACCCATTAATTCGTCATTTAAAATTAGGTAAATCTCCTAATGCTATCCCTCCTCCCACCCCTCACCCCACAACAGTCCCCAGAGTGTGATGTTCCCCTTCCTGTGTCCATGTGTTCTCATTGTTCAATTCCCACCTATGAGTGAGAACATGCGGTGTTTGGTTTTTTTGTCCTTGCAATAGTTTGCTGAGAATGAGGGTTTCCAGTTTTATCCATGTCCCTAAAAAGGACATGAACTCATCATTTTTTATGGCTGCATAGTATTCCATGGTGCATATGTGTCACATTTGCTTAATCCAGTCTATCATTGTTGTACATTTGGGTTGGTTCCAAGTCTTTGCTATTGTGAATAGTGCCACAATAAACACACGTGTGCATGTGTCTTTATAGCAGCATGACTCATAATCCTTTGGGTATATACCCAGTAATCGGATGGCTGGGTCAAATGGTATTTCTAGTTCTAGACCCCTGAGGAATTGCCACACTGACTTCCACAATGGTTGAACTAGTTTAAAGTACCACCAACAGTGTAAAAGTGTTCCTATTTCTCCACATCCTCTCCAGCACCTGTTGTTTCCTGACTTCTTAATGATTGCCATTCTAACTGGAGTGAGGTGGTATCTCATTGTGGTTTTGATTTGCATTTCTCTGATGGCCAGTGATGATGAGCATTTTTTCATGTATCTTTTGGCTACATAAATGTCTTCTTTTGAGAAGTGTCTGTTCATATCCTTCGCCGACTTGTTGATGGGGTTATTTCTTGTAAATTTGTTTGAGTTCATTGTAGATTCTGAATATTAGCCCTTTGTCAGATGAGTAGATTGCAAAAATTTTCTCCCATTCTGTAGGTTGCCTGTTCACTCTGATGGTAGTTTCTTTTGCTATGCAGAAGCTCTTTAGTTTAATTAGATCCCATTTGTCAATTTTGGCTTTTGTTGCCATTGCTTTTGGTGTTTTACACATGAAGTCCTTTCCCATGCCTATGTCCTGAATGGTAATGCCTAGGTTTTCTTCTAGGGTTTTTATGGTTTTAGGTCTAACATGTAAGTCTTTAATCCATCTTGAATTAATTTTTGTATAAGGTGTTAAGGAAGAGATCCAGTTTCAGCTTTCTACATATGGCTAGCCAGTGTTCCCAGCATCATATATTAAATAGGGAATCCTTTCCCCATTGCTTGTTTTTGTCAGGGTTGTCAAAGATCAGATGGTTGTAGATATGCGGCATTATTTCTGAGAGCTCTGTTCTGTTCCATTGGTCTATATCTCTGTTTTGGTACCAGCACCACGCTGTTTTGGTTACTGTAACCTTGTAGTATAAGTTTGAAGTCAGGTAGCGTGATGCCTCCAGCTTTGTTCTTTTGACTTAGAATTGACTTGGCAATGTGGGCTCTTTTTTGGTTCCATATGAACTTTAGTTTTTTCCAATTCTGTGAAGAAAGTCATTGGTAGCTTGATGGGGATGGCACTGAATCTATAAATTACTTTGGGCAGTATGGCCATTTTCACAATATTGATTCTTCCTACCCATGAGCATGGAATGTTTTTCCATTTCTTTGTATCCTCTTTTATTTCACTGAGCAGTGGTTTGTAGTTCTCCTTCAAGAGGTCCTTCACATCCCTTATAAGTTGGATTCCTAGGTATTTTATTCTCTTTGAAGCAATTGTGAATGGGAGTTCACTCATGATTCGGCTGTTTGTCTGTTATTGGTGTATAAGAATGCTTGTGACTTTTGTACATTGATTTTGTATCCTGAGACTTTGCTGAAGTTGCCTATCAGCTTAAGGAGATTTTGGGCTGAGACAATGGGGTTTTCTAGATATACAATCATGTCATCTGCAAACAGGGACAATTTGACTTCCTCTTTTCCTAATTGAATACCCTTTATTTCCTTCTCCTGCCTAATTGCCCTGGCCAGAACTTCCAACACTATGTTGAATAGGAGTGGTGAGAGAGGGCATCCCTGTCTTGTGCCAGTTTTCAAAGAGAATGCTTCCAGTTTTTGCCCATTCAGTATGATATTGGCTGTGGGTTTGTCATAGATAGCTCTTATTATTTTGAGGTACGTCCCATCAGTACCTATTTTATTGAGAGTGTTTAGCATGAAGAGTTGTTAAATTTTGTCAAAGGCCTTTTCTGCATCTATTGAGATAATCATGTGGTTTTTGTCGTTGGTTCTGTTTATATGCTGGATTACGTTTATTGCTTTGCATATGTTGAACCAGCCTTGCATCCCAGGGATGAAGCCCACTTGATCATGTTGGATAAGCTTTTTGATGTGCTGCTGGATTCGGTTTGCCAGTATTTTATTGAGGATTTTTGCATCAATGTTCATCAGGGGTATTGGTCTAAAATTCTCTTTTTTTGTTGTGTCTCTGCCAGGCTTTGGTATCAGGATGATGCTGGCCTCATAAAATGAGTTAGGGAGGATTCCCTCTTTTTCTATTGATTGGAATAGTTTCAGAAGGAATGGTACCAGCTCCTCCTAGTACCTCTGGTAGAACTCAGCTGTGAATCCATCTGGTCCTGGACTTTTGTTGGTTGGTAAGCTATTAATTATTGCCTCAATTTCAGAGCCTGTTTTTGGTCTATTCAGAGATTCAAATTCTTCCTGGTTTAGTCTTGGGAGAGTGTATTTGTCGAGGAGTTTATCCATTTCTTCTAGATTTTCTAGTTTATTTGCGTAGAAGTGTTTATAGTATTCTCTGATGGTAGTTTGAATTTCTGTGGGATTGCCGGTGATATCACCTTTATCATTTTTTATTGCGTCTATTTGATTCTTCTCTCCTTTCTTCTTTATTGGTCTTGCTAGCAGTCTATCAATTTTGATATTTTCAAAAAACCAGCTCCTGGATTCATTGATTTTTTGAAGGGTTTTTTGTGTCTCTATCTCCTTCAGTTCTGCTCTGATCTTAGTTATTTCTTGCCTTCTGCTAGCTTTTGAATATGTTTGCTCTTGCTTCTCTAGTTCTTTTAATTGTGATGTTAGGGTGTCAATTTTAGATCTTTTCTGCTTTCTCTTGTGGGCATTTAGTGCTATAAATTTCCCTCTACACACTGCTTTGAATGTGTCCTAGAGATTCTGGTATGTTGTGTCTTTGTTCTCGTTGGTTTCAAAGAACATATTTACTTCTGCCTTCATTTCATTATGTACCCAGTAGTCATTCAGGAGCAGGTTGTTCAGTTTCCATGTAGTTGAGCGGTTTTGAGTGAGTTTCTTAATCCTGAGTCCTAGTTTGATTGCACTGTGGTCTGAGAGACAGTTTGTTATAATTTCTATTCTTTTACATTTGCTGAGGAGTGCTTTACTTCCACCTATGTGGTCAATTTTGGAATAGGTGTGGTGTGGTGCTGAAAAAAATGTATATTCTGTTGATTTGGGGTGGAGAGTTCTTTAGATGTCTATTAGGTCTGCTTAGTGCAGAGCTGAATTCAATTCCTGGATATCCTTGTTAACTTTCTGTCTCATTGATCTGTCTAATGTTGACAGTGGGGTTTTAAAGTCTCCCATTATTATTGTATGGGAGTCTAAGTCTCTTTGTAGGTCTCTAAGGACTTGCTTTATGCATCTGGGTGCTCCTGTATTGGGTGCATATATATTTAGAAGAGTTAGCTCTTCTTGTTGAATTGATCCTTTTACCATTATGTAATGGCCTTCTTTGTCTCTTTTGATCTTTGTTGGTTTAAAGTCTGTTTTATCAGAGACTAGGATTGCAACCCCTGCCTTTTTTTGTTTTCCATTTGCTTGGTAGATCTTCCTCCATCCCTTTATTTTGAGCCTATGTGTGTCTCTGTATGTGAGATGGGTTTCCTGAATACAGCACACTGATGGGTCTTGACTCTTTATCCAATTTGCCAGTCTGTGTCTTTTATTTGGAGCATTTAGCCCATTTACATTTAAGGTTAATGTTTTTATATGTGAATTTGATCCTGCCATTATGACGTTAGCTGGTTATTTTGCTTGTTAGTTGATGCAGTTACTTCCTAGCCTCGATGGTCTTTACAATTTGGCATGTTTTTGCAGTGGCTGGTACCGATTGTTCCTTTCCATGTTTAGTGCTTCCTTCAGGAGCTCTTTTAGGGCAGGCCTGGTGGTGACAAAATCTCTCAGCATTTGCTTGTCTGTAAAGGATTTTATTTCTCCTTCACTTATGAAGCTTAGTTTGGCTGGATATGAAATTCTGGGTTCAAAATTCTTTTCTTTAAGAATGTTGAATATTGGCCCCCACTCTCTTTTGGCTTGTAGAGTTTCTGCCAAGAGATCAGCTGTTAGTCTGATGGTCTTCTCTTCGTGGGTAACCCAACCTTTCTCTCTGGCTGCCCTTAACATTTTTGCCTTCATTTCAACTTTGGTGAATCTGACAATTATGTGTCTTGGAGTTGCTCTTCTCGAGGAGTATCTTTGTGGCATTCTCTGTGTTTCCTGAATTTGAATGTTGGCCTGCCTTGCTAGATTGGGGAAGTTCTCCTGGATTATATCCTGCAGAGTGTTTTCCAACTTGGTTCCATTCTCTCCGTCACTTTCAGGTACCAATCAGACGTAGATTTGGTCTTTTCACATAGTCCCATATTTCTTGGAGGCTTTGTTCATTTCTTTTTTTCTTTTTTCTCTAAACTTTTCTTCTCGCTTCATTTCATTCATTTGATCTTCCATCACTGATACCCTTTCTTCCAGTTGATCGAGTTGGCTACTGAGGCTTGTGCATTTGTCACGTAGTTCCCGTGCCTTGGTTTTCAGCTCCATCGGTCCTTTAAGGACTTCTCTGCATTGGTTATTCTAGTTAGCCATTCGTCTAATTTTTTTTCAAGGTTTTTAACTTCCTTGCCATGGGTTCGAACTTCCTCCTTTAGCTCAGAGTTGTTTCATCATCTGAAGCCTTCTTCTCTAAACTCATCAAAGTCATTCTCTATCCAGCTTTGTTCCATTGCTGGTGAGGAGCTGCGTTGCTTTGGAGGAGGAGAGGTGCTCTGATTTTTAGAGTTTCCAGTTTTTCTGCTCTGTTTTTTCCCCATCTTTGTGGTTTTATCTACCTGATCTACCTGTGGTGTTTGATGATGGTGATGTACAGATGGGGTTTTGGTGTGGATGTCCTTTCTGTTTGTTAGTTTTCCTTCTAACAGTCAAGACCTTCAGCTGCAGGTCTGTTGGAGTTTGCTGGAGGTCCACTCCAGACCCTGTTTGCCTGGGTATCAGCAGTGGAGGCTGCAGAACAGCAGATATTGGTGAACAGCCAATGTTGCTGCCTTTTTGTTCCTCTGGAAGTTTTGTCTCAGAGGAGTACCCAGCCATGTGACGTGTCAGTCTGCCCCTACTGGGGGATGCCTCCCAGTTAGGCTACTTGGGGGTCAGGGACCCACTTGAGGAGGCCGTCTGTCCGTTCTCAGATCCCCAGCTGCGTGCTGGGAGAACCACTACTCTCTTCAAACCTGTCAGACAGGGACATTTAAGTCTGCAGAGGTTTCTGCTGCCTTTTGTTTGGCTATGCCCTGCCCCCAGAGGTGGAGTCTACAGAGGCAGGCAGGCCTCCTTGAGTTATGGTGGGCTCCCCCCAGTTAGAGCTCTGGGCTGCTTTGTTTACCTACTCAAGCCTCGGTGCAATGGCAGGTGCCCCTCCCCCAGCATCGCTGCCACCTTGCAGTTTGATCTCAGACTGCTGTGCTAGCAAAGAGCAAGGCTCCATGGGCATAGGACCCTCTGAGCCATGCGTGGGATATAATCTCCTGTTGTGCCGTTTGCTAAGACCGTTGGAAAAGCACAGTATTAGTGTGGGAGTGACCTGATTTTCCAGGTGTTGTCTGTCACTCATTTCTTTGACTAGGAAAGGGAATTCCCTGACCCCTTGCACTTCCCAGGTGAGGCAATGCCTTGCCCTGCTTCGGCTCATGCTCAGTGCGCTGCACCCACTGTCCTGCACCCTGCACCCACTTTCTGACACTCTCCAGTGAGATGAGCCTGGTACCTCAGTTGGAAATGCAGAAATCACCTGTCTTCTTCGTCACTCACGTTGGGAGCTGTAGACTGGAGCTGTTCCTATTCGGCCATCTTGGCTCCACCCTCCATTTTTTTTTTTTTTTAATTCTTTGCTGTGGATCTACCAAGGCTTTTGATACTCACTGGCTACAAAACATGTCCTAGAATGATGTTTCCCAAAATGTGTTTGGTTAAAAGATGTTTCATCTAGACATGTTTGAAGTATGCATGATAATAATAACAAACAACCATATGGTCTAATTATAAAAAAAGATCATCAGAAATATTATGTCTACCAGTAAGAATAACAACAATACAAGAACTATCATGAAGTATTTACTGTGTGTCAGATACTGGACTAAGCACTTCATATGTACTACATCATTAATCCTCACAATAATTTCACAAATGATAAAACTGAGTCTTAGAGTAATTTAACTTGCTTAAGTTCATCCAAGTACTCTGTGCCTGAAGCAGATTTTGAACTCATATTTGCTTAACTCCAGAACTCAAACTTGTATGAATATACATGTGGCCTTTCAGAGAATGCACTTGCAACATTTAGAATGAGAAAGCACATGTAAAAAAAGACAGGAAAAATATTAAAATTCATAAAAGAATAAAAATTTCTGTGGCATGGAAGTTTAAATCTTATTAAATGCCTGATTTTTCCAGGCATTTAATCTATGTTGACATAAATAGTTCATCTATGTTGACAAAAATAGTTTAAGAATCCAAAAACCAAAATTAAAAAAGTGGAAGCTGTTGTCTAAAAACAAAACAAAAACAAAGCCTTTCAATGAAAGAACCAGGCCTAGACAATTTTATAGACAAACTTTATCAAGCTTTTAGAGATAGATATTAGGTTGGTGCAAAAGTAATTGTGGTTTTGCAATTAAAGCAATGGCAAAAATCACAAGATCACCAGTACTTTTGTACCAACCTATAATTCCCTTCCAATCTAAGCCTCTCCAACCAATCAAAAGGGCACTGTGGAACAAGACATACAAATGGAGATTGTGCTACAGTGAAGAGAGGCAGACAATGAAGTGACCATTATTGGATGGGAAGGATCAATTCAGATAACTTCTATGAGGGTGATGGGGTTGGGAGAAATTCTACCTCAGACACTGCCAAGATAATCCTCTCTGAGAAGGTGATACTGTTATTAGATTAATGATGCTCTGAGAGACAAGAAGTGGCTGAACATGGTATGAGAAAGCTGCATTTCAAGGACAAAGAACAACAAGTGAAATACTCTGAGCCAGAAATGGGAGGAACACGTTCAAGAAATAGAAGAAGAGATAAAATGTTCATATGAAGAGGGAGAGAGATATGAGATCATTTTGGAGAGGCAATTTCAGTGATTCAAGCGATAGATGGTGGCATTAGTTATGGTGGTTACAGAGGAGACCGTGAAAAGTGGAGAGCTTTGAGTTGTATTTTGGAGACACTGATATTCAATATACATGTACTATATATACATAATATATATGTCTATATATCCATTTTGCTCTTAATATGGCTAGGGAGACATAAATACAAAGTAAAAACTCTCATTTTATCAGTGGTTTGATATAAAATACTTTGAAATGTCATAAAGGCACTATCAGAAAGTGTGAGCTTGGAATAAGAAATGTAGTTTATTAATAATAAAAAGATGTTTCTTAATGAAATAAAATCATTTTATAGCATTTCAGTCCATCTTTCTTATCCCTGTTAACACTTATCTGAGTGTGAATAGGTTTTCTATTAAAGTACACTGACCAGAATGCTTAATGAATCTTTCTAGACTACATTATGGCTCCACTTTCCACTGGAATCATAAACAAGTTAAGTAACAGATTTAGGTGCACCTAGCAGCTGCTATCAACTCCCCTCTTCTGACATCGTTCAAATTTTATTTCACAGATTTTTCACAATCACTTTTAGAAAATCATATATTACAGTAGAGAGAGAAGTGGAACAAGGCTAGAAAAATCCACATTCTGCTGCTAATTAATAAGGGATACTGAGTCTCAGTCTAGTCATCTGCAAAATGAGAATGCTCAATGCCCATCATGATTTTGCAGCATTATTCTAAGAAGCAAATAAGCGATGTGAAATGAATTTTGGAAATCGTAAGCTGTAAGATTTGGTTATTCTGTAATAATTTATAATTCTTGGAAGCACATGAATTTAATAATATCCTGAGATCAAATGGAATAAAAGCTAATAAAATCAGTTCAGAATAATTATAAGATTTGCATCTGGCTTTTGATCAATGGCAGATTTATGATGTAATGATCACTGTGGATCAGAAGTACTCTGCTACTGGTGCCCAGGTGGACAGAGCTTCATCTCTAAAATGAAAGTGTGGGAATCACCAAATATTGCATTTCAAATGCATTTGTGAGTACGTGAGATCAGTAAGCAAACATCAAGAGATTCTTTTTCCATGATTTAATATGCACGAGTAGCCCCAATAAGAATCCTTTCTGATATGAACAGACACTTCTCAAAAGGAGACATTTATGCGGCCAAAAAACATATGAAAAAAAGCTCAACATCACTGCTCATCAGAGAAATGCAAATGAAAACCACAATGAGATACCATCTCATGACACTCAGAATGGCGATTATTAAAAAGTCAGGAAACAATAGATATTGGCAAGGCTGTGGAGAAATAGGAATGCTTTTACACTGTTGGTGGGAATGTAAATTAGTTCAACCATCATAGTAGACAGTATGGCGATTCCTCAAGGATCTAGAACCAGAAATACCATTTGACCCAGCAATCTGTTACTGAGTATTTACTCAAAGGGATATAAATCATTCTACTCTAAAGACACATGCACACGTATGTTTATTACAGCACTATTTACAATAGCAAAGATATAGAACCAACCCAAATGTACATCAATGATAGACTGGGTAAACAAAATGTGGTACATATACAGTATGGAATACTATGCAGCCATAAAAAGGGATGAGATCATGTCCTTTGCAGGAACGTGGATGAAGCTGGAAGCCATCATCCTCAGCAAACTAACACAGAAACAGAAAACCAAACACCGCATGTTCTCTAAGTGGGACTTGAACAATAAGGACACATGGTCACAGACAGGGGAACAACACACATCAGGGCCTGTTGCAGGGTGGGGAGTGATGGGAAGGAACTTAGAGGAGAGGTCACTAGGTGCAGCAAACCACCATGGCACACGTATACCTATGTAACAAACCTGCACGTTTTACACATGTGTCCTGTTTTCTTTTTTTTTTAGAAGAAACTAAAGAATCCTTTCCTTACAAAATTATTTTTTTTCCATTAAAGGTGCCTAAGATTTAGAATGCCAGATTAAAGGGAATTACAAAAAAAAAATTGTAGTATATCCTGCTTAAACTGTATAGAAACTCATTAAAATAATTTGTGATGGAAATATACAGAAGAGAATTTAAAGGAAATAACTATTCCAACAAATCCTACTAGCTGGTGAAAGGTCTAAATCAGGCTTTTAAAAATATTCTAATATTCAGTAAACACGCCTTCCTAACTGCAGTCCTTGAAAGGCCACCTTAAATTTTATTAAAAGGCACATGATCTTTTTGGACACCATTATTAGCCAACAAATATTTATGGAAATCTGATATAGCAGGATCATGAATTATAATTAAATGAAAAAGAAAAAAAACTCCAATTGCTATATGCATAGATAATGTATTGTACCATGTAAGTTAAATCTTATTTAACAAAATAACTCAAATAATTTAATGCATAATCCTTTTTGGCATTGCAATTATTTTTTGAATAATATTATTATTTATTTAAAATGTTCTGATCAGTTGTATATGCCTTTGAGCATTAATGCATTAACTAGACTAGGTACATCTATTAGGTGACATACTTAATATGCCATGATGGTAAAATAAAAATAAAAGTCCAACTCTTTTGTTCACAAACAACATAGCAATGGAAAACAAAGTCAAATTATTTCTTTCTTCAAGGGTACTTCTTTACAGCCAATATAATAAAGATTCCTAAACAAATTACTCTCTGTTAGATAACTGAAACTATTGTGTAATTTTAGATGGAAGACTTCATTCATTGTAGATATGACAGATAAAACTTATACCTGAATATGATTCCTTTTATAGTTTTAGGCATTATAAACACAAAAATATGTCATCAGTTTATCACACAAATTACTAAAAAGTACACACCCATACAAAAGCTGATGTTTCTTATGTACTTAGAATGAACTGTGATGCAGAGTACATCTGATCAGAAGTGACTTGAACATCACTATGCACAGTATTCCCTCAATACATACGGTTAAAAACATGGCTTCAATAGAAGAAATTCTGCATTTCAAAAAGAAACAAATGTATTCACCAACTGTTGGATTTCAAAGTTACTGTGGGAGGTAACTTCATGTAGCAACATTGTTTTATGGAGAGAAAAATTCTGATTCTACACTCTGTTAAAGGAATTCATGCAACTCAGCCTAACAAAATTTGCAGCTGGCATGGATAATGTGGTCAAAGTGGCCCCAGTGATTTAAAGTGACAAGGTCAGAGGGGCCAGATGGACAGATACAATTAGGTAACTCATGAGTAGGAGAGTATTCCAACACAATTCATATACTTGTGGCTTTGCTTTAATGGGGTGGGGGACAACAGGTGACAAATTGTGGCACTGGAGCATTCTAGTTATCACAGGGGATAATCAGAAATAGCTTTAAATTATTGGCTGTGTGAATGGAAAATTTTTATCAAAGCAACAGAAATCATTCTTTGTGATGAAGCCAATGTCCCACTCCTTTGAACAATGCTCTTTCCCCAGTGAATTCATCAGTAAAACCTTCCCACTGCTTCAACTATTTGCTTAATAGCAAACAAAATTAAATTAGATCCATATTTTTAAAACATTCTCCTCTCTAGATCTTTTAAGTAATCAGTAATTACCAAAATGAGAAATTTGGTCCTGGATATGACTGAAATACAACTATCCAGGCTGTGTGAAATATACATTAGTTCAAAGTTGCCAACACAATGTAAAACTTCATTCTAAACCCTCTCTAAAAAAAACTGCTGGGAGATGTACTCCAGAAAATAGAAAAATAATGGATTCTAGAAAGAAAAATTTGCGGCTATAAAAATGGAATACACACAGACATACAAACTGATATTAATGTATAAAGCCAACCAATCAAATCAAAATTGTGGTAAGGAGATTAGCATAATGCAGAGTTTAGTCCAAATAATTATTAACATATAATACAAAAAGTACTCAAAATATGGAACTGAAATCTCAAGTGGGCACAAAATGTAAAGAGGTGTGCCTTGCTCAGTGTATAGGTAGGTGGATAAGATGAGAGTGCTTAGGTAGGTGGATAAGATGAGAGTGCTTAGGTCGGTGGATAAGATGAGATGATATTTAAAAAATAACAGCCTCAAAGCTGTTTGCCAAAATCTGTGTAGCTGTGAGTGATGAGCTGGGTCTGGATGCCGGGCCTTAGCCACGCTCTTGCAATTTACACTCTGTAGCCCTGAGAGGACCAATGCTGGGAACCTAGCCTTATAGCTGGAGATGACAGGGTGTTTCCAAAATCATGCAACATGGTCATGACCACGTCACTAAATAGGTGGTTTTCATTACTCTATTTTCCTTCTTCATTTCTCAATTCATCAAACTGTTAACAATACTAATTTCATGAAGCCTGTCCTTCCTGATAAATTCAGGCAACCTTCTATGTATACAATGGCATAGGTAGGGCTTTATGAGAACGTAGGACTGGGATACCAGATTCTGAGATTAGATAGGCACCTGAGTTTAGTCTGAAGGAAGGGAAGGAGTCAGAAAAGAGAAGGAAGGGTAGGTTCAGGAATGGCATTCCAGGTAGAGCAGCAGTGTCAACTACAGCAAAGATATAAGAAAGACAATAATGTACTTAAGTGTACACTGTGGGAGATGAGGCTGAAAAGGCAGACGGGCCGGTTCATTAGAGCTTGTTCACTGTGCAAAGGAACTTGAATTTTACCCTGTCACTAAAGAGACAGGATAAAATTCTTGCCAGAGAAAGGATGTAAGTAGGAAATAGTTTTTGATAGAGCATTCTGGAAATTGTCGAACTGATTTCCAGGGCAAGATACCAGAAGAAGAAAATTTTATTAGGAGAAAACCAGCAATTTTTTTAATGTATTGACAGATTACTCTTGTATATATTTATGAGGTATAAAGTGATGTTATGGTTTTTAAATTCAATGTGGAATGATTAAACTCGCATATCATGGCCTCAAATACTTAACATTTTTGTGATAAGAAGATTAGAATATTCTAATAGAGTACTATTCTCCTAGCAATATTAAAATGGATAGTTGATAAGAATGCATAGTACATATTTTAAATTCTCCTTGTAAAGAACTTTGTTAAAGTTCTATGTAATCCACTCTTTCAATTTTCATTTCCAGATTCTACTCATTCCACATTGCATTAAACACAGATGTGTTTCCTTAATAATGTGACAGTTGTGTTTCCAATACAGAAGGGGTTAGACTTTTCTGGAATCACCTTTTCAATAGTAGTACAGTTATTCCCAATTTAATCTTTACTTTCTAAAACCAATCCCATTAGCAAAGCATGGAAATCTTTTTACTTTGTCTATTTTAATAATCTTCCAAGCATACTCATTAAGGCACTAGAGTTTAGAGTAAGATAGACCTCAGCCTTACGAACCATAAGCAGTTTTTCCATCTTCTTTGAACCTCAGTTCCTGAACTAAAGTAATAGATCTTCCATAGGGAGGTTTGTAATGTTTAAATGCAGTAATTGTCTTTTTTTTTTTTAGATGGAGTCTTGCTGTGTTGCCCCGGCTGGAGTGCAGTGGCACGATCTCGGCTCACAGCAACCTCTGCCTCCCAGGTTGAAGCAATTGTCCTGCTTCAGCCTCCTGAATATCTGGGATTACAGGCACCCACCACCATGCCTGGCTAATTTTTGTATTTTTTTAGTAGAGACAGGGTTTCCCCATGTTGGTCAGGCTGGTCTCAAACTCCTGACCTCAGGTGATCTGCCCGCCTTGGCCTCCCAACGTGCTGGCTGGGATTACAAGTATGAGCCACCACACCCGGACCTAAATGCAGTAATTTTCTTAAGTATCTAGCACAATTTCTACATACAGGAAGGGCTAACCGCCCCCCTCCCACCCCCCACAATGTCTATTATTATTATTTTGGGGATAGCATAAGTTGATCCTTAAATTAGTGGCTTTGAAACCAGTGAGGTTTTCATTTTAGTTCAGGCACCAGTTTCTGACCTTAGAAAAGTTATCACCTCATCTATAAAACAGAGGAAATGATACCTATACCAGACGGTTGCTTTGAGGTTTAATGAGATAATATAAGTCAAGTGTGTAGCTTGGTGCCTACAGCAAGCACTCAGGACATGTTTATCACTAATATGACCACCCCACTACCACAACCACCTGTTATTATTACTACCTTTTCTGTGCTCTGTCATAAGTGTCACAAGCCAGACACAAATGGTGTCTACATATAGCTCTGTAGATAAGCTACTGTTATGTGGCTATTACTACTAGGGTAGATTACACATTGGACACATTTTTTTCCTCCTTCTTATCTTTATCTCCAACCATATGTTTTAATTTTTAAATAAAAATAATATATTTTTATCTTACTAAAAAAGATGTACATAGTACCATGGAAATTTAGATAATCTGGATTAGCAAAAAAAAAAAAAGGCATCTATAATCCACCACTCTATAATTACTGTTGACATTAACACTGCATTGTACATTATTCATTTTTTCTATTCACTTCAGGTTTTGGTTTTGTTTTTTTTAAGAAAAACATTTTAAAAGAAAAGTATATAAGATATTGAGCATATTGGTTAACTATTTAATTTCAAATATTGAGGGGTAAATTGTTGGGATAAATAATAATATCTATTATTTAGATATAAGCAGTAAAATTAATAGCGAGTCATGAATAGAGTAAATTTCTCAACTAAAAACCTTAACCAGAATCCAAATGACTTAGAACACTCAGTATGATACTTTTGGAGAAACATAAAAATAATAATTCAAAAACCATATGGCTTATTTTTAAAAAGGAAGCTCATGGTCACATAGAATTAACACAGTCTCTTTAGTTCAGCTAATCTCCAACAAGAACTGACATTTACAAGTATCATACTCTCCAAGATTCATAACTGTCAAGAAAATGTTGAATTATGTTGAACTAACTTTTTGTTAAACAAAACACAATTAACTAGAGTAGCCCATTAGTTGACTATTCTAGTGGAATGTTGTAAAGTCTTTGAAGAATGAATAATCAAAAACAGATCTCTAACGTTATTTTTTAGACTGTACTTCCTAGACCTCTCATTATCTCATTCCCTATTCTTCTAACAGAACCTAATTTATGTCCTGATATAGAACTATTCATGAAACATACATGTGAGGGGATACAGGCCATATTTTAGATGTAACTCTTCTGAAATACTAAACCTCAACATTTTCACAGAAAGCAATACTTCTCCAGATCTTGGTCTACCACAAGATTTCATTGCAATTTTCAAAGCACCCTGATGCACATTGCCTCATGCTTTTCATAAGCCTTTAAGTTATGTAGTGCAGACATTGTGATCTTTGACTTATAACAAAAGAACTGAGAGTTAAAGATATTAAATGCCATTTTTTCCTAAGGCCACAAATCCCTGAAATTGCAGAGATAGCATAGCACTTTTGTTTTTGCTATTATTAAAATGAACAACCTTGGACAAGTCACTGAAACTCCTTAAAAGTTTTTTATCTTACATTAGTAAATGCAAGGATTGGTCTAGATTATCTTTTATTTTCTCTTGATGTTCTGTAAATCTATGAGCTATAATGCACTAGGGCACAATGCTCTAGGTATTAGAAAACCATGTTTTGCTGGCATTAACCTGTCTTTTTTTGTTTGTTTGTTTTTTGAGGTGGAGTTTCACTCCTGTTGCAGGGCTGGAGTGCAATAGGGCAATCTCGGCTCACTGCAACCTCCACCTCGCGGGTTGAAGCGATTCTCCTGCCTCAGCCTCCCAAGTAGGTGGGATTACAGGCATGTGCCACCACGTCTGGCTAGTTTTGTATTTTTAGTAGAGAAGGAGTTTTTCCATGTTGGTCAGGCTGGTCTCAAACTCCCGACCTCAGGTGATCCGCCTGCCTCGGCCTCCCAAAGTGCTGGGATTACACAGGTGTGAGCCACCACACCCGGCCTAATCTGTCTTATTGGCTTTATTGATTTCTTTTCCTATACATAGTTTTATGGTCTGAATGTTTGTGACCCCCTAAAATTCATATGTTGAAACTTAATAATGTGATGGAATTAGGACATGGGGCCTTTTGGGAGATAAGATTAGAGTCATAAGGGGAGAGGCCTCAAGAATGTGATTAGTGCCATTATAAAATAGTCCCTAAGGAACTCATTCTCCCTTCCACCACATGAGGATGCAGCTAGGAGGCACCATTTATGAATCAGGAAACAGCTGCCAATGCCTTAATCTTGGACTTTCCTGTCTCTAAAACTGTGAGACAAAAAAAAAAAACAAACAACAACAAAAAACAAAAACAAAAAAAGTAAAAAAGCAAAAAAATAAAAGTTGGTTACTTATAAGCAACCCAGTTTATGGTATTTTGTTATATGAGTGTGAATAGAATAAGACACATGGGAAATTCCCAAAGTATGGTTCACAATCTAATGTGAGGTAAAAACTATCAGAATAAAACTAATATTAATACATTATATGTCTCTGTCACTGTGTCAACATTTGCACTGATTATGTATAAGCCATGGTGAATAAAACTGTGGGCATCTTAGCCCTTCTGATGACTGCAGCATCACTTGAAGAAAGTTATTTTATTCATGCATTTTTATTTTCAAAGTTTTTTACTGCTGTTGCTTGCTTTGTTCGTTTTTAACCATTTGCCACGTCCCATGACCCTCTAAGGTTTTCTGATACAGAGAGGCTGAGGCTCAGCTAAGAGAGGGACATTTAAGTTCTTAGAGCAAAGCTACCAGGCTTAGATGGCATTTTTATTTCTACAGAAAGGAAACAAAATAGTTTAATTATATTTACATTAAATAAGATAATTTGATTAAAATTACAAGAATAAAACTTTGTTACAAATTTGAATCCCTAATTTGGTCCACTATGTATAGAACTTAGGCGTTCAATTCATTTTTAAATGATTTCCCAGACTCATTTACAAATAAGCAAGTTAAGTTATATTCCAATAGGAATATATGTCTAGGTCATTAAAGACTAACCAGATACCATGTAGTAAAAGTTCACTCTTTTAGAAGCTATCACGATCTCCCCTTTCAAATCCCTGCTTTTTTTTCTTTTTAATTATACTTTAAGTTCTAGGGTACATGTGCACAACGTTCAGGTTTGCTACATATGTATACATGTACCATGTTGGTGTGCCGCATCCATTAATTCGTCATTTACATTAGGTATATCTCCTAATGCTATCCCTCCCCCCTCCCCCCACCCCAAAACAGGCCCCAGTATGTGATGTTCCCCTTCCTGTGTCCATGTGTTCTCATTGTTCAATTCCCACCTATGAGCGAGAACATGCGGTGTTTGGTTTTTTGTCCTTGCGATAGTTTGTTGAGAATGATGGTTTCCAGCTTCATCCATGTCCCTACAAAGGACATGAACTCATCTTTTTATGGCTGCACAGTATTCCATGGTGTATATGTGCCACATTTTCTTAATCCAGTCTATCATTGATGGACATTTGGGGTGGTTCCAAGACTTTGCTATTGTGAATAGTGCTGCAATAAACATACATGTGCATGTGTCTTTATAGCAGCATGACTTATAATCCTTTGGGTATATACCCAGTAATGGGATGGCTGGATCAAATGGTATTTCTAGTTCTAGATCCCTGAGGAATCACCACAGTCTTCCACAATGGTTGAACTAGTTTACAGTCCCACCAACAGTGTAAAAGTGTTCCTATTTCTCCACATCCTCTCCAGCACCTGTTGTTTCCTGACTTTTTAATGATCACCATTCTAACTGGTGTGAGATGATATCTCATTGTGGTTTTGATTTGCATGTCTCTGATGGCCAGTGATGATGAGCATTTTTTCATGTGTCTTTTGGCTGCATAAATGTCTTCTTTTGAGAAGTGTCTGTTCATATCCTTTGCCCACTTTTTGATGGGGTTGTTCGTTTTTTTCTTGTAAATTTGTTTGAGTTCTTTGTAGATTCTGGATATTAGCCCTTTGTCGGATGAGTAGACTGCAGAAATTTTCTCCCATTCTGTAGGTTGCCTGTTCACTCTGATGGTAGTTTCTTTTGCTGTGCAGAAGCTCTTCAGTTTAATTAGATCCCATTTGTCAATTCTGGCTTTTGTTACCATTGCTTTTGGTGTTTTAGACATGAAGTCCTTGCCCATGCCTATGTCCTGAATGGTAATGCCTAGGTTTTCTTCTAGTGTTTTTATGGTTTTAGATCTAACATTTAAATATTTAATCCATCTTGAATTAATTTTTGTATAAGGTGTAAGGAAAAGATCCAGTTTCAGCTTTCTACATATGGCTAGCCAGTCTTCCCAGCACCATTTGTTAAATAGGGAATCATTCCCCCATTTCTTGTTTTTGTCAGGTTTGTCGGAGATCAGATGGTTGTAGATGTGTGGTATTATTTCTGAGGGCTCTGTTCTGTTCCATTGGTCTCTATCTCTGTTTTGGTACCAGTACCATGCTGTTTTGGTTACTGT
Source organism: Homo sapiens (assembly GCF_000001405.40). Lineage (NCBI taxonomy): Eukaryota > Metazoa > Chordata > Mammalia > Primates > Hominidae > Homo > Homo sapiens. The sequence goes on along the minus strand of NC_000006.12, from coordinate 77,850,397 downwards.
GGCCTTGTAGTATAAGTTTGAAGTCAGGGAGTGTGATGCCTCCAGCTTTGTTCTTTTGGCTTAGGATTGTCTTGGCAATGCAGGCTCTTTTTTGGTTCCATATGAACTTTAAAGTAGTTTTTCCAATTCTGTGAAGAAAGTCATTGGTAGCTTGTTGGGGATGGCATTGAATCTATAAATTACCTTGGGCAGTATGGCCATTTTCACGATATTCAACTTACAAGGGATGTGAAGGACCTCTTCAAGGAGAACTACAAACCACTGCTCAATGAAATAAAAATCCCTGCTTTCAACTCTGTAGGTGCTTTTCAATAAAGTAGTTGAAGGACAAATGAAATAGAATATACAATATAGTTATCCTCTCACATGCCTAACTAATTTGAACATGTTTAACATAAAACAGACATAAAATTGCTATTAATTTGTACCGCGTTCTGCCACTGCTTTTATACTTTAATATTAGATGTGTTCTTCAGTATGGGTTTAAAACCAATATGCCACATGGGATAAATATTTATGGATAATGCTGCCTCAAATGTTAACAAAATATTGTATAAAGTAGCAATTCCACCAAAAAGTGACATATTGACATCAACTAACTAAATAAAAGAAGTTTTTGAGTACCATTACAGAGAATCACACTAAGTTGCTACTTTGGCATTCCAGGCACCGCTAAATATCTGTTCTACTTTACGGTATGCACTACAGCTCTATAATCACCCAGACTGGAAAGAATCGGTTTTTCTTCAAAAAATTATTTGGAATTCTCATTTTCCCTTACTTGCATTATTTGAGTATCTAAGCACCATCAAGAAAATATACCAAAAAGAAACTAACGCTTATATAAAATGCCATGAACCATAACTTACAGTTAAAATTGTTATCTCCAAGGGAAGTGTTAGCAAAAAGATGAAATGTGCTTTTGCTCAGAGCGAACAGAAATGCAGTTATGCTCCTGTCAGTTCACCCCTCTCACACACACAGGCACCTTATTGTGCCATCACTACCTTCAGCTGACCTGAAATGCTTTCTTTCAGTCCCACTCTCACTCCTATGAGGCTTAAATCCTTTATTTTCTGTGAGGTTGTCAGGGAATGCCCAGCCACCACACAAACTTCTTTTATCTTAAATGTTTTCAACTTGTTCTCTACATTAAAACATTAACATTTTCTCTATTTATAAATCTGAATATATTAAATAATATACATAGCTGTTTATTCAACAATTATTTTTAGGTTAATATATAAATGGTTTATTATTGTTATTTTTCACAGAAATAACTCTTTCCTGATTTTTATTTTTGTTTATTTCTTTTGTGTTTCCCTAATGCTAATGATGCCATTAAAAAAACCCAGCAATTATATTATATGTGTGTTCATTCAAAATAATTATTGATGACCTACTTTGGTTTGGACAGTGCAGCTGCATTTCTCTTCCCAATTAAACTCTAAGTATCCCTGTGGCTTACCCCAGGACATTCAGCATCACACTTCCCCCATAGTAAGAACTCAATAAATATCACAATATTGATAATAATACACAACAATATGGTTTTGAAAGAAGCTACAGTTCATATTCAAAATAAATTGGTTAATAAATGAGAACACAAGTATGAGAGCATTCTAGTTAGTACTGCAATCATAATTAGAGTTGAGACTACCTTTTGTCTCCTTGACCTGGCTCTGCACTTAGTGTGACAACTTCAGAGTTTCCTTGAGAGAGTAGTTTAGAGGTTGGCAATCTAGCTGGGAAGACCTAGATGTGCTGCATCACAACCAACAAGTGCACTTTCCCCGAGGTCCTGGCATAGTCCAGCCCATGGCCCTCAACAGGGACTCTAATGATGCATCCTCATACTGCTCTTTTTTCTCTAGTTTTCAATCAAATAACTTTCATTCTTTAGTTTTTATTTACTTATTAAGACATAATGTGCCTGTCACTCTTGTGGGCACTGATCAAAATGTCAGGGAACTGTCTCCCAGGCCCTCTTTCCTTCTGCTTCCCATGCTGCCATCATCAGAAATGATTCCCTTGCCCTGTGGAAGAACTTTCTAAGGCTTTCCAGTGAAGAAATGGCTGGCCTGGTCAATTGCAATGAACTTCATACCTACTCTACACTAACAACTAGAAGTGTTCCAGTTCTAAAACCTAAAACTCCCAACTTTCACACTCAAATGCAGCTTCAATTTTCCTGTTTCTTTCTTTTAATCCCAGGACACCAGTAGGCCATCCAGAACCCTCTCTTTATCATTATACCTTATAGTTGCTTTCTATTCTTCAATAAGTACTTTTAAAGTACCAAATATGTGCCATGCATAACTCACATACTCTCAGAAAAACATAGAGAACCTCAAATTAGTTTGTACCCGAAATCATTCTTTTTAAGAACTCAAAGGATTCCTGCATAAAGATACATAAAGTGAAGAGGAGATAAATATTCCGACGTTCTTTCCTTTCCTTTTTTCCTTTCTAATTCTGAGTGAATTACAGCTTGGAAAACAAGTAATGTGAGTTTCAGGGTCAGTAAGAGTTATTGATTACAGATTACTACATTTTATTTAAAGTGAAAATCCTCATTCAATCAACACATTCTTTCATAGGTGAGTAATATAAATAGAAAAATAAATAAGAAATTTTCACTAACCTCAGTACATACAAAAAACAGACATGTAAATAACACTGGATTATAATTGGTTCCATTAAAATGTGTTAATGTCTATAATACAAAGATCGGAGTAGGAAAGAAATGGCTGCTCCTTTCCATGCTGATTAGAGAAGTCTTCATAGAAGGCATTAGGTTTCGATTGCATCAGAAAATTATTCTGAACAAATATATTTTACTTGCCACAGGAAACAAGAGAAAAACAATCAGTAAAGGTATATTATTGAAATGCATTTGATATTTTCTCATGACACTGAAATGACTCTGCTGACTTCTTTTCAGTGACTGATAGACCTCATCATGGCAGCCATTAAAACTGCAGCAATACATTCTCATGCTTATGGAAAAAAGGAAGAATTAATCATACTTAATTGACATTTTACTGCTAGCACAGACAAATACAGAGGAAATAATTGGCTTTATTTCCTGTATTTACTCAACATTTCTCTTGAATTAATTATAATCTAAGACACAGAATTATTTTGACAGTGACCGTACACCTGGATCTTCCACAACTATTTGTTCTGTATATACTGGCTCCATACACACCATTTCAGAACATTGAGAGAAAGTACCACTGAATCTTTTATTTAAACTCATTTTCAATTTTTCATTAACTCACCAAAAAAAAACAATATTCCCTCACTCCTTTCAACTCCTAGTAAAAGCACAGAACCCTTTAAGATGACAGTCATTGTTGTTAAACATTATTTCCCCAACACAAAATCCTTCAGTTTCTCAATGAAAGAATCTATGACGGAAAAATGAACTCTAAGTGAGAGGCTGACTGAGCTGCATTGAGAAATGTAATGCACAGCCTAAAAAAATTCTCCTAGACTCACCAAACAACAGGGTGGGGGATTGAGGGGCACTAATGCTCTGTATACTGCAAGATGTAACAAAGGCCCTTGAACTGTCAATGCTTAGACTCCAGTTTCTCTGTATCCCATAAATTAATCAAAAAGCACTATAGTTAACGGTACAGAATTCCATGTCAAGGTCAAGTAAAAAGCACTGAACACAAGTGCCACAACCTGCTCTCCAGCAGAGGAGTGAAGATGGGTTTTACTGGTGCCTTAGTACACAATGACCAGGGACAGGGAAAATCCACATGGACTTCTTTAGATAAATTTTATTAAGTTCCAATGATGATTTTCTCATTAGATATAAGTAAAAGGAAAAAAGCCAATTAAACAAACAATGATACAGATCCTATGAGAAACAGTAAATGATACAAGGAATAATGCCCTAAATTCAATAAAGCAGGGCAAAGCTCTGAAAATAACTTACTAAAGAAACGAGAATAACCAGAGGAGATAATTTGACATGTTCAGTGGCATGAAATGATACATGTCCATTATAAAAAGCTGAAATCCAATAAAAGATAAAAAGATAAACACATCGAATGACAAAAAAACATATATAAGGAGTGAAATCAAAATGGAATGTGATGAACTGAGGACAGAATTAAAAAAGAATTAAAATTCCAATAAGAAAAGTGAAATTCAGGCAGGAGAATGGCGTGAACCCGGGAGGTAGAGCTTGCAGTGAGACGAGATTGCACCACTGCACTCCAGCCTGGGTGACACAGCAAGACTCCATCTCAAAAAAAGAAAAAACAAAATTGAAATTCATATTGAAGATAAACTCAAGAATTATTATAGAAAATTGAGTAAATGATGAAAAATTTTGAGAAATTCACTTGATATGTAATAGAAAAGAAGAAATGAAAATAATGAGAAAAGATAATAAATATAAATAATTGGAGCTCTATAAACCCCACAATGACTGGTCTTTTCAAAGACATAATTTTTAAAATGTTTCTTCAGCTTAAAAGAAAAAAAAAAAAAACAAGACTTCTGTTTTAAGGATTCAGTGCACTCAACAAATATCTCAATGAAAATCTACACAGTTTTACTTTTGAACTTGAAAAAATTATTCTCAAGGCCACTTAGATATATAAACAGGAAGAACATCTAATAAAAAGCCATTGAAATAATTAGGTATTAAAATACATAATAAAAGTAGATTAACTAAATTAGTGCCATAGCAGTGTACAAACTGGCAGGCAGATCAATAAACAAAGACAATATATGTGAAAATGAAGTACATAATAAAAGAAATATCCCAAATAAAAAGAAAAAGTTAGTGTTGCTAAACAAATAACTGAGAAGCTGAATGTTTTCCCACTTAGTGTCCCACCTCACTCCATGGATTAATACACTTTCCAAATATATTAAATAACTGAATGTAGAAAATTAAGATATAAAATTGCATAGAGATCCAGTCATACAGTGAATAAGGTGACCAAATTAACCCTCTTGCTAGAGAGTATTTGAAAGTAATAAACACACTCCCCCTCACAGACACATGTAGACACATAGACATAAAATTATTGAAAGAGAACTCTCTGAAAAATAAGGATTATCTTTGGAAGTTGGAAACAATAAGAAAGACTTAATACTAAAAGATGATCTGTCAGATAGTACTGAAGGTAACCCATTAGGAGAATTTGCCAATTCCTCCTGCCCAGCATCTTGGGTTTTACCTGACCGCCTCAACACAAGGTAGAAGACAAAAGCTGTTAGCTGTACAATGTGAAATTTTAAAGCTGAGGCACCCACATAAAGCTGAAGACATCGAAAGTCACCACCAGTAGGCAAGCTAGGGGGAAAAAAAGACTCACAGGGCAAGGTAGTGTGAATTCTTGCTAGGTTTCATTGGTTCCCAGTGAATGGGAGAAAGTGAAAAAACGTCTCTGAAGATTTGAAGTCATTACCCTACACCCCTCACACAAGCTGAGAATGCAGTTCACAACTAGTTTAAAATTTATAGAGATTGTCTTATCCCTTACAGGTTAATGAGTCCTAGTTCCTATAGCCATCTCTACTGCATCATTTTTCTGGGAGGAGAGGGATGTGAAGATATTGGACTCTTTTCCTTTTCTAATATTATTAATATAATCATTGCCTTTAACTGCTTTCCTCGACATGTGACAAGGATTAGAGGATGGATTCAGGTAAGGCCAGTCACTGTTATAAATACAACATTAAATATACTCTGATATATTCCCTGCATAATTTAAATTTTAGAATTAAAAACACTTATAAAATTACCAATTTCTGAATATTCATTTAATGTTTTGTATTACCCTCATCTTTAACAAAAAAGATTTCAATTTGCAATAAAAACTTTTGAATTGATATGCAGAAATTTCAAGAGCTGAGAAGGATATTTGCAGTTCACTGAGAGATTGCTCTAGATCTTCAGAACATTGTTGAAATTAACCACAGTGTATTCATATATTGATGGAAGGCTTCTGTTATGTTCTTAAGGCTTGGAAAGAAGTTTTACTATGACCCTCCAATGTAGATGGAGAGATTTTGTTTACAGCAATAAAAGCAATCAGAAATTCCAAATCTACATTTTAGGACCGGCTTTGTGACGAGGAACTCTATTCTTAAAAAATTATTAATACCATGAGGCATAAAACTGTGTATGGTGACTGTGACAAGAGAAAGACAAATGCAGATTCATGAGTCATTCTAATAAGCATCAGTAGGGACATTAGGCCTATGTCAGCATCTGTTCTATATGATCCTTGAGACACTCTCCAGAAAAGTGATTATGATGTGATCTGTTTGAAGACTACTCATAAACTTCATGTTGGATTGATTGCCCTGTAAAGACTTTGATTTAACTCCTTAGGGATAAAAATACCTATACTTAACCACCATACTGGATTATAGAATTAGGCTCAGAGAAGTGGATTTTTCAAACCCATTAAACTCATTAGCAACAGAGCTAGAAGTAGAACTCAGGGCTTCCAACTAGCACTCTGTTCTCTGTCCTCACATTTTACCTACTCTATTACATGTCTGTCTTAATGTCTATGATTATGTCATGATCATATCATGAGTAAATTAATGATTATTTTTAAATGTCAGCCCATCCTTTTTAAATAAGGACATATAGCTTATTTTCATATTTTGAGTTGCATTTTCACAGCATCTTCAGAAATGTCTTCTGAAATTAGAAAGTAGAGGCCATTACAACACAAGTATATCATGATTTATGGCTTTTAGTGATTATCATCCTGGTCTTTATCTGTGATATACCGATTATACCCTCTAGCACGAACTAGCCAGAGGTTCAGATGGTTGTTTTGAACAACTTGTTCTGTAATAGTTTTTTTTTTTTTAATTTGTCTGCCTACATTTTGACATCTTTCCCCTTGGTTGGTTTTTCTCAAATGGTCTATGGCTTTGAATTAAAACTGTGAAAGAGTAATTTAAAATACTAAATATTTTAATAGAGAATATTTTGCCAAAATCACTGGGATTTTCTGCCAAACTGCTCCTTTAGTTTAGGATTGAGTCTTAGATTGATTCAGCATCCTTTCTGGCTTTTCTGATGAAGTGTCAAAAATATTCAATAATAAATGCAATTAAAATTATATGAAATTTTATATAATTTGCCTGGCTCTAAAGTATTCCATGAGCTGCTTCTCTCAAGTAAGTCTTTCCCAGGGTTTCCCAGGGAACTAAGGCATAGCATAATTTAGAGAATGCTTCTTGATTAAAACTAACATTTCACTGTACTCTACATTTTGAGACATCAGTCTTTACCTGTTTTTTTTTTTTTTAATAATAGTAATCCTGGCCTCATAAAATGAGTTGTCAAGTGCTCTGTCTTCCAATTTTTGGAATAGATTATATATAAATGGTAATATTTCTTTCTTAAATTTTGGTAGAATTTGATAGTGAAACCCTCGAAGTCTAGAGTTTTCTTTGTTGGGATATTTTAAACTTTGAAATCAATTTCTTTAATTGGGTAAGACTATCAAGGTTACCTATTTCTTCCTGAAGGAGTTTTGGTAGCTTATATCTTCCAAATAATTGGTCCTTTTCATCTAATTTGTTGTATTTATGGACTACAGATGTTTATAGTAGTCCCTTATTATCCTCTTAACACCTGCAATGATGTCCACTTCCCTTTACAGGCATTGGCAAGTTGTACCTTTTCTTTCTTCCCTCAAATGCTTGTACTGTGGGAAAAGAATGCTTATAATTTGGAAGAAGAAGGGAAAGATACAAATTACCAATGACTGCAATGGAAGTGGACATCATTACAGATATTAAAAGGATAACACCTGCAGTTTCTACTGTTTTCATCTTTTCAACATCATTCATGTATGCTCTTATATTCATTATTTTCTTCCTTTTATGTGGTCTGGGCTCAATTTTTCCTTGCTATTCTAGTTTCTTATATTATTGATTTAAAACCTCCCTTCAATGACAAGCATAAATCCATATATTTCTCAAATTATTACTGCCTTACAAAATGCATCTCATAAATTATCATGTCATACTTTCACTTCAATTTTTTTCTAGTTTCTCTTGGGACTTTATGTTTGATCCATAGGTTATTTAGAAATGTACTGTTTATTTCCAAATTGTTGAAGGGTTTTCTAGATGTACTCCTATTATTAATTACTAGCAAAATTATATTATGGTTGGAGAACATCACATGTATGATTCTTTAAATCTTGTTAAAGTTTGTTTCGTGGTCTAGAATGGTATCTCAATCCCCCTTGAAAAGACTATGAATTTGGCTGTTATTGGGTGAAGTGTTCTAGAAATGACACAAGTCAAACTAGTCAATGGCTTTGTTATGGTTTTCTAAGATATTGCTGATTTTATGCCTGATTTTATTATTACTGAGAGAGGAGTAATGAAACCTTCAAGTATAACATATTTATCCAGTCCTCCCTACAATGTTATCAATTTTTGCTTCACGATTTGGAAGTTTCAAGCATTTGGTAGGCTCACACACATTTATCATTATATTTTCTTGGTGAATGGACACTTTTCTCATTATGTAATATCTCTCTTTACCCTGTTGATGTTCTTTGTTTAGAAATATATTTTTGCTAATATTAACACAGTCAATCTAACTTTCTTTGGATTAATGTTTGCAAAGTACAGAACTACATTATTTTAAATTATTAAAATGCTTATTAGCTTCCACTTTAATTATTTTTTGTTAAAGGTCTTTATTATTTTGTTCTAGAGGATAAAATATACATTTATAGGGTTGGGTGTGGTGGCTCACACCTGTAATCCCTGCACTTTGGGAGGCCCAGGTGGGTGGATCACCCAAGGTCAGGAGTCTGAGACCAGCCTGGCCAACATGGTGAAACTCCATCTCTACTAAAAATACAGAAAAATTAGCCACGAGTAGTGGCACACTCTTGTATTCCCAGCTACTCTGGAGGCTGAGTCAGAAGAATTGCTTGAACCCTGGAGGCAGAGGGTGCCATGAGCTGAGATCACACCATTGCACTCCAGCCTGGGCGACAAGCGCAAAACTCCATCTCAAAAAAAAAAAAAAAAAAAAAAATATATATATATATATATATGCACACATTTGTAACCTTTCTCAGTATATTTAGAGTTAACATTTTCCACTTCAATTAGAAGCTATACAACTGAAAATTCCTGCTATCCTAATAACTTTATATTTTAGTTATCATATACATTGCATCCATATACACCAAGTAATGTTTAAGCTTTGTTTCATCAGCATATATGTTTTTAAATAATGTAATAAAAGCAACATGGTCTATTATATTTACCCCCTTAAGCATTACTTTTGCTCTGCCTTTATTCCTGAAATCACAAGTTTCTCTGTTATATCACAACTCCCTGTGGTCTTAAGCACTGCTTTTAGCATTTCTTTCACAGGTTCTACTGACAATGAATTATGTTAATTTTCCTACATGTGAAGCACAGTTTATTATTCTGAAGGATATTTTTAATAGATGTAGAATTCTAGGTTGACAGTTTATTGCTTTTAGCAACTTGATGTTGTTCCAAAATCTTGGAGCCACCATGGGTTCTGATGTGAAAAGTGCAGTCATTTGAAATGTTGTTCCCCTGAATATAATATGCCATTTTTCTCTGGCATCTATAAAAAGAAATAGATGGGTAATTACAATGTTCATTTTTTTGGTAATGGGTACACTAGAAGCCCAATCACCATCAATATGCAATATACCCATGTGACAAACATGCACATGTACCCCATGAATCTAAAATAAAATGCAATTTAAAAGATCATTAAAAATTTTAAAAATTAAATATAAAAGGAGAAAGAATTATCTTTAGTTTTCAAGAAGTTTATGATGATGTGTTTGGGTGAGGTTTCCTTTGAGTTTATTATGTTCATGGCTCACAGAAAATTAATACATTTATCGTTTTCTCCAAATTTGTAAAGCCTTTGACCATTATTTTCAAATATACTTTTGTCACAAATTTCTTTCCCTTTTCCTTTAGGGACCACAATAGTATATATGCTATACCTTTTGGTATTGTTTCACAGATTCCTGAGACTTTGTTCAATTTTCTGCAGTATAACTTTTTTCTTAAGATTAGATCATTTCAACTGACCTGTCTTCATGTACACTGACTTCTTTGTTATCTCTATTCTGCCCTTGGGCCCATCCAGGGAATATTTTATTTCAGATAGTATATTTTTCAGTTCTAACGTTTACTTTTTAAAACATGTATATGTTAAAATTATGCACACATGTATGCATGTATGTATGTACACAGGTACAAACACACAAAAAACACACACAACACATATATTTCCTAATTATCTGGTTAGAATTTCTACCATTTCATTCATTTCAGGATTACTGATGTTTACCTCAAGGAGCATAGTTATAATACTTGCGTTAAAGTCCTTGGTCATTTTAATATCTGGGTTACCTCAGGGATTACTTCTGATGATTGTCACTTGCCTTGAGAACTGGGTCAACATTTTTCTGATTCTTTGTAATTGTGTATATTGAGTAGTTTTAGATTGTATCCTAGAAATACTAAGAATTATATTGTGACACACTGACTACTAAGTTGTTTTGTTTTTATAGAATATTGATTTTCTTTTTTGTAGTATAAAAGCAGCTACAGAAAAGCTGTATTCCAATAAAACTTTATTTACAGAAGCAGGTGGCACACTGGCAACCAAAATAATTAGGTTCAGCGTACAAATTCTGCCCTACCTTCTGTTAGTGGTAGTTTCACTGTCAGTTTTCCATGTCTTTACTCTGAAGTTTGGGTTTATTCCATTATGTGTACCACTTGGGAGTTTGCCTGGGTTATACACAGCGGTTTACATCATAATTCTGTTATCAAAGCCTCTGCTATGTTGTTTGGAGTCTGTCTCACACAGGTCAGGGGTGAGTCTGGAAATTATATCCTTCCTACATAGAATTAAGGATGCCCTTCTCCAACTCTCTCTACTCCAGAGAGTTGTCCAGAGATAGCAAAGGGCTGGAGAAGGATAGTCTCAATTCTGTGTAGGAAGATTCACCTTAATTCACCATCACCCCCTTCTGTTCCCAGAAGTCTCTTTACCTACTTTTTCTTGCCAGAGGAACTGATTTTTTCTGAGTTTTCACCATTCATCCTATTTGTACATAGTTACATAACCATTACAAAACCCATTTCAGGGACTAGATAAAAAAACAAATACAAAAAGAAAGACAAAAGTCCCGAGGATTCCTTCCATACTCTCCAGCTCATAATGTCCCCATTACCAGTCCTCTTGCCCAAAAGTTGTTTCTGTTAAAGATTTTGCTACTCTCAAGTACAACAGAGTTCCTTGACTGGGGCTGCTCTTAAATCAAAGCTTGGACATTGAAAAAAAGGAAAAAATGAGAAACGTATTCCGCAGTTTTTTTTGCCTTCATTTTGACTTCTTTAACAATTCACATGCTACTTTTTTATATTTCAGGGTTCTCAGGTAGTTGACTTTTTTTTTTTTGAGATAGAGTTTCGCTCTTGTCGCCCAGGTTGGAGTGCAATGGCACGATCTCAGTTCACAGCAACCTCTGCCTCCTGGGTTCAAGTGATTCTCCCACCTCAGCCTCCTGAGTAGCTGAGATTAAAGGCACCACCACCACACCCAGCTAATTTTTTTGTATTTTTAGTAGAGACGGGGTTTCACTATGTTGGCCAGGCTGGTCTTGAACTCCTGACCTCAGGTGATCCACTCGCCTCGCCCTCCCAAAGTGCTGGGATTACAGGAGTGAGCCACCGCGCCCAGCCAGGTAGTTGACTTTTATATTTATTTTCAAATTATTTTAGTTTTAATCAGTGAGAATGATAGATTGTAGTGGCTTTATTATATCTCATCTGGTACCGTAAGTCACATTTTAGATTTGAGTTTACAGAGTTTAAAGCTTTATTCATTATGCAAAGGCAAAATTATAAATCAGGCAACCTTTATTTTCTGGCCTCCCATAAAACATCTTTCAATCCCCTTCAGATGCTCAGTGCCATCGTCACACAATGAAATTCAGAAAAGACAGTGAGACTAATTCAGTACCTCTCCAAAATATTTCTTAAATATTTGTCCAATATTTATGTTGAGAGGATGATGAACATCATAAATTTACATACCTACAGTAAAAAAAAAAAAATTTCTGGTTACCCAGACCTGTCTTCCACAGAAGATGGTTTAAAAAACATCCATTGTCAAACATAATATCTGAAAACTTGCTCCTGAAGATGGTTCTAACAACATTCATTTTTATAAATGTGTATTAATGTCAGCGGGGTTTTATATTTTAAGCTTTATATGTTGTTGAATAGTAATAATAATATCAGCTAACAGCAATGGTGCACTTATGATGACAAGTTTGCTAAATGCAAATATGATTACCTCATGAGACCCCCAAAAACTGTATGAGATAGGTGGCACTGTTGTCAATATTTTAAGAAGAGATAAACTGAGGCTTAAAACGATTAAGTATTATTTTAATTTTCATTTAATCATTTAAATATGTAGTTATAAAGGATAATAAGCACCTTTTAAAAAATCACTAAAATAATATTATCAAAGTTTTAAAAATTAACAGTTCCTTAAAATCATAACACACACTTGTGCAGATTTTCCCCAATTATCCAATTATGTATTCCATTTTTTGGTTTGTTTAAATCAGGATACAAATAAGATTTATATATACCAGGAATTGGCAAACATTTTATGTAAAGATCAAGATAGTAAATATTGAATGCTTTGGAGATTGTTATATGTTTCACTGTTTCAAGTATTTGTGTTCCAGTAAAACTTTATTTACAAAAGCAGGTGGCAAGCCAGATTTGGCTCATAGACCACAGTTAATCCACTCCTGATACATGGCTATAAGTTAATAAAGTCTCTTTGGTCTCATTTAAAATACAGGCACATTGTTTGTCTGGGTCTGTCTCCTTCTTTTCATTATAATGCAGTCTATTTGTTGAGGAAAATGAGTTGTTTTTCCTGCACAAACTAGGTTTTACTGACTGCATCCTCCTGGTTAATTTAACGTGTTCTATTTGTTTTACCTGCAAGTTAGCAATTCATTCTAGAACCTTTAGGTTTGATTCGTTGACAAGACTACTTCAAAGGTCACACTACAATTTAACTAGACATCTGATTCTAAAGTTCATGCACTTTATCATTTGATTTAGTTTATCCTTGGAGAGTCTCTTAAAATGTTCTAGCCTATAAGTGGCAAATGCCCTTTTATCTTCGTTGCCAGCTGAGCTCAGGAATGGAAATTTTTTCTTAATAAGTAGCAGTTTCAAAAAGGCATTCAGTGATGTGGAAATTTTTAGGCCAATAGGGTATTTTGGGGGAATGTTCAGCCTTGTTTCATTTACACCTAATAGTTATTTGAATTACAAACACCAGTAATGAAGAAAACTGGCCAAATCTGATAAAACAGGGCTCATTATCCAGAATTTCTCTTAAGTTCTTGTTAAACAAAACAAGATTAAATAAAAAAAGTTCATGCCCAGGGTCCCTAATCTCTATTTTGTCTACTTGAGCACAGTTTGATGCAAATTATAATTCTATTCTCTCTGATGGATTGATTGCTGACTGAGCCAGGCTTCGTAGATCTTAGATATGATCAAGACATGTATAATTTCAGAAAAGAATATGGTTCCTCTCTCAACTGAAATAGGTGAACTGTTTCATGCTCAGAGCTATGATTACTTTTCTTTATCTTATTAAAAATGCTTATTTTGTTGCTATATTTTGCCTTGATATAGAAAATTAGTTTGTTTTAGAGAAGTAAATGTATAAACTCATTCCAGATTCAGAATATTTAATTTGCATGTTCTATTTTTATTAATGAATTGCTTAGCTTTTATTTTACTTTACAAGGAAAACAGAGAAAAGTAAAAATGCTTCCTGATGTAGGCTGCAGAACTTTTGAGATTTCTCCTGCTAATATGCTTTCTTCCAAATTTTAAAATCTATTTTAATGTAGAATTTTAATCTACTTTGTAAACATTAGGTCTCTGAAGTATTTAATATAAGTATGCATGTAATACTCTAAATTCAGATTTCACCTGTGCTTATCAATATTCCAAAAGCATTATTCATTTTTAATAGCTTGGCTACTGTACGCAGAAACATGCTGATTAGATAGAGGTATGAACTGCATCTCGGAGAAAAACATTTCTGTGAAAAATCACTTAAAAATTAACGATTCATTTTAAATCAATACATGTCTGACACCTAAAGAGATGTTTTCTTTTCTATATAAAAATATTTACAATGCAAAAAACATGCATCTTGAGGACATGCAATACATAAATTAAAAACATTACAGATTCTGTATTTTTTAAATAAATTTTTAAAAGTATACACGCAGTGAAAGTGTCATGTTTTGTATTTATAATTTGTTTTGTATTTATATTTTGTAAAAATTATTTTTCATTTACAATTTGTAAAAAAATGGTATATTTGGGTAGCTCTCCTTCTCAGATACTTCATCCTTCCTTTTAGATCAACATTATTTTTTTCAAAATCTATGAATGTTAATACAGAAATAATTTATTCATTTTAACTATTATCAAATACTCATTTTAGATACACCACATCAAGCCATATTTTAAAATAGAAATTTATGTTATATCCAAATTTAAGCTATTATAAACATGCTGAAATGAACATCCTTATACAGATCTCCTTAGTACAGTGAATTTGCTATATTTTACAGGATATGCATCTTTAATTTTCCCAGGTAATAGATAAATTCTATTACCCCACATAATCATAGTATCTGATAGTGTTTTCAAGGTAATTTTTAAAAAGATATTGTGTCAATATAATCAGTATGAAACATTTTATTGTTTTTGTCATTTGCATTTACTTGGTACCATGAGATTGAGTATCATTCATGTTAAATCACCTTTTAGGTTTCTCCCCATTTTTTCCTTTTTTTCTGTTTTTGGGAGCTTTTTTCTCTTCTTTTTTTTTTTTTATTTGTGTGTGTGTGTGTGTGTGTGTGTGTGTGTTTTGTTTTGTTTTCTTATGGAGTTTCACTCTTGTTGCCCAGGCTGGAGTGCAATGGTGCAGTCTCGGCTCACAACAACCTCCTCCACCTGGGTTCAAGTGATTCTCCTGCCTCAGCCTCCCAAGTAGCTGGGATTACAGGCATGCACCACCGCGCCCGGCCTTTTCTCTTCCATTAAACTACCTTTTCATATCCTTAAGCCCATTTTTCTCTTGTTTCTGATTGATTCCTAGTTCATTTTATATATAATATAAAAAGTATATTATAAAATTATAATATAGAATTATAATTATATCAGGGTTCGATCAGGCTGGTGGGAAAAATATAAAAGATAATTATAGTAATAGTCAAAAACTCTCTTGGAACGCCTGAAAGTTTGCATAGCTTCAGATTGCTTGGCTGAAGGCAGCCAGGGTTTCTGTAGGATCCAGAAAGATTAGGGTGCAAGTACAAAGGAATGTGGGAAGTGTATCTTACTAACCTGTTTACTTATATGGGCTTAAGACTAACCTTTGTCCTACCGGGTACTTTACTGCTTCCTATTTGGGAGAGCGGGGGAAAGGGGTCAGCAGAAGTTTATTACTGGCAAATGCTGTTTGCTTTAGGCCTTGGAACCCAGCCTTTAATCTTTACCCTCTAGTGCTGTTTACTCACAATTTTGTTAATCAGTCTTACTGAATAAATGTGAGCCTCACTATCTGATCGGGGCCCAGTGGCAACTGTTTACAGAACTCAGCTTGGAGACTGCAAGCGGCTTGGACCCTCAGCTGGACTGGCAAAGCAGAATATATGAGTGTGTCAGTGTACTTTATTCATCCGTTGCCGAATCAGGGGTCTGCAGGAACAGACCCCCCGCAGCTAGTGCCCCCACAAAAGGAGCTCTGCCTCAAAATTATATTATAAAATCTTATAAATTTATATTATAAAATTATTTTATACGACATATAATCTATAAATATATAATATAATTTTATATTATATATAATTTATAAATATATAATATGAAATGAACTAGAAACCAGTCAAAAACAGAGAAAATTATACTAATTTTTGATTTATTATAAATTTTGAAAATTTTTAACAGAAATACCTTAAACTTATTTACCATGTCAACAACTAAAATATCTTCATAAAAACATTTTCTTTCTAAAGGTTCCATAGAAAGAAATAAATGTTCCATAAACAACTCTCTTTGCATATTGAGGCCCCAGGAACTTGAAAGCAAGTTAGAAGAAGGAAGATGAAGCAGCTGCTGGTACTTATTTTTTTGGTTTTGTTTTGTTTTAATGGGGTCCAGGTTGGAGCTAAGTTGGTATTCTTTAAAACATCCACCCAAGTGCCCATCAATGATAGACTAAAGAAAATGTGGCACATATACACCATGGAATACTATGCAGCCATAAAAAATGAATTCATGACCTTTGCAGGGACATGGATGAATCTGGAAACCATCATCCTCAGCAAACCAACACAGGAACAGAAAACCAAACATCACATGTTCCCACTCATAAGTGGGAGTTGAACAATGAGAACACATGGACCCAGGGAGGGGAACATCATACACCTGGGCCTGTTGGCGGGTGCGGGGAAAGGTAGGGGAGAGCATTAGACAAATACCTAATGCATGCGGGGCTTAAAACCTAGATGACGGGTTGATGGGTGCAGCAAACCACCATGGCGCATGTATACCTATGTAACAAACCTTCATGTTCAGCACATGTGTCCCAGAATTTAAAGTAAAATCAAATAAAATAAATACAAAAAAATCCACATATGTAAAATGAACATGTGTACCTCTTTTTCAATGTCACTTTTCTAGAATAAACAAAACACATTACTTTGTAAAATATTAAGAGATAACATATATTGATGAGAGCTTTCAGTAGCAAAGACTTCTAGTAATAGCTGATCAGAAAGCTGATCCTGTGAAAATCACATACTATCTAGATATCTAAAGAAACATATAAGCTATTAATAAAATTCATATAAAAATTTTAAAAACTTACTAAAACCATGGATATTGCTTTTTATAGAGATATTCTGCCCACAGATTTTTGAATAACTAAACAATGTAGGCCCTTAGAAAATCAAATAGGTCACCAGTCTATGATAACATAAAGAAGCCACTTTTTCAAAGTTATTATTAAAGTAAATAGAAAACCACGGTGATTATGTCATAAGATGGTGAATATACAATAATCATGGTAAGAAAATGCTGCTACTAAAAAAAAAAGGCAGATACATTTTCTTAATGTTAACCTATTGATAAAGAAAAGACAATAAAGGGGGAAATCCAAAATACATGTATGACAAGATATTTAGGAAACTTTTATCTTCAACATTGCATAAGTAATTTCAACAAGACCCATTCAAATGAACACAGCTAGAGAAAGGATACTAGGATAAGAGTTCACAAAACCACCTTTCAAAAATCTGATTCAATGGTCACAGAATATACATAAAAAATATGTTAAACTTGACACAAATATCTACTTTACTTACCCTGCTAAAAAGTAGGTGAGACAACACACATACCAGTTGCATGAGACAAATTAATATAAAATGGTGTTAGTGAAATACAAATAACTGACATGGTTAGTCAATAACAGAAATTATTCCATACTTTATCTTCTAGATTATAGAGTCAGACTTTGTGGGTTCAACAGACTGGTGCTGTACTTCCTATGACTATGGGCAGGCTATTTAAACTCTCTAATCCTAATCGCCCTCTTTTGTAAAATGGGAATAATATGAATTACTAGTGTAGTTAGGAGAATTAAATGACATAACATAAAATTAAAATTAATCGCTATTTATTTCAAACAAAAATATATGCAAAATATTTGATGGACTATGAAATGTTTGGAATAATGTTTGACACATAAGGCTTCTCAGTAAATATTTATGATAATAATTATTATTGAATCCTCCATTAATCTTTATTAAACAGATCTATCCTCTGCCATCAAATACCTTAGAAATTAAATCAGACTTATATAGAGTACAATATGACATACATATATATACATACACAATCATTTTCTGAATTAGTGACTACTTAGAAAAGTTTATATCATTAAAAATAAAACTATTTTTCAGACAGTTCTTGGTGAGATCTTAGCATTCTTTATATCGACAGAGAAATAAAGTCTTTAAAGTGAGCTAAAACACTGAGTATAAAAGCACTGAGAAAAATTATATTTACTTTAGGTTGGAAAATCTGTTAGGATTTCAAAAACTATATTTTAGTTGAGGAACAGTCTACACATAGTAGAATGCACAGAATTTAAATGGATATTTTGATGCATTTTTAATTGATACGTCAGAGTTGTACATATACTGGGGATAAATGGGATATTTTCATACATGTATACAATGCGTAATTATCAAATCAGGGTTATTGGGATATCTATCATTGCAAACATTTATCTTTTCTTTATGTTGGAAACATTACAATTCTTCACTTCTAGCTATTTTGAAATATAAAAAATGTTATAATTTCTACAATTTAGTTATAATTAACTATATCTAAAATTCACTAACTGTACTATTGAATACTAGAACTTTTTCCTTCTATCTAACCGTATTTTCGTACTCATTAACCAACTTCTCTTCCCTTCCCTGCCTCTGGTAACCGTGATTTACTCTCTGCCTCAATATGATCCATGTCTTTAGCTCCCACCACAAATGAGTGAGAACATACAGTATTTGTTTTTCTATGCTTGGCCTATTTCACTTAACATAATCACCTACAGTTCCATCCATGCTCTGCAAATGATGAGATTTCATTCTTTTTATGGTTTAATAATATTCCATTATATATAGAGAGAGAGGAATATTATTATTTGGTATATATATATATATATAAAATTATCTTTATTCATTCATTTAGTGATGGACACTTAGGTTGATTTCATATCTCGGCTACTGTGAGCATGTGAGTGCCGGTATCTCTCCTTTCTTTTGGATACATAGCCAGCAGTGGGATTCTTGGATCATATGGTAGTTCTATTTTTAGATTTTTGAGGAATGTCCACACTGTTTTCCATAATGGTTATACTACTTTACATTCCTACCAACAGTCTATGAGCATTTGCCTTTCTCCAAATCCTCACTAACATTTGTTACTATTTGTCTTTTTAATTCTAGTTGGAGTGAGATGATATCTCATTGTGGTTTTGATTTGCACTTCCCTGATGATTAGTATTGTTGAGCTTTTTTTTTTTTTTCATATGCCTGCTAGCCATTTGTATGTCTTTTTTTGAGAAATGTCTATCAGGTATTTTGGCCATTTTTAATTCAGATTGTTTGTTTTCTTGGTATTGAGTTGTTTGAGTTCTTTATATATTCTGGTAATTAATCCTTTGTCAGATAGCTAGTTTGCAAATATTTTCTTCCATTTTGTGGGTTGTCTCTTCACTTGGCTAATTGTTTCCTTTGCTGTGCAGAAGCATTTTGCCTTGATATATTCTCATTTGTCTATTTTTGCTTTTATTGTTTGTGTTTTTAAGGTCTTACCCAAAAAAATCTTTGTCCAGGCCAATGTCCTACAGCACTTCCCAGTGTTTTCTTCTAGTAGTTGCATAGTTTCAGATCTTACATTTAAGACTTTAATCCATTTTAATTTGATTTTTGTATACGATAAAAAATGAAATATAGTTTTGTTCTTTTGCATATGGATATCCAGTTTTCCTGGCACCAATTATTAAATACTGCCCTTTGGCCAATGCAAAACTCCTTAGCAAAATACAAGCAAACAGAATTCAACAACATAAACCTGCCTGACACTAGTTATTGTTATTGTGTTATTGCTATTTTTCTTATTATTATTTTAAAGTATCTTAACTGTCAGAACATCTGGGTTTGAATTATGGCTTTAGGATATGCTCTTTCTGCAGTCTTGGTCAAGCTACTTCACCACTCTAATGTTTTGTATTCTTATCCATAAAGTTTGTGAAAATTATAACCGCTTCATGGAGCTATTGCGAATATTAAATGAGAACATATACATCATTTTTTCTGCACTTACTGACATCCTCCAAACAATCGAATTCAATTAAACTCACTTTCCACATTGCTTCCTATTGTTAAACTCTAAGACTTCACCTTGTTTCCCCAGACTCTTCAGCATCTCTTGTTAAATAACAGCCTAATGCCTCTACATTCAGTTACCCTCTGCTCATTCAATTCAAATGCATTTTTCAAGTACTTCCTTTTCTGTAAATTATTTTCAGGGACTTGCAATCTACCATGGCCTATTCCTTGATCTTGGAACTCCTATGAAAACATCATACATTTTAACACTTTGCTCCTTTTCAATTAGTAAATATAGCTTACTTTTTACTCCTTGATAACAGTGAAAATGAGTTTTTAAAAAAAATCTAACAGCTCTTAAGAGAGTTTGTCATTTTGTAGTCATTTGAAAATTTGCTGACTAGATACAACATGTCAAACATCAAATTCAATTAGATTGCATAATATTTTTAGACTATGTCATTAGATGTCAGTACTTTGTTAAAAGCCATTTAAATTACATACATATACAATATTTTATTAAAGTTCTTTCTCTTTACCAAGACATTTCTACCTATCTCTAATTTCCTTTAATTGTGACTTTGACTACAGAAATGATAAGAATATTTAATGAGCTG
This sequence comes from Homo sapiens, assembly GCF_000001405.40. Classification (NCBI taxonomy): domain Eukaryota; kingdom Metazoa; phylum Chordata; class Mammalia; order Primates; family Hominidae; genus Homo; species Homo sapiens. Next base: position 77,829,723 of record NC_000006.12, on the reverse strand, counting down.
TCAAATGGAATACATGTAATAAACCAGTGTCAACATTAAAATATGGGAATGACTTATGTTCCTTCTACACCTTTGTCACCAGTGATATAGAAGACTTTCCACAGATAAAAGGGCTTAGAGCAGTGGTCTTCAAGCTTGGTTGCATACTGAAATCACCTGAAGTGCTCTAATAATACCAGTACCAGAATTCCAAATTCAGAGACCTCTATGTAATAATAGGATTGGCATATGACTTGGCAACAGGATATTTAAAAGCTAGCCAGATGATTTTCATGAGCAATACAGAATGAAAAATACTGGTTAAGGACTACTCTCCATTTAGAATCCTCTCCAGTTCACTTTTCTCTCATTTTGCTTTAGAAACATGCTGCCTGCCTGGAGGGATTTAAAGCTGTTCATCTAAGCACTCTTTTGCTGTCACCAATGGCATCTTTGGCACATATATGCAAGTAAGCATTATAAAGTGGTTTTACTTTCAAAACTGTTTTCTGAAAGTATCTTTCTGTAATTTTGGTAGGCAGTAATATTACTCACATATATTAGACATAAGGTAATAACTAAAACATCAGCCTGGAAAGAAGAGAAGAAAGAAGGGAAAAGAAAGAAAAACATATAGTTACAATAACTATATATGAGAACTACAGTTTCAAGTTATGTGTACCTGATTGATGGCTCCCAGATCATCAGCAAAGCCATTTACTTCTGATAGAAGCAGAGATATAATAGATTTTCTCAACAAGCTGCAATTTCCCAAGGTAACCAGACTCTGAGAGACATAATGCTGCACCTGAAACTAAAGATAAAAATGAGTAGGTTTCTATATTCCATCACGTCAAATCAAAATGTATTTTCTAAGACCTTACTACTGAGCTAAATGCTGTGAGGAATATAAAAAGTATCAATGTAATTCTGGGTCAGTCTCAAGAACAACCATAAAATACACAAATTATAATATTCTAGGCTCTAAGATTTTCTATAGCAGTTAATATTTTGAAACATGAAACAGGGTGCTAAAATGGAAGTTTTAGTTGAAATAGCAAAAGATAATAGTTTAGATAATAGGCTATATACAGAATGAATAAAGGAGATGATAAATCAAGATACTTAAGCTCTTACCTTTTAGATAGATTAGCCAGATAGATGATAGATAGGTCATCTATCATTCTTTTTGGCACCAGGGACCAGTTTTGTGGAAGACAATTTTTCCATGGAAGGGGGGCAGGGTGGATCATTTTGAGATGAAACTGTTCCACGTCAGATCATCACTCATAAGATTATCACAAGAAGTGTGCAACCTAGATCCCTTGCATGCACAGTTCACAATAGGGTTTGCACTCCTATGAGAATCTAATGCCACAACTGATCTGACAGGAGGGGAAGCTCAGGAGGTAATGCTAGCTCCCCTGCTGCTCACTTCCTGCTGTGTGGCCTGGTTTCTAACAGGCCATGGACCAGTACTGGTCCATGGCCTGGTGGCTAGGGACCCCTGAATTACAGAGTTGAAGAGAAATATCTATTAAGTTAGATTGTGAAAATGCTTACTGAGGGACCCCTGAATTATAGAGTTGAAGAGAAATATCTGTTAAGTTAGATTGTGAAAATGCTTACTGTAGTGATAGGCACCTAGTAAGTGCTCAATAAGTGAAATGTTATAATTTAGGATGACAACACAAAAGCATTCACAGCTATATAACAGGAATTTAGTTCACTGAACCTTGAAAAGTTAAATACTATAAATAAAATATATTTTTCTAGAGTTAATATAATCCTATTGGAGAACACTGATGAGAAGAGAATTTCATCATAAAGAGCTCTTCCATAGTATAGCTATGAACTGTTTCTCCCCGACATGACTGAAGTTCATACAAAGACAATATAACCATTAATGTGGTTCAAAATTATATGAATATTATTAAAATAATCTCTATTCTTCCTTACATTTTAATTGACACTTGCCCTTTTGTAAATACAGTGGAATTTTTTTGAAAGGCTGACATGGAAACCAAGACTGACAACAATATTATATGTGAGGCTACTGTGGTCCAAACCATGGGAGGACACACTCAACACACATGATAATCTTTTTCTTTCACATCTTCCTGTATTTAAGAAGCTGGAGAACTAGAAGTAATTCTTCCCAGATTACTCTGCAGTTAGGATTTTGGATGTGAGTTCTGCCAATCAAAAGTACTCATTTGAGCCCTTGATTTAGAAATGCATCACCAAGGAAAAGAAGTAGGTACAGGGCATGCATTTTGTTGCTACAGATAGCAGCTGAGGTGTCAGAGTGCTGGCTCATCCCACAGCTGTTTCAGAGTTACCTAATTATGTAGGTTCTTTTTTTTTTTTTTTTTTTTTTTTTTAAGATGGAGTCTCCCTCTGTCACCCAGGCTGGAGTGCAGTGGCGGGATCTCCACTCACTGCAAGCTCTGCCTTCCGGGTTCACACCATTCTCCTGCCTCAGCCTCCCAATGTAGCTGGGACTACAGGCACCCGCCACCACACCCAGCTAATTTTTTGTATTTTTAGTAGAGACAGGGTTTCACCGTGTTAGCCAGGATGGTCTTGATCTCCTAACCTCGTGATCTGCCCGCCTTGGCCTCCCAAAGTGCTGGGATTACAGGTGTGAGCCACCGCGCCCGGCCTATGTAGGTTCTTTTAATCACAATAGAAGTAGCAGCTACCTTGGTTGCCCAGTGGTTTGGGGAATGATTCCTGTAAATGTAGCATTCCCAAAGGTATTTTGACCTATATGTTTACCTAGAGGATTCACAAAGCTTAGTGCCACATTAGTCTTGAAATATGAAGGAAATGGGTAGAAATTCTTATCACTTTCCCAATTAATTTTCCTATATTAACTGTGCAGAAGATAGGAGGAACTTGGAGAAGAGCCGTGAATTATTGTAAAGTTAATTAGGTAGTGTTTCCAATTACACAGTGCTGTTGTTCCAGAAGTAGTTATTTTCTGAAAGGATCAACACTGCCCCTGACACTTATTAGGTAGAGCCCTGGATTCTGCAGAAGTTTGTGGGTCTAATGCATGTAGGAATACTCCCTCTAAAGTGAAAAACAAGTTGCTATAGTATGTATTTACTATCACTAAGAAAACGACACAATGCTTGATAGGCCTTTGTGAATTCTGGAGACAACATATTACCATTTGGTTTACCACTTGGAAGCATATTTCAAGTAATCATAAGGCTGTACACTTTGAGAAGGGGCCAGAGTAGTATATAAAGATCTCCAGCTGATCTAAGTTGGGAAATAAGAAGTTCTGTCCTTTAGATATCATGATTAGTAAGATCCAATGTGCTTGCAGTTGATCAGAATATTATATGGAGTCTGTAGCCTACTCTAATTAGAAAATCACAAAGGAGGGACCCTGGGTGTAGAACAAAGTCATATCTTTCTTGTCAACTAAACATTATTCTCTCTAGAAAATAAAAATTTACATATGTTATTTAGCCCTGCCATAAACTGTGCCTGCCTGATTGTAGGACACCAAGTAAGTGTATATCCAGAACTACTCATTTGAAAGAGGTGCTATATAAATTTAGGTATACACAACAATACTCCATCAAGTAGCCTTAGTATAAACAAAACTGGGATCAAGTGAAAACTAAAAGCAGAAGTGAGTGTTGTTTGATCACTCAGTACTTATAGTTCCAACTGGTAGACCTCCTCTTATAAGGTTGAGGTACTGTTCAATGGTAGGGAATTTATATTCCCAGCCAATGGCCAATATATGATGCTCTTTCTCCCACATGAGTTTCAGGATGGATGAATAAACTGCATGCACAGAGTATAGATTGTAACTGAAGACACTCCTCTAACAGCATACCACAGCACTTAACCCTACTATAATGTTTTTTAAATAATTTGAACAAAAGCTTAAAAATCAAATTTTAGATTATGCAATAGCCAGAGAGACAGATACTGTGAGTAGATCAAGATGATTCAAATAAACTCTCTAAGCTGTAACAATGAGTCCCAAATAAGTAAAATGCAATAGAGACATATATATGTTGTATCTACTTAAATTCCTATAACCTGTTGAAAACAAGAATCAGAATTATAGATATTTAAAACATTTGCTACCTGCTAAGCACTTATCCCGATTTAAGCTAAAGATAATTAATATCCAGAAGAATCCAAAAGCCACAAGAAGGGACGGTGGGCACCTTCATAAAGGTCCTTGTGTTTCCTAAAAAAATGTCTCCTGTGGGCTTGGAGATGGGGCAGCCAGTGATTTCTGTTAGACTGTGACTTGGGAAATGACTTGTTCACACTAATGTGATTCTTTTGAGAATCTGGAAAGCTCTGGGGCCCTCCCTAACAACCTTTAATAACAGCCATCTGTCAGTATGTAGAGCAAATTGTGCCTATTTATGACCAGCTTCTCAAAGGCAACTGCTTAATAAACGGAATTTCACTTCCTTATCATTGGGGAGTGGATGACATTTGAATAGATGTCAAAAATAAATAATAAGAAGAACATAATATTTTGTTAGGTCAAAAGAATGTGGGAGGCTGTAGAAACCATATGCCTTCTGATTTTATAAAAATCATTTTTATCCTTGAGTCACTGACATTTGTTTAAAGATGTATACACATTTCTAATATCAGATACATCAAATTATAAGAATATAATGAAAAAATATGAGTGCCACAAGCTCACAACTGAATTCTGTAAAATAAAATTTAACAAAAAAAGTTGAGATCAGAGGTACCTAATTATCACTGAACAAGTGAACAAGTGATAGAGATTGGTTATATGGAAGGACTGTCTATGGATGCATGTTAGAATGAAGAACGATTCTTTTTCTATGATACCTATTTGTATAGCCCTACTAATGAAGGAAATAAACTTAAACCAACTAATTATGTCTATTGGAACAATGTGAACTAAGAATTTAGGCAAAAGAGTTGGATACTACATCAAATATCCCAATAACAATGATAATAACATTCCCTTTCTTTTCTTAATGTGAAGAAACTGAGAATCAGGAACATTAAAGTCACTTGTAAGGGGTAGAGTCCAAAGTCAGACCTAGATCTTTTTTTTTTTTAACTTGAATGTCTAATATATTTGGTGCTTATAAAGTAAAACATAAAGAACTTACAGGATAAAACAGCAAGAAATGAGAATATAATAATATCAATATAAGACAATTTATTAAGCATTTACTTTGCATTATGTACAGTACTTACTGCTTACATATACTGTATCATTTAATCCTAACCATGAGACCATAAGAAAGTTTAATCTCAAACTAAATACTAGGGACCCATACTTTAAAGAGAGTAAGTTAACTTGTTCAAAGTTAGATTAAAAATATACATAAGAATATATGTAGTGACTTTGGGAGGCCAGGCAGATGGATCACCTGAGGTCAGGAGTTCGAGACCAGCCTGGCCAACATGTTGAACTAAAACACAAAATACATCTCTACTAAAAATACAAAAATTAGCTGGGGATGGTGGCACGCGCCTGTAATCCCAGCTACTTGGGAGGCCAAGGCAGGAGAATCGCTTGAACCCAGGAGGTGGAGGTTGCAGTGAGTCGAGCTCATTCCACTTCACTCCAGCCTGTGCAACAGTGCAAAACTCCATCAAAAAAAATGTAGTGACTTGTGCTGTTTATCAACCCATTGCATACCCAAATGTATCATATCTGAATTTCTCTTAAGGCATAGAAATTTTGATAGTCCATAGGGGATCCATAAAAAGTGTTCAACCACTTGCCAGATTTAAAAAATTACTAATTACTACTCTGAATTAAGGAAACATAACTATTACACTGCACCATCAACCTCTGTAACAGGCCAGCACTGTAAGCAAGCTGGACAGTAGGATAAAGAGACACAGAGACCCAGGGACAGATGGTATCACGCATAAATGTTGATGGCTGATGCAGTAATGCCACTAATGTGTTTCCTACTTTCTGAAGCATCCAGAATTATGTCTCAACCTCTTTATTTTCCTATTATTCTATAATAAAAATGTATTGTCTAAACCAAGAAATAACTCTCTGCTTAAAGCAAGAATAAAACAAACCAACCAACCTTAGATGTTATTTGTGGGAAGTTTGGAAAATAAGAAAGTACAAAAACTCTCTTCTCAGAAATGCTATAAGCATGCCTATAAAACTTTAGAAATAACCAAAACATCTAGCAGTATCAACCATAGCTATTAACGTATATCTGGCTTCTCACAGTAGAGATGACACAATAGGCAAGCAATTAATGGCTGAAATATCCAGAGAAATGACCACTGGAACTAACTCACATCTTAACTAAACAAGAATGAGAGACGCTGCTATCCCACTGTCCCTCTAAGAACAGAGCAGCTCCAATCTGTGATGTAGAACAAAAGCTATTTTAAAAAATTCTTAAAATTTCAGTGTACTTAGAGTGAAGGTAAATGCTTCAATCTCAATTGAAAGTCAAAAGAAACAACATTCAAAGGCTCTCACTCACATAGAAAATATATATATACTATAAAAATACATAGTTTAGAGTAAGTTTCTGCTGTAATTAATTACATAAAATGTTGTTTTAAAAATAATTAAATGTGTTAAGATTCCCTGTAAGGGAGGAGATTATTCCTGAAGATGCCATAATTCTAAAGAATAGGACAAAACAAAATTGAAGCTATAATAGTTGAAATTAGTTATGTATTCATTCATTCATTACAGCAAATATTGAATGTCATCTATGTGCCAGTGACTCAGCTAGTCCCTATTATCACTTAGAATTCAATAAAAAATAAAATAACATTATTTTTGCTTCAGTAGTTACTTCTGCTTATGTTAGGGCTCACACCTGTAATCCCAGCACTTTGGGAGGCCAAGGCAGGCAGATCATGAGGTCAGGAGATCAAGACCATCCTGGCTAACAAGGCGAAACCCCATTTCTACTAAAAATACAAAAAAAAAATAGCCAGGAGTGGTGGTGGGTGCCTGTATTCCCAGCTACTCGGGAGGCTGAGACAGGAGAATAGCTTGAACCCAGGAGGCAGAGGTTGCAGTGAGCCGAGATCCTGCCACTGGACTCTAGCCTGGGTGACATAGTGAGACTCTGTCTCAAGAAAAAAAAAAAGGGGGGGGGGGTATCCAAATGCAATCCAGCTTATCATGATCTGAAAGGATACTTTTAAAAATGTTAAAAACATTTAACTCTCATACAAATTTAGAATTAACACGTCAATGTATTTATAGCATCAATGAGGGTAAAAAGCATTTGAGGAACTGAATCTTGAATTTGAAAAAAAGTAGAATTAGACCATTACGTTAGACACAAAACTGGTTAATATTTTACATGATAAACCCTTACCATAACCTCAGGACTTATTTTCTACTGTACAGGAATCATTTATATCTATATTATAGAGGGATCTATAGGTTAATATGAAACTTCACAGGGTCAGGGCCCTGCCAAATCACATTCCCCTAGAAATTTAAGTAATAATTAGGTTGTCCTGTTAGATGAAGCCCCAGTATGTCACTGACTGGACAATCAACCAACCTTTGCCTTATTTCCAGAATTTGATAGTATATCTTAACACGAAATAAATCAGCAAATTTTAATGTAATGCAGAATTCGTAAGAAAGAAAGAGAGGTCCTCAATGGTCAAAAGAAAAAGAAAAATATAAACAGATATAACATTAAATCAGACAATAAACTTTCAGAAAAAGAATAAGCTGGGGTTGCTCTGCTGGCAAAAAGCATCACCAGCACAAAATTTTCAAATAAGACTTTGGCCTTTATTAAGTAGGAGAGAGACTAACATTTCTAAGATGAAGCCTAAATTAGTGAAATGTAGAGACTGGTAAAGATCTAATGTGCCAGCACAAATCACCCCCAATAATTAATAATAATAATACCAGTAAGCAGCACGATTTTTTTTTTTTTTTTTTTTTTTTGGAGAGATGGCATTTCACTCTTGTTGCCCAGGCTGGAGTGCAATGGCGCGATCTCAGCTCACCACAACCTCTGCTTTCTGGGATTCAAGCGATTCTCCTGCCTCGGCCTCCTGAGTAGCTGGAAGTACAGGCATGTGCCACCATGCCTGGCTAATTTTGTATTTTTAGTAGAGACAGGGTTTCTCCATGTTGGTCAGGCAGGTCTTGAACTCCTGACCTCAGGTGATCCACCTGTCTCGGCCTCCCAAAGTGCTGGGATTACAGGCGTGAGCCACCATGCCCGGCCAGTAGCACTATTAATAGTCATCTTTAAGAATCTGCAAATCCAGCCATATCTACATTGGGTCTGCCACAAGGAAACCGCATGCTGAGAGATGAAGCTACTTTTTTTTTCTGGCAACTGCAAGATGCAAATACAAAACCACTCTTGAGGAAAACACTCTTAGTTCAGTTTTTCAGAATTCTTATAGACTAAGTTCAGACAAATATGGGTTAATAATAAAAGTTGACCAAGTAAACTTGAAATCTGTTAAATAATAAAAAATTTTTAAAAATTGGACCTTCAAAGACTTCAGACATTAATTACACTTATCTGATACGGAATATAGAATAACTATAAATGGAATGACAGGAAGTCTTTGAGAAAAATAAAAATACCAAAAAAGAAAGAAAAACATTAAAATTTAAAACTCAGTGAATGAAATAATAAACAAATTAGTTACAAGTAAAGAGAAAGGCAATAAACTGGAAAATGTACATAGAGAAATCATCCATAATATAGGAAAGAGAAATGATGTGCATGCAATATACGAGTAGAGGTTAAGAGACATAGAGAATAGAATAAGAAGCTATAGTATCTTTAAATAGAATTCAAAAAAAGAAAAAGAAAAAAACTAAGAGAGACTACTGGAGAAGAAACGACATGGGAAAAAATAATGGAAGAAAGTTTTTTAGGCCTAAGAAACAACAAGAATTCACAGAGGAAAGAAGTATAATGTATACTAACAGAAGAGAACAATTAGACTGACAACATAATTAATAGCAACAATAAAAGCCATACATCTTTGATCTAGTATCTTCAAACTACTGTCACAAAATATGTATTAGCTTATAATTGTGTACCCACTAGAACTATCCTTCAAGAACAAAGAGAAAATAAGACGTTTTCAATGTATGAATATGAGTCATTTTAACACTGATAGAACCATACTAAAGGGATTTAAAAAAGAAAACCGGCCGGGCACAGTGGCTCATGACTGTAATCCCAGCAATTTGGGAGGCCTAGGCAGGCGAATTGCCTGAGGTCAGGGGTTCCAGACCAGCCTGGGCAACACGGTGAAACCCTGTCTCTACTAAAATACACAAAATTAGCCAGGGGGGCATGGTGGCGTGTGCCTGTAGTCCCAGCTACTCAGGAGGCTGAGGCAGGAGAACTGCTTGAACCCGAGCGGTGGAAGCTGCAGCAGTGAGCCAAAGTGAGCCAAGATCGCGCTATTGCCCTCCAGCCTGGGCAACAGAGTGAGACTCCATCTCCAAAAACAAAAACAAAAACAAAAAAAAACCAGTCCCAGGAGTCTCTTTGTGTTTGATATTCTGAAGAGGTCTGTTTCCCTTTTCTTATGTCTATTTATTTTAAAGTTTTAAAATACTTACTTTTATATTTCAGTTTCGTTTCTATCAAAACAACTCATATCCTGATACTGACACTGCCAAGTACACAGTGATAGAAGGAAAACCATTCAGAAAAAAATAAGATTTAGGTCCTCAGAAAGCTTATAATAAAAAGCAAACTCATAGTTAATCAGCAAATGAAAAAATAAATGAAGAAAAGAAAAAAAAGCAGGTACACGTAAAAGTAAGATATTGTAAAAGCTAAAAGTTCTTGAAGAAGAAAACAGAAATGGATCAGAACCAATTCCTCAAAGCTGCTCCAAGTAAAGGACTCTTCCTTGGAACCAACAAAAGATCAGATAGAGGACATAGAAGGAATTCTTTAGGTTCCAAATAAAACTGACATACTAAATCCAACACTAAGATATATATCTAGGTGATATTAAATCACAAATAAAAAGAAAGGCCTTTATTACTTCCTAAGAAATTAGCTATTGGGCCTCTTTAATAAAGGAAAGGTATCTGCCAAATTCCAGTCCTAAAGTATTTTCTACATCATAGATTAATGTTTTCATTGGGTGAAAGAAAGGACAGGGTGAAGAAAACTTTGGGTGAAAAGAAAGAGCTTAGGGTATCACTTAGGGATGTTAGTTATAACATCCTAATCAGATTAAAGTAAATTAGGGATATTTTTTAAATCCTAGGAATATTCCCCTAAAATAATACCAAATATCATTAGGTTTCTGGTCCAATAATGATTTCTCTAAGTTTTGAGCACTAAAATGAATAAAACAAAATATTATCTCTATAAAAATGTTAAACTAGTAGCACAAATAGTAACTAAAGTGAAAAAAATCATTCAGAAAAAAATCCATAAACTATGACAAAAAAGAGTTAATGGTGCTAGTCAGAAAATATTTAAATCAGTTAAAACAATATTGAGTTCAATATAGATTAATCACAAAACATATGAATAAGTAATTGACATAGAAATGGTAAATACACATATAAAAGTTCTCTACCCCAAAATAACCAAATTAAAATTAACATATCACTTTATACCTATTCAATTAGAACATAATATTGAAATAATGTAAAAGAATAAAAGTACGGTATGTCTACATTTAAATTTTATTTTCTTATAAAAGCTAAATATCAGGCTGGGTGTGGTGGCCTACACCTATAATCCCGGAACTTTGGGAAGCCAAGAGGATTACTTGAAGCTAGGTTCAAGACCAGCCAGGGCAACATAGTGAGACCCTATACCTACAAAACATACAAATAAAAAAAAAATAGTTGGGTGTGATGGTGCACACCTATGGTCTCAGTTACTCGGTGACTGAGGCTTGAAGATTGTTTGAGCCCAGGAGTTCCAAGCTGCAGTAAGTGAGCTATGATTGTGCCACTGCACATCAGCCTAGGTGACAGAGCAAGACCCTGTCACTATTAAAAACAAAATACCTAAATATCCAACAATGTAACAATGTACGAATAGGTAAAATTAGGTTAAATCTACTAAATAAATATCACAAATCACAACATTAAAATTATATAATAACACAGAATACTTACAATATAATATAGAAAAAAATGTGAACTATGATGGTACAAGAAAAGCAAGTGGTGGTTTTAAAATAGGTTTAAAAATTTGTGTATATTTACAAAGACCAGGAAAAGAAACTTTTAAAGTTTCCAGAGAAGCAAGATTGTGAAAATCAATTCAATTTAATTTTAGACTTCTACTGGTGTTGATGTTTCTGTTTTAAAAAACTAGAAAAGGCAAATTTCAGAAATCAATTGGACTGATATAAATATAGATCATATACCATTATACTTCTAATGGGACACACTTTTTTTACCTTATAAAAAGATATGCAAAATAGGGCTTCTATTTTGAAAGATTCTCTACTACTTTTCAGATATAATCTAAAACAAAATTAGATATAAAATAATTTTCCAGAGATGTTCATTTTAAACACTGATTGTCAAATAAAAACTTACAGTAATTACCAAAACAGGCTAGGCAGCAATGTAAGTTTTTCAGACTAATAGTGTAGATGATAACAACAACAAAAACAAAACAAAAAAATGCAGAAAACACAAAACTAGCTCTAATTTAATGCCACATTGAAAAACTGTTCAATGGTTTGTTTTATAGATTCTAATTGGTAGGTTTGCATACACTGGCTAAAATCTCTGCAGTATATGAGCGATGCAGCTCAAGTTGCTGCCAAAAAAACAAATAATGGACAGTGAGCAGAAAGAAGTAAGACACTGCCTAAGTGAGTGACACAAGGACTGGGAGATGTTGGATGTAAAATATGAGAGGCCACAGGAAATATGAAATCTCTCGCCTCATGTTGCCTAACACCTGGGCCCTAAAAGCCACTTTGCTTTCATTACTCAGTCCTATATATGGAAGAAAAGAAAGAGTATAGAAAAGTAAAATAAACACTAGAACAAGATTTTTTAAATGATATTTTATAAAAAAATTATAACATCACATTTTATCCCATAAATATATGCAATTATAATTTTTAATATATAGTAAAAATAAAAAATACAAATTGAGAGTAGGATTAGAGAAATAATAATAGGTTTTAAAGTCTATAAAGGCTAAATTAATTATCACTTTGTGGCACATGGCAAACTTCATTTGAGATGACACAGATTTATGGGGAATGAAAAAGGCACAAAGTTCAGAGACGACCCAACTAATCATCAATGATAATCAGAACTTAGGTCAGCAAAAGTTTAAACATAAAGATCTCCCTAAGACTCACTATCAGGCAACAAAGGTCACCCTGGATATTACAGATGAAATCCAGATGATCCTGAACTCAAGGATGCTCCTCGCAACTCAAGAAACTTCACCATCCCTATCCTCACAGTACCATGCATGCTTGTGAAACAGCAAGTATGCACGTACTGTGAAGAACAAGTTCAACCAAGTTTCTGCTTTCCAGGGACTTATTTGAACCTAACCTATAAAGTAGAAAAAAATTCTGCCCTTAATACCTATTATATATTCTCTTTTTGCAGCACCTCAGAGATACCAAGAATAATATGTGTATAATAAGAATATAATTGAGCTACAGGTAAAATGCTGACAAGTGTGAATATTTAGGGAAGTAAAAACAAAAACAACACACACACACACACACATACACACACACACAATAGTGTCATCCAACAATGAATGCAGGCAGAATTACAGCTTCATTCAATAATATGACTGGATCTTAACAGATACATGTCTTAACAGATACAACATTGCGCAAAGCCCTGCAAGTTACTAAAGAATATTTATATTGCAATTCAATTTACAAAAAGTTCAAAAAAAGACAAAGCTGAATTATGTTCTTTAGAAACACATACATAGGTAATATTACTACTTTAAAAAGCAAAAGTAGTAACATACAAGTCAGGCATTCAGTATGTTCAACAATGGGTTTTCCAATAAGGAAGTCAGTGTGGCGATTCCTCAGGGATCTAGAACGAGAAATACCATTTGACCCAGCCATCCCATTACTGGGTATATACCCAAAGGATTATAAATCATGCTGCTATAAAGACACATGCACACCTATGTTTATTGCGGCACTATTCACAATAGCAAAGACTTGGAACCACCCCAAATGTCCATCAATGATAGACTGGATTAAGAAAATGTGGCACATATACACTGTGGAATACTATGCGGCCATAAAAAAGGATGAAATGTATTTTAAAAATAAAAGTAAAGTTTCAACATGACTAAATCCCAGTCCTCCTACTAATTTATATTGATTAACTTGATCAACTTTTTAAAAAGAACTATGCCCGTGTACTATCGATTAAATTAATATAAGGACCTCCTTCTTACTGATGACACACTTTGACAGGTAAGTAGTTTTAAAAAACAATGAAATATACTAATGATGTTTTAAATAGCAAATCATAATCAACTATGCTAAAATTAAAATTATAATTTGAGTAGACAGTATCTAGAATACAAACATATCATAGGCAATTACCTCACAAAAAGACAGCTGATTAAGTAACCCAGAGGTACATTTTATAGTGCTTTCCTTCTGGACAGCTCATAAGGATAGAGATTTCCTGAATATTAAATGTTAAATAGGGACTATGTAATACCTTTTCATGGATGCATGAGTGTTTGTTCTGAAATTTTTCTCAGAAAGAATTTTACATTCGTTTTTTGAGAAAAAATTGGCTCTGCCTATAAGCACTCATATAACCCTCTGCCTATAAGCACCCTGCAAAGAAGTTTTTGTTGTTGTTTTGGTTTTTTTTTTTCTTGGTCTAAGGATTCAAGTCATGTTCTTAATTTTCACAATTGTCAGTTTTTCTGCTTAGTTATCAGATGGCCAAAATGTGTGATCCTCTGCTATTACTACATAATATAAACACTTTAGATATTTGCCAGAGAGTTCAATACTCCCTAAAGTTCCAACCCAGCAGTACCAGTTACTAGTGACCCTAACATTCCAGCACATGCCTTCATTATTGCAGTTCTCAGACTTTACCTAGTATCTAAGTTCTCATACTTAGCAAGGTCAGATATGTCTGTGGCAAATGAACAAGTGAATGAATATCATCCAACACCTTATCAAAAACAGGCAGAGACAACCAATATTTAACAAAAAAGAAAAAGTCAACTCATCATTCTTCTGACATCTCTAATTTCAGCCAAATATCACCTTAGATCACTACTAAAAAGTGTATCTGACCTATATTGGCCAGTTTGCCTTCAGAAATGCCTCTATTAAATTATGATTTAATGTTATGCCCTTTAATGACCAGGAACCAATAGAACAGATAAACAATTGAAGAATATTATTATTGCTCACATGCCATGGCTACAGATATTATCCTTTAATAACATGGATCTCGGATATTAGTTATAATTTGCCTAAGTTTGTTAACATCTGGCTCCTCACAGTGATAAGCAATATAACCCTCAGAAGAAAGAAAGCCTGTCTGTGTGACTGATTGCCTTGGTTGCTGGAGGAGAGGGCAACTTTGGAGATAGTGCACTCTACTCGGCACCCTTTCTTGTGGGGGTTAGAGGATATGGTGGAAGTTTGTCAAAGAGCTTAAAAAGTAACACCAAGGGGCCATTCAATCCTACACAGTAGTCACAGTAATCCTCTTAAGGAGGCTTAAAATGAAGAAATGAGCTCGCACTATTTGGTACAGTGGGCACAGAACACAATCCATATGATATATGTACGTAAACCAAAAAGTATCTGAGACAAGTCTTGATCAACTTAGAAATTTATTTTGCCAAGGTTAAGGACAATGGCCAGAAGAAAAGAAACACGGAATCACAGAAAGTCTGTGGTCTGTGCCTTTCTCCAAAGATGACTTTAAGAGTTTAAATATTTAAAGGGGAAAAGTGGGATAGAGGGGGAAAAGGGAAGGTATGGTAATCCACATGTTGCAAGAGAAAAGGAGCAGGTAGGGGGAACATTCAATTATGTATTATTCTTGTTCTCAGTAAATTGGCACTTTACATAAGGTAAGGTGAACATAGAGTAGCTACCTGTGGAAATGTTTAACGTTTTAGGAACAAAAGGAAAAGGCAGTTGTTTGCATGATTCAGCTTTCAGCTTAATGCTTTCCTTTTGGCTTAGTGAATTGGGATCCTGAGTTTTTATTCCTTCCAAGTGTTTACATAGACAGGATTATACTTTGAGAAAGTGAAAATAAACCCAGCTACCACTTGGCCCATGGTGTTCCCAAACAATTTTCTAACAGGATTTAGCTGAGCCACAGCATAGCTGCAAAAAATGGTTAACAATTCTTCCTTTTGCAAGATTGCTGCTTTCTTATCAATGAACCTTGAGCCCTGTTTTATCTCTCTGGACTCCTGAAGAAAGATTACTGAGATATTCATTTGCTAAACTGTTGCCTGCTTTGTAACAGTAACCAAATCTAGAGCCAGTTCACACTTCCTAAACTATGCTGAGAGTCATGCAGCATAAGCCGAAACCCTATATCAAAATCTCCTAACTCTCCCTTACTGAGATGCCCCTATGTTAGATGTACTTAGTTTGTTGAACCCCAGACGATCACTCCTCTGGGGTGATATTCAATGAGCTAAGTACATCTAACTTTGATTGGAGGTGTATAC
This sequence comes from Homo sapiens, assembly GCF_000001405.40. Lineage (NCBI taxonomy): Eukaryota > Metazoa > Chordata > Mammalia > Primates > Hominidae > Homo > Homo sapiens. The sequence goes on along the minus strand of NC_000006.12, from coordinate 77,814,049 downwards.
TGATGGTTTTTGGATAATAGGTTTCAACGAATTAAACTGAAGGTCTTGTGAAAAATCTTCCCATGTTTAAAAATCCCAAAGGAAAGAGATTCTCTTGTCCTACTTATGATGAATTTTAAAATGTTATTATTGAAAATCATCATTGATGTACATTAAAAATGAAATATACAGATAGGTCCAATGACATTTTAAAATCATCAGACATAAGTAAATGGAAACAGGCCTCTTCTAAAACCATAAGTGGACAAGTTTAATACCAACTAGGTTAAAAAATAAATGGCAGAAATAAAAAATAATATTTTAAATGTAGTTTTGATCAGACAAAAATGATCAAATGACTTGCAATACTCAAAATCAACCACCATTAGGTCTAGCCCAAAGGAAATAATGCTCAGGGAACAAAGGTTACCTTCATCACCAAAGCTTCTGCATATTAGGATGACATGATGGTGGAAAGAATCAGGATCAAGTCCCCAATATGGTTTCAGAGTAGTGTTCTCACATGTACCCTAGAACTTAAAGTATAATAAAAATGAAAAAAAAAAAAGAATGTCCTGAAGAAGAGATTGGCCTAGAATCTGGGGACAGTCAAGAGACAGAAGAAAGGAAGACGGGAAAAAATACAGTTGTTTTTTGTTTGTTTGCTTTTCTTAGGGGTAGGTTTGTATATATGTGTTAATCTATGCTTGCATATTGGAAAACTTCTGAGGTACTGTAGAGCTGTTGTCTCTCTCACAGATACTGTTCAGGCAAATGAAAGGAAACTCATTCATAGCTGCAGTCACTAAGAACTGAAACAAACTACTAAGCAATAAAGCAAAAATGGGACCATGCATAATTTACTGACCCTATGTTAAGCAATAATGACACAAATATATCTTTTCCAGCTCTGTGTTAAAAAATACTGGGATCAGGCACCAAAAACTTAGCTGTTGCTCCAGGATATATTTACTCATGGAAGATAAGATTTTTATCCAACCAAAATAACCTACTCATCAAGACTTGCTTCAGGATACTCACTTACCTATGCCCATCAATCCAAAAATATAATGTCACAAATTCTTTCCAATCCCAACCATGTCCCTGCTTGGCAAGACTCACCTGAAAACTACTCATTTCAGGCCCTAAAATTATTTAAATAACCTTTCCCTAATTTTCCCCTTTGGAGATACTTCTACACCTCTGTCAAAGGGGTGCTATACAAACTTAGGTTTGCTTAATCAACACATTTTATTTTCTGGTGGTCTTTTGGGGTGCTCAGAATCAACAGCCCACATGGTTTCACCTGCTCACATAATGAATAGGCATTACTGCATAGAAATATCCACAGACTATGAAACACAAAGGCTCACTTTTGTGGTGTTCTGGGGAAATTACCAGAGACGTGATCAGTCTAAGCATCCTGATATTTACCTAAGCTCTCCAGCCCTCCACCATCAAGGAGTCAAACTTTGTATCACCCATGATCACTTACTTCATATGGGGTAATTTCCTCTTCTAACTACAAGTAACATCAAGGACAGAGAGTTAGAAACAATCCCTACAGAACACTCTAAGCATATAGTTTAGTCTATCTTTCTAGTTTCTCTTTCAAAACCTTCTACCCTCCTAACCTTTTCCTCAAACCAATAATAATCATCAACATCATCATCATCATCTCTAAGCAATATGAGTTATATATTTAAATATTTAGAATTTTGCATATTTAAACTTTTTTTCTTGCTTGCTTTTCTTTATTTGTATTTTTTATTTTTGTGGGTATTCAAATTTTTGATCATTAACAATTATAGGAAAAAATAATTATTCATATGAGTTTGCAACAGCTGCTTGTATATGTTCTAGTGTCTAACTTTTCAAGAATCATTCCAAATATTAATCCCAAACATAAAAGCAACTGTTTAGGAAAAAATAAAACCAAAAAAAAGTTACAAGCCACGTATTTTAGCTATAACTTCACAGAATATGGTTGTTCACTGTTATTACCTAAATAACCTCCTTTTGAACAGAAATAAGGTTTATTTCCACACACATCTCTCAGGATCCTAAAATACATCACTTTATGTACTATAAGTTTATTAATTGCCTACAAAGGATTTTAGAAATCACATACACATATCAAATATAGTTATTGTGAATATCCAAAATTAGAAAATAAAACAGCTAAGTATAGCATCTTTATCTGCATAGAAACACTATTTTAAAAACATTACATAGTAAGTCCTGCCAAATATAACTTCTTAATATGTATCAAAAGTATCAATTTTTTTTTTTTTTTTGAGACGGAGTTTCACTTTGTCGCCAGTCTGGAGTACAGTGGTGTGATTTTGGCTCACTGCAACCTCCACCTCCCAGGTTCAAGCGATTCTCCTGCCTCAGCCTCCTCAGTAGCTGGGATTAAAGGTGTCCACCACCACACCCAGCTAATTTCTGTATTTTTAGTAGAGACGGGGTTTCACCATGTTGGCCAGGATGTCTTGATCTCTTGACCTTGTGATCCATCTGCCTCAGCCTCCCAAAGTGCTGGCATCAAAATGTTAAAATACATTAAGATTTACTTCTAACATGGCTTATTTCAAGTGCTCTTTTATGGAATATTTTGAAATTATCTCATCCTCTATATATGAACTCTCATAAAATTTGTTCTATGAACACATATCAAAACATACTTTACACAGTTCATTATGCTAGATAGTATTTTAAGCATTCTCTCTAGATTGGACTTTCTATCCTCAGAATCACCTTATGATTATTCACCTTTTACAAAATTATTGGCGTTCAGAGAGGTGAACTACTTTCCCAAGGTCACACAGCAAATAAATGATGAAGTCAGGACTCAAACCAAGACCTTTGACAATCTGATACTAGTCTATGCTTGTTAACTACATGCCAAACTAGTAAACACATGTGTGTCCTTAAATATATTTGTTTTCTAATACTGGAGATCATCTACAAACAATGGAACGATGTCTCTGATATCTATTTATACAGCTTTAATCAAATGTTAAAAGAAAATTAGACTGCAATTGAGTTTTAATTAAATAATCTTGAATATCCAATCATGCAATCAAGTTCAATATAAGCAGTTCTGATTTAAGGTAGATAGATTTTTTTTTCTTTTCCTCCTGCTCACAGCAAAAGATCTAATCAAGAAGATATATTCAAACACATTAATTTGGAGACAGACCATGGATTCCACAAGATAAAACAGAATCATTTATAACATCCAAAATACAAACAAGAATAAATACTGCTGTTTTATGCCTGAAAAATGCATGTTATTTTTGAATACTTCCTTGTATATTTTGTGGCTATTTATGTATTAACCTTTGATTATTATAAATTCAAGGAGTCTATAACATGTATTTTTCCTTTAACAGCAAGATTCTAGCCAAATGCTAGAAAGCCTCATGAAGTCTGAGTTTTAATTACTTTTCATGTTATAAAAATGACAGCCTAGGAATTCTAAGTTTAACATCAATGTTCAAACAAGTGCAAGTGAAATTTATTGACTAAATTGCCTTTACTTTTTGTTTTCTGGCACCGGGCAGATGCCTTCTTCACCCCTTATCAGGCTCATAGTCTCACCTGTATGATCATACTCTTAAATACGCTTTTTCCGGACAGCAGCTGGCCTAGAGATCAGTGTCTAATCATGACAGACTGTGACAAACTGCTCCTATTCCTTTTTTTCCACAACATTTACTATCCCAAGGCCAGAGATAATCTTACAGAATCCCCAACAGGTGGCCTGGAGGAAGATTTGCAGATCCATTCAAGTGTTAACTACAGATTTTTCCTACTTGGCACCAGAAAATGCTGAACCATCTGCTAGATATACCTCAACACTCATTAAAACTATCTTGTCATGTCTCTTCTCACCTGGGAAGACTGGGTGGACATTAATGAGATTCCACATCTGATGGTGGGCAACATATAGGAGCCAGACTTGCTCAGCATGCATTGATTTAGCTTACTTCAACTTACATTCATTTAGGTATGCCCAACAACATAGGTCTCATACTTGACAGGTCTTAATATTTCTAGTGCTGCCAACTGCACATGATATTAGAAAATTATTTTTTTCATAGCATAGACTGTAAAGAAATCTAAAAATCTCACTGAGCCACACAACTAGAGCTGCTAGACTTAGCAAATTAAAATACAAGAAACACAAATAATTTAAATTTCAAATAAACAATGATTTTTTTTTCAATATAAGCATGTCTCAGATATTCTATTTCATCTGATAACTTCACATGCAATATTATGATTATTTAGATTTGGTAAAAGATACTTAAACCCTCCCTAATATTAACCAGTTAGTAGGTTAGTTTGACTTGATAGAATGACTACTGGAGAATATGTCAAAAGACAGAATTCTCAGCCTCATTCTATTTTCCACCAGACTCTGTAACTCTAGGTATACTCCCTGGCCTCTATGAGCTCCATTATCATTACAAAACGCATAATATACCTTTCCTGTAAACCATGCAAGATTGAGAATCAACTAAGTGAACAGAAGTGAAAGAATTCTAAAATCTAAATATAAGAGAAATCTATATATGAGTCATCAATAATTAGTAAGTTTTTAATATAAGAAGCTCACATTATCTTTTCACATATAAAGAAATTACAACCCATCTGTTTGAAAATAAAACTACTGCATGCATTTCTCCTACTACCCCAATCTGTTTCTACCCAAACCACTCCACTAAACTATTTTTGTAAAGGTCACAATGACTTCCTTAAATAAACTAAGTAAATCCTGACCCTGTATTCTCTATTACTTGACCCTGTTCATTTATTTCACTACATTTATTACAATATGCAATAGTTGTTTTACATATTTTTCCACGAGCACTTAGTCCACTGTTAGGCACAATGTAGATGTTCAATAATTATGTTGAGTAAGTAAATAAACAAATGTCACTTAAATATACTCCTCTAACTTGTCCTCTGGTAGACACCGTGATATGACACCCAGATCACATTTCAAGGAAGCACTTGTTGCCCCAACTGTATGGAGCACTTTCTACAGGCAGCCTTCAGCTGCCAGCTCCTTCAGACATTGCCTCATTTGCAGAGAGCCACGTCACCCAAAGTCATGCCCCTTCATAGAATGGCCCACATTCCAGAATTGATCAATGCAGGAGTATAATGACCTGGTGTCCCGGCCCAACTTAGGACAGCCTTGAAAAACCATTCTAGCTCCAGGAATCCCCAGGGTGTCAGTGAGCCTACTGATGCTCCACTTCTTCTTATCCTGTTTCTTTCCTTTCTTTTCCTAAGGGCTTGATCCCAAAGGCCTTCTAAATAAATATCCTTCACATTACACATCTCAGAATCTGCTTCCCAGGGAATTCAACCTGTGACACCCTCAAAACAGCTTTTAATAGTGATGAAACTCTCTCTGAAACAACCTCCTCTCAAGGTTTTCCTCTTTTCATCTGTTGCCTGACCTCCTTTTTCCTTTTGCAAACATTAAAATACCAGACTAACCCAGGACCAATCCTAGTCCTCTCCTGTTTTCATTTTTTTTACACTGTCTCTTAATTGATCTCAGCCATTTCTATACTTCTTGACATTGAGGGTCTCCACACTGATTTCTAGTCTATACCTCTGTTCTGAGTTTCACACTTCTAGAGCCAAAAGTTCATCTGAATAGCATCTCTTTTTAGTGCCATCATCTGGAATTAGGGATACCCTTGCTGCCCTTAATCAATTTGCCAATACTGACCACTGATCTTTTCAAAACAAAACTGGAATCACATTATTCTTTTGTTCAGTGGGTTTCCATTTGATTTCAGACATAAATTCAAATCATTTTCTATGATCTAAAAGTAGGCTGAATACTTATATTAGTGAATATTGACATTTCATATTCCATCATATTTGTAACTGGGACCCTTTTCAGAATGAAATGGAGTGCTATTAACAATTACTCTAGGACAACAGGCAATAACAGAACTGGCCCAGGCAATCACAGAAACAGGTTTACTCTATGTATAAGGTGTCCGCTGCACTGCTTTCAAACTTTCTGAATTTAAAAATGCTTAGACATAGTATTGCTGTTATAGTATTCACAGCCTTGGTATTGATTTAGGCCTCAAAAAGATGCAATGGTCGAAAATTTAGCATCTGTTTTTTGTGTGTACAACTCATAAAGATATCTTATGCAGCCAAGGTGTTTAACTAATCCAGTACTCTGCAGCCTTTGGTGTTCACTGGAATAACTTCTGGGATATTTTCAAAATGCATGACCATAATACTTCTCAAGAACCATAAAATCAGAATGTCTGTGGATAGTCCCAGGCATGTGCATTTTGGAAAACCTTCCTAGGTAAGAGCCATTACACTACTCTATGACAAGCACTGTTCAAGCTACCTTTTAAGTTAAACTAGGAAATATACTAACATTGATTGTGTACCTATATCTGCAGTGAGATTATTAGCAGGGTTAGCAGTATTGATCACCCTTAGACTAGTCCTTGGTTTTACTTGAAATATTCCAGCAACAGTGTCATGTTTTTAAGGAGCAAGGGTAGATAAAAACATGATTGGCAAATGTCTATTGTTAAGACTGGGGGTGAATTACATAGTTGTTCATCCCTACTTTTGTAAATGTTTAAAAATTCCCATAATGAAGAGCTTTAAAATAAGGGCCACTGGTAAAACAAACAAACATATGATTTTGACTAAAATGACATGAAGTCCAGCTAATTCTATTTCTCAAATAACTTTTAAATTATATTCTCTCTGCTCTTTCCTGCCATCACCCTATTTCAGGCCTTTATTAGATTTTAACTGAAATCTAAAATTACTTCTTAACTCACAGAAGTACTTCCTAATAAATTTGTAATTCATTGATTCACACATCCATTCTTAAGAAAAAAAAAAAAAAACTTATGAAGCACACCTATTTCCAAAGAAATAGCATATGTCAAGAAGCTGATATCCTCTCAGGGCTGCCAAAGCTAGTTTTCTAAGTCATAAATCTGATCAGACCATTTTCCAGGGAAAACAAAACAAAGCAAAATAGCAAAATGATCATCTATGACGCTGGTTATCTTAAAAGGTCAGATACGAAATATATTAGGCTTTGCAGACCTTACATTTCTGTTGGAACTACCCAACTCTGCCATTGTGGTACAAAAGCAGCCATAGACAACACATAAACACATGGGTGTAGATGTGTTCCAGTAAAACCTGATTTACAAAAACAAGTCGTAGGCTGGATTTGACCCAATAGCATAGTTTGCCAATCCCTGATCTCTTAATAAACAAATTCCATAAAACAGTAATTGAAGCTCTGTAACAACCAAATTCCTTTAAATTAATGATCTAAGACATTCAGTAAATATGACCTCAAAGCACCCATATACCTGTATTTCCTGCACAACTCCATGCTCTAGAAGTTCCTCCATTTTTATTTTTTACATCACCATGGCCTTGATAAATCATTGGTTCAATACTTATTAATATTCCAATAACCAGAACAAGTATCCCTTTATATATAAAACTTTCCCTATATTCTATACATACCCTGAATCTTGGCAGGGTGAGAATCACCCCATAGAAATACCTGTTATATAAATTTCTATGAAGGCAATCATATATTACAGATTCCTTAAATTCTCTGTTTATCACCACTGCATGTGCTAACCTGTAACCAAAGGGTTTATCAAGGGCATTTCTAGGTACTCCAAAACACCAATAAGTATGCTATTATAGACACTGAGAGACACTTCAGCCTCCCAGAGTAGATATTATATTGTTTCTAAGAAAAGATAACTGAACAACACTGATTAAATCAAACCTTATTTATTTTTCGTAAAGCCCAAAGCAATAAATATGCAGAAGTAGGACTTCATGGAAAATTAACAGCATGTTATCTATGCACTTTATGTACATGCTCTGTTCTAAAGTTATTCCTTAGTCCTCTTTTCTTTTGGCCAAGACTATAATGAGATTTTGGACATACATTTTCCTCAAGCAAAGCAATATGAAACAAGCCAGACGAAAGGGATTGTGAGAGGTCAGGTTATTTTCATCCCTCTTCTCTTAGGAAGAAATATTCTTTACATCCTAAGAAAAGGAGCTATGATTCTATTTTTAGAGACATCAAGAGAAAGAGATTTTATAACTTTCTCTAATAATCCATTCTAATGCTTAACAAATTTTGTTGTTAGAAAAAAAATCTTCATGTAAGTCCTTGTGCTACAGAATGAAATGATTATTTTTCTGTTCTAAGGGAAAGAGAAAACAGCAAAAATTATCTATGTAAGAGACCTGTATATATTTTTAAACAATACATTATCCTTAATCTATTTACCATTATCCTTTTAGAATTTTCTTTCCTTGAAGCAATAATCCTGATTTTTAAACTGTAAGGTGTTTGAAGCTTATTTACAAATATTTTCCTGGTCTAAGACACTAATACTAAGTAACTGATTATACTGTCATTATTTCTCTACAACTTATAAAAATGTAAAGCTCTAATTACTATTTAAATTGAATAGAAAGTAGAATTTAAAATTCAACTCCTATTCTTTTTAGACCTTGAGCAATAATGTTCCCCCAACACAGTTTTCTTAAGTTGATCTTACATAAAAGATTTTTCAAATATACATTTTATATGGTATAATATCTAACTGAAAATAAAATGAACACAGTATTATCAAAAGTGGGAGGCTGGAAAGCTCATGAAATTTTAATGAGTCACCTTGAATAAGAAAAACATAGCAGGGAATGGTGATAGGTCACAGAATACTATTAATTCATATTCAAAGCACTACTGTACAGAAGTATGGTATCTAATAAGAAGGCTGAAGGGGTGACATGGTGGGAAGGAATTCTTATTTGTATCTAGGTTTTATCATATTTTTACATATTATTTACCTTTCCAACCCAAAGGTATTTTTTCTCTACAATAAAATAATCTTTATCATCCAATATAAAAATATCTTCTATTACTTGATTGTATTTTATTTTATAATAATAAAAGTTCCAAACAACACACTTCTCAATATAATTTCAAAATGTTTTATAGTTAAAATGGCATATGCCAAACGATGCCAAAAGTACAGATAAAACCTGCTGAACAAAATCCAATGCCCCATAAAATATATTTGTCATACCAAAATCATGACATTTATAAGCATACATGTGACTAAAACTCTATTAAATAAGATTGACAGACAATGCTTGTCTTAGAAGACTAGATAGCTATCATGTATAGATGAGTGCCTTTCAAACATGGATATACTTCAGAATCACCTGGAAAGCTTTTAAAATGGTAATGATATCTGAACTCCATCACGTAGATATTTTCATTTTTCTGGGAAAGATCCTGGATATCAGTATACTCAGAAACTGGTCAAATGATTCTAGAACAGAGAAAGGGATGTGAACTACTAATAAAGCAAAAAGAAAGAAAAAAGAGATGGGGAGGGTGGAGGCAAGATGGCCAAATAGGAACAGCTCCAGTCTACAGATCCCAGCGTGAGCGAAATAGAAGACGGGTGATTTCTGCATTTCCAACTGAGGTACCAGGTTCATCTCACTGGCGAGTGTCGGAAAGTGGGTGCAGGACAGTGGGTGCAGCGCACTGAGTGTGAGCCAAAGCAAAGCGAGGCATTGCCTCACCCAAGAAGTGCAAGGGGTCAGGGAATTCCCTTTCCTAATCAAAGAAAGGGGTGACAGATGGCACCTGGAAAATCGGGTCACTCCCACCCTAATACTGCGCTCTTCCAACGGTCTTAGCAAATGGCACACCAGGAGATTATATCCCGTACATGGCTCAGAGTCTTGCTCATTGCTAGCACAGCAGTCTGAGATCAAACTGCAAGGCGGTAGCGAGGCTGGGGGAGGGGCGTCCGCCATTGCTGAGGCTTGAGTAGGTAAACAAAGCCACCAGGAAGCTCGAACTGGGTGGAGCCCACCGCACCTCAAGGAGGCCTGCCTGCCTCTGTAGACTTCACCGCTGGGGCTAGGGCATAGCCAAACAAAAGGCAGCAGAAACCTCTGCAGACATAAATGTCCCTGTTTGACAGCTTTGAAGAGAGCAGTGGTTCTCCCAGCACGCAACTGGAGATCTGAGAATGGACAGACGGCCTCCTCAAGTGGGTCCCTGACCCCTGAGTAGCCTAACTGGGAGGCAACCCCCAGTAGGGGCAGACTGACAACTCACATGGCTGGGTACTCCTCTGAGACAAAACTTCCATAGGAACGATCGGGCAGCAACATTTGCTGTTCACCAATATCCGCTGTTCTGCAGACTCCGCTGCTGATACCCAGGCAAACAGGGTCTGGAGTGGACCTCCAGCAAACTCCAACAGACCTGCAGCTGAGGGTCCTGAATGACAGAAGGAAAACTAACAAACAGAAAGGACATCCACACCAAAACACCATCTGTACGTCACCATCATCAAAGACCAAAGGTAGATAAAACCACAAAGATGGGGAAAAAACAGAGCAGAAAAACTGGAAACTCCAAAAATCAGAGTGCCTCTTCTCCACCAAAGGAACGAAGTTCCTCACCAGCAACAGAATAAAGCTGGATGGAGAATGACTTTGACGAGTTGAGAGAAGAAGCCTTCAGACGATCAAACTACTCTGAGCTAAAGGAGGAAGTTCAAACCCATGGCAAGGAAGTTAAAAATCTTGAAAAAAAATTAGACCAATGACTACCTAGAATAACCAATGCAGAGAAGTCCTTAAAGGACCTGATGGAGCTGAAAACCATGGCATGAGAGCTATGTGACGAATGCACAAGCCTCAGTAGCCGATTTGATCAACTGGAAGAAAGGGTATCAGTGATGGAAGATGAAATGAATGAAATGAAGTGAGAAGAGAAGTTTAGAGAAAAAAGTATAAAAAGAAATGAACAAAGCCTCCAATAAATATGGGACTATGTGAAAAGACCAAATCTACAACTGATTGGTGTACCTGAAAGTGATGGGGAGAATGGAACCAAGTTGGAAAACACTCTGCAGGATATTATCCAGGAGAACTTCCCCAATCTAGCAAGGCAGGCCAACATTCAAATTCAGGAAATACAGAGAATGCCACAAAGATACTCCTCGAGAAGAGCAACTCCAAGACACATAATTGTAAGATTCACCAAAGTTGAAATGAAGGAAAAAATGTTAAGGGCAGCCAGAGAGAAAGGTCGGGTTAACCACAAAAGGAAGCCCATCAGACTAACAGCTGATGTCTCAGCAGAAACTCTACAAGCCAGAAAACAGTGTGAGCCAATATTCAACATTCTTAAAGAAAACAATTTTCAAGACAAAATTTCATATCCAGATAAACTAAGCTTCAGAAGTGAAGGATAAATAAAATCCTTTACAGATAAGCAAATGCTGAGAGAGTTTTGTCACCACCAGGCCTGTCCTAAAAGAGCTCCTGAAGGAAACACTACACATGGAAAGGAACAACTGGTGCCAGCCACTGCAAAAACAAGCCAAGTTATAAAGACCATTGAGGCTAGGAAGAAACTTCATCAACTAACGAGCAAAATAACCAGCTAGCATCATAATGATAGGATCAAATTCACACATAACAATATTAACTTTAAATGTAAATGGGCTAAATGCTCCAATTAAAAGACACAGACTGGCAAATTGGATAAAGAGTCAAGACCCATTAGTGTGATGTATTCAGGAAACCCATCTCACATGCAGAGACACACATAGGCTCAAAATAAAGGGATGGAGGAAGATCTACCAAGCAAATGGAAAACAAACAAAGGCAGGGGTTGCAATCCTAGTCTCTGATAAAACAGACTTTAAACCAACAAAGATCAAAAGAGACAAATAAGGCCATTACATAAGGGTAAAGGGATCAATTCAACAAGAAGAGCTAACTATCATAACTATATATGCACCTAATACAGGAGCACCCAGATTCATAAAGCACATCCTTAGAGACCTACAAAGAGACTTAGACTCCCATACAATAATAATGGGAGACTTTAACAACCCACTGTCAACATTAGACAGATCAACGAGACAGAAAGTTAACAAGGATATCCAGGAACTGAACTCAGCTCTTCACCAAGCGGACCTAATACACATCTACAGAACTCTCCACCCCAAATTAACAGAATATACATTCCTTTCAGCACCATACATATTCCAAAATTGACCACATATTTGGAAGCAAAGCACTCCTCAGCAAATGTAAAAGAACAGAAATTATAACAAACTATCTCTCAGACCACAGTGCAATCAAACTACAACTCAGGATTCAGAAACTCACTCAAAACCGCTCAACTACATGGAAACTGAACAACCTGCTCCTGAATAACTACTGGGTACACAACAAAATGAAGGCAGAAATAAACATGACAAGAACAAAGACACAACATACCAGAATCTCTGGGACACATTCAAAGCAGCGTGTAGAGGGAAATTTATAGCACTAAATGCCCACAAGAGAAAGCAGGAAAGATCTAAAATTGACACCCTAACATCACAATTAAAAGAACTAGAGAAGCAAGAGCAAACACATTCAAAAGCTAGCAGAAGGCAAGAAATAACTCAGATCAGAGCAGAACTGAAGGAAATAGAGACACAAAAAACCCTTCAAAAAATCAATGAATCCAGGAGCTGGGGTTTTGAAAAGAGCAACAAAATTGACAGACTGCTAGCAAGACTAAAAAAGAAGAAAACAGAGAAGAATAGACGTGATAAAAAATGATAAAGGGGATATCACCACCAATCCCACAGAAATACAAACTACCATCAGAGAAAACTATAAACACCTCTATGCAAATAAACTAGAAAATCTAGAAGAAATGGATAAATTCCTTGACACATACGCCCTCCCAAGACTAAACCAGGAAGAAGTTGAATCTCTGAATAGACCAAAAACAGGCTCTGAAATTGAGGCAATAATTAATAGCTTACCAACCAACAAAAGTCCAGGACCACATGGATTCACAGCCGAATTCTACCAGAGGTACAAGGAGGAGCTGGTACCATTCCTTCTGAAATTATTCCAATCAATAGAAAAAGAGGGAATCCTCCCTAACTCATTTTATGAGGCCAGCATCATCCTGATACCAAAGCCTGGCAGAGACACAACCAAAAAAGAGAATTTTAGACTAATATCCCTGATGAACATTAATGCAACAATCCTCAATAAAATACTGGGAAACCAAATCCAGTAGCACATCAAAAAGCTTATCCACTATGATCAAGTGGGCTTCATCCCTGGGATACAAGGCTGGTTCAACATATGCAAATCAATAAACTTAATTCAGCATATAAACAGAACCAATGAAAAAAACCACATGATTATCTCAATAGATGCAGAAAAGGCCTTTGACAAAATTCAACAGCACTTCATGCTAAAAATTCTGACTAAATTAGGTATTCATGGGACGTACCTCAAAATAATAAGAGCTATCTATGAGAAACCCACAGCCAATATCATACTGAATGGGCAAAAACTGGAAGCATTCCCTTTGAAAACTGGCACAAGACAGGGATGCCCTCTCTCACCACTCCTATTCAACACAGTGTTGGAAGTTCTGCCATGGCAATCAGGCAGAAGGAAACAAAGGGTATTCAATTAGGAAAAGAGGAAGTCAAATTGTCCCTGTTTGCAGATGACTTGATTGTATATCTAGAAAACCCCATTGTCTCAGCCCAAAATCTCCTTAAGCTGATAGGCAACTTCAGCAAAGTCTCAGGATACAAAATCAATGTGCAAAAATCACAAGCATTCTTATACACCAAGAACAGACAAACAGAGAGCCGAATCATGAGTGAACTCCCATTCACAATTGCTTCAAAGAGAATAAAATACCTAGGAATCCAACTTACAAGGTATGTGAAAGACCTCTTCAAGGAGAACTATAAACCACTGCTCAATGAAATAAAAGAGGATACAAAGAAATGGAAGAACATTCCATGCTCATGGGTAGGAAGAATCAATATCGTGAAAATGGCCATACTGCCCAAGGTAATTTATAGATTCAATGCCATCCCCATCAAGCTACCAATGACTTTCTTCACAGAATTGGAAAAAACTACTTTAAAGTTCATATGGAACCAAAAAAGAGCCCCCATTGCCAAGTAAATCCTAAGCCAAAAGAACAGAGCTGGAGGCATCACACTACCTGACTTCAAATCATACTACAAGGCTACAGTAACCAAAACAGCATGGTACCAGTACCAAAGCAGAGATATAGACGAATGGAACCAGAACAGAGCCCTCAGAAATAACACTGCATATCTACAACTATCTGATCTTTGACAAACCTGAGAAAAACAAGCAATGGGGAAAGGATTCCCTATTTAATAAATGGTGCTGGGAAAACTGGCTAGCCATATGTAGATAGCTGAAACTGGATCCCTTCCTTACACCTTATACAAAAATTAATTCAAGACGGATTAAAGACTTGAACATTAGACCTAAAACCATAAAAATCCTAGAAGAAAACCTAGGTATTACCATTCAGGACATAGGCATGGGCAATGACTTCATGTCTAAAACACCAAAAGCAATGGCAACAAAAGCCAAATTTGACAAATGGGATCTAATTAAACTAAAGAGCTTCTGCACAGCAAAAGAAACTACCATCAGATTGAATAGGCAACCTACAAAATGGGAGAAAATTTTCACAACCTACTCATCTGACAAAGGGCTAATATCCAGAATCTACAATGAACTCAAACAAATTTAGAAGAAAAAAACAAACAACCCCATCAAAAAGTGGGTGAAGGACATGAACAGACACTTCTCAAAAGAAGACATTTATGCAGCCAAAAAACACAGGAAAAAATGCTCACCATCACTGGCCATCAGAGAAATGCAAATCAAAACCACAATGAGATACCATCTCACACCAGTTAGAATGGCAATCATTAAAAAGTCAGGAAACAACAGGTGCTGGAGAGGATGTGGAGAAATAGGAACACTTTGACACTGCTGGTGGGACTGTAAACTAGTTCAACCATTGTGGAAGTCAGTGTGGTGATTCCTCAGGGATCTAGAACTGGAAATACCATTTGACCCAGCAATCCCATTACTGGGTATATACCCAAAGGACTATAAATCATGCTGCTATAAAGACACATGCACACGTATGTTTATTGCGGCATTATTCACAATAGCAAAGACTTGGAACCAAGCCAAATGTCCAACAATGATAGACTGGATTAAGAAAATTTGGCACATATACACCATGGAATACTACGCAGCCATAAAAAATGATGAGTTCATGTCCTTTGTAGGGACATGGATGAAATTGGAAGTCATCATTCTCAGTAAACTATCGCGAGAACAAAAAACCAAACACCGCATATTCTCACTCATAGGTGGGAACTGAACAATGAGAACACATGGACACAGGAAGGGGAACATCACACTCTGGGGACTGTTGTGGGGTGGGGGGAGGGGGGAGGGATAGCTTTAGGAGATATACCTAATGCTAAATGATGAGTTAATGGGTGCAGCACACTAGCATGGCACATGTATACATATGTAACTAACCTTCACAATGTGCACATGTACCCTAAAACTTAAAGTATAATAATAATAAAAGAAAAAATAAATAAATAAATAAAGTGCCTCATCTATAAATAGCATATAGTTGGAACCTATTTTTTTACCAATTTGACAATCTCTTTTAATTAGAATGTCTCCTCCTTCATATTTATTTTAATTATTAATATTAATACATTGTATTTATTAAACAAATATTTGATAAGTATTTAATTGTTTGAATAATAATCAATACGTTAGGATTTAGACCTGCCGTTTTGCTTTTTCATTTTTTCTCATTTATTTTTTATTCCACTCTTCCTTCTTTACTACCTTTTTTGCATCAAATGTATACATTTTATATTTACCTGTTGATTTTTTAGTTATATTTATAAGTTAGATTTTAATGGTTGCATTATTATATGAATCTTAAACTGAAAATAATAGCCTTCAAGTAAGTACTGACTTATTGTCAGTAAAATAAAGCAAACTTATTCTAGTTTAGTTTTATTTCCTATCTTTTACTATTATTATTTATATTATAAACCCAACAATGTAGTCATTCGAACATACATAGGCTTGTGTGTGTGAGACTCTTACTTTACTAAGTGTGATGGTTAATACTAGGTGTCAACTTAATTGGATTGAAGGATGCCTGGATAGCTGGTAAAGTTTTGTTTCTGGGTGTGTCTGTGAGGGTTTTGCCAGAGGAGATTAACATTTGAGTCAGTGGACTGGCAGATGAAGACCCACCCTCAACGTGGGTGGGCACCATCCAGTCAGCTACCAGTGTGGCTAGAACAAAGCAGGTGTAAGAAGATGGGATAAGCTGGCTTGCTGAGTCTTCCGGCTTTCAACTTTCTCCTGTGCTGGATGCTTCCATCCATTGTTCCTCCTACCCTTGGACAACAGACTCCAAGTTCTTCAACCTTTGGACTCCTGGATTTACATCAGTGGTTTGCCGGGGGATCTCGGGCCTTTGACTACAGACTGAAGGCTGTTGGCTTCCCTACTTTTGAGGCTTTTAGACTCACACTGAGTCACTACTGGCTTCTTTCTTCCTCAGCTTGCAGATGGCCCACCATGGGACTTTGCCTTATGATCGTGTAAGCCAATTCTCCTTAATAAATTTGCAAGTTTATTCCCATTTCATAAGGTGGCTTTTCAATCTATTGATTGTTTCCCTGGCTGTGCAAAACATTTTAGGTTGATGCAGTCCCACTTGTTTCTGTTTTTATAGTCTGTGCTTTGGTGTCATATCCAAAAAATCACTGCCAAGACCAATGTCAAAGAACTTTTTTCCTATGCTTTCTTATAAGAGTTTTATAGTTTCAGGTCTTATATTTAAGTCTTTAAAACATTCAGACTTAATTTATGAGTATGGTGTGAGATAAGAATCCAATTTCATTATTTTACATGTGGATATCCAATTTTCCCAACACCGTTTATTAAAGAGACTATCCTTTAACCATTTTTTATTCTTGGCATCCTTGTCAAAAATCAGTTAATCATACACATGTGTGTTTATTTTTGAGGTATCTATTCTGTTCCCTTGGTCTACATGTCTGCTTTTATGCCAGTATCACCCTGTTTATATTACTATCACTTTTTATGATATAGTTTCAAAACAGGGAGTGTAAATGTGTAAGCTTTGATCTTCATTCTCAAGATTGCTTCTGCTACTTGGGGTCTTTTGAGGTTCCACAGGAATTTTAGCATTTCTTTTATATTTCAGTGAAAGGCACCTTTGGAATTTTAATGTGGATGGCACTGAATCTGTAGCTCACTTTGGGTGGTATGGACAATACAAATTATTGCAATTCATAAACTAGGGATATGTTTAAACTCTTGTCTTTCAGTTTCTTTCACAAACGTCTTATAGTATTCATTGTACAGATTTTACACCTCCTTGGTTAAACTTATTCCTATTTTTGATGCTATTATAAATGGGATTGCTTCCTTGATGTATTTTTCAGATAGTTTGTTGTTAGTGTATAGAAGCACACCTGATTTTTTTAAATGTTTATTTTGCAGTCTGCAACTTTACTGAATTCATATATTAGTTCTAACAGTTTTTTGATGGCATTTTTAGGGTGTTCTATATACAATTATGTCATCTGTGAAGAGAAATAAAGTAACTTCTTCCTTTCAAATTTGAATCTTTTATTTCTTTTTCTTGCCTAATTGCTCTGGCTAGGACCTCCATTGATATGCTGAATAGAAGTGTTCTGAGTGGGCACCCTGTTCTGTTCCTGAGGTAAACTTTTCAACTTTTCACCACTGAGTATGATGTTAGCTATGGATTTATCATACATGGTCTTTATAATGTTGAAGTGCATTCCTTCTATACCTAATTTGTTGAGAGATGGTATCATAACAGGATATTGAATTTTCTCAGATGGTTTTGTGTGTGATCAATCATGATTTTTAATCCTTCATTCTGTTAATGTGGTTATAATGAAATCATACTTTCACCCCTGTGATAAATCCTACCCTATCATAGAATAGGATCTTTTTAATGTGCTGCTGAAATTGGTTTGCTACTATTTTGTTGTGCATTTTGCATATATGTATCAAGGATATTGACGAGTACTTCCTTTTCTTGTACTGTCCTTGTCTAGCTTTGGTATCAGAGTAACGCTGTCCTCATAAAATGAGTTTCGAAGTGTTCACTTCTCTTCAAATTTTGGAAAAATGACTGGCATTAATTCTACTGTAAATGTTTGGTAGAATTCACTATAAAGCCATCTGGTCCTGGGTTTTTATTTGTTGGGAGTTTTTTTTTTTTCCAATGCAATCTCTTTATTCATTATTGCCATGTTAAGATTTTCTATTTCTTCAGGATTCAGTCTTGGTAGGTTGTGTATTTCTAAGAATTTATCAATTTCTTCTAGGTTATCCATATAATGTTCACAGTAGTCTCTCAGGATTTTTTGCATTTTTGTGGTGTCATTGGTAATGTCTCCTTGTTCATTTGTAATACTATTTGAATATTTTTTCACTTCTTCTAGCTGAAGATTTGTCAATTTTGTTTACCTTTTCAAAAAACTGACTCTTAGTTTTGTTTCCTTTTCTATTGTCATGTGCGTGTGTGTACGTGTGTGTGTGATTTAAGCTAGGTCAAGGGTAGGTAGGACAAAAGGCTTGTATTTTGATGTGAGTGCATGCATGACTGTAAGAAGGCTGCCTCTAACAGAGGGAAAGCATGTCTTTTTTAATCAATTTGGATCTCTAAACTCCACAAAGCATGAGCGAGGAGTAAAATTGTTGGTGACAGTGAAGTCAGAGATTTGTTGTTTTTAAGTCTATCATCTTTCTAATTTCATTTATTTCTGTGCTAATCATTATTATTTCCTTCATTATGCTAGCTTTGGGCTTAGTTTCTTCTTTTTCTAGTTATTTTAGGTGTAAAGTTAGGTTGTTTGAGATTTTTCATTTTTAAGTTAGTCATTTACCACAATGAACTTCACCCTTAGAACTGCTTTTACTACAACCCATAAGCTAGGCTATGTTGTGTTTCTATTTTTCTTCATCTTAATATATTTTTGCTTTCCATTTTTATTTCTTCTTTTATTCACTGGTTGTTCAAAATGCACATCCTTGTGAATTTTACAAGATTCCTCCAGGAACTGATTTCTAACTTTATACTACTGTTGTCAAAGTATATACATATGAGATGATATCAACATTCTTAAAGTTAAGACTTCTTTTGTTGACCAGCATATAATCTATCGTGAAGAAAGTTTTTTATAGACTTGAAAAAATGTGTATTCTGCTGCTGTTAGATGAAATATGTCTGTTTGGGCCATTTGAACTACACTGTTATTCAAGTCCTATTTTTTTTTTCTGTCTGGATGGTCTATCTATTGTTGAAAGTGGGGTTCTGATGCCCCTTACTATTATTGAGTGGTCATATCTTTCTCTTCAGTTTTGTTAATATTTGTAACTAAAATATATTTACGTGCTTTGATGTTAGGTTTTTTGTTTTGTTTTGAGACAGAGTCTCACTCTGTCACCCAGGCTGGAGTGCAGTGGCGCCGTCCGGCTCACTGCAAGCTCTGCCTCCAGAGTTCATGCCATTCTCCTGCCTCACCCTCCCGAGTAGCTGGGACTACAGGCACCCACCACCACACCCGGCTAATATTTTGTATTTTTAGTAGAGACGGGATTTCACCGTGTTAGCCAGGATGGTCTCGATCTCCTGACCTCGTGATCCACCCGCCTCGGCCTCCCAAAGTGCTGGGATTACAGGCTTCAGCCACCGCGCCTGGCCTGATGTTAGATTATTAAATGTTAACAACTGTCATTTCCTCTTGAAGGAACTGACCCCTTTAACATTATACAGTGAATTTTTGTGTCTGTGTCAGTTTAGAATAAAAGATTCTTTTGTCTGATGTAAGTATAGCCACTCCTGCATTCCTTTATTTACTATCTGAATGGAATATCGCTTTCCATCCCTTCACTTTCATCCCAGCTGTGTTGTTAAAACTGAAGTGAGTTCCTTGTAGGCAGCCATGTGGTAGAATCTTCTTATTTTTTGTTTTTTTAATCTATTCATCCAGTCTGTGTCTTTTGATTGAAGAATTTAATCCATTTACTTTTAAAGGAATTATTGACAGGTAAGGACTTACTATTTCCATTTTGTTAATTATTTTCTGACTGTTTTGTAATTCCTTTGTACCTTTCTCCTCTTGCTGTGTTCCTTTTTGATTTATTTATCTCTTCTTGTGGTATGCTTTCATTTTTTTCTCTTAATTTTTTCTGTATCAATTAGAGGCTTTTTCTTTGTGATGTCACAAGCTTGCATAAAGCACCTTATTTGTAACATTCTAGTTGAAGCTGATAATAACTTTAATCATATACAAAAATTACACTGACTTCTCCTCTAACCTCTTCTTTCCTCTCTTCCACCAATAACATGCTATTGATATCACACTTTACACTATTTCATACTGTGTATCCATTAACAAATTACAGCTATAATTATATTTGACAATTTTCTCTTTTAATTTTTATACTAGAGTTAAAATGACCTATACACACCATTACAATATTAGAGTTTTCTGCTCTTCACTACATATTTACCTTTTCCAGTGAGTTTTATCATTTCATGTATTTTCATCTTGTTATTTAGTGTCCTTTCATTTCAACCCAAAGAACGCCCTATAGCATTTCTTGTAAGACAGGACTAGTTATGAACTACTGCAGCTTTTCTTTGGGACTCTCTTTATCTCTCATTCATTTATGAAGGACAGCTTTGCTGGAATGAGTATTCTTGGTTGCCTTTTTTCTTTCAGCACTTAGAATATATAATCCTCCTCCTTTGTGGCTTGTAAAATTTCTATTGAGAAATCTACGGATAACCTTATGGAGGTTTACTTGTATGTGATTAGTCTCCCTTTTCTTACCACTTTCAAGAGTCTCTCTTTAATAGCAAGCTCAGAAAAAAAAAATCCATGCACTATGGTCAAATGATTTTCAATAAAGTTGCTATTAACACACACTGGGAGAAAAACATTCTCTTCAATAAATAGTGTTGGGAAGGCCAGGCATGATGGCTCCCGCCTGTAATCCCAGCACTTTGGGAGGCTGAGGCAGGCGGATCACGAGGTCAGGAGATCAAGACCATCCTGGCTAACATGGTGAAACCCTGTCTCTACTAAAAATACAAAACATTAGCCGGCCATGGTGGCGTGCACCTGTAGTCCCAGCTACTCGGGAGGCTGAGGCAGGAGAATGGTGTGAACCCAGGAGTTGGAGCTTGCAGTGAGCTGAGATCACGCCACTGCACTCCAGCCTGTGCAATAGAGCGAGACTCCGTCTAAAAAAAAAAAAAATAGTGTTGGGAAAACTGGATATCCACATGCAAAACAATAAAATTAGATCCTTATCTCACATCATATACAAAAATCAACTCAAAATTGCTTAAAGATTTAAACATAAGACAAAAAATGTAAAATTACTAGAGGAAAACATAGGAGAAATGTTCCATAGCAATAGTCCGAGCAATATTTTTTTGTATATGATCCAAAAAGATGTCACCTCACACCTTTTAGAATGATTACCATCAAAAAGACAAAAGAAAACAAGTACTGGCAAGAATTTGCAGAAAATGAAACCCTTGTACACTGCTGGTGTGAGTGTAAATCAGTACTGTCATTATAGAAAACATTATAAAGATTCCCCAAAAAAGTTCCCCCGAAAAACTACAACTGTCATACGATCCAGACATCCCACACCTGGGAATATATCCCAAATAAATAAATGAGTATTTTGAAAAAACATATATTCTCCCATGTTCCTTGCAGCCTTCCTCACAATAATTAAAAGATGGAATCAACTTAATTGTCCATCAATACTTTCTTTATCTGAATAAAGAAAATGTGGCATATATACACAATGGAATACTATTCATCCTTTAAAAAAGAACAAAATCCTGTCATCTGCAATAACATGGATGAACCTGGAGGACATTACATTAGGTGAAATAACCAAGGCACAAAAAGACAAATACCCTATAATCTCTCTTACATTAGAAAGCTAAAAAGGTTGAACTCATAGCAGTAAAGAGTACTATGGTGGTTATCAGTGCAGGGTTGAGGTAGTGAGGAGGTGTGGGAGGTGTTGGTCAAAGGATGATCAGAGATGTTGGTCCAAATTTCAGTTAGATAGGAGAAGTAAGTTCAATAGATCTATTGTAAAAATGGTTATACTACATAATTACAGTTAATAATAATGAATTCTTGAAAATTACTAGAGATTAGATTTTAAGTTCTCTCACCAAAAAAGGTATGGTACATATGTGAAATAATAACACTGTCAGTTAGCTTGATTTAGCCACTCCACAATGTACAGATATTTCTTTTTTTTTTTTTTATACTTTAAGTTTTAGGGTACATGTGCACATTGTGCAGGTTAGTTACATATGTATACATGTGCCATGCTGGTGCGCTGCACCCACTAACTCGTCATCTAGCATTAGGTATATCTCCCAATGCTATCCCTCTCCCCTCCCCCCACCCCACAACAGTCGCCAGAGTGTGATATTCCCCTTCCTGTGTCCATGTGATCTCATTGTTCAATTCCCACCTATGAGTGAGAATATGCAGTGTTTGGTTTTTTGTTCTTGCGATAGTTTACTGAGAATGATGATTTCCAATTTCATCCATGTCCCTACAAAGGACATGAACTCATCATTTTTTATGGCTGCGTAGTATTCCATGGTGTATATGTGCCACATTTTCTTAATCCAGTCTATCATTGTTGGAGATTTCGCTTGGTTCCAAGTCTTTGCTATCGTGAATAATGCCGCAATAAACATACGTGTGCATGTGTCTTTATAGCAGCATGATTTATAATCTTTGGGTATATACCCAGTAATGGGATGGCTGGGTCAAATGGTATTTCTAGTTCTAGATCCCTGAGGAATCGCCACACTGACTTCCACAATGGTTGAACTAGTTTACAGTCCCACCAACAGTGTCAAAGTGTTCCTATTTCTCCACATCCTCTCCAGCACCTGTTGTTTCCTGACTTTTTAATGATTGCCATTCTAACTGGTGTGAGATGGTATCTCATTGTGGTTTTGATTTGCATTTCTCTGATGGCCAGTGATGATGAGCGTTTTTTCATGTGTCCGTTGGCTGCATAAATGTCTTCTTTTGAGAAGTGTCTGTTCTTGTCCTTCGCCCACTTTTTGATGGGGTTGTTTGTTTTTTTCTTGTAAATTTGTTTGAGTTCATAATGTACAGATATTTCAAAACGCCATGTTCTATTAGATACAATTTTTTTGTTGACTTAAAAATTAAATATATTTGAGAAAAGATACTCTCTTTATCCTTCACTTTTCACAGTATGATCATGAGTCTCAAAATAATTTTCTTTGGGTTGATCTTGCTTTCAGTTCTCTAAACATAATGAATCTGGATGCCCATATCTCTCCCAAGATTTGGGAAGTTTTCAATATGTATTTTGTTAATTTTTAGTTTTTCTATTTTTATAAATTCAGGAAGTACATGTGCAGGTTTGCTACATAAGTATATTGCATAGTGGTGGAGTTTAGACATCTAGTGTGGCCATCACCCAAATAGTAAACACTGTACCCAATAGGTAATTTTTCTTTCTTCTTTTTTATCATTCAATGTTATTTTCTTTTAATTAAACTTTAAGTTTTAGGGTACATGTGCACAACGTGCAGGTTACATATGTATACATGTGCCATGTTGGTGTGCTGCACCCATTAACTCGTCATTTAACATTAGATATATCTCCTAATGCTATCCCTCCCCCCTCCCCCCACCCCACAACAGGCCCTGGTGTGTGATGTTCCACTTGCCGTGTCCATGTGTTCTCGTGTTTAATTCCCACCTGTGAGTGAGAACATGCGGTGTTTGCTTTTGTACTTGTGATACTTTGCTGAGAATGACAGTCTCCAGCTTCATTCATGTCCCTACAAAGGACATGAACTCATCATTTTTTATGGCTGCATAGTATTCCATGGTGTATATGTGCCACATTTTCTTAATCCAGTCTATCATTGTTGGACATTTGGCTTGGTTCCAAGACTTTGCTATTGTGAATAGTGCCGCAATAAACATACGTGTGCATGTGTCTTTATAGCAGCATGATTTATAGTCCTTTGGGTATATATCCAGTAATGGGATGGCTGGGTCAAATGGTATTTCTAGTTCTAGATCCCTGAGGAATCGCCACACTGACTTCCACTATGGTTGAAATAGTTTACAGTCCCACCAACAGTGTAAAAGTGTTCCTATTTCTCCACATCCTCTCCAGCACCTGTTGTTTCCTGACTTTTTAATGATTGCCATCCTAACTGGTGTGAGATGGTATCTCATTGTGGTTTTGATTTACATTTCTCTGATGGCCAGTGATGAAGAGCATTTTTTCATGTGCCTTTTGGCTGCATACATGTCTTCTTTTGAGAAGTGTCTGTTCATGTCCTTCACCCACTTTTTGATGGGTTTGTTTGTTTTTTCCTTGTAAATTTGTTTGAGTTCATTTAGATTCTGGATATTAGCCCTTTGTCAGATGAGTAGATTGCAAAAATTTTCTCCCATTCTGTAGGTTGCCTGTTCACTCTGATGGTAGTTTCTTTTGCTGTGCAGGAACACTTTAGCTTAATTAGATCCCATTTGTAAATTTTGGCTTTTGTTGTCATTGCTTTTGGTGTTATAGACATGAAGTCCTTGCCCATGCCTATGTCTTGAATGGTATTGCCTAGGTTTTCTTCTAGGGTTTTTATGGTTTTAGGTCTAATGTTTAAGTCTTTAATCCATCTTGAATTGATTTTTGTATAAGGTGTAAGGAAGGGATCCAGTTTCAGCTATCTACATATGGCTAGTCAGTTTTCCCAGCACCATTTATTAAATAGGGAATCCTTTCCCCATTGCTCATTTTTGTCAGGTTTGTCAAAGGTCAGATAGTTGTAGATATGCAGTGTTATTTCTGAGGGCTCTGTTCTGGTTCCATTGGTCTACATCTCTGCTTTGGTACCAGTACCATGCTATTTTGGTTACTGTAGCCTTGTAGTATAGTTTGAAGTCAGGTAGTGTGATGCCTCCAGCTTTGTTCTTTTGGCTTAGGATTTACTTGGCAATAGGGGCTCTTTTTTGGTTCCATATGAACTTTAAAGTAGTTTTTTCCAATTCTGTGAAGAAAGTCACTTGTAGCTAGATGGGGATGGCATTGAATCTGTAAATTACTTTGGGCAGTATGGCCATTTTCACGATATTGATTCTTCCTACCCATGAGCATGGAATGTTCTTCCATTTCTTTGTATCCTCTTTTATTTCATTGAGCAGTGGTTTGTAGTTCTCCTTGAAGAGGTCTTTCACATACCTTGTAAGTTGGATTCCTAGGTATTTTATTCTCTTTGAAGCAATTGTGAATGGGAGTTCACTCATGATTCGGCTCTCTGTTTGTCTGTTCTTGGTGTATAAGAATGCTTGTGATTTTTGCACATTGATTTTGTATCCTGAGACTTTGCTGAAGTTGCCTATCAGCTTAAGGAGATTTTGGACTGAGACAATGGGGTTTTCTAGATATACAATCAAGTAATCTGCAAACAGGGACAATCTGACTTCCTCTTTTCCTAATTGAATGCCCTTTATTTCCTTCTCCTGCCTGATTGTCCTGGCCAGAACTTCCAACACTATGTTGAATAGGAGTGGTGAGAGAGGGCATCCCTGTCTTGTGCCAGTTTTCAAAGGGAATGCTTCAAGTTTTTGCCTATTCAGTATGATATTGGCTGTGGGCTTCTCATAGATAGCTCTTATTATTTTGAGGTACATCCCATCAATACCTAATTTATTGAGAGTTTTTAGCATGAAGTGCTGTTGAATTTTGTCAAAGGCCTTTTCTGCATCTATTGAGATAATCATGTGGTTTTTGTCATTGGTTCTGTTTATATGCTGGATTACATTTATTGATTTGCATATGTTGAACCAGCCCTGCTGGTACCATTCCTTCTGAAACTATTCCAATCAATAGAAAAAGAGGGAATCCTCCCTAACTCATTTTATGAGGCCAGCATCATCCTGATACCAAAGCCTGGCAGAGACACAACAAAATGACAATTTTACACCAATATCCCTGATGAACATCGATGCAAAAATCCTCAATATTGGCAAACCAAATCCAACAGCACATCAAAAAGCTTATCCACCATGATCAAGTGGTTTCTATTTCTTTATTTGACTTCTAATTTTGTTCATTATTTTTCTAATTTCATGTGGTTATATATCTGTGCTGTCTTGCATCTTATTGAACTTGTTAATATGATTATTTTGAAATTTTTTCAGGTAATTTTTAGATTTCCATTTCTTTATGGTTGGTTATTAGAGCCTTATTAGTTTCTTTTGGTGGTGTCATGTTTGCTTAATTCTTTGTCACCTGTGTAGCCTTGCATGGTTGTCTGTGCATTTGAAGGAGCAAACACCTCTTCCCGTCTTTTTAGACTGATTTATGCCAATAAAAGCTTTCTCTTGTTGGATCCCTGGGCTGACAGAATTGCACCTGGGATTGCACTCTAGTGGTGTTGGAGCCAGATCACATGGCTGTTGCTAGATCTGCAGTGAGGTCCAAGGCTGTTGGGATGGCTACCACCCCACCAACCACCAGGGGCTTAAGCAGGTAAGGATAATGCATAGTCCCTAAGTGAACTAGACTGGCTTCAGAACCTTGGTCATTAGGGCTGGAAATAAACTGAAGGTCAGCTTCTTGGTCTGCAAATTGAAGGCCCATTAGCAGGTGCACAGATGAATGTGGCCTTCCTGCGGGTCTCTGGGAGGGCTGCTGCTATGTCATTGGCTGTTTCTCTAGTAGAAAATCCCGGCTAAAGAACATGGCTTACAGGAACTGGATAACCTGGCTGCTTCAGTGTCCACAGTTCAGATCAAAGTCTGCATATCTGCCTCTGGGAACACAATGTGTCTACCTCCAAGTCCCTGGGTAAGCAGAACTTCTCTCAGGGTACATCTGAGAAGGGCTGGAGCCAAAATACAGGACCATTTCAGAATCTGCTGTGCGTCCAGTGTTGTCAAGCTTGCTGGGCAACACAGATAGGCATGTCTCCCAGCTGTGCAGGCAGGACTGCTTTCATATTGTTTTTTAATACATATATTCATCAACATGATGTAGTTATCCATTTAATTATTTTACTTCCTTTGTTAATATTCTTTTTTCCACAGAGATATTATTTTTATTTTTAGTCTTATTCTTATACATTTTTTGTTGCTATTGTCAATGAAATTTTTTTCTTAACCAACTTTCAACACATCACTAATGGCATAAAGAAGCTTTAAATTTGAGTAATGCCTTCCCATTTAAAACTTTGTTAAGTTCTGTTATTTCTAATCATTAGTAGATTCTCTTGGATTTACTATATGCACTAATCATACTAACTACAAATATAAACAGTTTTACTTCTCCCCTTCTAAGCCTTATTACTTATTTCTTTTTCCCGTCTTATTACATTTCCTAGCACCTCCTGTAAAATGTTGTATAGAAGGAATAATGTTTGACATCCTTGTAATATTATTTACTATAAAATGGGAATGTTTACAATTGTTTATATAGTACCTTTACTTGTAGCAATGTTAGTTTTTCTTGACATACATGATCCCCACTTAGATTCCTTTAAAGGAAATTATTAATGATTTATTCAATATATATTACTCTATTTATTCTAAATTCAAGGTTAACATGTTTACAATTTTACCTTAGTGAGAGACTGCTCATAATTAAGAAATCATGCATAAAATCACTCAGTATCAGCTGTTACCATGACAGTCACTCAAAATTTGATATATATATATGTAATTTCCCCAACAAAAACCTCTTCACTATATTTTTCCTTAGTGAATCTTCCCCTATAGATATACTTTTCATAAGAACATTAAGAAAATAGTTTAATCAAATAATTCCCATTCCATAATTTTTTTATTTTAATTTTTTTAAACAGGAATAGTGGATACCTGAAAGGCATTTGGGAATGTGAACTCAGAGACTGTGAAAGGCAAAAACAAGGTAAAACTCTGGCTGTGCTTCAGATGTTTCTGTGGCATTCATTCAAAACTAAATATGTGACAGGTACCATCCAAGACTATAATACTGTAAATCTGATGGGAGCAATCTAGGTAATTTTAATATCTAGTGAGGATTAGGGACTCTGGTTAAGCCAACAAAGCTGATGACTATTTATATCCAACTACAGTTGCAAAAAAATGGCAGTTCCTTCCTCAATTTCCTGTTATCTAGCTGTAAAAGTAAGAGCCTGGGGCCAAAAGCTCTCTAACGAAGAAAAGCAAACTGAAATCTCTACTCATCTCCACTCTTTCCGAATTAAATACTAGTAATTTCTCTCACCTTCTCACAAAAATAACCCTTCTCATAAAAATAAGCAAATATGCAGTGACATAAACATACACAATATCCTTGCTTTGCTTTTTCATTCTTGGTAACTGCTTTGCAGAATTATGTACTAGAGTCAGATAAAATTGAAGGGAAAAGTAGTGAGATATGAGAAATGTCTAGTCTGTGCCCTACCATTGCCTTCACTCAAGGCCCTCCCTCTTATTCTTTCTGCTATGACTTTCTCCATTCCAAAGAGTTTATTGCAAATACGGAAAATATGGTATTTCTAGATACCAAATTAGGCCTATTATCTCCAAGTGGTAATATATACTTGAGAAGTGCTTGAAACAAATCTTCACAAGGATGTTAATGCTAAATGTGGCCTTTATGGATCATCTCTTACTCCAGAGAGCTGCATTTAAGAGTAAAATAATAGTATTTGCATAAAGTTTTACAAATTTACAAAGTGCCTCCAAAAACATCATTTTATCCTCCTCCAATCCATTTTCAAAAGATAAAATGCAGTCTCAGAGAAGGCATATAGATTTCCAATAAGTGAAAAACTGATTTCCCAATCCAAATTCCCAATGATTTCCTGAATTCTATACTATCTTAGTTCAAATGATTAGCTGACGGGGAAATTTCAGCATATTATGTCATAAAGGGAAGTAGAATGGGAGTAGGGCATACCGGCAAACTTCTAATAAGCCTCAGTGCTTGAATATCCTTTGTGCTTTGCAACTGAGTTCTTGGGAACTTTGGACAAGTAGCTCTTTATAAAGTGAGAATGAGAAATAGAAGGATTAATACGAGTTGCCTAGGATGGCAAGTGAACAGGACTCAGATGGCCAATTATATTTTTTCTTCCATTTATCATGGGATATAAAAGGAGAAATTATTCCATCAAATATGGTATTCTAAAAAACCAACTCCGGGCAAGTCAATTTAATTTGACATTTACATTTAACACTGCTCAGCATCCAGTCATTTGCTATTACTTAACAGACTGCAAATTTTAAAAGTGCTTTGTAATAACCCCTGTGATTGAATTGTTGTTCTGCCAGCTTTAATTGACACTCTTGCACCTAAGGATGTACAGTTTCTTCAGTATTAATTCCCTTGGTATTTAATTAATTTGCAAGGAATGAAGTCTCATGTTCATAGACTTGAAATGCATCAAAGAGATACATTAATCTATTTTTATATAGCATTTGTTGATGGGCAGAAAGTCTCTCCCAGTTGCTGAGTCAGGTTATGTCAACCCAACATTTGCCGAAACAGCTAGCATGTGATGCCTGCTCGATACAGTGTCTCCTCAGTAACAGCTTAAATTAGAAAATACATAGCATCATATTGAGAGACCGGTGATCACTACAGCATCTTAAAACTTCAGTAGTACCCATATTAAATCATCAAAAACAAAGATATTTTGTTCTTTCAGTTATTTATTGGTGTGTGTATTTATTCTGAAATCAGTTGCCTCTATAGCACAGTGGTTCTCCATGAACAATAAGCATTAGAATTGCCTGTGAAACTTAGAAACTTCACATTCCCAGAGATTCAGTGGGTCTGGCTGGGATTCATGCATCACTATTTAAAAAATAGGCTAAAGATTACTGCCAATTTTATGTCAGTTAGCAGAAAAATTGGAAGAAGAAATGCACACTGGAGTTCTCTGTAGCGGTTTAACTTGATTTCTCTTAATTCAATTATTTAAGATTAGATTGCTATAATTGCTATAATTGCTATATATTCAGTATTATTCTCCAAGGAACGTATCTTCTGGCAAAATATAAAAACTAAACAACAGTAAACATATATTGATAAGTGGACATACACAAATTTTGTTTAAATGTAGCATGAATTACTGTTCAAATGTTCTGATTTGAGTTGATTTGATTTTATTTGAAATCATGAAAAGAATATCCTACTGGCAACATTAAATTCCTAACATTTTGTTCAACTTGATGTTCTTTCTCATAAAAAATGCTTACCATAAAAAAACAGAGATATTCATGAAAATTAATAAAATAAAAAAGAGGCTTCTTACTTTGGACTAAAATTGATCTTATATTTTAGAAAAACTTGCTTCCACAACACAAATTAAAACTTTTGATGAAGTAAACTAAGACATCTTTCTGAGCCTGTTCTGGTTTCAAGTACTTACAAAGCCAAGAAAAAAAATACATACTTCTGTTATATTTTCTATAGTTTCTAGCATCTGAAGTTATTACAGTCATGTAGAGCTGTCAGCTTCATCTGATTTTTCATGGTTTTTATTAAGATCCATGGAAATAAAATTGAACACCTCTGTAAAGTAAAACAAGCTTTTTATCATGAAGGAAGGTATATTTTTAAGTTATTTTGCCATTTGTCTTTTCCATATCCTGAGGTATATGCCTATCACAGGGTAAGCAGATATTGCCATATATATGCTCACCTGCATCCCAGGATTCATCCAATTGACTTGTTTCTCTTAGATAAACCTAAAGTCATTGGATTTGTGATTGCCAGGAAATAAAAGGCAGAAAGGCTCCATTTTTCAAATAGTCATCACTGCAAAACGTAGGAAAAACTCAATTCTTCTGTTTCCCAGATAAAAATGTCACCATGATTTCCCTTGAGCATGCAGAAGGTTAAACAAAGCTGCAGTTGACCACAAACATAAACAGTGGAAAAAACCAACAGATTTTCAAAAAAACATAATAACCCCTTCATATTTTCAGGCAAAAGCTCTAAGGAGAAATAAAGTTAATTTAAATGGTTGCCAATTACTGTAGTGCTATACTTACTCAGTCATAGGCTACTCTAGATTTGAAGTTGATAGGACTTTGATTGAAAATAATAAATTATTTTGCATATATCTATTAAGTTATTCATTCAAAACTTATATTTAAAATCTTACTCATGTGCAAAACAGGTATCAGCAATGGCTATGTTTCCAGCTCAATCAAAGCTACATATAAGAACCTATAGATGACAATAAACAGATTAAACTGTGAAATTAGAGAAGTGGCCCCAATCTTCTCATTGCTTTCTAAGTTGCATCCTCTTTCCCCTTAAAAGTAACATGTGACTTCCCTCTTTCAGACCTTTTCCCTTATGAAAAAATAAAAAGGCTCAATGTCATCTGGCCAATATCGCAATCATACTGGAATAAAGTCTCCAAAATCCTTTCATTTTTGTATTTTGTGGTGTAAAATGGAAAAGAATTTCAGGCAAAACTGAGTAAATGAAAATTTATTGAATGCTGTATCTTAAGTATGTGTAATTTTTTATATAACAATAACTCAATAAAGTCACTTTAAAAGCTGTGAGTATATGAAGAAGATATCTTTTAGAGACAGAAGTCCTTTCCCTTATGTATAAAATCACATAATGTCTTATAGGCTGATAATGAAGATTCATCTACTTTCATTGTTTTAGGGTGCCTAGTCAAAATGGACTCAAGTTCTCCCCTTCTCTCATCCCTCCCTTAATCCTAACTAACAGTTTAACTTTTATTTCCTACAGAAATTCTAAATGCCAGAATTCAAGCTGCATTCACAACATTCCACAACATTACCCTCTCTCCATTCTGAGTCCCAGTGACCTGTGACTTCTCAGAGCAGAAGATACAGGAAAAGGTCAATTCTTCTGTTTCCCAGACAAAAATGTCACCATGATTTCTATTGAGAGTGCAGAGGGTTAAAAAAAAAGCACACAATCCATGCATTTGGCCTGAAACCCGGTGGGTAACCATTGCAGAGATGGTTCTCATCAAAGATTTATTTATAGACTAAAAGGATGAAGAGTTCTCTGAGCTTAGAGAAAAGACAACAGCAGAGTACAGGGCCTTGGGCTATCAGGAGCTGAAAGTAAGGAAACCATAGCTTTGACAAGGCAGCAACTGTCCTGTTTAAGAATAGAGCTCTTAAGTAGGCCTGTCTGGGCCTCTTTATGCCTCATCTGCAAAATGAGTTTTACAGAGTTTCCTCATCTGTAAAATAGAGATAATAAAATACCTTTCCTGGATTGTTATAAAGATTAAATGAAATAATTGCAAAACATATAGAAAGAACTTAATAATGTAGACCATAATGAGTGAGAAATTAGAATCAAAATATTTTGAAAATTTAATGTTTATGTGAATTACCTGGGGATATTATTAAAAATGAGAATTGAATTCCATAGATCTGAGATGGGGTTTGAGATTCTGCATTTCTAATAAACTCCCAGGTAATACCAACATGGTTCGTTTATGGACCACATTTTGAGCAGCAAGTTTTTAATGTATATTAACATGCTGTGGAGGAAAATAATGCACAATTTCTGGGAAATCTAATTGCACTGATATAGACAGGTCGTAAGCATTAGAAAAATAAAAGAAAAAGAGATGTCCATTTAGCTATACAAAAGCAATCCCTAATTATCATGTGATACAGTATCAGTAAATATAGTAGTGTCAGATTAATTTTATCATACTTTATTTTAAAAGTAAATCTGGCCAGATATGGTAGCTTAAACCTATGATTCCAGCACATTGGGAGGCTAAGGAAGGAGGATTACTTGAAGCCAGGAGTTCAAGAACAGCCTGGGCAGCAAAGCAAGACCCTGTCTCTATAAAAAACAAAAAAATGTTTTAAAAATTAGCTGAGCATGGTTCTGTGGGCATGCAGTCTCGGCTACTAGAGAGGCTGAGGTCAGAGGATCACTTGAGCCCAGGAGTTCAAGGCTGCAATGAGCTATGATCACACCACTGCACTTCCCCATCTTTTTCTAAAAAGAGTAAATTCTATATATAAATATTAATATTCATATATATGGCTTATTGGAGCATACTTGATGATTTTGGCATGATGATCCTGACATACACTTTTAACAGAAGAGACATTAGATACTCATCAATTCAACTATTCAATTCAATAAGACAATATTAGAATTCGAATTACTTAATTCAATTGGACTATAATATGTTAAGGACTGTGCTAGGTCCTTAGTTTAGTTTCAAATATGGGGGAACCAAAAGGTCATGATATAGAGAAGACATAAACAGTAGATTAATTAACAGATTAGCACATATATCATTTGAAAAGATAAACCAGGAGAAGGTCAAAGAAAGAAGCCTGTGCCAACAGCTGCATTGCCAGGGTCTGACCTGCAGACCCAGGCTGCATGATGGATGAATAACATACTCAGACTCCGATATTCAGTGAAAGAGCTGCTATGGGGCTGGGCCACTCACAGAAACAGTTGTGGCAGCCGTGCCCTGACTAGCTGGCCCTGCGGACATTTATTCAGCATAGATTTAATGACAAAGGCTTTGAGTCAACACACCTGTAGGTAATTAATCTGATCACCCTCCCCCAGAGAGATCAGTTCTGCCTGCAAAAGGTCAGTCTTAGGATCACATGTGTAAACAAGCTCTTTAGATAAACTCCCTTATATTCCTTTGTACCTACTCTAAGCTATTAACTCAAGGTAAGAGGATTAGGCCGCCTTCAGCCAAATCTTTTACTGAAGCTATGCAAACCTCCCAGCCTTCCAAAAAGATTTGTGTCTATTTCCTATAACTTTATAATTTTTCCCACCCCTCAGACCGGACTCCAACCCTGCATGTAGTCAGCCTGCAAGCTGGTCTGCAATGATCCTTGAAATACTCTGCTTTTTCTTAAGCTGACCTGAAGAAGTCTCCATTCTTTGCAAACTCTTTAGAATACTTGTTATTTTCCAATACCCATCCATTTGAGTTAACTACTGACTAAAATTCTGGCTTTCAGACATCCCCAATAATTTCAAATGCCTATGTTATGTTAAGAGAGTCACAGATATTTTCTCATCAGGAAAAATAGTGCTTATTTTAAAGTGTTAACTCTCAAAATGAACATGAACAACCACAGCCATCTGCATGCCATGTTCCTCTGCTGTCTGTTTCTAAGAGTTTCCAAACTAAAGCATAGAAGTAAGGGGGAATTTTGTATTTTGACAGAGATAACTGGGAGATGAAAACCAGGGAAAGGGGCAAATTATTAACAACAAAAAAACAGCTATGGTAAAATGGCATAACACATTCACAGTCACTAGTAACAGAAACAACAATCAAAAGGCACGTGTGTCTTAAGCTCAGCAAAAATCATATGCAAATATGATAACTTTTATACACATGTAATTTTAAATTATTATTTTGGATTATTTATACTATTCTTCCCCAGCATTAGCTCAGAAAATTAAGCTGTTTATATGCAAGTAATAATAAGACTGCCAGCACATTAAGATTTTAGAATATCTTCAGCAAATTTGTGACAAGGGTACTAAATTATCTGGTTATCACAGTTACATATTAATCATATGAAAAGCTTATGACTTGGAACACCTTTCAGTTCTTACCTTATTAAGCCTCTGAGTAGCATGCAGCAAAGCTGACTATACTCTTCTTTGTGAAATACTCTCTTCTATTGGTTTCCATGACAATACTTTCCTAATTTTTCTCCTATTGCTTTAATCCTCCAATTCTTTAACTTCTTTGCAGGCTTCTTCATCTCTACATGACCACTAAATGTTGGCACTCCTCTGGGCTCAGTACTAGGTCCTCCTCTTTCTAATACTGATTTGTTTTCCCATAGCCTTAAAAAGCCTCTAAATTCTGACAAAGACTAAATTTACTTCCAGGCCAGTACTTTCCTTTAAGCTCCATATTGATAACGCCACTGATTTGCTTTGCTTTGCAAATCTGTCTTACAGTCATCTTACAATTATCATTAAACTCAATATGTCTGAAAGGGAACTTGGGCTCCCCTCTCTTTTCCAAGACTGTTCTCCTTCCAGGCCTTCTTATATCTCTAAATAGCACCTCCATGCACCCAGTTGTTAATGATCAGAAACTAGGAATACTGTTGATGTCTATTTCTCCATGTCAAATCCTTACATTCTCCCCCTAATACTTACTGGATTTTGGTATTTATTTATTTATTTATTTATTTATTTATTTATTTATTTGAGACAGGGTCTCAGGTCTCGCTCTGTCACTCAGGCTGGAGTGCAGTGTTGCAATCATGGCTTGCAGTAGCCTTGACCTCTTGGGTCAAGGATTCTCCCATCTCAGCCTCCCAGGTAGCTGAGACTACAGACGCTCGCCATACCGCCCAGCTATTTTTTTGTATTTTTAGTAGAGACAGGGCTTCTCCATGTTGTCCAGACTGGTCTTCAATTCCTGGGCTCAGGCAATTCACCTGCCTCGGCCTTCCAGAGTGCTGGAATTACAGGCATGAGCCACCACACCTAGCCTGGATTTTTACTTGTACTAAAGTTGTTCAGACATATGCCATAGGATAGTTTTATAACATTTATTCCATAGCAAGTAACACCCTACTCCTTTCCACCATCACCTCTATTTGCAACTCTTCTAGCTGATTGTTTTTGTATTTACCTGTATTATTCTCAATAACATAAAAAATACTGATTTTCTACTATGGATGCCTACAATTTGACTTTCTTTGCCCTTTACTAATCTCCCTTTTCTCCCTCTCTCCCCCTTTCCCTTCCTTCCCACCCCACCACCCCCCGCCCCGCACTCTCTTGCCTGCTCTCTCACATATACACACACTTTTCTTCAATAATTTTGCTATATCATTACTCAATGTTTAAACTACACACAGCCAAGCCATGTAAAATACTATGTATCTTTTCCATTTTGGTAAATTTTTCCTATTGTTAGTAATTACCTTGTTTTATTCATCGGCATAATTTTTATGTACCAAACCTTCCAAACTGTTATTAATTTATGTGTTTTCATAACCATATTTTTTAAATTTAAAGGTTTTTTTAATTCCCTGAAAATTTTAAAACATCATTTTCTTTTTTTCCTGGTTGTAAAACATGCTTTTACCTTTCTGAGAATATATGCATTTTAAATGTAAGTTTTGCATTTCTGCCTGCTCTTTGGTTCCCCCATGTTGTCATCAGGATTTAAGTTTTGTCATTAGATTATTTCCTTAGATATCTGCTAATCCTGATTATATGGGTATACTTAAGAGCAAGGACTGAAAGCTAACTAGAAGCTCTTGGTTCGTGGGTGAGGCTTGTGCACTGTAAGCTTTAGTGTAGGATGATTTGGCTGCTCTTTTTTCCTTTAGGGAAATTTGATAGCAATACATTCATATCTTTCCTCTTGGGATGGTCAATTTTATTCTACTTTTTATTTCCAATGAAAAAATATCCAGTCTTTTACTGATTGTGGGAGGACAATTCCCCTTTCCTGAGGCAGAAGCGGGGCTTCAGGATTCTAAGTGCTTCCAAAGCACATTTCTGACCAATCTTCCTTATTTTATATTCTAGCACCTGGCTTCCATTCTCTCTTCCAGAGGTAACTAGTAGAGCTAATTTATGAGTCTTTTGCAGATTGTACTGTGTTAAGTTAGTTAATAGCTTTCTCAAATTCTCCTTTGTGGTTCTGTTTTCTTGGGTCTGCTAAGGGATTTATCAATTGTCTATTTCCTTTCTAACTTCCAATAGTTTTTTACTGTTGCAGTCTCATGTTCTCCATATGTTTGTGCCTTTTTAAAAAAGTTCTTTACTATCATTTTCATCAGGATAGGGGCCAGTTTAGATTTGTGTCCTCAAT
Organism: Homo sapiens; assembly: GCF_000001405.40. Taxonomy (NCBI): domain Eukaryota; kingdom Metazoa; phylum Chordata; class Mammalia; order Primates; family Hominidae; genus Homo; species Homo sapiens. The sequence goes on along the minus strand of NC_000006.12, from coordinate 77,777,082 downwards.
ATACTAACTTTAATGCAAAAGCTTCCAGTGTATACTTTACCCCCAGTATATATTTTAGGTGCATACATATCTCCATTTCTACTTACAGCACCAAAATAAGCCACTATCCACTCTCACCTGGACTACTACATAGCATAAGTTGTTTCTCTTGCTACCTCTTATCTCTTGCTAATCAATTATCCTAATGCTATTCAAAGTAAAGTTTTAAAATCTAAAACAATCAATGACTTGCCATCAAATATCAAATAAAACCCAAACTCCTTGCCATGACCTAGCTAGTTAAGATGTTTTGTGTTGGCAAGCTGCAGAAAACCCAATTCCAACTACCTTAAATGGTATCAAAATGCACTGACTCATATCATTGGAAATCCAGAAACTACAGAGGCTTCAGGGTTGACTTAACATGGCTCTGGCTTGGATTTACTTTGATTCTCTAGGTTTTATCCTTCTTTATGTGGCTGCTTATCCTTTCAGATGGCAGCAAGATAACTGTAAGAGTTCCAGTTTTACATCCTTCACAAGAGAGTAGCCAGAGAAAGAAATAAAAGTTGCCTCTCATAATCTTCCAGAGAATGAGGAGAAAAGTTCCCAGAAGCCTGAAGGAAGCCATTTCTGGGGCCTCACCGGACTGAAATGCACCAAGTTTCTATACCTGGCAAAGGAGATTAAATTAGAATTATCCTTAGACCAAGAAGCTCTGTGGGTAGCGGCATGGCCTATTTGGAAGAAGGCATAGATATTTTATTAAAATCAAAGGGTAAGAGTCAAAATTAATACTGGTTAGGTATAGTAAGCAGAAAAAAAGCCCTCAAAAGATATCCACATAAAGTCCCTAGAATCTGTGATTGTTACCACTTTATTTAGAAAAAGAGTCTTTGCTTCTACACAGCAAAAAAACAAAAACAAAAACAAAAACAAAAAAAAAACAATTAGCAGAGTAAACAGACATCCCAGAGAGTGGGAGAAAATCCTTGCAATCTATACATCCAACAAAGGACTAATAGCCAGAATCTACAATGAACTCAAACAAATCAGCAAGAAAAAAAAATCCCATCAAAAAGTGGGCTAAAGACATGAATAGACAATTCTCAAAAGAAGATAAACAAATGGTCAACAAACATGAAAAAATGCTCAACATCACTAATGATCAGGGAAGCGCAAATCAAAACCACAATGCAATACCACCTTGCTCCTGCAAGAATGGCCGAAAAATAGAAAAATAATAGATGTTGGCATGGATGCAGTTAAAAGAGAACAGTTTTACACTTCTGGTGGGAACGGAAACTAGTACAACTGCTATGGAAAACAGTTTGGAGATTCTTTAAAGAACTAAAAGTAGAACTACCATTTGATCCAGCAATCCTACTACTGGTTAACTACCCAGAGGAAAAGAAGTCACAATAAAAGTCACATACACAAAAAATACTTACACATGCATGTTTATAGAAGCACAACTTGCAATTGCAAATATATGAAACTGGCCCAAATGCCCATCAATCAACAAGTAAATAAAGAAATTGTGGTATATAAATATACCATGAAATACCACACAGCCATAAAAAGGAATGAAATAATGGCATTCACATCAACCTGGATGGTATTGAAGACCATTATTCTAAGTGAAGTAACTCAGGAATTGAAAACCAGACATTGTATGTTCTCACTCATAAGTGGGAGCTATGCTATGAAGACGCAAAGGCGTAAGAATGATACAACGGACTTTGGGGACTCGGGGGAAAGGGTGGGAGGGGAATGAGAGAAAAAAGACCACACACTGGGTACAGTGTACACTGCTTAACGGGAAAACCAAAATCTCAGAAATGACGACTAAAGAACTTATTCATGTAACCAAACACCACCTGTTCCCCCAAATCCTATAGAATGATAGAAGAAAGAAAAACGGTCTTTGCAGAGATGATTAAATTAAGAATCTGAGATGAAGAGGTAATCCTGAATTGTCCAGGAGGTCCCTAAATGCCGTCGCAAATATTCTTGTAAGAGAGAGGCAGAGAGATATTAGACAAATGGTGGAGATTATGTGAAGATGGAGCAGACAGAGATTCAGCCACAAGTCATGAAATGCTGGCTGACCCTAAAAGATGTTAAGAGGCAAGGAAAGATTCTCCTTTCATGCTACAGGAAGATATGTGGCCCTGTATACACTGTTATTTAAGAATCCTGGCCTCAGAACTGTGAGAGAATATATTTCTGTTGTTTTAAGGCACTAGTTTGTGGTAATTTGTTACAGCAGCCATAGAAAACTAATACAGTAGGCAACATACCAATCCTTTCCAGTCTATATTTTTCTAAACTATTATGAGTAAAGAGTAGAGAGCTGCAGCTCTCTACCCTTCTCTTTCTCAAACTGAAAACACTGCTTCCTTTCAAATATTCAAATAACATCCTGGCTCAGGCATATATGCTATGATAACTGTCTTAGAATGACATGTTAGACCACAAAAATTCTTACTCCAACTCTACCTACTTAACTTCCTCTCATCCTGTTTAAAAGCTACTTCCTGCATTAGGCCTTCTATGTCCCAACAATCTAATTAGGTCCTCGCTTACCAGCCTTTGGTAAACATCATTTTACTCTCTATCTCTATGGATTCAACTGTTTTAATTTTTAAATGCCACAAATAAGTAAGAACATGTGAAGTTTGTCTTCCTGGGCCTCACTTATTTCATTTAAAATAATGGCCTCCAGTTCCATCAATGTCGTTGCAAATGACAGGATCTCATTCTTTTTTTACGGCTGACTACTACTTCATTCTGTGTATGTACCACATTTTATTTATCCATTCGTCTGATGATGGACACTTAGATTGCTCCCCAGTTTTAGCTATTGTGAATAATGCTGCAGTATACATGAGAGTGCAGATATCTCTTTGATGTACTGATTTCCTTTCTTCTGGGTATACACCTAGCAGTGGGGTTCCTGGATCATTTGAAGTTCTATTTTTATTCTTCTGAGAAACTCAAACTGTTCTCCATAGTGGTTGTACTAATTTACATTTACACCAACAGTGTACAAGGGTCTTTTTTTCTCCACATCCTCACCAGCAGTTGTCATTATCTGTCTTTTTAATAAAAGCCATTTTAATTGGGGTAAGATTACATCTCATTATCGTTTTAATTTGCATTTTCCTGATGATCAATGACATTGAGGACTTTTTCATATACCTGTTTGCCATTTGTATTTCTTTGGAGAAATGTCTATTCAGATATTTGCCCATTTAAAAATCAGATTATTAGATGTTTTTCTTACAGAGTTATTTGAGCTGCTGATATAGTCTAGTTATTAGTCCCTTGTCAAATGAGTAGTTTACAGATATTTCCTCCCATTCTGTGGGTCATCTCTTCACTTTCTTAATTGTTTTCTTTGATAGGCAAAACTTTTTAACTTGATGTAATCCAATCTGTCCATTTTTGCTTTGATTGCCTTTGCTTGTGAGGTATTACTCAAGAAACCTTTGCCCAGACCAATGTGCTGGAAAGTTTTCCCAATGTTGCTTCATAGTTTGAGATTTTAATTTTTAATCCACTGTGATTTGATTTTTGTATATGTTGACAGATAGGGGTCTAGTATCACTCCTTTACATATAGATATCCAGCTTTCCCAGTACCATTCACAGAAGAGACTGTTCTTTCTCCAGTGTATGTTCTTGCCACCTTTGTCAAAAATGAGTTCACTGTAGATGGGTAGATTTATTTCTGGGTTCTCTATTTTGTTCCATTGATTTGTATGTCTGTTTCTATGTCAGTACAACACTATTTTGATGACTACAGCTCTCCAGTATAGTGGTAATGTGATTCCTCCATCTTTGTTCTTTTTGCCCCAGATACCTTTGGCTATTCTGGGTCTTTTGTGGTTCTATATAAGTTTTAGGACTATTTTTTCTATTCTGGTGAAAAATGCCATTAGTATTTTGATAGCGATTACAATGACTCTATAGATTGCTTGGGGTAGTATGAACATTTTAGCAATATTGATTATTCCAATCCATGAACATGAAATATATTTTGGTTTTTGTGTGTTTCCTCTCCTATTTCTTTCATCAGTGTTTTACAGTTTTCATTGAAGACATCTTTCTCTTCTTTATTCATAGGTCTTTTATTATATTTGTAGCTGTTGTAAATGGCATTACTTTCTTGATTTCTTTTTAACATTTTTCACTGTTGGCATATAGAAATGCTAGTGATTTCTCTTTGTTGATCTTGAATCCCACAAATTTACTAAATTTGTTTTCAGTTCTTACAGTTTTCTTGTGGAGTCTTTGGATATTTCCAAATAAATGATATCATCTACAAACAAAAATAATTTGAATTATTCCTTCCCAATCTGAATGCACTTTATTTCTCTTGTCTGATTGTTCTAGCTAGAATTTCCAATACTATGTTGAAGTGCATATCCTTGTTGTCTTCCAGATCTTAGAGGAAAGGCTTTCAGTTTTTTCCCATTCAGTATGATACTGGCTGTGGCTCTGTCAAATATGGCTTTTATTCTGTTGAGGTATATTACTTCTATTAATATATCCAGTTTATTGACAGTTTTAATCCTGGAGGGATACTGAAGTTTATCATATGCTTTTTCCACACCAATTGAAATAATCATGTTTTTTGTCATTCATTCTGATAATATGATGTATCACATTGATTGATTTGTGTATGCTGAACCATCCTTGCATCCTGGGTTAAATCACACTTGGTCATGATGAATGACCTTTTTAATGTGTTGTGGAATTTGGTTTGCTAGATTTTTGTTGAGGATTTTGTAACAATGTTCATGAGGGATACTGGCCTGTAGTTTTCTTTTTTTTTTTTTTGATGTGTCTTTGTCTGGTTTTGCTTTCAGGGTAATATTGGCCATTTAGAATGAGTTTGGAAGTATCTTCTTCTCTATTTTTCAGAAGAGTTTGAGCAGGATTGGTATTAGTTCAAAATTAAATGTCTGATAAAATTCAGAAGTGAAGTCACTGATTCCAGGATTTTCTTTACAGGGAGACTTTTTAATTTCACCATTAATTATCTTTTTATTTCACTTTAATGTTATTTTATGATAGTCACAAAAAGAATGATGTATAAAATAATAATGTAAATTTCTATAATTAGAATTTCAGGTGTATAATTTTCTCTTAACTTTTATTTTAGGTTTAGGGGTACAGGTGCAGGTTTGTTATATAAGTAAACTCATGTCATGGAGGTTTGGTGTACAGATTATTTTATCACCCAGGTTCTAAGCACAGTGCTCAATAGGTATTTTTTCTAGTCTTCTCCCTCCTCCTACCAACCACCATACAGTAGGATCCAGTGTCTATTGTTACCCTCCTTGTGTCCATGTGTGCTTGTTATTTAGCTCCCATTTATAAGTGAGAACATGTAATATTTCATTTCTGTTGCTTTGTTAGTTTCCCAAGGATAATGGTCTCCAGTTCCATCCATGTTGCTGCAATGAACATTATCTCATTCTTTTTATGACTGCATAGTATTCCACAGTGTATATGTACCATATTTTCCTTATCCAGTTTACTGTTAATGGGCATTTAGGTTGATAACATGTCTTTGCTACTGTGAATAGTGCTACAATGAACACATGCATGCATCTGTCTTTATAGTAAAATAATTCATATTTCTTTGGGTATATACCCAATAATGAAATTTCCAGGTAAAATAGTAATTCCTTTTTAGTTCTTTAGAAAATCACCACAATACTTTCCACAATGGCTGAATTAATTTACACTCCCCCCAACAATGTATAAGTGTTTCCTTTTCTCCACAACCTTGCCAGCATCTGTTTTTTTCTGATTTTTTTAATAACAGCCATTCAGACTGGTTGAGATGGTATCTCATTGTGGTTTTGATTTGCATTTCTCTAATGATTAGTAATGTTGAGCATTTTTTTCATATGCTTGTTAGCCACATGTATGTCTTCTTTTGAAAAGTGTCGATTCATGTCCTTTTCCAACTCGTAATAGTGTTGTTTGTTTTTTGTTTGTAAATTTGTTTAAGTTCCTTATAGGCTCTGGATATTAGGACTTTGTCAGAGCACAGATTGAAAATATTTTCTCCCTTCCTGTAGGGTGCCTATTTACTCTGTTGATAGTTTATTTTGCTGTGCAAAAGCTCTAAAGTTTAATTTGATCCCATATGTCAATTTTTTCTTTTGCTGCAATTGTTTTTGGTGTCTTCAGCATGAAATTTTCACCAGGTACTGTCCAGAATGGTATTTCCTAGGTCATCTCCCAGGGTTTTAGCAGTTATTTTTTTTGTTTGTTTGTTTTACATTTAGGTTTTTGGTCCGTCTTGAGTTGATTTAATGAATAGGGAGTCCTCTCCTCATTGCTTGTTTATGTCTACTTTCTCAAACATCGGATGGCTGGAGGTGTGGAGCATTATTTCTAAGCTCTTTATTCTATTCCATTGGTTTATGTGTCTGTTTGTATACCAGCACCTTGCTGTTTCATTTACTGTAGCCCTATAGTGTGGATCACAGGTAACGTGATGCCTCCAGCTTTGTTCTTTTTGCTTAAAATTGCCTTGGGTATTTGGGCTCTTTTTTGGTTCTGTGTAATTTTTAATTTTTTTTTTGTGAAGAATAAGATTGGTATTTTGACAGGAATAGCATTGAATGTATAAACTGCTTTGGGCAGTATAGAAATTTAAATATTTTTTCCTGTCCATGAGCATTGGATGTTTTCCATTTGTTTGTGTCATCTATGATTTGTTTGAGCAATGTTTCTCATTGTAAACTTTGTATTAGGGCTCCAATCTCATTGCTTGTTATTGGCCTATTCAGGCTTTAAATTTCTTCATGGTTCAATCTTGGTAGGTTGTATATGTTAGGAATTTATATAATTCTTCTAGGTTTTCCAATTTACTGGCATATAGTTGTTCAAAGTAGCTGCTAATGATACTTTGAATTTCTGAGGTATTGGTTGTAATGTCTCTCCTTTTTTGTCTTTGATTATATTTACTTGGGTCTTCTCTCTTTACTCTTAGTCTAGCTAAAGGTTTTTTGATTTTGTTTATCCCAGGTGCTCTCTTGGTGCTCTACCCCACTGCGGCCAAGCTGGTACCAGGCTGCAAGATAAAGACCCCTTTACTCTTCTGTCTCCTTTTCTCAAGCAGAAGTGGTCTCTCCCCAAAGTTACCACAGCTGGGAATGTGCTGGGTCACACCTGAAGCCAACATGGCTCTGGGTCTCACCCAAGGCCTGTGGTAAATACTGCCTGGCTACCAATACTAATTATTCAGGGCCCAAGGGCTGTTTATTCAGCACATGATAAATTCTGCCAGGACTGGGCCCTTCCCTTCAAGGCAATGGGTTCCCTTCTGGCCCATGGTGTGTTTAGAAATGTCATCCAGGAGCTAGGGTCTGGGATGGGGGCCTTAGGAGTCTGCCCGTTGCCTTATTCTACTGTGGATGGGCTGGAATCCAAGTTGCAAAACAAAGTCCTCTTCCCCTCCACCTTCCTCAAGCAGATGGAAGGGGTCTTGGAGGTACAATCTGTACTGCCTGGGGTTGGTGGAGGGGTGACACAAGCACTTCCTTGGTTGTCTCAGCTGGTATCTCACTAGGTTCCATGCACTCCAAGTTCCCTGGCTCCAAGCCCAACACAGCACCAGGACTTGTGCAGGAATTGCAGTCCTTGTGGTCTAGGTTGCCTTTCATGTTTATTTAGAACCCCAGAACACTTTAGCCCATGGTGGCAGGACTTGCCAAAAGTCAGGTTCCAATTGCTAGGATGGATGATTTGCCTCTGGACAGGCCTAGTATAAACATTCCCTCTATGGGCACAAGCTGAGTTCTGCCCCCTGTTGCTTCCCACTGACAGGACAGCACTAAGCTGCAAAGCAAAGTCCCATAATCAGTATGTTCTCTCTACCCCAAACACACAGATCATCTTTCTGTGCCATATGGCCGCTGCCAGGGAATAGGGAAGGGGTGGTGTAGGCAATTCAAGACAGATTTTCTTGCCCTCTTCCATGCCTCTTTCCTTAATGTAATGTTAAAATCAGGTACTATTATAGCTCACCTGATTTTTGGTTCTTATGAAGGTCCTTTCCTGTGTGGACTGTTGTTCAATTTAGTCTTCCTGTGGAGGCAAAGGGGGTACAGCAATTCCTAGAGGCTTGTATTTGGGTATCTTGCTCTGCCTCCTTTGATAGTTTTATTTTTATGTACACACAAGCAAAACCATATAACTTATATTCAATTAGAAACTAAGATGACAAGGCTGTATATGCAATTATAAAGTTTCCAAAAGACTGTTGTTTATAGCCAATAAAAAAGAACAAGAAACAGGTGATCCTATATTGCACCACAGAACAGGACCTTCCTTTTCTTTCTCCTGTTGCTGTCTGTAATTTTTTTTTTTTTTTTGAGATGGAGTCTTGCTCTGTCACCCAGGCGGGAGTGCAGTGACATGATCTCAGCTCACTGCAACCTCTGCCTCCCAGGTCCAAGCGATTCTCCTGCCTCATTCTCCCAAGTAGCTGGGACTACAGGTGCATGCCACCATGTCTGGCTATTTTTTGTATTTTTAGTAGAGACAGGGTTTTCCCACGTTGGCCAGGCTGGTCTCGAACTCCTGACCTCAGGTGATCTACCCACCTCAGCCTCCCAAAGTGCTGGGGTTACAGGCGTGAGCCACCGCACCCAGCCCTATAAACATACATTTTTACACATAATATAATTCAGCAATTTAACCAAACCAATGTAAATATTGTCTTTATGAAATTTAGAGAAATGGCACTAAGGTCTTTCATTACCAATGAATATTTTCTTTAACCCATTAACAAAAGTCAGTTTATTTCCTTTGCACTTAGGAAAAAAAAATCTAGAAAACTGTAAAAATTAGTGATGGAAATAGGACATAATATCAAGAGGAAAATATTCAGCATCATATACCTGAACATGAGACCTAGGTCTTCTACTACTGGTTAAGTACTTCCAGTGAGTCCATTAACCTGCCTGAACTCAATTTTCTCATCTATAAACTGAAGATAGTAATAACAACCATGACACAGAGTTGTTGTCTGAACAGATAATAAGTTCCATGTGAAAGTACTTTATAAACTATAAAGCATAATAGGAAGACTGCTATTATTTTAATAAGAGGTATTTAAATGTATAGTATACTTTGAAAGTAAATTGAAGAAAGTTCTGTTCTGTCTCTTCCTCCTTCCTCTGCATGAGCAATGAAAGTTAAACACTGCTTTGAAAATTCAGAAAATGTTTGATTTATATACTGATGCAGTGATCAAAAGAAGTATTAAGATTTTGGTTTATGATACAACTGTTTCAGTAAGTGTTTATCTAATTAAAGTAAAATTGCAGGAACATTAACCCAGATTTTTCCGTGTGTGTGTGTGTGTGTGTGTGTGTGACAGTTTCCTGCTCTGTGGCCCAGGCTAGAGTGCTCTCATGTGATCTGTTCTCACTGCAATCTCTGCCTCCTGGGCTCAAGCAATCCTACCACCTCAGACTCGTGAGTAGCTGGGACTACAGGTGTGCAAGACCATGCCTGGCTAATATTTTTGGAATTTTTGTAGAGACAGGGTCTCACCATGTTGCCAAGGATGGTCTCAAACTCCTGGGCTCAAGTGATCTGCCTGCCTCGGCCTCCCAAAGTACTGGGAATACAGGGGTGAGCCACCATGCCTGACTTATTTATTTATTTATTTATTTATTCATTTATTTATTTATTGAGGGAGTCTCAGTCACCAGGCTGGAGTGCAGTGGTGCAGTCTTGGCTCACTGTCACCTCTGCCTCCCGGGTTCAAGCGATTCTCCTGCCTCAGCTTCCCAAGTAGCTGGGACTACAGGCGCACACCACCATGCCCAGCTAATTTTTGTATTTTTAGTAGAGATGGGGTTTCACAATGTTGGCCAGGATGGTCTCTATCTATTGACCTCATGATCCACCTGCCTAGGCCTCCCAAAGTGCTGGGATTACAGGTGTGAGCCACCGCGCCCAGCCGTTTGTTTGTTTGTTTAATACAGCTATAAGCAAGGATGAAATGACCCTTAACCTTAGACTTCCTTTATATTTCCCAAGGAATATTCTCAAAGCAGAGTGGTTAAGTAACTGGTTAATAGCCATGAACATAAAAAATCTCAAACACAGAGGATAAGGTTGTTGGAAAGTTAGCACAGGAAGAAAAGCCTGTGTTATTACTAAAACAATGTCCTAACTTGCAGCAGAGAAACATACAACAAACACTGCTACCTGAGTAGAATTAAATTAAAAAGTCAACATATTTTACTGGTCAATACAATTACAGCATGAATAAGTTTCAAGATACAACTAAGGGATACATACTAGAAAAAAAACAAAACTGATTTCGACCTGGCATGGTCAAAATCAGGATTTTGATTACAGGCTCACGCCTGTAATCCCAGCACTTTGGGAGGCCGAGGTGGGCGGATCACGAGGTCAGGAGATCGAGATCATCCTGGCTAACACGGTGAAACCATCTCTACTAAAAATACAAAAAAATTAGCCGGGTGTGGTGGCAGGCACCTGTAGTCCCAGCTACTCAGAAGGCTGAGGCAGGAGAATGGCGTGAACCCAGGAGGCAGAGCTTGCAGTGAGCCGAGATTGTGCCACTGCACTCCAGCCTGGGCAACAGAGAGAGACTCCGTCTCAAAAAAATAAATAAATAAATATCTGATTTCATGATCCATCATCTTCAGATTTATCCATAAACTGCCTGAAATGATCTAAGCAAAAATCACTGTGATTGAAGCAAAAACGACAGTACTAGAGGGAATCACCAACTTCAAAATGCTATATCAGAGATGCAACATAGCACAGCTTTATAGGAAGGGACCAGTGGAAAGAGTAATTAAAACCACAACATTCAAATAGTTAAATTTAAAAGGACTTCCCATAATTAAAACAGAAAGAAAAATATCCACTATTCCCTACTAAGCTCATTGGTCAACTGGAAGCTGTAGCTGTGGAAAATAGTGACACAAAGAGATAATATACAGCTTCCTAATATATATGGAGGTGTTTCAGGAATGTCATGGTGTTAATAAGAGCTGCTGCTTAGAAAATCAGCTGATGGTCCCCTTCCTGTGTCCATGTGTTCTTATTGTTCAATTCCCATCTATGAGTGAGAACATGTGGTGTTTGGTTTTTTGTCCTTGCGATACTTTGCTGAGAATGATGGTTTCCAGCTTCATCCTACAAAGGACATGAACTCATCATTTTTTATGGCTGCATAATATTCAATGGTATATATGTGCCACATTTTCTTAATCCAGTCTATCATTGTTGGACATTTGGGTTGGTTCCAAGTCTTTGCTATTGTGCATAGTGCTGCAATAAACATATGTGTGCATGTGTCTTTATAGCAGCATGATTTATAATCCTTTGGGTATATACCCAGTAATGGGATGGCTGGGTCAAATGGAATTTCTAGTTCTAGATCCCTGAGGAATTGCCACACTGTCTTCCACAATGGTTGAACTAGTTCACACCAGGGACTGTTGTGGGGTGGGGGGAGGGGAGAGGGATAGCATTAGGAGATATACCTAATGCTAAATGACCAGTTAATGGGTGCAGCACACCAACACAGCACATGTATACATATGTAACAAACCTGCACGTTGTGCACATGTACCCTAAAACTTAAAGTATAATAATAATAAAATTTAAAAAAAAATAAAATCAGCTGATGGTATTTAAGTTTATGAGGGTATATGAAATATAAGTTGTCACTTCTTCTCATTATCTTATTTTCAATTCAAAAAAATATCTCACGTTGCTGCTACAACAAACTCAACATTGTCTTGGGCATAGTGGAGAAAATAAGATATAATCACTTCCTCAAGAGAAAAGTAACAAAAAGAAACATTTATTAAGTTTTTATATGATGTCAGAAATTATGCTTAGTATTTAGCCCGATGAAGTGGTCACATTTATTACCTACATTTTACAGATGTAGAACTTGGAGGTTAGTTAACTTGTCTAAGGTCATAGCTATTGAGTAAAAGCTTCAGAATTCTAATTCGAGCTATTGATCACTGTGCTAAAAATAATTGAAAACTTGTTCATTTAAGATTCTTATTTTTTGATGTAGACATTCAACCTTATAAATGTCCTTATTACTACTTTTGCTGCATCCCATAGGTTTCGGTAAATTCTGTTTTCATTTTTGTTTGTCTTGAGATACTTTTGAATTTCCCTTTGATTTCTTCTTTGACACAAAGTTTGTTCAAAATTGTATTGTTTAGTTTCTACATACTTGTCAATTTTACCATTTTACCTATTGTTGTTGTATTCTAATTTCATTATATTGTGGTCAGAAAGAAACATCTAGAAAGCTTTTGAACTTCTAAAATGGTTAAGACATGTTTTGTGACCTAAAATTTGATTTATCCTGGAGAACATTCTGTGTGCACTTGAGAAGAATGTGTATTCTTTTGCTGTTGACTGGAAAGTTCTGTATATGTCAATTAAATCCATTTACTCTACAGTGTTGTTCAAGTCAGCTGTTTCTTTATTGATTTTTCTGTCTGGATGTTCCATCCATTATTGTAATTGAGGTATTAAAGTCCACTATGAAGAATAAACTAAGCCAAAAATTAGCAGAAAAAAGAGAATAATAAAGACTGGAGCAAAAAATAAATAGTGAACAACGAAACAGTTTAAAAATAAAAAAAATAAGAGTTTGCTTTTTGAAAAGATAATTGACAACCCTTGGCTAGAGTAAGAAAAGAAAAAGAAGACAAAATCAGAAATCAAAAAGGAGGTATTACAATGGATGGTTTAGACATAAAATGGATCATAAGGGAAGTATTATGAACAATTATATGCCAACAATCTGGATGACTTATAAGAAATGGATAAATTCCTAAAAATATGCAACTTACCAAAACTGAATCGAAAGAAACAGAAAGCCTGAAAAGACCAGTAACAAATAAGGGGATTGAATCAGCAATCAAAAGTCTCCCAACAGGCCGGGTGTGGTGGTTCACACCTGTAATCCCAGCACTTTGGGAGACCGAAGTGGGCAGATCACGAGGTCAAGAAATCAAGATCACCCTGGCCAACATGATGAAACCCCATCTCTACTAAAAATACAAAAATTAGCTGGGCATGGTGGCATGCACCTGTAGTCCCAGTTACTAGGGAGGCTGAGGCAGGAGAATCGCCTGAACCCAGGAAGTGGAGGTTGCAGTGAGCCAAGATTGTGCCACGGCACTCCAACCTGGTGACAGAGTGAGACTCCGTCTAGAAAAAAAAAAGTCTCCCAACAAATAATCTGACGACTACACAGGTGAATCCTACCAAACATTCAAAGAGGAATTGAGAACAATCTTTCTTAAACTCTTCCTGAAAATAAAAATGGCCACTTCCAAACACATTTTATGAGGTCAGGATTACCCTCATACCAAAACCAGGAAGACTCTACAAGAAATGAAAACTTGAGTTTTCATTTCAAACTTGTGATGGTATAGGTGGATCTATAGATGAAATATATATTTCCTATGTCACTTGCCATTGTGCCAACCATTGCTGAACAGTTGGTCAACAGTAGAAGAACAAGTGAATGAATGGCTTTCTTGCACGGGTAATTGCTGCAGTTGGAACCTGAGTTTTGGCAAGTCCTGCCACCATGGACTAAACCATTCTGGGGTTCTAAATAAACACGAAGGGCAACCTAGACCACAAGGACAACAATTTCTGCACAAGTCCTGGTGCTGTGCTGGGCTCAGAGCCAGGGAACTTGGTGTGCATGGAACATAGTGAGATACTAGCTGAGGCAACCAAGGAAGTGCTTATGTCACCCCTCCACAAACCCCAGGCAGCACAGCTTGCACCTCCAAGACTTGGTCCATCTGCTTGAGGAAGGTGGAAGAAAGAGAAAAGAGGACTTTCATTCACAAGTTTATGTGTAGTTTATTCTACACATTATCCTCCTTCCATACAATTCCCAAGGCTACTCTTGTATAGGTTTAAGTCATATCAACCTCCAATACATATATGAAGGCAAAGACTAGACTGGAAAAATATTTGCATCATTCAGTAATTCTGATATGGACTATAAATGCCAGTATCTTCAAGGTTCCAAGTTACATAAAGACTGCTTAAAGTAGTGTTTAAAAAGAAAGCAAAAGTATAAAAAGAAGTTTAAAAAATATCAAGTATTTAAGATATTTTCATGGTTTAGAAATGGATTTTATATCTCAGATACAACTATGGCAAATCTGATATTTAATTCCTGATTGACCATGTCCAAAAGAAAAAGATTTCCATTTTCCAGACAGAAAATTCAATATCTTTCACAAATGCCGAAGCTTACTCACAAAGTTTTTAAAATATTGATCAAATCATACCTTAATAGAGAAGGAAAGAACAGCTGTACATGAAACAAATTGGTTTATCAGTGCAAATTTTATTCAAAATTTTGAAAACTCAGATAAAGCCTCCACTGTACAAAAACCCTAAATGTTAGATCATAGCACGGAGGCAAATATTTAACAATGATGTATCCAAAGAAACAAGGTCCAATAACCTTTTTCCTACAATGAAATATAGTAAATAAGTTAGATAGACCTTTTAGTTTCTTCTATTATATTTTTGGTAGTCAAATAAAGAGGATTAAAATGTGAAGCCATTTGGAATTTCCCAGAAAAAGGATCAGATATTAAAGAAGGCAGAAATAATATGAAAAAGAAATTCTCTATCATGTCTCAAGAGCCAAACAACAAAACAACTTCAGGTTATCTCAATGTCACTTGTTAAGAAAGAATCCCTGAGTAAATCTTTCTAAGCCATGTTAAATAAATAAATAAGTAAGGAAATAAAACATAATAAAGCTTTATATTATGTGCTCCTTAGCCAATTTATTCAATTCACCTACATCTGCAGAGGGTCCATGGGGCATTTATCACTTACAAGGGAAAGGCCAAAAGAAGAGAAAAATATTCTTCAACCCCAAGGCATTTGCTAGTCAATGCCAGAAAAAGAGCAAATTCAATACAGTACAGATAATCCATCATGAGGAATTTAACACTCACAGACGTTAAGTTTGGAAAACCTTATTTGTTAGCAGTTTTCTCAAAAGTTTTGAGACTTTTTGAATAAGAAATAGAAACAGAAAAGGGAAAACATAAGAATAAAAGAATCCAAGGGTGCTGATAATAAAACAGAGAAAGTAATTCAAAGCAGAGCAGAACAAGTTTGAAGCAAAGGCATCTATGCAGAAAACTATGCTGTAGCAATCAGAGGCTAGAAGTGGAGACATCATGACAGATAAGAGCTGCAGACAGCTGCAGAAAAAGACCCAATAAGGGATTCCTTGAGCCACAAGGCTAAGGGACAACAACAGACATTACCCAAAGAGATGTTCACTAAAATTACTAGCATTTTAGGAATAAAAGAGGGATTTATTACTCACCTGATTTATATGATTGTTTCCTAAAATAGCATGTAGTAGGGTTTTCTCAAATTCTTCCAACTTCTTGGAACACTTTTTAAGAATATGACTAGATAAGTTATAGTCACTGATCAGACTAGCTAAAGTACCAACAGCTTCTGTCCAAAATCTTGAAAAAGGAAGTTTGGGATTACGGTAAAAAGTGATCAGGCCATCCAGCAATTGAAAAACAGAATCAGAGACTGTGGAAGAGTCTTTTTCAAAGTGGGTTAAGTCTCTTTTAAGATTACCTGATTCTGTCAAGTTCTTTAATTCAAGTAGATATTGCAAGAATTGCATGTGAGAAGACAAAGGATTTTGCAGGATAGCACAAGGTCTTTTCACAAGAGGCAGTGGTGGAAAGTGAGTGGGGGTACAGCTTTCCACAAAGTGCTGGGACAGGTCTGAGGATTCAGTTCTCTGCTCATTCGACAAATCACATCCAGAATCTTCCATCGAAGTTAATGTACTTTCAGAACTCTTAGGTTCCTGAGCCTCCAACTGGGAGGAAACGTATCCTGAAAAATAAAGGAATAGAAGGATTATCTTCATGCAGCTGAAATTTCTTCATGTAAAACTAGCCATTGATACTTATCTTAAAATAAGAAATGAAGTATATAAATACACATTAAGCATTTAACAAGCAGTAGTGTAAAAACTGAGTAAAGAAAAAACTGTGAAAGAAATTGTAGAGATTGTAGAAAAAAGGTCTTTATCTTCATGGGTAGAAAGGTGACTCATTCATGTGTTTTCAGGTCATTATCTCTCATTCAATTACAATGCCATGCTTGAAAGATGCAGAAGAGAAAGCCACAAGACCTGAAGGAGGTCACAGTCTGGTAGTGAATCCAATAGGTAACTACAAAGCAATAAGGTGTACCCAGACATAGAGATTTACTGAGGGAACTATAAAATCAGGAGGGCCATTGAACAGCCTACCTTGTTAGATTAGTGTATCCTGGAAGAGGTCATGATGGAACTACTTATAAAGTAGGAGCTCAAAGTTAAAGTCAGGAGAAGACAGAAGGCAAAAAAATACCATACACCTAAGGGGTAAATGTAAACGCATAAATACAACAGGAAAAATAATAGCATTTGTGTATATGAGGACTCTCAAGTAATTTGATGTTGCTTCCACAGAAAGTATAAAGTAAGAGACTAAGATAAATAATATAGAGGCCAGATCATAAAAGATAATATAAGACATGTTAAGAACCTTCATCCTGTAAAGTGTAGAGTGAATTTACAATTCATCCTGTAAAGTGCAGAGTGAATTTCCAACTTGAATAATATAAGACCCCTTTGGAAAAATTATGCACATACACACATAAAATATCTGATATACAAATATAAATATATATAGATATCTACATATCTCTGTATATGTATATCATATATGTGTGTATATATATGTGTGTATATATATGTATATACATGTGTATGTACCTGTGTATGTACACATGTGTGTGTATGTGGTATAGATCCATGAAACTATGTCTATAACTTCTAGAATTTCCTCATCTTGGCTGAAAAATACTGCATTTAAAGCTAAATCTAATTACTCTCGGTCACTCTTTGACAGACATGCCATCATAAACACAAACAAAGTTGTGGTTGTTTTTAAAATGATTATCAGTAAAATGCATAAACCAAATTGAAAAGTTCTCATTGAATATTCTAAAGTACACACATATCCATGAAACTAAATATGAGAAATATGGCTGTCAGCAGTGGGAACAGGAATGAGGCACTGAAAGTTGTAATGCAGAAAAATGAAATAGTCTTATTTTAATTTCATCATTCTATTGGCTATAGGAAGGGCTTATTTGAGGCGAACATAATAAAACATTGAGCGATCAACTGAAAAGCACCTCTATTAGTCCCAACATTGGGTGAAGAGTGAAATGAACTAAGCAGCTGCAGTGGAAGAGAAAGAAAAGGACTGACTGGGAAAATAAACACAAAATATCAATATGTAATCTGGAGACCAGCTTACTGACTGAATATGGGCAATGAAGTGAAAGTATGAATACATGCATTCCATGGTTCTGACTTAGGTGACAAGGTAGATTATGGTGCTGCCAAATGAAATAGTAAAAAGATAAAAGAAATGGCTTAGAAGAGACTATAAAAAGTTCAGGTTTAGTCACATAAATTCTGAGGCAGCTGGAGAAAATCTAGTCAGAGATGATCCTTTAGAAACTGGTCACATAAGCCTAAGACTGGGGAGAAGGTCTAGACTGAAAATGCATTTTAGGAGTTATCAGTGTGTAGATAGCAGAAACTATAAAAATGATTACAATCATTCAGAGAGAGTATGGGCAGTGAGTAAACAAAGGATCAAAAAAGATACCCTGAATAGGATCAGTATTTGAAGGCTGGATAGAGACATAACAGTCATTAAGAACATAGAGAAGGAACAATTTAAAAGGTACAAGAAAAAATGATTGTGTCATAAAAGTCAAGGAAACAGTTTCAAGAAGAGTTACATACATGAAGCAAAAAAATCCACCAAAACAATAGGTTGAAAAAATGTCTGTTGGAATTGCTAATTTAAACAAACAAACAAACAAACAAAACACCAGTTACCTCATTCATAGCAGCTTCATCCAGAGCAGTTTTGATCGATTAGACAGGGTGGCAGACAGAGAACTTATTGCAATGGACTAAAGAGTGAATGAGAATAAAGTAAGTGAAGACTGGAAGTGAAGAAAGTAAGTGAAGACTGGAAGTAAGTGAAGAAAGTAAGTGAAGGACACTTCTGAGGACTTAGATCAGGAAAGCATAAAATGGATAGCAACTGCAGACAAATGTGGCATGACAAATTGAGTGAAATGAGCAATTAAAAACAAATAAAAAAACACAATGGATAAGCAGAGGTTGGAAATATGAGAAAAGAATGGCAGGTGAGACATGGCCCTGGAGAAGATAGGAGACTGAGTTAAGGACCCACTGGATGGGCTGGGATCTGTAATGCCAAAGTAAACACTTTTCTCTAAGCCGAAGGAAAAAGAATGAAAAAGTATAGGGTTGTGCAGAACTACTATTGGCATACAGGAAATTAAAGGAGATTTCACCTGACAGTAATATTTTCTTAAAGTTTGAGAAAGGGGGACAGTGGTTGAACAGTGCACAAAAAGAATGGTAAATGTGACATCTTCTACATTCTCCACCATATGGTTCGTAAATCTAATTTGCTGCTCTTGTCCTTCAGAAAAAAAGGAAGCTGATGAGGTAGAATTGGAGGATTGAGCTTTAACTTAGAATTTATTCATTTAACAAGTGTCTACTATAACCATCAAAAATGTGCAGACATGTGCTTGCTAATTATCACTACAACTTCTACATGCCATGCTTAAAAGGAGATAATTAAAAGGAGACAATGATAATGCAGAAAGTTCAAAAAGTAGTGGTAACCAGAAAAATGATCGATCAGCAAACAAACTGAACTGCATGTGGCTATTTCTTTCTTTCTTTTTTTTTTTTTTTTTTGTGAGATGGAGTCTTGCTCTGTCACCAAGCTGGAGTGCAGTGGCACGATCTTGGCTCACAGAACCTCCACCTCCTGGGTTCAAGTGATTCTCCTGCCTCAGCCTCCCAAGTAGCTGGGACTACAGGCACATGCCACCACACCCAGCTAATTTTTGTATTTTTAGTACAGACAGGGTTTCACCATGTTGGCCAGGATGGTCTCGATCTCTTGACCCTGTGATCCACCCGCCTCGGCCTCCCAAAGTGCTGGGATTACAGGCATGAGCCACCACGCCTGTCCTATTTCTATATTAACACAGCCAGATGGACTGATCATTTTAGGTGAATAGACACTGAAAATGACTTCTCAAGACATTAACTTCATTCTTCACATAAATAAAGGGGAAATACGGACTACACTAATCTAGAAAATTATACTTTTCTTTCATGGAAGTTAAAGTAATTTAAAAAACAGAACAATTGCATTAATCTTAAAGGTAAGCTTAACTTCATGTGTAATTATTTCAAGAAAAACTCAGAAAATGAATTCTACCAATGGATAAATTGGGAAGAAAAAAGGTGATTGCCAGTTTTTCTCTCTACTTCTCACTGCCATGCCTTTTGGCAAGCCACATCCACTCCATCTCATCCCCTTCAGGCATGACAAGTACAAATTTGAAAGAGTACCTCTACCAATGTATGCTATGGGGACAGGAATACACAACATTGACCACCTTTCTTACAGGCTGCTTTATTTCTATACCATCAGAAAAATGTCATGAGAGCATATGTTAGAAATGCTAATATGGAAAAACACACAAAGAAGAATCTCCTTTCAGTGCTCTAAAGGAATGCTTTAATGTCACAACAGAGAACTATGCTGGGATTTTACACAATATGGCTCCCAATGTTAAAGTCAAAATATCAAGCTGAATAAAAGAACCTTATATTCATATTTTATTATACAAACTAGCTTCATCAAACAATTCAACTGATATTCACAAAAACCCTGAAAGATATGTTATTTTGATCTCTAATTTGCCAATTAGGAAACGAAGCTCAGCTTGATTAAGAGAACTGAGAAAGAGCCACACAGTGAACAAGTGAAATCATTACATTCCAAGTCCAATCACCTTCCAATGACAGCAAAGAGGCTGTGTGCTCTATTCCAGCTTCTGTACATTTCCATTATAGTGTTCATTGATTTCTAAATGTTATCCACTTGTTTATGAGTTCCTTAAGGCCAGAGGCCCTGTCTCTTGTCATCCTTATGATCTTTTCACTAAACAATAGAATCATCTGTAGCAGACACCTCATCAGGGGAAATGCTTAGAGCTGAAACTTGCTGTGGGCTATAACAGGTCTTCTGTCATCTTTAATATTTATAATGAACCATGATCAACTCCTTGGAAAATTATACCAAACCACAACAATTACATAGATAGCCTAGAAAGATGAGACAGAAGGACAGAAATAGAAATAGAGAGAAGGAGAAGGCGGCGGGGGGGAGAGAGAGGAATACAAAGAGGGAGAGAAAGAGAGAGAGAGAGAGGGAGAGAGAGAGGGAGGGAGGGAGAGAAAGAGAGAAACCAAAAGAATATGGCTATTGCAATAATTATTTAAAATCAGCTAAAAAAAAGCCAATAATATGCTTTTTTATAGCATCTACTATTAATAACTTTTATAACCCATAACCAATTTAGTTCTGCTCCTATCTGTCCTCAACGATGAAAACTCTGACAACTACAAATAGCATTTACACTGGAAACCAATGCTTCCATACTGGAAACCACTCACTCCCTAATAAGGTAAATAATAGTGGGCAGCTGTGACTATAGTATGTGTCCTTAGAAGAGAAAAAACATAAATAGGAAAAAAAGTTTTCTTAGAAAAGATTAAATATTTTCAATATTAGTATTAATGGGTTATAATATCTGATAATAGTCATAAATATTTATTCATAAAGATTTTTAAGTATCCATTCTTGTTTGAGTAATATACAGCATGGACATAGACTAATATATCCTTGTCCCTTTAAATGGGTCTTTCATAACTACAACCAGATTCTATTCTTTGCTTGTATGACTGAGTTAGACCTCAAAGCATGGCTAAGAAAGCATCATGCCCAAAGGAGAGAAAAGATAATGAAGCCATGCTGGTGCCGCTTTCTGTAATTCCTGTTTTTCCAGGAGACACTAAGGTAAAGCAAAAGTCAAATAAAGTTTCTGCCTTCATTTATTATTGTGCAGACAAGCTTGCGGTAATGTCTCTCCAATTTATTGCACCTATCTGTTTGTCATTAGATTTAATAGAGGTAAAATACACACACACACACACACACACACACACACCATTCCAGCACAATTTGACACATATTGTTTCATGTTTTTTATTATTACATAATTATGGAGATCAGAAATCTAAATTATGCTAAAGTATGCAATCATAACCAAAAGTACATGAAATATCAATTAAACATTATAATAAACACCCAGCACATGGGAGTCCGAGGTGGGCAGATCATGAGGTCAAGAGTTCAAGACCAGCCTGGCCAACATGGTAAAACCCCATCTCTACTAAAAATACAAAAGTTAGCCGGGTGTGGTGGTGTGTGCCTGTAATCTCAGCTACTCGGGAGGCTGAGGCAGGAGAACTGATTGAACATGGGAGGTGGAGGTTTCAGTAAACCGAGATCGTGCCACTGCACTCCAGCCTGGGTGACACAGTGAGACTCTGTCTTAGAAAAAAAAAAAGTATGAATAAACAAAACCTACAGAGTTCATCTACAATATTCTAAGTCCCTCTTACACACTGGATCCCATAGACTTTATATTTCATTTTGCTGAACCCTTAACCCTTACATTTTTTTTCTGTTTATAAGGTCCACCTTGAACTAATTTACCATTTTAGAGTGGATCTCAAGTATACTTAACAATACTTAAGTTAAGTGTACTTAATTATACTCTATTTATTCACAATCACACCATCTCTTTTTCTTTTTTTTCAGGACACTGTGTACCACTTGTTGCCCAGGTTGGTCTCAAATCTTGATTCCTGCTCTCAAGGGATCCTTCCACTTCAGCTTCCCAAATCACGGGAATTACAGGTGCCACCAACTGTGCCCAGTCACATGAATTCTTGATACCTTTCTTACTTATTTCTACATTCCCTAACTTACCCATAAAATTAAACCCATTGATATGGCTTGGTTCTGTGTCCCCATTTAAATCTCATCTCAAACTGTAATACCCACATGTCAAGGGAGAGGCCTGGTGGGAGGTGATTGGATCATGGGGGTGGTTACTGCTGTGTCGTTCTCATGACAGTGAGTGAGTTGTCACAAGATCTGGTGGTTTTATAAGGGGCTCTTTCCCCCTTCACTCTCTCTCTCCGCATGTAAGAAGTGCCTGCTTTCCCTTCCACCATGATTGTGGGTTCCCTGAGGCCACCCCAGCCATGTGGAAATGTGAGTCAACAGAACCTCATTTCTTTGTAAATTACCCAGTTTGGGGAAGTTCTTTATAGCAGAGTGAAAATGAACTAATACAAGAAATTGGTACTGCATAGAGTGGGGTACTGCTATAAAGATAACCTGAAAATGTGGAAGCAACTTTGAAACTGGGTAACAGGCAGAGATTGCAACCATTCTGAGGGTACACAAGAAGACAGGAAGATGTCAGAAAGTTTGGAACTTCCTAAAGACCTGTTAAATGATTTTGACCAAAATGCTGATAGTGATGTAAACAGTAAAGCCTAGGCTGAGGTGGTCTCAGGTGCAGATGAGGAACTTATTGGGAACTGGAGTAAAAGTAACTCTTGCTATGCTTTAGCAAAGAGACTGGCGGCATTTTGCCTCTGCCGTAGAGATCTTTGGAGCCTTGTTTGTTTGTTTTGAGCTTCACTTATTATTTATTTATTTATTTCTATTATACTTTAAGTTCTGGGGTACATGTGCAGAACATGCAGGTTTGTTACATAGGTATTCACATGCCATGGTGGTTTGCTGCACCCATCAACCCATCATCTACATTAGGTATTTCTCCTAATGCCATCCCTCCCCAGAACCCCCCTAACCCCCTACAGGACATGGTGTGTGATGTTCCCCTCCCTGTGTCCATGTGCTTTCATTGTTCAACTCCCACTTATGAGTGAGACATGCGGTGTTTGGTTTTCTGCTGATGTGTTAGTTTGCTGAGAAAGATGGTTTCCAGCTTCATCCATGTCCCTGCAAAGGACATGAACTCATCCTTTTTCATGGCTGCACAGTATTCCATGGTGTATATGTGCCACATTTTCTTTGTCCAGTCTATCATTGATGGGTATTTGGGTTGGTTCCAAGTCTTTGCTATTGTGAACAGTGCCGCAACAAACATACGTGTGCATGTGTCTTTATAGCAGAATGGTTTATAATCCTTTGGGTATATACTCAGTAATGGGATTTCTGGGTCAAATGGTATTTCTGGTTCTAGATCCTTGAGGAATCGACCTACTGTCTTCCACAATGGTTGAACACATTTACACTCCGACCAACAGTGTAAAAGCATTCCTATTTCTCCACATCCTCTCCAGCATCTGCTGTTTCCTGACTTTTTAATGATTGCCATTCTAACTGGCGTGAAGTGATATCTCATTGTGGTTTTGATTTGCATTTCTCTAATGATCAGCGATGCTGAGCTTTTTTTCATACGTTTGTTGGCTGCATAAATGCCTTCTTTTGAGAAGTGTCTGTTGAAATCCTTCACCTACTTTTTGATGGGGTTGTTTTTTTTTCTTGTAAATTTGTTTAAGTTCTTTGTAGATTCTGGATATTAGCCCTTTGTCAGATGGATAGATTGTAAAACTTTTCTCCCATTCTGTAGGTTGGCTGTTCACTCTGATGATAGTTTCTTCTGCTGTGCAGAAGCTCTTTAGTTTAATTAGATCCCATTTGTCTATTTTGGCTTTTGTTGCCATTGCTTTGGGTGTTTTAGTCATGAAGTCTTTGCCCATGCCTATGTCCTGAATGGTATTGCCTAGGTTTTCTTCTAAGGTTTTTATGGTTTTAGGTCTTACATTTAATTCTTCAATCCATCTTGAGTTAATTTTTGTGTAAGTTGTAAGGAAGAGATCCAGTTTCAGCTTTCTGCATATGGCTAGCCAGTTTTCCCAAAACCATTTATTAAATAGGGAATCCTTTCCCCATTTCTTGTTTTTGTCAGGTTTGTCAAAGATCCAATGGTTATAGATGCGTGGCGTTATTTCTGAGGACTCCGTTCTGTTCCACTGGTCTATATATCTGTTTTGGTACCAGTACCATGCTGTTTTGTTTACTGTAGCCTTGTAGTATAGTTGTAGTAGTGTGACGCCTCCAGCTTTGATCTTTTTGCTTAGGATTGTCTTGGCTATGTGGGCTCTTCTTTGGTTCCAAATGAAATTTAAATTAGTTTTTTTCCAATTCTGTGAAGAAAGTCAGTGGTAGCTTAATGGGGATACACTGAATCTAAAAATTACTTTGGGCATTATGGTCATTTTTGTGATATGATTCTTCCTATCAATGAGCATGGAAAGTTTTTCTATTTGTTTGTGTCTTCTCTTATTTCCTTAAGCAGTGGTTTGTAGTTCTCCTTGAAGAGATCCTTCACATCCCTTGTAAGTTGTATTCCTAGGTATTTTATTCTCTTAGTAGCAATTGTGAATGGGAGTTCACTCATGATTTGGCTCTCTGTCTGTTCTTGGTGTATAAGAATGCTTGTGATTTTTGCACATTGATTTTGTATCCTGAGACTTTGCTGAAGTTGCTTATCAGCTTAAGACAGCTGAGACAATGGGGGTTTCTAAATATACAATCACGTCATCTGCAAACAGAGACAATTTGACTTCCTCTTTTCCTAAGTAAATACCCTTTATTTCTTTCTCCTGCCTGATTGCCCTGGCCAGAACTTCCAAAACTATCTTGAATGGGAGTAGTGAGAGAGGGCATCCTTGTCTTGTGTGGATTTTCAAAGGGAATGCCTCTAGTTTTTGCCCATTCAGTATGATATTGGCTGTGGGTTTGTCATAAATAGCTCTTATTATTTTGAGATACGTTCCATCAATACCTAGTTTACTGAGAGTTTTTAGCATGAAGGCTGTTGAATTTTGTCAAAGGCCTTTTCTGGGTCTACTGAGATAATCATGTGGTTTTTGTCATTGGTTCTGTTTATGTGATGGATTATGTTTATTGATTTGTGTATGTTGAACTAGCCTTGCATCCCAAGGATGAAGCCGACTTGATCATGGTGGATAAGCTTTTTGATGATGTGCTGCTGGATTCGGTTTGCCAGTATTTTATTGAGGATTTTCGTGTTGATGTTCATCAGGGATATTGGCCTGAAATTTTCTTTTTTTGTTGTGTCTCTGCCAGGTTTTGGTATCAGGATGATGCTGGCCTCATAAAATGAGTTAGGAAGGATTCCCTGTTTTTCTATTGTTTGGAATAATTTCAGAAGGAATGGTACCAGCTCCTTTTTGTACCTCTGGTAGAATTTGGCTGTTAATCCATCTGGTCCTGGACTTTTTTTGGTTAGTAGGCTATTAATTGCTGCCTCAATTTCAGAACTTGTTATTGGTCATTTCAGGGCTTGGATGTTTTCCTGGTTTAGTCTCGGGAGGGTGTATGTGTTCAGGAACTTACCCAATTCTTCTAGATTTTCTAGTTTATTTGCATAGAGGTTGCAAATTCTCTGTTGGTAGTTTGTATTTCTGTGGGATACATGGTGATATCCCCTTTATCATTTTTTATTTCATCTATTTGATTCTTCTCTCTTTTCTTCTTTATTAGTCTGGCTAGTGGTCTATTTGTTTTCTTGATCTTTTCAAACCACCTCCTGGATTCACCAAGTTTTTTCAAGGGTTTTTTTTTGTGTGTTTCTATCTCCTTCAGTTCTGCTCTGATCTTAGTTATTTCTTGTCTTCTGATAGCTCTTGAATTTGTTTGCTCTTGTTTCTCAGTTCTTTTAATTGTGATGTTAGGGTGTCGATTTTAGATCTTTCCTGCTTTCTCTTGTGGGCATTTAGTGCTATACATTTCTCTCTACACACTGTTTTAAATGTGTCTCAGAGATTCTGGCACATTTTGTCTTTGTTCTTATTGGTTTCAAAGAACATCTTTATTTCTGCCTTCATTTCATTATTTACCCAGTAGTCATTCAGGAGCAGGTTGTTCAGTTTCCATGCAGTCGTGCAGTTTTGAGTGAGTTTCTTAATCCTGAGTTCTAATTTGCACTGTGGTCTGAGAGACTGTTTGTTATGATTTCCCTTCTTTTGCATTTGCTAAGAAGTGTTTTACTTCCAATTATGTGGTCAATTTTAGAGTAAGAATGATGTGGTGCTGAGAAGAATATATATTCTGTTGATTTGGGGTGGAGAGTCCTGTAGATGTCTGTTAGGTCTGCTTGGTCCAGAGCTAAGTTCAAGTCCTGGATATCCTTTGTTAATTTTTTGTCTCATTGATCTGTCCAATGTTGACAGTGGGGTGTTGAAGTCTCCCAATATTATTGTGTGGGAGTCTAAGTCTCTTTGTAGGTCGCTAAGAACTTGCTTTATGACTCTGGGTGCTCCTGTACTGGCTGCATATATATTTAGGATAATTAGCTCTTCTTGTTGTATTGATCCCTTTACCATTATGTAATGGCCTTCTTTGTCTCTTTTGATCTTTGTTGGTTTAAAGTCTGTTTTATCAGAGACTAGGATTGCAATACCTGCTTTCTTTGGTTTCCATTTGCGTGGTAAATATTCCTCCATCCCTTTATTTTGAGCCTATGTGTGTCTTTGCATGTGGGATGGGTCTCCTGAATACAACACACCAATGCGTCTTGACTCTTTATCCAGTTTGCCAGTCTGTGTCATTTAACTGGGGCATTTAGCCCTTTTACATTTAAGGTTACTATTGTTATGTGTGAATTTGATCCTGCCACTATGATGCTAGCTGTTTCTTTTGCCCGTTAGTTGATGCAGTTTCTTCACAGCATTGATAGTCTTTACAATTTGGTATGTTTTTGCAGTGACTGGTACCGGTTGTTCCTTTCCATGTTTAGCGCTTCATTCAGGAGCTCTCATAAGGCAGGCTTGGTGATGACAAAAATCTCTCAGCATTTGCTTGTCTGTAAAGAATTTTATTTCTCCTTCGCTTATGAAGCTCAGTGTGGCTGGATATGAAATTCTGGGTTGAAAACTCTTTTCTTTAAGAATGTTGAATATTGGCCCCCACTCTCTTCTGGCTTGTAGGATTTCTGCAGAGAGATCTGCTGTTAGTCTGGTGGGCTTCTGTTTGTGGGTAACCCAACCTATCTCTCAGGCTGCCCTTAACATTTTTTCCCTCATTTCAACCTTGGTGAATCTGATCATTATGTGTCTTGGGGTTGCTCTTCTTCAGGAGTATCTTTGTGGTGTTCTCTGTATTTCCTGAATTTGAATGTTGGCCTGCCTTGCTAGTTTGGGGAAGTTCTCCTGGCTAATAGCCTGAAGATTGTTTTCCAACTTGGTTCCATTCTCCCAGTCTCTTTCAGGTACACCAATCAAGCATAGATTTGTTCTTTTCACACAGTCCCATATTTCTTGGAGGCTTTGTTTGTTTCTTTTCATTCTTTTTTCTCTAATCTTGTTTTCTCACTTTATTTCATTGAGTTGATCTTCAATCTCTGATATCCTTTCTTCCACTTGATCGATTCAGCTATTGATACTTGTGTAGGCTTCACGAAGTTCTCATGCTGTGTTTTTCAGCTCCATCAGGTCATTTATGTTCTTCTCTAAACTTGCTGTTCTAGTAAGCAATGCATCTAACCTTTTATCAAGGTTCTCAGCTTCCTTGCATAGGGTTAGAACATGCTCCTTTAGCTTGGAGGAGTTTATTACCCACCTTCTGAAGCCTACTTCTGTCAATTCATCAAACCCATTCTCTGTTCAGTTTTCTTCTCTTGCTGTTGAGGAGTTGTGATCCTTTGGAGGAGAAGAGGTGTTCTGGGTTTTGGAATCTTCAGCTTTTTTGCACTGGTTTCTCCCCATCTTTATGGATTTATCTACCTTTGGTCTTTGAAGTCACTGACCTTCTGCTGGGGTCTCTGAGTGGGCATCTTTTTATTTGATGTTGATACTATTCCTTTCTGTTTGTTAGTTTTCCTTCTAACAGGCCCCTCTGCTGCAGGTCTGTGGGAGTTTGCTGGAGGTCCACTCCAGACCCTGTTTTCCTGGGTATCACCGGCAGAGGCTGGAGAACAGCAAAGATTGCTGCCTGTTCCTTTCTCTGGAAGCTTCATCCCAGAGGGGCATCTGCCAGATGCTAGCCAGAGCTCTCCTGTATGACATGTCTGTCGGCCCCTACTGGGAACTTTGAACTTCAAAGAGATGACTTAGAAAATCTATATGAAGAAATTTCAAAGCAGCAAAGCATTCAAGAGGTGACAGAGCATAAAAGTTTAGAAAATTTGCAGCCTGACCATGTCTTAGAAAAGAAAAACCTATTTTCTTGGGAGAAATTCAAGCCAGCTGCAGAAATTTACATAAATAATGAGGAGTCTAATGTTAATCTCCAAGACAATGGGGAAAATGTCTCCACGGATGTCAGAGACCTTTAATGCAGCCCCTCCCATCACGGGCCCCCAGGCCTAGTAGGATAAAATGGCTTCCTGGGCTAGGCCCAGGACCACACTCCTGCTCTGTGCAGCCTAGGGACTTGGTGCCCTGTATCCCAGCTGCTCCAGCTCCAGTTGTAGCTGAAAGGGGCCACAGTAAAGCTTGGGCTATTGCTTCAGTGGGTGTAAACCCCAAGCAGCTTCCACATGGTGTTGGGCCTGCAGTTGCACAGAATTCAACAGTTAAGGTTTGGAAACCACTGACTAGATTTCAGAGGATGTATGGAAATGCCTGGATGTCCAGGCAGAAGTCTGCTGCAGGGGGAGAGGCCTCATGGAGAGCCACTGCTATGGCAGTGTGGAAGGCAAACGTGGGGTTGGAGCCACAGCACAGTCCCCACTGGGGCACTGCCTAGTGAAGCTGAGAGAAGAGGGCTACTGTCCCCCAGATCCCAGAATAGTAGATCCACCAACAGCTTGCACTGTGTGCCTGGAAAAGCCATGGGCACTGAATGCTACCCTGTGACGGAGCTGCCAAAGGCCATGGGCACCCCTTGCATCAGCAGATGCGAGACATGGTGTCAAAGGAGATCATTTCAGCCCTTTAGGATTTGACTACCCCACTGGATTCTGCACTTGCATGGGGCCTGTAGCCCCCTTTGTTTTGGTCAATTTCTCCCATTTGGAACAGGAGCATTTACCCAACACCAGTACCCCCATTGTATCTTGGAAGTAACTAAGCAGCTTTTGATTTTACAGGTAAATAGGTAAAAGGGACTTGCCTTGTCTCAGATGAGACTTTGGACTGTGAATTTTTTAGTAATGCTAAAATGGGTTAAGACTTTGGGGGACTGTTGCAAAGGGATGATTGTGTTTTAAAATGTGAGAAGAATATGAGACTTGAGAGGGACCAGTGGTGGAATAATATGGTTTGGCTCTGTGTCCCCACCCAAATCTCATCTTGAACTGTAATCCCCATGTATCAAGGGAGGGACCTGGCAGAAGATGACTGGATCATAGGGGTGGTTTCCCCTAAGCTGTTCTCATGACACTAAGTGGGTTCTCATGAGATCTGATGGTTTTATAAGGGGCTCTTCCCCCTTTGCTCTCTCTCTCACCTGCTGCCATGTAACACATGACTGTGTCCCCTTCTACCATGACTGTGCGTTTCCTGAGGGCTCCCTAGCCATTTGGAACTGTGAGTCAATTAAATCTATTTTCTTTGTAAACTATACAGTCTCCAGGCAGTCCTTTCTCTTTTTCTTTTTTTTTAGATGGAGTCTTGAGTCTTGCTCTGTTGCCTAGGCTGAAGTGCAGTGGCACAATCTCGGCTCACTACAATCTCTGCTTCCTGGGTTCAAGTGCTTCTCCTGCCTAAACCTCCCTAGTAGCTGGGATTACAGGTGTGTGCCACCATGCCCAGTTAATTTTTGCATTTTTAGTAGAGATGAGGTTTCACCATGTTAGTCAGGCTGGTCTTGAACTCCTGATATCAGGTGATCTGCCCGCCTCAGCCTCCCAAAGTACTGGGATTACAGACATGAGCCACCGCACCCAGCCTCAGGCAGTTCTTTATAGCAGTGTGAAAATGAAATAATACACTCATAGAACCAAATGTCAAAAGGGTAATTTTTTCCTGAACTCTCTACAAGCTCATAAACTTTATAGAACTGAACAAATCATCTTCATGCATCGCACATAAAAATACACAATTTATGTTTGCCCTACGTGTTGTCCATTTCAGCTAATATTGTGGCTATCCCTCCTGTCACTAGGGCCAGAGTAAAAAACCATCCTTGGCTCCTTTCTCTCTTTTACCCTCCACATACAGTGAAAGCACTATGTTATCCTGATTCTAACTTTGACACCTTTATTAGGGTTTTTCAGAGAAACCGAAATATATGTACATATTCATACACACACACACACACACACACACACACACACACACGCCATATATTTTAAGAAACTGACTTAAGCAATTGGCTGAAGCAAGCATGGAGGCTGAGAAGTACCAAGATCTGCAGTCAGCAAGCTGGAGACCCAGGATACTGTAAGTTGTAGTCCAAAAACTGGCAGACTTAAGACCCAAGAGCTGATGTTGCAGTTTGAGTGTGAAAGCAGGATAAATGCCATGTCCCAGCTCAAGGCATTCGAGCAAGAGGAGTCCCCCCTTACTTAAGGAAGGGTTAACTTTTTTGTTTCAACTCAGGGCTTCCACTTATTGGATGAGGCCAACCTACATTTCGGAGGTAATCTGCTTTACTCAGCCTACCAGTTCAAATAATCTTATCTGAAAACACATTTAAAGACACACAGAATGTGTCTATTTGATTCTTCTCTCTTTTCTTCTTTATTAGTCTTGCTAGCGGTCTATCAATTTTGTTGATCCTTTCAAAAAACCGGCTCCTGGATTCAGTAGTTTTTTTGAAGGGTTTTTTGTGTCTCTATTTCCTTCAGTTCTGCTCTGATTTTAGTTATTCCTTGCCTTCTGCTAGCTTTTGAATACGTTTGCTCTTGCTTTTCTAGTTCTTTTAATTGTGATGTTAGGGTGTCAATTTTGGATCTTTCCTGCTTTCTCTTGTGGGCATTTAGTGTTATAAATTTCCCTCTACACACTGCTTTGAATGTGTCCCAGAGATTCTGGTATGTTGTGTCTTTGTTCTCGTTGGTTTCAAAGAACATCTTTATTTCTCCCTTCATTTCATTATGTACCCAGTAGTCATTCAGGAGCATGTTGTTCAGTTTCCATGTAGTTGAGCGGTTTTGAGTGAGATTCTTAAGCCTGAGTTCTAGTTTGATTGCACTGTGGTCTGAGAGAGAGTTTGTTATAATTTCTGTTCTTTTACATTTGCTGAGGAGTGCTTTACTTCCCAGTATGTGGTCAATTTTGGAATAGGTGTGGTGTGGTGCTGAAAAAAATGTATATTCTGTTGATTTGGGGTGGAGAGTTCTGTAGATGTCTATTATGTCTGCTTGGTGCAGAGCTGAGTTCAATTCCTGGGTATCCTTGTTAACTTTCTGTCTCACTGATCTGTCTAATGTTGACAGTGGGGTATTAAAGTCTCCCATTATTAATGTGTGGGAGTCTAAGTCTCTATGTAGGTTACTCAAGACTTGCTTTATGAATCTGGGTGCTCCTGTATTGGGTGCATATATATTTAGGATAGTTAGCTCTTTTTGTTGAATTGATCCCTTTACCATTATGTAATGGCCTTCTTTGTGTCTTTTGATCTTTGTTGGTTTAAAGTCTGTTTTATCAGAGACTAGGATTGCAACCCCTGCCTTTTTTTGTTTTCCATTTGCTTGGTAGGTCTTCCTCCATCCTTTTATTTTGAGCCTATGTGTGTCTCTGCACGTGAGATGGGTTTACTGAATATAGCACACTGATGGGTCTTGACTCTTTATCCAATTTGCCAGTCTGTGTCTTTTAATTGGAGCATTTAGTCCATTTACATTTAAAGTTAATATTGTTATGTGTGAATTTGATCCTGTCATTATGATGCTAGCTGGTTATTTTGCTTCTCAGTTGATGCAGTTTCCTCCTAGCCTCAATGGTCTTTACAATTTCGCATGATTTTGCAGTGGCTGGTACCGGTTGTTCCTTTCCATGTTTAGTGCTTCCTTCAGGAGCTCTTTTAGGGCAGGCATGGTGGTGACAAAATTTCTTAGCATTTGCTTCTCTGTAAAGCATTTTATTTCTCCTTCACTTATGAAGCTTAGTTTGGCTGGATATGAAATTCTGGGTTGAAAATTCTTTCCTTTAAGAATGTTGAATATTGGCCCCCACTCTCTTCTGGCTTCTAGGGTTTCTGCCGAGAGATCGACTGTTAGTCTGATGGGCTTCCCCTTGTGGGTAACCATACCTTTCTCTCTGGCTGCCCTTAACAATTTTTCCTTCATTTCAACTTTGGTGAATCTGACAATTACGTGTCTTGGAGTTGCTCTTCTCCAGGAGTATCTTTGTGGCGTTCTCTGTATTTCCTGAATCTGAATGTTGGCCTGCCTTGCTAGATTGGGGAAGTTCTCCTGGATAATATCCTGAAAAGTGTTTTCCAACTTGGTTCCATTCTCCCCATCACTTTCAGGTACACCAATCAGACGTAGATTTGGTCTTTTCGCATAGTCCCATATTTCTCGGAGGCTTTGTTTGTTTCTTTTTATTCTTTTTTCTCTAAACTTCTCTTGTCGCTTCATTTCATTCATTTCATCTTCCATCACTGATACCCTTTCTTCCAGTTGATTGCATCGGCTCCTGAGGCTTCTGCATTCTTCACGTAGTTCTCGAGCCTTGGCTTTCAGCTCCATCAGCTCCTTTAAGTACTTCTCTGTATTGGTTATTCTAGTTATACATTCGTCTAAATTTTTTTCAAAGCTTTTAACTTCTTTGCCTTTGGTTTGAATTTCCTCCTGTAGCTCGGAGTAGTTTGATCGTCTGAAGCCTTCTTCTCTCAACTCGTCAAAGTCATTCTCCATCCAGCTTTGTTCCATTGCTGGTGAGGAACTGCATTCCTTTGGAGGAGGAGAGGTGCTCTGCTTTTTAGAGTTTCCAGTTTTTCTGCTCTGTTTTTTCTCCGTCTTTGTGGTTTTATCTACTTTTGGTCTTTAATGATGGTGATGTACAGATGGGTTTTTGGTGTGGATGTCCTTTCTGTTTATTAGTTTTCCTTCTAACAGACAGCACCCTCAGCTGCAGGTCTGTTGGAGTTTGCTAGAGGTCCACTGCACACCCTGTTTGCCTGCGTATCAGCAGCGGTGGCTGCATAACAGCAGATTTTTGTGAACCACGAATGCTGCTGTCTGATCTTTCCTCTGGAAGTTTTGTCTCAGAGGAGTACCTGGCCATGTGAGGTGTCAGTCTGCCCCTACTGGGGGGTGCCTCCCAGTTAGGCTGCTCGGGGGTCAGGGGTCAGGGACCCACTTGAGGAGGCAGTCTGCCTGTTCTCAGATCTCCAGCTGCGTGCTGGGAGAACCACTGCTATCTTCAAAGCTGACAGACAGGGACATTTAAGTAAGTCCCTGTTTGCAGATGACATGACTGTATATCTAGAAAACCCCGTCATCTCAGCCCAAAATCTCCTTAAGCTGATAAGCAACTTCAGCAAAGTCTCAGGATACAAAATCAATGTACAAAAATCACAAGCATTCTTATACACCAATAACAGACAAACAGAGAGCCAAATTATGAGTGAACTCCAATTCACAATTGCTTCAAAGAGAGTAAAATACCCAGGAATCCAACTTACAAGGGATGTGAAGGACCTCTTCAAGGAGAACTACAAACCACTGCTCAAGGAAATAAAAGAGGATACAAACAAATGGAAGAACATTCCATGCTCATGGGTAGGAAGAATCAATATCATGATAATGGCCATACTGCCCAAGGTAATTTATAGATTCAATGCTATCCCCATCAATCTACCAATGACTTTCTTCACAGAGTTGGAAAAAACTACTTTCAAGTTCATATGGAACCAAAAAAGAGCCCGCATCGCCAAGTCAATCCTAAGCCAAAAGAACAAAGCTGGAGGCATCACGCTACCTGACTTCAAACTATACTATAAGGCTACAGTAACCAAAACAGCATGGTACTGGTACCAAAACAGAGATATAGATCAATGGAACAGAACAGAGCCCTAAGAAATAACGCCGCATATCTACAACTATCTAATCTTTGACAAACCTGTGAAAAACAAGCAATGGGGAAAGGAGTCCCTATTTAATAAATGGTGCTGGGAAAACTGGCTAGCCATATGTAGAAAGCTGAAACTGGATCCCTTCCTTACACCTTATACAAAAATTAATTCAAGATGGTTTAAAGACTTACATGTTAGACCTAAAACCATAAAAACCCTAGAAGAAAACCTAGGCATTACCATTCAGGACACAGGCATGGGCAAGGACTTCAGGTCTAAAACACCAAAAGCAATGGCAACAAAAGCCAAAATTGACAAATGGGATCTAACTAAACTAGAGAGCGTCTGCACAGCAAAAGAAACTACGTCAGAGTGAATAGGCAACCTACAAAATGGGAGAAAATTTTCGCAAACTACTCATCTCACCAAGGGGCTAATATCCAGAATCTACAATGAACTCAAATAAATTTACAAGAAAAAACAAACAACCCCATCAAAAAGTGGGCAAAGGACATGAACAGACACTTCTCAAAAGAAGACATTTATGCAGCCAAAAAACACAGGAAAAAATGCTCACCATCACTGGCCATCAGAGAAATGCAAATCAAAACCACAATGAGATACCATCTCACACCAGTTAGAATGGCAATCATTAAAAAGTCAGGAAACAACAGGTGCTGGAGAGGATGTGGAGAAATAGGAACACTTTGACACTGTTGGTGGGACTGTAAACTAGTTCAACCCTTGTGGAAGTCAGTGTGGCGATTCCTCAGGGATCTAGAACTAGAAATACCATTTGACCCAGCCATCCCACTACTGGGTATATACCCCAAAGGACTATAAATCATGCTGCTATAAAGACACATGCACACGTATGTTTATTGTGGCACTATTCACAATAGCAAAGACTTGGAACCAAGCCAAATGTCCAACAATGATAGACTGGATCAAGAAAATGTGGCACATATACACCATGGAGTACTATGCAGCCATAAAAAATGATGAGTTCATGTCCTTTGTAGGGACATGGATGAAACTGGAGATCATCATTCTCAGTAAACTGTCACAAGGACAAAAAACCAAACACCGCATGTTCTCACTCATAGGTGGGAATTGAACAATGAGAACACATGGACACAGGAAGGGGAACATCACACTCTGGGGACTGTTGTGGGGTGGGGGGAGGGGGGAGGGATAGCATTAGGAGATATGCCTAATGCTAAATGACGAGTTAATGGGTGCAGCACACCAGCATGGCACATGTGTACATATGTAACTAACCTGCACATTGTGCACATGTACCCTAAAACTTAAATTAAAAATAAAAATTAAAATTAAAAAACACACAGAATGATGTTGGATCAAACATCTGGATACTTCATGACCCATCAAGTGGACATATAAAATTAACTGTCATAACATATGTATCTGAATCTGTCCTTCCCTAGTCCCTTCCACTACTTTAATCCACATCATTATGATCTCTTGAACTGATTACCACAATTATCTCACCTAGCTGATTACTGCCTTCTGGTTCTGTTCTCCTCTAGGCCACACTCTAGACCAATCAGAGAGTCACCCTTCTAAAATACTACTTTGATAACAGAAATTCTCTCCTTAAAATCTCCCACAGGCTACCCATACCTTACAGGACAGAGTTCTCCATGTTCCTCAGTTTTGCCCAGAAAGCCTTTCACTGTGTGGCCCCTTCGTCCTTCTCCAGCCTTCCCTCTACTCTTATCGTTATTTACATGCAAGCAACTTTAAATTCCTGACAGTTCACCAAAACATGCCATGCTAATTAACATAACTGCACAGGTTTTTTCCCATCTGGTGTGTTTCTTATACCATAATCCAGATGTGTACTGATTCTTCAAACCCTGCTTCAAATTTTCTGTGAAACCATCCCTGCTCTCTCCAGACAAAAAAAGTATCTCCCCTGTCTATGCTATCTTGTACCTTACATATAATTATATTACTGTACTCATTAACCTGTTTTAAGGGTTTTAGTGACTCCCTATTGTAAAGACGAGGTTCTTCAGGGTAGACACAGAGTTTATTTTGTGGGTATTTCTGTTGTTTGATGCCTGCTCTCCTACATAATTGGTGGTCTGAATTCATATTATATATATATTTTTTTCAAAATATATATGTTCAACATTATTTATAAATATATAAATATGTGTGTGTCTATACAGATAAAGGTTGAGATCAAATAAAATCTCTTCAAATGCACTTGAAATAACATCACAGGTATACACAATTTGTTAGTACCATCTATGATTTCCTAGCATTAATAATAATCACTCACATATACTGATGCCTTAAATTCGACTACTTAAAAGCAATGTTTATGCCACCTGGTGGTCAAACAGGAAATGCTATTTTAAAATATTTCATAATTCATATTGTGATATGAGTGTTTCAGTTTAAAGCAATTGACTTCTGCCTCTAGAAGGATATATTTTATCACATTGCAAAGCATTTTTGAGAAATGGTGACAAAGAAAAGGCTTCAATTGCAGTAATAGTGGGAGACTTCAGCACCCCACTGACAGTATTAGACAGATCATTAAAGCAAAAAATTAACAAAGATATTGAGGACCCAACTCATCACTGGATCAAATGGACCTGATAGACATCTACAGAACTCTCTACCTCAAAACAACAGAATGTACATTCTTCTCATCCTCATGTGCCACCACATGGCACATACTCTAAAATCGATCACATAATCAAACATAAAAAACTCCTCAGCAAATGCAGAAGAACTGAAATCATAACAGCCATTCTCTCAGACGACAGTGTAATTAAAATAGAATTCAAGAATAAGAAAATAACTCAAAACCATACAGTTACATAAAAAGTGAATAACCTGCTCCTGAATGACTTTGGGGTAAATAATGCAATTAAGGTAGAAATCAATAAATTGTTTGAAACTAATGAGAACAAAGATACAACATAACAGGATCTCTGGGACACAGCTAAGGCAGGGTTAGGAGGAAAAATTATAGCATTAAACATCCACATCAGAAAGTTAGAAAGATCTCAATTTAATAACCTAACATCAAAACTAACAGAATTAGAGAACCAAGAGCCAAGCAATCCCAAAGCTAGCAGAAGACAAGAAATAATCAAAATCAAAGCTGAACTAAAAGACATTGAGACACAAAAAAATTCAAAAGATCAACAAATCCAGGAGTTGGTTTTCCTATTTTTTTTTTTAATTCTAAGTTCTGGGATACATGTGCAGAACGTGCAGGTTTGTTACATAGGTATACACGTGCCATAGTGGTTTGCTGTACCTATCAACCCATCATCTAGGTTTCAAGCATGCATTAAGTATTTGTCCTAATGGTGTCCCTCCCCTTGCTCCCCACCCCCTGACAGGCCCAGTGTGTGATGTTCCCCTCCCTGTGTCCACAGGTTCTCATTGTTCAACTTCCACTTATGAGTGAGAACATGCAGTGCTTGGTTTTCTGTTCTGTATTAGTCTGGTGAGAATGACAGCTTCCAGGTTCATCCATGTCCCTGCAAAGGACATGAACTCATTCTATTCTATGGCTGCATAGTATTCCATGGTGTGTATGTGCCAACAAGCAATGGGGACAGGATTCCCTATTTAATAAATAGTGCTGGGAAAACTGATTAGCCATATGCAGAAAACTGAAACTGGACCTCTTCCTTAAACCTAACACAAAAAATTAACTCAAGATGGGTTAAAGACTTAAAGGTAAAACTCAAAACCAAAAAAAACCCTAGAAGAAAACTTAGGCAATACCATTCAGGATATAGGCATGGGCAAAGACTTCATGACCAAAACACCAAAAGCTATTGCAACAAAAGCCAAAATTGATGAATGGGATCTAATTAAACTAAAGAGCTGGACAGCAAAAGAAATTATCATCATAGTGAACAGGCAACTGACAGAATGGGAGAAAATTTTTGCAATCTACCCATCTGACAAAGATCTACTATCCAGAGTCTACAAGGAATTTAAATTTACAAGAAAAAAACAACCCCATCAAAAAGTGGGCAAAGGATATGAACAGACACTTTTCAAAAGAAGACATTTATGCGGCCAAGAAACATATGAGAAAAAGCTCATCAACACTGCTCATTAGAGAAATGCAAATCAAAACCACAATGAGCTACCATCTCACACCAGTTAGAATGGAGATGGTTAAAGTCAGGAAACAACAGATGCTGGAGAGGATGTGGAGAAATAGGAATGCTTTTACAGTGTTGGTGGAAGTGTAAATTAGTTGAACAATTGTAGAATACAGTGTGGCAATTCCTGAAGGATCTAGAACCAAAAATACCATTTGACCCAGAAATCCCATTACTGAATATACACCCAAATGATTATAAATCATTCTACTATAAAGACACATGCACATGTATGTTTATTGCAGCACTATTTACAATATTAACTACTTGGAACCAACCCAAATGCCCCTCAATGATAGACTGGATAAAGAAAATACTGATAAAATAGATACAGCACTAGCTAGACTAATAAAGAAAGAAAAGAGAGAAGAGCCAAATAAAATTCAGTTAATTTATCCCATTCTAGCAATTTGCATCACTCTTCTAACTTTGAATATACCAAAAGAGGTATCACTCTCAAATGCGTGAAATTATAAACTAATGAGAAGATTCGTTTTAGCTGAATTGTCTTCACTACCTGAGCTTCAAAAAACAACACAAAAGATTTGTGGGTCAGCTTGGCTCTAAACTATTTGACAATACAATTCCCTTTGCCTTTAGGTGCTCAAATTCTGGACTTCCCTGGTTGTCACTTTCTCTCCGAAACCATCCTTTAACTCTCCAACACAAACCTTCCTCCTTGCTGTGCTTTTGATACAACCCCTCATTCCAGTTTCGTGGATGTCCCCATCTTTCTCACTGCCTCAAAGAATTCTTTTAGGCAGATGACTTTCTTATCTGTATTTCTAATCCTGACACTTCTCTCAAGTTCAAGTCACCAGCTTTCCTTCCTTGCTACTATCTCAATATGACTTGACTTCAGAAGCTGAAACCTCATTCGTCCAAAAAAATTCACCATTTCCACTTACTCTTGGTACAACTTCCTGCTAGTACTGCTACTACCCTCCAGTCTCCAAGGTTTGAAACCTGAGAGTCAACCTTGACTTCTTCCTTGACCTCCATATACATTCCATTGACAGATGATATTGATCCTATCTCTCCCTTCTTTCCTTGTTCCCCTTTGGGGGCTTTGCATTAAACCTTCCCTCTGCCTGTGATGCTCTCCTCACTCCCACTCCCAATAGTCTCAAGGCTTATTTATTCCATGTTATCATTCAAGCTTCTCTTTAAATGTCCCTTCCTCAGAAAGGTCTCCATGATCTCCTAATTTCTATCATATCATCCAGTCGTAATTCTCTAAATATTACTACCACTTTCTGATCATTTCCTAATGGCATATTCTGTCCATGCCCTTAGGAACGTGCACTCCTCAAGTGTCCTGGACTCCCTGATTTATTGCTATATCCCGAGCCTTTATTGTTAAGAGCTCAATATTTCAGAACAACTAAAAATCTTTTAAAAATACCAGCACCTCTTTTATTTCCATGCCAAAGTAATTACATGTAAGACCTGAGCTATGACAGTGATGTCCCTGTTTCCAATCTCCTCCCTCTCCCAAACAATTCTAAACACTGATGCCTAATTACTCTGTCTAAATAGCCTTATCCATCAGATAACCTAAATAAATAACTTATGGAAAGTATACTGTCTTAGAAATGCACAGCATACACTCAATAAATATTAAGTTTCCCTTTTATTTTCCTGTTGGAAAATCCTTAAAATGCCACTTACTGCCTACAGAATGCAGCATGTTTTCCACTGGCTGTCACACCTTTTCTTACTAGGCTTCAACCTAGTTTGTCATCTTATTTTCTAGAACACCTCCTCATGCTCTGTATGCCACTATCATATTACATCATTTGCCAGTATATTCCTCTACCTATACTTTACATTGTTCCCACTTGTTTGAAATAGCCTAGTACCCATAGCTCTCTAAATCCTATCCATCCTTAAAGGCAAGCAACTTCCTTCAAAATACTTTTAAAAGTCCTGTTCTCTAAGACAAAATAATCACTTTCTCTCCTCTGAACGTTAGTATCTTTCTCTGGACTACAGGGTCTCATTGGGTACAATTAATGATGTAATCTTACCCTCACTAGACTGTGTGATGCTATGGGCAGGGCTTAAACTTTATCTTTCTGTATTTTCTACATTGTTTTGTACCTCACAAATACTGAATTAAGGGGGTAGGAGCCAAAATGGCCGAATAGGAACAGCTCCGGTCTACAGCTCCCAGCATGAGCGACGCAGAAGACGAATGATTTCTGCATTTCCATCTGAGGTACAGGGTTCATCTCATTAGGGAGTGCCAGACAGTGGGCGCAGGTCAGTGTGTGCGCGCACCGTTCGCAAGCCGAAGCAGGGCGAGGCATTGCCTCACTCCAGAAGCACAAGGGGTCAGGGAGTTCCCTTTCCTAGTCAAAGAAAGGGGTGACAGATGGCACCTGGAAAATCGGGTCACTCCCACCCAAATACTGCGCTTTTCCAACGGGCTTAAAAACGGCGCACCAGGAGATTATATCCCGCACATGGCTCGGAGGGTAATACGCCCACGGAGTCTTGCTGATTGCTAGCACAGCCCTCTGAGATCAAACTGCAAGGGGGCAGCAAGGTTGGGGGAGGGGCGCCCGCCATTGCCCAGGCTTGCTTAGGGTAAACAAAGCAGCCTGGAAGCTCGAACCCGGTGGAGCCCACAACAGCTCAAAGGAGGCCTGCCTGCCTCTGTAGGCTCCACCTCTGGGGGCAGGGCACAGACAAACAAAAAGACAGCAGTAACCTCTGCAGACTTAAAAGTCCCTGTCTGACAGTTTGAAGAGAGCAGTGGTTCTCCCAGCACGCAGCTGGAGATCTGAGAACGGGCAGACTGCCTCCTCAAGTGGGTCCCTGACCCCTGACCCCCGAGCAGCCTAACTGGGAGGCATCCCCCAGCAGGGGCAGACTGACACCTCACACGGCCGGGTACTCCAACAGACCTGCAGCTGAGGGTCCTGTCTGTTAGAAGGAAAACTAATAAACAGAAAGTACATCCACACCAAAAACCCATCTGTACGTCACCATCATCAAAGACCAAAAATAGATAAAACCACAAAGATGGGGAAAAAACAAAGCAGAAAAACTGAAAACTCTAAAAATCAGAGCACCTCTCCTCCTCCAAAGGAACGCAGCTCCTCACCAGCAATGGAACAAAGCTGGACAGAGAATGACTTTGACAAGCTAAGAGAAGAAGGCTTCAGACAATCAAATTACTCCGAGCTACGGGAGGACATTCAAACCGAAGGCAAAGAAGTTGAAAACTTTGAAAAAAATTTAGAAGAATGTATAACTAGAATAACCAATACAGAGAAGTGCTTAAAGGACCTGATGAAGCTGAAAACCAAGGCTCGAGAACTACGTGAAGAATGCAGAAGCCTCAGGAGCCGATGCGATCAACTGGAAGAAAGGGTATCAGTGATGGAAGATGAAATGAATGAAATGAAGCAAGAAGGGAAGTTTAGAGAAAAAAGAATAAAAAGAAATGAGCAAAGCCTCCAAGAAATATGGGACTATGTGAAAAGACCAAATCTACGTCTGATTGGTGTACCTGAAAGTGACGGGGAGAATGGAGCCAAGTTGGAAAACACTCTGCAGGATATTATCCAGGAGAACTTCCCCAATCTAGCAAGGCAGGCCAACATTCAAATTCAGGAAATACAGAGAATGTCACAAAGATACTCCTCGAGAAGAGCAACTCCAAGACACATAATTGTCAGTTCACCGAAGTAGAAATGAAGGAAAAAACGTTAAGGGCAGCCAGAGAGAAAGGTACGGTTACCCACAAGGGGAAGCCCATCAGACTAACAGCGGATCTCTCGGCAGAAACCCTACAAGCCAGAAGAGAGTGGGGGCCAATATTCAACATTCTTAAAGAAAAGAATTTTCAACCCAGAATTTCATATCCAGCCAAACTAAGCTTCATAAGTGAAGGAGAAATAAAATCCTTTACAGACAAGCAAATGCTGAGAGATTTTGTCACAACCAGGCCTGCCCTAAAAGAGCTCCTGAAGGAAGCGCTAAACAC
This sequence comes from Homo sapiens, assembly GCF_000001405.40. Lineage (NCBI taxonomy): Eukaryota > Metazoa > Chordata > Mammalia > Primates > Hominidae > Homo > Homo sapiens. The sequence goes on along the minus strand of NC_000006.12, from coordinate 77,734,787 downwards.
GGAAAGGAACAACCAGTAACAGCCACTGCAAAATCATGCCAAAAGGTAAAGACCATCGAGACTAGGAAGAAACTGCATCAACTAACGAGCAAAATAACCAGCTAACATAATGACAGGATCAAATTCACACATAATAATATTAACTTTAAATGTAAATGGACTAAATGCTCCAATTAAAAGACACAGACTGGCAAATTGGATAAAGAGTCAAGACCCATCAGTGTGCTGTATTCAGGAAACCCATCTCACGTGCAGAGACACAAATAGGCTCAAAATAAAAGATTGGAGGAAGATCTACCAAGCAAATGGAAAACAAAAAAAGGCAGGGGTTGCAATCCTAGTCTCTGATAAAACAGACTTTAAACCAACAAAGATCAAAAGACACAAAGAAGGCCATTACATAATGGTAAAGAGATCAATTCAACAAGAAGAGCTAACTATCCTAAATATATATCCTAAATATATATCCCAATACAGGAGCACCCAGATTCATAAAGCAAGCCCTGAGTGACCTACAAAGAGACTTAGACTCCCACACATTAATAATGGGAGATGTTAACACCGCACTGTCAACATTAGACAGATCATGAGACAGAAAGTCAACAAGGATACCCAGGAATTGAACTCAGCTCTGCACCAAGCGGACCTAATAGACATCTACAGAACTCTCCACCCCAAATCAACAGAATATACATTTTTTTCAGCACCACACCACACCTATTCCAAAACTGACCACATACTTGGAAGTAAAGCTCTCCTCAGCAAGTGTAAAAGAAAAGAAATTATAACAAACTATCTCTCAGACCACAGTGCAATCAAACTAGAACTCAGGAATAAGAATCTCACTCAAAACCACTCAACTACATGGAAACTGAACAACATGCTCCTGAATGACTACTGGGTACATAACAAAATGAAGGCAGAAATAAAGATGTTCTTTGAAACCAATAAGAACAAACATACAACATACCAGAATCTCTGGGACACATTCAAAGCACTGTGTAGAGGGAAATTTATAGCACTAAATGCCCACAAGAGAAAGCAGAAAAGATCCAGAATTGACACCCTAACATCACAATTAAAAGAACTAGAAAAGCAAGAGCAAACGTATTCAAAAGCTAGCAGAAGGCAAGAAATAACTAAAATCAGAGCAGAACTGAAGGAAATAGAGGCACAAAAAACCCTTCAAAAAATTAATCAATCCAGGAGCTGGTTTTTTGAAATGATCAACAAAACTGATAAACCGCTAGCAAGACTAATAAAGAAAAAAAGAGAGAAGAATCAAATAGACACAATAAAAAATGATAAACGGGATACCACCACCGATCACACAGAAATACAAACTACCATCAGAGAATACTACGAACACCTCTACGCAAATAAACCAGAAAATCTAGAAGAAATGGATAAATTCCTAGACACATACACTCTCCCAAGACTAAACCAGGAAGAAGTTGAATCTCTGAATAGACCAATAACAGGATCTGAAATTGTGGCAGTAATCAATAGCTTACCAACCAAAAAGAGTCCAGGATCAGATGGATTCACAGCCAAATTCTACCAGAGGTACTAGGAGGAGCTGGTACCATTCCTTCTGAAACTATTCCAATCAATAGAAAAAGAGGGAATCCTCCCTAACTCATTTTATGAAGCCAGCATCATCTTGATACCAAAGCCTGGCAGAGACACAACCAAAAAAGAGAATTTTAGATCAATATCCTTGATGAACATTGATGCAAAAATCCTCAATAAAATACTGGCAAAACGAATCCAGCAGCACATCAAAAAGCTTATCCACCATCATCAAGTGGGCTTCATCCCTGGGATGCAAGGCTGGTTCAATATATGCAAATCAATAAATGTAACCAGCATATAAACAGAACCAAAGACAAAAACCACATGATTATCTCAATAGATGCACAAAAGGCCTTTGACAAAATTCAACAACTCTTCATGCTAAAAACTCTGAATAAATTAGGTATTGATGGGACGTATTTCAAAATAATAAGAGCTATCTATGGCAAACCCACAGCCAATATCATACTGAATGGGCAAAAACTGGAAGCATTCCCTTTGAAAACTGGCACAAGACAGGGATGCCCTCTCTCACCACTCCTATTCAACATAGTGTTGGAAGTCTTGGCCAGGGCAATTAGGCAGGAGAAGGAAATAAAGGGTATTCAATTAGGAAAAGAGGAAGTCAAATTGTCCCTGTTTGCAGATGACATGATTGTATATCTGGAAAACCCCTTGTCTCAGCCCAAAATCTCCTTAAGCTGATAAGCAACTTCAGCAAAGTCTCAGGATACAAGATCAATGTGCAAAAATCACAAGCATTCTTATACACCAAGAACAGACAAACATAGAGCCAAATCATGAGTGAACTCCCATTCACAATTGCTTCAAAGAGAATAAAATACCTAGGAATCCAAATTACAAGGGATGTGAAGGACCTTTTCAAGGAGAACCTCAAACCACTGCTCAAGGAAATAAAAGAGGATAAAAACAAATGGAAGAACATTCCATGCTCATGGGTAGAAAGAATCAATATCGTGAAAATGGCCATACTGCCCAAGGTAATTTACAGATTCAATGCCATCCCCATCAAGCTACCAATGACGTTCTTCACAGAATTGGAAAAAACTACTTTCAAGTTCATATGGAACCAAAAAAGAGCCCGCATCGCCAAGTCAATCCTAAGTCAAAAGAACAAAGCTGGAGGCATCACACTACCTGACTTCAAACTATACTACAAAGCTACAGTAACCAAAACAGCATGGTACTGGTACCAAAACAGAGATATAGATCAATGGAACAGAACAGAGCCCTCAGAAATAATGCCGCATATGTACAACTATCTGATCTTTGACAAACCTGACAAAAACAAGCATTGGGGAAAGGATTCCCTATTTAATAAATGGTGCTGGAAAACTGGCTAGCCATATGTAGAAAGCTGAAACTGGATCCCTTCCTTACACCTTATACAAAAATTAATTCAAGATGGTTTAAAGACTTACATGTTAGACCTAAAACCATAAAAACCCTAGAAGAAAACCTAAGCATTACTATTCAGGACATAGGCATGGGCAAGGACTTCATGTCTAAAACACCAAAAGCAATGGCAACAAAAGCCAAAATTGACAAATGGGATCTAATTCAACTAAAGAGCTTCTGCACAGCAAAAGAAACTACCATCAGAGTGAACAGGCAACCTACAAAATGGGAGAAAATTTTCACAACCTACTCATCTGACAAAGGGCTAATATCCAGAATCTACAATGAACTCAAATAAATTTACAAGAAAAAAACAAACAACCCCATCAAAAAGTGGGCAAAGGACATGAACAGACACTTCTCAAAAGAAGACATTTATGCAGCCAAAAAACACAGGAAAAAATGCTCACCATCACTGGCCATCAGAGAAATGCAAATCAAAACCACAATGAGATACCATCTCACACCAGTTAGAATGGCAATCATTAAAAAGTCAGGAAACAACAGGTGCTGGAGAGGATGTGGAGAAATAGGAACACTTTTACACTGTTGGTGGGACTGTAAACTAGTTCAACCATTGTGGAAGTCAGTGTGGCGATTCCTCAGGGATCTAGAACTAGAAATACCATTTGACCCAGCCATCCCATTACTGGGTATGTACCCAAAGGATTATAAATCATGCTGCTATAAAGACACATGCACACATATGTTTATTGAGGCACTAGTCACACTAGCAAAGGCTTGGAACCAACCCAAATGTCCAACAACAATAGACTGGATTAAGAAAATGTGGCACATATACACCATGGAATACTATGCAGCCATAAAAAATGATGGGTTCATGTCCTTTGTAGGGACATGGATGAAATTGGAAATCAGCATTCTCAGTAAACTATCGTAAGAACAAAAAACCAAACACTGCATATTCTCACTCATAGGCGGGAATTGAACAATGAGAACACAGGGACACAGGAAGGGGAACATCACACTCTGGGGACTGTTTTGGGGTGGGGGGAGGGGCGAGGGATAGCACTGGGAGATACACCTAATGCTAGATGACGAGTTAGTGGGTGCAGCGCACCAGCATGGCACATGTATACATATGTAACTAACTTGCACATTGTGCACGTGTACCCTAAAACTTAAGGTATAATAATAATAAATAAAAGTAAATAAATAAATAAATAATATATAAGACTAAAAAAAATACTGAATTAAAAGGGACTGAATAAATGAGCAAAATAATTGCTCTGAAAGAAAAGAGTTAGTAGGGAAAAACTGGGAGCTGATAAGAGGAAACCATCTCTCTTTGGATTCCATTATTTAAGGGTCAAAAACTTGCAGTATAGTGAAAACATAGTCCTAATTCCGTTTCCTAACAAACAGGAAGTGTCAGGATGAGAGAAGGCGAACACTTATATTGTGATGTCAATATCACACACAGCCCTATAGAATAAGGTCAAAGTCATGGTGATACAATCTGCTACAAAGTGTAACAGTGAATCCACCTGCATAATTTCCATTCATCAATGTGTGAATGCTACCATGAGGAACTGGTAAAAACAATAAAATTACTGAAGTCAGCAATACACCCAATTCAGTGCCCCCTATACACTGTACACGCCAAACACACAGCTCTCTCCACCGTCTAGCCCCAATTACCTTTCCCATTGAGATCTCACAGATCTTCTCTCTCTCCTTGAACAAGCCTTTCTCCAAGAGAATTTGCCTGACTTTGTTTGCCACCAAGACACTGAAGACACTACTTTGACCTCAGCTCTTGGCCACAGAGTTCCAATTGCTCACATCTATGCTGCTGGGATGTTACCTTTAGACTGAGTTGTTCTCCCGAGCCTCCCTTGCTAGGCAACTCAGGTTGATATTCATTTCTACCATGCATCTACTTCACTTTCTTTATTGAAAATCAGATGCACTGATACCTTTTACCCAATGCATTGTTTCCTTAACTTATATTATCATAAGAAGAAAATACTAAAATTAATTATTCCTAAGCATAGACATTCAGTGTTTCCTAAGGAAGTTTCCAGAAAACTGTCTTTTAAGTAAATATTCAGGGGATTCTCATATCTGTTCTCTACACTGTTTGTACCCTATAAATGCTGAATAAAAAGGGGGTGATTAATTGAAGAAGTCTGTAAAGTACTGCTTTGCTCTTTTCCCAAACTCCTGCACTCAGCCTGCATTACCTGTTTCTTGCTGGACTTGTGGCCACTAAGTCATCATAATGAAAGATCTTACATCCCTGGTTTTCAATCTTGCCTGCACATTAGACTGACTTACTTTTTGGAAAACACCAATACTAACCCACATCCTATGCCAAACACATCAGAATCACTGGGTGTAAAACCCAGATACTACTATCTTTTAAAGCTCCTAGGTTATTCCAGTGTGAGAAACACTATCTTTTAATAACCCATTTATGCCTAACGTTGCAACTTTTTCGATTTTGAAATCAGACCTTGGTGATGACCTTGAGCAGTAGGATATAATTAACTCCCACATGCTTAGAGTTCCAGTAATGGGACACTAGGCATAAATGGGTTAATGTATGTTTACACTACTATTCTTTGGATAGCAGAGAAGTAGGATATGTCCCATTTATCCCACCTCCACTCTCACCTTTGTGACTCCAAGAATGTCTTCCTACTTCCTCTCTATGAGTTCATGTTAATTTGTTTAATCTTTCAAAGTTCAGCTGGAGCTCTGCTCCCTTTCCGGGGCTTCTCTTCACTTACTTTCTATTTTGTGAAAGTAGAGCCTTACATGTTCTAACTGTCCGATCCCACCTTATGCTAAACCATTATCACCTCCCTTATGGGCACAGTTCTACTATATCCCCTCTCAGTTACAGCCCATTCTCCATACAGCAGCCAGAGCAAGAAGTTTAAAACTCCTAAAGTTCACCAAAGAATTCCCACTGTATTGAAAGTCCTACCCACTGGAACAGGTGTTTCCTCTGTCTCCTCTCTGGCCTCATCACTCACCCTCTATTCCTTACTTGCTCTGCTCCACAGCCACACTGGCTGTTTCTGCTCACTGAACTTTCTGCCTCAAACCAATCTGGATGGCTCCACTCCTTCAGGAGTCAACTCAAACATTCCCTTCTGAATAAAGGCTTCCTGACGATCCAGTCTAAATTAGTGGCCCTGCTCTATCTCCAGGTACTCCATCACTTCAATCTGGCTTATTTTGTTCACAGCTTTTAACATTCAGTTTTCTTGCTTACAGGTTTACTTTTTAATGTCTACATCCTCCATGCTAATATAAATTGTATTACTTTTGTCTTGTTCCTGGTAGACTTCCAGAAATCAAAGTGTTTTGGCTGAATAAAGAAATGAATCAATCAATGAACAAATGAACATGCATATAACCCAAGAAAAAACTATATGCATGATGTGTAGTATCTTTATACATGACTACTTTAGGAGCTCATACCTTTCTAACTATATCATAAGCTCCTAATGAGTAGTAAGCAGACTTTTTCTTCTTTTACAATCTTTAGAACTAAGCTAGTGTAATACATTTAAGTACCTATTAATTATTTTGGCTATTTTAGAACATCTTCATTATTGTATTGAAAAATATTTTTTTAACTTTCAGTTACCTATATAATCATCCAACCAATAAACATCTATCTAAATTGAATGTTTACTATATCACACCTGAACAAGCACAACAAGTCTGCAATTTTAATTCACCTTCCAATTCTTTCACCTTTCACCTTCACTCTCTCAACCACATTCGTCTTACTAGGTACTGTGCAACTTATAAATCTTACAATTACAGTCTCTGCCTGTATGTGGGCATTGATTAGTCTGATAGAGAGTCAAGCATGTTTTTCTCTAACTAATGTACATCTGTTACGATCAAAGAGACAGAGATTTCAATCAGGAAACTCCTGCGAGGATGCTCCAAGTCTGAGCTGCTTCTCCAGGGGTAAGGCCTTACTGTGACCAGAACATTTTTTAAAGTGGGCCTTATATAGGCTTATGGTTTATGGATTCTGGTTTCAAGATTTCATTTAATGTTTTTACATCTGACACATCAAAACCTGTCCATGAAATGTAGGCTTTGTTTAAAAGCTATCAAAAACTTCACTGTGAAAGACCAGAATCAAATAATTTATTTTCTAAAACCTTACTGACAATCACAGATACCAAAGAAATTGCTTTCTATGAAACAGAGGACAAGAAAGCACAAACTTCAGAAAATCACAGTGATTACTATATTTTGCTAGTATTACATGAAATATGATCACAGTGGGCAATACTGTCTTCCAACACCTTCTTCTTATTTATTTTGGAATCAATAGTTCAGACTGTCCCTGGTAAATGCTAAACATATATCTTCAAATAACTTAGCCTTTGCCAAGGAAATAATCTCATAGTCCTAGGATACATAAAACATTCATAAAATCCCCTTTAATCTTCACTTCTGAGGACAAATGATAGTGTTTCTCCAAAGCGCTGAAGATTATAATATAGGCCATAATATGCATCAGTCATCCTACTAGTGCCTTTCAAGGTCTTGATGCATTTACCTCCTTTTCCCCCAGGGTGCCAGGAATACCCATAAATTCTGTTGATCCAAGTAGGTGGACTCTGTTCTGACCTTCACTAACCCTGGAGGGTCCAGAATCACCACTCACATCTGAGAGACCCTCTCCCGTTTTTGTGGAGGTATCACCCCAAGAGAAATCTAACAATGGATCTTGCAGGTACCAAAAAAAATTGTAATTGTTGGCTTATTAAACACATGTCCCCCTTCCCTCCCAAGAGTATCTTTAGTCCTTATAAAGAACAAAGTAATTAAATAGCATATACATACATCATTGTTGGATAAAACGTTATTTATTTAAAGCACCAATTTCAAAATCTTGAATCCCTTTTGAGCACTCCTTTTTATTCTCTCCTACAGCTAGTCAGTTATTAAATAAGCTTATTTTTGTCTGTTACAAAATGCACCACACTGAAATCTTTACCCTTTAGCCTTGCTAGCATCCTAGTCCATTCTCTTCTCATCATGCTTAGAATACACCTATCTTCTCCTAGCAGATTTTCCTGTTTTAGTTCCTTCCTCTCTCCTACATCCCACACACAACTGGTGTAGATTTTACACCAGGCCTATTACACGGTCCTTTAATGTCTCCCCTCTGTTTAATGTCTTAGGGCAAACCTCATAAGAACAATCATATTTTGTGCCCTGGACATACTAAATCCAAACCTCAGGATGTTCTTCCCTTCCTGGGTTGTAGAAACCCCTGCTTATTGATGCTCTACGCTTCCTTGTTCACATGCTGTCTCTTCTCTGAAAATCCCTAACCACATGCCCGCAGTTTTCTTTCCATTAATATTCTATGACACTCACTGCCAGTCTCAGGTGTTTGGATCTTCCACATATATATGCTGTGGGGAAAAGCAAGAGAGATCAGATTGTTACTGTGTCTGTGTAGAAAGAAGTAGACATAGGAGACTCCATTTTGTTATGTACTAAGAAAAATTCTTCTGCCTTGAGATTCTGTGACCTTACCCCCAACCCCGTGCTCTCTGAAATGTGTGCTGTGTCAACTCAGAGTTAAATGGATTAAGGGCGGTGCAGGATGTGCTTTGTTAAACAGATGCTTGAAGGCAGCATGCTCCTTAAGAGTCATCACCACTCCCTAATCTCAAGTACCCAGGGACACAAAAACTGCGGAAGGCCGCAGGGACCTCTGCCTAGGAAAGCCAGGTATTGTCCAAGGTTTCTCCCCATGTGATAGTCTGAAATATGGCCTCGTGGGAAGGGAAAGACCTGACCGTCCCCCAGCCTGACACCCGTAAAGGGTCTGTGCTGAGGAGGATTAGTAAAAGAGGAAGGAATGCCTCTTGCAGTTGAGACAAGAGGAAGGCATCTGTCTCCTGCCTGTCCCTGGGCAATGGAATGTCTCGGTATAAAACCCGATTGTATGCTCCATCTACTGAGATAGGGAAAAACCGCCTTAGGGCTGGAGGTGGGACCTGCGGGCAGCAATACTGCTTTGTAAAGCACTGAGATGTTTATGTGTATGCATATCTAAAAGCACAGCACTTAATCCTTTACATTGTCTATGATGCCAAGACCTTTGTTCACATGTTTGTCTGCTGACCCTCTCCCCACAATTGTCTTGTGACCCTGACACATCCCCCTCTTTGAGAAACACCCACAGATGATCAATAAATACGAAGGGAACTCAGAGGCTGGCGGGATCCTCCATATGCTGAACGCTGGTTCCCCGGGTCCCCTTATTTCTTTCTCTATACTTTGTCTCTGTGTCTTTTTCTTTTCCAAATCTCTCGTCCCACCTTACGAGAAACACCCACAGGTGTGTAGGGGCAACCCACCCCTACATCTGGTGCCCAACGTGGAGGCTTTTCTCTAGGGTGAAGGTACGCTCGAGCGTGGTCATTGAGGACAAGTCGACGAGAGATCCCGAGTACGTCTACAGTCAGCCTTACGGTAAGCTTGTGCGCTCGGAAGAAGCTAGGGTGATAATGGGGCAAACTAAAAGTAAAATTAAAAGTAAATATGCCTCTTATCTCAGCTTTATTAAAATTCTTTTAAAAAGAGGGGGAGTTAAAGTATCTACAAAAAATCTAATCAAGCTATTTCAAATAATAGAACAATTTTGCCCATGGTTTCCAGAACAAGGAACTTTAGATCTAAAAGATTGGAAAAGAATTGGTAAGGAACTAAAACAAGCAGGTAGGAAGGGTAATATCATTCCACTTACAGTATGGAATGATTGGGCCATTATTAAAGCAGCTTTAGAACCATTTCAAACAGAAGAAGATAGTATTTCAGTTTCTGATGCCCCTGGAAGCGGTATAATAGATTGTAATGAAAAGACAAGGAAAAAATCCCAGAAAGAAACCGAAAGTTTACATTGCGAATATGTAGCAGAGCCGGTAATGGCTCAGTCAACGCAAAATGTTGACTATAATCAATTACAGGAGGTGATATATCCTGAAACGTTAAAATTAGAAGGAAAAGGTCCAGAATTAGTGGGGCCATCAGAGTCTAAACCACGAGGCACAAGTCCTCTTCCAGCAGGTCAGGTGCCTGTAACATTACAACCTCAAAAGCAGGTTAAAGAAAATAAGACCCAACCGCCAGTAGCCTATCAATACTGGCCTCCGGCTGAACTTCAGTATCGGCCACCCCCAGAAAGTCAGTATGGATATCCAGGAATGCCCCCAGCACCACAGGGCAGGGCGCCATACCCTCAGCCGCCCACTAGGAGACTTAATCCTACGGCACCACCTAGTAGACAGGGTAGTGAATTACATGAAATTATTGATAAATCAAGAAAGGAAGGAGATACTGAGGCATGGCAATTCCCAGTAACGTTAGAACCGATGCCACCTGGAGAAGGAGCCCAAGAGGGAGAGCCTCCCACAGTTGAGGCCAGATACAAGTCTTTTTCGATAAAAATACTAAAAGATATGAAAGAGGGAGTAAAACAGTATGGACCCAACTCCCCTTATATGAGGACATTATTAGATTCCATTGCTCATGGACATAGACTCATTCCTTATGATTGGGAGATTCTGGCAAAATCGTCTCTCTCACCCTCTCAATTTTTACAATTTAAGACTTGGTGGATTGATGGGGTACAAGAACAGGTCCGAAGAAATAGGGCTGCCAATCCTCCAGTTAACATAGATGCAGATCAACTATTAGGAATAGGTCAAAATTGGAGTACTATTAGTCAACAAGCATTAATGCAAAATGAGGCCATTGAGCAAGTTAGAGCTATCTGCCTTAGAGCCTGGGAAAAAATCCAAGACCCAGGAAGTACCTGCCCCTCATTTAATACAGTAAGACAAGGTTCAAAAGAGCCCTATCCTGATTTTGTGGCAAGGCTCCAAGATGTTGCTCAAAAGTCAATTGCCGATGAAAAAGCCCGTAAGGTCATAGTGGAGTTGATGGCATATGAAAACGCCAATCCTGAGTGTCAATCAGCCATTAAGCCATTAAAAGGAAAGGTTCCTGCAGGATCAGATGTAATCTCAGAATATGTAAAAGCCTGTGATGGAATCGGAGGAGCTATGCATAAAGCTATGCTTATGGCTCAAGCAATAACAGGAGTTGTTTTAGGAGGACAAGTTAGAACATTTGGAGGAAAATGTTATAATTGTGGTCAAATTGGTCACTTAAAAAAGAATTGCCCAGTCTTAAACAAACAGAATATAACTATTCAAGCAACTACAACAGGTAGAGAGCCACCTGACTTATGTCCAAGATGTAAAAAAGGAAAACATTGGGCTAGTCAATGTCGTTCTAAATTTGATAAAAATGGGCAACCATTGTCGGGAAACGAGCAAAGGGGCCAGCCTCAGGCCCCACAACAAACTGGGGCATTCCCAATTCAGCCATTTGTTCCTCAGGGTTTTCAGGGACAACAACCCCCACTGTCCCAAGTGTTTCAGGGAATAAGCCAGTTACCACAATACAACAATTGTCCCCCGCCACAAGTGGCAGTGCAGCAGTAGATTTATGTACTATACAAGCAGTCTCTCTGCTTCCAGGGGAGCCCCCACAAAAAATCCCTACAGGGGTATATGGCCCCCTGCCTGAGGGGACTGTAGGACTAATCTTGGGAAGATCAAGTCTAAATCTAAAAGGAGTTCAAATTCATACTAGTGTGGTTGATTCAGACTATAAAGGCGAAATTCAGTTGGTTATTAGCTCTTCAGTTCCTTGGAGTGCCAGTCCAGGAGACAGGATTGCTCAATTATTACTCCTGCCATATATTAAGGGTGGAAATAGTGAAATAAAAAGAATAGGAGGGCTTGGAAGCACTGATCCAACAGGAAAGGCTGCATATTGGGCAAGTCAGGTCTCAGAGAACAGACCTGTGTGTAAGGCCATTATTCAAGGAAAACAGTTTGAAGGGTTGGTAGACACTGGAGCAGATGTCTCTATCATTGCTTTAAATCAGTGGCCAAAAAATTGGCCTAAACAAAAGGCTGTTACAGGACTTGTCGGCATAGGCACAGCCTCAGAAGTGTATCAAAGTATGGAGATTTTACATTGCTTAGGGCCAGATAATCAAGAAAGTACTGTTCAGCCAATGATTACTTCAATTCCTCTTAATCTGTGGGGTCGAGATTTATTACAACAATGGGGTGCGGAAATCACCATGCCCGCTCCATTATATAGCCCCACGAGTCAAAAAATCATGACCAAGAGGGGATATATACCAGGAAAGGGACTAGGGAAAAATGAAGATGGCATTAAAATTCCATTTGAGGCTAAAATAAATCAAAAAAGAGAAGGAATAGGGTATCCTTTTTAGGGGCGGCCACTATAGAGCCTCCTAAACCCATACCATTAACTTGGAAAACAGAAAAACCGGTGTGGGTAAATCAGTGGCCGCTACCAAAACAAAAACTGGAGGCTTTACATTTATTAGCAAATGAACAGTTAGAAAAGGGTCATATTGAGCCTTCGTTCTCACCTTGGAATTCTCCTGTGTTTGTAATTCAGAAGAAATCAGGCAAATGGCGTATGTTAACTGACTTAAGGGCTGTAAACGCCGTAATTCAACCCATGGGGCCTCTCCAACCCGGGTTGCCCTCTCCGGCCATGATCCCAAAAGATTGGCCTTTAATTATAATTGATCTAAAGGATTGCTTTTTTACCATCCCTCTGGCAGAGCAGGATTGTGAAAAATTTGCCTTTACTATACCAGCCATAAATAATAAAGAACCAGCCACCAGGTTTCAGTGGAAAGTGTTACCTCAGGGAATGCTTAATAGTCCAACTATTTGTCAGACTTTTGTAGGTCGAGCTCTTCAACCAGTTAAAGTTTTCAGACTGTTATATTATTCATTATATTGATGATATTTTATGTGCTGCAGAAACGAAAGATAAATTAATTGACTGTTATACATTTCTGCAAGCAGAGGTTGCCAATGCTGGACTGGCAATAGCATCTGATAAGATCCAAACCTCTACTCCTTTTCATTATTTAGGGATGCAGATAGAAAATAGAAAAATTAAGCCACAAAAAATAGAAATAAGAAAAGACACATTAAAAACACTAAATGATTTTCAAAAATTACTAGGAGATATTAATTGGATTTGGCCAACTCTAGGCATTCCTACTTATGCCATGTCAAATTTGTTCTCTATCTTAAGAGGAGACTCAGACTTAAATAGTAAAAGAATGTTAACCCCAGAGGCAACAAAAGAAATTAAATTAGTGGAAGAAAAAATTCAGTCAGCGCAAATAAATAGAATAGATCCCTTAGCCCCACTCCAACTTTTGATTTTTGCCACTGCACATTCTCCAACAGGCATCATTATTCAAAATACTGATCTTGTGGAGTGGTCATTCCTTCCTCACAGTACAGTTAAGACTTTTACACTGTACTTGGATCAAATAGCTACATTAATCGGTCAGACAAGATTACGAATAATAAAATTATGTGGAAATGACCCAGACAAAATAGTTGTCCCTTTAACCAAGGAACAAGTTAGACAAGCCTTTATCAATTCTGGTGCATGGAAGATTGGTCTTGCTAATTTTGTGGGAATTATTGATAATCATTACCCAAAAACAAAGATCTTCCAGTTCTTAAAATTGACTACTTGGATTCTACCTAAAATTACCAGACGTGAACCTTTAGAAAATGCTCTAACAGTATTTACTGATGGTTCCAGCAATGGAAAAGCAGCTTACACAGGGCCGAAAGAACGAGTAATCAAAACTCCATATCAATCGGCTCAAAGAGCAGAGTTGGTTGCAGTCATTACAGTGTTACAAGATTTTGACCAACCTATCAATATTATATCAGATTCTGCATATGTAGTACAGGCTACAAGGGATGTTGAGACAGCTCTAATTAAATATAGCATGGATGATCAGTTAAACCAGCTATTCAATTTATTACAACAAACTGTAAGAAAAAGAAATTTCCCATTTTATATTACTCATATTCGAGCACACACTAATTTACCAGGGCCTTTGACTAAAGCAAATGAACAAGCTGACTTACTGGTATCATCTGCACTCATAAAAGCACAAGAACTTCATGCTTTGACTCATGTAAATGCAGCAGGATTAAAAAACAAATTTGATGTCACATGGAAACAGGCAAAAGATATTGTACAACATTGCACCCAGTGTCAAGTCTTACACCTGCCCACTCAAGAGGCAGGAGTTAATCCCAGAGGTCTGTGTCACGCATGTACCTTCATTTGGAAGATTATCATATGTTCATGTAACAGTTGATACTTATTCACATTTCATATGGGCAACTTGCCAAACAGGAGAAAGTACTTCCCATGTTAAAAAACATTTATTGTCTTGTTTTGCTGTAATGGGAGTTCCAGAAAAAATCAAAACTGACAATGGACCAGGATATTGTAGTAAAGCTTTCCAAAAATTCTTAAGTCAGTGGAAAATTTCACATACAACAGGAATTCCTTATAATTCCCAAGGACAGGCCATAGTTGAAAGAACTAATAGAACACTCAAAACTCAATTAGTTAAACAAAAAGAAGGGGGAGACAGTAAGGAGTGTACCACTCCTCAGATGCAACTTAATCTAGCACTCTATACTTTAAATTTTTTAAACATTTATAGAAATCAGACTACTACTTCTGCAGAACAACATCTTACTGGTAAAAAGAACAGCCCACATGAAGGAAAACTAATTTGGTGGAAAGATAATAAAAATAAGACATGGGAAATAGGGAAGGTGATAACGTGGGGGAGAGGTTTTGCTTGTGTTTCACCAGGAGAAAATCAGCTTCCTGTTTGGATACCCACTAGACCTTTGAAGTTCTACAATGAACCCATCAGAGATGCAAAGAAAAGCACCTCCGCGGAGACGGAGACACCGCAATCGAGCACCGTTGACTCACAAGATGAACAAAATGGTGACGTCAGAAGAACAGATGAAGTTGCCATCCACCAAGAAGGCAGAGCCGCCGACTTGGGCACAACTAAAGAAGCTGACGCAGTTAGCTACAAAATATCTAGAGAACACAAAGGTGACACAAACCCCAGAGAGTATGCTGCTTGCAGCCTTGATGATTGTATCAATGGTGGTAAGTCTCCCTATGCCTGCAGGAGCAGCTGCAGCTAACTATACCAACTGGGCCTATGTGCCTTTCCCGCCCTTAATTCGGGCAGTCACATGGATGGATAATCCTATAGAAGTATATGTTAATGATAGTGTATGGGTACCTGGCCCCATAGATGATCGCTGCCCTGCCAAACCTGAGGAAGAAGGGATGATGATAAATATTTCCATTGGGTATCGTTATCCTATTTGCCTAGGGAGAGCACCAGGATGTTTAATGCCTGCAGTCCAAAATTGGTTGGTAGAAGTACCTATTGTCAGTCCCATCTGTAGATTCACTTATCACATGGTAAGCGGGATGTCACTCAGGCCACGGGTAAATTATTTACAAGACTTTTCTTATCAAAGATCACTAAAATTTAGACCTAAAGGGAAACCTTGCCCCAAGGAAATTCCCAAAGAATCAAAAAATACAGAAGTTTTAGTTTGGGAAGAATGTGTGGCCAATAGTGCGGTGATATTACAAAACAATGAATTTGGAACTATTATAGATTGGACACCTCAAGGTCAATTCTACCACAATTGCTCAGGACAAACTCAGTCGTGTCCAAGTGCACAAGTGAGTCCAGCTGTTGATAGCGACTTAACAGAAAGTTTAGACAAACATAAGCATAAAAAATTGCAGTCTTTCTACCCTTGGGAATGGGGAGAAAAAGGAATCTCTACCCCAAGACCAAAAATAATAAGTCCTGTTTCTGGTCCTGAACATCCAGAATTATGGAGGCTTACTGTGGCCTCACACCACATTAGAATTTGGTCTGGAAATCAAACTTTAGAAACAAGAGATCGTAAGCCATTTTATACTGTCGACCTAAATTCCAGTCTAACACTTCCTTTACAAAGTTGCGTAAAGCCCCCTTATATGCTAGTTGTAGGAAATATAGTTATTAAACCAGACTCCCAGACTATAACCTGTGAAAATTGTAGATTGCTTACTTGCATTGATTCAACTTTTAATTGGCAACACCGTATTCTGCTGGTGAGAGCAAGAGAGGGCGTGTGGATCCCTGTGTCCATGGACCGACCATGGGAGGCCTCACCATCCATCCATATTTTGACTGAAGTATTAAAAGGTGTTTTAAATAGATCCAAAAGATTCATTTTTACTTTAATTGCAGTGATTATGGGATTAATTGCAGTCACAGCTACGGCTGCTGTAGCAGGAGTTGCATTGCACTCTTCTGTTCAGTCAGTAAACTTTGTTAATGATGGGCAAAAAAATTCTACAAGATTGTGGAATTCACAATCTAGTATTGATCAAAAATTGGCAAATCAAATTAATGATCTTAGACAAACTGTCATTTGGATGGGAGACAGACTCATGAGCTTAGAACATCGTTTCCAGTTACAATGTGACTGGAATACGTCAGATTTTTGTATTACACCCCAAATTTATAATGAGTCTGAGCATCACTGGGACATGGTTAGACGCCATCTACAGGGAAGAGAAGATAATCTCACTTTAGACATTTCCAAATTAAAAGAACAAATTTTCGAAGCATCAAAAGCCCATTTAAATTTGGTGCCAGGAACTGAGGCAATTGCAGGAGTTGCTGATGGCCTCGCAAATCTTAACCCTGTCACTTGGGTTAAGACCATTGGAAGTACTACGATTATAAATCTCATATTAATCCTTGTGTGCCTGTTTTGTCTGTTGTTAGTCTGCAGGTGTACCCAACAGCTCCGAAGAGACAGCGACCATCGAGAACGGGCCATGATGACGATGGCGGTTTTGTCGAAAAGAAAAGGGGGAAATGTGGGGAAAAGCAAGAGAGATCAGATTGTTACTGTGTCTGTGTAGAAAGAAGTAGACATAGGAGACTCCATTTTGTTATGTACTAAGAAAAATTCTTCTGCCTTGAGATTCTGTGACCTTACCCCCAACCCCGTGCTCTCTGAAATGTGTGCTGTGTCAACTCAGAGTTAAATGGATTAAGGGCGGTGCAGGATGTGCTTTGTTAAACAGATGCTTGAAGGCAGCATGCTCCTTAAGAGTCATCACCACTCCCTAATCTCAAGTACCCAGGGACACAAAAACTGCGGAAGGCCGCAGGGACCTCTGCCTAGGAAAGCCAGGTATTGTCCAAGGTTTCTCCCCATGTGATAGTCTGAAATATGGCCTCGTGGGAAGGGAAAGACCTGACCGTCCCCCAGCCCGACACCCGTAAAGGGTCTGTGCTGAGGAGGATTAGTAAAAGAGGAAGGAATGCCTCTTGCAGTTGAGACAAGAGGAAGGCATCTGTCTCCTGCCTGTCCCTGGGCAATGGAATGTCTCGGTATAAAACCTGATTGTATGCTCCATCTACTGAGATAGGGAAAAACCGCCTTAGGGCTGGAGGTGGGACCTGCGGGCAGCAATACTGCTTTGTAAAGCACTGAGATGTTTATGTGTATGCATATCTAAAAGCACAGCACTTAATCCTTTACATTGTCTATGATGCCAAGACCTTTGTTCACGTGTTTGTCTGCTGACCCTCTCCCCACAATTGTCTTGTGACCCTGACACATCCCCCTCTTTGAGAAACACCCACAGATGATCAATAAATACGAAGGGAACTCAGAGGCTGGCGGGATCCTCCATATGCTGAACGCTGGTTCCCCGGGTCCCCTTATTTCTTTCTCTATACTTTGTCTCTGTGTCTTTTTCTTTTCCAAATCTCTCGTCCCACCTTACGAGAAACACCCACAGGTGTGTAGGGGCAACCCACCCCTACAATATGCTACTTCTTTCAACAAAGCTGTGAGTAAGCAAGTGACCTCCTGGTCACTTAAATGGACAGTCATCATTTTCTACCTTGCTTGACATCTCATCTGTTTCCTCATTCTGAAAATATTCTCCTTGTTCAACTTCCACATGACAACATGCAGTGTTTGGTTTTCTGTTCCAGAAAAATAAAGTAAAATAAAATTTTAAAAATATACATTCTCTTCACTTGGTTTATATGATATTACCTTTCCCAAAATTATCCTACCTAATTCACCTTTTCTACTTACCTTTTGCCAACTTTTATTCTCACCATTGTTCACCATCCCGACTGATACTACCCTTGCCCAAGTTACTCCCCTTTTTTGCCAATCCCAGGGCAATGAATTCTTAACTGGACTCCACACATTCAGCCTCACCCCTTGCCAATGTGTCTCATGATGGAGCCCAGTGGGTGGTCTTTTCAATTGCAAATCTTATTGTGTCACTCATCTGCTGACAATACCTCAATAAAAACTGCATTTTTTTCAAGCACACAGGTAATTCTAATGTGCAGCCAAGTTTGAGAATAACTCCTCTAACCATATTCACTTCCACACCTTGTGGTATTTCTTTTATCCAGAATATTCTCTTACCTCTCAAAACTCAGCTATCCTGATTGACTAATGTTCAATCTTCAGATTTTAATTTAAATGCTTCTCTTCAAGAAGGCCATCTCTGATAGTCTATATCTGATCTGATTCCCCTGTAATTGGCTCCCATGAAACCTGTTAATATACGTTAACCATCTGTTTTCTGCCTTTGACTGTAAACTCCAAAGAGAAAGTGCCATATCTGTTTTGCCAGTGTATTGCAAGCACTTAGCATGGTGCCAGGCACAAGGTGAGTGCTCAGAAATTTCTGCTAAAAGAATCTTATAACAATATTCTTTAAAAACGTATTACAAAAGTTCAGAGGTGAAAAGATTATGTCACTGTGGAATCACATAAATTACTCTTTTCTTAAAAGCTCACAAAACTGTGTAAAAATATATCAAACCAGACAACCGAGAAATAGAAAAAAAAATTGTAACCGGCCAATTTTCAACCAAGAAATTAAATGCCTTTCATTTCGCCATTGAATAAAATATTTGAAGCATGACATAATAACTCATCACGTGACGTTAAGTATATGAACTAACTATAGGCTTGTTATGAAGACAAGAATTATTCACACACTGAAGTTTGGAGACATACGTGATTCCATAGCTAACACTCTTTTTAAGTATAGTCTATCTGCCAGTAAAGCCCAAATGAGAACTCTGTAAGTACATTAGGGATATGGCCAAAAGCCATATGCTTGATTCTGCAGAGTCTATTATCTAGCATAGGAAGACAAAACAAAAATATGCCTAATTCTGAAAAAGAAGCACAGCCAAAAAAAGCTCACTGGTCAATCATTACCCTGTCAAATATGATTAAAACGATAAAACTATAATTACTTTGGCACCAACCTAATATATTCTTATGATTAGTAAAAAGGAGAGCTCAAAGTCAATTTTCTGTAGATACCTTAATCAAACAGAACTCATTTCCACTGATTTTTACTATTGTGTTGGTCCTGAAAATAAAGTCCATTCTCAGGGGTTTTCTGGTTTTTATAACTAGTTAAAAACTAGTAAAACATCATAGCTTTAGTATTATCGTTCATCCATCACTCACTACAAAATCAGTGGTCTAGGAAATTAAATACACTTAACCAAGAGAGCAGAATAATCTCTTACCATTAAAACATAAAATTAACACACATTTTTTTTCCAGAAGAGAATAAACCAAACTAAATAGATTCGCCTCACCAGAATAAATGATTTCACACAACTCATACTGTATTCTGTTTAATTCATCAAACCCATGTTAGGTGTTGCAATGGAAGGGCACTGAAATAAGACTAAAAGGACTCAAGTGATAAATAAGGCATGGCTTCCTCCCATCAGAGAACTCAGGAAACGCAGGGCAACAACTGACTCTACTGCAAGGCAAAAAGGCATTTCTGTCAAACACAGGTCCAGGTGATACGCTAGAGGGTCACAGACAAATTAGTTCAAACTAGGGAAGGGCAAAAAATACTTGATATTGCATGAGTGTTGAGAGATCATGGAGCATTTATTGGGATGGGGGGCAGTCTTTCACACCAGGAAGAAGCACAGATGAGGGCACAGAGGCAGGGGCACCAAGCAATGGTGTGGAGAAAGTAGAGCTGGAGCAGAGGTAATGCACAGATAGGGATATGGGGCTGAAAAGAAATTCTGGGTGCACAATAGAGAGCGCCTTGAATGGAATCAGCTCCTAAATCACGTAAATCCATTCACTGTTTAAAACGTGGTCTTCACTGTTTAAGATATGATTTTAATTCATTGAAGCTCCTTTTTATTTTATAGACTAGATGCTACCTAGTTTATGAACTGCAAATAAAATGCCAATTAGATCTTTGAAACTAAATTTGTGGAAATGTTGTTTTTCACAGTGACAACCATAAACTGTTAAAGAAAGAAGTAAATGATATTACAATGTGTGAAATTTATGGAAAACCTCCCAAATGAGATAGTATTGTTTCAGACATTCATGTTATAAAGAAATAATAAAAATAGTTCAGAGTCAATTCTCAAAGTATAATAAAAAGAATTGACATTTTATAGACTATGGTGTTGTTTGCTTTACTTTTCTGTTTTGTTTTTTTTTTAAATTTTTAAGTGTTACATAGGTAAACTTGTGTCATGGAGTGTGTTGTACAGACAATTTCATCACAATAGCAAAGACATAGAATCAATCTAAATGCCCCTCAATTATAAACTAGATAAAGAAAATGTGGTACATATACAACATGGACTACTATGTAGCCATACAAAAGAATGAGATCATGTCTTTTGTAGGGACATAGATAGAGCTGGAGGCCATTATCCTTAGCAAACTAACACAGAAACAGAAAACCAAATACCACATATTCTTACTTATAAGTAGGAGCTAAATGATGGGAACACTTAAGACATGATCTTAACTGTGACAGAAAAAAAAACTGTAGAGGCAATAAGCATGGCAGACAACCTATTACGGGGGCTCCTGAAATAGGCAAGTAGAGATGATGTTTAACAGATGACAGAAATCACAAAGCTCATTGTGGAAGGGGAAGAACACTGAAAATTATATAACTGAGAAATCAGAACAAAAGAATAGCAATCAGATTAGAGCATCTTATAACAATACAGAAACGGAATCGAGAATGAAAATCAAGTTCCATTAATGTAACTCACAAAATCACTGAACACAGTAACACCTGAATTCCTACATTTTCTGAACAATTTATTCCTAAGAGAAGCAGACCCATAACACACTGAGGATCTTTCACTTTTGATTCTGGACTGAAACTGGAGAATGTGGCCATGATGCCCATCATTCAATTTCACTGGAAGAAAAAAACTCACACAACACTCTTAAATATTTGCCCTACCCTTTTCCACAACATAATCTACTTAACAGCTAGATTCAGTTGTTTATATAAGACAGAATTAAACAATAAAATTCTCAATTCCTTAAAACAAACAAACAAAAAAATTCTTAGGTTCTTCTGCTGCTAAGGAATTAATGAACTTACCATCAGATTATCAAGGCCAAGGGAGAAGAAAGCTAGTATTTATTTGTTGCCTATGTGACAGGAAGCAGTGTGTTAAGCATTCCTCATTAATCCTTAACCATAAGTTCCTCAATATCCAAACCATTGTCATCCTCATTTTTCAGAACAGGAGAGTGTGTATCATGGAGGTAAGCAACTTGCTCCAAAGAAGTTAGCTAATGTTGACAGAGCTAATATTCAAATTCAGATTCTTCTGACTCTAAAAGCCACTTTTTCTTATTGGAAAGAGTGCTCTTTCCAATAAGCACTGTGTCTCCAAGAATTCATCTTCGGCAACCCTAATGCTCCATCAATAATGCTTCTTCTTTTTTTTTTTTTTGAGATGGAGTCTCACTCTTTTGCCCAGGCTGGAATGCAGTGGCCCTATCTCGGCTCACTGCAAGCTCCGCCTCCCGGGTTTACGCCATTCTCCTGCCTCAGCCTCCCAAGTAGCTGGGACTACAGGCGCCCACCACCACACCCGGCTAGTTTTTTGTATTTTTAGTAGAGACGGGGTTTCACCATGTTAGCTAGGATGGTCTCCATCTCCTGACCTCGTGATCCACCTGCCTTAGCCTCCCAAAGTGCTGGGATTACAGGCATGAGCCACCGCACCCGGCCTCCTTTTGTTGTTCCTTTCTTCATTAATTTATACATGCTCATTCCTAAATTAATCACGGAGCACCTACTGGATGATAAATGTTGATTATGATCATTCATTAGTATCTATAAGTCTTTTATATTAAGCATGGCATTCTAAGCCTTGCCCTTTTCCTTATTCATATCTATTGTCAGAATGGTTGCTAACATCACACCACTTCTATTTATTTCCAAGACGTGTTCTAGTAAACATATAAATTCATGATATTCATGCCATAAAGTTATGTGTCTACTACTTTCTTTAAATATAAAAATCCTCATTAGTTGGGGAAAAAAAGCATGTACCACAGAACTACCTAAAAGATAATATCCCCATTATTTAAGTAAATTTAACAGCTTGGAACTGTTCGAAAAGTTGTTTATTAACAGTATTAATATTAAAATGTGTGAATTAAGACAAATGATGCCACAAGATTTTAGTGTAATTTTAACTAAAAATCATGTAGATATGTGTATGTGTGTGTATATGCAAACAAACAAAGTACCCTCTTAAACATTTACTTGTAAATCATGCAATAAAAAGCACCTCTGCATCAATTGATACAGGGTTTCTTGCAAATGTTCAGCGTACTGCCAATAATATTTCATAGCCAGCTTATATAAGAAGTCATCTACAAGGTGAATCAATGGAAGGAAAAATATTTACCCCTTTCTGAAAAGGCATTTTAACTAATCATGGGCTTCTGAGTATTACTACTAATTTAAGGACTCTTAACACCATAGAAATCATGGTACTATCATAAGGAGTTCTGTTTCAAAAGTATACCCCAAATGTTCAGTAAGCCACATATGATAACAAAAGGTAATACTGAAGAAGAGCAGAAATACAACTATTTCTAATTTTTTAAAGATGTACCTTATAATACTAGTTCTGAGAGTAGAAGAAACAGTCTACTTCTGCTAGTTACCTTTACAAGAGAAAAAAAGGGGGTTGGAATCAATGCTAGCTCTCATTTTACAGTTGCTCCGTATTCACTCAAGGGAGTTTGAGATTACCTCGAAGAGCCCAAGTCCAAACCCAGCTGTGCCAGCAGCACTTCCCAATATGCACAGAGACACCTCCAGCTGCCCACAGAACCACTACACCCTCACCATTGTCATTCATGCTCTCAAATCTCTGAGATTCATGTAGGAAAATATAGTCAAATGCATCCCCAAAAAGGTCCATGTCAGAAAGGTCCACATCAGTTCCTTCCATTCTCTTTCTCTTTCCGGCTTTATAAAGTACCAGTGACAAATAAAAATTATATATATCTTCAGTGTACAAGGTAATGTTGTGTTATATATACATATATATACACACACACATATATATACATATATACACATATACATATCTTGTGAAAGAATTAAATCAAGCTAATTAACATATATATCACCTCACATACTTAGCATTTTCTGTGGTAAGACTATTCAGTATCTACTCTTGGCAATTTTCATGGATATGGAACATTATTACTAACTACAGTCACTATACTGTACAACAGATCACCAGAATTTATTCATCCTAACTGAAACCCTTTGACTCTTTGAACAACATCTCTCTATTCTCCCCCAACTGTCAGCTCCTGAAAGAAAATATGGCATCATCTCACTTATATGTGGAATCTAAAAAAGCTGATCTCATAGAAGTAGAAAATAGAATGGGGGTTCCATTCTTTCTAATAGATAACTGTAGTGTACTTCAGAGAATATCCCAGTAAAATAAAAAGATTAAAATTAAGTGAGATGAATAATGAAAACTGCCAATGAGGGCATTTGGGTTGACTATAGAAAAAATAATAGTTCACCCTAAACCAGTGGTTCTCAATCTCAGTTGTATGTTGGAATAACCTAAGGACTATGAAAGAATCATGTCTCAGTCCAGACCCTAGATATTCTGAGGTAATTGGTCTGGGGTACAACCCAGGCATCAAGCCTTTTAACAGCTCCCCAAATGATTGTAATGCAGAGCTAGGGTTGAGAGTCACTGCCTAGAACTCTAGCCTTAAGTCTACCAATACAAAAGAGGCAAAGAGTTTCAGAAAGTCTTTTAAAAAAGAAAAATAAATTTTTAAAATAAAACTAATGTTATAAATCTAATTAATGACACTTTATTTTACCTTTTCTTTTTTTTTTTTTTTTTTTTTTGAGATGGAGTCTTGCTCTGTCACCAGGCTGGAGTGCAGTGGCACAATCTCAGCTCACTGCAATCTCCACCTCCCAGGTTCAAGCGATTCTCCTGCCTCAGCCTCCCAAGTAGCTGGGACTACAGGTGCGCACCACCACACCCAGCTAATTTTTGTATTCTTAGTAGAGACGGGGTTTCACCACGTTGGCCAGGATGGTCTTGATCTCTTGACCTCGTGATCTGCCTGCCTCGGCCTCCCAAAGTGCTGGGATTACAAGCAACACTTTATTTTTCATACCTATGGAAGCTCCTCAGCACTACTACAGGCCTGCCGGAATCCAGGTACAAAAGGCCTGGATTCATATGGTATTTACTGTTAAAAAGGTTAAATGAACAACTAAGTTTGCTGTCACTGTGTTCACCATCACAGACAACTGTGCATGGGCAAGGCACTTCTTTAAAGTGGGACTAGAAAAGTATAAATCACTGAGGCACACATGCCTCCAGGTCCAGCCCCCACTGTATCTCTCACCCTAGCAGACAACAGAGAGCTGCACAGCCACATAAAGCAGCCCACAGGCATGGACTTGGCCTGCTTTGGACTGATTTCTGCTCGGAAGACAAATAGGAGAAGATGCATTGTGGTTCACAGAATAAAAAATAAACACATGAGAATAAACACTCCCTAAAAATACACAGGTAGAAGTAACTTTGGAGTTATTAAAAGCACAGTTATTAACACATTTAGGTTTTAAATTTGCAAAATGCCATATAATTTGTATGAACTGGGTGTCAAGGCCATTCTGTCAAAAATACTGTTTTACAGAGAGAAATGAATTATACTAATTCCAGGAAAGAAGGTATTTTTTATTAGAATATCAAAGGATGAGAGAAAGGTGCCTAAATTCTGCATATCCTGTTTTATTAATAAGTTAGAAAAGTTCAAGTACTATAAAAAGTATGTATAAGGATCAGAAGCATTATTTTTACCAGTTACCTTTTCACCAACTAGTATTTGTGAAATTGATGTAAAATGTTAACATTTTACATGTATTATAATTTACATAGAAAAACTTACTCCATGAAAATAATTTCTGCTGCTTTATATTTACAAGCATAGTCAGAGATGATCATTTTAAATATCAAGCCCAGAAACATATTTGAGAAAACACTGGGTACAAGATCTCATGGAATCCAGCACCACAAGAGGACACAAATGCAACCTAATCTTTGTTCTTCGTGTGATGTATTAATTTTTAAAAGTAATGAGGAATTTTTAGAGCTCAGCTTTTTGAAACGTAAGAAACAGCTTCCTCTGGATGCAATCTTTTTCTTGTGTACTTTGAAGCACAAAAAAATAGCTGACATAGTCTGAATGTATTAAAGATATATAAGCAATATTTCTCTCCTAATATGAGAAAATTGAGAAAAACCAAAAACAAGAAATATTATCACACATTTATTACAAGATAATTAATAATGCCATAGAGGCAGAAAAGGTATGATATCTTTCCTCACCCTTTATAAGGGTCACGGTCAATATTACTGTAACAAAAGACAGGTGTGTTAGTCTGTTTACGTTGCTATAAATAAATTCCTAAAACAGGATAATTTATAAAGAAAATAAGTTTATTTGGCTCATGTTTCTGCAGGTTACACAAGAAACACAGTGCTGGCATCTGCTTCTGTTGAGGGCCTCAGGAACTTTATAATCATGACAGCAGGTGAAGGAGAGTCAGAGTGTCATGTGCCAAGAACAGGGGCAAGAGACAGGGGAGGTGTCACACTCTTTTAAACAACCAAATCTCACATGAACTCAGAGCAACCACTCATTCTTTACTGAGAGAAGGACATGATGTAATTCATGAGGGATCTGCTACCATGACACAAACACCTCCCACTAGGCCCCACCTTCAACACTGGGGATCACATTTCAACATGAGATTTGAAGGGAACAAATATCCAAACCATATAATTCTGTCTCTGGCACCCCAAATTTCATGTCCTTTCATTCCATAATACAATCATCTCTTCCCAATAGTCTCCAAAAGTCCCAACTTGTTTCAGCATCAACTTAAAGTCCAAAGTCTCATCTGAGACTCAAGACAAGTTCCTTCTACCTATGAGCCTGTAAAATCAAAAGTAAGTTATTTACTTCCAACATTGTATGGTACAGGTTCCCATTTCAGAGAAATCAGCCCAAAGGGGCAACAGATCCCATGCAAATCTAAAACCCAGCAGGCAGATATGAAATCTTAAAGTTTCAAAAAAATCCTTGATTCAGTGTCCCATATCCATGACATACTGGTGTAAGGGGTGGGCTCCCAAAGCCTTGGGCAGCTCCACCCCTGTGACTGCTCTCACTGGTTAGAGTTGAGTGCCTGCAGCTTTTCCAGGCTCAGGGTGCACGTTGCCAATGGCTCTAACATTCTCAAATCTGGAGGATGGCAGTCCCATTCTCACAGCTCCACTAGACAGTGCCCCAGTGGGAACTCTTGTGTGGGAGCTCCAATCCCAAATTTCCCTTCAATGCTGCCCTAGTAGAAGCTCTCTACAAGGGTTCCACCCCTGTAGCAGGCTTCTGGCTGGGTACCCAAGCTTTCCTACACATCCTTTGAAATCTAGGTGAAGGCTGCCAAGCCTCCTTCACTCTTCCATTGTATGCAACTGCAGCCTTAACACCAAGTGGAAGCTGCCAAGGCTTATGGCTTGCGCCCTCTAGAGCAGCAGCCTGAGCTGTATCTGGGGCCTTTTGAGCCACAGGTGGAGCTGTAGTAGCAGGGATGCAGTGAGTAGCTTCCCAAGGTGATGCACAGCAGCAGAGCCCTGGGCCTGACTCAGAAAACCATTCCTTCCTTCTAGGACTCTGGGCCTGTGATGGAAGGGGCTGTCTCCTCAGAGACTTCCGAAATGCTTTTGAGGCCCTTTTTCCCATTGTCTTGGATAGTAGCACTTGACTCCCTTTTAGTCAAGCAAATCTCTCTAGAAAGTGATTGCTCCACAGCCCACTTGAATTCCTCCCATGAAAACGCTCTTTCCTTGTCTAACTCATGGTCAGGATGAGAATTTTCCAAATTTGTATGCTCTGCTTCCCCTTTAAATGTAACTTCCAACTTTAAGTTATTACTTTGCTCTGACATCTGATAATAGGCAGTTAGAAGCAGCCACAGCACATCTTGAATGCTAAACATTACTGCTTAGAAATTTCTTCTACCAGATACTGCACATTATGACTCTTAAGCTCAAACTTCCACAGATCCGTAGGGCATGAACACAATGCAGTCAAGTTCTTTGCTAGGGTATAAAGTGGGTGACCTTTATCCAATTCCCAATAAATTCCTCATTTCCGTCTGAGGCCTCATCAGTCTGGCTTTCACTGTCCATATTTCTATCACCATTTCGGTCAGAACCATTTAGTCTTAAGAAGTTCCAAACTTTCCCTTAGCTTCCTGTCTTCTTCTTAGCTCTCCAAACTCTCCCAAACTCTGCCCATTGCCCACTTTCAAAACCACATCCACATTTTCAGGTATCTTTATAGCAACGTCACATTGTTTAGTACCAATTTTCTGTGTTAGTCTGTTTTGTATCACTATAAAGGAATATCTGAGACTGTGAACTTTATAAAGTGGTTTATTTGGTTCGTGGTTCTATAGGCTGTATAAGCATGGTGGCAGCATCCGCTTGGCTTCTGGTGAGGCCTCAGGAAGCTTATAATCATGGCAGAAAGCAGGGAGCCGGTGTATCACATGGTGAGTCAGGAAGCAAGAGAGAGGGAGAGAAGTGCCAGGCTCTTTTACACAACCAGAGCTCACATGAACTCATAGGGAACTCACTCATTACCATGAGGACAGCACCAAATCATTCTTGAGGGATCCATCCCCATGACCCAAATATCTACCACTAGGCCCACCTCCAACATTGAAGATCACATTTTAACATGAGATTTGAAGGTGACAAAACATCTAAACCATATCAACAGGTTAACAGGAGAAAAAGATAACAGATTTATTTAATCAAAATTTTACTTGATATGGGAGCCTTTGGAATTGACAACCCAAAGATTCATAGAAAATTGTCTGTTTTATGCTTAGGTTTGATGCAGAATGGACAGCCATATAGAAATGTAATTGAACAAAAATGATATGACCTAATGGTAATAGTCAAAGAGGGGAAACCCAGCAAGGCCTGTCTGTTTGGATTTTTCCTGGCCTCTCTGTGTGGCACTCATTCCTTGTGGGCACAGGGAAGGACCCCTTCTGAAATGAGTGTCTTATGATCTACTTTCAGATAAGGTAGGTCAGAGAATTTCCCTATGGTCAGCTCTTACACAGAAAGGCAGAAGAAGGTTAGAGTAATGTTTCTAGGTTTTATGTCTAGCTTTTTACAGGAAGGGGTTCTAATTTCAATGACCTGCCTTGGGGAAAAATAATTCTAGTTTCTATGGCCTGCCTTGGGGAGAAAGAGGAGTGGGAGAAAGAAGGGGAGAAGGTCAGAAAGGGACTTTGCTTCTGAGACCCTTCGTGTTCCTCAGTTCGAAGTACTCAGCATACCAAAGCACCACACTTTATGGTGTCATTTTCTGAGTCCACAAAACTGTGAAACAATGGATCTGCTCAATGACTTAAAGCAGCTCACAACACCTCAATGTCTCCTTCACAGCACACACATCTCTCAACAGTGGTATTCTCTCATGTATTTAATTACTATACCAATGCTAACAAATGCCCACACACACTTAAATTTAAAATTCACATAAACAGTGTTTTTGTAACAGGAAATTCATGTGAAAAAACCACCACTGACTTGTAATATAAGAAAAATGTAATAATTCCCCTTCCTGTGATGGGTGGGCGCTACCACCCAAATCACAGTAAAGCCAATGTGGATCCCACATACACATTGGGCCTCCCTCTACAGATACTCATTTCCAATCACTATACTTCTCTGCTGGTTTTGTACCACTTTTATTGATACATGTGCTTTGTCTGCATATTCTATTTAGGAATTCACTCAAATTCATGTTATATCAAGATTACTATTTTAGCTTTCAGTGTGACTCAGAATATAATGCAAGTATGTGTGTTTATAGTTCCACATGTGTGATATTACTTGTAAACTTTATTTACGAGTAAATTTGTTTTGTCTTATTGCCTACAACATGTTAGCATTCATTTATGCAATACATTTCTTTTTAGCTATGTCACTTTATGTACTTTTCTATGGATTGATATAATAGTATAGTTTAATTAGAATTTAAGGTTTTCTACTGGTTTCCAGTGTATGATACACTGAATTTCCTACCCAAAATGTCTCCTCACATATGGGTACTTATTAAGAACAAACGAAGGCAGTAAGATGGAGGGGAGAAGGGAGAGAGTTCTCCTAGAACAAGAATCAACAACACCCAATTGTTAGATCCCTATTATGTTTATCTACATATTGCACTAAACAGTATGAAACAGTATCAAACATAGTTGCTAGGGTCATTGGAGCACTATTATTTTTATTGTTGTTGTTGCTGTTAGGGTCATTGTAGCACTACTATTTTGTTGCTGTTGTTGGTTCATTTTCTCTCATTTCTGCCACTCAGCTCAATCAGGCTCTTAATAAACACTTATTCTTTGGTGACCAGGTGCCAAATGTCACTTGGTACTGAGAAATCTTTCAGAAGCCGGCCTACAAATCCCTCTTAATTTACTGCACTTGGATGTTTTGAATTTACTACACTTGGGTGTTTGAATCATTCAAAACACTCAGGTGTTTTGAATGATTACGTTTCCTTTGACGCTTCTCTGGTAAAATTTTTTTATTATGCTCCCTGAACATATGTTTCACTTTTGTTTAAACCAGTGATTCTCAAACTCCAGTATTCATGAGAATCACCTGGGGGGCCTGTTAAGCCACAAACTGCTGAGCCCCACTTAGAATTTCTGATTCTTAACAGAATCAGGAATGGTGGGATCTGAGAATTTGCATTTCTAACAACTTCCCACCTGATGCTCATGCAGCTTGTGGGGAATTCACTGATCTAAGGAACCACCTTAAAGTACTAAAAGTCATTGTTCTAGAATTCTATAGGAACCCCATTCCATTTACTATATATTTAACCTTTTAGATAACTTATTTTCCTCATTTCCTTATCTATAATCAAGGCAAGAGGGGAGGACGACTTCTTAGACAAGAGTTGAAGCAGCAAGGAAAGAAATTCAAGAATGAAAACCCAAAGGCAGTTGAAAAAAGAAACAATGGGGCCAGGACACAGATTTCTGAATAAAGGGCACTGGGGGAGAAGTGGGAGAAGAAAATAAACTTTAAAGAATAGCTTGTAGAAAACCTGTCAGAAATGAACTCAGCAAAAACAAAGATAAAGGGGCACCTTCTCCTACCTTCAAAAGAGTCTCAGAAAAAGAGAAGCTGACATATTCTTGAGATCTAGGACAAGTCTTTCCACTTGCGCTCTGTATTTCTTCTACATTAAAGAACCTGAGCCAGCAATGATTCTTTTGTTATCCTCTTCCTTCTGTATCTTCTACTTTTCTCTCTCTGCTGGTTCCTTCTCAAAGTACCAGCATGCTGTCCTTCCATTTGCACTCTCTTCAACTACCAACCCCCGCCCTCACACTCACAGTCCCTTGCTAGTCAAATAGTGGTTCTCGGACCAGCAGCATCAATATGACCTGGAAGTGTATCAGAAATGCAGAATCTCAGGCTCATCCCATTTACCCCATTTATCTAATTTCCTTTTCAATTTGATAATGGGATTGATATTACACTATACATTTTTCCAGCCTAATCTAAAGTCTAGAACTATCTACCTGGATTTATTCACTGCACATTAAAGTTATCCTAAAAAATAAATTTCAGGATTTCTAGGATCCATATTAAATCCAGAATCCTCATGGTACGTTTGGATTTCTAGTAGAAACTTATCAAAAACAGATAAATAGGACACTTAAAAGACAAATAAAACCTGTCAAAAAATAAATGTAATCCTAAATATAAAGATGATTGCAATTTGTTATAGCATTAAGCTATTCCAAAAAAAAATCACACTAAGCAAAGACCTAGGAATGCAAAAGTACTGTGAATGGTTTTAGCCTTTTGTTGCACTGATAAGAAGCTAACATTGTCATTCTTCATTTATCCCATTCTGATTCAATTACTTATAAACATGTGTGGCTCTCTTAGAGTCAGGAGCTCTAATACTCACCCTACTTTACTGGGTCTCGATCCTGGATTCAGGATGTTGCTCTCTGTATTCTACTTCCACTGTTACAGGGGCTTGGCAGATATCTAGAAACTACAGATTGGCAAGGCCATTTTGTTCCAAGTATGAACCCTCACATAGACCATTTCTAAACTTATTTATTCACCAAATAACCACCGAACATGTCCCTCCATGACAGGAACTGTGCTAACTATAGAAATACAGTGGGATGAAAATAGTCTCTGAAAGCATAGAGTTTGGGTCTCACAAGGAAGACAGACTGCTTAAACAATTATAATTTAGCTCACATATAAAAAAGTACAGAATATAATGGGGACCCACATCAGGAGAACCTAATCTAGTCTAGGGAGGTAGTTAGTGAAGACAAAAGTGGTATCGAAACTGCATGACAAAAGAAAGAATAGTACACAGCCAGACCAAAAGGAGGGGGAGAACATACCCTACAGAGAGAATATGTATAAAAAACTGGGGCTGAGCAAGGTCCATTCAAATAAGTGGAAGAAATTTGATATGTCTCAGTGCAGAATGTGAAGGACGTGGTGGTGACAGGTTGGGCTGGAGAAATAAGTAAGCACCAAATTCTGGAAAAGTCTGTAGTCCAGTTTAAGGCCTTTGGGTTATATCTGAAATTAAATAAGATGACTTGAGACTGGGCTGCAATTTAGACTAGAAAGGGGCAAAGGCTACAGTTAAAGACATACCAGTCTCATTGGGATAAATTAAGTATGACCAAGGAAATGGCATCAGGAATGGAGAGAAATGCAGAGATTCCAGAGATATGCAGAAAGAAATTATTATAGAGCCTCTCAGAATCTCTATCAAATTAAGGATACATCTTTTTATGTTTATGTGTATTATTCAAGTATGTTTTAAATCAACTACAATTTTAAACAAACTTCCATCATTATTGTATTAGACAATTTATATTATGAAAGCTTATATGGGAACTGAGAGAGAAATGCTTACGCATTGAATTTTCACACTCTTTCAGCATCTGTAAAACAGTGAATGCCCCAACTTATAAATGCTGAGCTCCACAGTTGTGTCGGTAAGTCAGTTATTTGCAATGTTTCCTCAGTACGTCGTCTGGAACAGGGTGAGAAGGACAAAGAGGTGAAACAGAGGCGGAGCAGGCTGGGACCAGGAAAACAGTCATCAGAAGACTAAGGCAAGCTCCATTCTGGATCTGTCAGGCCCCTGTTCTGTTCTCTTGTCACCACTAGTCTAGCTAAAAACTGTTTCCTGAATACATGCTTATACAAGATGAGAAAGCAAGAACTGGGGAGGCAATGGAACAGTGAGAATTCAGTCCTCAGGCTATAAGGCAGAAAAGAAGAGTGAGGGGACCAACCTGAGCAATGTGAGCTAGAGGATCAGGAAGCTCCCAAAGTCATCTGGCTGGGTTGGTTGTTTCTCGGGACCCAAAACTTAAAACTCAGTTCAACCCTAACTACTTACACTGCTCTGCATACTGCCCTCCACCTCCACTACCCTAAGCACTCTATACAAGTGCCCTGTAATTAATAAACATTTACTAAATAAACATGTACATCAATGAATTAATTTAGTTTGATTTTTTCTTACTTTCTTTTCACTCTGGCCAACTGCTCATCCTTTTTACTATAACCAATTGCTCATCCTGTAGCCTATGATTTATGAATATATTCATAATATATTCATAAATATATTGTTATATTTATATATCTATGTATATTACATTACACATAGATGTGTAATACTATCTATGATTTATGAATATATTAACTACTTAAAGTTGCAGGCGAAAAGGCACATACCTGACACTTCATCCATCCACTTCCCTCCTATGAATATCAAATGACCGTGTAATATAATAGCAACTGTCCAGATTCCCCCTGCCCCACCCGCACACACACTCAAATTTTAATCCTAAATCTGCCTACGGAAATTCTATGCCATTTTTCCCATTAACAAAGCCCTGCTCTTGTCACCATAAACCCTTCAATCCCTAGTCCAGTTTAGAAACAGCCACTAACATCTTCCTGGCTAGTCTCTGTGATGTGAGTCTTTCTCATCCACCTTCTCAGACCTAGACTAAATCCTTGCCAACATTAAGAGTCCCTCTTTAACAGGAGCCTGTTGCAGTGTCTATGAAATTTAAAATAAATTAATAAAAATAAATTTAAAAAGAGATTCTATAAAATAAAATGTAAGTAATCTTTTATAAAGAAAAAGAGCATAGCTTTTCACTCGTATGTTCTCTTCCATAGATCAGGAAGATGATTAACCATACCTGCCACACATCACAAAAAAGGTTTTGAGAAATGTGTCACTGGGTATGTACACTTCTTTTTCTTCCTTCCTTCCTTTCTACTTTCCTTTTGTTTTTCATTCTTTCATTCCATAAATTAGTAAAGCGCATTTAAGTAAGATAAAAATGTGACATTATATAATCAAGTTCTCTTTATCCCTCCCCTATATAGTCTAGTCCCCTACTAAATACAATAAAGAGGTATATTCATTAAGAAGCTGTAGAAAAACAAGAATAAAGAAATAGCAGAGTTCCTGAAATGCTGTAGAAAAAGCATATCAGGGTGGAGCCAAGATGGCCGAATAGGAACAGCTCCGGTCTACAGCTCCCAGCGTGAGCGACACAGAATACAGGTGATTTTTGCATTTCCATCTGAGGTACCAGGTTCATCCCACTAGGGAGTGCCAGACAGTCAGTGCAGGACAGTGGGTGCAGCACACCGTATGTGAGCCGAAGCAGGGCAAGGCACTGCCTCACTCGGGAAGCGCAAGGGGTCAGGGAGTTCCCTTTCCTAGTCAAAGAAAGGGGTAATAGACAGCACCTGGAAAATCGGGTCACTCCCATCCAAATACTGCGCTTTTCCAACGGGCTTAAAAAACGGCACACCAGGAGATTATATCCCACACATGGCTAGGAGGGTCCTACACCCACGGAGTCTCCCTGATTGCTAGCACAGCAGTGTCAGATCAAACTACAAGGTGGCAGTGAGGCTGGGGGAGGGGCACCTGCCACTGCCCAGGCTTGATTAGGTAAACAAAGCAGCTGGGAAGCTCAAACTGGGTGGAGCCCACCACAGCTCAAGGAGGCCTGCCTGCCCCGGTAGGCTCCACCTCTAGGGGCAGGGCACAGACAAACAAAAAGACAGCAGTAGCCTCTGCAGACTTAAATATCCCTGCTGACAACTTTGAAGAGAGTAGTGGTTCTCCCAGCAGCAGCTGGAGATCTGAGAACGGGCAGACTGCCTCCTCAAGTGGGTCCCTGACCCGCGAGAAGCCTAACTGGGAGGCACCCCACAGTAGGGGCAGACTGACACCTCACACTGCCGGGTACGCCTCTGAGACAAAACTTCCAGAGGAGCGATCAGGCAGCAGCATTTGCGGGTCACCAAAATCCGCTGTTCTACAGCCACCGCTGTTCTGCAGCCACTGCTGCTGACACCCAGGTAAACAGGATGTGGAGTGGACCTCCAGCAAACTCCAACAGACCTGCAGCTGAGGGTCCTGAATGGTAGAAGGAAAACTAACAGACAGAAACGACATCCACACCAAAAACCCATCTGTACGTCACCATCATCAAAGACCAAAAGTAGATAAAACCACAAAGATGGGGAAAAAACACAGCAGAAAACCTGGAAACTCCAAAAAGCAGAGTGCCTCTCCTCCTCCAAAGGAACACAGCTCCTCACCAGCAATGGAACAAAGCTGGACAGAGAATGACTTTGACGAATTGAGAGAAGAAGGCTTCAGACGATCAAACCACTCCGAGCTAGAGGAGGAAATTCAAACCAATGGCAAAGAAGATAGAAACTTTGGGCCGGGCGCGGTGGCTCACGCCTGTAATCCCAGCACTTTGGGAGGCCGAGGCGGGCGGATCACGAGGTCAGGAGATCGAGACCATCCCGGCTAAAACGGTGAAACCCCATCTCTACTAAAAATACAAAAAAAAATTAGCCGGGCGTAGTGGCAGGCGCCTGTAGTCCCAGCTACTTGGGAGGCTGAGGCAGGAGAATGGCGTGAACCCGGGAGGCCGAGCTTGCAGTGAGCCGAGATCCCGCCACTGCACTCCAGCCTGGGTGACAGAGCGAGACTCCGTCTCAAAAAAAAAAAAAAAAAAGAAACTTTGAAAAAAAATTAGACGAATGGATAACTAGAATAACCAGTGCAGAGAAGTCCTTAAAGGAGCTAATGGAGCTGAAGGCCAAGGCTCAAGAACTACGTGAAGAATGCAGAAGCCTCAGGAGCCGATGCGATCAACTGGAAGAAAGGGTATCAGTGATGGAAGACGAAATGAATGAAATGAAGCGAGAAGGGAAGTTTAGAGAAAAAAGAATAAAAAGAAACGAACAAAGCCTCCAAGAAATATGGGACTATGTGAAAAGACCAAATCTACGTCTGATTGGTGTACCTGAAAGTGACCGGGAGAATGGAACCAAGTTGGAAAACACTCTGCAGGATATTATCCAGGAGAACTTCCCCAATCTAGCAAGGCAGGCCAACGTTCAGATTCAGGAAATACAGAAAATGTCACAAAGATACTCCTTGAGAAGAGCAACTCCAAGACACATAATTGTCAGATTCACCAAAGTTGAAATGAAGGAAAAAATGTTAAGGGCAGCCAGAGAGAAAGGTATGGTTACCCACAAGGGGAAACCCATCAGACTACCAGTGGATCTCTCAGCAGAAACTCTATAAGCCAGAAGAGAGTGGGGGCCAATATTCAACATTCTTAAAGAAAAGAATTTTCAACTCAGAATTTCACATCCAGCCAAACTAAGTTTCATAAGCAAAGGAGAAATAAAATCCTTTACAGACAAGCAAATGCTGAGAGATTTTGTCACCACCAGGCCTGCCCTAAAAGAGCTCCTGAAGGAAGCACTAAACATAGAAAGGAACAACCGGTACCAGCCACTGCAAAAACCTGCCAAAATGTAAAGACCATCCAGGCTAGGAAGAAACTGCATCAACTAACGAGCAAAATAACCAGAGAACATCATACTGACAGGATCAAATTCACACATAACAATATTAACTTTAAATGTATATGGGCTAACTGCTCCAATTAAAAGACACAGACTGGCAAATTGGATAAAGAAGTCAAGACCCATCAGTGTGCTATATTCAGGAAACTCATCTCACATGCAGAGACACACATGGGCTCAAAATAAAGGGATGGAGGAAGATCTACCAAGGAAATGGAAAACAAAAAAAGGCAGGGGTTGCAATCCTAGTCTCTGATAAAACAGACTTTAAACCAACAAAGATCAAAAGACACAAAGAAGACCATTATCTAATGGCAAAGGGATCAATTCAACAAGAAGAGCTAACTATCCTAAATATATATGAACCCAATACAGGAGCACCCAGATTCATAAAGCAAGTCCTGAGTGACCTACAAAGAGACTTAGTCTCCCACACAATAATAATGGGAGACTTTAACACCCCACTGTCAACATTAGACAGATCATGAGACAGAAAGTTAACAAGGATACCCAGGAATTGAACTCAGCTCTGTATCAAGCGGACCTAATAGACATCTACAGAACTCTCCACCCCAAATCAACAGAATATATACTTTTTTCAGCACCACACCACACCTGTTCCAAAATTGACCACATAGTTGGAAGTAAAGCTCTCCTCAGCAAATGTAAAAGATCAGAAATTATAACAAACTGTCTTTCAGACCACAGTGCAATCAAACTAGAACTCAGGATTAAGAAACTCACTCAAAACCACTCAACTACATGGAAACTGAACAACATGCTTCTGAATGACTACTGGGTACATAACGAAATGAAGGGAGAAATAAAGATGTTCTTTGAAACCAATAAGAACAAAGACACAACATACCAGAATCTCTGGGACACATTCAAAGCAGTGTGTAGAGGGAAATTTATAGCACTAAATGCCCACAAGAGAAAGCAGGAAAGATCCAAAATTGACACCCTAACATCACAATTAAAAGAACAAGAAAAGCAAGAGCAAACACATTCAAAAGCTAGCAGAAGGCAAGAAATAACTAAAATCAGAGCAGAACTGAAGGAAATAGAGACACAAAAAACTCTTCAAAAAATTAGTGAATCCAGGAGCTGGTTTTTTGAAAAGATCAACAAAATTGATAGACCGCTAGCAACACTAATAAAGAAGAAAAGAGAGAAGAATCAAATAGACACAATAAAAAATGATAACGGGAATAACACCACCGATCACACAGAAATACAAACTACCATCAGAGAATACTACAAACACCTCTACACAAATAAACTAGAAAATCTAGAAGAAATGGATAAATTCCTCGACACATACACTCTCCCAAGACTAAACCAAGAAGAAGTTGAATCTCTCAATAGACCAATAACAGGCTCTGAAATTGTGGCAATAATCAATAGCTTACCAACCAAAAAGAGGTCCAGGACCAGATGGATTCACAGCCGAATTCTACCAGAGGTACTAGGAGGAGCTGGTACCATTCCTTCTGAAACTATTCCAATCAATAGAAAAAGAGGGAATCCTCCCTAACTCATTTTATGAGGCCAGCATCATCCTGATACCAAAGCCTGGCAGAGACACAACCAAAAAAGAGAATTTTAGACCAATATCCTTGATGAACATTGATGCAAAAATCCTCAATAAAATACTGGCAAACCAAATCCAGCAGCACATCAAAAAGCTTATCCACCATGATCAAGTGGGCTTCATCCCTGGGATGCAAGGCTGGTTCAATATACGCAAATCAATAAATGTAATCCAGCATATAAACAGAACCAAAGACAAAAACCACATGATTATCTCAATAGATGCAGAAAAGACCTTTGACAAAATTCAACAACCCTTCATGCTAAAAACTCTCAATAAATTAGGTATTGATGGGACGTACCTCAAAATAATAAGAGCTGTCTATGAGAATCCCACAGCCAATATCATATTGAATGGGCAAAAACTGGAAGCATTCCCTTTGAAAACTGGCACAAGACAGGGATGCCCTCTCTCACCACTCCTATTCAACATAGTGTTGGAAGTTCTGTCCAGGACAATCAGGCAGGAGAAGGAAATAAAGGGTATTCAATTAGGAAAAGAGGAAGTCAAATTGTCCCTGTTTGCAGATGACATGATTGTATATCTAGAAAACCCCATTGTCTCAGTCCAAAATCTCCTTAAGCTGATAAGCAACTTCAGCAAAGTCTCAGGATACAAAATCAATGTGCAAAACTCACAAGCATTCTTATACACCAAGAACAGACAAACAGAGAGCCGAATCATGAGTGAACTCCCATTCACAATTGCTTCAAAGAGAATAAAATACCTAGGAATCCAAATTACAAGGGATGTGAAGGACCTCTTCAAGGAGAACTACAAACCACTGCTCAATGAAGTAAAAGAGGACACAAACAAATAGAAGACCATTCCATGCTCATGGGTAGGAAGAATCTATATCGTGAAAATGGCCATACTGCCCAAGGTAATTTACAGATTCAATGCCATCCCCATCAAGCTACCAATGACTTTCTTCACAGAATTGGAAAAAACTACTTTCAAGTTCATATGGAACCAAAAAAGAGCCCGCATTGCCAAGTCAATCCTAAGCCAAAAGAACAAAGCCGGAGGCATCATGCTACCTGACTTCAAACTATACTACAAGGCTACAGTAACCAAAACAGCATGGTACTGGTACCAAAACAGAGATATAGATCAATGGAACAGAACAGAGCCCTCAAAAATAATGCCACATATCTACAACTATCTGATCTTTGACAAACCTGACAAAAACAAGCATTGGGGAAAGGATTCCCTATTTAATAAATAGTGCTGGGAAAACTGGCTAGCCATATGTAGAAAGCTGAAACTGGATCCCTTCCTTACGCCTTATACAAGAATTAATTCAAGATGGATTAAAGACTTACATGTTAGACCTAATACCATAAAAACCCTAGAAGAAAACCTAGGCAATACCATTCAGGACATAGGCATGGGCAAGGACTTCATGTCTAAAACACCAAAAGCAATGGCAACAAAAGCCAAAATTGACAAATGGGATCTAATTCAACTAAAGAGCTTCTGCACAGCAAAAGAAACTACCATCAGAGTGAACAGGCAACCTACAAAATGGGAGAAAATTTTTGCAACCTACTCATCTGACAAAGGGCTAATATCCAGAATCTACAATGAACTCAAACAAATTTACAAGACAAAAATAAACAACCCCATCAAAAAGTGGGCGAAGGATACGAACAGACACTTCTCAAAAGAAGACATTTATGCAGCCAAAAGACATATGAAAAAATGCTCATCATCACTGGCCATCAGAGAAATGCAAATCAAAACCACAATGAGATACCATCTCACACCAGTTAGAATGGCGATCATTAAAAAGTCAGGAAACAACAGGTGCTGGAGAGGATGTGGAGAAATAGGAACACTTTTACACTGTTGGTGGGACTGTAAACTAGTTCAACCATTGTGGAAGTCAGTGTGGCGATTCCTCAGGGATCTAGAACTAGAAATACCATTTGACCCAGCCATCCCATTACTGGGTATATACCCAAAGGATTATAAATCATGCTGCTATAAAGACACATGCACACGTATGTTTATTGAGGCACTAGTCACACTAGCAAAGACTTGGAACCAAGCCAAATGTCCAACAACGATAGACTGGATTAAGAAAATGTGGCACATATACACCATGGAATACTATGCAGCCATAAAAAATGATGAGTTCATGTCCTTTGTAGGGACATGGATAAAATTGGAAACCATCATTCTCAGTAAACTATCACAAGGACAAAAAACCAAACACCTTATGTTCTCACTCATAGGTGGGAATTGAACAATGAGAACACATGGACACAGGAAGGGGAACATCACACTCCGGGGTCTGTTGTGGGGTGGGGGGAAGGGGGAGGGATAGCATTAGGAGATATACCTAATGCTAAATGACGAGTTAATGGGTGCAGCACACCAACATGACACATGTATACGTATGTAACTAACCTGCACATTGTGCACATGTACCCTAAAACTTAAAGTGTAATAATAATAAAATTAAAATAAATAAATAATAAAAAGAAAAAGAAACGCGGCTGCCCAGGCACCCAGTTACATTTGAATTTCAAATAGACAACAAATAATGTTTAGCATAACATGATTATATTGAATGAGATGTGTTTATAATAAAACCTTACTCATTGTTTATCTGATATTCACATTTAAAAAAAAGAAAGAAAGAAAAAGCATATCATACTTTCTTCCTTGTTTATTTTGCCATTTTGGCTTTGCTTTATTTAATTTTGGGTTGCTCAGTTGCTTCAATGAATAGTTGATGCTGTAAACTGAATTCCCCATCCTCTCAATCTGTCAAGAATCATTCAATTCAACATTTATTGAGTACTTTCTGTCTCTACACACTCAACGACAGTTGCACATATAAAACAACACTGAAAATTCTAGAAAAAATATGTAATAATATAAATACACTTTAATATAGTTTTGATTTTCAGGTATGGAGTT
The DNA here is from genome assembly GCF_000001405.40 of Homo sapiens. Taxonomy (NCBI): domain Eukaryota; kingdom Metazoa; phylum Chordata; class Mammalia; order Primates; family Hominidae; genus Homo; species Homo sapiens. The sequence goes on along the minus strand of NC_000006.12, from coordinate 77,693,799 downwards.
TTCTTAGAGCAAGGATTATCACTATTTCATGTCATCCTTACATAACTGCCATGTTCTTCCTTTATTTTCCTGTCAGTGTATGCTCCCCTTTTGTATATTTTTTCTCTCCCCTTTAACAGTTACTCCATTTATCTAAATCTATTCATTTATTCCTCATTTTTGAAGTTTAAGGTAACAGATAGAGAACCAGATTACTTCCATACATCTGTGCAGAAACATTGTACCTGCAACTCCTGCTGTGAGTAAAACTGACTTTAATTATATGATTTTTTGAAAATTTTTCTCACAGGCACTGTAACTGAAAGTGTTCAGCATAAAAACAAGCTATCACCTAGGTTCCTCCTATTAGGCACATTCATGTTACAAAAAAATAACATGCACATTTTATCAGTATTATGAATAGACCCTTGGATAGTAAACAAGAGTTTTGATTTCATGGATGCTTATGATAGTCATAGTTTAAGATTCCTGGAAATTTTAACATTTGAGACATTATATTAATTGTATAACTATACAGGAAAAAATAAAGAAAAATTGACTATGTTTGCCATTCATTCACTGGGTATACTCAAAGAGCCCATTATCAAAAAGGACTCTAGAGAAACTAAAATGTGGCTGTAAATTGTGTAATACTATTTTTGCTCATGCAATAGTAAGATTTTAGTAACATCTATTAAGTTACTGGGTTTTCATGATAATTCCCAAAACTAAAGTCTCCTATTACCCACAGCATATATGTGCACCTTACACCTGCTGCACGCTCTTAATGTGATAATGCCTCATCTTCCTCTGACATCCCTGGAATATTGGAATCTGCAGGCTTCCCACCTACACTCATGGCTCTATTCTCTTTGAGTCTCATCTACAGCAGTAACTTCACTATTCCTTAAATCCAACAGATCCTAAGTCTGTGTCTGTAGTTCTAGCATGCTCATCCTCTCTGACCATACTTCCACCTTCCTTCTAGGTAATCCATATTCCAGGGATTAGCCTACACTCAGAGAAACTTGGGCTCAACCTTTTGTCCTATTAGCTTATTTCTGTGTTCACCATCTGAATTGAAAGTATCACAATCCATTCAGTAGGCTAGGAGGGAAACCTTATTTAGGTATTTAGGTATTACCCTAAATACTGCTATGTCCCTTAACCACTCTCTGAAACCATTCATAAATGTCTAAAGTGTCTACTCTGAATTTATTCCTACATGTCTGTCCTTTTATTTCTCACTATCACAGATCTAATTCAACTCACTATTCCTTATGTAGGCTTTAGTCAAAGCTTTAAAAATTGGTATCCCTGCCTCAAATCACCTCTATAGCCAAAACATCCTCTATGTTCCTCTTTCATTGAACAGGTATTTGCTGATCACCTTCTGTGTGTCAGGCTTTGAGCTGGGCAACAAGTAAAGAGACCTGAGAAAATCAAAGGTCTCTCCTCAGTGAACATAAGCTCAAGTTCAGGAGATAAACCTGCAACCAAGTAAATAAACAAATAAGTAAATACTACACAGGAGGTGCTTGTGTGGGGAATAACTAGTGGGGGTCCACTAGAGGAGTCAAGGAATACCTCACTGAGGAGGTGTCACTTAAAATAAGACCAAAGGAAGAGAAGAAACCAGCCTCAAAGAGTCAAAGAGAAGAACCTAGGAGAGGACCATGGCAATAAAGAGATTTCAAGGGCTAGAAGGAAGGCCATGTTGACTAGGGCCTAGCTGATAATGGGGAGAGTGTATGAGATGAGGTGGGAGAGGTGAGTAGAGGTGAAATCACCCACAGCATTTTGGGCCACTATCAGAAGCCTGAATCTAATGCGAAGCCTAATTAAAAGCCAGGGAAGAGTTTTATGCAAAGAAATAACACTGCCTGATTTATGTGTTTTTTTTTCTAACTTGCCAGAATTATGTTTCCCAATCATGAGTGTCAATCTTCTGCTTCAAAAAAGCCCAGTGGCTCCTGATTAATAGGGTAACCACACGTTCTAGTTTGCTCAAGTAAACCCAGGTTTGCCCCTGTGTTCCCAGTGTAATTATTAATAGGCCCTTCCTTTCACCCTCACAAGGGTCCTAGTAGAAACCATAAATTACATGGCTAACTTACTGATAAGCAATACAGTAAAATATTCCTTAGGTTGACATTCAAGACCCTTCTGAATCCGGTCCCAACTTCCCTCTGTACCTTGTACCTTTTTCCCCATCGCTTCTTTGCCTTACAAGTGTTCTGGTCACTCTTAAATGTAATGATGGCAGTATTCTGAATGCAATATGTATTCTCCACTCCAGTGCCTTTGCACACGCTCCTGCATCTTACTGGATGTTCTGTAACCATTTCACTGACAGAACTTTGAGGGCCAGAGGTAAGAAGCCTTCCCAGAAACTAGGCAGAAGGAATAACTTCCTCCTCTGTATTTTGTCAGTCTCTATTATAGTATGTATCACAACTAGGTTAATTATTTATACACCTGTTTTCTCTGCTAGAATGGTAGACACTTAGTAGCAAGGACAGCACCTCCTTTTATGTGTTTTGGAGTCCTCACCACCCACACATGCCTGGCTGATAGCTGGTATTTCACATTGGACTGCTAGATTAACTACTGAATATAAAAGCAAAATAAAATGTATAGTAAAATAATAAAGTTGAACAATGAGATTTTAAAAGACCTTATTGCCTTCACATCTATACTATTTTCATTCTCTAACTTCATTCCAAAGTCAAATGTAGGAAAGTGACAATAAAATTTTAATGAATGACCAGAAGTAAAAAAATGTATAAGGCTAGAAGATGTCGAGCTTTCATGGAAACTAAAAATTTTCATGTTTTGGGAATACATTTCTAAATAATTGTGCAACTGAAATAAAACAAGTATGACATACTACCAAAAGGCAATTTTATATACTCACCACTCTTAAAGGATCCTGAACAAAGCCTGCTCACAAGAAGTTTTTGACGTAATTGCATAACTTCAGCTTCCAAGATTTCAACTTTTGATCTCCATTTTGACTGCTCCTCAGACAGCAACATAGCAAGGTGCTCTGTGTATTCTCTGCTGCTTTTGTCTGCTGGTTTTGAGCGGATAATTGCCAAGGCCAGAGCCAGCTTTGAAGTTCTCAAATACCATTTTTGAACATCCATCCTGGCTTTTGTCCCTATCATTTAATAAGAAAAAAGTTATAGAAATTCTTTTTAACTTGTGCAGTGCATTTCATTTGCTTAAAATTGATTTTGCAGAGTAACATTAATTAATAAGTTTATAATAAGACTTGGCACCAAGTAACAGAAAAAAAAATCAGGGACTGAAAACAGTATGAGAAAATTATGCAGAAGAAAAATACACACACATGCATATTAAATATATTAAGATTCAATAGTAGGTTTAGACAATTTGACAACTTCTTGGGATGGAAAAAACACATATTAATTCATTTAGTTGTTTCTAACCAGAGAAACGTATCAGAATCTCTGAGGGAGCTTTCAAAATATACTCCCTCAAAATTCTGATTTAGCAAATTTTGAGTAGGACTGAGGCTTTTATATTTTGAAAATGAGTCCACTGAATAACCAGAACCATTAAATTATCTATTTATAAATTTAAGTCCTTCCTTTCCTCCAACCCATCTGTTAAATCTTGCATTCCTTAATGAACCTTTTACCTGCTATTTCTGCCTCTAACCAGCCCCCTCCAATCTATATGGAGAACAATCTTTTAAATATTTGCATCATTTAAGTTGCGAGTCTACTCTGATTCTTCACTTCCAAAGATTTCCAATCGTCATTCTGAGCATACTTTTCCAAACCAACAGTGTGTCACAGTCTTAAAATATAAACATACTTATGGAGGCCACATGACAGACCACTGCATACACTGCTTTAATATCATCCCTACTCAAGTATAAGACCCTGTGGCCTCCTCCAGGCTTTATTAGATTATCATGAGAGTTGTGCACATAAAATGTGCTAAATAAAAATGCTTGATGAAGAGTGAAAAGTAAGATGACCCAGAATATTCAGGACTTTCAGTTGCCCCACCTATCCTACTAACACATTTTCAAATTCTTCACCTTACATTTCAAACTTTATTTCCTTCCATTTCCCCAGCCTATCCTTCCATATTGGTTGGATCACACTCAACCAGATACAGCCCAAGTGTACTCCTGTACACATCTCTGCTCATAAATTTTCCACTGCCGTGATGCCCTGAATTTCTTATATAGCTGCCCAAGCCCTGACTGTGCACCCTTTAAAGAACAACTCATATACCAACATATAAAATTTTCTCAGGTCTATTCCCACCCACAGCGATGTGTAACTAACTATCTGATATCCTGTAATTTGGCACTGAAAATGTACAATCTAACAAATGGCTTAATGCTGTTTTATTATAATTAGTAATGAACACAAAAATCTGTATAAAATATGTTCATCACAGCATTATTGATAATATTGAAAATGGACTGACAAATAGTTAAATTAATAAAAGTATGACTATACAAATGAATATTACTTAGCCATTAAAAATTAGATTTTTAGAAATTTTGTATTAGCCTGAGAAAGTGTTAAGTACAACAAATGAAGACATGAAATTATATGGACAGTAGGACCCCAGTTACAAGAAAAATGGGGAAGATAAAAAAAGTAAATAGAAAGTATAACTGTAGAATTATTGGTGATTTTTATCCTCTTATCTTCATTTCTTTGTTATTTTTCTAATTTTATTCAATTAACATATATCAATTATAATTAAAAATGTAAAGAAACTAGATTTCCAGAATCAAAGTACACAGCTTTGTATTTTCACAGCTGTTGACTACACTAAGGACTAGATACTGTCAAGATGAACAAACTAATTAGAATTATAGCTCCACTTATTTTAGCTTTCTCAACAACCATTTCACTCCCTGGATCATCCTCCATCTGTCATCAGCGATAGGAGCAGTGGACTCTGACACTCATTACTCTCAGAAAAGCACCCTATGTGCACAGGACAGACATATGGTTTTTGAGACCCTCCTTCAAGAAGTAAGTTTGCTAATACATAATGATACTGATTTTTTAAAAGGTGCCTATTCAAAGTTGTTTCAGTTAGAAAAGAATCTCACATTCAATTATAAACAGTGGGATTCCAGGCTAAAAGAAAAAACTAGAAAAACAGTTTATTAGCACAAGAGGACAAAGTTCTCTGGATAATAAAAACACAGCAAATTCCCTGTCATCCTGCAGAGATATTTAATTAATTGATTGAAGCAACCTGATTAACTAAATGTTCTGATTTTTAAGTTGTTGCATATGATTTGTTAATAGTCTTAAAATCATGCTGAATATCAGCTATCAGAAAGAAAGATCAAATTATAAAATTCTTATGGATTGTAACTATATCAAGGTCAGGGTCATTTGTCTGAACATTTAGATTTGTACTACAAATGAAAAGAAATAATTGCTAATAAAGAGGTTTAGCACAGGCTTGCAGGATATAAATCACACTTAAAATACACACAGAACAACAACATACAACCAAACAAAACCAGGTTTTTAAAACTGCTTCCTCATGTTTGTGTGTGTAAATGTGTGTGTTTATAAATGTATGCCTTCTTAATTGTAGAACAGCATTCCTATCCTCAAAGTATCATTTGCAAAATAAAGATAATTCAGTTTCCCCTAATATTTCATGGAAGAAAAATGAACTTCTATGGCATCATAAGAAAGATATATTTGGCCTTCGTCCCCAGTTCCTGACACAAAGCTCTTAAATCCCTTAGAATTTCCTGAGGTAGCTTGTGGCAGGCCCCTAGAAAGCTTCAGGATAGGAATTAGTTGCCAGAAAGACCAAACCATAATTAAAAGCTTGGAACTTTCAGTCCCACCCCAAGCCTCCAGGGAGATGAGAGGGACTGAAGACTGAATTAATGATGGATCATGCTTTTTTGATGAAATCTCCATAAAACCCCCAATCAATGGGATTCAGAGAGCTTTCAGGTTGGTGAACACATCAGGATGCTAAGAAGGTGGCACACCTAGAAAGGATGTGGAAGCTCTGTGCAATCCCCCCATACATGGCCCTATGCATCTCTCCCATTTGGCTGTTCCTGTGCTGTATTTTTTATAGTAAACTGGTAATAAATAGAGTGACTTACTGAGTTCTGTGAGTTATTCTAGCAAGTTATCAAGCCTGACTAGAAGGGTTGTGAGAACCTCTGAATAAGTCAGACAGAGTGCAAGTAACCTACGGGCCCAGTACCTGCAACTGGCATTTAAACTGAGTGCAGTCTGATGGAACTGAGCCCTTAAACCTGTGAAGTCTGAAGCTAACTCCAGGTAGTTAGTGTCAGAATTGAGGTGAACTGTTGAAAATCTAGTTCGTGCCCAGAGAATCAGAACTGGTTGTTGCTACTGGAAAACACCCCAGCTTCCTAAATATATTCTCTGTTTCACTGAGGAAAGATCAGCAGTAACTTTCAGAAAGCCTTTTTAAATTCAATTTATGCTCAAATAATTAGAGTAAATAATGAAAATGAACATTTAATATCTCCCACGAAGGTATGTAGTGTCTCTTAATTCTTAATAGTTTAAAGTATAAAATCAGTCTTTTTAGAACACAGCATCAATTCCAGCACAGCTTACTTGTATTCTTTTTTATTTGGGAGCAGTTCTTACCATAGTAACATTCCCCATGGGGCTGTGAAAAAATGTAGTCATATTACATATGACCTTGGATTTTCCCTCAGGCAATGCATGTAGAAACAGCTACTCCACACATTATTTTGGCCATTTGTATCATTTATTTCTCCTGCCCTAATTTTTCCTTATTGAACTTTAATTTGCTATCAACTCGCTAATTTTCTGAACCATCAAGTATTTTATATTTATATTATAACTTCAAATTCTAAAGTTACTTCATCACCAAGATCACTGATGAAACATCTACAAAAAAAAAGAGCCACAGACCATTCCTATTCAAGACTGGTGGGAATTTTGAATTACATAGCCATTCAGGAGGATATTTTCCTAATATGTATCAAACATCTTCAAAGTATGTATTCCCCTTTGTCCCAGCAATACAAGTTCTAAGATTTCACCTTCAATAAATGATCAGAGCTGCATACAAAACTTTATGCCCATACATGATTTATAGAATTATAACTACCAATATAAAAAAACCTGTCACCAGTCTGAATATCTAATAATAGAGATCAAATTGTGATATATCATATAACTCAACTAAAAATGTTTTTGAAAATATTTGAAGTTATGGAAAAATATTTCCCACATGACATTAAATGTACAGTAAAACATAAAACAGTAAATGCAGTAAAACTGCAAATTAAAAAAATCTACAGACATATAGACATTAATATAGTGATACATTTAAAGACAAAAGGGGAAAGGGAAAAAGAGAGGGAAGGAACAAAAGAAAAAGAGAAAGATAAAAAGAGGGAAAGAAGAGAAAAGACAGACTTACTGACCAAAATAAAAGCAACCCTTCACCATGAGTTGAGGAAGTCTGAATGATATTATTTTCTTACTTATACTTTTCTATATGCACTAGTCCATTTTGCACTGCAATAAAGGAATACCTAAGGCTGAGTAATTTATAAAGAATATAGGTTTATTTGGCTCATGGTTCTTCAGATTGTAGAGAGGCACGGTGCCAGCTTCTGCTTCTAGTGAGGCCTCAGGAGGCTTTCACTCATGGTAGAAGGCACAGGGAGCTAGTGTGTCACATGATAAGAAAAAGCAAGAAAGGGAGGGAGGTCCCAGACTCTTTTTCACAACCAGATCTCAAGTGAAATGGTTACCACAGGGAGGCCCCAAGGCATTCCTGAGAAAGCTGTCCCCATGACCCAAACACCTCCCACTAGGCCCCACCTGTAATCTTGAAGATCACATTCCAACATGAGATTTGGAGGGGACAAATATCAAAACCATATCACTATAGTTCCCAAACTGTCACAATAAACATTATAAGACATATAAGACAGGAAACTATCTTCATACTGATCCTACAGAAATTGTCCCTATTCTATATTTTTCTAAGTGGGAATTATAGAATATGCAGAAGACTGAAACTGGACCCTTATCCCATACCATATACAAAAATCAACTTAAAATGCAATAAAGACTTAAATATAACATGAAACCATAAAACTACTAGAAGAAAACATAGGGAAAGAGCTGCATAACATGGGTCTTGACAAAGATACTTTGAATATGACAGAAGGACAGGCAACAAAAGTAAAAATAGACAAATGGGATTGCATCAAACTTAAATGCTTCTGCACAGCAAAGGAAACAATCAACAGACTGAAGGAACAACCTGCAAAATAGGAGAAAATACTTGCAAACCACATATCTTATAAGGGGTTAACATCCAAAATATACAAGGGACTCCAAAAACTCAATAGCAAGTCCCCATATGCACAGGCAACCAAAGCAAACATAGACAAATGGTATCACACCAAGTTAAAAAGCTTCTGTGCAGCAAAAAAAAAAAAAAAAAGTGAAGGGACAACCCAGAGAATGGAAATAAATATTTGCAAACTATCCCCCTGACAAGGAATTGATAGCCAGAATATATAAGGAGCTCAAAGAACCCTATAGGAAAAAATATAATAACCCAATGAAAACATGGGCAAAAGATTTGAATAGACATTTCTCAAAAGAAGACACAGAAATGGCAAACAGACATATGAAAGTGTTCACAGCATCACTGATTATCAGAGAAACGCAAATCAAAACTACAATTAGATATCGTCTCATCCCAGTTAAAAGGGCTTATATCCAAAAGACAGGCAATAACAACTGCTGGTGAGGATGTGGAGAAAAGGGAACCTTTGTACACTGTTGGTGGGAATGTAAATTAGTACAACCACTATGGAGAACTGTTTGGAGGGTCCTCAAAAAAACTAAAAATTGAGCTACCATATGTGCAGCAATCTCACTTTGGGTGTATACTCAAAAGAAAGGAAATCAGTATATTAAAGAGATATTTGCACTGTACGTGTTGTAGCACTATTTACAATAACTAAGATTTGGAAACAACCTAATTGTGTATCAACAGATTAATGTTAAAAGAAAATGTGGTACATATACACAATGGAGTACTATATTCAGCCACAAACAACAATGAGATACAGTCATTTGCAACAACATGGATGGAACCGGAGATAATTATATTAAGTAAAATAAGCCAGGGACAGAAAGACAAACATTGCACGTTCTCACTTATTTGTGGGATCTAAAAGTCAAAATAATTGAACTCTTGGACATAGAGAGTAGAAGGATGGTTACCAGAAGCTGCGAAGGGTAGTGGGGGACCTGGGGAAAGGTGGGGATAGGTAACGGGTACCAAAAAAAAAAGTAGACAGAATGAATAAGACCTACTATTCAATAGCACAATAGGGTAACTACAGTCAATAATGTGTTCCTAACTCAAAAGATAAATGTTTGAGGGGACAGAAACTGCATTCTCCATAATGTGGTTATTTCACATTGCATTCCTGTATCAAAGTATCTCATGTACCCCATAAATATATACACCTACTATGTACCCACAAAATTTTTAAAAAACGTAAGAGTTTTAAAATTCAATAGCCAGAAAAACTAAAAATGCAAAATACATGAATAAAAAATTCTCAAAAGAAGACATATGAATAACAAACAGGTGTACTTTTTAAAAAGCTCAACATCAGTAATCATTAGGGAAATGCAAATTAAAACCACAATGAGATATCATCTTACCCAAGTTAAAATGGCTTTTATCAAAAAGACAAAAGATGAGGATGTGGAGAAAAGGAAATCTTTGTACACTGTTGGTGAGAATATAAATTAGTACAACATCTACGGAAAACAGTATGGAGATTTCTCAAAGAACTCAAAATACAACTACCATATGATTCAGCAATCTTACTTCTGTGTATACATCCAAAGGAAATGAAATCAGTATGTCAAAAAGATATCTGCACTCCAATGTTTGCTGCAGCATTATTCGCAATAGAAAAGATATGAAATCAACCTGTGTCCATCAATGGATTAACAGATAAAGAAAAATATGTAATAATGAAATGCTATTCAGTCTTTAGAAACAAATTTTGTCATTTCAGCATTAATGAACCTGAAAAACATTATGCTGAGTGAAATGAGCCAGGCACAGAAAGATAACTTCTGCATGATTTCACTATATGTGAAATCTAAAATAGTCAAACCTATAGAGACAGAGATAGAATGGTGGTTTCCAAGGGTGGGGGCCAGAGAGAAAAGGGGAGATGTTAGTTAAAGGGCACAAAGTTTCACTTAGACAAGATGAATAACTTCCAGAGATCCATGGTACAACATGGTGACATAGTTAATAATGTTTTGCACACTTGAAAATTCCTGAAAGAATATATCTTAAGTGTTCTCACCACGCACAAAAAATAAGTATATGAGGTGACTGCCATGTTAACTGGCTTGACTTAATCATTTCTCAATGTCTATATATTGAAAATACCATATTGTATACTTTAAATTTATAAAATTTTTATTTGTTGATACCTTAATAAAGCTGGAAAAATAAATTAATAAACAAAGAAGATTTTAGCTAATTAAAAAAAGCAAAATGAAGAAGCATTTTGTATGAAGTCTCAGAGCTCTGCACCAATCAATTTTTGATTGTGAAAAGAAGCTTAGCCTGTAGCGCTTACCTCTGCAATTCTGAGACATCTTCAACTGTAAAATACACCATTGATTCAACAACAGCTTAGGTGTAGACAAGGGGAATAAGAATGAAAGAACAGTACTTGCACATTAAACATAACTTCAACCGAAATTTTAAAGGGCTTTCAGAATTGAGGAAACATCGTCCATGGAATGAGAATTCTGCCTCCTAGCTTCTCTAATCTACCTTCCTGATCAGCTTTCCCAAATTCCACTGAGCCCATTGACTTCAGCCATTTCCACAGTCCATTTCCATATCCCTTCCTCTGAATGCCTTTTCTGTTCTTTTCACTAATTCAAAGGACACACAGATTTTGGAAGTGTGGCAGAAAACTTTCCAGTATGACCAAGCAGCAAGCGACTATCCCCTGTATCCCCAATGCCATGAATACTGGCTCACAGTAGGCACACAACTAAATAGTAGTGAGTAAATGAATGAATGAATACATCAATATAGGTCTTACAATCACAGGGCTACTTGGCCAACTCTTAACCCTGGCTCTCATCAGTAAGCCTTGGTCAATTACATACTAGGAAAATAGCCTTGGAGTGAGAATAGGTTCTGAAGGGAACTTAATTAGTTAACCAAAAGGTCACATCTGTCTCTCTTCACTCAATAAGACATCCTTTCTTCACTATTTCCACTGAGTCTACTCTCTCCAAACTATGCCCTTCTACAGTATAACCTTAAACTTTCACCAAAATAATTATTGAGTAAAGAAAATACAGTAGGAAAGGTAAAATCTAATTCGCATACAGTTTTAGGTCAGAGGGTAAGCTATAAGGGAGAAAACCAGATTTTATCTTATGTGAGACCTACTCTAAATACTTGCCAAGAAAGCAAGAAACTGAAGGACACTGGCTAAACACTCCTTAAATCACTGAGATGAATGTAATAAGGCAACACGTGAGTGCAGGAGGAAGTCCTCATGTATCATGATGGTGAAATATGCATTTATCAAATCCCGGTGTGGGGTGAAGCAGAGCTGGCAATGCTAGAACAGTAAGAAATTACAAGACTTTTGAGATAATTAGTTTAATAGTTTCAGTAAAGTTTGGACAAGGTCTAACATGTAATTTTTGGATTAGATCCGTCTGACAAATTTCCTAATTATTGTTATAGTTTCAGCACATACTGTACTGTAAAGTGTTCTATAAATTAATGTCATATGAAATTTTACATAAAAGAATGAGGATTTACTCGAGATTTCAAATTTTTCTACTTTTATTATTAAGGGCCCCTGTGGAAGCCTTTCCAGCAGAGAGTCTGTGCGTGACAGAAGGCTTGCAAAGATAAAAGGATACAGGCTTCTTTTTTTCCTTCTGTTCCCATCAAAACAAATCAACTATCTATCATGTTTCTCTTGTTGAAAAAAGAGTTAACTAAGCATGGATTTTAATTGTCTACGGTCTCTTAACACTATTTTTTTTAATTCCATCCCACACCTTTTGATTTCAAATTGCTTCTTTGTTTTGTCACAGGAATGATCTCTGGATTCTGGCAGAATTTCACATGGAGACATGCATCACATATATTTTATAAGATAACAGAAAAGACAGTGATTCAGAGATTTAGAGACATGTACACATGGCACAACCAGCAATCACATTCCACTATGTAAATCCATAAAAGGAAATAGGGAGCAGATATGTACTATTAACATGGATTTTTTAAAAATATTTTGGAAGAACTATAGGTGTTTCGTGGTTACACCGGTATTTTACACACTGAAATTGATATAATCCTCATCACAAAGATAATATATTGTTCGTAGAGTACATTTTAAAAGTCTGATGAATTACATAACTCAAATTCATAAACTTCACAAATTTGGAATCTTTATAAGGCTATATATACCCTGGCGGTGAAAAACAGTCCCGTGTCATAAAATAAGAATGAACATAGGATGAATCCAGAAAGCAAAGAAGTAACCAGAAGAGACAACTGAGAGAGGTTGTGTCAATCCCAGGGAAGAGACCAGGCTTTTCAGGACCAGCTGAGCCAGGGCCTCAGCTTCAAGGCAAAGAGGAGATTAAAGAGGGGAGATGATGAGGTACAGAGTCCTGTGGAAAAGGTAAATGGCCCTATCCAAAAAAGTCATTTTGTAAATGACAAATTAGGAAACTGATTTTTTTTCTAACTTCTATTATGTAAAGCCTTCTGAGTATACTGAAGATAACAAACTCAAAGTGCAGTCCCACAGACAGATTTTCTTTAGGGCTCATTATTAATTCTGATAAAGGATCCTACTTCTCATCAGTCTCACTCATTTAAATTTCATTGAGGAGAACACCACAAATTTCAGACAGCAACTGACAGTGTGTCATGGCTTCTTCTCTCAGGGCTCCATTTTACAAGTAAATCTAATACTTCCTTTATTATAGTCTACATGGATTTGCATGCCTAAAAACAAAATAGAGCTCTACTTTCACTAGCCTAAAATAACTTATTAAGAGAGAGGGACTGTTTCACAAATATGGAGCCCTTCCATTCTATACATCTTCTGGCATATGATGCCCTTTGCATTTTTGGCCCTTTAAGCTCATTCCTTAACTTATTCCAGGTAACAAACACACAAAGGTAATATAGCTCTTGTTGCAGGTTAGCCATAACTCAGGACTGGTCCTCTAGTTTCCAGGTTCTGTGAATAAGTATCCCCTGAAATCAGAGAATAACAGATTCAATCTACTTTCATACCACAGAAGTTGCTCTTCTCCACTGAAAACCCATCAATTCATAAGATCCATGCGACTTACCCCACTACCCCACTGAGTACCACTACAACCCCCAAACAAGCTAAATACTAGAAGACCTTTTATTTTTTTTTTATTTTTTATTTTTTGAGATGGAGTCTCACTCGCCCAGGCTAGAGTGCGGTGGTGCGATCTCGGCTCACTGCAAGCTCCGCCTCCCAGGTTCACGCCATTCTGCTGCCTCAGCCTCCTGAGTAGCTGGGACTACAGGCGCCCGCCATCACGCCCAGCTAATTTTTTTTTTTTTTGTATTTTTAGTAGGGACGGGGTTTCACCGTGTTAGCCAGGATGTACAAGACCATTTTTAAAAAAATACAACACTCATGGCTGGACACGGTCGCTCACGCCTGCAATCCCAGCACTTTGGGAGGCCAAGGTGGGCAGATCACGAGGTCAGGAGTTGCGGACCAGCCTGACCAACATGGTGAAACCCCGTCTCTACTAAAAATACAAAAATTAGCCAGCCATGGTGGCGCATACCTGTAATCCCAGCTACTCGGGAGGTTGAGGCAGGAGAATCGCTTGAACCCAGGAGGCGGAGGTTGCAGTGAGCCGAGATCACACCACTGCACTCCAGCCTGGGAGACGGAGCGAGACTGTCTTGGGGACGCGGGCAGAGGGAAACACCAATAAACAGCATAAAGCATATGTCCATGGGCACTAGGGGAGGACACACAAAACAGAAATTCGTCTCTAGGCCTCTTCTTTGTAGCAAGCACCATTCACGGTGAAAAGAGTCAAAAATCCTGCAGTCTAACAACTGCTGTCTTCTCATCCTAGACAAGTATAATCATGCATCCCATAATAATGAGGATACCTTCCAAGAAATCCATCCTTAGGCAATTTCATAACTGTGTGAACACCATAGAGTGCACTTACACAAATCTACATCTATTGCTCCTAGGCTGCAAACCTGTGCAGCACATTATTCTACTAAATACTGTAGGCAACTGTAACACAATCATAAATATTTGTGTATCTAAATATATCTAAACATAGAAAAAGTACAGTAAAAATACGATATAAAAGATTTAAAAATGGTATACCTGTATAGGGCACTTAAGATGAATTGTTCTTACATGTCTGGAAGTTGTTCTGGGTGAGTCCATGAGGGAGTGGTGAGTGAATGTGAAGGCCTAGCACATTACTGTATACTACTGTCAACTTTATAAATACTGGACACTTAGGCTACACTAAATATATTTAAAATTTTTTCTTTCTTCAATGATAAATTAGCCTTAGCTTACTAAAACTTTTTACCTTATAAACATTTCAGATTTTTTTAACTTTTTGACTTTTTTTTAATTACACTTAGCTTGGAAACATATATACATTGTATAGCCATATCCAATACATTTTTTCTTTATGTCCTTATTCTATAAACTTTTCCTATTTTAAACTTTTGTATTTTTTTTTACCTCTTAAACATTTTTGTTAAAAACTAAGACATAATCACATACATTAGCTAGACATACACAGGGTCAAGAACATCAATATCAATGTCTTCAACCTCCACATCTTGTCCCACCGGAAGGTCTTCAGGGGCAATAAAATGCATGGACCTGTACTTTGATAACGCCTTCTTGCAGATTGTGTCCTGTAGGACCCACCTGAGACTCTTTTGCAATTATCTTTTTTTTTTAATAAGTAGAAAGAGTGCACTCCAAGATAATGATAAAACATATAGTAAATACATAATCAAATAACATATTTATTCATTATCAAGTATTTATGTATCATGCATAATTGTGTCATACCTGTACATGACTGGAAGTGCATGTGTGTTTACACCAGCATCACCACAAACATTGATGGCTCCTAAGTTACCAGGAGACAAGGATTTTTCAGCTTCATTATAATCTTATGAGACCACCCCTGTAAATGCACTCTGTCATTGACTGAAACATTGTTATGCAGGGCATGACTGTATACCAAACATTTCAAATTCCATGCTTCACCTACCAATCAGAACTTGCCTTCCTCAAAATTTGAGATCTAACCAATTAGAGATCACAAATCCAAACAAATTCATGACAGTCAAAAACTGGCCTCAAGCTGACATCACAGCCAGGCCTTGGTTCCCATGAGAGATACAGGCCGAATAGCAGCAGAAGGGACATCTGTTTTTTATTTTTGGTAATGCCATTTGTATTACGCAATTTCTAGAGTCTTTTTTGTCATGCTATCTTGTGATAATGAAAGGGGTGTTTTACTGATAATAGCATAAATCTATTTCATCTGATAAATGGAATACTCAAGCAATAAGAACTAGCCTTGGCTGTATCAGCGTGTTAAGTTCAGCTCCACGGTAATCAATTAAAATCAATTGTTTAAAACCATGAAAATTTTTCAAAGTAGCTCCTGCTGTAAAAGATACTCAGATTTTTACCTTAACATGGTTTCTGAGTCTAATTGTCCTTTCAGTTACTATAAGAAAACTGTAAAAGTATCACCTCCTTACAAATATTACTGAAATACAGAAAATAAAAGAAAATAATTAATTTATACATGTAGAATATGTGACAATTTATCTTAAAATAAAACTTTTGAGATATTCTTATAATAAAAACATGTATTTCGCTGGATGAAAGGATTTTTCTGCTAAACTTATTTTCCTGTGTCATTATAGGAGATTACAGATATATAGGCTCACGGCCCAGATCTGGACTTCTGAAAGACAACTGTTATTGAGGCTGAGGTGAGGACATGTGGAGAGGTTAAGAGGCCAAAACTGAGAGGCCATTTAACAGAATACTGCCATAATCCTACTTCTGTCTGAGAAATGAAAGGTCCAAACAGGACAATAGGAGAAAAAGTGTCAGGACAGAAAAGACATAACTGAAGTAAAATCAAAAGTACTTTGTGATCCATTAGATACACTATACTAGGGAAGAAAAGATATCAAGAATGACCCCCAAGTTCCAGCTTGCACAACTATCTAGACGGTGATAATATAAACTGAGAAAAGAAGGCAGAAACAAAAGAGACGTACAGGAAGGGCCAGCTAGTGCCACGTTTCTTACCTAACTGCAAGGTAGAGCTGTGGTAGGCCATTGGGAAAATGAAACGAGCTCAGAAAAGAGATGGATATTGAGAAATCATGCAGGTGGCAGTTGAAGCTATGAAATAGACTGAGGCAAAAAATCCAAATTTACTTTTGCAGTAGGAAAGGTTGTTTTAAATATTTTAAAACAATTCTGTTTCTATCAACTGTTATCTTAATTCAAAGGTAATAATAAACCTTATATTTCTCACAGAACTTTTCTAGCATAAAGTGACTGAAGTAATATAAACATCTTAACCATAAGCCCACATAATTTGCCTCTCTATAGACCATTAACATTGTATTTTTACCTACAATGACTAAGCCTATGTTCATCATTCTAATAACCATTCTGTGTAATGTGTGACAACTCAATGACAGAAATTCAGTTCCACAAATATGTTGTGACAGCATACCACACTTGAGGCCCAAACTGTGCTAGAATCCAAACATAAAAAGATGAATTAGATATATTTCTTGCTTTTTTACAGTCCATAGTGATGGGGGAAATGGTGGAAAGAGAAAAGAAAAATTTAAGAACAATTCAATCTGATAAAAGAATAAAGAAAGTCAGAGAACAGAGGATGACACTCATAGGATCATCCTAACCGCCAGGCTTCCCCACCCAAAAGTTCTTAAACTCACACTCAGTGAGTCTCTAAGAAAAAGAATGGCTGGATTGCCTGAAGTCACCAACCACCCATATCATTTCTTTTCTACAAAGCACGCAAATACCACAGGAATCTTATTGAAGGCTTCAGTGGTTATTTAACATTTATTATTATTATTATTATTGAAATGGGTCTTGCTCCATTGCCCAGGCTGGAGTGCAGTGGCATGATCACGGTTCACTGTAGCCTCAGTCTCCTAGGCTCAAGCAATCCTTCTACCTCAGCCTTCCCAGTAGCTAGAACTACAGGCGTGCACCACCATACCTGGTTAATTTTTTTTTATTTGTTGTACAGATGGGGATCACCCTATGTTGCCCAGGCTAATCTTTTATTATTATTATTAATTACAATAATTATAACTATTTCATAGTAAAGTACAACTACAATTTATGAATTATTATTATAAAAATGGAGATTAAACAAATAATTGAGGCCATGATGATGGATAAATTAAGAGGCACCAAGAAATAAACCAATAATTTTCATGAGGATCTCTCCTTGTAAGTCCTTGTACTTCCATGTAAATGGTTGCAGAAAGTGGAACAAAATTTCAGAAAATCTGGACACGGACCACCCAAACCCAAGGCAGTTCAACTTCCAAACTTCGTGGTTGACAAGTTCTATCTGGCCTGGCTAGACTATGATTGTATAACTGAGGCCATTAAATTGCTTTGTAACTAAGATCAAACTTATCAATGAAAGATGATGAGTAAGCAGAGAAACTTGAAATGGCCATGAGAACAGCCATAGCAATGAAACACCTCAGGGACACTCGGCTGAAATTGTATCCGAAGCCTAGGCTTCTTCTTCCTTCATTATAGTTAGTAGTGGCCCATTTGAGTTACTTATGGTTACCATGAGCTTTCTGTACAGGAAGGAATGTGCACATGAGTAAATCTACAGAATTCTGTGAAAATTGATGTTATATCTATGGTTTTCCCTCCCTAAACTCTCATATTTACAGATGATAGTATTGAGATTGAGCAGAAAATTCATACATACGGCAATTAAGGTATGACAGTGGGCTCTGCTTTGAGTAAACTGGTATTGATAAGAGATATTTTAACTGGGTGTCAACCAATTTTGACTCAACCTTTTTTTTAAAAAAAAAAAAAAAGCAATATTTCCTGTTTCATCTTAACCATCTAAAATGCCTTAAGGGGCACTTTTAAATTAAATTTTATTCACTCAGTATAGAAGACTTCTTAAACTAGACACATATAGCACATTAAACCTATTTAAGTGGTAAGGGGGAAATTATCAGTTTTACTGCATTAAAATTTAAAACTTGTGTTCATTGAAGACATCACGAAAAAGTAAAGAGGTAAGCCACAGCCTAGGCAAGACATTTTTAATACAACTATTCAATAAAAGGTGACTATTCCTAGTATCTAAAGAGTACCTATAAATTAATAAAGAAAAGATAATCCATTAAAAATGGGCAAAATATATAACAAGCAATGCACAGAAAAAGAAAATACTATGCAAACATAAAAAGACAGTGACATATATACAAAAAGACACATGTTAAAAACTGTTCATGCCTTCACTGTCTAATAAAAATGATAAATTACGTAACTGTTGATAAAACAACTAAATAAATTGAGGTATATTAATACAAACAAATACTATTAAGCAATGAAAAATAAATGAACTAGTTACATCCATCAAAATGAATAAATTTCACAGTTAAAAGAAAAAAGGTATTAAAATGCATATAATTTAGGTAATTAATATAAATAATACAATATATATTGCTTAAAAACATATCCATATGTAGACAAAGTATAAAGAAATGTATAGAGTGGTATATCCCAAGCACTATGATTACTTCTGCAGGTGAAGGAGGAGTTGCAGTCAGAAAAAGGAGAAATTTGTTCTGTCTTGTAAAGATCTATTATTTTTTTTAATCTGGGAGGTGGGTACACTCATATTTGTTGTATTACTGTCATGTGTTGCTTAATGACAGAGATGCATCCTGAGAAATACATTATTAGGTAGTTCTGTCATTATGCCAACTCATAGAAAGTACTTAACAGGAACCTGGATAGTACAACCTACTACAAACATAGGCCCTATATGATATTGCCTGTTGCTCTTAGGCTACGAACCTGTGCAGCATGTTACTGCATTGAATACTTCAGGCAACTGCAACACAATGCTAAGTATTTGTAGATCTGAACATACATAAACATAGAAAAAGTACAGTAAAAATATGGTATTATAATCTTACAGTATTACCATAGTATATGCAGACCACTGTTTACTGAAATGACATTACCATAGTATATGCAGACCACTGTTTACTGAAATGACATCATGTGGTACATGACTGCATTTTGTTGCGCTTTTTTATAATACACATATTTAAAAACTCTTATTTTCCCTTAGAATAATTGAATAATCTTAGATGTGACTTAAAAACAAGGGCCTAAACATAGAATTTGAATAAAGAATTAATGTCATTAATATAGTCAAGCCCAACCCCACTGCTGAAGGAAGTATTTACTGTGAATGTTACCAAAAAATGCAGAAAGTTGTCTTTTTAAAGCATTGCTCTACCTTTTGCAGCAGAACATTACATTTCAGTTCTACCTGAAACACCTCTCTGAACTCTCTTTCTTCCACATATATAGAAGACCTTTTAAATAATCAAACATTAAATGCTTCCACATTTTAGAAGGGATAAGCAATAAATTATGTTTTCAGATATAAACTACATCAAAAATATATGCACATTTACATTATTTTTTAAGTGCCCAAAGCCCCTTTAAACCTAAGCAAGGCACCATATCAGGACACTATTCATACAATTCTTATCAGAACCTGAACACTAAAGGACACAATTTGTTGTGGCAAGTTTACTCAGCAGATAAGGAAAGGCTAAGCCAAAGTTCACCTCTTCCAGGAGGACTTCTTCCCTAACCATTTCATCCCATAGTGATTGTCCCTTCTCTTAACTCTTGTTGGAGTACTCATCACCTAAACCAATCACCATCTGCTTTTGTCCTTTCTCTCCTCTATTAAAGTTCCTTGAGGGTCAGGGGCTATGTCATCTTCCCCTTCTTCACTCCTCCACCAACACCCCCAAGAGGGTGTGCATAAGTCGATATGTTCTCAATTGAATTGGGGAACAGAAAAACTAAGCCCTAGCCTTCAGAAGAGAGGGCCTGCAGGCTGAATCTAGCTCTACACTTTGCCAGCTGAATGACTCAGAGCAATCTCTGCATCTCATTTCATTCATAAAGCAAGAAATATGTTAGTAACAATTGTTTTAAATTGTTTCAAAGATGAAAGCAAATCATTGTTGAAAAGCACTTATGATAATACCTGGCACACAGTAAGCACTTAAGAATTATTAGTTATTATCATTACTAGTACTACTACTACTACTACTATTACAGCCATACTATTATGCTATTTATTTGGAGGGAAGAAATGAGTCTTGGAAACCACTTAATGCTTCATTTTAAGGTCTCCTTCCTTTTATTAATTTAACCATTATATTGATCAATGTCTTCCTTGACACCCAATCAGTAATCTTGAATCCAAAATGCAGATCCTGTGTAACTAGAAGAACAATTAGTCAATTCTGTGCCCAAATGTTCACTCTTCTAGCAATGGTAATTGTTGACTTAACAAAAGCATCTATCATGATTGCTGTTATTAAAGTTTGCACTGACCTTGTATCTGTCTTACCTGCTAAAATAATTTAATTCCAATATATTTGTAAAATCATACTTTCATACATTCATTACAAATATTGATTCTTCCAAAACATATATATCCCTTCTCACTTAAAACAGAATGTAGGATGGGCGTGGTGGCTCACGCCTGTAATCCCAGCACTTTGGGAGACTGAGGCAGGTGGATCACGAGGTCAGGAGTTCGAGACCAGTCTGGCCACCAAGGTGAAACCCTGTCTCTACTAAAAATACAAAAATTAGCCAGGCGTGGTGGTGCACACCTGTAATCTCAGCAACTCAGGAGGCTGAAGTAGGAGAATCGCTTGAACCTGGGAGGCGGAGCTTGCAATGAGTGGAGACTGAGACACTGCACTCCAGCCTGGGCAACAGAGTGAGATTCCATCTCAAAAAAAACAAAATAATAAACCAGAATGTAAATGTATAATGCATTAATCTGGTCATTATTCTACCATACAAAGTATATTTGCAATGCTTTGTTATTTAGCAATGATAGATTTATAGCATTCTTCTGAAAGCACCCTGGTGATTAAAATACATTTTAAAGCAAATTAAAAATAATTTTAAATAAGCAGCTCTAGGATATTTCAGGTACTCTGAGCAAGCATGATTCTGCAGATTTAAATTCAGGAAAGTTTGACACAGCGATAACTGCTAACAGCATTATTTGATCTGGATAGATGTGCAAACATTGAACACCAAAAAGCATGTGTCAATAATTCATAGGTCTAAAGTCAACTCTCTTGAGCAAGGAAAATGTATCTTTCTATTTCTTTTCCTATATCCCAAGACACTTTTTTGCTGTGAGAAAATTCTTTCCTCTTCGCCCGCCAGTAGAAAGATCACCTGTTACAATCAGACGTTCTGCTGACTTCAGTTGTTTTCTTCCATTAAGACTAGGCAGAGAGCTAGCTCTATATGCATGTCACTAAACAAAAGATAGGAATCAGTCTGGAAATTCGGCACTCCCTACACGCCCAGTAATCTTAACTTCACAACCCACTTTAGGCAGATTTATGAGATTTTCCTGAGAACTCTATCTAGGCAGGTAGCATGTTTCCTAGACTTTGTTCATGCTGAGAGCCAAGCTGAGATCCCAGCATCCCTCTGGGCATACCTAATCTCCTATGTATAGGTCCTAAACACATCTGAATTTCTGCCTCCCCTGCCCTGTTCATTCCCCTTCATCTACCAGCTCCCAAAACCATAATAACATGGGAACAGTCAACTAGCTTGGGCTATGACCACTTTGAGACAAAGGCCTTATAGATACACTGTCAATCAGAAACCAGATATCAAGATAATGAGGGGCTACAATGAGTTAATAAATAGAAAATGCAATGATTTGTTGCTACTTCAAAATAAAAATTTTTATGCATTTATCCATCAAACTGTGACCTTGAGACATAAGAAAATGAAACCAGTAATAAACTTCGGTTTTTTTTCATTTTAACATTTTAGAATTTTATAATCATATTTCACGCTTGGGAGTCCAGCTCAGATAACCACTTTGTCAGCAAACAACCTTGCAGTACAAGGAAATTAACAGACTAATAAACATATGGAATTGAAATATTAAAAGAACAGGCTGGGTGCCGTGGCTCATGCCTGTAATCCTAACACTTTGGGAGGCCAGGGAAGGCAGATCACCTGAGGTCAGGAGTTCGAGACCAGCCTGGCCAACATGGTGAAACCCCATCTCTACTAAAGTAAATACAAAAATTAGCTGAGCACAGTAGTGCACACCTGTAGTCCCAGCTACTCAGGAGGCTAAGGCATGAGAATTGCTTGAACCAGGAAGTGGAGGTTGCAGTGAGCTGAGATTGCGCCACTGCACTCCAGCCTGGGTGACAGAGCAAGACTCCATCTCAAAAAAAAAAAAAAAAAAAAACAACAATTCACAAATTTGCCAACTGTACCTTTCTACTGCTAAAAAAGGAAAAGCACTTTATTGTGCTTTTTGATGATCAGACCACATCAGAAACATAAATGTGATTGTAATTTTTTTTATTTATAAATCACCGGCTACATCCTGAGAACACAGCAGTGATAGAAAGGGATAAACTATTGAGCTTAGATTGTTTTCATTCTAGTTGGGGGGCCACAAAATAAGTAAAATGTATGTATTTCAGATTGTGATAAACATGGCTGAGAATACAAATTCAGGTAAGATGAAGAGAAAAGGTAAGGGATTGTTTGCAATTTTAAATACAGTAACAGAAAAGGCTTCAGTTAGTTGACTTTTTGAGCAAATATGCAAAGGGAAACAAAGGAACAAGCAATGCTGAGGTGAAAAAGCATGAAAAGGCAGGCCAAGGAGAGGGAAGTTGAAAGGCCTGAGTCAGGGGCTGTGATACATACAGCACTTTCCCAAGCAACATCTTATGTGGTCACACGATAATCCTGTGTATTAGGATTGCCATTATGTCCCTATTACAGATGAAGATCAGAGACTAGGCCATGTTGCCACTTGCCCAATGTCATATAGTAGGCATCAGTGCTAAGATTTTAACCTAGATGTTATGGTTCAGTCTGGAAATTTTTCTGCCTCAGTGACTGCCTCCTAGCTGTGTTCAGTTCTGTGTATTAAATCTTGTCATAAATAACCAATCAACTATACTGTCAGAAAGAGTGACAATAATAGTGATGAGTCTACAAACCACAGAGAGCTGCTGAAAAAAGAGAAGACTTAGAGGAATACAACATTTGAAAGATTCCCAAGGAGAAGAGGGAAGAGAGATGTTCAATATTTCTCCGAAAGCAGAAGTCAAACCAGTATGTGCAAATTGCAGGGAGACAAATTTCCCATAAATAGTTGAATAAATTATCTAGTGATGGGAGCTGTCCAACAATGAAAGGGTCTGTCTTGCGAAGGTATTAAATGCCAATTACCAAGTTACTCAAGCTTAAGCTGCATGGATCTGTCTGAGATGAGAACAAACTTAACATCCACTGATATGAAGACTACAAGGATTGACCAATTTTCCAATTCTGATTCTGTGACTACACAAGCCCCTGGACAAAGTTGTGTGGCAGTTAAAAGTTCCAGTTGTGAAGTCAGACAGCTTGGTTAAAATGCAGGCTCCACCACTTACAGACTTTACCTTTGTAAGCCTCAGTTTCCTTACCTGAAATGAGGCTAATAACAAAAGCTACATCATAGAGTTGTTGTCAGGATTAAATGAGATAATTCAGGTAAAGGATTTAACACAATGCCTGGTACATACTAAGAACTTGCAAAGTTTAGCTATTACGATACAGACACGTATATTTAGGAGGATGTGTATAAAATGTATATATAATATGTAAAACATGTGAAAATTTGTTTCCCTCTCTCTGCTTTTACTCTTTTACTCAGCAGTTAAGACTAGTTCAGTATCCAAAACTGAAGTCTTACAGCATAGTCAATTACATGAGGACACTAATAATAACAGTAATAATAAACCCTTAAAAAGTCAGCTTCTTAGCCTAATCATTTCATATTACATCTCTGTTTATTATCTGCATTATTCTGCAAAAGATGGTGCAGAAAAGTTCATCTTTTAAACATTTTAGGCACTCATTTAAAACTTATGAAAGAAAAATCATAATTTTTTAAATTGAAACAACTATTAAAAATCCAGTTTTTCAGTATGAGAAAGAATATTTAACAATCTTCATCTGTGTTTTTGATGTGTGTGCAAGAACTCAAGTGTACATGTGTATGTACGCACACACACACACACATGCTTCCTCTTTCAAAATAAGGGTGCTAAACTAGAAAGCCAATGAATATTTTTATTTAAATCTTAATAAATAAAATGATTATAGACATTTATTAATGGGGGCAAGTATTTTATGCATCCATGTCTGTATTAACAGAAAATGAAGGATAAATAAATATAGGAAGTTGCATCTGTATGCTGAAGTCTGGAGATGCTTCTAGATGATGGAAAGTGAGTTCACAATTTTAGATTAATTCATCATCATTCTTTTGTCACTCTGGAAAAAGTAACATTTATTATTCATAAAGAAGACATTCAGGAATGGACTTGAATGATCAAAGAAAGCTGGCACTTTAGAAAAAACACAGAAAATATCACTATGCTTTACTTCTGCCGTGGGATGCTCATTGCTCTTAGAAAGTTATGGTATGATAGATTATAGAAAAGAAAATGATTACTTTCAAAACAATAGCATTTTATGATATAATAGTGTATGTATGGATTTATATCCATAATCTTATTTAATCCTCCTCATAATCCTGTGATGTACCTTTTATCATCTCTGCTTTATCAACAGAGGCTCAGACAGTAAAAGATGAAGATATAGTTTGACTCCAAAACTTTTAATCTCTCTTCATTGGCTGCCAAGTGAACACACTAAATTAGCATAGTTAGACACAGATAATCTATTTCAATATATTTCAAATACAATAAAATATACTTAACATCAATACTATACTGAATATACTGAATATCATGGACACTAAGGAGCTTTCCACTAGAAGAAATAATACAGTCTGTTGCCCAAGGATAGGGTCAGGAATCCTACCCAGCCTCCATGGACATGAACAGTACTGAAAATTTAATACCTAACAATCAGCTCTTAGAAATTCCTTCCAGACACTCTGTAACTTCTGCTTATTAATCTCAGGTTTGCCCTAGAAGGCAAAAGAGTATAATGTTCACTTTCCCAAATCACCCTCCAAGGACCTAAAGCAAACCTTCATGCTCTCCCCTGCAAAATTCCTCATTTCTCATAACATCATAATATTGAGTTTCCTTTTCATTCTGGCAGCCCCTCTAATGAGTCCTTGATTTGTCAAAATCCCTCTGCAGTAACACCCAGTATTAAACATTCAATTTGGTGGTGGACATAATCAGTGACAAATTCAACCTTTTTCTTAATTTCACCCAAGATGCTACTAGGTTATTGAACTGTCAGGTCTCGGTGGTGATTCAGACTGTCACAATGGAGAAACAAATTATAAGCCTTTTTTTTTTTTTAAGCTAGATCTATAGTCATGCAACTGATTCTGCTGAGGACCAAAAACACTGCTACTCTTCCAGCTTGACTTTTCTCCACTGCCTGTGGACAGTCTGGCTACACAGGATTCTTGCTGCCTCCCTAACAAACCACTTGCTCTCATGATTCTGAATCTTTGTCACTGATACTTTCTGAGGAATACATCCTTCCCCCATTTTCCTGCCTACAGGTTCTCCTTCACCCTTCATGGTCCAGTTCAACTGCCTCTTTCTGAAATTAACTGCTCTCTTGTCTGCATTTCCACAGCACTCTGGGATGCTTTTTATCACAAGGTAGTATCTATAGCCATTTGGGGGTCTTTCTCCCCTGAGAGCGAGTGAGCCCATCAGAGCCAAGTACTATGTCTTCTTTGTGTTATTTCTAACACACAGCTCAGTGGGAAAGATTAAGCCATATTATATATGAATGCCAAATGATAAAGGGTTGTGAGTGAAATAGTTCACAGACAGGAGTGATTAATTCCAGGTAAGGAATCACAGAAAGTTTCATGAAGTATATGGTACTTAGGGGAAGACAGGATAAATTAGGGAAATTTATCGATATGGAAATGAGATCATATGGGCAATGGAAAAGGCATCAACAGAGATGAGAAAAGCCATGAGCCTAGCTGGAGTATGGGGCATGGTAAGCCTCAAAGGGAAATGTAACAAATGTCTATTGGACACCTCTGAAAATTGGATACTCTGAATTCACTTTATATTCATTTACTCATTTAATTACTTCATTTTACTACCTCATTTAGAATTATGTATTGTGAAATTTAGTATCACTGTTTAGAGCTAAGGAAATTAAAATTCAGAGAAGGTGGCTTTCTCAAGACTATGCAGTTAACAAGTGGTAAAACTGTGTTTATAATATTCATCTTTCTTTACATATTATTTCCATATTACAATGTCTGGGCTTGGGAGTAGGAAATAAATGTAACCTTGATAGGAATGCACTTCCCTGAACTACCATGTGGACATCTTGTTTCTTCCCTGATGACCACCATCTCAGCCTACTACCACAGCAACACATGCACGCACGCACGCACGCACACACACACACACACACACACACAGAGGCATGTAGAAACATTAACTCCAAAAGCACTTACAGATAAAGGAGTTGTGTTTTCTTTCTAAAGACTTCCCCAGTGAGACAGGAGGAAGTAATACTGCATATCAATCAATTCTAAAAATCACCATAAAAAATCATTTCAAATATATCGTAAAGAAGCAAGACTAACATAACGGCTAGAAGAGCAGGAGAACTTGACTGCCTAGCTTTGCCCCTTACCAGCTATGTGACCTCAGACAGAGATTATACAACCTCTCTGTGCCTCAGTTTACTCATCTGTAAAATGGGAATCAAAATAGCACCTAACTTATAAAGTTGCTGAGGAGACAAAATTAGTTCATTGACATGTGATCCCTATGAACTCTTATCAATCACACTGTAAACATTCATTGCAATGCTTGATCCACTTGAGACTACTGTCAGGCCTCTGAGCCCAAGCCAAGCCATCGCATCCCCTGTGACTTGCACGTATACATCCAGATGGCCTAAAGTAACTGAAGATCCACAAAAGAAGTAAAAACAGCCTTAACTGATGACATTCCACTATTGTGATTTGTTCCTGCCCCACCCTAACTGATCAATGAACTGATCAATGTACTTTGTAATCTCCCCCACCCTTAAGAAGGTTCTTTGTAATTCTCCCCACCCTTGAGAATGTACTTTGTGAGACCCACCCCCTGCCCGCAAAACATTGCTCTTAACTTCACCGCCTATCCCGAAACCTATAAGAACTAATGATAATCCACCACCCTTCGCTGACTCTCTTTTCGGACTCAGCCCACCTGCACCCAGGTGAAATAAACAGCTTTATTGCTCACACAAAGCCTGTTTGGTGGTCTCTTTACATGGACACACATGAAATTTGGTGCCGTGACTCGGATCGGGGGACCTCCCTTGGGAAATCAATCCCCTGTCCTCCTGTTCTTTGCTCCATGAGAAAGATCCACCTACGACCTCAGGTCCTCACACCGACCAGCCCAAGGAACATCTCACCAATTTTAAATCAGGTAAGCGACCTCTTCTTACTCTCTCCTCCAACCTCTCTCACTGTCCCTCAACCACTTTCTTCTTTCCACTCTTCAATCTCTCCCTTCTCTTAATTTCAATTCCTTTCATTTTCCGGGCGAGACAAAGGAGACACGTTTTATCTGTGGACCCAAAACTCCGGCGCCGGTCACGGACTGGGAAGGCAGCCTTCCCTTGGTGTTTAATCATTGCAGGGACACCTGATTATTCACCCACGTTTCAAAGGTGTCAGACCACGCAGGGACACCTGCCTTGGTCCTTCACCCTTAGCAGCAAATCCCGCTCTTCTGGGGAAGGGGCAAGTACCCCAATCCCTTCTCTCCTTGTCTCTATCCCTTCTCTGCTTTCCTGGGGCAGGGGCAAGTACCCCTCAACCCCTTCTCCTTCACCCTTAGCGGCAAGTCCCGCTTTCCTGGGGCAGGGGCAAGTACCCCTCAACCCCTTCTCCTTCACCCTTAGCGGCAAGTCCCGCTTTTCTGGGGGAGGGGCAAGTACCCCTCAACCCCTTATCTTTCACCCTTAGTGGCAAGTCCCACTTTTCTAGGGGGCAAGAACCCCCAATCCCTTATTTCCGCACCCCTACCTCATATCTCTGTGCCCCAATCCCTTATTTCCATGTCCCGACCCCTTATTTCCATGCCTCGACCCCTTTCCGTGCCTCGACTCCTTATTTCTGCACCCCATCCCTTATTTCCATGCCCCGACCTCTTATCTCTGCGCCCCAACCCCTTTTCCCACTTTTCTGGCAGGTAAGAACCCCCGAACCCCTTCCCTCCATTTCTCTACTCTCTCTTCTCTAGGCTTGCTTCCTTCACTACAGGCAACCTTCCACCCTCCATTCCTCCTTCTACTCCCTTGGCCTGTGTTCTCAAAAACTTAAAACCTCTTCAACTCACACCTGACCTAAAACCTAAATGCCTTATTTTCTTCTGCAATGCCGCTTGACCCCAATACAAACTCGACAGTAGTTCCAAAGTCAGAAAATGGCACTTTGAATTTTTCCATCCTGCAAGATCTAAATAATTCTTGTCTTAGAAAAGGCAAACGGTCTGAGGTGCCTGATGTCCAGGCATTCTTTAACACATCAGTCCCTTCCTAGTCTCTGTGCCCAGTGCAACTCATCCCAAATCTTCCTTCTTTCCCTCCTGCCTGTCCCCTCAGTCCCAACCCCAAGCGTCGCTGAGTCTTTCTAATCTTCCTTTCTACAGACCCATCTGACCTCTCCCCTCCTCACCAGGCCGAGCTAGGTCCCAATTCTTCCTCAGCCTCCACTCCTCCACCCTATAATCTTTTTATCGCCTCCCCTCCTCACACCTGGTGGGGCTTACAGTTTCGTTCCGTGACTAGCCCTCCCCCACCTGCCCAGCAATTTACTCTTAAAAAGGTGGCTGGAGCCAAAGGCATAGTCAAGGTTAATGCTTTTTCTTTATCCCAAATCAGATAGCGTTTAGGCTCTTTTTCATCAAATATAAAAATCCAGCCCACTTCATGACTTGTTTGGCAGCAACCCTGAGACACTTTACAGCCCTAGACCCCAAAAAGTCAAAAGGCCGTCTTATTCTCAATATACATTTTATTACCCAATCTGCTCCCAACATTAAATAAAACTCCAAAAATTAAATTCCGGCCCTCAAACCCCACAACAGGATTTAATTAACCTCGCCTTCAAGGTGTACAATAATAGAAAAAAGTTGCAATTCCTTGCCTCCACTGTGAGACAAACCCCAGCCACATCTCCAGCACACAAGAACTTCCAAACGCCTGAATCGCAACGGCCAGGCGTTCCTCCAGAACCTCCTCCCACAGGAGCTTGCTACATGTGCCGGAAATCTGGCCACTGGGCCAAGGAATGCCCGCAGCCCGGGATTCCTCTTAAGCCGCGTCCCATCTGTGTGGGACCCCACTGAAAATCGGACTGTTCAACTCACCTGGCAGCCACTCCCAGAGCCCCTGGAACTCTGGCCCAAGGCTCTCTGACTGACTCCTTCCCAGATCTTCTCGGCTTAGCGGCTGAAGACTGACACTGCCTGATCGCCTCGGAAGCCCCCTAGACCATCACGGACCCCGAGCTTCGGGTAACTCTCACAGTGGAAGGTAAGCCCGTCCCCTTCTTAATCAATACGGAGGCTACCCACTCCACATTACATTCTTTTCAAGGGCCTGTTTCCCTTGCCTCCATAACTGTTGTGGGTATTGACAGCCAGGCTTCTAAACTTCTTAAAACTCCCCAACTCTGGTGCCAACTTAGACAATACTCTTTTAAGCACTCCTTTTTAATTATCCCCACCTGCCCAGTTCCCTTATTAGGCTGAGACACTTTAACTAAATTATCTGCTTCCCTGACTATTCCTGGACTACAGCTATATCTCATTGCCGCCCTTCTTCCCAATCCAAAGCCTCCTTTGCATTCTCCTCTTGTATCCCCCCACCTTAACCCACAAGTATAGGACACCTCTACTCCCTCCTTGGCGACCGATCATGCACCCCTTACCATCTCATTAAAACCTAATCACCCTTACCCCACTCAATGCCAATATCCCATCCCACAGCATGCTTTAAAAAGACTAAAGCCTGTTATCACTTGCCTGCTACAGCATGGCCTTTTAAAGCCTATAAACTCTCCTTACAATTCCCCCATTTTACCTGTCCTAAAACCAGGCAAGCCTTACAAGTTAGTTCAGGATCTGCACCTTATCAACCAAATTGTTTTGCCTATCCACCCCATGGTGCCAAACCCATATACTCTCCTATCCTCAATACCTGCCTCTATAACCCATTATTCTGTTCTAGATCTCAAACATGCTTTCTTTACTATTCCTTTGCACCCTTAATCCCAGCCTCTCTTCACTTTCACTTGGACTGACCCTGACACCCATCAAGCTCAGCAAATTACCTAGGCTGTACTGCTGCAAAGCTTCACAGACAGCCCCCATTACTTCAATCAAGCCCAAATTTCTTCCTCATCTGTTACCTATCTCGGCATAATTCTCATAAAAACACACGTGCTCTCCCTGCCAATCATGTCTGACTGATCTCCAAACCCCATCACCTTCTACAAAACAAAAACTCCTTTCCTTCCTAGGCATGGTTAGCATGGTCAGAATTCTTACACAAGAGCCAGGACCACACCCTGTAGCCTTTCTCTCCAAACAACTTGACCTTACTGTTTTAGCCTAGTCCTCATGTCTGCGTGCAGTGGCTGCCGCTGCATTAATACTTTTAGAGGCCCTCAAAATCACAAACTATGCTCAACTCACTCTCTACAGCTCTCATAATTTCCAAAATTTATTTTCTTCCTCACACCGGACACATACACTTTCTGCTCCCCGGCTCCTTCAGCTATACTCACTCTTTGTTGAGTCTCCCACAATTACCATTGTTCCTGGTCTGGACTTCAATCCGGCCTCCCACATTATTCCGGATACCACACCTGACCCTCATGACTGCATCTCTCTGATCCACCTGACGTTCACCCCATTTCCCCATATTTCCTTCTTCCCTGTTTCTCACCCTGATCACACTTGGTTTATTGATGGCAGTTCCACCAGGCCTAATCACCACTCACCAGCAAAGGCAGGCTATGCTGTAGTATCTTCCACATCTATCATTGAGGCTACCACTCTGCCCCTCTCCACTACCTCTCAGCAAGCCGAACTAGTTGCCTTAACTCAAGCCCTCACTCTTGCAAAAGGACTACGCGTCAATATCTATACTGATTCTAAATGTGCCTTTCATATTCTGCACCATCATGCAGTCATATGGGCTGAAAGAGGTTTCCTCACTACACAAGGGTCCTCCATCATTAATGCCTCTTCAATAAAAACTCTGCTCAAGGCCGCTTTACTTCCAAAAGAAGCTGGGGTCATTCACTGCAAGGGGCATCAAAAGGCGTCAGATCCCATTGCTCTAGGCAATGCTTATGCTGATAAGGTGGCTAGACAAGCAGCTAGCTCTCCAACTTCTGTCCCTCACGGCCAGTTTTTCTCCTTCACTTTGGTCACTCCCACCTACTCCCCCTCTGAAACTTCCCCCTATCAATCTCTTCCCACACAAGGCAAATGGTTCTTAGACCAAGGAAAATATCTCCTTCCAGCCTCACAGGTCCATTCTATTCTGTCGTCATTTCAAAACCTCTTCCACATAGGTTACAAGCCGCTAGCCCGTCTCTTAGAACCTCTCATTTCCTTTCCATCATGGAAATCTATCCTCAAGGAGATCACTTCTCAGTGTTCCATCTGCTATTCTACTACCCCTCAAGGATTGTTCAGGCCTCCTCCCATTCCTACACATCAAGCTCGGAGATTTGCCCCTGCCCAGGACTGGCAGATTGACTTTACTCACAAGCCTCGAGTCAGAAAACTAAAATATCTCTTAGTCTGGGTAGACACTTTCACTGGATGGGTAGAGGCCTTCCCCACAGGGTCTGAGAAGGCCACCGCGGTCGTTTCTTCCCTTCTGTCAGACATAATTCCTCGGTTTGGCCTTCCCACCTCTATACAGTCTGATAACGGACCGGCCTTTATTAGTCAAATCACCCAAGCAGTTTCTCAGGCTCTTGGTATTCAGTGGAATCTTCATATCCCTTACCATCCTCAATCTTCAAGAAAGGTAGAACGGACTAATGGTCTTTTAAAGGCACACCTCACCAAGCTCAGCCTCCAACTTAAAAAGGATTGGACAGTACTTTTACCTCTTGCTCTTCTCAGCATCACAGCCTGTCCTCGAGATGCTACAGGGTACAGTCCTTTTGAACTTTTATATGGACGCACTTTCTTGCTTGGCCCCAACCTCATCCCAGACACCAGCCCTCTAGGCGACTATCTTCCAGTCCTCCAGCAGGCTAGACAGGAAATTCGCCAGGCTGCTAATCTTCTCTTGCCTACTCCAGATCCCCAGCCATACGAAGACACCCTAGCTGGACAATCAGTTCTTGTTAAGAATCTGACCCCTCAAACTCTACAACCTCAATGGACCGGACCCTACTTAGTCATCTATAGTACCCTGACTGCCGTCCGCCTGCAGGATCCTCCCCACTGGGTTCACCATTCCAGAATAAAGCTGTGTCCATCGGACAGCCAGCCTAAT
This sequence comes from Homo sapiens, assembly GCF_000001405.40. Lineage (NCBI taxonomy): Eukaryota > Metazoa > Chordata > Mammalia > Primates > Hominidae > Homo > Homo sapiens. Next base: position 77,660,747 of record NC_000006.12, on the reverse strand, counting down.
CCCTCCTCTTCCTCCTGGAAGTTGCAAGTACTCTCCCCTACTTCCCTTAAACTCACTCGTATTTCTGAAGAACAGTAATAACCCTTATGAGCCTAATACATCCCTTCATTCTATTAGGTCTTTTTGTCCTTACCCTACTTTTGCGACAGGGCTTTACGAAGTCACCCCCACCACTTAGGCCAAGCCCCCCCAAAAAAAACTAGTCATCCCTACTATCTTCTGTCCGGTCATACTCCTATTCTCCATTCTCAACTACTTACAAATGCCCTACTCTTGTTTACACCGCCGGTTTACACTGTTTCTTCAAGCCATCACAGCTGATATCTCTTGGTGCTATCCCCAAACTGCCACTCTTAACTCCCTCTTAGAGTGGATAGATGATCTTTGCTAGCAAGGCACCCTCCAATATTTCCACCCTGATGAAGTTCTATTCTTTACTTTTATACTCACTCTTATTCTCATTCCCATTCTTATGCCACCCTCTACCGCTCCCCAGCTACCTCCACCACACTATCAACTTTACCCATTCTCTCCTAGCCACTTCTAATCCCTCCTTAGCGAACAACTGCTGGCTTTGCATTTCCCTTTCTTCCAGTGCCTACACAGCTGTCCCCGCCTTACAGACAGACTGGGCAACATCTCCCATCTCCCTACACCTCCGAACTTCCTTTAACAGCCCTCACCTTTACCCTCTGAAGAACTCATTTACTTTCTAGACAGGTCCAGCAAGACTTCCCCAGACATTTCACATCAGCAAGCTGCCGCCCTCCTTCACACTTATTTAAAAAACCTTTCTCCTTATATTAACTCTACTCCCCCCATATTTGGACCTCTCACAACACAAACTACTATTCCTGTGGCTGCTCCTTTATGTATCTCTCGGCAGAGACCCACTGGAATTCCCCTGGGTAATCTTTCACCTTCTCGATGTTCCTTTACTCTTCATCTCCGAAGCCCAACTACACACATCACTGAAACAATTGGAGCCTTCCAGCTCCATATTACAGACAAGCCCTCTATCAATACTGACAAACTTAAAAACATTAGCAGTAATTATTGCTTAGGAAGACACTTGCCCTCTATTTCACTCCATCCTTGGCTACCTTCCCCTTGCTCATCAGACTCTCCTCCCAGGCCCTCTTCTCGTTTACTTATACCCAGCCCCAAAAATAACAGTGAAAGGTTGCTCGTAGATACTCAACGTTTTCTCATACACCATGAAAATCGAACCTCCCCCTCTACGCAGTTACCCCATCAGTCCCCATTACAACCTCTGACAGCTGCCTCCCTAGCTGGATCCCTAGGAATCTGGGTACAAGACACCCCTTTCAGCACTCCTCATCTTTTTACTTTACATCTCCAGTTTTGCCTCACACAAGGTCTCTTCTTCCTCTGTGGATCCTCTACCTACATGTGTCTACCTGCTAATTGGACAGGCACATGCACACTAGTCTTCCTTACCCCCAAAATTCAATTTGCAAATGGGACCGAAGAGCTCCCTGTTCCCCTCATGACACCGACACGACAAAAAAGAGTTATTCCACTAATTCCCTTGATGGTCGGTTTAGGACTTTCTGCCTCCACTATTGCTCTCGGTACTGGAATAGCAGGCATTTCAACCTCTGTCACGACCTTCCGTAGCCTGTCTAATGACTTCTCTGCTAGCATCACAGACATATCACAAACTTTATCAGTCCTCCAGGCCCAAGTTGACTCTTTAGCTGCAGTTGTCCTCCAAAACCGCCGAGGCCTTGACTTACTCACTGCTGAAAAAGGAGGACTCTGCATATTCTTAAATGAGGAGTGTTGTTTTTACCTAAATCAATCTGGCCTGGTGTATGACAACATAAAAAAACTCAAGGATAGAGCCCAAAAACTTGCCAACCAAGCAAGTAATTATGCTGAACCCCCTTGGGCACTCTCTAATTGGATGTCCTGGGTCCTCCCAATTCTTAGTCCTTTAATACCCATTTTTCTTCTTCTTTTATTCGGACCTTGTATCTTCCGTTTAGTTTTTCAATTCATCCAAAACCGTATCCAGGCCATCACCAATCATTATATACAACAAATGTTTCTTCTAACATCCCCACAATATCACCCTTTACCACAAGACCTCCCTTCAGCTTAATCTCTCCCACTCTAGGTTCCCACGCCGCCCCTAATCCCGCTTGAAACAGCCCTGAGAAACATCGCCCACTCTCTCTCCATACCACCCCCCAAAAAATTTTCACCGCCCCAACACTTCAACACTATTTTGTTTTATTTTTCTTATAAGAAGGCAGGAATGTCAGGCCTCTGAGCCCAAGCCAAGCCATCGCATCCCCTGTGACTTGCACGTATACATCCAGATGGCCTAAAGTAATTGAAGATCCACAAAAGGAGTAAAAACAGCCTTAACTGATGACATTCCACTATTGTGATTTGTTCCTGCCCCACCCTAACTGATCAATGAACTGATCAATGTACTTTGTAATCTCCCCCACCCTTAAGAAGGTTCTTTGTAATTCTCCCCACCCTTGAGAATGTACTTTGTGAGACCCACCCCCTGCCCGCAAAACATTGCTCTTAACTTCACCGCCTATCCCAAAACCTATAAGAACTAACGATAATCCACCACCCTTCGCTGACTCTCTTTTCGGACTCAGCCCGCCTGCACCCAGGTGAAATAAACAGCTTTATTGCTCACACAAAGCCTGTTTGGTGGTCTCTTCACACGGACACGCATGAAAACTACTATACAGCCATGATTCAATCCCAGGCTCACGCCTCCAAATCCTGTGTCTCCACATGGACCTGACTATACATTTATGAAGGACTCAAAGAAATAAACTAGTGTGGGTTAGTGTGAACAGGAGGAGGAGGGACTTCTGAAGTGTACCTGGAATGTTTGAAGATGGGAACTCAGAGAGGCAAAAGCAGGGCAAAAGAGCACTTCAAATGGGGTGAACAGAGCAGAGAGCATATAATGGCATAGGTGTTCATGGAAGAATGCATGAGCTCCTTGACTAAAGAATATGGTATTAGGGAATAAAAGAAAATAGGGTAGGGAAGTTGGGGTCTTGAAAGTCAGTCAGAGGGGTCTTGACTTCTTAAAGTAGACAGCTGGAAAACAATGCAGCCTTCAGAGTGGATGAGTAAAAAAAAAAATCCAAGTGGTGTTTTAAGAGGATTAAGCAAGGAAGAAAGGAGCTGAGGGATTGTTGACACCACATAGTAAAGAAGGGCTGGAAGAACTAAGCCAGGATGCTGACAGTGCACAAAGAATACAGGAAGCTCTAAAAGATGTTTGTGAAATTGAAGGGCTTGCTTCCAGATTGTTAAAAGAGAGGGCAGGTGATGGAAGACTGGAATATGATTCCAATCCTAGGTCAATGAAGTGATGGATCCCAGTTGGAAAACCTAATAAAATTACTGGAAAGTACAACATGTACAAAATAATACTGATATAATATTTACTCAGCCCACTTGAACTATTCTCTGAAGTTGTTTCTTTCTTTACTGAACTTCAGCTTTTTAATCAATGAGTAATGAAAATGAGGTAAGCACATTAATAATTAAGGAATCCAGTTCCCAGCCATGTAGTTTCAATCAGTAACTTTCTCAGTGATCTCGTGCAGTAGCCTTATTTTTGAAAAAAGATGAGAAACTGGGAATTTGTCTATTATTTGCCACTAAAGATTTTTACAGCAGCAATTTAGCATGAAACATACTGCCAAAGTCTTTGAGCTGAAACAGTTGCTTCATTTGCTGTCTGCGATTATGCTGTAGTTACTTGTATTCATACAGCAATCAGGTAACACAATTTTGGTTTTGGGAAACTGATTTTGATGAAGAGGGTTTACTAAAAATACTTGTAATTTTTAAAATCTATTTGTTACATGGTTTAAATACTATCTAGTAATCATCAAATAAATGATGGATGATGGATAGTGAGTGAATTTTTTTAATTAAAAGATAATCTTTATAAGAATGGAAACTAAATTATTAAGAGTGGATTATTAAGAGTAAATTATTTAGAGCCATATCTATGAGAAATAATTATTTAGGAAACAACAACCTCTTGAGAACTATCTAAGTGTTTTATGCACCGTTATGAAAAGGCAGATTATTATAAGAAACTAATGTTCTTTCAGTAAATGTTCAGCACCACTTATTGATTGTGCCAGGCACTAGAGTTAAGGATATCCTTCCCCTTAGGAACATTTAATCTACTGTGAAGATAGAAATAAATACATAAAATACAAACTGATGCATGAATAATAGAACATAAAGTACACAACAGTTCAGACAAGAAAGAAAGTAGCTTTCTCCTATCAGGAAATAAAAAGGAATGGATCATAAACAATCAGTTATGGTAAAACCTATTTTTGAGAATTTTTAAAATATGCCCTGTTTTGTTTTTTTTAATCTTGCAAGAGACAGACATTCATGAAAATAGGAAGTCATAAGAAAAGAAGCAAGCAATCAATAAGCAGCCTCTGAAATATATTTTCTAACAATTATCTTAAAGATTAAGAAAGCCATATCTCTCTCTCCAACAATCAAAATTACTTCCTAATGTGTTGTTTTCATTCTTCTACTCATTCAGATTAATCTAAAGCACATGTTAAATACAAGAGGATTTATTTTCCAGAGTTCTGCCATGGTGAAAGCAATCTAATAAAAATGAAATGAAGAATGAGCTCACTGAATAAATCAGAAGGAAGAATTAAAGAGCTGACAGATATTTTGAAAGCCTGTTAAAAAGTAAATTGGACTTTCATTATAAAAATTGACTTAAATGAAGGCTATGCTTAAGAACCTACTTCAGAACATTTCCTTAAAGACAATTTGATTATCTACTGAAAATATTGCATTTTAATATATTTTACTATATTTCCAAAATCTAAGGAGTATAATAATGGACATAAGAACAGAGCGAAATGTCCAAACAAAAAATCTCAGAACAAGATACTAAAAATCTCTGAGTCTACTGACGTCTGTCATTTAAATCTGAAACCTAAATAAAAAGTTCAACAAATTACTTTAAATAGTGCTCCCAAAAGTAATAAAAGAATGATTCCTGTACTTTCGTTATTTTAAGGAAAACCTAAAGAAAATAGGATAGTATATACACAGCCCTCTAAATATCTAAAATTTGTAAACTATTTTACCTCCTTGATAGAAAGCCTTGAAATATATATAAGTCTGATAACAGAAAGAAAAAAGCCCGCATCCAAGACAACTCTTCATATTTTAAACAGCAGAGGAGGAAGTATAAAAAGGATTAAGATTATATTCTCCCATAAATTTGCAAATAACGGAAGAAGAAATGTTGGTTCTTCTCATATTTATTGGAGGGCTCATGCTTAACTAAGCTCCATCAGACAACACATAGAAAAAGAGCTCATTGCAGCACTGTTTACAATAGCAAAGGCTTGGAACCAAGCCAAATGCCCATCAATGATAAACTGGATAAAGAAAATGTGGCACATATACACCATGGAATACTATGCAGCCATAAAAAAGGATGAGTTCATGTCCTTTGGAGGGACATGGATGAAGCTGGAAACCACCATTCTCAGCAAACTAACACAGGAACAGGAAACCAAACACTGCATGTTCTCAGTCATAAGTGGGAGTTGAACAATGAGAACACATGGACACAGGGAGGGGAACATCACACACCGGGGCCTGTCAGAGGGTGGGGAGGGATAGCACTAGGAGAAATACCTAATGTAGATGATGGGTTGATGGGTGCAGCAAACCACCATGGCAGCATGTGTACACCTATGTAACAAACCTGCACATTCTGCACATGTATACCAGAACTTAAAATATAATAAAAAATAAAAATAAAAACTAAAACAAAACAAAAAAATAAAAAGAAAAAGAGCTTCTTTTCTAGCCACCCTGTTTTAAACACATAGAGATGGTAAGGTACTCAAAAACTTACTGTCTGAAGAACAGAGGATTAAAATGTGAATTTGACTCATTCTACAAAATCCCAATGTAAAGGACAAGGACAGCAGAGAGAAGTTGTATATACAATATTCCATCAACCAGATGCATCTAAATTCAATTTGATTATCAACGAAAAAATATTGCATTTCAATATATCTTGCTGTATTTCCAAAATGCAAGGGTTATAATAATGAACATAAAAAATAAACAGTAGTAGTACTTTTATTCATTTTTTTTTTAGTGTTGTATTATTGTTTTCAATTTTTTAAACATATTCAATCTGTGGTTGGTTTGAATCTATGGATAAAGAACCCACAGATAAGGAAGGTCTACTGAATTTGCTCTAACCAAAATGGCAGTACCATACAGTGCATGTCAGAGAACCTGAAAATCTGAATATAGAACCATTTAACCTAACTTAGGTAATTTTCCATCAAATATTCCATTCCTTACTCTTTTATTCAACAGATATATTTAATTATCCCCAACCTGTCAGGCACTGTGGTAGACACAGGGATATAACAGTCAACAAAACAAGTCTATCTCTGCCTTTATGGAGCTTTTAGCCATCAATCATTCCTATCTATAACACTCCCTGTTCAGTAAGAAATCTCAGAGATGCTGTAAATCAGAGATTGGAAAACTGGCCCACAGGCTGAATCTGGCTGGCCTGCTTCTATAAACCACATTTCATTGAAACAGACATGCCCACTCATTCATGTATCATTGCTTTTGCACTACAGCTTTGCAGTTTAGTAGTTACAACAGAAACAGTATGGCCTGCAAAGCCTGAACTATTTACTCTATTGAATAAATATTTATTTTTTTCTGGCACTGTTCAGAAACAGTTTGCCAAGCCTTGCTCCAAATAAAACCTGATGCTTTAAGGATGTATATTAAAAGATACATACTGTCACTTATACTGAATTCCTTAGTTACAAACCATATGATGGGGGGTTGACTTCCTACAGGGATGTATTTCTACCACTATAATATTTATTTTCACTTCCTTTCCTTGTAAAGGCAGGTGACAAAAAAAATTATGTGGCTACTATCTTCTATTAACAGCTTACTCTCTTTAGATGATGTTAACGTTGTCTTACATCTATCTTTTGATAGATCAGAGTTCTTCCACATCATAGAAGGCCCATTTTTCAGAAAAGATCCTTTTCTCTGATAAATTTTGACAGGAGTGATTTTAGGCTACCTTTTAAATTGAACAATAAAATTGATTGTAAAAGCACTTAGCCAACACTCAGGTGCTATATAAATGCAAAATCATAGCAGCAATAGTACCTTCATTTCCCTGAAGATATATGAGTGGATGCTTATTCCCCAATCACTTGACCCAGAGAGCATCAAAATTTTAAATGAAAGAAAAGAAGACTAACCTCCATTGGCTGTTACCAAAAATTCCTAATGAGAAGTGACAGGCCCTGTGCTCACTGTGGTTCCTCCAAAGGATGTTAAGAGGCTAAGGCTGTGGCTGAACATCAATTTGCCATACCCAAAACCCTTTTCTTTCCCTAATGGTAATCAATGTAGCATGAATAAAATTAAATGTCTACTTAGTTCATATTTAGCCACCATAATGCAGAAATAACTGGCTTGAGAAAGATCCTTGCGAAGCCTTGGTTTTTGAAAGTTTTCCCACTTTATCAACCTACTGGCAAAATACATTTCAAGTGCTCAAGAGTGGAGAACCAGCTCACCAGTAAACAGAGAAGCAGAAATGAGATGATAACAGGGCAAGAGAACGCCTCATCAGGGGTGGGAGGGCTGACTTGGTAACAAGAGAGACCTCTCTTAGGAACCAGCTTAAACATTCTATTCTTGAAAATTCCTTCCTTGATACCCTCAGGCCATGTCAATTCCTTCTGATTACAGGTGCTCTTAACATTCTATACTCTTTGTTTCTATCAGTTATCACAATTGCAGTTGGATAACCCGTATGTAGTCAGTTGTTTGATGTCTATGGGCCTTAGTGAGCCCATTTCCTGTCTGTTCAGAGCAGAAATCTCTGTGGCTAACACATGATGAGCTCTGAAAATCTTAGCTGAATAACTTAACATGAATGGATAGATAAGCCAGCTGGATTCTAGGCACTCTGCTGGCACATAAGGAAGCTATGATTACTGGATAACGGTCTCCTCAAAAATAGCCAATATCTTCCTTCCTATCCTTTAACATTAAGTTATATTCTAAGAAAGTGCACTAATTGCATACCAAACCTTTGTACCTTTTCCATCAATCCTCTCCTCTCAGCTCTTTCAATGTCGTTCCCTGAATTGACTTCTACCTTTCAATACGTAATAATGTTCAGGTTGCTCCCAGCTTTAAAAAAAGAAAAAATATATACACAATCACCCCCACCTGACCTAGGTCGCAAATGACATCATAACTGCCAAACCTTAAGACCACTTGCAAACCCCCATTCTATTTATCTGCAGTATTTGACCCTGACGAGCACTCCTCTACTCTTAAAACACTTTGCTCTCTGACTTCAGCAGCCTTACTCCCATGATTATTGTCCTATATTTTAAAATGTGTCTAATTTTCCTCAAACCATTAGTATCTCGTCATTATGATTGTATCAGCCTTCTAACTGATCTCTAACTCCCTCCAATCTATTCTCCACAATGTAGTCATATGTATGTTTGCCTCAACAATGCTCCTAAGTGACCTAGCCTAATTTAGCTAGCTTTGTTATAATAAATTGTCAGCCTGACCTTCAGCTTCAAGCACCTTGACATGGCAGAGTTTAATGTACACATGCCTTATGAAAGAATTAAAATATTCTCTTTGATCTTCACCACAATATCCAATGGACTGCTAACATCCTCATACACACTAAAGACATGGTGTAACGTAACATTTTCTAAGCTTTAACAAGGCCTACAAAACAGTTTTTTGCAAAGCTGATTCCAAATACTGGCATTCAGACTAACATTCACAAAAAAAGAATAAAAAACATACTCATGGTTATCAATTTTTGTGTGACCATTTTCAAATTTTACATCTGAATTTATGGTCCATTACCATGTCCTGAAAGTCATCCATACATGTTTCAAATTACACATGCTCTTTATTTCATTTGATCTGAAACTCTTCTGAAGGACTAAGTCCTCATATATAAAAATAAATAGAATAATGGATAGCAACTCACAAATCCCCGTCAAGTGACTGAGTCTCTTTGCAGTCATATAATACGCTGTAAATCTCTCGATTTTAAATAGACAACAAAAATACAAACAAGTCCCCCAAAAGTGATCAATGTGTGTAATCAATTTTACAAAAATGTTGCTATTGAACAATATATTCCATTCATATTTTTCTACGTTATGTGCATTTTATGAATATTAAACAACTGCACATTGCCTTATCTATGGTTCCTGATGGAATTCAAGTCCAAATGTGTCTGCAATTCCAGACTTTAAAACCATTCAAAGCTTTTCAGTCCAAGATATTCCTCCAGACTTAATTCCTGCCTCTTCAAACAATCTAGATATACCAAGACACTGTTTTCTCCATACATATGTGGCTTCCTGCCTTTATTCTTAACAAGCCCTTCATTTGTCCTGTATTCCTCACTCTTGCCTTTATTTTTCAAATGTTTCTTATCCCTCCTTAAAGGGACACCTCCTCCATGAAGCTTCTCCCTCAAGCCCCCATGTCCCACACTACTTTATCAAATCCTTATGCAAGTTCACCCTTTACCCTCAATGCTTCCTATGGATCTATAAATCCCTTGCTAACTGAAGCCTGTGAGGTCCTTGAGACAAAAGACCACGTCTGTCCCACCTTTGACACCTACAGCACTTCACCTATTTCGTCCAATAGAATGGGTGCTTAATAAAAAGATCTGCTCACTGAATAGATTTGACAACTCCACCAAAGACCTCAAAACACAGGCCTCTCTTCCAAGCTCAGGAACCATTTTGGTGGTCAAGCCAGGCTAGAACATGCTCAGACTCTGGCATATACCACAGAAATCCACACAGGTGTGGGCCGATGCTTCAGCAGCTCCACAGCAGACACAGTCTATAATCAATTAGGTAAACAGAAACGTCCAAACGTGTGCGGAGCTCCATACACACCTGAAAATATTGCGAGCTCAGGTCCAAACCCAGGGCACGTGAAAGGGACGAGTGGTCCACAGGCACAGAAAGCCAGGCCTCGCGCTGAGGGAGGGCGTCCTGGAAAGCTGTGCAGGGCCCGCCCCGCCTACCTTCTGGGTTCCTGTAGCGGGGGAGGGCGCCCTCAAGCGGGCACGGGAGCCCTGGAGCAGGCGCTCTGCGCCATCCCCAGGGGCGGGGTTCCACGTGCTGCCCCGCAGGTGGTCACCAGAGCCAGCGGGGAAACGCTGGCCAGCGCCCAGGGCCTTCCACTCGTGGGGGAAGTGAGGGAGCAGGTCCCGGAGACCACAAGCCCCAGAAGACCCTGCGGCCGACTCGACCCCTTCTGCCCCTCTTGGCGGGCTGTTCCGAGGAGGAGACGAGTGCTCCACAACCAGTCCAGAGAAAATAACTCCAGCTCTAAGCAGGAGCCTAGTCAACGCGGGTACTCGGCTCTACGGACCCGGCATTCTTTAATACGGGCTTTGGGAAGGAAATGGCGCAGGCCAAGTCTCTTTCCTCCGGAGAGCGCCCCCTCGAGCTTGCTCGTCTGAAAGTGAGATTAAGGCCTTGAAGAAAAAGAAAAAAAAAATCGCTACAGAGACATCTCACGGAAATAAATGCATTGATTCTAATGAGGGAGCAGGATGGGAAAGGGGGACTTCGAGAACTGATGAAAAGATGAATTATAAAACGATTTTTCTTTTTCCAAAAGGAAAATTAAATTTTTATTTCTTGCAAGAAATTGTGATTGTAGAGTGATTTTTCTCACTTTCCTATTTTTCACATTGCATTTTCGCTTTTAGTCTTAATCATATTTTTTTGCCTTATGTTATACTAGAATCTCAGCTGGATTCTAAACATCCTGAAGGCAGATTCTCTGTAATATGTAGTATTACACACAATGCTTAGTTGCTGTTAAGTAGAAGTCTTAATATGTTATTTATAGAATAAAATATCAAGCATTTTTAAATAGAGGTTTGTTAAACTTATTTTACTAAATGGATTTTATTTTATTAAGACATTCATTTGCATCTAATCAGTTATTATAAATTTCTGTACAATGTTAAGCATGATTGTTTTAGCCATCTGCCCATTAAAGAAATTCAAGGATTTTAAGTCTACTGTAATTTGTTTAATATACCATTCATCTTTAAATCCTGCAGAGGTAAATTTAAGATAAACCAAGATTGAATTTTCTTGAACCCCAAATTAATGAACACTAAATTAATGGCTTACTGTATTTGCTGTTCTTATTGACAAATGTAAAATCCAATCATCACAGTTGATTTCTCACAGAGATAAACAAGGGTCAAGTAGGGGAAATGTAGAAAAGTTGCCTGTGTTGCTGCATGTGTGAAATTCTGTTTCAATTCCACTCATTCATTCATTTAAACATATTGGATTGAACTCCTGTTATGCCAGCACATCCAGGAGGCCAGTTCAGTCTCTCTTTAGCTGCCTCCCTTTAATTTGTCTTACAAGCTTCCTGTTCAGAGTGTTCCATCCACTAATATCTCAACATTCTCCATGGTATCTGAGGCAGCTACCTTCACAACTCTTTCATATCTTTTAACTGTTTCTTAGTCTTTTGGCTAATCTTTACCTGATAACTTTCATACCTGCTTTTGCCTCATATTCCTATTGGTCATCACTTACGGACTGTACTTTCTTCAAATTCATTGCCAGCACATAACAGGAGTTCAATCCTGTTGAACTCACAGGGTGAGTCATGATTATTGCCCTATACAAGTGCACAGTCTGATAATTAAAACAAATGGGTAAACAATCAAACTACATTGCAATCGCTGAAATCCAATGGGAAAACTGCAAACTGAATTTTAATGAAAACATACCCTTTCACATTAAGCCTTAGGTAGGTGTCTCTTAATCTAAGTAAAATTTATAATTTTCTTTGAGCTTCTGAAAATAACATGGTTATGAATTTTCCAAAAGTGTATAATGGAGAATAACTTTCAGGAAAATTGTACAAGTGTTTTTACTGATTTTGGCCTCCCTCATTTTTAGTGAGAATACATAATAGGTAATAAGTACATTTTTGTTGTATAAAGAAATGAATGAACTCCAGGTACTTGAAGTATTTAATTCTGTGCCTTTTAGGAACTACTTTTCTAAAAACATCATTGGCTTTGACCCAAGCCACTTTTCTAAAGGAGTTTATAAATAACAGAAGGTGAAAATGTGCAAAGATACACATAAGGTCTTTTACCTCTTCCTATTATTCATTGCATTTAAATACAGAGGATCTGAATGGGGCTTCAGCAGATAGTCGGAACAGAATGTTTTCAAAAATCATGCTTCTCACATGTAACTGTTTCAAGACAGCAAGGTTATTAAAAGCCAGTCTATAAATTAGCAAAGGAAATTATTAATGGTAATGATGTATGAATTTTCAGAGTTTGAATAAAAACACAAAAGAAAATGGTTTCTCTGTTTGCAAAATATAAAACCTTAGATGAAGAGAACACTAAATTATTATTAGCTGGTTTACTATAAAACAAAATTATTTAAAATGGATAAAATGAGTACAAAAACGTAATCAAATAACACACAGTAACACAAATAACACCTTAGTTGCTGTCGTGTGTTATTTGAATATTAATTCTAAGATGGTTACTTTAATCAAAAACAGCAGAATATCTAATAACATGTCAAATAAAGATGTGTTATTTTAAAAATACCTATTGTTTAAAAACATTATTTAAAAAATAGACATTTTGCATTATTTTATTATATAAAATTATAAAAATGGTATAAACTGTTCTATCATAAAATAGAAATGTCATCAATAATTCCTAGGCCAATATGCCTTACACAGAAAAAAATTAGTTTTGTGTTCAGTTTAGCAGTTCGAGAAACATTTATTATCTTAGGTACACTTAGAAATAAGAAAATCCCTGTTTGCAATGTTCTAGCAACCTAGTAAGAGAACCAAATTTTAAAATCAAGTATAATGATTAATAATAACTAGCAAATATTGCACATACTATACCAGGTAATCATGGACTCTCTGATTTAATTAATCCTCACAATATTCTTATGGGGCAAGTAATGTTTTTAATCCTTATTTCACAATAAGGAAACCGATTGATTAATTCATCCAAGGACATTCAGCTTGTAGGTGGTAGAGCTAAGACCTCCACCGCACCCTATCTTACTTCAAAGTGTATAAACTTAAAGCGCATAAACCTAACCCTTCACTCTAGCACATCTAGGAGGCCAGCTCAGTCTCTCTTTAGCTGCCTCCCTTTAATTTGTCTTACAAGCTTCCTGTTCAGAGTGTTCCATCCACTACTGTCTTAACATTCTCCCTGGTATCTGAGGCAGCCACCTTCACAACTCTTTCGTGTCTTTTAACAGTTTCTCAGAATTTTGACTAATATTTTACCTGATAACTTTCACACCTGCTTTTGCTTCATATTCATATTGGTCATCACTTACGATTGGCTGTACTTTCTTCAAGTTGGTCTAACAGCCTAACGTAATCTTCAATAGATAATGAACCTATGGTTATTTGATTTAACATTATTCCACAGAATCCCACACATCATTATGTTTAATAATTCAATGGCTATTAACACAAAATTAGTAATTTATAATGTCATTTACATAATTGTTAGCATATTACAGATGCCCTCTTGCAATTTTTTCCCAATCTTTGTCAATATGGTTGCTATCTTTGTTTTAAAAGAGCAAAGTCCATAAAAGTTTACAGTGTTTGAATCTATTAAACTATGCTAAATATATGAAAGAAATAAGAAAAAATGTGTTTTAAAAATACTTAACTTTGAAGCATAAAGTGTAGAATTGTAGAAAAGTGGAAAGATTGAGAATAGAGCTGAGCAGAGGCAGTGTTTACAACTATGAATAATATCTCATTTTAATATACTTAAAATCACACATTGTAAAAAGAACTGTTCCCCAGATTAGAGTATTTTACTTTATCTACTTATATTTGTGAAGAATTTTCAAAAGTGTTTTAAATGAAATTTCTATTTTGAATGTACAGAGAATGTTTAGGCTTTGAAAAGAAACACTGAAAACAAAAATCTGTTTCTAAAGTAAATAAGTCTTTGTTGTATGAATATTGCATCCTAATTTATGTGTTTATGAGCTCAGTTTCTTGTGTTATTTTGTTTTCTCGGAACACCATATACTGAATTTTGTGCTTTTTTGAATGAAAAGTTTCACAGTTTTACCAACTGAATTGATGAAAGGACATACAAAACAAATGAGACTGAACTACTAAAATTATAAGCACCATAGAAGCCATTTTAGATCTACTAGGAAACAAGAAAGGCACTCTATTAAGATATCAAGTAAAAAAGCAAATCACTGAGGCATGCTAACAGTTTGGAAAAGGGACTTCAGAGGCGCATATGGCGAAACCTTCCATGGAGACAAAAGAGCTTGTTCAGTTACTGTTGGAGCCATTGTGACTTTCTGAAAGAACGGATAACAAAGAAAGGTAAGGCAAAAGAGGTGCTCTGCAGAAGATGTACTTTTAAAGCATTCCATTTGCATTAAAGAAATATGAGAATTAGGCAGAAATATCAAGAAATATTCAGAACTAAACGCTGCCAAGATCAACATTAAGAAAAGTAAAAGTTTATTTAATGATGGGGAAGTTTTTAAAGTCACAATTGTTAGGTCTTATTTCAGAATGGAAATATTAATCAGTATAAACATTCAGGGTAAAATATAATGTTAAACAAAGGACTATTAAGATTAGTTGGGGAAAAGAAGCTCACCAATTATTTTCAGGAGAGGAAGAAAAAGCAGAGTAGTGGAAAATCCATTGGTGGAAGAGTGTGGTTCTGACTGTGTAGACTCTACAGCCTGTGGCTCAGTAGGACATGCAAACTGTCAAAACTAGAAAGGTTGGTACTAAAAACGCTTAGGGATACAGAAAAACCCAGCTCTCATCATCTTCTTTTATCTAGCAATATATCTGTTTTATCCTCAGTTGAGATGAGTTTGTTGCTTTACTTGTTTTGTTTTTGACCTTGACAGGAGGCATATAGTATAGTAAATATGAGCATGAGCTCTGAATAGGAGGCATATAGTATAGTGAATATGAGCATGAGCTCTGAATAAAGACTGCCTGGATTATACTCCTAGTTTTGCTTCTTACTAGTCAGTTGACCCAGTGTAAATTGCTTTGCTTTTATAACTTCAATTTATAAAATGGAGAAGATAAGAATTGCACTTACATCAAGTGATATAATTCATATATATAGCACCTTAGAGAGTGTCTGGATCATACTAAATTTTAAATAAATATTTGCTATTATTACTGCCTGAATTCCTACCTCCCTTTGCCTAGTGATTTTTTTTAGCAAATCCAAGTATACAAGTAAATAGATTGCTGTAGTAGACATTGCTGTTTTCTTTGCCCATTAGCAAATGAGTATGGGTGATGTTTTTCGTAATGAAACCCTCAATTATTATTAATCTTAGTAATGAGAATTTATGAGTGAATTTGGATCTCCCAAAGGAACACAACCTCCTCAGTAAACCTTTCCCAATTCCTTTGTCATGCACTGCAACCCAAAAATTACATAGAAAACCATTGCCTTTGAGCACAACCTTTTCCAAACCAAACATATTGTATTTGGTGTAATATAGACAGATAACTTATCACAAGCATCCAAAATAACCTTAATTCATTGTGTTCTCAAAATATAAATTTTAAAGAGCTGTTAGCATCATTTTTTTTCTGTATATGACATACAACCTGAGGGAAGAGAAAAAAAGAATCAATTAATTTAATACAATTTTAACTTTAATAGTCACTTTGTCATTGACAGTTATGATGTTCTAAACAGTTTCATACATTTTTCTCTGCTTCATCTTCCATTTGTTAAGTATTTTTATCTGGGTACGATAATTAACCTAGACCCTGTTTAAGGTACAAACCTGATATGTCAAGGCAATCACAAGTAACAACAATGTCTATTGTTTATTGATGCCTCACCCCTTGCCTAGAACTTTGCAGACGTCATAGCATACAAACCTCACAAATCTATAAAGTGTTCTTATTTTATATTCCCCTCCATTAACAATTTACAGCAGTTAACACTTCCAAAGTCACTCAGACATTTTAAGCAGCAAAGTCAAGGCTCTGACACTCCTTAATCCTAAGTAGTGACTTCCTGGCCTCAGGGTTATTTTCTCCAACTAAAGCAAAATCCCCCCTCCCTTCAACCCTTCAACCCCCACCACTCCCTTGACACACACTGAAAATCTAGGTGGCTTTGATCTGGGTCAGAAAACCTAATATAGGTGAGACTTTCTGATGATTCACCTCCAGGGCTAAGTGAAACACAGTTGTATATCATGACAAACTGTGGGGACTAATTGTACACTAAAACCGTATTGCTGTGTATTCTGCTGGTTACTCAGCATTCATTTACATACCCTTTTCCAGATGATATTATGCAAAGAATTATTACTTTGATGCTAGTGGTACTGCCTTATTACAGTGGAAGAAATTTGCATCACAAATGGTAACATTTTCTTCCCCATTTATGTTATACTAACAAGAAACATATCTTTCTCCCATTGCTAACTTAAAGCCAGAAACATGCCCTTTCTACTTGCACTATTGAAGGGGCTGTGATATCCTGAAAAAGATTGGATTTAGAGTCAGAGCACTTGGGATTTAATCTGTATTCTGCCATTTATTGCACTGTGACACTGAGAAAATCAGCTTCCCTCTGTGTCAAGGAAATGATCTGGGCAAGATGACTTTGGAAATACCTTTCTACTCTTAAATTCTATTAAATAATTGTGCCCAGGACTCTATTATTAATTTTCAACTTGCTTCAAATTACTGAAGTTGTCCCTTTATCCTTCAGCATAACCCCTACATTCCTATTATTATTCAAGGGAAAAAAAAGTATTTTGTAAACCAAAAATAAAATTGTAACCCACCCCCAACCAAATGAATGGAACCCTCCTGTCAGCCAAGGGCATTCTAAAGTAATGAAATGCTAGTTCAGGCCATGATGGGAATGGGTGATTGGAAATACCTCAGCTGCTCTGCCTACGGAGTAGCCATTCTTTATTCCTTTACTTTCCTAATAAACCTGCTTTCACTTAAAAAAAAAAAAAAAAAAAAAAGGCTCACGCCTGTAATCCCAACAATTTGGGAAGCCAAGGCAGGCAGATCACCTGAGGTCAGTTCAAGACCAGCCTGGCCAACATGGCGAAAACCTGTCTCTACTAAATATAAAATACAAAAATTAGCCTGGCGTGGTGGTGGGCACCTGTAATCCTAGCTGCTCGGGAGGCTGAGGCAGGCAGAATTGCTTGAACCTGGGAGGCAGAGGTTGTAGTGAGCCAAGATCGTGCCACTGCACTCCAGCCTGGGAGACAGAGCAAGACTCTGTCTCAAAAAAAAAAAAAAGGAAATGCCTCATTATACCTTCCTCCTGTTGGAATTCAGGCACAGCTGACCAGTATTAACACTAAAACTGAGACCTTAAGACTAACAGAACAGACCACTCTATAACTCTAATCAGAAACATTTGGTCTATTCTCTCTGAAGCTCACTACCTGGAGGCTTCATCTGAACAATAAGAACCTTGCTCTCCACAGCCCCTTATCTTAACCCAGACACTCTATCCTGTTAATTCCAGGTCTTCAGATGAACTCTTTCAACCAACTGACAATCAGAAAACCTTTCAATCCGTCTATGACTTGGAACCCACCCTTGCCCACCTCCCTTTGAGTTGCCTCATCTTTCCAGACCAAACCAATGTACATCTTACATGTATTGATTGATATCTTATGTCTCCCTAAAATGTGAAAAAACAAGCTGTAGCCAGATCACCTTGGGCACATGTTGTCAGAACCTCCTGAGGCTATGTCAGGGGCATGTCCTTAATGTTGGCCAAATAAACTTCTAAATTGAGACTTGTCTCAGGTACTTTTTGGTCTACAATTTCCACACTCCCTATTTTTTAAAAAGGACAGATGTAGCAATATTAAGAAAAAAATTGATAAATGTATAATACTGGTTGTATGTGTAATTTAAGTGCATTCAGTTGCTGATCTTTATGTGTTGGGGTTTATGGATGGCAAAAATCATGCTGTCTTGGTTTCTTCTAGAATCGCACCATGAAAATGTTGCACCATTGGGTCTTGAGGACTCTGAAAATACTGTATTCATTTATTGATGGCCCATATTGGAATGCTGGTTGGACACCTGTGAGGTGCTATTCAGAACACTGAGTAAACATTGTAGGGATTGCCACTAAGGACCTCAGAGTCTCCTGGGGAATGCAGAAGAGTTAAAAAATATCATAGCTATTTTAATGAGAGCCAACACTGAGTGCCATGGGAAACAGAGTAATGGATACCAGATTTTGGGGAGAAGGTAGGTAGGAGTGGCTTTTTGAAGAGGTAATGAGAAGGTGAATTCTAACAAGACAAGTAACAGTGTTTTGGGGAGAAAGTGCCTAGCCTAGATCGTAGGCCAAAGGGGCCTGGAGTGCCAGTGATAAGGATAGGTGGCAGAGAAATTCTAGGCAGAAAAGGGTGGGTCCCCGATAGAAACCCCACCTTTATGCTGAAAAACCTGATACCCATGGCCCATAGTGAGAACTTCTATCCCTGTTTTCCTGTTTGAATGCTGCCTTTTCCTAAACTACTCATGGCCTGCCCCACCTGCCAGCCTATGCCTATAAACACCCCAGACTGAGCCAGCAGAAGGGAGAAGCATCTGGATGTCAGGGACTACAGCTGGACCTTAGAGAGAGAAGTGGCTTGACTTCAGAGAAACAACTTGATGGGATAACTTCAGAGAAGAATCCAGCCAGAGACAGCCGAACTTCAGGAGGAGATTACCTACCCACCCCACCCCCTTTCCAGCACTCCTTCCCACTAAAAGCCACTTTCACTTGCAATAAAATCCCCCACACTTACTATCCTTCGATTCGTTCGTGTGACCTCATTTTTCCTGGGCGCTGGACAAGAGCTTGGGAGCCACCAGTGCGGATAAAAAAGGCTGCCACGCTGGCCCTTTGCCCTTGCTGGGTAGAGGGCAGCCGCCTTGCGTGAAAAGGCAAAGGGCTTTTCACTGAAAAGCCATCCGTGGACAGCAGAACTAAAAGAGTACTGTAACATGTCCTCTGAGGCTTCCAGAGTTGCAGGCACCCCACCTGGATGCTGCTGCTGGGCCTGCACAGAGTTCACTCCTGCCAACACCCAGAAGCATTCACTCTGGCTCCTGTACCCACTCACCTGAGCGTTCCCTCCCACAAGAGGTGGAATGCAGGGGGTCCAAGTGAGTGGAGCTTGATCCTTCCAGTGCTGAAATGGTTCGAGTGCGCATGCGCTCCAGTTCCCACCTTGTTCAGTTGCGCACTCCCTCCCACGAGGAGTTGAGAGTGGTGGACTGAGTAAACAAGGCACTGCTGTCACAGGGTTCAGGGAAATATCCTACTTCACCAGGATGAGTATCAAAGTACATCTATTGGTAATTGCAAATTGTTATCTCTTTGAAAAAAATTTTTTTAATTCATGTTCCTCATATATGTTATCAAAATAAGCTTGGCTGTGCTGATAAATTAATGATACCTAAATTCTCACTTCCTTACATTCTACTCAACTCTCTGCTGGAAAAGTTATTTCCAGTTACTTATTGTGAAAGAATCTTTGGCACCTGTGTGCTCATCAGAAATTATATTATTCTTACCTATTCTAACTCTTACCTGTTCTTTCAAAGTATTTTCCTTAGGCTGAAAATCAGTAGCTTTTGTTCATGAATAATACATTATAAGACTTAAAACTGAATGTCTGATACTGTATCTTCAGATAACTAAAGCTCTTTGTCCTCAATGATTTCACTATTTGATTATCTTTTAGAAATGCTGCTCTATTGAGGACTGCTTTTATACTATCTAATGCCTCCTCTAGATAAACAAATTTCAAAATCTCAGGTGGAGGTGAGTGTTTGCCTTCATGGTAAACTCATCAGAAGCTTATTGTCTTCATTCTTTTCCTGCTCTTGCTTTTGAATCTATCCTCAAGCAAATCCTTTCCTTTTGTTTGTTTCTTGGTTTGATAGGGCATATTAATGAGACAGATGCGGCAACAGCCGTCAATGTATTTGGAAGAGCTAAAACTTCATTTATAAATTGTTCCTGTCGTAAAACGCCATGTAGTTCTATGTCTCCATGCATTACCAAAAGAAGCCTCTGACATCCATAATGATGATTTCCAGCTTTGAGAGACATGGTGTACCACCCTTAGCTGTGATCCGTGTTACACAGCTTTCCTTCAGCCTCCCTGTAGATGAAAGGAGTTAAAAACAGGAAAATGTTAATTGAAATATTTATGCATGTGTTTTAGAATTAATATTAGATAATACTCTAATATTCTTAGAGTAATAATATTCTCGAAACTACTTTTCAAATCAAACCTGTGAAGATATTAATATTTGAATATATTGCTGCAAATAAGCTTTCTTTGTTTTAAAGCATATAATTTCTATTTGAAATATTTTGATGAAGTAAAATGCAACGATTTCTTATATAAAGTTAGAAAGCCAATCAAGTTTTTTATTAAAACAATAATACAAAATAGCAGTGAAGGTTAAGAAAGCTGGTAGGAGAAAGCTGTGATATTAAGGACTAGTTTATCCATTTGTTGATCACATTGATCACATTAATTCTTATCCAACTTTCAAACATGAGTGATAAGCCAGAAATATTTTATGAGAATGGTAAGGGAAGTATAAAAAAATCCTTTCTGAAATCCCATCCTGTTGTAAGCTTGAGGCACACATGTCAGCATTGTAGCTAAAACTGCAAATTCTAGAATCAGATTTCTTCAACTCAAATGCTAGCTTCAGAAAAGTTACTTAACCTCTCCAAGCCTCAGTTTTCATATCTATAAAATGAAGATTATAATAGGGCTGTGAAAATTAAATGAGAGTATTTCAAGTGCATAGCAGAGTATGACACATGGAAAATGTCCAATATGTTAATTATTGTTAAAAGATAAATAAGACATACTAATTTCCTTACTATACTCAAGACTTTCTACAAAATGACCATGGTGCTTGCCCATTAAAGCCATCAGCATTGTATGAGTATGTGTCAGGGTGAGAGTATGTGTATTAGAGGAGAAAGTAGACAGCATCATCCCTATTTTTAAATCATTTCTATGATTCTATAATCAACTTTTTTTCTGAGAAATACATTCAATTGTGGTTTTTGTTTCTGACGTTCATGTCTACAAGCCCGAACTTAATTTAGAAATTTAGAGTTGAGATATTATTTCTAAATTTAGAACAGAACAACAGAAGAGAAAATTAGGTACAAATGTTTTGTACTTCACAAATTATTGCCAGGAGCATATTATAACTATGAAAAGAAAAATTGCATATTAAAAATTTATGACTCAACACAGTAAGGTTCTATATTGCCTAAGTAGCTAATTAATTTATTGAATCAATCTAAAGATACCAAAATTGTTAAATATAAAATATGATTAGTTATTAATTTATTAATATCAAATTTGAAAAGTTACAATTTTCTCATTTGTTTTAATCTGTATGTTTTAGGTAATGCCTTGCACAAGTAAGGTTCAGAATACATGGAGTAGATTGAATAACAAAGCAAAGAATAATGCTAGCATCCTGCATAACATTGAGAGGCTGCTTAGAGAAGGTTTAAAACTGAACTCATATCAGTCCCTGTCTTGTCAAGAGATTTGAATTTTTTTTTTTTTTTTTTAGACAGAGTCTCGCTCTCTTGCACAGGCTGGAGTGCAGTGGCACCATCTCGGCTCACTGCAAGTTCTGGGCCGCCAGGATTCAGGCGATTCCCGTGTCTCAGCCTACCAAGTAGCTGGAACTACAGGTGTGCGCCACCATGACTGGATAATCTTTTTGTATTTTTAGTAGAGACTGGTTTTTGCCACGTTGACTAGGCTGGTCTCCAACTCCTGAACTCAGTAATCCGCCCACCTCAGCCTCCCAAAGTGCTGTGATTACAGGGATGAGCCACCATCCCCGGCCGGAGCCACCGCGCCGGGCCGACTAGTGAATTTCTAATTAAATGTCTAATTTTGCAACCAAAGCTAGCTGTATTCATCAAGCCTATTTTAGCTTTTAAACAATTAGCTGTGTGCCTTTGATTATGTAATTTAACCTTTCCTGGTTTCCACATTGCCTCATCTGTAAAAGGATGATGATAATGTCCTGTGTTGTTGGAAACAGCCCGAATCAGGAATATTTGACAAGGCTTGCCAAACTAGCATATTCCAGGGCTCATTTTTAGCCTTTTGATTAAAAATCTCAGTGACCAGGCTTGGGAAGCTACACTGAAAGAAACCCCTATGTGGTTCTTACGTAATCAACCTTTGAGAACCGCTGGTCCTCAAAGTTCCCATGTATGACTAATCGAAGGAAAGGAGTTACTACTTAGCATCAATGAATATGAGTTGAGCTGGCGTATTGTCTCCTCCGGGAACAGAATTTAGATATCTAACAATTTTCTAAAAGTTATAAAACAGAATAATAAAAATATTTATTTACATAGAAGTAAAAATAAATAATATCATATACTAAATTGTTATTTACTGCCTCCAGAATCAAGTAAACAATAATGAAAAACAATATTTTTTATGTGAATAATATATCACGGGCTTAGAAATTACAGTTTTTCTTAGAACTTAGGTTAGCCTTACCATACATGTATAACTTTGCTATTATGTCTATATTTTTAGTTTTCAAATCCATACAGAGCACAAAATCTGTGGCTAGGCATTGTTATAAGCACTTTACACATGCTAATACATTTAATAATCATGCAGATATGCAGCTTTTTTGGTACTATATGAGTTTCCATTTCCAGCACACGTTCATACTGGCTTATCAAAAGAATAATTAATAGGAAATGTACTTTCTTCACACAGATTCCCTCTTCAAAATTGGAATGTGAGCAAAAGAGTGCTATTCTGTTTGAATTGATTCTGTTTGGCTATTTGGCTGCCTTTTTACGGTAAAATTGAAAAGGCTCACACAGAATTTAACCATTATATGCAGAAAAGGAAGCCAAAGATACCAGGGAAAAGTAATTCAGACAGTATTCATCTCACAATGCATTTTCTAGCAGAAATAAAAAAAATTGCTAGAAACTTTCAATGTTTCTGTATTTTCAATAATAAATAATTTGAATAATGTCTCTATCCGATATTTTTACATTTTTTTTCTTTGCAAAACAGAATATATTGTTACCACTGACTCAGCTCCAGAAAAGATAAAGGAGAATCACCTTTGCTCAATGTAGCAAAGGCCTTGGACATAGCTACCAAAAACACTGTACACTTTGTAGGGAGTCTGACTACTTTTAAGCAAAGCATGAAAACTTGAAAATGGAAAAAAAATACATTAAAGTTTTAAAATACGTCAAATGATTTTTCTGCTGGCAAGTGTTTCCTAAGTCTCATTGTAATCAAAATATACTTGATTTTTCACAATTTCAGTGTATATGTCTATAATCATTTTACCAGAGACATGCTTGCATGTAAGCAGCTCCTAATGTTCAAATTGACATGACACTAAACCAGAGTCTGCAAACCAGCCCCCACAGTTTTCTTCCAGTTCTACTGTCTCACAAGTGTATTGGCTCTTTGATCATCACTTTATAATTCTCTTTATTCACTGATTTAACAAATGATTGTAAACTTAATATATGGTACTATGTTAGACTTAGTAGGTAAAACAAAAAAAAGGGACATGCTCCACCCCTTCAAAATGTTGGACTCTCAATACCCCCAAATTTCTAGAGTTTTTTTTATCTAAAGCCAAGTCCCAATCAAGTTGAGGGAAGATACTATCAAATTCTAGTGCCTGTTGATTTTATTCCTAGCACCTATCTCATATATAACTATACCCTATGTGTACGTACCTCACATGCATTGAAATTAATTGCTTTATCCAAATATTGCCCTTATTTTGTGGTGAGAAAATGTCTCTCAAAAGCAGTGAGTGCTCCTTACTTGCAATTTCTGAACTGCTATTAGTAAAATAAACTATAACCCAATACCTATTTCTTTGCAGTTTTTACATGTAATTAATATGACCAAATATTTTTAGTGATTTATAAAAGTTTATTATATATATGCTATCAGTCTCTTGCTTGGGCTAATATTTCATCAATTAAAATACTGCTATTTTAAAGTTAATGATAATAAAAATTAAAGGTTAGTTATAGGAGCTTAGGATTTTAACCAAATTTTGGAAACAATTATGCTTAAAGAATAAAGGGAAAATATAGATTTCCTGACTACAGCAGGTTATGGCCAGCATAAAGGCCTGAATGGGCTTAAACCGCCTGGAGGACCTACCTGATTATACCAGGAACCAGAAATGCTAAGAGGCTCTTATGAACACAAGTCCTCCTACTCAAAGTAAGGGTCACAGCCATGGAGCATCAGTGGCTAAAAGCAAGAGGGGGTCTTGACAAGGAGATGGAGCCGAGGATAAGGAGCCAGGGAAAGCCAAGAAAAACAGAGCAGCTCAAAAATTAAGCTGAACCAGGGTTCATAACTGCCCAAGTTTTTTCTTGATTGGACATGAGGTGGGAATATTGTCTGAAAGGTAAAATACAGGGGTAAACAGTTTTGGTTCACAGCTCTGTGACAACAGAGTAAGCACTGACTCTGTTAATAATCCCAATAATAAAGGATATTGTCTTACAAAGCTTATATAATCATTCATTCCCTCTCACAACTTTTTTAATTCTTAGAATGATACAATATCTAGTTTTCTGGACATTATTCAGAATAATCCACCTTATTTATTCATGCCACCAATAGTCATATTCAAATTCATGCTTTGAGATGAAAAGGTTGTGAAAAGCTACTGAACTCCAGAGATACAAACCTTCAAGCTAACAGGTGATGAACGAATTATAATGTTCACATTCTCTGAAAGCAATGTTATTTAGCAGATATTTAATAAATTTGTAAAGGTCTACGGATTTTAGACTGCATATTTTTTAAAAGTTATTTTGTTAAAGATTTTGCAAAAAATGTCTTCAAGTGTTTATCCTCCTATTCCCTAGTATAAAGATGAATAGCCAATTATTTTAAAATTAAGGAACATTTGTTCTTTGAAGATGATGACCATTTCTCTGTGGCTTATTGATAAAAGCTAAAATGCAGAGCTTCATGCACATATTAAAACTATAATAATTCTCTCTCGATATATATGCCCCAAATCCTCTGTTCATTTTTCTGCCAATTCATAACTCTAGCAACAAAGTTTTCTCATTTCTAAGAACAAGGAGAAACCAGTCCCCAGACTCTTCTTCCCCAGCCCCATCATCTCACAGAACCATAGAGTACATTAGGTTCAGATTACTTTTGGTAAAATAATGTATTCTTATATTACTGTTACCAGAAAGGTGTCCTGAGCCAGACCCCAAGACAGGGTTCTCGGATCTCACGCAAGAAAGAATTCCAGACAAATCCATAGAGTAAAGTGAAAGCAAGTATATTAAGAAAGTAAAGGAATAAAAGAATGGTTACTCCATAGGCAGAGCAGTGATGTGAGCTCCTCAGCTACTTATTTTTATGGTTATTTCTTGATTATATGCTAAACAAAGGGTGGATTATTGATGAGTTTTCCAGGAAAGGGGTGGGCAATTCAAGGAACTGAGGGGTCCTCTCCTTTTTAGACCATACGGAGTAACTTCTGGACTTTGTCATGGCGTTTGTAAACTTTCACGGCACTGGTGGGAGTGTCTTTTATCATGCTAATGCGTTATAATTAGCGAATAATGAGAAGTGAGGAACACCAGAGGTCACTTTCATTGCCATCTTGGTTTTGGTGGGTTTTGGCCAGCTTTTTCTTTTTTTTTTTTTTTAACTACAATCTTTTATCAGCAAGGTCTTTGTGACCTGTATTTTGTGCCGACTTTTTATATCATCCTGTGACTAAGAATACCTAACCTCCTGTGAATACAATCCAGGAGGTCTTTGCCTTATTTTACCCAGCCCCTATTCAATATGGAGTCACTCTGGTTTAAACACCTCTGACATCACTACATTCTTTTTGTAATTTTTTAAGTATTTCATTATACCCCACCCTGAGAATCACACAGCCAGATCCAGAGGTGAGGCTGACTGCACTGGCCTCCAGGGATCCACAGACTTGGCAGGAATATAGGTATCAGTGAGGCTCACATATGACTTGGGCTTTCTTTGACTCCTGCGTTTGTAGCCTGTGGCACTTCTGCTCCTTAGAACTTCTATAATTCACCAAATTCTCTATTAGTGTTCATTTGAAATAAACAGAAACCTCAATTCAAACTGGATGAAATATATAAATGTACATCACAAGATGCCCACAACTAGGTTGGATTTCAGGTTTGATTCAGCAGCTGAACAACATCTTCAGGAACCCAAGTTCTTTTCATCTCTCCATTCTCTTATCCCCAGAGTCAAATTCCAACAGTTTGTGGTTAGAAGTTGGCTGTGAGCAGCAACCACTACATAGTTTCTTATTCAAGGCCAGTGAGTGAAAAGTAGACTTCCAGTTAAGAATGATGAAGAATTTTCCCAGATGCCTCCAGAAAACTTCTTGCATCTGTGCTTAGCCCTTTACATGAATTTCCTCATTTATTTCCACAACTAGCCTATTAAATAGGTACTATTTGTATTTTTCATCTTGCAAGTGAGGACACTGAGGCTAAAGAGGTTAAGTATCTTGTTTAAGGTTGCCTAGCCAGTACCGGAAAGGAAGTCCCATCACCAAAATACGAAAAGTGGAGATGAATTCTTGCATACAGGTTGAAACTAAAAACATGTAGTTTTTTTACTGAATAACTGACATTATTTTCTGAAAAATAATGTCATAAACAGATACAGTAGTAATAGTAGTACTATTGCTTAGCTGCATTACATATGAAATAAGGAGTTTTTTTGAATCCACCTCATGGAAGCTAAACATTCTTTCAAAAAATCATTTGTATGAGAAAGCACATTCTTATGTTCAAAAAGAGAGAACATACCATAAAGTGTGATGTCAGAGGTTTAAAAACCACACACTAGGTTGAAAAAATTGAAATTGCTTAAGGGTAACTAAAAAATACACGGACTTAAAAAAATATCTGGTTCATTGTTGTTCATATTTAGGTGAATTATTGGTTATTTGATAACAAAAATTGGTGGAGAAACTTTATCCACCTTCTTTAATTTTAGAATGTACTTGAAGACAAGTAGATAAAAAGATAGTAAGTGGGATACACACTGAGTGAAAAACAAAACCAATAAAGAAATTAATTACGAAAAAAATGAATGGCAGGAGTACAATTAAAAAGAAATGCAATAGTGACACAGTCTGAAACACTGATTGACAAATGAATTAAATAATTATTTTAATAAGAAAAAATACTTTTACAGATATTTTGTCCACACTGAAGTTTGATAGGATAGCATGAGAAGGGAATTTGCAAGAACCAAAATGGTAATATTAAAATATGGGTGAAATTTTTCTAGTAATAGCTTCAGGGAAAAAGGGATAAATTATAGAAGTTTCTTGAAGGGAAAAGTAAATTTTTAGCCAAATAAGATGAAAGAAAAATGATCAAAGGTTGCCCCTGATTTGCTTGCTTGAAGGGAGTAACAATAATGGATGGGAAAGATGAGAAGAGAAACTGAGTGGAATTTTTTTCCATTCATGGACATTCAGAAATGCCACCTTGTTCGTATGATAGCTGAGGAAAAACAGGTCAAATCTATAAGGAGAAAATTAATGTGGGCCATGTACAATTGTGATTAAAGCAAGTCAAATGATGGAAAATTACAAGCTTCAGTTTAAAAGATTCATTTTAAAAACTTCAGAGTGAAAAATCACCGTCAAAAATAAGAAACCAGATTAAAGAGTATCAGAGAAAGAAGACAGTGGGAGAATAGTAGAGATGACAAAAACTACAGAAGTTATTTATTTTTATTTTTAAGAAAAAACACAAAGGTACTAAAAAATAACTTTAAAATTGTGTCAGAATTTAGTCCAAATATTTTAAATCAGAATAGTTGGGGTTATTATTTATTAAATTTGTTTCTAAAGCCTTTTCTATAACGACACAGAACTTGTGGAGAATAGCATCTTTAAAAGTACTAGAAATATAATAGTTACTATTAAAATAAAAAAACTTTCTGGTTCAATAAAATTTTTCTTTGAAGAGAGAAGACATTATGCCTGTGTACTAGTGTATAGATTCTTTACATTTAAGTCAATCAAGTTGTGTCAGTTAAAATTTTCATTGAAAGCTATTGCTTATGGCATCTAGTTTGTGTTAAATCTTGTCATCTTAAATAAAATTTTCAAAGAGCTGATAAATATTACATCATTTCAGATTGAAAACATAGCACTAAAATTGTCTAAAATATATTTTTACAGGGAAATGGAAACTCAGGTCTATAGTATTTTATGAATTTAGCCTTTAATGGTCAACTTTATTAGGTTGATAGGAAAATATATTCTGACAAACCTTCCAGAAATGATTATGGATTTGATATGTCATGTTGGTTGAATATTCCAATATTCCACACAAGTTATTAACAGAAGTCTAGAATGTAATATCGCCATAGTACTGCTTCAGTGATTTTTTTATATGATTTTATGAACTCTAAAGTAAAAATGATACTTTATTGGCTCTTTCTCAACATTAATGTAGGAATTTGGGGAGGGGAATATCAGAAAACACAATTTAGAATGTAGTATTACAGTAGCTAAAATTTGCAAGAACTGGAGATACTGAATATTCAATTGGTTAGAATCAGTTATTTGTTTATAATGGTAATAATTACAACTTTATTTTTAAAATATGTATATATATAGAGAGAGATCTCATATATATAGATCTCATATAATAGTATTCATATTAATATATATATGAGATCTCTGTCTCTCTCACTAGATAGATAGATAGATAGATAGATAGATAGATAGATAGATAGATGATAGATAGATTGATCTCAATTTTAGAAATGAGATCTTGCTATGTTGCCCAGGCTGGTCTTGAACTCCTGGACTCAGGCAATGTTCCCACTTCAGCCATCTAAAATATTGGAATTACAAGCATGAGCCATTGATAATAACTTTTTAAAAATAAATCTGTACTTTCCATTTTTCATATTGGCTCTCTGTCCCCCAAATTATTGCCTTACTTGTTTTACACATAGGAAATTAACCGTGAAGTGATTTGCCCAAGGTCATTCATTCCTGTTCAAATTGAACAACCAATATGGGTTTGCAAAACAATCTGCTCAGGGAATAAATTAAAAACATACCTCAATAGACATGAAAGTTCACAGTTTAATTATATCCACATATCCATAGCTTCTTCCACACAAATTATTTAGTCATCTCACCAGAGTGGTTACTCTGAAAGTAAGAAAACTGAGAGCCATTTTCAATTGTCATTTTAATGGCATGCTCCTGAGAAATTCCATTTGTAAGAGCATTTTCTAAATTTCTAAATTAATGCACAGTATCTCATCAGGATACTGTGACCTTCCACTAATTTAGGAAATGCAAAGTGCCATGGATCCCAGGGCACTTTGTTGCCATTCTGACTGGGTCTAAGAGAGGCCGTAGACAGCTGTTTGGGCAGAAAGTTTTTAATTAGAGATAATGGTCAATATTGAATTTTGCAAGTCTTTAGGACTCATGCATTTGCTTTTTTTAATTAAAATTCTAGTTATTCATTCATATCTTTGTTTTTCATTTTTAATGCTGGAATACTTGTCTTTCAACTCATCATTATTATCACAGGTGCAATAATTCCACATCTAAAAAAAGCAAATATGTGAGCACCAATATATCTATGTATGCTCATAATGGCATTTTTAAGAATGTATAAAAATTTGAAAGTGCTACAATAGAGAATGCAGGCTCACGCCTGCAATCCCAGCACTTTAGGAGGCGGAGGCAGGTGGATCTCTTGAAGTCAGGAGTACAAGACCAGCCTGGCCAACATGGCAAAACACTGTCTCTACTAAAAATACCAAAAAATAGCCGGGGGTGATGGTTTATGTCTGTAATCCCAGCTACTCGGAAGGCTGAGGCAGGAAAATTGCTTGAATCTAGGAGGCAGAGGTTGCAGTGAGCTAAGATTGCACCACTGCACTCCAGCTTGGGCGACAGAGGGAGACGCTGTCTCAAAAAAAAAAAAGAGAGAGAGAATGGTTAAATAAATTATGAGATCTCCTAAACCATAGCTTATTATTGTACAATTTAAGATGATTTAAACATCTTTTTTTACGTGAAAAAAATTATTAGAATGAAATATTTTAAGTGAAAAATAGGACTACAAAGTAGACATACAGCATGACATGACCTAAGTCATGTTAAAATTTACACGTGTAGATAATACTAGAAACACACTCCAATGTTAATGGTAGCTTATTTTATCAGTGGCAATTATGCATAATCATCACTTTCTTCTCTGTATTTGTCTTGATTTCCCAATTGCATCTAATGGGCACACATTTGATTTATAATTAAAAATACATACTACTTTTAAAAATGGCTATTGCTCTTGATGTAAATTTTTAAAATGTAAATCATATCTTTTACTAGTAATTATATTCAGAACAAGTCATTTCTGTGACTATACATAATTTCAGTTCCTCCTGACTGTGGAAATTGACAGGTGATATCAAAGAAAGCCATAATTATTGTTATTTTCTATAAAATCATGTTATACTTTAATGCTTCTTGGGTACTTTCAGACAGCATGGGTCTTTATAAAGTCCGTGAAACATGGCATGAATGATGTGCAAATGGAAACTAAAGCGTGTTTAGTACCCAGAGAATACAGAAATTGTTCATGCTCTCATTACCTGGAGTTTCTTCCATGGCATACCTTGAAATGTGAGTCTTGTTTCAAGAGAACAAGGCAGGAATTTCTGCTTTAAAATTCGACCAATGGAACAGAACAGAGGGCTCAGAAATACCACCACACATCTACAACCATCTGATCTTCGACAAACCTGGCACAAACAAGAACTGGGGAAAAGATTTCCTATTTAATAAGTGGTGTTGGGAAAACTGGCTAGCCATATGCAGAAAACTGAAACTGGATCCCTTCCTTACACCTTATACAAAAATTAACTCAAGATGGATCAAAGACTTAAACAAGACCTAGGATCACAAAAACCCTAGAAGAAAACCTGGGCAATACCATTAAGGACATAGGCATGGGCAAAGACTTCATGTCTAAAACACCAAAAGCAATGGCAACAAAAGCCAAAATTGACACATGGGATCTAATTAAACTAAAGAACTTCTGCACAGCAGAAGAAACTATCATCAGAGTGAACAGGCAACCTACAGAAAGGGAGAAAATTTTTGCAATCTATCCATCTGACAAAGGGCTAATATCCAGAATCTACAAAGAACTTAAACACATTTACAAGAAAAAAACGAACAACCCCATCAAAAAGTGGGCAAAGTATATGAACAAACACTTCTCAAAAGAAGACATTTATGAAGCCAACAGATGTATGAAAAAATGCTCATCACCACTGGTCATTAGAAAAATGCAAATCAAAACCACAATGAGATACCATCTCATGTCAGTTAGAATGGCAATCGTTAAAAAGTCAGGAAAAAACAGATGCTGGAGAGGATGTGGAGAAATAGGAACGCTTTTACACTGTTGGTGGGACTGTAAACTAGTTCAACCATTGTGGAAGACAGTGTGGCGATTCCTCAAGGATCTGGAACTAGCAATACCGTTTGATCCAGCAATCCCATTACTGGGTATATACAAAGGATTATAAATCATTCTACTATAAAGACACACGCACACGTATGTTTACTGCGGTACTATTCACAATAGCAAATACTTGGAACCAGCCCAAATGTTCACCAATAATAGACTGGATAAAGAAAATGTGGTGCATATACACCATGGAATACTATGCAGCCATAAAAAAGGATGAGTTCATGTCCTTTGCAGGGACATGGATGAAGCTGGAAACCATCATTCTCAGCAAACTATCACAAGAACAGAAAACTAAACACCACATGTTCTCTCTCATAAGTGGGAGTTGAACAATGAGAACACATGGACACAGGAAGGGGAACATCACACACTGGGGCCTGGGGGGGGTGGGGGGCTAGGGGAGGGATAACATTAGAAGAAATACCTAATGTAGGTGATGGGTTGATGAGTGTAGCAAACCACCATGCCACGTGTATACGTATGTAACAAAACTGCATGTTCTGCACATGTACCCCAGAACTTAAAGCATAATAAAAAAAATTCACACAATGTAAGAGATTTCAAAATCTTTGGGAAAATGTCAGTGATTAGAAAACATAGGATACCTAATTGTATACAAGAAATTAAATTAAAAAATTGCAAAGAGGAACAGAGAAATTTTATATTATTGTGGATTCATTATGAATGTCAACTTGAGAATCTCTTAATTATACCTCAAGATTCCTCACTACCTATATTAGTTTTGTAATGCTGACACAAGAATTACCACAAACGTGATGGATTAAAAGAACAGAAATTTATTTTCTCACAGTCCTGGGGGGCTAGAAGTTTAATCAAGTTGTTGGCGGCGCCAGGATCCCTCTTTAGGCTCTAGGGAAGAATCTTACCTTGCCTCTTACTAGTTTCCGATGGTTACTAGCAACACCTTCATCACTTTAATTTCTGCCTTCTTTTTCATGTGGCTATCTTCCCTCTGTGACTGTCTGTCTAAATTTATTTCTTCTTACAAGGACATCTCTTGTAAGGACATCATTGGATTTGTTCCCACTCTACCAGGGATTTTTAACTTCAACATATTTTTTGAGGAGAGACACAAATCAAAGCAAAACACACTCTCTCTTCTGTCTTTTCTTCCTTCTTTTTCTCTTACTTCCCTTTCTTCTTTCTTTCCTTCCTTCAGCAAATGGAACACTTTCTTCTCTTATCCTTGAAGCCATGATCTCAAGATGTATTTACACAGCATTGGCCACTTCCTGTCAGTCTCCTTGCTGGTTCCTCCTTTTTTTTGTTCAACCTTTAAAGTTTACTGAGCCCAGTACCTGATCCTGGGCTTCCATGCCTTTATAATCTTTACATTTTCCCTAGGTTATTGTATCAATTTCCAGGCTCTAAATACCGTGTACAAACTCTTGTATTTTGGAATTCCTCGGGCCTTGGTACCAGGCCATCTTACTACACACTCCAGTGCACTTACTATGCATCTCTTTACTATGCACTCATTCCTTGGGTGGTATTGTTCACTTTAGGCTTTCAAACATTATTTACAAGTAGAAAATGTTTATACCTGGCAATCGCCTTCCTATTTTCTGAACTCTAATCCTTTTTCCCACATGCCTATTGATCCTCTCCATTTGGTATCTCACAGGCATCTCAAAATAAACATGCCCAGAATTCATTGCAAAGAGCTCTCCCCCCAACTCCTAAGAGAATTCCTCCTTCAGTGTTTCTTATCTCAGGAATGGCCCTAACTTCCATTCAGTTGCTGATGGTAATGATTTATGTCAAATAATTCAGATTTTAAGCCCAATTCCCTTGATTTGCTTCCAAATATTAGTGGAAAAGAAAAAACTCCCAAAGGAGACTGAAAACGGGCCAAGGAGTGAGAGGATGGAGCATCATAGGAGCAAAGGGAAAAATGTCTTAAGAAGAGATTTGCCAGTGGTTTAAAAGGTGATGTATTTCTTACAATGAAAAATATAGTTTCCATTAAATAGAACAACATCAAATTCAGTGATGACTTTAGGACAGGGGTGTCCAACCTTTTGCCTTCCCTGGGCCACATTGGAAGAAGAATTGTTTTGGGCCACACATAAAATACACTAACACAAGCGATACCTGATGAGCTTAAAAAAAAAAAAAAGGCAAAAACATCTTATAATGTTTTAAGAACATCTACAAATTTGTATTGGGCCTCATTTGAAGCCATCCTGGGCTGCATGTGGCCCATGGGCTGTGGTTTGGACAAGCTTGCTTTATAAAATGGTCCTTTAATGGAGATGTTGCCAAAGAAAGCATTGAGGCATAAATGGAGGATGAGAAAGCAGAGAGGAATGGCAAATTAGGTCAACTCTTTGGAGAGAAGCATGGCTGTGAGGGCAATAAAAGAAACAGGATGGTGGCTTGACAGTGTTATGAGGTGCAAAGATAGATTTGCTGCTTAATTCATTTGTTTATTAATTTGTATTATTTTTAAATTGAAAAAGAGCAAATTTTAATGTAAATAGGAGAGTCCCATTACAACTATCAGAGATGGGGAGACAGGACACTTGATGAAACAAAATCTCTAAGAATATAAATTGGGATGAAATTTATCATATATTCTGAGAATATATAATAAACCTGATTCCTGGTAGAAAGACTTTCACCTCTGAGATTAAAATAGGTATCTTCCCCTGAAATACTTTCTAGTACAAATAAATCTGTGGTTAAGTGATGAGAAAATAAAAGAGTAAATTGTTGATGTCTTCTGTTTTTGCTGGAAATAAATGGGAAG
The DNA here is from genome assembly GCF_000001405.40 of Homo sapiens. Lineage (NCBI taxonomy): Eukaryota > Metazoa > Chordata > Mammalia > Primates > Hominidae > Homo > Homo sapiens. The sequence goes on along the minus strand of NC_000006.12, from coordinate 77,626,137 downwards.
ATCTTCACTGAAAGTGAATTGATGGGGGTAGGGCATGATTTTTCTGGGGAGTGAAGAGGATGGGAAATATTTTCCATACAGATTAGGAGAATAAGCTGACTAGAGAAGCATGGAAGAGAATCTGGCAGTCTTGGGGGCCAAACTGCAATTGATAATAAAAAATTTAGGGTAATAATAATATGCCTGCTGGTTTAATAAATTGCTCTTATGTAGATTGCCAATATACTGATGAAGAAGTTGGAGATGTGGTTGTCATCTAGGGCAGCCAGCTGGTGGCTGCTGGGGACATTACAAAATGGCATTGGCCTTGGTGAATCCACCACAAATTAGAGGCTGGATCACCGCTAAGCAGAATTAGAACTTTGATGTATCAGACTCTGAAAGGTCATCTTTTGGGTGCAAATCTATGTCACTCAGACTCATAAGATATAATGTGTATAAAATTTATTAAAGACTGAAAATTTATTATTCTGTAATTATTGACAACCAGTAACTTAAAATCACAGTGGCAATTTATTAATTTATAATTCTTTGTAGAATTAAAATGCCCATACTAGCATGATTCTCACTTTTTTCTCAATGCCCCAAATACTAGATTATAATGAAATACTGGTTTTATAAACATGAAATTAAAGTGAAGGGAATTAGTAAAGAAATTATGCACTCGATTACACAGAATATACGATAGCCTTAAAAACAGCTTTTAGCTAGGAGGACAGAGATGTCAGATAAATTGGGCCCAGACACCTTATCTTTAGGCAGTGACAGGCTGTGTACAGCCAATGCAGGGACTCTACCTCATCTCTTTTTTAGCTTTCTTCACCTCTTTTTTCACTCTCCTAACACATGACTTGTTTTTTTCTATAGGCTTATGTTGGCCTGGGACCCATTAAGTAACATTCAGTGACTTCACATATCTCTGCTTTATTTCATTACATGCAAATTCATAATTAATTTCCTCATGACAATCGTAAGTTTTCTTTCCATGTTCTTGAAATAGATTGCCAAATCATATCAATCTTATCTATGCTTTAACAAAATTAGTTTATATTCAGATACTTCATTAACACAATAGAATTAAGGAATACCATATTTTCTTAGTTTTCCCCTGATTTTATAAGTTTGTTATTTTTAGTTTGTGACCAATGTATGAAAAGAAAGGTAATAAAGATAATCTTAAAATTTACAAGTGATATATGAAGATTAAGTTAAATGGTTTTCTTTAGCATTTATCAGCATCTTCTAGAGAAAATTTGCAAGTCGCTTACTGCTTATTAGCCGAGTTTACACAAAGTAAACACACAGTACTTTTAACTAGAGAACAAATTATGTCCTGTTAATTAGTTTGGTTTACGCAAAGTAAACACGCAGTACTTTTAACTATAGCTTTAATCATTTTTAAATGAAGTGTGACTATTTATGCAACATTTATCGTTTGAGTTTTACAAACTGTAGAACTAAAATGCTGAGTCAAGAAAAACTGATTTTTTTCTCAGTTTCTCAAGCAAGTTCTATCCAAAATATTTTCAAAAATCCACTTTAAGACATTTAGTTGCCATAGGAATATGCAAAAAATGAAGTCACCAATCTTATCAGAGTGCATGCATTTTTAAAATCTTTGAAAAAGTTTAAAGGACTTTTCTATTAGTCTTAATCTTACTTTGATACTTAAATCTATCCAGATTTTCTTATACTCCAACTATTTCTTTCCTAGATGGATGCTAAAAGACTGTTAAAGAGAAATAATATATTGCATATACTCATTTAGAGGCAACCAGGAGTCCTAATTTCCGATCTTCTATAAACCCATTGCTGTAAGTAAAGCTAGAAGTCAGTTGGGCTCCGTTTCTACCAATGTCCTCAATATTAAGTGTTTACACTGTGCTACCTTAAGAATAGCAATACAGTTATGACAGTAATGATGCTAATAACAATGTTTGAATATTTTTCCCCTCCAAAACTCATGTTGAAATTTAATCTCTAATGTGGCAGTATTGAAAGGTCGGAGACTTTAGGGGTGATTAGATCATGAGGGCTCTGCCTTCATCAATTGATTAATCCATTCAATTCATGAATGAATGGATTCATGGATTAATGAATTAAGGGATTATAATGAGAGGTAAACTTGTGGCTTTAAAGGAGGACAAAGAGAGACCTGGGCTAGTGTGTTAGCACAGAGGCCTCCTTACCAAGTGATACACTGCACCACCTCAGGACTCTTCTGAGAATCCCCACCAGCAAGAAGGCTCTCACCAGATGCAACCCCTTGACATGAGACTTCTCAGCCTGCATCATTGCAAGAAATAAATTTCTTTTATTTATAAATTACCAAGTTTTAGATATTCTGTTATAAGCAAAAGAAAATTGACTAAAACACCACTTTTTCAATGAGTCCCTGTGTATCAGTAATTTTCCTTATATTGTTTCTCTTAATTCCATTTAATCTTCAAAGTAAACCTCTCAGCAATAAAATTGCAGGATAGGCCCTACACTGGTTTAAGGCCTGTTAGCAGGACTCCTAGAGACTTCTGGGTACATTTTCATCATTCTGGATTCACACCTAGGGGTTTTTGAATCTACTTTCACCTGGCTCTGTTAGTCTAGGGAGGCTGATAATAAATCCTAAGAATTTCATTTAAACTTAACTGTATATCATAAATTAAATAATTCTGTGATCAACAGGGAGCACCTGGCTCAAGTAAAAGGGTTGCCAGCGTGTTTTTAGGCAAGGCTACTTGAAGGGTGACCTAGTCTTATATACGTAAAGCTGCACATCTTGGGTAACATTTAGGCCTCATGAATTTTTAATGCTACCTCACTTCCTCACTGTATGATCAACCATAAATATGCACCCTACCACCAATTCCACCAACTCCACTTTGTCTCCCACCCTACCTCTGGGGTGAAGCTCTACCCTGGATGATGTTTATCTGCCTTGTATCCTCACCATACTGACTTCCTTCTATATCCTTTAGATAAGAACATCCTATATGATTTGCTCAAATGTTTTCTCTAGGTCTTTCCATTGATTGGAACTTACTTTCACCAGGTGTTTATAGAGTGGTCACAGACCATTACTATTCCCTTTTTCATTAATTAAAGGAAAAAGGCACTGAAGGGGAACATGGTTGAGTAAAGTTACAGTGCCATCTAGCATCCAAACACAGGTCTGTGTGATTTAAATACAATATACCCTACATTTCATTATGACCCCAGTGAGATATGATATTGGCCATGGAAACCAAGGGATCATTCTAAGTAATATACCACATTCTAAACTAACACTCACAGCACTGAAGCAATAGTTGAATAAGACAAAATTTTAATCCCTGGGGCACACTGGCAATATCTAGAGACACTGTTTGATTGTTATGATTTGCAGGGGTGAGGTTGCTACTGGAAACTAGTGGATCAAGACTAGAGATGTTGCTAAACCTCCTACAATACACAGAATAGCCCCTCACAACAAAGATATATCAATAAACCAAAATATCAATAATATCAAGGTTGATGAACCCTACCTTAAGCTCGTTAGTTCTCTGTGAAATAGTACAATACTTTGACTATTCGGGAGACAGGTGTGCTTTATCTCTGACCACTCCCCACCTGTCCATCTAGACATCTCTGCTAGATGCATTATGCTGTCTCATTTACTGATTTCTCTGAAACTATTAGAGGTTGCTCATTTAAAAGTATTCACCTTCATGTATTGAATGTTTATTCCTTTGGCCTTTAGTTATGCAAATATTTTTAAAAGTGAGCACCCTAAATAATTATATGATTACAAATTTATTTCCCAAAGCCCTCAAGAAGTATATGTGGCAGGGGGGAAAAAAGAGAACTCTGATTCAACTCATTTTTGTCAGTATATAATCTGAAGCTGTTCATCTACTTTAAACATGCAACAATAATTTGTAACATATTAAAAGAAATCACAAAAGTGCATTTCTGTGTTTAACATAAGAAAACTACTTTTAGAGATGAAAAATGAGAAGAAGCATACAGAAGTATATGCACAGCTTTCTCATAGGTACTGTATTAGTTGGTTTTCATGCTGCTGATAAAGACATACTCGAGACTGGGTAATTTATAAAGAAAAAGAGGTTTAATGGACTCGCAGTTCCACATGACTGAGGAAGCCTCACAATCATGGCGGAAGGCAAAGGAGGAGAAAAGTCACATCTTACTTGGCAGCAGACAAGAGACAGAGCATGTGCAGCAGAACTCCCCTTTATAAAACCATCAGACCTCTCAGACTTATTCACTATTATAAGAACAGCACAGGAAAGACTCGCCTTCATGATTCAATTACCTGCCACGGGGTCCCTCCCACAACACGTGGGAATTATGGGGGCTACAATTTGAGATTTGGGTGGGGATACAGCCAAACCATATCAAGTACAAAAACAAGCAAAGGTAAAGAAGAATTCTACCCTTGCAGAAAAACAGAGGTAAAAAGTTTCCAGCCTCAACAACAACAACAACAAACAAACAACCCAATGAAAATATTGGCAAAAGACCTGAGGAGATATTTCTTCAAAGAAGATATAGGAATGGCCAATAAACACATGAAAAGATGCTCAACATCAGAGGTAATTAGGGTAATGCAAATTAAAACTATAATAAGATACCACCTCACACCCATTTACATGGCCATTTTATATATATATATATGTATGTATATATATATCAACAACAAATAAACAAAAAATTACAAATGTCAAGGATGTGAAGAAATCAGAATCTTTGTGCATTGCTGGTGGGACTGTAAAATAGTATAGCCACTATGGAAAACAGTGGTGTAGTTCCTCAAAAATTAAACATAAAATTACTATATGACCTTTATGGGTATATGCACAAAATAATTGCAAGTGGGGACTCCAACAGACAGTTGTACAACCATATTCATAGCAGCATTATTCAGAATAGCCAAAAGGTAGAAGCAACCCAAGTGTCCATCAATAAATAGATAAACAAAATGCAGTATATACATATGTATTGAGTATTATTCATGCTTAAAAATAGGAAAATTCTAATATATGTTACAATGTGAATGAACCTTGAAGACATGGTGCTAAGTTAAATAAGCCAGTCACAAAAAGGCAAATATTGCATGATTCCACTTACATAAGGTACGTAAAATAGACAAATTCATATAGATAAAGTGAAATGGCAGTTGCCAGGGGCTAGTGGGAAGGGGAAACAGGGAATTGTTGCCTAATGTGTATAGAATTTCAGTTTGTGAGGATAAAAAAGTTCTGGAGATGGATAGTGATGATGGTTTAACTACAATGTGAATGTACTTAATGCCACTGAACTGTACTTAAAATAGTTAAAGTGGAACATTTTATGGTACACATATTTTATCACAAAAAGCTTTCCAGTCCAACTGGAAGCGACCAAAATATCTATCAACACTCAAATGGATCAATAAATTGTGGTATATTCATACAATGGAATACCATACAGCTACAAAGCAACAGCCTGAAGAGATTTCAGAAATAATGTTGAATTAAAGAAGCCAAAGAGTAGGATTCCATTTATGTGAAGCAGATCAGGCAAAACTAACCTGCAGTTGTAGTAGAAATTAGAATAATGCTTACCTTTGTGGCAGCTATTGACTGAGAAGGGATATGAGGGAGCCTCCTAGTGGCTGGAAATGAGTGACAGCTAGATCTGGGTAGTGGTTACAGGGTATTAACATATGTAAATATTTATTGAGCTGTAGGCTTGAAACCTGTGCATTTTATGGTGTGTTTATACCTAAATTTAAATTTTTAAAATTCCCATGCAAAGCTGAGGGCCTAAGTCAGTTTTACTTCCTGAAAAACAGAGTTGGTTGGTATTCTTACACTCTTGAAGTCAGAAAAAGACTGCAGTTGACTTTGCCTGCTGCTGTAATTAAAATAAAGCTGCTGATCTGTGGAGGCAGGAGTAAAGCCAGGATGTGGCTGTGCAGGAAGAAGTAGACACTACTTGAGGCATGCACTGGGTTATTATTCCACCAGCTTGGTGATTGATTGGCAGTAACCCCAATGTCATTACAGGGTGGTTGCCCTGACCCAACAATATAAGTCCTGTGGAAGGAGAGATATAATTTAAAACTTTAATGTGTTTTTCCCTTTCTGAGTAATGACCTCCTATCAGTTTATCCCAGGAATCATTTTGTTCGAGCTGGGGAAGTGGTGATGGAAGTGGTTAGAGATTAGAATTTGTTCGGGAGGATTGCTATGAAAAAGAGGTAATAGCTTCTGTAACTCAAAGTAGTTTTATCCAATAAAAAAGTAGCCTTGCAGGCCAGCTTAATATCTTGAGAAAGAATGTTCCAAATTATACAATTCTTCCATATCCCAATTTTCCATCTCCAAGTATTTGGTACATGAAGGGAGATGGGGGAGGATATATACTGTGTAAGGAGGAGGAGAATGAAGGCAATTCCAGATATTACATGCCAAAGGAACAGCATCACAACAGTGGCAACCTTTCACCCTAACAGCTCCAAGACACTTAAGCCACATAATTGTCATGTCCCTCCAGTTAACCCTATGCTATCTATTCTGGTTATCTCTCACTGCAAAATAAACCACATCAATTAAACCATAACAATTATTTGCTTTCCTCAAGAATCTGGACTGAGGGAGTTCTCACTTGGAGTATTTCATGCAGTTATAATAAGGAGTGGCCGAAGTCATCTTGAAGTCTTCTTCTTCATGTGGTCTCTTTCCATGATGGCCTCAGGGTAACTGCATTTGTTACACGGCAGCTAAAAGTAAATGTGCTTAGGTAAACAGACAAGTTGCCTGACCTTTTAAAACCCAGCCCCAAAAGTCACAGAGCATTGCTTTGACCTGAATTGTATTTGTCTATTTATTTAGCCACAATAGTTGAGCCAGGTTCAAGTAGAGGTAACATAAACTTTATCTCAGTGATGGGAAGAATATTTCAGAATTTGCATAATTATTTAAAAAACACCACATGATATTATTATGAGAAGAAAGAGGAAAGAAGCTTTCTGAAAAACAAAAACAAAATCTTTATTTAACAGAGACTAAACACTGCCTGAAGAGACTGTTTACAATTTTTAATCTAAAAAAGCTACAATTAGATTAGATATTTAATTAATGCCTTTTTCCATCTGGATTCCCAATTAGCCAGTATTGGTGGGAGTGGGGGATGGGATGGAGGGAGAACAGGAATAGGCTCAATTAATTATATATTAAGTTAAAGAAAACCCTGCAATTTTGATAGAGTTTCCTGTGTACATAGTAAGAAAGATGATAATGTATCAAACATAAACTGGGATATAGCTTTGAGTTTGATAATATCAGCTGTTCCTCTGGTTAAACATTATTTCTGATACAAGACTTAACGAGTTTAAGAGCCCCTTATGGGAACCTCACCTAGATAGCCGTTAATATAAAGAGGAGTCATTTTCTCCATTCTAGCTACAAGCATTGTAATCTTTGAACAGACATTCTATTTTCTTTTTGATCCAGTCTAACAATGATTTTCACTACAATTTTTTCATATAAAATGTAAAATTTATATGTAAAATTTATTCATATAATTTTTTATATAAATTTCACTTATAAATAGCTAATGAGAAAATTATAGAGAAAATTATGAACACTCATACCTGAATAACATAGTAAAACTTATTAGATGTACACCAAATAATACTTGAAAGTAAAATTTGATCTTAAGAACAATTTATTAAAAACTTATTAAACATCTAAAAATAATAAAAATAAATTTATGCTATTACCCTAGCTTACACGGTGGATCCTGAAACCAAGGTCTTTCTTTATGTCTTAGTCCATTTGTGCAGCTACAACAACATGACATAGACTGGGTAATTTCTACAGAATATGATTTTTTTTCTCATAGTTCTAGGAGGTGGAAAGTCCAAAATCATGGCATTGGCATCTTGTGTGGGCCTTCTTGCTGTATCCTCCCATGGCAGAAGGTGGAAAGACAAAAAGCATGAACTGATTCTCATAAGCCCTTTTAATAGTGGCCTTAATTCATTTATGAAAGCAAGACCCTCATGACCTATACACTTCCCAAAAAGTCCCACCTACCAACACTCTTGCATTGAGAAATAAGTTTTTAGGGCATGAATTTTGAGGGACACATCCAGACCACATAACATATAGGGGCCTGAATTTCAGTCACCAGCTGAGCTGTTGTGGAGAGCTAGGCCCTACACCCTGAATCCAGAGTCATTGTAGCTCTGCACATGCTCCTGTTCCCATCTCCAGCTCCCTGGATGCTTCACAAGCACTAAATCTTACACATCATTAACAACCCAAAAGCAGGAATGCCTGCACCCCAGGCACTAGTGCCATCACCACTCCAGACTACAGAGCTATAGTCCCTAAGTACATGCCCATGTTTTAGACCTCAGCTCTGTGGCTGCACCATGGGTGCAACTCATAAGACATTTGTACCACCACTACCACAAATGGACCCACAAACCAAACCTAGTGACAATAGGGATTCCCTCAGACACAACTTTTTCCAGTGGGATAAAAAGAGATCAGGAAAATCTTAGCAACCATCACCACTAAAGGCCTTAACAGACCTCACTGCCACTGTGACACCCACCGAAGTGATCATTGAGGATCCCTGAAATTTTTAATGTCAAACTAGGTGTATAGAGCTGCACAGAAACTATGGTTCTGTACCCTAACTGGTGCCAGAACCAATGCTCTCCCCCAGGCAACACCAACTCAGTCTCCCACAGGGCAAGGTTTTTCATCACCATACCAGCCTATAAAGTTTGGAAAAGGAGTCTGGTCCACCATATGTGCCAACACCAACATGAGGCAACAAGAAACATGAAAAACCAACAACACATTTCAGCATTCACAGAACATAATAACTTCCTGGTAGCTGAGACCAAAGAAATGGAGATCTCTAGACTGCCTGACAAATAATTAAAAATAATTGTTTAAAGGAAGCCCAACAAACATCAATAAAATATAGAGAAACAATTTGATTAAATCAGTAAAATAATAAATGAACAAAATTAGAAATTTGACAGAATTTGAAATAATAAAAAACAAAAATATTTACAGCTGAAGAATACAATGAATAAAATGAAAAATGCAACAGAAAACATCAACATCAGAATTGTTCAAGTGCTAAAGAGAATATGTGAACTCAAAAAAGGTGTTATTTGAAAATATACCTCCTAATGCTATCCCTCCCCCTCCCCCTACCCCCCACCCCACAACAGTCCCTGGTGTGTGATGTTCCCCTTCCTGTGTCCATGTGTTCTCATTCTTCAATTCCCATCTATGAGTGAGAACATGCAGTGTTTGGTTTTTTGTCCTTGCAATAGCATTAGGAGATATACCTAATGTAAATGACGAGTTAATGGGTGCAGCACACCAACATGGCACATGTATACATATGTAACAAACCTGCACATTGTGCACATGTACCCTAAAACTTAAAGTATAATAATAATAAAATAAAATAAAATAAAATAAAGAAAATACACAAAGAAGAAAAAGGAAACAAATGCAAGAAAGAAAAACATAGAATTTCTGGAACTCCATCAGGGGAGCTAACTTTTGCATTATAGGAGTTAAATAAAAAAAGAGAAACAGAAAGGGGGAAGCAAGCTAAGTTAAAAAAAATAGCTAAAAATTACCAAAATCTGAGGATAGATATAAATATTTAGATACAGGAAGGTCAAAGGTCTCTCATCAGATTCAATGCAAATAGGACTACAACAAGGCACATATCAAACCGTCAAAAATTAAAGACAAAAATAGGCTCCTGAAACAGCAAGAGAAAAGAATATCACACATGACAGAATTTTAATATCATCTCATTTATCAGCAGAAACCGCACAGGCCAGGAGAGAGTAGGATGGTATATTCAAAGTCCTTTAGGAAGAAACAAAACCAGAAAACTGTTAACCAAGAATGCTTTAGCTGAAATAGCTGTGTTTCAGAAATGAAGAGCTAAAGACTTTCCCAGAAAAACAAAAACCAAAGGAATTAGGTAAAGAACAAACTAAGCTCAAAGCCCAGGACCCCATGGCTTCTCTGCTGAGTTCTACTAAACATTTAAAAAAGAATTAATACCAATTCTTCTCAAACTGTTACAGGAGGGAATAGTATAGCCATTATGAAAAACAGTTTGGAGGCTCCCCCAAAAATCAAAAATAGACTTACCATATGATTCACCAAGCCCACTACTGAGTATATATCCAAATGAATGAACTTAGTATGTCAAAGAGATCTCTGCACTTCCCTGTTCACTGCAGCATTATTCACAACAACCAAGATATGGCATCCAAGGCTGGTTCAACATACAAAAATCACTAAACGTAATCCAGCATATAAACAGAACCAAAGACAAAAACCACATGATTATCTCAATAGATGCAGAAAAGGCCTTTGACAAAATTCAACAACCCTTCATGCTAAAAACTCTCAATAAATTAGGTATCGATGGGACGTATCTCAAAATAATAAGAGCTATCTATGACAAACCCACAGCCAATATCATACTGAATGGACAAAAACTGGAAGCATTCCCTTTGAAAACTGGCACAAGACAGGGATGCCCTCTCTCACCACTCTTATTCAACGTAGTGTTGGAAGTTCTGGCCAGGGCAATTAGGCAGGAGAAGGAAATAAAGGGCGTTCAATTAGGAAAAGAGGAAGTCAAATTGTCCTTGTTTGCAGATGACATGATTGTATATCTAGAAAACCCCATCCTCTCAGCCCAAAATCTCCTTAAGCTGATAGGCAACTTCAGCAAAGTCCCAGGATACAAAATCAATGTGCAAAAATCACAAGCATTCTCATACACCAATAGCAGACAGAGAGCCAAATCATGAGTGAACTCCCATTCACAATTGCTTCAAAGAGAATAAAATACCTAGGAATCCAACTTACAAGGGATGTGAAGGACCTCTTCAAGGAGAACTACAAACCACTGCTGAATGAAATAAAAGAGGATACAAACAGATGGAAGAACGTTCCATGCTCATGGGTAGGAAGAATCAATATCATGAAAATGGCCATACTGCCCAAGGTAATTTATAGATTCAATGCCATCCCCATCAAGCTACCATGACTTTCTTCACAGAATTGGAAAAAACTACTTTAAAGTTCATATGGAACCAAAAAAGAGCCCGCATTGCCAAGTAAATCCTAAGCCAAAAGAACAAAGTTGGAGGCATCACACTACCTGACTTCAAACTATACTACAAGGCTACAGTAACCAAAACAGCACGGTACAGGTACCACAACAGAGATATAGATCAATGGAACAGAACAGAGCCCTCAGAAATAACGCCGCATATCTACAACTATCTGACCTTTGACAAACCTGAGAAAAACAAGAAATGGGGAAAGGATTCCCTATTTAATAAATGGTGCTGGGAAAACTGGCTAGCCACATGTAGAAAGCTGAAAGTGGATCCCTTTCTTACACCTTATACAAAAATTAATTCAAGATGGATTAAAGACTTACATGTTAGACCTAAAACCATAAAAACCCTAGAAGAAAACCTAGGCAATACCATTCAGGACATAGGCATGGGCAAGGACTTCATGTCTAAAACACCAAAAGCAATGGCAACAAAATTGACACATGGGATCTAATTAACCTAAAGAGCTTCTGCACAGCAAAAGAAACTACCATCAGAGTGAACAGGCAACCTACAGAATGGGAGAAAATTTTTGCAACCTACTCATCTGACAAAGGGCTAATATCCAGAATCTACAGTGAACTCAAATTTACGAGAAAAAAACAAACAACCCCATCAACAAGTGGGCAAAGGATATGAACAGATACTTCTCAAAAGAAGACATTGATGCAGCCAAAAGGCACATGAAAAAATGCTCATCATCACTGGCCATCAGAGAAATGCAAATCAAAACTGCAATGAGATACCATCTCACACCAGTTAGAATGGCGATCATTAAAAAGTCAGGAAACAACAGGGGCTGGAAAGGATGTGGAGAAATAGGAACACTTTTACACTGTTGGTGAGACTGTAAATTAGTTCAACCATTGTGGAAGTCAGTGTGGCGATTCCTCAGGGATCTAGAACTAGAAATACCATTTGACCCAGCCATCCCATTACTGGGTATATACCAAAAGGATTATAAATCATGCTGCTATAAAGACACATGCACACATATATTTATTTCGGCGTTATTCGCAATAGCAAAGACTTGGAACCAACCCAAATGTCCAACAATGATAGACTGGATTAAGAAAATGTGGCACATAATACCATGGAATACTATGCAGCCATAAAAAATGATGAGTTCATGTCCTTTGTAGGGACATGGATGAAGCTGGAAACCGTCATTCTCAGCAAACTATCACAAGGACAAAAAACCAAACACTGCATGTTCTCACTCATAGGTAGGAATTGAACAATGAGAACACATGAACACAGGAAGGAGAACATCACACACCGGGGACTGTTGTGGGGTGGAGGGAAGGGGGAGGGATAGCATTAGGAGATATACCTAATGCTAAATGACGAGTTAATGGGTGCAGCACACCAACATGGCACATGTATACATATGTAAAAAACCTGAACGTTGTGCACATGTACCCTAAAACTTAAAGTATAATAATAATAAAATTAAAAAAAAAGATATGGCATCCATTAGTGAATGAATAAGGAAAACTTGGTATATATACACAATGGAATACTATTCAGCATTAAAAAAGAAGCAAGTCTTATCATTTGTGACAACATGGATGAACCTGGAGGACATGATATTAAGTGAAATAAGTCAGACACAGAAAGACAAATACCTCATGATCTCATTTATTTGTGGAATCTAAAAACAGAGGAACTCATAGAAGCAGAGGGTAGAGTGGTGGTTGCCAGGGGCTGCTTTGGGGTTGGAGGGAATCGTGGAGATGTCAAAAGAATAGAAAGTTTAAATTAGATAGGAGGAATAGGTTTAAAATATCAATTTACAACATGGCGAATCTAGTTAATAACAATGTGTTATATACTTGAAAATTGCTAAGAGATTAAATTTTAGGTATTCTCAACACACACAAAAATAATGTATTAGTGAGGTAACGCATGTTAATTTTCTTGATTTAGCCATTTCACAATATATATATCCATCAACACATCATGTTTTATATTATAAATATATAGAATTTTTATCATTTAAAGTAAATTAAAAATTATGTGAATTAAAAGTTAAATTATAGAAGAATCTCTATTGTATTTTCATATTCCCATGAAATTTAAAACCATCTCAAATTGAATATTTTGAAAAGATAAATATGAATATTTGAGGGGATGGAAGTAAACAAGATTAGAGTGCCTTAGAAAGATCTTTGATTCTATGTATAAGTATTTGTTTATTTACAAAGACAAAATATAAAATATTTGAAACATGTATGAAGAAAATCTACAACTGAAAAAATTGCTATGTTATGGTAACAGAACCAAAGTCCTTTCTTAAAAATTCCAGTATTACTTTTATATGTTCTATTCATTTTTATAATAATTTCTTCAACATAATTATTCCTCTAATGGTGGTATTTCACCAGTTTGAACACTTCTATATAGAAGACACTTGTTCAGTGGAGCCCTATTTATCAAGCCCTATGGATCATTGTCCGTCTTACCCTGCAGCTAACCTATGCTATTGTGATGGTTAATTTTATGTGTCAACCTGGGTGGGTCATGGTGCTCAGATATTTGGTCAAACATTATTTTGGATGTTTCTGTGATGACATTTTTGGATGAGATTTAAATTGGTGAATGTTGGATAAAGCAGATAGCCCTCTCTAATGTGGGTGGGCCTCATTCAATCAGCTAAAGGCCTGAATTGAGCAAAAGATTGACTTGCCCAAACAGAAAGTAATTCTGTTGCAGATAGCCTTCAGATTTGAACTGCGGAATGCAGGATTCGTTCTCTTACCTCCAGCGTGATTGCCCAGCCTGCATATTTTGAACTTGCAAAATCACATGAACCAATTCCTATAAATAAATAGTTTTCTCTCTATGTATATACTTGCCCTATTGGGTCTGTTTCTCTGGAGAACCCTGACTAGAACAGCAACTTTTTTCTTAGATTGAGTGTTTTTATTTTTATCAAAAATGATGTTGCATTTTATAACAAATATATGGTAATGGCTCCAAATTTTCACCCTAAAATTTAGCTTATAGATAATATAACCTACCAAATAATAAAAGTCAATATAATGCTGTCGTTGTAATGTATAGGAAAACAAAGTATACATCTACAAAAATAATACATACTTTATTATGCAAATGCGCAGGCTTGACTATGCTAAAATACATAATGAAACTTTCAATAATTTGTAAGAACTTTAGCTATAAGATGAGAAAAAAGACCAGAAATTATTCTCTACCAGAAGTACCAGCAAATAAAGGTTTTTGATGTACATTAAAGTAAAAACTACAGTTAGAAGAAGACCATTATAAAGACCAGTATTCTTCTCTGATAAGGAGAGAGAAAAATAACTTTGATTGAAGTAAGAATAATGTTCCAATTCAAACTGTAGACTATTGAAATGATTGATAGAAATGATAAAATATAAAACTCTGATACTATAGCAAATGGGCTGCTGTATATTTACATGCGTTATCTCAAAGCCCTGATGGCTCACACCTGTAATCCCAGCATTTTGGGAAGCAGGTGGATCACTTGAGGTCAGGAGTTTGAGACCAGCCTGGCCAACATGGTGAAACCCTCTCTCTACTAAAAATACAAAAATTAGCAGGGTGTGGTGGCGTGAGCCTGTAGTCCCAGCTACTCCGGAGGCTGAGGCAGGAGTATCCATTGAACCTGGGAGGCAGAGGTTGCAGTGAGCTGAGATTGTGCCACTGCACGCCAGCCTGGGTGATAGAGAAAGACTCCATCTCAAAAAAGCAAAAAATTCTCCATGCTATATATATGTTATCACATAAAATACATCTTTACCTAGAATTCTATTAAATATCTCTAAAATTTAATGACATTCTTTGATAGACAACTGAGTATACCACATAACTTGAAAAAAGAAGCAGAAATTTAAAAAAGTTTCAACAAGTAATTTCACAACATGATGTCTTAGTATGGTGCTATGAAATTAGAAAATAGAAAGACTGGCAGCAAGATGAAATATTTTAAGATTTACTAATAATATTTAATAAGATCCTTGAATTTCATGTATCTTCATTAATTTAATAGTATTTGTTTCTAAGTATGTTTTTTAAAAAGAGTCTCAACTATCTCTGCTATGCAACTGAATAGGACAACTGTAAAGACAGACTAGTATTTAGGAAGTAGTATGTTGTTATCTCAAATATCATCAGCAGTGATAATGCTGTTGGTCATATGATTTTATGAAACTAAAAACTCTGAAAATTCAGAACCAAACAAGTGCAAAGGAATGTTGATTTGCACAGCAGTCACATTCCTGAAAATTTTACAATATATCAGAAAACAAATTGTTAACCTTACTGGAATTAACTCCAGTAGGACAGTCGAGGATAATGTAAAACTCAAGGAAATTCAGTTGTACAGGACTACCCTGTGCATTGTGAGAATCCCAGAATCCTTGGCCTTTGCTCCTTAAATGCCAGCTAACTCTCTCCAGTCATAATGACAACCAAAATGCCCTCATAATTTTTCAAAATACCCTCTAAGAGGTAGTAACACTCAGGTCTAGAATTAAAGTTTCTAAGCAAATTATTCACAAACTATTATCCCCCAAACCAGACAGCCTCCTGCTGCCTGCTCCACACGGCCCCTTTGATGAGAAATCAGCATCGAAAACTTGAACATGACCAAAGAAATTGTGGATCTCTCCACTCATGCTTACTTTTCGTCCCCCAATGTTACTCATCTCAGTCAGTAGCCAGTCCACTATTCCTACTCCATTATTCAGCTCAGAAACTTTGACCTCTTTCTCTTACATACTACATCTTTTACGGAATTTATCCAGAAACTAATACCTGTCACCACCTCCACTAATACCATCCAAATGCAATACAACATTATCTCTTACCTGACTTAGTGCAATTGTCTCCTAGATTCTACCCTCACCATGTGGTCAGATTTATTCTTTAATCACAGAAGTCAGACCATGTTACCTCTCTGCTGAAAAACCCCACTAGCAACTTACTATTTTCCTCAAAATAAAAGCCATTATATTTTAAGACCTGTAGGATTGGCCCCTTCCCTCACCACTTTGACCTCATCTTACACCATTCTCTCTACCTAATTTATTCCTCTTCAGCTACACTGGCTACTTTGCTGTTCCTTGATCATGCTGAATATGCTCCTGCCTCAAGGCCTGTGCACTAGCTGTTCCCATTTTTTGGACTAATTCCTTCAGATGACTTTGTGGCTAGCTCTCTCATTTCCTGCAGGCCTTTACTCAAATACAAGTTCATCAGTTTTTTTTCACTACCTTATGTAAGAAACCAAACACCGCATGTTCTCACTCATAGGTGGGAATTGAACAATGAGAACACATGGACACAGGAAGGGGAACATCACACTCTGGGGACTGTTGTGGGGTGGGGGTAGGGGTGAGGGATAGCATTAGGAGATATGCCTAATGCTAAATGACGAGTTAATGGGTGCAGCACACCAGCATGGCACATGTATACATATGTAACTAATCTGCACATTATGCACATGTACCCTAAAACTTAAAGTGTAATAATAATTAAAAAAAAAAGATAGCAATCTCTTCCTCACCATTGCCTTTACCATCCTTCTTGTATTATTAGTCAGCATTCTCTGGAGAAACAGAACCAACAGGATCACCCCCGCCTCAACCCCCACCTCTGTTGTCTTGGGAAAGATTTTAATGAATCAGCTCATGTGATTGTAGGGGTGGGCAAGTCTGAGTCTGGAAGGTAGGCTGGCAGTCTGCAAGATCCAGAGCAGAACTGTTGCAGTGATTAATCCAAATGCAGTCTAGAGGCAAGATTAATTCTTTTGAGGATCTCAGTTTTGTCTCTTATGGCCATCAATTGATTGGATAAGGCATACCCATATATGAAGAATCATCTGCTTTACTCAAAATCTACTGACTTAAATGTGAATCACATCTAAAAAATACCTTCACAGCCTCATCTAGACTGGTGTTTCACCAAAAATTAGATAACATGGCATAAGCAAGTTAACATGTAAAATTAACCATCACATCTCTTGTTTAGCTTTATGTTTCTCCATAGCACTTATTATCTGATTTTATATAATTGCTATTTGCTTCTTAGAAAGAAGCTAACACATAAGCTTCTTTAGGATAGGGACTTAGTTAATTGTTCACTGCTGTGTATCCATAGTATAGAACAGTGCCTGGGATATAGTAGGTTTTCTATAAATATTTGCTGAGTGCATAACAGAATGCTATGCATTCTATTATACGCCACTGAAACTACTTGACCACAGTCATCAATGACTATCATGTGTACAACAGAGAAAAATCCAGTTGAGGGCAATACAATTTCTCAGTTCCCAAGAGGTGAAGATTATACAAAATATATACTTTTTGTAATGTTTTATGTAAGTTTCTATACATATATAAAGGATGTTTAATTTTTATCCCAGAGTACATGTTCAACAAATAAATCTTCCTGTTGGCTTGAGAGAAAGAAAGAGAAAGAGAGAGAGGAGAGAGAGAGACAGAGAGAGAGAGAGAGAGAACTCCCTTAAAGTGATAGAGAATCATGAATCCTGTGGTCTTTGTTGCAGATGTTTTTAAAAAGCTCGTGCCTAAAAAAGATAAACAATATCTCTAACAAAACAAAAATTTATTTTTTCTAGGTACACTATGTATCACATTGCTCTTAAATATATCTTTTATAAATTTCTTGTGTAAAAAATAACAAGAAAATCAGGTTTTCATTTTCAGAGAAATAAAAAATTTATTAAAATTTCAATTTCTATTGCGTGAATAAGTTTTTTTTTCATTTTTTCCAAGCAAACACAAAATAACTATATATTTACTTTGTGGGTATGTTCAATATTTTTTGTATCCTTTATTCTCCTAAGCAGAATAGTCTAGGGCATAAATTTTTCTCAGATTTTTCAAGTCACAAAATCTTCTCCTAGCACTGAATATGGAAATGAATAAATAGTATAACTATAATACCTGACTTATAATATATTTCATCCTCTTTATCTTCAGCAATTTCTAGAATACTATATGGAGAACCTATGTGCCATTAGTCCATTTGACTAGATTTATATACCCACTTCATCTCAGGTCTTTGTCAGACTAAATTAGGGTTTTGTTAGGTGACTGATTTGTAGGTTCATATTTAGATGATATCAATATACGGACCAAATAATGATATAACATGTTTAGACTAGGAAAATCATTAATCGTGTATCATTTGCTACTCAGTGATTAGACATGTTCTTTGTACTTTGGTACAAAACACTGTTGCCCTCACAAGATTTAAAATAAGATGTGTTTTAAGTTAGATACCCTTGACCAACTAATTCCTACCTGAAGGAGTGGCTATGACATGGCTCTGAATTTTCTACCAACAGGAGAACTAAATTGCTTTTAAGGTAGAGTTCAGAGAAGGAAAGTGTAGTTCTCAAAGCTTACTGTTTTCCAAATAACAGAGGCCCAATTCAAATAAGTTAAAGCAAAACCAACTTCTCTTTTCTGACATAACTGAAATAAACGCAGGGTTCCAGGTGCTCAAATTATGTCACTGATATTCTTCTCCCCTCCCTTAATTATGATTTCCTGCATGTAGCTTCACTCTCATGAAGAAAAGCTGTTCCATTATTGTGACACGTCTACTAGCAACTCCATGCTGACATTTCCACAATTCCACCCCATGAAAACAAAGTGTGGGCCCCTTTCACTCAATAATTTCAGCAGAGGTAAGCCACATATGTATCAGTGACCTCTTCATTGTTTCCAGAGAGATAAAATATGCTGACGGGTGAATTTGTGCCGCATGTCCATTCCTGCAGTCGGGGCTGGAGAAGATACTTTAGAAAGAATGGGGCATAGCGTCATGCCAACCTAAATGATAAGGACTAAGTGTGGAAAAGAGATAGTTTGCAAAGAAGACCAAGGGGAAATGGGCAGGTGAAAACCATCATATGTCCACTACTTTCCTTTAACATTGCTTCACATTTAGAAAGAGCAGAGATTTTTTTAAAAAAAGGATTGGAAAGAGAATAGTAAAAGAAAAATGATGAGAGAGAAAACCTAGATTTTCTATACAATGGGCAGGAGTTGTCGGGGAAAATAGGGTGATATTAGTTCAGCAACAAGAAGAGAGGGAGAGAAATTCTCATAGGAATGACTTTCCACATCATTTAGTATACTTTTAATGTGGAGTTAAACATGGATTTCACCTCTTCCAATGATTACCAGCACTTCAGGAGGGAAAAATGGATGTTAGCCCAGTTATTTGAGCTTCCTTCACTCTGAAACTTTCTAGATTATGTAAGTCATGGCTTTCAATTTTATGGTCTAGAGAGTATTTCTATAATTTTTATTTTGTGCTGTTTAGGTAAAAAGCAATCTTTATGTCTCCCATTTTGTCCTGAGAAGAAAGTCTGATTTAATTGGCCACCTACAAATTGCCAGAACCTATGTTAAACACCTTTACATATATAATCTCAAAGAATACTAGGCATTCACTGGGAGAGCAAAACAGAGTCATGTAGGAAGTAAACATGGTGGGTTGGTTGCATTATATAGTGATTACAGGTATGCAGCGGTCTTCTACAGGCTGACTAAATGAAATTTACAGAGACCACTGGCTTTAGGTTGCTTGCAGCAGCAAGTTATCTTCTTTTAAGTAAATCGTTATATTCTTTCTTTTTTAAAATAGCTCTTTTTCTTTTTCTGAGATTGAAGTCCACCACTCTACTAATCTTTACATGTCTGTGTAGATTTCTCACATATATAAAAAAGTACTACTTTAATTTGACCGAAAACATTACAATGAGAAGGAAACTAGGAGTTCTAACAAAGCCAGAAGTTCATCCCTCCAGATCATGGACATTTTCTACTACCCTGTTTCGAAAGTCTTGAAAGCCATAGAGAAAAAGAAAAAGCAATACCTTTTTCTTTACATATTATCAGGCTCTCGTTTCATTTTGCTAGGATGTATGAAGAGTAAATACATATATTTTTAAGTAAATGTTAAAGTTATTTTTATTGTACTTAGGAAACAAAATCAAATACTTATGTCATAAGTTGTATTATTGATACAGAACTTTCTGAGAGATTTTTATAGAGGTTAATTATTTTTATAATCAACAAAGTTTTAAGAGTCCACAAATTTTAGTGATTACTCAGACATACATCCTTTAGAATATCAGATCATTTAAAACTGAAAATGATTTTATTTTATATATGCATATTTATTAAGAGAAAAGCTAAGTAATTACTTTGGTTACATATTCATAGTTGATATTGATTTTTAAAAAAGAAAAAGGAAGTTGATGATATAATAATTTGTTCCTACAAGATTGAAGTATTTTAGTCTGACTTTGCTACCAGTCAGCTAGATGACCTTGGGCAAGCCACTTAACTTCTAGGGACCTCATTTTCCAATCAGAGCATTGGATCATATAATTTCTGTGGATCTCTGGAGCTCTAAAATTCTAATATCCTGAAAGTAAAAACGTCTGTTATATTTAATCTGTCTCTAAATAAAATGGGATTTAAATAGTCCTGGACAGATAGATATCAGTAATATTTCAAAACAAAGCAAGTGTATAAAATGAAAAATGTGTTTCCTAAATATGTGGTAATTTTTGTCACATTGAAGTTTTATTCAATATGAGGAAGTACTGAAAAAAATTTGTACTGCAAAAAAATACATCTTGAAGTCGTATAATACAACCAACTGACTATATTTACTTCCTACATGACTGTTTTGCTTTCCCAGTGAATATCTAGTATTATTTGAGATTACATATGTAAAGGTGTTTAACATAGGTTCTGGCAATTTGTAGATGGCCACTTAAATCAGACTTTCTTCTCAGGACAATATGGGAGCATACGGATGAAGATTGTTTTTTACCTAAACAATACAGTATAAAATTCATGCATGAGGGATCAGCTATAGAATTGGTAGCTTGTAGACAAATTTTTTGCAGTACTTCCTCATCTTGGTACCCCAAATATAAACTGTATGGTTTATGACTATAGTTTAAGTTCTTTTTAGGTCCAGCTGAAAACAAACCAATACCTGAAAAATTAATGGCATTCTTCATTTTGCATATTTCAGCCAAGGTTTTTATAATTTCTTAAAATATATAGTCTTAAACCACATACAAAACTCGAGTCTTTCTTCTTTCCTAAAGATTGTTCAAACTTAGACTGACAATATCTAGACTTCCCTGTAACAAAGCGACCCTCTTCTTTGTCCCCATGTAAGGTAATGCCTCATTTCTCAATCATCTCGACAGGCTTATGTTGGGCAAAAACATAGTGCAACTAAAAAGGTCAATGTATGTGATATGTCATTTTTGGTGCTTATGTATCTTCGAAGTATGGGTAAAACTTGTGAGACTCATCAAGGTGATAAGTAGAATGGCCATCTTTTCCTCATATTCTGGACCTCAAACTGTTCTCAGTTTAAGTTCTAATTCTGTTGTAAGTATTGTTCTATAGAAGGCTAAAGCCAAGTGATAATTTATTTCATAAGAAACTCATAAGAATAAAGACTTTATAGAGCAATAGTGTATGCTAATCATTTTTTCTGGAATTTTTCACATTCTGATACAAAGCAAGTATTAAGGAGAGTTGCTACACAGTTTGTTGAGTTAAAACTAATCTATACTTTGTATTCAATTCCCCAAGCATTAGATCACATTTTAAACTATATTTCAGGGCAGGAAATACATACATACAAGTTTATATGTTTTATATTTTATTAATTTATAAATTTCAGAGTCTATTTGAGGCAAATTTAATACATTCAGTAAATAATTTTGTGACTGTTTTTCGTCTTATTTTAGATAACTCATGGGAAGAACTGTGATATTTTGCTTTTTATACCTGTCCTATTATGAAATATGAAAATTCATATTTTTTCATGTAGACTTATCAGGAGAATAAGGATTGAAATTTGATTTTCAATAATTACGTTACTCATTAAATTTGCCTTTCAGTTGTCGCTGTCACTTAAAGCTTTTTGACTGTCATATTGATAGGAAAATAAAAATAATAGAACGCTATCCATAACCTTTGTAATATTGTCATAAATTTAAAAAATCAGATAATATTAACGATGTAAAGTGACATCAATTTCAGGAACTTCCTCCCGTTGTCCCTTTTCTTGACATCAGCACCATCCTGGTCTAGGCCCTTATTGTCTCATATTTGGCTCTTTACAGAAACGTTCCCAACTCTTCCCCCTGCATCCAACATCTCCTCCTCCATGTCCTTCTGCATTTTAATGCCAGATTAATTTTTATGACCAATTTTATTATGTAAAATTACTACATAATAAAACTATGTATTATTTTTAACAATTCGTAATAAAATTATGTATTATTTTTAATAATACGTAATAAAATTGTGTATTATTTTTAATAATACGTAATAAAAGTGTGTACTATTTTTAATAATACGTAATAAAAGTGTGCATTATTTTTAATAATACGTAATAAAAGTGTGCATTATTTTTAATAATACATAATAAAAGTGTGTATTATTTTTAATAATACGTAATAAAAGTGTGCACTATTTTTAATAATACGTAATAAAAGTGTGCACTATTTTTAATAATACGTAATACAAGTGTGCATTATTTTTAATAATACGTAATACAAGTGTGTATTATTTTTAATAATACGTAATACAAGTGTGCATTATTTTTAATAATACGTAATACAAGTGTGCATTATTTTTAATAATACGTAATAAAAGTGTGCATTATTTTTAATAATACGTAATAAAAGTGTGCATTATTTTTAATAATACGTAATAAAAGTGCATTATTTTTAATAATACGTAATACAAGTGTGCATTATTTTTAATACGTAATAAAAGTGCATTATTTTTAATAATACATAATAAAAGTGTGCATTATTTTTAATATTACGTAATAAAAGTGCATTATTTTTAATAATACGTAATAAAAGTGTGCATTATTTTTAATAATATGTAATAAAAGTGCATTATTTTTAATAATACGTAATAAAAGTGCATTATTTTTAATATTACATAATAAAAGTGCATTATTTTTAATAATACGTAATAAAAGTGTGCATCATTTTTAATAATACGTAATAAAATTGTGCATTTTTAATAATACGTAATAAAATTGTGTATTATTTTTAATAATACGTAATAAAATTGTGTATTATTTTTAATAATACGTAATAAAATTGTGTATTATTTTTAATAATACGTAATAAAATTGTGTATTATTTTTAATAATACGTAATAAAATTGTGTATTATTTTTAATAATACGTAATAAAATTGTGTATTATTTTTAATAATACGTAATAAAATTGTGTATTATTTTTAATAATACGTAATAAAATTGTGTATTATTTTTAATAATACATAATTGGGAGCCTTCCTTACTGCCCACCACTGAAGTTTAAGCAGCTCAGTCCAGCATCCAGTAGTGTCTACTATGCATCCTCTCTCCTCTTAACTCTTCTTTTATTTTGTTAGGTTTTTTAATGCCATATTTACTTAGTCCTATAATTGTATTATTATTTTTCTCTTATTTATTTTTATTTTTATATATTTTTTATTATACTTGAAGTTCTAGGGTACATGTGTACAACATGCAGGTTTGTTACATATGTATACATGTGCCATGTTGATGTGCTGCACCCATTAACCCGTCTAGATTACTTAAAAAGTCACTCGATCACATTACAGCCCTTAAATTCTTGTCATAGCACTTAGTCTATCTGGTATCTTCTTTTTTTACTCCCTATTTCTCTCCTTTCTTTTTAAAATGTCTCCAATTACCATAATGTAATTGTAGGAGTTTGGAGACTTTCTCCAACTTGTTCACTTACATATGCCTAGAAACTTGAACAATGCCTGAAACTAATAAGTGCCCTACAAATATTTGTTGAATAAACAAATAAATCAGTTCTTCCGTCTTGAGTAAACTATAATAAGTATTTCAATATGGATCCTTTTAGTCTTCTTTCTCTATACTTATTATGGTAATTTAAAAATTTTGAATCAACTGTTTTTACTTTATTGATTCATCTCAAAATCTGCTAATTACATAGCTGGAACCTCAGGGGTGATGATTCTGCATCCTCTCTTTCAAGAAGCTTAACATTGTTATGTGTGAATTTGATCCTGTCATTATAATGTTAGCTGGTTATTTTGCTCGTTAGTTGATACAGTTTCTTCCTAGCATCGATGGTCTTTACAATTTGGCATGTTTTTGCAGTGGCTGGTACCAGTTGTTCCTTTCCATGTTTAGTGCTTCCTTCAGGAGCTCTTGCAGGACAGGCCTGGTGGTGACAAAATCTCTCAGCATATGTTTGTCTGTAAAGGATTTTATTTCTCCTTCACTTATGAAGCTTAGTTTGGTGGGATATGAAATTCTGGGTTGAAAATTCTTTTCTAGCCTCTAGCTAGATTGGTTTGAAAGCCAGAGCTTTAATTTCAATTTTAGGAGTAATGATTGCTTTTAAAGAAGGTATGTGAGTGATGTCATTGGACTATTATTTTTAAAATATTTTTCTGACTTCTCTTTGTGAGGAAGACTGTAGCAGGGAGGAAAACTATTGTGGTGGTCTAGAGAGCAGATTATGGAGAACTGGACCATGATGGTAGCAATAAATAGAGAGAGATGGAAACATTCAGAAAATGTTTTGGAGAGTGGAGTGACAGCATTTGGTTAGAGATTAAATATGAATATTGAGAAAGACTGAGTAATCAGAGATCAGGTTGGAACAGGAATGGAGGGTTGAGGAAGGGTGGTATCCCTTCATGAAATGGAAGATTAAGGTAGAGTAGGTTGAATGCAGGGGGAAAATCACTGTTTCTGTTTGGTCCCATTAAATTTGTGATGCTGACTAAGCATCCAATTAGAGATGTAGAATAAGCACTTGTTTTTAATTTTGGAGTTCTGGGGAGATTAGCAGATGCAGAGCTGGAGAGAAACATTTTGGAGTTGTTGATATGTAGATTCTATTTATAGCCATGAGACTAAATAAGGTCACCTTGGAAGACAGTATAGCAAAGAAAAACAGAGAGAGAAGAGGAAAGAGAATTTTATTAGATACCTCAAAGGAGAAGAGCTACAAAAAATTTATAGATAACATCACAGGCAAACAAAAAAAGAAGAAAGGAGAAGGAGAAGGAGAAGAAGGAGAAGGAGAAGGCGAAGGTGAAGAAGAAGAAGAAAAAGAAGAAGGAGGAGGAGGAGGAGGAGAAGAAGGAGGAGGAGAAGAAATAAATTGTGATGTGATGTGTCTTGGTCTGTTCAGGCTGCTATAACAAAATGCCCTAAGGTAGGTAGCTTATAAATAACCACAATTTAGTTTTCACAGACCTAGAGCCTGGAAAGTCCAAGATCAAGGTACTAGCAGATTTGTTGTCTGGTGAGGGTTTACTTTCTGGTTCTTCAACATTTCAACATTGCCTTTTTGCCATGTACTCACATGGTGAAAAGGGGAAGCTAGCTCTCTGGACTCTACTTTATAAGGTACTAATTCCATTTAGGAAAGATGACAATTTTTTTTTGTTCCCCAGTACAAAGTAGTGTCTGTCCATAGCTTCAGTATTCAAACTATTTATTACTAAATAGCAACAATCCAATTTCTACTAGAACTTAGATAAGTTCCCTGAGAGAATTAAATTTTATTTATTTTCTATTCCCAATGTACTACCTAGCACAGTGTTTGATCAATAGAAGACATTTAATAAATATTATGTTTACAATGATATTATGAATGTCTAACAAGATGGGATCATATTTTATTCATCTCTATATCTCTGAAATCTAGAACAATATCTGGTTTAGATTATCCATTCTTTCATTTCCAGGGTATTTATTGAGCAACTACTATGTGGCTCACATAGTTCAAAGTGCCTGTAACTAAATAGCAAACAAGATGTCAGGGCTAACAGTCACATGGATACTGAATAAATGTCAGTTGTATTTATCTGTTTTTATATAAGTCAGTTAGAGCTCTGTCTTCCTATAAGCTTGGCATTATGGAAAGTTGTATCTCTCTTGATTCTATCCTTGCTTGCTACATTCCCTTGTCTGGGCACAGTAATTCTGATTTTGAAACTGGAATAACCACTGCTGCTCTTGTCATTCAGAGAGTATTTTTAGAATCAACATAAACCCCTTGTCTAAAATAATTCTAACCAAAGAAACAATTTCATTGACTAAGGTGGTATTGGCAATTATACCAATATAATTGCCAGTACTTAGATAGTATGCTACAATAAGGATGGTGATTTTTATTGTTTTGTTAACTTCTATATTTTCAGAACTTAGGGTAGTGCTTGGCATAGAAAAGTTGCCCCCCAAAATTTGTTGATCACATTTGTGAATAAAGATGTCTTGTATCAGCATTAAATAAAAGTTTTATGGATGAAATATTATGTAAAATCATTTTTGTGGAAATAATAGTAGTTATGGGAGCCAAAATATGCAATACAAAATGTAAAACAAACAGAAAATTTAGGATAATTTTATAATTAAAATATTTCTTGAGTTAAAAGGTAGAGGAGTTGGGTTCTGAGTGCTTTGCCACTAACTTGCAATATGACCTATGTCTCATCTTTTTAAACTTTATGAGCCTCAGGTTTCTCATCTGTGAATTAAGATGTTAAAATCGATTTTAAACTTTCTTCCAACATCATTTTTAAATCTAAATGATTGTTTAATCTAAAAGGAATGGTACCTGGTTGGAGTTATATAAACCCTCATTGAACTATTCTATAGGCTATCTCAATAAGTTATGAGCCATTTCCCCACATTCTAATTTGATTACTGTCTCATACTGGAATGAAGGTGGTAGATGAGCAAGCTGTAAGACAAACAGCAATGTTAACTTACAGGAAAAACTGTTTCCACATGAGACTTTAACTAAAAATGAAAATAAAACAAATAGCTAAGGGGTGGGGAAGTAGAAACGAAATAAGCTGATGCATTTTTGTCTCCATCTTATATGGTGCAATTGAATTTAGGTTATCAATATCAGGAAAAGGTTAGAACATAGATTGATTCAGGAAAGCTGACTTTCTTTTTTGAAAAATCTCTCTTAGAATTTCACATTTCTAACATACCAACTCTATTACTTATATTTTAATAGTGATAAATCTTAGTAGATATATTACTTATATTTAATATATAATAATTTCTGATAAATTTCCATAAATGGGTAGAACAATGCCTTTGAAGCCATAAAATAAATAACAGTGATATTTAGTTTCTTTCTGTGCTCAGTCCTCTTGAGAATTAACACTTGCAAAACACATAGCTCACGTTATTGAGGATTGCATTGGGGAAGTCTGCAATTGCCATTTATCAAATATACAGCTATTAGAAGCTTTCATTGGAAATGAGAAAGCTTGGACAAAAACAAAGATTTACTCTGGAGTCTGAAATAGGCAGACGAAGCATAAACAGTAAGCAATCTTTTCAGATTGATTTTATTTTGGCTCATGTCAACAGTCAGTGTCACTGATGTCTGGCTTTCCCCAGGATTCATGACATGAAATCTCTATATTAAGAAATCTTTGTAAAAATAAACAAACAGAAAGTACTTAATGTGTGTTCTTCTCATGTGATTCTGGCAATCTAGCACTAGGCATATTTTTATATATTTCATAGTTATATATCTGACTGTAACTTTTTTAAAGGATCTGATTCTGTGAATACATTTTAAGTGTATATAAAGTTAACTTAAATTCAAAATATATTCTGCTTGAATTATTTCAATTTTAGATGGTTACTAAAATACAAAACCACAAAAAATTATAAATATTTATGTTTGGATTTTCAGTAGAAACTTTTAAGAAGCAAACGACTTTGATTCATTATACTTTGGGCTGGTTAAGGAAATTAGGTGATTTGTATAATTCTTCTAAATCCCTTTTTAAGGGGTGAAATAAAAAGTTTATGACTAAAAAAAAAATGACCTCTCAAAAAATTCAAGACACTAATTTTTAAAGAAAAAGCCTATGATTAGTAAGTGACATAACTACAGTGAAACTAATTTTAAAATAAAATTTTAAATAAATTTCAAGTGCATCATATTCTTCTTGAAGCTAATTCTAGTTAATTTTCCAACTTTGTATCTGAACCTAGCCTCTGTTGTCTAAATGATTGATTTTGATGTGAGTTTCAACACTCGTATTGCATATTGATTTCTTTAGACATCTCCCTGATTTTTGATTCACGTCATTTCCAGGAAATTATAGAAAATTATTTTATTAGAGTTTATATTTTATATTTCTTCAATTCAAATGCTTCAACTATAGTTGTCTTGCTAAAAAAGGGCACCTTATTCAATAGCAAAATTATCCTTTCTATTTATACAGTTCTTCAAAGAATACACCCAGTCCTTAGATCTCCAACTTTAACTTCTCAGCTAGTTATCACCAAATTCACTGAGCTATTAATTCCATCTATAGATTTTTTTTTAGTATCTTATTATGTGTTGGGTGTTGTGATGGTTAATACTGAGTGCTGACTTGATTGGATTGAAGGATGCAAAGTATCGATCCTGGATATATCTGTGAAGGTGTTGCCAAAGGAGATTAACATTTGAGTCAGTGGACTGGGAAAGCAGACCCACCCTTAATCTGGGTGGGCACAATCTAATTAGTTGTCAGCGTGGCCAGGATATAAAACAGGCAGAAAAACATGAAAAGGATAGACTGGCTTAGCTTCCCAGCCTACATTCTTCTCCCATGCTGGAAGCTTCCTACCCTCAAACATCAGACTCTAAGTTCTTCAGCTTTGGGACTTGGACTGGCTTCTTTGCTCCACAGCTTGCAGATGGCCTATTATGGGATCTTGTGATCATGTAAGTTTAATACTCCTTAATAAATTCCCTTTATATCTATTTATCTATCCTATTAGCTCTGTCCTTCTAGAGAATGCTGACATACAGATTTTGGTACCAGGAGTGGTTCTAGAGGAACAGAATATTAAGGATGGAGCTTTTTCATTGGTTTTGGGGTTTCTAGAGTTGGCTGCTTAATATAATTAGGCCCCATAATGCTAAGGACTGTACTTCTAATAGTATAGAGAACACTTATAGTCTTTGGTATGAACTGTTTAGAGAGTTGTGCAAAATATATCCGTTTATCACTCCTGATTCACCGCTCATGAGAGGCAAGGAGTTTAGTGACTCTTATACATAATACCTTTGACAATATCTGGAGAACGAAGGAATACAACGAAATTGGTTGGTTGCTCCTAAGTTCACTGGACAAAGCAATGTAAGAAAATGATAGGCTCAGAAATTCTATCTCCCGGCTTCAGAAGCAGATACTGAGACTCGAATCTGCTAAAATTGCCCTGAGTGAGAGTCTTCCTTCCTGCAGAGAAAGAGCTGAAATTGTGGAAAAACAGTCACAAGCTCTTATCTTGCAAGTAGCTGACCTTCAATGAAAGGTGCATGCAAAGCCTCTCCAGGTGTCTACTGCTAAAGTGAGGGCATTGATTGGAAAAGAATGGGACCCTACAACTTGGAATATGGATTTGTAGGAGGACCCTGATGAAGCTGGGGACACTGAGCTTGTAAACTCTGATGAATGTTTTTACCAGAAGAAACAGCTTCCCATCCCCACTACTGACAACATCCCCTTCCCAACCCATGCTGACATCAGCCTTTCCACCTTTGTCTGAGTAGATAAACCCTGCACTGCCTGAGGCAACAGTTATGGCCTCCCCTGAGGCAGTTGCCAGGCATGATAATGTTGATTCTACTCAGGAGCCATCCCCAACACCCCTGCTTGCTTCTAAACCTATAACTAGACTAAAGTCCCAGCAGGCCCCTAGAAGTGAGGTTGAGAGTGTGACCCATGAGGTGGTGTGTACTACACTCGAAAAGAACTGCTTGAGTATTCTAATTTATATAAGCAGAAATCTGGAGAACAGGCATGGGAATGGATATTAATGATGTGAGATAATGGTGGAAAGAACATAGATTTGGATCAGGCAGAATTTATTGATTTGGGTCCCCTAAATAGGGATTCTGCATTTAATGTTGCAGCTTGGGGAATTAAAAAAGGTTCTAATAATTTATTTGCTTAGTTAGCTGAAATATGGATTAGAAGATGGCACAGTGTGAGGAAGCTGGAAATACCTAATCTTCCTTGGTTTAATGTAGAGGAAGGAATCTAAAGGCTTAGGGAGATTGGGATGGTGGAGTGGATTAATCACTTTAGAACTACTTATCCCAGCTATGAGGGTCCAGAAGATATATCCTTGAGCAATGCCTTGCAAAATAGATTTGTGAGGACAGCACCTGCATCTTTGAAGAGCCCTTTAACTGCTCTTCTGTGTATGTCAGATCTCACAGTGGGAACCACAGTAGCTCAACTACAAAATTTTAAAACAATAGGAATAATTGGAGCCCGAGGTGGTAGGAGCAAAGTGGTGACACTCAACCATCAAAGGCAAGGTGGGCCTAGCTACCTTAATGGGCCAGCAGAGGCAAAGCAGCAATCAGAATAGTCTGACTAGTGTAGAATTCTGGCATTGGCTAATTTATCACAGTGTTCCTAGAAGTGAAATTGATAGGAAGCCTACTGCATTCCTACTTAATTTATATAAGCAGAAAACTTCAAGGTTGAATGGACAAAAGACTAATTTGAATTGTAAAAACAGAGTATCCCTGCCCCTCAATCAATTTCCAGAGGTGAGCCAGTTTACAGACTCAAAACCCCTTCAATGAAGGTGAGGCCAGGTCCCCTTGAGGAAGGACCCTACTATACTACCAACAATTTATGCTCTTAATCTTTCTCCCATCCTTCCCTAAGGAGACCTCTGGCCTTTTACCAGGGTAACTGTGTACTGGAGAAAAGGAAAAGATCAGACATTTTGGGGACTACTGGACACTGGCTCTGAGCTGACATTGACATCCTTAGCATCTGGCAGAACCCCCACATTGACTCCCTGACTAGCAGGGTGAGGGCTATTATGGTGGAAAAGGCCAAATGGAAGTCATTAGAGCTGCATCTACCTAGAAAAATTGTGAATCAAAAACAATATCACATTCCTGGAGGGATTGCAGAGATTAATGCCACCATCAATATCTTGAAAGACACAGGGGTGGTGATTCCCACCACATCCCCGTTCAATTCTCCCATTTGGCCTGTGCAGAAGACAGATAGATCTTGGAAAATGACAGTGGATTATCATAAGCTTAATCAAGTAGTGACTCCAATTGCAGCTGCTGTACCAAATGTGATTTCATTGCTTGAGCAAACTAACACATCTCCTGGTATCTGGTATGCAGCCATTGACTTGGCAAATGCCTTTTTCTCCATTCCTGTCCATTAGGCCCACCAGAAGCAATTTGCCTTCAACTGACAAGGCCAACCTTTACTGTCCTACGATGGGGTATATCAACTTCCCAGCTTTGTGTCATAATCTTATTTGAGAGACCTTGATTGCTTTTGCTTTCACAAAATATCACACTGGTCCATTACATTGATGACATCATGCTAATTGGATCCAATGAGCAAGCAGTAGCAAACACACTGCACTTACTGGGGAGATATTTGCATGTCAGAGGATGGGAAATAAATCTGACTAAAATTCAGGGACCTCCTACTTCAGTAAAATTTGTAGAGGTCCAAAGGTATGGTGGCCTGTCGAGATGTTCCTTTTAAGGTGAAGGATAAGTTCCTGCATTTAGCCCCTCCCACAACCAAGAAAAAGGCCCAATGCCTGGTGGGCCTATTTGGATTTTGGAGGCAACACATTCCTCATTTGGGAGTGTTATTCTGGCCCATTTATTGAGTAACTCAAAAAGCTGCCAATTTTGAGTGGGGTCCAAAACAGGAGAAGGCTCTGCAACAGGTCCAGACTGCTGTGAAAGCTGCTCTGCCACTTGGGCTGTAAGACCCAGCAGATCCAGTGGTGCTTGAGGTTTCAGTGGCATATAGGGATGCTGTTTGGAGCCTTTGACAGGCCCTCATAGGTGAATCACAGTAGATAGAGGCCTCTAGGATTTTGAAGCAAGACCATGCCATTCTTCTGCAGATTACTACTCCCCTTTTGAGAGACAGCTCTTGGCCTGTTACTGGACTTTGGCAGAAGCTGAATGTTTGTCATCAAGTCACCATGTGACCTGAACTGACTATCATGAACTGAGTGCTTTCTAACCCATCTAGCCATAAAGTGGGTCGTGCACAGTAGCAATCCATCATCAAATGGAAGTGGTATATTTGGCTTGAGCAGGTCCTGAAGGCACAAGTAAGTTACATGAGGAAGTGGCTCAAATGCCCAAGGTCTCCATTCCTGCCACCCTGCCTTCTCCTCAGGCTGCACTGATGGCCTCATGGGGAATTCCCTATGATCAGTCAACAGAGGCAGAGAATACTAGGACCTGGTTGACAGATGGTTCTGCATGACACCCAGGCACCACCCAAAAGTGGACAGCTGTTTCACTAAGTGCCCCTTTTTAGGAAATCCCTGAGGGACAGCGGTAAAGGGAAATCTTCCCAGTGGACAGAACTTTGAGTAGCGCACCTGATTATGCACTTCTCAAGGAAGAAGAAATGGCCAGATGTGCAATTATATACTGATTCATGGGCTGTAGACAATGGTTTGGCTGGATGGTCAGGAACTTGGAAGAAGCATGATTGGAAAATTAGTGACAAAAAAATCTGGGGAAGAGGTATGTTGGATGGACCTCTCTGAGTTGTCAAAAACTGTGAAGGTATTTGTATCCCACGTGAATGCTCATCAAGAGATGACCTCAGCAGAGGTCTCTCCTCACTGGAATAGACATTCCAGATATTGGTTTGCCCATCTTGCACAAAATGCTTCTGCCAAAACTACCATTCATGGACTCATGGAATGCCTTATCTACTGTCATGGTATTCCAACAGCATTGCCTCTGATCAAGGAAATCACTTTATGGCTAAAGAAGTGTGGCAGTGGGCTCATGCTCATGGAATTCACAGGTCTTACCATGTTCTCCATCATCCTGAAGCAGCTGGATTGATAGAATGGTGGAATGGCCTTTTAAAGTCACAATTACAATGCCAACTAGTTGTCAATACATTGCAGGGCTGGGGCAAATTCTCCAGAAGGCCATGTACACTCTGAATCAGCATCCAATATATGGTACCATTTCTCCCATAGCCAGGATCCATGGGTCCAGGAATCAAGGAGTGGAAGTGGAAGTGGCACCACTCACCATCACCCCTAGTGATCCACTAACAATTTTTTTGCTTTCTTTTCCTGTGACATTACATTCTGCTGGCCTAGAGGTCTTAGTTCCAGAGGGAGGAATGCAGCCACCAGGAGACACAACAACGATTCCATTAAACTGGAAGTTAATATTGCCAACTGGACACTTTGGGCTTCTCCTGCCTTTAAGTCAACAGGCTAAGAAGTGAGTTACAGTGTTGACTGGGGTGACTGACTCAGACTATCAAAAATTAATCTACTTCACATGGAGGTAAGGAAGAGTATGAATGGAATACAGGAGATCCATTAGGGCATCTTTTAGTATTACCATGCCCTGTGATTAAGGTCAATGGGAAACTACAACAGCCCAATCCAGGCAGGACTACAAATGGCCCACACCCCTCAGGAATGAAGGTTTGGGTCACTCCACAGGAAAAAAACCACAACCTGCTGAGGTGCTTGCTGAAAGCGAAGGGAATACAGAATGGGTAGTAGAAGAAGGTAGTCATCAATACCAGCTATGACTACGTGACCAGCTGCAGAAACGAGGACTGTAATTGTCAAGAGTATTTCCTTCTCCTTTTGTTAAAAACATATTTGTGCATGTATACACTTGTACTAAGAAAATATCTTCATTTTATTTCCTTTTTCCTTTATCATGTGACAGAAGATTTATTGACTTTATATCAGCATTTAGGTATTGTTAACTTTATGGAAGAGTATTTGGGTTAGGGATTGGTGTGTTTCTGGTTGTACAAAGTACAGTTGTATTATGTTAGGTGTAATTATGACCTTGGCTTTATTTGAAAAGTGTGTATGATCTCAAGAGATGTGTATGGGTTCAAGCTGAGAAGGGCAGATTTGTGATGGTCAATACTGAGTGTCAACTTGATTGGATTGAAGGATACGAAGTATTGATCCTGAGTGTGTTTGTGAGGGTGTTGCCAAAGGAGATTAACATTTGAGTCAGTGGGCTTGGAAAGGTAGACCCACCCTCAATCTGGGTGGGCACCATCTAATCAGCTGCCAGTGAGGCCAGGATATAAAGCAGGCAGAAAAACATGAAAAGGATAGACTGGCTTAGCCTGCCAGCCTACGTCTTTCTCCCATGCTGGATGCTTCCTGCCCTCAAACATCAGACTTTAAGTTCTTCAGCTTTGGGACTCAGACTGGCTTCCTTGTGCCTCAGCTTACAGATGGCCTATTGTGGGACCTTGTGATCATGAGAGTTTAATACTCCTTAATAAACTCCCATATATATATATATATATATATATATATATATATATATATGTATATATATATATATATATATAGGAGTGTATATATATATATATAGGAGTGTATATATATATATAGGAGTGTATATATATATGGGAGTTTATATATATATATGGGAGTTTATATATATATATACACTTATGACAACTATATATATTTTATATATATAACTATATATATAATATATAGTTATATATATTATATATAACTATATATATAATATATAGTTATATATATTATATATAACTATAATATATAACTATATGTATTATATATATAACTATATATATTATATATAGTTATATATTATATATGTTTTATATATAATATATAACTATATATTACATATATAACTATATATGGTTATATATAACTATATATATTATATATAACTATATATTATATATAACTATATATTATATATAACTATATATTATATATATAACTATATATTATATATAACATATATTATATATAACTATATTATATATAACTATATATTATATATAACATATATTATATATAACTATATATTATATATAACATATATTATATATAACTATATATTATATATAACATATATTATATATAACTATATATTATATATAACATATATTATATATAACTATATATTATATATAACATATATTATATATAACTATATATTATATATAACTATATATAATATATATGTAACTATATATTATATATAACTATATATATAATATATATGTAACTATATATTATATATAACTATATATATAATATATATGTAACTATATATTATATATAACCATATATTATATATAACTATATATATTATATATAACTATATATTATATATAACTATATATTATATATATAACTATATATTATATATAACTATATATTATATATATAACTATATATTATATATAACTATATATTATATATATAACTATATATTATATATATAACTATATATTATATATATAACTATATATTATATATATAACTATATATTATATATATAACTATATATTATATATATAACTATATATTATATATATAACTATATATTATATATATATAACTATATATATAGTTGTCATGAGTGTGTGTGTGTGTGTGTGTATATATATATATATATATATATGTATATATAAAATCTGTCCCTCTAGAGAAACCTGACTAATACAGGCATTGTGCTGAGAAGACACTGTTGAGAAGCTTTCCTCTCTCATAATTTATTTCTTCTTGTTCTTCATTCATTCTTTTGTTCAACAAATATTTATTGAACTGCTACTTTGTGTCAGGTAAGTACCAAGTGCTGAGGTTTACATAGGAGGCTCTGGAAGATGAACAGGCATGAAGATTCAGGGAAACTTTCTGCATTATTTAGAGTCTTGCCTGCGATAACAAACCCAAGCCAGTTGTCTTGGTTTGCGTTTACCTAAAAATTGACCCTGAGACAAGGATGCAAGTGAAAGTAGTTTATTTGATAAACTAGTAGATGAGTGTGGAAGTAAAACAGGGAGAAGCGGGAGTCAATATAAAGTGTATACAATTAAGCCAATTACTGTGGGCAGTTACAATGTATACACTCTAGGGAACTCTGAGAAAAGTGGTATACAACTGAGTTACCTACCTTACCCCATCCCAGGGTGAAAAACCTAGTTTTTATCCACCAACTCCTTGTCTGTTATTGCTGATTTGGCGGATATTGATTCTTTGAAACTTCTACTTTGTTGTATGCATGTCTGAGTATGCTTTTGTGACTGAATAAAGCCTTTAGACCAATAAGGGCAGATATTCACATTGATTAGTCTTTGGTGTATATGACTATCACAGGTATATTCACAGGATATGAATGAACTTTCTTTAGAGAAAAGACTTCCCATTAAATAAGTCCTGTGTTGAAACCCCTCTGTGCTCAGTCCTCCTGAAAGTTCTCTCTGGTAAGGAGCTATAAGTAGCACATCTCCAGGTTGCCATACCATGTGACCATGGCTGCCTTGTTTCCATTATTGTGAAATCTTGACAGAACCCTTCCTCTCACTCACTTCCTACCACATTACTCCAACATAATATTGTGTACATGGGTGTGAAGTTATGCTTCGTGACCAATTTCTCACTTTAGAAGCCAGTCATAGGCTCCATCTTTTTCTTGATTATTTGAGAAAAGCAAACACATAAACAAACATCTTAAGACTTTCAATTGTTACAAGGTTATGAGTTCCAACGTTTCTTAGAAAACCAAGAAATTTTCTAAGAGGCATAGGATTCTGATGGTTGTTTAATGGAGGATGTTAAAGGTGATGATGAGAGGGAATGTCCTGAGCAGTGACAAAGGCAGAATAAAATATGTGTTAGAAGAATCCAGAAATAAGGAGGTGAAGATATCTACTTTTATAAAGGCAATCTAGCTCAACTTCTCCTATTAAGAAACAGATGAGAAAAATTAGGCATAAATTCACTGGGTGCATTACAGACATTGTCAGGCCCAGTTCTGTGGTCTCCTGACTTCCCTTTGTCATTTGTGTTCTGCTCTGCACCCTTACTTCCGAAGTGGGTATCTCTTTTGTATAGGACTTTTCCACCAATCTTTACTAACTAATTAATTCTATTTGGAGGTCATATTCTACAAAAGAAACTGAACAGATATAAAGTGATTTGGGGTGTGAGAGGTCAAACTGAGGAGGTCATTTTGCTGGAAAATGAGAGATTTTGTTATACCAATAAAGCATAATAATTGGTGACTGAGAGCCATAATGCCTTATGCTCTGGTTAACCTAATCAACAGAATCTGCAAAATATCAATCCATTCACTGCTTACCCTAGGAGGTGCTTTTGGGGAAATGCTAGGCTTTCATATTAATTGGAACAAATTTCATGTAATGGGTTTTTCTAAATGGTCTGGTGCTTCACACTGTCAAATCTTCATAGTCCAGATCTTGAGAATCACTCTC
Source organism: Homo sapiens (assembly GCF_000001405.40). NCBI lineage: Eukaryota > Metazoa > Chordata > Mammalia > Primates > Hominidae > Homo > Homo sapiens. Next base: position 77,588,554 of record NC_000006.12, on the reverse strand, counting down.
TTGGGTATAATGATGCAAACAGCTTCATCTTCCCTAAGTTGTCCACCTGAGGTATAAGTGGATCGCTGCATGAATCATAAGTAATAGGAGTTTGCTACTCTTTTCCCGATTGTTGTTAAGCAGAAAATAAACTGCAAAGCTAAACGCTTGCCCCAGGCTTACTTACATCTTCATGTCCTTACATCTGAGAATTCAGGTGTATTTTCAACAAGTTTACAGCCTCATAAGACATTAATATGGCCCTTTGGTTGCAATAATGTTCTGTCAAGTGCAGTGTTCTCAGAATGGCACCACGTGTACTATTAAAAGTACATCAAATCTCTCTCAGGCCCTGCCAGCCACTATCATCAAGCTTGTTTCAGGAGAGCTGTTTCAAGAGGTTGCTGATTCTTAGTATCAATAACAAGAAGCCAAGAGAGAGGGCTGTTTTCAATACTGAAACTGTGTCTTGTTTTGCAACAGAAACTGATAACCCTGAGTAGGATCCTCAAAAGAGAGAGGGTAACTGGTACAATTAGGTAACAATAAAGGCATCATGTCAACTCCAGTACAAAGATGAAAACTATTAGTGGATTTTAATATTTTAATATTTTAAAGACAAATCCACTATTTTGCACCAACTAGATTGGTGCAAATGTAATTGTAGTTTTGGACTGTGAATTTTAAATCATTATAACTAGGCTCAAACACATCTTATTAATCAAAATAGGAACGATTATAATCAACATATTTTTCCCAATGAGAAATAAATGTGTTTATTCTTGTAGTGCAAAAATTGCACTTCAGGATTCAGTGAACTCTTGGAAAGCATTTTCTGCATCCTGCTGGTTGTAGAAGCGTTTTTCCTTTAAAAAGATGTTGATACACTTGAAGAAGTGGTAGTCAGTTGGCGAGAGGCTAGGTGAATATGGCCGATGAGACAAAACTTCATGGCCCAATTTGTTCAACTTTTGAGACACTGGTTGTGCAACTTGTGGTCAGGCATTGTAGGAGAGAAGAACTGGGCCCTTTCTGTTGACTGCAGACGTTTCGCTTTTTGGTACATCTCATTGAATTACTGAACATACTTCTCAGATGTAATGGCTTCGCCGGGATTCAGAAAGCTGTAGTAGCTCAGCCAGGCAGCAGACCACCAAACAGTGACCGTGACCTTTTTTTGGTGCCAGTTTGGCTTTGGGAAGTGCTTTGGAGCTGCTTCTTGGTACAACCACTGACCTGGTCATTGCCGGTTGTCGTATAAAATCCACTTTTTGTCGCACATCACAATCTGATTGAGAAATGGTTCAGTGTTGTTGCATAGAATAAAAGACAACACTTCAAAACGAGAATTTTTCTGATTTTCAGTCAGCTCATGAGGCACCCATTATCAAGCTTTTTCACCTTCCCAATTTGCTTCAAATGCCGTAGAGTGGTTCACATTGAGTTCATCGACAACTTCTGTTTTGTTTTTTGTTTGTTTGTTTTTTGAGACAGAGTCTCCCTCTGCTGGCCAGGTCAGAGTGCAGTGGTGCAATCTCAGCTCACTGCAACCTCTGCCTCCTGAGGTCAAGGGATTCTCCTGCCTCAGCCTCCCGAGTAGCTGGGATTGCAGGGGCCCACCACCACACCCAACTAATTTTTGTATTTTTAATAGAGACGAGGTTTCACTGTCTCTATTAATGGATTACTTTACAATCCATTTTCACCATGTTGGCCAGTCTGGTCTCAAACTCCTGACCTCAAGTGATCCACCGCCTAGGCCTCCCAAAGTGCTGGGATTACAGGCATGAGCCACTGCGCCCAGCCAGGAACTTCTGTAGTTGTAAAAGGATCAGTTTCGATGATTGCTCTCAATTGGTTGTTGTCAACTTCTGATGGCCGACTACCATGCTCCTCATCTTCAAGGCTCTAGTCTCCTTTGCAAAACTTCTTGAACCACCACTGCACTGTACATTCGTTAGCAGCTCCTGGGCCAAATGTGTTGTTGATGTTTCGAGTTGTTTTTGCTGCTTTACAATCCATTTTGAACTCGAATAAGAAAATCCCTCAAATTTTCTTTTTGTCTAATGTCATTTCGATAGTCTGAAATAAATATAAAATATATAGCAAGCAATGTCATTAGCAAAAAAAGTGAGAAATATACCCTAAAATGATGAATAACATAACCATATTTATTTAAGAATGTATTCCAATATCAAATGGCAAATTTTAACAATGCAAAACTGCAATTACTGTTGCACCAACCTAATAATTGGATCAGGGTTGTGCTAGCTTGTCTTGATTTTTCTGTTCTGTTTCCCAATCTTACTTAGGAAAATGTGCCTCTTGCTTAGGAAAACGTGCCCAGGTAGTTGTAATACCTTTTATCAAATAGTAAATGTTTAAGAGTAAGTAAAAGAATACTCAGACATGAGTGGCTCACTTACCATTGTGTGTGTGTGTGTGAATGTCTGTGTGTGTGTGTGTGTGTGTGTGAGTGTGGTGAGAACACTTGAGATCTACCCTCTGCTAATTTGAAGTATATAAGACAATATTATTAACTGTAGTCACCATGTTGTATATTACATTTCCAGTACTTATAATCTTTTAACTAAAGGTTTGAACCCTCTAATCAATAGCTCCCCCTTTTCCCCACATTCAGTCCCTGGTAACCACCATTCTATTCTCTGTTACTATGAGTTCAACTATGGTAACTATGTGAGGTGATTGATATATTAGCTAGCTTAATTGTGGTAATTATTTCATAGTGTATATGAAATATATATATTACGTATATCTCACATTATCATTACATATACATAGTGTATATGAAATATATATATTACATATATCTCACATTTATTAATCATACCTTACTAAAGCTGCAAAAAAGAGTGGCTCAGGCAGCAAAAACATTATCTCAAATAGCAAGAAATCAGAAAATAGGTGGTTCCAAGGTTTATTTAGATATTTAATTAAATTATCAATGATTAAGGGTCTTTCCATCTTTCTAATCTACCATCCAACATTTACTCTGCTATGGTTACTACTATGGTTGGCCAAAGACTGTGTTGACCATTTATTAATTTAAACAATTCAAGAAACAAAAAATCCCAGATTCCCTTTGGATTAAATGCTAATTTATAAAATTAGAAAAAGAATATAGATTAATACTTTTAAGACTTTATTTTAGGAAAGAAAATAACTCTTTAAAAAGTCAAAAATTTTAAAAATATTTAAAAAATATTAATTTGACTGTATTAAAATATTTTACATATCAAATTGTTATGAAGAGAGTGAAGATTTAAGCCACAAATTAAAAGATATTTGTAACACAAACAGCCAACAAAGAAATAAATTAAAAATATATATGTTATAACAATGAGTCAATAAGAAAAATACAAACATTTCAATAAAAAATTGACAAAAGGTACGATCAAGCATTTTACAGCAGAGGCAAAAGAAAAAAAAAAAGTCCTTAAGAGACATCCAACTTCTTTAGTAATTAGGTCATTAGTAATTAAAGCTATAGTGTGATTTCATGGCTGTTATGAACTGAATGTTTTTGTCCTCCTGAAATTCATATGTTGAAGCTCTAACCCCTAATATGATGATATTTGGAGATAGGGGCTTGGGGAGGTAATTAGGGTTAGATTAGGTCTTGAGGGCGAGGCTTTTATGATGGGATTAGTGGCCTTTATGATGAGAGAAAGAGAGTGCAATTTCTTTTTGTAAGTGCACACCCTTGCCAGGTGAAGATATAGCGAGATGGTGGCCATCTAGAAGCCAGGAAGAAGGCCCTCACCAGAACCTGACCATACTGGCACTCTGATCTTGAACTCCCAGCTTACATAACTCTGAGACAATAAATTTCTGTGTTTAAGCCACTGAGACTATGGTATTTTGTTATGGTAGCGTGAGCTAAGACAATAGTATACTTCAGATAGACAGCTATTTAAAAATCGGATTATATTATATGTGTGTTGGTCAATTTGTGAGCTAAAAGAATATTCACTACTGGTAAGGGTGTAAATTGGAATAATCATGTTAGAAAATAGTTTAGCATTCACTAGAAAAATTGAAAATGCAAATAATCTTACCTTTAGCTTTAGAAACTTACCCTAAGAAAACACTTCCAAATGCCCCAGGGGACAAGCATATGAATGTGTAAAACAGCACTGCCACCATGGACAAAGACTAGAAGGAGCCTAAATGTTCATCAACAGTGTAATTGATAAATATATTTTAATACATTGTACACATAAACTGCCACTAATAATCAACAGGGTTAATGTCAAAAAAAAATCTAGAATGAAAGAAGCAAGCCACAAGATATTTATTTCAATGTGATTTTATATAAAGATCAAAAGTATAAAAACAGTTTAGAAAAACATGATTAAGGCACAATTTACATACAATGAATTGTACATAAATCTGATAGGTTTTGACATATGAATATATCTGTTAAACCATAACCAAATCAGGACAGTGAAGATAACCATCACTCCAAGAAGTTTCTTTCTACCCTTTTGTAATTCTTCCTCTCCATCTCTGTCTGCTTCACATTGCTCTATTCCCAAGTCACTACTGATCTGCTTTCTGTTGGTATATATTAGTTTCCCTTTTCTACCATTTTGTACACATAAAATCATACAGTATATATAGTTTTTTTGGTCTAGTTTCTTTCACTCAGCATAACCATTTTGAGATCATCCATATTGTTGTATCAATAGCACATCTCTTTATTTCTGAGTGATATTCCATTGTATGGATATACTATTATCTTTTTAATCCATGTACCTGTTGGCAGACATTTTCATTGTTTCCAGGTTTTAGTTATTATAAGTAAACTTGCTATGGACTTTCTTGTACAAGTCTTTGTATGAACATGTATTTTCTTTTCAAGTGAAACAGTTAAACCTATGCTAGATGTATGCTTAACTATTTAAGAAGCTACCAAATTATTTTCCAAAGAGATTGTACCATTTTACACTTTCACTAGGAGAGCACTCTTGTTCCTCCATATTTTTGCCAACACCTGGTATGTTCAGTCTGTTTTATCTTAGGCATTCTGATAGGTGTGTAGTATTGTTTCACTGTGATTTTAATTTGCATGTCTTTGGTGATTGATGACATGGAGCATCTCTTCATATGTTTGCTTGCCATCCCTGTATGTTCTTTGGTGAAATGTCTGTTCAAATCTTTTGCTTGTTTTCAAAATTTGCATGTCTTTATTTCTTATTGTGTTTTAAGAGTTCTTTACATAATCTGGATACAAGTCCTTTATCAGATGTAAGCTGCAAAAATATTTATTTCTAGGCTTTTTATTCTCTTGTGTCTTTCAAGGAGCAGAAGTTCTTGATTTTGATGAAGTTTAATTTATCAATATGTTCTTTTAGGAATTACTCTTTTGGTATGATATATAAAAAAATAATTTGAGAAACCCAAACCACAAAGGCTTTCTCTTATATTTTCTTCTAGAAGTTTTATGGTTTTAGGTTTTATTATGATCTATTTTGAATTTTTAAAATATATATGAGGCATAAATAAAAGTCCATGTTTCTTTTTGTATCTGAATATTCGATTATTTCAGTACCATTTGTTGAAAAGACTCCTTTCTCTACTATAGTACCTTTGCACTGCAGCCAAAAACTCAGTTGTCCCTATCATGTGGGTTCATTTCAGGATTATTCATTCTAAAACAATTTATTGTAATATTTTATTTTATTTTTTTGGAACAGCATTTAGCTCTGTCACCCAGGCTGGAGTGCAATGGCATGATCATAGCTTACTGTAACTTTGAACTCCTGGGCTCAGGTGATCCTTCCACTTCAGCCTCCCAAGTAGCTAGGACTATAGGCATGTGCCACCACTCCTGGATAATTAAAAAAAAAATTTTTTTTTTGTAGTGATAGGAGTCTTACTCTGGTGCCCAGGCTGGTCTCAAACACCTGGCATCAAGCGATTCTCTTGTCTCTGCCACCAAAAGTGCTGGGATACCAGTCATGAGCCGCTTCGCCCAGGTAAAACAGTTTATTTTAAAACAATTCATAGGTAAGTGGTGAAACTAGAAAGCAAACAAGCACATTATTCAAAAGAATTTTTAAGACCAGTAACCCCAAGCTGATGTTCTCATAGGTTCCATTAGCCGAAACCAGTTTACATGGCTTTCTCCAATACAATCATTGCCAAAATTGTATTGAACTTCTATGTGTTGCAAGATGACCAAAGCCATTTTCTCTTCATAGCTGCAATCCCATTCTTCTATAGTTTGCTTTGTGATGCTGGGCTGGGATTCTGCAAGCATTTCTGCTTGTCTGGCTTCTCCCCTATTAGGTCCTGAGACTAGAGGAAACCAGAAAACCTTAGGAGAGAGAAGAGATACGTGACTTCCTTTTACGTATCCTTCTGTTACCATCCCAGGCAATGGGTCCCTCCACAGTCAATTGATTCAGTTTTCAGGTGGTTTTCCACAGTTTCGGACTAGCCTCAGAGTAACTGGAACTTGCCCCCTTCTCCAAGGTCTGAGAACAGCTCTCTTCCCAGCATCTAGGTTCTCATAACCCAAACTCTTCCCTTGTTTATTCAAGACCTGCTGTTGGAGGCCTGTAATTTTCTATCATTGTAACCTCCCTATTCCCTTTTTGCCTTGTAGTCTCTCAACTTCTTCCAATTAACCAATTCTATGTATAAAATTCACTCTTCTAAATAGCTGTAGTGGTTTTAGTTTTACTGATTTGATCTTGATTTTGTGTCATTCACATTTTTTTTTCTGGAAGATATGGATATCCTCAAAAAGAAAGAGATACATGAGGACTACTACATAAATTTTTCATTTTTTTTAACAGAAGGTGTGTTACAATAAGAGCACGTCTTAGACCAAATTTTGCCATATACTTCAACATTTATTAGCCAGCAGGAATGAAAATACTCATACAATCAATTCTGTAACTCAATGAAGTCCCAGTTTCTGTTCTTGTAAGTACTTGACAAAAACATTTCATAAGACAGGGTTCCATGGAGGCAGTTTCACCATTGTGTAATAGCAGGGTTCTGCTAACCTTCTAGTCAGATCAGGTGAGAAGATCTTCCACAAATATTTTCACACAGTTATTAAGCATAAGTTAGGACTAAGTCTCAAGTTCTAAGGACAACAGACTACTGGGATCACTAGATTTTTCTACCCTTTCCATGAAATGATGAAAAGCCCAACCCACTACTATTAATTAGAGATAACGGTAGTGGAAGCACTTACAGTAGATACTCTGAAATGTTGGCACCTGAATAGAATCTTTCAACTTCTAACTATTCACACCTAGATTATGTGTATTTCAAATGATAACAACCCCTAGAGTATATGAAAAAATAATATATATATATACACAAAGAACATATATATATACATATACATAATACACATACAATGTCATGACAAATCATGACATTGTAAATTTTATTTGATGATGATGTATTAGATGATAAATTATACTCAGTATAAAAGGAAGCATGGTTCATTCCCTGAGGCTGGAAGAAGAGACTTCTTTCCCTTAACACATTACTCTCCCCTTGCGTAAATAATACTGGGGTTCTGTTATCAAGGCCAACAATATATGCCTGAAACCTAACTGGATTTATAAATATTTTTACATTAGGCTGGTAAAATTTAACTTTGTTTATTTACATTAGGAAGATTACAATTTTATTTATTACTCCAGTTAAAATTTTCCAGCTTTCTTCTAGGATACATTTCTGTTGTCTTAACACACTATTAATAACAATCTATTTTATTTTTCATAATGATCAGGGTTGGACAACATGGTCGTACTAATTCTAGTAAGTAGAATAATAACATGAATGGTGATATCTATTTTCATTGTCAACATGTTAAATTACGTGGGTAGGCATATGAAATGCTGTATAGTCTAAAAATATTTTTTTAAAGTTGAAGGGTGATTATTCAAATAATTTTTCAGAACGGCATCAGATTTTACTACAATACTTGTCTAATCCTCTACATACATGTATGTATACACGTATGAGTTTAAAGTATTTTTTCTCTGTGTGTTGGGAGAATGTGCTATGTAATTAAAATAAAAAATTGAAATTGATGAGAAAAATCTGTTCTCTGTTTCCAACAAATGAAATGTCAATGTGTTCTTAGATTATATATGAGAGTTTTCAACCAAAAAATGTAAATTGATTAGGAGTGATTTAATTCAACTCACTGCATCTGTACTAATTATATAAACTAAGAAATCATCTTTACTCAGAAATTTGAAAATCTGCTACAATGTAAATGAAAGCATAAGCAGCTAAAACCTCTGACTTTTAATTGAGCTTATCAAAGCCATATAAAGAAATTAAAGAAGGAAAAAATATGTAAAAAACCAGAGAAACCTTTAAAAGTTCAAATAGTGGAAAAGAAGAGGTTATGAAAAACAGGTTCCTTGAAACTACAATAATTAGACTTGACTAACAGCTGAGCAAAAAGTGAAACATAAAACCTAAGAGAAAAAATTACTGCATCTGATTTACATGGAGGGTATCATATTTGTAAAAAAGGCTTGGAAACAATTTTTTTCTCCAATTTTGCATACATGAGAGAATAGAAATATGTATGATGTTCTATTAGCTTTGAGGTGTAGACCTCTTGAGTTTCTCTAAAGTGCTTAAGAGAAAAATATTTGAAGAAGCTCTGAAGATAATTTTAAAATGTCCTTAAAGATGAAGTCCAATGTTCTTGGGATGCAGTTGAAGGAAATGCCTTCTAATCCCAACTTTTAAAATTAATGGGTCTGGAAACACTAAGTCTAACACAATTTTCAGTCCTGTCTTTCTGCCCTTTCTTGTATAGGGCAGTGTAAAAATAATCTACAGTCCCTTCCCTTTCATCAAGTTTATAAAGATAACAGGCCATCATGCTTATCTCTGCTGATCAGGCCAGGTGTGAGGACGCTAGGCTTCTGTTTAATTTTCAGAGCTGGACCAGCTCTTCTACCAAAGGTCATTGGTGACAAAAGATTTTGATTTCCCTTATTCACTGTAGAACTATTTATTGTAAAATAACCCCTATAATTGAAATTAAAGGGGATTTACTTTGTCTAGCCTTAAGAAGATAAAGCTTAGAAAAGTGACATAATTTCTTTCTGTAGTCTATTCTATGAAGTGGTTTTTCAGTTCCATTAAAGATTGAGGCAAAAAGTATAGAGCTAAAGAACAAGATAAATGTATGGTAGACATTAGAAACTTTTGAATTTTGATTTGGGAATAACTAGGAATCATTTGTCAGATGTTTGCTTTTCTGAAGATATTTTTAAAAGAGTACCCAAATAATCATTTTCTGGAGAAGATTGGAGTACTATTTTGCTGGCCCAGAGTAAATAGTTAAATAATAATGCTATTATTTTGAAGTTGAATATATACAGCATCTATCTTGTTATTTACCTTTGAAGGTACTTTATAACTATAAATAAATTTTATGAGCCTAAATTTATCAAACGTACCTACCAACCAATGAAAACAATATGACTTTTTTGAGGAATTCAAATTCCTCAGTGGCACACATTAAGTTTATAGTAACTTGAACATTTAAACTGCTTTCTGTGTGAATGTGTGAGTGAATGGGTATATGTGTTTGTCTTGAAAGCATAGCTATGCTAATAGCTTAACTTGATCATTTCAAAACATTTACATATATCAAAACATCACATTGCACACCAGAAATGTATACAATTTTATTTGTCAGTTATACCTTATAAGGCTGAAAAAATAGTAAAGTTTTATTTCAAGGAATTTGGAAACTACAGCAATTTATATAGAATTTCTTAAATTTCATTTACTTTCAACTCAAAGACGTTTCTTAGCATTGTGATACACTGTATTCCTTTAATATGCATATGACTATTCTTCTGTCTAGGGAAGTTGTGTGTTTTTGTTTTGCATCAAAAGTAAAATATCATGTAAATAATTTTGTTTTCTAATTAACTAGTTTTTAATAAAATTATGTATGATTTTAAAAAAGCCTCAAATCAAGAATATCCTGTTTCATCTAGCTAAGTGGCTACAGAAAATAATAACAAAAAGTAAGTTCTCAAGCTGCTGTGCAAACTTGGAGGAGGGCAAGGAGTGTAAGGAATATAAGGAAATAATTGTTTTGAACTTGAACATTAACATATCCAATTATTTGGTGATTTCTTAGTGGGTCAGACATAAAACTAGAAGGTAATAACAACTTGTTCCTCAACAAGTTTAAGTCTTCATTGTTTGACAGAAACTAATAAAAGGTCTTATACCATTATAAGATGTTTTATCTGGCCATTAAAAAAACCCCCAGCTTTCTCATTTTTTACCTCTGGCAGATAGTCTCTCCAAGTAGGCATATTTATTTAGTTTTGGCTATTGAGTCCCATATTTAACTTTTAATTTTATTGCTGGCATTTTATCTTCAGTTGTAAGCACAAAAACATTTCAAATCCTGCGTTATCATGTTCTTTCCATTAGTGCAATTACAGCAATATGCTAGCTACTGTAGCCATGTGATTGTTCAAAGATATTTAGCTATTGGAGTTTATCAAAAAAAGAATTTGTTTTGTTTTGTTTTAAATAGCCTTGGTAGCATCTTTCTTCAGAATAGCCAATGAATGATGTCATTGAAAAGCATATCCTTGTAAAGAATGGAAAATGTCTTCATAAAATGGTTACTTTTGAAAGATGTTGGCATGTTCTTTTTTTTTTTTTTTTTGAGATGAAGTCTCGCTCCGTTGCCCAGGCCGGAGTGCAGTGGCGCGATCTCGGCTCACTGCAAGCTCCGCCCCCGGGGTTCACGCCATTTTCCTGCCTCAGCCTCCCGAGTAGCTGGGAATATAGGCGCCCGCCACTACGCCCGGCTAATTTTTTGTGTATTTAGTAGAGACCGGGTTTCACCGTGTTAGCCAGGATGGTCTCGATCTCCTGACCTCGTGATCCACCCGCCTCGGCCTCCCAAAGTGCTGGGATTACAGGCGTGGGCCACCCCACCTGGCCGGCATGTTCTTAATTGTTACTCTATGTGCTATGCAACATTTAGAGAAACTGAGTACGTTTCAGCAATAGCTTTTACAGGAATCTAAGTCCTTCATTTACTTCTGCTGTAGCTTCGTTTTTGTGAAGTTATGCGATTTTTTACAAATGGCTCAATTATCAGTGTGTTATTTTTATACATATATTTATAAAATATATTACAGTGTTTTATAGATAACATTCTTTGTTATACTCATCTCCTTGAACACGTTATAAAAAATTAGCAAAATGAGAAGATTCATCAAATATCCAGAATTATAAAAATGTCATACAATCTCTGTTTTTGAGCTGATCAATCAAGAAAGGTAGGTGGAGATTTTTGTAATCTCCTTGAACTGTAGTATCAGTGTTACTGATTTTTATAGTCACCTGCTCGTCTTATCTAGGTTTTACAGTATTAGCAGCACACATTTAAATAGCTCTCCCCAGTCCATAATAAGTGCTTCTCCTAATACGTTGTGATATCTTAATTCGAACTATGCTATAGGTACACTTTTATTACCTAATTGAAATGTGTTTAGGGAACCATTTCAGATCCTCTGAGGAATCCCAAATTCTATAGAATATTGCTAGTAAACTGGTCTAGGTGAAACTCAAAGCTTTTGCATTTATTAACAAAAGTTATTGTCCATGTAAATATCTACATCTACACTGATATGTTTCTAATCAGTTTGTATTTGAAATGTGGTATTATTCCATAACTGTTAAAATATATCAAGTCAGTCTATAGAAAGGCAGAATAGACTGATTTTGAGAGAGATAATAGGATAACTCATCTGTGGATTGTCAAAGCTGGATCCTAAAGAAGTTCTGACACTAACTATGATGTTGGAAAGATCATATTAAACCAGCATAACTCCAAAGTTAGTATGGCCTTAGATATTTCCACAAAGAAACGTTATCAATCCACCTACAATAAACCTCATGTCCTATACTTACAAGATCTCTGTATATGGAAAAAATCTCTACTTGGTTTATTTTCCTACTAAGAAATGATAGAGAAAAGATCAATAATCAATAATCTTTTATTCCCAAGGACAGGAGCCTATGGACTACAATAGATATAGTGTAAGCAGTTTTTTTGTATGATTTGGTTTGTTATATCAGCATAAAATTGAAAAATATATACTGATGTATACTAGTGAATGTACTTGCTCTGAAAACCAAAAAAAACAAAAAAATAGAATAGTAAAAATAATCTCTGCTGGAAATGCAGAATCTGTTTGTATTTTGAGTTTTATTAGTTTTAGATCTATGTATATATTTCAGATGTGTACAATTTACTACCACTTGGTTTCATTGCAGGCTCTGTCAGATGCACGATCAATCTGTGCTTTTATATGGAGTGTTATGGTGTCTAACGTTCTATTATCTAAACTGTGGTTATTCAACCGGATCAAGAGTTCTTACATGAAAAATCGTCTCTATTTCCAAATGAAAGACAGAGATAAGAATTATGAAAGCAAAAGAAAAAAATAATAAAACTGTTTATTGATATAGTCCTTTAAAATGTATTACTATCAGGCATAAAAATTGGAAAAATATACATGCTATTTCCTCTGCCTTAAATCCCTTTCTAGGTACTCTTGGTTGGCAAAATCTGACCAAAATATAAGGTGCAAATTAAAAATAAATTCCTCTATGAATTTTCCTGACATCCACTAGGCAAAGTCAGGCAGCTTTTCTTTTTGCTTTTACATGAATCCAGATTGGGCTCAAATAGGGTTCAGACATTTCTGGTAGTATTTGATCAAGTCTTGGGTGTGGACTGGAAGAGTAAGTTTGCTTAAGCATTTTAAGCAGCATATTGGATTCCTAGCGCTGCTCTACCAAAGTACCACAAGCTGGATGCCTTAGAAATACACATTTATTCTTTCACAGTTCTAGAGGCTAGAAGTTCAAAATCAAGGTGTAATCAGGGCCATGCTTCCTCTGTAACTTTGGGTAGAATCTTTCCTTGCCTCTTGCTCATTTCTGATGGTGGCCAGAAATCCTTGGCACTCCTTGGCTTGCAGCTCGTAGGGGCCAAAAGAAAACTTTCCTTTGTCTTCTGTAGGCTCACCAAAAATCAACTGACAAATGGCATATTAATAGGATATAAGCATAATTATTTATTAGTGTGCCCGAGGTGGGTGGGGGGAATCACAGAGTGACAACTCCACCAAACCATGGGTTACAGTTGCTTGTATACACTACATTTTAGGGGAAAGAGAGATGGGAAGTGTGGATGGTTTTAGGGGGCAGTAAATGATTTTTAGGGGAATTCATAAATATGAATTCCTCTAAAATACCTACTTGGAGAGACTCTCTGCCAGAGCTAAAAAGTGAGAAAGCCGGGTTTTTTTTCATGGCCAGATTGAACATCTTATAATTCTTTAGGGGAAGAACATATAATGGCCTGGAACAAAGTCTGTTGGATGTGCAGAGCAGACACTGATTTGTGACAAAAGTCAGCCCAGGTATGTTGACAGCTTCAGTCTTTCTTTCTGCAATATGCGTTCAATTGTTTAAAACCCAGGATAAGGACAGAGGTTTTCTTCTTCGGTAGATCTGGACTTTAGGCAGATAAGAGAACTTCAGAGAAAACTCCATCCTGTGCTTTGGGAGAGATAGAGGATTGAGAGACAGGAGGGCGGAGGTGGGGAAGGTCAGACAGACCTTGAAGCCTCTTCTTCAGTTCAGCATGTCAAAGTACTGTATTTTAGGGTCTCAGTTACTGAGCTCTGACAACTTTTATTACTCCTATCTCTGCTTCTCTCCTTCATGACATGATGGTCTCCCTGTGTCTTTCTGCCTCTTCACATAGTAAGTTCTTTCTTTGTCTTCATGTCATCTCCTTATAAGAATAGCAGTCATATTGGATTAATAGATTACTCCATTTCAATGCAATCTTACCTTAAATAGTTATATTGGTGACAACCTTATTTCCAGATAAGGTCATATTCTAAGATAATGGGGATTGAAACTTTGGCATGTCTTTTTGAGGGGATGCAATTCCATTCATAACAAGCAGAAAAGAAAAGGTATGTTTTGTTACAGAGTCTGGGTCAAAATCTAAATGTAGAATGTGTGTCAGACCCCTATTGACTTACCATATTAGAGAAGCCAAAGAAGAGATCTGGAGCCAGTGAAAAAGACAAACTGTTTATTGAGGGACTTACATATAGGGCAGTCCATTGGCAGCAGGCTGGGCAAGAGAACTGCTACCATTTATAAAAAGCATGCAGTTCTTAATAGCATTTTCATATAGTACTATCCCCTTAGCAAACTCCACCCAGAAACTTTCACTTAACCCAAAACAAAGGGCCTTGATCCCCTGCATGGCCCACATTACGTGGGATGGGTCAGGGATTCAGATATGCCACTCTCAGATTTTTAGCCCAGAACTCTGAACACACATTATTTTTAGAACATAGGGTCATCTTCAGAGTATGCTGAAGTTATTGCTGTCAGATGTGTCTGCCATACAGGGTCATTCTCAGGGTATGGTTAAGTTACTGCTGTCAGGTGCATTTGCCATATAGGAAAATAGCTTGTTGTCAGTCTCAGATATTAGTCACTCAGCTTAGCATTTTGATTTGTTTCTGAGCTCTATGAGGATAGGGCTTGCAGGTAGGGGCCCTCTCCTCATAGAGCTCAGAAACAAATCAAAAAGGGGAAAGTTAATGAGGATATACATCTGCGAGACATGGGGAAGGGCGTGAGTTTGGGGAGACAAATATGGCTGGAGTTTACAGGAAAGAATACTGAAGAGGAGAGAGCTGAATGAAGAGAAAACCCTGAAAATCTGCACACATCCCCCTTGAGTATTCAGCTGAATACTGATCAGCTCATATGTGTGAAGAAACTATTGAAGGCTGGAGAAAAGAACACCTGAAATGATTGCAGATAGCAGTGCACTACAAGAAATGTTAAAATTCATCCTTCATGCAGAAGGAAAATGCTAACACCTGGAAATATGGATTTGCAGAAAAAAAAATAAAGACCTCTGGAAATGATAACTACATGGTAAAGATATAACATTTTAAAATTATTGTTCACATCTCTTTAAAAGATTATTGTTTATGCAAACATAATAACAACGTGTGGTATTTTCTGCTAAAGAAAACATTCATTAAGGATTCTTTGCTTTTCAAGCGGGGAGCCCTGAGAAACTAGAAGAATTATTGGTAATGGAAAGTAGGTGATTTTTACCCTAAAGGGTGTCAGCTGTGAATTCTGGTAGCGGACTGTCTTTATACTAAGGAACTTATGGGTTGCCACAAGTTTGGCTTTTAACAGAATATAATTGCAAAATCTGTCAAAGGCTTTTTATTCTCTCTCTCTTTTTTTTTCCTTTGTTTTTTTTTTTTTTTCCTTGGAGACAAGGTCTGGCTCTATCACCCAGGCTAGAATGCAATGGTGTGATCTCAACTCACTGCAACCTCCACCTTTTGAGCTCAAGCCATACTCCCACCTCAGCCTCCCATGTAGCTGGAATGACAAGCGCACACCACCATGACTGGCTAATTTTTTTGTGTGTGTGTTTTTGGTACACATGGGGTTTCACCATGTTGCACAGGCTGGTTGCGAAGTCCTGAGCTCAGGAGATTCACCCACTTTGGCCTCCCAAAATGCTGGGATTACAGGCGTGGGAAACCATGCCCAGCTGATTCTCTTTCAACACTGAAATATGCCCTTAGAGCACTTTGGGTAGCTTTAAAAATTTGAGAATATTTTACTAATGTAAAGTAGCTTTTAGCTGTTTTCTGATATGAGACATTGTGGAAAGGTGTTTGGGGAGAACATTTTCTAGAAGTCCTATGGAATAATGAACTCAGTAATAAGCCTGATGAAACTTTATCCCAATAACTAAATGTGAATTTGATACTAATGTATATAGACTCATAAAAGAGCAGACAAAGCAACAGGAAAATTGAATTTTAAGTCTCTCTGAATTTTGACAACCAACATAAACATGATGCCAAATATTTCATCAAAACATATGTTTACTTTGTGAAATCAATAACAGTTGTTAAAAATATTTAAAACAAAGAGGGGGGTGTAGGAGAGGAAAACAAGAGAAGGAAGAGGAGGAGGAAAAGAAAGAGTAGGAGAATAAATCAAAATGAAATTATGAGTGAGAGTTCTAAGAGAGTTTTCCTAATAGAAGCTCCTATTGTATTGCTAAGAGAATTTTAATAATAGAAGCCCCTGTCATGTTATTTTAGTCACATGTTCCATTTATGATGTTGACTGTTCATTAGAAGATTTTTACTATGGGCAATTAAACTATTTCTGTTTTTTTTAATTTTAATTTTTATTTCCTGAGTCTGCTTGGGAACATAGATGACAATTCCATAACAGTCAGATACCAACAAAATCAGTCAGATTTAGAAATATTCAACATTTATTTCTGAGATTATTTCTGGAGTTTATCAATCTCTTGGCTTAAGATGATACAAGTAGTGCTGAATTCGGGGAGTGTACATGGCCGCATGAGCGTGGCAGTTAATAAGACTGGACAAGTCAGGAGGAGTCAGAGCAGAAGGACGTAGGAACACTGGATTCCACTGGCCCGCTGTTCACTCTTTGGCACAGGCACCAATGTTCCAAGTGGGCTGGAAGTTAAAGAATAAACATATAGCATCTTTCTGGAACATCAATTTTGTTCAAAGTACGGTAAGGTGAGATTTAAAAATTAAAAAGCTTAAAAAGTTTAATTATAACTGATATGATTATGTGATGAAGTATGAAATTTATGGTATAATCTGTTCTTTCATTATAAAATGAGATGAATACTACCTGTCCTGCCTGGATTGCAAAGTCATTGTTGAGCTGAGAAATTGTAAGCAGCAGAACCTTTTAAACTGTGAAAAATCTCCTGAAATGTAAAGAAAGAAAGAAGAATAAGGGAAGCAGCAGTGATAAAATCAGAAGAAAATTCTTAAGGATGATGAAACTTTCTCAGTTGCAGGGAAGAAACTCAAGGTTTTTTCTATAAGATTTATTCATTGTCACATAGTACTTAACTGGATACTTCTCTTACTCTATGTTTCTGAGGTGCTAGAGTACTATCCAGGTTTCCTGGCTACTTTTCAGAGTGTTAAATGTTAATTCCCTCTTGAATATCTTCTTAAATCTTAGAATGTCCTCTTCAACTATATCTTCCTTTCCCAGAGAGGTTTCTAATCTCAACTTCGGCTCTTTTAGACTCATCTTCTGCCTCTAGCCCATGCTATTCTCTTTTACACCAAGATGTGTTTCCCAAATGGACCAGGATCTCACATAGCTTTATGCCTTTTTTTTTGCAATTTTCATTCCCAAATTACATTATTGGCAAATTCCTATTCAACCCTCAGCTCGAGTATTATTTCTTCAATGAAGCATTTTCTGTTCCACTTGGTCCTTCAGGCAGAATGAGGCGTATCCTCTTTCTGTTTTGAGATATAATATGTGCAGTATGATATCATGCTATCAATTTTTAGAACTATACTATTGACTTTTTGGAATAGTTTTACTAGGATTAGTAAAGGTTCTTCTTTGTATTTCTGACAGAATTCTGTTGTAAATTCATCTTTTTTTGGTTTGTTTTTTTAACTTGGTAGGTTTTTTATTACTGATTCAATTTCGGAACTTGTTATTGGTCTGCTTAGGTTTTCACTTTCTTCCTGGCTCAAACTTCGGAGGTTGTGTGTTTCCAAAAATTTATCAATTTCCTCTAGATTTTCTAATTTTTGTGCATAGAGGTGCTCATAATTGTCTCTGAGGATATTTTATATTTCTGTGGGATCACTTGTAATCTTTGTCATTTCTGATTTGTGCTTATTTGGAACTTCACTTTTTTTTCTTAGATAATCTATTTAGCAGTCTATAAATCTTATTCATTCTTTCAAAGAACCAGCTTTTGGTTTCATTAATCTTTAGTGTTGATTTTTGCATCTCAGTTTCATTTAATTCTTCTCTGATTTTAGTTATTAATATCTCTTGTCCTCTGCTAGCTTTTCTTGTTTGTATACTAGACATTGTGGATGATGTGTGTAAAATCTTCAAAAATTATTTCTTTTTCTCTAGTATGTTATTATATTACTCATGGATCATTTAGAGCTTTTGGACACTTGCTTTTGGCTTTAAGTGGACTTATTTCAGTCTTGTCAATAGGTCTATGGCAAATTTCTTAGTTCTGGAACATATTTCTTACTCCTAAGCCGTGTTTTTCTGGCATTTCAATAAAATATGTGAGCTATTCTAATGCAGATGCTCATCAATTTACAATGCATTTATGTCCCAATTAACCATCACAATTTGAAAATATCATAAATTGAAAATGCATTTGGTATACTTAATCTACCAAACAGCATTGCTTAGCCTAAGCTACCTTAAATGTACTCCTAAACCTATACTAGCCTACATTTGGGCAAAATAATCTAACAAAAAGCCTATTTTACAATAAAGACATTTTAAAGAATTTTGAATCATGATTCAAAATTTAAAATATGTTTTTTTCTTAATGTATATCACTTTTACAGCATCATAAAATAGAAAATTGTAAAGCCAACCATCATAATTCAGGGACTACCTGTATATTGAAATTTGAACGCCAGACTTTTTCTCTTTTGCAACTGGTACTGAAATCTCTGCTAAGTTCTTTCAGCCTTCCAGTTCTTATTTCCTTCCTGGGCTTCTGTAGTTTCTTTCTTCTATGTACAGGTTAACAATTGGACAAGAATTGAAGAAAGTGTGTATGCAGATTTTGGGCTTTCTAGTCTGTGGAGCCTCCTTTCTCATTTTTTTGTTTGTTTTTTTGAGACGGAGTCTCACTCTGTTGCCCAGGCTGCAGTACAGTGGCACAATCTTGGCTCTCTGCAACCTCCGCCTCCCAGGTTTAAGGGATTCTCCTGCCTCAGCCTCCTGGATAGCTGGGACTACAGGTGTGAGCCACTGTGCCCGGCCTCCTTTCTGAGTTTTTTCCCCTTCAATTTCCAGCTACTCTGGTAATATAAATCTAGCTAGAACACAGCATGGTTCTCTTCATTCGAGTATGGACTCCCCTCAATTTTTCCTGCTGTTTTTTTTACCTATGCTGTCATCAACAGTTCTTTTTCTATTTTATCAAGAGTTAATATTTGCTACCACGTGTTCTCATTTATAAGTGGGAGATAAGCTATGGGTATGCAAAGGCATACAGGGTGGTATAATGGATATTGGAGACTCAGAAGGGAGGAGAAGGGAGGAGGGATATAAAACTTTATTTTGGGTACAATGTACATTACTCAGATGAAGGATACAGTAAAACATCAGACTTCACTGCTATACAATTTATCCATGTAACCAAAAGCCACTTGTACCCCCAAAGCTATTGAAATTATATATATAAATATACATACATATATAAAAATATATGTAACATATAAAGTAAATAAAAATTTTTCAAAAATAGTTAATATTTCATATACGTAAGAGTACACATCTAATATATGCTACTTCACCATTACTGGACTCAATAGTATGTTTTATTTCTTCTTTTTCTTTTTCTGAACACCTTGAGTGACAGAGTTTTTTCTTATTTATTTTTGTTCCTAGGACACTATCTGACATACAACTGATGCTCAGTATATGTATGTTCAATGAATGGCTATGACATTTTTGACCAGGTACCATGAAATAGGGAATTCTGAAGGCCAAAATAATCTAACAAACCTTATGAAAAGGAGAAATTTTCAAAAATTGGAAGGCGTTTAAATATTTGCCATATTGTGTTTGAGATAAAACACCTGGATATACATTACTGCTGACTATGAATTTAATGTGTTAAGGAAATAAATCCACATCTTTAGCAGTGCACTTTCATTCTATTTTGTCTCTCAGAATACTTGGAATTCTATTTACAGGAAGTCAGAATATCTCCAACAGCTACCAGTAAACAAAATCTGAAGGACTGTGGCAATGAAGATGTAGTAATAGTTTTATTTAGAAGTAGACAATACTCCTTTTTCTATTTGTATGCAAAAGCAGTCAATTCCAAGCATGTTAAATTTAAATGATCTTTTTTCCATTGTGCTTTCTTTGTGAATGGCTGCTACATTTTGCTATCTTCATAATAAACAGCCCAAACTGAAAGGCATAAGCTTTCTTGCCCTGGTCCACAGCATATGGTATTTTAACTAGTCTTGTTTGGCTGCCTTTTTTTCCTTCACGTAGTAGTAAGGATGTATTAATAATATAAGTCAGAGTTTGCACATGCAAAGAAAAAGATTAATTTTGTGAAAGAAGAATACAAGCGCTTTTGTGGCTCTAATCAATCACTTTTGACTCCTGCTGATACCTGAGACTGAAAAAGACACTGGATGATATATAGGACACCATGTGAGATACATTTTTTGTGTCTCTGTCAAGACAGTGAACTACAAAATAAATGATATTGGGGCAAGTTTAATGTAGTTCTCAATTAACTGTTTCCAAAGGAAAGAATTAAAAGAACAAAAATAGACAAAGCATAAAGAGTCTTCTTTTAGAAAACATTTGTCAAAGACAATATATCTTTTGAATATATTTCTCTGATCAATTGCTGAGTAAAGCAACCTGCATTCCAACAAAAATATAACACAGAATACAGCCACACATACTGTCTGCTGTATATAATCAATTCTGCCTTCCAATACAAGGTTTTCAGGGAACTTCACTTACTGACATCTCAAAGATGGCAGATTAGAGCTAAAGGTCACACTCTTCTTTTGAAAAAAGGGTCTGCTTATGTACCATAGTTAAAAGGGATTATCAAAATAAATTTACCTTGCAAGGATGTGTGAGAACCCACCTGAATTAAATATTTAAATTAAGATATTAAAATATTTAAATTTGGACCAGGACAGATAAAAAGACACTAATTTTATTATTATTGACAATTTAGCATTTTTGTTCAATGTACTTTAACTAACATTTGTTGAGTACTGGACTGGCCACCTCAGTGGCCATGAAGATAAGTAAAACACAATTCCTCATTTCAAGCTAATTTCCACAGCAGCTAGAATACAACCAGATTATTTTAAGTATCGTAAGAAATATATTTACAAAATGCTATGTATATTTTAAGGAGGAAGAGTGAAAATTCAATTAGGAAATTAGAACCTACTTTATCAAGGATACAGCACTTGGGATGAATCTTGAAGAAATCCTGAATATAGTTCATAGAAAGAGAAGGGAAAGAGCCATGACACTAAATCAGGATGGAAAAAAATGCAATGACACTGTTTTTTTTTTTTTTGATACAGAGTCTGGCTCTGTCATCCAGGCTGGAGTGCAGTGGCGCCATCTTTGCTCACTGCAAGCTCTGCCTCCCAGGTTCACGCCATTCTCCTGCCTCAGCCTCCTGAGTAGCTGCGACTACAGGCGCCCGCCACCACTCCTGGCTAATTTTTTGTATTTTTAGTAGAGACAGGGTTTCACCATGTTAGCCAGGATGGTCTCGATCTCCTGACCTCATGATCTGCCCGCCTCAGCCTCCCAAAGTGCTGGGATTACATGTGTGAGCCAACGCACCCGGCCTCAATGACACTTATTAAGTTGGTGCAAAAGTAATTGAGGTTTTACCATTGAATGCATGGTAAGAAAGACTTTATTAAGGACCATCAAGATAGGTCTAGGGACCACTGCAATGGGATTTTAGTCAAGCATAGGCAAGTGGGAATTTATAGCCAGGGAGAAGGGTGGGAGTTAATGGATGAAAAATTCCTGAGAAGAAACATCAGGGGTGAGGAGGATTCTGGGTAAACCAACCTAACAGGATTCTTGCTGAAAACAGGCCAGAAAGATGAGATATTACCTGAGGGATGGTAAAGGATGAGAAACTCTATGAAATATTAAGCGTGGACCATTTTGGCTAAACTGACTTAGCAGACTTCTTACTACAACTGGATTTTATAGGAAGGGCACAGATGAGCCTAGAAGGTTTAAGGAACCTGACTAAAATTTGATCAAGCATAGAACCTTTCTAAATATATTTAGAGAATAGCAAGTCAACTAGTCCTACAAAGATGCAGGAGACTAGGTTACATGAAGCTTCTATTAATGATTTACTTCTTACTTTCATATGTCTCAAAACCACACAATGTCCCCTCCTTCAAACAGATCCACCCATTAACACATGAACTAAAAATATGAAATTATGTAAAGATTTAGTGGGTAGATGCAGAAGAGTCTTCATAGCACACAAGTCAGAGAAGTGATCAAATTCCCCAATAGGTATTTCTGAGTTTCCCGTCATAGTTCATCTCTTATCAGTTGACACCACCTTATTTCTTCTGCTCCCTGCATCACCCCACTCCACTCCTTCTGGATCAAGTTTCCTGCAAGCCAGATAGTTCCTACATCACTCTAGGCCATTTATGATTTGTTTATCTGCTTCAATTTCCTGAAGCTAAGCTAAACCATCGGTACCCACTATGCTCAGGCTGGCATGACCATCACAAACAGGGGGAGCAGAGCACAGTGGCTTTACTAATGGATAGAGGTGGGTCAGCTCTGTTTATTTTATGTGGTGATTTGCTGATTTGAATAATCTGCCCTACAGAAGATCAACCAATTGTTCCTACCCTGCTAATCCTATGATTGTGGCTTTAGGGCCTGTAGTACTTTAGGAGTTGTATATTCCGCTGAAATATGTATCCAAATGTGCCTAATAATTTGACGTGAAATTAGATAAATTATATAGTGCAATTTTTTTTCATGAGAACAACAGGACATGTTATTTGCAACATCAGGAGATGTATTTATTTCTCGATTTAAGAGGCATTAGGGATTCTGAGGGTCAATGTTATCATGTCTTTGGCCTTGAACTTCATGAACAAAGACCACAATATGATGAGCTGACATTTGTTTAGAATATTCATTCATTACTAGATATCACTTTCTTCCCTTCCAGCAATTTGTTCCAAACTGCAGCTTAAAATGTCACATTATTGATGTGGCATTATCAAGTTTCATCATGATTGACCTGATGTCACACTGTTTTGTAACACAACTGGTTGCTGTCTATCAAAGGCACTTACAGAAACCTATTATAAACATGGAGAACAATTTGTGCCAGCAAAGAACCATCTGGTATACTCTTTGCTTTAAAGATGAGCCTTGTGGTTATTTAAAAATTATTAAAGTTTAAATGTGAATTTTGTTACTATTAAAGCCTTTGCTTGATCCTTGAAATTGTCAACATTTTGATACTTCTCTGAGGTAGGTAAAAAGTTTTAGGACTTTTCTTTATGTATGAGTTTTAATTAATGTTGGTGACCCACAAGAGCGATCAAAAGTGGAGGTTCACTTATAACCCTTCCTCGGAAAAGAAAAGGCATTTTTTTATGAGGATGCTTTGTGTGTGTGTGTGTGTGTGTGTGTGTGTGTGTGTGTGTGTGTGTGTTTGAGAAAGAGAGAGAGAGACAGGGACACAGAAGGGTATTGTAGGGAGAGAAAGAAAGGGAGAAGTTGAGAAACAGAGACAGAGAGATCCGGCTAAGCTACATAAAAGGGGGGAAATCAGAAAAAGTAAAGGCAGTGCTGCCAGTGAAGTTCTGAGAAACAAGCTGGGTCTCACAGAGCACCCAGCATTCATCTAGGCTCTGAAGCATGACCTCTGTTCTGGTGCCGCTGCTTTCTGCCTGATGTGTCATAAAGCCTCTACATGAACTCTCTTTTCTGGGTTAGTAAATGCTGCTATTTCCGCTGATGAAACTTTGTGTAAAAGTGACCCTCACACGTCTCACGCTTTGAAATCAGTTCTCTGGATTTTTAAAAAGCAAGGAAAGAGAGTGATGGGTATAGTTTAGAGAGAATGTGGGAGAAGGTCAAGTGTGGGCTGCAGCTCCCTCACCCTTCCTCTACTAGACAAGAGGGAGTTCTTTGTCAGTAATGGTTTGGCTGCAAGAAAATCTCTGTCTATATCCATGAAAATCACCTGGGAGTTGTGGATTATGCCCATAATCCCAGTCTGGGAGGCCAAGACAGGAGGATCACATGAGGCCCAGAGTTTGAGACCAGCCTAGCAACATAGAGAGACCCTGTCTCTCTAAAACTATGTATATTATATCCATGAAAATACTGTGGATAATTTTCCTTTTATCTTTGTGCTGCTTTTTTTTTTTTTTTTTTGAGACAGGGTCTCACTCTGTCGCCCAGGCTGGAGTGCAGTGGCTCAACCTCGGCTTACTGCAGCCTCCATCTCCCAGGCTCAAGCAATTATCCTGCCTCTGCTAATTTTTGTATTTTTAGTAGAGACAGGGTTTCACCATGTTGGCTAGGCTAGTCTCAAACTTCTGAGGTCAGGTGATCCTCTGGCCTCAGCCTCCCAAAGTGCTGGGATAACAGGTGTGAGCCACCGCACCTGGCCAGCTCCCGGCCACTGTTCTTCATTTTCTTAACCATTCCCTTGTTAAAGTCCTTCTGCTTCTCTAGATTTAGGCACCTTGATATTCCTTTTACCTAACTATGCCTTCCTGTGCTCTAAAGATAGGTATCACCAGGATCAGTCTTATGTTCTCCTTGCTTTCTTTGTCTCTCTGAAATCTCATCAACTTTACAACTTCAATAATAATTCTTATGTAGATTTCTAAAAGCTTTAGCTCAAGCCTGCAGCATATTCCTTTATGCAGAAATAAATGTTCATTATTTCTAACTCTCCAGCTTTTATTATGTAGGAGACACTTTGAAGAAAAGGCAGCATGTTAATAGTTACATAATGACCAATACAAATAATAAATCACAATGTTAACTGCCTGACAATAGCTAGTTTTAAGTCCTTTTCTTTCTTCCTTTTCAGATTACTTATTTCTCAGGACAGATAGGATTTCAATACTTATAACTCTCTTCCAGATCTGCTCTCTTCCAAATGTAACATTGGTGTCTTATTATAAAAGCTAGAAGTGGAAAACATTCAAGACATTACATGTTCTGTGGCCACTGGCAGAGTTACTTCTGACAATGAATGATTTTAGCACTTATTTCAGCATTTTAAAAGTACATTTAGAAAGTGAGACTCTTCAACTTAATTTTCTAGCTTTTTGTTATACATTCAAGCTTTAGCAAATGCCTTATAATGCCTCTCTAAATGGCTCAACAAAGGTTTGTGTGACAAGGTTGATTTTAAAATTATAATACTACACATAACATGGAACACATGACATGAGAGAGTATCTTGCCAACTCCAGTCATTTTATAAGACAAAAACCACAAAATAAAACAAAACAAAACAAAACCTGAAACACACAGAGGCAAATAGATTTGCTCACATTACACAGCTGGTAATGATGGTTATAGGATCAGAATGCCAGGAATCTGAGACATATATATCTGCTTGTTTGATTATACTTTTAAAATGTTTTTTAATGTACACATACTTTTAAAAATGTTTTCGCAAAGATTTTCTCAGTATTTGTGGCTCCTCTCTCTTTACCTGAATCAAATATTCTCAACTACTATCCAAGAGTTCTTTGAAGAAGAAAGGGTAAGCTAGAAACAAAGAGGGAAAGGTGGGAAGCCTGACAAAATGTATACTCAGTTTTAAGAGTTCCAGAAGAGCTACTTCTTTTGAGTGTCATCTCTAGTACCCACTTCTATAAATATGACTGCTTTTGAGCCCATTATCTTAATTTTTTCCTATTATGTGACCTTTAAAAGTATTTCTTTATATTTAATTTTCATTTTATTATATTTAATTTTCATCATTTTTTCTCTATATTTACTTCCTGATTATATTTGTATTTGCATAATTTGTCACATTTTAACTTGAAAACTACTTGTATTCTCTTTTCACCAGCATGTTATTAAAGTTATTTTACAACTAATTCAGTTAACACACTTAGATATGTGCTGTCTGAATCACTTCTATATGCTTGCATACTTTAAATATGTTTTTTAAATTGATTGCATTTTTTCCCTCTGAGTAATTTATTGCTTTAGATCGTTCCAGAAACTTTTCTTATTAAAATTTTATATTTTATCTCTTCTTACTTTAGTCATGATTAATTACATCTTCCTTTTCATATATTAACTGACCTATTTTCCTTTGCGGAACTTCTTTTAAAAGATCTTGACACAATTCCATCCATACCTTTTATATCAAAATTGGCCTCATGGATTTTAACAGGCAAAGTGTCCCAGGAAAATCATCCCTTAGGATGTTTTTCTCCTTCTCTCTATATTTTAACCACTTTTTCTTGTTCGTTTGCTTTTTTAATGTGACAGACATTTATGTCTTTTTCATGTTTACTCAGTAGAGAAAAGCAGGAAGACTGAAAACAGTCCTCAAAAGTTCCTCTAGTTCAGGCTTCTGTTTTACAAGCAGCTGATATGGTTTGGCTGTGTCCCAACACAAATCTCATCTTGAATTGTAGCTCCCATAATTACCACCTGTTGTGGAGGGCCCCGGTGGGAAATAATTGAATCATGGGAGTGTTTTCCCCCATATTGTTCTCGTGGTAGTGAATAATTCCCATGAGAGCTGATGATTTTATAAGGGGTTTCCCCTTTTGCTTAGCTCTCATTCTGTCCTGCCTGCTGCTGTGTAAGACATGCCTTTCACCTTCCGCCATGATTGTGAGGCCTCCCCAGCCATGTGGAAATGTGAGTCCATTAAACCTCTTTTTCTTTATACATCACCAGTCTTAGGAATGTCCTAATCAGCAGCATGAAAACGGACTAATACAGAAGCACTACTCCTACACTATGGAAATATTTAAAAATCACATCCTGTCTGACCCCTGACCTTAGGAAAGCCAACCCTCTCAGATGCTGTGTATACCTGGGAAGCTGCATTCTGACATGGCCCATTTTCTCTCTGACACCAAGCAGTGACTCCCAACTCTTGTTCACAGACCCAAATATCATCCTCTGATACTGGGCAGGGCCACCAAGGGTAGTGAGAAGGCTCAGTCTAGTTCTCACAATGGATGTTAATGACACTACTGAGCTGTGTAAGCAGACCTCCTTCTCTACATGAAATACTAGCTCCACTGTTTGTAGGATCTTGAGAAAAATGTGGAGAAGGAAGGCATCTATATTAACAGTATCCCTCTTTTAAAGAGTTTCACGAACAGGTGCAAAGGCAGCTGTATTTTGTTGTTTTTACTCGCACCTTTAGAAGAGGGTACTTTCATTTTTTCCTTCACCTTGATATCATTGCAGATTGCTGTAGTAAGACCTAGTTCTTCTATATGTTCCACCTGCTTCCAATTGGTAGGATGCTGAGGGGAACAATAAGTCAGCTTATGTGTATCCAGTAATAATAACTTTCTATTATCTTAAAAGACTGAGGGTATTCATTATGGTTAATTACTAATTTTATATTCAGACCTATACATTGTGTTTCTCTTGGCTCTTTTCAAAGCAGTCTCCTAAATTTTCAAAGTATGCTCAAAATTCTTAACACTTGAAATTGCTGGAGACCGAGTTAATGAATTGTAATTTACCTTAGGGTGGGTATCCACTCAATTACATCTTAGTTCTTCCTTTCTCTGATGATTCCACCTTATAAATCCTCACAGCCCAGTTGTGACCTAGCTTGACCACAAAGAAATTCTCTGCTGAAGCTTGCAATGAAATAATTTGAAATCCTACATCAATTTTCTATTTGAACATCTTCTGCTTTGTTACGTTTTGCTTTGTTGTAAGAGATGTGTTCCCTTTATTTCAGGCAGTTTCTATTTATACCCATTGCTTCAGTGGCAAGTTGATGGACCAACAAACTTCTGGTCGTATAACATTAGGCCAAAAAAAAAAAACCCTACTAAAAAAGAAGTTGTTTTTTTATTGGGTAAAAAGGTATCCTAGAAAGGACGCTGGACTAGAAGGAAATTATCTGTCAGTTCTCTAGTAGAGAGTTTTTATTTCTTTGTTGTTTAGTTCTTTTTCTGTTTTGAAGAGAGAATAAATGAGTCTCCAAGAGAACAAGCAAAAAATAAACTAACATTAGTCAGTGAATCAATTAATTTATTGAATCCCTACTGTGTTCTAGGCAGTGTAGTTTGCTCCCTAATCTACCCTCGGTAGACAAGCAAAATGTAATGGAGGTTTTTAATGATGAGTGAAAAAGAAGATATAAATGGCAAACCATGGGGTGCTGAATTCAATTTACAGGCAGATTAAGTAATAAAGGAAAATTCTAATAAGAATACATAAGATTATATGTTTAAAAGCATGTACCCTAGAACTTAAAGTATAATAAAAAAATATAAAAAAGCTGATAATTAAAAAGTTAAGTATTAGTAAGAATGGAGCCAGTTTTACTAAACTTTTTTTGAAAATTGATAGCTTGTTTATAAAGAATTTTTCACTTGAGTAACTGTTTAGTATATTTAATGATTTTTCATCTGAAAAGTGTCAGAAAAAATAATGTAGTTCTCTCAGTAATACTTGAATTGTTTTACTGTAACACAGTATCACCATCTGAAGATGCAGAGCCTCTGTGGCCAGATTGGTGGGATTTTTTCTTTTATTGAGGCCGAGTGTCACTCTGTCGCCCAGGCTGGAGTGCAGTGGTGCAATCTATGCTCACTACAACCTCTGCTGCCTGGGTTCAAGTGATTCTCGTGCCTCGGCCTCCTAAGTTGCTGGGACTACAGGCACGTGCCACCATGCCCGGCTAATTTTTTTGTATTTTTAGTAGAGACGGGGTTTCGCCATGTTGGCCAGGCTGGTCTTGAACTCCTGACCTCAGGTGATCTGCCCGCCTGGGCCTCCCAAAGTGCTGAGATTACAGGTGTGAGCCACTGCACCCAGCCTGGTGGTTATTTTTGACATTGAGAAGCGAATAAATTATTTTCTGAAAGTTATTTGAGTTGATTTCTGCCCGTTAGTAGTTATGCAGAGGAGTAATTCTGTGTTTTCCCAGTCATGAACCCATGGATTAAAACAACTTGTAAGGCATGATGAAGTATAAGAATGTTATGACTGCAGGTTAAATGCATAAGTTCTTTAGGTTCTTAAGCTAGCCTTGAAAGCCCCAAAGGCTGAGGAAATCGATGTATTACCACTCATGCGATCTCTAGCACACGAGTATCAGAAAGCTTTTACCTAGAGCATGCTACTGGTTAGGCAAAGCTTGATTTGTTTTGATGAACATTTCTCACATTTATTTGGTTCAGATCAGGATCGTATAACTTGAATAATAATTACAGAGCAAATTTTCTTGCTGCCAAATCATAACAAAGTTCTTAAGTAGACAAACTGATCCCCTGGAAAGTTGAATAGTGGCATAATTATCCAATTGCTCTCAGGGGTATTTTAAAACTGTTTGAGAAGCTGCATGGTTAAAATACTTTTAAAGACTTGAATATTTGGCCACAAGCACCATAATGGAGCACACAAAGAATCTCAATGTGATTGTTTCATTTTGTTGGCTAGAAGTGTTACAAGGGAAATTTGGTTCCAGTTGTTCCCTAGGAAAAATTAGTCATTTTTATTAGACATTGACTTCTAAAAAGTAGCAGAGAAAGCAGAGGAATGAAAGCACACTAGAAGCAATTTTCAGGTAACAGATGACATCTCTATGGGTGACCTAGTACTAATTTGAGAAGAAAATGTTTTCATATTCATATATTTTAAGTTAGTAGAAATGACTGCTCAAGGAAACATGATAGCCCGGTACATATTAATACTAATGAATCGGACTGTTCTCAGAAAGAGGCCTGTTAAGTGTTTGTGTGAGCGAATTCAAGCAAGGAGAAATACACAAATAAGTCTATCTTGTTAGCTAAAGTAGCCAAATGTCACAAATGTTGGTGTATGAACAATTAATTCTATGAACATAGTGGTGGTTTTACTTAGTAAGCCTTGGCAGGTGGTAAAGAGAAGCCAGAAGAGGGAATAAAATTAAACAGAAAGATTTAAATTGTAAGTTTTTCCTAATTTTGACCTACTCAATAATTCTAATAATAAATGATATCAGTATAAATGACTTCAGATGGAAATAAGAATGTTGTGTACTTCATAAAAACTTTGATGGCATAGGAATTTTGCTCTGCAAATGCAGGTAATAATTCAATCACCAAATAAAAAGAAGTTCATTTTATATTGAGTAAGCTTTATGTATAGTAAACAAATTTTGTTATCCATGTTGAACAAGAATATTGCTAATTGGTTCTATTATTTACCTTAAAAGGCAAAGCTAGCAACTAAGCCATCCCGCCTCCAGGGAGCTTTGCAGGAATCAAGTGAATTCATAATTGATCTGATTTTACATAAGGAGCTCCTGCCCATAGGGTTTAAAAAGTTCTCTTTTCACATGCCTAAGGGTGAACTTAAAAAAGTTAATCAATCCAGTGAGAACAGGAGGGTCATGTTATCATCTGGTTACCAAATTTATGTTTATCCTGCCTTTTAATAAGTGTTATTATATAGCATAGTGAGGCAAGAATAATGTTTGTGTCAGATATCTGTGTTAGACTCACAACTTTGTCCCTTTTTTGTGGTTTGGTTTCAATCAGGATGGCTGGCTGAGCACATATTCTATATCTCCCACTCACCTCAATAGCTTGAAATTACAAAAAAAAAAATTTTATAAGCATGTGTAAGCATACTGGAAGACAAAATGTAAAAACACATTTTGACAATAATAATAATAATAATAATAATAATAATAATTGGGATTGGCTAGATGGGTAAACAAATTAAAAATTAAGCTCCCTAAAAGACCTATATGATGCTGAGAGTGGAATATGTCTTTGATGCCTTCACACTGGACTTTCACTCTCTTGCAAAGAAGCAGACAACAGAAATGTTTGGTCCATGCTAAGTAGGAGATAGAACCTGAAATGCAGAACAGTAGCCAAGGCAATTTACAAGCTTCAGTAGGCAAATAGAACCCACAAAAATAGAAATCAAGTTAATTACATATCTTTCCTTCTGCACACCTTATACTTCTGCTGCTATAAAAGAAAAAAAAAAGATCTAGTGTTTGTAATTTGCATCCACAAGCAGACAAATAGGAAGTATGAGATACAAAGATACGAAGAAAAACAAGAATTACCAGACTTTGAAAAATTTATGTATGAAAGACAACAAACCAAGCAATAAATCAACAACTTGGCAAGTGAAGTAAAGTAAGCAAAAAGAAAGTTTTAAAGTAAATGTGATTAATATGCTTTGAAAGATTATATCCTATTCACAAAAGATTAGGAAACAGATGACATAAAAACCGATCTTCAAAATATGAAAATGTAAGATATAATGGAATAAAGAATAGGCTTAACTAAAGAATGAATACATTAGTTAGAAGAGTGAGTGGAAAGATTGTCCTGATCTAAAATAAAAGAAAATTATATTTAAAAAGATATTGTTAATATAATAAAATATTCCTGAAATTGCTAAAAGAAGTACTGCAAGTAAATAATATATGGGTATGTGTTTAATGGGGTATTGGAAGCAAAGAAAAATAGAAAACAATATTCCAGGGCTGAAATAATTCTAAAATCTTGGATTGAAAGATTCCAAAAGATGAATAAGATAAATTTAAAAGGATATACATAAGCCCAGGCATGGTGGCTTATGCCTTTAAGCCCAGTACTTTGGGAGGCCCAGGCTGGCGGATCACTCGAGGTCAAGAGTTCAAGACCAGCCTGGCCAATGTGACGAAACCCTGTCTCTACTAAAAATATAAAACTTAGCTGGGTGTGGTGGTGGACATCTGTAGTCTCTGCTACTCAAGAGACTAAGGTAGGAGAATCCCTTAAAACAGAGAGGCAGAGGTTGCAGTGAGCCAAGATCACTGCAATCCAGCCTGGGTGACAGAGTAAGACTCTGTCAAAAAAAAAAAAAAGTGATCTACATAAATCCATCATGGTGTATTTCACATTTCAGAGCTCTAAGAATATAAAGAAGACAAAACTGAGAAGAGAGAATAAAAGTTAACTGGAAACAAAAAAAAGCTAAAACCACATGACTATTTCAGCAACATTATAGAATGGAAGACAATTAATTAATATTTTCAATGTTCTGACAGAAAATAAATTTGAATTTAGAATCACAAAACAATGATATTAATCCTTAAGTAAGAACTGAGAACATTTATGACATTTTTGAAGTACTTATGAAAAGGTAAGCTCCAGCCAAATGGGAAGAAGGAATCAAAGTAAGGGTGTATATATATCAATTGGTTTTAGCCATTCATAAAAAATAATAATTGTAAATATGCATATTACTTAGGACTCATCACTGGACTAAATATCTATAATAAAAAAATTTATTTTTATCTTATATACTACTAAAAGTATATAATATTCTAGCAAAACAAATATTCTAGCATATCAAATGTGATCAGAAAGATATCAAGAAAGAAAACAAAAATAAATTGAAAGTAGAAAACAAAATAAGATAGAATTATGACAAAACATCAATAGCAAAACTAAACATCAATGTACTTATTTTTCTATTAAATATCTCAAACTTCAGATTGCTAAACTAAAAAATTCCATCATACACTGCTGACACAGAGAAATTGCAAATTACAGAATAGAAAAAGGCTCATTTAGCAAAATGTTTAAAAATTATAATACAATACCTAAAGAGCTAAAAAGTATTAGTACACCAAACTAGACAAAATAGATTCAACACAAAAAGTATCAAATGAAAAAAAAGACATTTCATATTAATAAAATTCCACTGCATAAATAAGGTGTAATAACCACGAACCTTGATGCAACTAACCACAAAACTTGGAAACATATAGTCTAAAAGTCTTAGGAAGAATGTGATAAAGCCTTAAAATTTGCAATATATTTCTCTTAACACAATTGGCACAATTAAACTGGAATCTCAATTTCCTTAAGAAACAATTCTCTAACCACAATACAGTGCACTTCTATGTAATGTATACGTCAAAGAATAAATCAGAATGAAAATTTAAAAATATAGTTTGAACTATGTGCATGATGGTATGTGCTTCTAGTCCCAGCTACTTGGGAGGCCGAGGCAGAAGGATTGCTTGAGCCCAGGAATTTGAGGTCAATTATAGGTTTGTGTCAGGGGACTGACTTTATTTGTTAAGCATACAATAATGATATTGTATGAACAGTTTTAGGTTTGTATTATATCTTCCAAATGTAATGCTCATGTTTTCTGTAGAATGGGAACATATGACTCATATTTCTATGACTTGTGTTTCTGTGGTCCTCATTTTCTCTGGAACTCAGTTTCTTTATCTTTAGTATAAGGAGTTTGGGTTTTATAACATTCATAGTGCCTTATATAGCTAAAATTTTAGAATCATTTGAATATAATAGAAAATATATATTTAATTATAGGGACTTTAAACCTAACTGAGAATACAGGTTTAATGATATGGACTTAAAACCTAATTTAGAATACCTGTACTATGCATATATGATTCCACCACATGCATTATGTTTTTGCCTAAAACATTTATTAGTTTTCCCTGTATATGGTGAAAAAAATTTTATTAACATATCTAAATTATGTATAGAAATACAGGAATTTCCCAACAATAGTGGGTAAATGTCAGAAAACATTAAAGCTGTCTGTGATACATGCCATGGTTAATTTCTTCTGCAGGCGTTTCAGCAAGGACACATAAAATTTGTTCTCTAATAGTGAATCAGGGAAAATAAAAGAGATGGATGAAACCAACTACTTGTGATAGTTAAAGCACGCTGACTCTCTAATGCACTAAAAATAAAGCTTAACATAGTTCTAATTGTATAATTTCCTTAACATTATTTAATGCAAATGCAATTATCCCTATAACTTTGACTATGATAGTGTTTAATAAATTAACCATGTAGTAATGAAAAAATATGAGGAAATTGATTAAAATTATGTTGATTAGGGGGTAAGTCCTAAAATTATTTTCTAAAAGATATTTTACTGAGTGAGCAAAATAAATAGAAATGGATCTAAAGAGTAAGAATGGTGATTCATTCATAAAGAATTTCATATGTGTACCTATTGTAAATAATCTCTAGAGGTAAACCAAGGCCACTACAGTGGCTTTTTATTACTTTTATTCTGTAGCAATATTTGTCTGGATTTTGGATTTGTCACAACACAGCATCATTACCTCTGTTCACCTCCAAATGATATTTGACTTCTGGTGGCAACGCAGCACAATAGCGCTGTTCACTGAGGCTTCTCAAATGCAGAGAGGCAAGACACATCACTGGGAGCAGCACATGGCATCTTGGTCCTCTTAGAAAATATTCAAAAAGCAGGCCCAGCTTCTGCATCACTTTAGAGCAGTTTGACCAAAATTTCACTGAAATTCTAAACCATATATGGGATCATAATTACTGATGTGGTTTAAACATGAACCTGAGCACCTCAGGCTCCATTACTGGCCTCACAATTTCTGGATGCTGCCACCGGCTGGTTCCATTTGCTTCTATGCTACAAAAAGGCCTCAACTAGCAGATGGTGTGTGTGTCCTCACTGTTCCCAATATTCTTGTTCTTGGGGTCTTCTGACTTTGTGGTTTCTAGCTAGCAATATTCTGATAAATGTTTAACTACTGATTCTCTGAAGGGAGGAGAAAAAAGCGCTGATCTGTAGCATTTCCCAATTTTTATGATATAAATACTCCCATCATGGCCAGTTTCAAGCTACCAATATGATACCTCAGAAGGCAGAGATGGAAAGAAATGCACACAGTTAGCTTTGCAAGCTGATATATGCTTGCTCCACCACACAGTTGCTTTGAGCTGTTTTTTTTTTTAAATCCTTTATGTTATCCTCCTTCATCCTACCAAAACCACTTGTAGTTCTCATTTATGAAGGATAGGTCAGTCCTTTCTGTTTATAGTTTCCCTGCTGCTAGTGTTTCTCCTGTTTTTGCCTCTTATTCTTCTCCTCCCTCTCTCCCTTTTCTCCTCACACTTTTTATGTGTTTAAAACTTTTGGGTCAGAGTAGATTTAAGTAGTACTACCCATTATCCCACTCCAGAGAGTATATTCTCACAGACCATTGTTTAAAAGCAAAATACCTGATTTCCCATACCTCAAAGTAAGCTTATTGCCCATCCTATGCATACCTCCACATATAAACTCAAAGAAACTATGTGAATTAGAATAGAACACATTGCAGTCCACACAATGTTTAAATAAATGGCATCATACCCAATTTTTCCCCATATGGGTATGAGAGACATAAGCTGAATTATGAACAGACAGTCACGGAGCAATGCTCAAAGTCATTAAATAATTATATTTTGCCATTTTCCCGCTTTAATGCTTTCTCTGCTATATCTATTAATTTTTCAGACCTTGGGGCAGGGACAAAGTGAGAAAGGAATATCAGTGGGGCAGATCCAGAGTTCATTTCTTTGCTTATTTTATTCTTTTTCCTAATCCAGATACTTAAAGAGCCTTAGCTTATTAGAAGAAAACAAACGCTAATCTTGAATACTTCATTTCTTTGACCTAATGAGTGGCAGATTCATAAAGGCGTTATCACAATTTGGCATTATTATAGCCAATTAAAGTGTATGCTCTTGTAAATATCATGGTTTTGGTTTTTGCTTTCTTATATTTACCGGTGCCAGCATTTCTCAATTGGGATATGCCAACAAATCAATTATTCAAAAGGTATGAAAAAGGGTTCATTGTTTCATATCTAGTGGCTGAGTTTAAGATTTGGTAAATACTGAGCCAGAATTTTAGTGTGTGGTTTTATTACATGACAATACTCATTTTTAAGTTGAGATCTCTTTAGCTTGACCCTAAGTGTTTTTATGTTTTATATACTTTCCTGAACAGTTTTTCTTCTCACCCTGTACACCCTGGTTTATACCTGCTTTCACCTTCCTGGACTGACTATTGAATCTCAAGCTTACTTTTTTGTAAGATTCAATAGTGAGCATTTACTTTTTTCCTTTTACAACTTCTAACCATTTGAATATCTTTTCTGTCAGTCCTCCTAGTACAGGAGTCTAAGGGCTGAGCTATTCCCTTGTCCAATTCTGACACCCTGTATGTAGACATGTGATTTAGATGCAGCCATTGCATGGTTTCAACTAGGACTTTGAAACTTGGACTGATGCAAATTTGAAGGGAAATGGTGAAATTAATCACTGTGGTTATATTTTTGAGAGTCCAGTTCTGATGGTAGAATCCTAGCCAGAATGTTCCTGGGACATTGACTTGATTATTTTTCTGCCCAAATTCTGACCCTGGCTTCCTACTCTTGCCACAGATCTGTAAGCCCTCTGATGTCGTTCCAAAAAATTCATGATTTCTCTTGAATGCAGCTAAATACTCTAACAGTGCCACAATTATGTAATTTACTGCAATGATACTATAAAACTGCATGTATCCTCATCCATATGTTGTAATTAGTTTCATCAACCATTTATACATTGGTAGAGTGATTTAGTTTTTACTGTGCATTCTATTGCTAAGCTCAATAAGTTCGTTAATTCTTTTAAAAATCTCCCAATTATATTCTTTAGAAATTGGCTATTTAATTTTCTAAATTGAAAGCATGTATTTGTAACAGTAAATTAAAGTGGACCTTTCCTGGTTCAGTTTCAACTGAGGCCTCAATTCATCAAAGCCTATATTCCCAAGTTAGTTTTTCAACATATGATAGCCAAGAAATGGTTAGATGACTTTACTGTATGAATGCAGGAGACTGCTTGAATTAATGGCCCTAATGCTTTCTCTTTTCTGCTTCCATGTACTTTGACATATAGCTTTGTAATTCTTTTCTACTCTGGTTCTGCACTTGGCCAAGTGACTTGCTTTGGTGTATACGGTGTTGGAAAATGTGATGCGTGGGCATGTTCTCTTTTCCTCCTCTGCCATTACTATGAGAACATGGCAAAACTAGCTGGCTAGAGGATGATACCTGAGTAGTAGTACTAACACATCTGGTTCACCTCAGCAGAGGCCATTCTAGATTGGCCAACTCACAGCTGAGTGCAGACAGATGAATAAATCTAGCTAACATATGAGTGGATAGTTCAACCAAGTACAAACCAGATTATTGAATTACAGCATGTTGGACAACATGCAAAATATTGTACAACATTATTGGGATGATAAATAAATGACATACAAAATATATAGAAGAGATTTGAGAAAGATTATTTCTATGAAGAAATCTGTGCTATGTGTCTCAATCTATTCTGTTCAATACAGGGGTGAAGATGTGCTTTCCCTTCCCCTCAAGCCTACAGAGACAGGCTTGATAGGGATCATGAATTAAATGTGACAGCTATCTCCTTGATTTTATAAACTCAGCAGACTAGAGTCTGACTTACACTTGGAAATTTATGAGAGAGACTTTGTCTACTGTTCTGAGTTATCAGAGCAAAAGGCATGCCAATTGGAAACCAGCTATACTCCCATTGCTAGCAGAGGCAAAGTATGTATGTTTCTCTCATGGACTAGGTGTAGGCCATCTTGGAGCTATTTTGTATACTTTCCAAAGATCTCTGGAAGGGTGATGAGGCCCATACTGAGAGAACCTATAGTATATTCCTCAAAACAAGGATAGTAATGGGAGTGTCAGTCAGAGGAAAACACAGCTTGCAGCAATTTCTTTGTCACCATTCCCTTGTCAGGGGTAGCACCACTGAATATTTTCAGTGAGGAATCACCGCAGAATCCTTAAAAACACTCATGAGCAATGAATAAGCAAATGAATAAATACATCTGGAAACATTTGCCAGACTAAAATGTACAGTGCCTTCAAGCCAGAATCTTCTGGCTCCCTTTTCCATTTTTCCTTCCCCAGATTTAATCTGGGAGTGGGAGCTAGATGGGGGAGAAAGGGTAGAAAAATAAGGAGGGAAACAGAAAAGGCCAAACCCTATCCAGGTGGCATGCAATTTGCCTGCAGATGGCCAGACCTGGGGAAGTGGGGAAAAGTCTTACCTGTGGTTGAAGATTGAAGTGTTGATTAATATGTTTGACTAGATATTCTAATTTTAATTTCTGAAGGAGGGTGGTTAAATTTTACTACTTAAAAGAGCAGAAGTCTTTGTGTTAGCTTTTAAAAATAATGAGATTGCCAGAATTTTCATCATGGATCAGGGTAAAATCTCTCCCACCCTCATATAAATAAATTTTAAAGAGATAGTGGAAGATGAAAATAAAAATACTTTTTGATTCTTATGCTCTACAAATACAAATTTTGCTTGCTTAATATCCCAGTTACACATATAATGAGTTCATCATTTTTCAAGTAATTAACATATAAAATATGTTCGTGATTCTAAAGCCATACTAAACTTCACTTAATTTCAACTTCAAAAGGAATGTCAGAATCTTTCAATGCCTTATGTTTTTTGTTATTCATCCACTCATCACATATTCATGAATTTCTACTATATACCTGGCATTTTGCTAAGTTATAAGAATACACTTGAGGATAAGGTGTGTATTGTCTCTGCTGAAATACAAGTAATAGCCTATGGAGTAGATTGGCATTAAATAAAAAATCACAAAGATAATTACACTGTTGAAAAGGCAAAAGATGGAAATACTTACTATAGCTACATGATTATTATGTGCCTATAAAAAAAGTCTGTGCCATCATATGGTTTTCTGCTTATGTAGGAGATAAGAAATGTATACAGAGTATTATGTTAATTATGATTACATTAAAAAATTATTATATTAAAAGTTAGAAAGTTTTAACTGCTATAAGGCAATCCTATGACAATTCAGAGCGAGAAAAAGACAATGTTACTGGTTATACAGGGAAGGCAATGATCATGCTGGTATTATAGCTGGACTTTGAAAAAAACAGTGGAGTTTTGGCTCCTGGAAATAATATGTCAGTCTGGAGAAGCAGTCTAAATAGAAAAAAGAATGGCATAGGGAAACCTTATAATATTTGCAGAGAACAGGTGATAGTTAGACAAAAGCTATACACGTTTTCCCCATCCCCATAAGAAAGACATGGCAGGATCTTGACTTCTCTCCCTGTTTGGCTCTTTGCCTTTCTTGGTTGGAGTGAAAAATCTCCCGCTAGAGTGATCAGAAGACAGAGTTCCAAGCCTTACATTTGCAACTATATGGTGGTCCAGTGGCTCCCAGCCCTGACCTATCACCACACTAGATAAGGGTAGACTGACTTAAGCACTAGACTGTAGCTGGTTCTCATGATGCTCTACCAGGGGCCAACTACCTCCTTAGGAAGTCAGATGGCACATAATAAACCTTGACCTAATTGATCCTTACCTGAAAAGAAAGTAAAGGTGGCCAGATGTGGTGGATCACTTCTGTAATCCTAGCACTTTGGGAAGCCAGTGAGGAGGATCACTTGAGCCCAGGAGTTCAAGACCAGCCTTGGCAACATGGCGAAACCCCGTCTCTACAAAAAATACAAAAATTAGCCAGGTATGGTGGCACGGTCCTGTAGTCCCAGCTACTCTGGTAGCTGAGGTGGGAAGATGGCTTGAGCCTGGGAGCTGGAAGTTGCAATAAGAGGCACTGCACTCTGTCACCCAGACCCCATCTAAAAAAAAAAAAAAAAGAAAGAAAGTAAAGATACTTTTCCCACTTGAAAGCTCTGCTAAAACATACTGAAGCCCAGAAAATTCACAGAAGCCTATCTAGCTGGGCTAGCTTATGTCCAAAGTGAAAACTAAGTATTGCCTTAGTTTGCCAGACATTGGCATCATTGGCAGGCATTGTTAGAAGCTTTGACAATTTCGAGCGTGTGAAGAAATAGCTATAAGAACTGAAAGTAGAAACTGTGACTACAGAATTCACATTGAGGTAGGAAAGGGGCGTGATAAGACAGGTGCAATAGTGTTTTTTGTTGCTTTCAGCAGTATTTGCTTTAAAAAAAAACCTATGTACATCAGTTTCTATGATTAAAACATTGTAAAACTTAGCAAAATAAGGAAAAAACACATTGTGATAAGCAGAACAAAAGGTAGTTTTAATGGACTTCACACAGGATTGCATTTAGTGCCACTGACCTCAACTTTGTTAATAAACTTAACCTGAAAGGAAAACTGTCAATTCAATATATACATGTGTTCGTGTCTGAAACATTCTGTCTTCAGAAATAAGCGTTAAATGCCAGTTGACACTTGTTCCAGCTTCCCAGCCCCCCAAGGAGCCCACACTACTACTGGTCAGATGTTGCCCAGGGTAATATACCTAGAAAAAAGACATCATTCTGACAGATTTGTCTTGTGGCTGCAAAAGGGACTCATTCCTCCAGAGTTTCAAACGTATTGAGCTGCTATTATTCAAGCTGTGTAGACCACAGCTGTGAGTAATTATATAGAAGCTTGACCTCTGTCCTGTCATGGGTCATTACTTGGAAATAGTAAGAATAACCAATTTTTAGGACAGAACATGTAAGACTATTCATTGCTATCTGTGTATTTTTTGAAATAAAGAAACAATCTTTGACCTGGAGAATTAACTTGTGACCAGAATCCTGACTCTTGGTTCTTTTGTTTCTCATGAACACCCAGTGAAGTACTTATTATCTCTATTTTTGAATGCAGACACTGTGGTAAAGTCACACAGTAATGGATATCAGTTCGATATTCCTTCAACCTTTTCAACTAAGTCACTTAGATCAAATCACTTTGACTCTTGAGGTCATAGTTTTGAAATGGTGGCTAACATACCTTACTTGGCAGACGGAATACTTCTAAGCATAAAGCATCAGAAGGTGAAAGGTAAAAACTAGTGGAGAAATCTGAGTTTCTTTTTATTTCAGCTCATTCATTTTATTCCATTCTGGTTGGCCCTCTTGACTTTCAATGTTGGTGGCATCTTACAACCACTGCAACAACACATATCCTTGGAATAAATATTAGGGGACAGAATTTTAAGGTCAAAACACCTTTGAAATTGGATTTCTTTGTCGGATGCCTTTATGTTCAAAACTTTTGGTTCTAAATAAGTCATGCACAGTGGTAGTCTCAAAGAAAAAGAGCAGAAAAATAGAATAGAACTTCAACGGAGTGAGATAGAAAATATGTGTTATCTTCTTTGTCCACATATTTTAATAGTAGCAACAACACCTTGGGCACCGTGAGAAGAAAAATTGTCACACTATGCCTTCATACTATCTGAAATAGTGACTTATTTAATAATTCCTTAAATTTTTAAGTAAGGTTCTGAGTGCTAGGCTCTGTGTTATATTCTAGAGTTACAAAATGTATAAGATCTGCACCTAGCTCTCTAGGAGCCAATAGCTTACCCAATAAGTCATTCTGTCCACACAAATCTAGATCAGTGTCTTATGTTTACAATTTGCCAGTTCATTC
This sequence comes from Homo sapiens, assembly GCF_000001405.40. Lineage (NCBI taxonomy): Eukaryota > Metazoa > Chordata > Mammalia > Primates > Hominidae > Homo > Homo sapiens. The sequence goes on along the minus strand of NC_000006.12, from coordinate 77,547,323 downwards.
TTGGTTATGTTTATGTTTTCCTGGCAAATAAAGTTGTTCCACATAGATACGTTGAATACCTACTATTTACTAAGCATTGTGTTAAGTATCAGGGAGACACTGATGAGAAAACTTAATAGGACCCTATCTTCATATGAATTGCCTAGTCTGCTAATTAAAAAAAAAACTTTTCAATTCCTTCTTCCACAAAAAGCCGTATCTTCATTCAAAACTGTATTGGCCATTACTGTGGTCTCAAGAACAATGTTCTGCTTGAACCAGTTCATTTGAATTATACCAGTATTCATGTTAATAAGAGAGAAAGGGTACCTGGGAAAATGCAATGTGTAACCACATTAGAGAGCCATTCATTTCAGTCTCCTTGATTACAAAATATTTTTCAAGCTCTATTAAAACTATCAAAATTAGTTGTTGCATTATACCTTCTGTTCAATAATCATCAGTCAATATGCACTGGAAAATCAGAGAATTAAGAGATTCTTTTATTAAAATTTTACTACACATCTGCTCTTTGTGGCCAAACATTGTGCTGGGCACTCAGGTTATAAAAAAAGCTGAGTTATGTTCCATGCACTCAAGGAAGTTATCAGGAGAGACAGAGAAGTAAATGAAGTGTCTGGGTAAAAAAAATATGTATATTGATAAAATAGAATTTCCCCACAATTCTCTGTGGGCTGCTGTATTTTTGCTATTTATGCCTAAGGCTTAACCAGAAGTTGACTCAGTAGTAATAGTCAGCCCAAGTGACCATATTAAGAGAAGTTCTTATATTTCAAGCTACTTCTACCTTGTAAAAGAGAGACTTTTTCCCTGACAGTTTATGCAGATTTTCAACAAAGTAAGTTTTCTGTTAAAAATGGCTCTGGTTTGTAATAGACAAAAATGTGCGTGTCTCCGTAAGACATTTTTTAGCTACTAAAATTAAAAACAACTGCAGTACTATTTCATCACAGTTCTGCTGTGCATTTAACTTCTGCTGCTCCCTGAAAAACAGTGCTATTCAGCCTGTGCTCTTTTAGAAGACTCTAGATATAACACATTACTGTTCCTTCCCTGTATGTTGAAGGGATGCCACTTCTCATTCTTCAGTATATTATTTCTCTTGGGAAAGGACAACTTCATTCGTTGTGTCTTTCATATTCATATGGTCCTAAGAGTACACATCTCTACACTTCCCGTGTTTGATTCGGTCCTTGCAAATGACATGAAAAACAGTTTGATGTTTTAAGCAGACAGTAAATCTCAGTGGCATAGATTTGAGTTAAAATATTTTCCCTCTTCTTTCAGAGTCAAGGTTCATTTGGCAATCACTAAGAATTTGGTGAGGAAAAGATGCTGGGCAGCCCTGCAAGTGACTGGTCCTTTGAATGACTAGAAATGAAAAGTGACAGTTCACTGCTCTTTACAGTCTGAAGCAGCTGGATCACTAGAGATGCCAAGTCCCCTCTGAGAAAAATTCAAGCTCTTCTCAATTATCATTCTCACTCTTTTTTTGCACTGGTATCAAGAATACTTATAGATTAAATAATGCATATGAATATATATTAATATCTCTATCTCTATATCTATCTTCATTAATAATCCCTAAGAAGCAAAATAACTATAATACCTAATGAATAAAACAATATATTTCTCCAATATATGTATCCATAGATCTATAACTATATCCATCTTTCTCCCAAATATTTTCAGAATTTTAATTTAATATGAGATTATTATAATATAAATACATAATAATAATAATCCCTAATTAAATAAAAACTGAATGTATTGCATATTATATGTAATATATTTTCAGTTTAAAAAACATTTAGTCAGGGATTATTGTAGTATATACATGAAGTCAATATATTTACTTGCCAGGATATTAAATTTTCATGTTTTCAACTGGTCTTTGGGTTTTTTAATGTTTCTCCATGATTTATTGTCTGGTTCATGGGCATTCCATAGTGGAAAGACTAATTATACATTGGCTTGCTCTCTTTGAGGTCACATGACTGTGTAGCCTGGTTAAAAGGATGGAATCACTCACAAGTATTATCAGTACAACATGGCTTGCAGGAAAGCGATTTTGCTATTGCTGAAGTGAACAGCACCACATCAACTGCAGCACTCCTTGGCTTCCTGGGTCATTAGCCTCCACTTACAGATTGCTCAACTCCTAGCCCACAATCACCAAGGACACGACTGCATTTGGCTATCAGCTCCAGTAATGAAGCTTGAGTTTGATTATTTTATAGGTTCCTGCTTTGGTCCTTGTCCTACCATCTGTTCTTCTATTTACCTGCCTTGGATTTCTGGGCCATAAATTATGACCAGTATTACCTTACGTCTTGCAAGCCTGAGCTCTGATCAGTCATCCTCAGCCCAGCATCCTTTGCATCCACATTAACTAAAACATCTTCAAGTTCATTGTGATTGTCGAATGACCCAGTTTTTCCCTTTCTCTTTGCTACTTTTCCCCCTTTCACTTCTCCCTGCTCAGTCTCTACCAGGAAAGACCAGGAAATTTCCCTTATTAGACTTAGAATAGAGCCTCAGATCAGTTGTCAAAAATTCAGGAGGGCAGAAGTGCCAGCTGCAAGGTCTTTTGAGGCCTAGGCTCACAACTCCATCTTCTGCTGAATTCTGTTGCTCAAAACAAGACACAAAGCTAGATCAGATTCCAAGACAAAATATTAAATCCAACCTTTGGTGGAAAGAGTGGCAAAGTCACATTACAGAGATACAGGGATGTGAAGCATTATTATTTCTGTCTTTGCAAACAGCCTTCCCTCTGTCTACAATTTTTCTTATCCTTCTCACAGGCAAATACATTTATCCCTTCTCATAAGTCTCTTCCTTCTAATACATCAGGCCCAAAATTGAGGGATATGAAAACTGAATTTGGCCTGGATGTGGATTGTCAGGAGCTCAGCTGAGCTAGAGAGAGAGGGGGAGGAATGAGCTGCCATGTTTTGGAGCAGCTGAATAAAGCAAAAAGCCAAAAATGAAGGTAACCATAAAGCAAGAGTCTAAAGTGGAAGGAGTGCCAACTTCCCCTTTTCCATTTTCTCCCATGGAATGGTGCACTGGTCAAGGGTCAGGTGGATATGCACAAATGTGGGGTCATCTCACTGTTGAGAGCATCCTGAACAGAAGGATTCTGTAGTTTTATGGACTCAGGGGCTTGGAGGAGGAAGTCAGGCTAGGAGTGGAAAAAAAAAATGAGCACTGAGTTGGACTGAGGAAAAATGTCTTCAAAGTTTCCCGCTCCTTCCCCCGATAAACAGGCCTTGGTAGACGTACTTGAAGACAACCTTGGCTGAAGACCCCAGAAAGACTTGTAGGAATGAAGGTTCCTTGGCTAAAAATGCTAAAGTATGTAAAAGCATGACTGAACAGAGGATCCCGAGTCCTTGACTGCAACTCTCCTTAGTGATGTAATGCACTAGTCTGCACTAAGTATGATGTGGAGAGGGCAGCTTTTTTCCACAAGACCTATCAGTTAAAGCCTTTGTAATTGACCACAGCCAGACCTGAAAAATCGCACATAGATTTTAACCGGAAGCCAAACTCCTCATAGATAAGGCTGTAGCTTCTTCTGTGTGACTTCTTTTAATCCAGAGACAAGGGGACTAAAACGTCAAATTATACTCTCCCCTTCCCCAACCCACACACATTCAAAAATGATTTCTTATAATCCTTTGCAGACAAATTTCTCTCCCAATTCCTGGGCTTAAGCAGCCATTGATCTGCTTTCTGTTACTGTACTTTTGTCTTTTCTAGACTTTGTATTAATGTTATCATAGATTATATTATTTTGTTTGTGGCTTCTTTCATTTATCATAATACTTTAGATATTTATCCATATTTTTGCATGTATCAATAGTTCATTTCTTTCTATTGTTAACATTTCACAGTATATCTATACCATAATCTACTCTGTGGTATTATGTGTTTATTCACTAGCTGTTGTACATTTCATATTTTAATGTTCGGCTACTAACACTGAAACTCTTATGAACATTTGCAAGTAGGCATGTGTGGACATATATTTTTATTCCTCTTGAGTGCATACCTAGGAGTGAGATTCCTGGTCAATGACAAGTACATGTTTAGCTTCATAAGAAACTACCAACTTTCCTCCCTCTCCATTTTTCAATCCCATCAGAAATGTATGAGAGTTGCAGTTGCTCACATAGTTTTCAACACTTGGTAGTACTGGTCTTTTTAATTTGAGACATTGTAGTGAGTATGTAGTGATATGTCACTGTGATTGTAATTTGTACTTCCCTGATGAGCAATGTTGAACATCTCTTTATGGATTTATTGTTTGTTTGCACATTTTTTTTGTAAAATATGTGTTAAAATATTTTGCCTTTTTAAAAAACTGGGCTGTTTTTCTTGATATTATAGTAGTATAAGAGTTCTTTATGTATTCTCCATGCAAGTATTTTGTCAGATAAATGTGTGACAGACATTTTTTCCCAGTTGGTGTCTTATCTATCCATGTTTTAACCAGGTCTCTAAAAGAACGAAAGTCTTTAACTTTGATGAAGTCCATTTTATCCATTTTTGCTTCATGATTTCCTCTTTCCTATTTAAGAAATCTTGCCCTATCCCAGTGTCACAAAGATTTTTCATGTTTTCTTCCAGAAGTTTTATAATTTTAGCTATAACCATCAGGTCCATGATCCATTTTTATTTAATTTGTGTACATGGTATTAGTTAATAGTCAAGGATAAATTTTTCATATATGTAATATATATGTAAAATGTATAACATATATTACACACACACACACACACACACAGATTCTCTTTCTCTCTATTATCTCCAGCATTTCCAGATTTCCATTGAGTTACCTTGACATCCCTATGCCAAATCAGGTGACCTTATAAGGGTGGGTCTATTCCTTGACTTTCCATTGATCTAAATGACTGTCATTATTCCAATAGCTCACCACCCTGCTATGTAGTTGTATAAAATGTCTTGAAATCTTCCAATCTTGTTATTCTTTTTGAAATGATTTGATTATTTTAGTTCTTTTGCCTTTACTCACAATTTCAGAATTAGCTTGCCAATTTCTTCAAAACACCTGCTAGAATTTTTACTGATATTGCAATGACTCTGTAGCTCAATTTGTGGAAAAAGCCCATTTTAACCATATTAAGTCTACATTGGTTACATTTTCTATCTTCCAAATTACTCCAAGTGACAGCTTTGCCGAAGTTTCTGGCACTATATAACTCACTCTTTTTTGAGATACATATAGCAGCCTCTTCACTGCATCTCCACCCTCTACTAACAGTTCTTTTGTTAATGCCACCAGTCGTAGATTTTTTCCTATGGAAGCACCACCCTCTCAGTAACAAGTCACCCTAAAATTTAGTGAGTTAATACAGCAAAACATTTTATTTGCTCACATTTCTTTGGATCATTACTTTGGGCTGGCTCAACTAGGTGATTCTGCTGGTCTCATCTGGAATCACTTAGGCAGTGAATTATCTAGCCACTCCACTGGGACAGAATGGTCTAAGGTGGTCTTTGTCATATGCTTGGAAATTGTTGCTGGCTGACAGCTAGGCCATTCCTTGCTGTCTTGCATTCATAATAAGGCTGGAAAACTTCTCATGGTAATAGTAGCACTTTGGGATGAGAACAGAGGCTGCAATGCCTCCTGAGGCCTTGGTTTAGAACTCCCTAATAGATCTTCTACCATATTCTATTGGTTAATTCAAAATAAGAGGCCTGTCCAGATTCCAGGGGTGAGGAAATGAGCTCTGCCTCTTACTTACAGAGCCAACAAAGCCACATTTCAAAGAGGGTGCATGACTAGAAAAAATTATTGCTGTCATCAGTGCCAATATTCTACTAGAGATGTTTCATAAATATTTTTGTTACAAGGAAATTAGGCTAACACTAAAGTGTCTATAAATTAACCACTTATCTACTTAGCCAATATAAATATCATTTTACATTTGATTGATAAACCTAATGATGAAACCATTTCTACCATTATACTCACAGTTTCTCTCCATATACGTGTATTTTCTTCTCTTTTCTTTTCTTTCTTTGTTTTTTGTTTTTTTTTTTTTTTTTGTAAGACAGGGTCTCACTCTGTCACCCAGGTTGTAGTGCAGTGATGTGATCTTGGGTCATCCAAACCCCAATCTCCTGAGCTCAAGCTATCCTCTCCCCTCAGCCTTCTGAGTAGCTGGAACCACAGGAGTGTGCAACCACACCCAGCTAATTTTTGTATTTTTTGTAGAGACTGTGTTTCCCCATGTTACCCAGGCTGGTCTCGAACTCCTGGGCTCAAGCAATCCACCCACCTTGGCATCCCAAAGTGCTGGGATTATAGGCATGAGCCACCATGCCTGGCCCCATATATTATCCTTTTTTTTAAATTTTAAGTTCCAGGATACGTGTGCAGAATGTGCAGGTTTGTTACGTATGTATATATGTGCCATGGTGGTTTGCTGCACCTATTGACCCATCCTATAAGTTCCCTCCCCTCGCCCCCCACCTCTCAACAGGCACTGGTTTGTGGACACCCTCCCTATGTCCACATGTTCTCATTGTTCACCTCCCACCTATGAGTGAGAACATGCAGTGTTTGGTTTTCTGTTCCCATGTTAGTTTGCTGAGCATGATGGCTTCCAGCTTCATCCATGCCCCTGCAAAGGACATGATCTCATTTCTTTTTATGGCTGCATAGTATTCCATGGTATATATGTACCACATTTTCTTTATTCAGTCTATCATTCATGGGCATTTGGGTTACTTCTATGTCTTTGCTCTTGTAAATAGTGCTGCAATAAACATATGTATGCATGTGTCTTTATAGTAGAATGGTTTATATTCCTTTGGGTATATAACCAGTAATGGGATAGCTGGGTCAAATCCTTGAGGAATCACCATACTGTTTTCCACAATGGTTGAACTAATTTACATTCCCACCAACAGTGTAAGAGTGTTCACATTTCTCCACATCTTCTCCTACATCTATTGTTTCTTCACTTTTTAATGTTTGTCATTCTGATTGTTATGAGATGGTATCTCATTGTGGTTTTGATTTGCATTTCTCTAATAATCAGTGATGTTGAGCTTATTTTCATATGTTTTTTAGCCACATAAATGTCTTCTTTTGAAAAGTATCTATTATATCCTTTGCCCACTTTTTGATGGAATTTTTTTCTTGTAAATTTGTTTAAGTTTCCTGTAAATTCTGGATATTAGACCTTTGTCAGATGGGTAGATTGCAAAAATTTTCTCCTCTTCTGTAGGATTCCTGTTCACTCTTATGATAGTTTCTTTTGCCGTGCACAGGCTCTTTCATTTATTTAGATTCCATTTGTCAATTTTGGCTTTTGTTGCAATTGCTTTTGGCGTTTTCTTCATGAAGACTTTTCCCATGCCTACGTCCTGAAAGGTACGCCTTGGTTTTCTTCTAGGGTTTTTATGGCTTGGGGTTTTACATTTAAATCTTTAATCCATTTTCAGTTATGTTTTTGTATAAGGTGTAAGGAAGAGGTCCAGTTTCAGTTTTCTGCGTTTGGCTAGCCAATTTTCCCAGCACCATTTATTGAATGGGAGATCCATTCCCCATTGCTTGTTTTTGTCAGGTTTGTTGAAGATCAGATGGTTGTAGATGTGTGGTATTATTTCTGAGGTCTTTGTTCTACTCTATTGGCCTATATGTCTGTTTAGGTACCAGTACCATACTGTTTTGGTTACTGTAGACTTGTAGTATAGTTAGAAGTCAGGTAGCATGATGCCTCCAGCTTTGTTCTTTTGCTTAGGCTTGTCTTGGCTATATGGGGTCTTCTTTGATTCCATATGAAATTTAAAGTAGTTTTTTTCTAATTTTGTGAAGAATGTCAATGATAGTTTGATGGGAATAGCACTGAGTCTTTAAATTACTTTGGGCAGTATGCCCAGTTTCACAATATTTATTCTTCCTATCCATGAGCATGGAATGTTTTTCCATTTGTTAGTGTCCTCTATTATTTCCCTGGACAGTGGTTTGTAGTTCTCCTTGAAGAGGTCCTTCATATCCCTTGTTAGCTATATTTCTAGGTATTTTATCCTCTTTGTAGCAATTGTGAATGGGAGTTCACTCATGATTTGACTCTCTGCTTGTCTATTGCTGGTGTATAGGAATGCTTGTGATTTTTGCACATTGATTTTGTGTCCGGAGACTTTGCTGAAGTTACTTATCAGCTTAAGGAGTTTTTGGGCTGAGACAATGGGGTTTTCTAAATATGCAGTCATGTTATCTGCAAACAGAGGCTATTTGACTTCCTCTCTCCCTATTTAAATATACTTTATTTCTTTCCCTTGCCTGATTGCCCTGGCCAGAACTTCCAATACTATGTTGAATAGGAGTGGTGAGAGAGGGCATCCTTGTCTTGTGCAGGTTTTCAAAGGGAATGCTTCCAGCTTTTGCCCATTCAGTATGATATTGGCTGTGGGTTTGTCATAAATAGCTCTTATTATTTTGAGATATGTTCCATCAATACCTAGTATATTGAGAGTTTTTAACATGAAGCAATGTTGAATTTTATCAAAGGCCTTTTCTGCATCTATTGGGATAATCATGTGGTTTTTGTCTTTGGTTCTGTTTATGTGATGAATTACGTTTATTGAGTTGCATATGTTGAACCAGCCTTGCATCCCAGAGATGAAGCCGACTTGATTGTGGTGGATAAGCTTTTTGATGTGCTGCTGAATTCGGTTTCCCAGCATATTATCGAGGATTTTCACATAGATGTTCATTAGGGATATTGGCCTGTCATTTTCTTTTTTGTTGTGTCTCTGCCAAGTTTTGGTATGAGGATGATGCTGTCTTCATAAAATGAGTTAGGGAGGAGTCCCTCCTTTTAACTGTTTGAAATAGTTCCAGAAGGAATGGTACCAGCTCCTCTTTGTAACTCTTGTAGAATTCAGCTAGGAATCCATCTGGTCCTGTGTGTGTTTTTTTTTTTTTTTTTTTTGGTTGGTAGGCTATTAATTACTGCCTCAATTTCAGAACTTGTTATTGGTGTATTCAGAAATTCAATTTCTTCATGGTTTAGTCTTGGGAGGGTGTATGTGTCCAAGAATTTATCCCTTTCTTTTTAGATTTTCTAGTTTATTTGCACAGAGTTGTTTATAGTAGTCTCTGATGGTAGTTTGTATTTCTGTGGGGTCAGTGGTGATATCCCCTTTATCACTGTTTATTGTGTCTATTTGATTCTTCTCTCTTTTCTTCCTTATTAGTCTAGCTAGCAGTCTATCTATTTTATTAATTTTTTCAAAATAACAGCTCCTGGATTCATTAATTTTTGGAGGGTTTTTCATGTTTCTGTCTCCTTCAACACTGTTCTGATAATAGTTATTTCTCGTCTTCTGCTAGCTTTTGGATTTGCTTGCTCTTTCTTCTTTAGTTATTTTAATTGTGATGTTAGTGTGTCAATTTGAGATCTTTCTTGCTTTCTGATATGGGCATTTAGTGCTATACATCTCCCTCTTAACACTGCTTTAGCGGTGTCCTAGAGATTCTGGTATGTTGCCTCTTTCTTCTCATTGGTTTCAAAGAAATTTTTTCAAAGATTTTTTTGCCTTAATTTTGTTATTTACCCAGGAGTTATTCAGGAGTAGGTTGTTCAATTTCCATGTAATTGTGTGGTTTTGAGTGAGTTTTAATCCTGAGTTCTAATTTGTGCACCAGAGCAACTTGGACATATTCTTAATATCATGGGATGGTTTAGTTCATGTTTCTTTGAAGGTTTAAGAAATCAGCGGCAGCTGTTTCCCAACATAAAACCCCCTCCTCTGATGTGCCATGCTGTCTGCTTCTGTACTAGTAACCCCATATCTTTAGATATAGACACTGGCTTCCCATTTGAAGGACATTGATGAGTTGAGTAGAAGTATACTCTGTATTCAGACTCCTAATTAGTTTACATATTGCTTTTTTTCTGAATTTTTACCTCACATGATCTAATCTCATCACCCCAAAATTATGGAAATATTTCTAACCCACTGAACGAAGCAGTATGTGAGCTACTGACTATGAAAGCTAGAATGTGTGTGTGTGGTGTGTGTGTGTGTGTCTCCAGTATCTAGCTGAATACTTGATTCATGGTAGGTACTCAATAAACATCACAAACTTTCCACCAGAGTAAAACTGTCCCATTAAGCTGTTTCTGAGAAGCTTCATATGACATATAGTTTTGTGCCAGAAGTAGAGAGGTGGGTGCATGTCACGAAGCAATCTTCTAGAACTTTGATATTTTGTTGGTAATCGCTGCTCATTCATGTTACCATTACACCGCTCTAATTACTAAACTTGTCAGCCACTACCTTAACTTGGTGTGTCGAACTGATGACATTAGAGCAGTAATTGCCCCACCCATCCCACAGTACTCATCATTTATCAATTATGGCACTATTGCTGACTAAGCACAGCAGCAACAGGGAAATTCTTTTTAAAAACAGTGTTCTAGAATCCACTACCAATCAATTTGAGTTGAGATGAGATTTGAAACCCATTGTCGTTCTTGACTTGTTTTAGAAGATTATTTTTGTAACGTCAACTCAAGGTAAAACTTGCCGCCTAATGATATATAATAACTACTTGTTGATGTTTTTAAAAATATGATAAATATGGATCATTGGATATTGTTATATTTCTCTGATAATGCTAAAGTGAATTTGAGGAAACAATAGTTTTTTGACTAGTTAAATATATTTGTAAGAGATGAGAAGAATTGATATTTTTGTGTACCATTGTGTTTTAAGCATTGTATATCTTTTGATAATTTAAAATGTACATTTTATGTTTTTCATGTTTTAGATTGTAAAGAAATGGAGGCTTTCTTGGTAGTATCTAGAAGATGTACCCAAATCCCCACACTGTTGCAATTTGTATGACTAACTGCAAGTTGTCTCCTTAAATTAATTAGCTGAAAGCTGATAGCAATAGCTGTTTTGCCTCTAGTGAGACAACCTTTCAGGACAAAATTCTGGCAGATGTTAACACGGTTAATAGTAGACTTCTTTTTCTGTTTCTATTTACCAATTATGAAGAATATTTGGCTTCCTTGCTGTTGAATTTCTTCATAGACAACATGTAGGTTTTTTAAAGTGACATTGACTTCCAACAACACTATATGGCTATGGTATTGTTCTTCCTCCAAAGAGGAGATCAGGCAAGTGACCTGAAGCCAGGAAGCAGATTATTATATGCTCCCATTGTGTTACTTATCTATCTTTCTCACTTAAAAAAGCCCAGAATATTACTTCTCAAAACTCTATAGATAGGTGGTTAGTTACCTTATAGGTTAATCCAATCCTAACAGGAATAATTATAAAGTAAATTCATCAGACATATAGCTAATAGAAAGATGCTCGTCATGCAGGAAACTATGATAAGATTAGCAGCAGAAGATTATGAATGGAGCAATAAGTGCAAACTAAAACACACACACACACACACACACACACACACACACACACCCTGTTTGGTAGTAAAGAAAATAGATATGGTTTTGCTATTAGTTTATTCAGTCACTTGTAATAGGCAACTCTAATATGTAGCCCGTCTTATGTAATCACCCAGGATGGTACTGTGGAGATTTTAGCAGTCAACCTCAGCATGAGAACTGGATAATATTTATAAAACTCTGAATGGAGCCCAACATTTCCTTGTGTTGGATGTTAGAAAAAGGCATTGGAAGGAACACCAGCCTTTAGAGGGCAGGAACATCTTATATGGCTTAACAGTAATACTCTCCTTGACTTTCAAGTTCTCCTTCCTTACAGTAAGAAGTCAGCTAACTGGAAGAAAATTACTTCTTTTAACTCATGAAAACAAGGAGGCTTCACAACATCTGGCTTTGGTTTAATCATAAAACCTCCCTGGTAAACCCATTCACTATTACAATGGTTTTTTTGTATGTTTGTTGCTACAGATTGTTGATTCAGGTTTATTCTGTCTTGTTAGCAGGTGATCATTTGGTTGATTTAAAATGAGTCATATAGAACAGACAATATTTTCTCATTCTTAAGTATAATTTGTGGGCTTTAATAACTTGCTATCTATAGTTATGCTATAGTACAAATTCAAATCTATTTAATACCTTAGCTTGCTTATTTTATAGCTGAGAATCTATTCACTGAAGGTAAGTTTTTACATTTTTCTCACAGAAGCTCATGCATATGTCCTGGTAAAATTTTCTTCCATTGCTTTTTTCTTATTTCTTATTTTTATCTTTTTTTCCACTGAATTAATTGTGTTGCTATCACATCATATTAAATATGTCCTAAGATGAACTTATTTTTCATTTCGAACCAGACTGGTTTCTCACTTTTCCTTCTTTGTCAACGGTGGAAGTATTTGTTCATTTATAAAGTTAGAAATTTTTTTCTTTTTCTTCCACTGGTAGTCATCTATTGTGCCTTCATTTTATTCCTAGCGCCCTTTTCTCAGTCTAAAGTCAGCTCCTTGATCTGTCATGGCACTAGGAAACTCTCTGGCCTGTTTCCTGTCTCTCCCAGCTAGATTCCTAACTGTTGGATGTGAGATCTGGGTTGTATACTTCTGTATCCCAAGGTGAAGAACATGGCATGGCACACAAATATTTATCCTTCAGTAAATACATGGTGAAGAAAGGAATGAAAATTAGTTATCATTAGTTTATACTTAGAGTAAAAACTGAATTCTCTTTTTTTGTATTCTACTGCCCAGCAAATCTTACTTAAACATTGATTTAATTATCTACTCATTTGAAAAATTAAATCCCTTCTATTATTATTCTGCTGCACAAAATAAATATGTATGTTTGTGCACATCTATGTACACATATACATATATATACATACACACATACATATGTATGTATATAGTCATCTCTTTATGATTTTGTCCTCTTTGCACTTAGCCAACTTAATTTTCCACTGCCTTCAATATGAAACTTCCTTTTTTAAAAAAAAAAAAAACACTGGTCTCCCCACTGTCCAGAGAATACATCATGTTCAACTGTGCTGTTGCCTGTGTTTTTTTTTTTTTTTCCTTGAGTGGAATACCTTTATTTTTCTCTGCTTATTTAAGTTCTACACAGCCTTCCAGGCCTAACCTACTTCCACCAGCTCTGTAAAGTCTTTTTACACTACTCAATTTTTCTTTCCTTCTGATCTTCTCTGACTATGCACTCAGTGTTGTGTACATCTTGGTACTTAATGATGCATTTCATATGCATTGCTTACTGTAAAACTGTGTACTTGTCTTAGGTCCCCATTAAATGCAATCTCCTTTAGGCAATACTTTCTAGACTTTAAAACAGGAGTTCCAATTCTTGGCTGAGAAATGCTCAATAAATCACCAACATACAGATATTTAATAAATAAACATTTTCAGTCATTAGTGTTCTCTTAAAATTCAGATCTGTATATTGAAGTACTACTGGATGTTTGTGCATAGGTACTTGATTAACATGTACACAAAATAATTTATTATATACTATGTCATTTCTTCATTTATTCAATCTCTTTCTCGTCCTTTAAGATCAGAATCTTTTAACTATACTGCTATTCATCCACCAGGTACTCAACAAGAAATTTCCAGGGATACCTTTGATTTTTCAAATTTCTTTTTCCGTAACCAGTTGCTTCACAAATTCCATCATTCTGCTTTGTGAATCACACTTGATCATATTCCTTCTTTCTCCTTTACTGTGCTGGTTCAGGTTGTATAATGTGTTTCTCTGGTGTCAACTTTCTTCCTCACTTAGAGTCCAAACTTCGAAGATTGCAAAGGGCCCACCCTATATCTTCAGACCTTCTCTGTCCTCATCCTTTTAGGTTAGGCTACTTTTGTAGGAATATATATACCTCATTCTCAAGTAGGATTCCCATGCCTTTGTTTATGCTTTTCTATCCTCCAGTTACCTCTTTCACCTTTTAAAAACATAATGTATATCTGACTTAAGATTTATCTGAAACAGGCTGGGCACAGTGGCTCGCACTTGTAATCCCAGCACTTTGGGAGGCCAAGGTGGGTGATCACCTGAAGTCAGGAGTTCAAGACCAGCCTGGCCAACATGGTGAAACTCTGTCTTTACTAAAAATACAAAAAAATTAGCCAGGCATGGTGGTGTGCACCTGTAATCCCAGCTACTCGGGAGGCTGAGGCAGGAGAATTGCTTGAACCCAGGAGGTGGAGGTTGCAGTGAGTTAAGATTGTGCCACTGTACTCCAGCCTGGGCGACAGAGCCAGACTCCGTATGAGAAATACATTTTTTCGAATCCCCTCATATTCCAAGCATTGTTCCTTTCTTCTTTTCATGTTTCATATTACACCACTATATTGATATATAGCTCTCATCATATTTTATTATAGTCAATTGTTTATATGTCTCTCTGCCCAATTAAACTGAGGAGTCCTCAGGGACTTAATTTTGCTGTTTTTTATGACCTGGTCTACCACAGCACCACTCATTTAGAACACTGTTATTACTTATTTGTCTTCTCAATTCCAGCTCAGTTCTCTACTTGTAATAACAATGGCATATAATTCACATTGATCCACAAATTAGTCACATGTTCTTTTCCATTTCTATTGAATATAAACAAATTATAGCTTTTTCCTGATTTAAAAAATCCTAATCTATTGTTAAAAAAATTATTCAGTGATTCTTATTCAAGTAAGAAAAACCTTATTCAGGACCACTGTGATTGGTATAAGGACGATGACAGTGGGATTTTGTGGTGAGGGCATTAGATTGGGTTCAACTCTGCATACAGCATTGCCAGGTGGTAATTTATAGCCAAGGAGTAGCCTGGGGGTCAGTGGATAGAAAATTACTTGGAGGAAACCTCAAGGGGAAGGGGAATTTTGGCTAAACCAACCTAACAGGATTTTTGCTGAAGACAGGTCAGGATGATCAGACACTGGCGGTTTGATAGAGGATGAGGAACGAATAAGATATTGAGGGTGAAGGGTTCTTGCTAAAATGACTTAGCAGTGTCCTTGCCAAAACTGGATTTTACAGAGCAGTGTACATAGTGTACAGATGGGGTTAGAAGAAGGTTCAGGAACCTGACTAAAGTTTGGTCAAGCGAAGGGTCTTTGTCATTTGTCACTACTGGCTTGCATTTCAGGTTGGATAATTCTTTGTTGTAGAAGGCTGTCTTGTGCATTATAGAATGTTGAGCAGCATCCCTAACATCTTCCTACTAGATGCCACTATCAGTACCTCCTTCCTGTAGATGTGACAAGCAAAAATGTCTCTTGGTATTGCCAAATATTCTCTCACGGGCAAAATCTCCTGGTTGAGAACCACTGCTTTGGGAGGATCCATTCCAACTCCTCTCCTAGTAGCCCTGTGCAGCACCAAAGAACAGAAGCATTTGCCCTCCTGGTTGTGTTGGCAAGGTAACTCTTAGTAACAGGGCATACACAAACCTTGACCTTTCGGAGCTTTTTTTGTATGTAGGCCACTGAGAACTGCCAAACTCTTGGTTCATAAACTTTCTTCAAAATCCTGCACTAAGAGACTTGATGAAACTGTAACATACCTTCTGGCAACCAAAGATTTAATCCCTGGGAAGACCCATCCAGTTTTTGTCTGGGAAAGCTCAAGACTGTCAAAGCAATTTATTGTGTTCTAGCCAGCATCTGAGATAGGCCCCGACCTCCTTTATTTAGAGCATTTTCTAAAAAGTGCTTATAATTGCAAATATGTTTCTGTTCTTTAAGATATATACATATCTCCTACATCTCAGGAGTCCTCAAGGACCAGGAAGCCATTCTTAGAAATGTAATCATCAGGAAGGACAGAGCCTCTGTCCCCCAGTCTGGTGGTGGTGGTGGTTGGAGGAGACAGAATCATAACTTAAAATAACTGCCAGGTAAAATATACAGCTGGCCTAATTAGCATTTACATTGACCAACACTTTATACTTCTTAACTTCCCTGTCACTGCTCAAGCCCCTGTTAATCCCCCTCCTTTCTCTTATTCTCTCATTCTCCCTCTAAAATGCCCCGTCACCTCTGTACAAATTCAAGTTGAGTTTAGTTCACACTGGACTCTCTTCCCAACTGCAATAGTATATTACTGATTAAAATCTATCCTTATCACTTTCACTAGTGTCTGGCTTTGTTTATTTTGACATTGCACAGTTTAAGGGAAACTTACATTCCCTTCTACTCCTCCTAGTTTTAACTTCCAGAACAATTGAGAGTGGGTAGGTAAAATCCTGGTGTAAAGCATTTGGAAATACACTTGGCTGCTGGTCAAAGCTGCATTCTCAATCCAAATTTATCAAGTCTGTTCTTCATCTGTGTGATCCTTGCATATACCTCTCATTTGGATTCACATTCAGAAAAGTAGTGATATTAATTATTCCTCAACAGCACCAACAAAAACTATAAAATCTTGTACCAAAGTCTATTTATATAATCAATCACTGGTTATATTCTAACTAAATTTCAGTCCCTTTCTGTCTTGATGCTAATAGTGAATAAACCTCAATGTGTTGCACTTTTCAAGGACATTTGTCCTTTAAAGGAATTACACTGAGTTTGTAATATTTTAACTGAAAGAGTAACTCTCTTTGGTAAGAAACTTAAGCCATCTTAATAGCCTAATGGGAAAGTGGACCTAAGAGGATTGGAGACATTTAAAAAGCTGTTAATAGACTCCTCAACCCTTCCCACACTGCTGTGTCAACTCCATTGAGTCTGATCTTGTGTCTGGGTAAATAATGCTGTTTCCAAGGCACTCCTGATTTGCCTTTAGAAGAAAGTAAAATTTTCATCAGGCTAAAACTCTTGCCAAAATATCTGAGTAATAAATACTATTATTTGGGGACGAATTCTGATTTTGTTTCATTTTGTTTTTTTTTTTCTCTCACAGTGTATAATAAATAGAATTTATATTAAAATATAGTCATATGAATGTCAGAAAGTTCTATCTAAACCAATGTAATTATGAAGGCTTTGTATATTAATGTAATTGTCTACCAATTTGAAGGCAGCATAGATACAGTGAAACAAAAAATTGCTTCAAAGGTGCCACCAACTGTTTTGATTGTAAATTACAATTTGGGACCTTTATCATGAATTAAAACAGTCTGTTAAATATTATCATATTTTCAGCCCTCTCAAGTTCTATTGTTCTAGGAAACCAATCTCAACCACTTGTTCTTGATTTCTAGTGAATTCATCTAATGCTGTAAAAAGTTAAAATATTTTATCATTGCATATACTTTTTATTATGGCTAGTGGCTATGTAACTAATACAGTTATTTTCAGTGATAGCTTCTTTGAACTATTAATATTAAAAGTTACTTGTTCAGGAGGTACTATGATAGATATAACAGAGAATCTTATAATTTTGCATTGAAAACAAATATCTGGTATAATTAGTTTTGCAGGTTCTCTTACATTTGAGGAAGTTAAAAGATAATTGAGTCTAAAATATGTGTGTAGAAGAGTAAGAAGATGAGTGGATACTTGGGAAAGATTCTCTCTATTTTGTGTTTGGTATTGAAGGGAGAAGGATGTGATAGGTGGTACACAGAAGACAAATTTAGCGGTTAGATTTTGAGAGAAGATACTTTTTAAGAGATTAAACAATAACAACAAAAAGCAGCTTAAAATTGTTGACAACATATCTGTTAGAAGGAGAGAAGAAACCTTAAGAGAGTTTACTTTTTAGAAACATAAAAATAAAATATAAAAAGTAATTATCTGGTGATATTTCAGTAGAGCATTTTTTGGTTGTAGTTTTGTATACAAAGAGCCAGATATAAATTTTGAATTTGGTAAATCTTTTTGTTTTGTATCAGAAAATGACGGTTATAATTTTAGTTGTTCTTCATTATATATGTATTATGTGTAATATAATATCTATGTGTAATTCACAATTATCTCAAAACTGATTTTACAAAATAATTTCAACATCTTCAAAGATTTTAGAGATATTGCCTTTAAGCATTAGAAAAATCAAAGTAGTGTATTCTAAAAATCATGCATATTTTTTTCAAATTTTCTGAAATATGGCAAAAGCCCTAGTAGTCATCAGGTTATGTGATTTACTGATGTATCTTGAAATGTACCAGATGAGGATGTTTAGAAAAAAAGACAGAAAATCTTTTATAGCATTGTAATTATGCTACTAAGGTTTTTGCTAAGTGTAATAGTATAGCTTACAAAGCATGAGAAAAAGCTCAATTAAATAACTATGACGGCGGTCTAGACTTAGGAAGTCCTTATTTTCAGTGTTTGTCATTTAAATTACAAAATCCAGGGAGTTATAACAACTGGGAGCTTTCCATTTTTAAAATAAATGCAAAGAAAGATCAAAATATGAGATCTAGTAGAGTCTCTACCATCTGAGTCTCACATATTCAAGCTGTAAATAAAAAAAAGGAAATAAAAAAATCATTAGAGTGACATGAAGCACAGTTATTGACTCCTTTTCTTCTGACTAGAAGACTTATCATCTTCTTTAGATGGAATGGTTTTGTGTAGCATGCTTTCTACCAAATCCTGGCATGCCTTTTACTTCTTATAGAGAAACAATGGAAGCTATTTGTGGCTTATTTCTGAACATCTAAATTTTCCATTATCTACAATATTCTCAGACCTGTTTACTTTTGATAAAAAAAAAAGCTCCTCTCCTCTCCAGCTGACACCTGAGTAAGTTCCTGAGAGTTAGGTTGTCTCTTTATTCTGGATAGAACTTTCTGGGGGCTGCCAGGGGTAAGGATTTGGTGTTTTCCACTGCAGTCTGGTGGAGTACCCTTTCCTCGGGTGCCTGATAGTTGTATGAGCTCTATTTGTATGTAAATATTTTGAATAAATACTGAGATATGTCCAAGGATATATCTGCCATCTGTAAGAAAAAAATGAAATTTGCTTGTCATTGACATTTTTTATTTTCCTTTGACACTTTTTGTATTTAAAGAAGTTAAATCTGCTCTAATCTATGGAGAACTTAACCCCTATTTATTAATTCAGATCACTTCTATTAGAATAGGGGTGGGTTGTTTTGTTTTGTTTTGTAACTCAGTCACAAATATTGTGGTCGTTCCTATCTCATGCAATTCCTTTCATTTAAAACAGTCTCCATTATTTTTGCACTTACACATATTTTTCAAAGTGCAGTCTAAACCACACTTCTAGGAGGCCTTCGCTGAATACTTTAGACCCACTGACCATCTTTCCCTCTCAGGCTTTTGGGTGCGCACCCTAACATTTGGCTTTGGTTTACCCTTAGACACCCTCTTTTAGCTTATAACCATACATTCTCCCTCATAATTCTTGGCACTGATCTTGAAAATGCTCCAGTAGCTGTAAATTGTACAACTGTACAGTTGTACAATTGAACAAACTTTCTTTTTTTAAAAAAAATCAGTGAGTTGTTCAACTTTTTCAGCTTTTGTTTCTCTTGTTCTATTCTGCAAAGATTAGAAACCCGACCATTTTCTAGTTATAGTGGGGATATCTATTTGGAATCTTTTTCTTGGGAATCCTGGTGAGCCAGGTCATGCTGCCAGATGCTGTCACTACAAAGGACAACACAGAAAGCATACTGTGATGCTCACTCTTCAATAAACCTGTGATGAAAAGTCTCAAAACGTAAGTCAAAAGATAATAAACAATCTCATTAAAACAGACATAAGGAACAAGGGGAGGCAGAAGGCTCATTTTCAAGGAGGAGAAGTTGATGTTTTATGTTCTGTGATTAACCACTGGCTGGTGTTTCATACAGAAGGCAGCATTTGGTGTGCCATGGGCATTCAGTGTTCTTTGAATCAGCCAAGTGCAAACGTGTGCCAGTGTATATAAGAGAGGGGGCTCAGCCCTACATTATTTCCTTGTTGCAGACACTTCCTTCTAACTTTCTCAACTATACCCATTGCTTCAGATAGGATCCACGTGCAGAGAGGTCCTATTTGTTTATACTTTCAGCTCAGACTTCTCTTCTTAGACTTCATCCATTGCATAGGCCCAGCTATGTAATATACTCTTGAATGTCTCAAAGGCATATCAGTTCTATCTTTGTCTTCATGATACCTTGAATCTTGGATTTTTCTTCTGAACTCTTCCAAGGCTCTTATTCTGCTCAGATTTGGGTGACGTTCATTGCAGTATCTGGTTCACTGCTCTGGACTCTGGCTGTGGCTCCATGGGCTGCTCTGGTTAGATACTGAAGGCCCTGGGATACTCTGCCTCCCCTTGGCTCTACCTTCACCCTCCTACATGCATCCCAGTGCTGCTGGAACTTCACTCCTGAGACATAATAGGACAATGGACATCTGTGAATTCTTGTGTCAGTTTTTCTAAGGAGAAAATAAGAATGAGTTTGAGATGCCTTGTGACCATTGTGGGACAAGACCAGGCTGGAGTTCCATACTGGGTTTTCACATGTGCCTTTTCCAACTGAGAATATTCGTGTGAACTTACTGTCAAAATACTGAATGTAGAGTGATTTGACGTTTGTTCAAAATCCTCAACAAAAATAACCAAACTAAAGGGACTGTCCATATCAGATAGAATCAAATGGTTTATTAATATTTCAGTGGTTAATGAAGTTGCTGGTGGGCCTTTGTTATGAAATGTTTCAAAATATAAAGCATGAGCTTAGATAAAAAGTGGATTGATGATGTTCGCTGACAGGGAGAAGAAGGGAAATGAACATGACAAAAATGGATGCTACTAACACATGACTAATTAACACATGACCTCTAATTAGCAGAATATTGTGACATTTAAGTGTTTTTGGTTGAATTTCTAAAAATACTCTGGTAATTTGGAGACAGGTCTCTGAAGAAAAACAGTAAAACAGAATATGAGATACTTTAGAAATATAATTTATTTTGAGGAGCATGGCATGAGTGGCAACCTTAGCATCATGGAATCTTCCTACCCCCTAAATCTGACCTGAACCTTTGGGAGGTTTTTAACATACAAAAAAAAATAAGAGATTGTCTTGAGTTACAAACAGCAGTCTAGGGGAATACAGCTCCAAAGAGGGAAGCAAAATGAGACTAGCAGAAGACCGAATTTGTGTGGTTTATCATTCACTCATAAGGACCCAAAGAAAAATATATCCTCCCACTCCTTTCTGAGGAACTATCGTGTGACTTTGCAAGAGTGGCTCTTACAGAGTTTCTGTCATACCTTACATCAAAATTTTATTTTGATTTTTTTTCAGCCAACTATTAATTTTAGAAGCCCTGTTGTTTAGGAAATAAGAGAGGTCTTGGGAATCAATGAAACTAGCCTGTCAGACACTGGTGTAATTAAAGCACTCTTGTGACAGCTCTGAGTGCTTGGATTAATAGTCCTGTGCATTTTAACACATGCTGAGTATTGCAAATAATATGTTTTAGTTTGCTTTAGGAAAGTTTATTGGCCTGATGACCATGTATGTTTTGTCCTGCCCCCATTTTCTCCTATTACTGAGTTTCAGTCTCTGTTTATGATGCCAAGGGCAGAGCAACCTGTCAATGAGCATCTTCTGGCTGAGTCTGGGTCTAATGGTTGCTTGGGAAAGGCAACCTCTGGTAAGATGTGATCTAATGAAATTCCAAAGACTTCCTCATATCTTTGGGACCTTCTAAGCCATTGACTGTCTTTTGTCAGACCACAGTTCTGTGGACACACAGCTAAAGGATGTGTTTAGAGAAGTCACTACCCATGTCACTTTTCTAAAACCACTACTGCCTTCTGCTAAATGCCCTCATATCCACATTTTCAGAGTCTCTCTGTTAGCATTGCTTTTCCCTTTTTATCTTCCCTATTTCTTATATCCTCCTTTCTCCATTTAACTTATAGCAGACCTAGGATAGCAACAAAAGGTTAGAAATATAAAATACGAATTAAAAGGGTTAGAGATGTTAAAAGCATTATCAAGGACACAGGATTAAGAGAAATGTGCTATTGCCTCCATTGCTGTGACCTTGTGTTTGCAGGGCCTCCTCATTTTAAAAAAAGCACTTGAATAGATCTCATCACATTAAACTTTCAGATCAGCTCTAAAACCTATATCCCACAGAGTATTGCATTTTACTTATTAGAAAATTGCATTTTACTTATTAGAAATTGCTTTATAAAGAAATAAAATACTTTGTATTTTATTTTGTATTTATTTTGTATTGTATTTTATTAAAATACTTTGTATTTTATTTCTCTCAGTAGTTTTTTTAACTTTATTTCTGACATATATGCAGATATGTCACAATATAGCAGATTGCATAACATCTTGCAGGTTTATGTGAATGAATGGGTCATTTTCAAAAATTAAAAGCTTGTCATTATCTTCTACATAGCATCCCCGGAGCATGTGGTCCAGATCCGGACATATAGTTAATATCCATAAATACATGGCAGCTTTCACCTTAACACTAAGCTAAGGCTATTTGCATAGGAGTTTCCAGGTCACCTTGATAAATCCCAAAGCCATTTGTGAGAAACTTATACATTTTTCATTATTTTCAGCCTCTCAGCACCCAACGATATTTGAATCTGTTCATTAAAATTGTCAAAAAGTTTTGGCTGCTTGTCTTGACCTCTCCTGTCCATCCCCAAGATGCATTATATATATATACTTTTGTTTTGAATAAAGTTATTCAAGCACAGGTGTAGTGATCTAGGCCTCCCAGAAATGTTTATTCTGTGTAAAATGCTGAAAAAATATGTCTCCAAGTGCTGAGTTCCTTTGGCCTGATTTATAGAGCCATGCAGACTATGTACATTTAGAAGGGCAGTGCTTCAGATATTTCTCATTTGTACACATGAATATCTATTTTTCTTTAATTTATTCAAGCCATAACTTATATCATGTTTTTTTTTTATTATACTTTAAGCTCTGGGATACATGTGCAGAAGGTGCAGGGTTGTTACATAGGTATACATGTGACATGGTGGTTTGCTCCACCCATCAACCCATCATCTACATTAGGTATTTCTCCTAATGCTCCCTCCCCTTGCCTCCCACCCCTCAACAGGCCCACTGTGTTGTGTTTGGTTTTCTGTTTCTGTGTTAGTTTGCTGAGAATGATGATTTCCAGCTTCATCCATGTCCCTGCAAAGGACATGGGCTCATTCTTTTTATGGCTGCATAGTATTCCATGGTGTATATGTGCCACATTTTCTTTATCCAATCTGCCATTGATGGGCATTTGGCTTGGTTCCAAGTCTTTGCTATTGTGAATAGTGCTGCAACAAACACATGTGTATATGTGCCTTTATAGAAGAATGATTTACAATCTTTGAGCATATACCCAGTAATGGGATTGCTAGGTCAAATGGTATTTCTAGTTCTAGATCCTTGAGGAATAGCCACACTGTCTTCCACAATAGTTAAACTAATTTACATTCCCACCAACAGTGTAAAAGCATTCCTATTTCTCCACATCCTGTCCAGCATCTGTTGTTTCCTGACTTTTTAATGATCACCATTCTAATTGGGGTGAGATGGTATCTCATTGTAGTTTTAATTTGCTTTTCTCTAATGAGCAGTGATGATGAGCTTTTTTTCATGTTTGTTGGCCGCTTAAATGTCTTCTTTTGAGAAGTGTCTGTTCATATCCTTCACCCACTTTTTGATGGGGTTGTTTTTTTCTTGTAAATTTTTTTAAGTTCCTTTTAGAATCTGGATATTAGCCCTTTTCTAGATGAATAGATTGCAAAAATTTTCTCCCATTCTGTAGGTTGTCCGTTCACTCTGATGATAGTTTCTTTTGCTGTGCAGAAGGTCTTTAGTTTAATTAGATCTCATTTGTCAATTTCACTTTTTGTTGCAATTGCTTTTGGTGTATTAGCCATGATGTCTTTGCCCATGCCTATGTCCTGAATGGTATTGCCTAGATTTTCTTCTAGGGTTTTTATGATTTTTAGGTCTTACATTTAAATATTTAATCCATCTTAAGTTAATTTTTGTATAAGTTGTAAGGAAGGGATCCAGTTTCAGTGTTCTGCATATGGCTAGTCAGTTTTCCTAGCACCATTTATTGAATAGGGAATCCTTTCCACACTGCTTGTTCTTGTGAGGTTTGTCAAAGATCAGATACTTGTGGATGTGTGGTGTTATTTCTGAGGCCTCTGTTCTGTTCCATTGGTCTATATATCTGTTTTGGTACCAGTACCATGCTGTTTTGGTTATTGTAGGCTTGTAGTATAGTTTGAAGTCAGGTAGCATGATGCCTCCAGGTTTGTTCTTTTTGCTTAGGATGTTGCTCAGGGTGTTGACTTTTTTGATTCCATGTGAAATTTAAAGTAGTTTTTTCTAATTCTGTGAAGAAAGTCAATGGTAGCTTGATGGGAATAGCGTTGAATCTGTAAATTACTTGGGCCAATATGACCATTTTCACAATATTGATTCTTCCTATCCATGAGCATAGAATGTTTTTCCATTTGTTACTGTCCTCTATTATTTCCTCCAGCAGTGGTTTGTAGTTCTCCTTGAAGAGGTTCTTCACATCCCTTGTAAGTTGTATACCTAGGTATTTTATTCCCTGAGTAGTAATTGTGAATGGGAGTTTGCTCATGATTTGGCTCTCTATTATTTGTGTATAGGAATGCTTGTGATTTTTGCACATTGATTTTTTGTCCTGAGACTTTGCTGAAGTTGCTTATCAGCTTAAGGAGTTTTTGGGCTGAGATGATGGGGTTTTCTAAATATACAATCATGTCATCTGCAAACAGAGATAATTTGACTTCCTCTCTCCCTATTTGAATACGCTTTATTTCTCTTGCCTGATTGCCCTGGCCAGAACTTCCAGTACTATGTTGAGTAGGAGTAGTGAGAGAGGGCATCCTTGTCTTGTGCCAGTTTTCAAAGGGAATGCTTCCAGCTTTTGCCCATTCAGTGTGATAATGGCTGTGGGTTTGTCATAAATGGCTCTTACAATTTTGAGATATGTTCCATCAATACCTAGTTTATTGAGTGTTTTTAGCATGAATGGGTGTTGAATTTTATCAATGGTCTTTTCTGCATCTATTGAGATAATCATGTGGTTTTTGTCATTGGTTCTGTTTATAAGATGGATTATATTTATTGATTTGCATATGTTGAACCAGACTTGCATCCCTGTGATGAAGCCAACTTGATCACAGTGGATAAGCTTTTCAATATGCTGCTGGATTTGGTTTGCCAGTATTTTATTGAGGATTTTCGCATCAATATTCATCAGGGATATTGGCCTGAATTAATTTTTATATGTGTCTCTGCCAGGTTTTGGTATCAAGGTGATGCTGGCCTCATAAAAAGAGGCAGAGAGGAGTTCTTCTTTTTCTATTGTTTGGAATAGTTTCAGAAAGAATGGTACCAACTCCTCTTTGTACCTCTGGCAAAATTTGGCTGTGAATCCAGCTGGTCCTGGGCTTTTTTTGTTGGTAGGTTATTAACTGCTGTATCAATTTCAGAAATTGTTATTGGTCTATTCAGGGTGTTGACTTTTTCCTGGTTTAGTCTTGGGAGGGTGTATATTTCCAAAAATTTATGCATTTCTTCAAGACTTTCTGGTTTATTTGCATAGAGATGTTGATAGTATTCTCTGATGGTAGTTTGTATTTCTGTGGGATTGGTGGTAATCTCCCCTTTGTCATTTTTTATTGTGTCTATTTGATTCTTCTCTCTTTTCTCCTTTATTAGTCTGGCTAGCAGTCTATCTATTTTGTTAATCTTTGCAAAAATCAGCTCTTGGATTCATTGATGTTTCAAAGGGTTTTTCATGTCTCTATCTCCTTCAGTTCTGCTCTGATCTTCGTTATTTCTTGTCTTCTGCTAGCTTTTGAATTTGTTTGTTCTTTCTTCTTTAGTTCTTTTAATTGTGATGTTAGGATATCGATTTTAGATCTTTCCCACTTTCTCCTATGGGCATAAATTGGTACTGTAAATTTTCCTCTAAACACTGCTTTAACTGTGTCCAAGAGATTCTGGTACGTTGTGTCTTTGTTCTCTTTGTTTTCAAAGAACTTATTTATTTCTTCCTTAATTTTGTTATTTACCCAGTAGTCATTCAGGAACAGGTTGTTCAGTTTCCATGTAGTTGTGGGGTTTTGAGTGAGTTTCTTAATCCTGACTTCTAATTTGATTGCACTGTGGTCTGAGGGACTGTTTGTTATGATTTTTGTTCTTTTGCATTTGCTAAGAAGTGTTTTATTTCCAATTATGTGGTTGATTTTAGAATAAGTACTATGTGGTCTGAGAAGAATGTATATTCTGTTGATTTTGGATGGAGAGTTCTGTAGATGTCTATTAGGTCCACTTGGTTCAGAGCTGATTTCAAGTCCTGAATATCTTTGTTAATTTTCTGTCTCATTGATCTGTCTAATATTGACAGTGAGGTGTTAAAGTCTCCCACTGTTATTGTGTGCGAATCCAAGACTCTTTGTAGTCTCTAAGAACTTGCTTTATGAATCTGGATGCTCGTGTATTGGGTGCATATATATTTAGGTTAGTTAGCTCTTCTTGCTGCATTGATCCCTTTACCATTAGGTAATGTCCTTCTTTGCCTTTTTTGATCTTTGTTGGTTTAAAATTTGTTTTATCAGGGACTAGGGTTGCAACCCCTGTTTTTTTTTTTTCTTTCTATTTGCTTGGTAAATCTTCCTCCATCTCTTCATTTTGAGCCTACATGTGTCTTTGTGTGTGAGATGGGTCTCCTGAATACAGCACACCAATGGGTCTTGACTGTTCATCCAATTTGCCAGTCTGTGCCTTTTAATTGGGGCATTTAGCCCTTTTACATTTAATGAAAATATTGTTATGTATGAATTTGATCCTGTCATTATGATGCTAGCTGGTTATTTTGCCCATTAGTTGATGCAGTTTCTTCATAGTGTCGATGGTCTTTATATTTTGGTTTGTTTATATAGTGGCTGGAATCAGTTTTTCCTTTTCATATTTAGTGCTTTTTTCAAGAGCTCTTCTAAGGCAGGCCTGGTGGTGACCAAATCCTCAGCATTTGTTTGTCTGTAAAGGATTTTATTTCTCCTTCATTTATGAAGTTTAGTTTGGCTGGATATGGAATTCTGGGTTGAAAACTCTTTGCTTTAAGAATGTTGAATATTGATCCCCACTCTCTTCTGGCTTGTAGGGTTTCTGCAGAGAGATCCACTGTTAGTCTGGTGGGCTTCCCTTTGGGGGTAACCTGACCCTTCTCTCTGGTTGACTTTAACATTTTTTCCTTCATTTCAACCTTGGTGAATCTGACGATTATGTGTCTTAGAGTTGCTCTTCTCGAGGAGTATCTTTGTGGTGTTCTCTGTATTTCCTGAATTTGAATGTTGGCCTGTCTTGCTAGGTTAGGGAAGCTCTCCTGGATAATATCCTGAAGTGTGTTTTCCAACTTGGTTCCATTCTCCCCATCAATTTGAGGTACATCAATCAAACATAGGTTTGGTCTTTT
This sequence comes from Homo sapiens, assembly GCF_000001405.40. Taxonomy (NCBI): domain Eukaryota; kingdom Metazoa; phylum Chordata; class Mammalia; order Primates; family Hominidae; genus Homo; species Homo sapiens. Next base: position 77,519,927 of record NC_000006.12, on the reverse strand, counting down.
TACATAGTCTCATATTTCTTGGAGGCTTTGTTTGTTTCCTTTCATTCTTTTTTCTCTAATCTTGTCTTCACACTTTATTTCATTAAGTTGATCTTCCGTCTCTGATAGCTCTTCTTCTGCTTGATTGATTTGGCTATTGATACTTGTGTATGCTTCATGAAGTTCTTGTGCTGAGTTTTTCAGCTCCATCAGGTCATTTATATTCTTCTCTAAACTGGTTAATCTAGTTAGCAATTCCTCTAACCTTTAATCAAGTTTCTTAGCTTCCTTGCATTGGATTAGAGCATGCTCTTTTGCTCGGAGGAGTCTGTTATTACCCACTTTCTGAAGCCTACTTCTGTTAATTCATCAAACTCATTCTCCATCCAGTTTTCTTCCCTTGCCAGTAAGGATTTATAATCCTTTGGAGGAGAAGAGGTGTTATGGTTTCTGGAATTTTCAGCCTTTTTGTGCTGGTTTTTCCTCATCTTCATGGATTTATCTACCTTTGGTCTTTGCTGTTGGTGACCTTTCGATGGAGTTTTTGCATGGTCTCCTTTTTGTTGATGTCGATGCTACTGCTGTAGCAAAGGCTGCAGAACAGCAAAGACTGCTGCTTGCTCCTTCCTCTGGAAGCTTTGTCCCAGAGGGGCACCTGCCAGATGCCAGCCAGAGCTTTCCTGTATAAGGTGATTGTTGACCCCTGTTGGGAGGTGTTTTCCTGTCAGGATGTACGGGGATCAGGGACCAACTTGAGGAGGCAGTCTGTCCCTTAGCTGAGCTCGAGTACTGTGCTGGGAGATCTGCTGCTCTCTTCAGAGATGGCAGGCAGGAACGTTTAAGTCTGCTGAAGCTGCACCCACAGCTGCCCCTTCCCCCAGGTGCTCTTTTTTCATCCCCAGGGAGATGAAAGTTTTGTCTATAAGCTGCTGACTGGGGCTGCTGCCTTTCTTTCAGAGATGTCCTGCGCGGAAAGGAGGAATCTAGAGAGCCAGTCCGGCTACCATGACTTTGTGGTGTGGTGGTGGGCTCTGCTCAGTCAAAACTTCCAAGTGGCTTTGTTTACACTGTGAGGGGAAAACTGCCTACTCAAGCCTCAATAATGGCAGACACCCCCACAACCCCCGACCAAGCTTGAGCATTTCAGGTTAACTTCAGACTGCTGCGCTGGCAGCGAGAATTTCAAGCCAGTGGATGTTAGCTTGCTGGGCTCCATAGGGGTGGGCTCCATGGAACAAGACCACTTGTCTCCTTAGCTTCAGCCCCCTTTCCAGGGGAGTGAATAGTTCTCTCTTGCTGGCATTCCAGGTGCCACTGGGGTATGAGAAAAACTCCTGCAGCTAGCTCGGTGTCTGCCCAAACAGCTGCCCAGGTTTTTGCTTGAAACCCAAGGCCATTGTGATGTAGGCACCCAAGGGAATATCCTGGCCTGTGGGTTGTGAAGACAGTGGGAAAAGCATAGTATCTGGGCCAGATAGCACTGTCTCTTTCAGCACAGTCCCTCACTGCTTCCCTTGGCTATGAGAAGGAGTTCCCTGACCCCTTGTGCTTCCCGGGTGAGGAGACACACCACCCTGCTTCTGCTCACCCTCTGTGGTCTGTACCCACTGTCTAACCAGTCCCAGTGAGAAGAACCAGTTACCTCAGTTGGAAATGCAGAAATCACCCACCTTCTGCATTGGTCTCGCTGGGAGCTGCAGACTGGAGCTGTTCCTATTCGGCCATCTTGCCAGGGAATCCATGTCATGTTATTGAAATAAATTGTTCTCTGTTTATCCCTCTAGACCAAGGGCCTTGAGGGTTTTGTATGAAGTACATAGAACAGTTCTTGGGACATAAACACCTAAGAAATATTTGTACAAGCTTATTGGAATAAACTGAGGATGGATGATGCTATTAACAGAGAAAAGCAGGATGCGTTGGTGGGGAAGGTGAGAGTAGGGGGCAAATAATCAGTTCATTGGATTGGGACATGGTAATTCTAAGTCTCAGGGGACATTCTGAGAGAAGGATTGCATAGGCAGTTGTTGATAGGAGACTAGTGCTTGAAACAAGGTCAATGTCATTGGTTTAAAGGTCATCAGCCAGTAATACCATGGAAGTAGATAAAATCATTTATAGAAAGGGCAGGATGTGAACTGAATGCCTCTTTTGGGGAGCTTGCATGAGATCCCAAGCCTGATGGTGAAAACAGCTTCTGGAGTGTGCAGTTATCACTTCAATTGAGAAGTTGTGGAAGCAAAGAGTGCTTTTCTGGTTACATGCACAGTTTGGGCTGTTTTTCTTGTGAAAGTAATTAATTAGGTCTGTGATAAATATAAGCTCATCTTGCTTGTTATAGGAGAAAAATAAACTCCTTTAAACCACTGTATTTGAATTTTATGTCAAATGTGCTGACATAAAATGTAATCCCTGATTGATAGACAAGCTCTAGCTGACTTGGTCTTCACAGAAACCCAAAGAAGTAGGTTTTATTGCTATTCTATTTTTAGCTAAGAAAAATAAAGTGTAGAGGTTAAGAAACTTGTTTTAAATCATACAGAAAATAAGTAGGAAAATCGTCATTTGAACTCAGCTCTGCCTGATTCCAAATGTCATGCCTGCTCCTCACCTTGATGGAGTAGTGTCTGCAAAATGGTAAAAAATGTGGGTTCTAGAATCAAGACATAGCTAGCTCTGTAACAGACTAGTTGTAAGACCTTAGGAAGGTTCCTTACTGACCTAACTTACTATCTAACTAATTAATTCCGTTTCCTCTCCTCTAAAATTCAGCTACTAAAATGCGGCTATTAGTAATGCCTAACTCAATTATTTATTTAATGGGTGTTTATGGTACATAAGACACCAAGTAAGGCCAAGGGGAGACAATAGCAAACAAAACATTAAAGCTTTTTTTTTTTTCTGCCTTCATAGAGGTTATGTTCTACTGGAAAGTGATAAGTAACCTATTCAGTCATCAGATAATGAGAAATATAATGGAGAAAATGAAAGCTAGAAAACGTATTTCAATACTAAGCAGTGCAACTGTTATTTCCACTTTTAAATATTATAATCAAGAAATTCCTCACTAAGAAAGAGACATTCAAGCAAAGGTCTGAAGGGATGAGGGAGTGAACCAGGCAGATAGATGACAGAAGAGTTGTCCAAAAAGAGGCCACAGAAAGGGCAAATCCCCTGAGGCATGCCTGGGCTGGCATGTTCCCAGAACAAGGAGGACAATGTGGCTGCAGTGCTCTATAGGAGGGAGAGAAAAGTAGCAGATGAGGCAAGGAGGTAATTAATGGCCAGATCATGCCAGCCTCAAAAGCCATTTTCTTTTCCATTTCTCTTTTTTGAGTATTTTGAGCAAAAGAGCAACATGATCTCACCTATATATAGAAGAAAAAGCAGGTTATCCTGTTGGAATAAACTGTAGAGTGGACAAAGGTACATGGTTAAGAAGCTATTGCAAAAATCTAGATGAGAGATAATAGTTGCATGGACCAGGGTGGTGGCAATAGAGTGATGGAAAATAGTCATGAGGCACCCTCGTCATTGCTACTCAGAGTCAGAACTGCCCAGATAAGCTACTCTTGAATTCCTGACCCACAGAAATTATGTGAAGTAGATATTTATTATTGTTTGGAACCCTAAGTTTTGGAGTGACTTGTTCCACAGCAACAAGTAATGTGTATGTGAGGTAGCACTTCAATTTTGATATTTTTACTTGCATAATCATTTCAGCATGATTTTAAAACTTCTGTCTTCAATCAACTGCAAGATTAGCTCTGTTGTATTTTCATTATTTCTTTTAAAAATGTTTTGTTAGTGACAGGGTCTTGTCCTGTTACCCTGGCTGGAGTGCAGCCTTGTACTCCTATGCTCAAGTGATCCTCCTACCTCAGCCTCCCAAGTAGTAGTTTTGTCATAAATAAAGTTTGCAATTATAAAAAAAGGTCAGATTTTGCATATATTTTGAAGGTGGCATCAACGGGATACGCTTACACATTGAATAAAGTATATGAGAGAAAGAAAAGAATCAGCATCTCAGCACTTTGAGAAGCTGAGGCAGGTAGATCACTTGAGCTCAGGCGTTTGAGACCAGCATAGGCAACAGGGCAAAACCCTGTCTTTATGAAAATACAAAAAATTAGCAAGGCTGGGTGGTGTGCGCCTGTAGTCCCAGCTACTTGAGAGGCTAAAGTGTGAAAATCACCAGAGCTCAGGAAATAGAGGCTGCAGTGAGCTGTGACTGCACCATTGCACTCCAGCCTGGCTGAAGGGAGTAAGACCCTGTCTAAAATGAACAAACAAATAAACAAACAAAAACAAAAAACAAGAGTCAACAATCACTTCAAAGTTTCTGAGCTAAGCAACCGAATCAGTTGTCATTAACTGAAATGGGAAGGGCTATATTTGTCAGGGATTAGGAACTCAGTTTTGAATATATTAAGACTGAGATGCTTATTAGACATTTAAGAGAAGATATCAAGTAAGAATTAGATATAAGAGTCTGGAATTCACAGGTGAGGTCTGAACTGCAAGCATGAATTTGGGAGTCCTCAGTGTAAAAATAGTGTTTATAGAAAGAAGAGTAGATGAAATCACCAAGATTGTGGGTATAGACAGAAAAGAGGATACTCAATGAGTGAGTTCAGGGATACTCCAGTATTTAGATGCTGGAAAACTGTGGAAGAGCCAACTAAGGATATTGAGATAGAGGGAAGTCCTTAGGACTAGAGTGGAACCAGAGTGTGAAGCATCCTGGAACTGTAACCACTCATGGTTCACCTTGCCTGCTGCCTAGATAGAGCCTATTTATCAAGACAAAGAAACCGCAATAGAGAAAGTAATTCTCGCAGAGCCCGCTATCCAGGAGACCAGAATTTTATTATTACTCAAATCAGTCTCATTGGGGATTAGTTTTTAAAGACAACTTGGTGAGTGAGAGGAAGCCAGTGAGCTTGGAGTGCTGATTGGTCAGCTTAGAAATGAGACCATAGGGAGTTGAAGCTGTCTTCTTGCACTAAGTCAGTTCCTGGGTGGGGTCCACAAGATCAGATGAGTGTTTATCAGTCTGGGTGGTACCAGTTGAGCCATCAATTACAGGGTCTACAAAACATCTCAAGCACTAGTGTTAGGTTTTACAACAGTGATTTTATCCCCAGGAGTAATTTGGGCGGGGTCCGAATTTTGTATCCTCCAGCTGCATGACTTCTAAAACATAATTGTTAATTTTGTGGCTCATTTGTTAGTTCTACAAAAGCAGTCTTGCCCCCAGGCAAAAAGGGGATTTGTTTTGGGAAAGGGCTGTTATCATTTTTTGTTTCAAACTATAAACTAAGTTTATCCCAAAGTTAGTTCAGCCTCTGCCCAGGAAAAAACAAGGACAGGTTGGAGGTTAGAAGCAAGATAGAGTTGGTTAGGTCAGATCTCTTTCACTGTCTTTGTTATAATTTTGCAATGGTGGTTTCAGAACCAAGTGAACAAAGTGTTTCAAGAAGGAGAGGGAGGTCAGCTGTATCAACTACTTTTGAAATATAAGATGATTACTGAGAATTTAGTAAGGGATTTTGGCAATTAAGAGGCATGAGTGACTTGATGAGCAGTTCAGGCAGAGTGGTAAAGGTGAAACCCTTTTTAAAATGTGTCAGGAGAGATAGAGAAAGAGACAGAGAGAGAGAGACCAGATAATGGAATTTAAAAATAGGTAATTTTCTAGAAATTTGATATAAGGGCAAACTGAGAAATGAAGTAGTAGCTGGGGAATATGTTGTCCAAAAAGGTATTTTTGTTTGTTTTTAAAATAAAATAAATTATAAGATATTTGTATGTTGCTGAGAATGATTTAGTAGTGATATAGGAGTTAAGAAGAAATCATGTAGGCAGATAGTAAGTGTATGGGAGTCCTTGGTAAGGCTTTTCTTTTTAATGAAAAACAGTCCCAAATCATTTTTTAACAAAGAGCAACCGGTAAGGTTGAGCTGCAGACATAGGCAAGCAAGCTAGGAGCTTGCATAGGTGAATGCTGGCAGGAACTAGGAGGGACTAGACATGTTCAAGATGATGGCTCAATCATCCCTTCTCTACCAGCCATGTGTATAGTAAGGGGCAGACAAGATGGCACCAGCCAAGGAGAATTCATTTGCATGATAAGATTACAGTGGGGCAACCAATCCTGCCTGTACATTATGTAAACTTCATACCTGATCAAACCAATCTGTAAGCCCTACATAAATCAGACACTGCCTCCTCGAGCTGGACTGTAAAATCCAGTGCATCTGCCATCAGCCAGTCTTTTCTGCTCAGAAGACCCCTCTATCTATAGAAAGAGAGCTGTTTTTCTTTCTCTTCTCTTCTGCCTATTAAACCTCTGCTCCTAAACTCATGTGTGTCTGTGTCCTAAGTTTTCCCGGCATGAGATGGGAAACCCTAGGGTATATAACCCAGACAACATAGCCACTTCATATTGGAGACCTCATCTGGGATACAAAGGTATAACATTAATCAAAATGTGGCTAATCCCAGTAGAGGAGCAGACTCTAACTCTATCCTTTCATTTCAAGCCTTTCAGTCTCCATTTTAGAATGAAATCAAACCAAACACTGGGCTCCCTTCAGCCATTTAAAAAGGATTAGTGTGACTGTCAGCCTTACAAGACTTGGAAGACAGGCTTGCTGGGGAGAACATGGAGAATCACCCAGCACCCACGGGTTGCTGGGCATATTGACCATGTTTGAACCAGCTTTCTTTCATGAAGGACTTAGCTGTCACATGGGGCTGGAAGAAGTTTTGGAGCAACTGAGGATTTCTGGCTGGAGCCAACCCCTGGTGTTATCCAAAGGCTTCTGGACTGACCCCAGTCTCCAACCACCTGATAGGGTGTCAGCAACAAGATCTCCAACTTTTCTATCATAATTTCTTCCTTTCCTGTCTGTAATCATTATCTCTCCTCTCCTCTCTGTATATGCAATGTGTGGGAAATTTTACAGTTCAGGGAAGTAATCCTGTTTGGCAAGTAAATGGAGATATGGCTCAAGGGATGGTGTCTTTGTAATTTTCTAGAAACAGAGGGTCCCCTACAGAGTAAGGGTCACTCTCTGCCCTTGCTCTGGAGAGCACTTGGCACTTCCAGGCCTCTCTCTGCCCTTGGTCTGGAGAGCACATGGCACTTTCAGGTCACTCTCTGCCCTTGGTCTAGAGAGCACATGGCATTTCCAGTTCTCTCTTGGCCCTTAGTCTGGAGAGCACATGGCATATCAAGGTCACTCTGCCCTTGGTCTTGAGAGTACATGGCATTTCAAAGTCAACAGTGCTGCCTAGTGGAATAGAGATCCTGTCCATGAGACACATTGTGGGTCCTTTACTGAAACACCCTAGCTTCCCAATTTTCTTTTTTTGCACCTCTCTACTAGAAACCAGGCTTCCTGCTGCTTCTGTAAACAGGAAACTTCTGCCTTCAACAACTAATGGTAAAATATCCTCTGAAGCCAAATTTTAGTCTCAATACTGTTCCATCTGCAGGAAAATGACCATTTGGTCCCTAAATTCTTTTAAAGCACTATTGTGTCTCCAATTAAAATGTCACTTAATTAGTAAGCGGATTTTAAGTTTGGAAGTTAACTGGAATCATTCTCTAAGGGTAAATGCTTTAGCACAGGCCATAATAGCAGGATATAGAGCTCCAACCAGAACACTTCCTCTATTCAAAAGGGAAGTGTAACAGTTGCCCAAATGCAACTGTCACATAGTCTTTTCTGAGATCCATTTTTTTTTCGGGGAGCCAGGCAGGTCACACAAGTCTAGGAAGTCAAAGGGAAATCACAGGCAGAGGACTAGAATTGCATGGGTGAGTGTGACTAATCCCAGTCACTTAGTTCCTCTGGTTTCAGGGCTGGGGATCACATGTGCAGCCATGGGTGGCACATTCAACAAGGTGCCATGACTCAGGAACCACAGAGGGAAAACAGCAGTGGGGTGTGCCCCCACTATCTCCCAATCCACCCTGAGTCACAACACAAGGAAGGAGACTAAAGAGTTGCCTTTTTCTCACTTCTCTTTCTAGATGGGTAACAGATCATCTTAGCCTGTACTCCTATAGAGTGCATTCTGAAGCACTTGGACTCCTTTAACCCAGAGACTTTGAAGAAAAAGTGGCTCATTTTCTTTTTCACAAGAGCATGGCCTTCTTACCCTCTTGAACCAGCCTGGCCTGTGGAAGAAAGCCTTAATTGTTAATATTATCCAACAATTAGATCTTTTCTACAGACAGGAGGGCAAATGGTCGGAGGTACCTTATGTACAGGCTTTCTTTGCCCTGTGAGACAACCCATACCTTTGCAGACAAGGCACAATTGACCCAGCCCTTTTAGCAATCATATCAGGCAGGCCCAAAGGGAATAATCCCCCAAGGCTACAAAAGCAACTTCCCCAAAAACCATCTGAGGCAGCTATTGTGTGTCCAGCCCTTCAAGTCCATGCCACCAGCTCTTCCACCTCCACCATTGCCAAAATTTCTCACTTCCCCACCTTAGCTTTCACCCCTACAGAAAATGCCCAAATGGGGGTGATGCCACTAGGGTTCAAGTTCCCTTCTTATTGCAGGAACTTAGGCAAGTAAAGGGAGACTTAGGCCAATTTTCCAATAACCTTGATAGATATATAGAAGCCTTTCAAAATTTAACTCGGGTATTTGACCTCTTATGGAGGGATGTTATGCTGCTCCTAAGCCAAACCCTAACCACAGCTGAGAAGCAGCCAGCAGAGAAATTCAGAGATGAGAAATATGTCTCCTATATTAGGCCTAAAAGGAAAAGAGAAAATAGGGAAGGTGAAGAGATAATGGAAACACCATTCCCAATACGAAGGAAAGCAGTTACTCTTGACAATCCTAGTTGGAACACCAATAATGTTGCAGATGAATGGAAAAGGAATATGCACATATTAATGTGCATATTGGAGAGCCTATGAAGAATGAAGAAATTGAGCCAAACCTCTTAAATACTCTAAACTGTCAATGATAAAGCAAAACCCAGCTGAGAATTCTGCAGCCTTTATGGAAAGACTAAGAGAGGTACTAATAAAGCATGCCTCCCTATCCTGAGTCAGTGGAGGGACAGCTCATCCTAAAGGACAATTTATTACACAGGCAGCTCCCAATATTAGATGAAAACTACAGAATCAGACTGTAGGACCAGAGAGCACCTTAGAGAACCTCCTGAAGGTGGCCACCTCAGTCTTTTATAATATATACCAGGAGGAGGACCAGGTGAAAGAGAGGAAGCAAAAGAGAAGGACATAGGCTCTAGCAGCTTCTTTGCAGGCTTGCAAAGTCCAGGATCCCTGAGATGCATTTACTAGTTGCTATTGGTGTGGCAAATTAGGGCACTTTAAGAAGGGAGTGCCCAGAAAGCAAGAAGAAACCAACATGACCCTGTTCAGAATGTGGCAGGGACCACTGGAAATCGGACTGCCCCTGGAGATGAAGGTGACTGGGTTCAGAACAATCTCACAGGTGGTGTTCAAACCCCTGGCTCCAGCAGCTCAAACTGCCATTACAGCACAGGAGCTCCAGGTGATTCTGGAAATTGAAGGAAGAAAGGTAGATCTTCTGGACCCTGGGACCAGCCTCTCTCTTCTCCTCTCTCATCCACGCCTCCCCCTTTCCCATAGCATGACTGTGAGGGGCGTCTCAGGAAAAAACTCTAATTCGATATTTTTCTCAACCCCTTAGTTGCAGATGGGGAAACCTACTATTCACACATGCATTTTTAGTCATGCCAGAAAGCCCCACTCCTTTATTATGTAGAGAGAGTTAACTCACATGGGGGCCAGCATCCTTATGGCCCCAGGACAATCTCTTTGTCTTCCCCTGGTGGAAGCTAATATCAATCCAGAAGTGTGGGCAGCTCAAGGAAGAATAGGTCGAGCTGTAACCACTAGACTAGTCCAGATCCATCTTAAGGATCCCACCATTTTTCCTAACCAGAAACAATATCCCCTGAAGCAAGATGCTAGGAAAGGGCCAGAAGCTATTATTAATAACCTGAAGATGCAGGGCCTCCTCAAACGCTGTAAGAGCCCCTGCAACACTCCAATATTAACAGTGCAAAACCAACGGGGAATGGAGACTTTTCAGGACCTCCACCTCATTAATGAGTTCATAAACCCAATCTATCTGGTAGTACCTAATCCCTATACCTTGCTGACCGAAATACCTGAGGGAACTAAATGGTTTACAGTCCTAGATTTAAAAGATACTTTCTTCTGTATACTGTTATATCCTGACTCTCAATACCTGTTTGCCTTTGACAATCTGTCTGGCCAAACCACCCAGTTTACGTGGATGGTGCTGCCTCAGGGATTTTGAGATAACCCTCATTTCTTTGGACATGCATTGTCAAAAGAACTCTCCAAGTTTTCCCATCTTCAGGGGAAGGTTTTCAATACGTGGATGATATGTTGCTCTGTACCCCAACTGAGGCAGCTTCTCAGGAAGGCACTGAAGCTCTTCTTAATTTCTTAGCCAGCAGAGGCTATAAGCTTTCAAAATCTAAGACCCAGCTTTACAAAACCTCAGTGAAGTATCTGGATTTAGTGCTGTCTAATGGGACCAGAGCATTAGGGGAAGAAAGGATTAGTCCATTTTCTCCTTCCCCTTCCACAAAACCGTCAAGCAACTAAGAGGATTTGGGGACATTCCAGGATTTTGCAGGCTATGGAAACCTGGTACAGTGAGATAGCTCATCCTCTATATCACCTCATAAGAGAAACTCAAGCAGCTAAAACTCATATCCTAACCTGGGAAACTGAAGCTCAAAAGGCCTTTAAGCAGCTAAAGCAGGCCCTACTTAAGGCAATAGCTCTCAGCCTTCCCGTTGGAAGAGCCTTCAATCTGTATGTATCAGAAAGGAAGGGAATGGCCCTGGGAGTCTTAATGCAGGCCCAAGGACCAGCTCAACAACCAGTGGGTTATCTGAGTAAGGAACTTAATTTGGTGGCTAAAGTATGGCCAGCATGCCTCTGAGCCATTGCTGCAGTGGACTTAATGGTCCCAGAAGCCTCCAAATTAACCTGGGAAATGACTTAACTGTTTATACCCCACATAATGTGGCAGGATTACAGTCCTCTAAGGGAAGCCTTTGGTAAACAGACAGCAGCCTCCTTAAGTATCAAGCTCTATTGTTAGAGGGTTCCACCATCCAGTTAAAAACTGGTTCTCACTTAAACTCAGCCACTTTTCTCCCCAAGGGAACTGGTGAACCTGAACATGACTGTGAACAAGTTGTGGTACAGACCTAAGCAGCCAGGAAAGATCTCAGGGAAACTTTCTAGAAAATCCAGATTGGACCCTCTTCACAGATGGAAGCTCCTTTGTAGAGCAAGGAGTCTAAAGGCAGGATGTGCAGTAGTCACTCTGAATAATTTTATTGAAAGTGCATCTCTCTCTCTCCAGGCACAAGCGCTCAACTAGCTGAACTGAGAGCTCTTACAAGAGCACTTGAGTTAAGCAAGGGAAAGGTAGCTAACATTTACAATGATGCCAAGTATGCTTTCTTGGTTCTCCATACTCATGCTGCCATTTGGAAGGAAAGACACTTTCCTACCACCAATGGATCTGCTATAAAATACCCTCAGGAATTTAACAGGTTATTACCCTGAGTTTTCCTTCCATGAGAGGTAGCAGTGATGCATTGTAAGGGACATCAGAAGGGAGTAGATTCAGAAATAGCTGAAGGAAACAAGCTAGCTGATTAGGTGGCCAAGTCAGCAACAAGGAAGCCTCATGATATCAACACACTTGAAGCACCTCTAATCGGGGAAGGCTTCATAAGAGAAATCAAGTACTCCCCTGCAGAAATAGAATGGGCCACTTCTCGAGGGTACACTTTTCAGCCCTCAGGATGACTTAGTCAGAACATGGCAAGCTTCACTTACCAGCCAGTGGAAAGTCCTTAAATTCTTTCATCAAGCTTTTCACTTGGGAAAGGATAAAACTTATCAATGTGTCCATAGATTGTTTTCAAGAGATAACTTACTAAAAATAGTAAAATAGATTGTTAATGCTTGTGAAGTCTGTCTTAAAAATAATCCCCTGAACAGACGGCTTATTCCTCCTCAAACCCAAAGGATGGGAAGCTATCCAGGGGAGGACTGGCAGATAGACTTTACCCACATGCCAAAGATGAAGCATCCAATACCTCCTGTATGGGTAGATACTTTTATTAACTGGGTAGAAGCATTTCCATGCTGTACAGAAAAGGCCTCTGAGGTAGGAAAGGTGTTAACTAATGAAATTACTCCCCATTTTGGTCTACCTAAGTACCTCCAAAGTGACAATGACCCCTCACTTAAGGCAGCTGTCACACAGGGGGTCTCAAGGGCACTAGACATATGGTATCATCTCCATTGCACTTGGAGATCCCAGTCCTCATGAAAGGTAGATAAGACAAATGATACCATCAAAAGACATCTCAGGAAACTGGCCCATGAAACTCACCCTCCTTGGGTAACTTTTCTTCCCATGGCTTTCCTGCCTATAAAAAACACCCTTCAAAGTTAAGTCTAAGCCCTTTTGAGATGCTGTACAGATGGGCTTTTCTCACCAATAATTTCTCATTAAACCAAGAGACCTCTGAATTGGTTAAGCATGTTGCCTCTCTGGCTTGCTTTCAACAGGAATTAACACAACTAGCAGAAGCCCAATCCCAAGAAGTAGGACCACCTTTTATTTAACCCAGGAGATTTGGCATTGATAAAATCTCTCCCTTCACTTTCTCCTTCCCTAAGCCTAAGCTGGGAAGGATCTTATACCATTCTCCTTTCAACCCCCTAGGCAGTAAAATGTACAGGTATCTATTCCTGGATACATTACACTCAAGTCAAAGCCTGGAAAGCTGAGAGAGCAACCTCTGACAGCCCAGAGGAACATCCTGGATACCAATGTGGAGGAATAGGAGACCTTAAGCTGAAAATCATAACAGATAAGTAAATGAGCAAGGGCAACTTGTCCTACTCAATTCCACCTCTACCATTCAGTCACTTCTACTTTTTCTCTTGAGATTTGCTGTCAAATATCGGAGGTTCTTTTTGACTCATAATTACAGGGATAATAGTTACCAACAAGAAGGGAACATGAAAGGTTTACTATCACTGAGTCTGCTAGGACTTTTTATTGGGTTTAGTGATACATCACACCCGTTAGCTCCTGCAATATCAGCTATGGCCCATTTGTACAGTAAGACTAATTGCTGGGTCTGTCCCAAGTAGTTTGCTCAGTTTAATAACACTAAGAAACCTCCTGATCACCCAGAACTTACTGTCTTAGGATTCCTTTTGTTAGCCTTACCTTTAATCCTAAAAGATTTATGAGGTATAAATGGGACACGGTATAGGAGCAATTTCAACTGAATAACTAACTCTGCTCAGGAAAGCACTCCACCCCTAGTGCCAAGGAATACTCTCCCCAAATATAAGCCTCACAACCTCAGGCTGGGAAAGTTGACTGGGTAATGGCAAATGTCTCCCATTGCTTTAAAGGCAGTGGGGAAGAACCATACTTTAGAGATCTCAAATATTGTAATATCACACTTGTAATTGCTGATAGTTCTAAGATTTGAGGAAGAAGGTGCCATAAGCATGATCTAAAAGGATCAGAAGCCCTATGGGGGGCTTTCAGAATCTAGCCGCTCCATCTGGTTGGAAGTCCCAATGAGAATGGCATGCTCTAAGTAACCACCTTGATTATGATGTAAATAATAACACATGGGCCTTTCCAAACATGTCCCCTCATGGAATTCCAGATCCTTGTATGATGTTTGCTAATAGTAATGGCCTACGAATTTGTGGGCAAACTGGAGACATCTGTACCAACAGCCCTTGCCACAAAGATCATCTGAGATACTGGCCAGGGCATATAATGTTAATTTTTTGAAACTTCATTTGTTGGGTGGACCCTTCTAATTTTGCATGTAAGATTCCAAATCGCATTGTGAATGACTATTCTGAGTATGGATATCCCCATCCCAAAGATGCCCCTATTATATATAAGGGGGAAAAGCTTCTAAGATATGAGAAAGATCTGCCTGTGTCCCTCACAGGTCACAACTTAAACCATCCCTTCAAGAGACAGGATTATATTTCCATTGTGGCTCCTTAATCCTCCCTAGGCACTAGAAAGGAACCTATACTATAGTAGCAGTGGTCCCCAACCTGTTACTTTTAAATTCCCCTGACAAGGATGCATCATCTAGGGACAACCCTAATCTAAGTTCCTTTTTAGAAAGTGCACCATCTCAGATACACGAAACAAAGAGATCTATCATTTCCATGCCCTCATATGGAGATTTAACCAAAAGAGAAAATTGGGGAGGGCATGCACATGACAATCCCATTTTAGAAAGATCATGGATGGGAAATTCTATAATAAGAGGAATACTTCTTCTGGTTTGCTGGTATTCCTCTTTCTGAAAGGTCAGTACTTAATATATTCATTATGATGTATTGAGGATGGAAGGCAACAGTAGGATCCATAGAAGTCTAATCCATAGACTCTTTAGCCTCACTAGTAGCACAGAATAGATGAGCCCTGGATGTTCTTACAGCCGAGGTAGGGGGTGCCTGTTCAGTCTTAAATGAAACATGCTGCTTCTAGATCAACACCTCTAGTCAAGTAGAAGAAAACCCACAAGTGCTTAAAGATCAAGTTAAAATCATTAACAGGTTAAGAAAAAATGCAGGCTCCAGCCCTGGATGGCTACAATTGCTCTTTAATGAATTTTAGTCTTTTTTGTGGAACTGATTAGCTCCATTATTAAGTCCTCTCTTGCTCATATGTTCTATATTAATGTTTGAACCCTGTCTACTCAATATTATAACTCAAATTGTTTCCTCTTACCTAGAAGCAATGAAACTTAAAATGGTGCTGCAGACTGAACCATGCATGGACACACCTTTTTTCTGAGGACCCTTGGATTGACCCCAAGAGGAGCCCCAGCTGCTGTTGTTCCCTGCATGATGCCCCTTTTCAGCAGGAAGTAGCCAGAAAGAGTCATTGCCCAATAACCCCTAACAACAGTTAGGGTGACCACTCCAGAGGGTGGAATGATATAGGAGTTAAGAAGAAATCACTTAGATAGATAGTAAACGTATGAGAGTCCTGGGTAAGGCTTTTCTTCTTAATGAAAAGCAGCCCTAAATCATTTTCTAACAAAGAGCAGACTGTAAAGTCTAGCTGCAGACATACACAAGCAAGCTGCAAGCTTGCACAGGTGAATGTCAGCAGGAACTAAGCACTAGACATGTTCAAGATGGGGGCTCCACCATCCCTTATTTGCCAGTCACCTGTACAGTAAGGGGCAGACAAGATGACGGTGGCCAAGGATAATTCATTTGCATAATAAGATTAGGGTGGGGCAACCAGCTTTCCTTCGCACTATGTAAATGTCACACCTGATCGAACCAATCTGTGAGCTCCACATAAATCACACAGCGACTCCTCAAGCTGAACTATGAAATCCAGTGCCTCCGCTGCCAGCCAACCTTTTCCACTTGGAAGACCCCTCTCTCTCTATAGAGAGAGCTGTTTTTCTTTCTCTTCTCTTCTGCCTATTAAACCTCCACTCCTAAACTCCTCGTGTGTGTCCCTGTCCTAAATTTTCCCAGCATGAGATGACTAACCCCAGGGTGTATACACCAGACAATGTGGCCACTTCAATAGTAAGAGAATAAATTAAGAATTAACTTTGAGAATTAATTCTGATAATGTGTGTAAAGCACTTAGCACAATACATAGAATACCACATAGAAACTAGGTATTAGTATTTTGTATAATAATCTTTCCCAAAATTATTATAGTATAATTGTATTTTATAATGTGTTGCAACTGTCTTCATAGATTCCCTTACTTTTATTTTTATAGATAGTTTATTTCTCACTCAACATCTTAAAATTGCTTGATTTAAAATGCTTCATGTATTAGTTAACTTACTTTGCAGTTTTTTATTTAGATCACTCACTTCCACAATATATAATTTGCACCTTCCCAATAATTTCATAATATGTACTATAGCTGTACATCTTCAGGTGAATTATTTCAGATTGATAAATTTCATCACTTTGATTAGCTGGCAATCACCTGGACACTATGTCAGCTGCAAGCCTAGGTCACTCAAATTGTTATTGAAGTGCTGTATTTGAGCTGGGATGACAAAGGGAGACAAAGAAATATAGGTTATTGGAAACTTGTGCTATTTGTTATCAAATAGATTGGGATTTATATAGAGCAGTTTCATTATGAACTATAAGAAAAATGCATTTAATTTTTTAATACTCAATGTACATCCTTATTAGGAAATTTCACCTGAAAGAGTTTCACAGAATGGATCTTAGAAGACAGAATTCATCATGAATCTTACTTCTATTTGTTAGTTCTAAGAACACAGCACAGTTGAGTACTCCCAAAGTAATGAAAACCAGTGCAGAACTAGTATTTCCAGATTCTGGCCTTATTTTAGCTATCTGTTGCTATATAACAAATTAACTAAAAACTTAGCAGCTTAAAAGGACAATACATATTTATTGTCCCACACTGTTTCTGTAGGTCAGGAATCCAGAATTGGCTTTGTTGGTTGGTTCTGGTTCAGGATCTCTCATTAAGCTGCAGTCATCTCAAGGCATCAATGAGCCTGGGGGATTTATTTCCAAGCTGTCTTGCATTCCCAGCCAAGTTAGTGCCTGTTGCTGGCCAGCACTAACTTGGCTGGGAATGCAATTTCCTTGCCATGAGAACTTAGCCACAGAGCTTGTTGAGTATCCTCACCACATGGCAATGACTTGCTCCAGATGACTAATGTAATAGAGAGCAAGGCAATGTGTTTCTACGATACTGCCTCAGGAGTCATACTCTGCTTTTTCCACAATATTCTATTAGTTACCTGGACCAGACTAGTCAGTGTGAGAGGGAAGCACTAAATACCAGGATGCAAAAATCTTTGAGGCCTATTTTAAAGGCTGGCTACCACATCACCCTTGAACGGGCTATATAGACCATGGGAATCAAATCAGGTGAATGGTTTAGCCCTAGCTGAAGCTCCTATCATGATGTAAATGTTCTCTGCCTCCATTTTTATTACAATTAATGCCCAGAACTCATACAACCCTAGTTTCTTCAGGATATATATGTATATATATATTCTGGCCAGGAGCAGTGGCTCATGTCTATAATCCAGCATTTTAGGAGAACGAGGTGGGTGGATCATTTCAGGTCAGGAGTTCGAGACCAGCCTGACCAACATGGTGAAACCCTGTCTCTACTAAAAAATACAAAAATTAGCCAGGCGTGGTGGCGGGCACCTGTAATCCCAGCTACTTGGGAGGCTGAGGCAGGAGAATCACTTGAACCCAGGAGGCAGAGGTTGCAGTGAGACGAGGTAGTGCCACTGCACCTCCAGCCTGTGCAATATAGTGAGACTCCATCTCAACACAATAAAATTTTAAAAAATCCAATCAGTATGCTTTATAGATTGTGAAAATATCAAATGGGTAGATATGTGACTTATTTCTTTTAAAAAAGAAAATATAATGTAGAAAGAAGAAAATACAAATAATGTAATACAAATGAGTTTCAGTTATTGCCGTACAAATTATTAATTGTGTTGATTTTAGGCAAGGAGTTCTCATCTCTAAAGTGAGAATTATGATGACAATAATGATAGAAAAAAACATAGTGTGATTGTAAAAATTAAATATAAATACATTTGAGAAGTCACTACAAAACTGTAATGCATTGTGAATATTGTGAAATCAAAGTGATGTCTGATAAGTGGTGGCTTACATAACACCACCTTATCCTGAGTCTGGTTCTAGCTGCATGAATAAAAATGGCAAACAACTACTACTGCTAATATGATAACTAATATCAAATTTGAAGAAAATGAAGAGAGGAAAGCAGGAGAAATCCATTAGACTGTCCTGGGGCAAAGTTCTGCAAATCAGTATGGAAGCTGGTGAATAAAACTACAGCTCCTACCATTAAGTTGAACAATTCTGGGAGGCCTTCTGTATACTTCTCAGCATGTCAATGGAATTGAGCCTCTGTTGCCCTAGCAGTGATCTCAACAATACATTTTTATATTAGCTTTTCTCCTTTCCTTATGCTTCATGGCTATGTACAAGCCACCTTTCCCCTAGTAGTTAAGATTAAGATAGGTATGTAGCATAACTGTATTGAGAATAGGAATGCTGCTTCTGGAACATAGATGCTGACAATAGCAAGCTAAGTGATTGAAGAGGTGGGAGTGTGGCAGTGGGAGCAGTCCACCAGGGTATGCAACAATGAGCTACAGTATCCACAGAGAGTACAAAAACAATAATAAAACTAACAACATATCAGAATGCTTTCCAAGAATACCATGTACCAGCAGTTTTACATAATGTCAGTGACAAAATCCTCTTTCCAGCCAGGTTAGGCTGATCTTGCCACCTGTCTTTTCGTCCTTGTGCCTCTGGATGCTGATGTTACTTTTCAAGTCCAATCATGATCTGTAAGTTGGATGCGTCATATTGATAGTTTGAACATTTAAATGTGGATGGGGTGCGGGATATGTAGCTGTGCCAGGCTCAGTTTTAACATGAGCAGTTTGATTGACTTTCAACAATAAATTGTCATTTTTTATGTTAAGCATGCTAGAGGCTCTTTTTGTTGTCCCAAACAGAGCAGCTTGGAGTGAAAGAGAGAGACAGGTTCTTGGGTGCCACAAAGATCCTAAATATTCTTTTAAAGTTTTAGGTACTATGGTAAATAATGCCTAAGTCAATGCATTTATATCCAAGAATACTATTGACTTGCTCTAAGATATGCCGCAAATCTCTAGTCAATAAGATGGAATCTCGGAACTATTCTTTGGGGATCTAGAGTTTCAGTGGACATTACCAATTTTGTTATCCAAATAAAATTAGCTGTAATATTGTATACATTCTATTGTCTTCACTTTTCTATTTTACCCCAATGCATTATGTCTTTGAGGGAAATCAATAGCTTATACTTATGTTTTTCACACAGAATTATTTCCCAGATATTTAGTAGTTTTAAATGGACATTGATGTACAGTCTTTTCAATATCCATTATTTGATAAACATGAAAGCAATAAAGGGTTTGCCAATTTGTTCCCAAATGTAATTAATCATTGACCTCAACATATTGTCTCCTGGGGAAGTACAATATTACTAATTAGGGCTTTTTCTCCTCTGTGCCAATGAAATAGAAAAAGAATATATATGAACTGATTATATAAAATGTACTTTCACAACTCTTCTTGTCATGGCAGTCATGACTAAGTCTGATCAATTTTTTCCCCACTCCTAAGTTGAAAATCTCATTGTCAAAAAATTAAGATGTATTTATTATAACATATATTAAGTTCACAAAAGAATGTGCTGGGTTAGTTCCTAACCATTAATGATCTCTTTTTAAACTTAATATGTCCTAGACCTTAGTAGTCTTATAATAATTTACTTATTTTCTTTAGCATAAATTTTTGTCTTTACTATAACAAATATGAAACCAAATATTTTAACTTGTGGTTATATATGCCATCTTTGAGAATCAGCCTTATTAGCCATCTAGATAACCTTTTACTTAGTGAAATATTTGAAAATGAAGACTGTAAAATCCCTTTTAATAAAGGAATAACTTATCGACTAATTATTTTAATAGCTTTGTGTGTTGGGGTTGTCTATGGTGGTGTGAGGAGGCAGGCTTGAATAGAACTTAGTGAGGTTTATAGAGCGGGACAGAAGAATTATTTTTATAACATAAATGAAAACAATTTAGGGGAATAAAATTTGAGAGTGTATCATAACGCATATTAAAATGACAACTTGTAACTCCAAAATTAAACTGCTATTGTTATCTGTCATTGAAAAATGCAGAAAGAGCTATGAAAAGCTGTTGAATGTTTGCATAGAGGCCACATTTGGAGGTAGTACCTCGCACCATGTAAGTAGTTGCACACCCTAGGCCAGAGTTTCTATTTGGAAAGCAGAGATATAAACTCCTTGACACAGATTAGAATGGAATATTTTGAGGCCTCACTATCATGAATTGCTATTCAGCTGCCTAGTGGTTCCTGGATTCAACATAGTGTAGGTATCAAAATTTCATAGTGGGAGTTAAGAAATGAGTGCCTTGAGCTGAATGTAAACACCCATGTGACCATCTGCAGGTTCCTAGATCCTCACAAGTAAATAGATGGCCTGTGTGCTGTTACCCTCACTCCTACTGATAGGGTTTGGCTCTCTGTCCTCACCAAAATCTCCTGTTGAATTGTGATCCCCAGTGTTGGAGATGGGGCCTGGTGGGAGGTGTTTTAATCATGGGGATGGTTTCTAATGGTTTAGCACCATCCTCTAGTGCTGTCTTGTGATAGAGTTCTCAGGATATCTGGTTGTTTGAAAGTGTGTAGCACCTCCCCCTTCACTCTCCCTTCCTCCTCCTTCTGCCATGTAAGATGTGCTGGCTTCCTTTTCCCCTTTGGCCATGATTGTAAGTTTCCTGAGGCCTCCCCAGAAGCAGAAGCCTGTACAGACTGCAGAACTGTTAGTTAATTGAATCTCTTTTTAAATTTTTTATAAATTACCCTGTCTCAGGTATCTCTCTATAGCAGTGTGAGAACAGACTAATACACCTACCAACATGAGCTTTTCCCATACTACATTTTTTTACTGACCCTGTATGTGGCTCCAGGATTCTCTCCAACACACAGAATCAAGAAGCTAATTTGCAGAAACTGGCATAAAGCTTACTTATTATGTTCTCAAAAAGGTAATTTTCACTATCTGTTTTATTTCTGTTATTTTTAATGTTTGACTATGGTTCCAGGGTGGGTGAGGGGCCTAATTTTTCCCGTGTATTAGACAGAATCTCATTGAATAGGCTAGGCGACAATCATCAGCAACCAGGGGTGGTTGAGATCATGCTATGCACCCCTTAAATACCTACTGTTGTGTTTCTCTGCCCTCTAGTTCAAAATATTTTTCCTCTTTTATGCACATATATACCAGCAGGAGCTCTAATGCAAATTCTTTTTTAATCTGTCTTCTGTTACATGCTGATTGTAGGCTTATTGGTTTAGTTGTATTTTGGTTTCCTTTTAAATTGCATCCTTCAATACAAAACTGTGAGCATAGTGACTCCAGAAACAATATAAATGAATTTTTGAAGCATGGAGTAAAAATCTTCATCAGAACTATACTGGTGTTTTAGTTATTTATTTGGGATCTCCCAGCATATAAAAATAGCATTTACTCCGCTTCTTGAGAACTGAAGGATTGGAAAAGAGGTGACTTCTGTTGAAAATCTTTCTCTCTAATAATTTTTGTATTAATAAATAGGAGAACTGTCATATTTACATACTCTGTTCATTAAAATGTATTGACTTTAAATTTTCAAGGAAATTTGCATTTCTTCTGACTTTCTTTTTGTAACCTAAGATCATCCTCTTCCATCTCAATTTAAGAAATATTTATTGAGCACCTAATATGTGTCTTAATTATTCACATCACCCACTCCCACAGTAAGGGATATCATGATGATTGAATCTGTATTTCTGGCTTCCCAAGACTCACAACTTTAGAAGGAAGTGATACACAGAATCAAGGTATATAAAGAAAAATTCCAAAGTAGGGGCACAAAAACTGCAGAGAGTGACCTGGGGAAGGAGAAATTAATTCAACCTGTGGTATAATGCAACTTAGAAACTGTCATGGGAGACATAACATTTGCTATAAGTGCTCTGCCCTATAGTTCAAAGTATTTTTCCTCTTTTGTGCACATATATACCAGCAGGAGCTCTAATGCAAATTCTTTTTTTAATCTGTCTCCGGTTACATGCTGATTGTAGGGTTATTGGTTTATTTGTATTTTGGTTTCCTTTTAAATTGCATCCTTTAATACAAAACTGTGAGCATAGCGACTCGAGAAACAATATAAATGAATTTTTGAAGCATGGAGTAAAAGTCTTCATCAGAACTATAGAGGTGTTTTAGTTATTTATTTGGGATCTCCCAGCATATAAAGATAGTATTTGCTCCACTTCTTGAGAACTGAAGGATTGAAAAAGAGGTGACTTCTGTTGAAAATCCTTCTCTCCAATAATTTCTGTATTAATAAATAGGAGAACTATCATATTTACATACTCTGTTCATTAAAATGTATGGCTAACTTGCTATAGTCTTAAAAGATGAGGATAGTGTTGTATGGCCAGGTTTTAAGAACTTTTAATGTTCTTTGCAAGTGGAGTGCAGGGCATAAACAAAGCCAAAAGAGATGTTTTTCGGAGAATGACAGGTGAGTTAATAAAGCTAAATGTTGCTTTGAACTGGAGAAATGAAAGAAAGGTATGGATTGGAAGGGTAGGTAAACAGGCTAGGACCAGGCAGTGAAGGAAACTGTCAGTCTGGAGAGGAAAAGCATTTCTTTTTAATGAGATGATGAATCTTGGTTTTTCGTTTTATGTTTAAAAAAGATTCAGTAGCTATAAATATCTAACAAAATTTTTCTTAGGAATAATACTCTAATTCTTGTATTTGATCAAACGAAGCTATTCTACATTCATTTTTCTAGCCAAGGTAGGCTTCTTTTATGCAGTTGAAAGTAATCAGGATTCTCATGGCTTAATAAATGGTTTTAATAACCAACTGCTAATCTGGAGGATAGAAGCTTGAATATTTAAATTGACCACTTGTTTGTGATACACACTATTTTTTTCTCTCTCTCTCATACACACACACACAGAGAAATATTGGGTAGGCAGAACAATGGCTCCTCAAAATATCCACATCTTAATTAATTACAAGAAACTGTGAAGATGTCACCTTACATGGCAAAGGGGACTTTGCAGGTGTGATTAAATTAAGGATCCTGAGGAGGTTATCCTACGTTATCCAGGTGGACCCACCATAATGTCAAGGGTGCATGGAAAGATGGAAAAGGCAGGGAAAAGATCAGAGAGAGAGCTTTGAAGTTGTTAGACTGCTGTCTCTGAAGATGGAGAAAGGCATCATCTGCCAAGGAATGCAGGAATCTCCGAAAACCTATTCTTTCCTGGAACCTCAGAAAGAATGCAGCTGGCCAACACCTTGATTTAATTTAATTTAGCAATTTTGTGAGGGAGACTGATCTATTTATTTGTTACTCAAAAAAAAAAAAAACTGGCTTTTGACTAGACTCAGACAAGTAGAAGCTCACAGAGAGGGCAGTCTGTGTTCCTGGTGGGTTTTTGTTTTGCTATGGTTTTATTTTTGTTTTTAGCCTCTTTCATTTACTTGGCCAAAAGCTTAGCATATTCTACAACCTCTTCCTTACTTTTCTTAGTAAGCTGTTTCTTCAGAGAAATATGCCAGCATTTATGCTTCAGGACATGTAGTAAAAATCTCAGGTGCTTTGGCCCCAGGTTTCTTACTTTCTTTTTTTGAGGGCTTTTTTTAAATTTTTTTTAAAAATTTTTTTTTACAACATATTGGCAGACATCATCTTTTTCAGACAGATTGAAAAGTTTGCAGACTCTGCTAGCTCTTTTGGGCCTCAGGCAATGAGGCACCATAGTATCAGTCAGTCCAGGAATATCCTTCTCTCTCTCTCTCTCTCTTTTACAAAAACGGTGTTAAGAATGCTCAGATTGGCATCCATAATGCAACCCTAAACAGATTTGCATTTTCTTTCTTCAGTTCTCTTTGGTCTAAAACAGGAATACCCCTTAGTCACAGGCAGATACAGCCTTGGGTCAAGATACCCTGCTTCAAGGGGAAATCTTATTTGTGGTTCCCACCACTGATGTGGACAACATAACCCTTTCATTCTTCACCCAGAGCATCTATAAAATAATGTATTTATATTGTTTTTAAGCCACTAAGTTGTGATAATTTATTTGCAGCAGGACTGGGAAATTAATACAGGTAACTATTTTACACTCAAATACTCACATGGGCAAAACTCTGTTTTTTTCTTTTTTAGGCAGAGTCTCACTCTGTTGCTCAGGCTGGAGTGCAGTGGCGCGATCTTGGCTCACTACAACCTCCACCTCCCAGGTTGAAGTGATTCTCCTGCCTCAGTCCCCTGAGTAGCTGGGATTACAGGCTCCTGCCACTATGCCTAGCTAATTTTTCTATTTTTAGTAGAGAAGGGGTTTCATCACGTTGGCCAGTCTTGTCTTGAACTCCTACCTCAGGTGATCTGCCCATCTCAGCCTCCCAAAGTGCTGAGATTACAGGTAACTTTATTTTTTATTAATCAGTCTAATTTCTGATTCAAAGTTCTTAATCAGTCACATAAAGTAAACATAACCTAGTCATTTTTCAGGTAAGCGTAGTGAAATTCTGTAACTTTTCATGCATTTTAATTTGTTCTCCTGCCCATTGCAAGCCACTAGCTCTAATGTTCACCCAAGATGTGAAAGGGTCTTTAAGAAATATCACTAAGCACTGGCAAAGAGTACATGAGTGACCTTGTTTCTACTGGACCTCACAGAGATATAGAACCATCAATTGATGGGATTTTAATTATTTTGGTCTTTAGCTTCTAACCCTGCTACTTCTACAGAGGTGTCAGATCTCCTGCCTGACCTTGGGACATCATGCCAGGAGATAGTTCAGGTAGTTCTTCCTGATTTTGATCTCTAGTCTCCATTGGTTGTGCTGGCCTATGCACAGCCCTTCTTCAGGCCTTTGATCCTTTTTCAAAGGCAAAGAAATGTTTAGTTGTTCTCTTGTTCTGCTATATTGGCCGTGGGAGACCTGGGGCTCTTGATGAGCATTGACTCTGCCCCTAACATTCCTACTCTATCTCTGTTCTATCACTATTAAGGCTAGAGGAACACCAGCAAGTTTGTTAGCCACTTCAGTTCAGAGAGGACAGAAGAAGTCCTCCAAGTATCTCTAAAATAGCAAGATGACAGAATGAAGAGACAGGCCAACTTCCTTGCTGGACTCCTTACTCCCCAATTCTCTTTTCACTCCTCAGATCATATGGTCTTTATCAAATGGGCAGGATATGGGGGGAAGTACTAGAGAAGAACCAGGAAACAACTTATCCTCCAACTAATTCTACTTTTATCTTTTTCAGTCTTGTATTTAGACCTTACCTGTTGAGCTGAAAAGCTAGGAATCTGTTACTTGGTCTAATATGATAACTAACTCCAGGACAAATGGAGGTTCCAAGGTTTAAATTATGAAGAGGTGAGTCCAGGGCTAAAACAATGGAAAGCTCTCTCAAAAAAAAAAAAGAGAGAGAGAACATTTCATATTATTTTTCCACATATAAAGGAAGAAACTGAGGCACAGGGAGATTAATAAAATGGAGTTTGTAGAGTAGGAGTCAAACTCATAGCTCTCTGAATTCCATCCCGAAGTTTTTGAGATGTCATGCTGCATCCTCAGTAAGTCATTAAAATCATTATTCAGCCTCAGTTTCTTCATCTCTAAAGTGAAAAGCTTGAACTGATGAATTCTAAGGCTCATTATAGCTCTAAATGTCCCTTAGTTTGTAAATATTCAGCACTATCTAGGTGAGAGAAAAGAAATGTGTGTGTCCTTACCCTCAGGTGGACTCATAAGCCTTCCCTTAAGAAAGAACATAAATAGGGATCCTGCACTAGACTGCAGAGACCTCTGTATTGCTAGTACCAATGTAAATTTTCTATCTATTAAAAATCAGTGGCAATAAAAGAGGACCTATAACTACCAGTAGATATTCAGATTATTTTATGTTCATATAAATATTTATTATTTTTATCTCTAAATGTAAGCCTTTGTAACTCACATACTCAGCAACTCTTTTAATCAAATTAAT
Organism: Homo sapiens; assembly: GCF_000001405.40. Lineage (NCBI taxonomy): Eukaryota > Metazoa > Chordata > Mammalia > Primates > Hominidae > Homo > Homo sapiens. The sequence continues at coordinate 77,494,125 of NC_000006.12, read as the reverse complement.
ACATTAAAAGAGATTCACTCATAATAATAATTATTTTTTATGCAACCTAATTACTATTTGGCTCTATTTTAATATTATAATTTGTATACTTGGCATTATAACCTTCTTAATAGTGGCATTAACTTTGATTTTTCTCAATTGATTATTTCTCAAAGAGCCTGATCTTCAAATTCTTTTCCAGTATCTAATATTGAAGCTCAGGTTGTTTGCTATCCTCTATCTTAACTGCATGATTTACACCTGGCCAAATACTGACAGTTTGAGTTAGTTTCAGGCAATGAAATATGAAAACTCTGATTTACTATGTATGCTTGTCTAGAACAGACCTGCCACTGCTTCAGGAGAAGTCCCACTTCAAATTTTTTCCCAATTGATTCTGAAACTTGAACTGCAGTAGCATTTATCAAAGAGATTAGAAATGGCTCAGGTGCATTCCCTGGGGTAGAGAATACCACTGGAACGTGACTGTGCCCTTCATCTAGCATGTGTAATAAGGATAGTCACTATCTATTGGCTCATTCATCTTTTTACGAGGGAAAGACAAAAAACAAACAGCTTTCTTTAAAAACTGTGTTCTCCTATTTTTTTCTAAATTTTAGGATTCATATATAGGAAAATTCCCTCAGTTAGTCAACATTTTATCAGTTAAATTGATAGATACACCTCTTTGAATCTACAAAGTTAAATATTGTACCCAAATACATCAGAGAAGAGGTCTATTTTACAAGTTGAATTCAGAATTAAAAGCATAGAAACATATGTTTGAGTTAAGGAATTAATTGACAATTTCAGTATTTTTCAAGCCAATTTGTTTTAGAAAAGGGAAACCATGAAATTCAAAATTTTTGGTGACAGCTTATTTATTTTTCATTTATCTATATTGCCTTAGGACAAAAATGAAGCTAGAGTTAGTGAAGAAATATGAATTCAAGAGGCAGTGTTCTAATTTTGTACATGGAGGTCTGTTTTATATGAAAATTATATTGCATAGAAAACATGCAATAAAGGTAGCAAGAAACAGACAGAAGGTAACAAGTATTTCAGGGTAACAATGGATGATGAAGAAGTAGGAAAGAAAACTTGACACTTCAAATTTAGCTGGAGCAACATCAGGATGCTAAGCATTGAGGAAATGTCTGAAGACTGGTTAACTACTCTGGTACATTAGCACTAAACTTTATGAAAATGGTTTATTTGAGTCTAGGTAAAGATCTTTCTCTAAGATCTTAAGCACCTAATTTCCCTCATCAGCAGGGTTTACACATTAATATTTTCAACATAAAGCTTCCTTGTAGAGAAAAGAAGAAAAGTCATATTTACTGATTGCTCACTATGTGGAACTGTTTGGTGAGGCTGAGTGACTTGCTCATACACCCAGATCTGTCAACACTACCACACCCCGGAGCTTTGAAGTCCACAGTGCCAGCTATTTCCAGGAGGGGATTCAAAAACAGATAAAGGCCTTCTGTATTTCCGGGTACCTTATAAAGGGAACATTCACCAATCTTATTTTGTAGACTAGGGGTCAGCAAACATTTTTTTTCCCTAAAAGTTCAGATGATAAATATTTTAGGCTTTTCAAGTCTTTGCATTCTCAGTCACACCTACTCAACTCTGACACTAGCACAAAAGTAGCTATATACAATCTTGTATATAGCATAGTTGTGTTCCAATAAAACTTTTTCACAGAACAGTCAGTGGGCTAGAATCGACCTATGAGTTACAGTTGGCCAATCTCTGACGTAGACATTGGTAGAATTGATAATGACTTTTGGGACTTTAATCAATTTTCCCATTGGCATGTTTTTGTGTGTGTGTGTGTGTGTGATGGAGTTTTGCTCTTCTTGCCTGGGCTGGAGTGTAGTGGCCCGATTTCGGTTCACTGCAATCTCTCTGCCTCGCAGGTTCAAGCAATTCTCATGCCTCAGCCTGCTGAGTAGCTGAGATTATAGGCACCCACCACCACATCCAGGTAATTTTTTTTTTTTTTTTTTAAGTAGAGATGGGGCTTCGCCATGTTGGCCAGGCTGGTCTTGAACTCCTGACCTCAAGTGATCCACTGGCCTTGGCCTCCCTAAATGTTGGAATTACAGGCATGAACCACCCCACCTGGCCAGCTGGCACACTCCTTCTTAAGCATAAGAGGTAAGGGTCAATAATCATGAATGAATGCTGAAGAAGGAATTAAAAAATAAGAACTATTAAGTAGTGGTATCCTAAGCCTTGTAACAAGCTAGCCAGTAGACAACACACAGATTCCTAATTATTACAACATGTTGCTCACATTCTTTTTTCTCCTACTTAAGAAGAGAATCTGGGAAACACATATTCTTGTGTATAAAGCAGAATATCTGAAAAACTTAAAAAAGTAAAGACCAAAAAACACCTCCAAAATACACTTCCTCAAAAGTGAGTAAAGAATGATTTATCCTGGTTAGACTACTCACCTTAATATAAAAATCCTTCTGCTCAAAAAGACAGAGTACTTCCTGAGAAAGCTCAGTGATCAGAGACTGCCAAGACAGCTCCATGCCCAGGAGATGCTATTGATCCTAACTTGGTGGAAGGGAAAATTGAGGAAGTATCTGTGAGGCTAAGTCAAATAAATGGACTTGAATGGATCACAAATCTGTTGACGATAGAAGAAGAAAATGTTAACTTCACACATTATTGGAAAATGGCACATAAAATACAGTCTTAATAAAAACCAGTTTCTTATCATTGAGAAGATAAACAAACAAACAAACAAACAACCTGAGATTATATAAATGAAAGAAAAGGGAATAGATAGTATTTGGGATTTTCTTTCTTCTTAATTTTATTCCAAATGAGACAGAGCAGAGCAAAAAAAAAAAAATTCAACAAGCTAAAAACTAAACTATTCTCACAAATAAGTATGGGATTTGTATTGTTTTGGGATGACATCTGAAGTATAAGAAAATAAATTTATATAGGAATATTGAAAAATCTGCAGAAGCCTTAGTAGAAAGAGTAAAAATGAAACACATGCTCCCGTAAAAAAAAAGTAGCTGAGACATGGTTACTTATTAGGTGTAAAAGTTTCTTGAAAATCTGATTGCTAACCCAAATATTCACTTCCCATTTACGTTTTTGTAGTAATAGCTCAGCTGAATTCTGAAGGACTATATCCACCCCAGTTTGCACAGTGAATAGTTTTAAAAACCAAAGCCACACAGAGTAGAACCAATGGTGTTTTTGAAAAGTAGGTTAACAATTTTGTTCATAGCTTAGGGAGACAAGATCAATGACAGCTTTTAAATCCAATACTAGAAGATGAGAGAGAAAAATACAATCATTTAATTATAAACTTAATTTTATGTTCAGGTGAATTCAGCCTGTCAATAAAGAAGGAAGTGCAGTGTGTATGAAGATGAGCAAAGCAGTCAGGTAAAAACTATTCTCCAGATAAATTGAGCAGTTTCATATGGGAAAAATAAGTTTTCCTCAGAAAGCATGAACATACATATTTCCAAGAATAAGCAAAAAGAAAATATTTGCACATTGCTCTGGGATTATACTGACTATAAATTTCCATAAAAAATGAAATAATCAGCAAATTTTTAAACTTTTACCTTTATTTTTATTCTATAGTTAAAACTTAAAGAATTTTCAAATAGGTTTCCCAGGTAGAAAGTAATAAGTACAATCTATAATGGCATCTCTTAGAGAAAAAATTGATACAATGAACCAAGTTGAAACTTATGATTGAAACAGATTTCATATGCTTTTATCACACAATTTAGAGAAAAATATCAGGAATTACCTCTATTCTTTGATATTTATTTTTAACTGATGCTTGATTGTTTTCTTTTAAGAACTGATAATATGTAAATGTACGTTTTATTTTGGTCAATTGATCTGACCAACATGTCTTTGCTATTTGTACAAAGAGTGCTTTTTTTATAAAACAAGAACTGAATATGTTAAAGTATCCTAGTGAACACTGTTAAATGCAACAGAAATAAATATGAATCTACAGAGCACTAGGCAAGAGTCTACTGAAAACCAAAAGAGGTAGATTTTTTTTCCTTTTTTAAAATGTCAACATGTCTTCATACTTTGAAATGTTTACTAGCAGCTATTTAATATTGTCCACAGAACATATCTTATATATTTATTTGAAACCAAAAAGACTTAAGAATAAAATGTGTTATTAAAGCAATGATTTTTTTTATCATACTTTACGTTTTAGGGTACATGTGCACAACATGCAGGTTTGTTACATATGTATACATGTGCCATGTTGGTGTGCTGCATCCATCAACTCGTCATTTACATTTAGGTATATCTCCTAATGCTATCCCTCCCCCCTCCCCCCACCCCACAACAGGCCCTGGTGTGTGATGTTCCCTTTCCTGTGTCCATGTGTTTTCATTGTTCAATTCCCACCTATGAGTGAGAACATGCAGTGTTTGGTTTTTTGTCCTTGCAATAGTTTGCTGAGAATGATGGTTTCCAGCATCATCCATGTCCCTACAAAGGACATGAACTCATCCTTTTTATGGCTGCATAGTATTCCATGGTGTATATGGGCCACATTTTCTTAATCCAGTCTATCATTTTTGACAATAGGTAACCTATTCAATCCAGACGATTCAATCACCCTGATCACCTGAAATTGAAAATTTTTCTAACGCAAAGTGATGGTGTGCTTATTGTAGAAGACTAAAATTACTGCAAACTTAAAGGACAGATGTCACACCAATCCAAAGACCATTTTCTGTTGTAGAAATAACAAACTGATACATTTTGGAAGATGATTTTGACCTTAACATCTTGAATTTTTTTTCAAGAGAGGAAGTATAAAACACTAATGCATGTGTTATTTTGGACTATATTTTTAAAACAAGAAAAATGTGATGTATTGATTTAGATGTCTGGATGTGCTAGAAAGAAATACTGTCTTGTCTTTTATGCCAAAAGTTTAAAAGTTACTTATTCCCAATAAGATCTCAAAAATAAATAATTCTTGACTATTTATTCAAAACTACTCTCTCACTTTTTAATAGACTCAATTCTAGGCAAAGTTTTGAATTGAAGTAGGAGAAAGGAGTTGGTGTTCACATTTTTGTTTTCAATCCTAAAAAGAAAATCCCAGCCAATAGTGCTTTTGACTAGTGTCTAGTGAAAGCTAAGATTCTAGTTGATGCATTGCCTACAGCACCAAAATATCAGCTCATGTTTTCAATTTTCACAAATTTTTTACAGGTAGAAAGTAATAGACACAATCTATAATGGCATTTCTTAGAAAAAAAGTTGACAGCATTAACAAAAGTATAACATAATTAGAAAAGATCTTATGCACTTTTCTCACACAATTTGGAGACAATATCATGAATTCCCTCAGTCTAGGATCAGGCCTTTTACATCTTTTGTCTGTGTGGAGGTTCTTAATAAACACTTATTTAATCAAGAACAAAAAAGATTTTATTGATGAGATAATCTTATAACTTTCTCCAAAGTAAAAAAAAAAGAAAATACACAATGTGTATTATGATAAAAAAAATCACTCAAATATGCATTTTTTATTGAAAAGAGGAAAATTCTAGATAACTCTACTGCACTTATTTTACCACGTAATTAAATTAAACATGTAAGTTTCAAATTGCATTTAAAAAAGTTATTGATTTATCCGTCATGGTTAATCAAACATTGTTTAGTAGGTTAGCTCAATATAAATGTTTTGAAATATATACTGCTGATTTCTAAGCCCTAATGCGTTGCTGCTCCAAAGCTATTTGGAGAATGAAGGAAACTGTGTACACAGTTACTTCTTAATCAAGCCTTGGATATCAGTTAGCATTTATGACTAATGTTTAAAATAAGGTAATGGAAGCATTTTATGACTAGGCTATAATCATACTGTACTCACTAAGTGTCAATATTATCTTTTAAGAAAGTTAGGAACAGTGTTTGGCTGCTAACTCATAGTCTGGAAATTGCAGTGACCTACTAGAGTTAAAGAAGTCTGGAGGTAGGCAGTACAGATTTAGAATGACAGTTTCACAGACTCTTTCAGTCTTTCTGCTTCAACATCCTGAGCATGAGAGCTGCCATGCTCAAGTCTTCCTTGTTGTGCAAGATGGCTGCAGGAACACCAGCCATTTTAATTGCAAAACAGGATCTGCCCAAGAACTTCTGCTTTTATATTACTCTATTTCCCTACAAAGAAGATGAATAAATGTACTTTTTGAGGTGGGCAAATCACCCAAGTTTTATCTTAATAAGGAAAAAGAAAGAATGGATATTATGCAGGCAATCAACTGATAGTAGGTAATAAATTATATATACCTAAGATCACATAGAAGCCAAATATCTTGATTTCCTCTGGCTTTCATAACTGCCATTCTACCTGTCCCCTTGAAGAGAATAAATGGCATTACTAAATGGCAATTAAAGCTGCATATTTTGATCTAAACTGAAGAATAAAAACAATGATTTTAAAAATAAGACCAAAATAATTTCAATGAGTTATAGAAAAAGATTTTTATAGGAAAACTTTAGACTTATGTGGAAACATTATATGAAAACATTAAAAATGATCTTCAAAAAGTAAGTAATGTATGAATTTTATATATCAGATGAAATTTGTAATGACTGTTGAGGAATATTTTATAAATTTTATGAGACTGACATGTTGCTTACTGCACTGAGGCAGGTTATATTAAGTTTTAAAGCACCTTCATAAAGATCTTCAGACTAGCAATGATGTATTTATTTTATGCTCCCAGCTCTGTTTTGGAATAGCTATTGTTGACTCATGGTACAAATAGTTATTGAGCTTCCTACTATGAATCCAGCACAGTGCTTGGCCCCAAATCTATTGTGTGAAAATAAACTATTATGATCCCATCCTCAGAAAGCCATAGAGCATGATAATTTCTGCTTTATTTTCTTTGTAAATATTAAATTTATCTATTGAATAATACAGTTTTGCTGATGTTCAAACTACATTATTAAATCAGTAAAATTGGCCAGAACATGCTAAGAGTGTGACCTGGAGAAAAAATCTTCATGTAAACAATAATATTTTTCAGGTTCATGACTGAACAAAGTATGAAATATTTGTGTTGAAATATGACATTTAAATATAGATACAATAATGTTATAATTTTAAAATACAGTATTCAGAAAACTGGAATTTCAAATTAAGCTGATATTTCATTTTTAAGAAGTATTAGTCTTTATTGTGAGATAATAGCACAATTTTCTCAAATGTGTAGTCAATATGAACATAAAATTTTGGAGAAATTTGTAGTATGTAAATTATTTCACTCTATCTGGAAACATTTTCTAGGCTGCGCATAGGAGATTTGTTCCTATTACTAAATACAATTTTTTAAAACAAGTATCACAAAGCCATAGATGTACAACATAAATTACTAAAGATTAAAATTTGAGCCAGGTTATAAATCAGCATATTATCTAGCATATTAAAATATGTGTAAACATTATTTTAAGGGCTAAAATACATGTTGTCATTTTGGTACATTTTCCAAATTTGAGGATAAGTTCGACCTAATTTTTCTTGTCTATGCCCATTAACTTGCTATAATTTCCAGATATTGAGGAAACTTCCTTGAGACAGTTAAAGAGCTTATAAATCAGATACTTCAGCATAATCTCTACATGAGATATCTTTATTTAAATAGGCCTTCAGTTATGTTTTGGCATGCAGGTCTTATCTAGGATGATTCTTATTTTTAAGAGATAGAGTACAATCTCAATAGCTGCTAAATTTGAACTAATTGGTTTCCCTTGTGAATAATAGAGATATTATGCAATATTAAATAAATTCTGAGTTTAGAACTGTGTAGTATCATAATTTTTACATTGCTTAGGGCACCTAATTTATTTCTTCTACAAATAAAAATAGTTTTATTTTTATTTATTAAAATAAAAGCAATCCATACTTAATTTCAAATGAAAATAACAATTCAAAACAGAATAAAGAAGCTACAATTATCTATAATCCCTCCACCCAAAGAATATCAATGGTAAACCTGTTAGCACACATCCTTCCCAACTTTTTAGTTGAATAGAATTTTGGTATTTTTTAATGTACAGATTCTTGCACATCTAAGACTATCTTCCTGTTTACCTTACACCTAAATAACAAATAGGCTAGATATAGGAATCTGATTTTGCAACCTTTATTTTCTTGAAACTCAGCAAACATTTCTCCATCATCTGGTAATAGAGTACTGATGAAAGAAACATTTAACTGACTTCAGTCCCTTTGTTAAAGGCAATCTATTTTATTTTTTTCTGCATCAGTTTTTATAAGATTTTTTCAAATTATCCTGGAAATAAAACAAGCAAACATGATAGGCTGTATGATATATATGATATATATGATATATAGATGATATATATGATATATAGATGATATATATGATATATACATGATATATATGATATATACATGATATATATGATATATATGATATATACATGATATACATGATATATATGATATATACATGATATACATGATATACATGATATATATGATATATACATGATATATATGATATATATGATATATACATGATATATATGATATATATGATATAGACATGATATATATGATATATATGATATAGACATGATATATATGATATATATGATATAGACATGATATATATGATATATATGATATATACATGATATATATGATATATATGATATATACATGATATACATGATATATATGATATATACATGATATACATGATATATATGATATATACATGATATACATGATATATATGATATATATATGATATATACATGATATATATGATATATATGATATATATGATATATACATGATATATATGATATATATGATATATATGATATATACATGATATATATGATATATATGATACATACATGATATATATGATATATATGATACATACATGATATATATGATATATATGATACATACATGATATATATGATATATATGATATATATGATACATACATGATATATATGATATATATGATATATATGATACATACATGATATATATGATATATATGATACATACATGATATATATGATATATATGATACATACATCATATATATGATATATATGATACATACATGATATATATGATATATATGATATATACATGATATATATGATATATATGATATATACATGATATATATGATATACATGATATATACATGATATATGATATACATGATATATACATGATATATGATATACATGATATATACATGATATATATGATATATACATGGTATATATGATATATATGATATATACATGGTATATATGATTGATATATATGATACATATATGATATATATGATATATATCTTTTCTTATTAATTGGTCTTGAATTTGTAAACATTTTCAGTAAGTAAACATATTTTCCTCAATGCAGTATAGCATCTTTATTAATATCATTGGTGATTCTGTGTCTTCTTGTTTCTTTCTCCATGTATCTGTCATGTTTATCTCTTTCAACTTAATCACTTGCTTCTCTTTCCCCACATTCCATGATATTCTTAATATTGTACTTTCTATTACTGATTCAAAATTCTGTATCATTATTGCTTTTTCTTATTTCTGGAATGTACTTACATATTGATATTTTAATACTTCCTTGAATTGTTTTATCATTTGGATTGCTTTAGAATGCTGTCCCACATGAAACAGTTCCTTCCATTGACCCCTTAGTTTCATGCCCTTACACGACTTTTTAAATGTATCTAACATTTCTCAAATTTTTTCTCTTTAAAAAAACCAACTTTGTGCTATTGTATTAGTTTTTACAACAACAGCTTTATTTTCCTTTGTTATAGTTTTTAAACTTTTGGCTATAATTTTGATTTTTTTTCATTTACCATATCCAGTCAGATTACCAGAATTAGACTCACAAACTTTATTCACAAATTAATCTTAAATTCTATTGATTAGTAATATTCATTCTGGCTCTTAGTAGATAAACAATGAAATTTTAATCTTTGCCAAATTTCTGAGATGAACATAATATCACTTATAGGTTTTAAATATTTATGAATAGACTATGCATTATTAATATTTTAAAAATATTCTGATATCCTCACACAAAATGAACTATGTAAACACAAGCTATAATGAATATGCAGGCAAAGCTGATCATCAGCAGACCTGTCATACAAGCTGTTAAGCATATTGAATTTATCATATTTTATCAGGTCTAAGATAAACTTTTCTTTGTTACCTTTGAACATCACTGAAATAGGGCTGCATTTTGTAATTATGGATAAAATTGGTGATGTGGCTGTCACTTGCTTCACGTTTCTATGCATCTTGAGAAAAAGCTGGCAGAATATTGCCTTGGGAAAAAAATACCAGAGTTAATAGTGAAGCACTCTTTTAGAAAACATTATATTAGCTATGTCTTGATGATAGATAATAATGTTGTATGGAAAAATACAGAAATTAATGACTATGTTGAAAAGTGATTCAGAAGACTGAGATTCTTAATGTAAAGAAATTTTAGAAATACCTTAACCAATTAATTTTCTTATTCTGTATATGCACAAAAATGATACATGATAGAAATATATATTTCAATGTCTGAAAGCAGTTCTTTCAATGGAATAACCTAACAATTCTCAGTGATGAGAAAAACTGTGACAATGTAGTTGGTGACATTTTACCAGGAGTAAGCAAAATAATGATTCATTCTACGATTGATGCCTTTTGAGATTGAATGAAATATGATATATTAATACTTCCTCATTCATTGGTAGTTCTCACCTAAAACCACTCAGTGGGATCCTCTTTCCTACCACAGCCACTCACACCTCATCTAGAGCCTCCTGAGATCTCTCCACATTGCAGCAGTGAGTCTGCAAGACTTGCTCCAAAAAGATTTCCTGCTCTGATTCATTGGGGCTGTTTCCTGCCTCTGAAGTGAACCTGAGATGTTTAACAGGGAAAATAGTAATATCTAACCTCCATGAGTGTTTGAAAATTAACTAATAGGGATACAGGAGCAGAGCATCAGAGAAGGTGTGCTGTGGTAGGGTTACAGCTGTGTAGGGAAGGGATGTGATATAAGACAGTGATCCTTCAGCCCTTGGATGGCTCTGTAGGAACAGAACTCCTGGAACTCCATTAAACACTGACTCTAGATCAAATAGTAGTAACACATTGTTCCATCCCAAATATATAAAATGGAATGTGGTGGCTCACGCCTGTAATCCCAGCACTTTGGGAGGCTGAGGCGGGCAGATCATGAGGTCAGGAGATAGAGACCATCCTGGCCAACATGGTGAAACCCCATCTCTACTAAAAATAAAAAAAATTAGCCCGGCATGGTAGCTCATGCCTGTAGTCCCAGTTACTCAGGAGGCTGAGGCAGGAGAATTACTTGAACCTGGGAGGCGGAGGCTGCAGTGAGCCGAGATTGCACCGCAACACTCCAGTCTGGGCAACAGAGTGAGACTCTGTCTCAAAAAAAAAAAAATATGCCTCTGTAGGGATTCTGTTGCAAATCCTACAGTTATAGCTTGATCTTACTATTAGCTTAATAAAATGCCATTTCAAAAAGGCAACCAAGTTTGCATATGGGATTCAACATACTCAGGAATTCTTAATCTGTAAATCCTTATTCATTGAACCAAAGAATTTAACACACACAAAGGAAAACACGATAACAGTAACAATAACACCACCATGCAAAAACATTCACGAGCAAAAAAGCCTCTTCATAGGACATAAAGAGACCAAGACATGATGAAAATGTACTTTAACACAAAGTAGGAGTTTGAGGATAGGACAAAAATTTGGCAGAGGAGTACAGTTTTCCAACAAGAGAAATCACTTTAAACTGGAATTTTCATTCAGATTGAGAAAAAGGACATATCAGAGGGAATAATCCAACCAAATATCCTTGACTGTGTAAGAAATACTGATCAAGAAGAAGCACTTAGATATTTCCCTAGCCTTTGTGTCAGAAATCATCCTTTATTCTTTATAACTATGTGGAAGGAAGGCTGGACAAGTTTTATAAAGAGCTGATAGAGCTCTATTCTCGAACTTAATGGGGAGAGCAGAGTTAGATTTGGGAATTGGCAAATAGGTGGAGCAAATCACTATATGCCGTAACTATAAAGTACCCTGGCACTAAAGAATATATAATTTAGCCTTTCTTGAGAATATAGTCACCCCTCAGCATTCAAAATTTGTGGAAACTCAAGTCCCTTATATAAAATGGCATAGTATTTACATATAACCTATGCATATCCTTCAGTATACTTTAAATCATCTCTATGTTTCTTATAATTCCTAATTATATGTAAGAATTTATATGCTATGTAAATAATTGTCATACTGTATTGTTTTTAATTTGTATTGTTTATTGTTATATTCTTATTTTTAATTTTTTTTGTTTTCAAATATTTTCAATCCATGATTGGTTGTATCCATGGATGAGGAACCCATAGATATGAAGTGCTGACTGTACTACATTTCCCTAAGCACATGGAGTAACTGCATACAATGGGAAAAATGTGTCCTAGTTCATTGTTTTAGAGTTTGGAGGCAAATTGATTTTTAATTCATGTAAATTAAGATTATCAGAGTAAGCATAATATAACCTAAAGGTATCATTGCCTACTAGATGGCAGGGCTATAGAGCAGCTGTCATCACAGATGAGACACCAGGCATATAATCACTTTAGCATCTTTGACAATAGCAAAGCCTCACTAAAAAATCTAGTCAAATTTTAAAATTAGAATTTACACAATAGAGTGCAATTAGTATGCAATGACACCAGCAAATTTAAGGAATATTTAAATATTCCATACAATTAAATAACTGAAAAACTGCAGCACCAAACCCAGTATTCGAAATTGAATTTTCAGCTGAACATGGATATATAATTTTAGAAAATATACAGGACAAGGTTTGTATGGCCATCATGTCCTTCCGATCAGTTTTCTCCTGCTCATGAGCTCATGTGCTCAAAGTATATTTCATTCTGGGGAAAGGCTGCCATAAAACCATGCTCCATCCCTCTTTCCTTTTCCTTGGAACAAGTCCACTGAGGTCTGTAGAAGAGACAGAGAAACATGACAGTGACTCATTCATTGAACATTTACTAAGAGTTTAATTAAGGCAGGGTATTCCTATTATCTCTAAATTATTTCTGACATAGCTGGTAATGTACTTTTGTACTTCACAAACAATAGCAATGGAAACTTCATTTTGATGTTATGAGGTCTCAAAGCTTGAATACTTTCTGCCACCAACTCTACATAAATCTTTTAATTTTGTTATACTTTTTACATATTTTCTTTCTAATAGTGCATATTATTTTATCATATTCCATGTGAAAAACCTGTATACAATTTAGAAACTAAAGTATAAATTTTTTTAAAAACCTCCTTTTATTTGTATTTATTTTAAAACATTAAATTTAGTTCTAAATTATTAATAGCTTCATATAGTTCAAAAATCATAATTACACAAAACGTATTCATTAAAAAAATCTAATGGCTGTCCCTGACCCATAATCCTAAATCCTTTATCCCTTTCATAGGTAAAACCTTTAAAAATTGAAATAATTTCAGAATTACAGAAGAGTTGCAAAAATGCTACACATAATTCCTATATACTCTTACCTAGTTTCCCCTTACATTAACATCTAACATGGAATATTGATCACAACTAAGAAATTAACATTGGTAAAATACTGTCTTTCACTAATGACCTTTCCTTTGTTTCAGAATTCAGTTCAGGATCCCACATTGCATTTATGTGACATGTCTCTTTGGTTTTAGGTACTCTATGACAATTCCTTAGGCTCCCTTATCCATGACGCTGATATTTGGAAGAATACTGATTATTTATTTTGTAGAGTGTCCACCAAATGATTTGTGTGATGTTTTCCCATGTTCAGGCAGTGGTTATGGATTATGTGGTAAGAATAGTACAGAAGTGAAGTACTCTTTGGTAATATCATATAGGGGAAGGAGGCATATCACATAAGTCATTGCTGGTGAGGCTCACCTTGATCACTTGACTAAGGTTGTATCTGCTAGCCTCTCCATGGTATATTTACTATTTATCTCTTTGTGGTTCCTAATTATTTTGAGAGAGGCACTTAGAGACTATGCAAATATCCTGTTTCGGAAAATATTTTTTTATCCACTAATTTGAACATTCACTGCTGGATCTTACCTGGAGCAATTATCCCTTTGAGATTCTAGTAATAATATCATATTTCTATCATTCCTTCTATCTTTATTAATTGTATTTTTTTCTGAAGAGTTGGTATTTTCCTCTATTTATTTTATTAATCCATTAATTTATTTGCATTAGTGTAAGCTCATGGATATTATCTGATTATTTTCATTATAATCTAACAATATCATTATTTATTTTCTTATTCAATATTTTTCAACTTTGACCATTCATATTGGCTTCTTTGTTTTTAAGAGATGGGGTCTCGCTTTGTTGCCCAAGCTGGGCTTGAACTCCTGGGCTTAAGGGATCTTCCCACTTTAGCCTTCTAAGTGCCTGGGACTACAGGTGCACACCATTGTGCCCAGATAGGTTGGTTCCTGTGTGTTTTTTATATGCTCCATTCTTTTCTTTGTTTCCCCTCTTCTATCCCTTATTTTTTAAGTGCTTTCTTTTTTCTGTCATCACAGATACTTCAGACTTCTCCTAAATTTTTCTTACCCTCACCCTGGAGTCAAGTAGACCTCCAAGGAGCCCTGTCTTTTTAATTGAAAAATTATATTCATAGATCTAAATCTGGATGCCACTGATATTTGTGACTACTGGGGTGCTGCTGCTTTTGGCTTTCTCAGTAGATAGAGATAAAAAATACATATGTATAAAAAGTCATGCTTATACACATCTGTATTTGTTTCTATGTCTACTTATGTAGATAGATGTGTTTTAAAGAAACCACGATTCCACATTGGTAACTAGAACTCCTATACAACACCACGGTTCATTTTATCCTTCCTTTTTTTGTTGTTTGTAGCTTCTTTCATTGACAGCGAGAAACCTGGTTCTCATTATATTCTAACATATTTACTTGCTTGCTCAACCCTAATATACAAATAAAGTAGTTTCAGAATTTCTGGCTCCTTCCCCTCTGAGAAACAAATGTATCAACTAAAGTTTATGTCTATATATACTTATTTTTTGTCCTTAGCCTTGCATTATTAAGCCAAAGCATTTTCTAAAGTTATGGAGATCATCAACTTTCTTTCCATCTTCTTCATTGTGGTTATCTAATTCATCTGTAGTACAGTTAAATTCATTTGTCACAGTCTGCCTTCTGTCTTTTCCCTCATATTGTTGCAGTTTTTCTGCTCCTTAGCTCAGCTCAGTCCGAGGTCTTGTCACACAACCAGGAAGAATTAGGCACACGGACACTGAAGAGAGAATGGAGTAGAATTTATTAAGCAAAAGGAAAGTTCTCAGCAAAGAGGGGACATGGGGGATGGTTCCCCTACCCAAAAGCAGGAAAGTCCCCCATGTGGCTATTTCTGGGGCCTTTTATAAACTCAGAATGGGGTGCATGCTGATTGGTTTGTGAATATGCAAAAAAGATTAAAGTGAAGATACCACTCAAAGGTGGGCATGACAGTGTAGAAAAACCAATTAGGAAAGGGTAGGTATATGTAAAATAGGAGAAGGGTGGAGACCAATCAGAGGAAAATACGCCAAATGGGAAGACAAGTTCTTAATCCGATCTGAGGATTTAACCTGTAGCTTGGTTTTCAGGCTTTAAACTGTCTTTGGCTTGGAGGTCGGGTTCCACTGAGGACCCTCCCCTATCTCTGTAGGCATTTGGCTGCCTCCTGCCGCTCTCATTTCCCCCCTCTGAAGAGGTACATCTAACTGTCATTAGAATAGGGATAAAGACTGATCTTAACTGCTTTCTGCTGACAGGGTGCACTGTTTTGTGACCCACATAATTTAGACCACATATTTACATTTTGAAGACGTTTGTATTTTACCAGTTATCTTTCAAACTACTTTTATTTTTCAAAGATTAAAGTCACATGAACTAAAAGACACTATGGCCTTTATTTTTCCTTCCAAGAATATTTCTTCTAAGTGCTTATTTTCTTTAAACCAATTAATTAAAGCTTTTTTATATAACCGTCACATACATAATACATGTACAGACAGAAGAAGATCCAGTATTTATAAGATTTTTCATTCGCCCATCTCTTAAATGGATTATTGGCCTCAGGGTGGAGCCCTTCAAGAAGCAGGGCTAGGAAAGCACGCAGTTTCCAGGGCCTAATAAACAGTAATAGATGGAAGACAAAAACAGATTTGACAGAGATTTATCCACTTTTAATACCTGGGGTTCCATGAGGAAAACAGACGTTTTATCTTAAGATGGGGTCCGTAGCACCTTTTCTATTTTTCTCAAGGAGTCCCATGATCTCAGAAATTATCTTAGGGCCTCTCATGTTTGCACCAAGAATGGCAAGACAAAATGGAGAAAAATAATTCAGTCGACTGAGAAAAAAACCTTTTCCAGAAGAACAAGATCCATGAAGAGAAAAATATAAAGGCCTTTTAAATATACGTATAGCTTAGATGTTTACTTTTAATTAGGCTGAGCCCTCTTTAAGAAAAATCCTTTTAAATCCCTTTTTACCCAACTTTAGTCATGACCAGTGGTCAGTATTTCTGGCTTTCGAACTTTATCAAAAGTAACCTCACAGATGAAACCAACAAGCCTCAACTAAGGTTATGACTTAACTGGGAATGCATAAGGTATTTTCAAAGAGGGGGTAAGCAGTTTTCACAAAACCTAGACTCTTTAATGGTAGCTCAGAGAAAGGAAGATTTACAAAAGGAAGCTAGAGGCTGGGCTCCGTGGCTCACGCCTGTAATCCCAGCATTTTAGGAGGCTGAGGTGGGCAGATCACGAGGTCAGGAGATCGAGACCATCCTGGCCAACGTGGTGAAACCCTGTCTCTACTAAAAGTACAAAAAAAAAAAAAAATTAGCCAAGAGTGGTGGAGCATGCCTGTAGTCTCAGCCAATCAGGAGGCTGAGGCAGGAGAATTGCTTTTACCCAGGAGGCAGAGGTTGCAGTAAACTGAGATCATGCCACTGCACTCCAGCCTAGCGACAAAGTGAGACTCCGTCTCAAAAAAAAAAAAAAAAAAAGAAAGGAAGCTAGAAGTTGTTCATGGAGGGGAAGAGAATCAGCAAATGGTAAAAGTTACACAGATATTAAACAGAAAGTATTCATTCCCTAAGCTAGGATTGGACCTGGGGCACCATTGTAAAATGGCAGAGACCAAAAGAAAGTACTGCTACGTGGTAACAAGGTTAAGCTCCCAAAAATTTAAAACAAGATGGAGACCTGCAGCAAAGTTTGTTACTGACCAGTTTGTCAGGCTGGCTTGAACAGCAGGCTTATGAGGTCCTAGGCCCGCATTCTATCCTAAGGTACCCCTCTTTATGACAGAACCATACAGAAAGACACACAAAGCACACCAGATTGACTGTAGCTTAAGACTAGCCTCACAATTTTTTTTTCCATTAATCAAAACTTTACAGAGAATATAAACAGTGATTTTGTCACCCATTGAACTGATTTGCACAGGGAAAGGGAGGCCAGAAGTCTGACTGGTAAAAAGCTTTTACCCTTTTGCTGGCATGTCAGGCTTCTAGGTTCCCTTCCCCCAAGCTCAATTTTAAGCCAAGCAGTTTAAGGTTTGGGAAAATTACCTTTTCCCAGTTTGGCAGATGCACCCAAGGGGAGTGTCCTGTGGTATGGGTACACGATTACCATCTGCAAAGAGAGGACAGGGGAGGAAAAGGAGAAAGGTGTTTTTTTCAAAGGAGTGCCAGTGATTCAGGAGGCATTTAAGAGAAGTACAGACTGAAGATGATTGGTTACCCATATGGAAAGAGGGGAACAAGGTGTCCCTAGTTCCTTTCTCTTCCTGGAGTATGTGAGGGAGAGAAAGAAGAGGTGTCCCCCTTTCTTTCTTGCGTCCTTATATCCCAGAGTCCTGGTGACCTCGGCAGGGTGCTGCCCATGGGTGCCAATGCAGCTTTCACTCAATGTTAACAGGGTGGCCTAGGAGGTGGGAATTATCCACACTCACCCACATGCTGCCTTTCCCCCCTGCTGTAGATAACCGTAGAGGTCCCCAGAGCTCATTTATCCGATGGATACTAGCATGACCTCTATCCATGAAACAGGCACTTGGCTTAATCAACAGGAATTAGTCCTGCTCACCTACGCTGTGCCCCTTGACTTCTGCTGTCATCTTCCTCTGGATCCCTCAGATCCAGTTTTCCTTACTAGGGCTTCAACCCAAAGCATGGAATTGAGTTTGGGGCAAGAAGGTAACTCAGAAGCGTTCATGAACTCATTAAGTCCCAGGTGACCCTTGCCAGATTGCATCCAGCAGCCGGCAGGGCTGCTCCTTCCCTGCTTCCTTATCATAATTCAAATGCTAATGTAAAGCTGTGGAGGCCGGTCCTCCTCAAACGAAAGAGAAAAAAGAGAGTCCCATGAATTGGGGCCCTGGCCTAGTAAAACACCGTTCAAAAGAAAAAAAAAAACTCTCACATAGAAAAGCTCCCTGTATTTGCAGGGCTGTGTTAACTCTCGACATGGTGGAGAAGGAAAAAAACAAAAAAAACAGCTTAAGTGCAGGACGGGTAAGGTGCCTGGGGAAGAAACTCTCTTGCACTGTCCAAATTGGTTCCTCCAACAGGAAGAGGAGTTCTTAATTACTGTGCCCTTTTTCTAGTTCAGAATGAGCTGGACTAGGTTAGGAAAGACTCCACGGGTGCGTGGCAGGAGGCGGTGGTGACCGGGAAACACTGCCAGTAAGCTGCGTGGGGCCTCTGGCCCCTGAGACCACCCTGGGGCCTGGGCAGTGGCTGCGATACACTCCTGCCCTGCATGGTCATTGGATGTAGCATGTGCACACGGCGGACATGACCATGCGCCCCAGCTGGGAGTGGGGGGGTAAGTGGGCAGCCACTGCTCACCCATCCATCTGCCTCGTGTGCCTGTGGCCATTAGGGTGGGAGGAGGGATGCACCTCTAGGAACAGACAGATATCACATTTTTCTGAATCGCATGTGTGATGGCTGGGCCAAATGCTCCTTCTATGGAGTAGTATCTCTGCAATTTGCAGCAACACCCTTAACATTATAAAAGAAGAGATAGAAGCCATTTCAAACCATGAAAGAAGGAAGAAAAAATACCTTAGAAAAGTCTGGGAGTCTTGGTCAATGCCCTAATGAGTGATCAGGAAGGAAGCCAAGTCTAAGGGCCTTGTGGCAACACTGAGAAGTGGACTCAGCCAGATGCTTTCAGTTGCCCCAAGACTGTATTCTGGTCCCACGCAACAGCTAGACCTCCCTGAAGGGAAACAAAACCGACATCCCTTTTACCTGAAAGAGAGAGATAGGTGGCAGGGTTGCATCCTGTCTTCTGTAACTGCGCCATTTGTTCTTAATTGGCTCACCCGAGGTTTGGTGCTTCATCTGCCTTCAGAAAAAAGTCTGAGGATGAGAAGCCTTGAAAATGAAAGTGAAAGAGAGTTTGGGTCCGTATTTACTAACCCTCCAGGTATCCCTGTACAAGCCACCAAAATGTTGTGGTTTTTCTGCTCCTTAGATCAGCTAGATCCGAGTTCTTGTCTCACAACTAGGAAGAATTAGGTGCCTCGACACTGGGGAGTTAGTGGAGTAGAATTTATTAAGCAAAAGGAAAGTTCTCAGCAAAAAGGGGACATGGGGGATGGTTCCCCTACCCAAAAGCAGGAAAGTCCCCCATGTGGCCGGTTCTGGGGCCTTTTATAAACTCAGAATGGGGTGCATGCTGATTGGTTTGTGAATATGCAAAAAAGATTAAAGTGAAGATACCACTCAAAGGTGAGCAGAACAATGTAGAAAAACCAATTGGGAAAGGGTAGGTATATGTAAAATAAGTGAAGGGTGGGGGCCAATCGGAGGAAATTGTGCCAAACGGGAAGGCAAGTTCACAATCCAGTCTGAGGATTTAACTTGCAGCTTGGCTTTCAGGCTTTAAACTGTCTCCAGCTTGGAGGTGAGGTTTCTCTGAGGACCCGTCCCTATCTCCCTAGGCAATTAACTGCTTCATGCTGCTCTCAATATCTTGATTGATTACTTTAAATTTTTATATATATATTTTATATATTAAAATGCATCGCCATAGTACCATAGAAAGCCATTCCATCATACCAGAAGTTCTGTGCAATTCCACAGATGACTTCACCCCAACCCCAATCGCTGGTAATGACTGTCAACTGTTTTGCTCTCTGTAGTCTTGCCTTTTTCACAGTGTCATATCAATGGAATTGTACAGTTTTGGATCTGCCTTCTTTGACTTAGAAAAATGCATTCAAGTTTGATCCACATTGTTGCATGAATCAATAGTTCATTCTTTCTTATTGCTGAGTAGTACTCCATTGTATGAATGTACTACAGTTTGTTTTTCATTCATTGGTTGAAAGCCATCTGTGTTGTTTCTAAATTTTGGAAATTATAAATATAGCTACTATAAGCCATGTGCAGTTTTCTGTGTGAACATAAGTTTCATTTCTCTTGGGTAGATAACTTGGAATAGAATTGCTGGATTGTAGATGTACATTTTATTTTATAATAAACCTGCTAAACTGTTTAGCAAAGTGGCTGTGCCATTTTACATTCCAACCAACAAGATTTCCAGTTGCTCTGCATATTTGTCAGCATTTAATATTGACAGTATTTGGGGCAGGCATTATAATGGGTGCATAGTGGTATCTTATAGTGACTTAATTTGCATTTACGTGATGGTTAGTTACACTGACATTGTTTCATATGCTTTCATGTCATCTATTTACCTTTTTTGATGAAGAATCAATCACTTGAGATGTGCTTTGTGTCTGGCATATATTCTATATTTGTAAGTGTTCCAACTGCTTTTGAAGAAATATATGTTGTACAGTGGTAGAAATAGAATGTTTTCTATGCCATTTAGTTGACCTTGATTAAGTATATTGTTCAAATCTTTCATAGCCTCATTAAATTTTTGTCTATTTTACTATTTTATTAGCTAACAAGAAAATTATGTTCAAAACTAAATCGATTATGGCCTTGTCTAGTATTCCTTTTAGTCCTATCAAATTTTGTTTTGTGTAGTTTGAAGCTATGGTCCTAAGATTCTTACGTCTTTCTGCTGAACTTAAATACCTTTATCACTTATTTAGCAATGTAAGAATTTTCTAGCGTTCACTCTGTTTATACTGGACAGCAGCCCTTTGTGCTATTGTGGGCATATATTTTAATTATGCATATTTTATAGGACCGGGAAAACATTATTTTTGTATCTTTTCATAGGTTTACACTCTCCTTTGCTTTTCATCCCTTCTTGAAATCTCTGCTTTCATGTAGTATCATTTTCATTTAGCCTGAACAACTTCCTTTATTATTTCTTATGGTCCTGTTCTGCTGTCAACAAATTCCCCACCTGTTGTTTGGCTGACAGCATCTGCATTTCACCACCAATTTTTAGGATATTAATTCATGGTATAGAATTATAGGTTGCCAGATTAAAAAAACTTTTAGCTATGATAAGATGTCATTATATTACCTCCTGACTTCCATAGTTTCTGTCAATAAGTCAACCGCAGGCTTTCTGGTGCTCCTTTGAAAGTAAGTATCTCTTTCTCTAGCAGTTTTATGAATTTTTAAATTTGTCATTAGATTTTTTTTTATTTTTAATTTTTTTTACCAGTTTTATCATTATGTTCTTAGCTATGGCTTTCTGAGTGTTTATTCTGGCTAGAGTTCTTGGAGTTTCTTCAGTGCTGTTTGTTTGATGTATTCACTATGTCTGTACATTTTTGGATATTATCTCTCCAAGTACTTTTTCTTTCCCATTCTCTTGCTGTGCATGTATTTTAGATTATCTGACTCAGTCTGACTCTTACATTCTGTTTTTTTCTTTCCACTTTTCTTCTCTCAATGCTTCAGTTTATACTTTTAAAAATTATTTTGTAATTATTTTCATTACTTTGTGAGGTTGCTAATCTTATCTTTTTCTTTGTCTGGTGAGCTAATGCATCCATCCAATAAGTACTTAATATCAGATACTATATGTTTATTTCTAGAGTGCTTATTTGACTTTGTTTTTAAAGATTTCCATTCATTGTTGAACTGTTCTACCTTTCTGTCCATTTAGACTATTTTTCTTTATTTTCCTTAGCATATTAATAATAGTTATAGATGCTTCCTGACTTATGATGGAGTTACAAACTGATAAAATATCATAACTTGAAAATTCATTTAATACACCTAACCTACCAAACCTTGTAGCTTAGCCTAGCCTACCCACATTAAACATGCTCGGAACACTTACCGTACCACATGTTGCTAGCTCAGGAAAAGATCAAAATTCAAAATTCAAAGTACAGTTTCTACTGAATGGGTATAACTTTCACACCATTTTAAAGTTGAAAAATTATGTGTTGACTGTTCAAAGTACAGTTTCTACTGAATGGGTATAACTTTCGCACCATTTTAAAGTTGAAAAATTATAAGTCAGGGACTGTCTGTATTTTAAAGTCCTTTCATGCTAACTCTAATATCCATATTATGTATGGATTTATTCCTATTGTTAGGTTTTTTAAATTATTGATCAATTTTACTTCCACAATGTATATATTATACTTTTTATTGCAATCAGATATTGTACATACAAGGGCTGTAGAGGCTTCAAATATTATTTTGCCCAGACAGAATTCAATGTTTCCTCTGTCAGGAAGAATGCATGAAGAGCTGACTATATCAACCGGTCAGAGACTGAGCTGAGTCAAAGCTGATTTGTAATTAGACTCAGTCCATCTGTGATTCATCCTGTTCTTTGGGCCTTGCTTTTGATTGACAGCCTGGAAGGTCTCTCTCTCCTCAGTCCTGAAATACTGCAGAAGATTCTTCACTGCTTTCAGAAATTTGAGCTTTACTCTTGTACATTTCCCCCACTGAGCTTCAAAATCTTGCAAATTGCTTGAAGGGAAGACCAGTCATATATTTGACATAGACTCCTTCTCTATAGGGGAACTTTTTCTTCTAACCACTCCAAGACTGTGAAAGATTTGATTTGCCTATTAGAATTTCCTTACCCAATCCCCTAGTCTCCTGTTTAGTTGCAACACAGAGCAAATGTCCACATATCACCCTGACCCCAATAATCATTGAAAGCTCTGCTTCTTTCCCTTTTCCCCAGTACAATCTCTTTGCCTGGACCATGTCCAATCCACAATCTGTTCCCAGAATCAGCAAATACCTTAAGGAAATAAAACAGGCAGTAATCATTTACTCACCTAAAAAATACATTTCCTTTTGCAGAATTTTAGTTTATCTAATTATTCTTGCTTCCACACTCTTCAAAGTTTTTAAAATATGGTTTTTTTATATTTATAGCTTTTTCAGTTGTTACTTTGGTAATGTTCACCTTTCATGACATCCTGCATTTTACTCAGAAACAGAACCCATTTCTGAGGATTTCTTAAAGTGGATCTGATTCAGATTAGTTTCTAAAATATAATTGAAGCTGCAAGATGTAAAGTCAAAAGGTGTTAATGGCTATGTTTTAACAACATGAGAAAAGCCCATCTACAGTGAAATAGATGAAAGAAATCTACCTGCAGACAGCAACCAACAGAAAAAGAAGAGTTCTGCTTGCGTTCCAGAATGCTGGTTTTTCCCAAGATGCAGCTGCATTCCTACTTTGTCCAAAACTTGGTGGTTCAATTCCTTTTTTGACTCTAGGGAGCCCCAATCTCCTTGAAATAAATTCCTGTCTTTTGTTTTTAGGTTGATTAAATTGGTTTTCCATCACTTGTAATAAAAGTCTTAGTTAATATATCATATTATTAAATAGGTCAACACAAATCATAATGTTGTTATTGTCATTCTTTTAGGCTTTTGCTTCTTAATCTTTACTCTAGATTTCCTGGCTCAATTTGCAATAAAGATGATAAATGTGGCATCTTGCTGCATTCAACATGCTTATCTGACATAGTTTCTCATCCATTTCTTATATCTTCAGGGGCCTTGGAAAACATATAGCTAAACATATTAGAACTGTATATTTGGCAAGAAGAAATAAGATCTGAATGAGGCTAGGAGGAGCTCTGCCATACATAAAGTGCAAAAGTTTTAGAACATTGGCACTTAGATTTGTTTTTGCTTACATTTTTGGTGTTTGCCTTGTTCTTAGTAACTGAACATGCTACACCAGGGATTTTTGGCTAATATGTTCTTTAAATAACTTTATTCAAATAAGTGTATCACCAGGGATAGGTCTTTTTATCTTTGATGAGTTCCTGATCCATAAGGGGAAAAAGTCAGTTAAGTTCAACACACTAGGAAAAAAGAAAAGCAATTTAATTTGTATCGGTTATTTTTGTAACTGATATTCAAACTAACATGGTTAAATATGGAGAACAGGGGATATCGCTGTATTTAATACATTCCATCCTTACAATTTTTAAAAAGCTTTAATTAATTATTTATTTCAATGTGTATATTTATGGGCCTAGGGAAAGTGTTAATGATAAAGAAAAAGATAATGAGAAGGAAGAGAGAAAAAAAAAGAATGGAAGATAACAGCAAAAATTAAAGCACACCCTGAATATAATTATGCCAAAACTAATCTGGAACAGCTTAGCTTGATTTCTATTTGGGCTGTGCACATCAAACTATGTAGTATATGATCACCTATCAACAGTACTTTTGAAATGATAGCTAGCTACACATAATCACAGTGCCCAGTTTTCTACCTGATTTTTACCACAATCACCCCCAACCTCCAATCCCTACCTTCACCCCCACATAAAAATTTGAAGGCGTCTAAACGAATATTACTATGGAGACTTAAATAGCTATGAGCAATGACGTCATCTCACAGGCAGAAGGAAACGAAGTCATGGTCAGGTGAGCAAAATGGGTGGCTACGCTGAGCTGCATGGCCGATCCAGTGTAGAATACTGGTCAATGGTTGTAACTTGAAATTAGAGACTTGAACTTGAAAATTGATTCTATCACTTACCAGCTGTCTGACATTGGCAAAATTACTTCAATTCTCTAAGCCTCAACTTCTTTATCCCGAAAATGAGAATGATAATGACAACTCTCAGTGTTATAAGAAATAAGTGTAAGAATGTATGTAGAATACATAGCATATGGCTTAGTATATTGTGTTCAATAAAGGATAATGATTCTTATTCATGAATGACAGGTAAAGAAGCAATAAAGCACCAGAGAGTGATGTCATTTTTCCTGTTTGAAATTAAGAATTTTGCTTTTCTTCGGCAAAATAAGTGTTTTGACTTTTCTTTATTTGTTTGAAAATAAAGACTTTGCATTTCTATTGCTTCGTCACTTAGGCTGAAAGATAACTTCACCATCAAATTGTTTGGTTTGGTTTTTCAAGAGAGACTTCATCTTGAACAGAGCTGCTTAATTACACTGCCAACTTAAAAAAGCAAGTTGTTTGTAAGTTTGGTGGATTTATTGGCATTGTTTTTTCATTCAGATATTTCTCATTGCCAAATCTCACTCTGTCCAAGAAAAAAAAAATTCAGCACACCATACTCTATGTAACCTTACTTACATTACTTAATAGTAGCTGTAAAATAGAATTTTTTTTTGAAGACCTACGTCTTCAGCCAGGAAATATGTGATTAGATCTTAATTGGGAGCTGGCTCTTCTAGTTGGATCTGGGCTATCTTTGAACCAGTAGTAAGTTACTTGTTGCAAGTATCTGTTCAAAGTAGCAAAGTGTTTATTCATATGGAGATAGGTATTAAAAATGTCTAAGTTATATATATTTGCTCTAAGTTTTGTTTGCATTCTTCCTTAAATAGAAATATGGCTTACATGATATTTGTATCCATATATAGACACATAGGAGAATTACCAATTTTTAGGGATTAAGTTACACCAAACTAACATTTAGGGAATAAAGCACCTGCCTTCATTATTTGGTAAGAAAGACCTCAAAATTTCTAATAAAACAGATGGAATGTAAATACCATGACACAAATATCAGGTCAAAGGCCTAATGTGAGGGCCAATGAATATGGAAAGGGATCTGGGCCTCATATGGTTTGGAAATCCTCAGAATTTGTCCGCAAAAATTACATGTATATCTATGTATGTATATGGTCATTTATCTGAACATTTTCATAGTTTTCATCAAGGAAGTCACAAAGGATGGTAAGAACCAAGTCACTGGGTGGACCTGATAGTTTCATTGCCATCAGTCAGTTCTTTAAGGAATAGTTACTGGAGGAAGTATAAGATAAACCTAGAAATGGGCTGCCAGCACACATTAGGATGGTGCACACATGAGCTGGTGGTCTCCTGCTGCCCGTTTCTGAAGTGAAAATATATATATATATGCTGGCCATAGATGGAGGAAGCAGAATTTGAAAGAAGCAGCAAGACAGGCCTCCACACCAGATTTCTCAAGCAGTGGGATGGTGAGTGCGGGGTTGTATTTTCCTGTATCAAAGGAGAAAAGTGACAGGCGCATGAGTGTTCTAACGTTTTTCTTTCAGCAAAGCAAAGATAAAATCAGGACTTTCTTTGCTCCTGGGCCTGGACCTCTTTCAATAGTTACTCTCTGGATGGAAGACTCTAGGGATGCTGAAAGCAAGACTCAGTCGCCGCAGGCAAGAGAGCTGGCTAGGGCTGACTAAGGTTAGCTGACTGCCAGCTTACATAGAGTTGAGTTGCAATAAATTCCGTGAGATATCTCTTGTGGTTGCTGTAGGCAGAGTATGCTTCCCTTGACAGTGTCCAGTCTGGTTAGCGCTGCGCTTTAAACTTCCCAGCCTGCGCCTCGAATTTGGTGCTGCAGCTGTAGAACTACATCTTCCTAGCATGGGAGAGGGTTCCTCGAGGATTCATTTTTCTTTGGTTCCTCCGCAGCCAGCTCACCGCTAGGATCTGGTTTTGTGTCGGTTCACTGACTTCATTTCAGTTCCAGAGTTATTCTCCACTTACTCAGCTTCTGCCAAACGTACACGTGCGTGGAATTGATAATAAGGGAACCACATTAATTCGCAGTTTTAGTGCCCGGTGTTCATACGGGAGCTTATTTCTACTCAACTAAGTTTTGCTGCGCTCAGGTAATCCATCTCCACCCTTTCCCTTCCGCTACTGATTCCCTCTCTGCTCCTCCCCTGTCAGGTGAATTTCCCCCAAAACTTGCCTGGAGGTTCCTTCTAGCGCCGCTGGGGACTGCAGAGCTGGCACTTGGACCTTACCCAGCGACCCCTACTCCGAAGGGGTGACCCAGGCACAGGCGACTTTACAGGGTCTCTTTCTCTCTTGGGTGTTTCACACACATGCGCCTCTGTGCAAACACCTATGTTTTATGTGTTTTAAAGTGAGAAAGGAATACTTGAAATGCGGAAGTCAGGTTAAGGAAATGGGGTTCTTCACTGAACTCTGCCAACATCCGGTCAATATGATGGCGGTGTGTGTTTAAGCAGCTCTTTACCAAAGAGGGTAAAATCAAACTGCCTACAAGGGGCGGATTCCTCTGGGAGTCTGGGACTCTGCGAAGCAGTGGAGGCATGGCTGGAGAAAGCCACAGGTCCCCAAACCGCTAAAGCCAAAAACCGTGTGGGGAACAAATTTTGCTTTGTTTTTTCTCCGTCCCATGCTCCCGAGCAGAAATTAAAAGAGGAAAGGTCGCATGGAGCTGGTTACATTCCTGTCGGCCTTCCCCCGCTTCCCATCCCTTTAACACTTGTCTCTAATCGTTTCCAGTTCTCCTAGGATAACGGGAAAATTGTTTCCTGGCACCCCGCACTCCCACAGGACACACCCGCAATCGCACACACTTTTGATCCGTCCTGGCCAATGCCCCCACCTAGCGGTTTAAACTCGCCGGCTTTGCTTCCCTCTTCTATGGTTTCTAAGTGAGCGCTGCAGTTGACAAAAATAATTGTTTATCTAGGTGGATGGGGTGGGAGAATGGGAAGGATCCCTTAAAATGTGGTGAAAATGAGGCTTAAGGTTGGTGGCAAAATGCTAGGTGCTAGGACTGGAGGAGAAAAAGAGAGAAGGCTGTGCTTTTATCCTCAGGGTGGCTGCTGCAGCCCAGACCGCATCTAGAGGACGTCCTTGAAGAGCTGCCACCTTAGTTAAAGGAGTACCCTCACTCTCAATGCATGCATGTGTGTATGTGTGTTTTTCTTCAAAACACTTAACACTACAGAAAAGTATAAGTATTAATTATTTACTTGTTCATGTAGTTATTGTCTGTCTCTTCTAGAATGTAAACTGCTGGAAAAGAGGGTCTGAGTCTACTCCCACTGGCCTCCATACCTCGGATGCCTAGAAAAATACTCAGCATAGAGTAGGCACTCTATTTTTTGCCTGCTTGCCTGGTTTAGAGAACCGGGAATTAAGGGAACTTGGGTTTGTGCTTTATTGCCTTGGGTAAAAAGCTCTTCTTTCAAAGGATCTCAATTACTCTTCCTCTAAAACTGGGTGGAGGGATCAGATCAGATAGCCTTAGGTTCTGACACAGAATGATTCTCTTTAAAATATATGTGCGCTTAAACAGATGAATTCATTTACAATGCAGTTTTTATTAGATACACTCTAGGTGCCAAACATGGATCTAGGCTCTAGGAATTCGTAGTGGGGATCATTTAATCCTTCGAGCTGAAAATACCTTGTCCTTTCCTGGAGCTTTTCTTCATACTTTCTGATTTGCATCTCTACCCTACATTTGTTTCTGTTGAGGTCAGAGGAGAAACTGAGGACAGGGGATCCGTCCCTGGTCATGAGACCTAGGTACTGGTATTGCATGCTGCAGCTTATGGCTGACATTCCCACATATTAGTTGAAGGCAAAGGAGACACACAAGATGGTGCTGATGATGGTTCCAGTCCTCCCCGCCCCACCATCCCCCTTTTTTCTTGAATTCTGATGACCTCCTTTCTAGGTAGGCTGTTGGAAGGAACACGCTTACTGGCAACTGTTTTCCAGAGGCACTGAAGCACTGAGCAGCTGGAAGAGGATGGTGGAGCAGAAGGTTTAATTTCACATACAGTTGGCTTCTGTTTGTGATAACTTTTACATTTTCGCAGATAGCTTGTCTTTTTCCCTGTTGACTCATAGTTGAGTGAAAAACACAAATTTCTAAAACTAGATGAAAAAATAGTTTTTATTGTATCAAGAGTTAAGGACGGCAAAGTACAAAATGCAAACATTGGGCCCTCTACAGCGATATTACTGGTGCCTCCTAACCTGGGTGTGGCCATCAGGGCTGGATATGATTTTAGAGCGGAGAGGTCAGAGACCAGGGCTTCCCCGCCTAACACTGGCCTCCTAGGGTGGGAGTGGTAGGCAGGAGCCTAGGGCCAGACTGCTGGACTAAACCTGTGACCATGGCTAAGGACATGGGTCTCACTGGAGGTCAGCGCAGCAAGCTCTGATGTCCGTAGAGGCGAGAACAGGACGCCTTCTTCCCCTGACCAGAAATGCAGCTCCAGGTTGTCAGGGCTGGGAGGATGGCCCAGGGTGGGAAGCGGGGAGATAGGGCGGTAGGACCCGGCGGGAGCTTCCTTGGCCAGGAAAGGAACAGGGCGGGGGGAAAAGAGGGAGGGAGAGAGAAAAAGGGAAGGTGATGGGGAGCGGGCGTCCGCACCCGCCGCGCCGCACGAGTTGCACTGCTCTGGCGGACCGGACCTGGACTCTATATAAAGAGCCCATCTGCTCCGTAGCTCGCACGCTTCTCCCGGGCTGGTGCACGCCGCGTCCCTCCAGCTCCCCCAGACACCTGCCCCTTCCCAGTGTGCCGCGCCAGGTCCTCCAGACCCGCGCACCCAGTGGCATGGCTCCGAGTGGCTCCCGTGGGACCAGGGTGGCGGTGGCGGCGGCGCGGCCCGAGCAGCCGCAACTCCAGCCCCCGTGTCCCCCCTTTTATGGCTCCGTCTCCGCGGGGCAGCTCGTCCGAGTGGCCAGAGAGTGAAAAGAGAGGGAGGGCAGAGCTCCGGCGCGAGGCGCGGCGCAGCGCTGCTCCTAGACTTCACCCCACCCAGCTCTGGCGGCCGCTGCAGCCCCCCAAAAGTGCCCCAGCTTGGGGCGAGGGGTGGGAATGCAAGATCTCGGGACCTCTCGCTGGCCTGCAAGCTTTGGTCTCTACACCTAGGAAACTCCTGTGGGCAAAGTCTGCAGATCCAAAAGCGTCCAGGTTAGGAGACGCTCAGCCTCAAGCAACTGGGGTAAGAGATCCCATTTGGTCAAAGCCTTCTCCTCAAGCAGTACTTCACCCTCCTGCACTAGACGCCTCCAGGGAGCTGGAGCGGAGCAGGGCTCGGTGGGCCAGCTCTTAGCAACCCAGGTCTAAGACCCGGTGTGGAGAGGAACAACCACAGACGCGGCGGCTTAGCTAGGCGCTCTGGAAGTGCAGGGGAGGCGCCCGCCTGCCTTGGCTGCCGCACCCATGACCTCTAGTTTCAGCTGTGAACCTGGGCGGAGGAATAATTGAGGAACTCACGGAACTATCAACTGGGGACAAACCTGCGATCGCCACGGTCCTTCCGCCCTCTCCTTCGTCCGCTCCATGCCCAAGAGCTGCGCTCCGGAGCTGGGGCGAGGAGAGCCATGGAGGAACCGGGTGCTCAGTGCGCTCCACCGCCGCCCGCGGGCTCCGAGACCTGGGTTCCTCAAGCCAACTTATCCTCTGCTCCCTCCCAAAACTGCAGCGCCAAGGACTACATTTACCAGGACTCCATCTCCCTACCCTGGAAAGTACTGCTGGTTATGCTATTGGCGCTCATCACCTTGGCCACCACGCTCTCCAATGCCTTTGTGATTGCCACAGTGTACCGGACCCGGAAACTGCACACCCCGGCTAACTACCTGATCGCCTCTCTGGCGGTCACCGACCTGCTTGTGTCCATCCTGGTGATGCCCATCAGCACCATGTACACTGTCACCGGCCGCTGGACACTGGGCCAGGTGGTCTGTGACTTCTGGCTGTCGTCGGACATCACTTGTTGCACTGCCTCCATCCTGCACCTCTGTGTCATCGCCCTGGACCGCTACTGGGCCATCACGGACGCCGTGGAGTACTCAGCTAAAAGGACTCCCAAGAGGGCGGCGGTCATGATCGCGCTGGTGTGGGTCTTCTCCATCTCTATCTCGCTGCCGCCCTTCTTCTGGCGTCAGGCTAAGGCCGAAGAGGAGGTGTCGGAATGCGTGGTGAACACCGACCACATCCTCTACACGGTCTACTCCACGGTGGGTGCTTTCTACTTCCCCACCCTGCTCCTCATCGCCCTCTATGGCCGCATCTACGTAGAAGCCCGCTCCCGGATTTTGAAACAGACGCCCAACAGGACCGGCAAGCGCTTGACCCGAGCCCAGCTGATAACCGACTCCCCCGGGTCCACGTCCTCGGTCACCTCTATTAACTCGCGGGTTCCCGACGTGCCCAGCGAATCCGGATCTCCTGTGTATGTGAACCAAGTCAAAGTGCGAGTCTCCGACGCCCTGCTGGAAAAGAAGAAACTCATGGCCGCTAGGGAGCGCAAAGCCACCAAGACCCTAGGGATCATTTTGGGAGCCTTTATTGTGTGTTGGCTACCCTTCTTCATCATCTCCCTAGTGATGCCTATCTGCAAAGATGCCTGCTGGTTCCACCTAGCCATCTTTGACTTCTTCACATGGCTGGGCTATCTCAACTCCCTCATCAACCCCATAATCTATACCATGTCCAATGAGGACTTTAAACAAGCATTCCATAAACTGATACGTTTTAAGTGCACAAGTTGACTTGCCGTTTGCAGTGGGGTCGCCTAAGCGACCTTTGGGGACCAAGTTGTGTCTGGTTCCACAGGTAGGTCGAATCTTCTTTCGCGGTTTCTGGGTCCCAGCGAGGCTCTCTCTCCTGGGCAAGGGCAATGGATCCTGAGAAGCCAGAATAGTCCTGAGAGAGAGCTCTGAAAGGAGAAGTGTTGAAACTAAATGTAGAGCTTCCCTGCCCAGGAGGAGGCTCACTTCCTCCCCTCAAGCCCCGGGCTCAGCACTGACCCTGCGGCAGCCAATCCCAAAGGGGGTTGCAACTTTTAAAAATTGATAATGGAAGGGAATCCCTGCCCTGCTTTGGTATCGTGGATAATGCCCACTAGAAGCAGTGTACTTGTAATTGTTGTCTGAAGCCTGTCTGAGACAGATCTACATACAGCCTGGCAGTACTTGAACTAGACGCTTAATGCCCTGTGTTTTTGGGGGGAGAACTTTGTGTTACAGCTTAATTTAAGAACAGTTACTTTGGCATCATTCAGTCTTCACTTTTTGTCTATTTAAACTTGGTTGGAGAAACTTGTGGATTTGGTGCTTCAAACCCTATGTGTGGCTTGGATGGCGCAGAGAAACCTTGAAGAGTTAACAGCAAAATTCTGATGCTGAGATCTCTATTTTTATTATACTTGAAACTATATGGGGGTGGGTGGGTGGGAATGGGAGATGAGGAGTGTTAAACTGAGAATCAACACCTATGATTGTTTGTTTTCTGCAGATTTACAATTTTGTAATTCCTGTTTAGCGATTGTCAAGCCACAACTCTAACAAACAAACCATTATGTGTGCTAGTGCCGAAGTCTGCAGACTGCTTTATTTTTTCTCTTAATTTCATGTACCTGTCACTTTACACATTTAAATCCCCATAAATGAAGGGTATGATGGGTGACTCAGCCCACACTGCTGCTATATTTCTTACTAATGCAATTGGTAAAACCGATTAGTATTGGAAATATACTGTTTCTTAACAAGAAAAGTGTCTTTATTTCTTATCCAATTTAGTGAGATGTGAAGGAGACTGATGACATGGGGATAGTTCTTACACAATTGAGGAATGGGGTGGGGGCAATAGGAGGATGTATATTTTGACTTGTAAAAAAATCTTAAAATGCATGAAACTTTTATCTGATAGTCATTTGCACTCTCCTTCCCATCTGTGATTCCTTGTGTGCTAACATATAAAGAAACCAAGAGAACTATCTTCCTTCTCCAGAAACCTTAAAAATACAGTTAAGGGCCCTAAAAACGATATTGAAAAGAAAATAAACTTGTTTCTTTTTTGTTGTTGTTGTTATTGAAGTTTGGGCAGGAGAAAAGATTGCTAGAAAATGACATATAAGAACTTTAGAAAAGCTTAGAGAAACTAAAATTGAGCCTGTTTTTGTCTTGTTTTTTGTTTGTTTAAAAAAGAAAAAATTGCAGAACCAAACCTCAGACTTACTAACAATCAGGAAACTGGCAAGCTTTTGACCTTTGTAAATTTGTTACCAACCTGATATCTCAATTAATATAATATCTGGAATACTTTAAATTTATCAGTCTTTTCAAATTTCAAGAATACTTAGTTATTTCAAATTTCCTCTGAGAGCTCCCTAATACAGGATAAAGTCATGAAATAAAATATGAAAAAAATGTATATTTTAATAAGAAGTAGCCCTGAGGGATTATCTGCACGGAAAAAAATGTATATGTACAGCATTTAACATGCCAAAGAAAATTCACACTCCTTTCCTCAGAGGGCATTCTGCAGTTGATACCTTTTGTCTGCAGAAGCAAGTTGTCTTTGTGAAATGGATTCACTCCTTGCTTGAAACTCCCCAGTCCTGTTTGTCAGACAATAAATACATTGAGCTGAAGTACACTGCTTGCCTACTGTGCAGACCTTCACCTTGAGTAATCACTCTTGAAAATATACTATTCAAAGATTCACACATAAGCT
This sequence comes from Homo sapiens, assembly GCF_000001405.40. Lineage (NCBI taxonomy): Eukaryota > Metazoa > Chordata > Mammalia > Primates > Hominidae > Homo > Homo sapiens. The sequence goes on along the minus strand of NC_000006.12, from coordinate 77,460,264 downwards.
AACTAAAAAGGGGAGTTTTGATCAATATTTATACCTGTCACTGGTGTGAGAGAAAATTTTAGGCATTAGATTTGCCTATACTTCTGCTGGATCCCAAGTTTCTTTGTTTGCTTTTTGTGATATTTCTCCTATGGAGGAATGTGCATAGAGCGTGGTGTTTGTTTTTATGTTATTAATACTGTGGTCTTCTGTTTATACAGTTGTATTTTCTTTGGTCCTAAGAGGCAATTAAGTCAACTTCTAAGAGCCTTAGGGGGAAACATTAATTGAAACAAATAGCCACTTTCAAATGATTTCTTTATAGGGTACCTGCAATGATGGTGTCCTCACATTAACAAAACACAATCAGTTTAGTCGAATGGGTTGTTTGCCATTTTGTAGATTAACCACCTAAATTATTGCTTGACTATTTGGCTGTATTGCCTGGATTTGGGGCATATTGTATGAAATAGAAGCTTGCAAACCCTTATAGTTATAAGAGATATAGAATCATCATTCAGCATTGCACATGATTATGCAAAGTGTAGTATTCATCCCAGGGGTATGTAGTTAAGACTGTTAAGCTCCTTTTCAGTTACTGTTGCCTATAGCATAGTTTATTTCATAAACTAGGCACATGGCTTTTTTGCAGAACATGAAGCGGGAGATGGAAATGTTTAACTTACATAGCAATGGAAATATATTTTCATTGGCTGTGGTAATAAACAACATTTTCCATATTGTTTAATTGCACAAATTTTCACAGAAATATATGAATGTATACTCACTCAATATTACCAGTATTGTCTTGTGTTTCTAGGAATTTTAGAGTTTCCTTTTAAAAATGGACACTACACCCATGAATGAATGTTTATTGAGTTCAACAAATTTTCTAAAGAACAATATTCTTAACTTTTCCTCTCTATTATCTTAGTTTTGTCTTCTTTAACCAGGAAACCCTGAGAAGATTATAATTCACTGAAGCAGTAAAATATCAGATTATGTGTATTTGATGGAGTTGCTGTGACTGAAAATTGCCTTTGGTATTCCATCTTTCAGGAAATGTATCATTGGAAATGAAATTTAGGAAAATAAATAAAAGTCCTTTTGTGTTCTAAAAAGCGTCGGGTAGTAGTTCTATTATTATGGAAAGATTGGTTCCTTGGATTCTGGGGTTGTGTTTAGGAGTTTGACCCTTCATGAGAGAATGACTAATAGTAAATGATACTGTGGCTGCCTGATATGTGCTGCCATGACTTGGGGGATTTAGTTTATATCTGAAGGAAGAATTTGAAAGGAAAGAAATGGGTTGTGCTTTCCTATTCTGCAAAGAGAGAGGGTTAGATCCACTATCACAAGAGTTTTCCAGATTAGTTTTTAGAGGGGACCTTTAGTCTCTAGGCTAGGTAGTGAGATTCCAAGGACTGTATGGTGCTTAAAATACAGGAGGAACTGGGTTAGAAGAAGACTTAAGAGGAGTAGACTGACCTATCTTAAGACCAGTGAAGTAGGCAGAAAGGTAGCTTTTGTAGTCAGTCCTAGGTTTGAATTGCAAATAAAGTATGTTAGAAATATGTGGTTCTTTTTCTCAAATACTGTCTACTTACAAGTTGATGTGAAGGCCTAGAACCTATACATGTAAAGCACTTATTGAGATGCCTGACACTTTTTTGGCTCTCAGCAGACAGGACTTCCTCTTAGCCATTATTTCCCATTGTCTCCTTTGTGGATGCAGAGTGCCTGTAGCACAGAACAGGGGTACTTGGGAGAAGTTGGACTGGAGAAGATCAAACTAGCCTGAATGGGAAAAACTTGGCAAAAACTAGAAGCGACTGAGCTTTACAGCCTTTTACAACTAATCCCCTATGCAGGTGACATACACCCCAAAGAACAAAAGGGAACATGAAGGATGGTTTGCGGTGGCTCTATCGGCCAAGAAGAAATTGCCAAATGTTTAATTATTTCTTATAGCGTCCTTTTATTCACTTTTAAACCCTCTTCCTCTTCCTTGTCTAGAGATTTCTGGCTGTCTTTCTAGAATCCAAAGTCCCTGGCCACATCCACATTTTTAATTTGCAGCACCTCATTTTTCACTTCTCTACTTTTTTCTTACCTGTATCAAATCATGATAACCAATAATGATGTTTATGGTTCTTGTTTTAACTGTGAAGGGCTGATTAAGTAATTAAGGGTTTTCACATTATCTAAAAGGGAATTGTTGAACCAAAGGAATGTGTAATTGGTGGGGATAAAGGCTTTCAACTGGGGCATCTACTCGAGGTAGAGAAAGGGTGGGAGAAGGGAAGTCTGCACTGTTAATCGAAACCCACCCTGGAACAATCCACCAGGGGGCAGAGTGTCTCTGAGATGTTTAGCAGAAGCAGGCGCAGACCATTCAGGATCTCTAAATCCCTCTTCCAGGACATTTTGCAACTGATACTAACGCCTCTAGACTCAGTGAAAACAAAGTTCCATGAGTCAAGGGAGAGGAGGTTTATCGCTGATTAGAAATAGCAGATTTTTCAGAGCTGTAAATTCAGGCAGAGAGTCTCCAAATCAAACCTAAAGTTTTTCTTCATATATGCAAACTCAGTTTTTTAAATTCATCTCTAGTCCTGATATAATGCTAAAATCTTAGCATTTTAAAACATTGTGACCTTTTATTAATGTGGCACTGAGCGAATCAGAAGTTAGGAGACAATGTACCTATTTCAAAATAAAAGGAGCTAATTATTTACATAAACATGTTTAACCATTATGATTTTTCTCATCACTGTGTTTTTCTTTTCAAAAATTGTTTTGATTTAAGGTTGATATATCCATAGTTCAAAGGTAGAACACTTGCCATTTATGATTGAAAGAAATGTCTGTTTTTTTTTTTTTTTGTTTGTTTTTTTTGCACAGAAGTAAGGTTTATTTATATGTCAGTTTTTCCCAAAAGACAGACCCTGAAGTCTGTGTAATTTTGACATTTTAAAAACAGGCATATAGAAATGTGAGTACAATCTTATGTTTCACAAAAATAAATTTCAGCATCAGAAAATGGATCACATAAAACGAGAAAACGAGTGAGATTATATCATTGCCATTCTCCTATAACGTAACTGTTACTCTAGCATTTTCATTATCCCCAATGGGGAGTTTTCTATGTGCCATTTCATACATCTGTCAGTTAAATCAGAATTTTAAAGTCAACACTCATATCTTAGGATTATACTAGGATTTTCAGTGCTCCCTGAGGGAGAGCTAGTCCCTGGAATTGAGCCATCTGTCAAAGAGAGTAACTTAACACTATTCCGAGTATAATTTGTAAAAGAAAATGTCCACTTCTTTTTACTTATTTGTATATATCTCAAAAGATCAGAGAAATCCTTTTCAAAACTACTAAATGAAAATCCATATGACAAGAATGGTCTTATAATATTTCCTGTACCAAAAGTGAACAGATGGTGATGAGGGGATCCATTTATGGTAAATGCTTTAAAAATCTACACAAGCCTTGCTTAAATGATGTAAGAAGGCATGACTCACATCCTCTCTGACTCTGTGGGAACATTCCACCCATCGGCCTCTGGCTGGTCATCCTATGTAGGGAGAACCAGATTTCAGGATATCTCCTGCTTACAAGTATGGTGACCATATGTGGTGATGGGACAGTAGTGATAGAGCAGTCCACAAAGGTTAGGTTCCTTGGCCTGAGAGCTGTGCCCACAGTACTATTGTAAACACTCTTGCATGTCTCTTCTAAGCCCATTTGCTTAATTCAGTTTGTGACAGAGTCTGTTGACATGCAGATCCCCCTGTGGTTCATCAGTCCATTTGCTCATTTATAATCGCAATTGGCTCAGGAGAGGGGCTGATCTGATTTTCTGGAGAAACAGTTTCACCACTCTTCATCTTTCCATCCCAGTCTTGCCTAGCCTTAAGGTTCTTGATGTTCACTCTTCTGCCCTGCCCCTCTAGGCTTTCCCATACAATGCTGCATGTTGGGGTAATCACACAATGGGAAGTTGGGAAGTAGCTACTGGTCTAAAACCCTCCAACATATTGATGGGTATAAAACGCAAGAGAAAATCTTTGAAGTCAGACAGACCCAACTTTAAATCTAGGTTTTGCTATCATGAGCAAGTTCCTCTGTGATGTAATAATGCACACCTTGATGTTTGAAGTTAAGAATTAAGTAAGATAATGTAATTGTTTTCAACCTTGGTGTCACATTTGATTTATCAGGGGAGATTTTAAAAAAAACTTGCTCAGACCCTGTATGAGATGAATTACATTACATTATTTACAGTAGGGTCTCATATTCTTATTTTAAAACTTCTCCCTAGGTAAAGCTCTTAGTATAATACTTACCTCAAACAGGATGTATAGGTGTGAAGGGGGACCTTGAATGAAATGGGAAGTCAAATAGTTTTGGTTTTTCACAATGGGGCTTCTCAAAATTTACAATGGGCCCATAAGTCACCTGAGAAGTTTGTTACAATGCAGATTCCAATTCAGTAACTGGTCTGTGATGGGGCCTGGTATTCTGCATTCCTAATAGGCTCCAGCAGATGCTGATGATGGTGGTCAATGGATCACACTTTGATTAATAAGGATCTACAGGAAAATATATCTTAGTTATGCAGCATTGGTCATTGACTATATATATATCTCAACCAAAACAAAAACAACACATAACTTGCAGATGAAAAAATTGTGCTTTTTAATGTACAAAGGTTGTGTTTTCTCAGCTTGTTTACATGGTATTCATATCTCAGTTTCAGCAGCTGTTAAATGTTTCTCCTTAAATGCTTTCTCCCAGATGCTTTAAATCCTCAATCTACCCTAAAACAAACTATTCACTTCTGGGTCTGAATCAGCAAAGCATGACCCTCACATTCAGGCCTCTGTTTTTACATAATTTCTAACTAAGGACTTTGCCTTTTGTTAAAAAAAGGAAATTCATTTAAAAATGAAAGCAAATGATAAAACAACAAAGAAATAACAATTGCTAACATATGGCAAAAGGCACAACTTCTTTGGTGCTCTATTTCACTTAATAAACCCACTAGGCTTCCTTTTGTTAATACATATGCATGCATACTCCCACATACACATTTATATGTTATATAGATATTTATGTTTTGTGAACAAAAGCAACAATTTAATCAAAGCTGCAAGAGGTGTGCTTTCATCCATTAATTTTATTATTACTGTCTTTTAGAGACGTAATACTCAGAGCAGTGATCCAGCAACTTTTTGATTTTATAGAAAGCCCCTCCTCATTTTAAATCTCCAAAATATTTTGTGAGTATTTTTCATGGAAAGTAATTTAAACTATTTAATGGGAAATGTTTGTCAACTTCTTGGCATCTGCCCATAAAACCAAAAACTGTTGTTTCCTAAGCCTAGGTTGGGAATAAAGAATCAAAGGATCTCACTTCAGAAAAGATCCATTATTTTATTTTATTTTTACTTGTGTTTGAAGTTGTGGCCAAGTAGGTCTTTATTCAGCGTTACAAAACAAAGTTAAAGGTCTTTCATCTCTTCCGTGAACAATTATGATGCTTCAAGTTTGATTCCAGAAAAGACACATTGCTGGAAATTCAACTGTTTTATTTCAAAGGAGCAGCAGCTGGGGATGGAACTGGCATGACTGAGCACTTACTGTGTGTCACATACTTAAATATCCACCCACCCCATTTAATCATCGTAACACTATCAGGGGGCAGGTATTATATTAGCATCCTCACCAATCAGGTAGTATGACAATTTGATCCAGTTTTTCAGGTTACAGAGTTATGATGACAGCCCCATTTGAATACTTTGTATTCAGATTTTAAAAGGAAACTACATTATTATGTCTGTTTCACTCAGTCTTTGAGAATAGTGGTTTTTTTAAAAATGCTATTCTGAAGCATTAAAGTAGAATAGAACTTTAGGGATATATTTCTAAGTACAACGTTGTATCTAGGGAACATGAGTTTCCTCTTGGGCTGCTCCCAAACATCTCCCCCTCCCTGTCTGACTCCAACCCTAACCAACCAGGGCACATACCTTGCCTCCTGACCTCTTCTAGGGAAGTTGGTATGTATAAAAATATAGATTTTAACTCCTGGATATGGTACTATTAAATATAGATGCTTTTGCTATGATGAGTAATGCATGACAGGAGGAGGCGTTTACCATTTATAGAACGTTAGTTCGAGATTTATATCCCGTTTTTACATGGAGTCAAATTTCTGGGTGAAAAGTAAACTCAGGCAAATAGCAAAATGTTTTCAAATGTTACGGTTGTTTTTGCATTACATAAATAAAACTTCTAAATTAATGTCTTTATCTTTTTTTATAATCATATTCCTTATTAGCAGAGTCCCTCCTGCTAAGAGCTTTAAATTGCTTTCCTCTCCCCTCATAATCCACCCCCAAACCCCAAAACAACACCATAAACAACAAAACAAATAAATCTCAGGGATAGAAACTTACCAGTATTCACAAAACTACAAAACTGACTTAAAACCCAAATATTTAGACTAGTTGTAAAAGAAATTAAGGAGCAAACATTATAATAGCGAGTGTGCAAAGTTGTAGACTCGCCTTTGGGAGAAAATTTTACTCGAAATACTTTTTGTCCTATGTCTTTGATTATTTTCATTCATTTTTAGGTGGAACAAAAAAATACACAGAAATTTTAGTAAATTTGGAAATAGAATTAAAGCCCAGGCTGACCTGGATTCAAATTCTAGATTTGTCACTTACCCGTTGTGTGACCTTAACCTCAGTAAGCATTAGTTTCTTTATCTGTTAATGTGGGGAAAATAGTGCCTTATCCATAAGCTTATTAAGAGGATTAAACAAGCTACTGTGCGGTAGGCTGAGGCAGGAGAATCGCTTGAAACCAGAAGGTGGAGGTTGCAGTGAGCCAAGATTGCACCACTGCACTCCAGCCTGGGTGACAGAGCGAGACTCCGTCTCAAAACAAAACAAAACAAAACAAGCTACTGTGTGGCATTTCTTAGTCTAAATAGTCTCTAAACATTATAGGTGTTTACCAGATACTGGCTTCATTCTGTTCAGACAAAATAAGCCAGGTGTCTATCCAAAGATTATGAAATTTGGAGTCAGCACAGCTGTTTAAAATGTTGGGTTTTTTTCTTACCAGTATGTGATTTCAGAAAAAGTATTTAATCTCTGTTAAGTCTCAGTTTTCCTGTCTCTAAAATAAGACTAATATGATCTATCTTGAAAGAATAAGGGGATTATATTATTATTATATAGTAAGCGTAGACACCTGAGACAGTTCTTGCAGCAAGGCAATTGCTCAGTAGACCTTAGTTTTCTTCTTTTTCAACTTTCTTTCCCATCTTTGGAAGTTAAGGCCTGATATCGTATTCTATGCTTCAATGTTGGTTAAAATTCCATTTATTATTGAAAGTGAGATCTGTGTAACTTTGTGAGATTGGAACCAGTTTTACTGATACTGTTTGGAAATTGCTTATATGCCGTGATTCAAGGGGTGCTAGAAAAATTACCCCATTTCCTGCCTAATATGTATTAATTAGAATCATCGTTTTGAATATTTTAAATCACAAATACATTTTGAGGTTTTAGCACATTATCCATTTACACCTTATTGTGAATTAGTTTGTTCATGCTATAGATTACTTGAGAACATTAAAATAATGTTTACTCATAGGCTGGGTGTGGTGACTCACGCCTGTAATCCCAGCACTTTGGGAGGCTGAGGCAGGCGATCACTTGAGGCCAGGAGTTCGAGACCAACCTGGCCAACATAAGGTCTCTACTGAAAATACAAAAATTAGCTGGATATAGCACGCCTATAATTCCAGCTACTTGGGTGACTGAGGCATGAGAATCACTTGAACCCAGGAGGCTGAGGATGCCGGGAGCTGAGATCACACCACTGCACTCCAGCCTGGACAATAGAGTAAGACTGTCTCAAAATAAATAAACAAATAAATAAATAAAAATAACATATTTATGCAGAACACTAAAACAGTGTGGGGTTTGTATATAAAAAGATAAGGTAGGACTTATTTTGAGCTACAACATATTTCTAGATAGGCAAAAATGAGTAGTTTGTCATACAGCCATGTGAGGGACCTGGAGAAAGAATGAAATTTAAGAGGCTATTGAAAAAAAACTTAGCCCCTTTGTAGTTTATTTGGTAAATGTATGCTTGTATGTTATACTGTCTGTTTCTGTAAGATTTTTAATATTTTTTAGATACTATGAGCATTCAAGTCTTCAGGGAGAAAAATTAATTTGGGATGGTAAATATGTCACTACACTCAGCTAGAAAAATAGAACCCAGCACATATAATCTGTCCTGCTGTGTTTCTTAATGATCACTGTGGATTTTACCATGTTAAAGGTGGCTGTCCACTGTGAACTTCTAACAGGGAAGCGTCTGACAGAAACATGGCGGTGTGCTTTCCTGACCTCGTATAGAAGCGGTCTCAGGTACCACAAGTGCATACGGAGTAGATATTTGTCCACAATAACCCAAACACTGTCCAGAAGCAGTGAAATAATTTTAAAGGTCACTTAGTCTGCATTTAATCAAGTCTGTTTTCATTTTTGACTGCTTGAGTTACTCAGTGGTATTCATAAAACACAGATATTTGCTATAGCAACTGCTGCAGGCTAACACCATAGGGCAGATAGACTGGGAAGATTATTTTCATTCCACAAAGGAGATACACCTGCCTTTATGAAATGATGTCTATGACCTATTTTAGATCAAAAGTAGAACAAAAATAAGAGTTTAAACACTGCATTATATAACATTTTAATTTTCTTATTTATTTTATTTAAATCTGACCGTTCCTGCAAAGAACAATAATAAGTATACTGGGTAAGTATAAAACTAAAGTACACCAAGGTGATTATCCACTTCAACTCCCTCTCCCAGCACACACAAAAAACATGTTGTTTACTTTTATATAAATAATGGATGCATCTCTACATTTTTCTTGTTTCTTTGCATATTCAATTTTGAAGGTGATCAAATCATTTCCTATAGAAAATTAATTGAGCAACTTGATTAGCATACACAGAGGTTTCTCAAGCTCAGCACTATTGACATTTTGGTCAGAGAATTCTTTGTTGTGGAGGCTTATTCTGTATAAGATGTTTAACAGCATTTCTGTTCTCTACTCTCTAGATGTCAGTAGTGACTCCTCTCTCCAGCAGAAAACCAAATATATTTCACAACATTGACATTATTTGTGTCTATGTGCATTTACATATTTTTCTTGGATAGGAGGATTTTTAATTTGTAGTAAAATACAAATAACATAAAGTTTATCATTTTAATAATTTCTAAATATAATGGACAAACCTTTTATTAGATTCTTTATGAGGCCTCTTGTCCAAAAAATGTTAAAAAATTATTGTTAATAGAGAGCACCAAAATGTAGGGTAATTGAACAATGTTGTTGAATGCCAAAACCTACTCCTAATCATGTAGGTCCCAGTTTACTTGCCTCCACCTCTGGAAAACCCTTTCTGATTTTCCATATTGAGATATTTGGTTCCTCTTATATGCTGCTTTTGCAGTCTTTCTCCCATATACCATGTGGGCTGTGATGCTAAAGGCCTACAAATGAGTTTTTAAGAGAATTCAATAGTATCTTAGCACAAAATAAAGGAGAACTTAGCCTGCAAGTTCTCCCTTTCTAAGTGGTTCTAGTGTTATTTGCCACTGCATTGCAGGGCCTGGCAGAGTGCCTCATACTTTGTAGGAGATCCATACGTGTTCAGTACATTAATGTGGGAATGAATGAGTGAACATTTTATCTTGCATAATAATTTTCAATAAAATATTTTTCAATCATATGGTTTCCTAAAATTCTTTTAGTTAAAAGTATACAAGTGAAAACAATGTGTTACCATAAAAGAGAAACTATTTGCTTCTAATCAGGTATTACAAGATGTTGAATCATCAGAAAAGACTAAATGATTTTACTTAGGGAGAACAGTGCACTAATACATTCTAAGAAGATTTTCAGTAAGTAGCAAGTGTCACAATTGAGGATCATGATACTTTAGAGCCAAATATGTCTCACTTAGCAACAGAAAGCAAAGTTAAAAGGACAGCCTCATTTTCTAAGCTTTCAGACAATTGCGGTCTTATTGTCATTAAATGTTTTAAATACAAATTTTCATACATTGGTCTCTCATGGGATCACGTTTTTAGTCATAGAAATGTAGGGTTATTGAACCCTACAGTAGTCATAGAAATGCCTTCTGTACTTCTACAAAGGGTGTCAAGGGAAGATTTTCTAAAGGGATGAGACTTTGGTGAACTCATTGAGTATGGAGGGAAGCCTAAAGCAGTCAGGAGGGATGCTTGGCCGGCTCTGGGGTCCGGGCCGGGAGCGCAGTGCCTGCCAGAAGGAAGGCATTTTTCTGTTTCTTGGCTGTTCTATGATTCACTCTGAGTGACACACAGTGTGGTGAAAAGTTTAGTGGGGAAGAGCTGGTGGGGATGCACGCATGTGGGTGGTGGGTTCATAGGTCCATGGATAGAAGCAGTAAAATCCAACAGGCATAAGACCTCACTCTGGCCCAATGATGGTGGTCTGTGATTCCTGTTCTACTCAATCAAGACTTTACATACTCAGATTTGAGTGACAAACATAACTACACTAAATGTCTTCCTTTACTTGTTTGCAAAATAATTAATATTTGAATTAGAATACAAAAGGATTCTTATTGGGCACATATGTTTCAACAAAGGCCTAACTTCCAAGTAAAGTTAGACTAATTTTTTTTCAAACAATTTTGGCATTTATACAACAACAAACAACGAAAGCATAAGATTTTGGTAGCCTGAATAATTAATTTAGATTTGCAGTTTACATTGATTGATTGATTTCACTGGATAAGTGCACATTTCTATTCTTTCTGCTCTTGTGAACCCACAGCATTAAACCTTTGAACAAATGTTAAATGTTGGGAAATTTTTGTTTATTATGTAATTCAACAGCCAGCATTAGAGCTGCTTATTAGGTGATTGCAAGATGCAAAGAAGAAGAAAATTACCATTTTCTTGGGCTGACTGGTACACACAATTGGATCAATTAGTTCTGGCTTTTAATTATGCAGAAATATGAAGTGCCATGCAAGTACTAAACTGGAGAATTTTTTTAAGGGAAAACAAAAGACAAGGAAAAAAGGAGAAAGATTGTGACAGAAGATTAGGTTTATTGTGACAGGCCTTATTGCTCCAATATCAAGTTATTTTCTTGGGCTGAGTGGAGAGAAGGCAAAGCAAGTACAGGAAAGAAAAGGAAAGAACTAATAGGAAAAACAGTACAACGGCAACAGCAATATTTCTGATCATTTATCATTGACACTCCCAAATGAGTGTTTGAGAATTAAATTATCTTGTCATTTCCCTAAGGATTGAGGTCATGAGTAATGAAAGAAGGAGCCAAACTCACACCCCTTCCCTGTAAAACTGACATCTATCTATGCAAGTGAATTTCATATAATGACTGGTTCTAATGAATTACTGGATTGCTTCACTACTTCTGAAGCTCCTTGTCATGTATATTGGTTCTCACTGAAAACGTCAGATGATAATGCTGCCTGGAGTCTCTGGTGTCGAAAACAGCTTTGTATAATATGCATGCCATTTCTATTACATGGCTACCCAAATGAAAAATTTTATTTGATAAACAGTGGATTTATTTTCGTACTAGGAGACATTTTTCTTCTTTTGGATTTATAGATATATAAAAAATCTCAAATCCTCTGTTCCAAAACAAGTGCCAGCATTTACTCAATGCTTAATGCAGCATCAGACCAATATTCTTCTATGCCTCATCTCCTTGAACCTTCTCAACAACATGTAGATAGTACTACTATGCTCATTGACAGTCCTATCTCCAGCTAGGCCTTCTTGTGCACCCTCTCCCAAGACACATTAAACAAACTAGCCCTTTGAATATTTGTGCCATTTCCCAGCTCCACATACCTGCTACTCCTTCTATTGCAATTGGACCTGAGAATGAGGAGTCATCTTCTGAGATGCAGCTCAAATTACAACTCTTCTTGACTTTCCTAGGCAGGGTTGGCCCCTGATTCCCTTTGTTCTTATAACACTTTATAACATCTTCTAACTCCACTATATTGCAATTATACTTTTATGTTAATATTTTTAAGTGACTTGAGCTCTTTTAAGAGTGTGCACTATCATTTATTCATCTCTTCATGGCCTTAGTGCAGAGTCTAGGTGCTGACCCATTAAAGATACTCAATAAATGTTTGCTAAGTTGTTAAATTATTATGGTTAATTTCATAGACTTATTAATGCCTCTGCATTAGCATCTAGCCTTATCACAAGCAATGTCAAGTTACTTGTTTCTTTATTCTTCCTGATAAGTATGCCTAAGTACTTTAGTATATTTATGAAAAAAAAAAGGTTTTTGCTTGTGCACATTAGAATTATATCATATACCAAAATAATAAATATACATGCTCTTGTAGGTGCACAATTAACATATACAATGTCCCATTTCCACAAAATTCTGATGAAATTTTTCAGATTTATATTCACTCACATTATCAAAAATGTGATATGCTGGGGAAAGCACAAGATTTAGAATTCAAATACATGAAATTGAGTCATAATTGTTTCCACTAATTAGCCTGGTAATATTGGGAAAACTCACTTAACTTTTATCAGCACCTTTTTACTTATGGAATCATTATGAGGTTTAAATAGGAAACTTATTGAGTCACTGCTCTTTCCATGATACTGGAAATACAGAATGAATCAAATTTCCCAGTCCTTATCCTCATGAAACTAAAATTCCTGAGGGGGAACTCATACAATAACCAAGGAAATACAGATCATGTGGTGGTGAAAAGTACCATGAAGAAAACTGCCAGTGATATGCAGCTGTGGGAGGGAGTGAGCCAAATTGGTATGGGGGAAGAGTGTTCCAGGCAGAGGTCAGCTATTATCTTTCTTTCAATAACTGCTTTGAACGTTCTGAAAAGTGTAAAAGTGTAAGACATATCAGCAATGACAATAGTATCAATGGAAGCAAAGGGGGTATAATGTAAAATTGGTTTTGAGACATCATCTCCTTTCTACAGTGCCTGAAGAGTCTGTCTTCACTGGGTTGCTTTCATTGAAATTAAAGACAGTTGACTTTCCCCAATAATGGTAGATTGTTGAATTGCTAACATATCTGTGTGTTCCCATGTGTATTTTATTTAAAAAATTATTAATTTAGAGTTTCTAAATTTGCTATCATTTTTCCTTAAAGGTAGTGCCTTTCTCCTATATATATTGGCTAAACCAATTACTTCTTTGGAAATACACTGAAAGAAAATGAGAAAAGTAAATGTATAGACAACTAATGCTAAAATGAGCTTTGCTATATAAAGTTTAGATGCATAGAGAAAAGGCTTTTTAAGTTAGCAAAATATGGCAGTTTTGAATGTGAATAATCTCAGAGTATCTTTAATATTTTATTTGTCTAAGGTACCAACTTTCATTTTGCTCTGTTCTAGCAGATAAATAAAAAAGTAGATATTTCCTTCATAACAGCACTACATATATTGGCATTTATTGATTTCCATTAGTATTTGAGGTGGTTGGCATTTTACTTCTATATGCTGCATTAATAAATTGTGGTTGAATGATGCCTGTGCACTTTAATTGCGGGCCCTCATTTCCTCTTGACTATTTTCAAAAATTCTTCTGAGTTGTGGCATTTGCATTTTCCTTGTTCTTTGTTTTCTTTTTTGAGAAATGTACATATAGCACCACACAATTCTATTTCCCAAGAAATGCTAAAGCACAGAAAGGAATATTCTATTCCAATTTGTGGAAGTTATTTAAAGGATCCCTTTGTTGTTTTCTCTTTCTAAAGTCCAAGAGAACAATGCTTTGCATATGCTTAAACTTCAAGATTGCAAATCAAAAAGTGTGAAATTCATCTTGGCACCTAGGTAAAATTGGTGTGAGCTAATGCAGTCTTTTCTGTGTCATTTTTCAAGACTGGTGTTTATCAGTGGTCAGTTTTCTCTAAATCCACAAGAAGTAAGAGAAATAATACTGATGAATTAAATTTCTTATAAGGTAGAACAAATTAAATTTGCATGTCTACTCTAAATTCAAGGATATGGCATTTTAGTTTTTTGGTGTTAAATTGTCTTTTGTATGATTGATGGAGATAGTGCATAATAACTGTAATTATTTTTATGCCTACAATAATAATTTTTATTTTTTGAATAAGAAATACATTAATGTGACTCAAATATTTTAAAAAATATCCCTTTCAACATCTGTCTCCCATATGCTGTGTTTCCCCTGACCCACACATTCAGGTAATTACTGTTATTAGTATCTGTTTGGAGTTCCTTTGTACACACGTAAGCAAAAACAAATATGATATTTTTCCCTCCTTCCCCCTTCCCACAAAGTATTAACATAATACATATACAATTCCACACAATGCTTTTTACTAACTTTTATTTTAAAAGAATTATAAACGTAGTGGAAGTAGTTTAAAAACTAAGCACGAGGAGATTTCTTGTACCCTATACCCAGTTTTCCCAAGGGTAACATCTTGTGTAACTACAGTACAATTTCAAAACTAGAAAATTGACATTTATACATTCTACAAAGTTTATTCAGATTTCACCAGTTTTGCATGTACTTGTGTAAAATTGGTGAAATCTGGCAACCATTGATCTGTTCTCCATTTTAAAACTTTTATTTCAAAAATGTTTTATATATGAAATCATATCGTTTGTAACCTTTTAAGATTGCTTTTTCTACTCAGCATAACGCTCTTGAGATTCATCAGGTTGTTACACATATCAATCAATAATTATTTTTCATTGCTGCATAGTATTCCACAACATGGATGTATCAGTTTGTTTAATCATTTGCCTGTTAATGGACATTTGGGTCATTTAAATTTTTTGACTATTAGAAATAAAACATCTATGAACATTTGTGTACAGAGTTCTGGGGTAAATACCTAACAGTACAATTACTAGGTCATATGATATGTGCCCTTTTTGATTTATGAAAAACTGCCCAGAGTGGCTGTACCATTTTACATTCCTACCACAGTGTGTGACCACAGCATTTGGTGTCACCACTTTTTCTTCTAGCTATTTTAATAGGCATGTAGTAATATTTTATTGTACTTTAAATTTTTCTAATGGCTAGTAACGTTAACATGTGCTTATTTGCCATTTACATGTTGTCTTTGGTAAAATGTCTGTTCATTTCTTTTGCCCAGCTAATAATGTGTTTTTCTACTACAGAATTTTGATAAATATATATTTATATATATAGTAGATATACGACATTTGTTTGGTATATGGCTTGCAAATATTTCATCCTTGTTTGTAGCTGATCTTTTAAAAATCATTTTTATATGAGGTTTCACAGGATAAAAGTTTTAATTTTGATTAGTTCCATTTTATCAATTTTTTCTTTCACAGATTATGTTTTTGGTGTTATGTCTAAAACTCTTCCATTTATAAGTTCTGAAAATTTTCTTCAGATGATTTGTTTGAAAAAAATATACTTTTATGGTTTATATTTAATTTCATGGCCAAATTTAAGTAATTTTTGCCTAAGGTGTGAGGTTTAGATCAGGGTTCAATTTTTTGCCTATGAATGTCCAATTTATCAAACACCATTTGTTGAAAAAGCTATTTAGCCTTCTTTTATTGAATCACTTGTGTGCCTGTATAAGAAATCAGTTGGTGGCCAGGCACGGTGGCTCACACCTGTAATCCCAGCACTTTGGGAGGGCAGAACACTGTCTCTATTGAAAATGCAAAAATTAGCCAGTGTGGTGATGCATGACTGTAGTCCCAGCTACTTGGGAGGCTGAGGCAGGAGAATTGCTTGAACCCAGGAGGCAGAGGTTGCAGTGAGCTGAGATAGTGCCATTGCACTCCAGCCTGGGCAACAGAGCAGGAAAAAATTAAAAAGCTATCAATTGGCTATACTTCTATCACATGATTTCTGAGCCCTCTGTTCTGTTCTATTGAATACTTGAATACTGTAGCTTTATTGTAAGCCTTGATATTGAGTAGAGTGATTATTTCTACTTTATTACTATTTATCAAATAGTTTTAGCTATTTTAGGTCCTTTGTCTTTGCATACAAGACAAGCTCGAATAAGCTTAAATAAGCTTGTTTATGTCTACCAGTTTCTGACAGGAATTGCATTAAATCTATGGATCACATTGGGGAGAGTTGCATCTTTACTAAATTAAATCTTTCAATCCATGAACATAGTATGTTTCATATTTATTTAGATTTTTTTCTACCATCAGCATTTTGTAATGTATAGTATACGGACATATTTTGTTATATCTATAACTATTTTATTTTCTTTGGAGCAATAATTGTACATAGCTACCTTTTTTTAATAAAAACTTAGTTCACTTTATAGAGAGATTCTTCATTTCTTTTTATAGCTTCATAATATGGCATTATGGATAAGTGCCATATTTTAATTAAGTAATGATCTACAGATAGATACTTAGACGATTTCTAATTTCTTGCTATGATATTTTTTAAAAAATTATATATAATATGTGATATATGATAATATATGTATATGTTTATGGTACACATATATCTTTATAATACATCCCCATAAGTGGGATCATTAAATCAAAGGGTATTTGATTTATAATTTTGAAACATATTTCAACACTGTCCCCCACAGAATTTGTACTACTACCAACAATATATGAGAGCAATGGTAGCCTCACCAATACAGTCTGATATCAGTCTTTCTGATACTCTCATACAGTGTAGTTTTAATTAGCATTTATCTTATTATGAGTCAGTATAAGCAAGTTTTCATTTGTTAAATGGCTATTTGTGTTTGCTTGTTTTTTTGCTTTTGGTTGATGTGATGGTTAGTTTTAGGTTATAATTTGACTGGGTTAAAGGATATACAGAAAGCTGGTAAAACATTTTATTTGAGTGTCTCTGTAAGGGTGTTTCTTAAAGAGATTAGTATTTGAACCAGTAGACTGAGTAAAAGTCTGTCTTCATCAGTGAAGATGGGCATCATTTGCTTCACTGAAGGCCCAGACAGAAGAAAAAGACAGAGGATGAGTATATTTTCTCTCTCTTCTGGAGCTAGAACATCCATCTTCTCCTGCCCTCAGGCATCAGAACTTTATGTGCTTGGGCCTTTAGACTCCGGTACTTATACTAGTGGCCCCCCAGGTTCTCAGGTCTTTGAAATCAAACTGAGAGTTACAGCATCAGCTCCCCTGGTTCTTGAGCTTTCAGGTTCAGACTGTATTACACGACCAGTTTTCCTGATTCTCCAACTTCAAACCACATATTGTGGGACTTCTCAGCCTCAGTAATTGCATGAGCCAATTCCCATAATAAATTTCCTCTTATATATCTATATTTATCCTATTTTGTTTCCCTGAAGAACCCTGAATAATAAATACAGTTGGTGTGAAGGGAGGCTGTTGCTTCATGTCTTTTACTCTTTTTTTTTTTTAAATTGGGTTATTGAGATTTCTCATGGCAGTATAGAAATCTCACTGTATGTTGGAGAGTTTAACCCTTTGTCTGCACCAGCAGTTGTCAATATTTTTCTCATGGTGTCATTAGCCTTTTGACTTTGTTTATGTTGGTTTTGGGCATGCTATAGCAAACAATGTCACAGTGAATAGTTGCGTACTTATAGCATTTCACACATGTGTGCCATATCTGCAGGATGAATTCTCAGTCGTGGAATTTTTTGCATATACAGATGTTTGTAACAATGTTCTGAAGACATAGCAATCATAAGATGTCATTTTTTTTCTAAGTTATTTTGTAATTTAACCTAGTGTCATTAATAAAAACCAACATGCGACCGGGTGTGGTGGCTCACGCTTGTAATCCCAGCACTTTGAGAGGTGGAGGCAGGTGGATCACCTGAAGTCAGGAGTTCAAGACCAGCCTGGAGCCTGGCCAACATGGTGAAACTCCGTCTCTACTAAAAAATACAAAAAAATTAGCCGTGCGTGGTGGCAGGCACCTGTAATCCTCGCTACTAGGGAGGCTGAGGCATTAAAATTGCTTGAATCTGGGAGGCAGAGGTTGCAGTGAGCCGAGATTGTGCCATTGCGCTTCAGCCTGGGCGACAAGAGCAAGACTCAGTCTCAAAAAACAAAACAAAACAAAACAATCCAACATGCTTCTTTTTTAACTGAGTGAGCTAAAGTTCATATGAAAAAATAAACAAAAAGTAATATTTTGGAAAGTTCTTCAAACTATAAAAAGTATGGGGAAACTAGTCCTACCAGGTATGAAAACATATTGAAAGTCTTGTATAATTATAATGTGATAATGCTTACAAATGAATAGACCAATAAAATGGAGTAGAATGTTCACAGATAGCTGTATCCTAAATTAATAAAGAGAAAATGGATTATGCTACATTAAGACATCATTTTTTACATATAAGCTTAGCAAAAAATCCAAGCTATATAGCACATTCTGTAAGACTATGGGAAAAACAGTCCCTCAAATTTTGCTGGTAGGTATTTAGGTGACTACGACATTTGTGAAACGCCATTGGCAATTTTTTTTTTTTTTTTTTTTTTTTGGCTTGGAGAGATGTGTTTTTTTCTGATATTTGACAAAGATTGTGTTTTTGGTTTGGTCGTCATCTTCATAAATTTACATAATATTTCTCACATTCTACTACATTGGATATTAATTTCTTAGTTTGCTACTATGCACAACAATATAGTGTTTCTTATTCTCTGTCCTCATCATTTCCTTTGTAACCCAATATCATTCATTATTTGTACTTTTTAAGTATTTACCCTGTGTCATAGCTTCTCTTTGACCCTCCAGATGTGTTCTTCATCCTGTCCTACTCTGATCTCTGCCCAGGAGGCCGACCTGTGTGGACTGTATCAACTCTTGCCACCCAGTTTCCAGTTAGGTTCAGCATAGATCTGAAAGAGGGAGGAGAGTGGAGTCAAGAACTTTCTATGGTGTCACCTCAGACTGTTGTACTCTACAATCTTTCAGGATATCCTTTTCTACAACTGTTTCTGATAACAGTTCTCACCTCTACCTATGGGCCATAGGCTTGGTAACAACTGCTTTTAGTATCTTCACAATGCTTGTACCTTTGACAATATTCTCTTTAATTAAGCCTCCCTTGAATGACGCTAATTTGACTATGCAGTTCATTTCTTCCTAGGTCTCTAAATAATTCAATTACTATATATGTATATTTACATTTTCCATACCTTATCCACAATTCTGATGTGTAAAGATTTCTAAAAGCTATTTTTTTTTTTTTGTAAATTTGGTACAACTCACTTGGTAGGCAAAACTTGAGTAGAACTCATTACAGTCTTTTTTCTATGACTCAGTATAAATATTTATATGGCTCATTACAGAAAAAATGTAAAGCTGCTTTTAGCTGTCTTTCTATTATGGAGAATTTTGAATATACACATAAGTAGAAGAGCCACATGGAGCTATCACGCAGTCCTAACATCTATCAACTCATGACCAATCTGGCCCCATTCATACTATCATTCACTTCCTCTTATGCTCAGTCAGGAAACAGAAACCACACATGAACTTGCATAGGAAAATATTAATATGAACAGTTGTTAATTATAACAAGGCATTGTAATAATGAGCCATGAGATAGTAAGAAGTAAACACTACTTTAAAGAATGTAGTTGTAATAGATATAAACACCAGTCTCTACCCCTTGGGCTGAGATACATACCCAAGGAAGAGAGCCCAGGCTGAGATCCAGACCTTTATTGGCGATCATAGGCTCACCAGATGACAGAGAAGTCACTGTGGTGCTAAGCTGGTAGAACTTGCTGGCAATCTGCCCAGTATGGTGCTATGGAAAGCCATTCATATGGAGGTGTCCTGCTGGAGTTACGTTGTTATGAAACTTCTGTTGCACTGCTACAAAGTTGAAGTTATTATTCCAACTGATATTCACATTGTCCCATCTTGCTATCTAGCATGACTATCTATTCTAATTGTATCTTATACATGTCCTATGCCAGACCTGAAATCATTTATTTCTCCAAAGAACCCTGATTCCTTTCAGTGGGAAATAATATTTGGAGACCCCTATCTATTTGCTTCGAGTGTTCTTTATTGCTGGGTTAATTAGTTTCTAGAGATTTTACAGGACATAAGTAGAGGAAAAATGTTTAAATTGTCATGAGTTCATACTGTTTTTTTTTTTTTTGAGACGGAGTCTCGCTCTGTCTCCCAGCCTGGAGTGCAGTGGCCATCTTGGCTCACTGCAAGCTCCGCCTCCCAGGTTCACGCCATTCTCCTGCCTCAGCCTCCTGAGTAGCTGGGACTACAGGCGCCCGCCATCACGCCCGGCTAATTTTTTGTATTTTTAGTAGAGACGGGGTTTCACCGTGTTAGCCAGGATGGTCTCGAGCTCCTGACCTCATGATCCGCCCGCCTCGGCCTCCCAAAGTGCTGGGATTACAGGCGTGAGTCACAGCGCCCGGCGAGTTCATACTGCTATTTTTAATTCAAATTCGGACAACAGGGCTAAGTACTTACCTTCTTTCTTTTCTCTGTTATCTCACGCTGAAAAGCCTAGCTCTCAGGAACATTGGGGTTGATAGAATTTCAAATAATTTGTCATTTGGTTTATCCTATATTAACAATGCAACAGTCTCAGAGTAGCAACTATTATATTGCTAAATGATTACTTAAACATCTATTTTATTGTTGTCTTTGATATATTTATCCAGCATCTTAAATTCACTTGTATTGGTCCCTATTTATGTGATTGTGCCACCAACTAAATAATGAATATGTTTGTTTCACTTATTTTAATTCTAAGATTTATTTTTATTTTGAGATAATTTTAGGATTACAGAACATTTGCAAATGCAGTTAAGAAAGTTCTAATATATCATTTGCCTAGTTTGCACTTATGTGAACATGTTATATAACCATAGAAAATGTATCAAAACTAAAATATTACCCTTGGTCAAATACTATTAACTAAAGCACAGAACTTGCTTGGATTTTACAAATTTTTGCATTAATGTCCTTTTTCACTTTCAGGATTCTATACAGAATCCTAGGTCATATTCGGCTTCCACATCTCCTTAGTTTCTTCCCATCTGGGGCATTTCCTCAGTCTTTCCTTGTCTTTCATGACCTTGACATGTTCAAAGAATATTGACCTGTTAGTTTGCAGAGTGTCTCTCAGTTTGGTTTTGTGTGATGTTTTCTCATTATTAGATTGAGGCTACACATTTTTGGGAAAAATGCCATGAAGGAGACGTGACCATGTGCCCTTCTCAGTGCATTATATTAAGGGATACATAGTATCCGTTTGTGCTACTGTTAATGTTAACCTTGACCATTTGGCTAAAGTGATGTCTTCTAGGATTCTCTATCATGAAGTTACTGTTTTATTTCCTTTATAATTTATACATATTGGAAGGAACGTACTTGAGACTATGCAAATATCCTGTTTTCTCTTAAACTTTGCCTGCTAATTTTAGTATCTATTAGAGAATCTTGCCTGTGGCAATTATTACTGTGGTGTTCTTATAGTAATTTTTTCTATTTTCCTATTTCTTTATTTCTTTTCCTCTTTCCTTTTTTCCTTCCTCCCTTCCTTGTTCTTTCTTATAAAATAAATACTTGTGCTTTTATTTTTTAAGAGCTGTATTGTGGTTCTAATTGATGTAGAAGGAACTATGCTTATTTAATGTGTACAATTTGAGTTTGAATATATGCATACACCTGTATTACCATCACTACAATCAAGTAATAGACATACCCAACACCTTCCAAAACTTCTTTGTGCCATCTTGTTTTTGTTTTTGATTTTTTGTTAGTTTGTTTTTTGTGGTAATGACACTTAATATAAGATCTACCCTTTTAACATTCTTTCTACATTTATTAATTTGAATTCTTCTGTGAAGATATGATATTACTTTTCTCCTATTTTATTTATTCATTTATATAAATTCATAATATTTATTTTATTATTTGGATTATAAAACAGCTACTGACATTTACTGTTTTGCTCAAGTTGTTCCAGCTTTGGCCATCTAGAGCTCCTTCACATTTGTTCGTGTGCCTTTTTGATATTTCTTCATTATTTTTGTGGGGGTAGGGAGGTCATTCATACTTTCTGGCATCATGAGACTTTCCTGGCTAACCTCGTATATTCTCTTCCCCAGCCCTAGAATCAACCACTTTTCTAAGGAGCTTTGGTTCATTTTATTGGAGAATGGTGTATTTATTTCTACATACATACATCTATATTTATTTTGTACCTCCTTATCAGAAAATATATTTTAAAAATTAGTCTGTATTGATACTTCTGACTTTAATCCAATGTCATCATGTTTATTCTAGCATCTCCTTTTTCTTATTTGTAACTTATTTCTCTCTTGGTGAGATTCCTGCCTCTCATTATGTATAATATATTTACTTACTTGTTCAACCCTAGTATACAGATAAATTGGTTTCAGAATTAGTGTTCCATATTTCTTCTTATAGCCTTGTCTTCTCCCTGATCTTAGAATAAAGCATTAAGGCTTTCACTATAAAAGACATTTGTGCATTTTTCAGTTTCTTCTTAAACTGCATTTTGTCCATAGCCTCTTCAGATTGTATTGTCCTGTACCACACTTTGTAGTGTTGAAGGAGAAGGAAGGGCTAAATAAGTTTTCAAAACTTTATACTCCAATGACTACATTTGTTGTCATAAAATATGGCTCTGGATGAACTATGTGATTTTTATACAGACCTTAATTTTTGTTCCCCAGAGCTAATTAGTGTAAAGGATTTCTTTCAACAGTCCTGGTAACACCAGTGCCTGTATTGGAATAAGTAGGCAATGCAGCTTTTCTTTTTCATGGTGAATCTCTCCATGCAATTTTTGCTGATATTTTCTGAGTTGTATTGGTACTTTATCCTATGTTCTTCTGTTCTTTTCACTTTCTATTTAATATTAGCAGTCATACTTAATTTGGAATCCGCAGATCATACAAGATTATCTCTTTCTTTTGCAGAAAATGAACATTTAAAAAATTATCTGTTGCTTTTCTATAATTTTTCAGCTTAAGAAGAGAAACAAACCACTCATTTGATTTTTAATGGCTAAATACACTTGGTAAAAGGAGAGTGTGGCAATCCTATGTAGCTCTTTCTCTCTCCCATTCTCTCCCTGTCCCTCTTTTTTAAATGTTAGCGCTACAAATTCGAACACTAGAAAACCAGTAGTGTTGGTTAACAAATCCAAATTTTATAGCTAGAGAAATCTGAATTGCAATTCTGCTTTATCACTTACTGTTTATGCAACTTACTTGTGCTGGACAACTTATTATCGAGCCATGGTTTCTTTAGATATAAAATATGGACCATTATAACCATATCACAGGGTGGTTGCAAAGACTACATGAGGAAAGCTGTTCCCAGTGTTTGGTCCTATCAGATGTTTAATATTTATTAGTGTCTTTCTTGCTGCCAAAAACCCTAATGAATTTTTCAACAGATACTTGGATAGCATTAGGAGGGTTTGTGTGTGTGTGTGTGTGTGTGTGTGTGTGTGTGTGTATGTTGTTATTGTTACTTTAACTAAATCTGTCCAAATAATACATTTTAATCTCTTAAACTGTTGTACCCCTTGGATGGGAAGAGGCCAATTCTGCAAGAAATCATTACTAAGAATATTGGTATAGGCTTTGAGTAAAAAAAAAAAAAAAACCCAAAACCTTTAATTTTTTAAGGGAAACATGGGTGAACCAGAAGTTCCTATATCAATAACCACTCAAAATGTACATTTATTAGACACATTAAATAGAGCTTGTCTAGTTGCCTTTCAAATATTATTGGAATTGGATTCTTTTCACCTAATAGTTCTGTAAGTACTATGATGTCAGGTAGAGAAATCACTTATTTTCCCTTCTTTTATCTGTGAAAAATAAAAGTCATCTCTACAGATCACTGAGAAAATTTTCTGCTGCTTCTTGTTGATTATAAGTGCACTTACTGTATTTACATGGTGTTGAATAGCTTTTGAAAACTACCATAATGTACAGGTTTTCTTTCTGACAGTTTATTTTATGAAAATCTTGTTTTCAAATTTCAAGGAACAAAGAAAAGGAAGCAAATGAGACAAGAAACAAGAATGCTTCAAAGGAAGGATGGTTAAGAATAATGTCAGTAGGTTCCTGAAACATAGCACAGAAAGTGTTTCTGTCTCGTTTTCCTCTCTACCATGCACATGCACATATATGTTCAATACTGGTGATAACAGAGCTGTGAGAAAGGAGAGCAGAGGTTTAATTTTTTCCATTTTTGAAACATTAAATATTAAATTTCTTTATAAATAGAGACATACATTTTTATATACACATTTTTTGCTACCCCTGTTCTCTTTGTGCTCCAAATATATGTAGTCTGCCTACTGGTACTCCAGGACAAGGTGAAGCAAATATGTCTGTTTGTTTTGAGAATACAAAAGGCTTTCCTACATAAGCCTTATTTATATAAAGGCATTTGAAAGACAATGTGGTTTTCTGAAGTAACTCTGGGTAGTTTCTCAAAAATATCTGGAAAAAAAGGTAAAGAAGCCCAGCTATAATACCTTATTAAACAGAAAACAACCTACATTTATATTATATGTTGTATGTTCCCACTTTGCTATTTCTTAAAAAATTCACGGACCAATATTTCTCCTCTGAAATTAAGATAACCTCCATTTAGAAAGCACAAATATCAAACCATAAAAATATGGAAACTTTAATTTTACAGAGGTTAAATAAACAGATTTGAGGTATGAGTCATTATGATAGTGATATTTGGTATTTGTAATAGTATATTTTCTGAGATATTTTATGAAAATATTACTTTTCTTCTGTACTCATCTCATTTATTATGTGAAAAGAAAACATGGTAACTAAAATGAAAATATCATGGATATAAAAACTGTATGAAATGATAATTCCAGAAAAGAAATTTTGAAAAAATGTTAATTGAAAATGGAATATAGTAATTCAAAAGTATAAGTTAAATTTAATTTATGTTTATTTCTAAACTTAATAGTTGAAATGGAATGCTATATTTTAGATTACAAATCTTTAAAGCATCCCTTGCTTTTTCAAAATAAAATACTTTTTTAGAGGGAACAACATTGAATAAATAAATAGGAAATTTGATCTCAATAAAACTGCAGCTCAGTAAAAAGGAAGAAAAAATCTGAGACAAAAGAAAACAAAACTCTAAAAAATCTCTACTATTTTATAATAATCTGATGAATTATTAAAACCCTGAGGTTAAATATTTTAACTGCATTGTCTATTGTGCATAGTATAATTGTGACTATCATAGTGTAGATATTGAATTCTCAGTTTTACTTGTAATACTTGGTTTCTATGTAATAGTGATTTAGATCTTGAGGAAATATCATGGGTTATTGAGTCCCTTCTTTCTTAACCCATGTGAGGAACGCAAGACTTGAGATAATAAGTGATTTGCCTTGAATCTTCCAGCTACTAGTATTGTGATTTCTCTATGGGATAACTCATAATTACTCATTACTAATTGAGTCCTTCAGTCTTGCCTAAGTTAAATGGGAGGAAAGCTATCATCTTCTGTACAACCATAGCTGAAGAGGCAGGATATTTTTATTACCATTTCTTGGTCTTCTCCTGGCAATGTTATTTTCGCATTTCTTACATTTTTAAAAAAGATGAAGAATTATATTTATTTTAAAAATCCTATCTATTTTTCCCAGAACAAAAACAATCTCATTTTTTCTCATTGTATTTGGAATTATATGTATTCTGTCTAGCATTTTTTGTATTTTTCTTCTATAGTTCCTTTTTCAAACCTTTGAGGCTTTTCCCATTATGCCATATTTCACCTTAGGAACTTGCTGCCTCTTGCTAATATTTGAAACTGCTTGAACATTTACAATGTCCTTTCACAGTTATCTCAATATCTGAAGTAATCCTGTAAAGCAGATGCCACTGTACTGTGGGGAGCCCTGGCTTGCCTGGTTTTACGGTTTAGTAGAACTTGATTACAAATCTTAGAGTTGAGGCTCCAGTCCTCATAATCCTTCCAGCATACCACACAGCCATCTTAGGGAAAACTGCATTGACTGTGAAGCTTAATGTTAACACAGGAAAGTACCTGTGTTTGCTCAGCAGGAGTGGAGAACGGAAGGGGCAGGATATAAAGGCTATGTTAATATGTATTACATTGGTTTAGCCATTATTCTAGCTGACTAGCTTACATAAAATTTAGGAAAATGTGGTGCGCTGAGAAGGTAATTTGAAGCTACTAAAGACAATTGAACAGAAGAAACAGGAGTCGTATGGAATACTTATTGTGCGTCAATTGCTGTAAAAAGTGCTTGTAAATACAAATGTATCGAAGATCTATTGTTTTTCTTCTGAACTTTCTCCTTTGGAAATGGCCCTTTCCTTCCTCTGAGATCACCTGTCCCCATCTCTTCTCTCTTGTTGGTAAAAACTATATATTATTGTTGTTGTAGCAACCATGTTATAAACTGACTCAATTCCTGATCACTCTTGGTTCATTCAAAGGGTGGACACTTAGGTGGCCAATGAATCTCTTCCTATATTGGACTTGAAACTTAGAAAATTACACAGTAAAGCAACAAAGCTCAAGAAATGTACAAAACCATGTTTGATGCCACAAGGAACAGGAAAAGTGAAGCATCATATGAAGAAGTAATACATTAATCAAGCCAACATGGGAAGGAGAAAACAGATGAAATATAGTCAAGGTATTCTGATGTTTTAAAATATTTTAATTTTAATGATTTTTGGAGGCTCAGATATATTCCTGTTTTTGGTCCAACAACACACTCTATGATTCATAAATTCCTAAATTTTGTTTAAACTAGTTTGAGTTGTGTTTTTGTCACTTGCAAACCAATTAACACAATTATTTTGTTTTAGAAAATAATTCTGTCAGCATTATGTGAAACATATTAGAGAAAACAGAAGCTGAAGGAAATACTAAATAGTTTAAGACAGTGGCAATAAGGGCCTGAAATTGAGGGCAGTGGGAAAGATAAGAAGAGGAAATAAGAAAGAGGGTTAGATATAAAGTAGATTACAGCTGAAGAAGTAGATTAAACAAATATAGATATATTGTTAACTGAAATGAGTGATAAGGCAAGAGTCTCAATCTATGGAGGTTCATTAAGTCAGAGCTTGAGGGTGTGCCTGGAAAAAAATAGGAGTCGCAGATGCCTCTGTGGCCAATGTTAGCTGAAGGGGTTTTCAAGAGATTTAGTATTTACACATTTCCTTAATGTGGGAAAGGCATGTAGTGGCAGATAGGCAGAAGAATGACTGATCTTGTCTTTGTTCTGTACCTAGGAAGAGAAGTATCAATCAATGTGAAATCTAAGGCTTTAGTTTTAGGAGCTAGACTTGGATCACAGATCTTTAAATTGACACATTCTTGTTTTATGAGAAGATATGCATATTGAAAGATTTTGAGGCCAGAAAGCATCTGGAGATGCCTGATTGTCTGTTTCATGGGAGTCTGGCTGATGTATACAAAGCTTTGACAAAGGTTGTGAAGTAGCAGCTATTAATTTGGAAAAAAGATGGCAGTTTTAAGTGACTCCATCTGTAGGCTTAACTTTCCCTTTGGCATAATCTGTTTGGGGGTTCTGAGATTTCTTTTTCCTTTCTAAGATATAGATATCACATACAGATATACCCAATACAAATGGGTGCACATATGTGCACACACACACATGCTATCACTTTAAACATTCTGGTTAAATGGAAGCAGCTGAAGTAAAGAATGGACATTCAAAAGTCAAGAAGTATAGGTTATTTTTTAAGAGGATGGAATCTGGTAGGCAGAAGGGAAAGTGTGAGTCAGTGGTACAGAGGATGAGAATTTGAGAACATATTACTATAGGACCTTGAAGAATATGGAAGATGTAGACAAAGCATGGTAACTTCATATGGAAGAAGAATTCTTCAGCTTCTCAGTTTCTCCTTCCAGCCATGGGCTTCGACAAAGTTCTCAGAGAAACAGACTCCCAGACGACGCTGGCCATTCCCTGGCAACGGCCAGGTTTGCCATTATCCAGCCACTCTGAGACCTGTTATCAGGCCTGAGGTGAGTCTTAAGAAGTCAGGGATAAAGTCAGAGGTCTTGGGGTGCAGTGCCCTAGCTTTCTAATATTGGGAGCTCCCCTTGCTAAGTGAGAAAGACTCCCAATTGACCCACTCTCTTCCATCCAACTTGGGACATTGGCTCTGTTTCCACCTGATACACAGGGCCTGATGGTCAGGTCCAGGACTCCTACAGATGTGCATCTGTGGCACAGGATTGTGGGCAAAAGCTTCACAATACCCAAATCCCTTAAGCTCCTGTAAGTCACAGGAGATGGGGAAACTACCCACTTCATTCTTGGAGTTCCAGGAAGGCCTTAATTCTGAGGCCTACAGTTTCCAGGGTGCTAAGAAGGGAGTAAATTTATCTCTGGGAGCGTCCTCACTACATCCCACTGCAGGTTCTGAAAGATGTCCTTGTTACAGAGACTGAGGGAAGTCTCTACTCCCCCTCACCTCTGCTCCCAACTCTGTCCTTCCCCTACTTGCAGCCTCTGTTGGTTGATTTATGCCAGATCTCTTAACTTCTATGTATGCAAACCAGTGTGAGGCTCAAGCCCTCTAATAGAGGCCCCTTAAGGTGGCTTCTTAGCCCTATGTTGTTTTAACCTCTAGATGCCATGGGACTCCCTCCAGGAACTCTTTTATGATGATAGTACATTGAACATAAAGGAAGATATAGATACACGAAAATGTTAAGTTGCAGAAGAGGAAAGATGGGGGAGCTCACATAAGATGGCTTCAATCTTCTCAGTGGAGGAGGATTGGAGGTAATTTGCTTTTAATTAAGAGGACAGAGTAGTGTTAGAGGGCCCAGGAAACTTAAAAAAAAGGCTTGGAATGACAGGCTGAGGGAAATTATGAGATTCAACATATTAATACAACTCTACTCAACAATAGTTGAAGACCCAGGATGGGTGAGTACAGTGTCTTCAGTAGAGATTTCTTTATTCCTCTAGAAAAGCTGGACAGTCTAAAAGTAGGAGCAGAGAAAAATGACACTGAGTTGTACCCTGACCTGGGAGATGCCATGTGGGAATAGCAGAAGATAAAAAGTCCTAGGGATACTAGAGGTGGTAGAGACATCTTTCAATGTTGTGACTATCACACAAGAAACAAAGCAGCAGGGGAGGAAGATAATGAGAGCCAAATGATTTGGTTTGAGTTCAAGGTTTTAAAGAAATAACAGTTGGGGGTGATTTTACAGAGAGGTTGAAGTGTAATTAAGATCAAAGTCACTGGTGAATGTAAAAAAATATGTTGTGAAGCCAAGACTTTAACAGGTTGTTCAGGAATAGAATTGTGAGTAAAACAAAAGCAAAATTAAATATCATCTCCAGCACACCACCACCACCGCTACCACTCATCACCACCAACACTAACAGCAAGAACACAATCTGTTTGCCACATGTGTAAAGCACTAGGAAATTTAGCAGAGTGTCCCAGAGGGTGAAGCATAAATTAAATAAAGGGAGTGGATTATTCGAATTATATGAATTCCAAAAGGAGAAGTTGTTGAAGGATGGGGGTAACAATATTCGCTGGAGTAAAAGTGAGTTACATAGAGTCCATTTGTGAAAAATACCATGTTATCAGGTTTCATATGAATGAAAGATGTCAAAAGAGTGTTTGAAAAAAATTTCTGAAGGGTGTTTATGGGACAGAGGAGAGGGCTGGGCAAAAAGTAGTAAGAGAGGAATTGGCCTGGAATTGATGATGCTATAAATGAGAGAAGGCAAGAAGTAATAGTGGTGAAAGATTTGGAAGGGGCTTTGGAGAGAAATGAAAGTAAAAGAGAAGGAGAAAAACAAAATAAGGCTACTCTTGGGGAGGATCACAGAAGGCTAGTAGAAGGGCATTTATCTGGAAATCTGAACAGCAAAAGCATTCAAATAAAGCAATTGTTATAAAAGGATTATGTGTGGTCATCCATTAAAAAAGAAGTCATACCAATGTACTGTTTAAAAATGATTTGCTGGAGTACTGAGGCTAAGTAATGGTGTGATGCAGAAACAGTGGTCCCTAAAAACTTGGTTTGTGATGGCAAGTTCACCTAAGTCATGGGATATAGAATCCAAGTATGGACTTTAAGACAAGCAACACTGTAACTAATAATATTTGAGAAATCAGAAATGATGGTTCCTAGTTGTTATATCTTAGCAGGTAAAAAAAGTGTTTCAATGTGTTGAATTACTAATAGGCAGATATCTAATTTTTAATAGATAGGCAGAAAATTTCACTAACAGATATTTTAACTCTTGATTTTTCTATGTATCTAAAAATAGATATTTTCCTAAAAGTAATTTAATGCTTTGAAACATTAAAATTACACACACACACACACACACACAAACACACACACACACTTTGTTACTCTGTAGGAGATGGAAAATCCAAGAGCTAAAATTTGGGAGATGGCAGGGCTACATCACATTAAGTGGTAGAAGCAAAAGGCCCTTTGGGAATAAATGTATCTAACTCCAGAAATACTGTTACTCTTGAAACAGATCAGATCCTGTTCATTTCAGGTAAATGATCTTTGAAATCAGTTTCAAGTTTCTAGTCAAGAAAGTAGATATGAGATTCTACCTCTATAAATTTACCTCCCATTACAAAATGAGCAATAGTAATATTGTTTTAGGAGCCACAACTATTTTTAGTTCAAGTAACATCTTATGTAGCATCTTTGAGAACTCATTTTTTTCCATGCAAATAGTCTAACTATTTAAGGAATATAGAGAGCACAAAACATGGGTAAAGACATACTGTTTCGGGCTGGGCATGGTGGCTCACGCCTGTAATCCTAGCACTTTGGGAGGCACAGGCAGGCAGATTGCCTGAGCTCAAGGGTTCGAGACTAGCCTGGTCAACATGGTGAGACCCTGTCTCTATTAAATTACAAAAAAAATTACCTGGGTGTGGCGGCATGCACCTGTAATCCTAGCTACTTGGGAGGCTGAGGCAGGAGAATTGCTTGAACCCAGGAGGTGGAGCTTGCAGTGAGCTGAGATCGCGCCACTGCACTCCAGCCTGGGCAACAGGGTGAGACTCCATCTTAAAAAAAAAAAAAAAAGGACATACTGTTTCTCTAACTTTTGCGATGTGTTTCACATTTTGATGTAATTGACTTCGCTTATGTTTTGGAGTTTTTGTTGTCCCTCCACCTGCCTTGGAAGACTTGTAGAAAATCAGAATTTTGTGAGATTCCAATGCAAAGGAAATCATTTAGTTTTACTTTAAGCAACTCTTAAGTAGGCAAGAGTATTAGGATTCTCCAGAGAAACAGAACTAAATATGTCTATATATGTATATAAAATATATACTTCTATGTAAATCTATATTGTACATGCAAACACACACACGCACCCACACATGCGTGTGCACACACACACAGAGAAAGTAAAAAAGTGGTTCACATTATTGTGGAGGCTGGAGTCCCAAGATCTGCAGTGGGCAAGCTGAAAATACAGGGGAAGTCATGGTATAAGATTTAGTCCAAGTTGGAAGGGCTGAGAACTCAGAGTCAATGATTAAGTTCCAGCCTGAGGGCTAGAGAAGATCAATGTCTCAGCTCAAGCTGTCAGGCAGGCTAAGTATCCTCTTAACGCAACCATTTTGCTCTATTCTGATATTCAGTTGATTAAATGAGACCCACACTCATTGGAGAAGGCAAGCCACTTTACTCAATTTACCAATTCAAGTGTTACTATCACCCAGAAACATCCTCACAAAAACGCCCAGAATAATGTTTGACCAAATGTTGGGAACCCCATTGCCCAGTCAAATGAACCCATAAAATTAATGATCACAATTGGAGAAATAATCATTTGTAACTGCTGTGCCAAATTCTTTCTGTAGTTTTGTCTATACCATGGCTAGACATGTGCATGAAAGATATTTCATATTGAAAGATAAATATATTTAAAGAATAAATATCATTATGAAAAACTTGCTTAAGACTGGTATTATCGTGAGTGTGTGTGTGTGTGTGTGTGTGTGTGTGTGTGAGTTGGGATCTCTCTCTGTCTCTCAGGCTGGAATGCAGTGGTTCTATCATGGCTCGTGGCAGCCTCAAACTTCTGGGCTCAAGCAATTCTCCCATCTCATCATCCCAAGTAGCTACGACTACAAGTGCATGTCACCATGTCTAGCTAAAGTTGTTTCTTTTTATTTTTGTACAGGCAGGATCTTGCTATGTTGCCCAGGCTGGTTTTGAACTTCTGGCCTAAAGTGATCCTCCTGCCTTGGCCTCCCAAAGTGCTGGGATTACAGACGTGACTCATCGTGCCCATCCTCCTATTATCTTTTTAACATTTTTGCTTTCTTTGAGATTTTATATACTACAAAGAATGTCAAGTTGGGTAGATTTATTGTAAATAGAATAAGGTATCTCTGGATTTGTGTTTATAGCATTAAAGACTTCAATAAAGATTTATACATTATATCTGAGTTGTGTGCCTGTTATCTAGTATGTTTTACTGTGCTCTGCTTACACAATAAGCTGCCATTGTCTTGAGTGATTTAATCTATTTCTTCTGTCTCTCTTTCCCTGTGTGTATGTGTGTGTATGTGTGTATGTGTGTCTGTGTTGTTTACACCTGACTCCCTAATGTAAAATTTCAGAAATATAAGCTGAATAAAATGAGCTAACATACTGCCCAAATGGAAAATGTTGCACAACCTAATAAATTATTTATTTCTGCAAGATGCACAGAACCCAATGAATATAGTCTATTCGTGAAGGAAACAGAAGGTTACCTTAGAAATTATTTGTATAATTAAAAAAATATAAAGAATGACACATTTTGTTCAAATAAACAAGAAATGTCAAACATTTTTGATCATTAAAAATGATTTGCTTAGGACATCTTTCTAAGCTGGACACATTTCAACAGCATGATATTTTGAGACCTACTAGCATTTCTATTTAGGATTCACTAAGCACAGCATTCCACTGGTTAAAATATGTATACATGTATGCAAGTATGCTTTATTTATTATTTTACATTTGCAGAGGAAATAGACTCAGAGAGGAGCAACAAAATATGGCATCCAAAGAAATGACCATGCTTGGAAACAATTTTCATTTCATTTACCTGGGTAGTTCAATCAAAAGAAGGAAGCCCGTGTACTTCGAACAAAGTGAGGGCACCACCAGGTTCACAAACATTATGGAAAAAATTTAAGAAAAGAATTATGTTTTCATACTTTGCATACACCATGACAAATTGCAATTATTTGCTATCATTGTTGGGGAGATAATAGTAAAAGTAAAAACTAAACCTGAGAATCTCTAACAAAAAGACCAGTTCTGACTTAGCCCTGATGATTACCATTTGGGTTGGCAAGCCTAATATTACCAGATAGTTCATATTTTTCTTTTTCTTTTTTTTTTAATTTCACTTTAAGTTCTGAGATACATGTGCAGAATGTGCTGGTTTGTTACATTGGTATACATGTGCCATGGTGGTTTGCTGCACCTTTCAACCTGTCATCTAGATTTTAAGCCCCACATGCATTAGGTATTTGTCCTAATGCTCTTCCTCCCCTTGCCCCCTACCCCTCGACAGGCCCCAGTGTGTGATGCTCCCCGCTGTGTCCATGTGTTCTCATTGTTCAACTCCTACAACTCCTTAAGCTGATAAGCAACTTCAGCAAAGTCTCAGGATACAAAATCAATGTGCAAAAATTACAAGCATTCCTATACACCAATAATAGACAAGCAGAGAGTCAAATCATGAGTGAACTCCCATTCACAATTGCTACAACGAGAATAAAATACCTAGGAATACAACTTACAAGGGATGTGAAGGACCTCTTCAAGGAGAACTACAAACCACTGCTCAACAAAATAAAAGAGGACACAAACAAATGGAAAAACATTCCATGCTCATGGATAGGAAGAATCAATACCATGAAAATGGCCATACTGCCCAAAGTAATTTATAGATTCAATGCTATTCCCATCAAGCTACTATTGACTTTCTTCACAGAACTAGAAAAAACTACTTTAAATTTCATATGGAACCAAAAAAGAGCCTGTATAGCCAAGACAATCCTAAGTAACAAGAACAAAGCTGGAGGCATCATATTTTTCATGAAAGCTGGAAATCAAAATTCATTTGTGAAATCTATTTTTATACATTGAGAAACAACCAAAATCCAAAAATGAAAACATTCTGTGGGCTAAATATAGTCTGCCAAACATAACATGTCAGCCAGTTTACACAATTTATGTAAGAGTATGAGGACTCTGGCATCTAACCCAGTTCCATTAGTTCATTGTGGTTTCCATCCTTAAATAATATCTATCTTTAGGGTATAATTGAGGAGTTAATAATAACAAGCAAACATTCATAAAATCCTCACTATATATCAGACACTATGGTATGTACTAAATACCTCATCCCATTTAATCCTCACAAATTGCAGAACTAACATTAATCTTGCTTCAGCTGAGAAAATTGAAGATTAGAGGTAAGGGATGTGCCTAAATTCACCAAATTAATAAAGTTGGGTAAAGCATCTATCACAGCAATGACAAACTCAGTAGTAGCAATCATTATGATTACTTCTAGCTGAGCAAAGTTCTGGTCATGGAGATATTTAGTGACCGTTCTCAAAGTTGCCCATGTGTTGAGTATTAGGCAACAATACCATAGACATTCCCCTTCAAACTAGTTCTTTTTCATCAAGCCAGATTGCCTTGAGTTTTAAAGTGTCTTGTCTCTGAGTTCAGTTATTTCAGTGAGCTTCATCAAATGCAATAAGGCTTTTCTTTTTGTCTCCCTCCATCTTTACCTAATCAATGTGTCAGCAGTGCATGAAGCAATTTCCTCAAGAAAGTGGGTGGAAGAAATTCTGTAGTCATATGCTTCTTCAGAAATCTTTTCTTTTAAAGTGATTTCGTGAGCATATATTGCTTTTCTGATGTATTTCTTAAATCTTTTGCTTGTACATCAAAAAGAACCTCATTATGCATATTTCTTTCTTTTACTTTGAAGATTTAAGAGGAAAATATTGGTTTACTTACACACTTCCCGAAATACCTCACAAATCTTAGAGAAGCTTGATAATCTATCTCCAGGGCCTCTAAAGGAACATAACTCCTTTACCAGAGAATGGTTATCCAAGTTTCAGAGTTTCGCAATAATAAAATGTCAAGAATCATGACTTTCTTGAAGTTAAATGCCACCTACTTCAGTCCTTTTCTTAAGTGTTTTCCCTGCAAAAATGTTAAGAAAAGTGATAACTCCTAAAGCTACTTATCTTCACAATTGTCTCTTTTCACATTATGTATGCATCATGAGAGACAATTTAACATTTCTTTATCATCAAGGCACAAATAGTAATGTTCACTCAGAGGTCCTGGTCTTTAAGCTCGGTTATTCCAGAATCCAAACTTGGAAATAAGATTTAATGGAGTGAAAACTGGAACTCTATTGAGTGTCACACAATTTGTGTGTGTGAGATTTCATGTCAGTGATTATATAGCAGATATTGTTGCCCTGTGTGATGCCAGTTATTGGACAGTCAGCCCTGAAAGTTCAAGATTCACATTTTTATTTTTGTTAATACTGCAAATCATATTGTTATTCATAATTACTGGTATAATTACTTTTCTCAAAACACTTATATTTTTGTTTTTTGTTTTTTGTTTTTTTTTCTGAGACAGAGTGTCACTCTGTTGCCCAAGCTGGAGTGCAATGGCACGATCTCTGCTCACTGCAAACTCTGCCTCCCTGGCTCAAGCAATTCTCCTGCCTCAGCCTCCCAGGTAGCTGGGATTACAGGCGCCTGCCACTACACCCAGCTAATTTTTGTATTTTTAGTAGAGATGGGGTTTCACCACGTTGGTCAAGCTGGTCTTGAACTCCTGACGTCAGGTGATCTGCCCGCCTCGGCCTCCCAAAGTGCTGGGATTACAGGCGTGAGCCACCACGCTTAGCCAAAAATACCTAATTTTTAAAATGAAGGCAAGCAGTTTTCTGCTGGGGAGCATAAGCTATATAAAAATACAGTTGTCTTTTATTTGATAATTTGTCATATACAGCCTAAGAATTATTTGAAAAGATTCATTCACTTTCTATCTTGACTCATGTGTATATCATTGCCATTTTCATTAAAAAATAAACTGTCTTTATATAAATAGCCATGAATCGTTCAACACTTTTATTCCTAAAACATACTATCAAAGAGAATTATACTTAGTGAATACAAATAGGCCAGAGTTGTCAGGAATTTTGTAGACAACTATTATTGAAACTAGAACCATAGTTGCCAATTAATATTGAGTAATAAATATGGCTTCACTGGTAGAGTTATTTGGAACACTGTTTTTATAAAACTCAGGATGTAGATTCGAATCTGAAGTGATCCAATTAATTTTGCTCAAAAGAAAAGTTTTAGATTTTAATCTTAATTTAGACTATATGTAAATTATTGCTGGCATGTAAGATTCAATAAAACCATACAGTCGATTTTGTGAAAATCCATCCGTATTTTTGCTTTAGAAGCATAGAGTTATAGAATTGGAGAATCGAAGTTGGTTTCAGAATTCATCTGATCCAATTTCTCTAGGAATCTCTTCTTTAACACCCCTGGCGAACACTCACCCAAAGCCTCATAAATTCTTCTATGAACGAGTGGTTACTTCTCATGGAAAGCATGCCCTATTATTGAGATGCCATAGCAATAAGAAACTCTTTTTGAGTTAAATATTAAAATAAACTGTTGGCTGGGCACGGTGGCTCATGCCTGTAATCCCAGCACTTTGGGAGGCCGAGGCGAGAAGATCATGAGGTCAGGAGTTCGAGACCAGCCTGGCCAACATGGTGAAACCCTGTCTTTACTAAAAATACAAAAATTAGCTAGGCGTGGTGGCAGGCACCTGTAATCCCAGCTACTAGGGAGGCTGAGGCAGGAGAATTGCTTGAACCTGGGAGGCGGAGGTTGCAGTGAGCGGAGATTGTGCCATTGCACTCCAGCCTGAGCGACAAGAGAAAGACTCTGCCTCAAAACACAAACAAAACAAAAATAAAAAATAAAATAAAATAAACTGTCTTCCTAGCATATCCTTACAATTTAATTCCTGCAGAATTTTCTCCCTTATTTACATGACTGCCTTCCAAATACTAAATGACAATTTTTGTACTTTCCCCTCATGAATTCTTACAACTATTACTTAAATAATATAGTTCAAACCTTTTACCAAGCAGGTCACATTTCCCTGAAACATACTAGAGTTTATAATTTGCATCTTTAAATGAAGGAACAAAATTGGTCACCATGTTCCACATGTACTCTGACCAGCAGAACCTACTGAGACTATCACTTCCTGTGACCTAACTATAAGCTTCTATCATCATATTCTGAGTATATACTTTTATTTGAGAGTAACATCATTTGATTTATTTATATTAAATCTGAAGTCCTGGATACCCTTTTGGTAAACATTAAAATATGATTAACTGACCATATTTTTCCATGTGCAACCAGACTGTGTGGAAGATTCAAGTTTAATTACAAATTCCTGTGCTTGGCATATTTGTTGGCTTCTTTGCCTTTGTTCTTATTTTCCACTCCTTTCACATGTGTTTCCTTTATAAAAAGAGATTAGTTGAGAACTAATGAAACATTTATATAAGTGCTTCAAAGGTCAACCTCATTGGTCCATTCATAAGTGGATTCTCTATGTCTATAACTCATTCAAATGATCAGTCAATTAAGCAGTCATTAAACTCAACTATAATTTCTGAATAATTACCATGTTCAAAGCACTGGTACAAAGAAAAAAGAGAGAAGATTTGTCATTATAGGCCCTTCTCCAAGTAACTCATAATCAACTGGGGATAAAAGACATAAAATCACAAGGTAGTGGTGCAGTGTAAAAAGTAAAATACATCTATACACCATCTATCCATCAGTCATACACTGGGACCATTAATGACATACTAGATATTTGTTCTAATTTTCTAGTGCAGAGATTATTCTCCTGCAAAAACAGAAGTTGAAAATGAATTGGAAATTGAGTAATATCTTCCTGTCTTCCAGCATTTTCAAATATTTTGAAATTTTCTTGTTGTCTTTCCAGTTTTATTTCACTGTGGTCAGAGAATATACTCTTGTTTTAAATTTGTGGAAATGTGTTTTGTGGCTATGTTATCTATTTTACTTTATGTTCTATAGATAGTTGAATAGGTTTTCTGCTATTGTTGAGTGAAATGTTCTGTAAATGGTGATTAGATCTTGTTGATTTAGTTGTCTGTAAGTTCTCATCACTGATTTTTCTCTTTAGTTGTTGTATCAATTGTTGAGAAAGGGGGTTGAAGTTCTTAACTATAATTCCAGATTTGCCTCTTTCTCCTTCTAGTTCTATCAGTTTTTGCTTCATCTAGTTTGCATCTGTATTGTTTGGTGCATATGCATTTAGGATTGATATTTTTTTCTTGTTAGTTTAACTGTTTTATCATTATATAATGTCCCTTTCTGTCACTAGTAAACTTTATTTTTTTCCAAAGTCTACTTTATCTTATGCTAATATTACTACTCCTGCTTCCCTCCAATAAATGTTTAAATATCTTTTTCCATATTTTTACTGCTGATCTGCTTATGTTGTTTTATTTGAAGTGGGTTTCTTGTAGACAGCATATAATTTGGCAATGTTTTAAAATAAATCTCTTTTAATTGGTGCTTTTGATTCCATTTACTGAAATATATGTTACAGTTACAGCGTTTTCATTTCCAAATTCCCCATTTTGTTCTTCTTTATATCTTTTTTTTTTTTTTTGCTGAGCTTTTCTAGTTTTTTGTTGTTGTTGTTTCAAGTATTTTTGTAATTGCTCATTTAATCATTTTTACTGTGGCTGCTTTAAAATTTCTCAGATTATTGTAACCTCTTTGTCATCTCAGTACTGACATCTGTTTTATTTTAAAATTTATTTATTTTGTTGCATATATATTTAATTGAAAAATGAAGATTGTATATATTTATGGTGTACAACAAATGATGTATACATATATATACACACACATACATAAACACACACACATTATCTATACATACACATTATGGAATGGTTAAATCAAGTTAATTAATATATGCATTACCTCACATGCTTATCTTCTTTTTGTGGTGAGATCACTTAAAATCTCTATTGACAATTATCAAGTATATGATAAGGTGTTATTAACTATACACACCATGTTGTACAAAAGATCTCTTGAACTTACTTCTCATACATAATTTAATTTTTGTCTCCTTTGACCAATATCTCTCCATCCCCTCCCGCAACACACACATCACACTTCGGCCCCACTCTACTCTCTGCTTCTATGAATTCCAGTTTCTTAAATTTTTACATTTAAGTGAGATTATTTTTTAGGGATAAATAGTATTCCATTGTGTTTATATGTTACATTTTATTTATTCATTTTTCTTAGCCCACTCAGAAGGCTATAACAAATAACCTCATACTGGGTAATTTACAAACAACAGAAATTTATTGCTTACAGTTCTGGAGGCTGTGAAGTCTAAGGTCAAGGCACCAGCAGATTTGGTATCTGCTGAGGTCCTGTTCCTCATAGTTGGCACTTGGTGGATGTGTCGTCACATGGCAGAAGAAAGACAGCTTTTTTCAACCTCTTTTATAAAGGCACTCATCCCATCAATGAGGACAGAGCCCTCACAACTTAATCACTTTCCAAAAGCCTTCACCTCTTAAAACTATTCAATTATCAGGGGACAACATCTGAATTTTGGGGAGACACCAACATTCAGACCACAGCATTCTTCCCATGGCCTCCACAAATTCATGTTCTTCTGACATGCAAAATACAGTAATTTCACCCCAGTAGCCCCAAGTCTTAACTTGTTCAAGTGTCAACTCAAAAGTCTAAAATGCAGTCTTGTCTAAACATCACTAAATCAGTTATGGATGAGATTCAAAGTATGATTTATCTGGAGGCAAATTCCCCTCCAGCTTTGAGCCTGTGAGATCAACTGAGTTAGGTGCTTCCAGAATACAAAAGAGGGAGAAGCACAGGCCAGCAGCCATATCTTCAAAGCTTTGCTGGTTGCTACCAAAGCCCCAGCTCACAGGGATGCCTAGGTACAACTCAAGTTTGAAAGGACACCAAGGTTTTAAGCATAGCAACATTGATTCACTGATAGACAGATTGATTACATATCTTGGTTATTATCAATAATGCTGCAAATGAACATAAGAGTATACGTATCTCTTCATTATACTGATTGCATTTCCTTTAGATCCATATCCAGCACTGAGATTGCTGGATCATATTGTAGTTCTAGTTTTAATTTTTTGAGGGACTTTTATACTGGTTTCCATAATGACTGTCTTAATTTACATTTCCACCAACAGTATGACAGGGTTCCCTTTCAATACATTCTCACCAATACCTATTATCTTTGTCTTTTTGATAATAGGTGTTCTAACAGGTATGAGATGACATCTCATTGTGGTTTTAATTTACATTTCCCTGATGATTAGTGATATTGAGCATTTTAAAATACACCTGTTGGCCATTTATATGTCTTTTTTATTTTTATTTTATGAAATGAATGGTTCTTTTTTGAGTAAAAGTTAGCAAAAATTACAGTGGTCAAGAGCATGGTCTCTGAAGTCAGAATGACTAGTGGTGTTCATAGTTACACCTATACAATTTTTTCCTGTTCATGTATGTTTTTATTGATACATAAAAATTGTACATATTTATGGGGAACATGATATTTTGATGCATGCATACCAAGTATAATGATCAAATCAGGGTAATTAGTGTATCCATCAGTTCAAACATTTATCATTTCTTTGTGTTGTGAATATTTCAAATCTCTTTTACCTATTTTGAAATATACAATAAGTTGTAAAATATAGTCACTCTATTTTTGAGAAATGTCTATTTAGGATCTTTGCTCATTTTTAAGTCATGTCTCTTGTTTTCTTACTGTCAAGTTGTTTGAGTTTCTTATGTATTTTTGATATTAACTTCTTATCAGGATGTATGGTTTGCAAATATTTTCTGTTATTTGATATGTTGTCTCTTCATTTTGTTGGTTGTTTTCCTTTGCTATGCAGAATGTTCTCAGTTTGGTGTATTCCCATCTGTCTGGCTTTTTTTTTTTTTTTTTTTTTTTTTTTTTTTCAGTTTTTTCACCTGTGCTTTGGGGATCCTATCCAAAGAGTCCTTGTCCAGACCAATGTCATGGAGCTTTCCTCATATGTTTTATTCTACTAATTTTGTAGTTTCTGATTCTACACTTATGTCTTTTTTTTCATTTTAAGTTAGTTTGTGTACATATATGAGATAAGGGCCTAATTTCATTCTTCTGTATATGTATATCTAGTTCTTCCAATACCATTTATTTATGAGGCTCTCCTTTTTCCATTGTGTGTTTTTGGCAGTGGTACTGCCATCTTTTGATTGCCTTTAAAAAATTCAGGTTGAGATCTTCCTGGTTCTTGGTATAATGAATGATTTCTTTTGTTGAAATTTGGACATTTTCATATTATAAGATGATGGATCTTATTTAAAACTTCTTAGCTTTCTCTGATACCAATGCAGAAGGAGAAAGTTGGGGCTATTTTATTACAGCTGGTCAAGGTAGAATTCTCATTTCCTATTGCCCTTAATTAACACACAAGAGAAAGGGAGTACTCTTCTTTCTAAGTGGGAGTAGGTGGTCTTGTTAACCCTGGGTGCTGCTGCAAGTCTCTACTTTCCACTAGGCCTCCTGCAACACTTTCCCAGCAGGTAATGTTACGAGGTGATGTTGCAAATTCAGGCTTTCCACTGATGGTAGTGACGGAGGAGTGGGAAGGTGAGGGGATGTCCTGGACAGCAGGGAAAAAAGTTTCAGCTTCCTAGTTGGCCCTCTTTACATTGCCCAGTAGGGGTTTTGTAGTACCTCCTCACAGCTTCACTACATTGGAAATCTTGGCTCCCCACTCAGCTTTTTCTGGCATATGGGTGAGGCCACAGTTTTTATTTTTTTATTTTTTAATTTTTTATTTTTTTCAGTGTTTAGCTGTAGTAGAGTAGTTATCATCTGAAAATTTTCTCTTGCTAGGATGCTCCTTTCCTGGTCATTTGCCTAAAGGGTTTTGTTGGGACCTTTTTTTTTTCGTCTGAACTTGTTGACATATCTGGTTTGCAAGCTTCCTCAGCTCCACATTTGTGATATGTGAGGCAAAACTCGGAGGACTCACCACCATATTGTCCCTTAAGTCTCAAGGTCCCTAGCAAGTCTATGTTTTCTTTACCTTTTGCAATCTTATGTTTGTTTTACACATACTCTCCAAACGTTTTAGTTGCAGTTAGTGGGAAGTATAAGAAACAATAATCTACTCTATCTTCTCTGAAGTGGCACTCCTGGTGGTAGTTTCCAATACAGTATCTGCTTTCTCCTTCTCACTGGGAAAACCCCATTTTGGTGGGGGAGGCAATATGCCAAGTTAGAAATACTCATGTCCCTGGATTTCCTTGCCTTTAAAGATGGCCATGAAATCAAGCTTTGGCCCATGATAAAATACCCACAATCTACTGGGTAAGACATCTGGAAAAACTATTATTCTTCTAGTAAAAACAGAAAGATGGAGGGCCATGTTTCTTTTCTCTTCTTCACCTTTCCCTGCTTCTTTCTGTCTGAAATGGGTAATGATGCTTGGAGGTTTAACAGCCAAGAGAGCAAACTGCATGCTAAGATTGGTGGAGCAGGAAGCTAAAAGGAGACTGTGTCCTCCATCAACTCCTTTTACAGCTGTGTTAGCGTCAAGCTTTCTACCTAAGGAGAGTTTATTATGTAAGAAGAAAACAAAGCAAAACAAAATTCTGTTCTTTTAAGCTACGCTAGTTCTGTGCTCTATGCCAGCTGACTTTTGTTGTGCTCACTAAACAGCATCCTGACAGTTATCCACTCTGCTGTCTTTCACCTGATTTTGGAATCAAGCTAACTTTCATTTCACCTTCATCTCAAGGCCACTTCCACAAGGATGACTCTCATGTTCTTACCATAAAAGAGAAGTTCTCTTCAGCTGCCCTAGCCAAGTGCCGCCCACCTTTGTGCCTCATCTGAATGCAGTGTTTAATTTATGATTCTGTCTTCTTCACTAGCTAACTTCTTAAGGTCAGACATTATGCTTGGTATCAGGTGTAGGCCTGAAACTTCTTAGCTACACAGTAAATGGCTGTCAAAAAGGAAGTTAAAGCTTTTTTCTTTGTGTGTGTGTGTATATATATATATATAGAGAGAGAGAGAGAGAGCGTTTGTATTACTGCAATTTGTATTTGTTATATGCAACTATTTTTCAAGTAATCAGCTCGTAGAATATGGCTGTGTTGGCATATTTCACTTTTCTCAGCACTCTTGGAAATAGCTGAGATACTGGACAGGAATTATTGCCAGAGTTATATTAAATAGATTTAATTAAAACAACATTAATTCATTTCTTCTTTATGAAATTGGCAAGCCCACTCTTCCCATTTTGCCAAATTTTGGATATATATGTATTTTGTATCTAGAAACTAGTTTACAGAGCCTGAAGGTGTGGGAGAGCTTCCTGGACAGATTTTCTAAATGTTCTGCCTCCCTAAGTTCTTATGTGATAAATGGAATTGTCCTTCTGGGATCCATTTTGGAATCACTAAGTGCTCGCAGTTTGGCTGCCTGCATGATGCTAGGATGCTTTTATGACCATCCCAAACCCTCATGATTTTGCTGGAGAAGGGGTGAACTACTTTTCCTTTCTGCTGAAGTCCTCATCTTTTATTTCCATTACTAGAGACTACTTCCCATTTCACCTCCTCTTTAACTCCTGGATTGGCTTTTTTGAGAAGATAAAATGATCCTAAGGGATACCTCAAGTCTGGCAGCTCTCTAAAGGCAGTAACAGTAACTCCCAGAACAGGTCTTCTGAAATACCCTGAGGGACGTGGGAGGCTTCTGAAGTAGAGCATGGAAAGAGTGAAGGAATGACCAGTCTGCTGGTGTTTGCCTCCTCTTTTCTTGATTGTCATGTGTGGGTCCCTTTAGTGTTTGTATCTTCTTTAAGAGGCATGTAATACACAAACTGTGTCCATATAAGATTATGAACTTCATTGGTAAATGTTGTGTGTGTTCTGACTGCTGCTCCACCAACTGACTGGTCATGCCTGAATGTTCCTATTTCCTGAGACACAGCAACATTAGAGTTAAGCTAATTATTAACCCTACACTGGCCTCTAAGTGTTCAAGTGAAAGAGAGAGTCGCATGCCTCTCACTTTAAATTAAAAGGTAAAAATGATTACACTTAGTGAAGTGGGCATGTTGAAAGGTGAGACAGGCTGAAAGCTAGGCCTCTTGTACAAGACAGCGAAGTTGTGAATGCAAAGCAAAAGTTCTTGAAGGAAATTAAAAATGCTACTTGAATGAACACAAGAATGATAAGAGAGTGAAACAGCCTTATTGCTAATATGGATAAAGTTTGTGGGATCTGAATAGAAAATCAAACCAGCCACAATATTCCCTTAAGCCAGAGTATAATCCAGAGCCAGGTCCTAGCTATTTTCAATTCTATGAAGGCTGAGAGAGGTGAGGAAGTTGCAGACAAAGTTTGGAGCTAGCAGGGGTTGGTTCATGAAGTTTAAGAAAAGAAGCTGTCTTTATAAGATAAAATAGCAAGGTGAAGCAGCAAGTGCACATGGAGAAACTGCAGCAAGTTATCTGAAGATCTAGCTAAGATAATGGATGAAGATGACTACATTAAACAACAGATATTCACGGTAGATTTTTTTGAAAAAACCTTCTATTGAAAGAAGATGCCATCTAGCTAGAGAGAAG
Organism: Homo sapiens; assembly: GCF_000001405.40. NCBI lineage: Eukaryota > Metazoa > Chordata > Mammalia > Primates > Hominidae > Homo > Homo sapiens. The sequence continues at coordinate 77,415,265 of NC_000006.12, read as the reverse complement.
TCAATGCCTGGCTTCAAAGTTTTCGAGGACAGGTTTACTCTATTGTTAGGGACTAATGCCATTGGTGATTTTAACTGAAGACAGTTTTAATTTACCATCCTGAAAATTCTAGGACCCTTAAGAATTATGCTACATTTCTTCTGCCTGTGTTCCTCTAACAATGGAACAACAACCTGGATGACAGTGCATTTGTTTACAGCATGAGTTACTGGATATTTTAAGCCCACTGTTGAGACCTGCTGCTCAGAAGAAAAGATTTCTTTCAAAATATTACTTTTCATTGACAATGTACCTGGTCACCCAAGAGCTGTGGTAGAAATGTACAAGGAAATTAATGTTTTTTTTCTATGCCTTTTAACACAACATCCATTCTGTAGCTCATGGGTCAAGGGGCAATTTTGATATTCTAGTTTTATTACATACAAAATACATTATGTAAGACTATAGCTGCCACAGATAGTGATTCCTCTGATGGATGTGGGCGAAGTCAATTGAAAATCTCCTAGAAAGAATTCACCATTCTAGATGCTATTAAATACATTTTTAATTCATTGGAGAAGGTCAAAATGTGAACAGTAACAGGAGTTTGGAAGAAGTTGATTCCAACCCTCATGGATGAATTTCGGGGTTCAAGGGGGAAGAAGTCACTGCAGATATGGTGGAAATAGCAAGATAACTAGAATTAGAAGTAGAGACTGAAGATGTGACTGAATTGCTGCAAACTTTTTCATGATAAACGTAAATGCATGAGGATTTTTGTGAGGATCTTTTTTAATAAATGGGCAAAGAAAGTTGTTTGTTGAGATGGAATCTACTTCTGGTAAATATGCTGTGAACATTTTAGAAATTACAACAAAAGATGCAGAATATTACATAAACTTAGTTGATAAAGCAGTGACAGGATTGACTTGATTTTTGAAAGAAGTTCTGCTGTGGGTAAAATGCTATCAAAGAACATCACATTCTATAGATAAATCTTTTATTAAAGGAAGAGACAGTTGATACTGAAAACTTCATCTTGTCTTCTTTTTAAAAATTTCCGCAGCCACTACAGCCTTCAGCAACGACCATTCTGATCAGTCAGCAGCCATCAACATCAAGACAAGACCCTTCACCAGCAAAAAGATTACAACTCTCTGAAGGCTCAGATGATTATTAGCATTTTTTAGTAATAAGATAATTTTTAATTAAGGTAAATGCATTGCTTTTTAGATATAATGTTATTGCATACTTAATAGACTACAGTGTAGTGTAAACATAACTTTTATATGCACTAGGAAGCTAAAAAATGTGTGAGTTGCTTTGTTTCAATACTTGCCTTATTGTGGTGGTCTGGAGCTGAACATACAGTATCACCAATGTATGCCTATATCTGAATTATATTCAATTATGTCCCCAAAACAGCTATAGTAGGAGATGCTTCTATATGGTTAACAAGTTTAAAATTTAAAACCACAAGCACATTATTATAATAAATCAAATAATAACAGAAGGCTGATAATCAGAAAGAACTATTTTTATTTCATTCCTATTACTCAGAAGACCACACCTGACTGCAGTGCTGTGAGACCCGAGCAGAAATATTGTGGGATAACAAATGTATGTTGTACTAAGCCACAAGTTTGAGGTAATTTATTACACAGCAATAGAAGGCTAATACACATAGCAACTTGTTCTTATTTTGTGGATGGAATGTCTTCCTCATCATCCCCCTCTGAAGATACTAACAAGAGTTTTCTTTTGTTGCCCTCCATTACTTTCATTGGTTCTTTTATTAATTTAGGCTATTTCTTGAGTTAAAAGCTCTCTTCAAATAGAGGTAATTCTTTGTCTTTCTTAAATTTAGATGTGAGACACTAAAAAAGAGATCAGGTACCCAAATGATGCTTGTGACAAGTAAGTTTCCATTTGGGTAGGCAGAAGCAGATGTATGGAGATCTTTTCCCTGTTCCTATTGAATTTCTCCAACAGAGATATGTTTGAGCTCTGGCTAAGTGCTAATGACTGGCTACTAGAATTCCACTTGTGAGATGGCCAAGGAAGTCTGAGCATTTGACCATCTTATTGGCTATTATGAAAGACAGTTTATGGGAAGTCATTGTTTTGGACTAGCCTCCTGCACTTGGTCCCAGCAGACCAGAGCAAACCAAAGTGGAGTCACTAATGCTAAGTGGAAGGAGGTCCCAAAACAGACCTTTCAGTTTTTCCTGAAAGCAGGACGTTGACACCAAACAATCAGAAAGAACTTATTCTACTTAAGTCAGCATAATAAGAAAACCAGCTCCATTTTAACCCTTACAAAGAAAGTGACCAACAGTGACCTGTTAACCAACCCCACTTTAAAAAATTGAGGTTTCCTTAAAAAAACCAACCATTCTATAATGTCCAGTGGAAAACCCATTCTATTTCATAGAATGAGAAGTTGACTGATTTTAGAATTGCTAATAAAAGACAATTCGATTTTTAAACTAAATTTATTTTAGTTTTGTCTTTTGACACCATCAATTAATTCCTATAATCAGCCCGAGGCCACATTTTTACTAGGACCATCTTCAGTTTAAATAGTTCAGAAAATACACCTCAGATCTCATCTTGTCTAGGAGTAGATGTTTGAATGCCAATGTTCTGTGTGTCTGTGCGTAGACACTTTATGTATTGACTTGCAACAAACTTTTGCAATGTGAAGCCTCAAAGCTGCTATTTGCTGTACCTATGGCTGGCCTCTGAGACCTTCTCTGGTCTTTGCCATAAATCAATTCTCTCCAATTTTGTGTTTCTTTCTATACACATATTAGATTATAGGATTCACAAATGTTGATGAATAATTAACATTTTAAAAACTGGAAATTAAGAGAAGAGAACAGCTAACATTAAAAAATTAGGATGGGGTCTAAAAATTGTGTTAAATCATTGTAACTTGGGAACCATCTGTATTAAATATTGTGCTGTGGAGCTTTACTAAGATTATTTTTTATTCATATGATATGTAAACTGCTGTTTACATTGCAGAAGCATTTACATTATAAGGGAGGAGAGAGTTAATTTATTTTATATGGTTTAGAATATGAAGCTGATAAATATTATTTTGCACACTCATGGTTTTGAGAGTGACTGCAAAATTTTGACTGACACTGGAGAGAATCAGTTGTCACAATTTCTCCCTTCTTTACAGGCCATTGTCTAGCTGTTGTCCAGCGGAAGGAAATTAAGTATTTATCTCAGGGCTTCTTTACCAGTGGCATCCAATGTTTGCCACCAACCATTTTCATTTTTTCACTGCTCATTGCTCCCGTCCACCCAAATGGCAGAATTCCTCATTTACAGAAGTGAAGCTGCTCTGCTTATGGAAACTCCCCTACTGAGTAGATAAATATCTCCATGCAGAGAGCTCATGTTAAGCAGCCCCCAGGTAGGGTTAGCATTTCATAATTGTACCTCCTCAACTTATAATGGGAGTTACATTCAGATAAACCCATTGTAAATTAAAAATTTCATAAGTTGAAAATCTGTTTAACACACCTAATCTACCAAACGTCATTGTTTAGCCTAGCCTACCTTAAACATGTTTAGAACACATACATTAGTCTACAATTGGGCAAAATCATCTAACACAAAGCCTATTTTATAATCAAGTGTTGAGTAACTCACAAAATTTATTAAATACTGTACTGAAAGTGAAAAACAAAAGGGTCATATGGGTAGTTGAGGTACGGTTTCTATTAAATATGTGTTGTTTCTGCACCATTGTAAAGTCTAAAAGTAGTAAGTTAAACCATCATAAATTAGGGACCTTCTGCATTAGGTATTGTCTCTGCCTGCTAGGTGAGGCAAAGATGAACAAAAGCAAATAAATGAAGTCTTAAAAATGTTGGAAAGGAATCTGGAAAGAAGCTATTTTTCTATATTAAGAATTCATAAATACATTAATAAGACAAATTCATAGGGGCTATGTTAAGAATGACATCAATATTAGAAATGTGAAAGACTCCTCATGCCCTTAGTCCTAAGTTCTAATGAAAACTACAGAAATTATAAATATATTATATACATGTGTGTATATATACAGAGAGAGAGAGAGAGGCATATACAGGTTAAACTATTACGAAAGTTATATAAATTAATAATGACATGTTAAATGGAAAGATCATATGAAAAAGGCGGGATTTGAGCAGAGTTTAATAATGTGCAATAAGTTACAAATATAGTGTGCTATTGCCCTATTCCTTTTGTGTGTAGATAAAATCTATGCCTTCATAACAAAGAACAAGAAAAGGATTCAGTTTATATTCAAAGATTCTGGAGGATATAGAAAAATTGACAATGACTGTTTCTAAATGACACATAGCTCATCATTATTTCCAAAGAGCTTTTAGACTTTGAGGAAATGTTCATCAAAATTATATGTAAACTGCTTACTTATTTCAACTATGTTTCTGGATTTTTAAAAATGTGATACAGCACTCACATTATTATTGCATTTTTGGAGGGAAGGAAAAAGCAATTATTATTATTAATATTAGTAATAAAAAACAGTTGTGATTGCAGAAAATAAGATCAGTAGAGGCAGCAGAAGTAAAAATCACATTTTATTTATTCATTGCACTCATTAAAATATGCCTATTGCAACAGCTTATGTGCATGTGTAAAAATATAAAAACTATAATTTTAAGTTAAAATATAAATGCTATAAGAATGTAATAAATATGGACAGAAGACAAATACATAGTACAAAAATATCCTAAATTCCCTTAGCACACTAGGTACTAAGAAAACCAGATTGGATGGTATATGATGTTACATAATTTCAAAAATATATTAATTAAGCTTCCACTATTCCCAAGAAAGAAAAAATATCTAAGCTTTTTCTCCCTTTTCATAAGTGATTTTGAGTTTTTCCTTTTTACATATGCCCAGAGGTATTCTGATGGGTTATTTTGAACATATACTATAAATATGTTCAAAATATATTTATAGAATATATTTATATTCTATAAATAGAATGAGATAATACCATGTATTTTTTCATGGGCTGAGAACCACGCTACTGAAAAAATATGTAAGGAAGATATAGTAACTATTATTTAGTGAAAAGATGAAAAATCTATTTTATCTACAAAATCTATAAAATATTCACTTACATAAGGTGAATTATCTTTTTCATGCAGCTTTGTGTATGTTTCCTCTTCTCTCAGTGACCTGAATAGCAATATCCAGACACCCCAAAGGTGCAAGTTAACATCATATCAGATGACAGTTTATTTCAGAACAATGTAATTTTACTTGTTAGGTTAAAGCTCTTCAAATGCTTGGGCAACTTTGCCAGTGACCTGACAAGCCTCAAATTAGTAATAGAAATAAATTATTTCACACATTACTTTGTTTTTTTTCTTTAATCCCATACTGGAACTGATTTTAAAATAGACACTTCAAACACAATTGCAGCTGACACCAAAAAAATGTAAAAAATCATTTATGGAGTCAAATGTGTTTACAACTAACCTTTTGCTTTTCTCTCATTTTATAAATACACAGCATACAGAGTACATGAGGCCATATGGAATAATGGAAAGTAACTGTAATAAAATTCCTTTTATATGAAAAATTTCTGTTGAGATATTTCTGTTCTTTTTTGCAAAAATTAATAACATATCTTGAATAAAAATATTTAATAATTGCTTCCTTACTATTATGGCTTTAGAATGCAATTAAAATGAATAGCTTCTTTTTTTTGTTTGTTTGTTTTCCAGAAATGTAATAATTGATACTCCCACTAGCAATGATAAGGACTCTCTTCTCACACCACATTCCCCAGTGTGGAGTATTATTTAGAAAACAAAGTACACTTTGTCAATTTGATTGGCAAAAAGTCTTATTTTTAAAAATTTGCCTATCTGTAATTACTAGTTGGTTAAAATTTTTATGTATATATTTTATATGAATTGCCTATTTTTATCATTAGCTTATATTTGCCATTACACTTATTTTTGTTTATAAAAATTCTTTCTATATTAAGTATATAAATCCTTTGCCATATTTTTTGCAAACTTTTAAAACAATTTTTTTTATTATACTTTAAGTTTTAGGGTACATGTGCACAACATGCAGGTTTGTTACATATGTATACATGTGCCATGTTGGGGTGCTGCACCCATTAACTTGGCATTTACATTAGATATATCTCCTAATGTTAACCCTCCCCCCTCCCCCCACCCCACAACAGGCCCCGGTGTGTGATGTTCCCCTTCCTGTGTCCATGTGTTCTCATTGTTCAATTCCCACCTATGAGTGACAACATGTGGTGTTTGGCTTTTTGTTCTTGCGATAGTTTGCTGAGAATGATGGTTTCCAGCTTCATCCATGTCCCTACAAAGGACATGAACTCATCATTTTTTATGGCTGTGTAGTATTCCATGGTGTATATGTGCCACATTTTCTTAATCCAGTCTATCATTATTGGACATTTGGGTTGGTTCCAAGTCTTTGCTATTGTGAATAGTGCTGCAATAAACATACATGTGCATGTGTCTTTATAGCAGCATGTTTTATAATCCTTTGGGTATATACCCAGTAATGGGATGGCTGGGTCAAATGGTATTTTTAGTTCTAGATCCCTGAGGAATCGCCATACTGACTTCCACAATGGTTGAACTAGTTTACAGTCCCACCAACAGTGTAAAAGTGTTCCTATTTCTCCATATCCTCTCCAGCACCTGTTGTTTCCTGACTTTTTAATGATTGCCATTCTAACTGGTGCGAGATGGTATCTCATTGTGGTTTTGATTTGCACTTCTCTGATGGCCAGTGATGATGAGCATTTTTTCATGTGTCTTTTGGCTGCATAAATGTCTTCTTTTGAGAAGTGTCTGTTCCTATCTTTCGCCCACTTTTTGATGGGGTTGTTTGTTTTTTCCCTGTAAATTTGTTTGAGTTCATTGTAGATTCTGGATATTAGCCCTTTGTCAGATGAGTAGATTGCAAAAATTTTCTCCCATTCTGTAGGTTGCCTGACTTGGAAATTAAGGTCCTATTTTGTGTATCTACCATTAGGAATCAATGACCTTTTTTTTGTATATAAAAAAAAACTATTGCATTAATGACCTGGTAGTTTTTAAAGTATATGAACTGTAACTTATTGGAAATTAATTTGACCAGATATCACTGGTGAATTAGCCTTTTATCTTATGATATATTCCATGTTTGAAAGTAACAGAAACTATTTCCTTAAATATAGTTGCTGTTTTATAAAATCTTATATAATTCAGAATTTTCACAGAGTCAGACTAGCCAACAACCCTGTTATTTCAAATTAATGAGTTTTTAAATTAATTTTACTTTTATTAATTCTAAAATATTTATGATGCTTTTCATATTCATCAGATCCTGTATATATGTGTTGAATGGAGCTCAGCCCTTTCTCTCAAAGAAATTTTTGTCTGGTTTGACATATGACAGGTAAATAAACAATTATAAACCAGTGTGATAAATGCAGTTACAAAGGGGCAAACAAAGTCCAGTGATGTACAGAAGGTGGAAAGTCAGGAATGTATCATAGGAGAATCAACTTTTATACTGAAATTTAAAGGTTGGGTAATTTGGATAAGCAATAGTTAAAAGAGCTTTCTACTCAAAGGAATCATATGGAAAGTCATTAAAAAATCAAAATAGAATTCTGAAGATACTTACATGAAATGATTAAAATTACTTATGAAGTCAAATTGAAATAATATCAGTTAATATTTATTTAACTGAGACTCTAAGGGCTAAGTTGAGATGAAATTCACATCAGAATTTTGTAGAATTAATGATGAAAGTCTTCTGACATCTTTAATTTAGACCAAAAGTATATCAATATCTCATAATTTATAAATATTTCATAATTTAAATGGATGTTCAAAATGGCAACAGAAGGGGAATAGGAGGTTTCAAGTACATAAAATAATAGGAAAGTGGAAAATAAGAAATAAGGCTCACTCTAATTTTTTTTATTACTATTATACTTTAAGTTCTGGGATACATGTGTAGAACGTGTAGGTTTGTTACATAGGTATGCACGTGCCATGGTGGGTTCCTGCACCCATCAACTTGTCATCTACATTAGGTATTTCTCCTAATGCTATCCACCCCACGATAGGCCCCAGTGTATGATGTTTCCCTCCCTGTGTCCATGTGCTCTCATTGTTCAACTCCCACTTATGAGTGAGAACATGTGGTGTTTGGTTTTCTGTTCCTGTGTTAGTTTGCTGAGAATGATGTTTTCCAGCTTCATCTATGTCCCTGCAAAGGACATGAACTCATCCTTTTTGTGGCTGCATAGTATTCCATGGTGTATATGGGCTCACCCTAATTTTAAAGCCAAAACATTTAACAACAGTAAAGAATCAAATTAAAAATCTAAAAGCAAACAATTAGCAACCTACAAAATGGGGGTTATATTTTCCTTCTTTTGTAGCTACTTCCAAATACTGTTGCATTCATAGACAAAGTGATGTTACACACTGTCTTAGTAACCAGGAATGCCCTAACCCATTGTTCTAACTGTCCTGCCGAGACATTGTTTTCTTAAAGGTATTCCTAGAAATCTTTCAAAATAGATATTTCTGAGAGTAGCTATCCAAACCAACTTCTAAATTAAAAGTAAATATTTCCTCCACCTTTATGTGACTCTTTGATGAAGCATCCTATATAGAGAAGCCAAATCTTTATTGACATTATTACGCAGCTTCAAATTTTAGTTTTTAGAGTGCATGCATAAGAATATGCACATGAGAGTAAAGGCTTTCTTGGGTTTAGTTCCTGGCTACCATTAACTCTGTGGTGATGGAGAAGCTACCTAGGTATTTGTTTCTATATTTGTAAAAAGAGAGACTGAGGAATACTTTAACCTATTAGACTGCTGTTTTAAAAGAACCATTGCATATAGACAATTTACCCGTATGCATGTTACATACAAAAAACTCAATAATATTAGCTGTTGTGAAAAATCATTATTGTTCTTAGTGTTCAGCTATAGATCAGAATAGATCCAGCAATAAAGTGGGCTGAAGTTTGTGTAATTTGAGGCCATGCATTAAAACATTGCAAAATATACTAAACTCAATAAAAAGATTATGTCAGTAAAAATGGAAAGGACCTCCAAATATTCTTCCCACATAAAAGTGATAAGAGTGGCAAAAATTTTCAGAATCTTTTTTAGAACTCTGGAAGTTAACCAAAGCCTTGCCAAAATCTGTAAAAACAGCTGAATCTAAGTAAGAAGAGTAAGCTTTATAGCAGTTTAACTTTTCTTATTTCCATACCCTATTGCCCAGTTCTATGGGAGTCTTAAAAGCAAACAGCCCACAATCACAGTGGAAACAGCAATTTGGCAGCTGTTAGCAGGGTACAATGGAGTTAGAGTTCCTCCAGATACCCATTCCTAATTATCACTATGTTACCTCACTGATGGATCTTGCTGGCAAGGTTGTTTTTACTTGACCTGACTTGAAGCAGGTCTCTTCCACAGAGCATCTGTCAAAAACAATCAGAGAAAACTGTTACATATTTTGACTGCCTGAGATGGCATTGAGAAGATATAATAATTATGTCTTGCACCTAGTATCAAAGTCCAAAATATAGGAAGCAAAACTGACAGAGCTAAAGGGGAAATGAACAATTCAACAATAATAGTTGGAGACTTCAATACCTCACTTTTGATATTATATAAAGTAACTAGACAGAAATAGGAGACTTGAACAACACTGTAAACTAACTACATTTAATAGTTATCTAATAGAAGGTTCCATCCAACAGAAGAATACACATTCTTTTCAAGTCCATAAAATGCTGTCCATGATAGACCATATTTAGTCTGTAAGACAAGTCTAAGTAAATGTCAAAGGATGAAAATAACACAAAGTATGTTCTCTGACCACAGTGGAATAAAATTAGAACTCAATGATGAAGGAAGTATGAGAAATTCACATATATGTGGAAATTAAATGACACACTCCTAAATAATCAGTACAGCAAAGAAGAAATCACAGGGAAATTTTAAAACACTTTGCTGTAAATAAAAACACAACATACTAAGGCTTATGGAAAGCAGAAAAAAGTGCTAAGGAAATTTGTAGCTATGAGTAGTCCAATGAAAATAAAGATGTCAATTCAACAACTTAAATTTCCACCTTCAAACACTAAAAATAAGAGAAAATTAACCCTGAAACAAAGCAAATATTAAAAATTGAAGACTACAGTAGGAATACAGGAAATAAATAATAGAACAATATAGAAAGCCAACAAAATCAAAATCCAGTTATTTAAAGAGATCAATAAAATTGACAAACCTTTAGGTAGAATGACCAAGAAAAAGCGAGAGACAGAGGGAGGCAGAAAAAGAGAGAGAGAAAAAAAGCGAAGTCAAGAATGAGAGAAGAAATGTTACAATGACCTCATTGAAGTAAGAAAGATTAAGGAATACTGGAACAATTGTATATCAGCCAAGTAGATAAACTAGATGAAATGAATACATTCCTAGAAAGACATCCAAATTACTGAAACTGACTCAAGAAGAAATTAAAAATTTGATTAAATTAGACAACGGAATTAAAAAGAAGAAAAAATTCTAAAAACCTGGTCTTATTTTATTTTCATTTGTTTCTTTCTCTAAATATACTGTGTATAATTTTTGTTTTAAAATCATGTTGGTAAATTGAATGGTCTGGTTAGTTGGGATCAAGCTAGTTTATGGGATAAAATGTCTCCCTTTATTGCTAGTCTGGACCATATGAATGACTACTCAAAAAGTTTTCTAATATTTTTTGAATGTTGGTATCGTGCTAGCTAGGAACAACATACCCGTATTTATGATTAGAAAAGGGATATCACCTTCATATTATTTCATTTTCAGGTATTATATTAAAAACACCAACAATAAACTCTTCTTTTTAGTTTTTATGGTAGGTACTTACTGTGTAGAAACTGATAAATATGTCATCATGGTAGTAACTCCTTATGGTAGCAGGAGTGATTTTTATTATGACATAAGCTGAGTACTTCTTCCAATTTAAATACATACTGTATAGTTTCTATTTGGCTCCTTACAGCATATTTGAAATTAATTCAAGTGCTCGTGAAACTCTACCTAGTGCTAATGAGAACATGATCAGTTACTCACATTTCCTTCAAATAAAGGCCCCAAAGCCAAAATTTTAAATATGGTGCCTGGACTAGATATATGCAGTTCATTAATCTAGTTTTTTTAGTTTTATATCATTATTTTTATTTTACTTTCAAAACTATGCCATCATGTGTCACTTTCCTCTCTGAGAAAAAAAATGATGATAGAAATGCATCTGAATGTCAATTCAGAATAGCAGATGATTATTCTCCAGTAGAAGTTTTATATTTCTCCTGAGTTTTATATTTCTATGTCCCTTTAGTGTGACCAGCTGACTGTAATTGCCACTTAGTGATTGGCCAGAAAGCTGTTATGTCAATCAATCAAACAAATAAATGGGTGAATTAATTAATATTTTTGTTGAAACCAATTTAAAAGAATTATAGCAAAGCAATTTTGATTTTCAACAGTCCTACTCACCATCTGCATTTGGTAAGACTCTTGACATTTGTCTGGGTTGCTAAGCAATAAATTCCTCTGCCATGACTCCTGAGTCCCTGGGATCACTCCATTATTTTGTCATTCAAGTATGTCACACTGCTTGGTGTGGGCCTCCAATTCCTGCACAGTCAGAAATATGGACCTGCTGTTTCTACAGTAGAAAAAGAGTAAATAAGAGAATTGTGGGACAGAAAGATGATTAAAAGACTGAGGAAGTAAGGCTACATAAGCCTCAGAATTTGGAGGATATACTTTTGAAAGAGAAGTCATCATAAGCTCAGAAGTTTCATCACTTTAAAAACGTAGTTAATTTTCACACCCAGCGGAAACTCACCACCACTGGGGTAGTTAAAGTAACTTTGTGATTTCAGCAACAGTTCTCATATAAAATACACTATGTTTTGTAAAAGCTTCTATCACATTTTCTATTTATCAGAGGATAGTCCTGATCATTTGATCATCAGATATGTTAGAGTCTTGACTTTAGTGAACACAGGAAAAGCTGGTGAGAATCCTTTGCTAATTTAAAGGTTTTGACAGTAGTCTGACTAGTTCAAGAAGCCTCCAACTATTAGGATGGTATATAAGTATTTACTGAAAATTGACTTTTAAAAAATGTTTTGTTTTGATGCCAGTGCTAGATTTTGTGAGACTATTTCTCTTTCTAACTATATTATGATATTGATACATAAAATGAGTAAGACTGTTTGAGCTATAGGAATAAAGAATGTATGATATGTAAATTTTTCTAAGCCTTCAATCAAAATCCTGTTCATCTATTTCAAATTAGTAACTTAGTACTTTGGAAGAACTAATTTAGATTACATAAAATAAATGGGTCTTGAAAAGATAAATTTGATCATATTAGGCAGAGCTGAGATGAAAAAGAATACAATTATCTCAACTTCCTAAACATATCTTCTTAGGTTGGTTTTTCTAGTATAAATACAAAATAGCCAGGGTTAGCACAGTTTCAAAGGTCATATTTAACTCAAAATCTTTTTCATCTTTAATGTAGGAATGGAACTAAATGCATTAAAGGAGATTTATCCAATATGGGAAATTCAGTGAAACCAAAGATAATCTGCAAAATGACCTTTGATTTCCTCTTTGTATATTACATTTTAATTTGTCTTAATGTAGCATGTTAAATAATAATCTAAAGACATTAAATTTCTGACATTCCTTAGCACTATGACAGTGAACCATCAGAGAAGTAAAGTGCATCTATGGAAAGAAATGACCAAAATGTGAAGTGACCTCAAGATCACATAGCCTGAAAGTATAAAGCTAGGATTCAGATCTACTCCTGACAGCCAGACCAGAGATGTTCATAGCATAATGCTTTCCATTATAGAATAATAAGTATCAGAATATTTTTATTTTTAAGCTAAAGTAACTGAGGCTCAGAGATGTAAAATGACTTACCCCCAGGAGGACCTTGGAATGGAGACTGGCATCCATATTTCCTGACTTTTATCCTGGTGCTCTGTCTTCTTATATCATCCAGATTCAGAGCAAATCCTCATTCTTCCTCCATTGTATTTTGAAGAATAAACATTATAGGAAAGAAAAAGTGAAAGCATTAGAATTTCACAATACTTTGGTACTAAAAATTTGGGCCAGTTTCTTGAATTGTTCAACCTTGAGTTATTTGTGTTTAATGAATTTCCCCTGCTGACTTTTTTTAAAGGTAACTCAGATATCTACTGGCTTCTCAGTCCTTGATTACAAGAAAGCAGGAGCTCAGTCTCATTTTTTAAGTATCCTTCAGCTATTTTATGATGCCCTAAAAGGGCTAGCACTTACATATGCACTTATGTATTTTGTCAGGTACAGTCTCTGTAAATGAAAATAACCCATAACAAGCATATATCATAATGCTTCACACATAAGTACACAGTAAATGATCATAATACTTCACACATAAGTACTCAATAAATGATGGAAATGAGGAATGATTATTTATTGATCACTTATGTGTGAAGCATTATGATGTATGCTTGTTATGGGTTATTTTCATGAATATCTTTTTAATATTGGTACCATATATGGTATAATATATGGTACCATATACCACAGGTACTATTAGCTCTCTCATTTGACAGGTGAGGAAACTGAAGCACAGTGCAGCTCAAGATTTTATAGCCATTACGTGGCAAAGCCAAGTTTAGATTCCTGACAGGCTGACTCTAGAGCTGATGCTCTTACTGTTGAAGTTCCACAGCAAACCTGCTATTCCCCTACTGTTCCACGTGCCACATGTTCCCACTTGTGACAAACTGAGTCATTTGAAATAGCTTTTGCACTTATATTAAGGTATGCAGTCTCCAAGTATTTGTCATGTTTCTAATTCTTAGCCATAACTGGATTATCACTCCATGACTGGAAGCCTCTATTCCAGCTCATGCTGCATTTAGTAATATGAGCCCCTAAAATACCTATGCACGTGTATATTTTTATAAAATGAACAATTGCAACATCTTCTCACCCTTTATTTCTTTTCTTTTCTTTTCTTTTTTTTTTTTTTTTTTGAGACGGAGTCTCGCTCTGTCACCCAGGCTGGAGTGCAGTGGCGCGATCTCGGCTCACTGAAAGCTCCGCCTCCCGGGTTCAGGCCATTCTCCTGCCTCAGCCTCCTGAGTAGCTGGGACTACAGGCGCCCACCACCACGCCTGGCTAATTTTTTATATTCTTAGTAGAGGCGGGGTTTCACCGTGTTAGCCAGGATGGTCTCGATCTCCTGACCTGGTGATCTGCCCGCCTAGGCCTCCCAAAGTGCTGGGATTACATGCGTGCGCCACTGTGCCCGGCCCCTTATTTCTTTTTCGCAGAAACTCAAACCAAGTGCAAGAGGCCATAGTGTAACCGAATGCAAGTCACGCTGCTTGCTGCTTGGAAGCCAAAACACAATACATGAGATGTGGTGAAAAGAAATCAGCTTTATTAATCAAATTCTAGCAGGTGAGAGATGGCCAGGCTCACTCCTCAAATAAACCATTTCCAGTTTTGAGCTGAAGGCAGGGATTTAAAAAGGGGAACCTTGGTATAGGAAATACGTAGGAGTGAGGCAGGGTGCAGGTCTGTGTGTCTTGCTCTGATAGTCATTTTGAGTTATTGTCCACCTGGAGTGCTGGCTGGTGCTATGTCAATTGCAGCCAGGCTGTAGATTATCCGTACTGAGGTAAATTCTAGGTGAAGGAGAACTAGCTGGGTTTCTACACCAGGTGTGTTTAAACTTAACCTGGAATTTCTTAACAAGCCGCAGTTAGATGAGTGTGCACGGTGCAGAGAGGTGTTTGGTGGGAAAGGGACAGAGTTTCAAAATATGTTTTAAGGCTATATTGTAAGGATAAGGGAAAACAAGGTTTTTGTTTGAAACAAAGCAAGTTTGTTTCAAAGTTGCATCTTAAGACTAAAGAGAAAGGAGAAAAATGCATTTTAAAATACATTTCAAAGCTAAAATTCTCAGTTACATGTCCAGTCTACTGATGAGCCAATTGAGAGCATTATTCATTCCTGTTATTGTGTTTTGATTTCTGCATTTCCTTTTAATTCTGAGAGTCTTCATCTCTGTACTTAAATTATTCATCTTTTTCTTCATATTATCTACTTTTTCCATCAGAAAAAGCATATCAATTATCAATTAGCATATCAATTATTTTAAATTCTCTGGTTATTTCAACATCTGTTTTATATACTCTAGTTTTGATAACTGCATTTTATCTTTACAGTATTTTATCTTGCCTTTATCATGTCTTGTAATTTTTTGTTGAAAGCTGACCACATTGCTTAGGGTAATAGGAAATGGGGTAATAGGCATGTAGTGTGAGGATTTCTGTTAATCTGGCTAGGAGTTGGGCTGTGTTTATTGTTTGATGTAGTTATAGGTATCACAGGCTTCAAATTCCTCTATAGTCCTTGTTTTTGTCTTTCCTCTTGATTTTGGGCTCCCCTGAGTACTACTTAGGAAGAGTCTATGTCTTGCAAATCCTTCCGCTATAATACAATTATTATATTGAAGCCCGGTTGGTGTGGTGGTAAGGCAGGGGAGAGGAGTGCTGTTCTATAATCTGATTAAATTGTAGTCTTTCAGTGGGTTGATGTGTTGGGACTGTAATTTTCCAAATCCAATCATGTAGCTTTTGACCATTCCCTACTTCCTTTAACCCTTCCCTGGCTACAATATTCTCAATCTGTTTCCTTAAAGCTTTGGCTCCTGATGACTATGTTTCCCACTCCCCGCCCCACCCCCACTTAGGCTTAGGTGACACAGGAATGCTTGAGGATGATCCAGTTGGGAGAAACTTTCTGTGCCTGCTGAGGTGAAGTTTCAAAATTGAGTTCTGGCAAAATCCTTGGAGAGTAGGCATTGATTGTACAGAGGGTCTAGGCCTATTTCAAAATGGCTATTTTCCCAAAACCAAGGGATTTTTCTCAAATCCTAACTATGAGAACCTGGTAGAATTCCTAGAGGGAAATTCCACAAAAGTGTGGTGAGGTCTCCTAAAATGGTAGCCCTAGGAGTTTTTCATTCTCAAGCTAATTCACACTTTGCCTCCCCCAATTCATTAACATTACCATTTCAGTGTTCCTGCCAGTTTATAGCTCCATTAACTTCTACTCCAGTTCTCAACTGTTGTATTTCACTAAGCATTCCCAAGTCTCCAGGTTTCAAGTTGCCAATATGACCTGTGACCATAGTTCTCTGATTGACACCAGCTCAGCTTTTTCTTGTTTTAAGGATAAGAGTGTCAGCTTTTAAGATGTTTAGTGTCAGAGCTCTAAAACGTGTATTTTTTATTTCACAATATATCTTGAAGTCTATCATGTAACCATGTAATCTCCTACAACATAATTAATGCCTATGTGGCATTGTACAAATTTACATTGTTGATTAAACCATTTAACCATTTTTGGGCATTTTTCATTACTACAAATAGCCTCATGATAAATATATTTGAAGCTAAGTAGATATGTTTACAAATCTATGATTATTTCCTCATTATACATGATTATAAATAAAACTTACAGGTCAGAAGGTCTTTATATTTTCAAATCCATTATTGAATATTGCTAAATTACTCTCCAGAAGATTTTACTAGTTTATGCTCCTTCTAGTCATTGAGAGGCCCTGATTTTCTGCACTTTTATTAGCACTGAATGTTTTACATTTGTAGATTCACATTTTATGTTTTTGTTTTGAATTGCATTTTTCTGATTGCCAATGAACTTGAGTATTTCAAAATATGTTTTAATATATTTTCTACTTTTTTAAAATTTGAAATTCCTGTTGATTTAATTGTTCATTTATATAATTTGCTCTTTTTTGGCTTTACAAATTTTAAATATTTAATCAATTCTTTTGTTTCATTTTTCATTTTCTTTTCTTTTTGCCTCAAATAGCTAAACATATTCTTTCAATTACGATGATGTTAAAACAGGACACAGTTAATTAAAGTTGAGTGGAATTTCAGAATACTCTTCCTGGAATAGGAAGAGTACCTATCTTAGGCTAACAAAGAGTATACTATAGACTCAGCTAAGCCTTTGCTGAGAATAACTATCCCTACCCTAAACCTGAAAGTTTCCTTGTATTTTCTCATCCTATCCACATAACGTACAAACAATTGTTTTTGCACACTAAGTAGCGTACCTTTTTCACACACTTAGGTAGCATACCTAAGGGCCTCTAGTTTTCAATTTTGAAAATATAGGCTATCTAATAAATATGTGTAGTATTCACTGTGTTGAATTACTGTAAGCCTAGGGCCTTATATTAGTGCAGTAATAATACTGAGTTAAACTCCAACAAGATAAGGTGAAACGTGGCAGCAAGCAAATTGCTTAGGTGGTAGACATGAAACATACATGTCATGCTTCTGCTATTTTGTGAACAGATAATTTGGTCTGACATAAAGTTTTAAGTGTTCATATGGCATTAATATGAGTCAGCTACAATAGTGGTAGCTGACCATGAGGAATGGTATTGTGTTTTGTATCATGCCTGGTCATGACTGATAAAGAGGAAATTTTATTTTTAAATTTAATTACTAACATCAGGCCTGTTATTCTAAATGTAAGATTTTTATTATCATAAAAATAATATTCATTATAAGAAGCAAATGAGAGACAGAAATGATGAGAGGGCGAACTTCCAAACTTAAGCATAGGCTAACAGCTTTGGTGAGGATGAAATGGGCTTTTGTGCAGCTTGGAGCAAATTGTATGCATTACTTTGGTATGAGCCTGGAAATTGAAGCCATTGGGTTGGATCAAAATGCTTAATGTCTTTCAGAATGAATACAAGAAAAGACATTAAATCTAAGAAATATCTTTCCTTCTACAATTTATTGCTCAGTTAACATTTAATTATTACTCTGAATAGTCAAGATTGCTATTCTAACATTCAAAAGAAGTTTAAGTGAATATGTTTGCAACCATGAAATGAAAATATTTGCATGCATTAGGGATTATTTACTTAAAATAAATACCAAGAAAGTGAATTTATAGATGAAAAAAAGTATGCATATTCCCACCTCATCTTGAATTCCTTAGTAGATAAACATCTTGAAGGCAGTGCTCTGTTTTACTCATGTATTATCCTCATTGCCTAACACATCTTACAGTTGAGGAAACCAGAGTCAGAGAGCTTAAGTAATTACTTAATTAATGTTAAGTGAAACAAATCGGTTAGTGAAAAAAACTTTGAAAGATTAAAGGGAAGAAAAAAGATCTTTTGAAACAGGCCACATCACACATATACCCTGGAATACTATGCAGCCACAAAAAAGAATGAGTTCATGTCCTTTGCAGGGACATGGACGAAGCTGGAAACCATCATTCTCAGCAAACTAACACAGGATCAGAAAACCAAACATCGCATGTTCTCACTCATAAATAGGAGTTGAACAATGAGAACACATGGACACAGGGAAGGGAACATCACATACCAGGGCCTGTCAGGTAGCAGGGTCAAGGGGAGGGAGAGCATTAGGACAAATACCTAATCCATGCAGGGACTTAAAACCTAGATGACGGGTTGATAGGTGCAGCAAACCACCATGGCACATGTATACCTATGTAAGACACCTTCATGTTCTGCACATGTATCCCAGAACTTAAAGTAAAATAAAAACAAACAAAAAAAACAGGCCACACAACTTAAGCTATAAATAGTTGCACAATTATCTTTAGTCTTAATCTTATGGTGACATTGATTGATTATTTTTTATCCTCTTGACTTAATTATTTCTGATGCAAAAGTGGCTGGATATTGCTAAAATTAATTATAATACACTGTTAAAATAAATATAACAACATATGTATAAAGAGACACATATTTCCAAATACCCACCTAGGATTCCACTTAGTACGAGTGCCATCTCAAGTGCTGCTTTGAAAAAAATGGGATATTTACAAATACATCATTGGATATTTTAACACATCATTCATTCAGTAGACATGCAGAATATCTTTTGTATAATACTTGTGATAAATGCTATAAGAACCAGAAAATAATAGAAAAACTGGTCTTTCCCCTCAAATAAGTTACAGTATAGTTGGATCAGAAGTACAGAGTTGAAATATCTGAAGAATGCTAGTACAGCTCCAAATAGTAATAAATATAAATATAAATATTTCTCATCGAACTCAAATGTGTGGACAACTTGTTGGCTTGAGGAACAAAGTCAATCAGTAAAGCTTTAAGAATGGAGGAATGATTGGAAACGGTAAATTGGCACCTGAATTTGAGAAGAAATTAGAGTTATAAATTGGCAAAGATGTGGGAAGCAAATACATTAATTATAGTATTGTTGTATTCAAAGGCAAGAAAGTTGTTGAAAGAACAATTTTGTAGAGAACAGAAGGGATATTCACCTGATTAAATGAGAATGAGGTTAGCAAAAAAAAAAAAAAAATGAGAAGGGAGTTGACTAAGCAGCAATCCAATGAGGGCTGAGACCACAGGGAAACTGCATGATGGTGGCAAGAGCAGCACATTTCTAGCTCACATGAATCAGAGAAAGCCAGGAAAAAAGAAATGGGAGTAGATTATCGCAGTGTCATTTTGCAGAAAAAGGATCAGCCCTTCAAAATATCAGAAGAAAGATATTTTGAGACTGCTGATTCTGGATGATTCAATGTGTGTAGTGTGCTGTGTGTGTGTGTGTGTGTGTGTGTTTCTTGGAAGAAATATAAGTAATAGTATCCAATTGATTACTTGAGCACTGAATACTCTTTTGGATTAATAATTTAAACCATAAAATACATCATCTCACCAACTTCACGCTGCTAACTCCATTTAGACACATGATATGGCTTAAATAATTTACGTTAGCTATTATATATGTATTTTTTGTATAACTGTGGTGCAAATATTATTTAATTCAGAACCACTTGATTTGCACCAAGGGCTTATCATTCATTTTTTTTTACCTGCACATCAGCAAGTTAATATGAGTTCTGAAGTTATTTGGTATTCTTTATACATGAATGATCTCTGAATAGAAGTATGAGAAAGCACCCTATGGAGACAATGAGGAAAAACTCAGGCTTTCAAACAATGAGACAGCCTGATTTTAGAGGGCCATTCTAAGTAAATCACCTGAATTTTCACAGTGTTCTTACCAGTCTTGATTTTTATTCATGTAAAAATATAGCATTTTCTAAAATTGTTGCAACAAAATTCTGAGATATAAAATGATGTTTATATCTTAAAAAATTAAACAACATATACTAATTATTTCTTTTTTTTTGCATATCACTTATTCCTAATCATCAAGGTTTTAAATCTCAACACCAAGTTACTAAAAAGTTATTTCTCAATTCTTTTAAACTTACCATAAGAAGTGTAATATTTTCCATGAAAAGATTCCCAATTTAAGAAAGGAGTGCAATGGAATTTTTTTTAGCTTATAAAAAGTGAGATAAAAAGCTCTGGAGTTCTTTAATTAGTTGTGAGTAAAACCTTGGGGTTGGCCATGAGGGTAATGGACAAAGGCAATCAAGGAAGGGACTTATGGTAACAATGATGAAAATGTAAATGGCAGACATTAGGGGAAAAGGAACCTGCATCTGACAGGGTGGCTTGAACACATCCATCAGTTTCAACAATACCTGCCACAAGCAATGAATATTATCCTAGTAATATGATAGCAACCTTGGTGGTGCCATCTCAGATCAAGTTAGCCATCCCCAGTACAGTTGCATGGGTAAGTTCCTCACAGGCATATTTTACTTTAAAACATTGATGCTGACAACATTAGAATCCACTCGTTTTTTCCTTTTAATTTGTCATAGTCTCGAGGATTGCTGTTTGAGCATGGATGATAAATATAGAAATCTTGTCAAGTCATGCACAAAACTGAACAAGCATTGCATCAATGCTAGCAGTCTATCTCCTTGATAGAACACTACATTGGGTAAAAGGAAAAGCAGAATGTGCTGATCACATTAAGATCATATTTCTGAAAAATAAGTCAAAAACTGACAGAAACACAAGTAGGCCTTTTTAAAGCTAATAAAAAAGACACAGTGAAGTTATAAAATGTAATTGACAAGATTGAAATAATAGTGAATAAATATATTACTTTTGATAACAGAATGGAACCTAATTTGAAATGTCAATGGGAATGATGAGATGAGATCACTGTTCTTTCTATAATATGTGATTAGATACACAGAAAATAAAAGAATCAATTGAAAATGTTGATGATAAATTAACAAGAATGTCCCAGCCTTGGCAACATAATGAGACCCGATCTCTAGAAAAAAAAATTTTTTTAAATCACCTGCATATGGTGGTTTGTGCCTGTAGTCCCGGCTTCTCAGGAGGCTGAGGTGGTAAGATGGCTTAAGTCTAGCAATTTGAGGTTGTGGTTAGCCATGATTGTACCACTGCACTCCAGCATGGGTGACAAAAGGAGATCCTGTCTCAAAAAAAAAAAAAAAAAGTCCAATAAATTGGCTGGATAAAACCTGAGTGGAGTCAATTGTCATTATTCTTGATTCTGTCTTTGCAAATCTGCCTATTAACTCAAATTTATTTGTAACCCCCAAATCAATGCTTGCCATGTTTTGTGTTAATTTGCAGATGTGCACAGGGTGGCAAAAATTTTGAGTGGCACATTCAAATTTTGGGTGGCACATTCCTGGCTGAGGTTAAACAAGGCAAGCCTCTGCCTTCTTGTTTCAGCTCTCATATTGTAAACAAGTGTGCCTTTTGTGAGGTATTTAATACCTTTTTTTTTCATTTTTGTGGTTTTTTCTTAGTGATTTCATTAATTAAAATGATCCCAAAGTGTAGTGCTGAAGTATAGTCTACTGTTGCTAGGCACAAGAAGGCTGTGATGTACCTTATAGAGGAAATACATATGTTAGATCAGATTTGTTCAGGTATAAGTTATAGTGCCATTGGCCGTGAGTTTAATGTTGATGAATCAATAATATATGCTAAATAAGGTGTCTTTAAACATAAAAACACATGAAACAAGGTTATAAACTGACTGATGAAAATATGGTACCAGAAGTTTTCAGAAACCTAACCCTATATTTTTCCTAGAGTCACAGACTCAATATTTGCGAATTCACTGTTCACAGTGACCTTAAAGAACATAGGTACTGTGAATAATGATAATCACCTATATATCAAAACCCACATCATCTATGGCTAATAGCAGGTTTGGAAGTACAATATAAAAATATTCAAGTGAAAATAGCAACACAGATATACTAATATAACAATGAATTTAAAATCATTTTGATGTTATTAAATACTTTGTTCTTTTCTTTCTTTAGAATTTACATGGCCTGAGGACAGATAATATCAGATTTAATGCTACAACCCCAGATCCTGAAGAGTGTCTGGCACATATAAGGAACCCAGTTAGTGGCTAGTATTATTGCTTTCTGTTGGAGTTTTGCCTTATTTTATTTTTTATACTAGTTTTAGAATTATGAACTAAATGATGAGATTTAAAAATTGTACTAGAAAAGGGAAGTGACTAGTGACTATAGGGTCAACTTTATAAGAGCAATAGAAAAAAATGTAGTGAGAAATGCAGAGCAATTTAACTCACATGCAGTTCTACAAATTAAAACACACAGTACAAAATTAATTGACAAGAGGAGAGAGAATTCAGAAAACGGCAGAATAGGAGGCTCCTGACCATTTCTCTTCCCACAGACACATCAAGTAAACACCTACACATGGATCAGTTCTCTCAGAGAGAAAGTCAGAATGCAGTTGAAAGACTCCTACACAAAAAAAGCCTGAGAAAATATCCATATCAAAATGAACAGAAAAAGTGAAGAAACACTCATACATGAAACTCCACCCTGAGCACAGCACCTCATAATTGAGAAGGAAACCCCAACTCCCACCTTTCTGTTGAAGGGTGAAGGAACATGTAGTACCCAACTTTTAAAGTCCCTGCCAAAGGGCTTGGATCTTAAATCATTATGCTTGAGGATAGGCAAGAATAGGACATTGAAAGATTTCCTTCAATCACAAAGAACAAAGGGGTTTTGAACCATATGAGCACTCCCAGCTGCTGCAGACCCTGGGATCAGCCTAGCTTCTACTTTTCTTCTGAAAAAGTTTTGACCACGTGCTTTCCTATTAGTTCCCTATTGTTCTTGCCTCCAATGAGCACTATTTGGAAGCTTACCTAGCTAATAAAGAATAAAGCCCTTTGAGCATAAACGGGAGGGATGCTATTCCTCACACCTTCTTCCCTGGCTTGCTCCAATGATAATTCCAGCTCTAGAAACTCTCCATGAAGAGTGACTGGAGGTCTCATACAGCAAGAATAGGAGGGAGGACATCTCTGCATCCTCTTCTCTGGCTTCCACCTTAAATAAATTATTGAGATAAAGTTCTCCAATTTCTCATTTAGGGAGGCTGAGGAATCTACATGTGCCTGAAGGAGAAAGGAGACACTTCTTGTGCCTTTTCTCCTGGCTTCAGTGATAACTCCAGACGAGGAATATCCTCCGGCTAGGAGGGTGTAAGACTTATAATTGCTTGAACCAGAGAGTGGGCACTCCCAGCACTTTTTTCCCTGGCTTGTCCCAGAAATACCTCAAGATCTGCAGACTTTCTCTGGAATTAGTTTCTGCCTGCATGCAGTGCCCCAACTTTTACATCCTTCATCCAAAGGACTGGCTCCTAAGTCACCTGGCTCTGGGATTTGTCAGAGCTCTGCACTCCTGAGTCTCCTAGACCACAAATAACACAATGGTGACAAATAAACTTTCAAACACTAAGCAGCTATCTCCCCAGGTTGAAAATGAGAAGTCTGATAAAAAGTATAGATATCTGCTTCAGATTCTCTCCTTAGTGTAGGGCAGAATAAGTAGAAGACAAACTCTTCCTCTCAGCTTCTCTGCAAGGAGAGGAGAAAGTGGAATGCACATCCCATACCCCAACGTCTGCAGCTGCATTTCAAGATACTGGCTTCTATCACACTACACTCAAGGTAATAGCACAACTTTTCATTCTCTAATTTCTTGGGTGTCACCAAGAACAAAGGCATTAGGTTGGACAAGCAAAGAGTGTTTGAGGCACTTAGAATCTCTGGCTGGGGTGATTAGGGAGGATAACCTTCTACACAAGCACAGCCTAACAAATTTGGAAGAGTTGGTCCTTTTACATAATGTGCAGAAACCAACACAGAGAATCAAGGAAAATGAAACAGAGAAATATGTCACGTATAAAAGAACATGATAAATCTCTGAAATCCAAACCTAATAAAATGGAAAAATGATTCATCTTACAGAAAACTCAAAAAAAAAAACAGTTATAAAGATGCTTATCGATGTAAGGAGAACAATGTATAAACAATCCAAGAATTTTATTCTTTTAATAATTAACTGTTTGAGTGAGGGTTCTTAAGTTAAACCACCCCGATTGCCCTCTGTAGGCAGAGCGCAGTTTACTTTTGTATATTCTAGGGAGACATGAAACATCAATCAACATATGCAAGCTGAACATTGGTTTGGTCTGGAAAGGTGAGACAACTCTAAGTAAAAGTGGGAAGACTTGACAACTCTAAGTAAAAGTGGGAAGACAACTCTAAGTAAAAGTGGGGAAAGGACTTCCAGGTCATAGGTAGATAAGAGACCAATGATTGCATTATTTTGAATTTCTGATTGGCCTCTCAGAAGGAGACAATCTGATATTCATTTATCTCAGTGAGCAGAGAGGTGACTTTGAATAGAATGGGAGGTAGGTTGGTCCTAAGCAGTTCCCAGGTTGACTTTTCCCTTTAGCTTAGTGATTTGGGGGCCTCAGGATTTATTTTTCTTTCACAAGTAGCATAAAAACCACTTAGGAGTAAATTTAACAAAGAAGATAAAAGATCTATACACTGAAAAGTATAAAACATTGATGAAAGAAATTGAAGAAGTCACAAATAAATGGAAAGCTATCCATGTTTATGGATTGAAATAATTAATATGATGTCCCTAATACCCAACATGATCTACAAATTCAATAAAATTTCTCTCAAAATGCTAGTGTCATTTTTTTCACAGAAATAGAAAAAAAAATCTAAAATTGGGTTAAAACCAGAAAAGATCGTGAATAGCTAAAGAAATCTTGAGCTAAAAGAACAAAACTGGAGGCATCACATTTTCTTATTTCATAATATATTATAAAGCTATTGTAATCAAAACAGCATTGCACCGGCATAAAAGCAGACTAATGGAAAAGACATAGACTAATGGAAAGGAAAGGAAGCCCAGAAATAAACTTAATTATTCACAGTCAATTGATTTTTATTAAAGGTTTCAAAAACATACAATGGGGGAATGGCAGTCTTTTCAATAAATAGTGTTGTGAAAACATGATATTCACATGAATAAAAATAAAACTGGACCTTTATTTCACAACATATACAAAAATAAACTTAAAACAGATAACATATTTACATTTAAGACCTGAAATTGTAAAACTACTAGAAGAGAACATACACACACAAAAAAACTCCATGACATTGGTCTTGGAAATTATTTCTTTGATAGGGTTCTAAAAGCAAAGGCAACAAAAGCAAAAACAGACAAATGGG
Organism: Homo sapiens; assembly: GCF_000001405.40. Taxonomy (NCBI): domain Eukaryota; kingdom Metazoa; phylum Chordata; class Mammalia; order Primates; family Hominidae; genus Homo; species Homo sapiens. The sequence goes on along the minus strand of NC_000006.12, from coordinate 77,389,597 downwards.
ATTACATCATAATAAAAAATGCTTCTGCACAGCAAAGGAAACAAGAGATTGAAGAGACAAACCAAGTATTGAGGGAAAATATGTGCAAACCATACATCTGATAAGGTGTCTGTGTAAGGTGCTCAAACAAGTCAATATCAAAAAAATCAAATAATTAAAAGATGGACAAAAGATCTTAACAGGCATTTCTCCAAATAAGCAATATGAAGGGCCAAAAATATGTTAAAATGCTTAAAAGTCTCTAACTATCAGGGAAATACAAATTAAAACCACAGTGAGATATGACTCTATACCTTTCAGAATGGCTGTTATCAAAAAGATGAAAGGTAACATGTGTTGGTGAGAATGTGAACAAAAAGGGGAACACTTGTACACTATTAGTAAGAATAGCCATTTTGGAAGATGGTATAGTGTTTACTCAAAAACTAAAAATAGAATTACCATTTGATCTAGCAGATTTCACTTCTGTGTATATATCCAAAGGAATTGAAACTGGTATATTGAAGAGATATCTACACTCTCATATTGATTTCAGCATTATTCACTATAGCCAAGATATGGAAGCAATCTAAGTGTCCATTAACAAATGAATGGATAAAGAAAAACGTGGTATATATGCATGATGGAATACCATACAACCTTAGACAATAAGGATATTCTGCCATTCAGGAAACATGAATAAAACTGGACAACATTATGTTAAGTTAAATAGGCCAAGCACAGAAAGACGAATATGGTCTGTATGACCTCATTTATATGATCTGATTTACATGGCAAATCTAAAAACAGAGGAACTCACAGAAGCAGAGAGTAAAAAGGTAGTTACCAGAGGCTTGGGATGAGGTGGGGGAAAGGAGGATCAAAGGGTACTAAGTTGTACTCTTCATTGATGAAAGGGTACAAAGTTTCAGTTAGACTGGAGGAATATGTTCTAGTTGCACTGCATGATGTTCATAGTTAACAATAATGAATTTTATATTTCAAAATCGCTAAAAGAAGAGATTCTTAACATTACCACAAAAGTGGATAAATTGATATGGTGATGAATATATTAATTGTCTTAATTGTATCTTCCAATACTGTATGTGTACATCAAAACATCACATTGTATCCCATAAATATACACAATTATTATCTGTCAAAGAATCAATAGACAAGGAACGTTTTACAAAGCAGTAAATACAAATATATATGACTAAAAGGGACTAGATGTATTTATATATATAAATCTCTCATAAAAAATAATTAGAAAACTACAGTGTCAATAAACATATACAAAAAAGGCAGACTACATAAGAGGAAATGCAAATTGATAAAACTAAAAAAAAAATTAACTTCATTTATAACCAGAAAGCTCAAATGATAAAAAACAGTGAATTCAAATTTCTGAGGCCTATCAAACAAACAAAATTGTGTGTTTTTAAGTAAGGTTAATGAGCACTGGAAAATTAGGACATAGCACAATGAACATTCTCATCTACTGTTACAAATCGGTTTGAGGTGGAGCTGAAAAACTATTATAAAAGGTTTATGCCCCATACAGAGGAAAACTACTCAAGGATGTTCATATTAGCGTTATTTATAAAAGCTGAAAATTAAGATCAAACTATACTCCGGTAAAGGAGAAAAACTGTGAGAATCATGTTATATCTACCTAATGGAAAGGTATACATTAATTAAAAACATTGTTTATGACAGCTTTTAATAATATGGGGTAAATGCTTAGGTCAGTTTATGCATTCTGCTGAATAGTAATGCTTTGGTTTAGAAATTAATGTTATAGATATAAAGGTTGCCATTATTGAATCATTTTGAGAAACTGGATTAATTACACAAACACATACACACCACACCCCCCCGCCCCAACACACACAGACACACTTAATGTTCCTTTTCTGGAAGGTTTCTCAAAGCCCCTTATATACCATGCATTTTATTAACAAAAATCACTGGCATAAATATCAATAAACTTACATTTTAGAAGAAAATGACATCACAGGAAATAAACAGAAAACTTAAAGTCATAATAATTATCATTCAGGCATTTTTTTAAGTTTACAAAGGATTTTCTCCAAAACAGATACAGTTCATTTATTTATTTATATGAGCTTTGTAAATATTAATATGTTTTTACTTTTTACAATTAACTGTTTGAGTGAGGGTTCTTAAGTTAGACCACCCAGATTGCACAGATTTAAATCTCTGCTAAGAGACTAATCATCTGTGTTCCTTTGCATTGTTACTTTTTCTTTCTAAAATTAAATTTTCTTACTTGTAAATTGAGAACAATAATAGTAAAGCCTGTCTTACTTTTTATTATGTTTTAAAAATTAAATGAAGACTAAAGCTTTTAGCAGAAGTAAATAATGTGTGTTAGCAATTATTATTATTATTTCCAATTACTAATGAAACAGAGAATTGAAGATTCTAAAGAACTTGGCCAAATATAAATAGCCACAATTCCAACTTATACCTTCTCTGATTTCAAACTCATTGTTAATCCAATTGCACATAATGCCTTAGAAAATTGTAGGATTGAAATGACCTAGAGGTAGAAAATCAGAGTATAACCCAAGCATTTTGATATAACACTGATTATTTTTCACAATTTTTTGCTTCTTCCAAATATCCTTTTCCTTTTTTTCATGACCAAAGTGCACCTCTCCTAAATGAATTCTTATGGTGGTACTCCTGCTTATCTTTGTCTTCAGCACTTGTTTTGTGGACACTAATAACCAGACAGTGGGTTTTAAGCCCATGGAATTAACCAAACTAAGCAGTCTGAAATTAAATTAAACAAATTAAAGCATCTCTTCTGAAGTGTGGTGTTTCTAAAGATATAAATGCTTCTTTAAATGTTTAAGAGAAGACAGTTAAATTCTCTTACTTGCTTTTGCATTCAATCTGTTCTATTATCACATTATCAACATTGTCACATAACATGTAGTCTCTGGAAAACTTCACTGAATAGTTGTGAGAGAATAAGAATGAAAAAGACAAACAATGTCTTAGTATTATTATGAAAATAATTTTTATATAAAGGATCTCCAATCTGCCATTGAGAACCACTGATTTAAAATACATGTAGGTAAGATATAGAACATAGAAAGTTTATAAATATGTAAAACAAGTTCTTTTTCCAGTAACAGTATGGTTCTCTTTATTTAAAAATTTAGTATTAACCTCTAAGTATGTACCAGCTATTATTTTAGAAGCTGTATATAAAGATTAGTTACTCGGATTATCTAATTTTAAGGGACTTAATAGTATAAGAAAAGGGAATCACAGGTTTGAGAAAAAATGAGAGAGAACATATTAAATGCCATAAAATGGCCCACAAAATACCAGAAAGATTCAAAGAAATGATCACATCCATTTGGGGAGGTTAAAAAGGCTTCCCATTTCTGAAAAATCAGTAGAATTTTGACACTATGTAATGTTTCTTGATAGTATATTTTCAGCCACTCACTGTTATAGGAACTTTGCATGTACCAAGTCATTTAATTCTAGTAACAACTCTCTGAGGCAAGCAGTGTGGTACCTGTGTCTTTAATAAATACAGTTATTATTTTTCCAATGGGAATTTTAAAAATGTGTATGTGTACATGAGTGTGTGTTATGAGAGGTCAGTCAGAAGAGGATTGGGTAATGTAGTTCTAATTAGATAGATTATAAAAAAATTCAAAGAAAAATGGTAAAATGTAAGCTTAAAAAGTAATTTCAGGCCAGGTACTGTGGCCATGGCTTGCACATGTAATCCTGGCACCTTAGGAGGCCAAGATGGGAGGATCACTTGAGTCCAGGACTTAGAGACCTGCCTGGGCAACATAGTGAGATCCTTTCTCTAGGAAACGATTTTTTAAAAATTCGCTGGGCATGGTGGTGTGTGCTAATAGTCCTAGCTACTTGGAAGGCTGAGGTGGGAGAACCGCTTGACCCGGGAGTTCTAGGTTACAGAGAGCTATGATTGTACCACTGCACTCCAGCCTTAGCAACAGAGTGAAACTCTGTCTCTAAAACCAAAGAAAAAAATAATTTCAGATTATACTTTGGGGACTCTTGATCAATAGATTAAGAGTTACACAGAATTAGACAAGCAGTAGAAAGATACTGAAGACATTGGGAAGACTACTAAAGTGATGAAAACTAGGAATCAGAAACATTAATCTGGCAACACAGTATAAAATGGATTGGAAGAGCTGGACACATTGAAAGTTATTTTGCTATAGAGATTGAGAATGAGCCAAAGGGGTCTAGAATTTGGATTGAGTTGTGGCAGTAAGAACAGAAATAAAGCCATGGTGGAAGCAGAATGTACAGGGCCCTGTACTTAATGAGATATTCAATGTTTTTATTTTTTAATTTTTTTTATTTTTTTAAATTTTTTTGAGACAGTTTCGCTCTTGTTGCCCAGGCTGGAGTGCAATGGCGCAATCTCAGCTCACTGCAACATCCGCCTCCTGGGTTCAAGAGATTCTCCTGCCTCAGCCTCCCAAGTAGCTGGGATTACAGGCATGCGCCACCACATCCAGCTAATTTTGTATTTTTAGTAGCGACGGGGTTTTGCCATGTTGGTCAGGCTGGTCTCGAACTCCCAATCTCAGGTGATCCCCCCGCCCCCCCGCCTTGGTCTCCCAAAGTGCTGGGATTTCAGGCATGAGCCACCGCGCCTGGCCCGATATTCAGTGTTTTTATATGTGCTGGAAGGGGATGAACGGAGGGAGGTGGTGATGAGAAAAGTGAAAAACAATATCCTATATGTTAATCTGAGCCATGGCTTTCCAAACCTCATTTGAAGCTGTTTGATCTCCGTTTGCAAGACTAGCAGTTTCAATTTGATTTTGTTATGTTTTATTATGTTATTTTCCATAATTTATTTTTTATTGTGGTAAAATACACATAATACAAAATTTACATCTTATTTTTAAGTATATAGTTCAGTGGTATTAAATACATTCAGAATATTCCTGCAACCATTATTACCATTCATCTTTATAATTCTTTTCTTCTTATAACATTAAAACTCTGAACCCATGAAACAATAACTCCCCATTTCCCGTCCCCTTCCAGCCCTTGGAGACCACCATTCTACTTTCTGTCTGTATGATTTTTGACTACTTTAGCTACCTCATTGTGATGGTTAATATTAGGTGTCAACTTGATTGGATTTGAAGGATGAAGGATGCCTAGATAGCTGGTAAAATGTGGTTTCTGGGTGTATCCGTGAGGGTATTGCCAGAGGAGATTATCATCTGAGTCAGTGGACTGGGAGAGGAAGACCCACCCTTAGTGTGGGTGGGCACCATCCAATCAGCTGCCAGTGTGGCTAGAACAAATCAGACAGAGGAAGAAGGGATAAACTGGCTTGCTGAGTTCTGTCTTTCATCTTTCTCCCATGCTGGATGCTTCCTACCCTTGGACAGCAGACTCCAGGTTCTTTGGCCTTTAGACTCTTGGACTTACACCCATGGTTTGCCGGGGGCTCTCAGGCCTGTGGCCATAAACTGAAGGCTGCACTGTTGGCTTCCCTACTTTTGAGGCTTTTGGACTCAGACTGAGCCACTACTGCTTTCCTACCTCCTCAGCTTGCAGACGGTGTATTGTGGGACTTCACCTTGTGATCCTGTGAGTCAATTTTCCTTAATAAATGCCCTTTAATATACACATGTATGCTATTAGTTCTGTTCCTCCGGAGAAACTTAATGAATACACTCATATAAGTGGAATAATATAGTATTTGTCTTTTTGCGGCTGGCTTATTTCACTTAGCATGATGTCCTCAAAGTTCATCCATCTTGTAGCATATGTCAAAATTTCCTTCCTTTTTAAGGCTGAATAATAGTCCATTGTATGTATATATAACATTTTGTTATCTATTCATCTTTCAATGGATACTTCTATTGCTTCCATCTTTTTGTATATATCCAGATGTGAACTTGCTGCATAATATAGTAATTCTATTTTTAATGTTTTGAGGAACTTCTGTACTACTTTCCACAGTGGCTATACTATTTTTACATTTCCACCAACAGTGGAAACTCTCCATTCCCTCATCAGCAGGAAGTAGCCAGAAAGAACACGCCCCCTGGTCCTTTTTATAACTATAGGGATGGATTTACAGAGCAGGAGCGAGGAGCGTCACCATCTTGGACAAGCGCTGCCATTTTAAAGTTCACCTTGATCAAAAACTGCCTAAATCCAAAGGGCATCAGCCTAATGGCTAAGGTCAGCTTGACCATAAGTCACAAATAACATCTATGACCAGAAACATTCCAAACATAAGATAAACCCCTCCCCTACCAGAGACAGGCCTGCCCTAAGATAACCTCCTCTCTGGTCAGAGAGATGTCAGCCCCAAGATAACCTCCCCTCAGACATTCCAACTCCACCATCAACTTCTCCCCCACACGAAACATTCCAGGCCTGGGTTGCAAGATAACTCTCTCACCCTGAAACCAATAAATACTCTTAGTCTATAAGAGAGTGCTCCTGACTGAAATCGGCCAGAAATCCTAAACAGTATTTCACTGTTGAGCCACTTTTTGTGTTTCTTTCCTCATTCTTTAACTCTTAAAATAAGCACATCATTGAGAGTAGGGTATCCATCCTCTCAAGCATTTATCCTTTGTGTTACAAATAATCCACTTATATTTTAAAGTTATTTTAAAAATACAATTAGTATTGATTATAGTCACCCTAATACTAGGTCTTATTTATTTTTTCTTTTTTTTTTTGTACCCATTAACCATCCCCAACTCCCCTACAACCCCCACTACTCTTCCCAGCCTCTGGTACAATACTTCTACTTTCTACGTCCTTGAGTTCAAATGATTTATTTTTAAATCCCACAAATAAGTGAGAACGTGATATTTGCCTTTCTGCACCTGACTTACTTGACGTAGTTATCTTCAGTTCCATCCATGTTGTTGCAAATGACTGGATCTCATTCTTTTATATGATTAAATAGTACTCTATTGTGTAGATGTACAATATTTTCTTTATCCATTTATCTGCTGATGAACACATAATTTGCTTCCAAATCTTAGCTATTTTAAACAATGCTGCAACAAACATAGGAGTGCAGATATCTCTTTGGTATACTGATTTCCTTTGTTTTGGGTATATACCCAGCACTGGGATTGCTGGATCATATGGTAGCTCAATTTTTAATTTTTTGAGAAACTTCCAAACTTTTTCCACAGTGGTTGTACTAATTTACATTCCCACCAACAGGGTATCAGGGTTTCCTTTTCTCCACATCCTCACCAGCATTTGTTATTGTCTGTCTTTTGAATACAAACCATTTTAACTGGGGTGGGATTATATCTCATTGTAGTTTTGATTTGCATTTCTCTGATGATCAGTGATGTTGAGCACATTTTTATATGTCTGTTTGACATTTTTATATCTTCTTTTGAGAAATGTCCATTCAAATATTTTGCCCATTTTTTTGGTCAGATTATTAAATGTTTTTCCTATAGAGTTGTTTGAAATCTTTATATATTCTGGTTATTAATCCCTTGTCACAGGAGTACTTTGCAAATATTTTCCCTCATTCTGTGGGTTATCTCTTCACTTTGTTGGTTGTAACCTTTGCTGTGCAGAAGCTTTTAAATCTGATGTGATCCCTTTTGGCCATGTTTACTTTGGTTGCCAGTGTCTCCTTTTATTTGCATTTTTCTAATGATTTATATTGTTGAGCATCTTTTCATGTGCTCATTGGCCATTTGTATGTCATCTTTGGAGAAATGTTTATTCAAGTTCTTTGCTGATTTTTTAATCAGGTTGTTTGCTTTTCACTGTTGAGTTTTAGGAGTACTCTATATATTCTAGTTTTTTTTTATAAAATATATGATTTGCAATATTTTATTCCATTGTTTTTTGCCTCTTCACTCTGTCGATAGTGTATTTTAATGTACACAAATTTCAAAAATTTCATGAAGTTTAATTTTTTCTTTTGTTGCCTATTCCTTTTTATTTTATTTTACTTTATTTATTTTTTTGAGACAGAGTCTTGCTCTGTCACCCAGGCTGGAGTGCAATGGCATGATCTCCGCTGACAGCAACCTCCATCTCCTGGGTTCAAGCGATTCTCTTGCCTCAGCCTCCTGAGTAGCTGGAATTACAGGCACACGCCACCATGCCTGGCTAATTTTTTTTTTGTATTTTAATAGAGCCGGGGTTTCACTGCGTTGCCCAGGCTGGTCTTGAACTCCCGACCTCGTGATCTGCCCACCTTGGCCTCCCAAAGTGCTGGGATTACAGGCATGAGCCACCGCGCCTGGCCCGCCTATGCCTTTTTAAAAAGATTTTTTAAAAGTATATCTTTAAAATAATATCTTAAAAGTGATAACTAAGAAATCACTTTTATTTTTTTGATGTCAACTCTTTTGTATTTTATTTCATTATTTTTATTTTATTTTATTTATTTTAAATTATACTTTAAGTTCTGGGATACATGTGCAGAACGTGCAGGTTTGTTACATAGGTGTACGTGCACCATGGTGGTTTGCTGCATGCATCAACCCATCATCTACATTAGAAATCACTTCTAAATTGAATGCTGTGAACCCTTTGCCCTATGTTTTTTTCTTATAATTTGATAGTTTTAGGTGTTAAATTTAGGTCTCTGATCCATTTTTAATTATTTTTTAAATACAGTGTTATATAAGGATTCAACTTTATTGATTTGTACATAGATATCCAGTTTTCCTAGGACTATTTGTTAAAAAAGATGACCTTTCTCCATTGAATAAGTTGACATTCTGCCAAAGATTATTGGACCATATATGTGAGAGTTTACTTCTGGGCTCTATTCTATTCCATTGGACTATGTATCTGTCTTTATGCCAGTACCTCACTGTTTGGGTTACTGTAGCTTTGTAGTAAGTTTTGAAATCACTGAGGGTGAATCCTCCAGCTTTATTCTTGTTTTTCAAGATTGTTTAGGCTGATCAGGGTTCCTTGAGATTGCATATGCATTTTAGGATGAGCTTTTCTATTTCTTTATTTCTGCAAAAAAAAAATCATTGGCATTTTAATAGAAATTGCACTGAATCCATAGATTGTTTTAAGTAGTATGAACAGCTTATTAAGTCTTCCAACCCATGAACATGAGATGTGTCTATATTTATTTATATCTTCTTTAATTTCCTTTGACAATGCTTTTATAATTTTTACTGTAGAAGTCTTTCCCCTTCTAGGTTAATTCCTAAGTATCTTATTCTTTTTGATCCTGTTGTAAATAAATGTGCTTTTGTAATTACCTTTTCAGATTGCTTATTGTTAGTGTCCAGCAATACAACTGATTATTATTATGTGTTGACTTTATATTATGTTGCTTTGTTAAATTTTTATGTTAGTTCTAACAATTTTGTGAGGGTGTGTGTGTGTAGAATCTCAGTGAATTTTCTACATACAATATTATATCCATTTTTCACAAGGGTAATTTTACTTTTTTCTTTCCAATTTGTGTGCTTTTTTTTTTAACTTGCATAATTACTCTGGCTAACATCTCATTTATTTCAAAAAACATTTTTTGATTGTTCATTATGTGCAAGACATCATACCAGATGCTTCTAGGGAAATAAAGGCTAATAACATGTATTCTTACTCTTTAAGGAAGTTTATGTTTAGAAACTCGAGTGGAAACTTCATGAAAGCAAAGATTTTTGTCTGTTTTATTAATTGCTATTGTTCTTGCATTTAGAATAATGCTTAATACATAATAAGAGCTTACTGCCAATATTAATAAATAAATTAATTAGGAGGCTACTTTGAAAATGAAACAATAAAGAAAGAAGAAAGTCCATGTCTAGACAACTGCAAAATGAATAAGGAAATAGCCAGCATCTTGATTTAACATTTGGTCACTGAATATTATAGGATAAAGAGACAATTGTAAAATCCTGTCCTCCAACCTGGATCTGAGAGCAGGAGATAGGCATCATAGAGGGAATACCTTTAAAAAGATTTTTCAAAGGCATTTAACTTTCAAAGGCATTAACATCGTTAACTTACATAATTCAATTATTACTTCAACAACTTATTTAAACAAAAATTTATTGCTATCCTACATACCAAAAACTATGCTCTCTGATGAGAAAATAATGATAAAATAATATAGAAAAGTTTTTTGTTCTCATGGAACTTACATCCTAGTAAGACAAAATTACATTGTTGGGGAATAGGGGGCATATTCTGATGTATGGAAGGAAAGTAGGAGACAAGGTCTTAGGATAGAGAGTAGGGTGGGGCCTACTTAAGTAAGGAAGATCGATGAAAGCTTTCCTGAAGAGCGTGCATTTAGGTGAGGTCTGGTTCATATGCAGGATCTAGCAAGGTGGACCAAGGAAAGAGTGCTCAAGATGAATGGAAGAACCTGGGCAAGGGCATCACCTGGGGAGCAGCTTGATGTCTGTTGGGGATGTTGGCCAACCCATGACTGGGGCCTCATGACTCAGGTAGCGAGTGGCATTAGGCAGTTTACAGAGACAGGCAGATCCAGGTCATAGTGTCTTATGAGTTAGAGTAAGCATTTTAAAAATTGAAAGGGTCCCCAGAAATCATCTAATTCAAGTTACATTCAGACAAAGAGAACAAGATTCAATAATGTCACTGATGAATGACAAATGTGGGTCTTGAAAATGTGAAGATAAAAGTCAGGATTGTACTGTGATCTATTTGAAAAAGAAAACAAAGGATTTTTTAAGTGATAGAAAACTCTTTACCTTATTGACAAATTTTTTTAAAAATACAGTTTTACCAAGTCAGTTAATTGGAGTTTTAGGAGGAAATGATAAAAGGTATTCATAAAAGCCAGAGTCTTAGCTGTGCATTGTCTCATGAACCACAAATTACTATAGTATCAGAATGTAATTAAGTTCATTTGACTGGATTGTCATTGCCATTATCTACAATAGTTGAGAGAGACTGTGGATTTCTACATCAGTGGAAATAATGCTTTTTTCAATTATTTGGAAATATTATTTGTTTAAACTTCCTTCTAAAATATATTACTTCAGTTTCAAAGAATAATTTACTTAGTTGCTTAAAAACAATGATCTAATTAAGCCTGTGCATTATGAGTAAGAGAGTTACAAATGTTAAATCAATGTTCATTTTAGAATTATACTGAGGTAGCCATTACATGATTAATTTATAAATATAAAGACCTTAATTAGTAATTAAATTTCTAGCCCTTCGGTGGCATTTTATTTCACATTGTAGAAGTTTCCTCCTGTGTTTGGGCCAAAAACAGATATAACAGTTGTTCAACTAAATTGATCTAAAGGAACAGTTAAAATAACAAAGTAATCTTTAAGGGTGATTTTTGGCTCTCAAATATTATCTGGAGTCTTAAAGCCTGACTCATCTAATATAACTCCTAATGTAATGATGAAATGAAAGAACTTTTAAAAATAAAGTAGGAAGGGGAGGAAAGACACCTGAACTGTAGCTTCTAAATATATTTGATGTTAGCCAAAAAAAATATTATTTTACATTATAGCCATTATATACGTGTGTATGTATAAAATATACAGTATAATACACGTGCAATGATATCTAAAATTGTGTGTACTCTAGTAAGTGGGACACTCTAATATTTTCATATCTGCTCTTTTTAGATATATTGCATTTCATTCCATTAAAATGAAAGCTTATCTTCTTATTTTGATCAATGAAATTATCTAACCAATGGGGCGGTAACCCAGAACTTGACTATGGCACGGCATTCTAGAGAAGATAAAAAGTTAAACAAAAAGATAGAAAAGACAAGAGTGTAACTATATACAATAAAAGGGATTTTGTGCATTTCATCAAGGATCTGATGGTGAATTCATGGAGTGCTCCTTTTCCTGGGGTTTAAAAGCCCACCTGTGAGGAGGAAACTGGACAGGCAACATAGAAGACTAGGCCAGTTGCTTCCTAGCAAAATCTTATCAAAGACAGAAATAAGGGGAGGAAATAAATTGAAAGCCGTGTCTGAAGAGCAGAGGAGTAATGAATATTTGTTTAAGGAAGAATTGAAAGAGTTCCTAGTATCTTGTAAGATCTTGTGTCTGAGGAAGAGGCCTGGGAAACAGAAGGTGCAAGCAGCAAGAAGTGACTTTATTCTAAGAAAAGGGAATAGAGTATCAGTCAACAGCTGTGGATACCATGTATGGGTTTCCTAATGATGGTTCCCTATAAATTTTTAATGTCTAAATTTAGTCTACCTACTTAAAGTTTGCTATATTGTTATAGAATAATTTCTGCTAATTAAGGCACGTTATGTAATTTTGTAACAAGACTGCTTGCTGAGTGAAGGAAAAGTAGGTTACTTTCTATCTAATAATATTTCACCAAACTGGTTAACATGAGTTATCATGAAAGTTTGCATAAATATTTGAGCTACACTGAGGCTCATTTGGGGTATTTTTTATGATTGCTTGCTTTGCTATAAATCACATCCCTGCATCTCTTGTCAGAACTGAGGTAATATCAGAGATGTGAACACTGTGTAGCAAACTGCAGAAAGAAGAATAATCAGGTGATATGGTAGTTAGAGGCCTTATGTAGTGGAAAGAACATATATTCCCCTGAGACTTGTTTGATCTTGAGAATACCCTTGGACTATGAGTGAATAAGTATTGAGAGGATGCCACTGACCATGTTGGTGCCTCTGCAGTTTAGGAGGACAAGTAATAGAGGAATCCCTTGAGCCAGAGTTACCTTTAAGATCTTCTAAAGCAGGAGTCAGCAAACTTATTCTAAAAAGAGCTCCACAGTAAGTACTTTTGCTCTGTGGCCCATACGGTTTCTGTCTCACCTTCACAACCCTGCTGTTGTTGAAACAGCATTGGTAAATGGCATTGAGCCATTGGTAAACAAATAGGTATGACTGTCTTCCAATAAAACTTTTTATTTACCAAAACAAGAAGAGGACTGGTTTGGTCTCTGGGCTGTAGTTTGCTGACTCCTACCCTAGAGAGAATATGAACATAGGCAGAGCTACAGTATTTTTGTAGAAAACTATTTACTTCTTTTTTTGTGAAGAGAACTCTCATTGGCTATTAAATTGCCCAGTTATCCTCAAGTCTTGCAAAAGCTGAAAGAGGAGCAAAGCAAGAGCAGTTAGAGGCAAGTTTGCTTCCTGAGAAGCTCCACACTTAACAGCTCAGGCATTGCATGCAGCTGGATCAAAGCAATTGTACCTGGAAAGCCTCTTTGATGCTGCCTGAGAATGTATTCCTCTCTCCTTGGTGTTTATCACCTTGTTTCCCTTTCTGTCACAATTCGATATCACCTCTAGGCCAAAGAGATACTTCCCATAGCCATTGGGTCCTCTATTTGGTTCTTTATATTTCAGTTTTCCAGCATCTTCTATAATTTATTGAATCTTAACAATTTAAAAACTCAGAGGAGAAAACCACAGCCCAAGTAAGTAGGCACAAGTGAAATTGGCTCCTTACTCCAAAGACAGCTGTCTTTCCATGATACTACACTTTCCTCCTACATTCCCAATGAAAAATCCATACCCACAAATCTGCTACAATCCAATCTGCATCAATATTGAGCATGACTTTACTGTCAGCTTTGAAATGAGCAATAGTGTTTCCAGTGTCACGGCAGAGAAAATGTATTCTTCCAAAGTCCAACTCCACCTTCCTCGGATAACTAGGGAATTTGGTTCCTAAGAGAATCCTTTGGTTTCCACTTTATCTGTAGCTCAGATTCAAATAACAGTTCAGTAAGAGCTTTCTCTCCATTCTGACTTTCAGAAAGCAGAAACATACCTTGGGGATATTATAGAGACAATTTTGAACAAATGTGGTGAAATTATTTATAATCTCTAGTCTTCCCTGAACATTTTAGTTGGATGTCTTCACTGGATAAAATGCCAGATACATCAGATTTCTGAGCATGCATCACATAAAAGGACAAGTATAGTGGCTCAGAGGGCAGGTTCTGGAGCCACACTGCTTGGCTTAGTAGCTGAGTCCCTCCATTTCCTAATCTGTAAAATGGGGATAATTATAATACATCATTGGATTGTTGTGAGGATTACAGATAAAGTACTTGGAACAGTGCCTGGCATATCAGAAAAATTCAATAAATATAAGAAAAAAGAGGTCTAAGACACATATAAATAAAGGAAAAGAGGGAGGAATAGATAGTACATATTCTCATGTAAAGTTATGCTAGTTTTCCTCTGTGGATCCATTAAAATTAAATAGTTCATAAGTATTATATCATTTATTTTCTCTCTCTTTGATTTTTTCTCTTTCTCCAGTGTACAAAGAAGAATCTTTGATTTTTATGATGTCAAAAATACATTCAGAGCAAGGTAGAAAAATTTTAAAAGTTTCTTGTGCATACTCTTGGTTCATGAACCAGGAGATCTCAAGCCAAAAGTGATAAGAAGCCCTGCTCACAGCAGTTACAGCACAATTTATAAAGCAAGAAGGAGGAGGTATTTTGACCTTTTCTGCGATTGGCTGTTACATATTAATATTCTTTTTTAGGGCAAGTAGAGCTGTTTAAGCTGATCTGTCTATAGCTGATTGGTTTAATTTCACTGAATCATGCTGACAAGGATATAAAGCTTACATTTTCTGTTTCATTTATGATTAGAGCTAGCATTTGGGGGGAATCAGGACAAGTCAAATTTTTATTATACGGTTATGAGTGGTTGGCCTTTAAATATATCTGAACTGTAGCCTGTACTTTTATTTTTATTTTTTAGCAATGGGCTTCATATCATTTGAGGAAGGTGATGGCTGTTGTACTGATTTGGAAGCTTCAGTATTTGAATTGTGACTCTGTGAATCGCTTTTTATATGATGAAGTAGAAAGTGGCATCATGATCAAAAGGTGATTCCCCTTTCTGTCTCAGCTTTCTAAAGTACAAAAAAGTTTTATAATATACACCTTGGAGAATTATTGTGTATATACAGTGGCAAACACAATAAAAAAGTTCCAGTAGTTGCTCAGTAAATTAGGGATATTATAACTATTTTATTATGTTTTTAATTCTCTGGTGATCACTACTTTTCATGTGAAACTTAAAGAAAAGAACAGTAAACTAGGAGGTTGCAATCAGAAACCTGAGTTCTGGACCCACCTGTGCCAAGAACTACCTATGAGACCTTAGGCAATTCACCTGTCTTGTCTGTATATTCCTTTTCTCTTTGAGAAGATGAAGAGGTAGTGTTAACCATGTTACCCTGAGTGAGGTATGGTGAGGCCGGAGGCACATCAAAAGAGAGAAACCAGAAAGAGTTTCACAGTTTTGTTACTCACATTTCCCTGGGAAAAACACAGCCTTGCCACACTGGGAATGAGGGAAGCATGAGGCAGAGGAAGAATGGGACACTGTGAACAAGCACGTTTTTTGTGGTTTCTGCAGGAAGAAAAGGGTGATGCAGGGTAAACAAGTTCGGTATTGGCTAATTTGCATAATATCAGCTGGCTCTGGTCATAAGGTTTGCCTCTGGTTATCTGGTACCTGGCCGTGGGGCAATTAGGGCAGGTGCACAGTGGCCTGGAGTGTGAGAGTCAGATAAGGGAAGTGGTTGAGATGTGAACTTAATTGGCTACTCAAAAAAGGTAACAACTGGCCTCTAGCCAGGACCTCAAAGCTGGGTCAAGTCAGCACACAAAAAGTTGTATTACAGAAGTTAAATTAGATGAACTTAAGATCCTTTCCAGGCTTATCTTCTAATTTGAGAATCAGTAAGTTGCTTGCTTGGCAATTGTTGGGCCAGAATATACTTGCCACACATGTGCAAGCAGGGATGGCATGGTCTTTCTTTGGTGGGATCGGCCAGGACTACTAATGCTTCTGCTTACAGACTTGCCCACAGGAAGCAACGAGGATCCTTTCCTCTGGGAAAATAATCAGTCAGGAAGGTCTGGCTTGGAGGCAATAGTCATTTTGCAGCTTACAATAAGTTGAAGTTTCTCATCTTGTTCTGTGTCCTACAGACCTGTATTCCAGGAGGACTTTCTATTGACTTTCTAAATAACAGTAGAATCTGGCATCAAATGCTCAAAGGACGTTATACACTGATTACAAACTAATTGATATGTCAACCCATTCCTGAAACTGCAGTTCCCTTCAGGGTAGAAGGTAGCAAGCAGTAAGCACTGTGCAGCATCACAAAATAGCATCCTGGCTTGCAAATTAAAGACTACCTGATCTAACTCAAAAGTTGACAGAATGCAATTAATGACAATTTGAATCTAGTCTGGGGTGAAACTGCAAAGTTTAAGAGAGAGCATAGCTTAGATAATTTCTAATTTACATTGGATCTTAGTATTTTACTGGCATAATGTCTGCAATTTCCTAATTTCTGTACTTTGAAATATGTAATGTTGGCATTTTAACTGTTTTAAGTGGATGAAATAAGCTTAAAATGAAATAGAAAAATAATATTAAAAGAGAGCAAAGGCAGATCTCTTTTGGGAAATTCTAATTGCAATAAGTCTGTGCTCCAAAATACAAATTATACTCATAATCACATTCTAACTCTTGGCTTTTTTTCCCCATAGTATCTTTTATTAGCTGACAAATGCTTATGGTTATCTATTTGAAGATTAGTCGACTTCCCAAACTAAAACGAAAGCAGGAATTTCATTTGTCTTATTGACTATGGCACCTTTACCACCTACCACTTAATACATACTTCAAAACGTTTGTTGAATATTTACATGTAAAATAATATTTACACATTTTAGCTACCATTAGCACTAATAAAAATCTTTATTTGCAAAAACAAAATTTAATATTGTTGTTGCTGCACTTTTCTTAACACATGATTTTGCTATGAAGATAGTCATACAATTGTAGACCCAAACATCTAAGTGAGAGCCTGGAAAACTTCAGTGAGGCACACCCAGTTCTTTTACAACTCTCAAGTCAAAGCCACCCACAATGCGACAGCAATAGATGGTCATTCTCCTTGTTGACTCTTTCATTTAGTAGTTCATTTGCTTTATTTTTGGGGAATTAGCCTCATTCAGCAAATACAATTTTCAACTTTTTAATCTAACTCAAAAAATAGGTTTTTCTGGAGAAATGAGATGAACTTCTTAAGTATTAAGATAGAGAGTATGTGTGAATGTTGGATACCTATCCTAACTTGTCCCATGGTAAACACATCACACTCAACATAATAACTTATTTTATTGATGAATCATGGTCATAGTTATGAGCAAGCAATGATATAATATGTATCTATCTGGAGATGGAGATAAATATGATGTGATGCATTGGGATATAGCTGCTTGTTCGAGCAGTGGCCTGAAACTTAATATTTTCTAAGAAGCCCTCCCTGAAAGTTGGTTCTTTGCCCATTTTCTTTTCTCTTGAAGATGTACAGAATCCTAACTTCCTAGGAACTATAAAGCTGATGATATTTTTGAAAATGAATTAGCACATTGAAGACTAAAACACTTACTGGTTTTCTTATGGTTCAACAATTATTTCATTGGCTTTCTAAAAATGATAATTTGCCAGCGCCAGGGAGAGGGCATTTCCTGATAGTCCACACCTATTAACATCAAAATGTTAACTGAATGCAGGCCCCAGGGAGAAGAAACGTCCTGGGCATGCAAATTAAGAAACAAAAAATAAGGAAGTATGATCTGGGTACACCCACCGGAAAAAGGAAGAAAGACTCAGATGGGCATGCATGTAACTCCCTAAACACACTGGGCGTGCTCAGTTCCTTAGGGTAAGGAGGACACTGCATGCAGGAAGCCCACCCTAAGGGAAGAATCATGACCAAGAGGTGAACCTATAAAGTCCCAGGATCAAGGTTAAAGGCCCTTCTCTTCTCTTTTCTCTCTTCGACCTCAGTGGCCATTTGGATTTCTTCCAGGCACACCTCCCTTTCTTTCCTGTTCTAAAGCCTTTTAAAAAAAACTTCCACCCCTGCTCTGGAACTCACCTGGGTCTCTTTTTCTGCTTTATGCTCTTCAGTCAAAGTCTTTCTTCTGAGGAGGTAAGGACTGAAGTTGCTATGGACTCATATGGACACACCGCCAGTAACTCAGAGTAACTCAGATCTCTTTCACCCGTAACACACTCTATTCTAGGACCTGTGCCAACTAACTGTTAAAGATGTTTTAATAAACTGGTTTCAATACTACATATTTTGTTGAGAAATTGGTTATCTGAGTTTTTTAAAAATGTATATCTCAAGGTTTGATGATTGAAATAAACATTTAGTGTTATATCACTGGATAAACAGTCTTGTAGAAAGAATAAAATGAGATCATTTATTGAGATTAAGAAGATAACAAAATATGAGTGGATAGAAGAGAAAAGAAAGTGTATAAGAGACACAGTAGAGAATGCAATGAAGAATAAGTAGGTGGTAGGTAAAAGGTTTATTTAGCAACAGAGAGAGCACAGATGGAAATAAAAAATAGACGAGATCAACATTTTTCTGTGCCTTTCTCTAGCATCTCTGTGCAATTAGATAGATTTCTTATCTGGAGGATTTACTGGGACAAAAAATAACGTGCTTTCTTATCTCTCAGGGAGTTAGAGCCCAGGAAAAAACTTGAGACTCTCTTGAGCAAGAGTAAGAGAAGGGGTTGAAATAGTGAATTTTTGAAAAATATTCAAACTTTGTGAAGTTCAAGAAGATGATAGATGTTGAGAAAAATTTTAGAGCAGACAGGTGGAAATTTGTCTATCATAGATCTAGCATATACAGGGCTTTGAGGGGCAAATCACAGTGGAAAATAACATAGGAAGTGATGAAGATTGTTGGATGGAAATGAGAGTTCCAAGAATAGTCGGAACTTATTGATACAAACAGTGTTTTGAGAGGAAGAGCAGAAATACAATCTGTATTATGGGCAGGCTGAGAATAAACAGAATATTGGGGATGGCAAGATGTTTGGCAGAGGATGGGCTTGAATATACTTTTTAAGCAAATAATCTCCCATCAGTGATGTCAAGAACATATGAGACTACAATATTGTGTTTCTGGCTTCCAGGAAGAATTCCTTAAAAAACAAGCAAAAGAACAACAAAAAGAAACACTTGACATTCTGATATCTGTTTCAACTGGCTGGATATCTTCTGTCATTCAAAATCAGGATCATCACAAGTAATTTTACGGGGGCTAATAGTGAATGATCTTTATATTTCACTATGGCCCAGAGAAGGGTCTACATTCAAAGCATGGGCAGCCATAACTCTTAGTGACTCCTAACGCACTACATCTCTCTCTTAATATTTAACTTGTTCTCTCCATTCCAGAAAATGGGGGTTGCATTAACACGCCAGTTTCTTCTTGTTAAATGACAAGTGCTTTATACTTGGTAGAAAGAAATTCTATGTGTCATGATAATTCCCAGTCTGGAGAGCATCAGATTATTTTCAGCTTCCCCTGTTCTATTTATTCTACACAGCCATTTAGCCTTTAAGGAACAACTAATAATAAAAAACTAGAGCCTGGTTCTGGGCAAAGTCTAGACTCAAGAGACATCAAATAATTCATTATCTTTGTATTTAGGGGTCAGTTTTATAGTCCCTGTGCAACTGAGGTTGACACTCATTAGCCTGCTAGTTTGCTTTTGTAAAATACCCCTTCAGTTGTTAGCAAGCAAAGGGAAGAGTAGTGACATCAAGTATTTGCTGAGCTCTGTAGGATAAGGGAAGTCTGGATTAGCTGTTGTTTTTGCAATATTGGCCAGCCTTCTGTTACTGGGATCCAATAATTTCCCAGAGAGTAGAAACTTCATGTATCATTGAAGGATCGGAAAAGCCTGGGAATGGGGCCACAGTTCTGGGAGGATTATTAATATACTTTGAAATGCATAGCTTGAATTCAAACAGTACAAAAAGGGTATCATGAAAAGAAGAATTCTGCTCTCCATATCTCCCCAGCCACCTACTTCTCTGCCCAAGCCTGTATCATCTTTAAGTTTTCATTTCATTTTATTTATCTGTGTGATGTCCTAGAGATATTCAATGCATATAAGCACAGACCATATATTTCCTTTAGTAATAATAAATGGCAGCATGACTTGTAATAATTTCTTTGTATTTAGCAACATTTTTGTGGAGATTATTCTTTGTCATTACATAAAGTTCTGCCTCATTCTTTTAAAATGGGTTAGAAATAATCCTAATTTATTTTCCTGTTATCTATTGGTGAATATTAGGACATTTCCAATCCTTGATATTGCCTACAATGCTTCAGTGAATATTCTTGTATCTATATCATTTCCTCCTATGTGAATATATTTGTAAGATAAAGTGCTAGAAGTGAAATTTCTGGGACAAATGTTATATGCGTTTAAAATTTTTGCCAAACTCTCCATAGAGTAACACAGGATTGCTGGGAAGGGAAGAGTGTAGTCCCTTTAAATGATACGGAAGCGGGGAAGGGAAGTGCTGGGTAGAGGAGGGCGTGGTCCCTGGCTAGGGCTCCACCCCCATGGACCTAGCTGAGGACAGGCACTCCTGCCTTCCACCTAAATTTTGCATTTCCCGAGACACCTTGGCCCGCCATTCCCCCGTCCTGTGCCTGTAAAAACTCCAGGCCCTAGAAGGCACACACGCACAAGTGGCTGGACTTCGTGAGGAATTCATAGGGGAAGAAGATGCAAGTGGCTGGTCATGGAGAGGACTTTTTGACGAGCGCCGGCAAAAGAGCACAGCGAAGAAATCCCAGGATACGGAAAGCCCTCTGTACTTGCAACAAGGTAAAGAGTCTAATTGAGCTGGTTAACACAAGCCGCCTATAGACTGCAAACTAAGAGAGCGCCCTGTAACACACGCCCACTGGGGCTTCAGGAGGCCTAAACATTCACCCCTAGACACTACCATGGGCTTGGAGCCCCACAGCCTGCCCGTCTGTAAGCTCCCCTAGAGGTTTGAGCAGCGGGGCACTGAAGAAGCAAACCACACCCGTTTCAGAAATAGCAATTCAAGTTTTTCACTAGCACTGTATAAGATTACCTGTGAGTACACATCCTTACTAACACAAGGTGTTATCAGATGTTTTGATCTTTTTTAATCTGACAGATTCAAAATATATCTCATAACTTTAATGTTTTAAACATCTTTTCCTATGTTAGGGTCACTTAATGTTCCTTTTCTGTAATATTTTGTTCATTTCATTTGCTGAATTCAGGGGGAAAAACAGGGTGCCTTGAGAACAAAGTACTCTTTCTCCAAATTGTAAGAATTTAAAAACTTGCATAATTAGGAGTTTGCAACATTAACAAATATTATATTTATGAGGACAGTTTAGTAGGTTGCTAAATTGAAGTTTTCAATAAACTCTAGTAGTACACAACACTTTTTAAAAATGAATACCTAATTTAGTGGTTCTTTATGCCAATTTTAAGTATTAAAAGCAAGTAACCATTTCAGACCTAAGACAAAAAGGAAATATTAGGAAGTGAATATCACTTGCTCCAAAGAATGAAATAAAAGTGTTGAATTGGGGATCAATTTATACTTCATCAATGGCTTCTCATTACCCTACCACTGTCTAATCTTTGAGAAATATTATTGTACATGGAAATAAGATCAAAGTATTTGCCAGAATATCAGACCACAATTCCTGTTTTGCAGTGAAGTGACTTTATGGACATGGCCAAATCATCTAAATTTCCTGGTTCCTAGTTTAGCTATAAATATACAGAGTTGAATTTTGATGCTTGAAAAGTCCAAAGTTGGCAAACTTCACAAAAAATATGTGTCATAACTCCTGGTGTTCTAATAATAAGACATAAATTATTCAATGGTAGTCACTAAACATTAGAAATAGAACTAGTGTCATGAATATTCCAAACCCAATTTCTCCACATTCTAGGTAAATTTAATTATTCACTTGCTCCTCTGAACCCCTATACTTGTACAATATTATTTAAAGTTATCTGAAAAGTCTTTGTGCTTTGGTGGTAAACAAAATGAATTCACATACAGAATTTATGTGACCAGATCAGTTGACTAGACACAAATGTTAATAATTATTCTTCCTCTAACAGTTTGTGTCAACACAATTGACCAGATTAAGATTGTCTCAATATGTCTAATGCAGTGATTTTCAACAATGAGAAGTTTTGCCCCCAGGGGATACTTGGTAAAGTTTGGAGACACTTTTTCTTTTCACAAGGGCAAGGAGGGGGATCCTGCTGGCATCCAGTGCATGTCAGCCAAATATGCTGTTAAGCTGTCTACAATGCAGAGGATGGTCCCCTACAACAAAGAATTATATGGCCCAAAGTGTCAACAGATCTGGAGTCTAATGACAGAAGATTCAATTAGTTCTTAGATTGCTAGATTACTGTCAAAGGGACTGATATAACGATATATCAACTTTAACATAAACATGTAGAATTTGGGTCCAGTGGTTTTTCTTCCACAAACTAGGGCATTTGTTGTCTTAAATGTATGCCACTTTTTGCTTGCTATAGTTGGTGGACTGAGATTTGTTACATTTGATGTAATGATACATTCTAATTATTCAAAGATTAAACATTTCCCTAACCTCAAGGTGGTAAATTATGTCAGAGCTAATATTAAAACCCCAATCTGACACATAATTGCCCGTTATCTTGGTAGTTTATAATCAACCTTTGGAACTTTCTCTGTTATCCCTCCAACCTCCCAGCTACTCCTTTCCCATTCCTAACCAGCCTACCTTCAGCTGTGACTTCTTTCAGAATATCTGCTTTCATTGTTGCACTATGGATGTCCTAGGGAAAGAAAAATATAATAATTCATTCAGTGAACCGTAACAATCTGAGAGCATGTTTTGCCTAAAGTGATAAAGTGAAAAAAGTTCTGTTTTTATTCTATTAACATACCAAACTAATGAAACAATCCAAAAAAGGCCTAGGTAATACCAGCCACTTGTATAGGTAAACGTTTATATGTGTATAATATATTGAATCAACTGTGTGTTTGGCTTCATGAAGAAACAGTGACAGAGCAGTAATGGAATTTGGTTGTTTAATGCATAATATACATATTGCTAATCTTTTTAAATTAACATATGCTTCAAATGCATATGGTTGTTTTAGAAATAGTACAGAAAGTTCACAGTTAAAGCACATGGATGGTATGTATACTTACAGAAGTGTGAAATCATTATAAGAGAATAATTGAGCAATTACAAGCTTTTTTATGGGAAGTTCGATAAAAAGAATAGTTCTGTGCAATTATATTAGTCCATTTGCACTGCTAGAAAGAAAGACCTGAGGCTGGGTAATTTATAAAGAAAAGAGGTTTATTTGGCTCACAGTTCTGCAGGCTGTACATGAAGGATAGTGCTGATATCTGCTTCTGATGAGGGCATCAGGGCATTTACAGTCGTGGTGGAAGGTGAAGAGGAGCCATCATGTCACATGGCAAGGGAAGGAGCAAGAGAGAGGGAGCAAGAGAGAGAGGAAGGAGGTGCCAGTCTTTTAAACAACCAGATTGTGTATGAACTCAGACTGAGAACTCACTCATTATGTTGAGGACAGCACCAAGATATTCATGAGGGACCTACTACACTCATGACCTAAATACCTCCCATTAAGCCCCACCTCCAACATTGGAGGTCACATTTCAACATGAGATTTGGAGGGGACAAGACATCCAAACCATTTCAGCAATCAAATGAATACATTTTAGCAATATATGGCACAAATTTTCATGGTTTTAATGTATCATGTTTTCCAACTCCCCATAGCAAGACAGAGAAAAGAGAAGATAACTTGTTTTATGAGTTTTACAAATAATGGGCAGTTGAGAAAAACTGTTTTTTTCCTTTTTAAAAAATTATGGTTAGTGCATTTTATTTGATAATAAAATAAGATTTCTGTTAACATATGTATCCTGTGGTTTACAATTTAGCTACATGTATGTTCACAAGAATTCTAAACTATTGTTGCTAAGTTTTGTGCTTCTTTAGGAAATGATGGTGAAACTATATATTGATATTAATAGTCTATGATATACCATCTGCATAAAAAATCATATTTTTAATAGCTTCTGGATCTCTCAGTAGTTCTATTCATTTTATTACCATAGCAAACATCTTAAGGAAATGATGTTCAAAATATTCTTGTGACCTCTGGGAAGACTCATGCCTATGCATCAGAATCCCAGTGGGGAATTTGCCATACCCTGGTATTTGAAGATAGCTAAAATTTTTCTGAGACTTTCTACAAGCTTTTCACTGTACATTTCATTACCTTTATAAGGACAAATGTTCAATGAGCCAAGGAAACTTAATGCATGTTTTAACATGCTTGTTGCCTTTATCATATTTCTATATTTATTTGGCTAAATAGCATATTTGATTCCAGAAAATATCTCTTGAAGAGATAGCAAAGATGCTTTGCAGAAAGAAAATAAAATTTGAGCATTGAAAGCAATAAAATGAGCATAAAAAGCATATTAAAGTTAGAAGATTAGTTACTTATTTCGCTGAAAAATAAATTCCTAGGTCATAAAAATTTTGAGTGTGATATCATGATGCTTCATATGGAATTGAATAAAGCCTGCAGATGGTATTACTATCAGAAGATTAGCAAACTGAGAAAAAAAAATCAAAATTTGTATGAAGTATCTATTCCAGCGAGGACAAATTGCTATCTCATTTATGAAAAAAAAAAGTCTAGTATAATTAACCTTCCACTAGCTGGCTGACTGATCCCCTAGGGTTTGTTACTTATTAAAGGATCAGGTCAGACACAGCTATTGGCAAATTGAACATTCAACTGTACTAGTCGCCAGGTCAGTCTTGGAGAGGGAAAATCTATTGAGCCCATGCATAACATCTGTTCTTTTCAACATGGACCGCTTGCTAATAAGCTTAATGAACACTCACTGAGTTGGCTGTACAATGAGGTGGATTAATATCCACAGAGCAGATCATTATATCCATTTGATTATCGAAAGCCTCATTTGCAGTAGAAACATTTTTAGAAAACATTCACATAGTATAAAAATATTCCTACATTTAAGACCCAGTCTACTACATATCTTGTTCTCAAACCACCTTGTCTTCAATCATCCAGTCTTATTCCTTCCAAGTTCTTGGTTATCTACCAGACTATTTCCCAGGAATCAATGAATCACAACAATGACTATTGGAATTTCTGGTTACCATTAATATTTTCTGACATCAGTGTGCCCTTCATGGTCACATAAGCGGGACCGCCACATAAATCTACTTCTATCAAGTGCCACTGTGTCCTGCCAAGAAACCTGAATAACTGGCTAAAATGTTTTCTTCTCAATTATCTGATCATAGGGAACCCCATCAAACCCAAAGTAGGGGTCAAGACTGGGTTGGCAGTGGAAGTTTAGGCACAACATTCACAGGAGAAACCTGCTTATGAAACTCCCTTGTGCATTTAGCACCTACCTATACTCACTCTCATATACACTACATTCACTTTGTATGCTGCTGAGGACATCACAGTTGTGAGGCTTGATAAGATAATACCCAGTTAATAAAGGTAGTTCAGGTTCATGATTCTCTCCTAGAAGTTAAGCATTCCATTTTTATTGGAGCTTAGAAGCAAGGCAAAAGCTGCCTATCAAAAGAATATTTACTTTCAAACTTTAGGGACATCTGCTGTAAATTTTTTACCAAAATGCAAGAGTCATTATTCAGCATCACAATCTGGCATAGATATTTCAAGAACATTGCATCTGTGGTCTAGTCATATCAGTCATAGCAGAGAGCCGTCTTTTGTTCAAGACCCATTCAAAGCTGGCAGCCTTTGGGTCATTCAACAAATGGGTTGTAACAACATATCCAAATGTGCCATTTGTTATCTTGAAAATGGAAAGAGTTTCACCAAATACTGTATCTTCTACTTTGAGTTAGAATTTGCAAGGTAAATGCTTTCTGGAAGCTTTATATAAAATTTTAAATAAAACGTCTCATATAGAAACAAAATATTGGTACTAAGAAGTGAGGTGTTGCTATAAAGATACCTGCAAATGTATAAGCAGCTTTAGAACTGGGTAATGGGCAGAGGTTGGAAGAGTTTGGTGTGTTCAAAAGAGGACTAAAAGATGAGCAAAGTTTGGAGCATCTTAGAAACTGGTTGAGTGGTTGTGACAAAATGCTTATAGAAACGTAGTAAAGGTCATGCTGATGAGGTCTCAGATGGAAATGAGAAACTTTTGGGGAACTGTAGAAAAGGTAAACCTTGGCCTGGCACAGTGGCTCACGCCTGTAATCCCAGTACTTTGGGAGGCCGAGGCAGGTGGATCACGAGGTCAAGAGATTGAAACCATTCTGACCAACATGATGAAACCCCGTCTCTACTAAAAATACAAAAATTAGCTGGGCGTGGTGGCACATGCCTGTGGTCCCAGCTACTCGGGAGGCTGAGGCAGGAGAATCGCTTGAAACCGGAAGGTGGAGGTTGCAGTGAGCCAAGATCGTGCCACTGCACTCCAGCCTGGGCAGTAAGAGCGAAACTCCATCCTGCCCCCACCCCCACCCCCAAAAAAGGTAACCCTTGTTATACCATAGAAAAGAAGTTCACTGCATTGTGTTCATGCCTTAGGGTTTTGTGGAAAGCTGAACTTAAGAGTGATGATCCAGGGTATCTGGAAGAAATTTTTAAGCACTAAAACGTTTAAGAAGTGGTGAGATTACTTATAACAGCTTATGATAAGAAAGGGCAGCAAAGCAATGACCTAAAGGTGGAACTTATAATTAAAAGAGAGGTAGAGTGTATAAATTAAAAAAAAAAAAGTTTACAATATGGTCGTGTGGTAGAGAAGAAAAGAAAGTTTTCAGGAAAGGAATCCAAGGGTGCTATAAAGCAACCACTTGCTAGATAGCACAGATAAAATGGAGCCAGGTGCTACCAGTCAAGGCAATGAGCAAAAGACCCCAAAGGCATTTCAGAAATCTTTGAGGATGTGCTTCCCATCAAAGACCCAGAGGTCTAGGAGAATAGAAGTGTTTCAAGAAAGAGGCCTGTAGCTCTGTTGCCCTGCACCACCTCAGGATGCTGCCTGTAGCTCTGTTGCCCTCTGCACCACCTCAGGATGCTGCTACCTGCATCCTGGTCACATTGGCTCTATCTGCAGATGACTCCAGGTACTGATCAGGCTGCCACTCCAGAGGGTACAAGCCATAAGATTTAGTGGCATCCATGTGGTGTTACATTTGCAAGCACCCAGAATGCAAGAGTGGTGGATGATTGGCATCTTCAGTCTAGATTTTAAAAGATGCATTGAAAAGCTTCACATGGCAGAGCCACTCCAGAGAGCCTCTGCTAGGGAAGTACCTAGTGGAGCTGTGAGAGCAGGGCCAGTGTACTCTAGACCCCATAATTATAGAGCCACTGGCAGTGTGAAACCCCACTCCTAGTACCAATTTTCTGTCGGTCTATTTTGTTTTGCTATAAAGGAATTCATGAGGCTGGGACATCATAAGGACAAGTAAGGACAAGGTGTTTATTCGGCACATGATTCTTCAGGATGTACAATGAGCATGGCACCAGCATCTGCTTTAAGTGAGGGCCTCAAGTTGCTTCCATGCATGGTACAAGGTGAGAGGCCTACTGATGTGTGAAGATCACATGAGAAGAGAGGAAGCAAAAGAGAGGAGGAAGATTCCAGGCTTTCTTTACAGCCAGCTTTTGAGGGAACTAATATAGTGAGAACTCAAACCCAAAGGGAGGTATTAGTCTTTTCGTGAGGGATCCACCCTTATGATAGACACACCTCCCAGTAGGCCTCATCTCTGACATTGGGAATCAAGTTTCAACATAAGATTTGAAGGGGAAAAACACTGAAACTATAGCACGCCTTATGGGCAGTCTGTAAATAATTGGGGCTGGACAATGCTCAATATATGCCCAAGCAGATAATTTTGAGGTATATTTCAGAGCTCCACAGAAAGCAGGACAGTACCATATATTTCTTACTTCCTGTCCTGTGGCAACTCTCACCATATGGCATGGAACCCAGTGGAAACATACTCAGATTTCATGACTTCACAATTTCATGACTTCACAACTACATACGTTGACCAAAGGGAAATGGAGCTGGTGAATAAATTGTTCTCTTTCTATTCCTTAGGGAAAGAGTTCAGAGGCACATTCTCTACAACTTAGAAGGTCTAAGGTGAATTGACTGACTCAATAAAATGGTTCTCTTTCCTTTCTTGTTTTACTTTTCCAAGTCCTTCACTTCTGTTTCCTTGGATCACTTCCTAAATAAACTACCTGCATGCATCAGACTCTGCTTTATGAAATGACACAGGCTAAGAAAAATGGGAAACATGCCTTGGACTCCTTGGCCATTAGCTTTACTTAAGTTGGCTAGTGCCATGTATCACCTACTTTCTGACACCTGTCTTACAAAGGCATCTGTAGTTTCATTTTCTGTTTCGCTACATTTTCTGAGCATGATGTAATGACCAAAGAAGATCAGAATGATGCCTTGGAGACTGTGGGATGATCAAGCATCCTGTGGACTAAATTGTGGTCCAGTTATGAAGAGCTAGTAAAAACCTGCTGTAGTATGCTGGGTGTGTGCAGCTGTACCTGTCAGGTGAAAATAAATAGCTTCTAGGATTTTCTAACTCAGATGGAAGTGGAAAAAAAAGAGTCAGATCAATAAATACATATCAGGTATCCAGAACTGTGGTGATTTCCTAGGAAATAGTCCCCTTCTGGGATAGCAGCTGTGATTGGAATCACTACCTGATTAAGTTTATGTTGATTACATAAAATTTCCAAGAGTCCTCTGTCTGCACATGCCAGTCAAGTTAAATGGTGATATGTTAGCAATCATCATGCCTATTTTTTCCAGTCTTTAGTGGTGACTCCCACAGAGATGTATAGTATTTTTGTTTATTATTTTGATACGGGGTGCTCAAGAGGCTTTTCTTAGCTTTATCAAAATATTCTTAACTCCATTAGTGAATGCTGGTTCAGAAGTTTATCTTTTTATCTACATTCTTGAAAAAAGCAAGATTTTAACACAAGTTGGGCTTGGGATCCCATTGGGCCCCAAATGAGATGAAATTTGTTTAAGCTCTATTTTCCACCTGAAGCATGATTTGTTCCTGCTTCAGTATTGCTCTTTTCTGCCAATGCCAAAACAGTACTTGAATGCCTGTCCTTTCTCCAGCTACGATTATGTGACAGTTCTGGCTAAGGGGATTTCAGAAGCACCTGAAGAGGACTGTACTTCCAGAATAAAGCTGGCAAAGTCATGTGAAGAAAATATTTGACTTTGTCTTTTGCCTCACTTTCTTTTTCCTGCCTAAATGCAGATGCAGTGCACAGAAGTACAGATCCCTGATCAACCTCCTTCTAAACTGCTCATTACATGAAACACATGGGAAAGGGTAGCCTCTGACATGTCATTTCACCAGTTTGGTAGATTTTTCTCATAATACGATTCACATACATAACTGAATAGATAGACCACACAAGTTATATCAGTCCCTACTCTGAGCAGTGACCATACAACCCAATCAATTTGGAATGGTGTTTTTTTTTTTCCTTTTACCCAGTCCACAGTTATGCCACTGTAAGATGAAAGTTATATTGAAAAGTGCTAGGAGAAAAATGTACTATACAGATTGTTACTGCAAGTCTTTCTTTAGGTTTATCTTATCCTTCATGTATCCAAGGAACTCTCAGTCCTGAACTGACTCAAATCTGGGATTAGTCAAGGGGCTGTGACTATTGTAACGGTATTAATGTTACATCTCTGTCATCAGACTGAGAATGTATTTACTTATGGCAAGTGCATAGACCTTAATTGGCTTTGCATGTATTTGAACATGTCGATTTCATGGCAAATAATGATTTCAGTCATCTCTATAGGTAGTATTATTTTGATTGCCACACCACCCCTACTGAGTATTACAGGAGTCGTGGTTACTTCTGCCTATGAATTAAGTAGCACAATTTGGCCTCTGCCAGCCAATAATTCCTTCATATTCTTTAAAATTAAGAAGGCTGGCCGGGCGCAGTGGCTCACACCTGTAATCCCAGCACTTTGGGAGGCTGAGGTGGGCAGATCACCTGAGGCCCGGAGTTCGAGACCAGCCTGGCCAACATGGTAAAACCCCCTCTCTACTAAAAATACAAAAAAAATTTAGCTGGGTGTGGTAGTGGGTGCCTGTAATCCCAGCTACTTGGGAGGCTGAGGCGGGAGAATCGCCGGAACCTGGGAGGTGGAGGGTGCAGTGAGCTGAGATTGCACCACTGCACTCCAGCCTGGGCAACAAGAGTGAAACTCTGTTTCAAAAAAAAAAAAAAATTAAGAAGCCCATTAATATCAGAATCTTCTACCGGTATACTTATCTTACAAAAATTATCCACTGTAACATTTTTCAAAGATTTAAGCCCTTCCATCTCCAGTGTATTTCTCAGTATTATGGTGGAAAGATCACCTTCTGTCTTACTACTGGGACCAATTTCAATATGAATCAATATTCTTAGTTGTAAAATCATAGTAAGTTTTACATAATAAATTTACAGAACCTTTATTTCTCCATATACCATTGGATTACTTTAACTCTTTAAATTTCTAGCATCTCAAACTTTAGTTCACTAGGAAGTGAACTACTAGGAAGTACATTTTTCAGTAAAACAGTGGAGAAAATTAAAGCTACTTTCACCTACCTCAGCTAGTACACTGAATTTGAAATTTTTTATAAATGTCTCTATCAGTAAATTCAATCAGATGTAAGTGTTTTTCCTTCTTTAGTCTCCTTCTTTATTTAAGAGTGGTGACTCTTAAAATCCATTCGCACCACATAGTTTCCAAATATTAAATGATATCAATTAGCAACTGTATTAGTCAGTTCTCACACTGCTACGAAGAAATACTAGAGACTGGTTAACTTATAAAGGAAAGAAGTTTAATTGACTCACAGTTCTGAATTGTTGAAGAGGGCTCAGGAAACTTACAATCATGGTGGAAGGCAAAGGGGAAGCAGGTACCTTCTTCACAGTGTGGAGGAATGGAGTGAGTACAAGCAGGGGAAATTACAGACACTTATAAAACCAGCAGATCTTGTGAGAACTCAGTTACTACCATGAGAACAGCATGAGGGAAACTGCCCCCATGACCCAATTTCCTCCACCTGGTCCCACCCTTGAAACATGGGGATTATGGAGATTATGGGGATTGCAATTCAAGATGAGATTTTGGGTGGAAACACAGTCAAACCATTTTAGTAACATATTGAATCTTAGTGCATAAATCTTTTCATCCCAGAGTCTAGAAGCAAGGATGGCTTATGAGAGGGCAAGGAGAAATTGGATTGATTTTGTGTGGCAGAAGCTATTAATTGTATATCACAACATTTTTACTTTTCTACATTGATCTCAGACCCCACTTTTTAGATGGACAGCCATATGTCCTAAGGCAAATATTTCATTTCACCAACCTTTGCACCTAGACTTTCTGTATGACCAAGTCTTGTCTATGAGAGCAATATAGACATTATATGGTCTTTCTGAGAAGCTTCCTCAAAGGTGGGGGAGTTCATCCTTCTTTATCCCTCTTCCTCTCATGCAGTCTTTTATTAGAACTAGGACTGGAGCTTAAAGTGTCATCTTGGACAATGTGACAGTACACTAAAGATGAGAAATAGAAAGATAATTGGATCCTGGGATGCTAGTGACCATGAAAAATCCATTCCAAGTTCTTGACTATCTGTTTTTAGACTACTTTTAGGTAAGGGGAAAAACAATTCTAATTTGATTAAGTAATTTAAGATGTTTTCTGATAATGAAGCTAGACTTAATTCTAATGGTTTCACTTTTCAAACTAACTGTTTGGATAAGGTTATCAAAGTGTCTTCAAGCAAGACCGAAACAGCCACATCTACCAGGAGTCCAGAGGATGGTTCTGCAGTAAAGGGAAGCTCAGTCAAACTGGGGAGTTATTATTACTCAAAGCTAGTGATTTCAATAGGAGTGCTACAGGCATTTTAGACGGAGCGATTCTTTTTTGGGCAAGATTCCCCTCCCCCCGCCCCCCGCCCCCCCATATTTTAGGGCATTTAAAATCCCTAGTACCAGCTGGGCGCGGTGGCTTACGCCTGTAATCCCAGCACTTTGGGAGGCCGAGGCGGGCGGATCACGAGGTCAGGAGATCGAGACCATCCTGGCTAACACGGTGAAACCTCATCTCTACTAAAAATAGAAAAAAATTAGCCGGGCGTGGTGGCAGGATCCTGTAGTCCCAGCTACTGGGGAGGCTGAGGCAGGAGAATGGCATGAACCTGGAGGCGGAGCTTGCAGTGCCGAGATGCGCCACAGCACTCCAGCCTGGGCGACAGAGCGAGACTCTGTCTCAAAAAAACAAAAACAAAAACAAAAAAACCCTAGTATCCAAGTGCTAAAGGCCAGTAGCATGCCTAATTAGAAGAATCTCCACATACTATAGGAGCCCTCTGGGTCTGGCAGTACTTGCAGTTGTAAACCATTACTTTAAACTGTGTGTATCTTTCCACAAATTCTGATTTCATTTCTTGGATAATATATCATTCCCAGTATGTCATTTTTAACATTTACATAAGAGATTTGGCAAAGTTGTAATTCAACTGATGTTATAAATTGACAACCATAGAGTTGTATGCCAGCTTCTTTTTTTGCATTCTTATTCCTATGGCTGCAAGTGATAAAAAATTCATTTAGCACAGTCACCAAAAATCCCTGATTTTCTGACTCTGCTTTGAATTAAAAAATTTGAGTTTGCCATCCTTTCTCTATACTTCTCCAGTGCTGTTAGGAAGCCATTAATCCATTTCATAGTCCTCATGCTCATTATATGGTTTTATATAATTACACATTGAGTCTTTCAAACTCTTGCCATGAATGTCACTTAGTGCCAAGTGACCACAGGTGATAATAAATGAGAAATCTATCTAGCCAGAGCATGTTATAGCATGGAGTCTCAATTTGTATTAGAAGTTATAATCTTACTACCTCAGATCCAATGAAGCAAGAAAAATAATCCCAGATTTAGATTTATTTATTTAAGAAACAGTTGTATGCAACTAAACTAGCACCAACTTCTGAAATAATCAGTATACTTAGTTATAACAAACAATTCTCTCAAGGTCATTTCAAATAAAAAGTAATAACCAAGATTAATCTCAGAGAACATGAGAAGAGGATCAATCCCCCAGTTATACCATAGGGGTTGCTGCAGCAAGGAAGCCGCCACAGCTGCAGCTGAGCACATTACAGGTACATTAGCAGGCCCCAGTGAGTATAGGGACAGCATGCCAAAGTTCCACCATCACAGTTCTTGATAATGAATTCCACAGTGTAACCATTTACAGGTGACTGCTTCTTAGCTGAGGTCTTACATGAGTTTGTCTGATAAAATATTGACACCATGACCAAATGCTGTTTCATAATGTTGATAGACTTGTTTCAAGTTTGTGGTATTTGGGTTCGTTAAGGAAGCCCCTCTATCATCACAGATTATTACCGCTTCATAATCACTATAATCTCCATCAGCTAGATAGTAATAGTGTTTACTAGTTTTCATGTTTTAGCAGCTTTGTTGACATATGGTATCTTTTAAAAAATATTCACTATTTTGATTACTGTGAATATTGAGAGGTTGTTATATATCAATCTCCCATTTAAATTTTTCTGTAGGAATATTTATGCTTTTTTCTCCCACTAAATTTTCAGTTGTAGTGTTGCCTGCATTCTTTATTCATAAAATATTTGTTTACTTATTGAGAATAAAAACTTTTCTTGTCATATCTGCAATAAATGTATATCCCCCCAGTTCTTTGGGATTATCTATTTTTGATTAAATATAGTTAAATCCATCCTTCATTTACTTGATAATATCTTCCATTGATTTTATTCTGAGCAAATCTTTCCTAATTCCAAACTAATTAAATTTTTGTTCATTTTGTTTAAAATAGTTTTGACTTGTTTCAATCAGCAATTTAGTCAAGGTGGATTTATTATTAGAGTACATGGTACAAATTGCAGTTATAGCTATGTTCTTTGCCCCAAATTTCCCAATTTTCCCATAACCAATGATAAATATTTTATTGTATGCCTCAGATTTTTTTTATTATTTATTTATTTTAAAATTTATATTTGTTTATTTTTTAATTTTAACTTTTAGTGGGTACATAGCAGGTATATATATTTATGGGGTACTTGAGGTGTTTTGATACAGGCGTACAGTGTATGAGTATTACATCATGGAGAATGGGATATGCATCCCCTCAATGATTTATTCTTTTTGTTACAATCCAATTACATTCTTTTAGTTATTTAAAAAATGTACAATTAAGTTATTATTTACTATAGTCACCCTATTTGTACTATCAAATAGTAGATCTTAGTCATTGTTTCTATTTTTTTTTTTTTTACCCATTAAGCATCCCTACCTCCCCACCAACCGCTCAATACCCTTCCCAGCCCTACTCTGTATGTCCATGAGTTTAAATTGTTTTGATTTTTAGATTCCACAAATTAATGAGAACATGTGATGCTTGTCTTTCTGTGCCTGGCTTATTTCACTTAACATAATGATTTCCAATTCCTTCCATGTTGTTGCAAATGAAAGGATCTCATTTGTTTTTAAGGCTGAAAAATGCTACATTGTGTATATGTACTGCATTTTCTTTATCCATTCATCTGTTGATGGACACTTGGGTTGCTTCCAAATCTTATTTATTGTGAGCAGTGCTGAAACAAGTATGAGAGTGCAGGTCTCTCTTTGATATACTAATTTCCTTTATTTTAGGTGTATACCCAGCAGTGGAATTACTGGATCATGTGGTAACTCTAGTTTTGTTTTTTTGAGGAATTTCCAAATGGTTGTCAATAGTTGTACTAATTTACATTTCCACTAACAGTGTACCAGAGTTCCCTTTTGCCCACATGCTCACCAGCATTTGTTATTGCCTGTCTTTTGGATAAAAGCCATTTTAACTAGGGTGAGATAACATGTCATTGTAGCTTTTATTTGCACTTCCTTGATGATCACATGTGATCATTTCAAGTTAAAAAGCTTCTACACAGCAAAGAAAACCATTAACAAAGTGAAGAGACAATCCACAGAATGGGAGAAAATATTTGCAAACTACCCATCTGACAAGGGATTAATAACCAGAATATAGAAGTAGCTCAAACAACTTATAGGAAAAGACCTAATAATCTAAACAAAAAAAATAGGCAGACAATTTGGATAGACATTCCTCAAAAGAAGACATATAAATGGGAAACAGGCATATGAAAAAGTGCTCAACATCGATTATCAGATTTATTGAAAGTACAAATAAGTAAAAATGGAATGATAATTACAAGAGTGTCATTCTTCTACTGTTATGTGTATTCGATTTTGTACTCATACTATTTTATATATTACAATTTTATTGTATTTCAAGTGTTGATAAAGTAATTCTCTGTCAAGACATTTATTTTTTCAAAACTTTTACAATTATTTCATCTCTTAATTTTTCTTGGAATACTATGTACTTAATTTGCTATATTACACTTCCCTATAATTAGATTGAAATTTTAATTATCTGAGGATTGAGTCTATAAACTAATTGGAATTGTTGTAATTTTAATACTGAGAAATAAGAAATGTCTACTTATGTAAATCACTGCTTTTAGTAATTAATAAAATGTTCATAACTACAAGTCTGTCACAAATATTTTGTTGAATTTCTTTCTACGTATTTTAGCATCTTTTAAAGTTCGTTTTTGTTACTGTAAATGGATTCTGTGTTCCATAAAAACAAAATTGATTATGACTGGCATAGAAAAGTGACTGGGTTTTCAATATTTATGACACATTCAAGACTTTCTGCTCAACTCACTTGTTAATTCTAGGACTTTATCAGGTTTTTGGGGGTGTTTTCAATATACCCGTGTTTTACATTAATTTCATCACCTTTTCTCCAATGGCTACTCTCCATGTTTATGTTTGGTTTTATCTAGATCTTTCAGAAAAAGTCATCAAATAATAATCATGAAGAATTTTTTATGTGAATGTTGATATTAACTGGAATTTATTTAGTGTTTTATTATTTTTCTGTTATTTAAAAAAAGGTAGTACTGGAGGCAGAGCAAGATGGCAGAATAGAAAACTCCACCAAAATTGCTGATGCCATCCCTCCTTCATCCCCAGCAACAGCAGCTTGGTGCAGAGGCATTGAATTGAGAGCTGTTCTGTTAGAGCAGAAAGAAGACCCAGACTAAACTCAGCTGATGCTCACCCACAGCAGGCCCTGGGCAAGACCTAGCACTGTGCTAGCTTCAGGTCTGACCCAGCTCAGTCATAGTTGTGATGGCCACAAGGGTGCTTGTGTCACTCCAACCCCAGCTTTAGGTGGCTCAGAACAGAGAGAGAGACTGTATGTTTTGGGAAAAGTAAGGGAAGAGAACAAGTGGCTCTGCCTGGTAATCCAGAGACTTCTTCTCTATCTTGTACAAGATCATCAAAGAAATACCTCTACAAGTCTGCAAGAACAACAGTGTTACTGAGGTTGGGGTGTTCCCTAAAGCAGAAACAGCTTAGATTGCAACACCCTAGTGATTTCAAGTATCTAAAAAGCCTTCTTAAAACAAATGGTTTGTATCCAAAAGACAGGCAATAACAAATGCTGAAAAGTATGTGGACAAAAGGGAACTGTTGGTGGGAATGTAAATTAGTACAACCACTACGGAGAACAGTTTGGAAATTACTCAGGAAACTAAACATTGCAAACATATGATCCAGCAATCCCACTGCTGGGTATACGCCCAAAAGAAAGAAATTCAGTATATCCAAGAGATATCTACACTCCATAGCTATCAACTGGAAGCAACCTAAGTGTCCGTCAACAGATGAATGGATAAAGAAACTGTGGTACATAGACACAATGTGTATTATTCAGCCATATAAAAGAATGAGATCCAGCCACTTGCAACAACGTAGATGGAACTGGAGATCATTATGTTAAGTGAAATAAGCCAGACACAGAAAGACAAACATCTCATCCTCTCACTTATTTGTGTGATCTAAAAAACAAAACAATTGAACTCATGAAGATAAAGAATAGAAGAATGGTTACCAGAGAATATGA
Source organism: Homo sapiens (assembly GCF_000001405.40). Classification (NCBI taxonomy): domain Eukaryota; kingdom Metazoa; phylum Chordata; class Mammalia; order Primates; family Hominidae; genus Homo; species Homo sapiens. The sequence goes on along the minus strand of NC_000006.12, from coordinate 77,352,524 downwards.
AGGGTAGTGGGGGGTTTTGGGGTAGTTGCGGATGGTTATGGATACAAAATATCGAAAGAATTAATAAGACCTACTATTTGATATCACTGCCAGGTGACTATGGTCAGTAGTAACTGCACATTTTAAAATAATAGTGTAATTAGATAGTTTGCAAGTCAATGGATAAATGCTGGAGGGGATGGATACTCTATTTTTCATGATATGCTTATTTCACATTGCATCCCTGTGTCAAAACATCTCTTGTACTCCATAAATATGTACACCTACTATGTTTCCACAAAAATTAAAATTTTAAAAATTAAAAAATAAACTATAGACACTTTTTAAAAAGAGATAATATTTACCAAATTTAAATAATAGTTTAGTTCCAGTTTTATCAGATTCCTTTTAAGAATCAATTCTGATTTTATTGGCTTTTGACATGTATTGTCATTAATTGTTACCAATTTATGAATATTATTGATCAATACATTGATGCAATAAATAAAAATTATATATTTTCTTCTCTTACATGATCATCACATTTCACTATCAAGGCCCATGTTATTTTATGAATATTCCATTAATGTGGTGTTAATACAGTAAACATAATACAGTTTAATACAGTAGAATTTCAGATATTGTATTTCTAAGTTTTGTTTTGTTTTGGTTTTTTTAGACGGAGTCTCACTCTGTCGCCCAGGCTGGAGTGCAATGGTGTGATCTCGGCTCACTGCATGCAACCTCCACCTCCTGGGTTCAAGCGATTCTTCTGCCTCAGCCTCCTGAGTAGCTGGGATTACAAACACGCACCACCGTGCCGGGCTAATTTTTTTTTTTTTTTTACTTTTAATAGAGATGGGGTTTCACCATGTTGGTCAGGCTGGTCTCAAACTTGTGACCTCGTGATTGGCCGGCCTCAGCCTCCCAAAGTGCCGGGATTACAGGCGTGAGCCACTGCGCCCAGCAGTATTTCTAAGTTTTAATCGCTCATTGTTTTATCCTTCTATGATTGGTTTCTGGTTTATTGCATTGTGGGCAACTATTATAGTTCACATAATATTTTAAGAAAATGCAAAAAAAAAAAAATTAGCCGGGCATGGTGGTGGGCGCATGTAGTCCCAGCTACTCAGGAGGCTGAGGTAGGAGAATGGCCGTGAACCTGCGAGGTGGAGCTTGCAGTGAGCTGAGATCGGATCACGCCACTGCACTCCAGCCTGGGCGACAGAGCGAGACTCCATCTCAACAAAAAAAAAAAAAAAAAAAAAAAAAAGAAGTTACGGATACTGACCCTGTGGCCTAATATAGCATCCATTCATTTCAGAATGGGGATACTTGAAAAGTTTTAGTTTTGTAAGATACAAATTTTCAAGTTTAACATATTATCTTCATTCTTTATATCTTTATTTATTGTGTGTTTGTTATGTCAAAGTTGTTTGAATACAGTTAAATTCATCACAAAACTGTGCTTCCATTAATAGCTTATGTGTTTACTGAGTTTTTATTGTGCATAATTTGATCCATTAGTATCTTTGTATGAAATTTCTTAAATATTATATGAAGAATCCCACCCTTTTATTGTATACAGTTGTCCTTAAAAATGCACTGAATCATTGATTATATTTTCCCTTGAATTTGAATTGGTAATTACATACCAATGTAATTTTCTTTACGTTGGTATGCATTTGAGAATGCTTTATGATTTTACTTTTAACAATTGTCATTTTATTGTAGTTATGTTTTTTATCAGCCAGAAAGATTAGAAATAAAATGTTGTTCATTAAAGCTCTTTTTTTTTTTTTTTGAGACAGAGTCTCACTGTGTCAGCCAGGCTGGAGTGGCATGATCTTGGCTCACTGCAACCTCCGTCTCCCGGGCTCAAGCAATTCTCCTGCCTCAGCCTCCAGAGTAGCTGGGATTACAGGTATGTGCCACCACGGCCGGTTGATTTTTGTATTTTTAGTAGAGACAGGGTTTCACCATGTTGGCTGGGCTGGTCTTGAACTCCTGACCTCAGGTAATTCGCCCGCGTCGGCCTCCCAAAGTGCTGGGATTACAGGTGTGAACCACTATGCCCGGCCAAAACTTTTTCTTACCTTTAAAGTTTTTTCTCTTACTTAAAAGTCTTATCTATGCTGTTCCAGTAATTACATTATTTTTTATTTATTTCACTATGCCAAAGAAAATATAAAAAATTTATAATATAGTCTGTATACTTAAAATCTCATATTACCACTCTTAAATTATTATTTTTATTTTTACATTGCATATCTTGCAGTGGACATATATTGTTTTATCTTTTAAGCACTGCTTCCTTATTAAAGAGTAGTCTCTTATCTTGGCCAATTACTCCTTTCTACCCTGCAGATATATCTTTCCAACAGGAATGTTGTTTGTAGTGTATTGTCTAGGTGGCCATGGTTAATTTGCACTGTGGCTGGTCCCTAAGCAAAGACAGGCTAACCTGAATTCTTCTTCACAAATTTTAGAAGTGTGTCAAAAGATCATGTTAAACTATATTTAACATGTAATATATAAAATATATTATGGAGCAAAAATGTGAATTATGAAGTATGGGAAGTGCAAGGGCTTATGATTCTGATTCTAGACCTTTGGGAAGATGCCAGTCTAAGAGAAGAAATGGAATAATAATCAAAGAGAAACAGAGATAGAGATAGAGATGTGGTCGTGTTGTTGTTTGAACCCCAAACTTCTAACATTCTTGAGCTCCAGTTGTTTGTCTTTCCTGTTGTTGTGTTAACCATCCAGTCAATTCCCCAGACTTAACATGAAAAGATGGCTTCTGATGGGGCCAATGGCTTCTGATCCAGGCCAGTGGAGTCTGGATAGCTCTCTAAATAATTCAGAAGCCTTAAGGATAACCTCTTGATTAAAGCCTTATGTAACTAAACCCAATAGCAAACACAGGCAAATTCAGGAAAAAAGGTATATATATGCCTTTACGCATATACATACATATATGTGTGTGTTTGTATTATCTCTCTCTATATATACACACACGTATATGATATATATAACATGTATATATAACATATATAAATATACACACATGCACACATACTTTCTGTTAAACAAGCACACTTTTGTTTCTAGCATCTTAGAGCACTTTGGCCAAATTCTTAGCATATATTAAAGGTAATTTAAGATAAGACATTTACAACAAGATACTATCATATGCATTCTTTTTATTATGGATACATTTTGTTTGTTCATAAATTTGTGTTAGCTCACACTTCCTATCTCTCATTTTATATATATATATATATATACATATACACACACAGATATATATGTATACACACACACACACAGATATATATATGTATGTATATATGCACAGGGTACACAGTTTAATTGTTCCTCCATTCATTGCATTGTGTAAAAAATCATTCAGATAATTCTTCCTCTGTATGATTAAAAAAAATAAAAAGCTGATGGGTTGAAGAAGTTTAATTTGGATTGATTTGAACTTATACTAAGGAACTTTATTAGGTGAACAAAAATTTGTTCATCCCTTAATAATTCTGAAAACATTTCTGAAAATGAGTAACACCACTTCTGATCTTAATGGAATCTTAATAAAAGTGGCAGAGTACTTTTATTTGAAATATGACCTTTTCTAAAGTTGATCCATTGTAGTTCATCACCATTTTACATAAATGATGCAGTTTCACTAATTAGTGAAAAGTTTAACTTGTTTCATTTTAATTCAGAAAAATGTGCCATATTTTCAGGACTTAAATGCTGATTGGCCTAGATCTGAATGCTATTACTTACTGCTTGTCTAATAACTGCAGCTCATTAAAAAAAAAATAAAAAAGCAGTATCTACTTCACTGTAGCATAGTAAATGAGGATTTTTATCTCTAAGCAGGTCGTAATTGAGTAATTTGGGCAGCTTTGATAATTAATTTCCAGAATTATGTAGTTTTTCCACAGCTGTGAGTCCAATATCTTAGTAAAGTATTACAGAAAATTTATATATATATAGTTAATTTTTCTGTGATTATGAAAAGCAAAGACACAAATTATAGAAAGGTCAATTTATAAGACAACTATAATTTTTAGAACCTTGTTGAGCTTTTACTATTTTGGCTTTCTTATAATTATGTTAAGCCAGGTATCCTTAAATTGGATTCAATCATTTAGAAAGTCCTTGTATTTGGAAAGGAATAAATGCATCTTTATTTTCACTAATTTCTAATTGAAATTTAGATTTTTTAAACAATTTAGGTAAAATATTTAAGTAATATTACTAATAGTACTAAGCAAAAACATGGAATGAACCTGAGTGTTCATCATTGGATGAATGGATAAAGAAAATGTGGTATACCATGGAATTCTATGCAGCCATAAAAAGCAATACAATCATGCCCTTTGCAGTGACATGGATACAGCTGGAGGCCATTATCTTAACTGAATATATGCCAGAACAGAAAACCAAATATCGCATATTCTCACTTATAAGTGGGAGCTAAACATTGAGTATTCATGGATGCAAGGATGAAATCAATAGACCCAGTGGACTACTAGCAGGAAAGGGAGGAAAGGAGAGTTGAAAAATTGCCTCTTGGGTACTATGCTCATGACCTGGATGACAGGATTTATACCCTAAACCTCAGCATCATGCAATATACCTATGTAACAAACCTGTGTATGTATATTCTGTATCTAAACTAAGGTTGAAATTATAAAATAATAATAATAGTAATATTATCAGAGTCTGTAATTTGTCATCAATAGAAATTATATTTCTCCATAACATAGAACAGAAAGTACTATTTACATTTATAGTCACTTCAGAGTTATAGTAGTTATTAGACCATCTCCAATGTCTTGCAATTTTGTGCTTTAATAAAGAAGCATATATATTATCATACCGCAAATGCAAATACATTTTGAATATTTTGATACCTGCACTTCAAAATTACTGTTTGTATTTACATATATATTTTTTTGAAACAGAGTCTTGCTCTGTCGCCCAGGCTGCCATGCAATGGTGCGATCTCAGCTCACTGCAACCTCCATCTCCCAGGTTCAAGCGAGTCTCCTGCCTCAGCCTCCCCAGTAGCTGGGATTACAGGTGCCCACCACTACGCCTGGCTAATTTTGTATTATTTTTAGTAGAGATTGGGTTTCACCCTGTTGGCCAGGCTGGTCTCGAACTCCTGGCCTCAAGTGATCCGCCTGCCTCAGCCTCCCGAAGTGCTGGGATTACAGGAGTGAGGCACTACGTCCGGCCTGTATTTATAATTTATATGTTATTTTATGCATTTAAAAACATTATGGTCTGGTATGGTGGCACACATCTGTAATCCTAGCAGTTTGGGAGGCAAAGGTGGGCAGATGGCTTGAGCCCACAAGTTTGAGACCAGCATGCGCAACATGGTGAATCCTCATGTCTACAAAAATAAAAAAATTAGCCAGATGTGGTAGTGTACATCTGTAGTCTCAGTTACTTGGGAGGCTTAGGTGGGAGAATCAACTGAGCCCAGCGAGGTCCAGGCTGCAGTAAGCCGAGATCACATTACTGTACTCCAGCCTGGGCAAGAGTTGAGACTCCAACTCAAAAATATATATATATATATATATATATATATAGAGAGAGAGAGAGAGAGAGAGAGAGAGAGAGAGAGAGCTATATGTAATATGTATTATATTATAGTTTATATATTATATATCTATTGTACTATATATAATAATGTATATTATATATTATAATATATAATATATTAATTAAATTAATTATATGTAATATATATAGAGAACTCTGTATATATGTCATATATATGGTGTGTGTATATATATATATATATATATATATATATATATATATGCGCCATGGTCATAACAAAAGATTAAGAACTCTTGTTGCAAACTCATGAAAAATGAAAAAAGTAAGAAAAAGGAAGAATAAAAGATATTTTTCAAGGACCATTTCATTTTATTTTTATTTTTTATGAACATATTGCTATTTTTACTTCAAAAATGTTTATATTTTTATTAGAAATAGAACACAAATACATTAGTTACATACCATGATTTACATAATACATTCTATAAGTAAGATTAGTTAAGAAAAGTTAAGATTAACAAACTACTCATGGACCTTGCATTTACCAATAGAAGTTAAAATTCATCAATAAAAGCAAAAACACTCAAAACAATATTTAGTGTTTTACACTTATAGATACATTTTATTTGGCAGTGACTGCATGATAAAACATTTATACATAATCAATTTTAAAAGTCTGTTTAAAAAATGCACTGTAGATGTGCACAACTTTATGAAAATTCAACATTAAAAATTACAGTGTTCATAATAGGTACTTCAGGCCTGATTACAAAAGCATATTCTGAAAAGTTTTTAAAATGTGTTCTTTTTGTATAATTTCTTATTTAAATCTCATTAAATAAGGGAATGTTTATTAAAACTTCAAACTAATGTATTTAATGTTTCTACCAATTGAAGATGATATTTTCAGCAGAATTAAATGACAGATGTTTGAGTTGATGGGTATCTCAATTATGCTGATTTGGTCATTACACATTGTATGCATATATCAAAACATCACACGTATCCCATAAATATATACAATTATTATGTATCAATAAAAATAAAACATACATTTATGGTATTTCTACATCGATCTAATTGCAAAATTACATTCCATTTTCATAAGACCAGATATTTTGCATAAATTAGAGCATAACTCAAAACTCTTTTTAAAACTTTCAATTACTGTGAATACATAATACTTAGACATATTTATAGGGCACCTGTAATATTTTGACCCAAGTATATAATATGTAATGATAAAAATCAGGATAATTGCAATATTCATCACCTTAAGTATTTATCATTTCTTTTTATTAGCAAAATTCTAATTCCACTCTTAGTTATTTCAAAATATACAGTAAGTTATTGTTAGCTATCATCACCTCATGTGCTACTAAACACTAGATCTTATTCATTCCATCTAACTGTATTTTTGTACCCATTAATCATCCCCCTTTCCTCCCCTCCCCACTACTCTTCCCAGCCTCTGGTAACCATCATTCTACTTTCTATTTCTGTGAATTAAATTACATTTTAACTCCCACATGGGAGTGAGAACATGTGATATTTGTCTATCTGTGCATGGTTTATTTCACTTAACATAATATCCTCCAGGTTCATTCATGTTGCCATGAATGACAGGATTTCATTCTGTTTTATGGTTGGATAATATTCCATTGTGTATATGTACTACATTTTCTTTATCCATTCATCTAATGATGGACACTTATGTTGATTCCATTATCCTGGCTACTGTTAATAGTGCTGCAATATATTTGAGAGTGCAGACATCTCTTTGATAATACTGATTTTCTTTCTTTTGGATACATACCCAGTGGTCGATCCATGGTAGTTCTATTTTTAGTTTTTTTTTTTGAGAAAACTACATGCTGTTCTCCACAGTGGCTTTATTAATTTACATTCCCACCAACAGTGCATGAAGGTTCCTTTTTTTCCACATCTTCACCAGCATCCATTATTGCCTTTTTTTTTCCTGTAGGATTTTACTTTAGTTTTAATTGACATTTTGCCCAAAAGCACAGAACGGTAACTATTTCAATGGTTTAATGTTACAAGATTACAAAATTCTTAAACAGTTACAGTATTCTACATCAATTATTTCACATTAAATACCTGATTAAAAAAATCAGTGCTTGAATGAAGCACAAGATAAACACGTCAATTTAATAACAAATAAAATTGAATCTAGCATGTTAAAATAAATATCAATAACCACTTTATGAAAGTATCATTTCAATAGGGGGACACAGATCACCAAGGGTACAAACTAATAACAGCATTTTCAAAGCTGAGATGAAATTTGTGTAAACACACATTGGCTCATACAGTGAACATGTCCTTCTGTTCCTTGGGCCCTCCCGATGTAGGGCTGAAAGGAGATCCTGCTGGCCCTCTCTTAGATTCCAAATATGAGAAAATCTGCCTCAGGTTGCAGACCACAGGCTGGAAACACTTAAGTGCAGCAAAAGGAGATTAATGTGTCTGAGCAGGTTGGAGCCCTTTTTGTGATGGGCCGACTAGTAACATTTCCAATGCATACCTAGGGTCTTCCAAGCCAAGGGTGCACATAGTAACAGGTCGTCTACCTGATGTGACCCTGACTTCAAGGAGAGACCTGAGTGCAGGACCAGATACAGATGAGGATTGATTGATGGCCCAAGCTCCCCACAGCTGACACCACTTTTCAACCAGAGAATTCTAGGCCAACCCAGATGGAATACACACGCGTGCGCGCGCACACACACACACACACACACACACAACCATTTGTGATTCTTAGCCCGCTATGACCAAATAGCTCTTAAATACAGAATGTCTACACTGTAAGTCTCCCTTTTATTAGTATTTTCAAGCATTAATAATTAGTTCTTTCCAGTGTGATTCTTACAGATACTCACAAGCTAACCATGTTTTCTTTCTTGTAAGCACTCCATCTTTAACAATGAACTTTGGAAACTTCAGGTCTTACTTTTAACAAGTACAGTTGGAAAAGAAATACCAAGAAGCCGACTCAGTGGTAAATTATTAAGGTGATGCAAAAGTAATTGTGTTTCTATCATTGTTTTTAATGGCAAAAATTGCAATTACTTTTGCATCAACCTAATATTTGCATTACAGTGTTAGGAAAAAATAATTGCTAGTGGATTTTTTTTTCTAAATAATTCAGGGTTTAGCATTTACCAACTGTTCAGACCAAAAGTCATTTCCAATAGGAAAGCTCTTTATCCAGCTTCTGCACTGGCACTTGTGCAACATAACTTAACCTATTCCCAAATGATTATGGAAGAACTTATTTGCTTGGCTGTTACTGATGCTGAATGGACTTATAGACCTAAAATGCCATAAGGATGGCTGTTACAAGGAGGATGCTAAAATTGCTTCCTATCAACACCAGGTTCTGCATGCGCAGCACTTCGTATGTCCAACTCTGCTCTGGAGGACCCACAGGGCTCAGGGCGTCTGCCTGCTCCAAGAGGCTGCATAGGTCAAAGCATAGCCACCATAACACAAGATGCAACATCTTCCCTGGCCCCTTGACTATCTTTTCGATAAAAGCCATTATAACTAGGATGGGATGATGTCTCATTTGTGGTTTTGATTTGCATTTCTCCGATGACCAGTGATGTTGAGCACCTTTTCATATGCCTGTTTGTCATTTGTATGTCTTCTTTTGAGAAGTGTCTATTCATATCTTTTGCCCATTTTAAAAATCAGATTATTTGTTTTTCCCTATTGAGTTGTTTGACATCTGTATATATTTTGACTTTTAATCCATTGTCAATTGGGTAGTTGGTAAATATTTTATCTCATTCCATGGGTTGTCTCTTCACTTGGCTGATTGTTCTCTTTGCTCACAGAAGTTTTTTAGGTTGATGTGATCCCATACTTCTAATTTTGCTTCTGTTGCCTGTGCTTTTGAAGTCTTATTCAAGAAATTGTTGCCTAGACCGTTTTTCCAGAGTGCTTCTCTAATGTTTTCATTTAGTAGTTTCATCAAGAGATTCAAGGACAAAATCCATGTGATCGTTTTAATAGATGTTGCAAAATCTATTTTGATAAAATTCAACATCCCTTTGTGATAAAAACTCTCAAAAAACAGAGTAGAAAAGGAACATACCCCAACACGATAAAATCCATACACAACAAGCCCACAGCTAGTATCATACTTAATTGGGTAAAATGGTCAGACAGCCTTTCCTCTAAGACAGACACTCACTTTTACTACTTTTGTTCAACATAGTATTGGAAATCTTAGCTAGAACAATTAGACAAAATAAATAAATAAAACACATTCAAATTGGAAAGGAACAAGTCAAATTATTCTTGTCTGTCCATGACATAATCTTATATTTAGAAAAACCTAAAGAATCTGCAAAAAAAAGAGTTAGAAGTGATAAGTTCAGTAAAGTTGCAGAATAAAAAAAACCATACAAAATTAGTAATATTTCTATATGCCAACAGTGAACAATCTGAAAAAGAAATCAAGAAAGCAATCCCATTTACAATAGTTACAAATAAAATAAAATACCAAAGAATAAACTGAACCAAAAAAGTAAAATAAAATCTCTACAATGAAAACAATAAAATATTGATGAAAGAAATTGAAAAGGACACAAAATTGGAAAGACATCCCATGATCATGGATTGGAAGAATGAATATTGTTAAAATGTTTATATTTCCTAAAGCAATCTATGTATTCAATGCAATGCCTATCAAAATACCAATTACATTCTTCACAGAAATAGAAAATAATAAAATTTACATGAAACCAAAAAAAGACCCAGAATAGCCAAAACGATCCTAAGCAAAACGAATAAAGCTGGGAGGTTGCAGCAGGATGGTGGAATGGAAGCCTACATCATTTATCACCCTGCAGGAACACCAGATTTTAACAACTATCTGCACATAGAAAAGCACCATTGCAATAACCAAAAATCAGGTAAAAAAAAATCACAGTATCTAGTTTTAACTGAAAATCTCTAAAAGGGGTATTTAGGACAGGGTAGACAGTTTTCAATTGCCACTACTTCCCCATCTCCTGGCAGCAGCCATGTGGCATGGAGAGTTTGTGCACTTGGGAGAGGGAAAGCATAGCAACTGGGAGACTTTACATTGGACTTAGTGCTTCCTTGTCATAGCAGAGAGGAAAGCTGCTCTGGGCTTAGCCAGTGCCCACACAGGGAGGGAGCATTAGGACCAGACCTAGCCAGAGGGGAAGTGCCCATCCCAGTGGTCAAAACTTGAGTTTCTCAGCAAGCCTTGCCACTGCACGCCAAAGTGCTCTTGGGTCCTATGTAAACTTGAAAGGCAGTATAGAACACTAGGACTGTAATTCCTAGGCAACTTTTAGTACTGAGCTGGGCTCAGAGCCAGTGAACTAGGCTGGCATGTGACCTAGGGAGATAACAAGCTGACATGGTTAAGGGAGTGCTTGTGCCATTTCACCCCTTACTGCATGCAGTGCAGCTAACAGCAAAGAAAGTGACTTCTTCCTTCTGTTTAAGGAGAGGAGAGTGAACAGTAAAGAGGACTTTGTATGTATCTTTGATACTAGCTCAGACACAGTAGGATAAGGGCACTGGGCAGGGTCGTGAGGCCCCCATTCCAGGGTCTGGCTCATGGACAACATTTCTAGATATACCCTGGGCCAAAAGCCAAAAGGGTATCTGCTACCTTGAAGGACAGGAACTATGAATAGTTCTGGCAGGATTCATCGCCTGCTGATTAAAGAGCCCTTGGGCCCTGAATAACCAGCAGCAATACCAGATAGGGTAAACATTGTTTTCTTTCAGCACTTTATGTCATGCCACTCTCTCCTGGTCTGTAAGGTTGCCGCTTAAAAGTCTGCTGCCAGACATATTGGAGCTCCCTTGCAGGTTGTTTCTTTTTTCTTGCTATTTTTAGGATCCTTTCTTTATCCTTGATCTTCAGGAGTTTTATTATTAAACACCATCAGATAGCCTTCTTTTGGTTAAATCTGCTTGATGTTCTATAACCTTCTTGTACTTCGATATTGATATTGCTGTCTAGTTTTGGGAAGTTCTTTGTTATTATCCCTTTAAATAAACTTTAAGGGATACACCATAGACCTTGGACTATACACCATAGGTCTTGGACGTCATAGACCTAGTACACCATAGACCTTGGACTCTGAGACATGCTTATTTCAGGTATGACCCATCACATTCCCAACTGTGGTGATTGTGAAAGACTCCTATTTGACAATTGCAGAGGTAAAGGGGACTTTGTCTTGAACCTTAGGTACCAGCTAAGCCACAGTGGGGTAGAGCAACAGGCAGGCTCTTGGTGTCCCTGAGTCCAGGCATAGCCTCTTAGAGAGTACTTCTGGACCTGCCCTGGACCAGAGGGGATTTCACTTCCCTGAAGGGTGAATCACAGGCCTGGTGGCATTCACCACGAGCTGACTGAAGAACCTCGGCAGTGTCATGGCAGAAGCTCCCATGGGCTGCTGGTCGTGGTGGCCACAGGGAGAGGTTCCTCTGCCTGTGGAAAGGGAAGGGAAGGGCAAGAAGGACCTTGTATTGTGGTTTGAATGCCAGTTTAGCCACAGTAACGTAGAATATCAGGTAAATTTCTAAGGTTTTTGATTCTAATCCTTGGCTGCCAGTCATCATCTCTGGACTTGACTGGGGCCAGAGGAAGCTTGCTGCCCTGAAGGGGAGAACACAAACATAGCTGGCTTCATTACCTGCTAATCATAGAGCTCTAGGGCCTTGAGTGAACATAAGTAGTAGTTAGGTAGTGGTTACAGCGAGCCTTGTGTGACACCTAGTGCTGTGCTGGCTTCAGTTCTGAATCAGCTTAATCCTATTGGTGGTGGCCACAGGGGCGCTTGCATCATGACACCACCAGTTGGAGGCAGCTCAGCACAGAAAGAGAGACTGTTTGTTTGGGAGAAAGTAATGGAAAAGAAAAATAATTTCTTCCTAATAATCAAGAGAATTCTTCTGGGTCTTATCCAACACCAAGAAGGCTGTTCCTCCATGAGTCTGCAAAAGCCACACTGTTACTGAGCTTGGGGCCCAAGTCCCTTTGAATGCCTGGGAAGCCTTCTCAAGAAGAAAAGACACAAAACAGCCCAGACTGTGAAGACTACAATAAATACCAAACTCTTTAATGCCTGGACATATGAGCATCCACAAGCATTAAGATCATCCAGGAAAACATGACCTCACCAGATGAGCTAAATAAGGCACAAGGGACCAATGTCAAGGAAACAGAGATATGTGACCTTTCACAGAGAGAAGTAAAAATAGATGTCTTGAGGAAACTCGAAGAAATTAAAGATAACACAGATAAGAACTTCAGGATTTTATCTGATAAATTTAACAAAGAGATTGGAATAATTTTACAAAATCAAGCAGAAATTCTGGCATTTCAAATGCAATTGGCATACTAAAGAATGCATGACAGTTCTTTAATAGCAGCATTAATCAAGCAGAAGAAAGAGTTAGTGAGCTTGAAGACGGGGCATCTGAAAATACACAGATAAAGGAGACAAAAGAAAAAAATGATAAAATACACCTCTGAGATCTAGAAAATAGCCTCAAAAAGGCAAATCTAAGAGTTACTGGCCTTTAAGAGGAGGTAGAGAAAGAGATTGGTGTAGAAAGTTTATTTAAAGGGATAGTAACAAAGAACCTCCCAAAACTAGACAACAATATCAGTATGCAAGTACAAGAAGGTTATAGAACATCAAGCAGATTTAACCAAAAGAAGGCTATCTGATGGTGTTTAATAATAAAACTCCTGAAGATCAAGGATAAAGAAAGGATCCTAAAAATATCAAGAAAAATGAAACAACCTGCAATGGAGCTCCAATATGTCTGGCAGCAGACTTTTAAGTGGCAACCCTGCAGACCAGGAGAGAGTGGCATGACATAAAGTGCTGAAAGAAAACAATGTTTACCCTAGAATAGCATATCTGATGAAAATATCCTTCAACCATAAAGGAGAAATAAAGACTTTCCCAGAAGACAAAAGTCGAGGGCTTTCATTAACAGGAGACTTGTACTAAAAGAAATGCTAATGGGAGTTCTTCAGTATGAAAGAAAAGGTTGCTAATGGGTAAGAAGAAATCATCAGAAGCTACAAAACTCACTGGTAGTAGTAAGCACACAGAAAACCATAGAATATTATAACATTGTAATTGTTATATGTAAACTACTCTTAGGCAGAAAGACTAAATGATAAATCCATAAAAAATAATAACTACAACAACTTTTTTAGACACAATACAATAAAGCTAAAGAAAATCAATAAAAATTAAAAAGGGGGGACAAAGTTAAAGTGTGGAGTTCTTATTACTATTATTTTCATATATTTGTTTATGCAATCAGTGTTAAATTATCAGTTTAAAATAATGAGTCATAAGATATTATTTGCAAGCCTAATGATAACCACAAATCAAAAAACATACCATGGATATAAAAAAATAGAAATGAAGAAATTAAATCATGCCACGAGAGAAAAATTACCTTTTCTTAAAGGAAGACATGGAGGAAGGAAAGAAAAAAAGGCCGCAAAACAACCAGAAAACAAGTAACAGAATGGCAGGAGTAACTCCTTACTTATCAGTAATAACACTGAGTTTAATTGGACTGAACTCTCCAATCAGAAGACATGGAGTGGATAAAAAAACAAGACCCAGTGATTTGTTGCCTACAAAAACACACTGCACCTAAAAAGATACACATAGAATAAAATTAAAGGGATGTAAAAAGATAGTTCATGCCCTGGGAGGTGGAGCTTGCAGTGAGCCCAGATCGCACCACTGCACTCCAGCCTGGGCAACAGAGTGAAACTCAGTCTCAAAAAAAAAAGATAGTTCATGTCAATGGAAACAAAAGAAAAGCAAGAGTAGCTATATTAATATCAGACAAAATAAATTTCAAGACAAATTTGTAAGAAGAGACAAAGAAATTCACCATATAGTGATAAAGGGGTCAATTGAGCAAGAGGATACAAAAATTATTAATATATATGCACCCAACACTGGAGCACTCAGATAAATATAATATTATTAGAGTTAAAAAGAGAGAAATCTTATGAGCCCCAAGAATTTGAGACAGGTCACAATTAATTTAGAAAATTTATTTTTCCAAGGTTGAGGGCACACATGCCCATGACACAGTGTCAGGAGGTCCTGATGACATGTACCCAACATGTTCAGAACAGAACTTAGTTTTATACATTTTAGGAGGAAATGAGACATCAGTAAACATGTAAGATGATCATTGGTTCAGTCTGGAAAGGCAAGACAACTGGAAGCAGGAGGGGGCTTACAGGTTGTAGGTAGAACAGAGACAAATGTTTGCATTCTTTTGAGTTTCTGATTAGCCTCTCCAAAGGCAGCCAGATATGCATTTATCTCAGTGAGCAAAAGGGAGACTTTGAATAGAATGAGAGGCAGATCTGCCCTAAGCAGTTCCCAGCTTGACTTTTCCCTTTAGCTTAGTGATTTTGGGGCCCCAAGATATTTTCCTTTCACAAAATCAATACAATAATAGTTGGAGCCTTCAACACCTCACTTTCAGAATTGGACAGATTTTCCACACAGAAAATCAACAAAGAAACATCAGACTTAATCTTCACTATAAAAGAAATGGACTTTATAGCTGTATACAGACTTACAGTTTCTTTTCATCAGCACATAATTACTCTCAAGGATAGACCATATGTTCAGTCAAAAAACAAATCTTAAAACTTTCAAAAAATTGAAATAATATCAAGCATCTTCTTTGACCACAATGGAATAAAACTAGAAATCAACAACAAAAGGAATTTGGGAAACTATACAAACATGAAAATTAAACAATATGTTTGTGAATGACAAGTGTGTCAACAAAAAAAATTAAGAAGAAAATTTAAAAATTTATTGAAACAAATTATAATGCAAACATATCATTTCAAAACCTATGAGATACAGGGGAAAAGTCCTAAGAGGCAAATTTATAACTATTAGTTATAAATAAATAATATAAATATTATAATATAAATAAAAAAGAATAAAAACTTCCAATAAATAATCTAATGATGCATCTTAAGAAACTAAAAATGAAAGAGCAATCCAAACCCAAAATTAGTAAAAAAAAAGAGATAATAAAGACCAGAGCAGAAATACATGGAAATGAAGTGAAGAAAACACTATACAAGATCAACAAAACAAAAAGTTATTTTCTGAAAAAACAATCAAAACTGACAAATCTTTATCTAGACTAATAAAAAGTGAAAAGACTCAAGTAAATAAAATCAGATATTAAAAATGAGACATTACAACTGATTCTGAGAAATTCAAAGGATCATTATGGGCTACTATGAGTAACTATATACCAATAAATTGAAAGGCCTAGAAGAAATAAATTCATGGAAACATACAACCTACCAAGATTAAACAATGAGGAAATCCAAAACCTGAACAGACCAATAACAAGTAATGAGATTTATTCTGTGATAAAATTTCTCCCAGGAAATAAAAAGGTCAGGACCCAATGGCTTCACTACTGAATTCTACCAAACATTTGAAGAACTAATGCCAATCCTACTCAGACTATTCCTAAAAATAGAGAAGGAGGGAATACTTGGAAACTCATTCTACAAGGCCAGCATTACTATGATACCAAAACCAGATAAAGACACATTAAAAAAAAGAAAACTATAGGCCAATATCTCTGATGCATACTAATGCAAAAGTACTAAAAAAATACTAGCAAAACAAATTCAACAATGCATTAAAAAGATTGTTTATCAGATCCAAGGGTGATTTATCCCAGGGATGCCAGGATGGTTCAATATATGCAAATCTATCAGTGTGATATATCATATGAACAAAATAAAGGACAAAAACCACATAATCATTTCAATTGATGCTGAAAAAGCACTTGGTAAAATTCAACATTTCTTCATGATACAAACCCTCAAAAAATGAGTGTAGAAGGAATTTATCTTAACATAAAAATGCCACGTATGACAGACCCACAGTAGTAGCATTCTGAAGGAGAACACTGATAGCCTTTCCTTTAAGATTCAAAACACAACAAAGATGCCCACATTCAAAACTCAATATTCAACATAATAATGGAAGACTTAGCTGGAGCAAACTGACAAGAGAAAGACAGGACATCCAAATTGAAAAGGAAGAAGTCAAATTATCCGTGTTTGGAAATGATATAATCTATGTTAAAAAGCCGTTAAGACTCCATAAAAAACTATTAGAACTGATAAACAAATTCTGTAATGTTGCCAGATACAAAATCAACACACAAAAATTAGTTTCATTTCTATATATCAACATTGAACAATCTGAAAAAGACATTAAAAAGTATCCCCATTTACAATAGTCATAAATAAAATTAAATACCTAGGAGTTAACCAAATATTGAAAGATTTCTACAACTAAAACTATAAAACAATGATGAAAGAAACAAGACAACACAAAAGATTGGAAATATATTTTATGTTCATAATTTGGAAGAATCAATATTGTTAAAATGTCCATAGTACCCAAAGCAATCTATAAATTCAATGCAATCCCTATCAATATGCCAATGACATTCTTCAGTGAAATAGAAAAAGTAATCCTAAAATTTATATGGAACCACAAAAGACTCAGAGTATCAAAAGCTATCCTGAGCAAAGAGAACGAAACTGGAAGAATCACATTACTTGACTTCAAATTATATTACAGAGCTATAGTAACCAAAGCAGCACAGTAGTGACATAAAAACAGACACATAAACCAATGGAACAAAATAGAGAACCCAGAAACAAATCTGCATACTGACAATGAACTAATTTTTGACTGAGGTGCCAACAGTATATACTGGGGAAAAAACAATCTCCTCAGTAAATGATCCTGGGAACACTGTATATCCATGTGGAGAAAAATGAAACTAGATGTCTGTCTCTCACAATATACAAAAATAAAATCAAAATGGGTTAAAGACATAAATCTAAGACCTCAAGCTATGAAACTACTACAAGAAAACTTTGGGGAAACTTCAGTGCATTGTACTGGGCAAAGATTTCTTGAGTAATATCCCATAAGCACAGGCAACCAAAGCAAAATGGGCAAGTGGAAAAATGAGAATCCTTGTACACTGTTGGTGAGAATATGAATTATTAAAACCATTATGGAGATCAGTGTGAATTTCCCTCAAAAACTTAAAAGTAGAGCCACCATGTGATCCAGCAATCCCACTGCTGCATATATATATCCCCAAAATGAAGGAAAACAGTACCTTAAAAAGATACCTGCATTCACATGTTTTTTGCAGCACTGTTCACAATAGCCAAGATTTGGAAGCAAGCTGAGTCCACCAACAGATGAATGGATAAAGCAAATGTGGTACCTATACACAATGGATTATTATTCAGCCATAAAAAAGAATGAGATCCTGTTTCACAATAACATGAATGGAACTGTCACAGGATCCTTAGGGTATGGCTTCACCAGCCAGAAACTTCTGTGGCTGGCGGCACCTCTGCTTGGGTTTGCTCATGCCCCAAAGCTCGAAGACTCCAGGATGGTAGACCCCCAAAGACAGTGTTACAGTATGTCACAGCCCAGGCTTGGGAAGCCCCAAGGTCTGGAACCCCAGAAGGGCCAAAGCTCTTCTCTCCTTCTTGCTGCCTGGAGCACAGTGAGCTGAAGGGCATGTTTCAGGGGGGCGTGTTTCAGCCCATTTTTGTTATAGCTCTTTTAATCCCACCACCCAACTCCAACCTGTGGCTCCTGGGCTGGCCCAGCCCTGTCACTGCTTCTCAGGCACCAGGGGAGGGCAGGAGGGCTATAGTATTATAGCAGCTTTTGCTCAGGGAACCCTGAGGTCTGGGCCCCTGGAAGGGTTGCCACTCTTCACTCCCACAGTCTGGGAGTGTGTCACTGCCTGCAGCTCAATGAGCCGGCCTGGTACATGTTACAACTCCTTCCACTCCCGCCATTCAGCAGGTCTCAAGTTGTCCCATGTCCAAGAAGAATGAGGTTATGCAGACAATTGGTGGGTGAGCAAGGTGGAGAGGTGCTTTATTGAGCAACAGAACAGTTCTCAGGAGACCTGAAGTGGGTAGCTCCTTTCCTTAGGCAGGTCATCCCAAAGGGTCTAAATCTGGCTGAATGTGGTCTCTTTATGTGCTCAGAATGGAGGAAGTGTGTGCTGGTTGATTCATGGGCAGCCATAGGCGGGCCTGGAAAAAGCACCATCTGATTGGCCTAAAGGCATCAGTGAAGTTCTGGCTCCAGTCCCGACTCCACACGAAACTGGCAGGCTGGCCTCCAAGCTTCAGGCCATCCCTGGATTAAAGGTTGGGTTTCACCAGGGACCCACCCCTTCCTGCCTAGGAATCTTTCTGCCTCCCACCACCATCAACATGCCATCCATGATGCCCAGGCTTGTCTGCACCAAAGGGTACCGTCAAGCACATGCCAAGCCACCCCCAGCACCCCTTGCTTCCATTCTCCACTCCTTGGCACCCAAAGTTCAGAGGGGGGCAGAGCGGTAGGGGGCTAGTGTGTCAGCACTGCCCTGAGTGCACTTACACCTGGCTATGTCACAGCAGTGCCCGGTCTCGACCACAGCTTTGCTCCACACCTGATTGGGTGCCGCAACTTTGTTTCACACCAGTTTGGATGCTGGGAGTTGAGAGAGGCCAGATAGCAGGAGCAGGCACTTACAAGCCTGCAGGGGCAAGCGGCTTCTCAGACCCCCGAGAGTGCAGGAATGCCTGGGTCTGGAGATGTGCCTGGGCACTTACAGCTGTGCCCAAGAGCATGTTCTCCTGCTCCGCCAACTCGGTAGAGTGTGGGGCTCCCACTGGGATCACCTATTCCCAGCCCCTGCTGGCTCTGCGGAGCGTGCAGCCCAGGCGGTACCTCCCCCACTGCAACTGGAGTCCTTGCAGCAGCCACTCCAGATGGGCCACCACTGCCATCAGAACTGGAGGTCATTATGTTAAATGAAATGAGCTAGGCACAGAAAGACGAACATCGCATGTTCTCACTTACTTGCGGGATTCAAAAATCGAAACAGTTGAATTCGTGAACATAGAGAGTAGAAGAATGGTTACCAGAGGCTGGGAAGGGTAATGGGAAAGTGGGAAGGAGATGGGATTGTTAACTGGTACAGAAAAAAAAGAATCAGTAGGACCTAGTATTATTTGATATCACAAAAGGGTGGCTCTAGTCAATAATAATTTAACTATACATTCTAAAATAACTAAAAGAATATAATTGGATTGTTTATAACACAAAGAATAAATTCTTAAGTGGAAGGATACCCTGTTTTACATGACTTTATATTATGCAATGCATGCTTGTATTAAAATATCTCATTTACCTTATAAATATATACACCCATTATATACCCACAAAAATTAAAAATCAAGAAAAAGAATAAAGTTAGAGTATTCACATTGCCTGTATTCAAGTTACACTACAAACCTATAGTAACCAAGGCAGCATGGTACTGGCATTGAAACAGACCCGTAGACCAATGGAACAGAATAGAGAACCCAGAAATAAATCCCTGCATTTACAGTCAACTCATTTGTGTTAAAGGCACCAAAAATATACATTAGAGAAAGGACAATCTCTTCAATAATTGGTGCTGGGAAACTGGATATCCACCTGCAGAAGAATAAAACAAGGTCCCTATCTTTCTTCATATACAAAAATCAAACCAAAATGAATTAAAGAGAAATCTAAGATATGAAACTACTAGAAGAAAAATTATATTTTAATATTTCATGAAAATAGAAGTAAATTAATGTCTTAAAGACAAGCCATAATAGTATTTTAGCTATGCTTTCTAGTTTGCCTGGGAGAGTCCTGTTTTAGCCTGCTTTCCTAGAACAATTATTAAAGTATTCTTTTTCACTCTCAAAACAGTCTCAGGTTGATTATAAATGATATATGTATGTGGCATGGTATGTTTCTAAACACATAAGAAAGTTTGACATTAATTTATTATAATATGAAGGAAGAATAAATAGAATATTTAGTTTTCTTTCATTTTTTTCACTTTCCCAGTTTCTTTTATTGGTTAAATGCAGGAAAACAACCAAATAAAATTTTCTTTGATATTTTCTTTTAAACTCGCAAGTGTCAAGATGTCAGTTTCTTTGGTACTCAAAATATTGGAAAACAATGGAGTATTTTCAGTAAGTTTCTATGATTAATTAAAAGCCCTCTTAAGTGGAACAGAAATATTCATTGCCTTACCCTGTCCTATCTTCTTTTTTCTAGTTTAATATAATCCACACAATAATCATAATCTAAAATCTTGAATAAACAAAAAGGCCATGCAGTAGAATATAGACTGTTATTCACATTGGGATATTATTTAAACATCTAAAAAGCCATCCAACATTGACTTTTCTTAATGCATGTGAAACAAGTTCTTACCCAAACAGGAGAATATGAGGATTGTATATGAATAAAAAAATTTCTTTGTAAAACTATAGAATAGGGTTGCAAGAGTTCATCATATAAAACTTGGGGAAACCTTTTAAAAAATAGACCCCTAAAAACTATTTTATAATATAGTTTTATCATGTTTACAGATTAATAGAAAATTTCCATGGTAAGCAGAATAAGCAATTTATGCAACAGTGGTACTATTTTATTGGTAAGAAAATATGCAACAGCAGAAATCGGCAAAAGCTGACTCAAGGAAGTGTAAAATCTCAGTGTGCTTTTTGTTAACAATTAGATTTTTCTGTTCCAATGCTTGCAGAAAGAAACTACAAAGCATTTATAATCTCTCAGCTGGCTTGTCTTCAGAAACAAGGGTATTCACCTTTGACAGGTGAATCATAGAAGTCGCTTTCCATATTCTTTGGTTGCCTTAAAATAGATTTTTTGTCCTCACATTTTTGCTTTAATCAGGAATGGGTCAATAGCGTTTTGTCCTTGCCTTCCTTCTTATTTAGATGGCAGTTAGCAAAGATTTTGTAGTTGTTATTGTTCTCCTAATCTATTTCTTCGTAAATACCAAAAACTTCCAAATGAAAATCTATATGCTGCTATTACTTTAAAAGTGAAATAATGTCATTCCAAAGAGTGAAATTTCCTTTGTGAGTGATTTAAGACAATTTTTAAAAAGACAATAGCATGTTATGAAAGGTACATAAGAAGCAAAGTTGTCTTTTCAAAATAAATGGTCTGAAAGAAAAGCAAAAGCGTGTGTTTAAAAAATCAAAAGCAGCCATAGCAAGATGTAATCCAAATATTCTATGGACTCTAATCTGAAATACTGTGATGAGATTTTGTAGAAATATGCTTTTGAGGGACATTCTTAGTAAATTAGTGGACTGTTGTTTTGTTTTGTATTTTGTATTTGAATCATTAAATCATTGAGAAACAAGTGAAGTTAAACATATCAGAGAATATTACAAAGTAGAATAAATTTAAAACATACACAACAAAATATGTTTCAAAATATTTATACAAGGTCAAAAGAAAGATTTCCTATTAAGTAAAATTTTTAAAAATTACCCAAAAGATGAGTTAACCAACAAGCATAGAAAACAGAGATAGAGAAAAAAAAGCTATAACAAAATTACTACCAGAAATAATGCAGGAACCAGATTTTTTCAGTGAGTTAAAAACAAACAAAAATTGATGTGAAAGATACTTCTTATAATATGTAAACTCATCTAGAGTATAAAATGATAGAAAGATGTAGAAAATATTTTTACCATTATAAAGTAGATTTGAGAGCTTGAAACAAAAACAAAACTAGAGATAATCTTTTATAAAAATTAAAGAAAAATATGCAAATAAAATGAAATCCAACTGCATACTTCAGAATGAATTATAATGCAAAATATCAGTATTTTATTAGAGAAAAACTTCTTTACTGTCCACAAAATGGATAGTTAAAAATTTTACATCCATAGATGCTAAAAATATTTTAATGCAAGAATGGGAAGTAGACTGATAGTTACACACATACATACATATATATTCTTTTACATATATTTCTTTTATACACACATACACACACATATTCTTATATGTAATCCAAAAATACATACACACATATATATACATATATACACAATGTAAAGCTATATACATATAACACCTTATATATACATAGTATGTGCTAAATTTGAAAGGCGAATGACTAAAAAGTTACAAAATATTATAAACTCATCAAAGTGAGCTTGACTATTTGCAGAAACATTTCAATGGGATTTCAGTAGAATTCAATAGAATGGACCATTCAGTAAAAATATGAACTTGGACAAGGGACTTTTACAAATTATCTGAGAAAATACATGGATAGAGGGGACAAGACAATTCTGAAAAACTAAAAAGGAGATTTGTGTTTCTTTTAGACAGTTACATATTTTTATAGAGGAAAAAATAACTAAAATGATGTGATGTTTCTGAACAAATAGACAAAGTATTGGAATAGGCCAGAAAGCCTTAAAATATTCTTTATTTATACATAAAACTAATATTTATAAAGAAGGATTCATCAATACATGGAGCTGGAGTAATTATTTATTTTTTAAAAAATTACCTGAGCACCAAAATATAGTCCAGATGGATAAAATACTTAAGAGCAGAAGGTAAAACCATAAGAAAGTAGAGATAAGTATGATTAATTTTTTAGCTAACTTTCTCAGCTTACTGGGTAAGAAAATAAATAAATAAAAATTGATAGGTAAATCTAGTTCAAACTTGGAAATGTTCTCTTTAAGATGTAATACAAATTATTTTAAGAAACTAAAAATCTAGAAAAAATTGTGTTATATATACTTAGTATATTTAATACATAAGGAACTGTTATTACAAATTAATAAGAAAATTATGAAAATCCAGATAGAGATTGTGAAAGGCAATTCATAAGGGAAAAGTAAAAATTGCTAAACTTTGATTTTAAAATTACTATTATACAAACATATAAATTAAACATAGTTTGTATTTTTTTAAATTAAAAAGAAAAATTATAGTTTTGGTGTAGTTGCACTGAAACTGAAAATATAGTACCCTGCTCTTAGAAATGTAAACTACTAGAACCTTTCAGGTAAGAAATACAATATCCAGTTATCAAAAATGTAAAATTGTTCATATCTTTTCTGAGCATTTGAATCTTATCCTAAAAATAAAAAAATAAAAAAGAAAGAAAATAATATAACAGGATCTTTATCCTATATTATTTGTCATAATACAGATAAGCAATAAAATGTTCAATCAGAAAATTATAGTGTATCCACATGAAATGTGAGGTACATATTATAGATCATAGTCTTTAAAACAGTAAGGAAGGATAAACACTATAATGCAAAAATTTTATATACATTTATACACATCAAATATAATCCTCAAAATTATCTATTATCTCAAAAATGTATACATACATATTTATATTTACATGTAACCAGAAGTTTACCTTATTAGAGTATCATACATTAGCTGTGAATAATATAATAAACTATATTATTTTCTTGTTAAAATTATCTCAACTTTGGGAATTTTCTACATTAATATATTACTTTTATAATCAGAAAATGTTATATGATATTGCTTGTTTTTATGCTTGTGGCTATTATTCTCTTTCCAATATGGCATTAACTTTGCAGAAAATGATTTGGCCTATCACAGGATGGTTAGAGAATACAGTGCACCTGTTATGAGCAATATTTTTCTGCCACTTGGCTGAAGTGCTCTAGTTGGTCCAGTGGCTTTCTGACAAGAAATTGGAATGATTTTGAAATGACATTTGGCTGTGGATAGAAAAAAATATAAATTTCTGGTAGATAAAAATCATATTTAAATGACCAGTTTTCCTCTTTTAACATATTAAAAGACAGTTTGCCACCTCCAATCTTTCTGAAAGTTGAAAATACTATGAATTAATATTTTATTTAAGCAAAAATAAAGTTCAAGATTTCTATCAAGGAAGTTGGAGAGGATACAAACTAGGATCTCTTTACATAAAATTCTAATTATATTTCTCTTTTAGTGAGATTCACTTATTAAAAATTCCAAAATTTCTTTAAATGTGGTTATTTTGGCATAATCTGTAATTTTCTCTGTTTTCAAGTTTGGGTATACTCCAAAATATGCAATTTAAATTCCAATGTAAACAAAGGTTTAGCTGATTGTATTGTTCAGCATATCTTAGTTTTGCTATACTTTATGACATTCTTGAGTGAGTTTTTTGTTAACTATATATATGTATGTGTGTATGTGCATGCATGTGTGTATTTGTAGTTTTGACAAAGTGAAAAATTAATTTGAAATGTCTGAAGTTGTTATATCTATTTATAAAATAAATGCAAATACCATGTCATCCTTAAAATTAATATATGTAAAGCTCACAAGATATTGGGAAATATGAGCCAATGCTTCATCTGTTCCAATTCAAAAGACTCCTTCTTCCAACCTCAAACTTCCAAACAATAACAATTACAACAATATGCATGTAGCTAAAACAATGCAAATATCACTTATACAAGTACAATTTTGCTTTTCTTTGTCTCCAAATGTTGTTAACAAAAATTTCAACAGTTAATGCCATCTTCTTCAAGGTCAAATTCTCATATTGTTTTTATTCCTCCTCTAGTTATTGCTTTTGGATATTCTCTAAACTATGAACTAAAAACTGTTAAAACTAGCCACTACCTACATACCCTGCATCTAAGAAGAAAGGAACAGAGAAAGGGAACAAATATAAACAAGTTAAAATCACTTAAATCAGATCGTGACACTGAAAGGGTACAGATATGAGTAGATACCACAGCTCATGAGTTCACAATCAAGTCTATGTGCTAGTACATTCTGAGGACCTACCTGTACTCTAGGCCTTCAGGACTGATACAGTTTGGCTGTGTCCCCACCCAAATCTCATCTTGGATTGTAGCTCCCATAATTCCCTCAGGTTGTGGGAGAAAGCAGTGGGAGATAATTGAATCATGGGGGCAGTTTCCCCCATTCTGTTCTCATGGTAGTAAATAAGTCTCATGAGATTTGGTGGTTATATAAGGGAAACCCCGTCCAGTTGGATCTCATTCTTTCTTGCCTGTTGCCACCTAAGATGTGCCTTTCACCTCCCTCCATGATTGTGAGGCCTCTTCAGCCACGTGGAACTGTGAGTCCATTAAACCTCTTTTTCTTTGTAAAGTTCCCAGTCTTGGTTATGTCTTTATCAGCAGCGTGAGAACCATTTAATACAAGGACTTACCTTACATTAGGATAGAATAGCTCCCAACAGTCACTAAGCCCTGTCTATTATGGACTTCACTTCACCTCCTAACATTACAGATAGTGTCAGCCTCCTTCAGTTCAAGGTCTGGGCTTTTGCCAGGCCCCACATAGTCTATCGGCCCCAGTGCCCAGGTTCATTACAAATAAAACCACTAAATCTCTGACTTTTCCAAAGTTAGTAAGAGGGGCTGATTAACACAAGCTGGAAGAGAGGGGCTCTTATCTACCCATTGGTTGAACTTTGACCAGTGAAAGAGAGTGTGAAGTATCCAGTAGATTCATTGCATCCCCTTCCTGCCTATAACGGACCATTCCTAGAGGTAATGGTTTTATATGGTTTCTCTAAAAACTCCCTTGACCTAGAAATCACTGGGTTCTTTTAAGAAACTCGGAAAGTATAAAATGCACTACTCTTTTTTTGCTTCTCCTTCTTTCTGAGTCATTTCTTTTTTTTTCCTTTCACTATTGCTTTCCTGGAATTGAACACTCATCCCTAAAACATTACTATATAAACTGTGCCTTAAGCTATACTTTCTAGAGAACCCGAATTAAGACATTATTTTTCTGCTGTTGTCAGAAGGCTACTTCTGATATTTATGCTTTCATTCTCCATTAATCATTTAATATTTTATTTTCCTTCATCAGCCAACACTGCAGGCAGTTGAGGCTTTTTCCATGATGAAGTAAATCCAACTATGATTTCTGAAGAATAGAATTTATTGGTGGTCCTACCTGTGTGATGTTTCTGCAGTCTCTGAGGTTTCCGGAGTCTTCCAATAAATTTTACTCCTGTATGTGTCAGACTAGGAGGCACCCAAGATAAGACCTTGGGGTCTAAATATACTACAACCGTATCCCCAGCAAACCTGTTTCTCCTTGATAATCAAGATCGATACCTTCTATTTTGCATCTTTGACCTGCAGTATGAAGAACTTGAAATGGACAAATGGCAATTTGAGACTCCAATTCAGCGAGACCATTGTAGGGTCTTCTGATGGAGTAGCTTATCCTTGTGTTCTAAAACTTCTCATCAAGGCCCTAATACAGGCTAGCAGGACCCAGAAATGGAAGAATGGAAACACCTTGTGAAGGTTTCATTAGGTATGAGAGTGACAGTTGTAACACACACTCTGGCCTGATTCAGAGAATACACACACTTCACATTGGATAGCAGTCTAATTTATTAGATGTTACCTATGGTCTTACTTCCATTCGGTTTTCAGACAATTTCAACTCTCCGTAAGGCCACGTGATTCTGTGGGATAAGGTACATGGTAAGACAGTAAATTCTATGATTTTTAGGCCATTATCTCAGTTGTGTCCACATAAAATTAGTAATTTGGTCAGAAGCAACATTATAAATAAAGCATTATGTAAGCCCAGAGATGGAGTTGCTGGCAGGAATGGAAGAAAAATCCTAATCCAGAGTAAATGCCTAGTCTAGTTGGAAAAAACTATTATCCCCTTCATGATGGAAGAGGCCCAATATTTTAATCCAAAATCTGTGGTTGGCTGGATCATCAGAGATTAACACATTTAGATTTGGTCTCTTTCACTGGTTCTGGCAATTTAAATATTGAGCAGAGGCGAAAGCCAGTAAGCTGTGGAGTAGGGAAGTATTTGTTGCCACATAGCATCTGACTCTGCCAGCAAGATTGTGGAGTTCATTGGCCAAGCAGTAAGGAAGCTTGGAAGAGAGGCCAACTGAGAACCACTAGAGAATTGAGAGTCCCAAGTAGTTTTAGTGAACATTCACATTTTACATGTTGCATAATATCCTCACACTCTGAATCCATTTCAAAAGTTCCATCTATATACTTCTTTCTAAAACATCCTAGTAACCAATCCCAACATACCAGTTTTTTTCCAAGTTCTTCTCTGTCCAAACAATTGTCCACCCCCTACTTATGTAGATTTTTATCTTTGTTTTATCCAGCCGTTCTATCTTTTGCCAGAAGAATTAGATGCTACATAATTCAACTCGTGAGTCGGACTGAAACGCTACAACTCTTCTTTTCCTATTTCCAGCGTACTATGGAAGGTCTTCAGGAAATCTTTTGGCTCTTGTTTACAGCATGCTCCTCCTTCTGCAGTTATGTATTGAGGGAGGGGTAGAATTATGTCAGGTGTAAATTCAGTGGAGGCATTAGTTATTTATTAAAGTAACATACATGTGCTTTCAGATTCTGTTCACATTTTTGCTTCATGATTTAGGGCTGAAGAACATGCTTGATTTCTCAGGCTCATACAATCTGATAACATCCAGACATGATAGGCAGCTCAGGTTACCTGCCTACCGAGTTTTATAATTAGGCATTCAGTCTCTACCAGGACTCAGGAGTAAGCCAATAATTATTTCTCTAAAGGAGAATAATTACTTGTCAGTGAAGGTCTGACTTTACTTTAAAAACATAGAAACTTTGCTGTGATTCTCTGAGTGTGGGCTTACCACAAATGCCATATATTATCCAGGTATGCCACAGACACTTTGAACAATATTGGATTCCTTAGGTCATAAGGTTTCAGTGAGAGGCTACTGGCATAAAGCCCAAATCAGTTTGGCTATCTTTTCTTTTTTATTTTTCTCTCAATACTGGTATCATTTTGGGCTACTCTGTAAATGAATTAGAGCAACACACACAAATAAATTATATTTTTCCCGGAAAAATCCAAAAGAATGTACTATGTGTTATTTTTCATTCTTTGTGCTATAGAGTGCAAGGTGAAGCAAACTATCTTTCATTTTGAAAGGAATATCCCAATATTTGTAGACTTCTAAATTCTCCAGAGTTTCACTCAGGAATCCTGCTCCTGTGTTTTCATAATATTTATTTATTTATTTCCTATCCTCTAGAAATAGTGTTTTCCCAGCCACCTGGCAGACCTGTTGTTTTCTGTTCATCAGATCTTGGGAACCTGATATTATCAAGGTAGTAGAGTAGTGTACAGCCTTGGTGAGAAGATTGAAGATTAAAATGTCTTGAGTGACACAGATCCATGCAAGCAACTTAATAAAGATACAGTGCTACCCTTACTAAATAAATGAATCCTGATTATTTTGATAACTTTTGGGATAGAGGAAGAAAACATATTCAAGGTTAATACTTGCATATAACTTGCTAGGAGTTATGTTGATATGCCCAAGAAGACACCACATGATTACAATGTGATAATGAATAAAATGTGAAATAATATCAGTAACTTGAATCACTAACTTATTGAATTTATGGTAATTTACTCATTCTCCAAGATCCACCAACCTTCTGCATGGAACAATAGACATGTGAAATCATGATATGATTGCAACTAACACTGCTATATCTCTTGCTTTTATCAGTGGCACTAATTTCACTCACCCGTGAGATTTTACAAATGTTTTACTTTTTTGAGAGGAAGAATGATGATCAGAATCTTCCTATTGGCTCTTCCATCCATATTATCTTTTAGACCAGAGAACAGAGAGTTATTATGGATACTGTCTCAGGTTCCGATTATATTTATTCTTGTCTTAATTTGGGAATCAAGGTGACAACTTGTTTGGTTCAAAGATTCACTGGACCACATGAAAAGAGTTAGTTAATTAGTCACTTATTACCAATTTCAATAAACTACCACTTGGATCTGTCTACTAAAGTGTTCTGGATTCCCAAGTGTTAGATTAGGATAAAAACAGTAGAACCCAAATAGTCCAAGAAATATCAGGATTTTTCCATTTCCTCATGTGTTCGTGCTCTTGTAAATAGCTGCAAATCCCTTTGGGGAAAGACAGAATAAATTTATAGCACATGCTTCTGATATCGCAAGGTCTTTTTCAAGTGTGTTCACTGTATTATGTCTGTTGTCCTCTTCTCTATGCTTCACTAAGAAGACAAACATCCTACGCAAGACAAAATTTATTGCAAGATCAGCAAAGTTTTAATAAACATGCCTCACACCAATATTATTTTTCATCTACTACAAAAAACTTGTTTGAATTCCAAAGAGTTAGTTAGAATACACTGCAATGAGATATTTATGTTCAACTACTGGTATCACATAATTTATTAAAAGTGATTTCAAATGGGATTAAGAAAATTTAAACTTTCCTTCATGTGGTCATAAGAAAATACAAACTTTCTTTTCAACGGTCATAATACACAGAAAACATTTTAAAAAATTCTATTCAGTGTTTTGACAGGGTTGACAAACAGCAAAGCAGTCACTTGTTAATGTTGATTTACCAATTATCTCTAACAGGGTTCCATTCCTGGCCTCTAGAACTTGCTGTTTGACCATGATTAACTACTGAATGGGACTTTCATTAGTGATACTGAATTGAAAAAAGAAATATCACTTTTCATAAAGACATAAATTAAGTTTATATTATACTTTAGCATTTAGACACTGTAAACATGTTCATCACATTGATCAAATGCTTAAATGAAGAAAAAGCTGCCTTTGAATGTATTTGCACTAGATAAGACAGTTTGTTCAAGATTAAAGGTGACAAGGCATGTTTCCAAAATTATTCTACACTTAAAATTTTACTAGAAGGCAAAATGTCATAAAGAAAATAACATTTTAAAAAAATATCTAAGATACCTAAGTTTGCATAGTGGATATGCTACCAGATACACACACACACACACACACACACACACACACACACACACACACACATAATATATGATAATTATTATATATTATATATAATTATCATATATATTATATATATTTAATTTAGACAAGGGATTTAACTTTTCTAAGCACTAACTTGTGAATTTTCTATTGGAAATAGAACTATCTACCTTTCTTATTCAGCAATAATGTTTAAAAAGCACATAGCCAGAGTTTGGTGCATAGCAATTAAATAGTAGCCATTGAGTATAGGATGTAAAAGATACAAATTATGAGATCATTATTTCATGAAAGAGTATTCTGAATAAATACCCTTAAAAAGAGAGAGAAGGTTGTCATTCATATGGGTGACATTCATATGGATCTTTACAGAGGTGTGTGACAGCAAGATCTCTTCTTTCACATTCTACTTCCATTTCAGTCAGTCCTTACTAATGACTGTGCATGCTGGGGCCTAATTCATACTAGGCTTGTGGGGGTTGGTTCTTAGCAATTGTGGAATATTGAGGTAAATAAGTCCAGGAGTACAAGGCCAAGGAGTCACAAAATAGCTTTAACCAGAGGGACAATATTGGTAACCATTTTAAATGTTGACCTTGGAAGTAAGATTTAATCTGAAGAATTGATTATATGCTGCCTATTTTTTGAAAACTAGCCTAGACCATATCTTCACGGCCTTTGAGAATAATAGACGTTAGTGAAAACACAAACAAGTGCCAGATGAATGTTATCTTCTGTTTCTTCATTAAACACATACTTTATCTTTCCGTAATGATAGACAAGCACAAAGCCACAGTAAATGTGTCTTGTGTTTTTATGTCCCTATAAAAGGAAATTTAGTTTTTGTTCTAGCATGTCCCTTTATAGTGAAGTGAAGTAAAATATTCTAACTCTCATAATTAAAAACATAAATATTATCTTATTTCAAAAATTTTAATATAATTTTCCCTTTTTAAGACTAAATGGTTGTGATTAATTTATTACAGTAACCAACAATATCAGACTGGAGGAAAGTCATATTCTTTACTGAGGTACAATATCTCACCATTTTATAAGAAATTAATCAGCATTTTCTCTGAGGGTAAGAACGTATTATGGAAAGTAAGCACATTGACAAGTCTCTAGGGCCTTTATGTACATTACTGTCTCTAAAATATTTATATTAGTAATATTTTAAATGTGCAAAATTAACATAGAAAGGACAAAGTTTCTCTTCTGGTTTGACCACTGTTCCCAAAAAGCTCTTCTAATAGTGCTGAGCTAATTAATAAATATGGAGTTACCAAATAACTAATTATTTCTTGCATTCATTTTTCATAAGGTAAAACAGTATTTTTTTTTCAGAGGCCTCTGAAAAATCTAAAAATTAGTTTCAGGTGAAAAAACAATTCTGAATATTTTTTTCTAAATTTATATCCATGTCATAGGAAAGTGAAAATCATGAGTCAGTTGGACCAAAGATATTTGGTCACTTAAGTACAATATGGTCATATATGCCTCAGAAAAAGTATGCAAAGTTGTTTCTCCATTCTTCTTCTGTCAGTTCCAAAAATGATAGCTAATGATTATCCAACATTCAAAATCTGTGTCATCATTCTTGCATCTTTAAAAAGAAAGCAACCCACTTTGTCAAGCATTTTATAGCATTTTATGGCTACTCTTACACACTAAGTTTTTTTTCATTCATTTAGCATTTAAGTAAAATTGATTTGGTTATCTTTTCTGGAAATAAGCAGGACTAGGCTAAAGTGAGAGGTTTGGAGTTCATGGAGATACTCCTGGATGCACATATTACATATTACTGAGTCCTTAATACCTGGATTTTGAATGCCCCTTCTCAATTAGGAGAACAGTAAATGCAATTCATATAGCTTGCAGTTATCTTTATAATTTCATCTTCCATAAGAATTCTTGGAACAACTCTTTCTTGCCGTTATACTCTACATTTGTCCTCAAGGGAATTGCTTGGCTAGCTGAAACTGCTGTGCTTTTCGAAACTACCCTCCAGAAGAATCAAGATTCTTTCTTCTCTGGCATGCTTTCTGTCTAAAGATACTTAAGTTCTAACAATTTATTTTTCTATAGTATTTACAGTGTCCACTACTGGAAAAAATATATCATCCAATACTAAATAACAATAACAAATACCTAAATCCGTTAATTTAGCAGGCCATTAATCTAGTTATCAGATCACAGTTGAATTTTTATTAAATAAAGTCAGAGGTAAATGTTGACTTTTCAATAATCATTAAAAATCTGTAAAATTATCTTAAAATTTCACCAGAATTTGTATTATGAATATATCACCTAAGATAAAAAACCAGTCATAAAAACTCTCAAAGATGTTTATTCTCATATTTTTTAATCATGGTAACCCCAACAGTGACAAAACTATATCTCTACTATTTACTAGAGAAATCGGTAAGCTGACTGTAGAAACATTTCTGAATGGAACATTCAGAAATAAAGTCCTATAAAATTATTACATTAGTGATTATATTAATATGGAAATGACTTACGTTGTCATGTTAAGTAAAAAAAGCAAAATGAAAATGTGTGATCATAACTATGTAATACAAATGAAAAAAAAATAATAGCAAAGAATCTAAAATTAAGTAACCTATATTTTATATTGAGTTGTTTTAAGTATGAGATATTTAAGCAATTTTTTCATTTTATTTTCTGTGCTTTCAAGTTCACTTATTCAAATATTTTAAAAATACCTATAATGATGTAGAAATCATCATGGGCATTGGAAAGATAAGAAGAAAAAGACAGACATAGCCATTTTCTCATAGAGCTTTCCATGTAATGGAAGCAATGATTATTCAACAAATATATAAAAACTTCTAAAATTACAGTGAGGACAGGTAATGTGCAATGTAAGCATGTAATATAAAGATATAACTTGTCCTAAAGTTTTATTTTGTGGGAGAAGTAATATATAATCTCTGACTGTATAATTCTCATAACACAAATATTTTCTTTTCTAATAAACATTCTTAAACACATTGCTTAGTCTAAGAATTAACACGACTAGTTTAATTGTACCTGTGTGCTCTTCCATTATATTAGTCTATTACTGCTTTCTACAGCAAATTAGCATGCTTAATTTTGAGTTGATCACTTATTTGCGTTTTTGACCTTTTGTTATCATAACGTATCTTTAAATACACACCAATGTTATTGATTTTTTTGCTGGATTTTACACTATAATATACTGCTTACGCTGTGTATAATCATGTGGGACGTCTTTTCCCCTCAGCATTAAGTTACACAATTCTAATGTTCACAAGTGTTCTCCTCTCTTTCTCAGCTTTCTCATACTTGGTTTGGAACACAGGGTCAATTTTGAGAAACAGACCCTGAGCAGAAGTAGTGTGTATAAATTCTGGACTGCAACAATTGTTGGTATAAAATTGCCTCCAGTGCTCTTTTTAAAATGATATTGTGATCTTGGAGAAGCCCTGATTCTGAGGTGCCAAAGGATCAAAGCAGACTGAGTCTCTGACTACTACAAAAAGCTTTTCTGTGGTATATTTTAGTATATTTTTAAAATATATCTAAAAACTGCAGAAAGCTTTTCTGTAGTAGCTCAGAGGTGCTCTTGGAAATCATCCAGAACAAGGATCGGCAACTATGATCATGGACTAAATCCAACCCCCTGCCTGTTTTTGAAGATAAAAATTTATTGGAACACAGCCATGCCCAATACAATCATTTATTGGTGTATTGTCTATGGTTGATTTCATATTTTGATGAAGGTAAGCAGTTGCAACAAAGACTCTGTAGCCTGCAAAGTCTGAAATATTTGTCATCTAGCTCCTTACAAAAAGAGTTTGCTGATCCCTGCTTTGGACCGATGGCAGTGTTAGAATGTGTAGTATTAAGCCGGTGTTCTCTTTAGTCATAAAGATTATCATATATTGTTTCTGAAGTGGCATAATATGTCTAACACCAAATATTATATAACATTCACTTATGCTGTGGGATATAGCTATAACTCATTCATTTTTAGGGTTGCTTAACACTCCTTTTTGTGATTATAACACAATTTATGTAACCGTACCACTGCCGGTGGACACTGGGTTATATGCAGTTTTTTGCTACCGAAAACATTGCTTCAAAATTTTCAGTTTTTGCAATGGTGGAATAGCTCCTATTGGGACAAATAACAACCACAAACTCTAGACACGAAATTAAAATAACTATCTGAGAGCACTGGAGAGTGACTGAAAGCAGGAAGATCTGGTTGGAGTCCCTTCTTGGAAGAAAAAAACTGTACTGTGTGAGATTTTGTCCCTTTAAGAATAAAATATGTTTCAGTATGTGCTGTGCCAGGTGGCTAATATGGGCATAAGAAAACCATCATTCCTGGCTAACATGGTGAAACCCTGTCTGTACTAAAAATACAAAAAATTAGCTGGGCGTGGTGGCGGGCGCCTGTAGTCCTATCTACTCGGGAGGCTGAGGCAGGAGAATGGCGTGAACCCAGAAGGCGGAACTTGCAGTGAGCAGAGATTGCGCCACTGCACTCCAGCCTGGGCGACAGAGTAAGGCTCTGTCTCAAAAAAAAAAAAAAAAAAAAAAAAAAAAACTGCTGCACACCTATTAGGATGGCTAAAATCCCAAACACTGTTAACATCAAATGCTGACAAGACTGTGGGACAACAGCAACTCTCATTCAGTATTGACTCATCTATTGTAACAATTTGTCCCAATTTGTCCCAGCATATTTTAGTGAATAATTTATTCTATTCTCACTGAAATCAAGTTTAGCCATCATAATAATGAATTGTCCATATATCTAAGTATCTATTTCTAGATTTTCTATTCTCTTTGAAATACATCTATTCAAATACTAGTACCATACATTTTATTACTATGATTTTAATATATTTTATATGTAGTAGGGAAATCCCCTACTTCTTTATTCTTTAGATGAAACTAAATATTGATATACCAAATTGTTACAAGAAAAAGAATGCCCTGAGAACTTGATTGTAATAACATTAAATTTATCAAATAATTGGGGGATAATTGACTTAATCATAATTACAAGAGCTGTTTCAAATCTTTTTAAGTACCAAACACAATAATATTGTTGAAATACATTTGCCATGTTTATGAAATTCTTAATGTAATATTATTTGTAATGGTAATATTAGTAATAGTTTGATATATTAATAATTCAGTTGATCTAAGCATGCATTCTTTCATGATGATGATTATGGTCAAAATATGCCAAATGTGTCTGTAAATATCATGCATAATATAATCACTTAGCAAATAAATTGCTGAAAGAGAAGGAAAAACGTAGAGTTGGTTCTAAAGCTGTGGCAATGTTGCTTTTAGTCATATGTTCTCATTTACTCCATTCCAGAATGTTTATGTGCTATTGCATAGTCCCTGGCGTGCCATCTGTTCCTGCAGTCAAGACCAGTAAACTCAGGTGAATAGAGGATGTTACATTTTTTATTTCTGAATAGATCAGTTAGCCACGCACAGAGAAGCATTCTGTTTTGTGGCCACTTATTATACTCTCAAATCATATAAACTCTCCTGCAAATGTGTGCAATGTATTACATGGGAGATTAGATAAAAGAGCATAAAGCGAAGATAATCATATTACAGCATTTAAGGGCATATTTTTTAATTGAACACTCTAAACTGAAATTTGGCTCAGCCATTTACTAGCTCCATGACCTTGGGCAAATTAATAACGTACTTTAAGCCTTAATATCCTCAGTTGTAAATCTTAAAGATAAAAAAGGAACTATGTATTATGTATTTTTATGTATGTGAAACTGTTATTACCGTACCTCACTTACTGTAAGCATTCAATCTTCATTAGTTGCCATTATGATGCGCTTTACTAAGTTAGTGCAAATAGCAACTTTAGTAGGTTGTTAATGATATCATTTATATTATAAAATAAAAGGGAAACATAAAGTGTATTTTACTTTACTGTGGATTAAAGATAACTGATAGAATATTTGTAAGATCATATAATGTTATTCTTAACTGATTTGGAAGTAAAATCTAGTCCTTCTGATAGAAATCAAAGTTCTTTCCACCAGCCTGGCATACTTAAACAAACTTTCTTTTTAAAGACTTGTCAGTTTACGCAAAGTATTTACTGGGTTTTACATGGTTTAGTTGAAGTAAGACATCTATTTTATTTTTTTATATTTTATTTTTATTTTATTTTATTTATTTTATTTAATTTTATTTTTTTATTATACTTTAAGTTTTAGGGTACATGTGCACAACGTTCAGGTTTCTTACATATGTATACATGTGCCGTGTTGGTGTGCTGCACCCATTAACTTGTCATTTAACATTAGGTATACCTCCTAATGCTATCCCTCCCCCCTCCCCCCACCCCACAACAGGCCCCAGTGTGTGATGTTCCACTTCCTGTGTCCATGTGTTCTCATTGTTCGATTCCCACCTGTGAGTGAGAACATGCGGTGTTTGGTTTTTTGTCCTTGTGATAGTTTGCTGAGAATGATGGTTTCCAGCTTCATCCGTGTCAAACAAATTTACAAGAAAAAAACAAACAACCCCATCAAAAAGTGGGCAAAGGATATGAACAGACACTTCTCAAAAGAAGACATTTATGCAGTCAAAAGACACATGAAAAGATGCTCATCATCACTGGCCATCAGAGAAATGCAAATCAAAACCACAATGAGATACCATCTCACACCAGTTAGAATGGCGATCATTAAAAAGTCAGGAAACAGCAGGTGCTGGAGAGGATGTGGAGAAACAGGAACACTTTTACACTGTTGGTGGGACTGTAAACTAGTTCAACCATTGTGGAAGTCAGTGTGGCGATTCCTCAGGGATCTAGAACTAGACATACCATTTGACCCAGCCATCCCATTACTGGGTATATACCCAAAGGATTATAAATCATGTGGTTATAAAGACACATGGACATGTATGTTTATTGTGGCACTATTCACAATAGCAAATACTTGGAACCAAGCAAATGTCCAACAATGATAGACTGGATTAAGAAAATGTGGCACATATACACCATGGAATACTATGCAGACATCTATTGTTATTTGATTTCAAAATAAGCATAGTTTCAGCCTACTGGCCACAAGTAGCAATATATAGAAAAATATGAAAGGTGGAGGAAAGGGTCATGGCAATTTTGAGAATCACTTGGAGAGATATAACTTTAATGAGTAATTTTTGGTTAAAACAAAATCCATGTTATTTATTCAAATAGTACTACAATTTGCCCTGCATATACATAAACAAAGTCAATTACAATCTGAGACATGTTACTTGAAGTCAATCAATAAAACCTAGTCAACAAAACTCAAAAAGGGGCAAAATTCCACTACTTCTTTCTTGTTAAAAGAGAGGGATTGCTGTCTCTTTTCCAGATAATTATTTATTTTTTTTCATAAACCACATTTCTTTTTCGAACATATTTTCAAACATTTTGTTCGCCTTTAGAATTTTCCCTTGCCATTCTACGAATTTTTCTGCAATGGGTCCCAAAAATATGTTCTGTACCAAAATGTACCTTATAAATTTAGCAATGCCTTACAAAATGTTTGCTGCACTCAAATGAGCAAATACTTTCCCAAATGTGGTATTTTCTATTATTCTTGATCACCCGTCATAGTTACTGAAATCTAGATATATTTAACTAAAGGATGGAGATTTTGTAATATATAAATTTTTATAGAAATTATATTTATCCTATAATCTTTGCATTTGGCTCATTTATATTTTCTGACACTACCTAATTTTCCTCCACGACATTTTTATACCATTATTCATATGAGTATATTAGAAAATAATGGATAATGTAAGAGTTTCTTTAGTATCTAATACTATGTTAAAAATACTTTGTTAGCCAATAGGAGCCTAAGGCACAACTAAATAAGACAGACTCTTCAGTTAAGGATTAAGGATTTCTCAGTGCAGTGCTGGAGACAAAGAGCTAAAAAACAGACCCTAATTAGCATCATGAGGAATATGCTAAGATAATGATGAAAATATGACAAAACAGAAAGAAGGCTGCATTTAATTATGATTAGTGTTCCATGACACTTCCCAGTGGGTAGTCTGGCCTTGTAATAAGTTATGATTTCCAAAGTGTCTATTGGAAGGGAATAGGCAGAGCTCAGTAGGAAGTAAATATGGTTCCTGAGGCTTTGCCTTATTTCTATTCCTTGAATCTATCAACCTCATTCCTTCCCTGGGTCTATAGCTGATACTTTCACCTCTACTGGTAATCATCTTTCATAAGAATTTTACCATGGACAGCTCCTTCTTACCATTCAGGTCTCATTTCAAATTTTACCTCTTCAGATGGGCCTTCCTCCGTCTTTCAAATCATTTCTTTTTATTTTCTATAAGCATGTTTCAATCTTTATCATTTATATATTTTCTTATTGTCAATTCACCCCCACTCATTCCTCCCACTATAATGCAAATGTCATAAGGATGAGCACCTTGCCTTAGTCCCCACTCTGTCCCCAGCACTGAGGACAGTACTGGATAACTAATAGTTGCTCAATAAATATGTACCCAATGACAAAATGGATGAATTACAATGAGGGAATAAAATCACTGGGGACCAAACTAGAGGGTCTTTATTTTAGGGCAGCCCTTCATCTACTGAAAGGAGAGAAGTGTAATTGAGGATAAGGGACTTGCAACTTGCAATGAGGCGAAATAATGATGATGAGCTGCTAGTGTAGAATTTCTTTAATTCATCTTCTTAGGACTATTACTCACAAACTAATGGTGTGTAAAAGTCTGAACCTATAGATAAGGGTTAAATAAATCTTAAAGAAACATAGAAAAAGAGGAAAAAAATTATTATATTGTTTTATTTGCCCCTTATGAAAAAGCAAAAATCTTTTAGCAAAAGCCTCCCTGATATTTGAGTTAGTTGAAAGTTAGATTCCCAAAACTAGTGCACTTACATTTGACATATAAGACAAAAGCATCTGATTGTTTTAGATAACTGTCTCGTTACACTTGTTTTTGTATTTCAACAGCAAAATGATGACTTTCCACCACAAGCATCTTTTAATAGAGTTGAAGTTTAGAGACTAAGAGACATGAATACAATTTTTTTTGGCCCTTCAAACAGATTAGATTAAGGTTCTAGGTCCTTGCAGTACTATCCCACTTCAAGACTAGTTTATTCCAAGGATAGTGCAAACTAGTGTGTTTGCAAAGAGAAATTGAGAGAGAACATTATGACACAGTAGAGTTTGGTCCAGGATTGCAAAAAGGCTTAATATAAAGAGCTTTAGATAATATTCACACCTAGTTATAATTAAACAGATTTAAACTTCAGTAAGCAAAGGGCACAAGCACAGTCTCTATTTCAGTATAAAGGTAAAAACAAAACTACACTAAGCAACATATGTGATAGTAAAAAATTAATTATATTCTCAACAAAGACTGTACAGTAAGAAAAGATTGCCCATTGTCACTGCTACTATTCAGTATTTCACTGGAGATTAACAAGAGAAAAAAAAGAAAAGCACTTGTAACTATTTGAAGGCACTATTACTGTTTATTTATAAAATCTAAGTAAATCAATTAAAAAATTATAACTCATAAGATAGTCTATTAAGGTAGCTAAAAAAAGATCAACATCCAAAATAAATAGAACTTCTTCTGCTTAAAAATACATCAGAATTTATTCAGGAACAGAAGAAATCAATCTATTTTACTATTGCAAGAAAATAAAACACATAGGAATAAGTCTAAGAATTGTTCCTTTATTAAAAAAACTTTTCCGAGGGAGGTATGCAAATCAATCAATTAAAGAGCCTTACTATTAATGTAAATTCTATGAATTCAATGTCATTTCTACTGGATGCAAGGAGGATAATTTATAAAATTTGACAAAATTTAAAATCACTCTATAAGGAAAAATTGCAAAATAATGCTAATATTTTGAAAAAAATCCCAGTGTGCTGTGACCTACATTACCATATACTTAATTATACCTAAAAGCTATAGTAATTTTAAAAATTATATTGAGACATTAAAAGACAAGTAGAAAAACATTGCTTTAAATAGCATTCATAAAGAGATATTTTTACATAAGAATTTGGTTGATGATATATATAGAATTTTAAACTAGGCTTGCCAGGTGGGTCAGAGAAAATACATTATTTTAAATTAGAAAAATGGGTTATTCATCTGGAGGAAAAAACAGGTTAGACGCAATGCTACCTCATTCCCTGACAAAACATAACTCCAGGTGAATTAAGACCAAGTGTAAAACACACAAAAAACAAACTAAAACAAAATTAAAGAAAACATTAATCTGAAAAATAATCTTAAAATGAGAAATGCTTCCCTGAGTAAGACATAACCTAGCAGCCACAGGAAAGAATGCTAGATCAGATGACATGCAAGTTCACAGTAGATCAATAAGGATTTTACATACAAAGTTAAAAGACAATTAGCAAACTAGAAGAAAATCTGTGCAATACATTTAACTGAAAAGGATTTCTATGCAGAATATATAGAGACTAAAAGGACAAGGATCTCAATTAAAAAATGTGGAAAGGCTTTCATCAGTCATTCACAAAGAGAATACGACTGTCTAATAAACATATAAAAAGTGCTGAATCACAGTTGTATTTGAGAATTTAAAAAAGTGAGATTGTTTTCATCTATAACATTAATACATATTTTAAGTTTGAAAATGTCACGTTTTGTTGAGAACACAGAAATATGGGCATAGTCACACTCTTGTATCTGTTAGAGACAATGAGAGGAACCTAAATGTACCAACACAAAAAGACATGTAAGTTATAATAATTACATAGGAAGCATAGCATACATACAATGATTTTAATTTACATGTGAAATCTATGTATAAAAATAAATCTGTACACATAGAGAGGCCTG
Source organism: Homo sapiens (assembly GCF_000001405.40). Classification (NCBI taxonomy): domain Eukaryota; kingdom Metazoa; phylum Chordata; class Mammalia; order Primates; family Hominidae; genus Homo; species Homo sapiens. The sequence goes on along the minus strand of NC_000006.12, from coordinate 77,311,167 downwards.
ACAGAAAGCAGAAAGCATACTGGATCTCTGGCAGTGGCTTACCTGTGTAAAGGAAGTGGTAGCAATAGTTGGTAGTGGAGAGGCTCCTATTTTGCTTTGTCTATTTCTATACCACTTAACCTTTTCTAAAGAGAATGTTTTAATGTGATTAAAAATTTTTTAAAGCAAGAGAAAGTTATGTACTAAGAAAATTTCATCTGCCATTGGTCAAAGCAATTGCATTTTGATACTAAGACTGCTTCTTTCTATCAACATCAAACTTAACATATTTTCATTGAAATACCTACCTATTCATCATGTATTTTTTGAACTTCTAATAGGTCTTAGCAGAAAAAAAATGCAATTATAAATTTAAGACTCACACAGACAAAATTCTGAAAACTATTCTTCTTTCAGGTGATTGGTCTTGGTTTTATTTATTCTTTCACTGACTTACTAGTCTATTAACTAGAAAGAACTAGAAAATAAAAGTATAACTGACATCAACAGCAAGATAGAGCTGACATATTTATTGGCCTAGGTACACGAAACCTGGGAGTTAGTTTAATACCCTGAAGTGTGGTTTATTTATTAAAGGAAAATACATGCCTGTCAAAGAAGTTCCTACCTAAACTGGTTATATTCTTGTTTCTGAGACAAGAAGTATGGTATACTATGCACACACAAACACACATTTACAGGCGTGCAAGTGCACACAATAACACATATAAAAAACCTGAAAATGCACATCTGAAACATCAAGAAAAAATGATCTATTCTATGTTTACCAAGGTCACAGCATATCTGATTTGGAGAGAGGCCATAAAGACTGTGTAGTCCTTCTCATGCTATAGATGAAAAGATGAGACCTGGGTTTGTTCAAAGCCATGTTAATTATTAATGTATAGGTTAAACTAAATCCCAATTATCCCAATTTCTATCCTAGCATTGTTGCTATTATACCCATTTTCCATGATGATAATGAATGTCCATTTTTATTTGGATGAAAATAAGGTTGTCATGGATACTAACGGAAGATTTAGCTTAGAGAATCATTGCTTCTGAAATAATTTTTCAAATGAAAGAGTGTGAGACTTTTCTGCTATGGCCTAATTTTAGCAGAAAGTGTGAAAATTTTATTTGTGGGCTATTATTTTCCTACATGTGAACTATGTTGGCTGCCCTAAAAGACACTCTTCTGGTAGTCAGTGAATTACTTTAAAAGACAGTATTACTTAACTATTAATATTACTTAATCAACTAGATTAGCCTGCCTTTCAGACATAATCTTCCCTTAGGTATTATTAGTGAAATAATACCTATTTCTTTCCATGTTATTTTACCTATTTTCATTCCACAACATCTATTTCTTTATTCAACAAATAATACTCATTTGCTAGACATTTGTTTAATAGAAGCATACAAAATAAACAAAAATTTTTCTCTGTTAAGGAATTTCCCACTTATATTTCAGTCTCCATCTAAAACATCAAAATCTGTAAGGTCATAGGTCAGACATAGCTTTTTTTCTGCCTGTTCTTGGCTTTCATAAAACTTTGTACATCGTTTTATTATAGTGCTTATTACACTAAAGGTATTTGGACGCTTATAACTAGTTTTCATTATTAAAATGTGAATCTTCTGAGGAAAGTTCTCAGTTCATCAACAGATTTTCTTATAATACACACCATCTTTCCCACTATCCTAAGAATGTCTGAAGTTTTAGAGTTGTACATTTACCATAAGTTTTCATTGGTTTTTAATTAACAGGGAACATATAGCACAAATATCAAACACTGACATTACACCCAGCATAGTAACACAGAAAATTTTAGGGAAACATATTTTAAATAGTTATTTCATCTTTCTTGTAACTATTGTTACTCTTTCCTAACTCCTTAAATGAAGGATTATGAATCCAAAATCCTCTGAGTATCACAACTCTATGTTGACTGTAGTCCAATGTCTGAAAATTATCTCATATATTTTACCAGTTTAGAGTTGGACAATATATCAGTCCCTGTTACTCTGTCATGGCTGGAAGTGGAAGTTGCCTTCTTCTTCATTAATGAAACATAAGAGAAATCCTCTAAATCTGGGATAGCCTAGCTATGTTAAACTGTACTCACTTTTGTGCATAAAGCCTGTAATCGCAGCACTTTGGGAGGCCAAGGCAGATGGATCACGTGGTCAGAAAATCGAGACCATCCTGCCTAACACGGTGAAACCCCGTCACTACTAAAAATACAAAAAATTAGCCGGGCGTGGTGGTGAGTGCCTGTAGTCCCAGCTACTCGGGAGGCCGAGGCAGGAGAATGGCATGAACCAGGGAGGTGGAGCTTGCAGTGAGCTGAGATCGTGCCACTGCACTCCAGCCTGGGCGACAGAGCGAAACTCCATCTCAAAAAAAAAAAAAAAAAAGTTTACCCAGAAACTGGAAAATCATGATAAACTCATTACATATCTTACAATTTGTTTTAATCTTATTTAAGCATATTCATCTTGTTTATAACCTGTAATTGTGTCAGCCTAATTAATGTAATTCTTATCAGCATTTTTCAAGCTTGGCCTTTTAGTATATAAGATCTGTATGCTATAGGAACCTTACAATCTTTGGGGGAACAAAAAACAAAACAAAACAAAGTAACAAAAAGCTCAACAACTTTTGGCCAGCTGAGTTACACTCTCCAAAGTTCTTTTATAGTCTCCTTTCCATAAAACCTCCAAATGCTAATCCGGTCTGAATTAAACTATTTTACATCATTCTTTTGTTAAAGGTGAATTTCATGACTGTTTAACATTTCTTTATGCTATAAGCATGTGCTCTACTAACTTTACAGATGTTCCTCCTAGAAATCCTGATAGAATATTATTTGTTGAGGTCTTGTATCTTAATCAAGGAATATTATATGTTAGACATGTTATAACATCTGAACCACCAACAACTCATTCTGTTTAATTGGCTAAATGGATAGCTCTCACACATTATGTCCCCTTGGTCTGTTTTTGTTGTTGTTGTTGTTGTTTGAGACAGAGTCTTGCTCTTTCATCCAGGCTGAAGTACGGTGGCAAGATCTTGGCTCACTGCAACATCTGCCTCCCAGGTTCAAGTGATTCTTGTGCCTCAGCCTCCCAAGGAGTTGGGATTATAGGCATGCACCACCATGTCCAGCCAAATTTTTTTTTGTCTTTTTGGAAGAGACAGGGTCTCACCATGTTGTCTAGGTTGGTCTCGAACTCCTGGCCTCAAGTGATCCACCTGCCTTGGCCTCCAAAGTGCTAGGAGTGCAGATGTGAGCCATCATGTCCAGCTATATGTTTTAATAGTAATATCTATACTTATTATAAATATATCTTCCAGCTTGTACACTATTTTATCATGATATAGATATGAAAAACGTTTCTAAGTAACTAAGGAATCTCATTACATTAAAAAAACAAAAAACAAATCTATGACTTTCCAACATGCAAAGAAAATCTTTATTATTAAGATGGAAATACATACTAAATGTATACTTTAAAAGCAAAGGGACTGTCCTTGTTAACCTGCAAAATGAATATTACTTATTGATTTTACAAGTAATGGCATTATAAACATAAAGGGTTGATTTGATTCTCAGAATCCAGAAGAATATATTTAAATAAAATCACATACCCATACAGATGAGAAACCATGTTGGCCATTTTAATACTCTCTCGTGGATGATGTTGGATGATGAAAATTCCAAGGCTTAGCCAGCATTGTGATGTGCACCTGTAGTCCCAGCCACTCAGGAGGCTGAGATAGGAGGATCACTTGGGCCCAAGATTTTGAGGTTGCAGTGAGCCGCGATCATGCCATTGCACTCAGCCTGGGTGACGGAGTAAGTCACTTTGTCTCAAACAAAACAAAACAAGCAACAAAAATTCCAAGCAGTTTCCTTGGAGGTTCCTAAGGCCAATTGCAAAACCTTCATGCTATTGCTTCAAGAGAGCATCCATAATTACAGCAATAGGTTGGTTTAAACTTCACAAACATGAGAGGGGGATTTAAATTGAAAGACTTAATGAGTGACTGAATCTTGCCTTTCCTATAATTTACATAAACTGTGGATTTGCTACACAAGTAGGGCAAGTCTGATAACCTGTATTTCAATGATGATTTGAATAGTTACAAAGGATGTCATTTATGCAAGTCACAAGCCATTGTGCAAATCATAACATATAGAATGTGTTTTAGAAATAGTATATTTTCTTGCTGAATTGAGGCGTACCCTTACCAAAAGGTGGATGGCCTGTTATACGAAAGTTTATGATTCATTTATCGGCATTTATTGAGCTTCCTTTATAAGTTTACACTGGGCTAAGAAATGTGGATCCAGTAATTAGCAAGACAAACTCATTTCTGAGGAGGTAAAGCAAGATGGCTGAATGGAAGCCTCTACTCATCCCACAGTAACACCAAATTTAACAACTATCCAAATATAGAAAGCCAAGAACCAATTCAGGCAAGTGATCACAGTACTTGATTTTCACTTTATGTCTCTGAAAGAGGTACTGGAGAGAGTAGAAAAGACAGTCTTGAATCACCAAGGTCACCTCTCCTCCAACATCCCCAGTAGCAGTTGCATGGCATGGATAAATAATCTGGGCACATGGGCAGTGAGAGTGCAGGAATTGTGGGACTTTGCATTGGAACACCGTGCTGCCAACATTGTGCAGAAATCAGCCATTCCCCACAGAGAGAGCATTTAGCCCAACCCTAACTAGAGGGGAATCACCCATCCCAGCAATTGGAACTTGAATTTTAGCAAGATTCAACATGCAGGCTACAGTGCTTTGGGGTTCTAAATAAACATAAAAGGTTATCTAGACTACAAAGTCTGCAATTCATGGACAAGTGCTAGTGCTGTGCTGGGCTGGGAGCCAGTGAAACTGGGGGACACATGACTTGGTGAGACACCAGTGGGGCAGTCAAGGGAGTGCTTATATTACCCCTTCCCCAAACCGAGGCAGCAAAGCTCACGGCTCCAAAAGAGACACCTTCCTTTGGCTTGAGGAGAGAAGTGGGGAGTACAATAAGATATTTTGAATTTTTATTTATTTTCTTTTTGCTTGTTTGTTTTTGCAATCAGTGTTATGTTGTCATCAGTATAAAATAATGTCTTATAATATGGTATTTGCAAGCCTCATAGTAATCTCAAATGTAAAAACATACAACAGATACACACAAAATAAAAATTAAGAAATTAAATCATATCACTGGTGAAAATTCCCTTCACTGAAAGAAAGAGAGGAAGGAAAAAAAGAGGGAAGAGAAGACCATAAAACAACCAGAAAATAAATAACAAAATGACAGCAGTACGTTCTTACTTATCAATGATAATATTGAATGTAAATGGACTAAACTGTCTCATCAAAAGAGAGAGTGGCTGAATGGATAAAAAACAAGGCCCAGTGATCTGTTGCCTACAAGAAACACACTTCCCCTATAAAGATACACATAGACTGAAAATAAGATATGGAAAAAGATCTTCCATGCCAATGGATACCAAAAAAAAAAAAAAATAGGAGCAGGAGTAGCTATGCTTATAGCAGACACAATAGCTTTCAAGACAAAAATTATATATAAGACAAGAAAAAGAAGAAAAGAAGAACTCTATGTCATGATTCGGGGTTCAATTCAGCAAGAGGATATAATGATTATAAATATGTGTACACCCAACACTGGAGCACCCAGATATATCAAGCAAATATTAGAGCTAAACAGAGCTAAATGGAGAGAGAGAACTACGTCCAATAATATCCAGGCACTTCGACACACCACTTTCAGCATTAGACAGATTATCTAAACAGTAAACCAGCAAAGAAACATGAAATCTAGTCTACCCTATAGACCCAATGGACCTAACAGATATTTAAAGAACATTTCATCCAATGGCTGCTGAATAAAAATTCTTCTCAGCACATGGATTATTCTCAAGGACAGACCATAGGCTAGGACACAAAGCAAGCCCTAAAACGTTCAAAATAATTGAAATAATATCAAGTATCTTTTCTGACCACAATGGAATAAAACTAGAAATCAATAAGAAGAGAAATTTTGGAAACTAGACAAACACATGAAAATTAAACAATATGCTGCTAAATCACCAATGGGTCAATGCAAAGACAAAGAAGAAAATTGAAAAATTTTTTGAAACAAATTATAATAGAAACACAACATACCAAAACCTATGGGATACAACAAAAGGGATACTATGAGGAAAGTTTATAGCTATAAGTGCCTACTTCAAAAAAGAAGAAAAGCTGAATTAGTAACCTATTGACATATGTTAAAGAAGTAGAAAAGGAAGATCAGAAGAAAATAAATAATAAAGTGAGTAGAATAAAAGAAATAATAAAGATCAGAGCAGAAATAAATGAAATTGAAATGAAAAAACAATACAAAAGGTCAATGAAATAAATTTTTTATAAAAAAAGATAAAATTGACAAACCAATAGGCAGATTAACTAAGAAAAATACAGAGAAGACCCACACAAACAAGATCAGAGACGAGAAAGAAGACACCAATACAGCAGAAATTCAAAGGATCATTAGAGGTTAGTAAGTGCAACTATATGTCAATAAATGGGAAAACCTAGAAGAAATGCATAAATTCCTTGACACATGCAACCTACCAAGATTGAACCATGAAGAAATTTAAAATCTGAACAAACAAATAACAAGTAATGAGATCAAAGCCATAATAAAGTCTCTCAGCAAATAAAATATTGAGAGCCAATGGCATCCCTGCTGAATTTTATCAAACATTTAAAGAAGAATAAATACCAAACCTATTCAAATTATTATTTAAGATAGAGGCAAAGAGAATAACTTCCAAACTCATTCTATGAGGCCAGTATTTCCCTGATATCAAAATATCAAAACCAAATAAACACATGTCAAAAAAAAAACAACACTACAGGACAATATATCTGATGAACACTGATGCAAAAATCCTTAACAAAATACTAGAAAATCTAATTCAAGAACACATTAAAAAGTTCATTCATCATGACCAAATGTGATTTATCCCAGAGATACAAGGATGGTTCAATACAGTCACATCAAGAGAATGAAGGACAAAAACCACATGATCATTTAAATGGTTCATGAAAAAAACATTTGACAAAATTGAGCATTCGGTCATGATAAAAACTCTAAAAAAGGCTGGATGTATAGAACACACCTTATTATAACACAACCATATATAACAGACTCACAACTAGTATCCTACTGAATGGGGAAAAAATGAAAGCCTTTTCTTTAAGATCTGGCACATGATGAGGATGCCCACTGTCACTACTGTTATGCAACATAGTACTGGAAGTCCTAACTACAGGAATCAGACAAGAGAAGGTAATAAAGGGCATCCATATTGGAAAGGTAGAAGTCAAATTATCCTTGCTGATGATATAATCTTATATTTGAAAAAACCTAAAGACTCCACTGAAAAATTATTACAATTGATAAATTCAACAAAGGTGCAGGATACAAAATCAACATACAAAAATCGATAGCATTTCCATATGCCACCAGTGAAAAATCTGAAGAGAAATCAAGAAAGTATTTCCATTTACAATAGCCACAAATAAAATTAAGTACCTAGAATTAACTTAGCCAAAGAAGTGAAAGATCTCTAAAATGAAAACTATAAAACACTGGTGAAATAAATTAAAGAGGATAGAAAAAAATGAAAACATATTTCGTGTTCATAGATTAGAAGAATCAATATAGTTAAAATGTCCACAGTACCCAAAGCGATCTACAGATTCAATGCAATGCCTATCAAAATACCAGTGACATTTTTTAAAGAAATAGAAACAACAGTTCTAAAATTTATATGGAGCCACAAAAGACCCAGAATAGCCAAAGCTATCCTGAGCAAAAAGAACAAAACTGGAGGAATCACATTACCTTACTTCTAAATATACCACAGAGCTACAGTAAGCAAAGTAGCATGGTACTGGCATAAACACGTAGACCAACAAAACAGAATAGAGAACCCAGAAACAAATCTATATATCTACAGTCAATGCATTTTTGACAGAGGTGCCAAAAACATACATCGGGGAAAGGACAGTCTCTTCAATATATGGTGCTGGGAAAACTGGGTGTCCATACGCAGAAGAATGAAACTAGACACTTATCTCTCACCATATACAAAAATCAAATCATAGCGGATTAAAGACCTAAGAGCTCAAAATGTGAAACTACCACAAGAAAATGTTGAAGAAACTCTCCAGGTCAGTTAAATGGGCAAACATAATTCTTGAGTAATACACCATAAGCACAGGCAATCAAAGCAAAAATGGAAAAATGGGATCACATCAGGTTAAAAAGATTCTGCACAGCAAAGAAAAAATATCAACAACATGAACAAACAACATGAAGAAACAACCAACAAAATGGGAGAAAATATTGGCAAACTACCCATCTGACAAGAGATTAATAATCAGCCTATATAAGAAGCACAAATGATAGGAAAAATAATAATCAGATTTTAAAATGGGTAAAAGATCTGAATAGACATTTCTCAAAAGAAGACATACTAATGGCAAATAGGCATATGAAAAGGTGTTCAACATCATTGATCATCACAAAAAGGCAAATCAAAACTACAAGGAAGTATCATCTCATCCTAGTAAAAGTGGCTTTTAACCAAAAGTCAGGCAAGAGCAGCAGCTGGCGAGGATGTGAAGAAAAGAGAACCCTGTATACTGTTGGTGAGAGTGTAAATCAGAACAACCAGTATGGAGAAGTTTGGAAGTTCCTAAAAAACTAAAAAAGAGGCCAGGCATGGTGGCTCACACCAGTAATGCCAGCAATTTGGGAGGCCAAGGTGGGTGGATCTCCTGAGGTCAGGAGTTCAAGATCAGCCTGGCCAACATTGCAAAACCCTGTCTCTACTAAAAATAAAAAATTATCCAGGCATGGTGGAACACGCCTGTAATCCCAGCTACTCAGGAGGCTGACGTGGGAGAATCGCTTGAACCCAGGAGACAGAGGTTGCAGTGAGCCGAGATTGTGCCACTGCATTCCAACCTGGGTGACAGAGTGAGACTCCATCTCCCAAACAAACAAACAAACAAAAAACCCTAAATAATAGGTACTATATGAGTCAGCAGTTCCACTGCTATATATGCAAAAGAAAGGAAATGAGTATATCCAAGACATATCTGCACTCTTATGTTTGTTGCAGCACTATTTACAATAGTCAAGATTTGGAAGCAATCTAAGTGTCCACCAGCAGATGAATGAATAAAGCAAATGTGGTACTAATATGCAATGGAGTACTGTTCAGTTCTAAAGAAGAATGAGATCCTGTCATTTGTAACATCATGGATGGAATGGAAGGTCATTAATTTAAGTGAAATAAGCCAGGGACAAAAAGACAAACTTCACATGTTGTTCTCACTTACTAGTGGGACCTAAAATCAAAACTATTAAACTCATGGAGATAGAGAGTCGAAAGATGGTTACGAGACTGGGAAGGATAGTGGGGGAGTTGAGTGTGGGTGTTTAATGGGTACAAAAAATAGAAAGGATGAGTAAGACCTAGTATTTGATAGCACAATAGAGTGACTATAGTCAATTATAGTTAGTTGTCCATTTAAAACTTAACTGAAAGAGTGTAATTGAATTTAACATAAAGGATAAATGCTTGAGGTGTTGAATACCTGATTTGCCTTGATGTGATTATTACTTATTGTATGTCTGTATCAAAATATCCCATGTACTTCATAAATATATATACTTACTATATAACCACAAAAATTAAAATTAAAAACAAACAAAACAAAACTTATTTCCTGCTGTTATACCTTATATTGTCTCATGTGTAGTAACCATTGACCATAAAAGGTATCCAAAGTAAATGTTGAAATGCAGTCTGGAAAACATAATGGGATAGAACATCTGCTTAAAGAGCTAAGTGCACTATTCAAATTAATAATTCTAGATTCCTCTAGCAATATTCACAAACAATTGTTAATTGAAATACGAGACACAATAAAGCATTTGAATGTTTTACTGAAGAATGAACATACTGTTTCTTAACTAGAGATGTGCATCAGGATTATATGGGGAAATTTTAATAATACCTATGCCAAGTCTCATTTCTAGAGGTTCCTCTTTGGGAGGCATTTCTATTTTAAATATTTCTCAAGTGATCTTATCTCATATCTAAGAACTGTTATGATGTTGAAAATCCTTATCAGAGAGGCAGGTAGCCTACATGCCTCACTAATTGTAATAATATTTTAAAAGGCAAAACAAAGATAGACATGTAGTGATTAAATACATTAACCAATAAGAGGCTAAGCAATATTCAGTGACTCAAGTGAAGGATGCTTTTTAACTGTTAGTGATCCTTAGTGTGCAACTTCTGAAGTGGTTAATGCCTGAGGTAAATGGACCAGTAGAATCAAGAGAAAATTTCTTCCACTTATTCTATGGATTTAAATACTTGAGCAAAGGACTAAAGGAGTTCAGTTCTTGACATAGTAATATATCTCTAGTAGCTGGGATTACAGGTGTGAATTCGAAAGAGTCAAGGGAAAGGTATTAGGTGATAGTACCTGGTGTATTTGAATTGTTTCCTTTTGTTTCCCAATAACTCGAGAAAAGAAAAGAAAAAAAATAGAGTGGCCACTAAAGATCAGTGACAATGTAGAAAATGCTAGAAAAAATTATCCCCCAGTAAGTTTTATTAAGTATATAACTAAGAGAAGTATAATCTCTTATCAAATTATTCTATCCAACTGAAAAACTTCTTGGAGTTTATGCTTAATTCTTTTAAGTTAACATAAAGAAACAGAACACATTGACTATACAATGCACTTGTATTTACTATCCAGTTATTTATGCCTTTATAAATAGTGTTAGAAAAAGTGTTTCTGCGAGGGCACATATACTTTTAGATATTTTATTTAATCACATTGCTGCCTGCCAAAATAAAACATATTTCTAAAAGGATTTGCCCTTCTGAATGTGCCAACATGATTTCTGTTGTCATTAGGAATGCAGATGGTGTGGGGTCTGAGAGGCCAAATCTTTTTTCATTCTGTTGTGACTAGAAATAATAAATGAATCCTTAATTAGTATGCAAGGAAATATGTTTCATTCCATAATACAAATGCATTATGTTTACTATGTTAATTATATTACCAAGGAAACCTAAAGCTTTGGGTAGAAATTCTTCAAAGTGAATGAGTGAGTGAAACAAAGTAGAGAAAAGAGGATTTGGAATTAGGTGTTTGGGTTCAATACACATATTTCTAAAAAATAAGACTTATTTAATTTAATTATATAAGTATAAACTTTATAAATGCTTGTAAACACTTGACATAGGGTATTTATTTTATATCTTGCACATCTGTCTATCTTGTGTCAGTTCTTTACCTCTCTTTGTATTGTGAAACTTTTTTTTTTTTTTTTTTGAGACGGAGTCTGGCTCTGTCCCCCAGGCTGGAGTGCAGTGGCGCAATCTCGGCTCACTGCAAGTTCCACCTCCGGGGTTCACGCAATTCCCCTGCCTCAGCCTCCCGAGTAGCTAGCACTACAGGCGCCCGCCACCACACCCAGCTAATTTTTTGTATTTTTAGTAGAGATGGGGTTTCACTGTGTTAGCCAGGATGGTCTCGATCTCCTGACCTCATGATCCACCCGCCTTGGCCTCCCAAAGTGCTGGATTTACAGGCATGAGCCACCGCACCCAGCCTCTATTGTGAAACTTTTAGAGGTAAATAAAGGACTTGGGTTATCAGAAACTTCCTGTCTCTAATTCCTAGAAATTCATAAAATAGATGAAATCTCTCCATTGCTACTTTTCTATATTAAATTTCATTTAACATGTTTCTTCAATTATTTTTCTTAACCTGTCAATTTCTGAAGGAGTAGGTGAATAAAAATCCATATGTGAAAAAATAGAGGAAATAATGATATAAAAGTAGTATTTAGATTTGGGTCTGCAGAGCTGGTGAGAAGTTGATAAAGAAGAAAATTAAAAACAGTAGACAGTTTCAGTAATGCTCAGTGATGTTCTCTATAAAGAGGAAAATAGACTCAAAGGAAGAAGAAAAAATGCTTCTGTATCTACAAACACTCACTTTCTCTACATGTTGCTACTGAGATACAGGTTACATTTTTGGGCTAGCTTTGTATGTATCTCAGATAATATTGAATTCATTGATGTGCAAGTTGTGAGCATATCAGCTTTTCTCTGTATAAGATTTGCTAGGTGGGAAACATGTAACTGATACTTTGAAGCAACTTATACCTTCATAGCATGTTTCCCACCTAGCAAATCTTATACAAAGAAAAACCCTGTTGTGCTCACAGCTTTTTATTATTTTTGTCAAAGAAGCCTCATAATAATTAATTTTGCATGTTAATAAAACTTCTAAGAAGCTCTTTTCAAGCTTAAAATTCTAGATCAAAGTTCTGTTTTAACAATTTCTGTATAAACCTAACTACTTTTTATGAAAACTATTGAGTGTAGGGAAGGGTTGTTTAGAAAAAAAAAAAAAAAACTTTTGATTACAATAGCATTTTCCACTGATGACATTTATTCATATATTTGCTAGATAATCAAGAGAAGTTTAAACAAGACTAGTGCTTCCCATGCAGACAATGAGGTCAAACATTGCTTTGATAATAATACTAAGTTATTTGCCTTTTTCACTGTGTTGACGTTTTCACTGATGTTGCAGAAGCAATGGTAAATAAAACTGAGAATGTCTTGGCCTAGAGTCAAATCACTAGTACTAAACTGTTCCTGTAATCATTGTTTTCTTTACTGTCATCCACTCATAGTTAAATATTTTTAAAAACATAAAAATAGTTTCACTTAAAAATGCTCATAGTGGAGCCATAATACATTAATTGTGTTAAATCTCTGACTTTATATACACTATTCTTTAATATTTTGTGTGACAAAAGAGGTGATTTGAATAGAGCGCTTCTGTCAGTTGGCAAAACGGAATGGTTGTTTCAGAAAAAAAAGAAGCGTTTGTATAATTTTTTGATCTGTGAGCTGAAATTAGCAACTTTATAAAAAATTGGACATTACCTTTACTTGAAAGAATGATAGACAGACAAACGTGCTTTGAAACATTTGGATATTAGGCCAAATTTTCTGGGAAACAAACAAAAGAGCTCATCAGGTCAAGAAAAAACAGACAATATTTATTGCCAATTATAAAATTTAAATTTTCAAGCAAAAATCAGAATTTTGGAAAATTTTTATCCACCATCATGAGCTTCATGGCTTTCCAATATGTAAAGACTTTTCTAATATATGTTGTAATATTTAAAATGTGATATTTTGAAATTATATGATGAAACATGCCAACATTTAGATGAACCATGTAATTTGGTGAACCAACATTTCTCAAATGGCCAATGTCTGATTTTATAAAATCAGACATGGAAAATATAACCATTTAAATTATAAGCTGGTAACTAAAGAGTATAATTGGAATGTTAATAACACAAAGAAATTATAAATGCTTGAGGTGATAGATACCCATTTACCCTTATGTGATTATTACGATTTGTATGCCTATTTCAAAATAGTTCATCTATAAGTATATGCACCTACTATATACCTGTAATAATTAAAAATTTTAAAATAAAATTATAATGCAAGATGAACCAATGGATTTTATTATAATAGAATATGAAAGGGAGTATAAAAAATGATCATATAGATTCAGATTCTATACTGCAACTAATATTTAAGGAATAATACTTATAAAATCTTGGTGTCACATCAAAGAAGAATATTCAAAGTTATTTGAAAAGGTTATTAAATACTCCTTCCTTTTCTAAGTAGTTGTTTTTGTAAGGCTGCATTTTCTTCATATATTTCAACCAAAACAAGATATTGCAGTACATTGGATAAAGAAACAGATATAAGAATCTAACTTTCTTCTCTTAAGAAAAATGAAAGAAATTTTCAAATGCATTAATAAAGCAATGTTACTCTCCTGAACAATTTTATAGAAAATAGTTTTTTAGAACAAAATCTATGTTATTTATATTAACATATAATGTCTTTATTATTATTAGCACTATTATTATTTTTGAGAAAGGGTCTCACTCTGACACCTATGCTGGGGTACAGTGACACGATCGTAGCTCACTGCAGCCTTGAACACCTGGGCTCAAGCGATACTCTTGCCTCAGCCTCCTGAGCAGCTAGGACTACAGGAGTCCATTGCCACATCAATTTTTAAATTTTTGTAGAGACTTGGTCTTGCTGTGTTTCCCGGGTTGGTTTCAAAGTTCTGGTCTCAAGCAATGCTCTTGCCTCAGCCTCCCAATGTGCTAGGATTACAGTTATGAGCCATTGAGTCCAGCCTGTTATTTTAAAAACAATTTATAAGTAAATATGTTTAAATGTGTATATTAATTCTAATATGGTGAATATTGATAGATATAACTCATATGTTATAAAAAAGCTCTTTGACGTTTCTCCAACGAAGATACAAATAGCCTACAGGCATATGAAGAGATGTTCAACATCACTAATTATGAAGAAAATGCCAATCAAAACCATAATGAGATATCACCTTACCCCGGGTAGAGTGGCTGTTAGTGGAAAGACAGAAGATAGCCAGTATTGGCAAGGATGTGGATAAAAAGGAACCCTTTACACACTGTGGGTGGAAATGTAAATTAGTACAGAAATTACTATTATGCCATTATGGAAAACTGTGTGGAGGTTCCTCAAAAAAGTAAAAATAGAACTTCCATGTGACCCAGCAATCTCACTACTGGGTATTATTCAAAGGAAATAAAATCAGTTGTCAAAGAGATACATGCACATTCAGTTTATTGCAGCACTATTCTCCATGGCTAAGATAGGGAATCAACCTAAATGTCCATCAACAGATGAGTAAAGAAAATGTGGTATGTGTACAGAATGGAATGCTATTCAGCCATAAAAAAGAATAAAGTCCAGTCATTTACAACAATATGGAAGAATCTGGAGGGTATTACGTTAAGTGAAATAAGCCAGGCACAGAAAGACAAATACCACATGATCTCACTTATACACAGAGTCTTAAAAAGTTCATCTCATAAAAGTAGGAAAATAGAATGGAATTTACCAGAGGCTGGGGTGGTTGGCAGGAAGGAGACAATGGAGAGAAGTTGGTCATAAGATGGATAATTACAGTAAAGTAGGAGAAATAAGGCCAGGAGCTCTATTATGAAAGCATGGTGATTATAGTTAATGATGATATATTTTATTCTTAAAAAATGCAAAGAGAATGAATGTAAGTTTTCTCATTACAAAAGTAATACCTATGTGAGGCAATACATTTGCTAATTACCTAGAATTAACTATTCCACAATGTACCTATACTTCAAAACATCCTATTGGACACAATAAATGCATACAATTTCATCTGTCAATTAAAAAAATTTAACAACTCCGCTCTTTGGGGCCCGTAATGGTTTCTAAGAGTATATATAATTCCTATGCCATCATCACATATATTAATAATATTCCATTACTAATACCCAACATCTTGTCTATATTAAAATATTTCCAATTTTCCACAAACATATGATTATAGATAATTGTTTGTCAAATTAGAATCAAATTAAGTTCTCATTGTTGTGATTTGTTTCTGTTTCAACTCCAAATGTGCAGCCCACACCCTACTTTTGATGCCATTGCTATGTTGGAGAAACCAGTTCTCTTATTCAATGGAATGCTTCAATTTCCACGTTTGGATGAGCATTTCCTTTGATGTAATTAATTTTTCTTCTATTCTCCGTGAACTTGTAGTTAGATGTGGAGGAGTGATTAGATTCAGACACATTATTTGGCAAAAATACGTCCCATATGGGTGGATGCTTTCAACTTCCCCTTGAAGGATATCTTGAAACACAATGTCTTGTTCTTGTGTTTTTAGTGAATGCTGAAGTTGATCAGTGGGTACAGGTGGGGTTAACCTAATTTATACCACAAAGTTTCTCATTAACATTTCACTTAATACCTTTAGAATCCATTTAATAATTATGTCTTGGGGCCATTAGCTTACTTTGGGTGATTTTCTAATTCTATCATGCTTCTTGCATTTTTTAAGCTGAACCTTTTCTATAAAGAACAATTTTTCCTCACTTTCTATTGGTTATTCTGAAAATCAAGCCATTTAGTAATTATAGAATAAATGCTTGAACATTTTCCTTTATTTTTCAATGTTAATGTTAATGAATTGGTGCACTAGTAGTCAGCAATGCTGTCCAATAGGGACTTTTAAAAAATAATTTAACAATACAGTAATTTTATATATGATTTATTTTAATCAATTGCAATCAATATTATTTTAATAACAAAATTAGTCCAACATTACTAGTAGCAGGCCCTTCATGTTGGTTCCTAGGTTGCATGTCATGACTCTGACTAGTCATTTGAAAACTCTTCTTCCTGGTAAACTAAGATTTCCCAGGCTTGTCTTGTACATTTCTTGCCCCAAATATGGAAATAGCCATTTCTGCAGAAGTGCCTCAACATCCCTACTTAAAACAATTTAGAATGTCCTAAATACTTAGGGAAAGAAAGATAAATGAGGCAAACTCAAAACTTTCAGATTTTGAGGTCATAATATTTAATTCGGGTATTCTGTTTGATCAAATTACTCAGATAATTTATAAACACCATTACAATTTTGATAAGATATAAAAGATGTACAGTTCATTGTGTTATCACTTTGATAAACTTTTTTCAAATCCATTATTTTAACACTTCTTTTAAATAGAGTATTACCTATAGCCCCAATAATGGCAAATATAAAAAAAAAGCATGACTAGCTACTGTGTTTGAAGCAGAGATTCGTGGGGGTCCAGGCTGAGAGTGAAACGCTGAACCAGGAGACTCCAGCCTTGCCCATTGAAACATTTCTTGGCTGACCCTTATGTGAGACCCTCTAGATACCCCCTAGGGTTCTCAGGCTTTGTTGAATGTAGCTTGAAAGCAATTGATTTATATCAGTTATTTTCAAAGTGTGCTACCCAGACCTGCAACATCTGCATCACCTGGTACTTTAGAAATGCACATTTTCAGCCCTAACCCACACCCACTGAGTCAGAAATCCTGGGACTAGAACCCAGAAATCTATGTTTTAACAAATCTTGATGCACACTGAAGTTTGGGTGTCACTGCTTTTATAACAGTCCATGTTTTTCAAAGTGCCCTTTCCTATACCCACTCCTTATATTTTTATAACACCCATGGTGTGCAGATGCTATCTCTTCTTTGTAGATGGGAGACCCTAAGAAGGTTATAATTAACATTCAGGTTTTCTCACTTTTGAATTGGGACACTTTTTATCATATCATTTAACCATGATGACCTGTCTCTTCTGTCATGGAAATTCTGTATTTCAAATGCTGGGATGTATTTTTAAATGATACTTGGCAATTATGTAAGGAGAGCAAGAAATGCTTCACTTGTGAAAATTCCAGAGTTGTTGATGGAATACATATACATGCCTGTAAAACTGTAATCTGCATGCAGAAGTTACATTTATCTTGTGGGGCTGCAGGAGCATCACATGAAATCCAGCTCTGGGTCTTCACTTAGGGACAGCAGTGTATTGCTGCACACATGTGAACTTAGCTACTCCCAACATTCCCCCTTCTATTGTTTCTTAAGCAATCACCTATCTAGAGAACTGGCTGCAGGATAAAATGCCTCTATTTTAAATGACTCATTCTTGAGGCATCCTGGACTATAAGAAACACTTTAGACTTCAGTCATTCCTTGCAAGACATGCAAGAAACTGAGTTTAAAGATAAGAGTATATTTTTTCCTCCCAAGAGACAAATGGCTTGATTATTTGTTCAGGTCTCTGGAGCTGCTGGAGCAGTGGCTACGGTGTAAAGGGCATCGTGGGCAGTGAGAAGGAGATTTAGCACCCAAGGAAATGAAAAAAAATATTAGCACTGTTGTTATCTGTACTTACAAAGGAAGACCTGCATGGCAGATAACAGCATTCGAAGTTCTCTTTTCTATTTATCTTGCTTTACATCTTCTGAACAAAACCAACGTGTAGACAACTGAAGCTTGTTCTAATAACAAAATTGTTGCCTGAAATGAAATTCTTGACATACCAATCATTCTCTATAGCCAAATCATTTTTTTCATACAAAACATGTTTGAAGAACACTTTAATGAATGTTTTGCACTTAGTCATCTACTTTATTTTCTTTGCTAAGAGGTCCTTCAATAACCATAAAAGAACAAATTTTGCTGGGAGGCATAAAGTATTTCCTGGAATGTTATGAGCATAAGGTCTTCCTAAGATGTTAACGGAAACAAAAACCGATGATAACTAGAACAAAAATGACTTTGTGTAAGAGTGTTCTAAGAGAATTGCCTAATAGACTTTAGAAAGGCCAAATACTAATTAGACTCTTAACTGATGAGATAGACCATGACAAGTTTAAGGCCATAGTCTTTGAGTTTGTGGAGAGTGCCTGGAGACACATTTTAGGGAAGGAGGCAGTGACTCTGGGCTTAGCCCAGATAAACCAGTGTCTGCATGTATATTATAATTTCCCTTGAGTGAGGCACACCTCCCCGCCTTGTCCTGAACCTCACTATATCTGAACCTTTTATGCCACTGATAGAAGTCAAATTTTGCATGAGCTATCCTTGAGTAGAATAAAATTTTTTAACACTATGGTTAATATCAGCTTCTTTTCTGAGAGCAGGTGTTGGAAACCAAATGGAGTATGAAACAGGGAGTTTATATCTCCACTTAGTTAGACTGCCTTCTGAAATACCTGTAGAAAGAATTTAAAAAGCAAGCATCTATCAATACAGTCACTTGTAAAATAACGTCCAGTGAACTTTACACAAAATTGGTTAGAAACAGAGGCAATGAACTTGCTCTTCTGTCTCACCTCATGCCCTGCCAAGGGCAAAGGCTGTGGTTTGAATACAAAGAACAGTTAAATCAAGGGCTTATTTACTAGATATTTTATTTTACTTCACTTACAATGTAGGTTCTACGAAGCTGGATAGATTGACTCTATTTAATCATATTTGCCAGGAGTTTTTGCAGTTACTGTTTTCTCCATCTCGTTTTTTAATTAACTTTATTTCTTTTTAAAATATATTTTCATATTTCAATCACTACTCTTCTTTATAATTATATCCTTATTGTGATTAAATGGGCTTATTTTATTGCTGATTTTATGTCTAATCACTAGAATTGAAAATTTTGTTCTTCAAATGCCTTTTAACATTCAAATATTGTTCTTACCTAATTTTGTAATACTCAAGCATTTTATTGTACTTTTGGTTTATTTCAAGCTTAAATATTTTGTAATGTCTTCCTGATTTCCACTTTAGCTTATGAATTATTTAAAGTTAACATTTTAGCTTTTGAATGTTATATTTTAGCAAACATTTTGTTTTGAATTCTAATCACACTGAATTGCAGGCAGTGAACATGGACTCTATGATACTGATTTTTTGGAGAAAATTCATGAGATTTTGTTTGTGATCTAATAAATGTATAGTGAGTATTTTATATCATTCTTGTTTCTTTTTATTAATGTTATTTGTATCTCTGATTTCCCATCAATAACTTTTCCTTGAAGTATATTTTGTCCAATGAAACTGGATTTTATTTACTATTTGTGCAATATAATTCATTCCAGTCTTTATTCTCATCAGCTCTATATTATTTACTTTTAGTTTCATTAGTTATAATTTAAAAATTATATTAAAAAAATCTAATCTGATAATTTTCTAGTAACTAATATATATATACATATATGTGTATATATATTCATATATCATCTAACATATACCTATATCATATATACATATATCATATATATATCATATATACATATATGATGTGTGTCTGTGTGTGTGTGTGTGTGTATATATATATGTATATATATATATGATTTGGCAAAATGTTAACGTTCTCTACATTTCACATTCCCCTGAACAAAATGAAAAGATTGTCATAGTATTAGCAAATTTACACCTGGAGATTAGGTCAGAAATGATCTCGCTTCCTTTATAACAGAGGGTAATGTGATAGAAAGAGAGAAAACAACAGGAAAAAGAGAAAAGAGAATTCTAGGGAGTACCAACAGCCTGAACTGGACTTCCTGTTAAGAGGGGGAAATGGATGACTGTGTCCACTGATTACAATGATTACTAGATTACTGTGCACATTGGTAGGAAGTAAATACATGTGATAGCCATTCAGTTAGAGAACTCTCTGTTCAGTATGCCTATTAGGCATTGCTTGTAATTTTATATCTCTACACAATAAAAGTAAACATTATTTAATACTATAATCAGAAGACATATACTGTGTTGAAGACACTTTAAAGAGATAACTGTATAAAACAGAAGTTTGGTGTCTCTAAAACTGTCTTTGGGGACAAGAAACTCCTGGTCCCTAAACTGATGGCAAAGGAATAAAAGTACTTGGCAAGGATAATGGCAGAGGCTTTTTAATAAGTGTGGCTCTGGATCTCCTTAATCAAAGAAAACATACTCAATGGATTCAGGTGAGTCAGAATCCTTTGGGACCCTGAACACATTAAAGAGAGAATCTGAAAGTATCCCACTTTACATCCTCCATTTCATTTTGCAAATGCTGCTTAGAAAGCAGAAATAGCATCTGAGTTACTTTCTGTCTTCAGTGCAATAATCTGAAAGAATCGTCCACTTTCCAGGAAAATGAGATTTCACCTTCCCCATTTCCCCTTTGTTTCCTAGGAAAAAGAAGAAGAGAATGTTAGGCAGAAATCAGGAAAAACAGGCAAATAATTTTGACCTTGTGTGGTCTTCTTTTTTTTTTTTTTATATTTGGAGAGGGAGTGAGAGGAAAGGAGTACGTATGTGGCAAGATGAATAGCTGAGAAAATATATCTCCATTGGAGGGAAAAATTTCAGTGATAGTGCGAGGGTCTGTAATTTACCATATCCAGATTTTCTACACTCTGATCTCTGTCACTGGTTCTTCTCTATTTTGGGTTTCTCCCCAGACTATGATATAGCTACTGTGTCTGAAACTTTAGACTCTAATTTATTTGTTTTTAAAATTTCTGAGCGGCCTACTTGCGTTGTCATTTATACTTGAGCGCTGGTAAATTAGCGACACAAGTACTGAATGTCTTCATGGAATAAGGTGTTTCCAAGGGTTCATATTCTACCATAGCTTGAGTCTGCTAATGTAGCTATCTGGGGATGTTAAGAGAAATATGTGTCTTTATCTTTGGTTACATGAGGATGTGTTAGACTTGTAAATGTTATTATTTATTGTTTCCAGAAACAATAGTCAACTTTGTGCAAGTTGACATAGAGAAAGAAAAAAAATGAGATTTTCTTGCTCCCATTTATTTCCTACTATGAAATCTATTTTAAGATATGTTTACTTCTAGGACAATTCTATACAATGTATACATATGGACTCTTCTTCATTCTTCAATTGAATTGAGTGACAAGAACAATGGATCACACACACAAAATAGAAATATAATATATTTCAACTTTCACAGAGATTTTGGTTTAGTTACACAAGACAAACTTATACAAAAATAAAATAGTTTAAATCACACTCACATTTAGTGCATCTAGCCAATTCAAGATTCCACAACTGTAGGTATAGAGGTTTAATGTTCTCCTCAGGGAGAGAAGATTATAAACAAAGTAAAGTGTTAATAAAAATTTACTCTGAGTCCAAAATAGCCTAGGATATTCTCTTGATCATTTGTGTGTTTTCAAACTTTTTTTTAGATCATACCCATTGTCAAATAAATCTTATGCAAAAATATGATTATGAAAAGATATCAGTGAAATTTGTATTCATTTATTTTCTAAAATTAAAGTTCAGGATAATTATGATTTTTAAAGTAAGCGAATCAGTAAAAATAATTTAATGAATGTAGCCATTTTAAATTCATGGTTATGGATTATAGTTTCAGAATTATATTAATCACAGTATATAGTTATGCTTTACATTTTTTGGTTAAATAAAATTATGAAAAGGCTGAGTCAACCAGGTACATGTTTTTTTTTGAAAATGAAAAAAGTTAAGATATAATACCTTGCAATCTCAGAGTATTCTTCAAGCAAACTGACACAGGGCACAATTTTTATCTCAAAAGTTTTTTGAAATTGAATTACAGAAACTGACATGTTCTTGCTCTGTCAGCAAAGAAGCAATGTTACTCCAAAGGCGATGTGTTTTTATGGAACAGATCTTTATTTTTAATACTATTCTCCAATAAAAGATGTCATGGCTTCTTAAACAAATGAGTGGTCTAGCACTGGAGAAGAAAATTTATGAGATAAGTCTAGAGCATCTTTTAGAGCCAGACAGTATGGTGAATATGGTGAACTAAAAAATCAAACCCCACAATGAGTGGGTATATCAAAAGTACACAGGAGCAAACTGAAATAGTCCGTGATTGTCAAAGCTGGCAGAATTTGAGTAACAAGATAAATAATGTAGTGTTGGACTATAGCCCAAAGTATAAATTAAATATTCATAAATCCATAGACACATATGCAAATGATTGAATAAATAAATAAATAAATAGAGGAAAATATACAAATCTCCTATGTCGAATAATTTCAAATAATTTATATTGATATTCTTCTCTAAAGGAGGAGTAACATAAATCCCCACTTCTTAAGTGATTGTCTTTCAAAAAGTATGCTATAGAAAGTGAATAAACAGAATATGGAAAGGGCAAGAAAAGAGTCACCTACAGTGGAGAATCCTGATCGGTACTAGTTCAGCCAGGGAATTAAAAGTTAATGCTGTAAATAATAATTCATGTTGATATGATCTTGTGTGAGTGAGGTAATAAAAATGACGCTTGATCTCTGTGATCTCTACCCTTCACTGAAGAAAACGCCCACAAATCCAATTTAAACAAAAGAAAAACATCAAACAAATTCCCACAGAGGAGCATTCTACAAAATACCTAGCCAGCACTTATCAAAACTGTCAAGGATATCAAAACCAAGTCTATAGAATATTGAACAAAACGAAGAGTTTAATTGTGATAACAACAAATATGATAAAATACTTAGAAATAAATTTAACATAAATGTTGGAACACATAAAAATATCAAATACTCTGGAATTTTACAAAAGTAATATTGAAAAAAATAGCTCTTTAGGATATCGAAACAGCATCAAGATATAAATTCTCCCTAAATTAATTTATAGACTTAATGTGATATGAATAAAAATACCATAGAGTTTTCTCCGGAGCTAATCAAGTTGACTAGGAAAATTTACACATAAATATAGCTAGGTTTTGGCATCAGAGTGATGCTAGCCTCATAAAATGGGTTTAAAGTGCTTCCTTTGCTTGTGTATTTTTGGAAGAGTTTGAAAGGGTTGATATTAATTCTTCTTTGAATATTTGGTAAAATTTACCCATGCAACCATCTGGTCCTGGGATTTTCTTTGTTGGGAGGTTTTTGATTACTGATTCTATCTCCTTATTTGTTATTGATCTGTTCAGGCTTTCAATTTCTTCTTAATTCAGTCTTGGCAGATTGTATGTGTTTAGGAATGTGTTTATTCCTTCTAGGCTATTCAGTTTGTTGGCATATAATTGTTCATAATAGCCCCTTATGAATATTTTTATTTCTGAGGCATCTATTGTAGTGTCTCCTCCTTCATTTCTGATTGTGAGTCCTTTGTCTTAGTCTAGCTAAGAATTTGTCAATTTTGTTTATCTTTTCAAAAAACAACTTAGTTTTGTAGTTTTTTCTTTACTTTTTACTATTTTAGTTTTTCTCTAATCTTTATTATTTATTTTCTTCTTCTGGCTTTGAGATTTGTTTGTCCTTCTTGTCCTAGTTTATTAAGATGTAAACCTAGGTTATGTATTTGAGATCTTTCTTCTTTCTAAAGGTAGGAATTTCTTGCTCCATCTTGCTCCAAAAGCACTGCTTTTACTTATGGGTTATAATTTCCGGTATGATGTGTTCTCACTTCATTTGTTGCTAGATACTTTTTAAATTCCCTTTTGATTTCCTTTTTGATCCGATGGTTGTTCACAGCTATATTATTTAGTTTCTACGTATTTGGGATACCAAAGGTGTATGGTCCTTTCAATGTGCTGTTGAATTCTGTTTGCTAGTATTTTATTGGGGATTTTTCATCTATGTTTATTAAGGATATGGGCTGTAGTTTTTCTTTTTTTGACATGTTTGTTGGGCTTTGGTTTTAGAGTGATGCTGGCCTTGTAAAAAGAGGCTGAAAATGTTCCTTCTTCTCAATAATATGTGAAACATAAAATAGTCAAACTATTAGGAAAAGAGAATAGAATGGTGGTTGCCAGAGGCGAAGGGAGGGAAAAAGGAAAAATGTTAGTGAAGGGGTATAAAGTTTTAGTTACGCAATATACAAAAGTTCTCAAAATATAATGTACAGCACTGTGACTATGGTTAATAATACCATATTATATGTTTTAAATTTGCTGAAATATTCTCACCACACGCACACACACACAGATACATCCACACACAAGAAGATTGTAACTATGTGAAATGATGAATGTTAATTATCTTGATTGTGATAATTAATTCATAATTCATGCCTATATAAACTCAACTTGTGCATTTTAAAGCTAAAAATAGATAAGACACTACTGGAAAGGTAGAGCTTTGTGTAGAAATCATCTTTTACAATATGTTAATATACTACAAAGTCTTTATAATGAAAATATGTATGATTGGCACATGACTAAACAAATAATTCCAGAAATAAACCCAAGTACATATGCAAATATAGCACATGGTAAAGAAACATCTCAAATAGGGCAAAGTTCAGTTTTTAAGCAAATGATGTTGGAACATTTAGATACATTTTTGAAAAATAAAATTAGACATTTCCTTCAAAACATACACAGAATATATTTCAAATAAATCAGAGTTCTGATTATAAAATATAAAACTGTTGAAGTACTAGAGGTAAACTTGAATGAATTTCTTTATGACAGTGTAGGGAAAGGCTTTCTAGCTACATATCACAAAATTTGGATACAGTACAAATAAGCATAATTACTTCAGACTTTATATGTATTTGTTTTATAAATATTTATTTAGATATACGTAAGTGTGTATAAATGCTTATACATACTTATGTCAATAAATGATTATATATTTATAATAAATATTGTACATTCATTAAAATTTGTATGGAAAATACAAACTTTTCATCATAAGAACATCATAAGCAAAATCAAAAGGCAAATGACAAACTGGAAGAAAATATTTTCAACATCTAACACAGATATGAAGTTAATATTCCCAATATATAAAGAAATTTTAATAATTTTGAGGAAGAAAAAATCTTACAGAAAAATAGGCAAATGGCATGAATAGACATATACATCTGTAGACACATACATAGAATTTTTAAATTTTTAAATATATGAACAGATGTTCAGCTTTACTCATAACTGAAACACTGGACAAAATTCAAAAGCTTGACAGTATATTTTACTAGGTCTATGTTGGTGAAACTCTCGGGAAACTGTCCATCTCAGACGTTATTGGTGAGACTAAAACGATACAACCACTACAGAGGGGAATTTGGCAAAGCCTAAAATTCTACATATGTGTTTATCCTTTGACTCACCAATCTATATTTTGGGAATTAACTCTGAAGATACACCTCCAACCGTACAAAAATAGCTTGTGTCAATGTTATTTATTAAAAATTGTTTGTAATTATAAAATATTAATTTAAATGTCCAAATACAGGGAAATGTTTAAATTAGGTATGGTGCACACAACCAAATAGATACTGTTCAGCTGTGACAAAAAATGAAAAAGACATCTATAAACCGATTGAATTTATTTAAAAAAGTATTGTGATATATTTTATAATATGTAATATATTAGAAAAGTAAATTATTTTTTCCATTGCATAAGAAAGATGAAGGAACAAGAAAAGCTACATGAATTTGCTTATTTTTGTTAGAGAAAAACACAGGATGGATAACTAGAACGCTGTGAAATTGGCGAGTTATGGTGTCAGGCTAGGCGAAAAGGGATAGAATAACACTTCTTTTGAGTATACTTTTTTATTAGTTTTGGAAGCACATTCATATTCTAATCATTCAAAATTAAATCAACAAAGATAAAAAGAATTCTAAAATGAACTGCAAACAGAAGGAAAAGAACCCAACTATTATTGTAAGTGAATAACAACCACAATGAACCAGTAAAGAAAATAGCTAAATAACCACTAGACAATAAGACTTTGACTAATTAGGGAAATATTAGGAAAACAATTTGACTCAAATTAGGGAAATTAAACTGAACTAAACTAAAAATCTGTACCTATATCTTATCTCTGTCCACTAAACGACCTAAAAGTGATGATGATCTAGTAGTAATAAGTATACCTAGCTGCCGAAATTTTGGTTTATAAATACCATTTCCCACTATAAAGGATTAGACCTCCTTGGAAAAATGGCTCATTCCATGCCTGGGGCAGAAAAGGTCCAAGGTGAGCCCAGAATTTATTGTTATGCTGCAAAATAAGTAGTGTAAAAAAAACTGAAGGGGATGCAGGAGAAAGATTAACGAGATTCCCACTGACCAAATTTGGTTCACTTTGAATATCAAATGAAATGTGTTCAATAATAAATTATAACTTTTTGTAAAAAATAGTTTATTAGCTAGATAGATTAGATAAGTATCTCTTATAGAAAAATGCAGATTGATAAATATACGTGGAGTAATAGAGTTGGAGAATTATTATTTTGCAATTAGCATTTTAAATATTTCAAGAATCATGAATCAGTATTAAATCTAGGGGAGCAAAATTTGATGGAGATTAGGATATCTGCATAATTTCATTGTCTACCCATAGATTGCTTATTAGTTGCAAAGCAAAAATAGTAGCTATTCAGTGAGGAAACTAGAGAACATTCTGACCTTGTGATCAAAATTAACATCACCAATAAAGGGTAGGTAGATGCCGTGTGCCTCCAAATGGGATATTCTGTAAAGATCAAAATATTTTTTACACAGTATACCTAGAGGTGGGAATACATTACTTGAACTGATTATGAAGAGACATCAGACAAAACCAAACAGGAATATTCTATAAAATAATTATCCAGGGCCGGGTGCGGTGCCTCATGCCTGTTATCCCAACACTTTGGGAGGCCGAGGCGGGTGGATCACCTAAGGTCAGGAGTTCGAGACCAGCCTGGCCAACATGGTGAAACCCCATCTCTACTAAAAATACAAAAATTAGCCAGGCATGGTGGCATGCGCCTGTAATCCCAGCTACTCGGGAGGCTGATGCAGGAGAATCGCTTGAACCCAGGAGGCAGAGGTTGCAGTGAGCCAAGATCATGCCACTGCACTCCAGCCTGGGTGACAGAGCAAGTCTCCTTCTCAAAATAATAATAATAATAATGATAATAAAGAATTATCCAGTATCTTTTAAGCTGTTAATGTTATGAAACACAAAGAAAAGCAAAGGCATTCTTCCAGATTACAGGAGATTAAAGAAACCTGAGTAATTGCAACATGTAATCCTAAAGTAGATATTGTCCTGTAGGGAAAAGTGCCATAAAATAAATTGTTGTGATAGGTAATGAAATTAGAATATA
The DNA here is from genome assembly GCF_000001405.40 of Homo sapiens. Classification (NCBI taxonomy): domain Eukaryota; kingdom Metazoa; phylum Chordata; class Mammalia; order Primates; family Hominidae; genus Homo; species Homo sapiens. The sequence goes on along the minus strand of NC_000006.12, from coordinate 77,283,512 downwards.
TACTGTATACTAAATTAAATGATTTTAACAATCTTAATTTTTCTGAATTTGCAACATTACTATGGGTATAAAAATATTCTTATTTGTAGCTTTCTTTACTCTCCTCCTTATAGGTTTATGTATTTATCTACATACACAGAAAATCACAGCAAAAAAGGTGTAAATTTTCATTTTATTTGTCATACATATTTTTAAAACATAAGAGGAAAAATGATTTTTATTTTTACCAACATATTTACCATGTATCTTTTATTCTTGAAGTTTACAGTTTACCTCTAGTTTTCTTTTTTTTTTTTTTTTGACGGAGTGTCACTCTGTGCCCAGGCTGGAGTGCAGTGGTGTAGTTAACTGCAACCTCTGCCTCCCAGGTTCAAGAAATTCTCGTGCCTCAGCCTCCCAAGTAGCTGGGATTACAGACGAGTGCCACCACACCTGGCTAATTTTTGTATTTTTAGTAGAGACAGGGTTTCACCACGTTGGCCAGCCTGATCTCAAACTCCCAACCTCAGGTGATCTGCCCGCCTTGGCCCAAAGTGCTGGGATTTCAGGTGTGAGCCACCGTGGCTGGCCTCAAGTTTCATTATCCTTCAGCCTGAACAACTTTCTTTAGCATTGTTTTAGAGCAGGACTGCTGGCAACAAGTTCTCTTGGTTTTCCTTCGTCTAAAGTTATACATAGTTCACTTCATTACTGCAAAATGTTTTGTTGGATGAAGAATACTGGGTTGTTTTAAAGATGTTTCACACATGGTCTACTAGCCTCCACAGCTGTCCCATTAATATCCCATTTTCTTTTATATATATTGAATTAAGTTTTTTTCTTTAGCTTATATTTTCAGTAGTTTAATTTATGAATTACCTGGACATAGTTTTCTTTGACTTTATTTTATTTTGATTTGATGAGTTTTTCCAATCACTTATTTATATCTTTCACCAAACTTGGAAAGATTTCTGTTTTCTCAAAAAATGTTTTTTTCTGTTTACTCTGTTGATAGTTTCTTTTGCTGTGCAGAAGTTCTTTAGTTTAATTAGATCTTATTTGTCAATTTTTGCTGTTGTTTCAGTTGCTTTTGGTGTCTTTGTCATGAAATCTTTTCCCATTCCTATGTTCTGAATGGCATCGCCCAGGTTGATTTCTAGAGTTTTTATGATAGAGGCAGGAGGCTGACAGGGACAAGTCCTTGGTGAAACCCCACCTTCAAGCCAAAAAGCCTGAAACCCACAGCCCAAAATGAGAACTTCTATTTTGTTTGCCCACTCTCTCCTGATTGGTTCTTTTTGAATAATGCCTTTTTGCCAGTCTAATGTTGCCTTTTCCAAAACTACTATGGCCAGCCCTGCTCCCCCATCCTGTGCCTGTAAAGACCCCAGGCTCAGTTGGTAGGGGAGAGAGAGGCAGCTTGACTGGAGAGAGGCAACTTGACTTTAGAGAGATGGCTGTACTTCAGATGAAAAAGGTGACTTGACTTTGGAGAGATGTCTTGACTTCAGGGAAGAGCTGACAGGACTTCAGGGGAAGAATACCTGCCCATCTTGTCCCCTCTCCAGCTCCCCTCTCCACTGAGAGCCATTTCTGTTGCTAAATAAAATTCTCTGCCTTCATCATCCTTCAAGTGTCCACATGACCTTATTCTTCTTGGATGCCGGACAAGAGCCTGGGATCCACCGCTGTGGATACCCAAAAAATGATGTCACGCTGGCCCTTTGCCATTGCTGGTGAAAAACAGCCACCCCCACACAATAAGGCAAGGAGCCAAGTGAACTGATACACACAGTGGAGCTAAAGGAGCATTGTAACATGTTCTCTGGGGCTTCAGGGTCACAGGCACCCCTACTGGGGCACTGCCACTGGCCCTGCATGGAGCTTGTTTCTGTTGGCAGCAAGATGGATCCCTCACTAACTTGCTCACATGCTCCCTCCTGCAAGGGATTGAGTGTGGTGTGCCAAGTAAACAGGGCACCACTGTTGCAAGTCTGATGAAGAGGCTGAGGAAAATCCTGCATCATTTAGAGTGTGGGGCTTTTACATTTAAGTCTTTAATCCATCTTGAGTTTTTTTTTGTATATGGTATGAGGAAGGGATCTAGTTTCAATCTTCTACATGTGGTGAGCAAATTGTCCCAGCACCATTTATTGAAGAGGGTATCCTTTCCCCATTGCTTGTTTTGTCAGGTTTGTTGTAGATCAGATAGTTGTAGGTGTGTGGTCTAATTTCTGGGTTCTCTATTCTGTTCCATTGGTCTAGGTGTCTGTTATTGTACCAGTTTCATGCTGTTTTGGTTACTACAGCCCTGTAGTATAGTTTGAAGTTGGATAGCATGATGCCTCCAGCTATGTTCCTTTTGCTTAGGATTGCAGTGCCTTGGCTATTTAGTCTTTTTTTGGTTCCATCTAAGTTGTAAAATAGTTTTCTTTTCCTAGTTCTCTGAAGAATGTCAGTGGTAGTTTAATGAGAATACCATTGAATCTATAAATTACTTTGGGCAGTATGGCCATTTTAATGATATTGATTCTTCCTATCCATAGCATGGAATGTTTTTTTATTTGTGTGTGCATCACTGCTTTCTTTGAGCAATGGTTTGTAGTTCTCCTTGTGGAGATCTTTTGCCTTCCTAGTTAGCTATGTTTCTAGGTATTTTATTCTTTGGTCCTTGGCTTGCCTGTCGTTGGTGTATAGGAATGCTAGCCATTTTTGCACATTTATTTTATATCCTGAGACTTTGCTGAAGTTGCTTATCAGCTTTAATAAGCTTTTGGGCTGAGATGATGGGGTTTTCTAGATATAAAATCATGTCATCTGCAAACAAAGATACTTTGACTGTCTCTCTTTCTATTTAAATACGTTTTATTTCATTCTCTTACCTGATTGCCCTGGCCAGAACTTCCAATACTATGTTGAATAGACATGGTGAGAGAAGGCATCCTTGTCTTGTGCCAGTTTTCAAGGGGAATGCTTCCAGCTTTTGCCCCTTCAGTATAATGTTGGCTGTGCATTTGGCTTTTATTATTTTGAGGTATGTTTCTTTAACACCTAGTTTATTGAGAGTTTTTAACATGGGATGTTGAATTTTATTGAAATCCCTTTCTACATCTTTTGAGATTATCATGTTGTTTTGGTCTTTAGCTTTGTTTATGTGATGAATCACATTTATTGATTTGCATGTGTTGAACCAACCTTGCATTCTTGGGATGAAGCCTACTTGATCGTGGGGGATAAACTGTTTTATCGTGGGGGATAAAATGTGCTCCTAGATTCAATTTGCCAGTATCTAGTTGAGGATTTTTACATCAATGTACATGAAGGATACTGGCCTGAAGGTTTTTGTTTTTTTGTATCTCTTCCAGGTTTTGGTATTAGGATGATGCTGGCCTCAGAATGCATTAGCGAGGAGTTTTTCTTCCTCAGTTTTTTGACATAGTTTCAGTAGGAATGGTACCAGCTCTTCTTTGTACATCTGGTAGAATTCAGCTGTGAATCTGTTTGGTTCTGGGCTTCTTTTTGTTGGTAGGCTATTATTGCCTCAATTTCAGAACACATTATTGGTCTGTTCAGGGATTTAATCTCTTCCTGGTTCAGTCTTGGCATGGTGTCTGTGTCAAGGATTTTATGCATTTCTTCTAGATTTTCTAGTTTGTGGGCACAGAGATGTTTATAATATTCTCTAATGGTTGTTTGTATTTCTGTGGGGCCAGTTGTAATATCCCCTTTATTGTTTCTGATTGTGTTTATTTGAATCTTCTCTCTTTTCTTCATTATTAATCTAGCTAGTAATCTATTTTATTTTTTCAAAAAAACAGCTGCTTGATTTGTTGATCAGTTGAATAGTTTTTCATGTCTCTGGTTCCTTCAGTTTATCTCTGATTTTGGTTATTTCTTGTCTTCTGTGTGCTTTGGTATTTCTTTGCTCTTGGTTCTCTAGTTTTTTTAGTTGTGATGTTAGGTTGTTACCTTGAAATCTTTCTAAATTTTTAATATAGGCATTTAGTGCTATGCATTTCCCTCTTAACATTGCCTTAGCTGTGTCTCAAATTCTGGTACTTTGTATTTTTGTTCTCATTAGTTTTAAAGAAGTTTTTGATTTCTGCCTTAATTTCATTATTTACCCAAAAGTCATTTGGGAACAGCTTATTCAATTTCCATGTAATTGTTGGTTTTGTCTGAATTTGTTAGTCTTGAGGTCTAATTTAATTGCACTTTGTTCTAACAGTTTGTTATGATTTTAGTTTTTTGCATTTGGTGAGGAGTGTCTTACTTTCAATTATATGATCAATTTTAAAGTAAGTGCCATGTGTCAATGAGAAGAGTGTATGTTCTATTGTTTTGGGATGAAGAATTCTGTAGATTTCCTTCAGGTCCATTTGATCCAGTGCTGAGTTCAGGTCCTGAATATCTTTGTTAATTTTCTGTCTCAGTGATCTATCTAATATTTTCAGTGGGGTGTTAAAGACTCCCACTGTTATTGTGTGGGATTCTAAGTCTCTTTGAAGGTTTCTAAAAACTTGCTTTGTAAATCTTGGTTCATCTGTGTTGGTGCATATATATGGAAGGTGTTAAGAGGGAGAAGATCAGGATAAACAACTAATGGTTACTAGGCTTAATACCTGGGTGATAAAATAATCTGTACAACAGTCTTCCACCACACAGGTTTATCTGTGTAACAAACCGGCACATGTACCCCTGAACTTAAAATAAAAGTTGGTATTTTTTCTGCATTGTCTTTCTCCTCTGCTTCTGAAACTTCAAATACATAAATCGTTAGCCTTTTGTTATTGTATCATAAGCTCTGGAGGCTTTGATATTTTTTAAAAAGTATTGTATCTGTTGATTCCACGAATTAGATAATTTCTTTTGTTCTATATTCAAGGTCACTAACTTTTTTTCTCTGTTGTTGCCATTCTGCTACTGAGCCTATTTAGTGAATTTTCTACTTTAGATAATATATTTTTATTTCTGAAATTTCCAGTTAGTTGTTTTAAAGTTTCTATTTGTCTGCTCAGAACTCTCTCTCCATTCATTTTAAGCAAGCTTAATGTCTACCTTGCCTCATGGTTATCATAGCTTCTTCAAAGTCTTTGTGCGATAATTCCTACATGTGAGTCAAATCAGGTTTATCATCAGTTGGTTGTCTTTTTCCTTGAGAATTAGGTATAGTCATAGATCATATTCTCTATGATGTATTTATGCCATGTAATTTTAGATTGTATCCTCAATGTATAGATCATTTTGTTATGAAAATTTGGATCCTATTTAAATCCTCCAGATAATATTGATTTGTTGCTGCTATTGCTGATGTTGTTTTTCTTGGTAATCAACCTGGTTAGGCCTAACCGCAAGTTCTTTCTTGCCTTCTGCCAGCAATGATTCCATTATCAATTAAGTTTTTGAAGCCTCTGTTATAGTGTTTGAATGTTACCATGCCACTCTTTGATTTCCAGGAGTTGGTAGTGGTTCTCAAAACCTTCACTATGCTGTTGGGGGCCTTTTTCACACATACCCAGGTTGTGGGTAAGTCCAGTAGTTGTCTTGGTTTATATACATAATTATCGAATTCCTTCTCAAGTTCTATCCTCTCTGAATTTACCTCTAACCTCTGGCTACCAAGGATCCTCTTTCCCAGTTTCTTTGGCCAGAAAAATTAGCTTCTTTCATAGTTTTATCTGGCCGAGTTGGCAAATCTCACTGACTGGGGATTATTACCCACACGGCGAAGTTGTGAGAGAAAGGAGAGAAAAAAAATTAGAAAATTCATGCCATGCACTTTTTAGACAGCATTCACTCCTTTTCTTGGCTCATCTAGCCATAGACACAGGTTTCACATTGAAATTTTATATACCTATGGCTCCACCTCTGCTACTGCAAGACTGATTCATCTCTGCAATAGGGTTTGCTTTGCAGCAGGGCTGCAAAAAAAAAAAAAAAAAAAAAAATTCACCCAGTACTCCCCACTTTTCCTGGCCTCAGGGTAGAAAATGTTTTCCTTCCAGTGTTCACTGCACAGTTTCATAACCTGAGCTACTAGATCTTTCTTGGGTGCAGGCTTAGAAATAAATAGAGAAAACAAAACAAAACAAACAACTTATGAAATGTGCTGTTGCTGGTCCTTCTTCAAGTTTTAAATTGCCCCTTTATCTTTCTGTTCTTCTTTACCTTTTCAGAGTCCTCGGGTAGTTGATGAGTTTATTCATTTCAGAATTTACACTTGTGACCAGGCCCTTGCTATCTTATTCCATTTTGAATGGTACTGAAAATTCCCATTCTTACTTTTGGAAAAATTCCTTAAGTATCAAATGGTAAAGCAACATATTGTATGCAGGTTATACTGAAATAGTCCATAAAGAGTAATTATATGTATATAGATAGATAGATCTAAATATAGATATAGATATAGAGAGAATGTTAAAATGTAGCAAGAAGTTAATAATTCATGAATCTGTGTAAAATATATAGTTATCTGTTTTATCCTTATAACTTTTCATTAAATTTAAATTATTTCAAGAAAAAGTTTTTCTTTTTTTTACAAAAAGAAAAATAACTCTGAAACATCTTCAATCCAACACTAATTATTTAAATAAAATTGTCTAATGCACTTCATTTGCCAATACTGTTTGAAAGATCTTGGCATCTTCATTGGTGACTTGTGCTTTCCTGGGCAACTTGGAATGACAGATTTAACACAATAAATCTTCATTTTATAAAAGAATCTGTTCCTGGAGCAATTATTAAAATTTATTTTGCCTAATAAACTTAGAAGCCACTGTTCTGCTATAAATTAATATGATGAGATGCTAAAAACTGATGGAAATACTTTAGGGCACCTTTGTTATATATGTGTCAAGTGTTTTGAAATTATTTTATTTTCATTGTATTCACTAGTATAAAAACTGCATAAAAATCAGCAAAAAAGAGATGAACACAATGACTGTGCTCTATTCTAGCTGAACTGTAATATCCTGCTGAATCATAAAAATGTCACCACATCTTATTCTTTAAATACATTCATCAGTTATTCTAGGTGTTAATATTTGGATTAAACAGTGATAAGAACTACATTATTTTTTGTAACATTTGCTCATAAAAACACCTCTTTCAATGTGAATGGCATAAAACTTGGAAGATTTTTTTTCTGTCTACCATTATGTTTCTTCCTTTCCTCAAAATAAAAAAATTTTAATATCATAGTGTCTATAGAGTTTTTGGGCAACATTTCACTATAGAAAATACTAACTAATTTGTTTTACTATAAAACATGAAAGTTTATGTATTATCCTAGTTTTTTTGTTCAAATGACTTTGGATGGAAGTATTTAGTGATTTATGCTTTAATTTAGTATCACTAATTGACAGTTGAAAAACATTTGGTTGATGGATACTGTATTAGTTTGTTTTCATGCTGCTAATAAAGACATACCCGAGACTGGGTAATTTATACAGGAAAAAGGTTTAATTGACTTACAGTTCCACATAGCTGGGGAGGCCACACAAGTATGGCAGAAGGCAAGGAAGAGCAAGTCACATTTTACATGATGGCAGCAGGCAAATAATGAGAGCTTGTGCAGGGAAACTAGTTTATAAAATCATCAGATCTCATGAAACTTATTCACTGCCATGAGGACAGCAAAGAAAAGACCTGCCCTCATGATTCAGTCACCTCCCACTAGGTTCCTCCTATGACATGTGGGAATTGTGGGAGTTACAATTTAAGATGAAATTTGGGTGGAGACACAACCAAACCATATCATTCCACCCCTGGCCTCTCCCAAATCTCATGTCCTCACATTTCAAAACCAATCATGCCTTCCCAACAGTCCCTCAAACTCTTAACTCATTTCAGCATTAACTCAAAAGTCCACAGTCCAACATCTCATCTGAGCAAGGCAAGTCTCTTCCGTCAATGAGCCTGTAAAATCAAAAGCAAGTTAGTTACTTCCTAGATACAATGGGGGTATAGGCATTAGGTAAATACAGCCATTCCAAATGGGAGAAATTGGCCAAAACAAAGGGACTACAGGTCCCTTGCAAGTTCAAAATCCAGTGGGGCAGTCAAATCTTAAAGCTCCAAAGTGATCTCCTTTGGCTCCATGTCTCACATCTAGGTCATGCTGATGCAAGAGGTGGTTTCCCATGGTCTTGGGCAGTTCCACTGCTGTGACTCTGCAGGGTACGGCTTCCCTCCCAGCTGCTTTCATGGGCTGGTGTTGAGTATCTGCAGCTTTTCCAAGTGCACAGTGCAAGGTGTCAGTGGATCTGCCATTCTGGGGTCTGAAGGACGGAGGCCCTCTTCTCATGGCTCCACTAAGTGGTGCCCCAGTAGGGACTCTGTGTGGGTGCTCCGGCCTCACATTTCCCTTTTATACTGCCCAAGCAGAGGTTCTCCATGAGGGCCCCACCCTTGCAGCAAACTTCTGCCTGGACATCCAGGCATTTCCATACATTTTTTGAAACCTAAACAGAGGTTCCCCAACTCCAATTCTTGACTTCTGTGTACTTGCAGGCTCAACACCACATGGAAGTTGCCAAGTCTTGGGGCTGGCACCCTCTGAAGCCATGACCTGAGCTCTACATTGGCCCCTTTCAGCCATGGCTGTAGCAGTTTGGATTCAGGGCACCAAGTCTCTAGGCTGCACACAGCACAGGGACCCTGAGCCCACCCCATGAAACCACTTTTTCCTCCTAGGCCTTCAGGTCTGTGTTGGGAAGGCCTGCTGTGAAGACCTCTGACATGTCCTGGAGACATTTTCCCTGTTGTCCTGGAGATTAATATTCGGCTCTTTGTTACTTATGCAAATTTCTGCAGCCAGCTTGAATTTCTCCTCAGAAAATGGGATTTTCTTTTCTATCGCATTGTCAGGCTGCACATTTTCTGAACTTTTATTCTCTTCTTTCCTTATAAAACTGAATGCCTTTAACAGAACACAAGTCACCTCTTGAATACTTTGCTGTTTAGAAATTTCTTCAGCCAGATACTGTAACTCATCTCTCTCAAGTTCAAAGTTCCAAAAATTTCTAGGAAAGGGCCAAAATGCCATCAGTCTCTTTGCTAAAACATAACAAGAGTCACTTTACTCCAGTTAACAAGTTCCTCATCTCCATCTGAGACCACCTCAGACTGGACCTTATTGTTCATATCACTATCAGCATTTTTGTCAAAGCCATTCAACAAGTCTGTAGGAAGTTCCAAACTTTCCCACATTTGTCTGTCTTCTTCTGGGCCTGCCAAACTGTTCCAACCTCTGCCTGTTACCCCGTTCTAAAGTCGCTTCCACATTTTTTGAGTATCTTTTCCCACATTTGTCTGTCTTCTTCTGAGCCCTCCAAACTGTTCCAACCTCTGCCTGTTACCCAGTTCCAAAGTCAGTTCCACACTTTTGTGTGTCTTTTCAGTAGCACCCCACTCCTGATACTAATTTACTGTATTAGTCTGTTTTCATGCTGTTAATAAAGACACATTGATACTGGATAATTTATGAAGGAAAAGGGTTTAATGAACTTACAGTTACACATGGTTGGGGAGGCCTCACAGTCATGGTAGAAGGCAAGGAGGAGCAAGTCACATCTTACATGGATGGCAGCAGGCAAAAAGAGAGAGCTTGTGCAGGAAAATTCCCTTTTTTAAAACTATCAGATCTCATGAGACATATTCACTACCATGGGAACAGCATGGGAAAGACCCACCCCCATAACTCAATTACCTCCCACCAGGTTCCTCCCATAACACATGGGAATTGTGGAAGTTACAATTCAAGATGAGATTTGGGTGGGGACACAGCCAAACCATATCAGATACTATATATCAATCAGTTCAACGTTTATCCTGCCTTCATGGAATACAAATTTAATGGGAAGAAATATAAGAATGATTGACAAATAGATAAATGAGGTTGATTTCAAATAGTGATTAATAGTGTTTTAGAAGATACAAGTTTTAGAAGACCAAAGAATGGGAATATTTCAGGGAGAGAAAACTCTCAAAAATGTAAGATGAAGAGCTACTTAGTATTCTTGAGAAATGAACGGAAGGTAAATGAGGTTGGAGGTTAGTGAATGAAAGGGAGAGTGGCAAGATCTCACTGTGAAATAAATCTATTAGTTATTCCAGGTGTTAACTGGAATATCATGTGGGACTGGGAAAAGCATGTGTGATGTCATAATAAAGGATGGGTATTTTATTCTAAATGCTAAGGTAAGACATTACAGTTTTTGTTTTAGGTATGAGCCTTGCAAGAAGACATACATATTTTGCTGATTGCCAAGGGGATAATGCATTGGGTATAAGAAGAAGGAAAGTAGAGGAACCAATTAAGAAATATTTACTACAATTAAGAAGAGATGATAATAACTTCGACCAAGGTGGAGGCTATGAAGATGGAGCAATGCGAATACATGGAGACATGTTTTTGATGTAGACTCAGCAAGAAATTCTAATATATTAGATTTTATGTTTTGGGAGAAAAAGAGACATCTCCAAGATTATGGCTTGAATAGATTGGGTAATTATGCAATTTGTTTTTATGGTGAAGAATGGGGGGGATATTTGTGAGGAATTTAGGAATTTGATTTTGGTCATGTTAAGCCTGAGATTCCCTAAGCAGTAAGCAAATAGAGATGGCAAGTAGAGTGGTGGAATATACTTCTTAGCTAGAACTTCAGAAGACAAGGCTGAATCAACGACATTAGAATTCACTAACAAGTTGGAGATAAAGGCATGGGACAGCATGAGGAGAAAAAGAGAAGAGACATAGGATCTAGTTCTAATTGAAAGCATCATTTAGTGGTTGTGTAGAGAAGGAGTCAATGAAAAAACATGAAAAAAGGTGACAGTGAGGTAGAAAAAAAATCATGAGAGGGTGCTGTTACAACAGCTGATAAAGATAAATGTTTCAAGTAGGAAGAGGTAATCAACTGTGATGAATATGGCAGACAAGTGTAGTAGTATTAGAAAAACGTCCATTTTCCTATGGTAATGTAGAGGTTCTTTGAGATAAGCAACATAAACTTTACATAAGCCTTTGTGAAGTAGGGGCAGTGCCAGATGGCAGTAGATTTAAGAGTAAAATATAGAGGAGGAAGAAGAGAAAGTGTGCGTAAGACAGATGGGTCTTTTGAGGTTTAGCTAGAAAGTAAGTGGGTGGTAGCTGGGATATTTTTATGTAATTTTTTTAAGAATAAAGGGAAAAGAGTACAGTCTTACATTAATGCAAACAACTTAGTAGAGAAGGAGAACCTAATAATGTAGAATGAAAATAATAATAGAAGGGAAATAGTTCCTGAAAAGACAGAAAAAAATGAGATCCAGAGCAAAAATGGAGGGGGTTTAGCTCTTAAAAAGAGGACTCATCTTCAATCTAAGAAAGGGATGAAAGATGAAAATTATGATAGCTTTTTATGTTTGCTATTAATGAGATTAGGGATATACTTTGAGTGGGTTTTAATCCCTCAATAGCACACAAAATAAGATCACTAGCTGAGAGAGATAGAGATAGAGAGACAGAGACAGAGGTAGAGGTAGAGATAGAGATAAGAGAGAGATAAAATATTACATGGGGCTAAGACAAAGTTTCTGGGTTTGCTATCAACTGATATTTGGACATCAGTGGGATTAATGTGAAAGAGCCCATAAAGGAAGAAATTTAATAATGGTTAAAAAATACTATTGCAGAAAGATTAATCTGGCAAAGTCATAAGAAATACATTGAAGGAATGGAAGAAAAATAAAACAAGAAATTATACTACTAAAATAATTTTGAACATGCAGTGCCATGGACTGAAATCAGAGGCGTAATTTGGGTAATAGAAGGTTGAGATAGATTTGAAAGGTCTTATAAAGTATAGATAAACAGTGCTTATGTATTACCTGGAGATGGTATTATAATTAAAAAATAAAAATCTGGATTTTAGTTTTATTTTATTATTTTAAGTGTTAAGATATGGTAGTATGGTGGTGCTATTGAAAGAAATTTAAATGTATAATGTAAGTTTTTTAGGGAGAAGATGGGTTAAAGTTTGAATGTGTTTTATTTTAGGACTAATAGTGAAACTTGAGAGTGATCACATATGGAGATGAAAGATTGAAAGACCTCTCGCTGAACATAATATAGAAGGTCTAAAATACTCTCAAGTCCCCTCCATCTCAAAATGACAGCAGTAACAGTGAAAACTAAACATAGCTGTACCAAGGTAACAAATAATCTCTTTGTTTTATTCTTTCCTTAATTCATTTATTTAATTAATATTTCTTAATTTCTTTATATGTTCATTATATGTTCAAAATCCTGTGATCTGCTTTTGTGAATGATGAGAAAAAGGGCGGGGGATAGTGAAGCAGGTATGACCCCTGCTCACTCTCACATAGCATATAGCTTTCAGTGTGGAGATAGATTAAACAAATGGTTACATAATTAGATAATTACATTTATAATAAGAGGTAATGAAGAGAAGTTTATAATTATATGAGAGCACATAATGGGGTTGCCTTTGTACTGTGAGTAGTTGGAAGAAACAAGAAAGTTGGAACTAAAAAGGTGAGAAGGAATTGGCTAGGTTAAGAGACAGCAGAGTTCTGTGCAGAGACAACAGTATGACACAGTCAAATAAGAAAGAGGGTTGGTGTGCCTTAGACGGAGAAAACAAGAAGAAAGGTCATGAGCTCTGTGGCAGAAGTAAGGGGCTCAAATCTATAATTTTTTAAATTCATATTTGCATTTACAATGGCATAATGCATATCTCCATTTAGATTTTTTATTGGCTTCTGAACTACTGAGTGCATCAGGCTGAATTAATTAATTTCCCTCTCCTATGATATATTGATTAAAGGCATTAAAATCTATTAGTCATTCACACACACTCTAAAATCTGTTTATCTTTAATTTTTCTCCTTTATCCTTCACACTCAATGACTCACAGAGGATGATTCTACCTATGAAATTGTTTTTCCTGTGAAATTTGTCTTTTGTCAGAGAAAAGTGAATGTATCATTTAGTTAAGTTTTTGTAACTTTGCATTTTCTATCTCCTAAGCATCTATAATTCTAACCTCTATTACCCAATTAGCCAATGGGCTATGAGCCATATTTCATCTTGACACTTTGTATCTAGCATATAACATACATCTATTAATAGGTACCAAATGGTAAATATATATAAATATAAATATATATATATATATATATATATATATATATATATATATATATATATATGTATGTTGCATGAATGGAGGGAATGTAGAATGATAATTGTATGAATATTATCAATAGAAAATAGAAAGATTTGAAGGCAAAGCAGAATGTGAAATTGTTGGATAAGTGGTTCCCCACATTAAAATTGCTCAGGGGGCAGCTGTTGAAGTAATTTAAAAAAATCGATTCCCAACAGTTATGACAAGATACCTATATGACAACATACTCAAATCTTGTCATAAGAAATTTTTTATTTAACTGGTCTTGGTGAGGCATAGGAACAATAAATTATTTTCTTTCTTTATTGAAACTCTGATCACTTCTTAGCTCAATAACTCTTTATTGATTTTATTTGTCCCATCCCAAACTCATCTCTCCTAATTCATAGATGGGATGGGACAAATAAAAACAATAAAGGGTGATTGACTCAGGATAAAGGTACTCCATGGGTGATTTTAACATGTAATTCTTTCAGGGAACAACTTATCTAACAATTTTACATTCTACTTTGCCTTCAAATATTTCTGTTTTCTATTGATAATATTCCCACAATTCTCATTCTACAGTTCTTCCATTCATTCAGTATACATATTTATTTATCATTTCCAATCTTGGCATAAGTAATTCTGATTTAACTGGCCTTGGTGAGGCATAGGAACAGTTATATTAAAAAAAAAATCCTCAAGTGGGTATGTTATACAGTCTTAGGTAAGAATCATTAGAATAGATGAGTTTGGGATGGGACAAATAAAACCAAAAGAGTTATTGAGCTAAGAAGTGATTAGAGTTTCAATGAAGAAAAAATAATTTATTGATATAGCCAAAACACCTTACACTCTGGCCAACATACAGTGCTACAGAGAGAGAAACAGGAGTTTATATATTTTAAAAATCTGTTGGTGTTTATGTTTAAAAAGTCATCATCAAACTTTAAAGCAGCAATTTTACTTGTGCAGAGAGAAACAGATTACAGAGAAGTGGTAAAACAAGTCTTGGGAGAGTGAAGGGTTAATAAAATATATTTAAGAAATTTAAGTAATTTGAGAGAAACTGGTTGTTAGCATGAAGAAGCGATCATTGAAAGATTTTAATTTTTTTTTCTTGTAGTACCGATCTAATATATTGGAAAACATGGTAGGAAATAGTAAAGAGAGAGAAATTATTTAGGGTCAAGTATCTCAGAGGAAGTGGCAGAGTATAGTATTTAGGGCAGATGTACAAGTTAACCTTGGGAAATAGAAGGGAATTTGTCATTTTTTCTCTTAGTGAAGTGGACAAAGGAGTGACTCAGAATTTAAAGACAGAGAAGTATATTTTGTGTAACAATTATGAAAATTGTACTAAATAATTGTATTATTCAGGGTTATCCATAGAAACATAACCAATAGGATATATAGTATATATATGTGTGTGTGTGTGTGTGTGTGTGTGTGTGTCTGTGTATGAGGAAATTTATTATAGAAATCTGTTCACAAAATTATGATGGCCAAGATGTCCCACAATATGCTGTCTTCAAGCTGGAGAACGAAGAAAGTCGGTGGTGTAATTTAGCCTGAGGTTAAAGGCCTGAGAACCCAGTGGGTAAAAGGACTGCTGGTGTAAGTCCCTGAAACCAAAGGCTCCGGAACCTGGAGTCCTGATACTCTCTTACACAGGAAAAGATGGATGCACCAGCTCAAGAAGAGAGAGAGAGAGAATTTGCCCTTCCTCACAGATTGGATGATGTCCATCCACATTAGTGATAGTGGATGGATCTTCTTTACTCAATCTACTGACTCAAATTCTAATGTCTTACAGGAACACCCTTGCAGACACACTGAGAAATGTTTTCACCAACTATCTGGGTATTCTTTAGCTCAATCAAGTTGACACATAAAATTAGCCACCACCACACATTCTTAAACTTAAGGAGTCCTTTCTGGAATGCAACTCTGCACACTTGAAATTTTAATGAATGTTAAAATCTTCTGGTACTGGGCTGAGGAATCACTTATTATGAAAAAGTTTGATGACATTCTGCAACAAAAATTTCCTAACTTTATTCAGATAATTTTTAAATGGCTTTGCCTTCTATGTTATGAGCAACATTTACACCCAAAATTGTGTTTAAAATTTCCGTAACTTGGAATGATTTATTTTTCTCAGCTAAGAATGTTTAAATTTCTAAGTGAGGCAAGCTTAGGGTCTGGGCTCCAAGATAGGAATGTGTTGAAAACAAATGAAGAGAATTTGAGATGATTTTGCAACTACTGAGAGTATATTGGTGTTATGAGTGTGTTGTTTAAAACGTAGTGTTATAACAGATAGCACCTCTCCTTGATCCTCTTGATCCTGAGACCACTAAGTTTAGCTGATTGTCTTAGTCTGATTGTCTTTGTTTTCTGTTTCTATAAAGGAATACCTGAGGCTGGGTAATTTATAAAGAAAAGAGGTTTATTTGGCTCATGGTTCTGCAGGCTGCACAAAAAGCATGGTGCCAGCACCTGCTTCTGATGAGGGCCTCGGGCTGCTTCCACTCATTGCGGAAAGGAAGGGTGTGCAGAGACCACATGGTGATAAAGGAAGTAGGAGAGAGGGGAGGGAGATACTGAGCTCTTTATAACTTTAGTTTCCAAGGAAACTGATAGGACAACTCACTCACTCTTGAGGGATGGCATTAATCTAATATTTATGGGGTATCTGACCCCATGACCAAACACCTCCAGTTAGGCCCCGCCTCAAGCACTGTGGATCAAATTTTGGCATGAAGTTTGGAGGGTCAAACATCCAATCTATAGCACTGATTAAAGACTTAGAGGCAGGCCTTGGGGTGCTCTTGACATAAGATGATTTCTCCCTTGATGACTCTACTGGCTTATACCAATTTCATGGAATCAATATTGGTTGCCATTCAAATGTTGCATTGACTGGATAGAGTAGCCACTTGTTAAGGATGTAAGGTTGGATCTGAAAGCTTTGTATGGAGAAAATATTTAGAGTCCCCAGAAAAACTGAAAGTAATAAAAGAGGGAGTAAATTTGCATCATTTTGGTAAATATGGTAAAATTTAGTGGAGTTGATTGCCAGTAATTACAAATAGAACCAAGAATAAGTCTTTCAATTTTTGGCATAGCTACCATTACTTGGCGATAATGTGCTTAGATGAGATTTTTAAGAGGAATCTCATTTATAAAACAAGATCTGTCCCCACATGCCTTGTAGTGCTATTTAGTATGTTGAAAGGTGACCTCAGATATTGCTAATACAGGCCATTGGTTGGGATTTTCTTTTTTAAAGCTGCAGGCATAGAGAGAACATAAAATTACCCTGTAAAGCTGTGTTTTTGGTAAAGTATGTTGGAATATTCCATACTAATTTTGCTGTAGTAAGTATATGAACCATTTTTCTCTTATCATATGTACCAGACACCAATGTGCACCAGTGAAATGACTCTGGGCAAACACAATGGATAAATTCTATCTATCCCTTGAGAAGAAGTGTAATATAATAGTTAATGACATATACTCTGGAACAAAACCACTTAGCTTTAAATTCTGTCTCTGTCACATACCAGCTGAGTGATCTTGGCAACATCATTTTATTACTTTGGGTATCAGTTTTCTCATTTTAAAATGAAGGTGATACTATACTTAACCATACAGGGTTGTTGGTGAAATTAATACATATAAATATTCATGTTCAATGTATTATGGCACTAAGAGCACTGTCTGTGGGAGAGCAAGCACAAAGGAATGTTTTACTGTCATGTTGATAAGAACGGGGGGCAAGAATAAGCTTTTGGGTTTTAAACGGTGCCTCCTTGAATCATAACTAGAAATTTTTGCAACAGCTCCTGAATACCTTCCTTGATTAAAGTCCAATTTAATTCCCAGCCTGTATCTCAGTTTATTTATTTTTTTATTATCTCAATCTGTTGGTACTGCTGTCAGAATTTGCTTTTTGCTTCTGTGATTCCTCTTTTGATTCCTGGTATGGTCTGAATGTTAGTGCGTCTCCACCCCCAATTTATACATCAAAACCTAATCCTCAGTGTGATAGGATCCTCAATGTGTATTAGAAGTCAGGGCATTTGGGTAGTGATTAGTCATTAAGTCAGATCCCTCATGAATGGGATTAGTGCCTTTATAAAAGAGACCCAAAAGAGCTATCTCGCCTTTCCACCATGTGAGGACATAGTGAGAGGCACCTAATACAAGGGCCCTCGCCAGACACCAGATCTGCTGTGCCGGGGCCTGGACTTCCCAGCTTCCATAACTGAAAAATAAATATTTGTTTATAAGCTACCAACTTTCTGGTGTTTTTGTTATAGCACCCTAAACAGACTAAGACAATTCCTCATCAAGGACTTTTCTTGTATCTACCTCATATCTTCTAAATTGTACTCACTTTGTAATGTATCCACTTCAGATGCTTGGGAGAGCTGGCATTTAGCTGACCCAACAGGCAGAACATTAATGAAAACAGATGAGGGTCAAAGATTATTCCCACTTGGAGGCCAAGTGTCCTGATTAGAACTGGAATTCCTTATTCCCTTTCTTAATAAGAACATAGGGCTCTAGTAAAGAGGGTTGTTGGTTTAATGAACTTTTACTGGAGCACCTTTGGCTCCAATAGTGTGTACACTCCGCTAGCAGGGATGTTGTCTCATGGCACTCACTAGTAAGTAGGCAGGCATAATCGTAGTCCTGAAGTGCAGGCAACATAGTGATTAAGCAGCCAGTCTCCATAACCAGATGGCTTAGATGCCAATACTGACTCCTTCACAGCCCTGCTCAGTGACCTCGGATAGGGTACCTAAGCCATCAAATAATCTGCTTGGTTTTCTCATCTATAAAATGGAGGATAATTATATTTTCCTCTGAAGGTATTCTGAAGATAAAATGAATTCATGGATGGGAAATAGGGCTTTACATATGGGTTACTCACTGTTACTATTAAATAAATACTTGATATTCTTTGTGGAATTAACTTATTAGCCCTGCACGCCTTTTAGAGTGTGTGTGGAAACGGTCATGGCAACCCACAGGATTTGTGAGCAGTGAACACATCACCACCCTAGGTACTAAAGGAAATGGTGAGATGATGGCACTAATGCTAGTGAAAAGTTGAACAAGAACAATGGGTACCCGGTTGACCTTTGTGGCAAGGCTCCAGCAGGAGGCAGCACCTGCTATGCCCATCTCAATGAACACCTGCTTTCGTTTTACGACAGATGTGTGACTGCTCCAAAGTTTGGCTGTAAAAACTATCCTGAACCCTTAAACATGATATAGAGGCAATCTTGCCTGTCTACCAATGGGAGACAATCTGGCCTCGAATCTTCTTCACAGCCCCTGGAAAAGTGTGACATTCCTCATGGTGGGGCTTACATCCTAGGATGCCCATACACAGAGTGGCCTGTTTTACCGTCACCATGTAGTGTAGCGTGGTACTATGTCCAGTCCCCAACCCCACTGCCAGTAGGTTATGAACACTTTCACTCCATGACATTCTGTTGCCATTAAAATGTTTTTGAAGAGTGTATAACAATATGGGAACTTTATGTTATAAACCAAGTGAGAGAAAGTATGAAGTTTTCTAAAACAGTATTATTTTTTATTTCTTACTCCACTCTTGAAAAAATGATAAACTCACCTCTCTTGTATGTGCCTATTTTCATCACCATACAGATAAGTACATTTTGAGTCACATATTGCTTTTTTAAAAATGGCATTTTAAATTAGAAATAAATTCCTCAAGGGCAGATATAAAATCTCACTTATTTTTCTACGCCAAGCCCTAATACAGTGCCTCACATATAGCAGTTATCCAATGAAAGTTTACTGAGTGAATAAATAAATGAGCAAAAATGTTTGCCATTGAGATATGGAATTAACCTGAGTGTCCATCAACAAAAGAATAGATAGGCCGGGTGCGGTGGCTCACACCTGTAATCCTAGCACTTTGGGAGGCCGAGGCAGGCGGATCACTAGGTCAGGAGATCGAGACCATCCTGGCTAACACGGTGAAACCCCGTCTCTACTAAAAATACAAAAAAATTAGCCGGGCGTCGTAGTGGGCGCCTGTAGTCCCAGCTACTCGCGAGGCTGAGGCAGGAGAATGGCGTGAACTGGCGAGGCGGAGCTTGCAGTGAGCGGAGATCGCACCACTGCACTCCAGCCTGGGCAACAGAGTGAGACTCCGTCTCAAAAAATAAATAAATAAATAAATAAATAAATAAATAAAAGAATGGATAAAGAAAATGTAGTATATATACACAGTGGAATACTATTCAGCCACAGAAAAGAACAAAATCTAGTCATTATCATCAACATGAATAAACCTGGAAAGCATTATGTTAAGTGAAATAAATCAGTCACAGAAAGACACATGCCACACCATCTCACTCATAAGTGGAATCAAAGAGTTGATCTCATAGAAATAGAGAGTAGAATGATGGTTACCAGAGGCTGGGTTGGCTATCAGGGAGGGGAGGATCTAGAGAGCTTGATCAAAGGATACGTAATTACGGTAAAATAGGAGGATTGAATTTTGAGAGATCTATTGTACAGCAAGGTGATAATAGTTAATGATAATATATTCTTGAAAAATATAAAATTAGGAAACATTGAGTGCTCTTATCACAAAAATTATAACTATGCGAGACAATGCATTTGTTCATTAGCTAGGTTTAACCATTCCACTATATATATATTATATATATGTATATATATACACACACACACACAGAAATATGTTATTTGTATGTGTTATCTGTCAAATTAAATTTAAAAAATAAATTAAGGAACAATTTTATTTTTAACATCTGACAATGTTATCTGTCAAATTAAATTTAAAAAATAAATTAAGGAACAATTATATTTTTATGTACTTTCAATATCATTCTTAGAAACATGGAAATAACCTCTTTGTTTCCTTTTGTCCTAAGTCTCGGTGGTCAGTTTCTTTTTATAAACTCACATAAATTAGACTAAATAACATCTTTCTTTCTGTGGAAAAATGGTATTACTGTTCAGACTCATGGGCCTCATTGTCATTACATCACCAATCTATACACATTTAGCTCCTTAGGCCTAACTTGGAAATTGATGTTTCCCCTCCCTAGTCATTTCTGTTGCCTGTCTCTCGCACTCTTGATGAGGCTGTATTACCTCAGACACTGTTATCTGATGCAGTCTCCCCAGAGTTTTGTAGGAAAAGGCTATTACTTTCCCATCCTAGGATCTAATGTCTCTTCATATGCAGCCTTGAAAATCACTGCCTGTCTGGGTACCGTATTACATTGTGTGCAATTCTAATTTGTCTTCAGTTTTCAGCCATTTGTCTCCTTTGGTGATACTGATTTCTGGAGCAATTCTGCTCTTTGACTTCAGACTATTTTCCTGAGGTCTATTCTTGTTTGTTCTCTTCAGCATTTATGGAGAATTTTAGAAGTTAGCATTCAGTCTTATATACACTCACTTTAGGATAAGTCTCACATCTTTGAAATATTAACAGCTCTTTTCATTTCACCACAAGTAACAGAAATGTACAACAAACCTCTCTAAGATGAATGAATTTTCTGTGCAAACTAAATTAGGAAAATGCACTAGGGAAGCTGGGGTGGAGATGATGATTACAAAAATCTCGTTGACCTCTTTATATGCCCTTGGACAAGTCAATTGACTTTCTAAAATCTCATCTTGCAAATTTGTATAGAAGGTAAAAAAAGGCTTCTTAAAATCCTTATCCACAACCTATTTCATATACTTGTTATAAGGATCAATTGAAATATTGGCTATAAATATTTTACAAAGACTTCACAAAGGTGAGTTTAGTTCAGGATAAAGAAGCAGTGATCATGTTCAATATAATTTAAGTTAAATGTTAAGAAGAGTTAACAATGAATTAAATGAAATAATCACTAATGCCGACTGCTGGTTGAAGTTTTGTTTTTGTTTGTTTGTTTACAGTTTTCCAATTGTGCCTGCATCATAGTCACCTGCATGTTCACTAAAAGGGGATGCTATTCACTGAGGTTGCTCTTAGATGTGTCCTATCTCCTAAAAATTAAAAACATCTATAAGAATTTAAAAGTACTCAATCAGGCCGGGCTTGGTGGCTCACCCCTGTAATACCAGCATTCTGGGAGGCTGAGTTGGGCTGATCACCTGATATCAGGAGTTCAAGATCAGCCTGGCCAACTGGTGAAACCCCTTCTCTACAAAAATACAAAAATTAGCTGGGCATAATGACAGGTGCCTACAGTCCCAGCTACTTGGGGGGCTGAGGCAGGAGAATCACTTGAACCTGGGAGGTGGAGGTTGCAGTGAGCCGAGATCACACTCCAGCCTGGGCGACAGAGGGAGACTCCATTTCTAAAAATATAGATTAATTAAAAAAATAAAAGTACTCAATCAGATAGACCTGGTTTGAATCTCAGCTCCACTGCTTACTAGCTTACATGTGGTTGGAAGAGTCATTTAATTTCCACTGTCAGTTTCCTCAACTATAACATGAGCACAATGTGTCATCATCTGGGTGAAGATTGAAGGAGAATGCAAGCCAAGCCATGAAAACAATGTCTGGCACATATTTAGTCTCAATAAATATGTGCTATTCCTAAATATCCTTTTAGATACATTTGACTATGAGCATTCCTGGACTTATCCATCTATCACTGGAAAAATGGCTGTGTATTCCTTTCTTTCTTCATGTGGTAGGTTTCTATGTTGGATGCTGGTGGTATAGAAATGAATTAAATTGAATGTGCATTCACTAGCTAGGACTTGAACTTGTTCATTGGTGTTCCTACTGACTAACACTGCACCTGGTGCATAGTCCTTACTCAATAGTTTTTTTTTAATTAAATGACTTAATGTCTCATCATGCTTTCAGCTGAGCAATGGAGATGATTATGTAAACAATTTTATGAAGTGCACTGCAACAAGTGCTATAACTTAGGTGTCTTCTTCTCGATTTAATTTTGTTTCTTCAGCTATTCTATTATTGTTTATCTAAATTTTATTTTCTTCCCTTTTAATTTTTCCTGTTATGGCATCATTGTTTTTGGTTCTTAGGCTTTTCCAACACTTGCAGTGTCTCCTTATTTTGTATCATGTAAAAATTTCATTAACTTGGTGTTTATTTCCTCTGCCTGACATTGAATAAAAATAATTTCATACAACAGTTACTGAGACCCACACTCATTCAACAACTGTCCTTCCTAGCCTGTTAAACACATTTCATTATTTGCTTTGATCTCTGGCCTTTGAGCAAGTTTGAATTTTCACAATTAGAATTTTATCACAGGCAATTTTTAAAACATTTTTCGGGAACATTCTTAGGGAAAAATTTATGAGGCCTACCACTGTAGGTGTGTGTGTGTGTGTGTGTGTTTGTATATGTGAGTGTGTGTGTGTGAGAGAGAGAGAGAGGGAGAGAGAGAGAGGGTCATGTAAATCTTAATTGTGTTGAATGTCTTATGTTTAATACTAATCATGTGATAAAATCATCTCAAGGGAAACTTTTTTCAAAAGCAGAATATATGTTAGATTATGAATGAGGATGTTCAGTCTCAAGTAAAATAATATTAGCTAATATTTTTTGAATATTGCAGATTGTCAGGTATTGCTTTAGGTGATTTTATAAATTAAACATTTTTATGAATCAATTTGAGAATTTTCATTCATTTACAGATAAATAATTTGGGGTACAAATCAGTTGAAGAAGTTATGCTACATCACAGAGCTGGTGAACACATGGCAGAACTGGGATTCCAATTCCCATATGTGGGCTGCTGGGCTCATTTTCTTCTCTACTAGAATTTTTAGCTTTTATAATTTTGGCTGTCCAGAGTTCAGTCTTTCTGTTTCTGTTAAGAGCAACTTGATTTAGCTTTGGGCACCACCCCAGACCCATTGATGAAAGACTCAGTAGGTCTATCCATCAGGCTTCCTGACCTCTCTTTACGAAGAGATTTGTGTGTGACCCAAGAGCAATCACACTCTTTCTTTCCAAAACTTTTATCTAGATTGCAGAAACAAAGACTGAAAATGATTGGAGTTGATTCACCATGAAGGCCACAACCCGAAGAGACTTTCCGTTAGTTCCTGCTTTTAAGTCTCTAAAGCATCTCTGAGTTTTGAACTTCCAAAGTATGGTTTTTATCATTTTCTTCAGTTCTGTGAGGCTCTGGAGTAAGCCTGTGGATTATGATCATATGGGTTATGCACTGCCCAACTGCAGAGGGTACGAGCCTCGGGCAAAGGCAGCCTTGACCCTCACATCCTATCAGCACACTACTTTTGGGTGAAATGAGTTGCAATCAGTATCTATTGCTTGCAATTAACGAACCCTAATTAGTGTTCCAGGATACAGTGGCTGTTATGGACTAAAGTGTGTATGCATTAGAGCCTTAATCCCCAAAGTGATTGTACGTGCAGAATCAGCCTTCAGGGAGGTAATAAAGGTTACATGAGGTCATAAGGGTGGGGCTGCAATCCAATAGGACTCTTGTTCTCATAAGAAGAGGAAGAGACACTAGAAATATCTCTCTCTCTCTGTCTTTTGTACACACTCAGAGGAAAGGCCATATGAGGACATAGCAAGAAGGTGGCTGTATACAAGTCAGGAAAAGAGGCTTCAACAGAAACCCACTCTGACCAAGCATCTTGAACTTGGACTTCATAATTGTGAGAAAACAAACTTCTGCTGTTTAAACCACCTGGTCTATGGTATTTTGTTACGGTATTCCCAGAAACCCATGAATGTTGGCACCACAAAGTGTCGTGCTACTGTAATAAATGTCTAAAAATGTGGAGTGACTTTGGAACTAGGTGCTGAGTGCAGGCTGAAAGAGTTTTGAGGTGCATGCTAGAAAAAGCCTATGGTGCTTTGAAGGGACTCTTCGCAGAAATATAAATGCTAAGGGTGATTCTAGTGAGGTCTCAGGTGGAAGTGAAAAACATGTTATTAGAAGCTGAAGGAAAGACATTCTTTTCATAAAGTGGCAAAGAATTTGGATGAACTATTTGTTTTTTATTATTTTGGAGAAGAGAGAACATGTTTTCTAGACGTGTTGATAATCTGGCCTTATTTCTCTTTAGTTCTTAGAGTAAAATGCAAAAGGAGAGAGAGAAACTGAAAAATTTCTTGGCTGGGTGTGGTGGCTCACTCTTGTACTCTCAGGACTTTGGGAGGCCAAGGCAAGATCGCTTGAACTCGGGAGTTTGAGACCAGCCTGGGCAGCATAGCAAGGCCCTGTATCTACAGAAAAATAGAAAAAAAATAGTCAGGCCTGTTGGTAGCATGCACTTGTGGTCCCAGCTACTTGGGAGGCTGAGGCAGAAGGATCACTTGAGCCCAGAAGATCGAGATTGCAGTGAGCTGAGCCACTGTACTCCAGCTTGGGTGACAAACCAAGATGCTGTCTCAATTTAGAAGAAAGAAAAAGAGAGATAGAAAGAAGGAAGGAAGGAAAGAGAGAGAGAAAGAAAGAGAGAGAGGAAGGAAGGAAGGAAAGAGAGAGAAAGAAAGAGAGGAAGGAAGGAAGGAGAAAGAAAAGAGAAAGAAAGAAAGAGAAAGAAAGAAAGGAAGAAAATGAAAAAAAAAACTGTTAAAGTGGAACCAGAACTTGAAGATTTGGAAAATCTATCATTCTATTCATATTGCAAAAAAATGAGAAAATGTTTTCCAGAGAGAACATCAAAGATGGCTGGACAATCAGTCCATAGGGAGATTATCCATGGAGTTAATCAGCCATCTAAGCAGCACCAGCAATAGAGGTGGAATTACATTAGCTGAGACACTGCCAGTTTGGACTGAAGGGAAGATAAAAAGAAGAAATAAAAAAAGGCTTTCAGGCTTCTGAGATTCCACAGGACTGGACAATAGAGCTATTGGGCTCCAACATGCTTTATCGTTCAAGAAAACGGAATCCCCAGTGGTTATCAGAGCTACCACTCTCACTACACTCCTGGAGGGCAAGTCTCAGTTTCATAGGGTGGGACCTCCTACTTGGTTTTAGCAGGCCAAGCCATATCTGCCCAGTGCCCCAAGAGCAAGACCTCTGCCCAGAACTGAGGGGGCAAGGCTGCAGTCTTGGGCTGTGGGAGGGATGTTGCCACTGGACTGGGCCTGCAGGAAGAGCATCAAGACAAAGAGGAATATTATTGAGCTTTAAGATCTAGAATAATTTGCCTTTCTAGATTTTGGACTTTCTTGGGACCGGTCATCCCTTTCTTTTTTCTGATTTCTTCCTTTTGAAATGACAATATATATCCTACACCTGTCCTGTCACCGTATTTTGGAATCATATAATGTGTCTAGTTAAAAAGTTTAGAGATAGAAACTGTAATTTTGCCTCAGAATGAATCATACCTAAAGTCTCACCCATACCTGACTTAGATAATATTTAGATGAGACTTTGAACTTGGAATTGATGCTTGAATTCGTTAAGGCTTTTGTGGCTGTTGGTATGAGGGGAATGTATTTTGCATGTGGTAAGGACATGAATTAGGGTAGGAAGCAGAGAAATGTGCTATGAACTGAGTGGTGCCCCCTCCCCATTCATATATTAAAGCCTGAACCCCCAGTGTGACTGCATTTGGAGGTAGAGCCTTTAAGAAGGTAATTAAGATTAAATAAGGTCATTAGAGTAGCACCCTAATCCAACAGGACTGGTGTCTTTTTTTTTTTTTTATACTTTAAGTTCTAGGGTACATGTGCACAATGTGCAGGTTTGTTACATATGTATACATGCACCATGTCAGTGTGCTGCACCCATTAACTCGTCATTTACATTAGGTATATCTCCTAATGCTATCCCTCCCTGCTCCCCCCACCCCATGACAGGCCCCAGTGTGTGATGTTCCCCACCCTGTGTCCAAGTGTTTACATTGTTCAATTCCCACCTATGAATGAGAACATGCAGTGTTTGGCTTTTTGTCCTTGCGATAGTTTGCTGAGAATGATGGTTTCCAGCTTCATCCATGTCCCTACAAAGGACATGAACTCATCCTTTTTTATGGCTGCATAGTATTCCATGGTGTATATGTGCCACATTTTCTTAATCCAGTCTATCATTGATGGACATTTGGGTTGGTTCCAAGTCTTTGCTATTATGAATAGTGCTGCAATAAACATACGTGTGCATGTGTCTTTATAGCAGCTTGATTTATAATCCTTTGGGTATATACCCAGTAGTGGGATGGCTGGGTCAAATGGTACTTCTAGTTCTAGATCCTTGAGGCATCACCACACTGTCTTCCACAATGGTTGAACTAGTTTACAGTCCCACTGACAGTGTAAAAGTGTTCCTATTTCTCCACATCCTCTCCAGCACCAGTACCTGTTGTTTCCTGACTTTTTAATGATCGCCATTCTAACTGGTTTGAGATGGTATCTCATTGTGGTTTTGATTTGCATTTCTCTGATGGCCAGTGATGATGAGCATTTTTTCATGTGTCTGTTGGCTGCATAAATGTCTTCTTTTGAGAAGTCTCTGTTCGTATCCTTCACCCACGTGTTGATGGGGTTGTTTGTTTTTTTCTTGTAAATTTGTTTGAGTCCTTTGTAGATTCTGGATATTAGCCCTTTGTCAGATGAGTAGATTGCAAACATTTTCTCCCATTCTGTAGGCTGCCTGTTCACTCTGATGGTAGTTTCTTTTGCTGTGCAGAAGCTCTTCAGTTTAATTAGATCCCATTTGTCAATTTTGGCTTTTGTTGCCATTGCTTTTCGTGTTTTAGACATGAAGTCCTTGCCCATGCCTATGTCCTGAATGGTATTGCCTAGGTTTTCTTCTAGGGTTTTTATGGTTTTAGGTCTAACGTTTAAGTCTCTAATCGAACTTGAATTAATTTTTGTATAGGGTGTAAGGAAGGGATCCAGTTTCAGCTTTCTACGTATGGCTAGCCAGTTTTCCCAGCACCATTTATTAAATAGGGAATCCTTTCCCCATTTCTTGTTTTTGTCAGGTTTGTCAAAGATCAGATGGTTGTAGATGTATGGTATTATTTCTGAGGTCTGTGTTCTGTTCCATTGGTCTATATCTCTGCTTTGGTACCAGTACCATGCTGTTTTGGTTACTGTAGCCTTGTAATATAGTTTGAAGTCAGGTAGCATGATGTCTCCAGCTTTGTTCTTTTGGCTTAGGATTGTCTTGGCAATGCGGGCCCTTTTTTGGTTCCATATGAACTTTAAAGTAGTTTTTTCCAATTCTGTGAAGAAAGTCATTGGTAGCTTGATGGGGGTGGCATTGAATCTATAAATTACCTTGGGCAGTATGGCCATTTTCATGATCTTGATTCTTTCTATCCATGAGCATGGAATGTTCTTCCATTTGTTTGTGTCCTGTTTTATTTCGTTGGGCAGTGGTTTGTAGTTCTCCTTGAAGAGGTCCTTCACATCCCTTGTAAGTTGGATTCCTAAGTATTTTATTCTCTTTGAAGCAATTGTGAATGGGAGTTCACTCATGATTTAGCTCTCTGTTTGTCTGCTGTTGGTATATAAGAATGCTTGTTATTTTTGCACATTGATTTTGTATCCTGAGACTTTGCTGAAGTTGCTTATCAGCTTAAGGAGATTTTGGGCTGAGACTTGGGTGTTCTAAATATGCAATCATGTCATCTGCAAACAGGGACAATTTGACTTCCTCTTTTCCTAATTGATAACCTTCATTTCTTTCTCCTGCCTGATTGCCCTGGCCAGAACTTCCAACACTCTGTTGAATAGGAGTGGTGAGAGAGGGCATCCCTGTCTTGTGCCAGTTTTCAAAGGGAATGCTTCCAGTTTTTGCACATTCAGTGTGATATTGGCTGTGGGTTTGTCATAAATAGCTCTTATTATTTTGAGATACGTCCCATCAATACCTAATTTATTGAGTTTTTAGCATGAAGGGCTGTTGAATTTTGTCAAAGGCCTTTTCTGCATCTATTGAGATAATCCTGTGGTTTTTGTCTTTGGTTCCGTTTATATGCTGGATAAAGTTTATTGATTTGCATATGTTGAACCAGCTTTGCATCCCAGGGATGAAGCCCACTTGATCATGGTAGATAAGCTTTTTGATGTGCTGCTGGATTCGGTTTTCCAGTATTTTATTGAGGATTTTTGCATCGATGTTCCTCAGGGATATTGGTCTAAAATTCTCTTTTTTTTTGGTGTGTCTCTGTCAGGCTTTGGTATCAGGATGATGCTGGCCTCATAAAATGATTTAGGGAGGATTCTCTCTTTTTCTATTGATTGGAATCGTTTTAGAAGGAATGGCACCAGCTCCTCCTTGTATCTCTGATAGAATTCGGCTGTGAATCCATCTGGTCCTGGACTTTTTTTGTTTGGTAGTCTATTAATTATTGCCTCAATTTCAGAGCCTGTTATTGGTCTATTCAGGGATTCAACTTCTTCCTGGTTTAGTCTTGGGAGGGTGTATGTGTCCAGGAATTCATCCATTTCTTCTAGATTTTCTAGTTTATTTGCGTAGAGGTGTTTATAGTATTCTCTGATAGTAGTTTGTATTTCTGTGGGATTGGTGGTGATATCCCCTTTATCATTTATTATTGCATCTATTTGATTCTTCTCTCTTTTCTTCTTTATTAGTCTTGCTAGCGTCTATCAATTTTGTTGATCTTTTCAAAAAACCAGCTCCTGGATTCATTGATTTTTTTGAAGGGTTTTTTGTGTCTCTATCTCCTTCAATTCTGCTCTGATCTTAGTTATTTCTTGCCTTCTGCTAGCTTTTGAATGTGTTTGCTCTTGCTTCTCTAGTTCTTTTAATTGTTATGTTAGGGTGTCAATTTTAGATCTTTCCTGCTTTCTCTTGTGGGCATTTAGTGCTATAAATTTCCCTGTACACACTGCTTTAAATATGTCCCAGAGATGCTGGTATGTTGTGTCTTTGTCCTCATTGGTTTCAAAGAACATCTTTATTTCTGCCTTCATTTTGTTATGTACCCAGTGGTCATTCAGGAGTAAGTTGTTCAGTTTACATGTAGCTGAGCGGTTTTGAGTGAGTTTCTTAATCCTGAGTTCTAGTTTGATTACACTGTGGTCTGAGAGACAGTTTGTTATAATTTCTGTTCTTTTACATTTGCTGAGGAGTGCTTTACTTCCAACTATGTGGTCAATTTTGTAATATGTGTGATGTGGTGCTGAGAAGAATGTATATTCTGTTGATGTGGGGTGGAGAGTTCTGTAGATGTCTATTAGGTCCACTTGGTGCAGAGCTGAGTTCAATTCCTGGATATCCTTGTTAACTTTCTGTGCTGTGGATCTGTCTAATGTTGACAGTGGGGTGTTAAAGTCTCCCATTACTATTGTGTGGGAGTCTAAGTCTCTTGTAGGTCTCTAAGGACTTGCTTTATGAATCTGGGTGCTCCTGTATTGGGTGCAAATATGTTTAGGATAGCTAGCTCTTCTTGTTGAATTGATCCCTTTACCATTATGTAATGGTCTTCTTTGTCTCTTTTGATCTTTGTTGGTTTAAAGTCTGTTTTGTCAGAGACTAGGATTGCAACCCCTGCCTTTTTTTGTTTTCCATTTGCTTGGTAGATCTTCCTCCATCCCTTTATTTTGAGCCTATGTGTGTCTCTCCACGTGAGATGGGTCTCCTGAATACAGCACACTGATGGGTCTTGACTCTTTATCCAATTTGCCAGTCTGTGTCTTTGAATTGGAACATTTAGCCCATTTACATTTAAGGTTAATATTGTTATGTGTGAATTTGATCCTGTCATTATGATGTTCTCTGGTTATTTTGCTCGTTAGTTGATGCAGTTTCTTCCTAGCATTGATGGTCTTTACAATTTGGCATGTTTTTGCAGTGGCTGGTACCGGTTGTTCCTTTCCATGTTTAGTGCTTCCTTCATGAGCTCTTGTAGGGCGGGCCTAGTGGTAGCAAAATCTCTCAGCATTTGCTTGTCTGTAAACTATTTTATTTCTCCTTCACTTGTGAAGCTTAGTTTGGCTGCATATGAAATTCTGGGTTGAAAATTCTTTTCTTGAAGAGTGTTGAATGTTGGCCCCCACTCTCATCTGGCTTGTAGAGTTTCTGCTGAGAGATCCGCTGTTAGTCTGATGGGCTTCCCTTTGTGGGTAACCTGACCTTTCTCTCTGGCTGCCCTTAACATTTTTTCCTTCATTTCAACTTTGGTGAATCTGATAATTTTGTGTCTTGGAGTTGCTCTTCTTGAGGAGTATCTTTGTGGAATTCTCTGTATTTCCTGAATTTGAATGTTGGCCTGCCTTGCTAGGTTGGGGAAGTTCTCCTGGATAATATCCTGCAGAGTGTTTTCCAATTTGGTTCTGTTCTCCCCACCACTTCAGGTATACCAATCAGATGTAGATTTGGTCTTTTCACATAGTCCCATATTTCTTGGAGGCTTTGTTCGTTTCTTTTTACTCTTTTTTCTCTAAACTTCTCTTCTCGCTTCATTTCATTCATTTGATCTTCAATCACTCATACCCTTTCTTCCAGTTGATTGAATCAGCTACTGAGGCTTGTGCATTCATCACGTAGTTCTGATGGCATGTTTTTCAGCTCCATCAGGTCATTTAAGGACTTCTCTACATTGGTTATTTTAGTTAGCCATTCATCTAATCTTTGTTCAAGGTTTTTAGCTTCTTTGCGATGGGTTCGAACTTCCTCCTTTACCTTGGAGAAGTTTGATCTTCTGAAGCCTTCTACTCTCAACTCTTCAAAGTCATTCTTTGTCCAGTTTTGTTCCATTGCTGGTGAGGAGCTGCATTCCTTCAGAGGGGGAGAGGCGCTCTGATTTTTAGAGTTTTCAGCTTTTCTGCTCCATTTTTTCCCCATCTTTGTGGTTTTATCTACCTTTGGTCTTTGATGATGGTGATGTACAGATGGGTTTTTGGTGTGGATGTCCTTTCTGTTTGTTAGTTTTCCTTCTAACAGTCAAGACCCTCAGCTGCAGGTCTGTTGGAGTTTGCCGGAGGTCCACTCCCGACCCTGTTTGCCTGGGTATCAGCAGCAGAGGCTGCAGAACAGTGAATATTGCTGAACATCAAATGTTGCTGCCTGATTGTTCCTCTGGAAGCTTCATCTCAGAGGGGTACCCTGCCATGTGAGGTGTCAGTCTGCCCCTACTGGAGGTTGCCTCCCAGTTAGGCTACTCGGGAGTCAGGGACCCACTTGAGGAGGCAGTCTGTCCATTCTCAGATCTCATACTTCGTGCTGGGAGAACCACTACTCACTTCAAAGCTGTCAGACAGGGACATTTAAGTCTGCAGAGGTTTCTGCTGCCTTTTGTTTAGCTATGCCCTGCCCCCAGAGGTGGAGTCTACATAGCCAGGCAGGCCTCCTTGAGCTGTGGTGGGCTCCACCCATTTCAAGCTTCCTGGCTGCTTTGTTTACCTACTCACGCCTCAGCAATGGCAGGGGCACCTCCCCCAGCCTTGCTGCCACCTTGCAGATCGATCTCAGACTGCTGTACTAGCAATCAGCGAGGCTCTGAGGGTGTGGGATGCTCTGAGCCTGGCGCGATATATAACCTCCTGGTGTGCTGTTTGCTAAGACTGTTGGAAAAGCGCAGTATTATGGTGGGAGTGACCTGATTTTCCAGGTGCCATCTGTCACTGCTTCCCTTGGCTAGGAAAGGGAATTCCCTGACCCCTTGCGCTTCCCGGGTGAGGCAATTCCTTGCCCTACATGGGCTCACACTCAGTGGGCTGCACCCACTGTCCTGCCCCCACTGTCTGACAAGCCCCAGTGAGATGAACCCGGTACCTCAGTTGGAAATGCAGAAATCACCCATCTTGCGTGTCGCTCATGCTGGGAGCTGTAGACTGGAGCTGTTCCTATTAGGCCATCTTCTACACTCGTGTCTTTTTAAGAAGAGAAAAAAGACACCAGAAAGACTCTCTCTCTGTCCACATACACACAGAGTAAAGGCCATATGAGAACACAGCAAGAAGGTGGCTGTGTACAAGTCAGGAGAGGCTTCACAAGAAACTAGCCTTGATGTTACCTTAATTTTGAATTTGTGGCCTCTAGAACTATGAGAAAATAAATTTCTTTTGTTCAAGTCACCCATTCTATGGTATTTATTAGTTAATACCATTAATTAATATTTATGGCAGCCCTAGAAAACTAATACGATTGCCTTGAGCTCTTTCAGGGTTTGAAGGGGTATAACTCTGTCCCCTCTTCTGTCTGTCCAGAGGCTAATAAAGGCTATTTTGGTTATCCATCCCAGAGTTCATTATTGTATGTTAAGCAGTATGCAAAGCAAGGAGGAGTCAATGGTGAACAAGATAGACCCATGTCTTACCCTCATAGAGCTGAGTTAATATATATTAAATTAATTTTATGCACAGCCCCTTTACTTCCTTAAGATTTATGCTAAAACATTAATTCGTCAGAGGTCTTCCCTGACCACCTAGCCAAAGAAACAGTCCTTTAAGTGTGAGCTCTCCCAGTCCTGCTATGGTATCTTTCTTCTACAACATTTGTCAGTTGACATGTTATATATGCATTTTCTAATCTGCTCATCTTATGTTTTCTCACTAAAAGGTAATCTTGAGTCCATGGTCCTATTTTTTCCACTACCGCATCTCTTTCACTTAATGCCAGACATCTGAAGATACTTGACATATTTTTATTAATTTGCATTAATTAGAGAGTAAATAAAGTACATAGCAAAGTAAAACTGAATTAATGTCAACTCAAAATTTCTTTAACTGCTTTCTGTACGCTTTTCCACTGCATGAATTGCTTCTTTCTTCCTTGGCGTGTTTCTTTTCAGCATAATTTTTTCCCCTCGGCTTTTTAACTCTGTCCTTACCACTCGCTCTCTTTTTTTCTGTCTTCAAACCTGCCTCTTCTGCTCACTCTCCCACTCATATCCATTTTTAGTTACCATCTTCATAACTTATCATAAGATACATTATATCCTATATATTCAATACTTAAGTGGTGTATGTATCCTTGATACTTACAAAGCAGATTAAGTCATTTAGTTTATATTAAAAAATGTGTAGGCAAAGTTGTAGTTGATCTACGTCATAATCAAATTGACTTGTGAATCATGAATTTAAAAATAATATTTCTCAGCCCTATAACAACTCCAGTGCTTCATTCTGAAGCCATGATATTCCCACAAACATGTATATCTTTTTAAAATTAAATTTAGTTATCAACATAAAAATTGCTTAATGCCATACGTTAAAAACTCTAAAAACTTGGATTTCTGGCTCTTCTTAGGAAATAATATCCTGAAGAGGTCCCTGTTGCTGGCTTATTATCAGCTGCCCTGTGTGCTCTAGAGATTTTCCCTTCTTTTCCCTCATTGTTCCTTTTCAGATTCCCTGCATCTGGCTGCATTTGCCCATGTGCACCTCATGGTTGACCCCTGGAGGTATGTGACATCGTAACACTGATTTACCCAAAGCAATATTTTTGTAGGATATATTAGATCTTCTTAAGTAGAGCTACTGCATTGAGTTGAACCTTTCTAGAATATCTGCATGGGGTAAAAGGGATTTCAAATTTAGATCAATTGGGACAAGTATTATAGTTAATTATCTATTCATCAAACTTACGGTTTTCCTTATGACTCACCTCCTGTCTGTCCTCTAAATGGCTACAGCAAAGGTTAAAAACATCTCTGGCTAAGGAAACAATACTTCTTTAGGATATGGACCCAGCATTATCAGTCTTCAAAAAGGGCTCTTGTCAAAAATCTCAATCTTACAGCTAATTCTGCTCTTCCTTTCCATCCCAAGTTCTAAGAGCTAGGATCTTTCATTGTGGCTGTGGCCAAGACCACAGCTTGCAGCTCCATTTAAGTAACAAGCCTTTCTCTTCCTGGCCTTTTCAGTAATTCCAGTATTGATGGCCCATCTGTTCTTACCAATTCTTATAGGGACCAGATTATTGCCTTTGAACTCATATACATACAGTTTATATACTCTTCCTTTATGGGATTTAGGAATCCCTAATTATCTAAGTTCTTTAACAATTTGAGAAGTAGATGTATAGTGCCAACTGAAAGCAAAGCACAGCATTAGTCCTATTTCGAGTAAAGTTGGACTGGAGACCATGTTTATGGTTTTACTGGAAAGAAGACCTCTCCCTATTCTCAAAGCTATATCTTGAGACATTTGTTCATAAAGTTGGCACACAGACATGGCATTTTTACTTGGAGATGCCACAAAACCTCATCAGAAATTTAATTATCAAAGGATGAAGAATTCCAGAAACAAAGGAGGAAGACAGCCAGGTAGTCCTCCAGGTAGACCTTTAGACAGTCTGTTTTACTACCTGGGTCAGAGAGATAAAAACCCTCATTAGTAATTAGAATAGCAATAGAGAGATAAGCCCAGGCCCTCTTCTTTTGTTTCATGCTGTGACACCACTCAGGGTTAATGTGATTGCATATATCGGGCTTTGCTTAGGTCTAATTAGAATGTCATTCCTCTTCTTTACATTTCAGTAAGCAAGGGAAAAAAAATGCTAGAGAGGAGGCAGTGACGTTTAGCAGTGTCCTCTCTTGGAGATAGAGTGATTGTCCACAATTGCCAATATAAGAACAGGAGAATGTTTCCTCTGATAGTCATAACAATTTCTGGCATCAACATAATTACAATGTTTGTTTTACAAGTGAGGAAACTAAGACTTAGAGATATTAAGTAAATTGCAGAAGGGCAGATGTATGTCTAGTAAGTGGACAATCTGAACTTGAACTTGACCTCTATACCTCGGACTACCCTGAATAGGAACACCTGCCTGGCTAGCAT
Organism: Homo sapiens; assembly: GCF_000001405.40. Classification (NCBI taxonomy): domain Eukaryota; kingdom Metazoa; phylum Chordata; class Mammalia; order Primates; family Hominidae; genus Homo; species Homo sapiens. Next base: position 77,248,607 of record NC_000006.12, on the reverse strand, counting down.
TTCATCTATACTGCCGTGAATGGAACCAGAGTTCTTATCTCATTCTAGTTTGTAGGTCTGTTCTGGAGGCTTTTCCCCATCTCTCATTATGTCCACACATGGCAGCTAAGCCCTAATTCTGACTATTTCAATGAATTACAAATAATCTGCTTTGGGTAAAATGTGGGGTATTAGGAAGAAACATGAGAAGAATAACTCTAATATTTTTGTTTAACTTTGTAGGGTCCAAAATGAGAATAATATTCTTAAAGTCATTAAATGTCTATTTTGGGGAGTGGCATCATGCAGAGAGTAGGTACTGTACTTTCTTAACAAGAGAAGCAGATGTCCTGGCACAGATAAATTAATTTACTTGCTCATTCAGAGCAAAGACACTTTTGTAGATAATAAAAAAGATTTAATTTATTTCATTATTTGAGAAAATACCCGACTTGTAATCTGTAAGCAAAAGTGCCCCGTGGCTTTTAGAGAGATCTATGATAGATCTACCTAATAGGAAATAGTGTAGTGAAATTAAATTTAGAGGATAAATTTTAAAGCTAGAATGTAAGTCCCCTGAGTGACTTTTGCCCATCAAATTCATAGCTATAACCCTAGCACTTAGAACACTGGATCATAATATGTTAGACATATTCTTAATAAGTATTTCTCTTCTTAATAAATATTTGTTGAATGAATGAGTAAAATTTTGAAAGAATATTAAGTTATAGGAAGTTGGGGCATCAGAGTATGGAGATGAATTATCAGTACTGTGATAGGACGTTGTTGTTCAGAATTTACTTCATTTTGGTGCAACTCAGTTAGCCATGAGTGTACCTCTGAATTAGCTGAAGTTTGCATTTGGCCCCCAATGCACTTGAGCCCCTTGGAGACACCCCCTTTTTACTCAGTTTAAGTGTCCATTTCCCTATGGTCCTTCTTTTCATTTTCACTTTATGGCTCCCAAATCAAGCACATGCTTTTTTCTTTTTAATTTTTGTGATTATACGTATCAGGTGATGCACATACACCCTGATTTTAAATTTTTTTATGAGGATGAACATATAAACTCAATACAATAAAAAGAAAAATGAAAAAGGAGTCCCACTGGTTTAATTTCAGGTAAGTGACAGCAAGTATAGAATTTACTAATGAAGCCGTCAGATCCTTGCTGGCCCCTCTGTCATGGCGGTGCAGGCTGCGCCTGTTCAATCTGCATTTCTGACCAGTCCGGGAAACTGAGTTTGTGACTACACAGACACATTTATTAATATTACTTTAAAGTGTTTAGTGTTACTCTTAGGGTGTCTTTCTGGGTAATAAGAGCTACTCAATATGATTATATTTTGGACTTAAAGGAATAGTTTTTAAATGGAGCTGCTTCAATTACAGATTTATTAAGGTTCAAAGTAGAACCTTGAGAAAGAAGAGTATAGAGTCATCAGGATGTCAAGTTCGTTCACTTCACGATAAATCTATGTAACATAATGAAAAGATTCATCATGTGGAGGTAGTAGCAGAGGTAATCATACAAAGACAAGCCACAGAGCAGAGGGAATCTAAATGTATTATGTATGTAATTTAACGAATCTGCCCGTGAATCTAATTCCTTCAGGGATTTATAAACACTAGTGCATAACCTAGGGAAAGGGGAGTCATTGCTTTAAATGTCAGCCTTGTATTCACTTACTGAGGGAAGAAAATGAAAAGTTTATGGAGAAATAAAAGAAATGATAATATGTTCCTCAGGTTATTTGGCTTATCCTAAATTTAGACTGAGCAATTTCCAAATTGCGAAAATGTAGAGTATGGAAACAATAGGAATATTCCCCTTGGTATGTCATATTATATGTGAGACTTTAATTATTTTAAGTCAATACCTAGTGTATCTGTGGAAACTGCTTTCTTATTTTCTATAATACAAATTATAGTAGCAGGCGTATGAATATTGCTGCTCAATAAATATTACTTTGTGGCAAGAATCAATAATTTCTCCCCACCCTTCTATAATTTCTCTATTTAGTGTCATATTGGAACATCAACTATAATGATACAGGTAAAATATATATAGAAATACAAAATAGTACTTACTATTCTCTCTCTAGAAATTTTTATCTACTTTCACATTTTCAGTTTGTCAGACTCATAGTCTGACAAGACTATGTCAAAGTATTCTGCAACAGGAGCATAGAATAGCAGGGAGTCATTCTTATTATTAAATTGTATTTTTTTGTTGTTGTTATTGTCTATTTGGGTAGGGGAACGAGAGAAAATAGTTTGTTCGGGATTAACGTTGTTCTATTAAGCAGTTAGTATTTTATTCTGTGCTAAGGCCCATGCATTAGGCTGGAGACTGCAGGGAGAATTCTGTACTATCCTTCCCAATGATGCCTGTCTTCAAGTTAAATGTACCTCTGGTGCAGCATCAGAAGCATCATCCTAATATTTATATCAGCTTATACCAGATTGAAGCCTTACAGATGCGCCCTCTGGTGTGTTGGTCAGGTCCTGAGGAACGACCCCTCATCTCCACACTCAGCCTCCTCCAGAAAGAGCTCCTTGCATTGGCTCTGGGACTTGTTTCCATAACCTTTTATGGTGACCGATTCCTAGACTCTATTCTGTTATCTCAAGCAGATGGACACCAATATTACTTGATGGGAGAAGGCACAAAGCAACAGTGTCAAGAAATACAAATTAAGAGAATTAGGAACGTTCCCATTCGTATAAGAGCTCCTAATGGGAAGGAAGGCAGTGGAGTTTAGTGGGGAACAATGCTGGAGCAAAACCACTTAGGTCTGGATTCTTCCTCAACCACTGATTAGCCCCGGTGTCCTTGGGCAACTTAGTTCAGCCTCTTTAAGCCTCACTTTCCCTACAATGACTCCTACTTCAAAAAGTAGAAGTTGTGAACTTCAAGAGAGATAATATATGCAAAGTTGTAATACACAGTAAAAACTCATATTAATATTATAATATCTTGTTTTTCATGAAAACCAGCTTAACCATTGCTGGCGTAGTAAATTTTCATGTGTCTCGGCATAATTCTTGATAAGTTTTAATAACTATGTCTTTCAATTATCAAAACAAATTGGAAATTTTTAACCTTACAAATAGCTCAAAATATGATTTTCAGCTAAAATTATACTATACACAAGCTGGATCTAAAATTTGTTGGGTGCTTCTAGTTGTTACATAAAACTTGAACAAAAGAGAAGTCTGAATAATGCTACAGCTTCCTTTTATCCTCTTCCCGCTCAGAGACTTTTAGTCTTCAAAAAGATTCTTTGATAAGTCAGAGTACAGTCTGTGGTTTCTCATTTTCCTGAAGAAATGAGTAAGTTCTATGTTTTTAATTGTTATTTAAGACCTTAGCTTCTCTCTTGGGAGGATGAAGACAAGTACGGCATGTGAGCCACACTTTCCTCATTCATAAGCACAGTTCAGGGAGAAAAAAAAAGTCCTTGAGTACTTCACAGGCTTAGTAGCTCTGCAGCTCTGGAAGTACAATGTACTTCCAAGAAGGCTTATACAGTGGCCTGTTAGCAAGACCTGAGAGCATGACTCTTTCTTCTGGCTGTATTTAAAATTATAAAGAACAGAAAGGGTATTGGTTTTTCTCAGTGCGGCAGAGACATTGTGCCTATTCCTTGTACAAAGCTTGATTTGGTCATGTTGAAAAACAGAAAGAAAAAAAAAAGAAGGAAGGAAGGAAACTTATTTTAGGTAAGGAATGTGATATGGCTTGGATTTGTGTCCCCACCCAAATCTCATGTCAAGTTGTAATCCCCAGTGTTTGAGGTGGGGCCTGGTGAGAGGTGATTGGATCATGGAGGTAAATTTTCCCCTTTGGTGCTGTTCTCATGATAGAGTTCTCATGAGATCTGGTTGTTTAAAAGTGTGTAGCACCTCCCCTCTTGCTGGCTTCCCCCTGCTTCAGCCATGTGAGATGTGCCTTCTTCCCCTTTGCCTTCTGCCATGATTTAAAGTTTCCTGAGGCCTCCTCAGCCATGCTTCCTATAAAGCTTGGAGAACTACCAGTCTCAGGTAGTTCTTTATAGCAGTGCGAGAATGGACTAACACAGAATGGTTCCTTTCCATCTTTTAAGATCACTAAGAATTCTGTAGCTATACTCACACAAATTTAATGCCTTGTTCCTATCCTACTGTGTTCTTGCTGCAATACCTCCAACCCTGCCCCCACTTTGAGAATAAATTTGAAAGAAGACTAATTTTTCACTTTCCTATTTCTTCACAATATGTTCACCCCACTTGGAATTCCCTCTTCCATTTCTCTCCATCCATCCTTGTTCAAGTATCTAACCTTCTTCTCAAACCTACCCTAAACATTGTAAATCCAAATAAGCTCTTCTTTATCTGTAAACTGATACTTGAGTTACTTGCGCCTCTCATTTGACACTTAATCATGTACTGCCTCAAGGGACAGGTCTGAGGTTGTTGTTTTGCAATGCTATTAAATTGCATAGAGTGAAATCTTTTCTTCTAATCCAGATTGTAGGTTTCAGGGTACCATTTATTCTGCTTTATACAAGGAAGTTTCTCAGCATTTCTTTTTCCTTTTGAAATGGACGCTTATTATTTTATTCTGAAATTTCTTTTTATAAACTGCATCTTTATTGTCTGCTTGTCAAAGAGTCAAGAAGAATAAGACAGATACTCTAATTTGTTGCTTAATTTGCTTCTACAGTGTCCATATAAAAGCTGACATCCCCTAGAATCCTGACACTATTGGGAATCTGCGAAATCACTTTTTGCTTCATCTTTAGTTCTGTATTGACTCATATGCTCAGAGTACATGTATGTCTCTTTTTAATAAAGATGTGGTATTTACCCTAAAATTTATAAGAAGATGTTAGAGATCAAAACAGAATCACATTAATTAACTAATAGGGCTTTGGGATAATGAAAATTAAAGTGAGTCTGTAAGATTTTTTTTTTTTTTGAGACAGAGTCTTATTCTGTCACCCAGGCTGGAGTGCAGTGGCACGATCTTGGCTCACTGCAACCTCCGTCTCCCGGGTTCACGCGATTCTCCGGCCTCAGCCTCCTGAGTAGCTGGGATTACAGGCGCACACCACCACACTTGGCTAATTTTTTGCGTATTTTTAGTAGAGACAGGGTTTCACTATGTTGGCCAGACTGGTCTCGAACTCCTGACCTCGTGATCTGCCCGCCTCGGCTTCCCAAAGTGCTGGGATTACAGGCGTGAGCCACTGCGCCTGGCCTGTAAGATTTTAATCAATGTAATTAATTCATTGATCTGAAAGGCAGTGGTCCCTATTAGTGTATCTCAAAATAGTTCTTGTTAAAATCATTGTCTTTGGATGTATTGATGTCTTATAACTATTTGAAAAAGGATATATGATTAGAATATTGAGCTTAATATAATTACTAGGCAGGCATGTGTCTGGAGTCTGCCTGCTCACCCACCCCTCCAAAAAAGCATGGAAGCAGTTGGAATGTGGCTGAAGTCGTGAAGGGTTCCAGGTAAGATTGTCCCTCTCACTTCAACACCCGGAGTGTGTACCACATGGTCCAAGCAACCCTGTCTCTCCACCTTCACCTTGCCTTGCCAAAACTGCCTTGAGCCAAAAGGGTAAATCTCATGCCCTTAGTTCATGTTTATGTCAGTATTCAAAAAGTGCAGCAGGTCGTCCCTTCCCTCACAGGGCATCTCCTCCCAATGTAGCTCAATGGCCTGTGGTTCACCGTCACTCTCCCTGTCCCTTCTTTCCTTAATTTTTGTCCATAGCTCTTATTGCCAGCTGAAATACTTTATGTTTTACTAATTATCTGTCTCCCCGACTCAGATGAATGCTCTGTGAGGGCAGGTTTACATGTGCATGTGTGTACAAATTGTTTCCATATCTCCAGTGTTTAGAATAGTGCCAGCACATAGCAGGCACTGAATAGGTACTTACGGAATAAATGCGTGAACACACACACGAAAGTCCTCCTGGTCTACAAAGGAGGCCAGGCTTGCAGAGGCAAGCCATGACTGGGCAGTCGCTGAAAAAGTTCTACTTAGTTACAGCTGCTTGTTTGCAGCTGCTACCACTTGGCTATGCCTTAAAATGTTTGTGAATGTTTTCAAAGCCATTTTGAAATATTTAAACTTCAAGGGCTCTATGCTAAGGGTTAATCCAAAAGAAGGGTAAACTTTAATATCCATAAATGCTTGCTGAAATCTCATTGAAAATAACAAGCCATTCATTCATTCATCTGTTTATCTGTCTGTTTCTCTATTTAACAAATTTTCCCCTTCCACATATTATGGGCTAGAAAATGTGTTAGATGCCAAGAGTATAATGGTGAGCAAAATCGTCAGTCCTTGTTCTGAAGGAGCGTTTATAGCTAGTGGAAATGACATAAATTTTTAATATCAATACAATAACTCTGTAGGTTGAATTGGATATGATTACTTGTATCATATTTTATCTACTGGTGATAAAAGGATTGTGTATTGTCATATTATTATCCTCCTCCCCCTCTCTAGCCACCCTACCTTACCTCCACTCCAGACCTTTTCCTCATTAAGTTCTATGCCTGGAATGCCCTGTATTCCCTCAACTCCCTTCCTGAATGAGGCTCATTTTCTCTTGTCTGCTGCTATCTGCATATCTTTATCATAAATCACCACATTGTTCTGTAATTTTCTGCGTATTTATTAGCCTTCTCCCTTTCAGTACCAGCTATTCAAAATAAAGTGTGTTCTTTAGTAATTACTGAATCTCTGACACTGAAAACACTCTCTGACAATACATGTATGTGAAACAATGCTTGAATAGATGATACAATTTTAGCACTCTATAAAATTATAGAAAAAGTTGAAATTTGATATGGTCATTCTTTAATATTTTAATCATATTCAGTAAATACAAATTTAATCTGCGAAGTGAACTTTTATCTTCCGAGTTTTCTTATAATTGTTGCCCTCACTTATATATGAGAAATTTGAGCTTCTCTGCCCCAGAGGTTGATGCCTCTAATTTGTAAGTGATAGGGAGAAAAAAGATACCCTGAAAATCTGTATCCCCTTAATGCAATATATCTACCCCCTTAATGTACTCTAAATCTCTATTTCTGCAAATTAATTTAATTTCTATAGAGCCTGTTAGAATTTACATTACCAGTAATATGGGGATAATATTATTCTCATTATGATTGATCCCCTTTAGGTTTACTAAATTATTTTTGTTGGGATTTCTATTTTGTTTGATTTAGGATACAGTCAATTGTGTAGTTTAAAAAATATTTACTTAGGGTTTAATATACAACAGTCACTGTGCTAGGGCCATAGTGAGAAATACACAAGGCAGACACATTTCATGACAAAAAATATTTATTTCAGAACTTTCCTACCTATTTAATATCCTGTAGCCTGAATGTCACAATCTCCACTATCATTTTTCCCCTGCAAAATTGCTTTTCAGTAGGTGCATTGGTCATAATCACTCACATTGGCTAACATGATGCAGTCTCGTGATCATAGCTCACTGCAGTCTCCAACTCATGGGCTCAAGCAGTCCTCCTGCCTCAGTCCCCTGAGTAGCTGGGAAGATAGGCATGCCATAAATACCGTAACATGTTTTTATATAGTATGTAATGAAGTTATCTATGAACATTTATCAAAATGCACCTTATCATTTGCCTTCAATTTATCAGTTCGTCATGTTTTTAATGAAAAATAGCAAACATACAAAAATATAAAAAATACATTCAGCAGAATGGGGAATTCCCAAGAACCAACAACTCTGCTTCAATAATTGTCAACTCTTGGTCAATCTTATTTGAGCTATACCTTTACCAATTTCTCTTTCCCATTCCACCTCCACCCTGCATATTGTCTTGAAGTAAGTATATGAATTCATCTCTAAATATTTCTATATATATCATTAAATATAGGTACTAAATTACTATTTTAACAAAATCACAAATGTCATCCTAAAAATTTTAACAATAATTTCTTAATTTCAGTGTTCATATTTTCAGTTGTTACATATACATCATTATTTTTCTTGTTGAGTCAAGATACAAACAAATTACATGTATTGAAATTGGTTAATATAACCCTTAATTTTCTTTTATATTGTAGGTCTTATCTTCTGTAATTTTTTCGTTTTCAATATATTGTTAAAGATTATTTGTCTTTTGTTCTGAAGAGTGTTGCAAAGTCTGGATTTTGCTGATTTTATCCCTGTAGTATCGTATTACATCTTCTTCTGTTCTGAAGAGTGTTGCAAAGTCTGGATTTTGCTGATTTTATCCCTGTAGTATCTTACTGCATGTTCTTCCATCCTGTGTATTTCTTATAAGTTAGTGGTTGGATCTCAAATAGTAATAAAATTTAGATTCAACATTTTTGTCAAAAAATTATCAAAAATGGAGATTTGATTTTCTGTCATATGACAAGTATCATATGTCAGTATCATTTTTGTGATAATTGATACTCAGTTTCTATATCAATTCATTTATTAGTACCTGTGAAAAAGTGATATCCTAAAACTGGCCTTGCTTTATTTATTACTGAAATATTTCTATAAAATAATTTCCTTCCTTGGCTATGTACAATTAGTATAGAGGAGTCAAAATAAATACCTAAATTCTGTCCTTAATTTTCTACTTTTCAAACTAATGAATTATTTTATTGATATCCATTAACAATGACTTTTCTTTTTGATTATTATAATGAATTAAAGAGTTAAAATATATTTGATACTTCAATGCATTGCAATTATTATCATTATTACTCAAAGTGTCCCAACTTTGGCCAGTTGGAAATGGTTCAAATTGCACTTGAATCTTTAGATAGAACCCTACTGTATTAGTTGGGGTTCTCTAGAGGGACAGAAATAATAGGAGATATATAAGTGTGTATATATATATATATATATATCCTATTATATAATATCCTAATATACATACACATATATATACACATATATGCACACATATGTGTGTGTGTGCATATATGTGTATATATATATGGGAGTTTTTTAAGTAGTATTAACTCACATGATCACAAGGCCCCACAATAGGTCATCTGCAAGCTGAGGAGCAAGGAAGCCAGTCCAAGTTCCAAAGCAGAACTTTGAGTTCGATGTTTGAGGGTTTGAAGCATCCAGCACAAGAGAAAGATGTAGGCTGTGAGACTAGGCCAGTCTAGCCTTTTCACATTTTTCTGTCTGCTTTATATTCTAGTCACACTGGAGCTGATTAGATGTTGCCCACCCAGATTAAGGGTGGTCTGCCTTTGCCAGCCCACTGACTCAAATGTTAATCTCCTCTGGCAACACCCTCACAGACACACCCAGGAACAATACTTTGTATCCTTCAATACTTTGTATCCTTCAATCCAATCAAGTTGACATTCAGTTTTAACCATCACAAGTCCACCCCTTGTCAACTTGAACCCACATGCATCTCCGGAGATCATACATAATCTTCTAATAAAGACAATAATAAGGTCATTATTATGCCTAACATAATACAACTATACTTTGTACAACTGGAAACACACCAATACCCAACCCAAATACTATTACATAAAGTTAACAATACTTAAATGCTGACATGAAGTCAATAAATCTTGCATCACATGAAAAAGGGAAAAGGAAATAAAGTATATTTTGTTAATACAAGTGTATACATGCACAAACACGTTTTTAAGAAAAGGAGGAAATACTCATGACAATTATGGTCCTCATTTCTGCAGATGGTCATGTGGTCATACCTGGTATTGCTGACTACCTTCTTCTACTACCCATTCTGTATTCCCTTTGCCTTCAGCAAGCACCTCAGCCGGTTCTGTTTTTTTTTTTTTTTTTTTTTTTTCCCGGTAGAGTGGCCCAAACCTTCATTCCGGAATGGTCTGTGCCATTTGTGGTCTTGCCTGGATTGGGCTGTTGTAGTTTCCCATTGACCTTAATCACAGGGCATAGTAATACTTAGAGATGTCCTAATGGATCTCCTGTATTCCATGCATACTCTTTACTTCTGTTGTGGAGTAGTAGACTGATTTCATCTGGATAGTCCAAGTCACTCAATAAAGGGGCTGGAGTAACACACCCAAATGAGGAGTGTGTTGCTTCCAAAATCCAGACAGGCCCACTAGCCATTGTGCCTCTTTCTTGATTGTAGGAGGGGTCAAATGCAGCAACTTATCCTTCACCATAAAAGGAATATCTCAACAGTCCCCACACCACTGGACCCCTAAAAATTTTATTGAAGTAGAAGTTCCCTGGAATTTAGTGGGATTTATTTCCTACCTTCTGGCACAAAAATGTCTCACCAATAAGTCTAGTATGTTTGCTACTTCTTGCTCACTAGATCCAGTCAGCATAATGTCATCAATGTATTGGACCAGTTTGATATCTTATGGAAGTGAAAAGTGAATAAGATTATGACACAAAGCCGGAGAGGTGATAATACCCCTGAGGTAGGACAGTAAAAATATATTGCTGACCTGGCTAGCTGAAGGCAAATTGCTTCTGGTGGGCTTTATGGATATGAATGGAGAAAAAGACATTTGCCAACTCAATGGCTGCATACCAGGTACTAGGAGCTGTGTTGATTTGCTCAAGCAATGAAATCACATCTGGTATAGGAGCTATAATTGGAGTCACCACTTGGTTAAGCTTATGATAATCTACTGTCATTCTCCAAGATCCATCTGTCTTCTGCACAGGCCAAATAGGAGAGTTGAATGCAGATGTGGTGGGAATACCACCCGTGCATCATTCAAGTCCTTGATGGTGGCACTAATCTCTGCAATCCCTCCAGTGATACTATATTGTATTTGACTTACTATTTTTCTAGGTAGAGGCAGCTCTGATAGCTTCCATTTGGCCTTTCCCACTATAATAGCCCTCACTCTACCAATCATAGAGCCTACGTGGGGGTTCTGCCAGCTGCTAAGTATGTCTATGTCAATTACGCATTCTGGCACTAGGGAAATGACCACAGGATGAGTCCCAGGACCCACTGGACCCACTGGACATTAGACCTGAGCTAAAACTCCATTACTTGCTGACCTCCATAAGCCCCTACATTAACTGGAAGCCCACAATAATGTTTTGGGTCCCCTGGAATCAATATCAGCTTAGCTCCAGGGTCGAGTAGTCCCTTAAATTTCTCATCATTTCCCTTTCCTCAATGCAGTTATCCTGGTAGAATGCTGGGGATCTCCTTGGGGAAAGACAGGAGAAAGATTAACATCATAAATTGTTGGTAGTACAGTGGGGTCCTTCCTTAAGGGGACCCAGCCTCCCCTTCACTTAATGAGTTCTGGGTCTGTAAACTTGCTCAAGTCTGGAAATTGATTGAGAGGCTGTGATTCTCTGTTTTTATAATTCAAATTAGTCTTTTGTCCATTCCTGATAGTCCGGGTCACTCAATAAATGGGCTGGAGTAACACACCCAAATGAGGATATTGATTGAGGGGCTGTGATTCTCTGTTTTTATAATACAAATTAGTCTTTTATCCATTCAACCTTAAAGTTTCTGCTTATATAAATTAAGTAGGAATGCAGTAGGCCTCCTATCAATTTCACTTCTAGGAACACCGTGATTAATTAGCCAATGCCAGAGTTCTACACAAGTCAGACTATTCTGATTGCTGCTTTGCCTCTGCTGTCCATTATGGTAGCTATGTCCACCTTATCTTTGATGGTTGAGTGCTGCCACTTGGCCCCTGCTACCTCGGGATCCAATTATTCCCATTTTATTTAAATTTTATAGTTGAGTGACTATGGTTTCCACTGTTAGATGTGATATCCAGAGAAGAGTAATTGCAGGACTCTTCAAAGATGCAGGTGCTGCCTTCACAAATCTATTTCACAAAGCATTTGTCAAAGATATATCTTCTGGACCCTCCTAGCTGGGATGAGTAGGTCTAAAGTGACTAATCTGCTCCACCATCCTAATCTCCCTAAGCCTTTGGATCCCTTCCTCTGCATTAAACCAAAAGAGATCAGACATTTCCAGCTCTCTCACAGTGGGCCATATTTTAATCCATATTTCAGTTAGCCAAAGAACTATTAGAACCTTCTTTAACTCCCTGAGCTGCAACATTAAATGCAGGATCCCTACTTCGTGGGCCCAAATCAATAAATTCAGCCTGATTCAATGGTGTTCCTTCCACCATTATCCCACGCTCTTAATATCCATTTCCATGCCAGTTCTCCAGATTTCTGCTTATATAAATTAGAAAACTCAAGCAGTTCTTTTCAAGTGTAGCACACCTCCTCATGGGTCACACTATGAACTTCACCTTTAGGGGCCCACCAGGACTTTAATTATAGGTCTAGAAGCAGACAGGGGTGTTGAGGGTGGCTCCTGAGGAGAATCAACATTATCTTGCCTGGCAACTGCCTCAGGGGAGGCCATCACTGTTGCTTCAGGCAGCACAGGGTTTATCTCCTCAGACAAAAGTGGAAAGGTTGATGGCAGCATGGGTCCGGGAGGGGATGTTGCCACTACTGGGGATGGGGAAGCTGTTTCTTCTAGCAAAAAAGGTTCATCAGCGTTTACAAGCTCAGTGTCCCCAGCTTCATCAGGGTCCTCCCACAAATCACCATTCCAAGTTATAGGGTCCCATTTTTTTCCAATCAATTCCCTCACTTTAACAGTAGACACTTGGCAAAGCTGTGCATGCACCTTTTGTTGCAGGTCAGCCACTTACATGATAAGAACTTGTGTCTGTTTTTCCACAATTTCAGCTCTTTCTCTAAAGGAGATAAGACTCTCACTCAGGGTAATCTTAACAGATTTGAGGCTCAGTATCTGCTTCTGAAGCCAGGAGTTAGAATCCCTGAATTCATAATTTTCTTTCATCACTTTGTCCAGTGAACTTAGGAACAACCAACCAACTTAATTATGATCCTTAGTTCTCCACATATAGTCAAAAGTATTTTGTATAGAGGCACTAAACACCTTTTCTCTCATGAACAGTGCATCAGCAGTGTCAAATGCATTTATTTTGCATAACTATCAAACAGTTCATGCCAAGGACTATCAATATTCTCCATAATATTAGAAGTATAATCCTTAGCATTTTTGGGTCTACTCATATTAAGCTGCCAAAACCAGCAACCTCAAAACCAATGAAAGAACTCCGTCCTTAATATTCTGTTCCTCTAGAACCACTCTTGGTACCAAAATCTGTATTAGTCAGAGTTCTCTAGAGGAACAGAACTAATAGGAGATACATATATATATATATATATTTTTTTTATGAGTTTATTAAGTAGTATTAACTCACACAATCACAGGGTCCCACAATAAGCCACTTGCAAGCTGAGGAGAAAGGAAGCCAGTCTCAGTTCCAAAACTGAGGAGTCTGGAGTCTGATGTTGGAGGGCAGGAAGCACCCAGCACAAGAGAAACATGTAGGCTGGAAAGCTAGACCAGTCTAGTTTTTTCCTGTTTTTCTGCCTTCTTTATATTCTAGCCATTCTGATAGCTGATTAGATTGTATCCACCCAGATTAAGAGTGGGTCTGCCTTTCCCAGCCCACCGACTCAAATGTTAATCTCTTTTAGCAACAACCTCACAGACACACCCAAGATTAATAATTGGCATCCTTCAATCCAATCAAGTTGACACTCAGTATTTACCATCACATGTACTCTACTTTGGTGGACTTCTTATTGTTTAGTAAAACATGTGGATCTAGCATATTTTAAGCCTTAAGTATGGAATTATCCATTACTCCAAAGAATTCGTGTTTATTTTAGTAGGAAAGGATATTTGAAAAACTGAATCTACATATTAGAGGTATTGATTCCTATTAGATTATTACTATTTACAGGCATCTTCAGTGAACCTAGGAAATAAATTTGAATGCTTATTTTTTAAAGATTAAATACTAAATAATAAATAAATATTGATAGTTTTCATTAAAATGTAGAATACAGAGTTCTTAATGTCTTAGTTCATTCATGCTGCCATAACAAAATACTTAAGGGATTGGGAAATTTACAACAGATTTCATTGCTCTTCAGTTCTGGAGTTTGGAAAGTCTAAGATCAATGTGCCAGCAGATTAATTGTCTAGTAAGAGCCCATTCCTGATCCTCATAGATGGATTCTTCTTGCTGTGCCTTCCCAAGGTGGAAGAGCTAGCCGTTTAAGAGATGATAGGTCATAAGAATGCCAGCAGATTCAGTGTCTGGGAGAGCCTGCTGTTTTCTGTTTCAAAGATGGCATCTTCTTGCTCTGTCCTCAAGTGGTGGAAGGGGCAAAAACTGAGAAGTTCCCTCAAGCCTCTTTTATAAGGGCATAGATTTTATTCATGAGGGCTGCCCTCATGATTTGATCACCTCCCAAAGGCCACATCTTTTAATACTGTCACACTGGGGATTCAATTTCAACATGTGCATTTTGTGGGGACAAACATTTAGATCATACTTTCTTCTAATTTATATATGTCTCTCCTTTCTCCCACAATAATAATCCTGACCACTCTGTGAATGATAGAACCTGAAAATTGCACACTCAATTACTTAATCCCATAATATATACAGTGTATGTATCCCATAGAGATAATCATTAGAACATATGTTAGAGTTTACCATTTCTTAATATTGCATATATTTACATATATCTCCATGTATGTATCATATATACATATATAAAATATGTGTATATTTGCATACACATATGTGCATATATTTACTTTTTTCTCTTCTTAGCTAAATATTATATTAGTAGGCTTTCCCTAGGGTTTCTACTTTATTTGTTATTTATCTAGTTGTTTTGTTTAAAGAAATATTCTATATTGATTTTAATGGTTATCTTTATGGTAGTACTCTTATAATATTTGTAGTTTTCTCTTTTTTGGTTATTATCTTTTGGTTCACTTTGATAATTAATATTGCATTTAACTAGTAGCTTATGTTTTCCCATCTTTTGTTTTTCCTCCTTTTCATAGTACCATTTGACATGTGGTCCTTTGATTTTTGGCTTTTTTTATTGAAAGGTTCAGGTAGATCTAAGAAGCATGTAGCTTCTGTCTCTGTCTTTCCAGTTAGTACACTAATATAAAACTTACTTTTCTATTTCCATTGAAGGACATTATTGGGAATTTACCATGGGAAATAAAGAGCTGAAATGTATTATTTAACTTTTTCTCTTACAATATTTCCAACACAAAGGGAAGTAATTTAAAATATGTTATGTTCAAAATAGAAAGTAAAGAAGTTTGTGGATTCTAAATGTTCAAAAAGTAAATGTTCATCAGATTCAAACCTTAACATTACAAATTGCCGTGTAATTGCTATTCTCTAAATGTTAAAATGCTGTGAAAAGTTCTACACATTTGGTATTTGTCAAATGTAGTCCAGGTTACTTTGCCTTTAGTCCTTTTCTTAAAAAAAGTTAATTTCGTAATTAACAAAAAGCAATTACAAAGTACTCATAAGTACTCATGTCTATAACTCAAAAGGGTTTTAGACATACTCAATAATAACTTTGAACTCTGTATGCCTTTTATAATTTGTAAAATTTTACATTGGATAAAAAACAACTACCCTAGAAAATAATGGATAGCTCCACTTTGATGCATTCAGTAACTGTGGATAGCAGGTTGAGGGGTCTCTGAGGAAGAAGTTATAAAACAATCATTGCACTGATGGCAGTGGGGGTACAGCTTGTGTATTTTCCCAACCAAATCCCTTCAGTAATGAAGTATAGCTTTTGCTCTGGGTAAACCCCTCTCTGGATCCTTGAATTTTAGACCCAGCATTTGTGCTGTGGAAGAGATTCATCCCAAAGTCTCCCATGCTTCTGTTGAATTCTGGAATTACATTTGTGCTCTGGGTTGAGTTACAATTATTTGCTCCTAGCAGTGTGATTACCTTATTAGAAAAAATAAAAGGGGGAAAGCTGATTTCTGGTGGCAAATACTCAAAATATATCTTCTTTCCTATATGAGAGATTGTTCTTTTCAAATTTTTTAGTTCTACATAAACAGCAGGTAACAGGGAGTAAAAGATATCTGTGACTATAAAGAATATATTTGTGGAGTTTTACCCTACCATGTGTGCTGTTTGAAGGCTGTCTTGTGCTATATGTATGAGACACTGATTGGGGGAAAATCATGAAGTAAAAGTTTGTCTTTACCTCTATCTCTGCCTTTGCCTCTGTATTGCAAATCTGGGAAGGAGACAAATAAATCCATTTTGGAAGAAATTTTTTATAACATGTTGTTGTCTGCACTCAGAATTAGGTTCTACCCCTTCCCCAAATGTTACCAAAGAACTATTTCAGTTGATGCAGATCAAATGGAAGATTATTTACACCTTGAATGTGAGTTCTGTAATCATTAGTTTCTGAACAGAGATTTGTGTCCTGGTTTGCCAATGAGAAGGAGCCAGAGTCTTTAAGACTATTCCTGAGACTAAATCAGAATAGAGAGGGATTAAAGCCCTGGGGTTTGGGTCTTTTCTGAGCTGAACAGTCAGCAGAAAAGCATTCCTCATTCCTACTGGGCTGGTTGAAGGAGGAATTTCCCAGACCCTGCACTCTGTGCCTTTTGGTGGTAATTTCTTTCATAAAGGCTGACATAATGACATTACCACCTACTTAACAATGTAGTGATAATGAAAGCTGTTTTTCCAGGGAACAACACACTGCAGCTAGAAGTTCAGCAGAGGTAGAGAAAGGCAGCACCAACTTGGTGCAAGCTGGCAAACTGATAAAAAGCACTCAGACCTCAGTGACTTGCTCCTGAGTGCACTTGAAAGACTTCAGTAGTTATTTCTTATTTCCTCTTACAACATTGCCATTGCCCATGCCCACAATGCCCAGTTTCAGCCGATTGCCACAGCTTATTTCTCCAGATACACTGGCTTTCATTTGTTGACTTCATCATGCCAAGCTCCCTTCCTGCATCAGGGTCTTCTCTGGCTTTCTTCTCTGCCTGGAATGCTTTGCTCCAGATCTGCTGCCAGATCTTCCCATGGATGACTCATCTGGCCAATCAATTTTTGCAGAAGTTATTGTTTTCTCTCCATCTCTAATGTAGCCCTATTCATTCCCTAGCACACCATCTTACAGCATTTTATTTATATAATCTCATGTGATTTTGCTTATTTATTGATTTAATTATTTTGTAAACTGAGCCCTTGTATTAGTTCATTCACACACTGCCTTAAAGATACTACCTGAGACTGGGTAATTTATGAAGCAAAGAGGTTTAATTGACTCACAGTACCACATGGCTGGGAATGCCTCAGGAAACTTATAATCATGGTGGATGGTGAAGGGGAAGCAAGGTGTGTCTTACGTGGTGGCAGGAGAGAGAGAGGTGAGAAGTATCATACTTTAAAACCATCAGATCTTGTGATAACTCACTATCACAAGAACAGCATGGGTGAAATGGCTCCCATGATCCAGTCACCTCCCACCAGGTCCCTCCCTTGACATGTGAGGATTACAATTTGAGATGAGATTTGGATTGGGACACAGAGCCAAACCGTATCAGCCCTCTCCCCAACACACAAACATTAGAATGTGTGCTTTATCAAAGAAAAGTCTTCATCTATTTTGTGTACTGTTGTATCTCCAATGCCTCAATAAGCAGGCACTCAGTAAATATTTTTTGAATAAATAATCATTCATATTTTCTGTCTTTTGTTGAAGGCAAATCTCTAGTCTGATAAAGTATTTTAAAATCAAGAGCATTTGATTTTTCTTGAATATAACTGTTATAGCAGGTACTAAATGGCTATCCAAAATGTGAATGCACTTCTGCAAAAGCCAAAATTCTGATAAAGGCTTAAAGAGTCATTAACGATCTATGGAAGAATCCATACTGACAATGTGGTTCACCCTTAAATGACTCATCAATTGGCTCAAATGACTTTGATGACATAGGTTCCACTCCCTTCACCATGAGCTAAAAGGGTATAACTGATTTAGTGTTGTTAGCAGATTTTTGCTCTTAAGTTGGATAATTTTAAGTATTGATGTTATTTTATATATATATATACTTATGTCCTTTCATATATTTCAAAGTAGAGGGGAAAAAAGATTTACAGTTTGGTAAATATAAATTAAAAGGACTCATTAGCCTTTATGTAGCTTTCAGTTACACATTGTTGTTCTGTTTTTCTCTATGTAATTCATCCTATTTTGTGACTTTCTGGAATTGATTTTCACATTATTGACTAAATTGATAGAAGCATCTAATGCCCCCCACCATCTGTAAAGAGTTTTATTATGTTGATATAAATGTTTGTCGGAATTTTGAATCAGCATAATTGAGTGATTGGTTGGGGCCATTTGGACAAGCTCTCCAAATAGCAGGTTTCACCAGAGTGACTGATGGGGCCACATTTGTACTCAGCCTTATAAAAAATGGGATATCTCAAGGCTCCTTTCCTGAGAGGCTCTATACAGAAGTCTTCACTTTGCAGCCGTGCCCACTGCAGTTACTGCTGGACTCCATGGTCGGGTATGGTGACTAGAAGAAGCTGACTTAGTATCGTATTGGAACCAAATTTGCTGAGATGAGCTCTTACATTCCTTTCTCTCCATTTGAGGGTGGTAACTTTTGCATGAAAATATAGGAGATGCCTTCCACTAGAGATCCACCCTCTTTTCCTTCTGAGAGAAGGGTTTGAGGGAAATGATCATTTGCTTTAAGCAAAATGAGGTCTTTGGTTTAAAAGTG
Source organism: Homo sapiens (assembly GCF_000001405.40). Lineage (NCBI taxonomy): Eukaryota > Metazoa > Chordata > Mammalia > Primates > Hominidae > Homo > Homo sapiens. The sequence goes on along the minus strand of NC_000006.12, from coordinate 77,229,932 downwards.
TGTTTTGCCCCTTGCCGTTTGAAACAGATGAAAGTTTTTTTGTTTTGTTTCTTTGTTTGTTTGTTTTTTAAGACTAGGTACAAATGTGCTACTAGATCTGTGGCCTGGTCATAACTGATACATATAATTGTACCCTACATTTTCTTGCTTTTCATCTAAGTTATCTATTAGATAACCCAATTCCATAATTTATTGAGAACAAAACAGACTATATAATAGGTTGGTCTTTAATTTTGGAAGATGTGAACTTTACCTTTTACATATTATTTTTTTTCATCTAAATGTTTAGTGAGTTCAATTATGGTAAACTATTTGTCAAGAATTGTGATCTGGCTATTAACACAGTACCTAAATTCTAAAGTTTACAGGCCAAGAGATTTTCCAGCATCTTATTAAAAATCATGGTTTTTGAAATCAGAAACTTTGTTTCCAGTTTTGGCAAAATACACACTAGCTGCATTAATTTAGGCAAAATACTCAAACTATTTAATCTTCCCTGCTCCTGCTTTAAGATGATGATGATATCTATTTGATGAGGTTGTTAGGAGAGTAAAATGGAAAATAATTATGCAAATCTTCTCAAACAGGACAATAAATAGAAGATATTATTTATATTAGAGATTTTAAATTAGGTTGAGTTACTGGATCCCAGTTGAGGAGATCTCTTGAAGCCAGAAAATAATGAATGATTATTGTTATTATGTCACTATTGAGTAAAATAATTTAATTAAATAGTAGTACAAATTTGCATCCTGACAAAGGAGAGAAAAACTAGAAGACATCTAAGAATTTCCAGCTATATGTATATAAGCTATCTATAGAGAGATTATGTCTGTCTATCCATATATATATAATCTACCTATCTTATAGATTATATAGATATAATAAATATATATTATATTTATTATATAATCTTATAGATTATATAATAATCTATAAATCTGCAATAATATATTTTGTATGATTTTATAGATTATATCTATATATAATCTATAAGATGGGTATATAACATAGACATAGATAGGAAGATATACATACACACACACACACACATATATATATATATCTCTACCAATCTAACATGTTCATATCTAGACAGGGAAAATAATTAGAACCTTTGGATTTTCTCTGCATTTAGACATTTAAAAACATAATAAAACATTGTCAGTCTAAGTAGAGTACTCTATTTGCCTTTGGGGGTTAGGGTCAGGTAAGTTTCTGTGTCAATAATTGTGCCTGGACTAATAGACTTTGGTCATCTATGCTCAGGTACAGTACATTGATCCTATTAATGTGAGAAAAATTTATTTATTTATTTAATTTATTTAGTTATTATATTCCAGCAGCAGAGAAGGGATGGAAATGGAATAGAAAGCCTGAGGCACAGATTGATTAGGCCTATGGATAGGGAAAGTGAAATTCACTACAGAAGTGAAACTATCAGTGAGAGAGCTTCTTGGAGTGGAATGACCCAGAGAGGTAGAGTGGTTGGTGATACAGGATAACACAAACACTCTTTGCTTATTTCAAAAGTTAAGACTTGTGTTTTCTCTGAGAATAATTTCTCACTCTCTTCTCAGATGTCAGTTCAATCTGATTTGAAGTCTAAAGAAGTTATTAAGAGAACAAAAGAGGCTGATTTGTTTTTACTTGGCAACAGCTGACTCTCCCTGCCTAAAACAGTACCAAACACTTGGTAGGCATTCAGTAAATGTTTGTTGAACAAATTAATGAATAGTTTATATCCTAAGAGCATGGTTTTATTGTCCTCCTGAGAGTCACATTTAACTTGAAAGTCTGCAAGATTTCTAAGAATGTTGTTGTGGGGCGTGGGAAGGTGAATTTAGGTGAAGAGATCCACCTAGCTTAAAAGAAGTAATTTACTTCACAGTAAGAAGACCTCTGAAAAATGTATCATTGTATAAGAAAAAGTAAAACTGTTGCTACTTTAGAAATTTTTTTAAAAACTGTCAGATTTAAGAAAAATCTTTAATCAAGAATGACTTGTTTAAAGCAATCTGTATTCTTTGTGGCATTCAATATGGAACCAAATCTGACACCTTGTCTTGCCTCTATAAGATAGTGTGCACATCACAAACCACAATCATAGAGTGAAAATGGCACCTTTAAAACTGAAATAAACAAAAAATACATGGTAACCCTGTATACTTCTGGTCTCCCAAATAAATTAGCTTTGAGACTTTTCTGTAAGTTACGGATTGACTTCCTAAAAATCCACCAGTATTCCTGACTTTCATAGTGCCTATGTCTAAGATACAGAATAACCTTTGCAAATATAGTAAATATCTGAAGAAAATAGTTAATTTTCCACCATAAATTGACTAACTGGAAGATAACTTTTGTAATATAGATTTATTTTTCTTTAATTTTATTTCTTTATTTTTTTCAATGTGGAGATCAATTTCTAAAGCCTAGATTCCCTTGCACAACCTTTTTTCCAAAACATTACTTTACTTTTCTAAATAATTTTATCACTTTAATACTTCCGTCACGAATATAAAGCAAATATATTAAGTATTATAACACAAATATATTAAAATGTTTTCTGAAAATTATGTATTATAGGCTGTTATGGTTTAGCTGTGTCCCCACCCAAACCTCATCTTGAATTGTGGCTTCCATAATTCCTATGTGTTGTGGGAGGGACCCAGTGGGAGATAATTGAATCATGGGACAGTTTCCCCCATGCTGTTCTCATGGCCTTCTGCCATGATTGTGAAGCCTCCCCAGCCACTTGGAACTGTGAGTCCATTAAATCTCTTTCTTTGTAAATTACTCAGTCTCGAGTATGTCTTTATCAACAGCATGAAAACTGACTAATACATAGGCCAACATAGGTATTAATGTGTCTTAGAAGAAACAGATGGTGAATTCTAATGTAGGACTTTAATGTGGTTTGGTTGTAGTATTCCTCTATGCAAGCAGTAAATTAATAGTAAACATAGTAAAAGCAAGAGAGAATTTATAATAATTTTAAAAAACTTTATTAAAGAACATGAAATCACAATAATTGGAGAGATATACTACTATCATCGTTTTTGTTGTTGTTTGTTTTGAGATGGAGTTTTGCTCTTGTTGCCCAGGCTGGAGTGCAGTGGTGCAATCTCAGCTCACAGCAACCTCTGCCTCCCGGGTTCAAGCAATTCTCCTGCGTCAGCCTCCCAAGTAGCTGGGATTACAGATCTGCACCACCACATCTGGCTATTTTTTTTTTGTTGTTGTTGTATTTTCAGTACTGATGGGTTTCACCATGTTGGTCAGGCTGGTCTCAAACTCCTGACATCAAGTTATCCACCCACCTCGGCCTCTCAAAGTGCTGGGATTACAGGTGTGAGCCACTGCGCCTGGCCTAATCATTGTTGAATTCACTCGAGTACAAAGATTTTCAACCTCTCCCAAAACTATTAAGCAATTAGAATAAAAATTCCAACTAGATGATTTCAGAACTAAATAATTTTGGACAAGCATATTCTAAAATATATGTGCAAGAATAATAAGTAAAAGATAGGCAAGTCAATTTTAAAAAAGAAAAGCCAAGTAAGAACTTGCCCAACAATATTTTAAAAATCTACTTAAAATTTATGATAATAACACAAATGGAACTGGTTCAGGAATAGAAAAATAGAGCAGTAGAGCAGAATAGTGATATCAGGAGAAGAACTACATAAATATAGAAAATCGATTGGTGGTAAAACCAGTACAACAAAAAAATGAGGTAGGGTTAGGAAGCTGTCTCAAATATAAACAAATTCAAAGCAAGATACTTAGCTTATACCATACGTAAAAACTGTAAATGTAAAAAACAAAAGTATAAGGCTAATAAAACAACATTTATGAGAATATTTTTGTCACTTAAAAGTGGGTAGATTTTTTTAAAAGGTCCAAACAGCATAGATCATATGTCAAAAAACTTGATTGATTTGTTGATATTAAGATAATAGCTCTGAGGTCAATGAGATTACATGAACAAAATTGATAGATAATAGATGACTGTTTAGGAAAAGATATTTTCAATTCTTAAAACCACAATAGGGATTTATATATTTACTGTAAAGTGAAATATTTCAAAACCAAGGAATATATGGCAGAATACCCAGTTAAAAAGATGGCTAAAAGATAAGAAGATTTTAATAGGCAATTCATAGATTCGGAAACTCACGTATATAACAAGCATATGGAGATGCTAAAACTCAGTAGCAAATTTGAAAAATGCAAATTGAAATAACATGCATATTCATCTGAATCACAAAAACTAGAAAAACAATAATAACAATTGTTGACAATAAGTTTTGGGGTAAAAATTCTCATGCCAAAATTATGGCACTATGTGCTGGTACAAGTCTAATGTTTTTTGAAAATTGTTTTTTTAAAAAAATAAATCTGGCAGTATTTAACAGAATTAAGAATGTGTATCTTCAGTGTCACTATAGGTAGCACTCCTGGATATATAAACCAATTAGTTCACAAACAGATTGTAAGAAACATAAACAAGGACAATTATTCTTGTTATGTTCTGGATAGTAGAGAGCTGGAAGCAAACTAGGTATACTTTCAGGGAAGGATAAATAAAATGCAGCCACTGCATACTGTAGTGTTCTCTGTAGCAGCTACAATCAACACATAGACACTCTAAATGTGTATATGGTAGCATGACTAGATCTCTAGTGTGGAGTGAAAGAAGAAACAGAATGCAATTTATAGCATAATGCCATTTAAAACAAAACAATGCACTTATTTGATGAAGACATATGCATATTTAAGTAATTATCAAGCTACCAGATGGGTTCTTATAGCTATAGAGGGAAATGGGAATACGGATTTGCAAACAGGGTGGGAAGCTGAAATAAAATAAAACAGTAGAGGGACTGTATGGACTGATGATGATAACATATTGTGAAATGAGGAGTATGATTATCACAACCCATATCTTTGAATGCTACCCCTTCCCCTACCACAGACTCATAGTGAGCATCAACTCTTTTTAATTCAATTAGTTTAATGTGTTAATGACAGAAGCACACTCTCTTTCAGTCTCTCTCTCTCTTTCCTTTCTCTTACCATGGAGAAAAATTATTTTTGAGCTTTGTCTTCTAAAAATATTGTGTATTCTCTCTTTTTGTACTCTCAAGAAATAACCAAGAAAGAAGATTTCCTATCACATGCCTGAATTCTTGCAATTCAACTGAAGTGATAATTAAGAAGTCCCAGTTGAAAGAACCTCTGGGGTTTGCCTAACAGAGACTTTAATTTTCTCTCTGCCTGGAATAATTTTATTGTTCATTTCCAATCCTGCGTGAAAGGAGGAGTGAGCTTTTATATTGACCTCCTTTGACATTTATCTATTGGTATTATTATCTTCACATGACTTTAGGATGACAAAATCTGTATGGTTTTGTTTTGTTGATGACAAACCAGGTTCTTTTGGGCATGGAGCTAATGACTTCTACCCCTTTACAGTAAAAATACAAGTCCTCCAACTCTGCCAACCATTAAAGATCCATGTGAGCTTTTTGGATTTGCATGTGCAACAGTACTTAATTATATATTTATCTATCTTCATTGACATGGAATTAGATGTAAGGGCATTTCTATACAGAAACTGTCCCAATGTAGATAGCTATTTCTAATCTCTGTTAATGTTGTCTTAGTTGTTTTTAAATGATGTATTTTGAGAACTGGATGCAGGGTATCCAAATAATCTCAATAAAAGATGGTAGTCCTTAATTTGAAGTGCCATGCTTTGCTCTGAATTCCAATGAAGGAAAAAAAGGAAAAGAAACTTTTATCTCTTATCTTTCATATCTTAATGCAAATGCATGCCAACACTTTTTTTCTGTCAATAAAATAAGAGAAAGCCAGAAGTTTGAAAATGAGGTATTAGCAAACAAATCCCATAACATTTACTACAATATAAATCTTGCCCTCTTTTCTTACTTTGTAAGTTAGAGGAAAGTTTACTTGATTAAGATCAGTCATCTAGACAAGCAAAGATTTGTGTCTAAGCTCTAAAGCAAACTAGCTGCGTTACTTAGAGAAACAAACTTCAATTTTCAGGCCCAAGTTTGCTTGAAAGATTAAATAAAATAATGCATAAAATAGTTATTCACCACATGTAACACTTGACAAGTGTGTGCGGTAAAATATATAATATGATATTTGAATTAGTGTGTTTCCATGCTGTTGATAAAGACATACCTGAGACTGGGCAATTTATAAAAGAAAGAGGTTTAATTGGACTTACAGTTCCACATGGCTGGGGAGGCCTCACAATCATGGTAGAAGACAAGGAGGAGCAAGTCACATCTTACGTGGATGTTGGCAGGCAAAGAGAGCTTGTGCAGGGAAACTCCCCCTTATAATTCCATTAGATCTCTTGAGACTTATTTGAGAACAGCAATGGAAAGACCCACCCCCATAACCATAATTCAGTCATCTCCCACCAGGTCCATCCCACAGAAGGTAGGAATTATGGGAGCTACAAGATGAGATTTGGGTGGGCACACAGAAGCAAACCATATCATTCTGCCCCTGGCCCCTCCCAAACCTCATATCTTCACATTTCAAAACCAATCATGCCTTCCCAACAGCCCCCCAAAGTCTCAACTCACTTCAGCATTAACCCAAAAGTCCAAGTCCAAGGTCTCATCTGAAACAATGCAAGTCCCTTCTGCCTATGAGCCCATAAAATCAAATGCAAGTTAGTTACTTCCTAGATACAATGTGAGTACAGGCATTGGATAAATATAGTCATTCCAAATATGAGAAATTGGCCAAAATGAAGGGGCTACAGACACCATGCAATTCCAGAATCGAGCCGGGCAGTCAAATCTTAAAGTTCCGAAATGATCTCCTTTGACTCCATGTCTCGTATCCGGGTCATGCTGATGCAAGAGGTGGGTTCCCATGGTCTTGGGCAGCTCCACTCTTGTGGTTTTGCAGGGTACAGTGTCCATCCTGGCTGCTTTCATGGGCTGGCATTGAATGTCTGCAGCTTTTCCAGGCACACAGTGCAAGCTGTTGGTGGATCTACCATTCTGGGGTCTGGAGGACAGTGGCCCTCTTCTCACAGCTCCACTAGGTGTTGCCCCAGTAAGGACCCTGTGTGGGGGCTCCAAGCCCACATTTCCCTTCTAGGGATTTTTCATGAGGGCCCCACCCCTGTATCAAACTTCTGCATTGGCATCCAGGCATTTCCATACATCTTCTTAAATCAAGGTGGAGGTTCCCAAACCTCAATCCTTGACTTCTGTGCACCCACAGGCTCAACACCATGTGGCAGCTGCCAAGCCTTAGGGCTTCCACCCTCTGAAGCAACAGCCTAACCTGTACATTGGCCCCTTTTAGTCACAGGTGGAGCAGCTGGGACACAGGGCACCAAGTGCCTAGGATGAACACAGCATGGGGACCCTGGGCCCAGCCCACAAAACCATTTTTTCCTCCTAGGCTTCTGGGCCTGTGATTGGAGAGGCTGCCTTGAAGACCTCTGCCATGCCCTGGAGACATTTTCTCCATTGTCTTGGGGATTAACATTTGTCTCCTCGTTACTCATGCAAATTTCTGCAGCCAGCTTGAATTTCTTCTCAGAAAATGGAATTTTCTTTGCTATCGCATTGTCAGGCTGCAAATTTTACAAACCTTTATGCTGTGTTTCCCTTTTGAAACTGAATGTCTTTAACAGCCCCCAAGTAAGCTCTTGAGTTCTTTGCTGCTTAGAAATTTCTTCCGCCAGTTACCCTAAATAATCTCTCTCAAGTTCAAAGTTCCACAAATATCTGGGGCGGGGCAAAATGCCACCTGTTTATTTACTAAAACATAACAAGAGTCACCTTTACTCCAGTTAACAAGTTCCTTTCCATCTGAGACCACCCCCGACTGGACCTTATTGTTCATATCACTATCAGCAATTTTGTCAAAGCCATTCAACAAGTCTCTAGGAAATTCAAAACTTTCCCACATCTGTCTGTCTTCTGAGCCTTCCAAACTCTTCCAACCTCTGCCTGTTACCCAGTTCTAAAGTTGCTTCCACATTTTTGAGTATCTTTTCAGCAATGTCCCACTCTATTGGTACCAATTTACTTTATTGGTCTGTTTCATGCTGCCGATAAAGACATACCAGAGACTGGGCAATTTACAAAAGAAAGAGTTTTAATTGGATTCATAGTTCCACATGCTTGGGGAGACCTCACAATCATGGTTGAAGGCAAGGAGGAGCAAATCACATTTTATGTGGATGGTGGCAGGCAAAGAGAGCTTGTGCTGGGATACTCCCCCTTATAATACTGTCACATCTCATGAGATTTATTTGCTATCACGAGAACAGCACAGGAACAACCTGCCCCCATAATTCAATAATCTACCACTGGGTCTGTCCCACAACATGTGGGAATTATGGGAGCTACAAAATGAGATTTGGGTGGGGACAAAGAGCCAAACCATATCAATATTTAATTTTTTTCTTTGCCCTTAGTGTCTCAATGTGTATATTGTTTTTTTTTTTTTTTTAATTTTATTTTAGGACAGGCACAGTGGCTCACGCCTGTAATCCCAGCACTTTGGGAGGCCGAGGCAGGTAGATTACCTGAGGTCAGGAGTTTGTGACCACCCTGGTCAACATGGTGAAACCTTGTCTCTATTAAAAATACCAAAAATTAGCCAGGCATAGTGGCAGGTGCCTGTAATCCCAGCTACTCAGGAGGCTGAGACAGGAGAATCACTTGAACTGGGGAGGCGGAGCTTGCAGTGAGCCGAGATCATGCCATTGCACTCCAGCCTGGGCAAAAGAGCAAAACTCCATCTCAAGAAAAAAAAAAAACAACTTTTATTTTAGGTTCGGGGGTACATCTGAAGTTTTCTTATATAGGTAAACTGTGTGTTCACAGGGCTTTGGTGTATAGATTATTTTTTAACTCAGGCAATAAGTATAGTATTGACTAAGTACCTTTTCTGATCCTTGCCTTCCTCCCACCCACCACCCTAAGTAGACTCCAGTGTCTGTTGTTTCCAACTTTGTGTCCATGCATTCTCATTGTTTAGCTCCCACTTATAAGTGAGAACATGCAGTATTTGGTTTTCTGTTCCTGCATTAGTTTGCTTAGGAGAGTGGCCTCCATCTCCAACCACGTCCCTAGAAAGGACATGATCTCATTCTTTTTTTATGGCTTCATAGCATTCCATGGTGTATATGTACCATATGTACCATATTTTTTGTATCTAGCCTACCACTGATGGGAATTTAGGTTGATTCCATGTTTTTGCTACTGTGAATAGTGCTTCAGTGAACATATGCATGGATATGTCTTTATGGTAGAAAAATTTATATCCCTTTGGGTATATACCCAGTTATGGGATTGCTAAATGGACTGGTATTTCTGCTTCAAGATTTTTGAGGAATTGACACACTGCTTTTTGCAATGGCTGAACTAATTTACACTCTCACCAACAGTGTGTAAGCATTCCTTTTTCTCTGCAACCTTGCCAGCATCTGATATTTTTTGATGTTTTCATAGTAGCCATTCTGACTGGTGTGAGATGGTATCTCATTGTGGTTTTGATTTGCATCTCTCTAATAATCAATGATGTTGAGCAGTTTTTATATGCTTGTTGGCAGCATGTATGTCTTCTTTTGAGAAGTGTTTGTTTATGCCCTGTGCCCAATTTTTAATGGGGTTGCATGTTCTTTGCTTATAAATTTGTTTAAGTTCCTTACACATTCTGGATGTTAGACCACTGTCAAATGCACAGTTTACAAATATTTTCTCCCATTCTGTAGGTTATCTGTTTACTCTGTTGACACTTTGTTTTGCTGTACAGAAGTTCTTTAGTTTGATTAGGTCCTATTTGTCAACTTTTGCTTTTGTTGCAATTGCTTTTGGCATCTTCACTGTGAATTTTTTTCTAGGTCTTATGTCCAGAATGATAGTTCTTAAGTTTTCTTCCAGGGTTTTACCTATAATTAAATGTAAAAGCTATAATTTTAGGTTTTACATTTAAGTCTTTAATCCATCTTGAGTTGATTTTTGCATATGGTGTAAGGAAGGCGTCCAATTTTACTCTTTTGCATATTACTAGCCTTTTATTTCAGCACTATTTATTGAATAAGGAGTCCTTTTCCTATTGCTTGTTATTGTTGGTTTTGTTAAAGAGCAAATGGTTGTGTGTGGCTTTATTTGTGGGTTCTCTAATCTGTTCTGTTGGTCTGTGTCTCTGTTTTTGTACCAGTACCATGCTGTTTTGGTTACAATAGCCTGGTAGTATAGTTTGAAGACAGGTAACATAATATCTCCAGCTTTGGTCTTTTTGCTTAGGATTGCCTTGGCTATTCAGGCTCTTTAAAGAGTTTATGTAATATGATAGAAGTATAAGGGAAATAAGAAAAAATATTAATTAACACTAATTTTTGGGAGATGATGCATTAAATAAGAGACTATTTTCAAATTCTGCTTTCCTTGGAGAGTCAATATTTAGAGAATATGTTAATATTATCCAGTCTCCATAAGTGGAGTCCTAGAAGATTCTTTTCAATTTCTTTGATAATTAGTTGCTGAATTGTACTGCTTGTGTAAGATTACAGTATAAGGATATCTCTGAACTTACATCAACTTGCTTGTAAATAGTATCCTTTATGTCAGTAAGTTTTTTTAAAGAGCATAAAATTCTTTACCCTTAGATTTTATTTTCTTTAAAACAACCACTATTTGGAAATGAGGTGTTTACTGATAAACTAGAAAAAATATTTTTATTATGCATGAATAATTTGTAAACATTGTTAAAATAAATCATACTGCAGCAGGTAAGCAGCCAGAGCCAACACTTACACATTTGCAAATAAATATATATTGACACATGATTTTCAACAAAAACATGCACAGAAATATTTACAATTATGGAAAAATCTGTTCTTTAATTATACACCAGTTAGTTGTCTCAATAATTAATAATTATTCATGTAAAATGAGTAACACTAGGAAAGCTACTTTGCTTCCTGGATATAAATGGGATATTTTCATATAATGAGCTTTCTAACAGAAATTTATTGGTAGTTTTTAACTGACATGGTGACCCTTTACTTATTTGGAATAAAAGTATGTTGAATAAAGCCACTTTATCTACATCATTATTACTAGGTAATCTGTTAATAGGGTTAGAATTCCCAGAACTTGAGATCATTTTCACTGTAATCTTTTCTGATAGAGGTCTAGGAATCACTTGTTAAAATGTAGGTACCCCTGGCATTAGCTAATAACTATCAATTATCTATTATCATCATAGCATTGGCTATCATATTAACTGCATTCATCTAGCTGCGCTCTTCAGGAGACCATACTGGGAAATAATTGTCTATGAGTCTTTTATGTTTCTGCATGTCTTGACAGTAAGATCACAGAGTGCCCTTTGTTCTTTTCAAAGATTTTTTTCAATTCCAAACTACCTTGGAAGATAGAAATGGTATCTCTTTCCAGAGCAAGAAATTGTTTTCTGCCTAGTATAATAAATTAATGTCTTTCACCAAAGCCAAGTTTAGGTAGGTTTCTTGCAGCCCATTATAAAAGACTTTTTCCTAAGCTTGAAATTCCTTAACAAAACCCACTGTGTGGAGCATCCATCTAGATTTCTATATATCATTTCCATGTGACTTGAGTGCCAAAAGGAACAAATGTAACCAGTAAACTCATGCTGCTTGCTGTGCTGTGAGTAATGAAGACTTTTTTCTCTGAACAAGTGTTTCATATTTTCTACCTGCATCCATGAAACTGAAGCAGGCTAACTCATTAGCTTACAAGTAGGATGCTATCACAAACCATTCAGCATTCTTGACAGGCCACAAAGGAGATAACACTGTGTTGGGAAAGTGAAGAAAGGGATAGATCCAGAATGTGGGTAGTCTATGGAGAATAAGTACACATGTGTTATCTGGATGCAGAAATATGTAGAAAGTGAGGGGTACTGGAATCTCAAGGGAAAATGTTTGAAGAAGAGAGGATAATTTCAGAGAAGAATGAAGGGACTTTGTAAGAGACAATGATCCATTTTACTTTTTGAAATTAACAATCTAATGCCTTTTAAGTCTTTAGCATGAGGAGAAGGTAGGGCTTATGTTCAGTCTCAATGACCCTAGAATATGAAAAGGGAAAGTCCTATTGTCAATTTGTGTCCCTGGAGAGATGAAATAAATTGTGCTAAAATGAGAAAACACTCTTTTAAATGAAGAGAATATTGAAATCAAGTAAAGTCATCAAAGAAAATAATGAAATATGCTTCTATGCTGCAGTAACAAGTGAATAAACAGTAAAGAAAATACTCAGGCCTTCTAACTATTCCCATCCCCCTTCCACTTTCAGTCCATTTTCCATATAGCAGCTAGAATAATTCCTCTAAAATCTAAGCCACGTCCTATCAGTCTACTGCTCAAAATTCTTCCTGTGCATTCCTAGAGTTTTCAAAACTAAACCCAAATTTACTCTCCATGACATATAAAGCCCACTATGACTTGGTTGCTTACTATCCCTCTGGCTTCAACAGTGATCATTCTTCCACTCATTTTCTCATCTCCAGCCACTCTGGCCACCTTGCTATTCATCATACATGCCAAGATTTCTCTCATCTTGGAGTCTTTGTACTTGCTGTTTTCCCTGTCTGGGGTGCTTCCCCACTATACATCCTTCGGGCTTGATTACTTATCTTCTGGGGTTTTTGTTTTTGTTGTTAAATTTTTCTCTTTAAGAAAGACTTTCTGACCTCCATCTATAAAATAGCACTTATTTGCCAACTGCCACTCTCTATTCTATTTTTTATTCTTTTTAAAAATTATACTTAATGCCACATGACATAATATATGTACACATGTACACATGACATGTAAGTGCACACACATGCACACATAGCCACTTCCAGGTTACTTCATCTGCCATGTATATGAACATCTAAAAATCTCCTTTGTATGTGCATTTGATCAGGTGACATTTATTAGGAAGCAGTTGATGATTATGTCCTCATTTACAGTTTTACAAAAATGAGTTTATCATTCAACAAGGCCTCTGATATTTGATAAGTAGAGTGACTATAAAGTTTACTATTCAAAGGAACCTAGAGAACAGCACCTTGAGAATCAAAGATATAGTTGATAATTTCTTTAGGATACAAGCAAACTTGGATTTTCTTAGGCAATCCATGAGGCATAGTTATCCTATTGATAAGTGAAGCTGGTTGGGAATTCAGGCAAGAAGCTTCCTCCTGTGTCAGGATTGCCCCACTCCACCAATATTTTATGCTTCTGTTTATGCTTCAAGACTCTCCTCCTACTTCACTTCCTTCCTGAGACCTCTGAGGATGCCATTATGCCCTTAAGGGTCAGAAGAGACAGCTACCATTGTCTTTCTCTCAGACTTTTTTACATATCTAAGTTCAGTTGTGACCCCTCATGACCTAGCAGTGCCTAACTCCCATTAGACACTCAATAAATCTCCACTGTATGATTTAATTAATGACTTGAGGCTAACTTCTTACAGAAATGTGCAGATCCATCTGGGAATGGGGCTTGGGTTGGAATATCAGACCACAAAATCCACTAACAGGTTGATGGAGAGAGTCAATAGTCTCTTGATGCAGGTCTCGGTCCTGACCCTATTATCAGAGATGAAAGTTCTGACCTTTATATCTGAGAGAGTGATGCTCTACACCACAAAATTCCAAGGGAAAACTCATTTTTCTTTTCAAGATAGCTTTTTTTTTTTTTTGGCCAACTTCACATTTTTTCTAAAAGGCAAGAAGCCAACTGCCCGTCTTTCTAGCAGCCATTTGAGCTGCCTGCTTTACTCTCCTCTGGAGCTTGGCAATTAACTACTGCTAGAAACTCTCTCGTCAGGACTCTAGGAAGTCTTTTAATACCATCACTTCTTCAATTTTCTCTACTAAGGAAGTCTTCACAGTTCATTAACTGAGTATCAATTCTAGCATAATCTTTCTGTATGTTTTTCTTAAACCTGCAACATTTCACCTTTTGGGCATTGGACATATATCACATAAGTTTTTTTATTATTATTTTATTTTCTTGTTTTAGTTTGTTGTTTTTTCCCCCATTTTTTCTTAATAAGAACATCATTATTTATGGAGGAGTCATGTCTTTTGCTGGAAAAAGAAAAACCTTCAGAAAAGAAATCACTGAAGAGTAGTTTGTTATTATTATTATTTTTTTGGTGGGTGGGGAGAGTGCTTAACAAACATGGCAGGTTATTTTATTTCCAAGAATAGTAAAGGAGCCATAAGAACAAAAACCATGGTCTTATTATCAGTTCATCTTAGAACATAACTCCATGTTGTATAGATCCTGGTGTTCAAAAAACACAAAGAGCTGAAATGTCTAATATGGTAATCACTAACTTAGGTGGCTAGTTCAAATTGAGATGTGTTATGTGTTAAATGCACACTGATTCCAAGACACAATGTATAAAAAAGAATGTAAAATATACTATGAATACTTTTTATATTGATTGCATTTTGAAATGATAATATTTTCTATATAGTATGTTAAATAAAATACTTTTTTTTGAGATGGGGTCTGGCTATGTTGCCCATGCTGGTCTTGAATTCTTGGCCTCAAGTGATCTTCCCTTTTCACCCTCCCAGTAGCTGGGATTACAGGAGTGCAGCACTGCAACTAGCTAAAATACATTTTTAAAATGTCACTTATTTGTTTTTATGTATTTAATGTGGCCAGTAGAGAAATTTACAAGTACATATGCAATTCACATTATATTTCTCCTGGAAAACACTGACTTAGAGGATTAAAAACAATAAGTAATCAATAAAATAGCTATGCAAAACATTTAATTCTTTTTGCCTAATGATTATTATACCCATTGATGTCCCTCTTTCTGAAGGAGTATAAAGAGAGTATGCCTTTGTTTCATGCTCACTGTTTTGAGTTCTAATGCTGCTTTGACAATTTAGGCTTCTGTTTGTTGTCTTTGGCAAGTGGCTTAACCTCATGAGCTCTAATTTTCTCACTTGTAAAATCTGGCAATATCTATATCCACCAATAAGGGGGATTTTGAAACTATTTTATTCACAGTAAATATTATAAGTATTTTATTTGTCTTGTTTTATAGGAAGCTGTATTATTTTACTATTCAATTATGTTTTGAATGTTTAAATATTTGATTAGACATTTTGGCTGAATGGAAACTTGCCTAATATCTTTAAAAGAAGAAATACATGATTAACTTCATCATCTGGTAGAAAAAGATTCTGAAAGGTAGACAATCTGTGGAGAAGAAAGTAAAGAAGTTGAGTAAGTATGCAACAAACATACCAAAGCACCTATGCACAAGTGTACACTGTATGTGTCAAGGTAGTCTCTGTTTTTACTTTCATATTTAGTAGCAACCTGTGTAAGTATATTTTATGCAAATTTCCTTCAAGTACTGATTTTCAGATAATTTTGTCAAGTTGATGCATTCTTCTTTTCAAATTCTTCCATAAATACCATATATATTAGGGACCCACTTGCCCTGGATTCATGTTTAAATGTTCAATTAAGAGAAAATTCTGTCTAACACCTTTTCTAAACACTCTGTGGCTTGCTTATAGGCAATGACTATTCCTGGGAAGCCCCTGTGTCTAAAAGCCCATTCACCTCACCTGCAACCAGGAATACTCAATTCATCTTGGCTTGGCCTGCAAACCCATGAGGTGCATTTGCCTCTCAATTAAAGATATGCATTTATTTCTTCTGAAAATTTCTTCAAGTTCTTGACCTATATATTAAGAGTAAACACATACTTTCAGGACTATCGAGCCCTGCCAAAGAACACAGACAAAGTCTTAGAGGCAGACAGGCAAACTCTTGAATATGTCTCAGCTCAAGTGTCATTTCTGGTCTTCAACTGTGGCGTATCCATAGGCCATAAATAGACTCTCTACCTAAGGCTCGCATGTGGCTGAAAACATCCAAGATTTAACAAGGAAGAAAGGAAAATCAATACTCATTTTTATCTCACTTTTTCCCTTTTTTTCCAAGCAGTCTTGAGTCACCTCCATTGCTATCTCATTTCTTTCTTCGCTTTATCCTCTGATGACCTCTCTTTACCATTTGTATTCTGGACTGAATCTCTAATATCGTCCTCAATTTGCTCGTTGTTATTTTTAAAACTTTTCTTTTGAAACTGTTTTCAAAGTCAATTGTCTTTCATATTAAATAGCCATTTATTATCAACCTCTAAATGTGCGTCAGTAGTTCCCACATTTAAGCCTGCATCAGAATCACCTGGAGGTTTGTCAAAACTCAGAGTTTCCGATTTAGTAGGTTTGGGGTGGGATGTAAGCATTTGCATTTCTAACAAGTTCCAAAGTGATGCTGAAGCTCTTTGAGAACTGCTAACTTAAGCAATGCTGTTTGGGGCCATCATCATGACAACTAGTTTGAAGTAATATAACTATCATGACTGATTTCTACTTAGGTTTTGGGCGATTGCATTGAAAGCAAGATCCCTAGCTTTGGAAGTTTGAAGGCTTGAGGAGTCTGAGGCTATAGTGCTGGGTCAGTGCTCAATTTGGTCGATACACAACGGGCATGAGGACTAGTGGATTAGTTGGGGAGTCTTTTTTTTTAAAATGCTCTGAACTGAGAAATAGTTGGCTACTGCAAAAGATTATTCTTCTATCTTTTTTTCCAGGTGTCTGCTGTGTGCTTGCTAATTAAATTTGAGAATCTGTAATACACTGCTTAGAACAGCAGGGATTTGTCATATTTGGACGAAAACAGAACAAAATTAAAAAAAAAATCTAGATAGCCTGTCTTTTTGCCATCCTTTTATTTAACTTAAATAAAAGAAATAGTATAAATACTAGGCTCTGTCATTTTTCACAAATTTAGCTCTTAAAGAACATCATTTCTCTCTGGTTAAAAGCCTGTGGGCTCAGTACCACGGCCCTCAGGATCTTATTTCTCCATTCTCTCTCTTGTTTCCTCCTCTTTGATAAATGTATATTTCTATGGTGACTCAGTTTTTAGCTACTTAGTATTTTACTGTTGCTTCAGCAGAAACATGAAGGAGGCCTTTGAATTAGGCCTTCCAGCCTCTAAATTGTTACATGCCATTAAGGGACATTAGTGCCCATAAACCACAAACTAACCAATGAAAACTGAACTGCTGGTTGCATTTATAATAACGAAGGAAATGCAGTATATGAAAAATCATGGAGGAATATAGTTTCCTAATATATTCTGAAAGTGTGTGTTTAGGGATCTTTTTTTCTTTTCTTTTTTAATAATTTAGTTTGGAATGGATTGCACTAGATGATAGCTTGATGAATTTTGCTGACTGGGGGCAGTAGGGTAAAATGAATTCTAATTGTTTATTTTTAAAAATCAATGTCTTCCAGTAATGTCGGGAACTAAATGCACTCTGGTAAAGAGGATATGCTAACTAAAGCCATGTTTGATAAGTGTTTAGTTTCCTTGTCAGTTGTTTTAGTTGAGTCCAAGTCAGCATTATCTTTCTGAATGGATATAGGGCTTATCTAATAACACTTCCAAAATAGAAAGTCAAATAATCTCAGTCAATGAGTTAAACTACATGCTTCACCTTGCCTGTTTGCTTAGTTTCATCCATCTCCAAGCTGCCTAAATTCCAAGTATTCAAATTATCCTTTCATTTTTAAATGACTCGCCTTCAAGGTTTAAAAAATGACAGCACAACTACCATTTGCCCCAATCTGTGATGATTAAACGTAGCAACTCACGTACTCAGATGGCTAGTGCAGAAAGAAAAAGAGGGAGACAGTGAAATGAAATTAGAAGTGTTAAGAATCCTTTCCATTACTCGTATCTTTTTTATCCCTTGTTCTTATCACTCTATTAGGTCTTTATGTGGCTATTGCTTTGAAGACAAAGAATAACGAAGATTGAGCCCAGCATCTTGCTATTAAGGAAAAGTGAGTTCTTTTCCTTCTCTCATAAACTAAATTAGGCCAAATAAATATTGTATTTCCCTTGTTTACCTATTTTTTGTTCATCTTACAAATATGGCAAGTCTAGGGCTACAAATCAAAGATAAGTCATATAATTATCTGATTACCAACTATTTTAATGTTTACAATCATGGCTGTCACATAGAGGTTTAGCTTGAAATTATTACTATTATTATTATGATTACTATTTGGGGGGTGGGGGGAGACGGAGTCTCACTCTGTTGCCCAGGCCGGAGCACAGTGGCACGATCTTGGCTCACTGCAACCTCTGCCTCCTGGGTTCAAGCAATTCTCCTGCCTCAGCCTCCTGGGTAGCTGGGATTACAGGCATTTGCCACCACTCCAAGCTAATTTTTGTATTTTTAGTAGAGACAGGGTTTTGCCATGTTGGCCAGGCTGATCTCGAACTCTGGACCTCGTGATCTGCCTGCCTCGACCTCCCAAAGTGCTGGGATTACAGGTGTGAACCACTGCACCCTGTCAAAAATTTTTAGTCCAAATTGCCACCATTCTACTGCTGTGTGGCCAGGGTTTGGGGTCTATATAAAGAGTCCCATAGTTATTACCTCCTGCCGTAGGCTGGGCATAGGTGCTATAAATTTGTTTTCATTGTTGGTTATAATTTATACTCTTCTAAGGTAATGGTGCACATATAAGTTAAGCATAGCAGTAAAAATTTGCTTCAAACAAATAAACAAAATACCTATTTTTAAAGTGAAAAATGTGCAAAGAATATACATTTTAGGCCCATAAAAAGGATATGGGACATTCTCTTTCCTATCCCAATATACCTATTCATTTCCTTCAGCTCACTGAAACTTCATTTTATGAACTTACTTAATGTAAATAAACAAATGAAAAAATAAACAAATAAACTTCTTGGTGCCATGCTAAATGTTTCAACTATGTTGCAATTAAATATCTTGTATCAAAAATTTTAAGAAAACTAAAAGTTGAAACTAAAAGGTGTGAACAATCAATCACAGGACAATGATTTTATGCCTTTATTTTAAAAATGGAAGGTGAAATTGAGCTTTGCTTTTCTACAACATCCATTAACTGCTCTTTTAAAAAAGAAATACCAAAAAGCATAACGTCGTAGTAATAAATTGATTTGGGATAGAAATATACACACAAAAATGTTACTGCTGAAAAATCTAAAGACTCCACCAAAAAAGTATTTGGACTGGTAAACAAATTCAATAAAAATGCAGGATACAAAATCAGCATACAAAAATCAGTAGCATTTTTTTTTTTTTTTTTTTTTTTTTTGAGACGGAGTCTCGCTCTGTCGCCCAGGCTGGAGTGCAGTGGCGGGATCTCGGCTCACTGCAAGCTCCGCCTCCCGGGTTCATGCCATTCTCCTGCCTCAGCCTCCCAAGTAGCTGGGACTACAGGCGCCCGCCACTACGCCCGGCTAATTTTTTTGTATTTTTAGTAGAGACGGGGTTTCACCGTTTTAGCCGGGATGGTCTCGATCTCCTGACCTCGTGATCCGCCCGCCTCGGCCTCCCAAAGTGCTGGGATTACAGGCGTGAGCCACAAAAATCAGTAGCATTTTTATGTTCCAGCAGCAAACAACCCAAAAAGGAATTAAGAAAGTAATTCCATTTACAAAGTAAAAAAAACACATACCTAGCGATAAACTAAATCAAAGGAGGGAAAGTTATCTACAATGAAAACTATAAAGTTGATACCAGAAATTGAAGCAGACACGAAAAAATGGAAAACTATTCTATGTTTGTGGATTGGAAGAATCAACATTGGTAAAATGTCTACATTACCCAAAGTAATCTACAGACTCAATGCAATCCCTTCCAAATATCAATGACATTTTTCACAGACATAGAAAAAAATCCTAAAATTTAAGTGGAACTACAAAAGACCCAGAATATCCAAAGCCATCCTGAGCAAAAGGAACAATACTGGAGTAATCACATTACCTGACTTCCAGTTATACTACAGAACATCATGGTACTGGCATAAAAATAGACACAGAGACCAATGGAACAGAATAGAAAATCCAAAAACAAATCCAAATCCATACATCTATAGTGAACTCATTTTCAACAAAGGTGCCAATAACATATATTAGGAAAAGGATAGTCTCTTCAATAAATAGTGCTGGAAAAACTGGATATCCAGACACAGAAGAAAGAAACTAGACCCCTATCTCTCACTATATACAAAAATCAAATTCAAATTGATTAAAGACTTATATCTAAAACCTCATACTGTGAAACTACTAAAAGAACACATTGATAAACTCTCCAGGACATTAGTTTGGGCAAAGATTTCTTGAGTAATTCTCCACAAGCACAGGCAACCAAAGCAAAAATGGACAAATGGAATCATATCAAGTGAAAAAGCTTTCACACAGCATTGGAAACATAAAAAAAGTGATGAATTTATTTATCTGGGAATTATTTATCTGGGAAGCCCCGTCTAAATGAGGTGATGAATAGCCCATTTACCTTGATGTGATTATTACATATTTTATACCTGTATCAAAGTATCTTCTGTACCCAATAAATATATACACCTACTATGTACCCATAAAAATTAAAAATAAAATTATTTTAAAAATTAAATTATATATAATTCCATCTGCAAACCATGAACAATTATGAGATTTTTGTTTTACTGTGGTTTTAACCATTGTTCTTTAAAATACCTTGTCCCTCCTTCTAGTAATATTTCAATTTTAGATTAAATGAGTTGTTATAAGTACAGGTCTAATTCAATTAACTAAAAAATATTGTAGTCTAGCTTATTGTATTAACTATATAAAATGTGTGAGCAAAAGAAGGTGAACACTATTTAAAATATAACACATTTCTGGGAGGCTAAATTGGGGCTAAATTGGTCATTCTGCCATATTATTATTCATGAAAAAGAATACTCTCCCTCAAAAAGATGAATATTTGCTATCCAAGGGGCATATATAAACAGAGTAGAAGAGAAAACCTCTAATTATTTTTACCAAGGACACAGCTAGATTGCCTGTTTCCTGGTGTTCTGATACGATACTTATCAAACAACCTTCAGATTTTAATTTGACTATCCATGTGGCTGTTCCACAGGGAAAGAATAAACTAACCATTAAATGTAGATATTCATTCTACTTGGAAGAGTCTTTTTATATAAATGAATACATTTTAATTTCAATTTTATGCATTAGCCCCTTGAGATTGGTTAGCTTGAATCTATCCCAGAGAGACTGATTAATTCTCAATGCATTGATAAAACAGAATTTCTCATCACTCAAAACTGATGAGATATTGGAAATAGTGACAAAACTGAGGTGCTATTTTAGACGGGGCTTCCCAGATATTAGAAGACTGAATTCAATTTGTGAATAAACAAGGTGGCAAATAATGTGTGTCATGAAAAAAATACTTGAGAAGTAAAATCACCAGTTTAATATAATTGATTGGGAAATGCATAAGTATATGATACTGTCTATAATGCTGGGAGTAAAAGTAACAAATCAATAAAATATTTCTATCTTTTGTCAATGCAATGCTGTTCAACCCTTCTTGCAGGTGGTAGGTGTCATATTCTTTTAGGGATGCTGTAATAAAATAGCATAAACTGAGTAGCTCATAAAGAAACAGAAATATATTTCTCACAGTTGTGGAGTCTGTGAAGTACAAGATCAAAGCACCAACAGATCCAGCAAGTTCCCACTTCCTGGTTCACAGAACAATGCCTTCTTGCTGTGTCCTCGCATGGAGGAGGAGGCCAACAGTCTCCCTCAGGCCCCTTTTGTAGGGCATAAATTCCATTCATGAGTTTGAAGCCCTCATGATCTAATCACCTTCTGAACCCCACCTCTCAATACCATCACCTTGGAGGTTACAACTTCAACATATAAATTTTGAGAGGGCACAAACATTCATAGTATAGCAGCAGATGAGGCCATCTAGAGAGTGCTTACATAAGCCAGTACCACAGCATACTCACCAGCAGCCAGTGCTTAACAGGCAGACATTTTGCTAAGGAAGGGATGACATGGACCAAGCCAAAAGCTAGTTTCTTGGCCTGCCACAGGAACAGTGAGGGAAAAGCCAAAGATGAACTTTTGAATAATGAGGCTGAGAATGACAATCTATAAGAGAGATTAGAATTGAAACAGCTGGTCAATATTAAAATGCTGAGGGAAAGAAATTGTATTCGAGTGAACTGGGAAGGACTCATCATATTCATGCTCTAGATTTTCTCATCAGCCTTCAGTCGAAACTATAACCTTCCCATCTATGCAGTTGAGTTCAGTTTTGTCCTGACTACTTGGAGCATCAGGTATGTGATGATTAATTTTATGTGTTAAATTAACTGGGTCACAGAATGTCCAGACATTTGGTCAGAGATTATTTTGAGTGTGTCTCTGAGGGTGTTTCTGGATGATAGTAATATTTGATTAGGTAGAGTGAGTATAAAGGGGATTGTTCTTTCTAATGTGAGTTGGCTTAATCTAGTCAATTAGAAACACAAGTAGAACCAAAAGTTTGAATAACGAGGAACTTTTGCCTGACTGCTTGAGTAGGAACACTGGTCTTCCTAGCTTTTGGACTATGATTGGGACAACATATTGGCTTTCCTGGATCTCCAGTTTGCCAACTGCAGATCATGAGATGTCTCAGCCTCCAAAATCATGTGAGCCAGTTTCTTGTAATAAATCAGTAAATCTCTTTCTTTATAGATAGGTTGATATCTATAAAGATATAAATATAGATTGAATGTAGATATAAATATAGATTGAATAGATAAAGATTTTCTGAATCTCTCTTTGGTTCTGTTTCTCTGGAGAACACTAATGCAGTTCTTTTGGTACCAAGAAGTGGGGTGCTGCTATAACAATTGCCTAAACATAAGGAAGGGACTTTAGAACTAGGTGATGGCTAGAGGATGAAAAAGTTTTGAGGTACATAGAAATATGGATGTTAAGAGTGATTTTGGTGAGTCTCAGATGAAAATGAAGAATATATTACTGAAAATTGGAGAAAAGGAGATTCTTTTACAGTGGCAAATAACTTGGCTGAACTGTGCTCTAGTGTTTTGTGGAAAGTTGAACTTGTGAGTAATAAAGCTGGATATTTAGCTGAGGAAATTTCTAAGCAATATTATTGAAGAAGCAGCTTGGATCCTCCTGACTGTATTAAAATGTAAAAGGAGAAAGTCAAATTGAAGGATTTGTTAAAAAGAAAAAAGAAACTAGAACTTGAAGATATGGATAATCCGTAGCCTATCCATATTCAATAAATTAGAAAACAGTGTTCTAAAGAGAACGTCATGGGTGTGGCTAGACTATTAATTGATAGAGATTTAATAGGATTATGAAGGTAGAAACACTGCCAGTTCAAACTGAAGAGGATGAAGATGGGACAAAAGGAAAAAACACTATCAGACTTCTTGAATTTGACAGGACAAGGCGATAGAGGTATTTGGCTGCAAATGTATCCTCTTCTTAAAGAAGAGAAAAAAATGACCCTGAAAGAGATTCATATATCCCGGCCACTGGCTAAGTTTCAGCAGCCAGATGGCCTCAACCTGGGATGATTCTGCCACTCTTATGGAGCTAGATGGCAAGGCATTGAGTCAAAGAGGATGATTCTTGAGCCTTAAGATCTATAATGGCAATTGCTTTGCTAAATTTTGGATTTGCTTGGGACACATCAAACTTTCTTTATTTCAATTTATTTTTTTTGGAATGAAAATGTCTATCTTATGTCTGCCCCACCATTGTATTTTGGAAGCCAGACATAAGTTGTCTGGTTTCACAAGTTCACATGAGAGGAATTTTGCCTTAGGATGAAACATTCCTTGAGTCTCATCTGTTTCTGGTTTAGATGATGTTTTGATGAGACTTTGCACTTTAGACTTTAGAGTTCATGCTGGGACAAGTTAATATTATTAGAGCTAATGGATGGAATGAATGCATTTTGTATGTGATAAGGACATGGATTTTGGAAGGCCAGGGATACAGTGGTATGTGTTGTAGCCCTAACCCCAAATGTACCGGTATTTAGGTTGAGGTCCTTAAGAAATAATTGCATATATAGAAGAGACACCAGAGGGCTTGCTCAGTCTGTCTCTCTCTGCCATGTGAGGAACCAGCAAGAAAGCAGCTATCTGTAAGCCAAGAACAGAGCCCTCACCAGAAGTCAAACATGCTGACATCTTGATCTTGGTCTTTCTGACTCCAGACCTGTGAGAAAGTTAATTTCTGTTGTTTAATCCACCTAGTCTAGGGTATTTTGTATGGCAGCCCAAGCTGGCTAAGACAAAGAGAGACTGTCAGAGACTGGACATACAATACTGAAATCAGAAGAGAGGACTGAGTGAAAGAGTTATCCAAAAGTCATTAGGGAGGAATGAGAATCATAATCACATATAAATGCTCATCTAGTCAGAAAAGGGACATGAGAGACATACAGGTAGGGGAACTGGTTCAAGGAAAAGTTTGAAGCCAGGAATAAGCTTATGATGTGCTTGAAAATAGTAACTTAAAAAGCTAGCTCAAAGGGAGGGTTTTTGAAGGAAGACATAAAGGCTCAAAGTCCGTTTTGGGCCATAGGGTAATGAATCATGTTTTAAGATGATGCATGCATTTCTGAGACTCTATGCATTGTCTGGTTTGGTGGCTGTAGGGATAAATTTATACTGATCTTTCCATATTTTTTCTATACTACTTCTTGAAAGTAATACAGTAGGACAATTGAAGTCCTTTCAAATCTCAAGGTACTCTGATCCAATTGCACATTTTTAACATGCCTGACTGAGAGGAAGGACATAGTCTGTATATATAAAAAGATATTAAATGGCCGTAAGAACTATCAAAGCTATGACCTTCAATTTGCTGACAACAATATTTAGTATAGTGATCACCAAATTGGGTCTGCAAACTCCTCAGGAGTATACAATGTGATCTATGAGGCCACTGTCAGAAAAAAAAATATTGGCATGTTTATTTATGTTCTTATTTATTTGTTTTGGAAAATATTTTAAGATATGCATAACATAGCAATTATATGCTATGAAGCAATTATATACTTATGAAGGTGTATTTAAAATATTTGCGAATAGAATTGTGCAACATAAGATTTTAAAGATCATTGCTTCAGTCAACTGAATTATTCAGTAGATGAAAGATGACTGTCTGGTAGGGATATTAGGTGGTTTCCCTGAGAAGCTGAAAATCAGATGAAGGAATTTAAATATGGAAATTACAAAGTCAGATTGTTTTTCAGAGAGCTCATTCTGAAAATTCACTGGAATACAGGGGTGGGGATGACACTGAAAAGCAGTTTAAGCAGTCAATAACTTCTTCTCTTCAGGTAGTGAGGGTTTGCTCTAGAGGGGATGATAATGGGGACTGAGAGGAAAAGACTGAACAGATAAATAATGATCAGGTAAAATAAGCCGAACCTGGCGATTGATTGAATGAGGAGTGTGAAAGAAAAAGAGAAATGAAGGATGCCTCCACAGTTTTTAACGTAGACGACCATTTAAACATTAATTGCAATAGATAATAAAACTAGGGAAGGTTTGTGGGTAATTTATGACCAGTACAGTTGTAACCATGTTGAGTTTGAGATACTCAAATCCCTTTTTAGGTGAAGATAAACAGAAAAGAGCTGGAATATGAGGCTCAGAGGAGAAGTCTAGATAAACATATTGATTTGAGAATCAGAACAGGTATAAGTGGAGGGGCTATGAAAGCATAAAGAGTAATAGTATCAGATAACACATGCAGGACCAAGAATGCCCCAAAATATTAAGAATATACATGTGCCAGGAAAACAAATACAAAACACTTTATCTGATAAAAACTTTGTAATGTGATTTTTTAAGGGAATGGTGAAATGAAATGGTGATTCATAGTGATATGAAATGATGACTAATAGATAGTGATATTTTTCAATTTTTGAAAGCATCTGCTATTCAAGATGGCATCATGAGGTGTGAAAAAAATTTCATCCTAAAGAATTGGTAGAAATGTAATTTTTTTCTATATTACAAAGAATAATGACCTTAGAATAAATGTTGGAATTAAAATAGCTAAATACATGTGAATTTATGCATTTCATTTTGCAAAACATTGGCCAAAATTGGTTCAGATAAATTAAAAATAACTCCATCTAAATTAATATTTTACTTTATCATACCCTCAGGAAAATATGTATGAAAAAATTAGAAAATTTATTGTTTTATCTCAGACAATAAAAATAGGCCATTCTTTTACTTTTTTGAGCCTTTGATTATATTGTTTAAAATAATTTCAACTTTTATTTTAGATCCAAGGGGTATACATACAGGTTGGTTACCTAGGTGTACTGTGTGATGCTGCGGTTTAGGGTATGGTTGATCCTGTCACTGCAGTAGTGAGCATAGTACTTAATAGTAAGTTTCTCAACCCTTACCTCCCTCTCTCGCTCACCCCTCTAGTAGTCCCCAGTGTCTATTGCTGTCACCTTTATGTCCGTGAGTACTCATTATTTAGCACCTTCCTATAAGTGAGTATGTTTAGTATTTGTTTTTCCATTTCCCTGTTAATTTACTTATAATAATGACCTCCAGATGCATCCAGTTGTTGCAAAATACATGAGTTTATTCTTTTTTATGGCTATGTAGTATTTCATAATGCATATATATGACATTTTCTTTATATAATTCACCATTGATGGGTATGTAGGTGGATTCCATGTCTTTGCTATTGTGAATACTGCTGTGAAGAACTTATGTGTGCATGTGTGTTTTTGGTAGAAAGATTTATTTTCTTTTGGATATATACCCAGTAAGAGGATTGCTGGGTCAAATGATAGTCCTATTTTAAGTGTTTTGAAAAATCTGGAAACATCTGTCCATGGTGGCTGAACTAATTTACATTCCCACCAATAGTGTGTATAAGTGGTCCCTTTTCTCCAGAGTCTCACTAGTATTGTTTTTTGACTTTTAAATAATAGCCATTCTGATGGGTGTGAAATGGTATCTCATTATAGTTTTGATTTGTATTTCTCTGATGATTAGTGATGCTGAACATTTTTTCATGTTTTTTGGTCACTAGCATGTCTTCTTTTGAGAATCGTCTGTTCATGCCTTCCCCATTTTTAATGAGGCTATTTGGTTTTTGCTTGTTGAAATGTTTAAGTTCCTTACAGATTCTAAACATTAGACCTTTGTTGGATGATCAGTTTGTGAATATTTTCTTTCATTCTGTAGGTTGTATGTTTATTCTGTTGATAGTTTCTTTTGCTGTGCAGAAGCTCTTTAGTTTAATTAGGTCCTATTGTCAATTTTTGTTTTCATTGCAATTGCTTCTGAGAACTTAGCTATACATTCTTTCCCAATGCCATTGTACAGAATGGTGTTTCCTAGGTTTTCTTCTAGAATTCTTACAGTTTGAGGTCTTACATTTTAATCTTTAATTCATCTTGAACTAATTTTGTATATAGAAATAGGTAAGATCCCAGTTTCATTCTTCTGCACATGGCTAGCCAGCTATTCTGGCACCACTTATTAAGTAGAGAATTATTTCCCTGTTGCTTAATTTTGTCAACTTTGTTGAAGATCAGATGGCTGTAGGTGTGTGGCTTGATTTAAGTGTTCCCTTTTCTTTTCCATTAGTCTATGTGTCTGCTTTTGTACCAGGACCATGCTATTTTTGTTACTATAGCTGTATTTGTCCATTTTCATGCTGCTGATAAAGTCGTACCTGAGACTGGAAAGAAGAAGAGATTTAATAGACTTACAGTTCCATGTGGCTGGGGAGGCCTCACAATCATGGTGGAAGGCAAGGAGAAGCAAGTCCTGTCTTACATGGATAATGGCAGTCAAAGAGAGAGCTTGTACAGGGAAGCACCTGTTTTTAAAACCATCAGATCTCATGAGACTCATTCACTATCACGAGAACAGTACAGGAAAGACTTGCCCCCATAATTCAATCACCTCCCACTGGGTTCCTCTCATGACATGTGGGAATTGTGGGAGTTACAATTCAAGATGAGATTTTGGTAGGGACACAGCCAAACTATATCATTCTGCCCCTGGCTCCTCCCAAAACTCATGTCCTCACATTTCAAAACGAATCATGCCTTTCCAACAGTCCCCCAAAGTCTTAACTCATTTTAGCATTAACTCAGAAGCCCACAGTCCAATGTCTCATCTGAGACAAGGCAAGTCACTTCTGGTTATGAGCCTGTAAAATCAAAAGCAAGTTAGTTACTTCCTAGATACAATGAAGGTTCAGACATTGGGTAAATACATCCATTCCAAATGGGATAAATTGGCCAAATCAAAGGGACTACAGGCCCCATGTAAGTCTGAAATCCAGCAGGGGAGTCAAATCTTAAAGTCCAAATGATCTCTTTTGATTCCGTGTCTCACATCCAGGTCATGCTGATGTAAGAAGTGGGTTTCTATGGTCTTGGGCAGCTCCAACCCTGTAGCTCTGCAGGGTTCAGCCTCTCTCCTTGCTGCTTTAATGGGCTGGCATTGAGTGTCTGTGGCTTTTCCAAGCACACAGTACAAACTGTCCATGGATCTACCATTCCGGGGTCTGGAGGATGGTGGTCCTCTTCACACAGCTCCATTAAGTGATGCCCCAGTAGGGACTCTATGTGGGGGGTCCAACCCCACATTTCCCTTCTACACTGCCCTGGCAGAGGTTCTCCATGAGAGCCCTGCCCTTGTAGCAAACTTCTGCCTGGACATCCAGGTGTTTCTGTATATCTTCTGAAATCTAGGGGGAGGTTACCAAATCTAAATTCTTGACTTCTGTGCATCCATAGGCTCAATGCAACATGGAAGCTGCCAAGGCTTGAAGCTGGCACCCTCTGATGCCATGGTGCAAGCTGTACCTTGGCCCCTTTTAGTCATGGGTGGAGTGTCTAGGACACAGGGCACCAAGTCCCTAGACTGCACACAGCATGCTGACCCTCAGTCTGGATCATGAAATCATTTTTCCTCCTAGGGCTACAGGCCTGCGATGGGAGAGGCTGCCATGAAGACTTCTGCCATACCCTGGAGATATATTTCCCATTGTCTTGGAGATTAACATTTGGTTCCTCATTACTTATGCAAATTTCTACAGCCAGCTTGAAGTTTTCCTCAAAAAATGAGATTTTCTTTTCTATCACATTGTCAGGCTTCAAATTTTCCAAACTTTTATGCTCTGCTTCTCTTGTAAAACTGAATACCTTTACCAGCACCAAAGTTATCTCTTGAATGCTTTGCTGCTTAGAAATCTATTCTGCCAGATACCCTAAATCATGCCTCTCAAGTTCAAAGTTTCACAAATTTCTAGGCAGAGGCAAAATGGCACCAGTCTGTTTGCTAAAACATAACAAGAGTTACCTTTGCTCTAGTTCCCATGGTGGAAGGCAAGGAGGAGAAAGTCACATTTTACATGGATAGCAGCAGGCAAAGAGAGACCTCGTGGAGGAAAACTCCCATTTTTAAAGCCATTTTTAAAGGTCTCATGGGACTCATTCACTATCATGAGAACAGCATAGGAAACACCTGCATCCATAATGCAATCACCTCCCACTGGGTTCCTCCCATGACATGTGGGAGTTGTAGGAGTTACAAGTCAAGATGAGATTTGGGTGGGGACACAGCCAAACCATGTTAGTAGCCTTATAGTATAGTTTGAAGTTGGGTAATGTGATGCCTCTGGCTGTATTCTTTTTGCTTAGGATTTAGTTGGCTATTCAGGCTTTTTTTGGTTCTATATGAATTTTAGAATAATTTTGTCTAGTTATGTGAAAAATGACCTTGGTAATGTAATAGAAATGATGTTAAATATGTAGTTTGCTTTGGACAGTGTGGCCCTTTTAATGATATTGACTCTTCAAATCCAGGAGCATGATATGTTTTTCCATTTGTTTGTGGTGTCATCTCTGACCTTTTTCAGCAGTGTTTTGTAGTTACACTTGTAGAGAACTTTCACTTTCTCGGTTAGATATATTTTTAGGTATTTTTTGTTTATTTGTATTTTGAGGCTACTGTAAATGTTATTGCAGTCTTGATTTGGCTGTCAGCTTCAATGTGATTGGTGTAGAAATGCTTCTAACTTTTGTACATAATTTTGTATCCTGAAAGTTTACTGAAGCCATTTATCAGTTGCAGGAGCCTTTTGGCCAAGCCTTTGGGGTTTTCTATTTATTGAATTATCTCATCAATGAAGAGAGAGTTTGGCTTTATCTGTTCCTATTTGGATCTATTTTAATTCTTTCTCTTGCCTAATTGCTCTGGCAAAGATTCCATGATTATATTGAACAGGAGTGGTGAGAGTGAAGATACTTGTCTTGTTCCAGTTCTCAAGGAGAATGCTTCCAGTTTTTCTCCGTTAAGTATGATTTTGGCTGTGTGTTTGTCATAGATGGCTCTTATTATTTTTAGGTATGTTTCTTTGATGCCTAGTTTCTCCAGAATACTCCACCCATCAAATACAGAATATACATTCTTCACATATACACATAGAACATACTCTAAGATTGATCACTTGCTTGGCCATTAAGCCAGTCTCAATAAATTAAAAAAAAATCAAAGGAATACCAACCGCTTTCTTAGTGGAAAAAAAATAGAAATCAATATCAATATCAAGAGTATCTCTCAAAACCACATATTACCTGGAAATTAAACAATTTACTCATGAATGACTTTTAGGTAAACAATAAAATTAAATAATAAATAATAAATGTAAAAATCATTTAAATTAAACAGAAATGCAACATACCAAAATCTCTGGGATGCAGCAAAAGCAGTTTTAAGGTAAAATTTTAGAGTTAAATGCCTACCTCAAAAAGTTAGAAAGATATCAAATTAAAGATCTAACATCTCACCTATAGGAGCTAGAAAAACAATAATGAAGTAACTCTAAAGATAGCAGAATAAAAGAAATAACTAAAATCAGAAAAGTACTGAATGAAATTGAGACACAAAAATTTATACCAAGTACCAACAAAACAAAAAATTGGTTAATTGAAAGAATAAACAAGATCGATAGACTGAGTAGTTTGACTAATAAAAAAAGAGTGAAGATCCAAATAAGCACAGTCAGAAATAAAAAGGGTGGCATTATAACTGATCCCACACAAATACAAAAGATCCTCAGACTATTATGAACACTTCTGTGCACACAAACTAGACAATCTAGATGAAATTGACAAATTTCTTAAAACACACAACCTTCTAAAATTGAATCAGGAAGAAATTTAAACCCAGCATAGACCAATATCAAATTCCTAAATTGATTCAGTAATAAAAAACCTACCAACCAATAAAAGCCCAGACCCAGTGAATTCACAGCAGAGTGCTTCCAGATATACAAAGAACAGTTGGTATCAATCCTTCTGAAACTATTCCAAAATATTGAGGAGGAAAGAATCCTCCCTAACACATTCTGAAACCTGACAAAGACACAAGGAAACAACAAAAGTACAGGCCAATTGCTAGGATGAACCTAGAGACAAAACATACTCAGCCAAATACTAGGAAATTGAATCCAGCAACATATCACAATGTTAATCCACTGTGATCAAGTAGGCTTCATTCCTAGAATGTGAGGCTTTTTCAACATGTGCAAACCAATAAATGTGATTAACCACATAAACAGAATTAAAAACAGTAACTGTATGATCATCTCAGTGGATGTGGAAAAAGCTTTCCACAAAATCTAACATTCTGTCATTATAGAAGCCCTTATGAATATCCCTTTTTCTTCATCTTAAATGTTCTTCCTTCACATTGCTGCTTAACCTTCAATACCCAATTCCTAGGTAGCATGCCCATAAAACTTTACTTGACTTCTACGTGTGTTGTCTCACTTATCTTTCCTACCCTACAGGTTTTTTTTAACCTAATTTATCATATTTTCCTCTAATCATTTATTCTCTTTCATTGTAGATTGCATTTATTTATTTACTTTTAATAGAACATAGTTGTTGTATTTTTTCTTATTGACTCTCAGGTACAGAGAATTAATTATGTTCTTTAGTTCATGGTACATCATCATTCTTTTCCCATTTGCATTCTTCTCCCCCATCCATAGGTAACATACTCATGTATCTGTTATTTATTGTCATAAAAGTATGGTATAAAGAATGTACCTTAAAAGTGTTTCTTCTTTTTTGGTCGAAAAAAGAGATAGACATCTATATATAGATCTAGACATAGATAGATAGATATAGAATCCATTGATATATGGGTATATATGTATGGTATATAGGTATCTATCCATATGTATGGGAATATATCTATAGTATCTGTCTATAGCTGTATACTCATACATATACAGTGTATGTGTATATGTACATACACAATATATAGCGTGTATAGTATTTATATGTGTAGTATATATAGTATATGTATATACACAAAATATAGTATACTATATATTATAGTATATAGAGATATATATAGAGGTATATATACTGTATAGTATATATCCATATATGATATGTACATTCATAGATATATATACTATATAGTATATATATGCATATGTATATCATACATGGATATATAGATATATAGCCTATATATCTGTGGATATATAGGCTATATATAGATATAGATACTATATATATAGTACCTATATATAGTGTGTGTATATATCTACATATAGGATCATATATTCATAGATGTATAGGCTATATATCTATACACTATATAGTACATATGAATATATATCTTATATATCATATATATCCATATATATGATATATATTCATATGTGCTATATAGTATATAGACCTATATATCTCACTATATATCCATAAGTAGTATATCTATATCTATGGATATATATATAAAATAAATATATTCATAGACATATATATCCATAGATAGTATACCTGTATTATATATTATTATAGATATACGTATACATATATGTTATAGATATAGATATTTTATATATCTGTATAGTATATGTAGACATCTAGGTTGTATTGCACATTTTAATCTGTTGCTTTTAAGAACTTCATAATATCCCTGGTGTGCTTTCTCTACATTTTACTTCAACTTGGAGTTAACACAAAGACTGCTGTAATGTATATTCTTGAATATATTCACATAGAGTCATAATTGATACAGTTTTTCAGCTGTTGAATTACTGAGTCCTGGAATATATGTGATTTTAATGTAAATAACTATCAGACTATTCCCAAGAGTAACAACAGGAACAGGAGAGCTCTTCTATCATTATATCTCTAACAATACTTGGCAACAGCTAGTATTTTAACTTTTGCAAACATTTCAGTGTAAATGGATAACTCATCTTAATTTTGCATTTCTAATTAATGAATTTGAAGATCTCTTCAAAAATTGGTTGGACATTTGAAGCACCTTGTATAATTTGCCTGATTATAGTTTTTGTTAATTTATTATAAAATTTTGTTTCTCTTTTTGATTTGCAAGCATTTGGGTATACTTTAGATATTATATTTGTATCAGTTTCAGATACTACAGGCATCTCTTTTCAGCCCATCAATCATCTGCTAACTTTTCTCATAGTGTCCTTAATTGAAGAAGAATATATGAATGTGATATAATTTAAGTCCTTAACCATGTGCCTTTATATATTTACATAAATTATAAAACATGTTTGCTAGATTTATTTTAAAAATCTAGCAGATATATGATTAGGACTTTTGGTAATACTTTTGTAACACTTGAAATGTTCATAATATTAATATTCCAATGGAGTAGCATGGCATTTCTCTCCATTTTGAAAGGTTTTATATATTATTAGAGTTTTAGATTATTTTCCACATTTTTGGTGTATTCTTTGTTGATTCTTAGGTATTTTAATTTTTAACTGATATTACAAATTATATTTTACTACTGGTAATATTTTGTAGTTTGTTATGGCTGATATACAGAAACAGCATTTATTTTCATATGTTGATCTTGTTCCAGAAAACATACTAAATTCTGATACCTTATTCATTCTATTGGTTTTTGATAATTTATTGGTAATAATTGGTAAATTATTTTATTATCTTTAAACAATAACAGTTAATTTCTTCATTTGCAAAGTTAATACTTCTTATGTGTCTTTTCCTATTGTATTTTTTCAGAACCCCAGTATTCTTATTATTGTGAAACAATAAAAATTATAACTGACATTTTGGACATTCTTGTCTTGTTCCTTATTTTAACAGGAGACTATATCTAAAATGTCTATTTTAAATGAAATATTCACTGTCAGTGTTTTGGATTAGAAACTTGACCATATCAATGAAACTCTCTTCTGTTTATTATTTGGTTTCCTTCCTCATGCTATGTGTTGATTTATACCAGATGCTGTTTCTATATCTCTTAAGTAATCATGAGTTGCTACTTTTATCTGTGGCCAATTACATGGATATATTTTCTGATATGGAATCATCCTTGCATTCTTGAGATAAACAATACTTGATTATTAGGTATTGTAATCACATATAGCAATCTGTTGGATTTAAATGGTATTTTTAAAAATATGTGCCTCTATGATCATACATTAAAAAGGACTATAATTTCTTTAACACTGTCTGTATTGAAAATTGGAATGAAAGGTCCAGTGGTCTTGTAAAATGGCAATATTTTGGTGTATTTCTTTCTCTCACTCTTAATTGGTACATGGATAGATATAAAATATAGTTATTTAAAATAGTATTATCCTATATATCTGTCTATATATCTATCTAGTTTTTATATTTCTTATTTTCCTTAACAGTGTATCTCCATCTCACCACATTTCAAAGTTATCATTTTTATAGTAATATAATATGCTATGAAATAGTAATGAAATATTCTATTAAAGTAATCTGAATTTTTTGGAAATGTTTTTCTTTTAAATAATAAAGCTATAATGATAACTACATGCTTTTGACAACTCAGTGCACCTATCCCAATACTAGTAAGTTCCCTTACCCCAGGGCTACATTTTCAACTTTGTATCCTTAGCACATAGGACAGCTGAGTTGTTTATTGTCTGTTGTTTTCCCATGATTTTTTAAAAAAATTTTCTGTTGGATGATAATGAAAGCTACTTTTGGGGAAATTTTTATGTTTTATTCTACTTGTAAACACTATTCATGAAGGACCCTCTTTTTTGGCTCAGAGTAGTTGCAATTTCTCAGGGCTGCATTTTCATTTTACAACGTGGTTCTCATGAGAGTGTCTCCACTGAATATAAGCACTTCGTTAGATAATGTTAGAGATAACTTAATACATTTTGCTAGCTACAGGAAAGCAATCACACTCCAAGCTCTGAATTTCATCCCTTAGTGAATCAAGAGCAAGTTTCCTATGGAAAGATAGGTTTTTAGCTGAGCTTTTGTTGTTTGAGGAAAGTTAAAGTACAGGATCAAAGGTGAATTATATTGTTATGTCTGCAAAGCCTTTTATTGTTGTGCTGACGTGTTTTGCTTATAGATGAATTCACCAAGAGAGAAGGAGAATGTTTCAGGTGCTACTAGCAAGTGTATATAGAAATAATGACAATTAGGCCTGTGTATATCCACCATTAATAAGAGAATAATTGAGTCGTTTGTGAAATTTTGTGGTCAAAGGAAAGAAAACATATAAGAACTGGATATACACAAGTCTTCTACTGTAATTTTCACCACAGCACGATTCACAACAGCAAAGACGGAATAAACCTAGATGCCCAGCAATGTTAAGAAATCTTTTATTATAGTTTGTGAACTCCATGCCTAAGGGCACCAAGATTCTTTCCACTGTATATGTGGATACCTCTGGTTTTCTTTTTCCTCTGTCTTCCTGCCTTGGGCCCTTGTCCTTGTACAATCTTAACTGAGAAAAAATAAAGAAAGAAATTCCTAACACTAATTGAGTAGGCACGTCTTCCCTCCTGATAAAGGTATTGTGCCATAATGCAAAAGGTGTAGGTTTGAAGTATACTTTGCAAAATGCAGAACTGCAAAATTCCATTATGAATAGGAAAACATTCCTTGTATTTTATGTTATGCTTTATTTTCTGGGATACAACTCAGAATTGTAAAATAGTTTGATTATAAAGATCACATATGCCCTTATACTGGAGCTGCAGGAGCTGCATACTTAATGTTTGTATTATATACGTTTTCTTCTCAATGTATTTTAATCAGTGAATTATAATTGCCTGGAATTTTGTCAGTCATAGACATTTTTCAACATCAAAGTGCTTTAATAAAGGAGACAAAGAATAGGAATAGTATTGTACCAAAGGCATATAAATGCACAGCTGTAGTCTCTATCTTCCAGACACTTTCTATCCTAGACATAAACAAATAAAATGAGCTTTTATTTTTATTGTATAGATTATTCTGATCAATACCCATATTAGCAAATTGTGTAGGCTAGGCCACACAATGTTTTACAGGACTACTTAAATTAGAGTTAATATTAGAATATGTCTGTAGAATGGATGCCGTAAATCAATTAGGTTGCAGTTAATATTTTTGAGTCTCAAAGAAAGGAAGCTATATTAATAAACAGCACTTCCATTAATAATTTTACTCTGTTCTAGAAACAAATCTACTTTTCAGTCCACAATTGGTGTAATGTTACCTGACTTCATTTCATTAATCCGTGCATAGAAATAAAGAAAATATAAATACATAAAAATAAGAGAAAAATAATGACAAATAATGAAAAGATGTAACAATTTAAAACAATTTTTGAGAGTTGAAAGGTAAATGGTTTATACAAAGATTCAAATTAATAGAATTTTTTTCTAAATGTGGTAAAGTGTATAACTATGCATGTGTATACATTTCTTTTTAAACATCTTTTTGTGTTTATAAAAATTGTTCTCACTATAAAACTTCTGGAAAATTTAGCAGCATGTGAAAAGAAAAAAGCACCCAATCTCTCATTATCATTCAAACCCTTGATTCTGTTTGGCATATTTACTTCGAAGCCCTTTTCTGTATTTGTAAACATAGTTGAGACAATTTTGTTTATATGTATTTTAATTATTTTTATTTGATTTTATATCTCCAAGTTTTACCCTTAGTAGCAAATCACCCCTGTTATTAAAACTTATTAAGCAGTGGGTTTTCATCTTACTGGCAATGAGATAAATGATCCTGGCTTACCATGGGACTTTATTTTCTCCCACTCTCTTCTCACTCACTCCACACCAGCCAGCCAATACCTACTTGTTCTTTCTCGACCATGCCAAGAACACCTCTTTCTTTTGGGGTCTTTCCCTTTGCCATCCCCTCTGCTCACAGTGCCCTTTCTCTTAGTGTATATATGGCTTGCTCTCCCTCTTAATTCGAGTGTCTGTTCTAATAACAGCTCATAAGAAAGCCTATCCTTTAAGAAGCTTTATCTAAATAAAGTTTCTCATTCCATCACTGTGTATATTCCTAGTTTACTTGGTTTTCTTCATATTACCTATGATAAGTATTTCTTTTCCTATAGTCTACTTTTTTCCCTGATTTTAGACACACACACCCCCCAAAATTCTAGTAGAGTCTTGTTTTATTGACTGCTCAATTAAGAGAACCTAGACCAATGTTTGATGCATAGTACATAATAATTTTTTTATTTTAGCATTATTTTTTTGAGACAGAGTCTTGCTCTGTCACCCAGGTTGGAGTGCAGTGTTGCGATCTTGGCTCACTGCAACCTCCATCTCCCAGGTTCAGACAATTCTCCTGACTCAGCCTCCCCAGTATGGATTACAGGCATGTGGCACCACGCCCGGCTAATTTTTGTATTTTTAGTAGAGATGGGGTTTCACCATGTTGGCCAGGCTGGTCTCCAACTCCTGATCTCAAGTGATCTGCCCACTTCAGCCTCCCAAAGTGCTGGGATTACAGGCATGAGCCACTGTGCCCGGCCACATATATAATAAATAATTGTTGAATGAATAAGTTATTGGTTTTAAATATTCAATTTCATATATATATCTTATTTCATTTAACTGTATGGTTGGGCAGTGCTTCATTAAATAGTGAAATAATTAGCATATTTAAAATAAGTTTTTTCAAACTATACCACAGGGCTACAGTAACCAACACAGCATGGTACAGGTACAAAAACGGACATATAGACCAATGGAAAAGAATAGAGAACCCAGAAATAAGGCTGCACACTATCAGATCAGATACAAAAATCGGATCTTCCATGAACCTGACTAAAACAAGCAATGGGGAAAGGACTCTCTATTCAATAAATGTTGCTGGGATAACTGGCTAGCCAGATGCAGAAGATTGAAACTGGACTCCTTCCTTATACCATATACAAAGATTAACTCAAAATGGATTAAGGACTTAAATGTAAAACCCAAAACTATAAAAACCCTGGAAGACAACCTAAGCAATATCATTCTGGACATAGGAATGGGCAAAAGATTCATGACAAAGACACCTAAAGCAATTGCAGCAAAAGCAAACATTGACAAATGGGATCTAATTAAACTCAAGAGCTTCTACACAGCAAAGGAGACAGTCAACAGAATAAACAGACAACCTGCAGAATGGGAGAAAATTTTGCAAACTATGAATCTCATACAGGTCTAATATCCAGCATCTATAAGCAACTAAAACAAATTTACAAGAAAAAACAACCCCATTAGAAAGTGAGCAAAATAAAATGTGGTACATATACACTATGGAATACTATGCCGACATAAAAAAAACACAAGATTATATCCTTTGCAGAGACATGGATGTAGCTGGATGCCATTATCCTTAGCAAACTAATGCAGAAACAGAAAACCAAGTATTGCATGTTCTCACTTACACGTGGGAGCTAAATGATGAGAACACATGGGCACATAGAGAGTAACAACCCATACATAA
The DNA here is from genome assembly GCF_000001405.40 of Homo sapiens. Taxonomy (NCBI): domain Eukaryota; kingdom Metazoa; phylum Chordata; class Mammalia; order Primates; family Hominidae; genus Homo; species Homo sapiens. The sequence continues at coordinate 77,191,137 of NC_000006.12, read as the reverse complement.
TCTGTACAACAAACCACCATGACACAAGTTTACCCATTTAGCAAACCTGCCTATGTTCCCATGAACTTAAAATAAAGTTTAAAAAAGTGAGCCATGGACAGGGACAGATGCTTTTCAAAAGAAGAGATACATGCAGCCAACAAGCACATAAGAAAAGCTCAGCATTATTGATGATTACAGAAATGCAGATCAAAACCACAATGAGATACCATCTCACACCAGTCAGAATGGCTATTAATAAAAAGACAAAAAATAGATGCTGGAAAGGTTGTGGAGAAAAAGGAACACTTATACATTGGTGGGAGTTTAAATTAGTTCAACCTTTGTGGAATACAGTGTGATGATTCCTCAAAGACCTAAAAACAGAAATACCATTCAACCTAGAGATCCCATTACTAGGTAGTGTTTTTTTTAAAGTAAACATTAGTGTTCTTCTTTGCTTTTTCCTTTTTTTCTGGTGTTTTGCCTGTAGTCTTTGGCATTTCTTGGCTTGTAGATACATCACTCAATCTTTCACCTTCAGGTGGCATTTTCACTGTGTCTTTGCATCATTTTCCTGTGTCCAAATTTTCACGTTTTATAAGGACACTAATCATATTGGATTAGGGCCTGCTCTAATAAATGCAGCTTAACTTGATTACCTCTTTAAATACCCTATTTCCAAATGGGGTCACATTCATAGTTATTGAGGATAAGAATTGCAATGTCCTTTGAGAGGGATGCAATTCAACCAATAACACTAATGTTTACTTAAAAAAAACATGTTTTACTTTATTTTATTGATCAATATCTGTATTGTAAAGTGCACTGATTTAATAATTATAGTTTCATACTGTTTTATTTGTATAATACAATCAGCCTTCATATATCAACTTTTAAAAATATCTTATTCTCATTTTTATTTACAGATGGGTTTCAGAATATTTTTCTTCCCACATCTGCTAAATCTATAATTTAATCAGGAAAAAATTAATATTTTTCAAGTTTTTTTTCTGTTTAGGAGCATGGTATATTTCTCTATTTTTTTCTTTTATATATGCTCACATGGTTTTATACTTTTCTTCATAAAATACTGTCAGAATGCTTGAGCAGGTTATTTTTTAATTTTTGTGGGTACGTAGTAGGTGTATATATTCATGGGTTGCATGAGATATTTTGATATCAGCATGCAATGTTTAAGAATCATATCAGGATAAATGGGCTGTCCATCACCTCAAGCATTTATCCTTTATGTTATAAACAACCCAGTTATACACTTTTAGTTATTTTAAAATGAACAACTAAATAGTTTTGTACTATAGTCACCCTGTTGTGATATCAAATAGTAGGTCTTACACATTCTTTCTATTTTTGTACCCACTAACCATTCCCACTTCCTCCTTACATCCCCCTCCCCTACCTTTCCCAGCCTCTGGTACCTATCCTGCTATTCTGTCTCCGTGAGTTGAATTGTTTTGATTTTCAGATTCCACAAATAAATGAGAATATGTGATGCTTGTCATTCTGTGCCTGGCTTATTTCACTTAACATAATGTCCTCCAGTTCCATCCACGTTGTTGCAAGTGACTGGATCTCATTCTTTTTTATGGCTGAACATTACTTTATTGTATATATGTACCACATTTTCTTTGTCCATTCGTTGATTGATGGGCACTTAGATTGCTTCTAAATCTTGAATATTGTGAATAGTGCTGCACTAAACATGGGAGTGCAGATATCTCTTTAATATATTGATTTCCTTTCTTTGGGGTATATAGCTAAAAGGGGGATTGCTGGATCATATGGTAGCTCTATTTTTAGATTTTTGAGGAACCTCTAAACTGTGGTTCCTCTGTAGTGGTTTTACTTAGGTACATTTCCACCAACAGTGTTCAAGGGTTTCCTTTCACCACACCCTCACCAGCATTTGTTATTGACTGTCTTTTGGATACATGCCATTTTAACTGGGGTGAGATGATATCTCATTTTAGTTTTGATTTGCATTTCTCTGATTATCAATTATGTTGCACACCTTTTCACATACCTGTTTTCCATTTGTACATCTTCTGAGAATTGTCTATTCAGATCTTTTGCCCATTTTCTAATTGGATTATTAGACATTTTTCTATATAGTTGTTTGAGCTCCTTATGTATTCTGGTTATTAATTTCTTGTCAGAGGGGTAGTTTGCAAATATTTTCTCCCATTCTGTGGGTTGTCTCTTCACTTTGTTGATTGTTACTTTTGCCATACAAAAGTTCTTTAACTTGATATGATTCGATTTGTCCCTTTTTTGCTTTGGTTTCTTTTGCTTGTAGAGAATTACTCAAGAAATTTTGCCCAGACAGATGCCCCGGAGAGTTTCCTTGATGCTTTCTTGTATAATAGTAGTTTCATAGTTTGAGGTCTTACATTTATGTCTTTAATACATTTGATTGGATTTTTATACATGGTTAGAGATAAGAGTCTAGTTTCATTTTTCTGCATATGGATATCCAGTGTTCCCAGACCATTTGGTAAAGATGTCCATTTCCTAATATATGTTATTGGAATCTTTGTCAAAAATGAGATGTATGGATTTAGCTTTGGGTTCTCTATTCTGTTCCATTGATTTATATGTCTGTCTTTATAGAAATACCATGCAGTTTTTGTTACTATAGCTTGGCAGTATAATTTATAGTCAGATAAAGTGATTTCTTCAGTTTTGTTTGGCTTGCTTAGGATAGCTGTGGCTATTCTTGAATTTTGGTGGTTCTATATAAATTTTAGGATATTTTTCTATTTTTGTGAAGAATGTCATTGCTATTTTGATAGGGATTGCATTGACTCTGTAGACTGCTTTTGGAAATGTGCATGTTTTACCAGTACTACTTATTCTATTGGAAAATATTTTCCCTTTTTTTTGTGTCCTCTTCAATTTCCTGAACCAATATTTTATAGTTTTCATTTTAGAGACTTTTCACTTGTTTGGTTAGTTAATTCCTAGGTATTTTATTTTCTTTGTAACTATTGCAAAGTAAGTAGAATTATTTATTTTTCAAATTGTTATCTCTCTGACATATCAAACTGCTATTAATTTTTTAATTTTTATCTTGTACCTTGCAACCACGCTGAATTCATTTATCCATTCGAATAGTTTTTTTGTGTGGAGTATTTAGTTGTTTCCAAATATAAGAGAATTACACCATCTTCAAACAAGAATAATTTTGATGCCTTTATTTTTTCCTGTTGCCTGATTGCTTTGGCCAGGACTTCCAGTACTATGTTGAATAACAGTGGTGAAACTGGACATGCTGTCATGTTCCTGACCTTAGAGAAAAGGCTTTTGTTTTTCCCCATTTGGTATGATACTAGCTATGTGTCTTTTATTATGTTGAGAAATGTATTAATAACTTCTATACCCAGTCTTTTGAGAGTTTTTTAAATGAAATCATTTGAATTTTATCATATGCTTTTCCAGCATCAATTTAAATGCTCATACGGTTTTTGTCCTTCATTCTGTTGATATGATGTGTCACATTGATAGATGTGCATATGTTCATCATTTTTGCATACTTGGAGTAAATCCCATTTGGTCAAGTTGGATAATCTTTTTAATGTGTTGTTAAATTTCGTTTGCTAGTACTTTGTTGAGGATCCTTGCATCAATATTTATCAGTGATATTGGCCTATAATCTTTTTCTGTTGTGTCTCTGTCTGGATTTGGTATCAGCATAATACTGGCCTCAGAGAATGAGCTTGGAAGTTTTCCCTCCATCTTTATTTTTCATAATAGTTTGAGTAAAATTGATATTAATTGTTCTTTAAATGTTTGCTACAATTCAGCAGTGAAACCATCGGGCGTGGGTTTTTCTTTGATGGGAGACTTATTATTACAGCTTCAATTTTATTACTTGTTATTGGTCTGATAAAGCCTTGGATTTCTTCATGGTTTAATCTTTGTCAGTTGTATGTGTCTAGGTATTTATCCATTTCTTCTTGATTTTCCTATGTATTGGCATATACGTTGTTCATAGTAGCCTCTAATAATCTTTTGAATTTCTGCAGTATTAGTTGTAGTGTCTCCTTTTTCATCTCTGATTTTATTTATTTGGGTCTTCTCTCTTTTTGTCTTAATCAGTCTAACTAAAGCTTTATCAATTTTCTTTATCTTTTCAAAATATCAGCTTTTTGTTTTGTTGATTTCATATATTATTTTCTTCATTTCAGATTTATTTCTGCTTTAATCTTGATTATTTCTTTTCTTCTACTAATTTTGAGTCTGGTTGGCTCTTGCTATCGTAGTTCTTTAAAATGCATCATTAGTTTGTTTATGTGATGTTTTTCTTCTTTTTTGATGTAGGCACGTATAGCTATAAACTTCCTTCTTATACTGCTTTTGCTGTGTCACTTAGGGTTTCAGGGTTTTTTTTTTTTTAATTTTTTTTTTGTAGACAAGGTCTCACTATGTTGTTTAGGCTGGCTTTGAACTCCTGGGCTTAAGCAATCCTCCCACCTCAGCCTCCAAAGTGTTTGCCTTACAGGTGCGAACCATCACACCTGGCCCAAAACTGTTTTTTTCTGTTCAGTATCTTCAAGTTGAGTATGTTTAACAATGTGCAATATTTGCATTTTATGTTTGAGATTTGTTTTTATATGAAATTGTCATATATAGTAAAAGAAAAATATTATCCTTCAATGACATTTATTTTTTCCAGTAATTAGGTTTTCTATGTGTGTGCGTGTGTGTGTGTGTGTGTGTGTGTGTCACAGTTTTACTCTGTTGCCAAGGCTGGAGTGCAGTGGCACAATCTCGGCTCACTGCAATCTCCATCTCCCGGGTTCAAGTGATTCTTGTGCCTCAGCCTCCTGAGTAGATGTACTACAGGCATGCACCACCACACCTGGCTAACTGTATTATTAATAGAGATGGGGTTTCTCCATGTTGGTCTGGCTGGGCTCAAACTCTTGACCTCAAGTGATCCACCTGCCTTGCCTAGGTTTTCTACTTCTTAAATGAGTTTTTCATATCATTAAAACCCTTGTTATTTTTTGGTATGTTGTGTTTCCATTATCATTTGTTTCAAGAAAATTTTCAATTACATTCTTAATTTTTTCGTTGGCCTACTGATCATTCAGATGCATACTGTTTAATTTCCATGTGTTTGTATTGTTTCCCAAATTCCTCTTGTTATTGATTTCTAGTTTTATTTTATCATAGTCAGAGAAGATATTTGATATAATTTCAGTTTTTTTGAATGTCTTAAGACTTGTTTTGTGACCTAACATATGGTCTGTCCTTGAGAATGGTCCATGTGCTGTGGAAAAGAATGTGTATTCTGCAGCCATTGAATGGAATGTTCTGTAAATATCTGTTAGGTCCATTTGGTCTATATTAAGATTAGGTCCAATGTTTCTTGGTTGATTATCCTATATATAAGATTAAGTGCAGTGTTTCTTTGTTGATTTTCTGTTTAGAAGATCCATCCAATGCTGCTTAAAGTGGGTGTTGAAGTCTGTAGCTATTATTGTACTGAAGTCTTACCTTTCTTTTTTTTTTTTTTTTTTTTTTTTTGACAGAGTCTCACTTTGTCGCCCAGGCTGGAGTGCAGTGGTGTGATCTCAGCTCACTGTAAGCTCCGCCTCCCGGGTTCACATCATTCTCCTGCCTCAGCCTCCCGAGTAGCTGGGACTACAGGCGCCTGCCACCATGCCCGGCTAATTTTTTTGTATTTTTAGTAGAGACAGGGTTTCACTGTGTTAGCCAGGATGGTCTCGATCTCCTGACCTTGTGATCTGCCTGCCTCGGCCTCCCAAAGTGCTGGAATTACAGGCGTGAGCCACCGCAACCAGCCTATCTCTTTCTTTAGCTCTAATAATATTATCTTTATTATCTCAGCGCTCCAGTGCTGGGCACATATATTTTTAAAATTGTTATATTCTATTGCTGAATTGACCCCTTTATCATTTATAATGACCTTTTTTTGTCTCTTCTTATAGTTTTTGTCTTGAAATCTATTTCATCTGCCTTAAGTATAGCTACTCCTGTTCTTTTTTGGTTTCTATTGACATGAACTATCTTTTTCAATCTGTTTATTTTCAGTCTATGTGTCTTTATAGGTGAAGTGTGTTTCTTGAAGGCAACATATCATTGACTTTTCTTTTTATATCCATTCAGCCAGTCTGCATCCTTGATTGGAGAGTTTAGTTCATCTGCATTCAATGTTGTTAAGTAAGAACTTACTCCTGCCATTTTGTCATTTGTTTTCTGGTCTTCTCTTTCTTCTTTCCTATATCTTTTAGTGAAGGCAATTTTCCCTACTATGATTTAATTTCTTACTTTTTCATTTTTTATATATTCATTGTATTTTTTTTATTTCAAGTTACCACGAGGCTTGCAAATAGTATCTTACAACACATTATTTTAAGCTGATAACAACTTAATACTATTTGCATAAATAAACCATTAGAAAACTAATTTTAAAACTCTACACCTTATCTTTATCCCCCTACTTTTTAACTTTTTGTTGTTTCTATTTATATCTTATTGTACTGCCTATGTCTTGAAAAGTTGTAGTTATTATTCTTGATTGAATAATCTTTTAGTCTTTCTACTTAAGAGTAGTTTACACACAACATTTACAGTTTTATAATATTCTTTGTTTTTCTGTGCACTTCCTATCTGAATTCCTTCTCCGTTGTCTTGAATGTCACTGAGTTTCCTCAAAACAGCTGTTTTGAATTATCTGTCTGAAAGGTCAAATATCTCTGTCTCTCTGGGATTGGCCTCTGGTGCCTGATGTAGTTCATTTCAAGAGGTCATGTTTTTCTAGACAGTCTTAATGCTTGTGGATGTTTGTCAGTTTCTGGACATTGAACAGTTAGGTGTTTATTGTGATCTTTGCAGTGTGAGCTTGTTTGTACCAATCCTTTTTGGGAAGACTTTCTAGATATTTGAAAGATCTTGAGTATTGTGATCTAAGTCATATCTGCATTAAGGGGCAAGCCTACTAACATGTGGTTACCCAAGCCTACTAACACTGTGGCTCTTGCAGACTTGTAGAGGCACCACCTTGTTGACCTTGGATAATATCTGGAAGAATTCTCTGGATTACCAGGCAGAAACTTGTTTTCTTTCCGTACTTTCTCTCAAACTAATAGAATCTCTCTCTCATTATGAACTACCTGGAGCTGGGGGTGAAGTGACCCGAGCACCCTGTGGCCACCACCACTGGGTCTGTGCTTGGTCGGACAGACCTGAAGCCAGGACTGCACCAGGCCTCACCCAAGGCCTGCTGTAACTACTACCTAGCTATTGCTTATGTTTCCTCAAGGCCCTGGGGCTTTACAATCAGCATGTGGAGAAGCCAGCGGGGCTTCGTTCTTCCCTTCAGGTTGGCAAGTTCCCCCAGGCCCTAGGTGAGTCCAGAGGTGCTGTCTAGGAGCCAGGGATGCAGTCAAAACCTTAGAAGTCTACCCTGTGTTCTACTGTACTGTGGGTGTGCTGATGCAAACCATGAAATGCAGTACTTTCAATTCCGTCTTACCCTTTCCAAAGGTAGAACAGCCACACCCTATGGCTACCACCATCACAGGCCCACAGGAAGTACTGTCAGGCTACTGCCAATGTTCTCTTAATTCACACAGGTATTGCTGGGTGTTTCACAGGTGTGTTGTTATTGTGAATGGGTTATTATTTTTTATTTTCCCAATGGTTATTACTAGTATACATAATGATACTATTAATTTTTGTACACTGATATAATATATAGCACATTTGTTTAATCACTTTATTTATTGTAACAACATATAAACTAGTTTTAATGCATGTCCTAAGCATGTAATCATATTACCTACAAGGACTTCCATTTTTACAAAATGATTACACTATTTTGGTTTATTTCCAGACATATTTTATAGTTAAAAACTTTTAGGAATAATAATTATAAAAAACTAGAGTGAATACCATGGTCCTTTTCTTAGGCACTTTATTATCTATAATATTTTATCATTTATCTATGATTTTGCATGCTCGGTAGACGTATTCATTTCTTATTCACAAATATTATTCACTTTTATTTTGAGGTTTTAAATGAAAAATTGAGTATTTTAGTTTTATAAATAGCTTTTGTTTTACATAATCTGTCATATTACCTAATAAATCTGTTGATAGGAAACATGGCAGTTTACCATAGGAATCTACATCATATGAAATTGCTTTGTCCTAATTTTTCTATTCTAGGCCAATATCATTGATTGTAAAATCCTGATCTCTAATCAGAGTACCTGTGGTTTTATGATGAAATTCTGTGAAGAAATTTTAAAGTACTATTTTCCCTTTTAAATCTCAGTTCAATATAATTAACATCTAGAAAATGTGGAACCAACTCCTAGAAAGAGTGCTTTTTATTGTATATAAATTGTATCTCAATAAAATTGATTTTTCTAAATACTGAACCCACATTTGTTTAGTTTTTGTATTAATCTATTAATAAATTTAACTCTAGGTACTATGTTAGAACACTGGGGATACAAAAATGAGCAATGAAGAGTAAGAGCAGAAAACATACATTTTCTCCTTCTATTATGGGAGGAAGTGGTAGCACATAACATTCAAATATTCACATTATGGAAGAGGAGTTTATAAATGCAATAAATAATCTAATAGAATAAAAATATTTAATGGAAGCATGCAGGAATAGGGAAAACAGTTATGTTGATGAGGGAGTGGTGGTCTGAGAAGGCTTTCTAGCAATGGTAATTTTTGAGATGAGTTTGGAAGTATTAGTGAGAATGACAGTTTGAAGGAGAGAGGTAGGAGTGTCATAAAGAAGGGGAAATGCTTATGTAAAACCCTTGTGTCCTAAGCAGCTGAAATGCCTAAGAAACTGAAAGATTATTAAAGAAGCTGTAACTCTATAAAGTGAGCAGGAGAATATTAGATGCAATTGGTAGGGCCAGATGATGCCATGTCTCTATGGATTATGCAAGGAATTTTTATTTTTATCCTAAGAACACTGGGCAGTTGCTGAGGGATTTAGCATAGTTAGGATGAGTTAAATTATCATGGATCATGGTGGAGACAGGTGAAATGAAGAGGAGTGGATGAAGTGACACTTATTTAGAAAATAAAAGTCTATAGCTAAATGAGAAATTAAATCTTCTTCAAAGGTCCCGCCAAATTAGGAAAATGAAACTATGCAGGTCTCATGTCAGGTTGAGCTGCAACAGTGTCTGTTTCCTTCTGAAACTGGAAGATGTGCTTCAGAAAGTGAACAATTGCTCTGGGAGATCGAGTGTATTGCTGAAAACTGGAGTTTTTCTATACCTTATGGATTCTTTTACGTAATATTCTTACACCCCAATATTACAGTTTTGAACCAAAAAACATTTTCTTTAAAACTATATAGCTCACACCTTTAAATTAAGAATGAGTACTTTCATTTTACAAATAGCTTTCATTTTGCATATATAATCCTTGGTCTTTGAGACCTCGCACTTCCTTTAATTTCAATGTATCCATTATCTCTATGCATTAGTTAAGACTATTTTGGTTATAATTCATATAAATTAACTGCGGTAGCATAAGCAAAAGCCACTGCTCTTGCGGAGGACGCATTAATTGTTGAGAAACCAGATTGCATACTTTCTGTGTCCATCTCTCTCTTCTGCCTTCTCTATGTGTCATTTCTCTCAAATGACTTAGTGAAATGTGACTGCCATCAAGTTTACATATTATAGATCCATTTACCAGCCCCCCTTTGTCTCTCTCTCTTTCTCTCTCTTTTTCTCATTGACTAAATTCTAAATTCCAGTGGAAGGGACTCTGATTAAACCAGTTAGGATCAAGTTTCCATCCCTTGTGCAATTAGCCACAATCAGAATGATTGGTTATAAATGAAGATGGCTTCTGTGGATGCCTCTTGATCTGGGAAAAGGAAGTGGCTGGGAGTAAAGGGGTTGAGTTGAGGTGGGAGAACATTCTAAAAAGTTTGCAATTTTGCAGATAATTTTTCTCAAATACTCAATTTAAAAATGGCCTTGATAATACTGTATTTTAATACATCTTTCACAAAGTACAACTGTTAATATGTTATCAAGACCCCTAGAACATACACTTGGAAATATTTTATAGTATTCTAACATAACTATTTTACATAAAGATTTATAAATGTAATATATATTATGACCTGTTATTTTGAAGGCACAACACACATGAGGATAACAACAGAAACTCTTTTTTTTCTATTAAGTTTGCTTAACAATTCCTTTCTCCCCTGGAATGAAATTTTGTGTAAGTCCCATTGCTTTCCCAGTCCATCTAAATAATGAAAGTTGTCTGGTCACTTCAAAAATCTTAAAGAATACGTTTTAGTGTGATAACTGAAATTTGTAACATCCAAGTTAAATTTTTTCTCATCTCTGAGCTTGAGTTTACCTCAGGTAAAAAAGTAGATGGGTAGTTCCCCGTCCCTCATTTGACCTCCTTCCAATTCACCAGCCCTTGTTTCTGCCCTTAAGAAAGAAGATTTAGGTTAAAAGGCACAGATTCATGTCACTGATAGAGTTGTTCTGGGGCATTGGAATGCCTGAGAAGTGGCATATTTGAAAACTAATTTTTCTGTTATGAGAACATGATTGAAGAATCCTTCTGGTTGATTGCTTATGACTCATTGCTTAGCTCATCCACGTGGCCCTCTTGGAGGAGGGTCTTTAAGATAACTCCAGGCCAGCTCTGATTGACAGGTATCACAGCTAGACACCAGAAAACAAACATTTTCCAAGTTAATGAAAGTGCCACTTGCTGTTCATGCAGCCGTGTCTTGGCAGCCTAAAGCAATATAGTCAGAGCCTCTCTCTTCAGACTTTTAAGATATAGGTCAGAGTCCTGTGCTTTCGTCCCTTAACTCCATGAGATCTATGTCATGCTGTTTTAGTGATCATCTTGCAGCCTCTGTCCCTGGACTTAATATAAAAAGGAAGCACTCTTCTTATTCTCCACAGAGCACACCAAAAATTATTCTTAAATTTCCCTTTCACTCTTGAAGTATGGTCTGTGGAGCCGCAGTATGACCTAAGAAATTGTTGAAATTATACAATCTCAGGTCTCCCCTCAGATCTAATGCATTTTAGCAAGATCCCCAAGTGATTTGTACACAAATTAAAGTTTAAGAGCATTGTTTTATTTCACCTCTACTATTTTATAACTTCAATATGGAAGATGGATTAATATTGGCTGAAATGGATTTTGTAATCTCAGCATATCCCGCATAAGTAGTGCAGCACTTGGAAAGGGATTTTGGTCTTTGAGACCTCAGCTAAGACAGAATAAGAGAACTGCTTCAATATATGCATTATTCTAATACTTATCATAAAAATGCAAAATTCAAGAAAATAGGAAGTTGTTATGATTATACTAGTCAAAGACAATTATTGGGAATGTTTTCACTTTTATGTCTATGCCAAATTACATATTTGATATTTCCTTCAAAATAACAATGTAATAAGAATGTGCAATGTTAGTATATTCATAAAGGAGAAACAAAATATTTTATTTTTAATATATTTATTATTCATGAACACGTGCTTATAAAATCATACTACCAAGGAATTTGGTTAAAAGCCTATAATTCCCTTTCATTCCTCTACTCACTATCTCATAACTGATCCCCTCTTCTTAGCCAATTTTCCTATATTATTTGGTAAATATTGTTCAAGACTTTTTTTCTACATATACACATACTGGAAAATGTTTAACATAAATTGGTCTGTAATAGAAATCTGTTTTGCAACATGATTTTTACAGCCTGGAATGCCACAGTGATCCTTGTGTGTTAATACATTTAGATCTAAGTCATCTTGTTAATTACCAGTGTACTAATTATGAATATGCCAGACATTAAGCCACTTCCCTATTGGTGTGTATTTAGATTGTCTTTAAGTTTTACTGTTCTAACATAGCTGCTCTGAACCAAGACTGTTCTAACATAGCTGCTCTGAACCAAGCATCAATTCTACTCCTGCATCACTTCTCATGTTATCAGTGCACTGGAGTTCCTTTAAGTTTTCTATTCTTAGAAAGTATTTGGCCTACACCTCTATTTGAAGTACAGATTTCTCACTCATGCGCTACACTGTTGAAGATCCATGAGACTCACTGTGAGTCAACAATCTTCCTCAAAGCAATTTGGCAAGACTTTCCCACAAAGTCTCATTCTCTGGCTGCTCACTGTCTACGGCCTAATTCTTGGATATTTTTCTTTCCATTTTTAGATTATCATGTCTACTTTTGGTCTCCTGAGTTTAAACTGCCTTCTCTTTCTTTGTAGAAACAGATTCCAACTGAGTCCCTGGCACTACCCACCCATCCAGGTTCAGCACTCTCTCCAGCTTTGGGTGTGAAAATTCTCAAACCAGCTCCCAAAAGATTCACCCAGCATTAGGCATATGAATGCAAATTAAAACCATGATGTGACAATTTTTTGTGACATTAAAAGAAAGAAAAAAAAATTACAAAACACAGTGTTGATGAAGATGTGTGGAAGTCAGTACTCCTTTTCACTGCTTCTAGTAGAATTTATATCACAAGCTTTAAAACGGCGCTTCCCTATTGACGCAACCGTTAAACTTCAAGAAAAAGTGTTCTGAGAACATATTCATGATACTTGCAAATCTTTATCTTTAGTGATTTCAGATCCAGAATGGTTTATAATTGCAATACATTTGAAGCTACTGTTTGTCCTAGAAAGGACTAGTATTTCGTTTTGAAGGCGGGGGGTGATAAAATCATTAAAAATAATGATGTGAAAGATTAACTGATAACATAAAAAACTTTTCCTTATATTGTTAAATGAGCCAAAGCAAGTTATAAACCAGTTTATACAGACTACTCTTTAAGGAACTGTAGATCAATACTTTCTCTGTCTAGTTTTCTAAATTTAACCTTACTACAGATAATTTCTCACAATCAGACAGAATAGTCAGGATAGCACATGCTGGAAGCCTAATGACAATGCCCTTGATGTCAGTGAGTTTTAGTAGCCTGATAAAGTATATTACTTATAATGTGATTTGTTTTATATTTTAATTAAAATCATTGTTTACTAGTAACTTAGTTTGTAGACTAATTTATTTTGAGCATAAAACCTCTAGTCTTTTGCTAATTTGAATTGATACCATTTTTATAAGAATTAGTGAGAAATGCTAACGTCAGTCTTTCTGCCGTATTTGACACAGTAGAGTTATCTTCCTGATTAAATCTCTCTGTCTTGCCTTACAAAACATTTTATAGTCCAGCTTTCTCCCTCCCTGATAGTACTATTCTCTGGCTTCCTTTCTTCTTGTTTCTCCATTATTATGAATATTCCCAAAAATTCCACCTTTGAGCTTTGCCCTTATTTCTCATTTCTAATGGCAATAGCAATTCATTCATTCACTCACTCACTCATTCATAAATATGTTTTTTCAACACATACTTATTACTTAATGTTCCACACACTGGGATGGATGATGTCATACAATTTTGAGTAGGTCAGACTGACTTACTTAAATCACACAAGACATTTAAAGTTTAGTGATGTTGATGTATGAATAATAGTAGCCAACATTATTAAGTGTTTTTAATGAGTAAGGTACTAATACATTACATTAAGTTCTCACAAAACCTAATGAAGTGGACATTAATTTCATCCAGAATTTAGAGAAGAGTCTTATCATCATAAGTATGTTTTCTATGTTGTATTTATATGAGCAGGTGAGGATTTTTTCAATAGGTCCATTCTCTTCACCTGCCTAGTAGGGGCGAACCATGCAGTGGTTTAATGACAGTAGTTACTGCCTGGGAATCCCATTACAATCACCTGGAGGAGCTTTTGCAACTTTCAATTCCCAGGACACCTTTCAAACCAACTAAATCAGAAACTCCTGGGAAGGCAGGGGGGCATCAATGTTATTTAAAACTCCCAAGATAATTTCAATATACTGAAGTTAAGAATCACAGCTTAAACTTTGTTTGCATATCAGAATTATCCAAGGGGCTTCAAAACCTGATGTTAGGCATTCCTAGCAATTTTGATGTAATTGTCCTGAGGTTGAGACCAGGCATTAATACTTTTGAAAATCCATAGATAGATAATTAGATAGGATTAAGAATCTCTGTAATGGGACCCCCCATTTACTTACTTATAATTGTTAGATATGTTAAATTATCTTAAATGATTGTTTAGCCCTACCTTAAACCTTTTTCACTCAAAGAAAATAGAATGTCTTTGAGAGTTTATTTAGTCTTTCTGCAAAGAAGTTGGTTCTATAATCATAGTTGGCTTTATTCCATTTGCTAAAAACAATACCCTTAACAGGGAATTGCTCACTCATTCATTTGTTTTAGTTTTAAAATATTGTTTTTCCTTACCAAATTGTTTAATATTCAACCAAGACAAAATAATTCAAGTAATTCAATAGGTATTTGTTTACTAATAATTATGTGAAATGCCATACCATACCATTTTCTGCCAACTTAATGCAAAGAAATACATGAACATAAAATAATCATTGACGTAGTCATTCTGAATATCACATAAAAGAAAGTTAATTCTAAAATGTGTAGTTTAACATTGACTTAGAATTGGTGAGAAAGCACACCAATATCACACTATTAAACTATGCAATAATTAATTGAATATTTAAATTATTATATTTTAATATTTGTACTTGTCTAACCACATATTGTCCAATATATTAATAAAACATCTGTAATCCCTTCTTGTAGCTGTAATTAAAACAGAGCCTTGCTTTAACTGAAAAATGATTTTAACTAATAATGTATATTTACACAAAACTTACCATATGTAACATAATACATATAATATTATAATACAATACATATTGGACAAGACAATTTTTGTGGCCACGTATTTGCAGCATTCTTTAACAGGAATTGTTGGTGCTATTTGAAAACATACCCTGAATATAATTATTTATCATATTTCTACTGTCAAAACTCTAATCCAGTTCTCCATAGTCTTTCACCTGGACTACTGTGGTACCCTACTATCTAGTCTTCCTACTTAATTATTTTTCCCTATAATCCATCCACTCCACATTAACAAAAGTAATATTTTAGGAATACAAATCAGGTGATATACTTTTCTTGTTTACAACTCTCCAATGGTTTCTGTCAGAATTAGAGAGGCCGGGCACCATGGCTCACACCTGTAATCCCAGCACTTTGGGAGGCCGAGGCGGGCAGATCACCTGAGTTCAGGAGTTCCAGACCAGTCTGGCTAACATGAAAAAATCCTGTCTCTACTAAAAATACAAAATTAACCAGGCATGATGTTGCATGCCTGTAATCCCAGCTACTCTGGAGGCTGAGGTAGGAGAATCACCTGAACCTGGGAGGTGGAGGTTGCAGTGAGCCAAGATAGAGTCACTGCACTCCAGCCTGGGCAACGGAGTGAGACTCTATCTGAAAAAGAAAAAAAAGATTTAGAATAATTTTTATCACAATTAAAATAGAAGGTCCTACCTCTCTTTCCTCTCCTCATGTCATTTACTCTGTCATTCACTAAGCTGTAGTGGCATTAATCTTTTTTATTGTTGTTGTTCCTCTAATATGCCAGAGCATTTGCAACAGCTCTAGCTTCTACTTGAAATGTTCTTCCTGTAGATCTTTGTGTGATCCCTTTAGTACCATGAAGAACTGAATGATCAAAGCATCCTCTCACAAACCATAGCACTTACCAATACAAGAGTGCCAAATAATTACTAAAGTATACAAGGAAAAAGCAAGTAAACAAACCATATTTCACCATTGTTTCCAGGATAGCCAATTGAAATCATAGGCATGTGATTCATTTGTTACACAAGATAGATTAGAAAACCTGAATAGCTATATGACTGTTAGGGAAATTGAATTTGTAGTTACAGCCTTCTGAAAAATAAATTTCTAGGCTCAGATATATCCACTATAAAGTCTACCAAACACTTAGTGGAGAAATAATACCAAATCTGCACAATCTGTGCCAAAGAATAGAAGAGAAGATTACACGTCCTAACTCATGTTATAAAGTCAGGATTAGCCTTGTATCAAAATTATACAGATAATAAAAAAGAAAAGAAAATACAAACCTATTTCCATCATGAATATGGATGCAAAAATTCTCAAAAATATGTTAGCAAATAATGCCCATGAATATATTAAAACATACTAAAACACTAATGTACCATGACCAAGTGGGATTTAGTCCAGGCATACAAGGATGGTTTAATATTAGAAAATCAGTCAATGTCACCCACCACATCAGTAGTCTAAGGAAGAAAAGTCGCATTTTCTTATCAATGGATGTAAAAATATTTGAACAAAAATCCAACACCTATTGAGATTAAAGGTTGAACTTATTTTTTTCCCCAAGATGGTGGATTAGAGGCTTTGTTAGCATGCCTCATCTACTTGTAAATAGCAAAATAGTGTGTGGAATTTCACAGTGATCTTTTATTCAAGAAGGAAAATGAGAATTCATTGGAAAAGTGAAGTACACTTCAGATTCCGGGAAAGAGAAGTTGGGCAAGCAGCCTTTATGATCACATTTGGCTGAGAACTGTGAGTGTAACCCCAATATGGGAGAAGGACAGAGAGTGTACCTCTGTGATCTACCTTTCAATGGGGGAACCATACAACCAGGCCATGGAAGAGCACCTTGTCCCTCCCAAGTGCTGGATCTGACTTGGGGAGTGGCTGAGTGACTGTGAAAAGGAAAGGCGCTAGAAAAGACTTCAGGCATTTTCCCAGGAGGATGCCATTCTCTATCCAGGCACATACCAAGCCAGGTAATATTTGGCAATCTGGCTGCAGTGGCCACTGAGTACATTTAAGTCTTGGGCTGGAGATTGAAGCACTTGGTTTGGAGTATGGGAAGGGCGCCCATCAGCAGAACTGAGAGGCAAGTGTGGAATGTACTCCAGCTGCAGGCACTGGAATTGGGCTCTCTCCCTCATGGGACTAGAGCAGGAGGAGATTTTGCTGGAGCCACAGTTTTGCCTGGGTGGCAAGATTGCAGACAGCAACAGCTTTGTACCTGGGGACCAGTCTATGTGTGACATTGCAGGGTACCTCATCTTGCTCTCTTAGGAAAGAGACTGAACTCTGCTGATTCCGAGGAGTGGGAGGGAGGCTGATCCCAATCCTACTTGCCTGGATTGAAAGCGTGGGCCACCCCTCCCTTCCTGTGCGGGGAACTTGGTGCATCAGTGGTTTCTCAACTCCTTGCCTGGGCATATCTCTGGGCATTTGGTGGCTGCCCCTTGGACTCCCACTGAAGCTGGTGCTTGCACCAGCCATTGGGGGACTCACGTGTCATCTTGTCCAGTCCAGCTCTGCCCAGCTTCATTTCCCCCACTCTGGAGCTAAGTATGGAGCCCGGGTGACGGTACATTCCATGGCCCTGCCCATTGCCTGAGACACTGGAGAACTCCTGGTAAACAAAGATCAAGCAGAAGGCCTACTGTTACTTCCACATCCAGCTTTTGCCTGCTAGCGTCACCTACTGGCCTAGAGGTAGGCCTGAACAACCCAATACATAATCTGCTGACACAACTGTATGGCACTTGGGAAAAACATACAGTTCTTAAAAATCCTGCCACCTCAGCTTCACAGGAGGCTGTGAGACTGCTCACATGCACAGTGTACCACTTCTACAACCAGCATTTGAGCCACCACAATAAGGCTATCTATAACCAAGGAATTCATACGGTGCGTCACCATTGAAAACATACAGAAGCAAAGCCAAATAATCCATGAAAACATACAGAAGCAAAGCCAAATAATCAACATACATTATAGTCACATCCTCAAGGAAAACAAAGTCCTGTCCCAGTGAAAATAAACTCGGAGAGTGGACGGAAGAAAGACACAGAAGCTGGGATGAAGGGAGAGAAAGTTGGGAACCCGCATGGGCTATTGTGCACCAGGATTCGTTTTTAACCACAATAGCTCTGAGGCAATGGGTGAGTTGAACTGGCAAGGAGCAACCCACTCTCACCATGGGCTCTGAAACCCCACCAGGAAGGGACCCCTTGACCACCACAGACACTTGAGATGACTGGGAGAGTTGCTTAAAGAAGTGGGGTGGGGCAGCAACCAGCTGATGTGGAGCCCAGAGGGTTGGTGCTGGAGCACCTGTAGTGGAGCATGGCCAGGGACAGCCATTCTTCTAGGCTCAACTTTCTCCCATAAGAGACTTTAGCCCCAGGGGCACTATTTGATGTGATCTTTGCAGGATGGTCTTGCACATCAGACGGTGCTGGTCGGACCTGAGCACCCGTTGGTCTGCTGGCCTCTCCCAGGGGCCCAGCCTGCCCACATCTGCTTACAGGGCAGTCTTGGTTGCCCTGCGGGCCCACACCATAGCTTCTGTGCCTGACCAGTAGAGAGCTCCAGTGAGGTGACCCCTATGGCCGCACACTAGCCTGCATGCTCTCTTCCTATACTGCAGCATCCCCTGAGCCCATGGCAATGGGACTGGTATGTGTCTGCATGGGTGCGTTTTACTTTACTTGCACCACTAGCAAATGAGAGTGCAGTCCATCACCTCTCTCCATGCTTGCCACCTTTGCAGAGCAAGCCTTGGTGAGCACAGAGCCAGCCAGCCCCATCCCCACCAGTGCCCCAACCCTGCACTAACACTGTGCAGAGAACAGTGGATCCTCCCATACCCTGAACAATCATTCCTGCTTGTGAGGCTAGCCAAATCCAGTAGTGCCTCAAAAAGTTTATCCACCACAGTCAAGTAGGCTTTATCCCTGGATGCAAACTTGGTTCAACATACACAAATCATTAAATGTAATTCATCACATAAACAGGACCAAAGACAAAAACAACATGATTATCTCAATAGAAGCAGAAAGGTCTTTCAACAAATGTCAACATCTCTTCATATTAACAACCCTGAATAAACTTCGTATTGAAAGAACATACCTCAAAATAATAAGACGCATGTATGAAAAACACACAGCCAACATCATACTAAATGTGCAAAAGCTGGAAATATTTTCCTTGAAAACCAGTATAAGAGAAGTACGCCCTCTCTCACCACTCCTATTTAACATAGTATTGGAAGTTCTGGCCAGGACAGTCAGGCAAGAGAAATAAATAAAAGTCATCCAAATAAAAGAGGAAGTCAAACTATCCCTGTCTGCAGATGACATGATTCTATATCTAGAAAACCCCATAGCCTCAGCCCAAAAGATTCTTAAGCTGATAAACAACTTCAGCAAAATCTGAGGATACTAAATAAATGTGAATAAAATTACTAGCATTCCTACAGTCAATGTAAGAGCCAAATGAGGAACATACTCCCATTCACAATTGCCATGAAAATAAAGAATACCTAGGAATACCGCTAACTAGGGAGGTGAAAGAGCCCTGCACGGAGAACTACAAAACACTGCCCAAAGAAATCAGAGACAGCACAAAGAAATGTTAAAATATTTTATGCTTATGGGATAGGAATAATCAATATCATTAAAATGTCATACTGCTTAAAACAGCTTACAGATTCAATGCTACTCCTATTAAGCCACCATGAAATTCTTCACAGAACTAGAAAAAAAAAACTGTTTTAAAATTCATATGGAACCAAAAGAGCCCGAATATCCAGAGAAATCCTAAGCAAAAAGAACATGGCTGGAGGCATTGTGCTACCTGACTTCAAACTATACTACAGGGCAAGAGTAACCAAAACAGCATGGTACTGATACAAAAACAGACACATAGACCAATGGAAAAGAATAGAGAACCCAGACATAAGACTGCATACCAACAAGTATCTGATCTTCATTGAATCTGACAAAAACAAGCAATGGGGAAAGGATTCCCTATTCGATAAATGGTGGTGGGATAACTGGCTAGCCACATACAGAAGACTGAAACTCACTCGTTTTGTATACCATATACAAAAATTAGCTCAAGATAAATTAAAGACTTAAATGTAAAACCAACCCAAAACTTTAAAAAACCTGGAAGATAACTTAGGCAATAACGTTCTGGACATAGGAACAGACAAAAAATTTATGAAAAGACACCAAAAGCAATTACATAAAAAGCAAAAATTGACAAATGGGATCTAATTAAACTCAAGAGCTTCTGCCCAGCCAACTGTCAATAGAGCAAACAGACAATCTAAAAAATGGGAAAAAAAATTTGCAAACTCTTCATCTGACAAAGGTCTAACATCCAGCATCTATAAGGAACTTAAGCAAACTCACAAAAAAATAAAAAATGGGCAAAGGACATGGAGAGACACTTCCTAAGAAAACATATATGTGACCAATAATCATATGAAAAGATAAAAACTCAACATCACTGATGATCAGAGAAATGCAAACAAAAACCACAATGAGATACCATCTCAAACCAACCGAGTGGCTATTACTAAATAGTCAAAAAATAACAGATGCCAGTAAGGTTGTGGAGGAAAAGATGTACTTATACACTGTTGGTGGGAATGTCTATTAGTTCAACTACTGTGGAAGATAGTGTGGAAATTCCTCAAAGACCAACATACAGAAATACCATTTGACCCAGCAATCTTATTACTGTGTTTATACCCAAAGGAATATATATTTTTATGTTATAAAGACACATGCTGGCCAGGTGAGGTGGCTCATGCCTATAATCCCAGCATTTTGGGAGGCTGAGGTGGGTGAATCACTTGAGATCAGGAGTTCGAGACCAGCCTGATCAACGTGGCAAAACCCTGTCTGTACTAAAAATCCAAAAAAAAAAAAAAAAAAAAAGCTGCACATTGTGGCACACGCCTGTAATCCCAGCTACTTGGGAGGCTGAGGGAGAATTGCTTGAGCCTGGGAGGTGGAGGTTTCAGTGAGCTGAGATAGTGCCACTGCACTCCAGCCTGGGCAACAGAGCGAAACTCCATTTCCCAAAAAAAAAAAAAAAAAAAAAAAAAAAAGACACATACATATGTTCATTACTGCGCTATTCAGAATAGCAAAGACAGAATAGAGTTAACCTAAATGCCCATCAATGACAGACTGGATAAAGAAAATGTGGTAAATATACATCATGGAATACTATGCAGATATAAAAAAAGAATGAGATTAAGTTGTTTGCGGGACATGGATAAAGCTGGAGGCCGTTACCTTCTAACAAACTAATGCAGGAACAGAAAACCAAACACCACATTCTCTCACTTATACATGGGAACTAAATGATGAGAACACAGGGACTTACAGAGGGAAACAAATCACATTGGGACTTATAAGAGGGTAGAGGTTGGGAAGAGGGAGATGATCAGAAAAAAATAAATAATGGGTACTAGACTTAATACCTGGGTGATGAAATAATCTGTACAACAAACCTCCATGATACAAGTTTACCTATGTAACAAACCAGCACATATACCTCTGAACTTAAAAGTTAAAAATAATATTTTTAAAAGTACACTCAAAAATAAGAAGTGACAGTCACTGCAGATGAAAAGAAACCAAAATAACAATTCTAAAACTATTTTAAAAAACTGTTTTATGAAACTCCTAAAGGATCACACTAACTTTCCAGCAATGGGTCCTAAGCAAAATGAAGTTATTGAAATACCAGATACAGAATTCAAAATACTGATTTTTAAAGAAGCTCAATTAGGATAAAGAGCAAACTGAAAATGGTTACAAATAAATCAGAAAATCAATCTAGAACATGAATGACAAATTTACCAGATAAACAGATGTTTAAAACATCAAAAAGAACTTCTGAAAATGAAAAATCTCTTGAAGAAATTACAAAAAATAGATAAAGTCTTCAGCAACAGACTAGATGAAGCAGAAGAAAATAAATCTCAGAACTTGAAGAAAAGTCTTTTGGATTAATCCAGTAAGACAAAAACATTTTTTAAAAATGAATTAAAAATAATGAAAAAGGAGTACAAAATATGGCCAAACATATAAGTCAAGCAAAAAATTTGGAAAACTTATTTAGGAAAGTAATTAGTAAAAAATTCCCTAGTCTAGCAAAAGATTTAGGTATCCAGATACAAAAGTCACAACAAAACCCAGAAAAATACATTGCAGGAAAGGCTTCATCATGAAATACAGTCATCAGACTTTCTAAGGCCAATGTGAAGGAAATAAATATTAAAATCAGGAGGAGAAAAGCATCTATCACCTATAAAGGTAACTCCATCAGACTAACAGCAAACTTCTCAGCAGAAGCATTACAAGCCAGCAAAGATTAGGATTCTATTTTCAAAGTGCATAAAGAAAAAAAAATGTCAATCCTGATTTTTGTGTCCTACTAGAATAAGTTTTATAAATGAGGAAATAAAGTCTTTCCCTGACAAGCAGATGCTGAGGGACTTTATCACCACTAGACCAGACCTCCAAGCAATGTTCAGTGAAGTTGTAAACATGGAAACAAAAGACTGATACTCACCTTCATAAAATCACACAAAACTATAAAACTCACAAGTATAAAAAACAATTTCACAAGTGAAGAAGAGAAAGAAATCAAACACCAATATGACAGAATTCAAGCAAACTAAAAGACAAAAAGAGAAAAAAAAACAATGAATCTACACAGCAACTAGACAACAATTAACATCATGACAGGAACAAAACACTCAGATTAACCTTGAACATAAATAAATTTAATGCTCCACTTAGAAATAAAGTGGTGAAATGGATTAAAAATACAAACCAACTATATGTTACTTATAAAAAACTTCAACTTACTGGTAAAGACAGTTACAGTCCGAAGGCAAATGGGTGGAAAAGGATATTTTATGCAAATGGAAAGAAAAAGCAAGCAGGAGTAGCTACCATTATATCAAATCAAACATACTTTAAATCATCAACAGTTAAAAAAAAAAAAGAAAAAGAAACTCATATCATGGTAAAGGGACCAATTCACAAGAAGATATGAAAATTCCAAATATACATGCACTTAACACTGGAGCACCCAGATTCATGAAACAAATATTACCAGACCTAAAAGAGACAGACAACAATACAATAATAGTGGAGGACTTCAACACCCCATTGACAACACTAGAAAGATAATTGAAACAGAAAATCAAGAAAGAACAGTAGACTTAAATTGAACTTTAGACCAAATAAACTTAATTTGTAGAGATTTCTGCCCAAGAACTGCATAATACACATTCTTTTCATCAGTACATGACACATTCTCCAAGATAGACCATATGTTATGCTACAAAACAAGTCTCAATTAATGTAAAAAATATAAATTATGCCAAGTATTTTGTCAGACCACAGAGGAATAAAACTAAAAAATAAATTAAAGACAAACACTTGAAATTATACAAATATAAAAAAATTAAACAACATACTCCTGAACAATATTTAGGTCAACAACAAAATTAAGACATATTTTGAAAATTTTATTGAAACAAAAAGGGAAACACAACATACAAAAAACTCTGAGATAAAGCACAGCAGTGCAAGAGGGAAGTTTACAGTATTAAATGCCTAGATCAAAATATCACAAATTAGCAACCAAACATCTCATTTACCTCAATTAAGAAGTAAAACAAGAACAAACCAAACCCAAAGCTAACAAAAGAAAGGAAATAACAAAGATCAGAGAAGAACTAAATGAAACTGAGAATGAAAAAATCATACAAAGGACCAAAAAAACAAAAAGTTTGCTCTTTTTGTTCTTTGAAAAGATACAAAAAATTGATTGAACAATAGCTATATTAACCAAGTTAAGAGAATACTATGCAGCCATAAAAAATGATGAGTTCATGTCCTTTGTAGGGACATGGGTGAAGCTGGAAACCATCATTCTCAGCAAAGTATCGCAAGGACAAAAAACCAAACACTGCATGTTCTCACTCATAGGTGGGAATTGAACAATGAGAACACATGGACACAGGAAGGGGAACATCACACACCAGGGACTGTTGTGGGGTGGGGGAAGCGGGGAGGGATAGCATTAGGAGATATACCTAATGCTAAATGACGAGTTAATGGGTGCAGCACAGCAACATGGCACATGTACACATACGTAACAAACCTGCACGTTGTGCACACGTACCCTAAAACTTAAAGTATAATAATAATAAAATTTTAAAAAAGACTCAAGCAGATATAATCAAAAATTTAAAAAGAAACATTGCAACTGATATGACAGAAATACAAAAAATTATCAGACTACTATGGAAAACTGTATGTCCACAAACAGGAGGAAATGAATACATTCCTGGAAACTTCCCAAGATTGAACCAGCAAGAAGTAGAAATCCTGAACATATCAATAACAAGTAGTGAGAATGAATCAATAATATCTCCCTAGTACCCCTAGAAAAAAGTGAAGACCAAATGAATTCACAGCCAAACTCTACCAACTGTGCAAGGAAGAACTATTACCAATCCTCCTAAAATGCTTTCAAAAAAATCAAGGAAGAAGCTTTCTAACTCACTTTACAAAGCCAGTGTTAACCTGAAATCAAAGCCAGGCAAGAGCACAACAGAAAAGGAAAACTTAAGACTAATATTTCTAATAAACATAGATGAAAAATCCTTAACAAAATATGAGGAAACGGAATCCAACAGCAAATCACAAAGATAATACACTGTGATCAGGTGGGTTTTATTCCAGGGAAACAAGGATGGCTCAAATACACAACTCAATATACGTGATTTATCACATAAACAGAATTAAAAACAGAAACCATATGATCATCTCAATAGATTAAAAAAAGCACCTAATAAAAGTTAGAATCCCTTCATGATGAGAACCTTCAACAAATGAAAACCATCAACAAACTAAGCATCAAAGGCACATTCCTTAAAATAATAAGTCATTCATGGCCAGGTGTGATGGCTCACACCTGTAATCCCAGCACTTTGAGAGGCAGGAGGATCACTTGAGCCAAGGAGTTTTAGATTAGCCTGGGCAACACAGTGAGACCTCATCTCTAGAGAAAATACAAAAATTAGCTGAGTGTGGTGGCATACACCTGTAGTCCCATCTACTCAGGAGGCTGAGGTAGGAGGATCACTTGAGCCTTGGAAGTCAAGGCTATAGAGAGCCATGATTGCACCACTGCACTCCAGCCTGGGCAACAAAGTGAGACCCTGTTTAAAAAAACTTAAAAGCTATTTATAACAAATCCAGAGTAAATATCATTCCTAACAAGAAAAAGCTGAAAGCACTTTTCCTGAGATCTTGAACAAGGCAAGGATACCCACTTTCACTATTCCTTAACATAGTACTGGAAGTCCTAGCCAGAGCAATCAAGAACGAGAAAGAAATAAAATGCATCTGAATTGGAAAAAGAGGTAGTAAAATTATTTCTATTTGCTGATGATGTGATCTTACATCTAGAAAACCCTAAAGGTGCCTCCAAATGATTGCTAGATTTAATGAAGCAATTTAGTAAAGTTACAAGCTACAACATAAATATACAAAAATTAGTCGCATTTCTAAACACCAATAATGATAAAGCTAAGAACCAAATCAAGTAGTGAATCCTATTTACAATCATTAAGACATTCCTAGAAATATATTTAACCAAAGAAGTAAAAGCATTCCATGTTCATGGATTGAAAGAAGCAACGTCATTAAAATGACCAAACTGCCCAAAGCAATCTACAGATTCATTGAAATTCCTATGAAAATACCAAATTCACTTTTCATAGAATTAGAAAAAAATCTAAAATTCAAATTTAGATGAAACCAATAAAACAGGCCGAATAGCCAGAGCAATTCTAAGCTGAAATAATAACGACAAGCTGGAGGCGTTACAGTACCTGACTCCAAATTAGACTACAAGGCTATGGTAACCAAAACATCACGCTACTAGCACAAAAATAAATACATTGATCAATGGAACAGAATAGAGAACCAATAGAGCAACATAATTATATCCAACTGATCTTTGACAAAGTTGACAAAAACATAACCTGGGGAAAGAACTCCCTATTCAAGATATGGTGCTTGGAAAACTGGACTGCCATATATAAAAGAATAAAGCTGTAGCCCTCTCCCTCACCATATACAAAGACTTAAACATAAGACCAAAAACTATAAAAATCCTCCAAAATAAGCTAGGAAAAACTCTTTTGGATATTGGCTTGGGCATATAACTTATGACTAAGGCCTCAAAGGCAAATGTAACAAAAATCACAATAGATAAATGGGACTTAATTCAACTAAAAAGCTTATTCACAGCAAAAGAAATAATCAACAGTTAAAAAAAAAAAGACGTACAGGAAAAGAAAATATTTTCAAAGTATGCATCCAATGAGGTAAATATCCAGAATCTACAAGGAATTCAAACAACTCAACAAGAAGAAAACAAACAATCCCATTAAAAAGTAGGCAAAGGACATGAATAGACATTTTGCAAAAGAAGACATAAAAATGGCCAAGAAGCATATGAAAAAATGCTCATCATCACTAATCATTACAGAAATGCAAATTAAAACCACGATGAGATGCCATCTTATGCCAGTCAGAATGGGTGTTATTAAAAAGCCAAAAAATAACAGATGTTGGTGAAGATGCAGAGAAAAGGAATGGTTATACAATTTTTGGTGAGAATGTAAATTTTTACAATCTCTACGTAAAACGCTAGAAGATTTCTCTAAGAACTAAAAATAGTACTACTATTTCATCCAGTAATCCCACTACTGGGTATCTACCTAAGGAAAAGAAATCATCATTTTGAAAAGATACATGTACAGCACTACTCACAATAGCAGAGATATGGTATCAAGTTTACATCAGTGGATGATTGAATAAAGAAAATGTCACATATATAAATAGAGCTTACCATGAATGAAGCTTGCAGAAATGGGAGCTGCTCTGGGTGAGTCAGTGAGTGAGTGGCAAATGAATGTGAGGGCCTAGGAGTTTACTGTACACTGTTATAGAATTTATAAGCACTATAAACTTAGTCTACACTAAATTAAAAAATAAAATACCATCAATATTCAATTAATCTTAGCTTACTGTTAACTTTTTTACTTTCTAAACTTAATTTTTTTTATTATTTATTTATTTATTTTTTTTTTTGAGGCGGAGTCTCGCTCTGTCACCCAGGCTGGAGTGCAGTGGCGCGATCTCGGCTCACTGCAAGTTCCATCTCCCGGGTTCACCCCATTCTCCTGCCTCAGCCTCCTGCGTAGCTGGGACTACAGGCGCCTGCCACCGTGCCCGGCTAATTTTGTGTATATTTAGTAGAGACGGGGTTTCACCATGTTAGCCAGGATGGTCTCGATCTCCTGACCTTCTGATCCGCCCGCCTCGGCCTCCCTATAAACTTAATTTTTTAACTTTTTGACTCTTTATAATTCAGTAATTCATAACTCTTTGTAGTAATACTTAAACATAAACATTGTACAGCTATACAAAAATATTATCTTTCCTTATGTCATTATTTAACCTTTTTTCTATTTTTACATTGTTTCTTTATTTTTCTTTCACTTTTTAAATGTCTTTGTTAAAAGCTAAGACACAAACCCAATCATTAGCCTACACCACACAGGTTAAGAATCATCAATATTACTGCCTTCCACCTCCACATCTTGTCTCACTGGAAGGTCTCTGACCTGCTTGGAGCAGTCATCTCCTATGATAACAATACCTTCTTTTGGGATACCTCCTGAAGGACCTGCCTGAAGCTTTTTTACAGTATACCTTTTTTAACAAGCGGAAAGAGTAAACTCTAAAATGACAAAATGTGTAGTATAGTAAATACATAAACCTGTAACATGGTAATTTATTATCATTATCAAGTATTATGTATGTTACATAATTGTATTGCTATACTTTTATACAACTGATAGCTGAGAGGGTTTGTTTACATCAGAATCCCACAAACATGTGAGTAATGCATTGTTATGATGTTAGGAAGGCTATGATGTAGATAAGTAATAGTAATGTTTTAGTTCTGTTATGTCACAACTTATAGAATGATTTTCAGAGATGTGGCTCAATGTTGACCAAAAGATTGTTAAGTGGCATATGACTGTATCAGTGTTGAACATAAAAATTAAATTCAATACAATTTAAAATTACTCCAAAAAATGAAATAGTTATATACTTTAAAAATGCCTGATATCCATAGACTGACAATTATAAAATACAGATGGAAAAATTAAAGTAGGCCTACATAAATAGAAAGGCATATATTTATGAATTAGAAGTCAACATAGTAAAGATATTAATTATCCCTAAATTGATCTATAATTTTAATGCAATGTTATCAAAATTTAAGTAGCTATGTTTTTCAGATATAGACAAGCTAATTCTAAAACTTACATGAAAGATGAAGAAAGTAGACTAGCTAAATATAATATTGAAAAAGAAGACTAAAGTTTAAGGAATTATATTCCCCAATTTTAAAACTATATAACCACCGTAACTAAGTCAGTGTGGTGTTGGAGGAGGGACAGACATGTAAATCAATGGAGCAGAATAGAAAATGTATAAATTGACCCACAAATATATAGCAAAAGCAATTCGATGAGGAAAGAGTAGCCTTTTCAATACATTATTTGAAATAGTATGAATCTAACCCAAACTTCATATCACACATAAATTTACTTAAAATGGATAATAGATACAAATTTAAAACATTGAACTATAAATCTTTTAGGAGAAAATCTTTGTAACAAAAGGCTAGTTTCAGTGTTCTTAAACATGACACCAAAAAGGTGATCCAGAAAAAAAGGATAAATTGAAACTTCATCAAAATTAGCATTTTTCCGTCAAACACCTAGTGAAGAGGATAAAAAGTTAAGCCACAGACTGGGAGATAACATTTGCAAAGCACAGAAGAAGTCAGTCAAATCCCTTCTACAATATATAGAGAAAGATGTTTCGCCAAAAAGCATATGCAGATGTCAACTAAATATATAAAAAATGTTCACATCATAAGCCAGATTAGAGAACAAATTAGAGTCATAATGAGATACCTATACCACACACAGCAATGAGAATGACTAAAATAAAAAAAAGAATACTGATAATATCAAGTGCTAGCAATGATGCAGAGCTACTAGAACTCTCTGACTTTGCTGGTAGGAATGTAAAACGGTATAGCCACCTTGAAGAGGTATTTGTCACCTCTTTGTCCATTTCTTATGAAGTTAAACATTCACTTACTGTATGATCTAGTGATCACTTCTGTGTATATATTTATACTCAAGAAATAAAATTTTGTGTCTATTCAAAAACCTGTGCATAACAGTTCAGAGCGGCTTTATTTGTAATAGATAAAACTGAAAACAAGTAAAATGTTATTGAATAGGCAAATGTATGAACAAGCTGTGGTACATACATACATACACACTATGAAATATTACCTACCTATATAAAGAAATAAATTATTTTTATACAGGCACCCACCAAGTAGGATGGATTGAAAGGGTATAATGCTGAATGAAAATAAAAGCCCATCTCAAAGGGTTACATATTATACGATTTCATTTATACAACACTTCCAAAATGACAAAACTGTATTGATGGAGAATAAGTATCTAGGGTTTAGGGATAGAGTAGAGTCTGACTATGAAGAGGAAGCAAGAGGGTGTTTCTTTCCGGCAATGTAGCATATTTGTGTAATGTTTGCAGTGGTTGTTAAACCAATCTATACATGTGATAAAATTTTGTCACACTATACCCCAAAAAGAATACAAGTGTGTGTAAAATTTGGTAAAATCTGAAAAAAATTATAGTTTGACTAATAATATTTATACCAATATCAATTTTCTAGCTTTAAAAAATGTACTATGACTATATAATATGTTGTTATTGGGGAAAAAGTTGAGTGAAGGTTACATGAAAACTACTATTTTTGCAACTTCTTGTGAGTTTTATCTCCAAATAAAAAATTAAAAACAAAAATGGAGCACCCACTATGACCAAGAATAGGTCTCTTTTGCTAGAGATATAGGGGTATCTTTGCCCCCAAGTAGCTCGCATTAAAGCAATACTGGGCCTTTAACTGAAATGGAAAACATAAGAGGCAAGCTAGAAAGTGAAATTTTGGCGATGTCTGCAGAAATCTAAGTGCCAAGTACAAGAGAAGATTGTATATAATCGTAGTTCAGAAGAAAGGACAACTATGTATGTTTGAGAGTCATCAACATAGGGTGAGATTATCAGCATAGAGTGGGGATATGTTAATAAAAGAGGACCTAGAAAGGCACTCTAATAATTGCTAGACATGTTCTCTGTGAGCTGCACAACTACACTAGCTTGAGGTGGTGCCTTCTCTCACTCCATAAACATATTGGTACTTTGATGGAGGTCACAAACACAAATGCTAAAAAATAACATAAATACATAATTTGAGCCTGGTATAAACAAGATAGAAATTCAGAAGGGCCACTGGAAAATGGGAAGAAGCATTTAAACACTTGTTTAAAGTCATTAAAATTCAAGCATTGCACAAACACTTTTTTGTTAGCCAAACAAAACAAGATTGCAGCCAGATTCTGCTAAGAGCAGCTGGTTTGCAACCTGTGTTTGGGTAAATTAATTGACTTGTTTTCTAATCTCTTATTAAACAATGGCACATCAATGGCTTAATATGTTACCTTTTTCAGCTATATACATTTTGGAAAAGAATTTTGTAAGATGCAGTATTTTTACCCCATGGAAATTTCACAGAAACACCGTAAGGTATTATAGGAGATTTATTTAAGCAATGCCTTCTAAATTACACTACAAAAAACAAGTCATGTGAAAAACTGACCATTGTTTAAAAGGTATGTCTCACAAGAAAGAGACCACAAAACAACTAGAAAACAAAGTTAAAAAATGGCAGGATTAAATCCTTACTTATCAAAAATAGCATTGAATGTAAATAGATTCACCAATCAAAACGTATAGAGTGGCTGGATGAATAAAAAAGCAAGAACCATTGATCTGTTGCCTGTAAGAAATGCACTTCACCTATAAAGACACACATAGACTGAAAATAAAGGGATGGAAAAACACAGTTCATGCCAATGGAAACCAAAAAAGAGCAGGAGTTGCTATACTTAGACAAAATAGATTTCAAGACAAAAACATTAGGAAGAGACAAAGAAGGTAACTATATAATGATAAGGAGGTTAATTCAGCAAGGGGACACAACAATTTTAAACATATATGCACCCAACACTGGAGCACTCAGATATGTAAAGCAAATATTATTAGAGCTAAATGGAGAGATAAGCTCCAATAAAATAATAGATGGAGACTTCAGCACCCCACTTTCAGCACTGGACAGATCTTTCAGAAAGAAAATTAACAAACAAACATCCAACTTAATCTGCACTATAGAACAAATGGATCTAGTAGATATTTAGAGAACATTTCATCAAAGATCTGTGAAATACACATTCTTTTCCTCAGCACATGGATTATTCTCAAGGATAGATCTTAGATTAGGTCACAAAACAAGTCTGAAAGCATTCAAAAAAGTTGAAATAAAATCAAGCATCATGGTGTTTTAGACATGAAGTCCTTGCCCATGCCTATGTCCTGAATGGTAATGCCTAGGTTTTCTTCTAGGGTTTTTATGGTTTTCAGTCTAATGTTTAAGTCTTTAATCCACTTGAATTAATTTTTGTATAAGGTGTAAGGAAGGGATCCAGTTTCAGCTTTCTACATATGGCTAGCCAATTTTCCCAGCACCATTTATTAAATAGGGAATCCTTTCCCCATGGCTTGTTTTTCTCAGGTTTGTCAAAGATCAGATAGTTGTACATATGCGGCGTTATTTCTGAGGGCTCTGTTCTGTTCCATTGCTCTATATCTCTGTTTTGGTACCAGTACCATGCTGTTTTGGTTACTGTAGCCTTGTAGTATAGTTTGAAGTCAGGTAGCGTGATGCCTCCAGCTTTGTTCTTTTGGCTTAGGATTGACTTGGTGATGCGGGCTCTTTTTTGGTTCCATATGAACTTTAAAGTAGTTTTTTCCAATTCCATTGGTAGCTTGATGGGGATGGCATTGAATCTATAAATTACCTTGGGCAGTATGGCCATTTTCACGATATTGATTCTTCCTACCCATGAGCATGGAATGTTCTTCCATTTCTTTGTATCTTCTTTTATTTCATTGAGCAGTGGTTTGTAGTTCTCCTTGAAGAGGTCCTTCACATCCCTTGTAAGTTGGATTCCTAGGTATTTTATTCTCTTTGAAGCAATTGTGAATGGGAGTTCACTCATGATTTCGCTCTCTGTTTGTCTATTATTGGTTTATAAGAATGCTTGTGATTTTTGTACATTGATTTTGTATCCTGATACTTTGCTTAAGTTGCTTATCAGCTTAAGGAGATTTTGGGCTGAGACAGTGGGGTTTTCTAGATATACAATCATGTCATCTGCAAACAGGGACAATTTGACTTCCTCTTTTCCTAATTGAATACCCTTTATTTCCTTCTCCTGCCTAATTGCCCTGGCCAGAACTTCCAACACTATGTTGAATAGGAGTGGTGAGAGAGGGCATCCCTGTCTTGTGCCAGTTTTCAAAGGGAATGCTTCCAGTTTTTGCCCATTCAGTATGCTATTGGCTGTGGATTTGTCATAGATAGCTCTTATTATTTTGAGATACGTCCCATCAATACCTAATTTATTGAGAGTTTTTAGCATGAAGGGTTGTTGAATTTTGTCAAAGTCATTTTCTGAATCTATTGAGATAACCATGTGGTTTTTGTCTTTGGTTCTGTTTATATGCTGGATTACATTTATTGATTTGCATATATTGAACCAGTCGTGCATCCCAGGGATGAAGCCCACTTGATCATGGTGGATAAATGGGATCTAATTAAACTAAAGAGCTTCTGCACAGCAAAAGAAATGACTATCAGAGTGAACAGGCGACCTACAAAATGGGAGAAAATTTTTTCAACCTACTCATCTGACAAAGGGCTAATATCCAGAATCTACAATGAACTCAAACAAATTTACGAGAAAAAAACAACCCCATCAAAAAGTGGGCGAAGGATATGAACAGACACTTCTCAAAAGAAGACATTTATGCAGCCAAAAGACACATGAAAAAATGCTCATCATCACTGGCCATCAGAGAAATGCAAATCAAAACCACAATGAGATACCATCTCACACCAGTTAGAATGGCAATCATTAAAAAGTCAGGAAACAACAGGTGCTGGAGAGGATGTGGAGAAATAGGAACACTTTTACACTGTTGGTGGGACTGTAAACTAGTTCAACCATTGTGGAAGTCAGTGTGGCGATTCCTCAGGGATCTAGAACTAGAAATACCATTTGACTCAGCCATCCCATTACTGGGTACATACCCAAAGGACTATAAATCATGCTGCTATAAAGACGCATGCACACGTATGTTTATTGCGGCACTATTCACAGTAGCAAAGACTTGGAACCAACCCAAATGTCCATCAGTGATAGACTGGATTAAGAAAATGTGGCACATATATACCATGGAATATTATGCAGCCATAAAAAATGATGAGTTCATGTCCTTTGTAGGGACATGGATGAAATTGGAAATCATCATTCTCAGTAAACTGTCACAAGAACAAAAAACCAAACACTGCATATTCTCACTCATAGATGGGAATTGAACAGTGAGAACACATGGACACAGGAAGGGGAACATCACACTCTGGGGACTGTTGCGGGGTGGGGGGAGGGGGGAGGGATAGCTTTAAGAGATATACCTAATGCTAAATGACGAGTTAATGGGTGCAGCTCACCAGCATGGCACATGT
This sequence comes from Homo sapiens, assembly GCF_000001405.40. Lineage (NCBI taxonomy): Eukaryota > Metazoa > Chordata > Mammalia > Primates > Hominidae > Homo > Homo sapiens. The sequence goes on along the minus strand of NC_000006.12, from coordinate 77,157,453 downwards.
ATACATATGTAACTAACCTGCACATTGTGCACATGTACCCTAAAACTCAAAGTATAATAATAATAAAAAATAAAAAAATAAAATAAAATAAAATCAAGCATCTTTTCTGACCACAACAAGGTAAAATTAGGAATCAATGACAATAGAAATTTGGAAACCACAAAGATACATTGAGATTAAACAACATGCTGCTGAATGACCAGTGATTCAATGAAGCAATTAAGAAGGAAATTGAAAATTTCTTGAAACAAATGATAATGGAAACACAACATACTAAAACCTATGGGATACAAGAAAAGCTGTACTAAGAGGAAATTTTATAGCTATTAAGTGCTTACATTAAAAAAGCAGAAAAACTTCAAATATATCACCTAGTGATGCATCTAAAGGAACTAGAAAAGCTAGAGCAAATCGAACCCAAAATTAGTAGAAGAAAAAAATAAAGATTAGAGCAGAAATAAATAAAATTAAAATTAAAAATACAAAAGATCAATGAATTAAAAAGCTGGTTTTATTAAAACATTTAACAAATTTGGCAAACCTTTAGCAAGACTGACTAAGAAAAAAGAAAGACGACCAAAATAAATAAAATCAGAGATGAAAGAAACATTACAGTTGATACTTCAGAATTTCAAAGGATCATTAGAGGCTATGATGAGCAATTATATGCCAGTAAATTGGAAAATCTAAAATAAATAGACAAATTCAACCTACCAAGATTGAACCATGATGAAACCCAAAACCTGAACAGACCGGCAACAAGTAATGGGATCAAAGCCATAATAAAAAGTTTCCCAGTAAAGAAAAGCCCAGAACCCAATGTCTTTGTTGCTGAATTCTACCAAACATTTAAAGAACTAAAACCAATACTACTTGAACTATTCTTAAAAGTTGAGGTGGCGGGAATACTTCCAAACTCGTTCTATGAGCCAGTATTACTCTAATACCAATACCAGACAAAGACACATCCAAAAAAGAAAACTACTGGTAAATAACTCCGATGTGTATTGATGTAAAAATACTCAACACAATACTAGTAAATCAAATTCAACAATACATTAGAAGGATTATTCATCATGACCAAGTAGGGTTTATCCCAGGATGCAAGAATGGTTTAACATATGCAAATCAATCAATGTGATACATCATATCAACAGAATGAAGGACAAAACCCATATGATCATTTCAACTGATGCCTATAAAGCAATTGATAAAGTTTAACATTCCTTCATGATAAAAAAATATAAAAACTGGTTATAGAAGAATAACAACATAATAAAAGCCACATGACCAACCCACACCCTAATATCATGCAGAATGGAGAAAAACTGAAAGCCTTTTCTCTGAGACCTGGAACATGATGAGGATGCTCACTGTGACCACTGTTATTCAATGTAATCCTGGAAGTCCTAGCTGGAGCAATCAGACAAGAGAAAGAAATAAAGGCATCAAAATTGGAAAGGAAGAAATCAAATAATCCATGTTTGTAGATGATAGGATCTTATATTCAGGAAAACCTAGAGACTCCACAAGAAAACCATTAGAAACTATTGCCATTTTTATGTGTGATCAACAAGTTCATTAAAATTGCCAGACACAAAATCAACATACAAAATTCAGTAGCGTTCCAATATGCCAACAGTGAACAATCTGAAAAAATATCAAAAAAGTAATCCCATTTACAATAGCCAAAAATAATTAAATACCTAGGAATTAACCAAAGAAGTGTAAGATCTCTGTAGTGAAAATTATAAAACATTGATGAAAGAAGCTGAAGAAGATACCAAAAAGTGAAAAAAAATTTCATGTTTATGGATTGGAAAAAAACAATATTTTAAATTGTTAAATTTTACCATATGGATATGGTAAAATGTCCATACTACTCAAAGTAATCTACAGGTTCAATGCAATCTCTATCAAAATACTAATGACATTCCTTGCAGAAATAGAGAAAAATCTTAAAATTAATAGGCCACTACAAACGACCCAGAACAGCAAAAGCTATCCAAAACAAACAAACAAAACAAAAAACAAAAAACAAAAAAAACTAAAGGAATCACAATATCTGATTTCAAATTATTCTGCAGAGCTATAGTAACAAAACAGCATGGTACTGGCAAAAAAACGAAAAACAAAAAACAAACAAACAAAAAAACAACCAACCAACCAACCAACCAACCAACCAAACAAAAAACCCCACACATATAGACCAATGAGAACTCAGAAACAAATCCACACACCTACAGTGAACTCATTTTTGACAAAGTTACCAAGAGCATACATTGAGAAAAAGATAATCTCTTCAATAAATGGTGCTGAGAAAACTGAATATCTATATGCAAAAGAATGAAACTAGATTCCTATCTCTTGCCATACACAAAAATCAAAACAAAATGGATTAAAAACTTAAATTTAAGACCTCAAACAGTGAAATTACTACAAGAAAACACTGGGGAAAATCTCCAGGAAATTAGTCTGAGCAAAAAATTTCTTGAGGAATACCCCACAAGTGCAAGCAACCAAAGCAAAAATGCACAATTGGGATCACAGCAAGTTAAAAAGTTAACAGCTTATCTGTGCACTTTGTCAGTTGTTTTGGATATAAAATCATTGGCTTGTACATTTTTTTTCTTGAATACATTAAACGTTTTTCTCAATTTTCTTCTTTCTTAAAGCGTGGCTCTGGAAATTGTCATAATAATTTAATATATTTTCCCATATAAGTCAAATGCTATATTTTCTAGGTGCACAGCAAATAAGACATGAAGAAAGTGAAGAAAAACACCCACAGAGTAGAAGAAAATACTTGCAAACTATCCATACATCGGACAAGAGATTAAAAATCAGAATATATAAGGGGCTAACACAATTCTATAGGAAAAAAATCTAATAATCTGATTTGAAAATGGGCAAAAGATATTAATAGATATTTCTCGAAATAAGACATAAAAATGGCAAGCAAGTATATGAAAAGATGCTCTACATCATTGTTCATCAGAGAACTACAAATCAAAACTACAATGAGATATCATCTCACCTTAGTTAAAATGGCTTATATCCAAAAGACAGGCAATAACAAATGATGGTGAGGATGTGGAGGAAAGGGAAGCCTTGTACAATGTTGGTGGGAAGGTAAATTAGTATAGTCACTATGAAAAACAGTTTAGAGGTTCTTGAAAAAAGTAAAATTAAAGTTACCACATGACCCAGCCATCCCACTGCTGAGTATATACTGAAAAGAAAGGAAATCAATATATCAAAGAGATATCTGCACTACTATGTTTGTTGTAGCATTGTTCAAAATGGCCAAGATTTGGAAGCAACTTAAGTGTCCATCTACAGATGAGTGAATAAATAAACTGTAGTACATGTTCACAATGGAGTACTATTCTGCTATAAAAAGGAATGAGAGCCTGTCATTTGCATCAGTCTGAATGGAACTGGAGATCATTATGTTAAGTGAAATAAGCCAGGCAAATAAAGACAAATATCACATGTTCTCTTATTTGTGGGTTCTAAAATCAAAACAATCGAACTTATGGACATAGAGAATAGAATGATGGTTACCAGAGGCTTGGAAGGGTAGGGGGGATGCTGGGTGGAGGTGGGGATGGTTAATGGGTACAAAAAATTAAAAAGAATGAATAAGACCTACTATTTGATAGCATAAATGTGACCATAGTCAATATGTACACTTTGAAATAAATAAAATAATATAATTGAATTGTTTGTAACACAAAGAATAAATGCTTGAAAGGATGAATATCCCATTGTCTATGATATGATTATTATGCATTTCATGTCTGTATCAAAACATCTAATGTACCCCATAAATATATACAACTACTATGTACCCACAAAGATAAAAATTAAACAGATATGTTACTCTAACACAAAGCGAAAGTGACCTTTGGAAATTCTCTGTTTATTCAATCAAAACAATTTATCCTGCCCTTGTTGATTGATTTATGAGAAATGCTATATAAATAAAAGCATACCTTCTTATTTGTACTTGTTAGTTTTTAATATAAAAAGTTTCACTCAGCAAATTAATCAACTAGCAAGGATTTTGAGATACATAACATGGACCAATCATTTTTATAATTATGATTGGAATCAGACACTTCACATCTTGTGCTAATATAACGATTCAGGTGACATAGTAATTTGAAATAAATTATTTATGCAAAGCGTCATCCCAACATTGATAACAAACAGAGGTTAGGAAGAAATTGCTTTAAGGATATCAGATTGCAACAAGTGTCTAAGGAGCAACACATAATGTTTACTGTGTTAAGAAATTTGGAAGCTATGTGAGGCTACAGAACGTAAGTGTTACTAATCGATAAATTCCTTACTCTGGTTTACAAGGTACTATATGATTTGGTCCATGTCTACACCTCCAAGTTTATCTACTATTTTCTAGCTATATGGTTTTGTTTTTCATTTATTTAATATGCCATACCTGTTGTAGCTTTTGTCTCTACATTAACTTTTCCCTTTGCCTAGGAAGCTCTTCCTCAAGGTATTTGAACTCCTAATTTTTTCTTGTGATTTGGATTATTGTTGAAATACCACTAATTCCTAGAGACTTTCCAGAAAAATTAATCTTAAACAGTTACCTAATGACTTTCTATAATATAGCTTCAATTATCTGCAGGTACCAGTTGCTGGCTGATTTTTGTTGTTGTTGTTGTTCATTTGTAGTCTCTCTTGCATCTGCACCCATCTATAAGCTTCATAAGAGCTGACAGATAACACAGGCTTCCTGTAGTGGGTTGAATTTGGCTCTGAAAAAAAAATATGCTCATATCCTAATATCAATAACCTGTGAATATTACCGGATATAGCAAAGGATGTGATAAAGTAAAAGATCTTGAGAGAAGCAGCTTATCGTAGACAATCTGTGTGAGTGGGGCAGAAGGAGTTTTGAGACATACAATGAGGGATGCCAAGGCATACCAGCAGTCACCAGAATCTAGGACAGGCAAGAAAGGATTCTCCCCAAAATCTCCAGAGTGGCCATGGACCTGCTGAAAGCTTTATTTCAGACTTATGACCATTAGTTATTATATTGGACAGTGAAAATATGAAATAATTTCATTATTATTGAAAATTTTGTAAAAAATGGTGCAGAGCCATAAGGACTCCCAGGTCATAGCACCTAGGTGGAATGTCTCCTTTTACCATAGCCTGGTCCCTTTTGAGGCCTTTCTTGCTTTAGGTATCACTGAAAGCTGACAGTCTTTCAAATCACTGAGGAAATGAATTAGGACCAAGTTTCCCAAGAATATGCTGCCTCCAGAAATCAGCATCTTATGAGGTCCTGTGTTTCTTACTTGTGGGATATGCAAAATTTGATTATTCGTCCTATACATTCGATTGGGTGTACCAATATGACCTGGATTTCTGGAGCCACAAAACTTCACCTACATGGCACATTCTTGAATCTTTATAGAGTTTATCTCCCACCCTCTAGGGCCTGTGTATCTTACTTCGCCCTCCTTGTGAGTTGCCACTTCCTGTTCATCCTCCTATCAACGTGATATAAACACCAAAATAGACCAAAGTAATTATCTGGGGAATGTCCAGAGGGTGTTTACCTTCAGAAAATTAACAGCTTTGAGACTAAATCGTAAGTATATACTGTTGTTCATCTCATGTGGCGCTAACTATTTGTTATGCTCCTTTAAATATGATACGGAAAATAAGCTGTTAGCCAGGTCAATAGCTACATGTGCCATAAGCTAAATTAATCTGCTCTAGCAAAGATACCGTATTTGGCATAATAGCTGTAATTAGAGCTACTACTAAGTAAAGTTTATATGAGGCCACTGTGATCCATATAATCTATTTTTTTAGGGACTAGAGCACTGAATTATATGGGAATCTGGTGGGGACAATCACACCTGTTGCTATGGATGAAATGTGTCCCGCAACATCAATGCGTTGGAAAGTTAATCCCCAATGCAACAGTGTTTAGAGGTGAGACCTTTAAAGAGTCGATTAGGTTATAAGGGCTCTGACGTCATGAGTGGATTAATACCATTATCACTGGAGTGGGTTAGTTATCTCAGGTATGGGTTTGTTATCAAAATAATGCATTTGCTATAAAAACTAGTTAGGCCCCCTCTAGCTCTCATTTGCTCTCTTGTCTTTCTGTCTTCTGCTAGGATGACCCAGCAAGAAGGTTCTCATCAGTGGCTGACCAGATGCCAGAAACATGCCATTGGAGTGCCCAGCCTTCAGAACAGTGAGCCAAACCAATTTCTGTTCATTATAAATTACCCAGTCTCAGCTATGCAGTTATAGCAGCACAAAGCAGGCAAGACACCAGTTATCTTTTAATATTTTAAGGTGACACTAATCAATTTTTTTCAAATATATAATATTGTTTCTTTTTTTTTTCTGGGGAAATGAATAGTTTAAGAAGTTTCCAATGGGCCTTCCCCACTATAATACCTCTTACCACACAAACCAACAAATCAATGTTGGGATTCTGCCAACTACCAAGTCTCTTTATTCAGGTTATATTTAGAAATCAGGAACATGCCCACTGGACAGTTCATAGATCCATTAGATCCATAGTGAACCAGACATGTTCCAGAACTTCATTAATAATGTCACTCTAACAAGAGGAAAATGGTGGTGCTTTGGGTCCACAGATATCAATGCCAATTCAGATCCATATCCAATAATCCCCAAAAGGTGTGGCTACGTCCTTTCCTTCAAATGTCCTTATTTACTACGTAATTGTCAGTTATTTTCAGAAAGAATAGGAGGAATTACTTTTTAATATACTTGTGGTGTTGCCTCATCCTTTCTCACGCCGCTGATTCTGGATCTGAGAACTGTACTCAGGTCTTAGGACTGGGAAAGGGAAAACAATATTTTATTAGTATAGTTGCATTCAGTCTCCTAATTATCCATTCTTTATTTATTTTAATTATGTAAATTTAGAAACATATTTGATGGTTTCCTAAGTTGTCTTTGAAAATATTGTGTTATATTAATCATATGTATAATCATATCACTAGTCATATATCATGCATATATATAATCATATATATAACATCTCTGAGGTGCATGCCTCCTCTGCCTGCCACTTCAGCTTTGGTTCCCAGGGTGGTAAATGTGTCCTTCTTGCTTTGACAGTTAAGAGCCACTATCTGGCTTCTTTTTATTTCAGGATACTCTCATACCTGTTTCTTTCAGGGAGGCCAGTCCTGTCACAGTATTCCCTGGCCTACAGAGGAGAACCATACTGAGTTCAGAAATGACGGTGCCTTTTTCACCAGTGTAATGCGTGTTGCTTTAGTGAATTAGCTGTGCTTCTAATCTTTCTTGCAATATAGTTTACTGATGGTTATTCTGATCTTACATAGTATGCCACTGTAGCATGCACATTTAATGCCTTCGTCTTCTATCTGTCACACAATTCTGGCACTTCTGCTACATTTATATGGGCCATTACTTTTTCAAACTTCCCTAGTGCCTTTCTGCTGATATATCAGTGTTTCCTGGTGTCCTTGCCAGTGTGTTAAATTACATATCATGAGAGAGTGCTCCATATTGATAAAGTATCTCATATCCAACTCTAAGTTCTATGCTCCTTTTTACATCACCTTCAGATCCAGTTTCATTCATGTTCTCCTGGCTCCCATGGTACCTATTAGACAGCTGCTACAATTCCTTTACATATAGTCTCTTTCTTCCCTTAACTAGTTCAGCACTTGTCTCATTGGAATGTGCTGGTAATTAACCCTTATTATTGGAATATTTGCCTGGAAGGGAAAAAGGATAGTTCCTTAGTGTGTGGGGGTCTTAGACGGAAGCATTGTCTTTTAAAGGACCTAAGTCATTTGAAATTTCTGTATTATCTCCAAGCAATGCTTTCTTTAAAATAATACCACTGTCTTGTATCAAAGGAATTAGAAGATGCTTCCACCAAAAAAGAGCATTTGGGGGGAAAATAGAACTTCAAGGTTTTCAGCTACGTCTAATCAATTATCTTCATTCCAAATCTAAGGGGAATATTTCTTTCTTGTTAGTATCTTGACATTGGCTTACAAAACCTGCTGAGGCTGAGAATCCAACTATCTCTGAAGCTCCACTAGTTGTATTATTAACTTTTGAATTTAGTCCTCTAGTGACTGCCCACCAGTGGCAGATGATTAGAGTCTCCTTAGATTCTGCCAAGAATCCTTCTGGCTTTCACATTTTACCTTGGAATGATAACTAATTAATCACCTGAGCTCATCATTATCGATGCTTAAATTAAAATAAAATGATTCTCAATAAAGTCTATTTACTTTGTAGCCCTTATACTTACTATTTTCTATATGACATTAAGTTCCAGAAGTAATTACATAGCCAGTGTGTCTTCTTCTACCAGTACTGCACTTGAGTTCTGAGTTCACTACTTGCAACAATTTTATCAACTGTGAAAGGTGAAGTCTACTCATCCTCCATTTACCACCAGCAATGCAGCCCTCATTGCTAGATGGCCTGAACATTTTGATCCAGCTTTGGAATATTATTCTACAGTTTGTTTTCTAGGACCCCTTCTAGTAACAACAGAATCATATGAAGTTCCCTAGACATAGTCTCTAAGATGGAGAGTTTTATGCAGAGAGGATTTATTGGGGAATGCTCTTGGTAGATGTTATCTGTGATGAACCAAAAAAAGCAGGATTGAGCAGAAAGAGAAGTCAACCCATAACACAGTTTCAATAAAGCTTTAGAACTGGAATGGCTCTTCAGTGTTTTTCTGACATGAAATATAGTGTCTAGGCCTTTATATCATTGCATGATCCAGTGACGGAGTATGGTGTCTCCCTAGTAGGAGAATACTTTTAGAATAGAGTTCTCTGTGGCCAAGGGCAATTTCAAGGGAGGAAGTCACCTCTGAGCTATCAGTCTCAGACATCCTCAGTAGCTGGGGTATACAAGGTTTACCAGAGTGTCAATTATCTATTATAGCATACACACGGAAAAATTTACAAGTGTATGTGTACACCTGTATTTGATAAATTATTATATAGAAAGCATACACATATAGCCACTATACAGTTCAAGAAATGTAACACCTTTAAACTGCAGAAACCTTTACAGGGCCTACTTAGTTATTAACCCCATTTCCACAATAAAAATAAATTACCTAACTTTTAGCACCATAGCTTAGTTTAGCTTGTTTTCAAACTTTGCATAAATTGAATCAAAGCAGTGGGATTTTCGTGTCTAACATTCTTCTTTCAATATTATGATTTGGGAATTCACTGGAGTGATTATATACATCAGTTGTTCATTAAATATATTTTTGTATGAATATATTACAATGTGTTATTCTAAGTTTGATTGACGTTTTAGTTGTTTCTAATTTTTTACTGTTATCAATAATGCAGCAATAACATGTTTACACCTATATTTTGGTGAAAATAGATATGTAATTCTGTTGTAGTTATACAAAAGAGTAAAACTTGTAACAGATTCAAAAGATACTATCAAACAGGGTTTTTGCCAGAGGTTAGATCAATACATAGTCCCACTAGAAGAAAATTGATGCTTCAGTTGGCCTGCATCTTCTCCCACACTTACACTTAAGAGTAGTCAGAGTTCTTTTTAATTTATCATTTTATTTTAGTTGGTATGGAATACTATCTCTTTGTAGTTTAATTCACCCAAGATATAACACCTTAAAAATGTATATTGATATTTTTATGTAAAACTCAAGACTACAGAACTTTGATGTTTTTGTTATCTCTTGGTTCTAAAGAAGAAGATGATAAAATTTGGATATTCAATAATTTCTCATTTGTTATATATTACTTTTAGAATAACAGTACAAGTATTAGCACTTAAATGACTATTGATCATTTTACTTTTTATCTTTCTCCATTGTTTACCACAATCCCTTCATAAACAAATGGTCAGAATGCATAGTCATTGTATACTGTCTTCGTCTTAGCTCTCATGTCATCTTAATTCTATGGGCAACCATATGGTTAATGCTCACATCAGTCCTTATGTCTGGGTCTCTCTGGTCATTGTGGTTATCTATATGTTATTCTATGGTATATTTTGGAGGAAATGCTCATGGGAACATTATTTTTTGAGTGCTTTCATGTTGTTAAAAGCTTATCTGTGCACTTTGTCAGTTTTGGATATAAAACCATTGGCTTATACATTTTTTTTTCTTGAGTAAATTAAACATTTTTCTCAATTTTCTTCTTTCTTAAAATGTGGCTCTGGAAATTGTCATGATAATTTAATATACTTTCCCATATAAGTCAAATACTATATTTTCTAGGTGCATAAATAATTTGTCCTTTTCTAATAATTTTACTGGAATGTGTAATGGTATTGGTGACTCTGGGGCAACACTCTTAGATTTATGGTTTGCTATGTCAGTATATATTTCAAGTCTTTTACATTATTATTTCAGGGAAGTTATTTTATTATCTCGCTTTGGCTTTCATTTCTGTAACTTCTATTAAATACTTTAAACCTTTTCTGCCTATCTTTGATATTTGTCATTTTTTAAAATTATTTTCATCTCTTCTAATTTTTAATACTACTTTTAAAATGTACTCTTTTATACATTCTATTTCTCTTAAAGATTATCTACATTTATTCATTATAATTTTCTTCTTACTTTAGTATTATTTTCTAAATAATTATTTTTATTTTTGTTTCCTGAAGACTGACATATTATTTCTGAATTTTTTTAAATTTTTATTTATGTTATATTGTTCTTTTATGTCTTGTATCATTTCCTTAGTGTCATTTAGCTTTCTTATGGGTGTATCTTTATGATATGCTTTCATTGTTGGGGTATATTCTTCTTATTCTTTTTCTTGTAATAATTTTATATTGTACATTTTTATGTAAAATTAGGCTCCATACACTTTTAGGATGAAGGGACATTTCAAGAAAGCTTTGATAACTTCACATGGCTCCCCTCTGCTGTTCTCTGTAATGCTCAAATGCTGGCAGCTTACTTTCTGAGATATTCTGCATCTAGACTCCTCACCCACTTTGGTTTAGATCTTTTTTTATTTGTCTCTACTGCCCCTGTCCTCCTCAATTTTGATTCTTCTCTCAGAAGTTTTTCTTTAATCTGAGGCCTTGTCCCCCAGTGGAGAGCTGGAGGGCCAGTTTTTCAAGTTCATAGGCACCAGACTGTTCCAGCAGTTAATTATCTTTTTTTGTAAAACTTTGACACATTTTATTATTCTCTTGAGAGATACTAGGGAAGTGGGTTCCACATTAAATAGTAAGAATGTTAAAATTTTCAAATGTATTGATATATGATCCCAAACTTCTTTCATGATATTTCATGCCGATTTTATCCTTATCAGAATGGAATCACAAGCCCCATCTTATCATACACATCCAGGTCCTGAATATTGTTTTTTATGCTTGACAATTTAATAGGTAAAAGGTGGTTTATCATTGCTAATTTAATTTGCATCTCAGTTTACACAAACAAATATGCTTATATGCCTCAGTAATATGATATCCATGAGTTAAGTGGTATGTGTGGTTCGCAAACTCTGAAGTAATTGTAGCAACTCTTGGACATTAGATGAGGCATCAAAATCCAGATTTATTGTGACTGGCTTTCTTTCATTATTCATGTCAGAATTAAAGAATTCTTCCAGACTCTTGTCATGATGCTCCTCTTCCTGCTGCCCTGCCAGTCTCTTCTCTTCTGATGATGCTCCTTAATTCCTCAATAGTTTTAACACAAAGTTTCTCCTTTATACCACATATTTTTCACACTAATGGCTGCTGATCCACCACAGTGCTTAAACTCCAGCACACAAGCACACACACATATACACACACAATCACAGATGCCTTATTTTCTCACAAAAATGATCTTTTTCCTACAAATCTGGACACTCTAAAATTCTAGTGTAAAAGCTGAAGTTTCACAAGCACTCCTAGGATCCTAAGGTTTCATTTTGCAGTCTAGAAAAGAGGTCACAGGCCTAAGAAGCTTTCAAATATTCATCACGTGACAATTCCCAAGTGAGTAGATTTAGAATCTAAACCCTTTTCTTTTTAAAAAATGCATTAAAACATCAAGTATTTAGAGTCTATGGTCTTTGAATAATATTAAAATTACCTATTACAGTGCATTTTAAGATATATATAGTAAAAATTAGAGTGATTCATAAGTGTAATAATAACCTGATATTTCTAAAATCTGATTAGAATAAATCAAACCAGATTTTTATTCAAATATCTTCTGTTCATAGGTCCATGAGTGTTTCTTGTGAGGGGGCAGAGGAGAGTCAATGAGTGGGTGTGTGTCAGGGTGGGCTGCCTGCCTCTTCTGCAAACTTTGGTTCTTTTCCATAGGTTTGGTTAACTTTTATGCCCTGTCTGCTTCTAACTAGGCCTAGACAGATTAGCATGACATTTTGATGGGAAATTGCATAAGATTTGCTAATTTTGCCATTAAGAGATGATTTTCTCTTCTTAACCCACTCCTCCATTCTGCAACACAAAGGCCTTACTTAATATGATAATTTAACTAGTTTCAGTGTACAGTATTAAGAGAAAGGAGGAAGAATTTTTCGTGAAAGATCTTCTTGGTTATTACCAAAATAAATACTTCTAGAAATGTTATTTTATAATTTTAAGCTTATTTTAAGTTTGCTTAAGCTTTATTGATTCCATTTCATAAAGAACAATTCCTTAATCATGAAAGAAATTACCAATGCTGGTATACTGTTTTAAAATCATGACAATAAACAAATGCTATCTTGCATTTAATTTTTCTCTATATTTTGATTATCTGAGTTAGGTTACAGAATACTCTACCCCTACTTTCTAAAATGAATTTTTAAAGAAGTTAAAAACGATCATTTTTCTGAATATATACTACCATTTACTAATGAGTTATCTCTTTTTCTCTAGCATTGTGATTAGTATGTCATAATTTTGTTCATTCAGCATTCTGATAAGAAAAGTAATAAAAAATACAAAACAAAATTAAAATGCACAATTAGATATATTACCATAACTTGGCTTTGCCCTTTCAAGTAATTTTATTGATTTTCCTAAATCTACATATGTTTTATAGTAAAACCAAATTTACTAGAAATTATACTTCTTTCTAAAGCCAAAATGTCACCTGAAATTTGCCAAGCATTTCTGAGTTCAGACCGAGTGGTGTCCAGCTGTCTGTTCTCACGGTCCAATAACAAGATACAGGCAGACTGGGAAAGAAGGGAGTTTATTTCTACAACTGGTTACAGTGAGAAGATCGGAGTAACTCACCAGACCAACTCAAAGTTAAAAGTGTTCTCTAGTGCTTGTATACATTCAATGCACCTACAAACTGAAAACCAAAGTGTTTTACTCTATCTAATCTTTAATTAGGGTACTGGGCCTAGACAATTACTTCAGACCCTTGGAAAAATTATCTATCTAAAGTGGGTTCTGGTACAAGGTGTGTAAGACCTTATCCATTACTTTAATTAAACTCTAAGGTTCTGAGAAAGCATAGGTGTGGTCTTAATGGACTTGTTTTTACGTTCTAGCCTTTGTACCAAGGTACCAGTTTCTTCTTTTAATGTTTAACTTACACATTCATCAGAGTTACATTAAGGTGTTGGTGAAGGCCGACTGCTCTGGTTGCTGATGGAAACCTGGCTTGCCACATTTTGAGAGTTTTAATACCCAGCAAATGTTACTTGTACTTGAAAATTTTGTTTTGATTTTCTCAAACTTGTCCCTTACATAACAACTCTGTTTTGCTCTTTGCATGACCTTCTTTCCAATGAAAATTTTAATTTCATATATATGTAAGAGAAGTCATTTAAATACCATTTTGTGCTTCTCTTTTTAGTAGCTCTTATCTCAAACAAGAAAAATAGAATGTATAAGCATTTAAATATATATTATATATTTATAATTTTATATTATATGGTATATATTTATATTTTATAAATATAAAATATTTATATATTTTTATATATTTTATATATTATAAATATATTTTTATATATTTTATATATTTTTCAAAATATTTTTTGAAAAATATATTTATATTTTATAAATATTTTATATTTACTATATTTTAATATATTTTAATAAATATAAAATATTAATATTTTATATTTTTCAAAAAATATTTAAAATATGGTAAAGTATATGTTTACTTAAAAATAATTTAAATAAAATAATTATATAATGGTGAAGTGTTAAATATATAAATGTGTATGTATATATATATTTATATATTCTTCAAATGAAAGGGAAAACTATTTATTTTGTGTGTCCTTACATCAAATATTTTAGATGCTGCTAGATTTCTGGTATATTCATTATTAGATATTAGGGCCTTTATTAGATATTATTAGATATTAGGGCCTTTAAACTATTTTAAATAATTAGATATTAGGGCCTTTAAAATATTTTAAATAAATAAGTGAATGAATGGAAAACTTCATGAATAGCACATTTTATCATCTCTGAAAACACTGATGCTCAGAGAGATTGAATAATGTGCCCAGGATTACCTGGCTAGTTAAAATGAGCCAAACTTTTAGATACGTCAGTCTGCCTTACAAAAAACCTATGGTCTTCTTACCAAACCAATTTGTGTAACAATATGGTAGGCTGGAGTACATGCATTTGGTAACTCAAGCACAAGGAAGGCATTTACAAAGGCAAAATAACTCAGGAAAATTTTGCCCTCATATAAAGCATAGCTAGCTCATTCTGCATTGTAACTTTAAAATAATACCACTATTAATCCTATTTTTCATCTAATTATAAAATCCTTTATGATCAGAAGATTTGGGGTATGACTTAAATAGTATAACTAAAGAAAAGATAAATATGTTTGGATTTTTTACTTTTTGGAAATTTTTGATGTCTGGAAAAATTAATTATAAGGGTTATCTAGATTCACTATTGCTAATACAACATTCATATGGGAGAAAGATAATACTGCGTGAGATAAGAGCTACTACAAAGAGAAGCATTAAATGGCCTTAAATGACTCTTTTATAATCTATGTAAGGAAAAGATACTTTATTTACATATTCATATCCACATATATTTTAATTTGTAAGGAAAACATCACTCTGTGAGGTACACATTATAAAATAACTAAGGATCTATGACAGAAAACAAAATATGCAGATATTTTTAAATAAAATGAGATTAACAGGCTTATCCCAGTTCCAGCTTTATTCTATGACAAGGTTATCTTAATTATCTTATCCATCCTGCCCGGACCTCAGAATGCTGACAGCAATATTCGTAGGGTTTTGATTAGATACCATTTCTTAAAGATATTTGCAGGAACTTTTACAATATGTGATATTAGACTGACTATGTGAATTCTATTCACTTTATAAAACAGTGAATAGGAATGTATTCACTTTATAAAACAATGAATAGAAATATACAGTTTCCTACATTTATTCACTAATTCAGCACATATTTCTTGAGTATCTGTTACAGGTCTGGTATTTTACTGGACTTCGTAGATATTGAATGAGCCAAACCAGTCACATCTTCTGCATCTAGAACAAATATATCTCAATCAAATTGTCTAATATAAAATTATTGCTAAATATATTTTTTAAATTCATGCTTGCTCTTTCCCAAGATTGAATTTACTAGTAAATCTTACTGACTTTACCTCCAAAGTATATGCAGATCCTAAATACTTATCATCTCCATTTCTATCTGATCCTAGCTCCCATCTCTGAGTCCAGAATTATTCTAATTATTCTATTGGTCTCCCTTTTTCTGTCCTTTGGCTTACCTTCTCTCAATGCCTACTCTCAACACAGTAGCTACAGTGACACTTTCAAAATACGTTAGATCATGTCACTTCTTTGCTTAAAATCTTCCGGTGGCATAATGTCTCACCCAGAATTCATATTCAAAGTCCTCTCCATGACCCTACATCTGAAATATGCTTTTCCTGTCGCACTCTCTGATGTCTTCTACCAACCATCCCCCCAACGTCTTTGAATTCCTTGTTTTTTCTCAAATGCCAGACACATCCATGCCTCACCATCCCTGCCTTGCGCTTCTTACTGTCTGCAATTTTTGCCTCATGTATTCACTTGGCTCACTTTCTCACTCCCTTCAGGTACCAACTCAAGTGAAACCTTAGTGAGGTCTCTTATTCCTTACATGGAAAAGTTACACTAATCCTGCCCCTTTTATCCTTAACCTGCTTTATTATTTTATTGTATTCTCTGTATTGGACACCATTTGCTACCTGGTAATTCTCATATGACTTAATTTACTACCTGATACATTGCAAGTATTCATTAAGTATTTGTTTTTGAATAAATATAGCTAAATTATATGTTGTCATTACAATATGTTGCTATATGTCATTCTATATAGAGGTGACTAATGATGTAGAAAATTTGCAAAACACATTAAGCTAAAAGATAGATGATAGATAGATAGATGGTAGATAAAATCAAAATGTTATTTTGGTGTGGGCTTTGTTATGGGTGATGTTTTTATGTGTGACTTCCTATTTATTTCTATTTTTATGATATAACACAAAATATCAGTAAAATGCAACAAAAAAGTTTTAAATAAATGAAGAAAACAATTCAAAGAAGTGTTCAGATATGTAACAATAAAATTAGGAATAATGTCCTGGGATAACTTTAGCAGTAGTATTTTACTACTAATCAATCATTTCCTAGTATGGATTACTTGGGGGCTGAAGCCTTTTATAGTTAGGAAAAAAGAGAATTGTGGTCCTGTTCACAAACTTGATCATCTTTTTTCATCATGTTTCTGTGGCTTTGATTTCCATTCTCCTTTTTCACCATCTCATTGCTCTGACCTATTACTAATATCAAAGATTCCTGCTCATGCAAGAATTATTAGTTTCTTTACCTTAGAGGCCATCTGTTCTGTTTCTAAAAGAGCTCAACAACTCTATTTCTATTGTTCTTGCAAGTTCTGTTTTGGTTTCTAATTTTACTTACATGAAACCGTGCTACATCATGCATTCCAGGAAGGGAAATCTTCTGGTATAATTCCTTTGGAAGGTAGATGTACGCTGGCCTGAATTATTGCCTATGACTATATATAAAAAGTGCATTGTGAAATATTCTATTTTATATATTGGACACTTCCCATAAAGTTCTTCTGTACTATTCTTTAAATGCTCATCCTTAGCTGATGATAATTTTTTTCATAACAGATATGTTCACCATATTCTATCTTGATATTGAATTTAATTGAGTCCCCTGGGGCTTTGCTCTTTTACTGTTTGGTAGAAAATCATGCCAGGTTTTGGGTTAACTTGACTTCAAATATCTACTAAAATCATAGAGATAAAAGAACCCTAAAATAATATACTGGAAATCCTTAGTGGTTTTGAATATTAGCACTTGAAATTGAGTTGGGGTTGGCCTGGGAAGGGGTTTCCGTGAAATTTGACAACATTCTATTGGTATAGCAACTTTGTTTCTTAGTTCCCAGAAACTTCAAATTATTTGGCCATCTTTTCTGTGCTGACCTAGTTTTATTTTAGGGCAATTAGATTGTGACCTAAAATATCCATTACTTTGTAAATATATTGACAAATGTAAGACATATTTACCAAGATATTCCATATCGTAAGACTATAATGAACACTTGGGCGTGTGTGTATACCACATATTTGTATATGCTACATCTATATGTATAGCATAGGTATTACATATATGTGTAGTATATATGGCACACAAATATGTACATGCATATACATAAATATATTTATATATTAAATTTTATTAACTATTGAAAATCTTTAAAATCTATGATTATTCTTGTTTACTTGATCTGATAAATTCTTTATTTATTTTTTCTGAGATGGAGTCTCACTCTGTCACCCAGGCTGGATTGCAATGGGGTAATCTTAGCTCGCTGCAACCTCCGCCTCCCGGATTCAAGTGATTCTTGTGCCTCAGCCTCTCAAGTAGCTGGTATTACAGGCCCACGCCACCACGCCTAGCTAATTTTTGTATTTTTAGTAGAGATGGGGTTTCACTATGTTGGCCAGGCTGGTCTTGAACTCCTGACCTCAAGTGATCCTCCTGCCTCGGCCTCCCAAAGTGCTAGGATTACAGACATGAGCCACCGTGCCCAGCCTGATAAATTCTTAAAGATGAGTATTTCGATCACATGAATTTCTCATTACATTTACAGTAGTTCTTTCCTTGATGTGCTTCTCTGCTAGTTATTTTACCTTCTTCAGTAGACAATCACTTTGTCAGTGGTTTTGTCCTTCAGGTCCACTTTACATGATACTATTCATTGTATTTTATAATTTTTAAATTATGATCTCCATTTTGTTCTAATTTTATATTTTATAACTAAGATACTCATATATCTTTGAACAGCCTTATTTTACACCTGCTGTATAAGTGCAGTTAGTGACCAAATACACACATGCCCAGGAGGAAAATAACAGATGCCAAAATTTTCCTCTGACTTTCTGTTGTTTTTCTGACTTGAACACTTTTGTTATTGCCTACTTTTTATGAAGTAGGTCCATATAAATGCTTAGTTTGTTTCTCCATCTTGAATGTTATTTTCCTATTATTACTAGACTAAAACCATGTTTTATCATATATTAAAATATTTGATTTCCATTTTATTATAATAATAAATAAAAATAAAACAGGTATTATTCTATTTTCCATTCAGTAGGGTCTTATTAGATATTTAAAATTCCCCTTCTCTCCCTTTCTCTTTCTCTCTCTGTGTGTGTGTAAATATTATTTTCCCTTTCTCATTTTCTATAAAGATTTTTTCCTATATTCTGGTTTCTAATTTTGTACTCAAGAAGTGTAACACTAGTATATTTTTTTCCTAATTCAAAAACTTATATTTCTGTATGGAAGCTGATAATTTTTTTTTACTTTTAGGACATAGAATTGTTATCAGTATCTGTCTAGGTAAAATCTAAATGTGTGTCTTTTTACGTTTTAGTTATTAACCCTGAATAAAATTTTTAATTTATTTTCATTAGGAGACCCAGCATTCCTATTAATGTAAGATTCTTTTCATAATTTCATTAATTATTGTATCTATCTTTTATTATTTTTCTTCCTGGAAAAACATTACTTGCATGTTAGTGCTTTTGAATCTGCCCTTGAAGGCATTAGTATGTTTTCTTATTATTTACATTAATTTTTTTGTTAAACATTATGGGAATTTTTTTTAAGTTTGTGAAGCCTACCGCTTAGTTTTAGAACATGTGTATCAGATTTTTCTTCCAGTTTATCCATTGAATTATTACATTTAGAAATTATGATCTTATTTCTTTACATTGTTTTGTATCTTATGTTTTTCTCCTTGAGAGTCCTTAGTATCACTCCTAAATGTTTTCTACTGCCTCCATAGGAGCTAACAATTTTAACATCTAGCTTTTTTTGTCCTCCCTTACATCCACAACTCCTTGTAAATAAGCATATTTACTTTTATCTTTGCGGATATTGTTTCCAAAGTAGGGAAATTGTTCACTGACAGGAAGTGATAAACCAGTTGCAGAACATGAACTTACCTTTGCAGTGGATCACTGGCTGACTGACATGGGGAGAGTGGATGGCTTCTCTGCTTCCAGGTTTCTTCATGTACAAGGGAGGATGGTGTGATCCTGCAAGACATAATGAAGCAATTTAAGTTCCATCGTCAACTCAGAATCCACTAGCAGAGTAGGTATATAACAGACAGCTCTTAAAACTGTCAAAGCAATGCTCTGACACCTCCAACAGCCAAGTATTCCGTGGATATTTCCCCAGATGCTACTGTTAACTTAGAAGCCCTGGGCTCATCAGGCATCCCAGACAATTTTCTCTGGAAAGTTGCTAGGCCTGTAATGCACGAAGATTTCTCTCATCCATTCATCCATCATACTTATTTTATTTTGTGAGTACTTTTTTGGTAGGTGTTAGAAGAGAGGGGAGTTTAAAATGTATGTTTCTAAAATATCTTCACCTTTTTCTGATATCCCACTTTATTTTACATATTATAAACCATTTAAAAGTCAGCAAATGGGAATCTAAAAAGGAATGGGTTGTTGTCTTTAAACAAGCAAAATGGAAATAATAATCATGATGATGATGATGGTAAAGAAACCTTATTGTCAAATGATACAAAAAAGGTATATACACAAAAGTGCTAGTAGAGAATAGACCTAGTAATCACATTTATTCACACATTCACTTACTAAGCCAACAGTTATTTATGCTAGGCACTCTGTTTTTTGCTGGGAATACAAAGATGAGTAAGAAACAATTTCTTGTCTTGAGAGGCTCACAGTCTGAAAGTTTTCATAGCATTAGCTGCAGCAATAGCATAGCACTAATAATCAACATTTCTTTTATACCTAGAATATTCTATGTTCTCTACTAAGTGCTCTGCCTGTGTTTTCTCATTTACAAGCGTTCAAAATGTTTTTATGAATAGGATATTGTTATTATCCTCATTTTGCAAGTTAGGAAACAAAGGCATTTGGAGACTAAGCAACTTGTCCGAGATCATGCAACTAGTATAGAATTCAAATGAAAGTAGTCCAACTCCAGGATCACCTTGTATGTAACAATGATGTCTTCTTGAGCCTATATAGTTTAGAAAGCCATTCATTAAATAGTGATAATACTAACAATAAAAGAAGAGACATTTAACAATCATCTAAGCAACACCGAGTAAGCAGGGAAGAGCACTGCTGTGGAAGAGCAATTAGAGAGTTTTTAGTAATCCATGCATTGATCAACATGATGTTGATTTTATTGGGCTAGCTGAAAGGTTTGTATTGGAAGGGAGCACCATGGGAAAAAAATTTGGATTATAAAAATTATCTTGTTGAAGAAGAACATGATAAAACAGGGAAATGTAATGTAGAAAAGCTTACAGTATTAGGTAATTAAGTTCAACTCTTCAAATATATGAGCAATTAATTTTTTTAAACTCCTTCAGATCATGAGGATTAATATATCAATTCTTATGAAAAACATTTTGGAAATTGAAGAAAATACCAAGTCATTTCAGTAAAAAGCAGAAAAAAATTATCTGAATAATATGAATCATTGAGAATTCTTGACAAGGTGAACACACCTTATCTCCATTTTAGTCAGAAAGAAGAAAAGAAAGAAAATATTATTTCAGTTGAGTCATTTGAACATTTAAGCAAATACAAGTATGATGACTTAACAACTCTTAGGTGTGAGTAAGAGTTTAGTGTTCTATTATTACTAACAAGATAGACTTTTGTTAACTTTCTTCTAAGAACTGTTTCTTTTCACTTATTCAGCACATGTGGCAAAACAAAGTCATCAAGCAAAATGGACCCTACAAACCATGGATAATATAAATTGTAGAAAATTCTAAGATGAATTTTTACACATTGCCTTTTCAGTGAGGAAAACATTTATTGACAGAAGTTGTTGTAGGAAAATTGAGCTGCTTCTTTTGGGTGCTGAGGAAAGAGTACAAGAATCTCAGGCCGTATATTTTAAAAATTTCATAGGTCTATTCTGAACTGTTTTAATATATCTTATTTTTGGATAGTGAAAACTAAATCACTTTAACTTCAGTACCCAGAGCTCCTCATTCATGTTCACATCTATGCAGATACCTTAACAATTACTATGTTTATATCCATAATATCCACAAATAAACAGCTTTAATTTTTTCTTTCTAATTTTTGTGACTTTTTCTTGCCTTAGAGCACAGACTAAGATTTGCAATATAATGTCGAATAGAAGTAGTAAGAGAAGTCAAGCTTGTATTATTCCTCATCTTAATATTTCACCATTAAATATGATTAAAGTATTTTGTTAGTAAATGCCCTTTATTGGATGGAAGAAACCATCATTTATTGCAAATTTGCTAAGATTTTTTTTTTATTATGAATGATTGATGAAGTCTAACAAATGTTTTCTCTATATCTACTGTAGACTCACACATTTTTATTATGCTTATGTGATGCATTATGTGAATTAGTTAATGATGAATCAACCATTATTGCATTTAAAATATATTTCTGGATTTACATTGTTGATTTTTGACAATGATTTTGCTTGTCTTATCAAGAGTAGTATCGGTATGTAATTTCCTTTTGATATAATGTCCCTGGCCTCATATAATAACTTGGTAAGTGTTTAATTCTTGTGTACTTTCAAAATTAAAAATATGTAACATATGTATTATTTCTTCCTTCAGAGTATGATATAATTCATCAGAGAAGAGCTCCAGAGGCCTGGAGTTTTCTTCATAAGAAGTTTTTGGTCTAATCAATTTTTAAAATTTATTAGATACATTTCAATTAGTTTAATGATTACATAACTGTTTTATTAAATGCACTTAATAAAAATACTTAATGTGTAGTATTTTAATAGCAATACTAAGTATATTTATATATTGATAATTACATTTAATAATTATGCATTTCATGTTTATTTTGATAAATTGTATTTTTAAGGAATTTGTGCGTTTTGTCAAAATTGCCGATTTTAGTGTCATAAAGTAATTCATATTTCCTCATTTTCTTTGCTCTTTATTGACAAATAATATTGTGTTATTATCCTTTTTATGTTTATAGAATCTCTTATGATATGAAATTTTTTATTCCTGATATTAGTGAATAGTAATTTCTGACTCCTTTTATCATAATTTTTAATAGCTATTTAGTGGTTTTAGTAATCATTACAAAAAAAGAATCCTTTGCATCTGTTTATTTTCTTTAATGAATGCATGTTTTAAATTGCATTAGTTCTGTTCTTATTTTTATCATTTTATTTCTCCTATTTCCTTTAAAGTTATATTCTTTTATTTTCTCAATCCTAATGTCTTTCAGAACTATTTGAGTTCTATCTTTTAATCCGATCTAAAATCTTATTTTTACTGTATCTACATTTAACCTATTACTGTTATTATTGCCTGTAAGTCTGTCATCCTGATATGTTTTTGTCTTTTTGACTTGTTCCTTTATTTGTTCTTTCTTTATTTCTTTTGTATTATTCCAAAATATGTATTTTTAAATTTTTCCATTTTGTCTCCTGCTTGCTTTTTAATTTCATTTTTGTGATGCTTTCAGTATAATTAATTTATTGATTATTCTAGAAATTACAAAATGCAAGCTTAGCTTAAAACAATTTTCTTTATGTTAGTACTTTTACCATCTTCCACAATATAAAATCTTACTATAGTTTAACTACCATTGTTTTATCTCTGCTTTTTGTGATACAAACTGCATACATGGGACATCCTTTAATATATCTATCTCTGCTACATCCTGTTTAGTTAAGTTGTTTTTCATTCTTTTTTGTCTTTCAGTTTCCTTCTGGATAATTTTCTGCCCACTAATTTACTAAGCCTTTCTATATTCCATATATTTATTTTTATAGCTCTAGAATGGTCATGGGATTATTTTTCTAGATTCTGTTTTCAATTGAAATATTCTATTGATTCATCCAATTTACCCACATTTAGTTCTGTTTCCTTTCACATGTTAGATGTAGTTAAGTTCTTGTTGCTGATCAGGATCGCTATAATCTCTGGGTTTACTTCTATTGGCTGCCTTCACTCTTCATTATCAGTCAAATTCTTCTCAATGTATCTAGTAAATTTTGATTAATGAAACATATTGAAGATGACATAATATAGGAGCTCTGGACTATGTTATTTTCCCCCAAAGAGTAGTGGATTTAGTTCTGTCTTGTAGCCAAATTACCTGCTGATTTTACTAATCTTCCTGAGGCATGGTTTTAGGCTTGATTGGGATAGTTCTATTTTAATTTTTCTCTTTCTCCAAGGGTATAGTTCTTCTTCATAGGCTTTACAGATAGGATATGTATTTTTCTGGAATCTTCATTCAACAGCCAAGGTATGCATTAAGGCTCCTCCACTCTGGCTGGGCCTGAATATCAAAGTCAACATTGCTCCAACACTCAGCAACTTTTGAAATATCTTTAGCTTCCTGTCAATTTCTTGTCCTTGTTCTCTCTCTCTCTCTCTCTCTCTCTCACTTGCAATAGTCACAGTCCTTGCCTTTACAGTTTAGAAGGTGGCCAAAGATCGGATGGAAATGTTTCATAGATATCTAGGGCTTCTATTCTGTAGATACCTTCTTTCCAGTAATCTGACTCTTCCTCCATCTTTGCTGCCTTAGCAGTATTGAAGCCAATCTGTTTCTTCCCACTCTGTGGCTCTCCGTTTGCACTGTAGTTCAGAATGTGCCCTCAAGGAGTAAATACGGTGTAAACATGGGCTCACTTAGTGTGCCATCCGTCTCTTGAAAATCATAGCCCAGTATTAGTTGCTGTCTAGTGCCTGCAGAAAGTTCTTTTTAACATTTTATATTTTTTATTTTGATATATATATATATATATTGTAGTCGTGGAGGGTAAGGCATTCATGGCCAGAACCTAAAGGCCCATTGTCATTTAATTACTCAAAATTATTTATCGCAAGACTGAGTTAGTTTCTGAGAATTCGATGTTGTGCAAAATAACAGGCTCTGCTTTCAATACCCATGTTTTCATGGAGAATGCACACAACTAGAGACATATAGCATTTTGTGTCTGGCAAGGAATTTATAGTCTCATAAAGCACTCCAAAATTGATTTTTAAAATCTTTAAAACTCTTCATGTATCTTAGGTTTCTTTCCCCACGAGTCTCCACAGAATACCTTTGACAAGAAGATATAATTGAGATATATGGCCCTAACTTACTGGCATAAATTATCAATCTTTGAAGATGGTCATTAAAATATTGATGAAAACTTTAAATATAGCATGCTTTCTTCTTTAAAAATATAATACATATATCAATGTGCATTATATCTTTAGTTATATATACATTTTGAGATTTATGACCATAGAATGATGCAGTTATTTTCAAACAGAAATGTAGAGTGAAGAATTTTGCCAAAGTATCTATCTCTGCAGAAACAAGCACATATATTACACATTTACATGTAGATAAAATACTAAACAAAAAATTAGTATATTAGTATTTTTCTGTAAACAGCTAATGTTAGTATTTTTTAACATATCAAGGAGTTTAGCAGAAAATTTTCTAAAACCTTCCATTATCTGCAGACCCTTATTTAGTCAGTTGATGTAGGTGAAATTAGACTGTGTAGAATTTTTATTCTCATTACAAATAAGTATTTTTTAAATGACCTTTCAAAAAGTTGTGTAGTATATCCCAGAATGTCATAAGTAAAATAAGAACTTTTTCTTTATCTATAATTTCCAAAAGCAGGGGATTTCTTATTTAAAGTTTAAGTAAATTGCTCACAAATTAATAGAATTACGGTCATCCCTAGATTGTTCATAAGGTGGTTTTAATATCCTAAACTATTTGAAATGAATTTTATAATGCTTCTGATGTTTTTATGTGGAGAAAGTCTTAATCCAGATAAACAATTTCTGGTTCCAAAGAATATGAAAACTTAAAAAAAAACCTCCAATTAATTCAGCCTTAATCTGATTTTACTGAAGATGTGTTGATTTTTGTTATTGTTTTTAAAGCTTTTACCACATATCTTAGAGTATTTAGAAGGTCTTAGTTTTCATAATCTATAAAAAACATATGACCTGCTGTATAAGTCTCAGTCTATCTTGGAAGCATACAAATGACAGTGTTTCATATTTCTTTGTTTATATTAAAGATAAGTCTGGGAAGCAAGATGCTACTCAGAGTTTCTCAACCTCACCACTATTGACATTTTGGGTGAGATAATTATTACCTGTTGTGATAGGCTATCCTTCGCATCACTGGCCATTTAGCAGCATTCCCACCTTCCAGCTACTTCATATTTTCCACCCTAGTGTGACAATCAAATACATTTCCGGACATTGCCAAATGTTCCCTGGCATGGGAGAGGGTTTTGTGTGTGTGCTAGACCAAATGATCTAGCTCGCAATAGAGAAAATGTTGCTAGAGAAGATATGTCCGCAACAGCAGAATGGCAAAGCAGAAGGGCACAGAGTAGTAACAGGTACAATAGAACAAAACAATAACTAACACATGTAGTGCTTTTTAAGCGTCAGACATTGCTATAAAACTTTCTGTTTAAAGTTGCGTTATATTCTCAACAAGCTTATTAGTTAAGTATTATCATCTGCATTTTACAGACTAGGAAACTGATGTACACAGATTTAAAATTACTGCAACATACAACTAGTAAGTGGTTTTAATCTTGAGAAGCATATCTCTAATATGAATTTGCTTATCATTTTTGTTTGTTTTGAGATGAAGTCTCCCTCTTGTCACCCAGGCTGGAGTGCAATGGAGTGATTTTGGCTCACTGCAACCTCCGCCTCCCAGGTTCAAGCAATTCTCCTGCCTCAGCCTCCCGAGTACCTGGAATTACAAGCGTCTGCCACCATGCCCAGCTAATTTTTGTATTTTTAGTAGAGATAGGGTTTTACCATGTTGGTCAGGCTGGTCTCAAACTCCTGACCTCAGGTGGTCTGCCCACCTCACCCTCCTGAAGTGCTAGGTTTACAGGCATGCGCCACTGCGCCTGGACTATTTATCAATTTTTAATATAATTTTTATTTATAATAGTTTTATTTTATTTACTTTTTTTATATAATTTCAACTTTTGTTTAGGATTCAGGGGGTCCATGTGCACATCTGCTACATGAGTATATTGTGTGATGCTTAGGTTTTGGGTATGATTGAACCCATCACCCAGGAAGTGAGCATAGTACCCAACAGTTAGTTTTTCAACACTTGCCCTCCCACCCTCACCTCCCTTTCCCCTTTGGTAATCTCCAGTATCTATTATTACCATCTTTAATTCTGTGAATACCCAATATTTAGCTTCCATTTATAAGTGAGAATTTGTGGCATTTGGTTTTCTGTTCCCGTATTTATTCACTTAGACTAATGGCCTCCAGCTGTATTCATGTTGCTGTAAGGGACATGATTTTATTCTTTGTATGGCTGCATAACATTCCATGTTTTATACGTGACACATTTTCTTCATCCAATCCACCAGTGATGGACAGCTAGGTGGATTCCATGTCTTTGCTACTGTGAAAAGTGTTGTGATAAACATACAAGTGCATAGGCCTTTTTGGTAGAATGATTTTTTTTTCATATATGTCTAGTAACAGGATTGCTGGGGAAAATTGTAATTCTGTTTTAAGTTTTTTGAGAAATCTTCAAACTGGTTTCCACAGTGGCTGAACTGATTTACATTCTCACCAACAGTGTATAAGCCTTCCTTTTTCTCTGCCAGCATCATTTGTTTTTTGACTTTTTAATAATGGCCGTTTTGATTCGTATGAGATGGTATCTCATGAATTTGATTTTCATTTCTCTGATGATTTGTGATGTTGAGAATTTTTTCATTTGTTTCTTGGTCACTTGTATGTCTCCTTTTGTTGGTTCATGTCCTTTGCCTACTTTTTCGTGAGGTTGTTTTTTTCTTGTTGAATTGTTTAAGTTCCTTACAGATTCTGGATGTTAGAACTTTGTTGCATGCATAGTTTAGAAGTATTTTCTCCCTTTCTGTGTGTTGTCTGTTTACCAGGTTGATAGTTTCTTTTGATAAGCAAAATCTCTTTAGATTAATTAGGCTCCCCTTGTCAAGTTTTGTTCTTATTGCAATTGCTTTGGAGGACTAGGTTATAAATTCTTTCCCAAAGCAGATGTCCATAATGATGTTACTTAGGCTTTCTTCCAGGATTCTTGTATTTTGATGTCTTACATTTAAATGTTTTACATTTATTTTTTATTTTTTTGAGATGGAGTTTCACTCTTGTTGCCCAGGCTGGAGTGCAATGGCACAATCTCGGCTCACCACAACCTCTGCTTCCTGGGTTCAAGTGATTCTCCTGCCTCAACCTCCTGAGTAACTGAGATTACAGGCATGTGCCACCACGCCCAGCTAATTTTGTATTTTTAGTAGAGACGGGGTTTCTCCATGTTGGTCAGACTGGTCTTGAACTCCCAACCTCAGGTGATCTGCCTGCCTCAGCCTCCCAAAGTGCTGGGATTACAGGTGTGAGCCACCGCACCCAGCCTACATTTAAATCTTTAATGCAAACTGAGTTAATGTTCATATATACTGAAAAATAGGGGCTCTGTTTCATTCTTCTGCATATGGCTGGACAGTCATGCCAGCACAATTTACTGAATAGAAAGTCCTTTCTCATTGCTTAGTTTTGTCAACTTTGTCAAAGATCAGAAGGCTGCAAGTGTGCAGCTTTATGTGTGAGTTGTCTATTCTGTTCTATTGGTCCATGTGTCTGCTTTTGTACCAGTACCATGCTGTTTTGGCTACTGTAGCCTTGTAGTATGGTTTAAAGTCAGGTAATGTGATGCCTCTGGCTTTGTTCCTTTTGCTTAGGATGACTTTGGCCTCTTTTTTGGTTACATATGAATTGTAGAAGAGACTTTTATAATTCTGTAAAAAATGACATTGATAGTTTGATAGGAATAACATTGAATCTGTAGATTGCATTGGGCAGTATGGCCATTTTAACAATATTGTTTCTTTCAACCATGGCCATGGAATATTTTTCCATTTATTTGTGCCATCTCTGGTTTATTTCAGCAGTGCTTTGTAGTTCTCCTTTTACAGACCTTTCATCTCCTTGGTTAGATGGATTCATAGGTATTTTATTTTTCCTGTGGCCATTGTCAATGGGATTGAGTTCTTGATTTGGCTCTCAGCTTGAATATTATTAGTGTATACCAATGCTACTGATTCTTGTATATTGTCTTTGTATTTTGAAACTCTACTGAAACTATTTATCAGTTCCAGGAGACTTTGGGCAGAATCTTTATGGTATTTGATCTATAGAATCATATTGTCAGCAAAGATAGATAGTTTGACTTCATCTTTTCCTATTTGGATGCCCTTCATTACCCTCTCTTGCCTGATAACCTGGCTGGGACTTCCAGCACTATGTTGAATAAGAGTAGTGAGAGTGGACATACTTGTCTTGTTCCAATTCTCAACAGAAATATTTCCAATTTTTGCCCATTCTGTGTGATGTTGGCTGTGGGTTTTTCAGAGATTGCTCTATTTTTCTGAGGTATGTTCCTTCAGTGACTAATTTGTTGACAGCTTTATCATAAAGGGATGTTGGATTTTATTGAAGGCTTTCTCTGCATCTGTTGAAATGATCATAAGGTTTTTGTTTTGAATTCTGCTTATGTGGTGAATGTCATCCATTCATATGCGTACACATATGTTGAAACAACCTTGCATCCCAGGGATCAAGCTTACTTGATCATGATGAATTAACTTTTTGACGTGCAGCTGAGTTTGGTTTGATGGCATTTTGTTGAGGATTTTTGTGTCTATTGTCTTCAGGGATATTGGCCTATAGTTTTATTATTATTGTTATTCATTTTGTGTTTGCCAGGTTTCGGTACCAGGATAATGCTGGCTTCATAGAGTGAGTTATGGAGAGTCCTTCCTCTTCATTTTTTTTGGAATAGTTTCAGTAGAAATGGTACCAGCTCTTACTTGTACATCTCATAGAATTCTGCTATGAATCCATATGGTCTAGGGTTTTTTTGGTTGCTAGTTTTTTTTTTTTAATTAATGATTCAATTAGGAGCTTGTTATTTGTCTGTTCAGGGTTTGAATTTCTTCCGATTCAATCTTGGGAGGTTGTGTGTTTCCAGGAATTTATGCAATTCCTCTAGATTTTCTGATTTATATGCATAGAAGTGTTCATAATAGTGTCTGAGGGTTTTTGTATTTCTGTGGGATCAGTTGTAATGCCTCCTTTGTCATTTCTGATTGTGCTTATTTGGATCTTTTTTTTTCTTTATTAATCTAGCTAGTGGTCTATTAATCTTTTTCATCCTTTCAATAAACTAAGTTTGGTTTCATTGATTTTTAATGGATTTTTTGCATCTTAATTTGGTTCAGTTTTGCTCTGATTTTAGTTATTTCTTTTTGTGCTAGTTTTAAGGTTAGGTTGTGCTTGTTTTTCTAGTCCCTCTAGATTTGATGGTAGATTGTTAATCTGAGATGTCCAGGTAGGAATTTAGCACTATAAACTAACCTCTTACCACTGCTTTGCTATGTCCTAGAGATTTTGGTATGTTGCGTCTCTGTTTCATTTATTTCAAAGAATTTTTGGATTTCTGCCTTAATTTTGTTGTCTATCCAAATGTCAATCAGGAAGAATTTGTTTAATTTCCATGTAACTGTGCAGTTCAGGGAGATCTTCTTGGTATTGATTTCTATTTTTATTCCACTGTGATCCAAGAGTGTGGTTTGTATGATTTTGGTTTTTTTTTTTTTTTTTTTTTTTTTTGAGACGGAGTCTCGCTCTGTCGCCCAGGCTGGAGTGCAGTGGCGGGATCTCGGCTCACTGCAAGCTCCGCCTCCCGGGTTCATGCCATTCCCCTGCCTTAGCCTCCCAAGTAGCTGGGACTACAGGCGCCCGCCACTACGCCCGGCTAATTTTTTGTATTTTTAGTAGAGACGGGGTTTCACCGTTTTAGCCGGGATGGTCTCGATCTCCTGACCTCGTGATCCGCCCGCCTCGGCCTCCCAAAGTGCTGGGATTACAGGCGTGAGCCACCGCACCTGGCCGGTTTTTTTTTTTTTTGAAATTATTGAGATTTGATTTATGGCTGAGCATGTGGTTAATCTTGGACTATGTTCTGAGTGCGGATAAGAAAAATGTGTATTCTGAGGTTGATGGGTGGAGCGTTCTGTAGATGTCTATTAGGTCCAATTGGTCAAGTGTCAAATTTAACTCCACAATTTATTTGTTAGTTTTTTGCCTCAATGATCTATCTAACACTGTCAGTAGGATATTGAAGTCCCCCAGTATTACTGCCTGGCCATCCAAGTCTTTTCATGTATCTGGAAGTAGTGGTTTCACAAATTTGGGTGCTGTAATGTTGAGTGTATATATATTTAGAATAGTTAAATCTCCTTGTTAAATTGAAAATTTTATCATTATGTAATGACCTCCTTGTCCTTTTTTGTTAGTGATCCTTTAAAGTCTATTTTATCTAATATAACAGAAGCAATCTCTGCTCTTTTTTTCCCATTTGCATGATAGATCTTTCTCCAATTCATTATTTGAAACTATGAGTGTTGTTATGTGTGAGGTGAATTTTTTGACAACAGCAGATGGATGGGTCTTGTTTATTTAACTGGCAACTCTTTGCCTTTCACATGGGGCATTTAAACTGTTTACATTCAAGGTTAATACTGATATGTATGGCTTTGATCCTATTGTGATGTTTTTAGCTGGTTGCTTTGTAGTTTCTATCATATGGTTGCTTTATAGGGTCTGTTGGCTATGTACTTAAATGTGGTTTTATGGTAGCCAGTATCATTCTTTCATTCCCATTTTTAGAACCTTGTATCTCTTGTAAGGCTGGTCTAGTGGTAACAAATTTTCTTTGTGCTTGTTCGCCTGGAAGATTTTATTTCTTTTTTCACGGATGAACCTTAGTTTGGTAGGATATAAAATTCTTGCTTGGATGTTCTGTTTAAAAATGCTGAAATAGACCCATAGTATCTCCAGGCTTCTAAAGTTTCCGCTAAGAAGTCTGCTCTTAGCCTGGTGGGGTTTCCTTTGTATGTAATCTGACTTTTTCTCTATCTGCCTTAAGGATTTTTCCTTTAGTGTCAACCTTGGACAGTCTGATGACTATATGAGTTAGTGATGTTCATTTCATATATTGTCTCTCAGATGTTTTCTGAATTTCCTGTATCTGGATGGCTATCTCTCTTGCAAGATTAGAGAGATTTTTACCAATTTCCTCAAATATGTTTTCCTATTTGTTTACCTTTTTTCCCCTCTCAGGAATTTCAATAATTCATAGGCTTGGTTACTTTACAGAATTTCAAATTTCTCAAATATTATGTTTGTTTAAAGTGTTTTTTATTTATTTTTGTCTGACTGTAAAAGATTGATTTTCAAGTTCTAAAATTTTTCTGCTTTGTTCAGACTAATGATAAATCTTTCAGTTGTACTTTGAAATTACTTAAGTTTTTTTTTTTTTTTTTTTTTCAATTCTAGAAGCTCTGCTTGACTCCTTTTTAGGATTTTTATTTCTTCCTTCATTTCCTGGATTGGGGTAGAAGTTTATTTGTGTTGATTTTCTACCTTGTTTTAGATCTCATTACGCTTCCTTGCAATCCATGCTTTGAATTCTTTTTTTTTTTGGCTTGAGTTTCTTTTTTTTTTTAATTTTGTTATTATTATACTTTAAGTTTTAGGGTATCTGTTATTTCTGAGTTTCCATTTTGGTTAGGAATCATTACTGGAGAGATAGTGAGATCCTTTGGTGAATCCCACATTCAGATCTTTCATGGTGCCAGAATTCTTGTGCTTACTCCTTTTCATCTAAAGACACCGGCACGTCTCATTTTTGTAATTATTTTCATGCACGTAGGATTTTTTCCCTCCTTTCCCTATAATATTATTGTTGCCTTTTACTTTCCTTTTTTCTTTTTCCTTTTCCCAAGGTGGCGTGACTGTAGAGAATGCTGGGTAGGATATATTGGCTTTGCTTCTATAACCCTATGCAGTTCTTTTATCAGACTTTGTATTGGGCTGTGCAGTTTGACTTACAAGGCAGTAGAGGGTGCTTATGGGTAACAGCTATCTGCAGCCAACATAGCTAGGTGTATACTTAATCTTTGTTTACTGGGTCTCAGAAGCTCTCTGTTACCTCAGGCAATGGGCTGATTCATGGAGTGCACAGTGGTCTGAGCTCCCTGCTCTACCCTGGGAGGTTTGAAAAGCAAAATAAATGTGGTCAGATTAGGCAGGCCAACCTGCAGGTCCTCCAATGGCAGGCACAATCACCAGTGCTGAAGGAGAATCCAGAGGACAGACACTAAGCAACCAGAGGCGAGCCTAGACATGGACCTAGGAAACTTCCTAGGCCCCAAGTTCTCTTTACAGAAAGTGGGGCAACCTGAATTCTTAATCCAGGATAGTGAGTGCTCCAGATTTATGGATATCTGCCTGGCCATGAAGCAAAGAGGACCCCTGTGCTCCAACACACACACACACACACACACACACACACACACACACTCACCCCAGGATCTCGGCACAAGAAGGGTGGGGTGGGTCAGGCTGGTGATTCAGGCAAGCATGTGCTCTGAATGCCTGAAGATCTGCTTGGGGTTGGGGCAGAGAGGGTCCCACTGCACCACAATCTGCTTCCATGAAGGTTGGGGTAGCTTAAGCTGCAGGTTCAGGCAAGTGAGTGCTCCAAATGCCTGGAATTCTTCCTGGTCATAGAGCAGAGAGGGCTCCACTGCACCATGATCTCAGTGGAGTAGTCTGGGGTACCTAGCAATGACACATGCAGAGTGGCTCCAGGTCATCAAGTTGGCCTTGTCTTCAAGGCCACTTGTCACTCAGAAGAAACCACGGCAGTAGCAGCTTTCCTACCACCCCAGGTCTGTGAGAGGGCAGAGCACAATTCCAGAGTTTACTACTCAGCTGCTTTTCAAAATTCTGTCTGTTAAGTCCCCTCACTCACTCCAGAACAAGGGCCCCAATCTCTTGCCCAAGACAGAAATGTCCATACAGCCACGCTGTCGGGTTGCCAATGAACAGATGAGTTTGTATGAGCCCAGATAAAAAATGGCATCTTGCTCTCAGTCCTAGATCTGGAAAAATGCCTGCAGCTTCTGGTGTCATTCCCTTTCAGTGCCTCCAAGCCTCTCCCCAAGTTAGCACCAGCACTTGGGAGAAAGTACTCTCCCTCAGCCTGGGATGCTTCACTCTTCGGTGGAAAGGTGAGTCACAGAAGGAGGCT
This sequence comes from Homo sapiens, assembly GCF_000001405.40. Taxonomy (NCBI): domain Eukaryota; kingdom Metazoa; phylum Chordata; class Mammalia; order Primates; family Hominidae; genus Homo; species Homo sapiens. The sequence continues at coordinate 77,123,666 of NC_000006.12, read as the reverse complement.
CTCTGTCTCTTTCACATACTGGGGTTTCACTCACTTTTATCAGCTAGTTGCTGTCATGGGGGCTGTTTGGCTATGTTATCCTCCCTGGGATCTGGAGTGTCCATAATTTTAGTGTGTTCCTATTTTCCTTTTTGAATTAAAGCTCACAGAGTTGATGTTTATGCATTGTCTCGCTATTTCCAAGTAGCCGAGGCACACTAAAAACCTCTAATCCACCATCTTAGGGGAAAAAAAAAAAACACAAACACTTTAAATTTACAGAAAAGTTGCAATTATAGTACAAAGATTTCCCCTGTGGACCATACCTAGTTCTCCCTATAGTTTCCCCTACTTTTTATTACTATGGTATATTTTTCACAAATAATGAATAAATCATAATACATTAGGATTAACAAAAGTTTATACATTATTCAAATTTTTCAGTGTTACCTAATGTTCTCTTTTTCCTCTAGGATCTCATCCAGATAACATGTTATATTTAGTGTCTTAGTTCCTTAGGCTCCTCTAGACTGAGTTTCACAGATCTTCCTTGGTTTTTTTTATGACCTTGACAATTTTGAGGGGTACTGGTCAGGTATTTTATGGAAAGGTAATTGGCTGGAATTTGTCTGATGTTTTTCTCAGTAGCAGATTGGGTTCATGGGTTTTAGAGAAGAAGAACACAGAGGTAAACTGACATTCTCTTCTCCTTAATTTTAAGCTGCATTCAAAAGTACAACTACCCCACCTCCAAGCAGATCTCCAGGCATTCAGAGCACATGCTTGCCCGAACCAGCAGCCTGACCCACCCCACTCTTCCTGTGCAGAGATCCTGGTGTGTGTGTGTGTGTGTGTGTCTTTGTGTGGGGGGCCCTCTGCTCTATCACCAGGCAGATACTATCAACTTGAATTATCACGGATGATGCTAACTTCACATACCTGACTGAGATATTGCTTGTCAGATTTCTGTAAAGTTACTCTTTTACTCAAGTTCCTCTTTTTTAACTGTAAGGTGTTTTTTTCAATACTTCTTTTTCATACTGCACCTCTGGGAGAAGATCACTATGCGCAGCCTAAAATTAAGGAGTGGGGAGTTCTGTTGCACCATAAATGCATGTACATAAATTACTCTGGATTCTTCTGTATGTGATATTTGTTTAAACTGCCCATTTATTTATTTAATCATTTAGTTATATTAATATGAACTTATGGCTATTTGTTTTGCATTTTGTGTTATAAACCGGTACTCCTTTACTTATTGCTAAATTATTTCCAGCTTTGGCCATTGAGAGCTTTTTCAGTTGACTCCTGTGTCCCATTGACATACCCCCATTAATGTGTGTGACTCTGTGTGTGTGTGTGTGTGTGTGTGTGTATGTGTGTGTGTGTGTTTGTTGAAGCACTTTCTCTCTTTCTGGCATTATAAGATGTTCCACAGGCATCTTGTACATTCCCTGCCTTAGCCGTAGAATCAATCATATCTCCAAGAAGTCCTGGTTCATTTTATTGGAGAATGATGTTGGAAAGAAAGATCTGGGCACTTGGAGCATTCATTGCCACTGAGGAACCCTTGCTTCTAGGCCCTCTCAACTAACAAAGGAAGGGAATATATGTGTGTATAATAAGTTTTATATATACCTATATCTATAAATATTTACATATGTATTCCTCTGTATTTCTTCTGTGTTTGTATTATACTGATTACACTGATATCTCCAACTAATTAACTGCTTCATGAATCATACAGGTTTTCACCCCTTACTTATCTGAGCTTTTATAAAACTAATTATTAAAGTGTATAATCATATTATAGAACTGTTTTTTGTACTTCAATATAGGGTGATTGAAAGGGAAGTTTGTGAGCATTTATTTAAAAATCTGTCATTTAACAAATATAAAAACTGAGGCATATAGTCTGCATTCAAAAGAAAATAATTAGAGAATTTCATTTCACATATCTTTAAAATGACCTATAAATAGAGCTTTTCTAAGAATAAGTTGAATATATTCTGCTCTCACCTAGGATAATGCCTCTTGTCATTGACTTCTCCCTATGTTAAGTAAAAATTTCCTATCCTCCACTCCTTTGGAGCCTCTGAAAAGTCTACATGTCCCAGCACCTTTACAGTCAGGCAGGGAGTGACAGTGATACTTCCAGGCTGAAGGTGGTGAGTGAAATCCCAGGTGACCTTTCAGCAATCTCTTACCCTAAGGGGAAGCAAAAAGTATAAATTTTTTGTCTTGCTTTTGTTTATGTAATAGATAATAAATGGCAATTTATGTTAGCATTCAGCCACTTTGAAATGTTCTGTTTCAATTTTAGCTTAAAAAATCACACATTATACATAACCTTTTATTGTTATTGCTATTAAATTAAATGGCATTTATAGTTGAGTGGTTGTAATTCTGGGTATATTGAGTGATTCTGGAAATAAATGACAAGTTTTGTAATGACAATTTAATGGTATTGAAAGAGAAAATACCTGCTAGTAGAAATAAGGGATATTTTTGGGGGGATAATTTTTTGTTGTTTTTAGCACCTAGATTTAGCACTCTGAAAGGGTAGAGCCTATTTGTCAATTTAGGAGAATTCCAGGGGAGTAATTTCATTCTGGTGGAAGACTGTCAGATGCAGTTGAAAATGGAAATGGCTAAACTAGAGCTCATAAACTGGTGACAATAATTTTGAAGTGGATACATTTAGGCAAAATAAAAAGAGATTTTACACACACACACAACCATCATTATGTACATAACTAGGACATTTTATATTTAAATTACATCGTAGAAATAGTTGCTCAGAAAAGTTCACCTATCGATACCCCTGGAGAATGTGTAATCGCTTGAAATTATCTTAAATTGTATTTGATAAAGTCTCAGTGGAAACTTATATGTTTTGCTCAAATAATATTTTGTATTAAATATAGTTTCACATTTTCATTGTCATAAAAAGAGACTCTCACTCAAGTCACTATGAGGTTTGACATTGAAAAGACAAAATAATACATACATTGATTCCTACTAGACAGCTGGAATCTGAAAGCTCCTGAAGAATAAATGAAACAACAAAAACTGAGCCTGGAAAAAGTAATGGAATGGTATTTGTTCTAACACAATCCTTTCAGACTATATCAGAATTTCCCAAAACAAATAAATTCTTCTCTGGAATGTTTCTGAAAATCAGAAGAAATTTCAGAATACTTTTAGTTTAAGTTTTATAGATACCAAAATTAAAAAATCAAATGAAATCAGTTCAAAAACAAACCTCTTTGAACATCGAGTACTCAGAGATGGAAAACATCTGGGCATCATATTTGAGGAGCACACAGGCAGGGAAAGAACACAAAGACCAAGTGTAATCAGCACTCTAATAGAGCCTGGTATTCACTACTAGGAATACAGCGATGTATTCCTACATCTCTGTTTTGATTACAAGGTCTGGTTACAAGGTGGCATGAGGGGAAGAAGATAGGAACAGATAAAAGAGCAAGGTTTTATGCTCTCAGTTCATTGTCCAACAATTTAATACACAACTCTTAGACTCTCATTACACTAATCACTAAAATAATAAAGAATTGAGAACAATAAAGAACAAAAATGATTGCTGCCATAGTGCAGTCTTCCAGTGAGGACATGACCTTGTAGACACCTCACACTAAAATAGGATCTTAAAATTCGGGGCCCTCTGAAGACCCTGCTTTTTGGAATAGAGGATTTCTTCTTGAGAAATTATTTCATGTTGTATATTTGACTGAAATAAGAAATTTAAATAAAAGATACAATAGAAAACTAGAGACTATTTAGAGAAAAATGTTGGGCTTGAATTTGTTTTACTTAAGAAAACACAAAATATCTCCATTACCCATTCAGATTGAAGACATAAGCTGTTCATCTATCATAATGATTTTATTTATGTATTTGAAATATTAATAGAAGGATTTAATAAAATATAAGCAAAAGATGGCGGCAGCCTAAGAATTTGGCAATGAAGGAAATTATATTTTTCCTTAAAAGGTAAAATAAGCATACAAGATGAGAAGAAATCGTGAACATTACCAAAAGGGAAAATATGTTTTGATCCTTGAGGACAACTGAATGGATGAAAAGTATATGAACTCAGATAAGTGGAAGAGTAGAAGAGATAATGGTCAACAAAAATAGTCCAGGGAGCAACCAAAGAATTTTTAAGTGTGTTATGTATGTCTGCCCCCATCACAGAAAGCAAGCTTTAAGAGACTAATGACATTAAACATTTAAAATATGCAAGTGACCTTCTTTGTTCTTGTTCCGCACTTATTAAGAATGCTTCTTTTAATTTGAATTCCCATGAGCTGCCTTTAAAAAATATTCTCAGCCAAGTCACTATGAGATAGTGATGTTTCTGGACAGTTATTTGTCTCATTGTAAAGTATTAAAGAAGGAATATTTTTTGCTTTTTGTTCTGTTCTTCGGGAATATTTCATATCCCATGAAGTGCTAACTTCAAGACAGTTACAGTTCAATGATAGACATATAGAAAAAATTATAATTTATGTTTCTTAAAAGAATAACTTTTTGAAGCATTTGAGCAAAAGGCCACAAAAATGGCAAGCTGAACACCACCTCAAAGAAACCACAACTCATTTTGGTACTACTTGTGTTAACTAGAGAGATGAGGAGAAAACGTTCTAGTAGTAAAGAGGTACTATACCTAGGAAGGAGTAAACATAGGACATAAAAGCTATGGATTCTTACTTTGATGTCTGTTCCAGGAGATGTTTGGATAGCAAACGTATTAGAACACTAAAATTCCTCCCAGTATTCCCATTAGACCTGTATTCAAGGTTTATTTCAAGTTCAAATATACAAATAAAGCCTTGGGTTCTCTGTGATCACAGAGAGAGTAGGAGATGGGAGTTTTGGGGAAAGCTTCCCAGCAGCTGAGCATGGACTGGGCCATTTCTTCATTCTCCCTGTATTTAGCTTGCCCTTAGTAGGCCAGTCTGCTGTGCACTGAGATACACTACATGGAGCTGTACTTCTGTGAGACTATTACCTTCTCCTAAACTAAGAGCTCTGCAAACAGTCTTCAACAGATAAACTGCTTTAGCTAGTGCTCTTAGAAAGATAGTAGGAAGTATAATGTGGAATGGAATGCTTAGAACGGAAGTTCTATGGACTGCTGTTGCCATTCTTAGTGGAATTAGGCAGGACAGCAATGTTTGGAGGTCTAAGCATGGCCTGAAGTGGTAACCCACTCTCTGAGCTTGCCTTACCACTCCTCATTCTCTGGTCTGTGGTAATTTGCAGCTATGCTGAATTTCCTTTGTTTGATTAGATTGAAAAAAGAGAGGGACAATATACAATTTTTAACTGTAAAAATAATGATTGTAAATGATTTGAAAGAATTAAGTTCTAGATAATTGTAAAGCTCTTCGTAATAAACTGAAAATTACCCCGCACCTTATAGCTTCAGAGCTGGAAGGGCCTTTTGAGAGCTATTTAGTTCAAACATCTTTTTTCACAGATGAGAAATTGGATCTCCAGTTGCTGAGGCTTGAAAGAGAAGATATGGGAAAAGAAAGCTCATTCATAATTGAACAAATGAAATTTGAGTTTCTAGTAAGATGTCTGGTGGGAAATATTAATTAGGCATTAGGAAATTTGATCACAGAACAAGGATTCTTCCTCTTTCTATATAGTATTTATTTTGGAACAATTTTTTTTTCCAAAATATTATGGCTCTGATAAGTATCACACATGTGTTCCACCAAGAAGGATTATATTTCTCTATCTATTAGGAACAAAGCAATTAAACTAATATTACTCCAAAATTTTCCACCAAGTCCTTTCTCTCTAGGATTATGTTTATGAATCTGCAGCAATTGTAGCTTTTCCTGGGCCTTCCTTTACTCTTTGAGAGTTACTCTCTAGAACTTCTGAACACAGTTCTTTTTGTAGTAGCCACATCCTCTATGTAAGTGCCTGAAGTCTGTGAATGCAGAACATGCTGCTGTGGGCCTCCAACTTCAAAACACAAACCTGCACAGGTGTTTCAATATGCATCGCTGGGGTGAAAAAGTCAATTACAACATAGGAGGAAGGTTAAAACCACATATTTGTCCCTTTCTCCATTGTTCAATTAAGAAAAATGTATCCGAAAATGAAGCACACTTGAAGCATTCTTTTATGGAAATGTCCTGGCTTCAAGTCCTATTTTAAAACCTAATGATTATCATTTCTGGTTTCCCATTAGAATCACTAAAGTTGTTTGTTTGATTGTTTGTTTTGTTAAATGCAAATGTCTGACTTGTCATCGGACAAGTGAAATTAATATCTTTGAGGAGGTAGACCAAATAATTGTAGTTTAAAAAAAAAAAAACTTGTCAGGTGATTCTAAGTACAACCAGGTTGAGAAACATGGCCCTAATTGCTGTGTAGTATTCTCCATCCACTGTTTCTGAAAACCCGCTCCACTCATTGTGACTCCTCCCAGTTTGGGCTCCAAATTCACAAGTGACAAAAAATTACTTGGGACTGAGACAGAGCTGGATGATAGGCCTAACAATATAGTAAGTGGTAGTTACTTTTGGCAGTACAATTCCTGAGATAAGGGAGGGATTTTGATGCTGTAGGCAACACCGTACAGTTCATCTTATACATAGGATACCAAACAAAAACCTTCTGAGCTCTTTCAACAAGCCATAGATACCAGTCAGCAAGGATTACAAGCAAATTTTCATATTATTTAGGTCTTCCAATTGGTAAACACTAGAATGCTTTGAGAGCCAGGCATATAATACGCACTTCAGAATTGAATCTGTGTAAAGCAGTAAGGAGTGGGGACACCCATAATGACCAGAAAGAAAGTGTCATATTCACACAAAAAACCCCCCAAAACAGTAGATTTTTTTTTTGGAGTTTGTCTAACATGTTATTAGCTACAGAAGTGTTCGTTTCTTTATTTTTTTAAATCCACATCTTCTTGTACTTATAAATTGTGCTCCCTTAGTTCTGTGGGGAATAATACACAGAACCACTGTGAAGCCCAATAGCTTTCATTGGCTGCTACCTAAAGACACACTGAAAATTTTCCATTGCCTTTCCCAAGGGTTCCATTAATTTTTGCCAGTGGGCTTTTTTGTTGTTGTTGTTGTTGTTGTTGTTGTTGAGATGGAGTCTCACTCTGTTGCCAGGCTGGAGTGCGGTGGTGCAATCTCGGCTCACTGCAACCTCCTCTTCCTGGGTTCAGGCGATTCTCCTGCCTCAGCCTCCCAAGTAGCTGGGCCTACAGGCACACGCCACCATGGCTGGCTAATTTTTGTATTTTTAGTACAGACAGGGTTTCACCATACTGGCCAGGATGGTCTCTATCTCTTGACCTTGTGATCCGCCTGCCTCAGCCTACCAAAGTGCTGGGGTTACAGGCGTGAGCCACCGTGCCCGGCCCCAGTGGTCATTTTTATTTCCACTCTCTCTCTAATAGGGATCTGAAAAGGATAGGAAGGAAATTTTGTCTGTTTGATTTGTGGTTCTTCTATGCCCACTGAAGGTAAATTGCTCACAAATCCAGGCTCAATCAGCTACAACAGAAGCTCACACAATCACCAAAGTATGGACACAAATTACAATATTTTAAATTTTATATCTTTAAATATAGCATGAGGTAATGATAATTAGTTACATATTTATCAGGACATCTTTTAAAGGATTTTCTATGTAGTATTTCAAAAGAAGACAAAGCAATTGCAGGAGAAAAATATTTGAACATACTTTTCTTATCTTCTCCAATAGAATGCAGGGACTGTGAAGACAGGAGGCATGCTTTACTCTATGTGTGTAATAGGTAGTGCTTATATAATGCTGAACACATTGAAGGCACCCAAGAAGCATTAGTTTGATCATATATAATTCTACATTGTGTATTATACAAAAAAAAAACCTATAAGGCATCATCTTTCACTGGGCTACAATAGATACTAGGCTGGTTTCCTCTGCATCTTGAGAAAGACTGGAGAGATATTCCTTTCAGTACTAATGAACACTACTATAAAAGTGCTGAATAGCTTGCTAGGAGGAACATAGCAACACAGGGACCCTGGGGAGGAAACCTTGAACTTTAGGTACACTAATATAAGAGGTTGCATTATCATGTTCATTTACTGTTTGTTGTTTGCTTGTTTTTTGTTTTTGCTGGAAATATTTTGAGACCATTTTTTTAGGTGTTGCTCTGGTAATTGTTGGGCTGCAAGTACCCACCGTTAATGTACCACTGCTTATGATTCCTCAAAAATCACTGTGTCTAAGCAGGGACACATGTCAACAAGAAAAGTTATTCCTACAAATTCATTTGTTCATTCAAAAATTTTATTGAGATTCTACTCTGTGCATGTGTTATTCAGGAAACTTGGGGCAGAATAAAGAACAGAGCAGACATAAATCTCTTCCCTCGTTATGTTTCAATTCTAGTGAATAGAATTCTTTTCAAGTATAGTTAAATATTCATGAATACTAACCAATTAGTGTAGTTGACAAAATGTTGATACACATTTTGCAGATGTTTAGTGGAATATCCATTAATTTAAATTTTATGGTTTTCCTTTAGCATTTTAAATCACATATGTATATAAGTGCATACATACATGTATACATGCACATACACATACTATATATAGTTATATAAATATATTTTATACAAATAAAACGTGAGTATATTTTTTTTCCTATTTTTACCTTTCTTGAGCCCATGACAAGCTCAAGTTTCTAGGCCCTCTTTCTAGTTCATAAAAATGGTACAACTGTTCTGGCCTAAATTCAATGTACTGAATTAGAGAAATGTTCGTTGGCTCAGTGCTAAAAATAGTGCACAAAACACAATGAATAAAAAGTGCTAAATAAAACCTGTGATATGCAAACCTTCAGTACCAAAATGGTGCAGAATACATATCGATTAATTCACATTAAGATTTCCATCAAAGACCAAAGCTTTTAAACTTTCAGGATATTTGAGGTCAATTAAGCTGTGATATCAGGATATTACTATATTTTTTAGGAAACCATCACTATTTTATTCTTCACTTCTGATCTTTTCCAAGACCTACAAAAGACACGTCAGTAACCTTTTGTCAAGGCATTGGTTTCCTGCAACCATTCTAGGAGTGTATGATAACAACCACAGCTTCATTTCTTGTTGCTTAAAGCAACAACAAACTCTATAGATATGTTCTAGGGCCAAAGGCTTCCACAGAATAAATGACAGTGTGCCCGTGATTTATTGACATTTTCTGTTTGTTTGTTTTTTTGAGATGGAGTCTTGCTCTGTTGCCAGGCTGGAGTGCAGTGGCATGATCTCGGCTTACTGCAACTTCCACCTCCCAGGTTCAAGTGATTCTCCTGCCTCAACCTCCCAAGTAGCTGGGACTATAGGCATATGCCACCATGCCCAGCTAATTTTTTTGTATTTTTAGTAAAGACAGGGTCTCACCATGTTGGACATGATGGTCTCAATCTCTTGACCTCGTGATCCACCTGCCTCAGCCTCCCACAGTGCTGGGATTACAGGCGTGAGCCACAGTGCCACATTTCTATTACCAGATGTAATCTTTTACTTCAGATAATTATTGTAGCATTCAAGGTGTTTTTGTAAAAAACGTTGAAACTTTTCAAGAACTGAATCTCTCCTTAGATTTTCCTCTTTTATGATAAGAAGATATTTGGGGCAACTTTATTTTTTTCAAAATTCAACTCAGTTAACAATGGCCCTGAATTATGTGTTCTGTTTCTTTTTCCCTGAGGTTTAAAAGAACATATGCATCCTTACAGTGTAAATGACCCTAGAATAATAGCCCCCATGAATATAGGCTATGTTCAAACTCATATTCAAAATAAAGGCATTAGAAATTCTAGTAATTTTTAGTCAATGTTCTGCATCACCACATCCAAAACAAGATGCTACCAGGAAAAAATCTTGATTAAATTTTACCTTATTTTCATCAGACTAATGGTAATAGCTGGTATATAATATGAAAAACTGTTTTTACTTTGAAATCAATTTCATCTTTTATTTTCTCATTTTAACAATTATACATACATATAATAGAAATTATGCAAAAATAGCAGCAACATCACTAAAAAATCACCCATAGCCCCACAGTACAGGGATACCCAATATAAATACATTTATATTCTAATATTTTCATATAATAAATATTTGAGTTTTTAAAGAGCTATAAACACACTATAGCTAAGATTTTATAGTCTGCATTTAGTAAATTATTGTTTTATCTTTAAAATTTTCTGCAGGACTGACTTGTAAATATTGTCTTTTAGATTTTGTCTTCTACCTGAGGAAGAGAGTGAGACAGAGTAACATATACATAGAACAACAAGGATGGTCGTGTGAAAGAAAAATCAAAGGAACAGTGTAATAGAAAGACAGTCGAGCTGGCACTCCAACTGCTGGAGCTGCTCCTGTCTATCCTGTCAATACCCAGCTGTGTTATGCCTTCTCACTCCATCAAAACATAAAATAAATAAAAGAAAAACGTATGTGCTTGTAATGAACAGACTCTAAAAGGGCCTTCAATTATACTCACCTTTTTGTATTCATATTCTTGTGTATTCCCCTTCCTTTGAGCATGAGTGGGACCTGTAACTTGCTTCCAACCAGTGGGACATGGCAAAAGTAATGAGATGTCACTTATACAGTTACATTATATAAGAAATAGTAACTGTCTTGCAAAGAGATTCCCTCCCTTGCTGGCTTGGCTAAAGCAGGTGACAATGTTGAGGAGTTCCGCATGGCAAGAAACTGAGAGTAGCCTCCAGGTAGTAGGCAGAAAGAAAGTGAGGCCCTCAATCTAACAGCCTTTCAGGAATTAAATTCTGCCAACAACCACATGAACTTAGAAATAAATCTTTCCCCGTTCAGACCTTCAGATGAGAACTCAGCCCTTTCTATCACTATGATGGTAACCTTGGAGAAGACCCAACTAAGCTATGCCTGGGCTCCTGATCCACAGAAACTGTGAGATAATAAATGTGAATTGTTTTAAACTGTTAAATGTGTGGCAATACTGTTATGCAGTAATAGGGAACTAATATGGTGATATTAACTATGTTTTGACACTGTGCTAAAGGTATAGAATTAAGCAAATATTATATAATGTAAGGGACTTCTCACTTCCTTGTTATGCAAATAATTTAAAACAATACAAATTATAAAATTAGTTGGTGCAAAGATCTGTTGAGGAAAGTAAACAGCAGAAAAAATTATTTTATTTGGAGAAATTAAGGATGCCTTCAAAGATAAGATAGATCTTGAGGAATAAATAAAGAACAAATGGAAAAAGAAGGATGAGAAGGAACTTAGGGGTATAAGTCAAATGAAAATGGACTGATGTGAGATCAATTTCTCTTATGTATGGAAAAGGAAAACCAATCAGTAAGCAAAGTGGTGTCTTTGGAAGAACACTTGTGGCAGCAGGGAATGCAAAATTGTACCTCATGAAGAGTACCATTTCATTAGGTCAGCATTAGGCACATTTTTTCATTGTTTGTCTCTCTTCCTCAGCTCTCCTGTACATCTCCCAACTAGCAAACATTCATATGTGTGTGAGCACATACACACAAGCACAGTAACAACTGGCTTTGTGATTTAGAAACACACTGGCTTTCCTCTACTCTTTTGAATGTGTAGAAGAATATAAAGTATCAGTTTTCCAGGGAGCTATTATAATGCCTGGGACAGGTGGAGTATGCAACACTTGGGAATTGTGACAAGAGATAGGTGTCAGATGGGAATGTCTCTTCCTCAGTTTCTGGAAGATTGGACTCATTCTATAGAAATTAGAAAGTCAAGCACTGGTAACTAATTAGAAAATATTTCCTAGTCTTCTTATCAATATGTTTATATTTATATATTTTTAACATTTTAACAGCTTTATTAAGAAAAGCAATGGTGGAAGACCTTATTAGATTGACAATGAGAAAGACTATTCTGTAAGCTTTTATTAAAAGGTCTTCAATTGAACCTCTATAATGTTAATGAATTAGTGTCATTTATTCACATTTCTTTTTCTTTTTAGAGTTTTGTTTCCATACGTAAACCTTGTATAATGCAAATTTTCACTTACAGAGGGGTTACTTTTCTTCTTGATTGCAGGGGTTACTTTTCTTTTTAATGTTCTCTTCTTGATAGCAACCATGGCTATCAAGCCAATAATAAACTTCAGGTTATGGGAAAAAATTGATTTCTTTGACTTATGTTTATTTCATGAGTAAAGAGTGAGAAGGCCAGGCTCGGTGGCTCACATCCGTAATCCCAGCACTTTGGAAGGCCAAGGTGGGCAGATCACTTGAGGTCAGGAGTTAGAGACCAGCCTGGCCAACATGGTGAAACCCTGTCACTACTAAAAATACCAAAAGTAGTTGGACATGGTGGCAGGCGACTGTAGTCCCAGCTACTTGGGAGGCTGAGGCAGGAGAATTGCTTGACCCCTGGGGGCACAGTTTGCAGTGAGCTGAGGTTGTGCCACTGCACTCTGCCCTGGGCAACAGAGAGGGACTCCATCTCAAAAAAAAAAAAAAAGTGAGAAAATCTTTTATCTGTGGAAGTGTCTTAGTCTTGAAGAACAAAACTATTTGAAATTTAAAACTATAGAAAATGAAATAATGTTTACTTTTTATGGTTAACATTTTGGTGGTTTTTTAATCAATATACACTATTTATAATTCAAATTTTGAGGAATTACCTTTTTAAGCAATACATTCAACAAATTCATAGGAAGACTTGAATTACAATGTTTATACATTTTACCCTGGTGCATTAATAAAGCACAATTTAAAATCATATGTTTCTTTAAGCATTTAAAGAAAATTATTAGAAAATGATACTTGTCAATAGATGCACTTCCTTATTTGTCAGCCTCTTTTAGAAGAATACTCCTTAGAAGGACTCCAGGTGTGATTTTTTTTCGGTGAGAAAAACATACAAAGAATCTTTGTTTCTGGTCCTTCATCTGAGTAACATTTCACTACATATCTTTTTGCCTCATATTAACTATGTAATCAACTGGCTTTGTGATTTAGAAAACAATGAAATACCTGTTAAGTTTTCCATAAATCTCTTTCTGTAAGAATTATACACCCCAACTGTCATGATTCTATTCCATCGTTTTTCCCACCATCATGCCTACAGTTGATTGAACCAGTTAAGGATGTCTACTCCTAGCTAGACCAATTATTTTTCAATTTGAAATTTGGTATAAAGACTAAGAAAATTTGTATTTAATCTGGTTAGATCAAGAAAATAAAGAAACTAAACTCAGGAAACCAAGGTTTTTCATTTGTATATGAAGAATCACAGAGAACAAGCATGCAAGGAAAGAAGAATGAATCAGACAATGGAAAGATAAAAGGATGAGAGAGTGAAGAAGGTGTGCTGTTTAGGTTTCTGATGGCTTTCTACTTATTAGTTCCAATCATGGCCACAGTTATAAGGATCAACTGCTTTTGATTTCCATGAAATGGCAAAAGCTTCATCAAATGCATTTACTTATTTTGCTTAAGCTCACTTCAGTTTGGTCAGAGGCGTTTCAACCAGTGCAACTCCATGTTGAATAGGGGCTGGGTAAAATAAGGGTGAGACCTACTGGGCTGCCTCCGCAAATGGTTAGACATTCTAAGTCACAGGATGAGTTAGGAGGTTGGCACAAGATACAGGTCGTAAAGACCTTGCTGATAAAACAGTGTGCAGTAAAGAAGCCAGATGGCGACCACAGTAACCCCTGATCGTCCTACTGCTAGGCTCCCACCAGCACCGTGACTGTTTAAAATGTCATGGCCATGTCAGGAATTTACCCTATATGTCTAAAAGGAGAGGCATGAATAATCCACCCCTTGTTTAGCATATAATCAAGAAATAACCATAAAAATGGGCAACCAGCAGCCCTCGGGGCTGCCCTGCCCATAAAATAGCCATGCTTTCTTCCTTTACTTTCTTAATAAATTTGCTTTTAGTTTATTCTACAGACTAGCTCAAGAATTACTTCTTGCAGTAGATCCAAGAACTTTTTCTTGGGGTCTGGATCTGGACCCTTTTCGGGTAACAGCTTCTTTCTGTTATTTACAATTCAAATAGTCATAACTGAGGTATTTCCTAGTTCTCCTTCAAGTAGAAACAAAATGTTTTCATATTGGAAAAATTAATAGAATAAATTTTTCAGAAACTAAATGGAAAACTCAATATATATTCCTAATACTATAGACAGATTAGAGAGAGAGAGAGAGAGACAGAGAGTGAACTCCCAAAATCTGAGACAGGTTTCAATTTAGGATGTTTATTTTGCCAGAGTTAAGGAAGCATGCCTGTGACACAGCCTCAGGAGGTTCTGATGACATGTGCCCAAGGTGGTTGGAGCACAGCTTGGTTTTATACATTTTCGGGAGACCTAAGACATCAATCAGCATATATAGGATGAATGTTGGTTCAGTCCTTAAAGGTGGGGCAACTGGAAGCAAAGGTGGGACAACTCAAAGTAGGGAAGGGGCTTCCAGATCATAGGTGTATAAGAGAAAAATGGTTGCTCTCTTCTGAGTTTCTGATTAGCCTTTCCAAAGGAGGCAATCCGATATGCATTTACCACACTGAGAAGAGGAATGACTTTGAATAGAACGGGAGGCAGGTTTGCCCTAAGCAGTTACCAGCTTGACTTTTCCCTTTAGCTTAGTGATTTTGGAGCCCCAAGATTTATTAGATAGACAGGTTAATTTGAGACGCTGCTGTGGGATCATACCTCATTTTTGGTTGAGTTCCACAATATTTTATTGCACATATATTTTGGTCAGAAGGGAGACTCAGTAATGAGAAAAATATTTCTGTCTTTTGGAAGCTTAATGTAGCAGTGAATATATATGTCTGAAGAGAAATATTTAAGTGTTTGCCCTTAATTTTTTTAATGAAATTGTAATTGTAATTTTGTAATTTGGGGTAACACATGGAACGAGTTAAGAATGGAGTTGGGCTATCCTAGGGAGAGTCTTAAAAGGAGATTTATCAGGGCTACCGCCTTGCTCTAAATTATTCAGTAAAAGCAGCATTTAGTATATTTCTATGCCTCAGAAATATTTTGAGAATAAATGAAATAATATATGTGAAGTTTCTACATTGGAAAAAGGCAGTGCTATGTGTCTGTAAGTAGGGGAGAGATCTAGAATTCAGTTTCAGGGACTGCTTTTCATGGGCTTAACCAGGATTAGTATTAACTATAGATATAATTTTGTATCCTATTGCTGGGTTATGAAAACTAGCAAATAAGCAAAATTGATGTCACAGGTGGAAATGATTTACACTTGTAATTGACACATACTTCTGATAACCTGCAATTTGACAGGGAAAACAACTTATTCATAAACCTGTGGGCAGTATAATTTTATAATAGGCTGAATGCTTTAAAATGGAAGTGAAAAAATTCTCTCTGAATTTTAAAAGTTATAATTCAAAAGAATTCACAATGCCTATGAACAATACTATTTTCTGTATAACACCCACTTTGTCCTCAGCACCATATTAAATGTGATACAGCAAAAAAACAGTCTCCTTTCTCCTTTAAGGCATTTTCATCTCAGTAAGGCATAACCATTACACAGATTCCTCTCTTCTTTTGAAAAATGAGCTGGATAAAACTGGCAAATAGATTTGCTCTTCTATATATTGTTTCACTTGTTTGTTGGCATAAGGTAATGTTCAGAGTTACACCCATCTCACGTGAGTTAGGCACATGAATGTATAAGAGAGAGTGGAATTGGCTTCAAGCATGTGAAAAGAGACAACAATAAAAAGAAGTGAAGAATGAGCCATCTAGAAGGTCCAGGAAGGAGAGTAGGAGGGAGTAAATGTAGCCATGAGCAAAGCTTTTATTAGTGAAGCATAAACAGGAATGTGGGCATATTATGGAATATCTGCATGTCATGGCAATGAGGCAGATTAATGAAGGCTCTACAACCTAGAAACAATTAAATTTGCTAGAGAGTTTGAGAGTCTTGTAAAGAGAAATTTCCTGTACAAAGGAGGTGGTAAGAAAAAGTATTATGAGAGTATCTTGAGAGTTTTCTTTCCATTTTAAAGAATTAAGCCCCAAGGTATTCATTGCCTTAGGAAAGAAGGAGAAAGTGAGAAGTCCAAAAGTGTACCAAAGGAGTCTAAATATGTCTTGTGGGAAGAAAGAAAAAGCAGGAGATTCAAGGAAAAAATAAAATGGCCTAGAACAACTACATGGAGGGTGACAACTTCTATATTTACAAAGAAGTAACAAGGAAAGATGAGTAATAATTGGGGAATAAAACTTGGGTGACGGAAAAGACAATGTTCACGTTATTTCAGCAGGATGTGTTTACCTCTGGGCTCCTAGAAAACAACAAACAAGGGTGAGGGGAGGTCATTCATTTTCACACCCAACTAGGAGGGTGGCAGAAACTATTTCTAGGTTGTGTGACTCAGAGCAGCCAAGGCCTAGCCACTGAAATTCTACCTCCTGAGCTGAAAGGATCTGCACCTCTCTTGTAACTAGGTCTGAACTAGGTGTTATGTTTTGTTTTGCTTTCGTTCTAGGTTATATTGTCAGTGGCAATAAAAAAAAGTGAAATATTTCATTGGTTGGTTTAAACACAGACACATTGGCAGTAATCGCCATGAATTATATGATGAAATTAGCTCTGTTCTCTAGCAATGAGTAATTTTTTCCACAGAGTAAAAAAAAAATAAATAAATAAAATGAGATAAAAGAAACCGGAGAAAGAAACATAAAAGATGAAGCTTCATGACCAATAGGAAAGGGAGGAAGGATGAATGGGTGGAAATAAAAAGAATTGTCTATCTCACACATTCTAGGGCCTCTGTGAATATGTGTGGTATATTCACAAACAACATCTGTGAGGTGGATTTACTAAACATGTTTTATAGATGAGAAAATCTGCAAGGTAAAAAACAATCTGCTCACATTCATATATCCGGTGGCTTTATGCTCCTGACTTTTCATACATTTCCTTTCCAATAAATGGCTCTACCCTTTCTGTCTGGTAAAATCATATTCATAAAGCCATGCTTGGCCCTAATTTTCTCTGTGAAGATTTCACCAACATTTACCTAACAATAAAACTGTTTTCAATTAACATAAGTCCAAATTCAGAAAAATAATATTGCCTCGAATGTGCAACCTTAGTACCGCTGACCAAGACAGTTTTAATTTCCCTTCAGCTTGCCTAAACTTCAGAGAAATTTCTTCCTGACACTAGTCCCCTGATTTCCCTTTTGTTAGAACTACTTTAGAAAACTTGTAATTTGAATTTTTTTCTCTGTCTCTTTTGTAATGTACATAAATCTTCCAGCCTCTTGTTAATTTTAGAACCCAAGGGTGTCTTTCTTAAGGACCTGGGAGTCATCTTGTTGAAACGTAATCATGAAGGCAAATGTGCTTCTATTGCCTAGTCTCTGTGGGAAGGTATGAACATAACTTCCATGGACACAAATTAGCAAACACAGATGGTTTAATTACAGAATGAAATATTCACAAACTCAGAGATAATTCCATATACTCCACATATCCTATTGATCAACCTCACCACACCCAATATCCTTCAGCACTTTTCCACTAGCTCACTCCAGAGCTTAAAAAGCCTTCTGCCTCTTGTTTCAGTGGAGTTATATTTAATCTCTCTCCTCTATTGTAATGTTGTAATAGTCTTGAATAAGTCTTTCTTGTCTAACTTTGTCCAGTGCAATTGTTATTTGACACTGAAAGAGAATAACATAGATGAGGGTAATGGTATTATCCTGGGTTATCATTGAAGAGGGACTTATTACTTGAGCACCTATTATGTACAAAGAGCTACACTAAATACTTTTATTCATAATCTCATTTAGCTGTTATACTATTTAATCCTGTTAGGAAGCTGTAGTCATCCTATTTTTTTGCAAATGAGAAATGAGCTGAAGAGAAATTAATTTATTAGGTAGATATGTATAGATATAGATTAATATGTAGGAAGGTTAGGATTCTAATCCTGGTTTGTTCCCCCAAAACATGTTCTTTTGTACATTTTTGCATACTACTTTCCAAAGTGTTTTTGCATATCTTAACTAAATATTCCTTTTCTAAATCTTATAAAATAGATGTTATCACTCTCATTTTGTAGAAAAATATATTGGAGATAAACTGGTAAATATTTTGTGTATGGTACATGGTGATGGTCAAAACAGAAAGTTATAAGCTATATTTTGAAAAATTTATATCTTGGGGATAAATGAGAATGAAACAGAAGTTACAGGTGTCAGCCAAGTGAAAGAAAATATGAGTATGTAGGCTTAGGAGCATTGAAAAGACAAGCACTTAGCTAAGCATTGAATCTTGCCAGAGAGATAGTACGTTAGCAAATATTTACATGCCTATTACCATAAAGTTAAATATATACTATTGTCTACTTTATTATCATAAAGTTGTGTTTCTAAGCCTGTTTGAGTAACGGATAAGAGAGCTATTCTTTACTATTAAGTGATTGTTTTACCTGTTTTAAGGCTTACTGACTTGTAACCTTAAACTGGAAAATATTTGGTGTAGAAAACTGCATTTGTATGAATGTTTGCTGAAGGAAACTATTCACTTAAAGTTGTAAACTGTCTTTGTCACAGAGGTTAAGTTTGCCTACCGGTCTTGATAATTAGCTCATTATGACCTAACTAAAATTGTTCCAATTAACTATATTGGTATAAAAGAACTGTGCAGAAACTGTTAACATTAGGGATATTAGCTGAAGGCAAATTCTTCCTGATAAAAATGTATTTTACAAGTAAAAATAATGTGATTAACTGTTCCAGTAAAAAAAACATGGTGCATTCAAGGGAGGATAGTTGAGAAATTTGAATGGAGAGGCAAATTACCAAAGAAGTGAACAGGATTAGGGAAAACTAACCAAAGATGGTGAAGCTCTCTGGTGCTGGAAGGGAGCACTTACTTGACTATTTCAGAATGATTAAGAAATGAGAGCAGTTACAAGCATTCAGAAAGTAGTTGTAGCTGTGTGTAGTGCTACTCATAGGAGCTAAGGTTTTTGGTAGATACATTCAGCTTATCATGTAGGCTTATCATGAAAAAAGATGGTGAAATAAATATCCTAACACTCTTCCAGCTCTCTGATCTTCTGCTGGTGACTTCCACAAACCCAATCCAACAAGAAGCTAGAGGGCAAGATATCATATTGATTCATCAGGAAAGGTCTGCATCCCAGGGCACAGACTTGGCACAGGAGGTGGAGAGCAGATATGGAGCAGCAGTTCAAAGTCTTTTACTCCTGTCCCTCCATAGCCACACTTATCCTTTGCCCAGATTAAAAATCTCACTTCAGGGAGTATGCAAGTCTTATCAGCTACAATGTCATCATGAGGTGAAGTCAATTCAGTAAAAAAATCACACCTAAGACGTAGTCAATGAGCAAAAATGGATGGAGGAACTAATTAACACAATTCACTGTTGCTATAGGTCCCACTTATGTAGGTGGTCAAAATGCTTTAACAAGAACAGCTTCACTCTTCCACACCCATGCCATGTTCTCTTTATGTTCTGTTTGCTAGTATCATAGTTGGACAAGCTGGGGAGACCGAATATTTTATTGCTATATGATCTGAGTCCTTGCTTCTCTTTCTTTATTGGGTCACTGCAGTTCTTCACTAAGAAAAAGAGTCCTAAGAAAGTCATTCAAGTTAATTTCCATGGCTGGTGACCCTCTCTCTGCCTGTTGGTTCAGTGGCAGGAACATCCTACTCACAAATTACCAAGAGAAATCATCAAATTTCAAATTAATACAATAAGTATGATTCCTGGTGGAAACAATTCCTTCCTTGTACACCCTCCAAATGAACCAAGCCCTGAATTTCAGGAAGGGGAAGTTTCAAAAAATGAATCTCTTATATGGGATCTACTGCTACCTATAACGGAGGCTGCTAGTTTAAGAAATCCACCCTTTTCTATAGGATAGTGCCCCAACTGTACAGGGTGTTCTCTCCCATCTGGTTCTTTAAGTGAACATTCATATTGTTATTCCACCACTCTATCTGGTAACTTCTTTTGGGTGATGGCACACATGTAAGTCTTTATTTCACAGGTGGGAACCCTCTAAACACTTTATTTGCCATAAATGAATTCTCTATTTGGGGCAATTTTGTATTGGTATAAAACTTTTCCATGGAAATAAAAAAGAATGTTGTAAATTGTATTAGTCAGGGTTCTCTAGGGGGACAGATGGGAGTTTATTTAGTATTAACTTCCATAATCACAAGGTCCCACAATAGGCTGTCTGAAAGCTGAGGAGCAAGAAGAGCCAGTCTGAGTCCCCAGACTGAAGAACTTGGAGTCTGATGTTCAAGGGCGGGAAGCATCCATCACGAGAGAAAGATGTAGGCTGGGAGGCTAGACCGGTCTCTCCTTTTCACATTTTTCTGTCTGCTTTATATTCACTGGCAGCTGATTAGATTGTGCCTACCAGATTAAGGGTGGATCTGCCTTCCCCAGCCCAATGACTCAGATGTTGATCTTTTTCTGGCAACACCCTCACAGACACACCCAGGATCAATACTTTGTATTCTTCAGTCCAATCAAGTTGACACTCAGTATTAACCATCACATAAGTCAATAAATTCTGACATTAGCAGAAGTGTTGTGAGCAGTGAAGGTAAGTCAGTATCTACTTCTTTAATTCTTTTAGCTCATAAGCTATCTGCTTCTGGGCCAAGTCTTGTACCTCTGCATCTGCCTATATTTAACTCTTCCCAATTCTCACTATAAGCCTGGGAGCAATGAGGTCCTAAGGAAAAAACCATCTCTTTGTGAGGCAGTTGTGAAATCATTGAAAGGCCTTCATCTGGTAGAAAACATGTTCTCTCAGCTTAGAGCAGCAGGAAAGAGACTTCACTCACAGTAAGAAAGAATTTTGGAATACAGCGTTCTTAACTTTCCTTGGGTATATTCATCTATCCCTGTCTCACACTTCAGGCTCCATTTCTTCCCCTCTAGTGTCTTTACCTTATTATAAAAGACTTGGCATTGTTCTTCAGGTGATTGTAGCTGAAATTATACCTTTACAATCAGACCCTAAACTTCAGCCTCAACTATGTCTATCCTTGGGCTATAGAAAATAAACCACTCCTTCAAACCTAGCATATATATATATATATATATATATATATATATATATATATATATATATATATATTTGCTAGGTTTAGCGCATATATATATATTAGCATACATATATTAGCATATGTATATATATATTAGCATATATATATATATTTGCTATTCTACCCATGTTCTGAATTAGGCATTCAGGTTATTAGTTTGTCATTTTTTTCTCTGTATAATTTCTAGATCCATCAAAAGCAGCAATCCATTGCAATAATTTGTTTTAGTGACTGCTGTTGCAATAGTGACTAAGAATCACAGCTACTTGCTCTACCAATGTCTGCCCTTCCACTTGTACATCATATCAAACCACTACCTGTGATAATCCATGATAATCTGTGATATCTCACTTTATGCTAAGTATTAACACTTTCTTATTTTCCCCTGGCAAGGGAGTTATCCATGTACTTCTCAAATATGTGCACAGTCAAAGCTGGGCTTCCAATCTTTGCAAGGGAAAGCCTTGACAGTGCCAACCCAAGACCTGGAAGGAAGGAAATCTAGCCTCTTTTTCTGAACCTGCTCTTTTCCTGACTTCCAAATTTATGCTTGTGATTTTAATGGCCCAGATCCAAATTGAAGTTGTGTGGCAAGGAGCCTGTTGATGTAGTTTATATGTCTGGAACATATAGCAAAGTAAGATCGAGTAGAGCAGATATAAGAACTAGGCAAACAGAATATTCAGCACATTTGCAGAATACTTTAAAAAACAATGCAAAATCTTCATTGGAAATGATGGTTATAGGAGTTAAACTCAGGTTGTTTGACTATGTCAATCTTTTTCTCATTGCCTATGTTGTAAATACCCATTTTGATAACTTTCCTACCTCATTCTCAAATCTCACTGCAGACCTTTAAAATGAAATAATTAAATAACCACTAAGCAGGACAAGATGAGCTAGAAGTCAGCAATATCGTAGCTTTCTCTAGTTCTCAGCATTCACTATCAAATCCATCTTGTATATTTTGCATACCATATTTAACTCAGGAATATAAATGGAGATAAAAATAAAAGACAGTGTGAGTAGCTTCTTAAAAAGGAGATGGCATAGGAAAGTGGATAGACTTCTATTCTCATTAGCACTTTTCTGATCCTGTGAGATTTGGGAATTATCATCCATTTGAAGCTATTAAAATTGTCAAATAATACCTTGCTAAATAAATAACTCAGTGTTTTTCTCTCCAACCCCCTGGAATTCCTGATGCATCCAATTCCCCTGAGAAGCCTGAGTTGGCATCCAGGCCTCCACATGTGATTTGTAGGCCTTGATGGAACAGGTGTGGGCAGAATTGAATCTTTAAACATGTTAACTGTTTATGCTCATCTCATTTGTCCCTTCACAATGGAAATTTGAGAAGCGGTGATCCACCATTTCTCTATGTGTCCCACTTCTCTGTGTTCTCGACTCTTCCTTTGTTATCACTAGACAGATGTTTTTATATGCTCAGCATTAAAACTTTGATGAACTTCTCTGAAATGCTACTTTAGGGATATATACTGAATATATTATTAGTATTATATACCACTAGATGATGAAAAAAATCTAGATTCTCCATTGCTCTGTTATTAAGAGCAACAAAAAAACATGAGTTCTTTGCAAATAAAGTCCTCAGCAAAATAATTTTGTAGCTCTTCATGAACTTATAATGTTAAATTATTAAAAGCCTTCTTAAGGATTTTGTACTTGAATTCACTAATAAAAAAGGGCTTGCAAGCAATAGAGTGACAGCACTATTTTATACTTTAATATACACAAACATATATGTATGTATATATATATATATGTGTATCTATATTTAAAATAAAGTCCATTTTACCTCTTGAAGATTTCTTTTTCTACTTAGTATGGAGATTGACCAAGAACCTTATCATTGACCCATGTCAACCCTACAAAGCCTATCCACTGATTTCATGCTCACTCCCAGCTGTGTGGCTGTGCTATTATTTTTGTTTTCCTCTCCTGCCTACACATTTAGATTGTACTCATCCTTGTCTTTGTGTATCAGAATATTCCATTTCTTTCAAAATACCTCAAATCCTTCCCCATGAAACTTTTCCAAAGGCTTCATCTCCTTCTGAAGTGGAAGTTTTTATATTATTGTTGCAGAACTTTCTCCTTAGTTCAGCAAAAACCGGGCTCTTGTCACACAGCTAGGAAAGATTAGGCTAACAGACACCTAGAAGCATGAGGAAAATAGAAGTTACTGGGCGTAAAGGAAATAGAAAAAATAACTTTCAGCAAAGTGAGAGAGAGGTCTGCTAGCAGATTTCCAGCCTCACAGACTGAAGCCCAGGTCATCACACAGGAACAGGAGAGGCTAGGCTTCTCCCCACTGCAAACAGCATGAACTTCCCAAGCTCCGCACTGTCCAGTGCACAGGTGGGCATTATTCAGAAAGAATCAGTCAGGAAAGGGCAGGCATTATCTGGGACCAGAAATCCAGCTTTTCAGCCTTCAGGGTGTTTTAGGCTTGAAGGCAGGGTTTCGCCAGGGACCCTTGGCTGTCTCCTGTCTCTATCATTCCCCCCTCTGAAAAGTACACCTGATTGCCATTAGAATAAAGATAAGGAAAAGGATGAAGACTGATCTTAACTGCTTCCTGCTGACAGGTAGCACTGTTTTGGGAAAAGAGCAGTCAGATCTCCCTTAGAGGCCTATCTAAGGGTTCCCAGCAAAAGGAACAATTGAACCAGGCTCCGGTTGCATGACCATTTGGAGATTGATGGCCAGAAGGCAAGAAGAGACAAACTGGGTTATTAGAAAACAAGTCTTAAAACAAAACAAGGTGGTGGGGGAGGTTAATGACAGCTCAAAAATCCCAAGACTTTTTACTAATTTGCATGGGTAGAGGAAGCCCAAAAGTGTGGTTGGAAAAAAAAAAAAAAACTTTTACTGTTCTTTAGGCATGCCAGTCTTCTGGTTTCCCTTTCCTTGAGCCCAGTCCTAAGCCAACCAGTCTAAGGTTTGGCAAATTAACTCTTTCCAGTTTGGAGGATGCATCCTAGGGGAGTGTGCTGTAGTATAAAGACATAATTACCTATCCATGAAGGAGGACAGAGGAGAAAAAAGGGGGAAAAAGGCATTTTTTTTCAAAGGAGTCCCGGGGTGCAGGATGAATTCAAAAGGTGTACATACTGAAGACAAATGGCTACTCATCTAGAAAGAGAGGAGCAGGCCTCCCTGGTTCCCTTCTTTTCCTAGCAAATACCCGGGGTACATGAGGGAGAGAAATCAAGGCATCTCTCATTCTTTATTCCGTCCTTGTATCTCTGAGTCCTAATAACTGTGACAAGGTGCCACCCAGTAGTGTCAAAATGATGTTAACAGGGGGTTTAGGTGGTAAGAATATCTGCTCTTACCCACATATGCCCTATCTCCCCTGCTCAGTACCTTTGAATTCCCTGGACCTCATTTATGCCATGGTTACTAGCATGATCTTTATCCATGAAATGGGAAACTTGGCTTAATTGACAGGAATCAGTTATGCTCACCTGCACTATGCCTTTTAACTCTCATTATCATCTACCTCTGAATCTCTCAGATCCAGTTTTTTGGATGCAAAGCTTGGAATTAAGTTTGAGACAAAAAAATGTGTTTCAGGGATTGCAAGAACTCCTTATCATAAACCAAACGCTAAGGTGAAGCTGTGGAATTGAGTCCTCCTCCAACAGGGGAGAGAAAAAGATGTCTTGTGACATGCCCAGATAACTGGTGGCTATAGTTATACTTGCTAAGATTTTGGTGCATGGGGCTTGGCTTTCGTTGGCTCCCTTGGTCTTACTTTTGCAAAAAGGCATCCTCCAGGTGATGGGCATCCTATTTATTCCCATTACCCAGCAGGATTTGCAGGACAATTGCTCAGAACCAGAATAATTGATCCAGAGTTTTATATCACCCATCCCTTTTTTTCCTTCTGAGCTGCAGTCAGAGATTGCTGGTTGGTTCACAGGAAAAAGCAGGGTTAGTCTAATGTGGGCAAAAGCTTAAAAACAGCTAATGAGTCTAGAATCAAATGACAAATGTATAATACATTTTGAAACATAATTTCTCTCTCTCCAGTCCTCATTCTGTTAAAAAAATCATAATAGGACTGAATGTTTGCAAAATAAATTTTAGTCTTATAATTGACCTGATTATTTGTGTAAAGTGCAGCAGGAATAATTATTTATACATAAGCCTTTTAGATTGGCTTGGATGAAACTCTGTTCCACAAGGAATCTCAGATAAGACCATTTAAATCCAAGCCCAGCCATGGGTTTGTAGCCTCAAATACCTGTGAGTTGCATAATCCTCTCCTATTAAGGTCCCAAAATAAACTTGGAGCTCCTGTGCCTGTCAGAAAGTGACACTCTTTACTAACCCTAGGTCAGGAACCCTGTACAAGACCGCATAGACAAGAGTATGATGCCAGTTTTCTCAAAGACTTTTTATCAGCTCTGCAAGTCGAAATTGACTCCTTAAAGGGAGGCACTCCCTTCTAGTCAAAGCCCTGATAAAACAACCAGTTTCTCCAATTGTGCCCTGTTGCAAAACAAAATGGATCTTATTTCACTGATGCAAACAACTATATTGCTATAAGTTAAGAATACTCACAACTAGTTTCCAAATTCTGGAAAAGCCAGGCAGAGACAAATATGCTTCAAATTTTGTTCACAGGAGTATACATTACTCAATAATTAAAGGCCATAAATAGTTCAAAATAAATTTTATTGACTCTAAAAAACAAAACAAGAATCAGCAATATTCCAAACAAAAGTAAAAAAGATGGCTTCATTTTTCTGTGAGTTTAGTCCATTTAGTTAACTCTTGTTTAGCTTGATATTCGTGAACATTTAAGCTCTTCATGAGTCCTGTACATTTTTCCTTTATTCCAATGTCCCAATCTCCAAAGTTATCAGAAACCTGTATTTGAGAGCACGTGTCAGAGTTCTATGGCTGATTATAAACCATCTTTTGAAAAGGATCAAAACAAGGAAACAATTGTCTGTGAACAACAAAATGTCCAAGGCAGTTACAGTTAGAAACACAATTGACAAATAAGTTTGGTTATCTCTGTGGTTCACAATAACTTAGCATAACAACCTTAATTATGATTGATACCATATACTTTAGACATTAAAATTCTAGAAATCTCCTACAGTTTTAGAACATATATTAATATTATTCACCAAAATATAACCTAAAGAATATTGAACACCACTTTGGCAAGTCCATGTAACTAAACATGTCAAATAATCCTGTTTACCTCTCTTGTGAATACTACAGGGGCCCTCTGTAGCAGCCAAAGCTTGGCATCAGAAAAGACAATTTTGAAACTGAAGTTTGATTTTGGGAAGTCTGATAGATGTGTTAGAGGTTTAAAACACTTCATGTTATTAAATAGAATTTCAGATTACCATAAGTTATTTATTTTGCCAAAATGATGACTCAGAAATTTTAAAAAGCAAAAACCTTTTATAACCCCTTACAAATTTTGCTAAAAAGCAGATTAGCACCTTAAGAATACCTTGTTGTGCTTTTATTTCAATGCTCAATGTACAGAAAACCCCTACTGAATTTAGTCAATATGCTCATACGTGGAATTTATTTTGCAATATTAATTTTTACAATCTTTCCACCAGTTGTTTGAATTTATAGCTTTATCTTATCTAATTTAAAACAATTATTTAACCCTAGGCAAGAATTTATTTTTTTGCCTTTTAATAATCTTTTATTAAAAACAAATTTTACTGTTTTTACACACCTTGTATGTAAATATATTTCCAGCAGTTTCTATTACATGTTATAACGGCAACTCCTAGCAATTTTTAACTTTAATGTAAAGCCTGGTAAGTTGTTTTAATTGTGTTCTAGGTGCAGCCACGGTTTGAATGTTTGACTCCTTTAAGCATAATTAAGGGTGTGATTAGTTCCATATGTTCCCAGGTCTTACCAGTTGTTAGGCAGGAAGTCAAACAGTTCTCAAAAACCAAAAAAGTAGTTAATAACCCCAAAACATTTAGCAAACCTAGTACCTAACCTGCATAATTTAGTTCACCTATTTACATTTTGATGACCTCTGCATTTTACTAATAATTTTTAAGGCTGTTTTTATTTTTCAAAGATTAAAGTCACATGAACTATAAGGCACCGCAGCTTTTATCTTCCCTTAAAAAATATTTGGTCCAAGCACTTATTTTTCTTTATGCCAATTAATTACAGCTCTCTTTTATAGACATCACACACAACCCATATGTAACTACATAGACTGGCAGAAGAAAACCCAGTGGCTATAAGATTTTTCATTTGCTAATCTCCTAATTGGATTATTATCCTCTCATGCATACATTAAGAGTGGCAAGACAAGGTGGAGAAAAAGAATTCAGTCAACTGAAAAAGAATCAGTCAACTGGAAAAAACTTGTTCCAACAAAACAAGATCCCAGAAGAGAAAAACATAAAGGCCTTTTAAATATACCTATAACTTGAATATTTACTTGCAATTAAGCTGAACACTCTCTAAGAAAATCCTTTTAACTCTCTTACTACCCGACTTTAACTGAACCAGGAACCCAATATTTTTGTCTTTTAAACTTTACTAATGGTAACCTCACAGGTTAAACCAACAAGCCTCAATTAAGGTTATGATTTAACTGTGAGTATATGAGGTATTTCCAAGCGGTGTGAGCAGTTCTTACAAAATTTAGAACCTTTCAAGATAACCCAGAGAAAAGAAGATTTAAGAAAAAGGCTAGAAGTTGTTCATAGAGGTGAAGAGAATCAGCAAATGGCAATAGCTATACAGATATCAACCTAAAGTACTCATTCTCTAAGCCGGAATTGAACCTAGGTGCCATTGTAAAATGGTGGAGGCTAGAACAAAACATCGCCATGTGGTTTCAGATCATGGTAAAACAAGATGGAGGCCTGCAGCAAAGTTTGCTACTGAACATACAGAAAGTTAGGCAAAGCACACTGGATTTGCTTCAGTTTAAGACCAACCCCACAAATCCTTTTTCATAATTAAAATTTTACAGAGAATATAAACAGTGATAGCTGGGGTCCTGCCCTGTAAAATGTTTTCTAAAAAGAAAAAAAAAAGCCTCTCACATAAAAGTTAACTTCTGACAGGTAGAGAAAAGGAAAAAATAGTTAAAGTGCAGGGTTGGAAAGATGCCTGGAGGAAGAACCTCTAATTCTTATGCCAATGGGTTCCTAAACTTAAGAGGGGTTGCTGGGGAACCACCAGTTCACCAGTCCATCCTGAAAAGAGAATGAAATGGCCAACAATTCTGACCCCCAGGAGTAATGTGGTCTGGTGAGGCATAATTTTCTCCACCCTCAGAAAAAGGGTGAGGACAAAAACAGCTTAGAAGTCAAAGAAAAAAAGATGTTTTAGTTTATATGTTACCATCCTTCTTCAAGCCCCATGTCTGGATGCCAAAAGTATTGCAGAACTTTGTCCTTAGTTCAGCTAAAACAGGGCTTTTGTCACATGACCAGGAAAGGTTAGGCTCACAGACACATAGAAAGGTGAGGAAAATGGAATTTACTGCGTGAAAAGGGAAAAGAAAAAATAACTCTCAGCAAAGCAAGAGAGAGTCCTGTTAGGTTTCCTGCCTCACAGGTTGAATCCCAGTTCACAGCACAGGAACAGGAGGGGCCAGGCTCCTCTCCACTCCCCTCCCCCGCAAAACGGTGCAAACTTCCTGAACTCTACCCCCTCCTCCTAGTGTACAGGTGGGCATTATTCAGAAAGAATCAATTGGGAAAGGGCGGGTTTCATTTGCGACCAGCAGTCTGGTTTTTCAGCCTTCAGACTGTTTTAGGCTTGAAGGCAGGGTTTCACCTGGGACCCTTGGCTGTCTGCTGTCTCTCTGGACATTTTTCTGTGATTTAATTATCTGAGCCACACACCGTGGTATTTTATTAAATAATGATGCAAAGTAGTTTCATAAAATTTAGCAATTTTAAAAATCAGACTACAATTTAATGCTTAATTTAGTGTTTCCCAGCCTGGGAAGCCTTGAAAAGGAAAAAAAAAAAAAAAAAGTTGGAGATATTATTGCATGCGATTGGTACTATAGGGACTACAGCACATTACAATGAGCATCTCTGAAATGCATAAACTTTCTAAAGCATCTAAATCATCAATATAGAGCTACAGAGAAATAAGCAGGATAATCTAAAAATGACCCTGGGAACTTACTAGGGTTTTCTGGACAAGATAGCTTGGACTGTAAGGTCCAATTTTCCTCAGAGACAGGATATGCCCCCAGGTTCAGGCTTTCATCAAACTAATGACTCTATCCCTATGACAAGGCCTTGCAATATTCCACAGGCCTTCAGGTCTCTGGATGCTGGGCAGCCTATATTGCAGATAATGCCTACAAAGAGCTGGCACACTGATCCAGACTCTTCTGCTTTGACAGCCTCTAATCTCCTCATTGGCAAGTCTACTTTCCCCCAGCTGACCTTTAAAAAGGGGGAAAAGCTGGGAGGAGGAAATAGGTGTCCACACTGTAGGCGCTGTAGCATCTGGGTAGCAGCACTCACCTCTGGGGGACAATAAGGGAATTAAAGATTGTGTAACTGTATCATCCCTACGCTTGCTTATCCTTGGGTTTTGTAAAATTTCCAAACGAGGTCTACCCCTAAATCTTGCTGTATGACTTTGTGGCATTTGTCTAGAATTCCTTTTCGTGACAGGAAATCTAGAGGGAATCCACCATTTAGGACAGAAAATTAAAAAAAAAAGTTAAATGTACAGTTTATGTCGTAAAACCTGGTAAAAGCCTTACTCTGAGAGGAGCACCTTACAAATACCTTGTGTTTGTATGACAGAATGTTCTAAAAAGAAACTGATCCTCCAAACAAATTTATGGAGAAGTAGAGTAGATGATCACCTTTTTCCTGTCCTGGGCAGTATAACTTGTTCAGTGTTGCTGGACAAAGGGGTCTTGATCCAGACCCTGAGATAGGGTTCTTTGATCTTGCACAGGAAGGAATGCAAGGCAAGTCACAGAGTTCGGTGAGAAAGATAGTTTATTGAAAGCTACTCAGCTACAGAGTAGGGTGTTCTCAGAAAGCAAGAGGAGGAACACGTCATCTTTGTTTTAAACTCTTCTTACATAGGGGCCTCATCTGTGTAAAAGCTAAGCTAAATTAGCTCTACTTGTGGGTGAGCTGACAACATGACAAAATTTAGTACTTTGTTGATTTAAAGAAAGTTATATTTGGTATTATAGTGCCTAAGTACATCAGACATGACTATTACTATCTTAAAAGCATGTGTTGTTATGTGATATCAGGACATCTGAACATTCCACTGTCGTAGGAATTTGTCCTTGTGGGAAAGCATTACTAAACTGCTTCAGTAGTTGTAAACATCTCATGACCATTGCTCATGACTATCAAGGAATATGCTTTGCTAGTTTTAAGATGATGTTGATTTTAAAATGATGTTGCCCTGGCTCTCCTATGGTCCTTTTTCCCTAACAAAAGCATATGCATGCTCAGGTCACCACACTGCTGAAACCCTGTAAACGTCCCTCCTGCCTGGGTAAAATAAGTTTGAGTTTCTTAGCTTATGAGTGAGAGTTTCCATGATGTGGCCTTTGTCTATCATGGAAAAGATCCATGATACCCATGGTTTCCAAAACTTGCCATACTCTTCCACATTACCTTACCTTTGCAGAGGCTGATTCTCCTGCCTTAGCTAAGTTCCTTTTCAATGCCCTGACACTAATTACGGAATGCCAATTTCTTCGTAACAACTCTGTTACATTTGTATTTTGGTCCATATTTTTTCTATTTTATGTTGTCTTTTTAAAAATTATGTTTATTTCCCCCTACTAGATTGCTGCAAACTTTGGAGTTCATTGTTTTATGTACCTGCCATGTAGCATAAGGCCTGGACCATTGTAAATTCTCAGTAATGAATATTCAGTGTCATTAAATTGTATTACTATTATTTTTCCTTTGAAGGATGACATAGAAACTCTGCTGGACCAATATCCTAGCTGATAAAAGTCATAGTTGATACTTGAATTTGCCTTTTTACCTTAGCTCAAAGAAGTTCTGTCTACCATACTGATAATATGAATAGTAACAATAAAGTTATTCTTTAAAATTTTACTTTTAAAAGATGGAATTAGAACAAAAAAATTAAGAAAGGGTTTCCTTTTTAACTTGAGTCAGTCAATTTAACAGGTTTAACATTGAAAATCTTATAAAAATTCAATTTATTCTCTGGTGGATATTTTAAACTTCCATTTTTTTAATGACAAAGGATAGTATTACTGACATCTGAATGTACTTACTTACCCTTCCTAATGTTGTAAACAAATTTTTCTTAGAATTCTGACATTTTAATTAATCATTTAATCGGGAAATTAAAAAAACTAAATGTATATTTTAAAAGGAATATTTATATTACTGGTCCTTTAAGATAGTATTTTTTAAATTATTCTTTCATATTAGTCTAAAATACTCTCTAGTTTAAATAATTCTGGAAATTATACTATATCACCTTTTATAGATTCATCAAGCATATGAATAAAACAAAACAAAATAGAAGACCGAAATAAAACCATTAATTTGACTTAAGCCAAGATTTCCCAAACATGTTTGTCCACAGAACTTACTGTGGCATTACATCTATTAAAATCCTATTTGTATTTTTTTTAAATCATTATTATTTTGGTTTGTGGGGAAAGTTTGCTTAATGCCAAGGGGGTGAATATTGTTTCACATCAGGCTGGAGTGCCACATCTTATCCACAGGAGGTAACTAATGCCCCATCAAGGAATTCAAACTAAAGCACACAAAATCTCCCTCCCTTCACTTTTTAGATAGTTGGTCACAAAGTTGTATTTTTGAAAAACAATTTGTTTAACACTGATCAGGGAGTTTGTGACTTAAAAATAATAGCAAGAGCAAATTGTGGGTTGCTGATTAATCCAAATAAAATATTTCTGCCAAATTACTACTCAAGAGACAGATTCTAAAATTCTAATGTGAAATAGAATCAGTCTATGTCACAAATAAGGTGAAACATTCCTGTCAATAAATCCTAAAAGAAGAAACCTAAAATTAAATTGAGCTAAATTGAAAGAAATTTTATCTCAGGGAAAAATCCTGATGGAGTAAAGTCTGGAGGATTCCAGTGGGGAGAGGAGTGGAATGGATGGGGGGGAGCCTACCTATGAAACCCCAAGCCTAGCCCCCTAATGGTTGAAACCAGAGTGGGGATGAAGACGACGGTGATGAGGGATGGGAAGAGAACAATCAATATCAAACTGTATTGATCTGACTGAAATCTATTAATTGCACTGATGATTGTTCAGTTGGTCACTCTAATTCTCCCCTTATGGAAGTAACTACTTAGGACCCATTTTATGGCTGTGACAAAGAGTTTGTGCAATTTTGTGGAGTTTGCTATACTATACTTTACTGTAAAAGCCTAGTTGGGCTGCAGTGACTGGATAAACATATTTAGTGTAGAAGTTTTCCCTGATTAGCTTCAAATCTAAGGGAACTAAATTTAAGTCTGTGAGAGAAGTAACCATATACTTGAAGTGTTTCTCATGTAATTATAAACCTGTTGTCAGAGACACTATCTTACAATGTTGAGGCCTGTTTAGGAAGCACCCACTGATAAGAGCTCATCTACTGCTATACAGAATGAAAATGTAGTCTCATAGAATAAAAGCTACCTGAACCTCTTCATTTTTGTTAATACTTAATTTTTTCACTAAACCTTGTAAAGCTTCTAGAACTCCTGAAAACAACCAGAACAAGTTTGTTTCATTTACATTCTCAGATAAAATATTTTGGCCTCTTTAAAAAATTTTCCCTCTCAGTCAAGAGGATTTTGAACAAATCCACAAAGCAATGATATATTTTCAACACCTACAGAATTCCTAAGTGTTAAAATATTTTCTTTTTCTGATTCTCAGAGACTATTTTGAAAGTGCTATTATCTTAGTGGTGAATCAATATACTCAGTTATGAGAATCTCGTACATTTCCACAAGAATGCTCTGAAATAAAAATGAATTTGTTGGATGGAAAATTGGTGTTTTTTAATGAAGAATGAGATCACTGGCTTCTCAATGGTAGTATAAGGAACAATTCCACTTATGGTGCTGTTTTTCAAAGGGAATGCTTCCCTGCTATAGCAAAAAAAAATGTAGCAGAACAGGGGGTATGGCTGGGTTGATCTGGTTTACATCTCTCTAAAAATGCTTGAAGTATGCTCTTGGATCTCTGTAAAAATTTCCTTTAGAGATCCGAGATTGAAAAAGAAAAAGTAACTACAGCATAAGGAGGATGTTAACTAAAGGATGTTGTCATTATAAATAGGGTGGGGAGGGTAAAACTTATTGAAAAGGTGACATTTGAACAAAGGTTGGAAGAAGGTACAGGAGGCAACCACATTGATTCTGGGGGAAGAAAATTCCAGGCAGAGGAAACAGCTCTTACAAAGTCTCCAAGGAAGGAGCATGACTCAGGTATTAAGAAATAGCAAGGATGACTGGAACAGAATGAGCAAAGATGAGAATAATTGGAGATGGGGCTGGAGAGCAAAGGGAGTGGAGGTGGAGATCAAGTCAGGCCTTGTAAATCTCACAAGAACTTTGACTTTTATCCTGAGTGAAATAGAATGCCAATGGAGGATTTTGAACTGAGGAGCAAATGAGTTTTAAAAGGATCAGTTGGATTCTCTGTGAAGAACAGTAGGTAAGGACAAGAATGTAAGCAAATGACCATTAGGATGCTATTGAAACATTCAAGTGAAAAATAATGGTGGCTTAAAACAGAGTGGTAGCTGTGAAGATGGTGTGAAAGGGCCAGATTCTGGATATGTTTTGAAGGTAGAGACAAAAGGATTTCCAGAGAAATTGAACAAAGGGTGTGAGAGAAAGAGAATTGTTGATCATAATTCCAAGGTCTGTGGCCTGAGAAACTGAAATACTATTTGCATGGTGGAGTTTCATATTCCTGAATTCCCAATTAATGTGATATCCAATTAAGGAGGTTGTGCTTTGGTGACAACTAGCATGAACTGCTTTAATCCAATTTTGTAACAGTTTAGAAAACCTGATTCCAGTTGTATAATCTTTTGGTTAAATTTCACCCAAAGACCCAAAGCCAGTCTATAGCACCTAGAAAAATGACCCACTAACATCCTAATGTGACACCTGTAACTATAATATAGGTGTGCATATTTGCCAGAATCCATCTACACTAACACTGGGCTGAGTACACCATCCAGGAACGGCTAGAGCAGCATCTTGCTTTGACTGGTGTGCAGAGGTAGATAATTCTAAGAGCAAAACACTGGCTTTGGAATGAGGCCCAGGTAAGTTTGAATTTTAGTTCTGGCCCTTTAAACTCATCTTGAGGCTTTCATCTATAAGATAAGGCATATAATATTACTTCCTCTGTTTTTTTAAATTATCATTGAATGAGATGCATACATACTCTAATAACTGCTGATTCTCATTCTCTGCTCATCTTTCTCCTAACTTCTGATCCCTGATCATGTGCTAGTACTGGTAGTCTGGATGGTACTTGTATCATGTTTCACTGTCAGCCAAAAAACTCATTAAAGCCTGCATCCCTTTGTATTCCACTTAAACTGTTCTCTTTTGGGTGCCTTTTGTGAAGTACAAAAAGTCTTCTTACCTAGACTTAGTAAAAATCCTATTTTAAAAAGTAGGTTTTCTAGTTATGTTACCAAAGCTTTTCATTTTTGATTTTACTACCTTTATGGTTTATATAGTTGTTCCTGTGTGGCTCATGGCAAGAACTTACTGAACATTATCTGTTTTTAATAATAGTAACATTATTATTTGACAATTACAGGTGATGGAAATCAAAGTCTATGGTGTGGCTCCCTTTAAAAGCTTATGGCTGCCCATGAGTTTATGAGAACCTTTTTTTCACAAAAAGCCTCCATTCCCATTGTTGTTTTCTACTGTCAATTGAAAATGCCTGGAGAAGCCAAGATGGCCGAATAGGAACAGCTCCGGTCTACAGCTCCCAGCGTGAGTGACGCAGAAGACGGGTGATTTCTGCATTTCCATCTGAGGTACCGGGTTCATCTCACTAGGGAGTGCCAGACAGTGGGCGCAGGTCAGTGGGTGCACGCACCCTGCGCCAGCCAAAGCAGGGCGAGGCATTGCCTCACTTGGGAAGCGCAAGGGGTCAGGGAGTTCCCTTTCCGAGTCAAAGAAAGGGGTGACAGACGCACCTGGAAAATCAGGTCACTCCCACCCGAATATTGCGCTTTTCGGACTGGCTTAAAAAACGGCACACCACGAGATTATACCCCGCACCTGGCTCGGAGGGTCCTACCCCACGGAGTCTCGCTGATTGCTAGCACAGCAGTCTGCGATCAAACTGCAAGGCGGCAGCGAGGCTGGGGGAGGGGCGCCCACCATTGCCCAGGCTTGATTAGGTAAACAAAGCCAGCCAGGGAAGCTCAAACTGGGTGGAGCCCACCACAGCTCAAGGAGGCCTGCCTGCCTCTGTAGGCTCCACCTCTGGGGGCAGGGCACAGACAAACAAAAAGACAGCAGTAACCTGTGCAGACTTCAATGTCCCTGTCTGACAGCTTTGAAGAGAGCAGTGGTTCTCCCAGCACGCAGCTGGAGATCTGAGAACGGGCAGACTGCCTCCTCAAGTGGGTCCCTGACCCCTGACCCCCGAGCAGCCTAACTGGGAGGCACCCCCCAGCAGGGGCACACTGACACCTCACACGGCAGGGTATTCCAACAGACCTGCAGCTGAGGGTCCTGTCTGTTAGAAGGAAAACTAACAGAAAGGACATCCACACCAGAAACCCATCTGTACATCACCATCATCAAAGACCAAAAGTAGATAAAACCACAAAGATGGGGAAAAAACAGAACAGAAAAACTGGAAACTCTAAAACGCAGAGCGCCTCTCCTCCTCCAAAGGAACACAGTTCCTCACCAGCAACGGAACAAAGCTGGATGGAGAATGACTTTGACGAGCTGAGAGAAGAAGGCTTCAGATGATGAAATTACTCTGAGCTACGGGAGGACATTCAAACCAAAGGCAAAGAAGTTGAAAACTTTGAAAAAAATTTAGAAGAATGTATAACTAGAATAACCAATACAGAGAAGTGCTTAAAGGAGCTGATGGAGCTGAAAACCAAGGCTCAAGAACTACGTGAGGAATGCAGAAGCCTCAGGAGCCGATGAGATCAACTGGAAGAAAGGGTATCAGCAATGGAAGATGAAATGAATGAAATGAAGTGAGAAGGGAAGTTTAGAGAAAAAAGAATAAAAAGAAATGAGCAAAGCCTCCAAGAAGTATGGGACTATGTGAAAAGACCAAATCTACGTCTGATTGATGTGCCTGAAAGTGACGGGGAGAATGGAACCAAGTTGGAAAACACTCTGCAGGATATTATCCGGGAGAACTTCCCAATCTAGCAAGGCAGGCCAACGTTCAGATTCAGGAAATACAGAGAACGCCACAAAGATACTCCTCGAGAAGAGCAACTCCAAGACACATAATTGTCAGATTCACCAAAGTTGAAATGAAGGAAAAAATGTTAAGGGCAGCCAGAGAGAAAGGTCGGGTTACCCTCAAAGGGAAGCCCATCAGACTAACAGCAGATCTCTCGGCAGAAACCCTACCAGCCAGAAGAGAATGGGGGCCAGTATTCAACATTCTTCAAGAAAAGAATTTTCAACCCAGAATTTCATATCCAGCCAAACTAAGCTTCATAAGTGAAGGAGAAATAAAATACTTTACAGACAAGCAAATGCTGAGAGATTTTGTCACCACCAGGCCTGCCCTAAAAGAGCTCCTGAAGGAAGCACTAAACATAGAAAGGAACAACCGGTACCAGCGGCTGCAAAATCATGCCAAAATGTAAAGACCATCGAGACTAGGAAGAAACTGCATCAACTAACGAGCAAAATCACCAGCTAACATCATAATGACAGGATCAAATTCACACATAACAATATTAACTTTAAATGTAAATGGACTAAATGCTCCAATTAAAAGACACAGACTGGCAAATTGGATAAAGAGTCAAGACCCACCAGTGTGTTGTATTCAGAAAACCCATCTCACGTGCAGAGACACACATAGGCTCAAAATAAAAGGATGGAGGAAGATCTACCAAGCAAATGGAAAACAAAAAAAGGCAGGGGTTGCAATCCTAGTCTCTGATAAAACAGACTTTAAACCAACAAAGATCAAAAGAGACAAAGAAGGCCATTACTTAATGGTAAAGGGATCAATTCAACAAGAAGAGCTAACTATCCTAAATATATATGCACCCAATACAGGAGCACCCAGATTCATAAAGCAAGTCCTGAGTGACCTACAAAGAGACTTAGACTCCCACACATTAATAATGGGAGAATTTAACACCCCACTGTCAACATTAGACAGATCAACAAGACGGAAAGTCAACAAGGATACCCAGGAATTGAACTCAGCTCTGCACCAAGCGGACCTAATAGACATCTACAGAACTCTCCACCCCAAATCAACAGAATATACATTTTTTTCAGCACCACACCACACCTATTCCAAAATTGACCACATACTTGGAAGTAAAGCTCTCCTCAGCAAATGTAAAAGAACAGAGATTATAACAAACTATCTCTCAGACCACAGTGCAATCAAACTAGAACTCAGGATTAAGAATCTCACTCAAAACCACTCAACTACATGGAAACTGAACAACCTGCTCCTGAATGACTACTAGGTACATAATGAAATGAAGGCAGAAATAAAGATGTTCTTTGAAACCAACGAGAACAAAGACACAACATACCAGAATCTCTGGGACACATTCAAAACAGTGTGTAGAGGGAAATTTATAGCACTAAATGCCCACAAGAGAAAGCAGGAAAGATCCAAAATTGACACCCTAACATCACAATTAAAAGAACTAGAAAAGCAAGAGCAAACACATTCAAAAGCTAGCAGAAGGCAAGAAATAACCAAAATCAGAGCAGAACTGAAGGAAATAGAGACACAAAAAACCCTTCAAAAAATTAATGAATCCAGGAGCTGGCTTTTTGAAAGGATCAACAAAATTGATAGAGAGCTAGCAAGACTAATAAAGAAAAAAAGAGAGAAGAATCAAATAGACACAATAAAAAATGATAAAGGGGATATCACCACCAATCCCACAGAAATACAAACTACCATCAGAGAATACTACAAACATCTCTACACAAATAAACTAGAAAATCTAGAAGAAATGGTTAAATTCCTGGACACATACACTCTCCCAAGACTAAACCAGGAAGAAGTTGAATCTCTGAATAGACCAATAACAGGAGCTGAAATTGTGGCAATAATCAATAGTTTACCAACCAAAAAGAGTCCAGGACCAGATGGATTCACAGCCGAATTCTATCAGAGGTACAAGGAGGAACTGGTACCATTCCTTCTGAAACTATTCCAATCAATAGAAAAAGAGGGAATCCTCCCTAACTCATTTTATGAGGCCAGCATCATTCTGATACCAAAGCCGGGCAGAGACACAACCAAAAAAGAGAATTTTAGACCAATATCCTTGATGAACATTGATACAAAAATCCTCAATAAAATACTGGCAAATCGAATCCAGCAGCACATCAAAAAGCTTATCCACCATGATCAAGTGGGCTTCATCTCTGGGATGCAAGGCTGGTTCAACATACACAGCTCAATAAATGTAATCCAGCATATAAACAGAGCCAAAGACAAAAACCACATGATTATCTCAATAGATGCAGAAAAAGCCTTTGACAAAATTCAACAACCCTTCATGCTAAAAACTCTCAATAAGCTAGGTATTCATGGGATGTATTTCAAAATAATAAGAGCTATCTATGACAAACCCACAACCAATATCATACTGAATGGGCAAAAACTGGAAGCATTCCCTTTGAAAACTGGCACAAGACAGGGATGTCCTCTCTCACCACTCCTATTCAACATAGTGTTGGAAGTTCTGGCCAGGGCAATTAGGCAGGAGAAGGAAATAAAGGGTATTGAATTAGGAAAAGAGGAAGTCAAATTGTCCCTGTTTGCAGACGACATGATTGTATATCTAGAAAACCCCATTGTCTCAGCCCAAAATCTCCTTAAGCTGATAAGCAACTTCAGCAAAGTCTCAGGATACAAAATCAATGTACAAAAATCACAAGCATTCTTATACACCAATAACAGACAAACAGAGCCAAATCATGAGTGAACTCCCATTCACAATTGCTTCAAAGAGAATAAAATACCTAGGAATCCAACTTACAAGGGATGTGAAGGATCTCTTCAAGGAGAACTACAAACCACTGCTCAATGAAATAAAAGAGGATACAAACAAATGGAAGAACATTCCATGCTCATGGGTAGGAAGAATCAATATCATGAAAATGGCCATATTGCCCAAGGTAATTTACAGATTCAATGCCATCCCCATCAAGCTACCAATGACTTTCTTCACAGAATTGGAAAAAACTACTTTAAAGTTCATATGGAACCAAAAAAGAGCCCGCATCGCCAAGTCAATCCTAAGCCAAAAGAACAAAGCTGGAAGCATCACACTACATGACTTCAAACTATACTACAATGCTATAGTAACCAAAACAGCATGGTACTGGTACCAAAACAGAGATATAGATCAATGGAACAGAACAGAGCCCTCAGAAATAATGCTGCATATCTACAACTATCTGATCTTTGACAAACCTGAGAAAAACAAGCAATGGGGAAAGGATTCCCTATTTAATAAATGGTGCTGGGAAAACTGGCTAGCCATATGTAGAAAGCTGAAACCGGATCCCTTCCTTACACCTTATACAAAAATCAATTCAAGATGGATTAAAGACTTAAACGTTAGACCTAAAACCATAAAAACCCTAGAAGAAAACCTAGGCATTACCATTCAGGACATAGGCATGGGCAAGGACTTCATGTCCAAAACACCAAAAGCAATGGCAACAAAAGACAAAATTGACAAATGGGATCCAATTAAACTAAAGAGCTTCTGCACAGCAAAAGAAACTACCATCAGAGTGAACAGGCAACCTACAAAATGGGAGAAAATTTTCTCAACCTACTCATCTGACAAAGGGCTAATATCCAGAATCTACAATGAACTCAAACAAATTTAGAAGAAAAAAACAAACAACCCCATCAAAAAGTGGGCGAAGGACATGAACAGACACTTCTCAAAAGAAGACATTTATGCAGCCAAAAAACACATGAAAAAATGCTCATCATCACTGGCCATCAGAGAAATGCAACTCAAAACCACAATGAGATACCATCTCACACCAGTTAGAATGGCAATCATTAAAAAGTCAGTAAACAACAGGTGCTGGAGAGGATGTGGAGAAATAGGAACACTTTTACACTGTTGGTGGGACTGTAAACTAGTTCAATCATTGTAGAGGTCAGTGTGGCGATTCCTCAGGGATCTAGAACTGGAAATATCATTTGACCCAGCCATCCCATTACTCGGTATATACCCAAAGGACTATAAATCATGCTGCTATAAAGACACATGCACACGTATGTTTATTGTGGCATTATTCACAATAGCAAAGACTTGGAACCAACCCAAATGTCCAACAATGATAGACTGGATTAAGAAAATGTGGCACATATACACCATGGAATACTATGCATTCATAAAAAATGATGAGTTCATGTCCTTTGTAGGGACATGGATGAAATTGGAAGTCATCATTCTCAGTAAACTATTGCAAGAACAAAAAACCAAACACCACATATTCTCACTCATAGATGGGAATTGAACAATGAGATCACATGGACACAGGAAGGGGAATAGCACACTCTGGGGACTGTGGTGGGGTGGGGGGAGGAGGGAGGGATAGCATTGGGAGATATACCTAATGCTAGATGACGAGTTAGTGGGTGCAGCGCACCAGCGTGGCACATGTATACATATGTAACTAACCTGCACAATGTGCACATGTACCCTAAAACTTAAAGTATAAAAAAAAAAAATTAAAATTAAAAAAAATAAATAAAAAAAAAAAAAAAGAAAATGCCTTGCTGCCTGTCTCAGGTCTAAGCCAACCCAGCTTGGGGTTTGCTGCTTACGTGCGTCGTGTTCTTCCTCATGGGCTCCACAGAGGTGTGGATCTGATAATTTTTCAGGTGAATAAAATAAAATTGACAAGGATCTGGTAAAGGTAATAGGAGAAGAAACTGAGTATGGGAATGGAATTCAGGTTCTCTGTAAAAGCAGCAGTTGAAAGATGTACATTAAAAAATCAATTCAGATTTTTCAATTTTTCTTCTCTCAAGGGCCAATTTGCTGAGGAAAATATTTTATTTAGATATGCAAAGTCGGCCTTGTTCGCAGTAAACTCACTAAGTAAATTATAAATTAAACGCTAATTTCAAAAGCATTAATTAAACCTTTTGATTAAACCCTTCTGCCCTAAAGAGAAAAAAAAATTTTTTCACAAAAATGCTTTTTTATGCATTTTTCATGGTTGAATCTTTAGTACTCATCACTGTCTATATTCACACAAGGCTTCTGTGGATTTCAACAAGTAACTGTAATGTTTTAAAAAATTAATTAATACATAATAGATATACATATCTTCTGGGTACAGGTGATAATTTAATACACACTTAAAATGTATAAAGATCAAATTAGTGTAATTTGGATTCTACCACTTAAATATATGTCTTTTATTTATGCTAAATCCCTTCAAATTATTCTCCTCTAGCTGTTTTAAAATATACAAGAGATTATTGTAAACTGTAGTCACCGTATTGATCTATCAAATTCTAGGTCTTAATTCTTTAGTCAAACGGTATATTTATACCCATTAATCAACCTCTCCTCATTGTCCCTCACCATTGCCCTTCACAGCCTCTGGTAATCACCACTAGTCTCTGTCTTTAAGAGATAACTTTTTTAACTTTTGCATGTGAGTGAGAACATATGATATTTGTCTTCCTGTGCTTGGCCTATTTTATTTAGTGACTTCCATTTCCATCCATGTTGCTGGAAATGACAGAATTTCATTCTTTTTATGGCTAAAAAATATTCCATTATGTATATATATCACATTTTATTTACCCATTCATAGATTCATGGACACTTAGGTTGTTTTCATATGTTGGCCATTGTGAATAGTGCTGAAATAAACATGGGAGAGCAGGTATTGCCTTGATATATGATT
Source organism: Homo sapiens (assembly GCF_000001405.40). NCBI lineage: Eukaryota > Metazoa > Chordata > Mammalia > Primates > Hominidae > Homo > Homo sapiens. The sequence continues at coordinate 77,081,284 of NC_000006.12, read as the reverse complement.
TTCTTTTTCTTTTTGTATATATACCCAGTAGTGGAATTACTGGATCATATGGGAGTTCTATTTTTAGTTTTTTTGAGGAACGTTCATATGATTTTCCTTAGTGGCTGTACTGATTTACATTTCCATCAACAGTATACAAGGGTTTTCCTTTCTCCACATCCTCACCAGCATCTGTTATTACTTGTATTTTTAAGCCATTTTAACCAACATGAGATGATATTTTATGTGGTAATCATTTCTCTGATGACTGGTGATATTGAACTTTTTTTCCTGTATTTGACGGTCACTTGCGTGTCTTCTGTTGAGAACCATCTACTCAGATTCTTAGCCCAATTTTAATTGGATTTTTTTCCCAAGTAGAGTTGTGTTTGCTCCTTACATATTCTGGTTACTAATCCTTTGTCAGATGAATAATTTGCAAATATTTTCTCCCATTCTGTGGGTTGTCACTTCACTTTGTTGACTGTTTTCTTTGCTGTGAAGAAGCTTGTTAACTTGATATAATATTATTTATCTTTTTTGCTTTGGTGGCCTATGCTTATAAGGTCTTATACAAAAATTCCTTGCCCAGACCAATCTCATAAGCATTTCCCAATGTTTTATTCTAAGAGTTACATAGATTCAGGTGATAGATTTAAGTTTTTAATTCATCTTGATTCAATTTTTGTATATGGTGAGAGATAGGAGTATAGTTTCATTCTTCTGTATATGATTATTCAGTTTTCCCAGAACCATTTATTGAAGAAACTGTCTTTTCCCCAATGTTTGTTTTTGGTTCTTTTCTCAAAAAAATAAGTTGGCCATAAGTGCATAGGTTTATATCTGGGCTCTCTATCCTTTCCCGTTGGTTTGTGTGTCTATTTTTATGATTGTACCATGCTGATTTAGTTACTATAGGTTTGTAGCGTATTTTGAAGTGAGGTAGTATGATGTCTCCAGCTTTGTTCTTTTTGCTCAGCATTGTCTATAAGAGGTTTTTTGTGGTTCTATATAATTTTTAGAATTGTTTTCATATTTCTATGAAGAAAGACATTGGTATTTTGATAGAAATTGTATTGAATCTAAGTTTCTTCAGGCAGTATTTTCATTTTAACAATATTAATTCTTTCAATCCATGGGCATGGAATTTTTTTCAATTTTTTGTGTCCTCTTCAATGTCTTTCATCAGAGTTTTATTGTTTTTCTTACATAGCTCTTTCACTTCTTTGGTTAAATTGGTTCATAAATATTTTATTTTCTTTGTAGCTATTGCAAATGGGATTGCTTTTCTGATTTCTTGTTCAGATTGTTTGCTGTTGATGTATATAAATGGTACTGATTTCTGGATGTTCATTTTGTATCCTGAACTTTACTGAATTTGCTTATCATATTTAACAGTATTTTTGGTGGAAGGTATTTCTAAGTATTACATTTTGTTATCTGAGTTAAAAGCCAATCTGACTCCTTCCTTTTCAATTTGTATGCCTTTTCTTTCTTTCTCTTGTTTAATTGCTCTGGCCAGGGCTTCCAGTATCATATTGAATAAAACTGATGAAAGTGGCCATCCTTGTCTTGTTCTTCATCTTTGAGGAAAGACTTTTGTTTTTTACCCTGTTCAGTCCAATGTTCATCATGGGTTTGTCATATATAGCCTTGTATCATTTTTAGGTATTTCCCTTCTATACCCATTTTGTTGAAGGGTTTTAATCGTAAAGGAATGTTGAATTTTATTGAATGCTTTCAGCATCTATTGAGATGAGAGTATGATTTTTGTTCTTGCTTCTATTAACGTAATGCATCATGTTTATTGATTGGCACATGTTGCATTCATCACTTGCATTCCTAGGATGAATCCCACTGGTTCATGGTGAATGATCTTTTTAATGTGTTGTTAAATCATATTTGCTCATATTTTGTTGAGGATTTTGGAACTATATTCATCAAGGACATTGGCCTGTAGTTTTCTTTTTTGGTTATGTCTTTGTCTGGTTTTGCATCAGGAAAATGCTAACTTTGCATAACAAGTTTGAAACCTTGTTATGCAAAGGTTTCCTTCTCTTAATTTTTTGAAGAGTTTGAAAAGAATTGTTATTAATTCTCCTTTAAATGTTTGGTAGAATTAAACAGTGAAGCCATCATGTCTTGGGCTTTTCTTTGATGAGAGACTGTTTATTACAGCTTTAATCTTATTACACATTATTTATTTGCTGAGGTTTTCTATTTTGTTGTGGTTCAATCTTGGTAGGTTGTACATGTCCAGCAATTTACCCATCTCTTCAGGTTTTCCAGTTTGTTGACATGTAGATGTTCATAATGGTATCTACTGATCTTTGTGTTCTGTGGTCTGAGTTGTCTTCTTTTTCATTATTGATTTTATTTATTTAGATTTTCCCTCTTTTTTCCTTAGTCTAGCTAAAGGTTTGTTGATTTTATCTTTTCAAAAAACCAAGTTATGTAGTTGTTCTTCTGTTTCTGTTTTATTTTCTTTTATAAGATACCACTTTTAGCTGTTTCTGCTCTTATCTTTATTATTTGTCTCCTACTAATTTTTAATTTGCTTTGTTCTTGTTTTCTTGTTTCTTGAGGTGTATCATTCAGTTGTTTATTTGAAGTCTTTTCACTTTTTTTCTTGTAAACTCTGATGAAAACTTTTTTGAAGTGTGTTTCTATAAACTTTCCTCTTAGTACTGTTTTTGCTGTGTTGTGTACACTTTGCTATATTGTATTTCCATTTTGATTTGTTTAAATTTTTTAAATTACCTTATTAATGTCTTCATTGACCCATTGTTAGTTTTGGAGCATATTGTTTAACTTCTAGGTGTTTGTATATTTTCCAAGTTCCTCTTGTTAATGATTTCTAAATTTATTCACTTGTGGTCAGAAAAGATGATCGACTTGATTTCTACCTTTTTAAATTTGTCAAGACTTATTTTGTGGCTGACAATATGGTCTATTCAAGAAAATGTTTCATGTCCTGATTAAAATAATGTGTATTGTGCAGCAATTGAGTGAAATGTTCTATAAATGACAACTAGGCCTATTTGATCTAGTGTGTAGTTTAATTCTGATGTTTCTTTGTTGATTTTTTGTCTGTGTTACCTTCTCATTACTGAGAGTGGAGTGTTGAAGTTTCCTATAATTAAGGTATTGTAATCTATCTCTTCTTTTAGATCTATTAATATTTGCTTTATATACTTAGGCACTCTGGTGTTAGGCATATGGATACTTAAAATTGTTATGTCCTCTTCATAAACTGAGCCCTTTATCATTTTATAGTGATCTTTTTGTGTGCTTTTAAAGTTATTGATTTGTATTCTATATTGTGTGATATAAGAATAGCTACTCCTGCTATTTTTTGGTTTCTGGATGCATGGAATATTTTTTCCACCCCTTCAATTTCAGTCTAAATGTGTCTTTATATGTGAAGTGTTGCTTTCTTTCTTTCTTTCTTTTTTTTTGGAATATGGATCATGTTGTTGAGTCTTGTTTCTTTATTCATTCAGCCACTCTATGCCTTTTAATTGAAGAATTGAATCCATTTACATTCAGTGTTATTAATGATAAGTAAGGGCTTACTACTGCCATATTGTTCTTTGTTTACTGGTTGTTTTGTAACTCCCCTCTTCCTTTCTTCTTTGCTTACTCTGTTTCCTGTGGCTAGGTGATTTTCTCTGGTAGTATGTCTTAATGTGTTGCTTTTGATTTTTAATGAATCTATTAAAAGTTTTGCATTGCAGTTACCATGTGGCTTACAAGAAACATCGTATAGATATTATAGATATGACAAGTTATTTTAAATAAAGATTCCATCTTAGATCACAAAAAGAAAAATAATGGAAAGAAATATGCTACACCAACTTCATTTTTAACTACACATTTACTTTACGTTGTCTCAATTCATGTCTTTTAATGTTGCCTATCTCTTCACAGGTTGCTATTGCTATTATTATTCTTGATAGAGTTATCTTTGGGCTTTATAATAGAGTTACAAGTGAATTGCACAACACAATTACAATATTAGAGTATTCTGGGTTAGTTCATGTACTTAATTTTACCAGTGTGTTTTATACCTTCTAATGTTTTCAATGTTAGTGTTTTTTTTTTTTTTCATCAGATTTTTTTCAGATGGAAGAACTCCCTTTTGCATTTCTTATAAAAGGGTCTGGCGTTGGCAATTTTTTTCAGCTTTTGTTTGTCCGGGAAATACTTTCTCTTTCATGTGTAAAAGATAGCTCTGTGGGATAAAATATTCTTAAATGGCAGTTACTTCTTTCAGTACATTGAAAATGCCTTCCCACACCTTGTTGGTCTGTGTGGTATTCATTCAGATGTCAGCTCCCTGATGAATTGGAGCTCTTTTACAACTTGTTTTCTTCTTACTCTTACTCTTTTTAGAACCCTCTCCTTGTTTTAACCTTTGAAAGTTTGATTAATTCCTGCCCTGAGGTAGTCTTATTTGGGTCAAGTTATGTAGTGTTCTCTAGCCTTCCTGTACTTAAATATTTGTCCGTTTTTCAGAGTTTGGAAAGTTTTCTGTTTGAGTAAGTTTTCTATCCCTTGTTTTTGCTCAGCTCGTTCTTAAAAAGCAATAATTCTTAGATTTGATCTTTTGAGGTAGTTTTCTATATCTTGTAGGTAAGCTTTCCTTTTCATTTTTTTCTCATCATATATATTATTGAATAGCTCACTGATCATTTTCATGCTTGATCCATTCTGCTCATGAGAGCCTCTAATGTATTTCTCAGTTCAGCAAATGTTTTTCTTAGTTAGAAGATTTTTGTTTGATTTTTAAAATTATTTCAATCTCTTTGTTAAATGTGTCTAGTAAATGTCTGGACTGCTTTTCTGTGTTATCTTGGAAATCACTGAGGTTCCTTAAAACTACTATTTAGAATTTTATTAAGAGCATTCACATGTCATCGTCCCAGTGGAGCCAGTCACTGGTTCCTTGCTTTGCTCATTTGAAGAGTTCATGATTCCATTTTTTTTCCTTGTAGATGTATGTCTATATATTTGCATTGAATAATTAGTTACTTCTTCTAGTGTTTGCTGTCTGTTTTGTTTTTTATAGGATATGTTTGCTTAGATTTTTTTTTTTGTAATTTGCCTGTTGATGTTTTTATTTTTACCCCAACAAGGTCACTGTCTCCTTTTCAGCACTTGATGGCCTTAAAGCCTAGGTTTGTCTCAGTTCTAGTAAACAATCAGAATGCTGAAGGTCAGAATGGGAAGGTCCCTAAGCGGGTATTCCATTAGTGTGGGAAGGCTGGCTACAGATGTGTGTTCAGGGGACCTGTGGAACAAACTTTCTACAATGTGATGCTTCTGAACAGCCACTCTGATTTGGCAACTCCTTTAGCAGAGTTATAGAGCAGAGTTTCCAGAGCAGGGGATGGTAGTCCTACCTCCCTCCTTTGTTTAGGGTGATTCTCAGGGATATTCCTCCCTTCAGACACTGTTGGTGATTTCTGTGGGTTGAAGTAAGGACAGGTCTCCTGCCAGGGAATCTAAAATGATTGGGAAGCTGGTAGTCCATCTTAATTTCATTTTTCCCTCTCTAGAAATCATGAGTCATAAAATTCTCATGCACTTGATGTGGGGCATTTTCGGGGCAGGGGCATCATGGATATAGAGGTTTGATTCTCTTTCCATGTGCTTCGAGTCTTTTCACTTCCCTTTGGCTCTGGGAACTGTCTTATCCTCTTATTTGAATTCTGGGATATTGCTGGTGATAATCTCAGTGCTATATATTTGTTTTTGGTTTTCTGTGGGGGAGAGTTAAGCCAGCTTGCTTCTTTGTCACTATTTTGGAACCAGAAGTCTTTCCAACAAGTAACTGTTTGATGTCATTTTTATATGCCTATTAGGTCAAGTTCTGATTTGAGTTAAATGTGGGATATGCAGTAAATATATAGTTTTCTAGAGAAAGTAAGTTAATTTATAACTTTGAATGGGGAACAAGAATGCTCAATTCAGTGTTATTGCCAAATGTGTTCATATTCTGTCTATATTTTTCTCAGTGAATAATGATAATGCAGTTCTGAGGCCTGAAAAATTCTTACAGTCTCTTACCAAGTCTTTGATCTATCTTGGGATTTCATTTGTTTCCTTACTGCTAGGAGAAAGGTGTTACTATATACCTCGAAGAGATGCTATAAGAATCTGTCTCAAATCATTATTTAAACACTTAGAAAACATGCCCATTTGTTGTTCTACAAGAGACAAGTAAGATGATAAATGCTGTGTGTTATATAAATTCTGTCCTAAAATAGAGGTTCATGAATACATTGAATATGTATCTGAGAAATTGTATTAGGACAGTGGTGACTCATGCAATACTAAGGAAAATTTTATCCTGTGATTTTAACTTTTGGAATAATTTAAAACAGAATGTAATCCATACTTACAATTACTTAGGAATATTTCTCAAAACTGTAAATGCATATTTGCTTACATAATTAGAAGTGAGAAAATTACTGGTGCTTTCTGTGTTACTCTCCTCCAGACAATGAGGGAGGATGAAGATAATCATTAATACTTTTGGGAATCAAAGTAAATTAATTACGCATTTATTTTCGAGTACCTGAAGAAACAGTTAAACTTCGGTGGCTAGCCAGTCTGTTCTTTTGGTAATTCTGCTCTTTGTTAATGATCTTTTAAATGCGTATTTTCTACACAGTTTCTTTAACAGGGTGAAAGTAAAAGAAAGCTCCCTCATAATAAATACACTTTCACTTCCCTAAAGTAAATAGTAGCTTTCATCAAAATGCTTGAGAGAGGACTGTGCAGACATTTTTCACTGAATATTTAAGCAAAAGACAATAGATTTGTCATTATCAGTAGTGTATTAGTCTGTTTTCACACTGCTGATAAAGACGTACCCAAAACTGGGAACAAAAAAAGATTTTATTGGACTTACAGTTCCACATGGCAGGGGAGGCCTCAGAATCATGGTAGGAAGTGAAAGACTCTTACATGGCAAAGGCAAAAGAAAATGAGAAAGAAGCAAAAGCAGAAAAGTGGAAACCCCTGATAAACCCATCAGAGACTTACTATCATGAGAATAGCACGAGAAAGACCGGCCCCCATGATGCAATTACCTGCCCATAGGTCCCTCCTGAAACACGTGGGAACTCTGGGAGGTACAATTCAAGTTGAGATTTTGGTGAGGACACAGCCAAATCATATCAACTATCATCATATATCTTTTTGGCCATAGTTGTTTTCTTTTAGCTTTCGTGCTTATTTCACTATCCTTATTTTTTTCAAGTGAGTTTTAGAAAAATAACTTAAAAAAAGAAGAATAAAAGCTCTGGTCACTTAATTTTAGGTTAATATAATTTGGTAATTTACTAGTAGTTAACCCTCATGCAATCCATGAAGATTATTTGATGTGAACATATAAATGGCATACTTGCAAGAGTTCTTGTAAAATAAAGTGAACAAGATCTACCCCACCCTTATCCCTGAAGAAGCGAGTCTATCTAGGAAACATAAATCCAACCTTGAAAGTGGAAAATGTATTTACTGATTGTGACCAAATAAATTTGTCACTCTTTTCCTTTTTTTAACATCCTATTTAGTGTAAAATTTGAAGGTCATTTAACTGATGAGTTTCACTAAAAATACAAATTATGTTTGGTTTAAAATATTGGACTTGAAAAGTTACTGGTGTCCAGGTATTCTGATTTTTCAGATTTCAGTTCCCAGTTCTGAGTGATTACCTAATCAGTGAATTTCATGAAGCCTAAAATTCTCATCTCATAAAGTCTAAAATGCTCACAAAACAGGAAAAGAACCTAGGATTACCTCTTTCCTGCCTTAGCTGCCACTCAGCTCCTCCATTTCTTAACAATGGCTCAGCATATATTCGTTTTATAAATTGAAATTCTTGTGAGGTTTCATTTGAAGAAGTAATTCTGCTGATTCCAAAATTTTGAAAACTGCAGTTATAAACTATTGGGAGATTACTTACTCACCAGTTTTGATGTTCTGCCAGAATCCAAAGGCCAGAACTTGCGGACCTTGTTGACAGGTGTGACTACCAGGTCAGAACAGAAGGGGATCAGGAACTCACATAGGAAATCCTTTGCTACGGAGAAAGCAGGCATAAAATGTTAGAGCAGAATAAAGTTCTACATTCTAGGCAGAGAGGTAAAGTTTCATTAGTTGGAACACCATGAAATGGAATTGACTTCGTTCTGTATGTTCCAATTAGATTGGTCCCAGGGTGTGGGTTTTTTGATTTTGTAAGCACAAACTGATTAAGGTCTGTTCCTGGTTGCAGAGCTGATGAGAATGTGTTCTTATTTGACAAACAAGTTCTCCTAATGTGCTTTGCCATTTTGTTAAGTAGTTAAACAGATTATGAGTTGCAGCGTATGGTTTAGATTGGTGGTACTCCAACTGTTGTGTACATTGGAATCAGCTGGAGGACTTGTTAAAAGGCAGACTGCTGGTTTCCACCTCCAGTTTCTGATTCAGAGACTGGGTTTGGAAGTGTGGTCCAAGACTACATTTCTGAGTTACCAGTGATGCTTCTGCTGCTGCTCTAGGAAACACACTTTAAGATTGCATCTCTGGTTTAGAAATGACTATAGTTCACTTTTTAGTTAAATGATTTCTATATACCAGGGTAAAGTATTTTTCTTTCCTAAGTGACTTTTTTTTTCTGCCTTAATCCCCATTCCCCCATCCTTTTTCTGTGGAAATTCTTAACACAATATGTGAAATTTTTGCCAAGAAGATCAAAATTTAATCTTATAAAAAGGTATCTAAAAACCCTACAACTAACAATGATGATACAATGAATTATTTTTCTCTAAAGTCAGAATAAGGCAAGTCTGTCCACTGTCACCACTCCTATTTACACTATACTGGAAGTCTTAACCACCAAAATCAGCTATGAAAAATAGAAATGAAAGATGAAGATTGGGGAAAAATCAACATATTTTCTCTTTTTGCAGGAAACATGGCTGTATAAGTAGAAAACTTTGAAGAATTTGCTGTAAGTAACAAATATGTTTAGAAAGGTTACAGACTACAATATCTAATTTAGAAGTCCTTTGTATTTCTACATATTAGTAATAAATAATTGGAATTTAAAATTTATAAAAAGTACTATTATAATAGTACTATCTAAAATGAAATACTTCAATATAATCTAACAAACATTTGAAGGATCTATATACTGAAAAGTAAAAAATATTGATTAAAAAATGAAAGTCATATATAAAAGGAGATATTATTCAATTACCAGATTGGAAGTCTTATATTGTCAGTCCTCCTCAAAAGAATTCATAGATTTAACGCAATCACAATCAAATTTCTAGAATTATTTTGGTAGATGTTTAACTATTTATAATACATATGTATATATAGAAAAAGCAAGGGGATTAGAAAAATGACAAGGAATGAGAGTAGACAAAATAATTTTGAGAAAAAACCCACAAAATTGGAGGACTCACATTACCCAATTTCATGACTTATCATAAAAATATAGTAATCATGGCAGTAGGTATTGGCTGAAGCATGTATGCACTGAGCTAAACATGGTGGCTTGAACATATAATCCCAGCTACTCAGGATGCTGAGGTGAGAGAATCACTTGAGCCCAGGAGTTTAAGACTGGCCTGGACAACATAGCACTATCCCATATTAAAAAATAGTAAATAAAAACTAAAAAGAATAGACACATCAGTCAGTGGAACTGAATACAGAAACAAAAACCTGCCCTGTACAAATACAGCAAGCTCACATGAACAAGCATGAAAAGGCAATTCAATGAAGAAAAAATGAATAATTCATAATCTCAATGCCAATGAAGAGAATCTTAGCCTATACCTTTCATCTTAGACAAAAAGCCTTAAAATAGATTATAAGACTAAATATAAAATCTAAAACTATAAAACTTCTAGAAAAAAAGATAGAAATATATATGTGTGACTTTGGGCCAGGCACGGTGGCTTGCACCTGTAATCCCAGCACTTTGGGAGGCTGAGGCGAGTGGATCACGAGGTCAGGAGATCGAGACCATCCTGGCTAACACGGTGAAACCTCATCTCTACTAAAAATAGAAAAAAATTAGCCGGGTGTGGTGGCATATGCCTGTAATCCCAGCTACTTGGGAGGCTGAGGCAGCGGAATCACATGAACCCGGGAGGCGGAGGCTGCTGTGAGCTGAGATTGTGCCATTGCACTCCAGCCTGGCAAAAGAGCAAGACTCCATCTCAAAAAATATCTATATCTATATCTGTATCTAGATATAGATATATCTGTGTGACTTTAGTTGGGCAAAGAGTTTTAGATATGACACCAAAAGCATGATGAATAAAAGAAAAAAATTGATTGGATTTCATTAAAATTACAAATTTTGGCATAGTGAAAGATAACTGTTTAGAGAAAGAAAGGCAAAACACACTCTGAGAAAAATATTTGGAAATTATAGTTGATATGGTTAGGCTTTGTGTCCCCACCCAAATCTCATCTTGATAAATTGTTATCCCCGGTTGTTGAGGGTGAGACCTGGTGGGAGGTGATTGGAACATGGGAGTGGTTTTTCCCATGCTGTTCTCATGATAGTGCGTGAATTCTCATGAGATCTGATGGTTTTATCAGTGGCAATTTTTCCTCCCTTGCTCTCATTCCCTCCTGTGGCCTTGTGAAGAAGGTGCCTTCTTCCCCCTCAGCTTCTGCCATGATTCTAATTTTCCTGAGGTTTCCCCCAGCCATTCAGAACTGGGAGTTAATTAAACCTCTTTCCTTTATAAATTACCCAGTCTCATGTATTTCTTTATAGCAGTGCAAAAGCTAATTAATGCATTAAATTGGTACTACAGAGAGTGGGGTATTGCTATAAAGACACACAAAAATGTGAAAGTGATTTTGGCTCTGAGTAGTGGGCAGAGGTTGGAACAGTTTGGAAGGCTCAGAAGACAAGAAAATTTGGGAAAGTTTGGAACTTCCTAGAGACTTGTTGAATGCTTTTGACCAAAATGTTGATAGCATGGACAATGAAGTCTGGGGTGAGGTGGTCTCAGATGGAGATGAGAAACTTATTGGAAATTGGAGCAAAGGACACTCTTGCTATGCTTTAGCAAGGAGACTGGTGACATTTTGCCCCTGCCCTAGAGATCTGTGTAACTTTAAATTTGAGAGAGATCATTAAGGGTATCTTGCAAAAGAAATACCTAAGTGGCAAAGCATTCAAGAGGAAGCAGAGAGTAGAAGTTTGGAAAATATGCAGCCCAATCATGATGTTTTAAAGAAAAACCCATTTTCTAGGGAGAAATTCAAGTTGGCTGCAGAAATTTCGATAAGTAACAAGGAGCCAAATGTTAATTTTCAAGGCAATGTGAAAAATGTCTCCAGGGTATGTCAGAGACCTTCACAGCATCCCTCCTCTCATCACAGGCCCAGAGGCCTAGAAGGGAAAAAAGATTTCATGGGCCAGGCCCAGGGACTTCCACTTTGTGCAGCCTCAGGACTTGGTGCTCTCTGTCCCAGCTGCTCCACGTCCAGCCATGGCTAAAAGAGGCCAAGGTATAGCTCTTGCCATTGCTGCAGAGGGTGAAAGCCCCAAGTCTTGGTGGTTTCCACATAGTGTTGGGCCTGTGGGTGCACAGAACTCAAGAATTGAGGTTGGGAAACTTCAGCCTAGATTTCAGAGGATGTGTGGAAATGCCTGGATGTCCAGGCAGAAGTCTACTGCTGATATGATCATGGATAACCTCTGTCAGGGCAGTGCAGAAAAGGAATGTGGGGTTGGAGCACCCATATACAGTTCCCATTGAGGCACTGCCTAGTGGAACAGTGAGGAGAGGGCCACCATCCTCCAGACCCCAGAATGGTAGATCCACTGACAGCTTGCACTGTGCATCTGGAAAAGCCACAGGCACTCAATACCAGCCTGTGAAGAAATTGCACAAGGCCATGGGAGCCCAACCCTTGCATCAGCATGCCCCCGAATGTGAAGTGGAGTCAAAGGAGATCATTTCGGAGCTTTGAATTTTAATGACTGCCCCACTGGATTTTGGATTTTCATGGGGCCTGTAGCTCCTTTGTTTTGGTCAATTTCTCCCATTTGGAATAGAAGAATTTACCCAATGCCCATACCCCCATTGTATCTAGGAAGCAACTAACTTGTTTTTAATTTTACATCCTCATAGGTGGCAAGGACTTGCCTTCTCTCAGATGAGACTTTGGACTGTGGACTTTTGTGTTAATGCTGGAATGAATTAAGATGTTGGGGGACTGTTGGGAAGGCATGATTGGTTTTGAAATGTGAAAGGGACATGAGATTTTGGGAGGGCCCGGGGTGAAATGATATGGTTAGGCTTTGTGTTGCCACCCAAATCTCACCTTAAATTATAATCCCCAGGTGTTGAGGGAGAGACCTGGTGGGAGGTAATTGGATCATGTGGGTGGTTTTCCTTATGCTTTTCTCATGAGAATGAGTGAGTTCTCATGAGATCTGATAGTTTTCTACATGGCAGTTTTTATTCCTTTGCTCTCACTCCCTCCTGCCACCTTTTGAAAAAGGTGCCTGCTTCCCCTTCACCTTCCTCCATGATTGTAAGTTTCCTGAGGCCTCCCAGCCATGTGGAACTGTGAGTCAATTAAATCTCTTCCCTTTATAAATTACCCAGTCTCAGGTATTTCGTTATAGCAGTGCGAAAATGTACTAATACAATATTTCTGACAGAGAACTTGTATCTGAACTATAGAAATAATTATCAAAGCACATCAATAAGAAAAATAAACAATGGACCAAATATATGAACAGACACTGCATCAGGAACATATGTGATGGCAAATAATTACATGAGCAGATGATCTACATTATAATCTATTAGAGAAATGCAAATTAAAACCACAATGAGATACCAAAGTATACATTTCAGACTGCCTTAAAAAGCTAGAACAGAGGTAAAGAAATTGAATTAGTAACCAAAAAACTTCCCACCAAGAAAAACTCAGGCCAAGGTGGTTTCACTAGCAAACTTTAGCAAACATTTAAAGAAGAAATAATGCAATACTCCACACATTGCAATACTTCACAATCTCTTTCAGAATAAAAATGAGATACACTTCTCAGTTAATTCAGTGACAATAGTATTACCCTTATACAAAAAGCAGATAAACGTTACAATAAAAGAAAATGACAACTCTATTAAATGTAGACAAAAATATTCAACAAAATTTCTGTGAATAAAATTTAATGATATACAAAAAGACTATCAGTATGACTAATTAGGACTTATCCCAGAAATGCAAGATTAGTTTAACATCAGAAAATGAGTTATGTAGTATACCATATTAATATAGTAAAGAAAAAAATGGTTTTAATCATCTCAATAGATACAGAGAAAGCATTTGACAAAATGAAATATCAATTCATGATTTAAAAACAAACAAAATTTTTTAAAAAACATTCTTGACAAAGTTGGAATAGAAGAGAACTTCCTTGACATAAAGGGCTCTTACAAAAAAAAAAAAAGCAAATATACTCAATGGTGAAAGATTGAATACCTTTCCCATAAATCAGAAAAAAGGTGAAGATATTTGCTCTCTGCATTCCTATTAAACTTTGTACTGGAAGACTCACTGCATGCAATAAGAGAAGCAAAAGAGGCCAGGCGCGGTGGCTCATGCCTGTAATCCCAGCACTTTGAGAGGCCGAGGCAGGCAGATCATGAGGTCAGGAGATCGAGACCATCCTGGCTAACACGGTGAAACCCTGTCTCTACTAAAAATACAAAAAATTAGCCGTGCGTGGTGGCGAGTGCCTATAGTCCCAGCTACTCAGGAGGCTAAGGCGAACCCAGGAGGCGGAGCTTGCAGTAAGCTGAGATCGCGCCACTGCACTCCACCCAGCCTGGGCAACAGAGTGAGACTCCATCTCAAAAAAAAAAAAAAAGAAGCAAAAGAAATAAAAGGCACCCATAATGAGAATTAAGAAGTAAAACAGTGTTCACTGGCAAATGACGTGATCTTGTTTGTAGACTATTTTTTAAAAATCCACAAGAAGTTATTAGGATTAATAAGCAACTACAACAAGGTGGCAGAAGGTAAGTAAACAAAACAATTATCTTTTACATATGAGCAATGAATAATCTGAAAATGAAATAAAGAATATAATTCATAATGAAAATGGGAATAAGATTCAATTAGAAATACATATTAAAATCTGTGAACTTCAACTAAAGCAGTGCCAAGAGATAAATTTATAGAACCAAATACATTAGATAAGAGGAAAAGTATAAAATCAATAACCTAAGCTTCTTCCTCTAAGAGCTAAAATTAGAATGGCAAAGCAATATTAAGATAAGCAGAAGTAAAATAAAAAGCAGAAATTAATAAAATTAAAAACCAGAATACAATAGCAAATAACAAAAACTTCATTTTTTGGAAAGAATAACACAAACTTCCAAGACAACTGAGAAATAAAAATACATAAAGTATAGATTACCAACAACAAGAATAAAATGAGGACAATACTATAGGCCCAGCAGACATCAAAATAATATGAAAATACTACAGATGACACTACACATGAATTTTTAATGACCATTTTTCAAAAGCACAAACCACCAAAACTCATCCATTACAAAATAAATATCTACTTACAAAACTTCAAATAGTTTTATAACCAATAAGGACATGGAATTTTTAACTTTAAATCTCTTAAATGATAAATATCTGGGCTCAGTTGGTTTTACTGGAAAATTCTACTATATATTTAAAGAAGAATTAACATTTCTACACAATATCCTGAAGAAAACAAAAGAGGAAGAAAGATTTCTCAATAGGTTTTATGAAGTTAATATTACCCTGATACTAAAACCACATAAAGATGGTATGAAAAAATGTAGATACATACCTCTCATAAATATAATTTCAAGATTCTCAAAAGAATACTAGCAAATAGAATTTAGCAATATATAAAAATAATTATACACCATGCGTAAGTGGTGTTTATTACAAGGATGCAACATTGGTTTGATATTTGAAAATCAATCAAAGTAATCTACCATTTGACAGTTGAAAGAAACAATATATGATTATATTAATGCAGAAAAATTTGAATTAATTCATCATTGCTTATTTAAAAAACTCAGATAAACATATAGAAATTGATTTTATTACTATATACTAGCATTAAACATACATATACAAAACATTAACAATAGTTTACAATCACTGAAAAAATAAAATATGTATAAATCTAACAAAAAATATATATAACTGACCTTCAGAAAAGAAAAATACTACAAAAAGCTGGTGAAATAAATCAAAGAAAATCACACTATTTATATTTTGGAAAACCCAACATAATAAAGACTTAAATTCTCCCCTAGCTGGTATACCTATTTTAAAAAATCCAAGAAAAATCTCTGTCAAAATGACAGCATTATTTTTAGGTATAAATAAGATTATTCTAAAATTCATATGAAAAAGATAACAAGAGAAACTCCTAGAATAGTGAAACAATTTTGAAAATGAAGAATGCAGTGGGAGAAATGATTCTCCAGTTTTTAAAAATGTATTATATAACTACAGTAGTCAATATTGTATGGTATTGGTGGAAATTTAGATATAATAGATTAATGAAACAGTTTCAAATACTGACACTTAGGAATTCATTGAGTGAAATACAAAATATATTTATAAACTTCAACAATAGACTAGATCAAACAGCGTAAAGAATCTCAGAGCTTGAACACCAAGACTTTTGAAAGAAGAAGCCAAAAATTGCCCAATGCAGGCATAGCAAGATGAAAAAGCAATTCAGTGGAACTTTGAAAAGTGGCTTTTTCATCAGATTGTGAGAGAACAATTGGACATTCATAAGCAACAACAATAACAACAAAAATTAAACTTGACCTACATCTCACACCTTGTATAAAAATTAATGCAAAATGAACATGTAAATTTAAACTAAAAATCTTTTAGAAAAAATTAGAACACTTTCAGAATCTAGGACTAAGCAAAGAATTGTTGACTTGACACCAAAAGCAAAATTCATTAAAGGAAAAAATTGATTAATTGAACTTCATCAAAATTAAAAATTTTGCACTGTGAAAGATCTTGTTAAGAGAATGAAAACACAAGCTACAGACTTGGAGAGAGTATTTGCAAACCAGATATATGAAGAACTAGGGTCTATCTCTCTATCTTCCATCAGTCTATCTATCTATCTATCATCTATCTATCTATCCATCTATCTTCTAATCTATCTATCTAGTAAGCACATAAAATGATGGCACAATATCATTATTAGAGAAATCCAAACCAAAACCATAATGAGATATCATTGTACACCTATCAGAATGGCTAAAGCAAAAAATACTGGCAATACCAAGTGCTGGTGGAGATGAAGAGAAACTGGATCATCTATACATTGCTGTGAGGAAGTCAAACGATACATCCATTCTGGAAAACAATTTGGCAAATTCAAATTCTAAAGAAAAACATGTAACTATCCTTTGACGTAGTCATTGAACTCCTGAGCTTAATCTAGATAAACAAAGATTATGTTTATACAAAAACCTGTAATAGTCAAAAACTAAAAACAAATAAGAAATGCTTAAACAAATATAGTACATCTATAACATTAAATAGAATTCAGCAACAAAAAGGAAGAAACTATTGATAAACACAAGAAATAGGTTGAATCTCAGAATTATGATGAATGATAAAAGTCAATAACAACAAATTATGTATAATCCAATTCAATTTATATAATATACTTGAAATAAAAAAATTATGAAAATGATAGGAGCTTTAAGATGGGTGACTAAATGTGTCTGGTACTTGCCTCTTCCACAGAGAGGAACCAAAACAATGAATAGACAATCACACTTTAAATAGATCATCTAAGAGAGAACATTGAAATTCAACAGAGAAATGATGGGAAGCACCACAAACAAGGAAGGAGAGGGAAGGGAGGAAGCCTGTTTGGCCAGGATTGGCTGGAACTCTGGACGGGCTCCCTAATGCAGGAAAAGGGTGAGTGAAAGACACCCAGTGATCCACATTCCAAATATGAGTCCTACAATCCTAGCCATGAGAGAGCACCTCGACCTTCATGGGACCTGAGACTAACATAGGAAGCTGCCTGCAGACGAAAAGAAGTTATTGCTGCAGAGGTAGCTCATACTGGGTCCCACAAACTCCCAAGTCCTAAGAAGTATGGTGCCACTTTGAAAGCCCATCCTGCACTAGACTGCATCCTGCCCTGGGTTACAACAGCCGCTGAATCTCTACATCCCTAGAGCCCCATTGACGCTCCCTCACCACAGCTGCCACCACTGGGGCCAACTGCCAGTAACCTAGCCCACCTACAGCATAAGGGCAGCTATGCATTTTCAAATGCCTTGAGGACAAATTCCACTGCCTATAACATCCACTGCTACAGACTTCTGTGAAGCTGAGGCATGAATGAAGCGTGTGCCCCATTGACATCTGCTGATGGCTGCTCCCACTGCAAGCAACTCTGCCTTCCTCAGTAATAGAACCACAGAACAGTGGCTGCTGCCCCCAACTGAGCACTCCACTGGGGGCCTGGCTCTACCCTGTTCCTGCCTATAAAAGCCAGTCCCTACACGCACCACTGGGAGGCTTGAGGGTAAGTCTCTTCGGCCCAGCTCCACCCCCACCAGGTACCCGAACATGCCAACTAAGGAACTGGGGATCACCTAGCCCAGCCCACAGTTTGCACCTGAGCATTCCTTTCAGCATTTGAGATCAGGTCCATGCCACCTTTCACTACCACCACAGCTTGCAAACCACTCATGTGCAGCACCTGTGGGCCTGAGGACTGGTGCACCCAGCCCTCTGTAGACACCACCACCACCAGTACGACCACCTGGGTCTCAAGGGACATGGACAAATATTTAAAAATTGAAATCATATTAAATATCTTCTCAAACTGCAATGGAATAAAGCTAGAAATCAATAACAAGAACTTTGCAAACTGTACAAGTACATGGAAATTTAACAACATGCTGTTGAATATCCATTAGGTCAAGGAAAAAAATTAAGAAGTAAATAAAAAATTTTCTTGAAGCGAACTGAAATAAAAACACAGCATACAAAAAACCTACGGGATATTGCAAAAGCAGTACTAAGAGGGAAGTTTATAGCAATAAACACCTACATCAAAAAAGTAGAAAGATTTCAAATACACAATTTAATGATGCACCTAAAGGAACTAGAAAAGCAAGAACAAACCAAAGCCAAAATTAGTAGAAGTAAGGAAATAATAAAAATCAGAGTAGAGCTAAATAAAATCCAGGCAAAACACAAAATAAAAGATCAATGAAATTAAATGTTGGTGTTTGAAAAAAATGAAAAAAATGGATAAACCATTTGATAAGCTAACAAAAAAGAGAGAGAGAAGACCCATATAAAATCAGAAATGAAGTAGGAGGTGTTACAACTGATAAGACAGACTGATACATCTGAGACTATGATGAACAACTGTATACTTAACAAACTGGAAAACCTAGAATAAATGCATAAATTCCTGGAAATATACAATCTGCTAAGATTGAATCAGAAAGAAACAGAAAACCTGCACAGACCAATAATGAGTAATGAGATTGAATCAGTAATTAAAAGTCTTCCAACAAATAAAAGCCCAGGATCAGAGAGCTTCACTACTGATTTGTGCCAAACTTTTTTTTTTTTTTTTTTTTAATATGGTTGGGGCCTTTGAAGCAAAGAACTGTGTGTAGACATAGATCAATAACAGAAGTGAATACCATAGCATATTGTGTTATGATATGCCACATGGATTTAATTAGAATTTCAGCTGGGGTTTTTTTTTTTAATTTTTTAATTTTTTTTATTATACTTTAAGTTTTAGGGTACATGTGCACATTGTGCAGGTTAGTTACATATGTATACATGTGCCATGCTGGTGTGCTGCACCCACTAACTCGTCATCTAGCATTAGGTATATCTCCCAATGCTATCCCTCCCCCCTCCCCCCACCCCACCACAGTCCCCAGAGTGTGATATTCCCCTTCCTGTGTCCATGTGATCTCATTGTTCAATTCCCATCTATGAGTGAGAATATGTGGTGTTTGGTTTTTTGTTCTTGCGATAGTTTACTGAGAATGATGATTTCCAATTGCATCCATGTCCCTACAAAGCACATGAACTCATCATTTTTTATGGCTGCATAGTATTCCATGGTGTATATGTGCCACATTTTCTTAATCCAGTCTATCATTGTTGGACATTTGGGTTGGTTCCAAGTCTGCTATTGTGAATAATGCCACAATAAACATACGTGTGCATGTGTCTTTATAGAAGCATGATTTATAGTCCTTTGGGTATATACCCAGTAATGGGATGGCTGAGTCAAATGGTATTTCCAGTTCTAGATCCCTGAGGAATCGCCACACTGACTTCCACAATGGTTGAACTAGTTTACAGTCCCACCAACAGTGTAAAAGTGTTACTATTTCTCCACGTCCTCTCCAGCACCTTTTGTTTCCTGGCTTTTTAATGATGGCCATTCTAACTGGTGTGAGATGGTATCTCATTGTGGTTTTGAGTTGCATTTCTCTGATGGCCAGTGATGATGAGCATTTTTTCATGTGTTTTTTGGTTGCATAAATGTCTTCTTTTGAGAAGTGTCTGTTCATGTCCTTCGCCCACTTTTTGATGGGGTTGTTTGTTTTTTTCTTGTAAATTTGTTTGAGTTCATTGTAGATTCTGGATATTAGCCCTTTGTCAGATGAGTAGGTTGCGAAAATTTTCTCCCATGTTGTAGGTTGCCTGTTCACTCTAATGGTAGTTTCTTTTGCTGTGCAGAAGCTCTTTAGTTTAATTAGATCCCATTTGTCAATTTTGTCTTTTGTTGCCATTGCTTTTGGTGTTTTGGACATGAAGTCCTTGCCCATGCCTATGTCCTGAATGGTAATGCCTAGGTTTTCTTCTAGGGTTTTTATGGTTTTAGGTCTAACGTTTAAGGCTTTAATCCATCTTGAATTGATTTTTGTATAAGGTGTAAGGAAGGGATCCAGTTTCAGCTTTCTACATATGGCTAGCCAGTTTTCCCAGCACCATTTATTAAATAGGGAATCCTTTCCCCATTGCTTGTTTTTCTCAGGTTTGTCAAAGATCTGATAGTTGTAGATATGCGGCGTTATTTCTGAGGGCTCTGTTCTGTTCCATTGATCTATATCTCTGTTTTGGTACCAGTACCATGCTGTTTTGGTTACTGTAGCCTTTTAGTATAGTTTGAAGTCAGGTAGTGTGATGCCTCCAGCTTTGTTCTTTTGGCTTAGGATTGCCTTGGCGATGCAGGCTCTTTTTTGGTTCCATATGAACTTTAAAGTAGTTTTTCAATGAAGGACTAACACAAAATCTCCTCAAATTGTTCCAAAAAATGAAGAGGAGAGAATTATCCCTAACTCAATTTATGATGCCAGAATTACCTTAACACCAAAACCAAATAAAGACATAATGAAAACAAACACTGCAAGCCAATATCCTTGATGAATATAGATGCAAAATTCTCAACAAAATACTAGAAAAATGAATCCAAGAGCACACTCAAACATAATACCCCATGATCAAGTGGGATTTATTCAAGTTTCATACTTTAATCAATAAATGTGATACATAACATCAACAGAATGAAGAAGAAAAAACACGAGCATCTCAGTAGACATATAAAAAGCACTTGATAAAATTTAACATCCCTTCATTACAAAACTCTCAACAAACTAGGCACAGAAGCAACATAGCTTAACATAATGAAGCCTATATGGGACAAATCCACTGTTAACATGACACCAAATGAGGAAGAGCCGAAAGTCTTTATCCTGAGAATGGAACAAGACAGGATATCCACTTTCAGTACTTTAATTCAACAAAGTACTGGAAGTCCTAGCCAAAGCAATGAGGCAAAAGAAAAAAAAAAAGGCGTTGTATTTAGAAAATAAGTCAAACTTTCCCTTTTTACTGACAATATGGTCTTATATCTGCAAAAAACCTAATGACTCAGTAAAGTTGCAATGGATCCAAAGTCAACATACAAAAATTGTTGCTATAGAGAGTAAATAGATATCCGAGGCAGGTAAGAGTATGTGCGGGGGTGAGGGTATGAAGCGAGGTTTATCAATAGGTACAAACATACAGTTAGGTAGAAGACAAAAGTTTCAATGTGCGATAACAGAGTAGGGTGACTATAGTTAGCAACAACATATTGTGTGTTTCAAAGTAGTTGGAGAAGATAACTTGAAATGTTCTGAACATATAAAAATAAAAAGTACTGAAGGTGATGCATACCCCAAATACCCTGACTTGATCATTCTAATGCTATGCATGTAACAAAAATCACATGTAGCACATAAATATGCAAAATATTATGTATTTAAAAATATTCTACCAAAAAGTTACAGCAATAGAAAACAGTTAGTAGTTGCTAGTGGCTAAGGAGGAAGAGAAGGGAAGTGGACGTGGCTAAAATTGGGCAACATGAGTTACCTTTTGGTGACGAAACTCTTCTGTACCTTTACTGTATCAGTGTATGTTGATGGTAATAGTATACTATAATTTGCAAAATGAAACCATTTGGGAAACTGGGGAGATGGGGCAAAACAACTCTCTATACTACATCTTACAATCGCATGTGAATATGCAATTATCTCAAAATGAAACGATTAATCGAAGCTAGCAGTTGTGTTTCTACACACAATTAACAATCCCAAAACAATACAGAATACAACTTAATTCACAACAGCATGAAAAGAGTAAAATATGTAGCAACAAAATTAACACAAAGTACAAATGAAATTTATTGCTTATACACTGAAAGTGACAGAATATTGTCACAGTAAATAAAGGAATACTTAAATAAATGAAGGAATATTTTGTATTCATGGGTTGGAGGACTCATTAATGTCAAGATGGCAATTGTCCCCAAATTTATCTATAAATTCAACATAATATCAAAATTCCAGCAGACATTTTTATAGAAATTACAAACTGATCCAAATACTTATATGAAGATACATAATAATTTAGAGTAATCAATTTTTAAAAATTAATGTTGGAGGACTTCCACTCCACACCCAACACTTTAAAGCTGTAGTTATCTAGACAGTATGGTACTAACATAAGACTAGACATGTAGATCAAGATATCTGTACTGATTAAATTGAGAGTCCAAAAATAAGTCATTATATTTAAGGTCTACTGATTTTCAACAAAGGATATATGCCAACTTATTGGGAAATCATACACTTTTCAAGTAAAGTTTCTGGAACAATTAGATATTCATGCACAAATAATAAATCATATACAACAACTGTGTAATTCACAATGTTTTCAGTCACAGATAACTTTTAAAAATTGGTTTTGTATTGAATAATAAAGTCAATACATTTCAATAGCTTCGTATCATAAATATATTTTTTGGCTGTAACATAATTAAAATAGAACAAAATTTATGTATGTTTACATGTTAAGAAACATTATTTCCAAATAATCTCTGAATAAATTAGAAAGGGAAAATGATCAAAACTGAGTGATTAAAATGCTACTTATTGAAAATTGGATACAGTTAAATTAGTATCCTGAGTGGAAGTCTGGAGTCTTAAAATCTTACTTAAAAAAAGAAAATCAGTGACTGAATTATCTATTTTGAGTCAGAAAAATACCAAAAGAAAACATGGATAAAATAGAAGTAATAAAATGATTAAAACTGAAAAGGTTAATTACATAGAAAACAAATGTATAACAGTGAAAATGAAAAAAGTAGTTTCGTTAAAAAGCTTCATAAATTATCAATTTTCCTAAAAATTGACTAAGAAAATAAAAAAGAGGGCTTGAGATCAAATAGAATTAAAAATTATACATGAATACAGATGTGGCAAACATTAAAAAGATAGCAAAAAAATTGCTTCAATATATTTGAATATTTATGTGGAATTGACAAATAAAAGAGATACAACTAACATATATAACAAAGAACTACCATAAGAAAACAAAATATGGATAGACATATTTATTGAAGAAATTAAATTATTAAACTCTTTCCACAAAGAGAACTCTAGGCACAAAGAGTAATATTAAATAATTATTAGTAAATTCCTTTCTGGCAAATGATTCTACTCTCATAAAACTACTCTTGAATGTAGAAAAAGAATGAAAACTCATTAACTCATTTTTTTTTAAGACTTGCATAACTTTCATTCCAAAAACCTGATGAGGAGAATTCTAAAAGGAAATTCACTGGGAAATCTCACTCATGGATTCAGATACAAATATACTGAACAACATTTTAATCAACTGAATGCAACAATATATAACAAACATAATTTACCATTATCAATATATTAATAGTTTAACATATGAATGAAAGTTGTTTAATGATAAATTAACTGAGTAAAACTATAATTTATATATCTTATTAGCTTCAGTAAAAGCAATTGAAAAAAGTTATATAGCCTCTTATGATAAAATCTATAGCAAAATATTAATAAAATATTAATGAAAACATTAGTAACCTATTTAAAGGTATTCATAAAAACCTACAGCAAATATCTTGTTTAAAGATTAAATGTTAAAAAATAATTCTGAAATCAAAAATGAAACAAAGGGTGCCTCCTTTAACCACTTTTCTCTGTAATTATACTGAAAGTCCTAGGCAGATTTGTTGGGCAAGGAATATAAAAAAAGTCATTGCTTACAGATTCTTATTTCAAAATAATTGTAAAACATGCTCTAAAATATTCAAGAATATGTTAATATACTGATAATATTAACAAAACAATGAAAATTAACAATACTACCTCTGAGATAGATTAATGTACCAAACCCACCATGTATTTGTATGGTGGTAGAATCAGATCATCTTTTTTTTTTTTTAATTTTATTATTATTATACTTTAAGTTTTAGGGTACATGTGCACGACGTGGAGGTTTGTTACATATGTATACATGTGCCATGCTGGTATGCTGCACCATTAACTTGTCATTTAGCATTAGGTATATCTCCTAATGCTATCCCTCCCCCCTCCCCCCACCCCACAACAGTCCCTGGTGTGTGATGTTCCCCTTCCTGTGTCCATGTGTTCTCATTCAGTTCCCACCTATGAGTGAGAACATGCGGTGTTTGGTTTCTTGTCCTTGCAATAGTTTGCTGAGAATGATGGTTTCCAGCTTCATCCATGTCCCTACAAAGGACATGAACTCATCATTTTTTATGGCTGCATAGTATTCCATGGTGTATATGTGCCACATTTTCTTAATCCAGTCTATCGCTGTTGGACATTTAGATTGGTTCCAAGTCTTTGCTATTGTGAATAGTTCCACAATAAACACACGTGTGCCTGTGTCTTTATAGAAGCATGATTTATAATCCTTTGGGTATATACCCCGTAATGGGATGGCTGGGTCAAATGGTATTTCTAGTTCTAGATCCCTGAGGAATTGCCACACTGACTTACACATGAACAGGCAACCTACAGTATGGGAGAAAATTTTTGCAACCTACTCATCTGACAAAGGGCTAATATCCAGAATCTACAATGAACTCAAACAAATTTACAAGAAAAAAACAAACAACCCCATCAAAAAGTGGGCGAAGGATATGAACAGACACTTTTCAAAAGAAGACATTTATGCAGCCAAAAAACACATGAAAAAATGCTCATCATCACTGGCCATCAGAGAAATGCACATCAAAACGCACATCAAAACCGCAATGAGATACCATCTCATGCCAGTTATAATGGCGATCATTAAAAAGTCATCCTGGAGAGGATGTGGAGAAATAGGAATGAGACCATCTTTGATTGCAGACCTGGCTTTAATACTCACTGGCTCTACAGGCTCTCTCTCGTATCTTTCCCTTCCTCAGCTGTAAATTATAGATAACATGTTTGCCTTGAAAATTTGTTTCAAGGATAAAATAATATAATGCACACTATGCACCTTATTCATAATATATAATTATTTATTTTACTAATATTGTTAGTATTAATTGCAGGTTTTTCTCGGTTTCCTTTGCCACAGTTCAACCACCCGCATAAAATATTTTATTTAAATGTAAATGTCCATATTGTAATTTTTGTGTTTGTAAATCTCAGAAATAAAACCAATTTTAAAGTAAAATATTTGTTTTTCTTCATCTGTGAGTTTAATTCAGCAGGTTATGATTGAGTTTTACCATTTCAGAAAACTTGTAATTGGCTACAAAAATGCTAATTTTTGTATTGCTTCAATATTGGGTGGAAAGTGCAACTGTAAATATGAAAAGATAGATGGCTTATTTCCTATCCTGTCTGCCCTTCCTCCTGCCTACCTAAGAGATTGGTCTAGTTTCAGTCTGCTAGTGCAGCTGTTCAGCTGGCCAGATTCCTTAGTTTACAGATGGGCATTTGGAACCTAATCCAGGCATCCCTTAAATTGCCACCGGTACATATTTTTCTTTTGCAGCCAAGTTTCTAAACAGCTCAACTCGCACCCCCTCCTTCACTCTCATCTGTCTTGGTCATTGCGTTTGCTATAATACCCCTGCTGTATCATCTTTTAACCTCCACACTGCTCATAGCTGATTACCTTCTGCGTTCACTCCATCATAGTTATATATACCCCTGTCCTATGGCCGTAATCTCCAACCATACTTGGACTGTTCCTCCTGGCTTGCCAAAGCCTCTGGGACCTTTTCTGCCTCCTTCTGTAGGAGAGACTCTCACCTGGCTTTATAATCCAAGGTAATACTGGAGAGATGAAATCAATTTTGCAAAATTTGCGGTGAGCTCAAAGTGTCTTGTTCTTGGGCATAAATGTAGGTTATGGATGGCCCTCAATCAAATGTATGCACAGGTTAGTGCATCCCAGAATCAGCATCCCTAAAACTCTAACCAAAACTTCCCCCTACAGTCATAGTCATTGTAGTCTGTAACTGACTTTGACATCTTCTCCCTTACCTTACCCTTTAGGGAAAGGGAGGTAAGATGAATAAATAAAGATGGTCAATTAAATGACCCATTTAGTCTAAAGCCTATATTCCTATGCTACTTTAGGAGACGGTTGCATTTGCAGTGCCAGATCTTTCTATTTTTGAAGAGAAATCTGCTACTATATGTGAAATATCCTAATGTTTTAATATTTACAAGTAATTAAGAGTCTTGGAGTCTTGCTGCAAGCCCAACAAAAAGACAGACAAGGACTAAGTCTGATCAGTGGACCACCAATTTGAAGCCTCTATTTCAGGAGTTGACCTAGAGGCAAAGTCTGTTTTCTACCCTCCCATCTCAAGGGACATTTAAGCTTCCATGATTGAGTTTTTGTTTTTATTTGAAGAGCAGAAATACAAAAATGTAACGGTTATAGCTCCATATTTCCTGTAAAAGATTTAAGAATGGGTGAGATTACTTTTGTTTAGGCTGGTGTATGACTTTAGATTCCTTAAGGTTTATCATTAGTTTATACTAAAAATCCTTGGAATGCTGTTTGCAGCATTAATGTTTTATAAAAGTTTGAAAAATGATCCATTTTTGGTTGCTAGGTTTTACCACTAGTATTGTTGCTTTCTGGTATAACTCAGTTTGTCCCTGAAACATACCTCCTTTTGCCAAGCACTTGAAGATGTGACAGCAGTACAAATTATATTATTATCATGCTTTAAGGCATTCCAAACCTGTGTAATGAGAAAAAATGTCCTGGCAAGAAGGAACAAATATAAAGGAAGCAGTATATATTCACTGATTTCACAGATTCATAGATGTTTCCTCACTGCACAAAAGAAGGGCTCGTGGCTTCTAAATTCCAATATATTCTAAATCAAACTGTTATACCTAAGGCAAAATAGCAGCCACTGATAAAATTCATAAAAAAGACTTTGAGGAAATTAATTGATTGGCAGATGTAAGAACTTTTGATGGGTCTCCCACTTCAATGAGTTCAAAAAAGAAGGAACTCAGCGTGACTAAATAAAAACCTAATATTAGTCAATCATGGGAGTTTGAAATATGCACTGAATTAGAATAAGCCAAGTCTGATAGGCCACTTTTATTATTATTTTTTAAAATTCAAGAAAGATTTTATTCTTTAGAATATAGTAAACAAAGTAAAATCTTAGACGAAGATGTTAACTTTATGTTTAATGCCTTTGGGGGGTTTTTATGCTACTTTCTTATGACCACCATTCATGCAGACTTACAATTTAAAAAGTCCATTATCATCTCTACATCTAAGACTTTGACTAGTACAAAACCTTCATAACAATTCTTCTCTGAAAGCTTCTTTTTTTATTATACTTTACGTTCTAGGGTACATGTGCACAATGTGCAGGTTTGTTACATTTGTATACATGTGCCATGTTGGTGTGCTGCACCCATTAACTCATCATTTACATTAGGTATATCTCCTAATGCTATCCCTGCCCCCGCCCCTCACCCCTCGACAGGCCCCGGTGTGTGATATTCCCCTTCCTGTGTCCATGTGTTCTCATTGTTCAATTCCCACCTATGACTGACAACATGCGGTGTTTGGTTTTTTTGTCCCTGTGATAGTTTGCTGAGAATGATGGTTTCCAGCTTCATCCATGTCCCTACAAAGGACATGAACTCATCCTTTTTTATGGCTGCATAGTATCCCATGGTGTATATGTGCCACATTTTCTTAATCCAGTTTATCATTGATGGACATTTGGGTTGGTTCCAAGTCTTTGCTATTGTGAATAGTGCCACAATAACAATCCTAAGCTAAAAGAACAAAGCTGAGGGCATCATGCTACCTGACTTCAAACTATACTACAAGGCTACAGTAACCAAAACAGCATGGTACTGGTACCAAAACAGAGATATAGGCCAATGGAACAGAACAGAGCCCTTAGAAATAATACCACACCTCTACAACCATCTGATCTTTGACAAACCTGACAAAAACGAGCAATGGAGAAAAGATTCCCTATTTAATAAATGGTGCTGGGAAAACTGGCTAGCCATATGTAGAAAGCTGAAGTTGGATCCCTTCCTTACGCCTTATACAAAAATTAATTCAAGATGGATTAAAGATTTAAATGTTAGACCTAAAACCATAAAAACCCTAGATGAAAGCTTCTTATTGAAATGTTCACTTTTGAAATTCTAGAGGATTCTGAGTTCAGTGTACATCTCCCATTTCTTTATTTTGAATAATTACACTGAAGACCTGGAATACATATCAAATGTTGTCTGTAGATTATGAATCTGAGCTGCACATGAACAATTATATTCCACAAAATAAATCCAGTTCAGCCAACAGCTTCCATACGTGTATAACAATAATAAATTATAATGCACCCCCTTCTTTTCTTCCAAAATACATTTATTGAATAACAGACAAAATTAAAATGAATGCAATGAAGTTTTAATGCTATAGAAATATGTCAATCTCAGGCCAGAGGCGGTGGCTCACGCCTGTAATCCCAGCACTTTGGGAGGCTGAGGTGGGCAGGTCACGAGGTCAGGAGTTCGAGACCAGTCTGGTCAGCATGGTGAAACTCCGTCTCTACTAAAAACAGAAAAAATTAACCGGGCATGGTGGAGCACACATGTAATCACAGCTAGCTACATGGGAGGCTGAGGCAGGAGAATTGCTTGAACCCAAGAGGTGGAGGTTGCAGTGAGCCGAGATCACATCACTGCAATCCAGCCTGGGTGACAGAGTGAGACTCAAAAAAAAAAAAAAAAAAAAAAAAGAAAGAAAAAAGAAAAGAAAGAAAAAAATATGTCAGTCTCATGTTCAGTTAAAATGTTCAGTAGAACATAATGTTGGGTTCAATGTTCTACTCAGCCTGGGAATGGTTCTATATTTAGAAAACAAACCAACAAAGTAAAAATTGTTGCCCAACGTGGAGAAGGGTACAGAAGGCATGTTCTTTGGTGGAAGGTTCTAGCAGTGAGTAACTGGGAGGAGAGAAGGTTTCCCTCTTCAGAACATTACAGCTGTCTTCAAATATTGACATGATGCTTGCGATGGGATACACCTGATTCTGAATTGCTCTAGCAAGCAGAACTAGTACCAAAGAATACCAGGAAACATACCTTGACTTCTTTAAGGGAAAAATTTCTAATAATTAGAAGTGGTTAGCAACAAAATGGACCACTTTATGAAAAGGCAATTTCTTTTTATTTCATTTATTTATTTATTTATTTTATTATACTTTAAGTTCTGGGATACATGTGCAGAACGTGCAGTTTTGTTACATAGATATACACATGCGATGGTGGTTTGCTGCACCTATCAACCTGTCACCTACATTAGGTATTTCTCCTAATGTTATCCCTCTCCTAGCCTCCCACCCCACAACAGGCCCCAGTGTGTGATGTTCCCCTCTCTATGTCCATGTGTTCTCATTGTTCACCTTTCACTTATGAGTGAGAACATGTGGTGTTTGGTTGTCCTTTCTTGTGATAGTTTGATGAGAGCAATGGTTTCCAGCTTCATCCATGTCCCTACAAAGGACATGAACTCATCCCTTTTCATGGCTGCATAGTATTCCATGGTGTATATGTGCCACATTTTCTTTATCCAGTCTATTATTGATGGATATTTGGGTTGGTTCCAAGTCTTTGCTATTGTGAATAGTGCCACAATAAACATACATGTGCATGTGTCTTTATAGCAGCATGATTTATAATCCTTTAGGTATATATCCAGTAATGGGATTGTTGGGTCAAATAGTAGTTTTAGCTCTAGATCCTTGAGGAATCACCACACTGTCTTCCACAATGGTTGAACTAATTTACACTCCCATCAATAGTCTAAAAGTATTCCTGTTTCTTCACATCCTCTCCAGCATCTGTTGTTTCCTGACTTTTTAAGGATCGCCATTCTAACTGACGTGAGATGGCATCGCATTGTGGTTTTGATTTGCATTTCTCTAATGACCAGTGATGATGAGCATTTTTTCATATGTCTGTTGGCTGCATAAATGTCTTCTTTTGAGAAGTGTCTGTTCATATCCTTTGCCCACTTTTTGATGGGGTTGCTTGTTTTTTTTCTTGTAAATTTGTTTAAGTTCTATGTAGATTCTGCATATTAGCCCTTTGTCAGATGGATAGATTGCAAAAAATTTCTCCCATTCTGTAGGTTGCCTGTTCACTCTGATGATAGTTTCATTTACTGTGCAGAAGCTCTTTAGTTTAGTTAGATCCTATTTGTCAATTATGACTTTTGTTGCCATTGCTTTTTGTGTTTTAGACATGAAGTGTTTGCCCATGCCTTTGTCCTGAATGGTATTGCCCAGGTTTTCTTCTAGGATTTTTATGGTCCTAGGTCTTACATTTAAGTCTTTGATCTGTCTTGAGTTTATTTTCGTATAAGGTGTAAGGAAGGGGTCCAGTCTCAGTTTTCTGCATATGGCTAGCCAGTTTTCCCAACACTTATTAAATAGGGAATCTTTTACCCATTGCTTGTTTGTGTCAGGTTTGTCAAAGATCAGATGGTTGTAGATGTATGGTGTTATTTCTGAGGGCTCTGTTCTGTTCCATTGGTCTACATATCTGTTTTTGTACAAGTACCAAGCTGTTTTGGTTACTGTAGCCTTGTAGTATAGTTTGAAGTCAGGTAGCGTGATGCCTCCAGCTTTATTCTTCTTGCCCAGGTTTGTCTTGGGTATGTGGGCTCTTTTTTTTTTTTTTTTTTTTTTTTTTTTTTTTTTTTTTGGCTCCGTATGAAGGTTAAAGTAATTTTTTCTAATTCTGTGAAGAAAGTCAGTGGTAGCTTGATGGGGATAACACTGAATCTATAAATTACTTCGGGCAGTATGACCATTTTCATGATATTGATTCTCCCTATCAATGAGCATGGAATGTTTTTCCATTTGTTTGTGTCCTCTCTTATTTCCTTGAGCAGTTGTTTGTAATTCTCCTTGAAGAGGTCCTTCACATCCGTTGTAAGTTGTATTCCTAGGCATTTTATTCTGTTTGTAGCAATTGTGAATGGGAGTTCACTGATGATTTGGCTCTCTGTTTGTCTGTTATTTGTGTATAGGAATGCTTGTGATTTTCGCTCATTGATTTTGTATCCTGAGACTTTGCTGAAGTTGCTTATCAGCTTAAGGAGATTTTGGGCTGAGACTATGGGGTTTTCTAAATATAAAATCATGTCATCTGCAAACAGAGACAATTTGACATCCTCTCTTCCTATTTGAATACACTTTATTTCTTTCTCTTGCCTGATTGCCCTGGCCAGAACTTCCAATACTATGTTGAATAGGAGTGGTGAGAGATGGCATCCTTGTCTTGTGCCAGTTTTCAAAGGGAATGCTTCCAGTTTTTGCCCATTCAGTATACCAGGAAGAAGTGGAATCCCTGAATAGACCAATAAGAAGTTCCAAAATTGAGGCAATAATTAATAGCCTACCAACCAAAAAAGTCCAGGACCAGATGAATTAACAGCCGAATTCTACCAGAGGTACAAAGAGGAGCTGGTACCATTCCTTCAAAAACTACTCCAAACAATAGATAAAGAGGGAATCCTCCCTAACTCATTTTATGAGACCAGCATCATCCTGATACCAAAATCTTGCAGAGACAGAACAACAACAAAAAAATTTCAGGCCAATATCACTGATGAACATCTATGTGAAAATCCTCAATAAACTACTGGCAAACCAAATCCAGCAGCACATCAAAAAGCTTATCCACCACGATCAAGTCAGCTTCATCCCTGGGATGCAAGGCTGGTTCAACATACACAAATCAATAAACATAATCCATCACATAAACAGAACCAATGACAAAAACCACGTGATTATCTCAATAAATGCAGAAAAGGCCTTCGACAAAATTCAACACCCCTTCATGCTAAAACTCTCAATAAACTTGGTATCGATGGAACGTGTCTCAAAATAATAAGAGCTACTTATGAAATAGGCAATTTCAAATTTCAAAATGTTCTGAAAAACTGGACAATCATCTGGATTTCAGGTATTATTCTATCAAAAAAGAAAAAATATACAGTGCCTTTCTCCTCTAACTTACTGTGAAATTTTTCTTCTAAAGTCATGTTTACTAGTATCTAGTCTCTCTGTCATCTTTTCTAAGAGAAGTATCCTTTGCCCATGGCCATATCCTTCCAACCTGGTAACCATCACTAATAAATTTCAGTGCAAATTAGGTACAACTATAATTCCCTGGAGTCCATTATGCTAATGTACTTACTCCCTAAGATTACTCCCTAAGATTATCCAAGTACTTTACAGAACACCTATTCCTTAAACTAGAATGATTCAAAACTTAGCTTGGCAAAGTGTCTCACTCCTATAATACCAGCACTTTGGGAGTCTGAGGCGGGCTGATCACTTGAGATCAGGAGTTCGAGACCAGCCTGACCAACATGGTGAAACCCCATCTCTACCAAAAAATATAAACAAACAAACAAACAAAATTAGCTGGGTATGGTGGTGTGTGCCTGTAGTTCCAGCTACTTGGGGGGCTGAGGCAAGAGAATCACTTGAACCTGGAAGGTGGAGGTTGCAGTGAGCCGAGATTGCACTACTGCACTCCAGCCTGTGTGCCAAAGCAAGACTCTGTCTCCAAAAAACACACACAAACAAACAAAACTCATTGAATATCTATTTAACTACCTTTAAAAGCTTAGTTATTGAATGTTTATAATTTTCCAGGCACCAGGCCCAATGTCTTGATAAACAGGATGAACACCATCTTCACAGACTGTTAAAGAGGTGTTAAGTGACCTCTTATCCCTTTTAAAGCATACAAGCTCCAAAGTGACTGATTTCCTTATACTAATTGTCTAGGCAAATATTTAGATGCAATTTATGTAATTGTACTTTGTATAGGTTTCTACAGATGAATGCTTAAATTCTAAGCATCCCTAAATTTTGGGATTTTGTGTAGTTGCCACAGTTGTACTTGATTGAAGTAAAGTTGATAAAAGTCACAGATAAATTATATTAATTCTTATAATTAGCTTTTACAACTGTAAAGGCAGCATTATTCTTATTTGAAATAGATCCCCAATCTCTATAACCACCTCATTAGAGTAATAGTACTGTTCAGTTTTTTTGAGAAGTTTAATCTATTTTGTTTTATGGAGGAGTGGTTATTTTTTATATTTCCGAGGCCATTCTTGGGTGTTTGGAGAGGTACTTGGCAATCCCTTTCATATATATTTCTACAGGCCTGGTTCAGAACGGTACAAACAATGAATCCACTAGATTAGGTTATTAGTGCATTTTGCCATGGTATTATTCATACCTATGCCTCTTACGCCTCTTGTTAACATTTGGCTTTTGCAAGCCATTATAACACATCCTTGAACTTATTCATTTGCCAGGTTGAAGCAGAAGCTAATGATAGCTGTTGCTAGATTCTGACAATCTCTCTTGAGATCAGATTTCAAATATATGTAAAACCCTATCACTATAAATTGGACAGTTCTTTCTCGATATATCATCGTTTATGTATTTTGGAATCTTAATTATTTCAATCTATATGTATTAGGTTTGATGGATTATGCCAAGCACATTATTGACATGTAGAAGCAAATGATGCTGGCTATAGGCGGTGGCTCATGTCTATAATCCCAGCATTTTGGGAGGCCAACGTGGGCAGATCACTTGAGCCCAGGAGTTCGAGACCAGCCTAGGCAAAATAGTGAAACCTGTGTCTCTACAAAAAAGCAGAAAAAATTAGTTTGGTGTGGTGGTGTGTGCCTGTAGTCCCAGTTACTTGGGAGGCTGAAGTAAAAGGATCCCTTAATCCCAGGAAGTTAAGGCTGCAGTGAGCCTAATTGTGCCACTGCACTCCAGGCTGGGAGACAAAGTGAGATCCCATCTAAAAAAAAAAAAAAAAAAAAAAATTAGAGCTGGGCTCGGTGGCTCATGCCTGTAATCTCAGCACTTTGGGAGTTCAAGGAGGGTGGATCACGAGGTCAGGAGTTCGAGACTAGCCTGGGCAACATGGTGAAACCGCGCCTCTACTAAAAGTACAAAAATTAGCTGGGCGTGGTGGCGGGTGCCTGTAATCCCAGCTACTGGGGAGGCTGAGGCAGGAGAATCACTTGAAACTGAAAGATGGAGGTTGCAGTAGGCCAAGATTGCACCACTGCACTTCAGCCTGGGCAACAAGAGTGAAACTTCCATCAAAAAAAAAAAGAAAACAGAAAGAAAGAAAGTAAATGCTGCTGATGTTTCAAATCATTGTTGTATCAAATGTAGCAGGTTAAGACAGGCAGTCAGTGGATTTTTTTTTTCAGTTTTCTTTTTTTTTTATACCAATGGAAAATTTCTAGTTTAATATTGTACTATATTATTATTATATTATTATACTTTAAGTTTTAGGGTACATGTGCACAATGTGCCAGCTAGTTACATATGTATACATGTGCCATGCTGGTGTGCTGCACCCATTAACTCGTCATTTAGCATGAGGTATAATTATATCCTTTTCTAAAACACTCATTCCCTCACCAACACATTCCAGCCAGAACATAAAAAGCAAGTGTTAGGTCAGAATGACTCCTGTTTCTCATTTGGTATGGATTTATCTTAAGATATGAAGATGTTCCTCAAGGTGCCCATATTGTTCTCGTGCCAGGATATCTGTATGGAGAATAACTATTTCATTTAAAGCGTTTATTAGTATTACATCTTTAATTAATCTCTTCATTTACAAATGTTCAGTGTTCACATGTACCATTTGAATTATATGAAAATACCATATATTAAAAATTTTCACAAGTCTCCCTGCCATTCTACGTCATCAGATTGTGACACATGGACCAACAATATCAGCATCATCTGGGAGCTTGTTAGACATTCAGAATATCAAGGCCCTTCCCACATCTCCACCAGTCAACGTCCAGTCAGGAAGAAAAGGATAAGACTGTCATTTTATCAGATAGAATGTAAGATTAAGAATTAAGTAGAATTAAAGATGCTACATAGATACATTTTTAAAGGCAAAAAGAAAACACTAGGGTATTATAGATGTAACAAGTGTAAGAAGCGGCTCCACTCCAAGGGCTAAATTATTAAATCTTAGGAGCATGAAGAGACTCCATGGAGATAACCAGACCAACAGAAGAGGGATGCTGGTAGCTGATATTGGTGACACTGAACATAGAGAACGGACTCCACTGGGCTGGGACACTTCATAAGAGCCAACTGGCACTGGCATCTCAGCTCAAAGAAGCAGCCTCCATGAATCTGATGATCAAGTCTTTGAGTGGGGAACTCTTATGGACTAGTGCTGGTTTTCTGTGATGGAGGGGAAATGCAATGAGACTACTTCCACAAGTGTTAGAAAATATAAACCAAATTCATCTGTTGCTGCAGGAAGGAACTGTACTGTCAGTATGAAACAATATTGTTAAAATGACATTCACAGGCACATGAAACAGACAGGAAGCCCAGAGAAAACAAACAGGAAGGAACAGATTTCCTTTTCCTTCATCCTTGCAGTCTTCATCTAGTGCTCAACTGTTAGAGTCTAACACAGACCAACTTGGCAAAACAGAAATGTTAACTGAAAAGCCTTAGCTTCATCCATCAAAACACAGACTACAGAAGGGAGGCTATGGAGACAGAAGTGATGCCATCTTGGATGCTAGTCTGCTATTTGGACTTCTGATTAACTCCAGTCCCACGAATGCCTCCTGATTCCTATTTTATTTACTGTCTTTAGTGTAATAACATGTATTTAGTATAAATCTTGCCTTTAGATAGAAGCAATCTTGATGTTATCACAGAAAATATAGGCTACGAAGCACATAGCTTTCTTATCTGTTCTGGAGGGTTGCCTTTAATTGTCTCACGTATAGACCCCATAGACTCATGGTATATAGGTCCTGGGTCTAGAGAGTAATGGTGCTGAGACCTACCTGTCTTGCTACTGTCCAAGACCATGCTTCTGTCTGTAAATTCCCCCAATAAATCACCCTTTGTCAACAAACAATTTTTCTAACTAATTATTAGGTTTCTAGACTCCTTCTGTGTTTGGGGGTCACTTTGCATATTATGGCCTTTTTACAAAACAGTGGCTTTGGAGCTCACAGTCTCTAGCTCACCCACAGAATAAAAATCTTCAGTTTAATGACTTTCTTCCCCTCATTCTCCATACCCCACAATTCACAAGCACAGTCAAATATTAGCAGCTCTCTTTCAGAGTTTTTTTGTTTTTTTTTTGTTTTGTTTTGTTTTTTGTTTTTTTTTATTATACTTTAAGTTTTAGGGTACATGTGCACATTGTGCAGGTTAGTTACATATGTATACATGTGCCATGCTGGTGCGCTGCACCCACTAACTCGTCATCTAGCATTAGGTATATCTCCCAATGCTATCCCTCCCTCCTCCCCCCACCCCACCACAGTCCCCAGAATGTGATATTCCCCTTCCTGTGTCCATGTGATCTCATTGTTCAATTCCCACCTATGAGTGAGAATATGCGGTGTTTGGTTTTTTGTTCTTGCGATAGTTTACTGAGAATGATGGTTTCCAATTTCATCCATGTCCCTACAAAGGACATGAACTCATCATTTTTTATGGCTGCATAGTATTCCATGGTGTATATGTGCCACATTTTCTTAATCCAGTCTATCATTGTTGGACATTTGGGTTGGTTCCAAGTCTTTGCTATTGTGAATAATGCTGCAATAAACATACGTGTGCATGTGTCTTTATAGCAGCATGATTTATAGTCATTTGGGTATATACCCAGTAATGGGATGGCTCGGTCAAATGGTATTTCTAGTTCTAGATCCCTGAGGAATCGCCACACTGACTTCCACAATGGTTGAACTAGTTTACAGTCCCACCAACAGTGTAAGAGTGTTCCTATTTCTCCACATCCTCTCCAGCACCTGTTGTTTCCTGACTTTTTAATGATTGCCATTCTAACTGGTGTGAGATGATATCTCATAGTGGTTTTGATTTGCATTTCTCTGATGGCCAGTGATGATGAGCATTTTTTCATGTATTTTTTGGCTGCATAAATGTCTTCTTTTGAGAAGTGTCTGTTCATGTCCTTCGCCCACTTTTTGATGGGGTTGTTTGTTTTTTTCTTGTAAATTTGTTTGAGTTCATTGTAGATTCTGGATATTAGCCCTTTGTCAGATGAGTAGGTTGCGAAAATTTTCTCCCATGTTGTAGGTTGCCTGTTCACTCTGATGGTAGTTTCTTTTGCTGTGCAGAAGCTCTTTAGTTTAATTAGATCCCATTTGTCAATTTTGTCTTTTGTTGCCATTGCTTTTGGTGTTTTGGACATGAAGTCCTTGCCCACGCCTATGTCCTGAATGGTAATGCCTAGGTTTTCTTCTAGGGTTTTTATGGTTTTAGGTCTAACGTTTAAATCTTTAATCCATCTTGAATTGATTTTTGTATAAGGTGTAAGGAAGGGATCCAGTTTCAGCTTTCTCCATATGGCTAGCCAGTTTTCCCAGCACCATTTATTAAATAACAAAGTCTCAGGATACAAAATCAATGTAAAAAAATCACAAGCATTCTTATACACCAACAACAGACAAACAGAGAGCCAAATCATGAGTGAACTCCCATTCACAATTGCTTCAAAGAGAATAAAATACCTAGGAATCCAACTTACAAGGGATGTGAAGGACCTCTTCAAGGAGAACTACAAACCACTGCTCAAGAAAATAAAAGAGGATACAAACAAATGGAAGAACATTCCATGCTCATGGGTAGGAAGAATCAATATTGTGAAAATGGCCATACTGCCCAAGGTAATTTACAGATTCAATGCCATCCCCATCAAGCTACCAATGACTTTCTTCACAGAATTGGAAAAAACTACTTTAAAGTTCATATGGAACCAAAAAAGAGCCCGCATCGCCAAGTCAATCCTAAGCCAAAAGAACAAAGCTGGAGGCATCACACTACCTGACTTCAAACTATACTACAAGGCTACAGTAACCAAAACAGCATGGTACTGGTACCAAAACAGAGATATAGATCAATGGAACAGAACAGAGCTCTCAGAAATAACGCCGCATACCTACAACTATCTGATCTTTGACAAACCTGAGAAAAACAAGCAATGGGGAAAGGATTCAGAGTTTTTTTGTAAGTGATAGAATATCTTATTTGGAATGTTTAGTTTAAATTCTTCCAAAAAGATTAGCAATTATTCTAACCTAATGGTGTTGGTCTTTACTTACATGTCTGAAGCAACATTAGTTTTTAGTAAATATTAATCTTAGTTTCCATTTTTTGAAATAATAAAGCTGATAGAATATTATCTATCTGTGACATCACATAGCAAATTTATGAGGATCTGGTTGGTTTGTACAGATAGCTCGATACTTCAATAATAAGAATAATTGTTAACTTGTGATCTCTGACTCTCTGAAGAATTTAAGCAGAATTTCATGCATGAGTACTTGCAGCTTCTGTTGTAAGAATCAGGCATATTTTGTAGGTGTATATTGAGGCTGTGTTTGTGGTTTCATCATTACCTTTATTATCCTTTTTGCAGTGAGTTCTTTAACTTGTGCCACCACATAAATGGAAATGTGACTTACCAGCTCTGTTCCTCAAAATTGTGTAAATATATGTTGGGCTTTCAAGTTATGAACCTCAGGAGAAATAATGCATGTATGAAAGTGAAGTGCAGGTATAAAGAAGTAGTATTTCTTTGGGGCAAAAATTCCAGCATTTACCTACTAATTTCAAAATTATCACCCTGGAGGGCTATAATGTTTGTATATTCCTAACTGGAACTTCTTCCTGGGATTATACTTACAGAATTAGATTTAGTTTTAGAGATAAATGTTTCTGAATATTCTGTGTTGTAGCACAAAATCCTTTTGAGTGGGATTTATTTTAGAAATACACCCTTTCAGCACTCTCATTAGCCCATCCCACTAAGGAAAAAAAATCTCTATCTTGATTTTTATAATTCTAGTGCTAAATTAGGGCATGACATGTAGAAGACTGCACCAAGGTTTGTTGAATAAGAGAACAAATGAATGGCTAAGTAAAAGAATATGGGCGAACAATGTAATTTAACTTTTTGCTGAGCTATAACAGTAAAATTGTTATAAATACAGCTAGAAAATAGATATAAAAAGTATTTACCAAAAGGAAAATCCAAAAAGAAAAGTATATTAAGCAAGGAAATAAGCATAGAATTGCAAATGAAAGAGAAAGCATTGACCTCTCAAGATAATTTCTTGTTAGGTTTACACTACTCTAATTATAATAATACATATATATTATAATATGCTTTTATATTTACAAAGATGATTAAAAGTTATGTTTATTATATTTGTAAGTGTATCTCTCCATGAATTATTTTCCAAAATTGCCACAGTGCTGAGAATCAACTCAGATACACTAAATCCTCAGTAGTAATATTAGCCTTTTTAGTGTAAATTGCTAATATTTGTGTAAAGCCAGGATTGGTCAATAACTGAGTTTCTGATCATCAGCTGAGAATTCTATTTAACTGCATTGATCCACAAAATGTCATGCCACTCCAGGATGCAATAGCTCTCGAGATCTTTGCAGCTGCACACTGACCTATTCAGAAAAGATGACATTTGGCTGGCTAAGACTGTATGTCTGGAAATTGTTTAGGTTGGAAGAAAGGTCTGCCATTAGATTGAAATATTGAAGCATTCTACATGGAAACCCTAGAGAGTAGTAGCGAGTAGTACTAGACCCATATGGCAAAGACAGAGCAGTGGCTGGAAGCTCTGGAGCCAGGGCCCTTCCTTGTATGTCTCTTATCCCCACAAGGCCTAGAATGCCAGTACGGATATTTTGACACAAAATGATAAACAAATGGTGCAAATTCCCTGAGAGAACACAAAGATAAACAAATCTGAAAATGTAGAAATTGTAATATAAAGACCTTTATCTGGTGACTTAAAAAATGTATTATGTATTAATGTTCATTTGATAGATGCCCAGAACCACTTGTCATCAGACTCATGATCAATTATTATGTGACAAAACATTTCCCATTTTGATTAAATATACAATAGAGCAGCAAAAATTTTAAAATAACTGTGACAATTGTTGTCATAATTATTATCATCTTTCAGGGAAGAAAAAAAAAAACATTCTTTCCAGGCTGGCCTTAGGCAATATTATGAAATGAGATTACTCTTCCTTCTCCTTTTCTCTGTCTTCAAAGAATAAATTCAATGGCATAAAGTTGTGTGAATTATGATAGAACAGCTATAGAGCAGTCACTGGGTACCAGGCACTCTACTTTCAGTGTATGACACCTTTAATCCTTAATCAACCCTGACTGACACATTCTATCTTTTCTATATTTTACAGATGAAGTACTCAGACAGAAACAAGTTAAACAACTTGCCCAAATGCCCTAGGCCACAAAAAAATAACTCCAGAGTCAACGTGCACAAGCACTAGCATTTATAGGAAAATATCCTTGAATAAACGCATTTGCAGTTTAAGAGATTTAGTTCAAAGAAATATCTTAGTAAATAGCCTAAGCGATTTTGTCAGTGGAGTTCATGAACTGAGTCTGAACTGAGTCACAGGCTGTATTCATTGAGAAAGGACTTGTTAATGTTCTTGGAACAGACACTCATGGGGAGCTAACCCCCTCTGACTAATTCAGGTTTTGCCAAATTTGGGGCCATAGAAAGGGAATCAGGGATGCAGGCTGTGAATCTGATGAAAATGTAATCTTCTATGCAGTCTGTTAAACCTTTTCTTTTGTGGACCTTCATGTGTCCTTGACATGGGAGAGATGTTTGCTCTTGCTGCAGCCTCCCAGGACTTCCTCCACTACCTTCTAGAAAAAGTTAATTGCTTCTTCTCTGAGTCCCCAGGACATTTTCCCTCATTCTGTCCAGCACTGCCTATGCTGTAATGATGCCACGTGTTTGGTGCTTGCTTCTTATTAGAGGTGAATGAGTTCCTGCAGTAGAGGGACCACGCCACTCTTCCCTAGATTCTCACCCCCTAATACAGTCCCATAAATGCCAGGTTTTAGGACTCAAGATCTTTACGATGCTGGTGTTTGTCAACAAAATTTAAACAAAACATGCTCCTGATTTGAGGTCTCAAATACAACTGAGTTCACAAGTGGAATTGAGCTTAGAGGAGAAGAATAGCATTAGATACACTGTGCCAGCGCAGGTCAGTCAAGATCTCTCTAGCTTGGGACTCTAAGAAACCCTATGTAAGGGTGATAATGAAGGTGAAGACTGAAGAAGTTAAAGGAAGAAAATTACAATAAACAATGGCATACTTCCTTTTGAGGTTTAAGTCTATAACTCAATAAGAATCCCCTGGAGGCTATAATTTTAATTTCTGTCATTGTCTTTTGTAAGTAAATATTGTAATGTTCTTTATATAGTAGATGTCAAATGAAATTCTTGGACTTTACATTTTTTCACCCTAAAATTGTACGAAATCTGGTGTAGAATGTCAACGTAGTCTCTCCTATCTAAAGTACTCATACATTTGTAGATTTAGGCTTTGTGCTGCTGATATTCCATGTTTCTGGTTCCTTCACCTATGGTGAGGTTACATACTTTGTCTCTCAAACCCATGAAAGCATCATACATTCATATTTAAATGTTATCACTCACAAGTCACCTAAATAGGTAATAATAGAAGTTAACATTTATGGCAGGCTAATTACATATTGCAGACCTTTAGCCTAGCACTATATGACGACTAATATTGTCCTCACAAGAATCCTGTAAAGCAGTTTTACAAATAGAGAAACAGAGATGAGGTAACTTGCCTGAAGTTGCTCATCTAATAAACGATGGAGCCAGCATTTATTCTTGGGCACTCTGAACTCAGGGAAGTTACACTATACATCTTTATTATAAACTGATGAGGACACCCAGGAAGAGCAATCTCACATACTGGGAAAACATTTAGCTATAACTAAAACATATAAACCCACATGAATACGGCTCAGAAAGCAGGACTGTGCCACAGCCCTTCCTCTCTTATGCTGACTCCAAAGCAGACAGCCCAGTGGCATGCTACATGGTGTCAATCAGGATCAAGCCTTGAGGTGACACATGGGAAATGGTGTGAAGCCAGATTTAAGGCTACATGTTCCATTTTCCTGAATCTCATTTGAAGGCAGTGTGTTACCATAAGAAAGCTGTGAAAGAATGAATAGCCCATTCCTCCAAGTTCTGATTGGCCTTATAACCTTAAGTATAAAGAAACAAGGTATTTGAAAAGAGTATTTCAATATCTCACATAATTCATGGAATTTGGCCTATTCTAGAATCTGTGGAGTGTCAGATTTCTCTGTATCCAGTGAAATACTGTGACTCACCCTTACAAAATCCTACAAACTCAAGCTGAAGCATCCAAATCCGAGAGAGGAAAGGCCGTGTCACAGTCCTGCTTTCTGAGCGGCATTGAGTGCCTGTGGCTTTTCTAGGTGCCTGGTGCAAGCTCTCTACCATTCTGGGGTCTGCAGGATGGTGGCCTCTTCTCATAGCTCCACTAGGCAGTGCCCCAGTGGGGACTCCATGTAGGGGCTCCAACCTCCTATTTCCCATCCAGACTGCTCTGGAAGTTCTCCATGAGAGCTCTGTCCCCACATCAGACTTCTGCCTGGACATCCAGGCATTTCTACATGTCTTCTGAAATCTAGGTGGAGGCTCTCAAGCTTTAACTCTAGCCCTCTGTATACCTGCAGGCCCAACACCACATGGAAGCTTCCAGGGCTTCTTATAGCTTGCATCCTCTGGAGCAGTGGACTGAGATGTATCTGTGGACTTTTAATCATGGCTGGAAATGGAGTGGCTGAGATTCGGGGCACCATGTCCTGATGCTGCACAGAGCAGTGGGGCCCTGGGCCTGGCCCATGAAACCACTTTTTTCCTCTTAGGTCTCCAGGCCTGTGATGGGAGAAGCTGCCACAAAGGTCTCTGAAATGTACTGGAGGCATTTTCCCATCATCCTGGCTATTAATATTTGACTCTTCTTTACTTATGCAAAGTTCTGCAGCCCTGAATTCCTCCTCAAAAAAATGTGTTTTTCTTTTCTACCACATGGTCAGGCTGAAAATTTTCCAAACTTTTATGCTCTGCTTCCCTTTTAAATATAAATTCTAGTTTCAGGTCATTTATTTGCTTTTGCAAATGAGAATAGGCTTTTAGAAGCAGCCAGGCCACATCTTGAATGCTTTGCTGCTTAGAAACTTCTTCCACCAGATACCCTAAATCATCAATCTCAAGTTCAAAGTTCTACAGATGCCTAGAGCAGGGGCACAATGCTTCCAGTCTCTTTGTTAAAGTATAGAAAGCGTGACATTTACTCTAGTTCCCAATAAGTTTCTCATCTCCATCTGAGACCACCTCAGCCTGGACTTCACTGTCCATATCACTATCAGTATTTTTGTACATTCAGTATATAAAACCATTCAACAAGTCTCTAGGAGTTCCAAATTTTCCCACATCTTCCTGTCTTCTTTTGAGCCTTCAAGCTGTTCCAAACTCTGCCTGTTACCCAGTTCCAAAGTCACTTCCACATTTTCAGTATCTTTATAGTAATGTCTTACCTCTCTGGTACCAATTTTTTGTATTAGTCCATTCTCAAACTGCTACAAAGAACTACCTGAGACTGGGTAAGCTATGAAGAAAAGAGGCTTAATTGACTCACATTTCTGCAGGCTTAACAGGAAGCATGACTGGGCAAGCCTCAGGACATTTACCATCATGGCAGAAGGGTGAAGGTGAAGTAAGGACCTTCTTCATATGACATAGTGGGAATGAGCGAGAGTGAAGGAGGTAGTGCTACTCACTTTTAAACAACCATATCTCATGAGAACTCACTCACTATCATGAGAACAGCAAGGGGGATATCTGCATGATCCAATCACCTCCCACCAGGTCCCTCCCCCAACACTGGGAATTACAATTCAACATGAGATTTGGGTGGGGTCACAGAGCCAAACCATATCACTGGATAGTTTATGAAGAAAAGAGGTTTAAATGACTCACAGTTCCATGGTCTGTACAGGAAGCATGGCTGGGAGGCCTCAGGAAACTTATAATCATGGCCGAAGGCTGAAGGGGAAGCAAGCATGTCTTCACATCATGGCAGGAGAGAGGGGGAGAGAGAGGAGGAGGTGCTGCACACTTTAAACAACCGGATCTCTTGAAAACTCTATCATGAGAAAAGCAAGGAGCAAGTCTGTCCCCCTGTGTTTCAATCACATTCCACCAGGCTCCTCCTTCAACACTGAGAATTGTAATTCAGTTTCAGATTTGAGTAGGGACACAGAGCCAAACCATATCAGGAAATATGGTAGCATTTGCTTCTGGGAAGACCTCAGGGAGCTTCCACTAAGGGCAGAAGGCAAAGGGGAAGCAGACACTTCACATGGCAAATACAAGAGCAGGAGAGAGTGTGGCAGGAAGTGCTACACACTTTTAAACAACTAGATCTCATGAGAATCCACTCGCTATCATGAGAACAGCACCAAGGGGATGGTACTAAACCATACATGAGAAATCCTCTCTTATGATCTAATTACCTCCTACTAGGCCCTACCTCCAACACTAGGGATTACAATTCAACATGAGATTTGGGCAGGGACACGAATCCAACCTATTTCAGTCAGCTAGGCTGGTTCTCTTTTGAAGTCCCTCTATGGTAACCCATCCCTTTACCTTTTCTAGTTTCTAGAGTCTGCTTGCGTTCCTTGGGTCCTGGCCCACTTTCATTTTCAAAGCTAGGAATGGTGTGGTGAATCATCATATTGCTTCACTTCAATCTTGCTGCCATTGTCACATCTTTTTCTCTCTCTTTTGACAGAGCCAGACCCTGTCCCTGTTAGAGACAGGGTCTAGGACTGTCATCCAGGCTGGAGGGTAGTAGTGCTATTA
This sequence comes from Homo sapiens, assembly GCF_000001405.40. NCBI lineage: Eukaryota > Metazoa > Chordata > Mammalia > Primates > Hominidae > Homo > Homo sapiens. The sequence goes on along the minus strand of NC_000006.12, from coordinate 77,036,455 downwards.
AAGATCACTACAGCCTTGACTTCCCAGGCTCAAGCGACCCTCTCCCCTCAGCCGCCATGGTAGCTGGGACTACAGGCATGTGCCGCCATGCCTGGCTAGCAGAAATGGAGTCTTTCTGTGTTGCCCAGGCTGGTCTTGATCTCTTGGGTCCAAGCAATCTCCCCACCTCAGCCTCCCAAAGTGCTGCAATTACCGTCATAAAACATTGCACCAGGCGCTTCCACTTTTAAAGATCCTGTGAGCATTGAGCTTATCTGAACAATCTAGGATAATCTTCCTATTTTAAGGTTGATTAATTATCAACCTTAATTCCATCTACAATCTTAATTCCTCCTTGCCATATAAAATAACATACTCTCAGGTTCCACAGATTAGGACATAGACATCTTTGGGAAACACTGTTCTGCTGACCACCAATAGGAATTATTTTATATCCCCATTTCACAAATAAGGAAACAGAGACAGAGGGTTTAAAAATTTTCACAGGGTCACATAAGTAATAATTGACAGAGTTAAGAATTTGACTCTTTCGCTCAGACCCCAAACTCAGTGGATTATTTTTAGAAGACAGAAAAGTTGTTCTCAAATAGCTTTCTGAAGAATGCTATATTTTCATTGTTTAATGTGACAAATTCACATCACATCACATTTAAATATGAAATAGAACATTCTGAAACTATAGTGGGAAAATTATCTTTTTGCTGGATACATAAATATTAATTTGATCATAAGCTTCTTTGAATGAATGTAAAGAAAAATAATTTCTCATCATTGGGTCCTCAACTCAAAGTTATCTTAGGGATGCTGTCCATGAGCCCCAGTTTAAACAGTAGCCCACCCTCACCTCCATGCTGTTCCTTTGTCACATTATCCTTTATTTTCCTCATGGTACTAACAACTATATAAAATTATCACGTCAAGGTATTTTTTAAGCTCTCTCCTCTCACAAACACACAGCAATTTAAGTTTTCTGAGAATAGTGAATATATCTCTTTTATTTATTTATCACCACAATTAATGTAGGATCTGGTATTTATTGGAAAATTGATAAATAGCTATTCAATGAATGATAGACAAAATCATCCAGGTCGAAGAGGGCTAGACCAGGGTGGGGTAGAAGAGGGTCTTTGACCAATTCTGTTCTATACCATAGATAATGAAGAAGCAACAACATTTTTATGCAACAAAGTTTATGTCGTCATCCCCTTATGATTTGATTTTCAAGGAATTTATTGTTTCCTTTTTTTTCTGTTAAAATTAACAGTGTGATTAACATCATTTTACAAGTTTATTTTTCTTTGTCTTGATTTTATCGTTGGATTAAACTCTGACCTATTGAGTAGAAGTGTCAATATATTTTTAAGATTCTTGATAAATATTGTCTATTTTTTTCTAGAAAATTTGTATTATGAGTATTTACTACTAAAACGTTCGCTAATTTGAGAAGCAAAATAAAGAAAATCTCATTGCTTTTTTGTGGGGGCTGTTTTACTTTATTAATGAGCTGCACAATTTTCATGATCACTATGTTTTATAAATCTATTTATGATTTCATATGTTACAAATTGTTTATATCTTTGTCCCTTTTTAAAATTAAATTATTCTATTTTTTAATTTAACCTTTTTTAATGTTAATTATATTAAATCCTTTTACATTTGTGGTATTTCTCTACTTTCTCATTTATATTTTTATTTTCTTTGATATATATAGAATTTTTTTTTTAGATCACTACACGTATGTTGACTACAACCCTAAGTTTATTACATGTTGTGTTTATCAAGCTATAAAATGTTCTCCTTTTTCTTCCTTAATATGTATTTGGTATGCATAGCTTAAAACATACAGTGTTTTATTTCACATATATGTTTTATTTAAAATATTATTTTTATTAATTTTGATTCTATCTTGATTTTGAAATCTACTTATGATGCCATGTGAAAATAGGTAATGGCCGTGTAGCACTAAATCGCATGTTTTAATCACAGTAGCAGATGTTGTTGGTGTTCTGCCCATCCCCTCAGACTTCCTTGCTATTTCTGTGTTTATCAGATTGATTTCCAATGACTAGTACTTGAGGTCTGTCAGTGGTTTGCCGTTGACCTGCAGGAATTCACTTTGCTGAAATGCATAGCATTCCAGAGTGCTTGGAAATTCACATCCACTGGGCAGCTCTTCACAATTGCTACTTGGTGAGAGTGTATAAATACCTTTGCTCCTCCGTTGGCTGAGATTGTTCTGAGATGTGTGTTTTTCACAATTTTCCACAGCCTGCCTGCGGATTAAGTTTCAGTTGCCCACTGTAGTAGCTGGCTTAAGAACGAAGCACTTATTGGCTACTTTCCCTTGCTGTTTTAACTTCCCACTTCCCTGAGGAAGTCTGGGAATACTTGCCCTTCTAGACATTATAAAGCAGAATTGATTAAAACTGTGCTGACACCCTTTTGGTATCCTCAGTGCTTGTCTTAAAATCTGCTTCTGGAGAAAACCCTAGTAAGTAGCCCTAGCAAGGCAGTCACTCTTTTCTTATCTATACTCTTTGTGGTTGGTTGATAGTTGTTTCCAATACTTTGTTACCATTAACAAAACACATTGTGATAAACATAATTGTACATTTTCTCACGAACTTATGCAGGAATTTTTGTAGGTTATATTACCCATGAGTCAATTATAGAGATATCAGGTGTATTATCCAAAGCCATGTAGTATATAAATATGTAATTTTACTTTGTGCTTCAGATTACTTTTGAGAATTGCTTCCCAAGTACAATATATTCTCTTTCTCCCCCACACCCTTAGCAGGAATTCATATCATGCAACTTTCCAGTTTTTGCCATAATGTGGGTACCAAGTGGTTTTTTATTGCTATTTGATTTGTGTAAATCTAATTACTGGTAAAGTTAGTTGTATTTTTTTCTACTCTTCTTAACTGAATGAGTTTCTATTCTGTGAAATGTGTGTTTTTACCCTTAATCCCATGTTTCCTCTGAGCTTCCTATTTTTCTTGCTGATTTACAAAAACTCCTATATATTCTAGGTGATAATTATTTCTTGTCTTTTTTTTGATATTACAAACACATCTTCTTATGTGTCACCATTTTATTCATGTTGTGTGTAGTGTCATCCATGGAACAAATACCTTTGACTTTGATGCAGTGAAATCCACCAAACTTCCTCATTGTAGCTTATGCTTTTGGGGTCTTAAAAACTTCTTCCCTACCCCAAGGTCACAAATATATTTTCTTTCATTTAGTTTTTTTCTAGTATTATTCCATTTATATTTACAATTTTAATACATTTAAAGGTTTTATTTCTATCTATTGCGTGATGTAGAAACCCAACTTTTATCTTTCTTCAGATCATAATCTAACTTTCCTTACACCATCAGGCATATAGTCAATTCACACTGCACCGATTAGCGATGCTATTCTATACTTTTATAGGCTTACGACTTTGTTGGACAGCTCCATTTGTAAGCGCATGTATTAATACAACACAGTTTTAATCAATTCTGCTTTATAATGTCTAGAAGGGCAAGCATTCCCAAACTTTACCTCTTCATTTGCAAAACTGCCTTAGATCTTAACAGATTGTTTTTTCCACGTTTTTAATCAGTCTGCTAAATTTCTCAAGAAAAATTCTTCTGAGCAATTGATCAAATTGCATTAAATTTATGGGATAATTAGTAATGAATTTAATTCATGGAAATTGTGCTTACAATGTATTTTCTTATCCTCAAGACATATATTCACATATACTTTTAATTTTTAATAAGTTTATTTTTAAACATTTAACTCAATCATTACATCTGGAATTCATATTTTAAGTTATAAGGGTAAAGTTTTGATTATATTTTTGCAATGAGTTAATCTTTGTTTAGCTGCTTCTTCACTAATTTGGGATACAAATCCTATTTCAACTTCTTACAGAGCTAGGATTATTTGTTTTCTGCTATCTGTTCTGTGGCAAAGTTTGTTGATTACATTTTGTAATTATAAGAGGTTTAAAAATATATGTAATTCTTGGAAGGGTAATAGCCCCACTAATTATTCTTATTTCCCAACATTTTGAGAGACCCTTCTTGTTTCTTTATTCTTATATATGAACAATTGGAATACCTTATCAATTTTAATAAAATATCACATTGAAACTTTTTTTTTTTTTTTTGTGAGACAGAGTCTTGCTCTGTCACCCAGGCTGGAGTGCAGTGGCCCAATCTCAGCTCACTGCAAGCTCTGCCTCCTAGGTTCACGCCATTCTCCTGCCTCAGCCTCCTGAGTAGCTGGGACTACAGGCACCCGCTACCACGCCCGGCTAATTTTTTGTATTTTTAGTAGAGACGGGGTTTCATCGTGTTAGCCAGGATGGTCTCGATCTCCTGACCTCATGAACCGCCACTTCACATTATTTTGTGAAATTACATACTCATAACTATATATTTTTAATATGTAGTCTTATTCATCCAAGTCTTCTTCCATATCATTCATATGTGTCTTTCATATACAACTTGCCTTAGAGATCATCTTTCTAAGTAGTCTCAGGTCTCTCTCTCTTCTGGTGGCAGGAACTGATAAGATTGGGAATTATTTGGAAATATTTTGTCAAATTAAATACATTGTATAAGAATAACTTTGAATGTTAGTAGGATTGATGCAGAGCTATATCTCTCCTGAGATCAATTGTGACGTGTAACAAAGAAATACCACAATATCCAAAATCAACAGATAAATATTCCATGTATTAATTAGGAAAGGGCTGCATACAAAGAAGGTTATAGAATTGAATGACTGAATGCTGTAATTCTAACTTTAAGGTAATTTTTCTAAATATTATATACTTGAATAATTTATTTAGTAATTTAACAGGGCTGGGCTATCACAATTTAAAAGTGGATCCTGTCATGTCAATTCAAATAGTCATACTTCTGAGCTTTGCAAACCACACATTGTTTGCATTCACTTTTGATTTAGCAACAGCTTCAGAAATTTTGCACGCTGCAGATATTTTCTACACATGACGTCACTAATCATTACAGAGCTGGGAAAGAAGACAGAACACTTGACACTCATGCCGCTTTTTGTTGAAAATCTGCATTTGCAGTGTGCCCCTTTATTTTTTGTTGGTATTTTTTTTAATGACTTTAATTGCATTGTGGCAGAGGTCTGTAAGGATTGAGTCAGGAAAACAAGATTCAGGATATCCCTGAGGATCAACTCTCCAGGCAGCTTATTAATCTTTACCTAGGCAGCTCATGTTGCACTGGTGTTTCCAATCATAGACTGGTGCAAAACGTAATTAAAAGTTCAGAGTAGTCACAGAGTTATCAGGTGGATGATTCATATGCCTGTATCCTGACAGCAGCACTCATTCTCAGCTGTGGGAGAGCAACGTTCCCTTTCATTTTCAACTACTGAAGTCCCAGAAGATTCACCATAAGAATCTCTCGAGTAGCCGTTGGCTATGGTAGAGAAGTTATTGCAATACACACAAAAAAATTCAAGTTCAGATTATTAAAAACACAAACCTACAGATAGCTGTGACTTTTTCAGTACCAAACCTGTAGGTGCCTGAAGTGAATGAAATCACCTGCTAAATTCCAAATCATATTCCATTCTAAGGCTTGGTTCATGAAGCCTCACTTTGTCTTAGCCTTGAATCCAGCTGTACGGTTCACCTTAGTATCTACAAATGTACCCCAAATATCTTGCTCACATTCATCACCTACTGCTATTATTTGTCTCCATACAGCTACTAGGTTCTTACCTATAAAAAAGATACTGCATCACTTCCATATTCAAAATTGTCTAATGTCAAAATAAAATCCATTCTTCATTATCACCAAAAAGGTGTTGCATAATCTCACCTCTGACTTCTTTTTTGAAGTCATTTCTTTTCACTTTCCTTTTGGCTCTCTCCATTCCAACCATACTAGCCTATCTATGCGCTGTTCCATGGACTCACTAAGCTTATTCCTGCCTCAATGCTTTGCTCAATCTCTTCCCTCTGCTTAATGTGATCTTTCCCAATGTTATCACAAATTACTTTACTTAATGCAAGTCTCTGTTTAGGTGAAATATTGTCTAGGATCCTTTCCTAAACAATCTCTATAGAACACCACTCATCATTTTCTTGATCTGCCTGTTTTTACCTTTATCTTCATAGTTTGTCTTCTATACTAAAATTTCAGCCACACAAAACAAAAATTATTGTATGTTGTTTCTCATTTGGTACTCCATTCTGTGTTTCATAGATATTTGTTCATGAGCACCAAACATATGTGAGAATCAAACTCACATTGGCTGCAACTTAACTGATCCCAGTTGTGGAGGAGTTTAAAAGAATATGGCTTCTAGACTTATTCAGTTATGGGGATATTTGATCTTCAGTTGTTCAATAGTAAACAATTATCAACTGAGTACTTGCTATGAGTTGGGCACTGTTCAGGGCACTAAGAATACAGTGGTGAGAAAAACAAACATGGTCTCTGATGTCCAGAGTTTACATTTTAGTGACGGTGTTCATATTGCAATTATGGCAAGCTTTCACTCATAGGTAAATCTGTGATAATCTTGGATCTCAATAAGAAGAAATCCTTGCCACTTAAAAGACTAGGCTTTCTTATTTCAAGAGTGTCTGAAGAATGTAGGGACAGAAAAAGCACTCAATAGCATGTCCAGTGACAGGGCAGTCTCAGCACCCAGTAAACACTTTTATCAGCTAATTCTGGAGAAGTAAGAGATCTGTAGAAGATATTCAGTAGCACATATTTCAAAGGAAATGACCACTTCCTTAAAAATACTCTTTTAAAAAATTATTATTATACTTTAAGTTTTAGGGTACATGACTAGAAATACCATTTGACCCAGCCATCCCATTATTGGGTATATACCCAAAGGATTATAAATCATGCTTCTATAAAGACACATGCACATGTATGTTTATTGAAGCACTACTCACAATATTAAAGACTTGGAACCAACCCAAAAGTCCAACAATGATAGACTGGATTAAGAAAATGTGGCACATATACACCATGGAATACTATGAAGCCATAAAAAATGATGAGTTCATGTCCTTTGCAGGGACATGGATGAAGCTGGAAACCATCATTCTCAGCAAACTATCAGAAGGATAAAAATACTCTTAAGGAAGACTGTGTTAAGGAAGATATGTTACAAAGGGAAGGGGAAGTAGCTCTAAATCAGCTCACTGAATGTTTCTCCAATTTTAAAATTCTTTTACATCCAAATGAACTTCTTGATTCTATATCTAATCATCAGGAAAACATGAACTGGATAATTCAGTTTGAATCGCACACACAATCTCAATGGCAAATGTCATCAGTGTCAGAACTCCGTTGTTCTACTATTTTATTTTCCTTATGTACCAAATAGGAAATATCTATATCTTAAATATTAAGTCTTCAGATTTACCCATAGTGTGAGGTCTAGTATTGTTGACTTTACCAACATGATTACTTAAGCTTTCCATCCCAGAGCATATTGCTGTTCTAAGTACATTGGATCAAATCTCTTTTTTGAGTGAAAGCCTACACTTCCAATATGGAGGGCTAATACTGTCCTTTGTCACCAGTTCTACCTGTAAAATTTCTGAGGGCTGAACAGGGAGCTTTGCCTAATTTCCCTATTATTGAATGAACATGGTTAATTAGCCCCTTAAATGTACTCTTAATGTGCAGACTTTATTTAATTTTAAATTATGTGTCTCCTTTATTCATGGATGTTTGTCCATGTGTTTGACTTTGCAGTGAGTTTCAAGGCATAGAGTATGTCTCATTCTTTTTTCCCTCCCCATGACTTGCCTAGTTTCTAATACATACATAAAAGGTGCTCAATAAAAACAAAACAAAATAAAAACCCACACTACTAAATGAATGAAGTAATGCTCTGGAATCAGTAAACAGAAAAATTTGCTTATAAGGGGGAGTGTTGTTGTAAAATATTACAGTAGTTCAGAAGATAAAATGTTTTCAGAAAATTATTTATAATTTCATTTTCTCTTTATTTAATATACAGCCATAATTTTTATCATCAAGAAGTACTACCCAAAATTCTATCTCTGATCTGATTGCTTCATAAAGCAGTGCCCTGTATTAGAACCTTAACTGATGAAAGGGATTTTATATAAATATATATATGCACACCTATATATATATATATATAAAATATATGTACCAATTTTATAGTGTATATATAATATATATAACACATATATTTATATACATAAATTTGTAGTGTATGTATTATATATCATATATATAATATATACCAATTTTGTAGTGTGTATATATTACACACTACATATATAACATTATATATATACACACTACAAAATTGGTGTATATATATATTATATATATGAGAGAGTGAGAGAGAAAACTGATATGTATTTACTACAAAATTGATAAGATAATATGACCTTAAAAGTACCTGTTGGCTATTTTGGATATTTCTTTCTTTTCTTTATTTATAGCAGTTTATAAGCAGTGTAAGGAAAACTTTTGAAGGCTATAATTGGAAATGTAATCGGATAAAATACATTGCCAATAAAATAGCTGAATACAAGAGGCTAGATGGTCATTCTTTTTTTTTTTTTTAAGGTTTCTTTTCTCCTTAGACCCAACCATTTGACCTAGCAGAAGGACTGTAGAAATTTGGAATACAAAGACACTGATTTTTTTCTTTTTTGGTCTGTTTTGAGACAACAAACTTCAAGGGGAACTGAGTGGAGAGATTTGTCGATCTAAAACAAAGGCTTAAAATACCATCAGAAAATATGAAATCTGCAATTTTTGAATGATAATGGAGGCTAACTTTTGGGAGTTGGTGTATTTTTCCATAAAAATACTTAATTTTTTATTTAAAAAGTCTTTCATAATAATTTATTTGCCACAGTGTTCTCTTTAGAGTAGGTTGATATTTTTCCCATAGCATGAAAAATTTGTCATAGAGATGTTTAACAAAACAGCCAAAGTCTTAAGTGTTTAACTTCAAGATTTTTTAAATGTCTACCTCCACAACTCTTTCTTGGACTTCCTTTCAATTAAGGTTTTAATATAGGGCACTGCTTTCTGAAGCAATCAGATCAGTGATAGGACTTTGGGAATACCACTTGATTAAAAAAAAAAATGCTCTCAGCTTGCAGAGAAGCCACGTTGCTTTGCCGGCCACTGAGCCGTCTAGGTTTGACATTCCAGTCATGGTGTGGTCGTCCTTTGGATGTATGACCATGACTGTCACCAGTTTTGCATCTTGCTTCCTAAGAAGGAAAGATTGCCTTAAAAAATATCACCTCCGTTAGGTAAGTAGGATCAAAAAAGGAGGAGTAAAAATGAGACACAGAACCATGAGCTTCATTTATGTGACCCGGGGTGTGAAAAGCACTGGAAGCAAAATTGAGTTCAATTGAGCAGAAGATAATAAAATCTGTGAGTTTCCAGATGAGAAGGGATTTGCTCTGGCCTTTCATTTATAACTGCAATTATGGAAGTATTATCACAAACAAAAGAAAATGATTTTCAGTAATCAGACCTTCTGTAGAAAAGTATCAGAACTGGCTAGCCAGAGTTCAGGAAGTACAGAGGCAGTTGCAATAGGATATTACAGGGGTAACAGATCCATGCACATTGCTGAAAAGAACGAAATTGAGATAAGTGGGTGATTTAAAACACAAACAAAGCAAAAGTGAAACTATTTCTGATAATAGGGAAAATTCAAGGTAAAATAAAGCAATTAGACACATATTACCATTTTAAAACCAATAAATTCTGAACAATATTTGGTGGCATATGTTGCAATTTCTGAAGTAAAGGTGGTAGAACAGCTCTTCAAATAACTAATGGGATGAGACATGACATCTTGTATAGTGACGTAAGCTTAGTCTCTGAGATTTTGTTATAGATAAGATACCAAATTCCTCCATTGGAATAAACCAATTTTCTAAGCCAGTAGTCAGCAAAATACAGCCTGCAGGCCAAATATGGCCCACTGACGGTTTTCATAAGTAAAGTTTTATTGTAATAGAGCTACACTTATTGTTTATGAATTGTCTATGACTGCTTTTGGAAAGCAAAACAATAGCAGAGTTGAGTTGTTGCAGCAGAATTGTATAGCCTGCAAAGCTGAAAATATTTACTATCTGACCTTTACAGAAAAACATTTGCCAATTTCTACTCTATGCCAAAGTATATTTTGATTTTTTCCGTCATTATATTAGATAGAAATATTAGGACACAAAAAGAAACCACTAACAGGGTTTCACAAAATCTTTCTCTTATTATCATAAGGTCCCCCCCCCAAAACTCAGATATTACTCCTTCCTGAAGGTAGAAAAGAAATCCAGGCAGTTGTGAGTCTCTGAGTTGCCTTGCTCATGTTAAGGACAGACAGATAGAGTCAGTGCACACAGTTTAAGGCTGAATTCTGCGGGGAAGTACCAGATCCTAAGAACCTGACAACTGGACTAAGTGCCCTAACAGCCTATTTTTGAGCCCGAGGGGATAGATGTTGTGGTTTAAGAACCAGATTTGTTCACAGTCTCCTGGGATTTAATCCCATTATTTCTTGCTGGGAAAAATACTTGCTCAGGCTATATTACAGCAACAGCAATGACAACAAAAGCATTTTCCTAAGGAGAGAAGAGCAAATAGATAGAGGCAGGACTCCTGAACAAAGACATGGCATTTGCAAATGTGCTCGATACGTCCTTAACACAAACCTGCAAACATCTTTTTCCTTTGCATGTTTTTTGGGGTATTTCATGTCATCTTTTTAGAATACTCAAATGACAGATAGGACTAGCCAGCAAGTTTGCCTAAGCAGGAGAAAGTAAAACTCCTATAATGTTGCTCACATAATATTCATTGTATTACTTTTCTTGGAAACAAAACTACAATTTTATTCAGGGTGGCAATATACATAGCTGAAACACAACTTTTCCCAGATACCTTTGTGTTCTGGGCCAGGAGCTATAAGGTGAGATTAATAGATAGGACTCTGAGGGAAATTCATTAGTGGGAAGACAAGATACCTGATAAGCACTCTTTTTAGCTCTTCCTCCCCTACGGTAATTCTTGCTTTAAATGTAAATGTAATAGTTGTATTTCCAGAAACCATCTGGGACCGTGAGGTACCTTTTAGTGGGAGGAGAATAATAATATTTTAAGGTTGACAAACTGGATATACAGAAGAGACCTGAACTCCCGGGGTACCCTGGTGTTGCCGTACTTTATGTTATTTGAGAGAAAAGTAACTCTTTAAACCTTATTTAGGCCATTGTTATTTGTATTTTATCTTATATGCAGCCCCCCAATCATATTCTGAATATTACAAATAAAAAAGTCCTAGAGAATTGTCCACAATAACTCCTACCAAACCCTTTTAAAAGAGAATGACCAGCAAATGTATCTCATCAAGAAATACACACACACACACACACACACACACACACACACATTTGTCTACCTAGGAATACAAAACACAATAAAAAAAGACATTATTAAATACAAACAAATATTTATTGTAAAATAAATGTGGATGAAGAGAAGTAATGGATGACAATAGGAATAGATACTACTTTTAGTCTTTAATATTAGAAAAAGTAAGTTTAACGGAACCACTAGAAAAATACAAATAAAACGTGACTTTCAAACATTTTTAAACTTTTATGTTAAAAGTCTACATAATACTTAATGCTATTTTGAATGTATAAAAAATATTAATATTTGAATTAAAATATAAAACATGCCCCAATATCTAAAATACATACTGATTTAACTTTTCTTATCATTCATACATTTGGTTCATATACCACTACATTATAATCACAGTCACATAGCAGAAAATAATAAAATTTTCACGTGTGATAAATATAAACTTTTTTTTCCCAAATGAGGGGAGTCAACCATATGAGAAAATGGAGTAGTGCCTTTTAAGCACTATATCAAATTTAATGTTCTGGTTAGAGTGATCTTAAATTTGAGAATAAGGCAAAGTAAGACAGAACTGAGCATTTAGAATGCTACAGAAAAATAATAGGAAATAGTTTATGTTTAAGCTCAATGACTTATTTTTGATCAGTGATATTCTTATTTGAACACTGTGTTTTTACTATAGAAGAAATACTTTTGAAAGAATATGTTTATCCCCAATATTATTTGCTTACCATGTGGTACAGTTCATGTAGGAAACACAAGATAAATCTTGCTATTTTTCCTTTATTTACTGAGTTTTCAAGAGAATGTATTGATTTCTTATCATCTTCAAAAGGTAAGTGTGTGTAGACAGGTAAATATAAATACACACACACACTACATGTATATACAATTATATATATACAATTATATATATACACAATTATATATATATACATATATATAGTCATTTGTTTAAACATATTTATTGAGTTCCAACCTATTATAATTTCCTATTCACGTGAAAACTTAAATTGGTCTATATGTGGCCACTGGGCCCTCTTCAAACTGGCTAGACTTGGTAACCCTTTGATATTTTGATATGTCTGTAGTAGTTTTCAATAGGTTCCTTGTCATTTGGGATAGATCTTCCAGGTTCATCCTTAACATTTCCTGCCACAGACCAGGTTCAGACAATTCTCAAAAATGTCCTGATATTTCATGATATTTAATAGGAAACATTATTTTAGAAACTCAACCAGAGTAGTCACACTGATTTTTTTTTAAGTAACTTATTTAATGTAGATTTTCCACTTGGTTTAAACCATAAAATGGTGTTATTATTCCTAATAAATGCTACTAATTGTGCTTTATTTTCCCAAAAAATCACTATAAAATTTGTCAAGCATACAAAAAATGATAAACTATATAGGGACCATTCATTATCCCTTTATCTAGATTCTGCCATCAACATTTTACTGCATATATCATCATCTAACCATACCATTATCTATCCATCAACACTCCCCAAATATCCGTTCTTATAATTTTATTTACATATAGCTTGCATAACATAAAATTCCTTCACTATAACTGTACAGTTTGCTGAAATTTAGCAAATTTATACAATTATGTAGCTATCACTACCATCTGGTTTTAATTATTATTATTTTTAATTGCCAAAAAATTGTACATTTTATCATGTACAAAATGTCTGACATATGCATATATCATGGAATGGCTAAATCGAGCTAAATAATATATTCATAACCTCACATACTTATCATTTTTTTCTGGTAAGAACACTTAAATTCTACTGTGCTAATGATTTTTAAGAATACAATAAATCGTGTTAACTATTGTCACCATGTTATATAATAGATCTCTTGAACTTAGTCCTCTTATCTATCAAAAACTTTGTATCCTTAGACCAACACCTTATCCAGCCCCTGGTAACCACCATTCTAATCTCTGTTTCTGGGAGTTCAATTTTTTTCAGATTTCTCATGTAAATGAGATCATGAGGTATTTGTTTTTCTGTGCCTGGGTATTTTGCTTAACATAACATCTTCTAGGTTGTCACAAATAACAAATTTTGCCCACTTTAAAGGCTGAATAGCATTTCATCGTGTATACAGTCAACCTTCTGTATCTTCAGGTTCCATGTCCACAATTGAACCAACCCCAGATCAAAAATATTAGGAAAAAGCATTTAAAAGTAACAATAAAATAATACAAAATACAAATTAAAACAAGTATAACAACTATTTACATAGTATTTATATTATGTTAGGTATTATAAATAATATACACATAATTTAAAGGAGAATGTCCCTAGGTAATATGCAAATATTACACCATTTTTATTGATAGATAATATTAATACATGTGATACAGGGTACTTGTGATATTTGGTGACATGCAAAGACAGTGTAATGTTGAAGTCAGGGCACTGGGGTGTCCGTCACCTCAAGTATCTATCATTTCTATGACCATACTCTCTTATATAAGAGACTTGAGCATCCACAGATTTTGATATTCCAGGGGGTCCTGAAACAAATCTTTTTTGTATGCCAATAACAATTGTATTTACCACGTCTTCTTTATCCATTTATCTATCGATGGACACTTAGGTTGATTCCATATCTTAACTGTTGTGAATGCTGAAATAAACATGGAAGTCTAAATATATCTTTGACATACTGATATTATTTTCTTTGAATATGTACTCAGTAGTGACACTGCTGGATCACATCTACTTCTATTTTTAATTTTTTGAGGAACTTTTATACTTTTTTTCATGATGACTGTACCAATTTTTATTCCCACCAACAGTGTACAAGGGTTGACTTTTCTTAACACCCCCAGAGATATTTGTTAACTTTGGTCTTTGTAATAATAGCCATTCTAACACGTGTGAGGACGTCTAATTGTTGTTTTAATGTGCATTTTCCTGATGATTAGTGATGCTGAGCATTTTTCATACATTTTCATTTTATATTGGCCATTTGAATATCTTCTTTTGAAAAATGTCTACTCAGGTTATTTGCCCACTTTTAAAAATTAGGTTATTTGCTTTCGTGCTATTGTGTTGAATTCCTTACATATTTTGGACATTAACCCCTTATCACATGTATGTTTGTAAAATTTTCTCCCGTTTTGTAAATTTTCTCTCCACTCTGTCAATTGTTTACTTTGCTATACGGAAGATTTTTATTTTTATGCAATCCCATTTGCCCATTTTCACTTCTGTTGCCTGTGCTTTTTGGGTCATATCCAAAATAATTATTGCCCTTAAAAGTGTCACGAAGTTTTTTTCCTATGTTTACTTCTAGTAGTTTTATAGTTTCAGATCTTACATTTAAGTATTTAATCCATTTTGAACCACTAATTTAGAACACTTCCATCTAATTTAGAATTTAGAACACTTCCATCATTCCAGAAAGTTTTAGAACTTCTGAATGCATTTTACATTCAGTTTTAAAACATTCCAGAAAGTTTTCTTATGCATGCATAAATTCTACATAAAATAAATATGTTGAATGAACAGTATCTAACACAATAATCTTTTCCTAAACAGCACCATCTAGTTAGCTGTTTGCAATCTGCAATGAATTGAAGATCTGTCTAATAAATCATGTTGTAGTTTTGTCTAATGATAGAAATGCTTAGATTTGTGTTGACTATAGTATATGAAGTTCAGTGAAGGTGCTGACTTTTTATTTTCTGGTTAGCTACAATCTTAATGAAGTTACTGGAGAAGAAACTTCTTGCAAAGTGAGATATTACCATATTTATTTCATGAATTTGAATCATATCATTCCCCAAACTACCAAATACTGTTTAACACCCAATCAATTTTCCATAAATATTCGTTAAGGGATTGGAAATATTTTCTCTCATAGTTGTAATTTGGGGGTTTTTAGTTTCAAAAGAATATAAGAGGTATGTTTTTCATCACCATGTATACTCTCCATCAAGCCAGTAGGCTCAGTGCAATAGCTGTCCAAAAAGAATCACTTGAGTGGTAATATGAATATTTAGTTTAGATTATAGATGCATAGTTGATATTCTATAGGATGTCTTCTTGCACACTTTCTGTTAACTTAAAAGAGATTTCAGAATCTGATATATTGCATCCACTGTTCTCAATTTAATATTGTAAATAATTTTTCTGAAAAGAAATTGTTTTTGACATATTTCAAAGAGCAATTTTGAAGATTAATTTGGACTATAAAAATGTCTAAGGTGTCTTTCAACTTCCTTGAAGTTCATATAGGAAATGCACTTAAGCCATATGGCTCTGCTCATTACCTTGTGCTTATTCATTTATCTCGTAAGGTGTTATAAAAGTGGACAGATAAACTTGAATAAACAGCTGCACTGTTTTCAAATGCTTTTACTTATTTAAAGTTACATAATTCAAAAAGTGAATCTAATTATCATAAATAAATGTATTTAATTTATCCTAGATTATAG
Source organism: Homo sapiens (assembly GCF_000001405.40). Lineage (NCBI taxonomy): Eukaryota > Metazoa > Chordata > Mammalia > Primates > Hominidae > Homo > Homo sapiens. The sequence goes on along the minus strand of NC_000006.12, from coordinate 77,020,547 downwards.
TACTCAAATTATTGAACACTTTTCATAGGTAACCAAAAAGTAAAACTTCACCATTCCCTCTTAAACTCTTCAACTCCCCTCCCTCTTAAACTTACAAGTGAGGTTACTGTTAAGGCCAGTTTTTTTTTTTTATTCAAAAGTTGTCCTACTGAAAGGAAAATCAATCAAGCTCTTTCCATCATAACATGACCTGACCTGAGAATATGTTTTATCCATGTCATATATTCTACAATAATCTGTCATCTTGAACTTCACAAGTAATAGGACAAGTACATTTTTCTATTATTTTATCTCAGATCTTATTTGTGGTGATAGCTCAGCCTCTATTTCAACTCCTACTCTTTCCAATCAGGTACAGTATGGCAGCAAATCTTCCAAGGCAATGTCATAGCTTCCCTTCTGTAGTCTTTGTATAAATTATTTGATGATAATGGCTTCAAAAGAAAATAATTAGCTAAAAAAGAGTCAGTGGGTAGCAATTACCACTAAATACATTATGTTTTAATGAGAACAATGACATTCATCAGAAAAATGTAGATTAACTGGTTTCTTTTAATACATTTCTTTGTAATCATAATCTTCAAATTTTAATATTGAAGATAAGGTTATTGTAAAGTTTATACATTCTGAGTTTGAAATATGGGAGTCAAATCAATGTCATAAATTCTGTGTATATTTTGCTTTTTTGTTTGTTTTTGACTGTCAACTCAACCAAATTGAAAAAAATTTACCTATCACTATCTACAGAAGAAAATTGTGAATAGTATTACAGTTTTAGCACCTTTTAACTAACCAGGATGGACATTTCAATAATAAATATATCACAGTTAAATTAAAATGCCTGAACAAGAGCAAAACATTTTAGTAAACAGTATCAATTAATTTGCATTTGTGACAGTAGATTATAATAACTAATTTGATTAGGTATTTGAAATTTCACATTTCCATTCTGGAAATGCCTACTTTTCAAAGGCATTTTATAAAGTAGAAGATGATAAGTAGTAGATTCAGTTAATGAATTTTTAAATATATATTTTCAGTGCACTTTGCACTTAGACTATGCAACCACAGATCTAATAAATTATGTAAACAAAACATTGCATCACTTCTTAAAAAAATATTTTCCTTAACTAGAAATTTGAGAATTTAATGACATGATCAACTTCAGACAGGAAGTTATGATACATTAAAAGATGACCATTAAAAAACAAAGTAGCCACATTTAAAATCTCCTGTGTTATCTTTCATAAATTATGGATGCTTACTACAGCTGTCATCTTTTGTTTACGTCTAGAAATTTATCCAGTGCCCACTGTGGCCGGAAATTGTTGTCAATCCTGAAAACCAAGACCTCAATCTTGATACGAAGACTTCTTCAGCTTTCTAATTTTAAATAGATTTCTTTTTCTACCAGATACTTGAGATTTTCTCAGTGATTTATAATGATTTTCTTTATTCATATTATCCCATATATTTAGTACTTAAATCTATTTATTTCTCAAAATAATTTGGATTCTTTTTTTAAAGTTATACTCTACAAATCTCTGAACTATATCCAATAACTATGTTTTGAATCCTGCTTATGTTCTTTCATATTTCCAGCTTTAATTTGATTGTCTTACATTTCAAAAAAGTTCCTGGATAATCTTGCAGAGAATATAATTTGTATTTTTTATATTCATATTCTATAAATCCCCAAATAATTAACTAAAATATATTTTTCTTTCAAGAATAATATGAAACTTCACATTTCTAAAGAATTTTTGAAAGTTTATAATAGCCTAACTTTATTTTTTAATTATTAGGTTTAAATTTTTCTATAGTAGGGCTCAAATCATTGATTAATAACTTGCCAGTGACAAAATATATTTAGAAAATGTTTCTAAACTATTTTTTCCAAGTAAAATCATAAAATTGATATTTTTATATGTATTAATTTTTTTTCAAGACAAAACCTAAGAGGAAGTAAAATGTTAGTGAAATCAATTTCAGAAATTGCCAAAACAATATTGCTCAAACAATGAGTGACAGATTGCTAAAGGACATTAAATGCACATTTTACTGGGTTATTAGCATACATAGCTATCAAATATATAGCCTAATATTTAGGAGAAACATTAACATTTTCATTACATAACTCTTACTTTGAAGTATGAAGAGGATAGGTTAATGCAATTAACTATGATATGTACCATTTTGTTGTGTTGTGTTTTGTTTTGTTTGAAGCCAATATGTATGACAAGAATATCTAATACCTCTCCCTCACTTTATAGGAGCAACATTGATGCAGATCTGTTTGAATAAATTAGATTCTATTTTGTATTGTCTTATTTTATTGGAAGTGGCAAGATTACATGGCCATGATCTAGCTAGTTACACCTATATTTCCATCTATAATAGTAGCCTTATATATTCACATATCCCATTTGTTTAGATAGTTTCTACTACCTATTACCTATTACTGAACAAATTCTAAATTAGCTAGGAAAAGTTGAATTCCTAATCTCTGCCACACATCACTCACTTGTTCACTCAGCCCCTGGGATGCTGTGATTCTCCAGGGGCATGCCTTCTACCTCATTGCCTACCCATCACTATAAGTTTTAATAAACATTATGGGGTCTTTTATAATAGCCATGGAAAAAAACTAGCTACCTGTATTGCAGTCCTCAAGCAATCCTTACCAACTAGGTCATTAAATGGGACAGCTGACAGATTTCTGGGAGCTGATCTCTCCAGCAGTTCATGTAGTTTATGACCTCTATGCCCGTCTCCAAATGTTGACCAAAGTTCAGAACCTAAAATTACAGAATTCAACCTCATGGCATTGCCACATTCTATTGATATTTCTTGCTTTTCTCTTGAGGCCCGTATTTTTTTTTCTGACCTGTACACATTGCCCAATCCATGTGTTTGAAGCCTGACAATGACATTTTAGCCAACTAACCTTGCTGCTCCTCAAGCAAGCTATTTTGGAATATTAATAGAATCACAAAGATCTCTGCAGTGTGTAGTTTATTTGCCATAAGAAAATGCCAAAAGAATGGAAGATAACAAGATTCCCATTAAAGAGCTGCTTCTTCCACTTTCCTAACAAAGAAACTTCAACTTTGTAAAACTTCCAAGCAGAGGTAGCCTATGGTAGAAAACACCCCGAATGTCCCTTGTCTAATTTTTATTATGTTGTTATGAACATTTTCTAACAATGGTTCCACTTAGAGTAGGCACTAAACCTCATTATTATGTGAATCAAATTCACTCTAGCTTTATGTGAATCAAATTCACTCAGCTTCATGGCCCCTTCTCTTGCTGTTTCCTCTGCCTACCTCGTGCTATCCCAAAATATTCACAGAAGAGGTCTCTTCTCATCTTTCAGCTCTTAGTTCATTGCTCATTCTCTTCATCAAGCTCTCCCTATCCATCCTAGAGCACACTCCATCTTTTATTATCTTTTTTACTGTCTCATTTAAAAAATTAGCAATTAATACCATTGGATTTATCTTATATATTTGCTTTCATTTTCATTGCCAGTTTCTTCTCACAAGAATGGAAGCTTTATTAGGGCAGAGAATGTGTCTGTCTGAATATGTCAGAAGGTACTCTGCCAAATTCCCAGATATTAATAAATACTTCTTGAATCAATGAAATTAAATTACAATGAAACTATAAAGCTATGAAAATGGATGATCTGTTGAAAATAAATGTCACTCTTAAAAATATTTTTGTTCCATTTCCCGTGCTTCTAAAGAACATCCTCTTTCATTGTTATAGCCCTGTTCATATTGAATTTAATTGCTCATGAATTTATCATTCCCCTAGAATGACAGCATTACAAGTGTCGTGGCTTTGCATCAACTGTGGCACCCTGTCATGGTTCCTGGAAACAAAGAGAAATTCAGTCTATTTGTTGAATTATTAAATAGGTAGATTAATTCATTTAGTATTTATGAGAAAGTGTTACAAGTGTGCTATTCACTTTTCTAAATATCTGTGTCATATTTACAAAAATAAGCATTAGGAGATTCTGGTTTGAATAACATGTATCTCCAAGTAAATGTTTTAAATTTCTCAGAACATTGTTACTTAATACCTAGTACAAGATTCACATCTGTGTATCTTCAATTCTGTAGGAGAGTGCATAAAATAGATACAAATTTGGTCAATTTATTGCATAGCCAAATTAGTCACGGAATGCCTGTCACTAGTTTAGAAAGTGATCTTCAAGATCTTCACGAGATTCTAGGGTTCCCTCAACCAAGCCAACATTCTTGTTTTTTTGAAGCCAACCTCACACCTTATCTTATGGAGCCTAGTTCATCCTGCCTGTCATTAAACAACTATACTCCTGGGTCCCTTCACTTCACCTAAGATCTTCCCAAAGTAATCATGTTTCCTCTTAGGTACTCTGTTTGATGATGGCCTTCCTACTATAAGTATCATTCTTGTACACAATGTGTACTTAATAACTATTGCATGAGGATGATGGTTGCATCACAGGACGTGAATTCAGGTGCAAACTATTGTCATTATCTTCACGTCGTCAATTAGGAGAATTTTCTTTTCACTTCTTGATATGCTGCATTTTCTTGTGGTCAACAATTTTCTTCTGTTTTCATTATTTTCTCATCATTCTCTGATAGTTTTGTAGGCAGATTATTATTTTTTCTTAATTCTGAAAGTTAATACATGTTCCTAGGATTATTAATAATAATCCTGTTATTATTATTCTTTGTTGAGAATAAAACTCTAAATAAGCCATTTTTTCCTACATGAGTGTCTTCCCTCAATTGCTTTTTGAGCTATGAAATGAAGATCATCTTTACCTGACATTACAAATGCAGTGCTAAGGACACTGGAAGTGGGAGTACTTATTTCTAAAAGCCTTTGGAATAGACAGCTTCCAGATTAGGATCTTTCCTCTTCAAATCCACTTTCAGACATGTGAGAAAGTAGAACTTAGGAAAGTAAGCTACAGGGAGATTTCTGCTGGTGAGTCATACAACTGCCACCAGTCCAAGCTCTTTCAGAATGCTCTGTATGTAACTGGGTCGAATTGAAGAAACTGGAAGCTGCAAAAGAACAGATTGACTATGTACAAGTTGGTAGGTTTAAACAAATAATAAGTGGCTGTTAAAAGAAATCAATTTTCATGAATGAGCTAAAAGGGGTGACTATGGAAACAAATAATTAGAATGGCAATTCTAATCAGCTGCTTCCAGCAGGTCTTTAAAATAATTACATTCCCATATTTTGACTGCCAGAGAAAAGCCACATGCTGTGGATTACTAATGAAGTTTAATACTTTTGAAATAAGTCTATTATTTGCTTCTTCCCTTTCTTACTTCCTTTTTTCCTTTCTCTTTCTTTCTTTGGGACAAAAAGAGGCTGTAGAAAAAAAAACAAATCCAAAGCAGGGAAATGAGAAAAATCTCTTCTACTGCGCATGAGATTATACCTCAAATTAGAGTGTAGTTAAAATATAAAATCCCAAATGACATATTCTAATTAATGAGTAGCTGTTACTATTTTTAACTGTTCTGTGTCAATGTTATTTAATAAATATGCCTTTTAAAGTCCCATGGCTGCAATCCCTAGTTTTAGTTGCTTAGATAGAAGCGTATCCTCTCTAATTGTAATGTTTCATGGGGCTTTGACAGGAACTTTTTCTTGACAGAAATTATGTGGGTGATATTTCATATTTGTCTGCCATAATAATTATTTTTGGCAATTGTAATATGAACATTTCATTCTGACAGATTAGCTTTGAATAAAGCTTTTTGTTTTCTTTTCTTTTCTCTCCCCAACAATCTGAAAGAGTTATTGACCAATGTTTTCTGGAATTTTTCATTCACTAATCTGTTAAGCCAAGCAGCCACCATTTGAGTCTGACAAAAACTCTGTCCTTGGCCAAACTTTAGTAAAACTCCTCTGAGCTCTCTTCTCAATAAGGCCTCAACCTCGGCCTCTGTTTTGTCTTTGGCCTACCCAGCTCAGTTTTAGCAAAGAGTCCTGCTAAGTCAGTTTAGTGAGAATCACCCAATCCTTGATATTTGATTACTCTTAATATCTGATCAGTTTCTTTATCATCCACCTTTGATGTCTAAGTCCTTGACCTGTCTTTAGCAAAATTCCATTTAAGATACTTGATGTCTCCGCTTAGTAATTTTCCATCCACTGACCTCCACACCCTGTTCCTTGGTTAGAAATCTGCAATTGGGCCGGGCGCGCAGGGGCTCACGCCTGTAATCCCAACATTTTGGAGGCCAAGGCGGGCGGATCACCTGAGGTCGGGAGTTAGAGACAGCCTGACCAACATGGAGAAACCCCATCTCTACTAAAAATACAAAATTAGCCAGGTGTGGTGGCACATGCCTGTAATCCCAGCTACTCGGGAGGCTGAGGCAGGAGAATCGCTTGAACCTGGAAGGTGGAGGCTGTGGTGAGCCAAGATTGTGCCATTGCACTCCAGCCTGGGTGACAAGAGCAAAACTCTGACTCAAAAAAAAAAAAAATCTGCAATTGGACAATTGTATATTGTCCTTGTTGTGTTCAGAAAGGAATCCAATCACTCCCTTATTGCAATATCTCTATTGCAATACTCTTGAATAAACATTTCCTTACCATTTAAAAAAAGTTTCAGGATAATTTTTTCTTTATCAGCATGGTTCCCATACAGAATCAGATTCATTATTGTCCCCTGGACCTCTCACCAAGGCCCCCAAGTCCACATCTTTGAAGCCTTTGTCTTTACTCCTTAGCAATTGATTAGGGATCTGTTGGTGAGTCTTGCTTTGGATCCAGTCCAGTGCTCTGGATAATATTTTGCTGAAGCTCCGCAATAACAGATTTAGAGTTTCTGAGCATACACTCTGAGGCTGGTTTAGAGTCTTGAGCTTCTTTGTTTGGGACACACTATTAGTTAAAAACATGGGAGTTTCTCAGTGCACTGACATCACCGATCTCTAACCCCTCTGACCATATCGTCCACCACTGTGGCACTTATCCACTCCCTTTCTTGTTGGCATGATTTTACTAATGATAATATGGAATATCATTGCCTTCTTGGGAAACTTAAGATCATCCCAAACTAGCTTATCTAGGACTCCTCCCTTTCCCTTGCCTCGATTTTTTACCTCCATATCTCCTTCCTCCTTTTAACCACTTTCAGTTCTTCCTTCAGTTCCTTTCAATACATTGATATATCTCTCTTCAAATCTTTTCCTCTACAATCCCTCTATTTACCCCTAAAAGACATTTCTTTTTCCATTGCAGCCCCTGAACTTCCTACAAGATATCAGGGCGAATGAAAATTTTAAAAGTCTCCTCCACAAATAAAGTCTTATTTGAATTTTATCACAAAAGTTACAGTACATATATGACATTATAACTATTTATTGGGCTATATGCTCACAATCTGTGCACTTTTCTCTTTTCAGAAAACTGATAGCAAATTTTGCTATGTTTCACAGAATAGTCATTTTAGTTGGCATATTTGCAATTCTTGAAATGTGTTACCTTTCCAGGCAAATGGCAATTTGAAGCTAGATAGTTAAGAATCTTGAGATAGGGAAATTATCCTGAATTATTCCTATCTCAACGGATATGGAATACCCCTTGAGATATGGGCCTACTATATCACAAGGACATGGGCCTACTATAATCGCAGGATCTTTATAAGTAGAAAAGGGAGGCAGGGAATTCAGAGGGGATGTGATGATGGAAGCAGAGTCAATACTATGTGAGTATGTGAACATACTTTGCTTTCATTGCCTTAGATGAGAATTCAGTTGTCTAATACAGTCACTTTGTTGAAGGAAATGTGTCTTTTTTTCTTACTGCTTTCAATTTTTTTGGTTCATTGTTTATTTTTACCAGACTTGTTACATTGCCCAGACCTAGTTTTCTTTATGTTTACTCTGTTGTCTGTTTGTAGAACTTCTTGAGTTTGTAGCTTGATACTTTTGGCTAATTGTAAAAAGTTCTTAGCTTTCAACTTTTAAATATCTCTTCTGCCTATTCTTCTTTTCTCCCACTCTTGGATTACAATTATGTATATGATAGTGTCACAGGCTCCTTGGGGTGTCACCAGCCTAAAATCTTTGTGGCTGGCGGTGCCTTCTGCCCGAGTATTGCTTGTGCCTGATGGGCACGTTCTGCCCACTTGGCCTGACAGGCTGTGCTCAGTTTGCACTATTGGCCTGGATCCCACACCTGCCAAGGGTGAGCCAGGTATGGAGTGGTGAGGGGTGTGTGGGTGAGTGAGCAAGGGTCCCCCCACTGTGCACAGCCAGGCGTGCTGGCTGCTGTGGCAGGGCCGACAGCTCCAGATGCTGGCTCTGTGTGAGGCTGCAGCTAGACCAGATGTACTGCATGTAGCTTCCACTGCAGGCATCCGCCCCTGGATGAAGGCAACACAGTGGTGCCCAGAGGGTGTCACAGCCGTGGTTCAGGGAGATCCTAGTTCCGGGCTCCCTGAAGGGCAGCAGCTCTTCTCTCATTGACTGCAACATGGAGAGCAGGGGGGCTTGTTTCAGCCCTGTTTATGTTACAGCTCTTCCAGTCCCGCCATTTGGCAGGTCGCAAGTTCTTGTCTCATGTTCAGGAAGAATGAGGTAGGCAGACAACTGGAGGGTTAGCAAGGTGGAGAGCAGCTTCACTGAGCACCAAAACAGCTCTCAGGAGTCCGCAGTGGGTAGTTCCTTTCCACAGGCTTCCTTCCAATGAGTGTCCAGCTCTCAGTGGAGAGGGGACCCACAGTGGGTGGCTCCTTTCCAACAGGCAGATCATCCCAATTAGTCGAGGAGACCAAAGCAGATAGCTCCTTCCTGCAGCTGGTAGGCTCAACATCTGCTTGAGTCTGACTGATTCCAGGGTTTGTATGGGCTCAGAAAGAAGGAAACATGTGCTAAGTGGTCCATAGGCAGCCATAAGTGTACCCAGAAAAAGCACCATATGTTCTCACTTTGGGCTACAAACTCTACCTGGCACTGGCAGTCTGGCCCCTAGGCTTCATGCTGTTCTTGGCTTGAAGATGAGGTTTCACCAGGGACCTGCCCCTTTACACCCAGGAACCTGTCTGCCTCCCGCCATCAACATGTCATCCAGACACCCCGGCTGTTCGTGCCAAGGAGCGTCTGCAGGCCCCTGCTGAACTGCCTTCAGCGCCCCCCGCCCCACCCTGCCGGCCTTCCTCCCATGCTCCCTGGCGCCTAAAGTCCAGAAGGGGCTGAGGAGGCCGCGGCTAGTATGTCAGCACTTCCCCAAGCACGTGCACACCCAGCCAGGTTGCGGCAGCACCCAGGCTTGGCCACAACTTTGCTTTGAAATAGAAGTGGGTGCCAGGAGAGGGAAGAGTCTAGGGAGGGGGAGCAGGAACTTCTGTGCCTGTAGGTGAAGGGAAACATCCTGGGCCCTGGAGAGCACAGGGATGCCCGGGTTCGGAGCCATTGCTGAGAGGCTGCACCCTGGAAGGGCAGGGCTCCCACCACTTTAACTCAGCAGTGGGCAGGGATCTCACCTGTTTCCGGCCCCTGCCGGCTTCATGGAGCACATAATCCCTTCGTTGCAGTGACCACTCCAGACTGGCTTCCACTGCCATCAATAGCCATTTAAAATATGTATCATGTATCTCTTATGCTTTTTTCCATATTTTTCATTCTTTTTCTTTCTTTTTACTATGGCTCATCATTTTCTACTGACTTATATTCCAGTTCACAAATCATTTCTTCAATTATACTGACCTATATTCCAGTTCACAAATCATTCCTTCAATTATTTAATCTGATATTAAACTTAACTATTGAGTTCTCAGTTACAATTATTATATTTGTTGGTTCCATACATTATATTTGATTTCTCTTTTAGACATTCAAATTTTCTGCTGAAATTATCTATCTTGATTTCCATCTCTTGAGCATATTGATTTAAATTCCATGTTTGATTAATATCAAGATCTGTATTTCATTTTCCTGCGTTCTCAATGTTACTTAATGTTTTGCATTTAGTCATTTTTGTATGCTAGATAACTTTAATTAAATGCTGGGTATAGTGTTTGAAAGTCTGTAGGAATATTTTGAGAATCTAGATGTTCTGTTTTGCTACCAAGAATTCTTTTGTAAATGGAAAGTTGTTAGACTTGGAAAATCTCACATCCAACCAGTTTGAGACTGTGGTAATTTGTGACAAGTCTTCAGACTTTGTAATGGTGGATCTAGTTCTAGACTCAACCTGTTTCTATTGAAAACCTATGGTGTTTATAAGATTCTTTTTACTACGATTGGCTCAATTCTGAAAATTCAACTCCAAATTCCTATAAAATGGCTCACCTCTCAGCCTCCTGACCTCTGATTGCTGTATGGCTCTGCTGCCACTTAAATCCTCTGCTACTAGATTTATTCAACAGTTCACTTTTAGCCTTTAGGTTGCAGTTGTTTAAAATTTGGCAAACATCTCAAGAGAAATAATGGCTCTGAATCTCAGTATCACTCTTAAACTTTGCTTTGTAATCTTGACCCCTCAAAATCTTGAGGTCTTGGTGATGCTCAAATAGAATTTAATTTGCAATAGTTTTATATATATTTTCTTGTTATTCACAGAAAGGTCTGATACGAGCTAGAACACCACAATAAAAAACAGGAATTCTAGTTACCTTTTAAAATGATTAGTTTTAATCAGAGTTTTAGAAGTAATGACTTCATATAATGATTTCTTTCAAAGTAACTTAATAACATTCTACGTGGAGGCTTAGTAATAGCTCTTATCACATAATAACCAGAAGACCCTGATTCACTATATATATATATACACGTATATGTATATGTAGCCAGAGCTTTACAATAATTTAAAAAGGAAGTGATAAAAGTTGTATTTCATATCACTATTTGAATCTTTATTTTTAATTCAGATAAAATAACTGTTTCCCTTAACTAATTTCACATATTTTTTATTCCAAGCATTTTTGTACATGCATATCATGGGAAGTAATAGCTTTAATTCTTTGATTCCATTAGCAGAAGAACATTCCAAAAATTTCTCTGTTTGCTACCTGCCACGAATATGATTTTTTAAAATAATTGAAACTTTGAATAACTGCTTTGAAAATGTTACAAAATTAAATACAGTACCAGTGTCTTCAGTGCTTTGAAAAATTTGATCATTGTTCAAAACTCACTTAAAAATCTGTAATCAGCAATTAAAATGTTCAAACTCCAACTTTTCAAGTTTTTAAAAAATTTCAATTACTGAAAGAAAGGTTGCAAATGGCTGAGTAACTGAATAAAATATGTGAAAATATAATAATAATATCTATTCTGCTGTGCTATTTTCTTAAAGTTCCAATAATCAAATAAAAGAAGCTTTAATTTGTTTGTTTTAATACATGATAAGTTCTTATTATTTTAGAAATGTTTTTTGAAATTAACCTCTAAAAATATCAATACTGTCTAATAAACTGGCCTGTCATTAAATAAATAAAATAAACAAATTTCAATAATTATCTCATTTTAATTATTTTATCACCTCTGGTTATTTTTATTTTGGTAAAACACACATAATATATATCTTTTAAACAAAAGTTTAAGTATACAGAACAGCAATGTTAACTATAAATGCAATGTGGTTCCACAGATCTCTAGAACTTTTCATCTTGCGTTACTGAAATTCTATAAATATTGAACAGCAACCTCAAATGTATTCTTTTTCTCAGCCGCTGGCAACAACCATTCTACCTGCAATGAGTCAGACTACTTTAGATACTTGATATAGGTGGTTTCATGCAGTGTTTGTACATCTGTCCCAAGTTTTTTCACTTAGTATCATGTGCTCAAAGTTCATTCATGTTGTAGCATACAACAGGATTTTCTCTTTTTTATGGCTGAATAATATTTCATTGTATGTATAGACCACATTTCCTTTATTCATTAATCTATCCATGGACGTTTAAATTGTTTTCCTAACTAAGATATTGTGAATGATGGAGCAATGAACAGCAGAGTGCAAATATTTCTTTAAGATACTGTCTTCAATTTGTTAATATACATACCCAGAAGTAGGATTGCTAGGTCATACAGTAGTTCTACATTTAATTTTTTGAAGAACCTCTATACTGTTTTTTATAGCACCTGCACCTTCATCATTTTACATTACCACTAGTAGTACACAAGTATTTCAATTTCTTCATATCCCTGGCAACACTTGTTATATTCTGGGGATTTTTTGTTTGTTTGTTTGTTTTTCTGAGATGGAATCTTGCTCTGTCACCCAGGCTGGAGTGTAATGGTGCGATCTCGGCTCACTGCAACCTCTGCCTCCCAGGTTCAAGCCATTCTCCTGCTTCAGCTTCCTAGGTAGCTGGAACTCCAGGCATGCACCACCACACCCGGCTAATTTTTGTATTTTTAGTAGAGATGGGGTTTCACCATGTTGGCTAGGCTGGTCTCGAACGCCTGATCTCAAGTGATCCACCTGCCTTGGCCTCCTAAAGTGCTGGGATTACAGACGTGAACCACTGTCCCTGACTGTTTTTGTTTTTTGTAATGGTAATCTGAATCGTTGTGAAGTGATACCTCATTATAGTTTTTCTTTGCATTTCGCTGATGATTAATAATGTGCACTACCTTTCCATTTACCTGTCTGCCATTTGAATGTCTTCTTTGAAGAAGTGTCTATTAAAGTCCTTTATCTATATTGTAATAGGGTTGTTTGGTTTTCTGCTATTGAGTTTTAAGGGGTTGTTATATATTTTGGTTGTTAACCTTTTAACAAATAGATGGTTTGCAAATATTTTCCCCTATTCTATTAGGTTGCGTTTTCATGCTGTCAATTATTTCCTTTGCTTTGCAGAAACTTTTTGGTTTCATTGGTCCCACTTGTCTATTTTTTCTCTTATTGCCTCTGTTTTTGGTGTCATGGCTGAGAAATCATTGCCACGACCAGTGTCAAAAAGATTTTCCCCTGTATTTTCTTCAATGTGTTTTATAGTTTCAGGTCTTATGCTTAAGTTTTTAATCCATTTTAGTAGATATTTGTGTATTGGTGTAATATAAGTGTCCAATTACATTCTTTTGTGTGGGGGTATAGTTTCTTTACACCATTTGTTGAAGACACTATCCTTTCTGCACTGCGTAGTCTTGGTACCCTTATTGAAAACTAGTTGACCATGTATGAATGGATTTATTTGTAGATTCTGTATTCTGTTCCATTGGTCTATATGTCTTTCTTATGCCAGTACCATACTGTTTTGATTATTATAGCTGTGTAATAGGTTTTGAAATGAGGCTATATGTGGTATTTATCTTTAACTAATTTCTCAAGATGGTTTTGGCTATTTTAGGTGCTTTATGACTACAAATGAATTTTAATATTTTTTTCTATTTCTGTAGAATAAAAATGTTATTGAAGTTTTGGCAGGTGCTGCATTGAATCTATAGATCACTTCGAGTATTATGGATATTTCAACAATAGTAACTATTTTAATCCATGAACATGAGATGACTTTTCATTCATTTTTGTCTTCTTTAATTTCTTTCTGCATTTTTTTTTCGGTTTTTAGTGTACAACTCTTTTACCTCCTTGATTGAGTCCTATCTATTTTTATTCTTTTTGCACTATTGCAAATGAAATTGTTTTCTCAATTTCCTTTTCAGTGTGTTTGCTATAAGTTTATACAAATACAACTGATTTTTGTACGTTGATTTTGTATCCTGCAACTTTGCTGAATTTATTAGTTCCAGCAGTATTTTTGCAGAATATTCAGTGTTTTCTGCATTTGAGATTATATATTCTGCAAATAGAGATAATTTCTCTTCTTCTTTCCAATTTAAATATCTTTTATTTATTTTTTATGACCTAGTTGCTGTGAATAGTATTTCTATAACTATTTTGAATGGAGTAATACTGTTTCGAATAGAGTAATACTGTTTTCAGAATAGAAGCTTTGTTCCTGATTTGAGAGTAAAAGCTTTCAGATTTTTATCATCGAATATGTTAAGTGGTGGGCTTTTCATATATAGCCTTTATTATGTTCATATAATTTCCTCCTAAGGCTAGTTTGTTGAGTGTCTTTTATCATGAAAGGATGTCGCATTTTGTAACATGCTTTTCTGTATCTATTGAGATGATCATGTGATTCTTTTGATTCTTTATTTTTATTGTGATGTATCAAATTAATTGATTTTCATATGTTGAACTACTCTTGCATCTCAGGAATAAACCCCACGTGGTCATGGTGTATGATTTTTTTAATTTGATATTAAATTCTGTTTGCTACTATTTTGCTGAGTATTTTTTTGTATTCATCAGGGATTTTGACTTGTAGTTTTTGTTTCATTTTTAAAACTTTTTTTTATTAAAAAATTTTTTTTCTTCCCTTTGTGAAATGGCATACTTTTTTTTTTCTCCTTTTCATGTCTTACGACTTTGGTATTAAGGTTATATTTGCTTCATAAAATGAGTTTAGATGTGTTCTCTCCTCTTAAATGTTTTTTGAAATAATTTAAGAAAAATTGGCATTAATTCTTTTTGAATGTTCAGTAGAATTCACCAATGAAGCCATCTGGTCCTAGGCTTTTCATTTTGGGGATTTTTTTTTTTTTTACTAATTTAATATTCTTGCTAAGTAGAGGTCTACTCAGACTTTCTTTTTCTTCATAATTCAATTTTACTTGTTTGTTTCTGGAAATTTATTCATGTCTTTTATGTTATCCAATTTGCTGACATACATTTATAATAGTTTCTAATAATCTTTTCATTTCTGTGGCATCAGTTCTAACTTCTCCTTTTTCACTTCTGAATTTATTAGTCTTTTTTTCTTTATTTAATTTAACTAAAAGTTTGTCAGTTATGTTGTTCTTTTCAAAATACCAACTCAGCTTTATTGATCTTTTTTATTATTTTTCTATACTCTATCATGTTAATTTCTGCTCTAAACTCAATTATTGTCTTCATTTTGATAACTTTGGGTTTAGTTTGTTCTTTCTCTAGTTGCTTAAAGTACAAAGTTAGGTTGTTTATTTAATATTGTTCTTTTTTGTAAATGTAGGTATATAACTCTAAACATCTCTCTTGTTACTGTCTTTGTTTTATACCATAAGTTTTTGGTAGTATCTCTTTGAATTACAGTTTAAATAATAAATTATATGACAGTTTTACTGGCAGGTTATCATTATATTGGAAAGACTCCTGAAGAAAGAGTCAGAATATCAAATATGTTTCTGATTTCTGATTATGTTGGAACCTTAGATACTCTTATGATTTTCGGCAGGCTTAGGTTTCCTTACTAATTTTACTAGTCAAAATAACTAATGCTTGGTGATGCATAAAACTACAAGTTTAAAAGCTTAACAAACTAGAAGAGTTCTTTTTCTGTTCACTGAAAGTCAATACTGAGTTAGTTGACTCTTCTGGGTAGCACTCCTACTGAAAGAGTGCAAGAATTGGGCTTCTTCCACTTTGTGATCTGCCATCTTGAATTACCTCTCTTTTAGCTACATGAGCAGGGAAAAGAATGTGTCAGTGTGATAGACCATACGCTTTATGTGTTGTCTCCAAAGTGACACCTATTATTTATGTTCACCTTATATTATCACTAAAATACAGCAGAAAACTTAATAACTAAAAGAAAGGATTTGGGTACTTATGAGCACAGCAGTCTTTACCACTAAGAGTGATAAAAATTAATTTTTAAAGTTTATATCTCAAATTTTCTGTTATTATAAGCCTTTAATCTCATTTGTATGGTTATTTTAGGAACCATTTATGTACAAACAATTATTAGATTCACAACTTTCTTCTCTCTTTCAAGCACTTCTCAAAATCTTCAACTCTGTCACATCTGTATTAGTCTGAGTTCTTCAGAGAAACAGAAACAATAGGATGTGCACATATATAGAAAAGATTTACAGGGAATTGACTCATGTGACTATGGAGGTTAGTAATTCCAAAATCTGTGGGGTTGGCCAGCAGGCTAATGACCCTGGAACACCAATGTTGCAGCTGTATGAATGTATGAAGGCTGGTGGGCTGGAGACCCAGGAGAACTAATGTTCCAGTTTGAGTCTAAAGGCAGTCTTCTATAGAACCAGTACAGGCCTATGCTGCAAATGATATCTGAAAGAAGCATGCTAGACAATTCTCTCTTCCTCAGGGGAGGCTGGTCTTCTCGTTTCACTCAGGTCTTCAACTGTTTGAATGAGGCCCATGCACATTATGGAGGGCAATGTACTTTATTCGAAGTCCATGAAATTTAAATGTTCATCTCATCCAAAATACCCTTACAAAGGCAACCAAAGTAAGATTTGGTCACACATGTGGACAACCTGTGACCCAGCCAAGTTGACACATAAAATTAACTATCACAACATCCAAACTCCTCTTTTCATAATTTTCTTAGATTGAATTAAAATTATTTCATGTCTTTCTTCACAGATAATGAGCTCCTTATAATAAGTTTTCTCAACTTTTTCACTGTTGTCATTTTACACTAGATAATTATTGTGAGAGGCTGTTCTGTTCATTGCAGCAGGTTGACAGTATCATAGTCTTTACCTACTCCATGCCAGTAGCATCTTCTGTCCTTCAGTTACAGGGATAAAAAATGTCCCCAGACACTGTTCAAAAGTGCTCTTGGGCAAATTGACCCCATCAAGAGCCACCACTTGAATAGGGGTTCTGGGTTTTCATCTTGGAATGATAAGCCCTGAACATAGGAGTGAAATGTTGAAATATTTGCTATAGTAATCAATATATCAGTAAATGAATGAATAAAATGTCAAAAATAAATAATGCCATTGAAGTTTAGTGGGATTTTTTTTTTAACAGAGTCTCACTCTGTGGCCTAGGCTGGAGTGCAATGGTGTGACCTTGGCTCATTGCAACCTCTGCCTCCTGGGTTCAAGCAATTCTTGTGGCTTAGCCTCCTGATGTAGCTGGGATTACAGGCGTGTGCCACCATACCTGGCTAATGTTTGTACTTTTAGTAGAGATGGGGTTTTACCATGTTGGCCAGGCTGGTCTCAAACTCCTGGCCTCAAGAAATCTGCCCAACTCAGCTTCCCAAAGTGCTGGAATTATAGATGTTAGCCACAGTGCCCAGCTGGGAAAAATTATTAATGTTTAGCTTTTACTCAACAACACCCTCACTTAGCTCTAAAGAAAAGCATTGCCTGGTCTCTCCTTAGACTGTTAGCACCCTGAGGGTAAGTACTTTTTAAAACAAATCAATACATGCTAAATCCCAGCACATAAAAGGAGTTTGATAAAAAACGTGGTTGACTAAGTGAACAATAAACTCTTCTAAAAGTAAAAGCAAAATTATGGGCTTGGCTCTTGCTCTGCTGTGTGCTTTTATCTGTGTTGACATCTCTCCTAACCTCCATAAGACTATCTCTTAGTACCTTGTCATTCCAATTGGCTTTACATGTTACCATACTAGAAGTACCAAGGCATTCGGGCACAAATGATAGTGATGGATTACAGAATGTACTGAATTTATATGTCATTTTATTACTTCTAAGTAGTTTAGGGAGTGATAATTTTTTCTAAGTGGTATTCTTTTGGAGTAATGACACAAGCACAGAAAATACAAAATGTTTGCTTTTTAAAGCCATTTTCTTTCTTTAGTTATAAGACAGTTTTTTTAACAATGGCTTAAAAAAATCAATTTTATCTTTCTACTACAGAGAGCTTTTACTTTTAGCTATCGTTACATCTTAATATTGCACCTACTTCAATGAACTGAATGTTCATATTCCCCCAAATTTATATGTTGAAATTCTAATCCCCAAGGTAATGATATTAGGAAAAGGGGTTAGGCCTTTGGGAGGTGATTAGATCATGAGGCAGAGCCCTCATAAATGGGATTAATGCTCATGGAAAAGAAGCCCCAGAGATATCCCTCGCCTCTTCCACAACATCAGGTTAGAGCAAAAAGATTGCAATCTATAAACTGTCGGAGCTCTCATCAGACAATGAAATTGTAGGTGCTTTGATCTTGAACTCCCAGCCTCCGCAGCTGTGAGAAGCAAATTTATGTTTATAAGTGACCTGGTTTATGGTATTTTGTTATAGCAGCCTGAACAGACTAATACAACATACTGTTTGCCACTTAAAAATTGATGCTGATAATCTCTTCTATGTTTCACTTCTAGTTTCATTCTTATTCATTGAAGATACAAATTAATTTTATGCAAATATTCTTTCCCATTTAAAATAATAATTTAAAATCAACTATATCGAGGTAAAATGTACAGATAATAACATTTACAAAGTTTAATTGTACAGTTGGGTTGGTTTGACAAATCAACTCATCTGTGTAGCCCCACACTAATCAAGATATAGAATAAAAGCTCCCTCATTTCCCTTTACAATTAATATCTCCCCGCTTCCTAAGCTAATTGATCCAACGTAGGTTTTACCTTTTCTAAAACCTTACACGAATAAATTCATACAGTAAGCAATTTTTTTCTTTCAGGTTTACTTATTCTGTTGGCTATATTGGCAATTTAATCATTTTTATCCTGATTAGCATTCCATTGTGCGAACCTGCCACAATTTGTTTTCTAATACATCTGCTGATGGACATTTGAGATGTTTCCACTTTTTTTCTATTATAAATACAGCTTTTCTAAACAGTGTGCATAACTTCTTGAAGGCTTGTGTTTTCATTTCTCTAGGATAAGTAGCTAGAAATAGAACTGTTGAAGATTAGGCTAGGCATACATTTAACTCTTAAAACATTACCAAAGTGACAGTACCATTTAACACTGGCTATAATAATATGAGTTAACAGCTGCTCCACATCCTAGCTAGCATTTGATATTGCCAATATTTTTACTGCTATTCATTCAAATGAGTGTGAAATTGAATCTCATTGTAGTTTTAATTTGCATTTTCTTGATGGCTACAAATGTTAAGCATCTTTCCATTTACTTATTGTCCATTCAAATGTCTTCTTTTGTGTCAATTTAAGATTTTTGCCCATTTTTAAAATAGTTCTGTTTCTCTTATTGAGTTAAAAAGGTTTTTTATGTAGTCTGGATACAAGACCTTTCTCAGATGTGTATACCGGATATGTTTTTTTTCCAATTTATAGAATACCATTTCATTTTTTAATGGTGGTTTTGAAATAGAATTTTAAAATTTTGATGAAGTTTAATTTATTACTTTTTCCATTTGCATATGAGTTAAGAAATATTTGCCTAATCCAAGGTCATGATGTTTTCTTCTAACTTCTTTCTTAAAAATTTAACAGATTGTGATTTATGTTGTCTATTATCCACTTAAAATTAATTTTTGTGTATGACGTTATTTTAGGGTTAAGTTATAGTTAATCAACCATACCTAGCTGATTCAGCACCATTTGTTGAAAACATTATTTCTTTTCTTTGTAATCATTTTGGCTATTAGTATAAATAAAATTATTATGCATATGTTTATTTACTGCTTGATTCTATAAACTGTTCCATTACTTTCTTTTTCTATCTTTATACCACTATCACACAGTCTTGAGTATTACCAAATTATGAGAAGCCTTGAAATCAAATAAGGTGAGTTCGCAAACTTTGTTATTTTTATTTTTTGCAACACTGATTTTGCTGTTTAAGGTCTCTTGAAATTCCCAATAATTTTAAAATCAGTTTGTCAAACCATGCTAGGTGTTAGGTTTGTGATTATGTTAATCTATGTAACAATATTGGGAAAATTAGTATCTCTAGTTCATAAATTTGTCATATTTCTTCATTTATTTGACACATTTTAGTTTATCTCAATGATGTTTTGTAGCTTGCAGTCTAGAGTCCCTCTACACTATTGTAAATAAAAATTTGTTAAGTTTTATTTACCAATTGTTTGTGTGAGCTTATCAAAATAGAAATTATTTTTTATATGAAGCTTATATTCTTCAACCTTGTTGCTTAACAAATTTAATGAGCTTTTATTGATTTCTTGATATGTCCTATGTAGACAATATGTCATATACCAGTAAAGACAGTTTTGATTTCAGCTTTCCAACATTTTAAACATTATCAAATAATTTATTGTATTTATTGAGTTAATCACATAATTTATTGTATATATTGAGTTAATCATATAATTTATATCCCTAATTAGATTAATATGGTTGAATAACTTAATTGATTTTCAAATATTGAACTAATGTTGCATTTTAGGGACAAATCTTACTTGATCATGATATATTAAGCTCCTTATATATTGCTAAATTCTAATTTCTAATACTTTATGATGATAGTTACATCATGTTTATTAGGATTATTGGCTTGTAATTAATTTTTTATGGTTATTAGAATTATTGTAATTAATTACTTTTCAGATTTTATTATCAGGGTTATGCTAACCTCATAAGACAAGCTGAGAAGTTATTTTCTCCTCTTCTGTATTGTGAAAGTGCCTGCAAAATTGATTTATTTTTAATATTTGATAGAACTCATCTTGTAAAATGACTTGGGCATGGTGTTTTCTTTTTGGTATTCATATTATAAATTCAATTTTTAACAGCTATTGAACTAGTCACATGTTATTACCTCTCCAGTATTATTAAATTGCCTTTTAGAACAAATTATCAATTGTTCATATTTGGCCCTTGTTATCCTCTCAACAGCTGAGGTTTTGACAATATTTCTGTCTTTTATAGCCAGTATTGATCATTTGTGCTTCATCTCTTTTTCCCCATTCAATTTTGCTAAGAATTTATTCATGTAAGGTTAATTCAAAGAAGAATATTTTGGCTTTGTTAAATTTATTTATTGTTTGGTATTTCATTTACAACTGCTCTTATATGTGTTGTCTTCTTTCTCTTATTAATTTGATTTAATTTGTTTTTCTTTTCAAACCTGAGAAAACTTAGATAACGATTTTAAACTTTTGTTCTTTTCTAATAGCATTGGATGATATATATTTCCTTCTAAGCACTACTTTGCATTCAACAAATTTTGATGTATTGTCTTTTTATTTTCATTGCTTTAAAATGTTTTCTAATTTTCACTGTAATTTTTTCTTGAATTTTTAAGATATTTAAGTGTGTGTTTAATTTCCATTATTTATGGATTTTTCAGATATCTTATTAGTACTGAATTTCATTTTCATTATAGTCAGAAGACATATTTTATAAAACTTCCGTTTTTTGAAATTTATTGACATTTCTAGACATCCAGCATATGGCTCTTCTTGGTGAATTTTCCATGTGTACTTAAAAAAAAATGTGTATTTAATAGTGTTGGGCTTCATATTTGGTAAATATTAATGTGACCAATTTGATTGACAGGGTTATTTAAATCTATATCCTTACTAATTTTTTCCTACTTATTACATTAATTACTAAGACATGGTTGTTAAAATCTCCACTTATGATTGTGAATTTATCTATTTATTCCATTTAGTTCTGTCAGTTTTTAATTCATGTATTTTTAAACTCTTTTATCAGGTACATTTTTATATCTTCCTATTGAATTTATCCTTTTTATCAGCAAGCATTATACTTCTTTATCTCTATTAATATATTTGGCTTGTAAGTCTACTTTTTCTGATATTAATATGACCACATCAGCTTTCTAATTTTTAGTATTTGCAAGTCATGGCATATATGATTTTCTATACTTTTAGTTTCAACTGGATTTTGTTTTTATAATTAAAGTGTAATTTTTACAAACATCCTATGTAGGCTAAAATGCTATTAAGATAATCATTGCATTTTATTTAATTTATACATAGTATAATTATTTGTTTATTTTTAAGTCTACTGTACTGTTATTTGTTTTCTATTTTTGCCATAAAAGTGAGTAGCCAATTTTTATTAAGTTCTTACATTTCAATTTGACATCCACAAATATTAATGAACAACACATCTAACACCACTGGAAAACTGGGCTTAAATAACACAAGGCCATTATTAAATGATCAATTCAGAAGAGTTAATCGTGAAGTAGTACTATGCTGAATCTAGCAGACTGTGGTAAGTTAAGAATTTTTATTGTAATTTCTAACATAATATGGAATTTTATAAAATATTATATAATTAATATAGGAAACAAAATAAAATATTAGAATTATTAAATTTTACTTAAAAATTTTAAATAAATTTTTTAAATTAAATTATCACAAAAGAAAGAAGAGAAAAAGGAACAGAAAAAGTATAGGCCTTTCTTGTTCCTACTGGTGCAATATTCCTAGAAAATTTGTTTACAGTTTTGTTTCATTATGTTTTGAAACATTAATCTTAGAAGTTTATGACCTGTGTATCTGTCAGTCCTTTTTCTCTTAATAACATCCTTCCTTGGAAGTCTTAAAGTCTTTTGGAAAGTAAAATTCCTGGAGACTTGCTCTAATTTCCTAAAGGTCCTATGCAAAGTACATATATAAAACCCCCATTGTTACCCTTGCCATAACCAGAAGAAAAATAGTAATAATAACTATTAGAAAAACATATTATTTGTTTATTGCTTACTGTGCACCACATGTGAGCTAAGCACTTTATATATGGAATCTCATTTAAATGCACAAAAATTCTGGAAAGTAACCTTATTGCACAAGTAAGTAATTTGCCCAAGGCAATTTGGAACGATGGAAGAATGATGCTTCAAATCTAGATTGGTTTGGCTCCAAAGCATTTTCTCTAACCTTACCCTACATTGCTGTAGAAAATAAATCTCATTATTCTATCCACATTTTGAAGAAATACACATTCTACTTCCTGATGATTCTACACATAATACACTGCTGCTGCACACTCCTTCAGTCTGTCTTGATTATCTTAGAGCTGGGCCATGAAATCATTTTGTTGATCAGCTGTCCATTTTGTGTTTCTATTAAGTTGTAACCATTCTAATCCAAGCTCTTAAAAGTCTTCTGAGGGTCTGGGTTTTTATTTCTGTATCTTGACATAGATTAACATTTGAAACATATCTGTTTTTCTGTGATTACGAATCAGTATTTTAATAATTTTAGACATTTTGCAGCATCCATAGTTGCCCACAGATCTCTACAATACCTAGTGCTTTAAAAATAGGCTTGGAACTTTGACTCTCTTTTTAATCCCTTATTGTTTTTTTCTACAAGGTATCTTTGGGCAAATTTTTGTTGTTAATCTAAGCTTCTAAAGCAATGTACTGGTGTTCATGAGCATGGTCTGTCTGATTATAGCTTCATTACATATGATTTATTAATTCTTGCAAGGACTAAGCTGAATTTAGAGACCAATCTTCTGCAAGCATGTAGAGAACCAAAACCTGTGATCAACAACCATCAGTTACTTTAATTCTTTTGACCATTTACTTTATTATAATTAAATAAGACTGAAATACCTTTAGCACATTCAAATTACGGGCATTGCTGCCACAGAGATCTTACTGTATTAAAAACAAATTTAAAGGATCATTACTTCTGTTAAGTTGAAAACTTGTTAAGAAAGTCTACCTTGCATCTAATTGAGCTTTCCCTTAAGACAGTATGTCACAACTTTCTCCTCATCTTCACATAGTGAAACCTTTAGACACGTTATGCCTTTACCAAAAGTGATACTGATTCTCAGAAATCCTCACCCTTGCCTTGGTTATGGCCCTACTTATCCAAAAAAGGTATGTGGGAAAATTCCTCATGCTATGAGAGGAAAGAAGGAGAAAAAACTCTAGTATTATCTGGTAAAGAGACTTAAAAATTGAATATCAAAAGCTTAATTCTGACATGATGCCATTTCTTAAAGAGGGAGTCTTCTAAAAAGAACATGTATTTTAGTACTTAGGATTGGCATAGTGTAGGTTAAGTATGCCCTTGGCAATTTTATTAATAATGATTTGACTAAATAGTTTTTACACATAGAAATTATTCAAGCAATGAAGATAATGATATCAATTAATGGTCCAATGGCAATGCTCTAATCCTTTACCAGTGCTAGAAACCATGGAGGTGGTGATAATACTGCCATTTATTGAGTGCTTATTTTATAGAAGAAAGAAAATATACATTTTTTCATTTAATTTTATGAACAACCATAAGAACTAGATACTTTATTTCTGATTTTCAGATAAAGGAATTAAGTCTCAGTCCCTAATGTCAAAACTGGTAAGTTGAGCCAAGATTGGACTGTAAGTTCTGTTTGGTTCTATATGCCTGCATTAATATTAAAAAGCTAAATGACAGGTTTATGCCACTAGACTACTTAAAAAATTAAAATTAAAACTTTGGAAAAATTGCTGGTAGACTATGGAACAAAATTTGTGCACCTTTGTTTTTTGGTTTAAGTCTCCAAACAAGAGTGTGATCCAAAAAAGAGTTTCAATAGAACTCTTTATTAAAAGATATGAAGCTTTTGAATGCACTGTCAGGACAGCCAAAGATCATTCTTTATCAGCTGGGAACCGTCTTCTATTTTGGGACTTTTCCTTGATGTCTAATAGGCTAAGTCTGGACAATATCATTTTAAGCAGCAGGTTTTCCAGATTGCCAAAGAAGGGGAGAGTTAGCAGGCTTTTCAAGATTACGGTTAAAAAACTCTCTAAAAATAACAATTCTCAGAGCCATTCAATCAACAGAGCCATTCATATAGGAAATATTCTTTTGTTTGTTTGTTTGTTTGTTTGTTTGTTTTGAGACGGAGTCTCGCTCTGTCGCGCAGGCTGAATGGAGTGCAGTGGCGCGATCTCCGCTCACTGCAAGCTCCGCCTCCCAGGTTCATGCCATTCTCCTGCCTCAGCGTCTCAAGTAGCTGGGATTACAGGCACCCGCCACCATACCTGTCTAATTTTTTGTATTTTCAGTAGAGACGGGGTTTCACCGTGTTAGCCAGGATGGTCTCCGATCTCCTGACCTCGTGATCCACCCACCTTGGCCTCCCAAAGTGCTGGGATTACAGGTGTGAGCTACCGCGCCCGGCTAGTATTCTTTCTTTTACTAAAAGTGGCCACCTTGTGTTGCTCCACATACTGCAATATATTAGACAGATATAAATATCCACTACATCAGGCATTTGAGGACCCTAATCTAGGCCCTGTGCATTAGAGTCCCACTTTGTTTCACTCTAATTGCATTCCACCCCAAGGTGAAGGAGTCCCTGGAATCACTAAGATATATCCATCAGGATCCATCTAGAGTTCACAACCCAGCTTGAACTTCAGAAATATCTGTTTAAATAAACTTGCTAACCTGTAAACAGAGGTGCATTCTCTCTCCCAAGTCACATTTCTTGAGGATGTTTTGAGCTGCCAGTTGTTCGGGGAGGGTGAGTAAAAAGATTTTGGATGTGTGACTGGATAGCCGCATGCATGTAAGAAAGGCAACCTGCAATGTATGGTAGTGTTAGAGGTAGGAAGGGAAGGCAGATGGCCCACACATGTATTAAATATTAATAACAGAAGTGGTTGAGAGTATGTGCATGAATTAACAGGGGTAAATGCATATGTATTTGCTAGGATGATCAATGAAAAAGATGAAACTATACTTCATGAACCTTCAATTTCAACTTGGTATATAATCTATATAATGTCTGTTGTTACTGATCCACCCATGCCTCACCTCACTGAGATCTTAAATTATATCAGTCTTTTTTTATTGTTAAAATAACTTCCATGAAAAATCTGGAGTAGCTTGGCTGTAATGATCATAAAGAACTGTTTCTCAAATATAATCCTCAAATTTGCAATTCATAAATAACTTTAGAGAGGCCTCATTTTGTCATGCCTTTTCACTATTAAAAATTTGTATGATGAACCTAATTAGGATTACATCATTTTACATATTCATGTGAAAAAGATGGCATGTCAAATAATGTGTGGACAAAAAGTATAATAATGCTATGGATGCTTTTCTTAATATTCTGAAAGAGTCCCTTTATGATGCCACAAAGGATTTCGAGTGGTTTGATTATGACCATAGTCTGTCAAAATAACAAAATCAATTTGGTCAAACTTCAACCAAAAGGGGAAAAGGTTGAAACTGTTATTGAATCTTAATTGATTTGAGGGTAAATTGAACTTACCAGTTAATTATTTCAAGAAAGCTGATGTAGTAGTTCTACATGAAATATTTATCTTCCTTCTTAATAGTCCCTTGTCCTTTTATATAAATATTTTTAAATTTCTATAAAAGCCTGTGTTAAGCTTAGTTGTAAGGAAACAAAAATAAATCTAAATAATACCTTTGTTTTATGGAACATTGAACCCCGAATCTTATAATCTAAACAATTATTGCTATTTTCTATTTCTCAGAGGATTGTGCTTAATTGCATATTTGTTATTCTAGCTTTTCACATTTCCACAAACTTCTTAAGTTTTGGTTCAAAGAGGAGAAAAAACTATTAAATTTGTTTTTTTAGTTTGATGATACAAAACCTAGTGCTGAGCTAAGGTGTATCAGTTTACATAGTAAATAATGGAATATATCATCACAACTAAAAAGTACAATCCAAGGAAATCATCTTTTTTAACCCTCTTTGTCAAGTGAGATGTGTCACTA
Source organism: Homo sapiens (assembly GCF_000001405.40). Classification (NCBI taxonomy): domain Eukaryota; kingdom Metazoa; phylum Chordata; class Mammalia; order Primates; family Hominidae; genus Homo; species Homo sapiens. The sequence continues at coordinate 76,994,093 of NC_000006.12, read as the reverse complement.
AAGAAATGGCTAATTATCAGCTAAACCTCTGCTTAGAATGCCTACTGACAGCAAATAAAATATCTCAAGAAGAAAAACAACATAGTGGGGGATTAAATAAAAATGTAGTAAGAAGGATTCAAACTGAACTTTACTAAAACAATGCATCTTCTTGAGGAAAACATCTGAGTCCTAGAAATGACTTAAAAGAATAAAAAGAAGAGGCGACACCTGAAAAACACTAGATCTTCAAAATGACTTAGAAGGCACAAGAGAATTAATGAGCAATCTAACATTGTTGGTGGATCCAATGATAAACTCATCATTTGGGGAAATTATTCTAGAAAGAATCTCAAAACTAAGTATACAAGAATCATTCAAATTGGCTTTGAAGAGCTAGGGAATTTTGTAATGTAACTGACTTTCCAACATGGTACAACATGAACTAATTGAAAATTCTCTTTTGGAGAAATTGGAGTTCTCACATACAGTCTTATTGAGACATATCTCATTTGGTCTATTAGCTTAGGAAAATCTCTTAATTCTGGGCAGGATGTAGCAACATGGGACCAAGACAGGAACAGGCCACTAGGCTCAGGCAGGTGATGGGATGCCCTAGGCTTTATGTCCTACCAGCAGGACTTCACAAGAGAAAGGCAAAAGGATAGACATCAAAGGTCTGAAATAGAATATATTTTGAACACTGTTGATCCAAAATGTTATGGTGGGACATATAAACATATGTCAAGCAGTCTAGGCTTCTTTGTAATTGATGCAGACAAACCCTGTGCATTTGGGAGACTATCCTAAACGTCTGGGTTGGTCCCACTCTTGGGGAATTCATTCAAGGCTGGATCTCCAAAAACAAGAAAATTAACTGAGCGGAGTGGAGGGGGAAACTAAGCACTGTCTTTGAATATGTTTCTGTCTCACCCGGGGAGGTTTTTAAAAATATAGATCACAACCCCTACTCAAAATCTCTCGGATAAAAATTTACTGGGGCAAAGACCATGAATCTGCATTTTAGATAAATACCCAAGTCATCCTGTGTTGTGAAATGAAAATCAAACAGTGGAGGATATGATAAACTTGATGGTTTAGTTGAATAAGACTTCATGATGGAGTTCAAAGAGCAACTAAGTATTAGAATGAGAGATGTTAAAGGTGGAAGTGGAATGAGATATAGGTATGAGAATTGTATGTACTAGTTTTATTGAGATGGGAAAAGCTCTTTTTTTCCCCTGGAAGGGTGTGCAACAGGGGTGTGACTCGCTTCTTCAGTGCCCCTCTGCTCAAACTCCTAGGGGGAGCATGCAGTCGGGCATGTTGTGGGGAACGTTTGGGTTCTGGCCCCAAGGCAGCGTCTAGGGTTGTGTTTACAGCTCCCGAAGCCCCAGTCGGCATGCGGTTACAGTGTGCTCTTTGTTTTGCCTTCTGCAGGCAGCTTGTGTTAATCAGCTCAATTGGATGTTCTGCCTTATCACAAGGACAGAGGGCTTTCCGTGCTCTAGTGTACCAGAAAAATCAGATCACACGTGGGCTTGGAAGATGGGTGCAGGTTCTATGGAGTAGAGGTACCTCTCAGTGAGGTGGATGGGGAGGCAAGAAGGGGGAAGAAGTGGGAAGGTGGTCCTCCCTTGGGGTCAGCTGCCCAGCAGCCGAACTCTCCACCGACCATCCCCCGGCTGACTTCCATATTTTCCCACTGTCGATGGACGATAGACTGCCAGCGTCTGCTGGCATCTGCCCTTTTGCTCCTCTGCTCCTTTTGACATCTAACCACTTGTGTGTGTGCCCACTAGGGTCTCAGGATTTTTATAGGCACAGAATTAGGGGTGGGAGGATCCCTGGTGGGCCAGAGCGGTCTTGAAAAATGCAACATTTGGGCACAAAAACAGGAGTGTCTGTCCTCACTTAGGTCCATGGGCACATGTCCAAGGGTGGAGCCCTTGCCAGGGACCCTGCCCTTCTCTATCCAGCACTTCCCTGCCCCTCTCCTGTATCATTTCTCTCCTCTGAAGAGACATATCTAACTGCTGTTAGAATATGGAGGACAACCGGTCTTAGCTATTTCCTGCTGACAGGGGGGTCTTGTTTTGGGGAAAATGGCAGTCAGATTCCTCCCAGAGGTCTATCTAAGGGTTCCTGGCAAAGGAGAGCCATCGTCTGAGGCACCAGTTGCCTGTCTGTTTGGAGTTTGATGGCCTGTAAGTGAGAGAAAAGAAACAAATTTTATAAGGTTTAGTATGCATGTGTTAAACATGTGTATTATACCAGGAAAGAATCTAGTGCCAAGGATTACAGAGATAAGAAGTGAAATATACTAACAACAACATTGTACCCTGAGCTGTTTCACCCTGGTGAAAGAAATTAAACTTTGTATGTGAGCAGTTAAACTTTAGAAGAGAGATAACTGTTCTTGCCATATCTTTAACAGTTAACAGGTGTACCATGGGGCTTCTGGGGTTGGTGGGCTTGCACAGTGATTATTAAAGCTTCTGCCTCTTTCTTGTGTCTCCCTTTCTCCATTGTAAAAGACCAAGGTGGCCACTTTCAGGAGGTCCTCTAATGTACTATCTGGTCCGGAGGCCCGTTTCTGCAACTTCCTCCTGATATCAGGAGCTGCCTCAGTAATAAATTTATTCTTTAGGATTAGCTGTCCCTCGACCGAATCAGGAGATAAAGAGGTGTGCTTTACCAAGGCCTCTCTTAGCCTTTCCAGGAATACAGTGGGATTTTTATTAAACCACTGGTCAGTTATGGACAACTTAGTATAATTGAGAGTCGTGGTCCTAGTTCTACATAAGCCTTCCATTATGTACATTTGAAAGTGTCTCCTCTTCCAGTCTTCCATCTTGTCATTGTGATCCCATTTAGAGTCATTTAAAGGTACTTCTTCTCTTCTAGTTGGATAATATTTGACCCCTTCTCTGGTGCTATATATGATGCAAAGCTCATCCCCAAATTTCTCTGCTGCTTGCAGAGTGGCCTGCTTCTCATTATCCATCAGGGTCTGATTCAAAAGTAACATAACAGCTCTAGGGGAGAGTTCAAATATTTGGGTGAAATTCTGGAAAGCCTCTATGTATCTCGCAGGGTCATCTGAAAACTTGCCAAGATCTCCTTTAATTTGCTTTTAAGTCTTGTAGGGAGAAGGGGACCTAGACCTTACTGAGCCCAAATTCACTGGACATCTGTTGGAGGGACAAGAGTAAGACTGGGACTTGTTTAGGATGAGGATTTCTAGGAGTGGTTAAATGAGAGGCTGAAACTGGGTAGGGAAGTCAGGGTGGACCTGGAGGAGCAAGGCTTGAGGGGGCTGGCTTCTCTGCTGGGAATGACTCTTGGATTCGTATCTTTAATTCTCTGGGCTTGCCCATTGCAGCATTCCCTGAGACAGCAAACAGGAGGGCTGGATCAATTCTACACTCTTGGCAAAGGTCTGAATTGCCTTGTGAGGTATAGAAAGCCTGAACATATGGGGCCTCAGACCATCTGTCCTTAGATCTACAGAAGAGTTCCAACTGCTGGATGGTATTGAAATGAATGGCTCCTTCCTGGGGCTAAACCAGTCCTTTATAATTTGGTCACACCTTTGTACAGAGGTGTACAAATGCCTCTATGAGGCATTTTTCCTCCAGATTCTGAGAGTCAAAGCAGACCCAATGTTTCAGGATACACTCCAGAGGAGTACAAGCTGGGGGTGGTGAAGTGAGCTGGTTGCCCATTCTGAAAGACAGGGAATAGAGGCATTCCCCATTTCCCTTCTTTCTTTCAGTGAAAACTCAGGGTGTGACAGAGAGTGAAGGCGAGTGCCCTCCTTTCCCTCCCATATTTTTATCCCTGAGTCCCAGGGTTATTGGCAGGTGCCAGCCATAGGTACAATGCAGTGTGTACCCATGAAGCAGGGAAAAACCTAGAGAATGGGAATTAACCACCCTCACCTACGCCTCCATTTTCCCCTGCTATCGACAACCTTTGAGTTCCCTGGGCCTGTCAATGCCATGGAGCATGGCCTCCTTCCATAGGGTGGGGGGTTCAGTCAGCAGGAATTGGTCCTGTCCATTTACATTCTGCCTGTTGCCTAGCTTTAGATCCATCAGACCTAGCTTTCCTTTCTAGGACCTCAGCCTGAAGTTTGGAATCTAGTTTGGGACTGAAAAGGTATTTCAGAGGTTGTTTGTATCTATCTGGAGTGTCTCAAATGAACCCTGCCAAATTTGCTGTTATCAGCCAGTGGGGCTATTCCTCCATTAACTTCTCTATCACAAACAGAGTGCTAGGAAGGGGAGCCCTCTAGAAAAGGAAAAAAGAAAAAAACAGTTTATGGAGAAAAATGGGGAGGCCCTGGGGGAAGAACCCATTGCTCAGTGCAAATGGGCCCCTTTAATCCTTGTATCTGTCCCCAGGTTTGGACTGGCTTGAATTTCTTGGCTAGGGGAGAAAAGTTCCATTGGCCCAGTGGGCGAGAAGCATCCGCTCATGGGCCCTGTGGGGTCCTGGCTACTAGCTGTGGTTTTCCCCCACCCCCACCTCATGGCTGTTGGACTTTGCATGCAGTGAATGTGCCCACGTGCTCAAGCTGGGAGAGGAGAGGGGAAGGGAGGTGCCCTGAGCAGCACACGCCTGCCACAGTCCGTGTGGGGGTAGAGATGGTACCTCTAGGAACAGTTGGTCTGATTTGCACCTTTGGCAGCCTGTAGCAAAACTCTTAACATTATAAAGAAAGATATAAGAGCCATTTCAAACAGTGAAAGAGAGAAAAAAATAAGAAGTCTGGGGATTTTAACCAGCCCAGTTAGGGCAGTTAAGACTCCATGAAGGGAAACAGAGCTTTTTACCCACAGGAAAGAGAGAGAGAGGTGGCCGGGTTTTGGAAAAGAGGCAGATCTGACAGTTTCACATTTGCACTCACCTTTGGGGATTCCGGACAAGCCCCCAGTTGAAACAAGAAAAGTTCCTTTATCCCCTTCATAGGGACTGCAACAGGGGTGTGACTGGCTTCTTTGGTGCCCCTCTGCTCAAACCCCAAGCGGGTGGGGAGCATGCAGTCAGGGAGGCTGTGGAAAGCATTTTGGGCTCCAATCCCATGGTAGTATCTAGGCTTGAGTGTTTACAGCTCCTGAGGCCCCAGTGGGCATGTGTTACAGTGTGCACTTTCAGTTTTGCCATCTGCAAGTGGCTTTTGTTAATTAGCTCAACAAGGACAGAGGGCTTTCTGTATCCTGGGTTCTTGCCTTCATGTACCGGAAAAATTGGATCACACATAGGCTTTGAGGGTGGGTGCAAGATTTTATTGAGCGGAGGTAGCTCTCAGCAAGATGGATGGGGAGAACAGAAGGAGGATTAAGTGGGAATGTGGAGTTGGCTGCCCAGTGGCCAGACTCTCCTCTAATCATCCCCTGCCAAATTCCAAGTCATCCTCATCCTGCCCTCGATGGCCTGCGAGCATTTGCTGGTGTCTGTCAGTGTGCTCTTCTGCTCCTCTCAACGTCCAGCCACTTCTGTGTGTGCCTGTTAGGGTCTCGGGATTTTTATAAGCACAGGATGGAGCATGTGTTGGGTCAGAGTGGTCTTGGAAAATGCAACATTTGGGTGCAAAAACAGGAGTGCTTGTCCATACTTAGGTCCATGGGCACAGGCCTGAGGGTGGAGCCCTCACCAGGGACCCCATCCTTCTCTATCCAGAACTTTGCTGCCTCCGTCCTGTATCATTATTAGCAAAATGAGGTTGATATAGCATATTGAGAAATCATATAAATCCAGAGTTTAGAAGATTAGAGTCTTCCTTGGAGACAAGTTTTGCACAGAAATACATCTGGATACAAACAAAACATAGAGATCAAAATAACAGAAAGATTGATCTTGATGCAAAAATCACCTAACAGAAAAACAACCCTAATAAAATACACTCCTGGAAGTCTTAGTGTTAGAGCAACAAGACCAAAGATAATAAATTGACTGCAGATTTAAAAAAATAAAAATTAAAAATAAAAGTAAAGTTAGATAACACAGGTTATTTTCTGTAATAAGCAACACCCAAATCCCAGTGGCTCACATTTATTACATATCACAATCTAATCATCTTGTGGAAAATCATTATGTTTCTAGGATCCTGTCCCAGTGCCAAACAAGCATCTGTATCTCTAGGTGAAAAGCAGGAAAATTTTCTTGCCAAAGGTGAGCCAACTGCAGATTATAGGCATGATTTGCTGCAATGGATAGAGTTGCAGAAAAGCTAACGGAAAAAACAAAAAACAAAACTAGAACCAGGACATAGTGCTCTAAGTCTGAGACTGGATCTAAACCACATAGAAACTTTCTGCCTCCTTCAAAAGCCTAGCACCAAGTAACAAGCTAGAGTAGTCCACTGCTGGGAAAAGGGTAAGACCATGAAGCAAGACTCCCTTTGTGGCACATGTGTAGGATAACCAAATTACAGAGTCAACCCATAACAATGCCATACCAGAACAACAACAAAAATATATATAATAATATAATGTATAGTCAATTATTATATATTTTAACATAAGAATATGACAAACAGGTATTTATTTGAAATTATGTATGTTCCATTTTTTTTTCCTTTTCTGATACATAAATACTATTGATTAATCAAAACCATTATAGGACTATCCCACAGTGACAATTAGTAATTAATAGTAAAACTAATAGAATAATTCTAAAAGAATAGACATTTAGGTATGAGAAAAATATAATATTTTTATGATGTTTATGTCATATGATACAGCAATTCATTTAAACTTGTGAAACTATGGGATATTTAAATTTTCCAGACTATGTTATTTTGTAATAGCAATTTTGTAGGCACATGTCTAAGGAGACTATTCCCTTCCATTTCAATAAAGTAAGAAATTAAATTATAATATATAAGCGTTTTTAAAGAGAGCATAAATTACACAAATATTGTGTTTCTTCAATAAAAATAGCAGTGATACGTTTCTTTTATCACGTAGTACAATAAGATAATTTTACTTATTTTTCCTTTTCTAATAATACTTTCCCAAACAGCCTGCAGACTTTAAAAACATCTTTCTTTTCTTTTATATAGTGGCAAAGTTGAAATAATAATAAACTTTATTCTGACTTGCAGCTCTGTTTTGATCAAGTCTACATCATACACCCTTCTGATATGAAGTCCAATATGATGACATTAAACAAAATGTCCCCTCAACAAAAGCATTTGAATATTGGACACTAAAAATTTTCACTAACTTTTAGACATATAGGCATTAGTTTCCAGCTCTCCAGAAATGGTCACCCACTTTGCATCTACAAGATTGTTTTGGTAGACCAGCTATTTGTCAATTAGGTCCTTTGGATCTATAAATTCATCATATAAGTGGCCCATGCCAAAAATTTTCAATAGTTTTTAAATACTCTGAAACACATTGAATATTATCATTAGTTAAACCTCTCTTTCTCAGGGAAATGGTTTTAAAACACAAAGTTAATTCAAAAATGTAAAAGTTGCATTCTAAAAAAGTCACGGTTTTAGTAAAGTGTGAAAGTTGTGCTTAATTTGGCTGCTTTTATCTGGTGACATGTTTTTGAGTTCTGAAGCAATCTTATTTCCAAAAATGTTGTCTTTGTGTGTGTGTGTGTGAGTTTCTATTACAACCTAAACATAACATTAAACAACACAAGCATAGTCAGTTCATCCTTTTCTTGGCAAGTGATGGCCTCCTTAGAATCATCCGTTTGGAGAAACAAAATGTAAATTTCTATTTTTCTGTAATCATTTACTTAATTCTTATATCCATTAATTTTTAAATTGGAAGACACTATTCTTGTCCCACAGTTTAAAAATGTCATTTTATGGCAGAACAATATTTTGACATATTTTCTATGGCAGAAACTAATAAGCATTTTGTAAATATATATCTAAGGAGACTATCTCTTTCCATTTTAATAAAGTTAAAAAATCTCATTAAGTGTTCCTGTGCATTTTGAGGAAACTAAAAACTAAACAAAAAATTTTATGAAAACCTCAAAATCACAGGTAAACAAGTTATACTCCCTTTTGGAGTGTCGTGTACAAGGTGTATAGGACATTTAGTAGATAAGACCTTTCAGGTTTCCTTGATGAAGAAGTTTATAGACTTAATTACATTTGCCAACATTTACATTTTTACTATTTGCCAAATATGCAGATAGAGAAGAAAAGTATACTGTGTATTTGGACAAAAATATCCATAATCTTTAGTTTTATATTTTCTTACATTTCATTTAAACCTTTATAGAAATCAAAAAGGTGATTTGAGACTCTATCACTCAAATAAATGTTCCTTCTAATTGTTTGAAACGAATATTCTTGTTGTTGCCGTGATTCAAAAAAACTAATGCAGTAACAGAAAACCAAATACCGCATGTTCTCAGTTATAAGTGGGTACTAAATGATGCGAACACATGGACACATAGAGGAGAACAACACACAATGGGGCATTTTGGAGGGTGGATGGTGGGAGGAGGGAGAGGATCAGGAAAAATCACTAGTGGGTACTAGGCTTAATACCTGGAGATGAAATAATCTCTACAACAAATCCCCATGGCACATGTTACAAATGTAATAACAAACCTGCATATGTAACCCTGAACTTATTAAAATAAAAGTTTTTAAAAATCACTTTATATACTCTGGAAAGCATGATCTTCATTAAGATTTTAAGGAATCTCCATACTGAAGGGAGCACCACATCTGTTATTAAAATTTTCTCTTCAGTACTTCCACAGAACATTTTAATTGCCAGTTTTGAATAAGGAAATGTATATTTATTGAGTTTCATACAGCAATCAAAGGAACAGTACTTTAATATATGTTTGATCATGTAGTATCCCCAAACAAATTCAGTCACCCTTATTTTTATCTGAGCATTGGTTTCTTTTGGGGAGGCTAAAAACTTTTTCTTGGCTTGAAGTATCTGCCTATTGCATGTTGGACTTCAAAGCTTCCATCTTCCTGTGTGCTTTCTTATTCTCTTCTCCCCTGTGTTTAAGCCCAAATTCTTTTTTATGTATTGTACACTATGCTCTGTTTTGATTATTTATCCCCTTATTCCAGTCGTGTGTGTCCTTTCATTTGTTATTCAAATTGCCCAGTAATTTATCCTACTTTTTCAGTGATGTCTTCTGCATGCTTGTTTTCATATTGCAATTGCTTCATAATTTTAGTACTTAGAAAACATGGTCACAATATTCACAATGTTGAAAGCTAAAGTAGCACTAAGCATAACAGTCAATCCCTGGGCAAAATCAAAGATGAACTGCTAAAGGTCATAATTATTAAATTGCACATTTAAGTCATATCAATCAGTGTGATGAATCATGGATGATTCATTGTCATGAACTGCAAATCATATAGTATTCACTTGAAACTAAAAACATGGGTGCTTTCAGCCACTATTTTGGAAAATACAGCATGAGTTTTGTACATTTCCATCAATTTTTTGCCCCATCACCAAAAAGCCAAAATTTTCTGCCTCCTAGGGAGGGGTTTCTGGAAAGTAGGTTAAAACTGGAACAGACCCGGCCGGGCTCTGTGGTTCACACCTTGTATTCCCAGAACTTTGGGAGGCTGAGGCAGGTGGATCGCCTGAGGTCAGGAGTTCAAGACCAGCCTGACCAACATGGAGAAACCCCATCTCTACTAAAAATACAAAATTAGCTGTGCGTAGTTGTGCATGCCTGTAATCCCAGCTACTCGGGATGCTGAGACAGGAGAATTGCTTGAACCCGGGAGGCGGAGGTTCCAGTGAGCCGAGATAGCGCCATTGGACTCCAGCCTGGGCAACAAGAGTGAAACTCCGTCTCAAAAACAAACAAACAAACAAAAAACTGGAACAGACCCAGGCAAAGTGGGACAGTTGATGACCCAATCAGCTAGGCAGGGACTACTGAAAATTGAGTATGGAGTAGAACACTGAGAAAAACCTCCAAAGTTAAATTAATCTTGCATTTTTAGTATAAACCACCATTGTATATAGTATAGACTTTTTATGTTTCCAGATTGTATTTGCTGATAATTTGTTAAGAATTGTGTTAAAGAGTTTTGAATGTATGTTGATAGGGGATATTGGTCTATAGTTTTATTTTCTTATGATATTTTTGTCTGGTTTTTATACTTCGTTAATACTGCCTTCATAATATGAATTGGGAAGTGAATGGATCTAAGACGACCAAAATGTCCTCTTCCTTTCCATTCAGATTCTATCATCTTATTCTAGGTTTATTTCACCAAACTGGTCTTTTTCAACACTTCTAATTTCCTGTTAGGCATCTAGTCATCTCCCTTATCCAGTCCTACTTGCATACCACTGTCAATTCAATGTTAAAGATGCACAAATTTTATATCTTTATTATTGTATTTAAAGGACTCCTGGTTTCCTATGTAACAAAATAGAAATATTTTTTTAACATCACATCTAAAGTCCTTCACCATCTGTAATTTTCCTTTGGATCTTCAAATTCTTTATCCCAGCAGTTTTTAACTGAGCTGCATATTAAAACCACTTGTGGAACATTTTAAAAATAGGTTACATCATGTCGTAAATTATGTTGTTGCCGTTGTGGCCTCCAAGTATGCACTGAGCAAGCTATTTAAGAGGTCACAGAATTGAAAAGTTCACAGACCAAACAAAAATTCTTGAAAGGGTTGGTAATTAAGTCAATTTAAACATACACTGAGAAGCAAAGAGACAAAGATGTATGGATTATCACATTCATAATAACATACAAGCAGGAAGGACTCACAACTGAATCCTGACGTGTTCAATGATTACATGTGTTGTATCTCTCTCTCTGCCACATCAGGCTTCCCCACTGATGGTACGGTCATAAGGACCAGAATTGTTTTAAGCAATGGACCCCTCATATGGAAGGTGACTTGGTCTTGCTTTTTTGGATAAATGCAAGAACAACTACTTCTGTCAGCAGCTATAGCTTGCCAATTTGGCTGACAAGCTCCCATGGATTTTATTAGTGTGTTTTGGGCAAAGAACACATGGGGCTGAAAAGTTCTCCAGATGGTTCCACTGTACATCTGTGGCTGAGATTTCCTACTGTATTCCACTGAGGCTGGCTAAGAAACCACCCCTACCAATATGCACCACACCAAGAGTCCTTACCTCCTCCACATTCTTATGCATGCCATTGCATCTCACACTCCTGGGATCTCCCTTTCTAGCAAAATTTTATCTAAGATTCATTTCCCCGTAAAGCTTTCTGTAATCATTCATCTATGTTACAAATTCAGCGTCTCAGATGTTAATTTGCAATGAATTTAGAACAATCCGCAATTCAAATTTTTTTCTGAATATCCACTATCATTTTCTACTTATTCCTACATATGCTGGACTATTACTCTTACAGTGTTTCCATTTATTTATGTATGGTACTTGATTTATTGTTACTGAACTCCTCATTTGTGTATATTTACACTGTGCAATGATAAGAATTTGGGCAGCAGCTGAAGAAAGAGTGAATATGAAACAACCTCAAGCAACCTCAGGGTAGTTAAACTTATGAAAATAATTATGATACAGCCAAACAGACTTGACCTATTGTTGCCAGGAGAGAAAGAGGGAGTAGGAGAAAGAAAGACAGGGAGCTTTTAAATTTTAAAAATGAAAATTCCTGTAAGTAAAACAGAATCTTCCCTGACCACCTCAGTGGATCCAAAGACATCATCATCTAATGAAAAACTGCACTTCATTTCAAATTACCCTACTTATCCCTTTTATAGACTATAGTTTTTTAAAAAAAAATCTTGAAGACATATTTGTGTTGTTAGTTATGGCGTATCCCATCTTTGTTCACATTCTCAGCAGTAAGTGGCACCTAATTTACATAGACAACATCACACACTAGAACAAATAATAAAAAGCCCAATAAATAAAACTCTGTTTTTGCTGACACCAAGTAGGATAGCATTTAGAAAACTTGTATCTTTGTTTTTGTTTTCTAATAACCTTGTTTTGTTTTCTTATAATTTATAACACCATTTAGTAAGTTACCTGTATTTGCCATTAAAGAAAAAATTTCTTATGTTACGCAAACTTTAAAATTATCTATTTGGGCCGGGCGCGGTGGCTCATGCCTGTAATCCCAGCACTTTGGGAGGCCGAGATGGGAGGATCACGAGGTCAGGAGATCGAGACCATCCTGGCTAACATGGTGAAACCCCGACTTTACTAAAAAATACAAAAAATTAGCCGGGCATGGTGGCGGGGGGCCTGTAGTCCCAGCTACTTGGGAGGCTGAGGCAGGAGAATGGCATGAACCTGGGAGGCAGAGCTTGCAGTAAGCCAAGACAGCGCCACTGCACTCCAGCCTGGGCGACAGAGCGAGACTCCGTCTCAAAAAAAAAAAAAATTCATCTCTTTGATTTGATGATATAGTTGTTTTAATTAATTCAAAAATATTATCTTAAAATTTGATTTTGAACACATATCTGACTGAATTAATGCTGTTTATTAAAATTATGCAAAATAAAACTTTAATATCAGGTTTGTTATGTGTGTAAAGAGAAATACACTCCCAGTAGAATTATTGGGGGATAGAATTTTCCATTAGGTTGTTAGAATTATTGATTGAAACTACTGCTATTACATTACACATGACAAAAAGTATTAAGGAACTGTTGCTCACAAAGTGTTATGAAACACTGTCTCCTAATCCGTCAGTAAGCAGCTGGGAAATACCTGAAGGTATGCTGTGGCCTTGGTTAGATATTAGGTAAATTATTAATTTATCTTGTCAAAAGTTGCTATATATTATAGATGGTTAGAATTAAAAGTGCCACTTTCATTACTGATATCTTTAAGCAATTAACCTCATTTGATTTTTTTAACGTCCTCAATTCCTGCAGCAAGTGGAATACCTTAAAATCTCCTTCTACGCTTGAATGATTATTATTATTACATTATAAATGCTAATAAATACAAAATGTTATCAGGATTATAACTTATGTTATATTTATTTTATTGTTTGTTTGGGCTAGACTGAACTACCAGTAAAAGTTAAAGGTTTTGAAAAGTTTAATGCCAAGATAAAGACAAATTATGTGTGTGCCTTAGTCTGTTTGTATTTCTATAAAGGAATATCTGAGGCTGGGTAATTTATTTATTTTTATTTTTATTTTATTATTTTTTATTATACTTTAAGTTCTGGGATACATGTGCAGAACGTGCAGGTTTATTACATAGGTATACACACGCCATGATGGTTTTCTGCACCCATAAACCTGTCATCTACAATAAGTATTTCTCCTAATTCTATCCTTCCCCTAGTCCCCCAACCCCCGAGAGGCCTCCGTGTGTGATGTTCCACTCCCTGTGACCATGTGTTCTCAATGTTCTACTCCCAAATTGACCACATTATTGGAAGTGAAACACTCCTCAGCAAATGCAAAAGAACGGAAATCATAACAAATAGTCTCTCAGGCCACAGTGCAATCAAATTAGAACTCAGGATTAAGAAACTCACCCAAAACTGCACAACTACGTGGAAACTGAACAACATGCCCCTGAATGACTACTGGGTAAATAACGAAATTAAGCCAGAAATAAACAAGTTCTTTGAAGCCAATGAGAACAAAGACACAACGTACCAGAATCTCTGGGACACAGCTAAAGCAGTGTTTACAGGGAACTTTATAGCACTAAATGCCCACAGGAGAAAGTGGGAAAGATCTAAAATTGACAACCTAACATTACAATTAAAAGAACTAGAGAAGCAAGGGCAAACAAATTCAAAAACTAGCAGAAGACAAGAAAGAACTAAGATTAGAGCAGAACCGAAGGAGATAGAGACACGAAAAACCCTTCAAAAAATCAATGAATGCAGGAGGTGGTTTTTCGAAAAAAATTAACAAAATAGGTAGACCACTAGGCCAGACTAATAAAGAAGAAAAGAGAGAAGAATCAAATAGACACAACAAAAATGATAAAGGGGATATCACCACTGATCCCACAGAAACACAAACTATCATCAGAAAATACTATAAACACCTCTACACAAATAAACTAGAAAATCTAGAGGAAATGTACAAATTCCTGGACACATGCACCCTCCCAAGACTAGACAAGGAAGAAGGCGAATCCCTGAATAGACCAATAACAGGTTCTGAAATTGAGGCAGTAATTAATAGCCTACCCACCAAAAAGAGCCCAGGACCAGATGGATTCACAGCCGAATTCTACCAGAGGTACAAAGAGGAGCTGGTACCATTCCTTCTGAAACTTTTCCAAACAACAGAAAAAGAGGGACTCCTCCCTAACTCATTTTATGAGGTCAGCATTATCCTGATAACAAAACCTGGCAGAGACCCAACAAAAAAAGAAAATTTCAGGCCAATATCCCCGATGAACATCAATGTGAAAATCCTCAATAAAATACTGGCAAATCGAATCCAGCAGCACATCAAAAAGCTTATCCACCATATCAAGTCGGCTTCATCCCTGGGATGCAAGGCTCATTCAACATATACAAATCAATAAATGTAACCCATCACATAAACAGAACCAATGACAAAAATCACGTGATTATCTCAATAGATGCAGAAAAGGGCTTTGATAAAATTCAACACCCCTTTATGCTAAAAAATCTCAATAAACTAGGTATTGATGGAATGTATCTCAAAATAATAAGAGCTATTTATGACAAATCCACAGCCAATAGCATACTGAATGGGCAAAAGCTGGAAGCATTCCCTTTGAAAACCGGCACAAGACAAGGATGTCCTCTCTCACCACTCCTATTCAACATAGTGCTGGAAGTTCTGGCCAGGGCAATCAGGCAAGATAAAGAAATAAAGGGGATTCAAATAGGAAGAGAGGAAGTCAAATTGTCTCTGTTTGCAGATGACATGATTGCATATTTAGAAAACCCCATCGTCTCAGCCCCAAATCTCCTTAAGCTGATAAGCAACTTTAACAAAGTCCCAGGATACAAAATCAACGTGCAAAAATCAGAAGCATTCTTATACGCCAATAACGGACAGAGAGCCAAATCATGAGTGAACTCCCATTCATAATTGCTTCAAAGAGAATAAAATATCTAGGAATCCAACTTACAAGGGATGTGAAGGAACTGTTCAAGGAGAACTACAAACCACTGCTCAAGGAAATAAGAGAGGACACAAACAAATGGAAAAACATTCCATGCTCATGGATAGGAAGAATCAATATCATGAAAATGGCCATACTGCCCAAAGTAATTTATAGATTTAATGCTATCCCCATCAAGATACCACTGACTTTCTTCACAGAATTAAAAAAAACTACTTAAATTTCATATGAAACAAACTATACATATATATATGTGTATATATAATATATATATTTTGTGTATATATTATATATATATTTTATAAATATATATTTTATTTTATTATATATATAAAATATATATTTTATATATAATATAAATATTTATATTTTATATATATAATATAAATATTTATATTATATATAATATATATTATATAATATATATTTTATATATATTATAAATAATTTTATAAAATAAATTTTATAAATAAATATACATATATATATTTTAAAAAGGTTTATCTGGCTCATGGTTATGTAGGCTGTACTAGAAGCATGGCACCACATCTGAATTTGGTGAGGGTCCCAGGCTGCTTCCACTTATGGCAGAGGGTGAAGGGGAGACTGTGTGTAGAGATCATATGGCCAGAGAGGAAGCAAGAGGCAGTGGGCAGATGTCAGGCTCTTTTCAACAACAAGTTCTCATGGAAACTAATAGGGAGAACTTATTACCAAAGAGAATGGCACCAAGCTATTCATGAGAGATTTGCCCCAACGACTCAAAACACCTTCTACCAGGCCCCACCTTCAACACTGGGGAACAAATTTTAACATGAAACTTGGTGGGGGCCAAACAAACCATACTCAAACCATAGCAGTGGGCCTTTAGGTAGATTAGATAATTATATAAGAAATAGTAACTGGCTTCTAATCCTGGAAATTTCAATTTTTGGCAAAAATATAACATTTCAAGTTTTTGAATGTTCAAATTAATTTATAGTAATGAAAATCATATTCTTTTATTTATCATTTATAATATAGCAATATATAGCATACTTACCTTTTACATAAAACATTTAAAAAGGAAATTCTTGTGGAAAGTTAAAAACTTATCTTTTATAAAATGCTAGATTTCTTTATTTGAATAGCATCTGTCCTGATATAAGTGCCTCCTTTGCAAAGATGATATGAAAAACTCACCACTTAAGGATTCCCTATTTAATAAATGGTGCTGGGAAAACTGGCTAGCCATATGTAGAAAGCTGAAACTGGATCCCTTCCTTACACCTTATACAAAAATCAATTCAAGATGGATTAAAGACTTACATGTTAGACCTAAAACCATAAAAACCCTAGAAGAAAACCTAGGCAATACCATTCAGGACATAGGCATGGGCAAGGACTTCATGTCTAAAACACCAAAAGCAATGGCAACAAAAGCCAAAATTGACAAATTGGATCTAATTAAACTAAAGAGCTTCTGCACAGCAAAACAAACTATCATCAGAGTGAACAGGCAACCTACAGAATGGGAGAAAATTTTCACAACCTACTCATCTGACAAAGGGCTAATATCTAGAATCTACAATGAACTCAAACAAATTTACAAGAAAAAATCAAACAACCCCATCAAAAAGTGGGTGAAGGACATGAACAGTCACTTCTCAAAAGAAGACATTTATGCAGCCAAAAAACACATGAAAAAATGCTCATCATCACTGGCCATCAGAGAAATGCAAATCAAAACCACAATGAGATACCATCTCACACCAGTTAGAATGACGATCATTAAAAAGTCAGGAAACAACAGGTGCTGGAGAGGATGTGGAGAAATAGGAACACTTTTACACTGTTGGTGGGACTGTAAACTGGTTCAACCATTGTGGAAGTCAGTGTGGCGATTCCTCAGGGATCTAGAACTAGAAATACCATTTGATCCAGCCATCCCATTACTGGGTATATACCCAAAGGATTATAAATCATGCTGCTATAAAGACACATGCACACGTATGTTTATTGCGGCATTAATCACAGTAGCAAAGACTTGGAACCAACCCAAATGTCCAACAATGATAGACTGGATTAAGAAAATGTGGCACATATACACCATGGAATACTATGCAGCCATAAAAAATGATGAGTTCATGTCCTTTGTAGGGACATGGATGAAATTGGAAATCATCATTCTCAGTAAACTATCGCAAGAACAAAAAACCAAACACCGCATATTCTCACTCATAGGTGGGAATTGAACAATGAGATCACATGGACACAGGAAGGGGAACATCACACTCTGAGGACTGTGGTGGGGTGGGGAGAGGGGGGAGGGATAGCACTGGGAGATATACCTAATGCTAAATGACGAGTTAATGGGTGCAGCACACCAACATGGCACATGTATACATATGTAACAAACCTGCACGTTGTGCACATGTATCCTAAAACTTAAAATATAATAATAATAAAATAAAAAATAAAATAAATAAATAAATAAAATAAAAAGAAGATTGAGGGGAGTAACTAACTCATCTCTTTGTTTCTGCCCAGTCTGGGCCTTTTAATACAAGGTGTTTTCTAAAAGCTTGTTTTATAAAACAATGTTTTACATTACATTATTATGGAATCATATACAAGCTTATAATCCATTAGGGGAACAATATTTAACCTAAATCCTTATTATTGCAGTTTTTCAAAAGCTAGAAAAGCAGATTTAGTATTTTATATTTCTCTTAATTTATGAATGCCAACTATTAATAGTTTAGAGGTAGTATTAATAAGTATAAATTTATCAATTTGGGCAAAAAATAAAGAAAGAAAAGTAACTCCTCCTAAAGAAGGCATTCAGAATAAAAACTACTTTTCTAATCTAACTATTTTCTAATCTAACTATTTTCTAATCTAACTATTTTCTAATCTAACTATATGACCTGCTAGCAGTAGGTATATTAGCAAATAATAAGAGGAAATACCGAGAAAATCAATCTTGCTCTGCATGGTTCAAAGGGAACCATCAAGAAAATGAAAAGACAACACACACAGTGGGAGAAAATGCTTGAAAGTCATGTATCTTCATAGGGGACTTATACCTAGAACAGCTAAAGAAGTTTTACAACTCAATCATAAAAAGACAAATAGCTCAATTAAAAATGGGCAATATATTTGTTTGTTTGAAAAATTCACTGTGTATATTTGGAGTATATAACATGATGTTATAAGATATATATATATATACCTTAATATCATTGCTATAATGAAAAAAATTAACATATCTATTATTTCACAAAGTTACCCATCTCCCCCACCATGTTAAGAGCAACTACAATCTACTCATTTAACAAAAATTCTCAATGCAATACACTATTATTAACTATAATCCTCATGTTGCACATTAAATCTTTTGACTTATTCATCCTACATATTTTCTTTTTCTAATTTGAATAGTTTTAGGACATGAATATTCCTCCAAAGAATACACACATATCATTAGCAAATACATAAAAAGTTGCTCAACATCGTTATTCATTAGCAAAATGCAAATAAAGACTAAAGTTGCATGTTACTTTACACCCACTTGGATAACTAAAATAAAAGACAGAAAAAAGTGCTGACAAGAATGCTGACAAATTAGAACCCACATACATCACTGGTGGGATTGAAAAAAATGGGAAAACCACTTTGGAAAACATACCGGCAATTCCTCACAATGTTAAACAAAAAGTTACTATATGACCCTGAAATTTCATTCATGAATATATATCCAAAAGAAATAAAAATTTGTGTCCATGTAAAACCTTGTACGTGAATGTTCATAGCATCATGATTCCTAATAGCTCAAAAGTAGAAAACATCAAAAGTTTCCATCAACCTATGATTGGATAAACAAAATGTGGTATATTTATACTATGTAATACTATTCAGCCTTATAAAGAAAGGAAGTACTGATACTTACCACAACATGGGTGAACTCCGAAAATCTTATTCTAAGTGAAGCAAACTAGACACAAAGGCAACATACTGTATAACTCCATTTATGCGAAATTTCTAGTATAGCAGTAGGATTGGAATAGAGTAGAATGGGGAGTGACTGCTAATGGTTATGGGCTTTCTATTTTGGTGATAAAGTGTTAAAAATACATAAAGGTGATGGTTGCACAACTATGTGAATACATACTTTAAAATGATGAATTTATAGTATGTATGTAAGTTATATCTCCAAAAAGCTGTTATAAGAACAAAGACTTAAAACATTTTATAAAGCTTGCAGAATCTGTGTGCTTTGGGCCAGGCATTGTCAGAATGGCTTGACTTTGTCTCATATTGTCTGGATCTTCTGCTGGAAAGACTCAAGGGACTGCATGTGGCTCTATGGCTGGAGGCTAGGATCATCTAGAAGCATCATCACTTTTGTGTCAGTCAGTTGATGTTGATTGTTTTCTGAGACTTTCAGCTGGGACTGTTGGTAGCATTTACTCATCACCTCTTCATGTGCTCTGGGCTTTCTCACCACAGCATGGTGGCCACACAGCAATCAGACTTCTTATATGGCAACTCAGTGCTCCACAAGCAAGTGTTGCAGCAAGGAACACAAAATTATATTGTCTTCTCCACATAGCATCAGAATTTATGCATCACACTTCAGCCTCTTTCTATTGGTTTTGAGCAAGTCAGGAACTCATCTTAGATTCAAAGGGAGAAGATGCAGAGTCTGCCTCTAAAACAATGTCAAATAATTTATGCTTGTGTTTTTTATTATTGTGGTAAAATAAATACAAGATTTGCTATCTTAACCATTTCTAAGTGCACACTTCATTTGCATAAGTACATTCACATTGTTAATCTCCAGAATTCATATCATATTAAAAAACTAAAACTGTACCCATTAAATAACAACTTCACATTGCCTCCTTCCAGCCGCTGGCAAACATCATTCTACATTATGCCTTTATGCATTTGCCTACTTCTAGGTACCTCATATAAGTAGAATAATATAGTATTTGTCCTTTTGTGACTGGCTTGTTATACTTAGTATTATGACCTCACGATCTGCCATGTTGTAGCACATGTCAAAATCTCCTTCTTTGTTAAAGTTGGATAATATTTAATTGCATGTACATACCACATATTTTTATCCATTCATACATTGATGGACACGGTTTGCTTCTATGTTTTGGTTATTGCAGTTAATGTTGCTATGAACACGGGTGTACAAATAATCTCTATGAGACACTGTTTTCAATTCTTTTGGGTATATACCCCAAAGTGGAATTGCTGGATCATATAATAACTCTATTTTTAATATTTTGAAGAACTATTATACCATTTTCTACAGTGACTATACAATTTTATATTCCTACCACCAGTGTATAAAACTTTGAATTTCTCCACATCCCCAACAACACTTGTATTTTCTGTTTTCTCGTTTTGTTTTAGATAGTAGCCAACCCATTGAGTGTAAGATGCCATAGCTCTGCTTAAATACAAATAGGATGATAGATGCAAGAGGAAAATATCACCATTAAACTGCTCTCTTGTTTCATCAAAATGTTTTGTTTTGTTAAATTTGAGATAGCCTTGTGCCTTCGCTAATAGGATGGAAAAGAAATCGCATATTATGAAACTTCAGAGCAGAGTGTCAATAGGTGTTAAAGTTGTTTCTATTACCTTCTTAGAAATCTTCCCTGGAGTTGCCAAGTAAAAAAACAACACACTAGCCTGCTATGGTATGAGAGTTCATGTGGAGGAGATTTAAGGTATCCCAGCCTACAGTGAGCACCAATTGCCAGACATGTGAGTGAGGTCATCTTAGTCCATCCAGGCCCTACTGAGATTTCAACTGACTACCACCACATGAGTGAGTGATCCCAGAAAAACAGAAAAAAAAAAAAAAAAACACAACAGCATAGGAACTACCCAGTGATGCCACCCAACAATTTTAAGCAAATAATCAGTTGTTTAAAGCTGATCAGTTGGGGTAGTTCATTACATCACAACAGAAAACTGATACTGTCAAGTTTGTGGTGTGTTGGATGCAGCTCCTAACAGGCCAAAAAAGTCATGTGTGTGCAACTCTTCTTGACTTCACGTTTAGTGAACTTACATTGCAATTAATAGCATGAAATTGTTCATGCTGGGAGTATTTACGCATGGAAATTAGTAAACAAACGAGCTATTTTGTTTGCTTTACAGAGTCAAACATTTACAACACATCAGTAGATACAGCCATTTAGATGCTAAGAAGATAACACTTAGCTATCTGGTGGCAAAGAAACAAACTTGAAAAATCCTGTGAAACTGCTGACAGAAGCAACTGTTGGGAACTAGTGGAGCTGCTGGCTCTGGCTGTAAAGTTATTTAGAGCTCCTATTACTGTTTGGAGTTGTGCTGCCACTGTTACTGGCTTGGGTTGCTGGTTCTGTGGCTCATTGTGTGCTAATGGAGCTGCTGCAACTAGAGAGAGGATGTGACAATATTCATCAGAACTGAAAGTTGCTAAATATATCTGCAATGGGACCAACTGCCCTGCACAGAGTGGGTAGATTACATGGGATATAGGATATAGGCTTAGCTTCTCTAACAGACATCTCAGAGGTGGAATCTCAAATGGTAGAGAAGTTTATTTCCCTCTCATCACAGACCAAAAGGATATGGATTGTGTGTAGGTGGTTTTGTTTCATGAGGTCTTCTAGGTGCCCAGATTATTGCTAACTTGTTGCTCCTCCATCTCTCAGGGTGTGGCCCTTGTCTGCATGCCAAAGCTTCCTTGTCAGGTTTTCAAGTAATGACAATAAACAGAAGGAACATAATTTTTTTCCATGAAAGTGACTCAGAATTTGCACACATCACATTTGCTCACATACCCTTTATACGCATATATTCACATTATTCCCCTGAGTACATGGGGAAATTTGTTTCTAACCAAGCAGCCATATGCCCAGCTGAAACTCAGGGAGCAATGTCTATTGGTAAAGGAAGAGGGAAGAATGATGTTGAGGAATAATTAGCAGTCTTTGCCACATACAAAATCATTATTTATAGAATCATCCATTGATCTGACAAACGTGAATTGAATTATATCATGAGGCTGGTACTATTTTAGGTACCATCCCACCACAGAGAAGAAAAACTTAGTAATTACCCACAAAGTTCTCACAGTATAAGATGGAGTGTAATAACACGTGAAGTTATAGGAGTGCTGTGAACAAAATTCTGTGGAACCACTGAAGAAAGATCAGTTAATTTTGCCCTGGGATGTTAGGAAAGGTTTTGGTGAGTTGGAATGTAAGTAGAATCTTGAAGAATAAATAAATAGGCATCATGAGACAGAAAAAGGAAGGCTTTACAAACATAACAAGTCCCTTGATATCCATGACATGTCCTAGATTTGTTGAGCCCTATGGTAAAACCTAAGGAAACTGTAAGCTCAGAAACACATCAGTCAGAATTGTGCAGGAGAATGTGGTTCAAAGAATTAAAAAAAAAGGGTATCATAAAGTTATAGATGAAACTGCTTAGTGTAATATGCATAAACCTTGCATGTATTTATAAAGTTCATGTAAAATGCCTTTCCAAATTTTAGCCCTAAAATGTAAATATTTAAATGTTAAATGTGTCTGCGTGAGAGAATCAAGAGGATATTGTCACCTGATGCATTTTTCTTATTTTTTTTTCAACTTTTATATTAGTTTCAGGGGGTAGATGTGCAAGTTTGCTACATGAGCAAACTGCATGTCACTAGGGATTGGTGTACAAATGATTTCATCACCCAGGTAGTGAGCATTGTACCTGATAGGAAGTTTTCCAATACTTACCCTCCTCCCACTCTCCACCCTCAAGTAGGCCCTGGTATCTATTATTCTCCTGTTTGTGTTCATGTAAACTCAGTGTTTAGCTCCCACTTATAAGTGACAATACACAGTATTTGGTTTTCTGTTCCTGTATTAATTCACTTAGAATAATCGCCACCAGTTGCATCCATGTTACTGCAAAGGAAATGACTTAATTATGGCTGCATACTAGTCCATGTTATATGTATACCACATTTTCTGTATCCAGTCCACCAGTGATGGACAATCCAGGTTGATTCCATGTCTTTGCTATTGTGAATAGCGCTGCAATAAACACACAAGAGCATCTGTCTTTTTGGTGGAAATATTTATATTTGTTTGGGTATATACCCAGTAATGAGATTACTCGGTCAAAAGGTAGATCTGTTTTAAGTTCACTGATAGATCTCCAAACTGCTTTTCACTGTGGCTGAACTAATTTCCATTCACAGTATCAGCATTTCCTTTTCTCTGCAACCTCACCAATATCTGTATTCTCTGACTCTTTAATAATAGACATTCTGACTGATAGGAGATGATATTTTATTATTATTTTGATTTGCAGTTATGTGGTAATCAGAGATAATGAGCATTTTTTATATGCTTGTTGGCTGCATGTATGTCTTCTTTCGAGAAATTCCTTTTCATGTCCTTTGCCCATTGGTGAATGGGGTTGTTTTTTGTTTCTTGGTTTGTTTAAGATCCTTATAGATTCAGGATATTAGACCTTTATCAGATGCATAGCTTGCAAATATTTTCTCTCATTCTGTAGGTAAATATTTTCTGTCATTCTGTAGGTTGTCTGAGTACTCTGTTGATAGATAGATACATTTTTGGTGCAGAAGCTCTTTACTTTAATTAGTCCAACTTCTCTATTTTTGTTCTTGCTGCAATTGCTCTTGGGGACTTCATCATGAAATCTTTGCCAAGGCTAATGTCCAAAATGGTA
The DNA here is from genome assembly GCF_000001405.40 of Homo sapiens. Taxonomy (NCBI): domain Eukaryota; kingdom Metazoa; phylum Chordata; class Mammalia; order Primates; family Hominidae; genus Homo; species Homo sapiens. Next base: position 76,970,274 of record NC_000006.12, on the reverse strand, counting down.
TATCCTAGGTTTTCTTCTAGGGTTTATATAGTTTTAGATCTTACATTTAAGTATTTATCCATCTTGAGTTTATTTTTGTATATTTTGAAGGGGAATGGTCAGTTTCAATCTTCTGCATATGGCTAGCCAGTTATCCCAGCACCATTTACTGAATAGAGAGTTCTTTCCCTATTGCTTGTTTTTGTTGACTTTGTCAAAGATCAGATGGTTGTAGGTGTGCAGCTTTATTACTGGATTCTCTATTCTGTTCCATTGGTCCATGTGTCTATGTTGTACCAGTACCATGCTTTTTTGGTTACTGTAGACATGTAGTATAGCTTGAAGTCAGGTAATGTGATGCCTCCAGCTTTGTTCTTTTTTTGTAGGTTTGCTTTGGCCATTTGGGCTCTTTTTTGGTTACATATGCACGTTAGAATAGTTTTTTTTTTTTTTCTAATTCTGTGAGGAATGTCATTGGTAGTTTGATAGGAATAGCATTGAATCTATAAATGGCTTTGGGCAATATTGCCATTTAGACAACATTGATTCTTCCTATCCATAAGCATGGAATGTTCTTTTATTTGTTTGTTTCATCTCTGATTTGTTTCAGCAGTGTTTTATAATTCCCATTGCAGAGATTTTTCACCTCCTTGGTTAACTGCATTCCTAAATATTTTATTTTTGTGGCTATTGTGAATAGAATTGCATTCTTGATTTGGCTCTCATCTTGGATGTTGTAGGTGTATAGAAATGCTACTCATTTTTGTAAATTGACTTTCCATCCTGGAACTTTTCTAATGTTTATCAGATCTAGAAGTTTTGGGGCAGAAACTATGGGTTTTTCTATGTATAGAATCATATTATCTGCAAACAGAGATATTTTGATAGGTAATAACGTTTGTTAGTTCTCTGCCTCAGTGATCTATCTCACACTGTCACTGGGGTGTTCAAGTCTAGCAGTATGTATGATTATCAGTTTATTCATAGGTCTCTAAGAACTTGTTTTACGATGTTCTCTCTTCCTATTTGGATACCTTTCATTTATTTCTCTTGCCTGATTGCTCTGGCTGGGACTTCCAGTATTATGTTTAATAGGAGTTTTAGGTACTCCAGTATTATGTTCCACTTGTCAAGGGGAATGCTTCCAGCTTTTGCCCATTCATTATGATGTTGGCTGTGGGTTTGTCATAGATGGCACTTATTATTTTGAGGTATGTTGCTTTGATGTACAGTTTGTTGAGGAATTTTAATGTTAATGGGATATTGAATTTTATCAAAAACCTTTCTGCATCTATTGAGATAATCATACAGTTTGTGTTTTTAGTTCTGTTCGTGTGATAAATCATACTTCTTTATTTGTTTGTTGGACCAACATTGTGTCTCAGGAATGAAGCTTACTTGATCATGGTGAATTCACTTTTTAATCTGCTGGATTTGATTTGCTAGCATTTTGTTGAGGATTTTTACATCTATGTTCATCAAGGATAATCCCCTAAAGTTTTCTTTTTTCATTGTGTCTGCCAAGTTTTGGTATCAGAATGATGCTGGTCTCATGAAATGAGTTAAAGAAGAGTCTCTCATTCTCAATTTTTTGGAATAGTTTCACTAGGATTGGTACCAGCTTTTCCTTGCACATCTGGTAAAATTTAGCTGTGAATCCATCTGGTCCAGGGCTTTTTCTGGTTGATAGGTTTTTTTTATATACTGATTACATTTTGGAACCTATTCTTGGTCTTTTTAGAGTTTCAGTTCCTTCCTCGTTCAATCTTGAGAGGTTGTTCCTTTCCAGGAATTTATCTTTTTCTTCTAGTTTATCTAGTTTCTGTATATATAGGTGTTTGTACTAGTCTCTGAGTGTTGTCTGTATTTCTGTGGTGTTGGTGGTAATGTTCCCTTTGCAGTTTCTAATTATGTTTATTTGGATTTTTTCTCTTTTTTCTTTAATAATCTAGCTACTGATCTATCATCTTATTTATTGTTTCAAGTAATGAACTTTTGATTTCATTAATCTTTTGTATGAATTTTTGGATATCAATTTCATTCCCTTCAGCTCTGATATTGGTTATTTATTTTCTTATAGCTTTGGGGTTAGTTTGCTCTTGTTTTTCTAGTTTCTGTAAGTGTGATGTTAGATGTTAATTTGAGATTTTTCTGATTTTTTTATTTAGGCATTTAGAGTTACAAAACTTCCTTTCACTGCTCTAGCTGTGTCCCAGAGATAGTGTTAAGTTATATCCTTGTTTTCATTTGTTTCAACTAGAGTTTTATTTTTGCTTTAATTTCATTATTTACCCAAAAGTCATACAGTTCAATTTCCATGTAATTGCATGGTTTTGAGAGAACTTCCTGCTATTGGTTTTCTATTTTCATTGTGCTGTGGTCTGAGACTGCGTTTGGTATGTGTATTAGGCCATTTTCATGTTGCCAATAAAGACATACCCAAGACTGGGCAATTTACAAAAGAAAGAGGTTAAATTGGACTCACAGTTCCACATGGCTAAGGAGGACTCACAATCATGGCAGAAGGCAAGGATGAGCAAGTCACGTCTTACATGGATGGCAGCAGGCAAAAAGAGAGCTTTTGCAGGGAAACTCCCCTTTTTTAAAACCACCAGATCTCATGAGACTTAGTCCTTATCACTAGAAAAGCATGGGAAAGACCTGCCACCATGATTTAGTTACCTCCCACTGGGTTCTTCCCACAACATGTGAGAATTCAAGATGAGATTCAGGCAGGGACACAACCAAACCACATCATTCTGCCCCTGGCCCCTCCCAAATCTCATGTCCTCACATTTCAAGCAAATCTTGCCTTCCCAACAGTCTCCCAAAGCCTTAATTCATTTCAGAGTTATCTCAAAGGTCCACAGTCCAATGTCCGAAGTCTCATTCAAGACAATGCAAGTCACTTCTGCCTATGAGCCTATAAAATCAAAAGCAAGTTAGTTACTTCCTAGATACAATGAAGGTACAGGCATTGGGTAAATACAGCCACTCCGAATGGGAGAAATTGGCCAAAACAAAGGGGCTACAGGCCCCATGCAAGTCCAAAATCCAGCAGGGCAGTCAAATCTTAAAGGTCCAAAATGATCTCCTTTGACTCCATGTCTCACATCCAGGTTATGCTGATGCAAGAGGTGGGTCCCTATGCTTTTGGGAAGCTCCACCCTTGTAGCTTTGCAGGTCACAGGCTCCATCTCAGCTGCCTTTAAGGGGTTGGAATTGAGTGCAGCTTTCCCAGGTGCATGGTGCAAGCTGTCAGTCGATCTATCATTCTGGGGTCTAGAGGACAATAGCCCTCTTCTCACAGCTCCACTAGGCAGTGCCCTCATAGGGACTCTGTGTGGGGGCTCCAACCCCACATTTCCCTTTAGCACTGCCCTAGCAGAGGTTCTCCATGAGGGCCACGCCCTTGAAGCAAACTTCTGCTTGGGCATTTAGGAGTTTCCATACATCTTCTGAAATCTGGGAAGAGTTTTTCCAACCCTAATTCTTGACTTTTGTGCACTTGCAGGCTCAACACCATGTGAAAGAGCTGCTGAGGCTTAGGGCTTGTACCCACTGAAGCCATGGCCAGAGCTCCATATTGGCCACTTTCAGTCATGGCCAGAGTGGCTGGGATGCAGGGCACCAAGTCCCTAGGCTGCACACAGCATGGAGACCCTGGGCCGGGATCACAAAACCACTTTTTCCAACTAGGCATCCATGCCTATAATGAGAGAAGCTACCGTGCAGACTTCTGACATGGCCTGGAGAAATTTTCCCCATTGTCTTGAAGATTAATATTTGCTCCATGTTTCTTATGAAAATTTCTGCAACCAGCTTAAATTTCTCCTCAGAAAATGGAATTTTGTTTTCTATAGCATTGTCAGGCTGTAAATTTTCTGAAACTTTATGCTCTGCTTCCCTTATAAAACTAAATGCCTTTAACAGCACCCAAGTCACATCTTGACTGCTTTGCTGCTTAGAAATTTCTTCCACCAGATACTCCAAATCATCTCTTCCAAGTTCAAAGTTCCACAAATCTCTAGGGCAGGGGAAAAATGCCATGAGTCCCTTTGCTAAAACATAACAAGAATCATCTTTCCTCCTGTTCCCAACAAGTTTCTCATCTCCAGCTGAGACCACCTGAGCCTGCACCTTATTGTTAACATCACTACCAGCATTTTTTCAAAGCCATTCAACAAATCTCTAGTAAGTTTCAAACTTTCCTACATTTTCTTGTCCTCTTCTGAGCCCTCCAAACAGTTCCAACCTCTTCCTGTTACCCAGTTCCAAAGTCACTTCCACATTTTCAGGTATCTTTTCAGCAACACCCTATTCTACTGGTACCAATTTGCTGCATTAGTCTGTTTTCACACTGCTGGCAAAAACATACCTGAGACTGGGCAATTTACAAAAGAAAGAGGTTTACTATGACTCACAATTCCACGTGGCTGGGGAGGACTCACAATCACGGAGGAAGGCAAGGAGGAGCAAGTCACATTTTATGTGGATGGCAGCAGGCAAAGAGTGAGCTTGTGCAGGGAAATTCCCCTTTTCTAAAACCATTAGATTTCATGAGACTTATTCACTATCACGAGAACAGCACAAGAAAGACCTCTTCCCATGATTCAATTACCTCCCACCGGGTCCCTCCCCCAACACATGGGAATTCAGGATGAGATTTGGGTGGGGATACAGCCAAACCTTACTAGTATAACTTTTTAAAAAAATTTTGGTTTGAGAATTGCTTTATGGGTGAGTATGTGGTTGATCTTAGAGTATGTGCATTGTGAAGATGGGAATAAAGTATATTCTGTAGTTGTTGGGTGAAGTATTCTGTAGATATGTGTTAAGTCCATTGGGTCAAGTGTTTATTTACGTTCTGAATCTGTTTGCTAGTTCTCTGCCTCAGTGTTCTGTCTAACACTATCAGTGGAATCTTGAAGTCCAGCACTCTTATTACATGTGATTATCTAAGTTTATTCATAGGTTTCTGAGAACTTGTTTTATGAATCTGGGTGCTCCAGTGTTGGATGTAAATATATTTAGGATAGTTAAGTCTTCTTGTTGAATTAAACTCTTTATCATCATGTGATGTCCTTCTTTGTCCTTTTGGATCCTTGTTGGTTTAAAATCTGTTTTCTCTTACACAAGCATAGAAACCTCTGCTCTTTTTTGTTTTCTGTTTGCTTGGTATCTCTCTCTCCATTTCTTTAAGTTCATGGTTTCCATTATATGTAAGATGGCTCTCTTGAAGACAGCATTCAGTTGAGTGCTGCTTCTTTTTTATTTATTTATTTATTTATTTATTTATTTATTTATTTATTATACTTTAAGTTTTAGGGTACATGTGCACATTGTGCAGGTTAGTTACATATGTATACATGTGCCATGTTGGTGCGCTGCACCCACTAACTCGTCATCTAGCATTAGGTATATCTCCCAGTGCTATCCCTCCCCCCTCTCCCCACCCCACAACAGTCCTCAGAGTGTGATGTTCCCCTTCCTGTGTCCATGTGATCTCATTGTTCAATTCCCACCTATGAGTGAGAATATGCGGTGTTTGGTTTTTTGTTCTTGCGATAGTTTACTGAGAATGATGATTTCCAATTTCATCCATGTCCCTACAAAGGACATGAACTCATCATTTTTTATGGCTGCATAGTATTCCATGGTGTATATGTGCCACATTTTCTTAATCCAGTCTATCATTGTTGGACATTTGGGTTGGTTCCAAGTCTTTGCTACTGTGATTAATGCCGCAATAAACATACGTGTGCATGTGTCTTTATAGCAGCATGATTTATAATCCTTTGGGTATATACCCAGTAATGGGATGGCTGGATCAAATGGTATTTCTAGTTCTAGATCCCTGAGGAATCGCCACACTGACTTCCACAATGGTTGAACCAGTTTACAGTCCCACCAACAGTGTAAAAGTGTTCCTATTTCTCCACATCCTCTCCAGCACCTGTTGTTTCCTGACTTTTTAATGATCGTCATTCTAACTGGTGTGAGATGGTATCTCATTGTGGTTTTGATTTGCATTTCTCTGATGGCCAGTGATGATGAGCATTTTTTCATGTGTTTTTTGGCTGCATAAATGTCTTCTTTTGAGAAGTGTCTGTTCATGTCCTTCGCCCACTTTTTGATGGGGTTGTTTGTTTTTTTCTTGTAAATTTGTTTGAGTTCATTGTAGATTCTGGATATTAGCCCTTTGTCAGATGAGTAGGTTGTGAAAATTTTCTCCCATTTTATAGGTTGCCTGTTTACTCTGATGATAGTTTCTTTTGCTGTGCAGAAGCTCTTTAGGTTAATTAGATCCAATTTGTCAATTTTGGCTTTTGTTGCCATTGCTTTTGGTGTTTTAGACATGAAGTCCTTGCCCATGCCTATGTCCTGAATGGTAATGCCTAGGTTTTCTTCTAGGGTTTTTATGGTTTTAGGTCTAAGGTTTAAGTCTTTAATCCATCTTGAATTGATTTTTGTATAAGGTGTAAGGAAGGGATCCAGTTTCAGCTTTCTACATATGGCTAGCCAATTTTCCCAGCACCATTTATTAAATAGGGAATCCTTTCCCCATTGCTTGTTTTTCTCAGGTTTGTCAAAGATCAGATAGTTGTAGATATCCGGCGTTATTTCTGAGGGCTCTGTTCTGTTCCGTTGACCTATATCTCTGTTTCGGTACCAGTACCATGCTGTTTTGGTTACTGTAGCCTTGCAATATAGTTTGAAGTCAGGTAGTGTGATGCCTCCAGCTTTGTTCTTTTGGCTTAGGATTGATTTGGTGATGCGGGCTCTTTTTTGGTTCCATATGAACTTTAAAGTAGTTTTTTCCAATTCTGTGAAGAAAGTCATTGGTAGCTTGATGGGGATGGCATTGAATCTGTAAATTACCTTGGGCAGTATGGCCATTTTCACGATATTGATTCTTCTTACCCATGAGCATGGAATGTCCTTCCATTTGTTTGTATCCTCTTTTATTTCCTTGAGCAGTGGTTTGTAGTTCTCCTTGAAGAGGTCCTTCACGTCCCTTGTAAATTGGATTCCTAGGTATTTTATTCTCTTTGAAGCAATTGTGAATGGGAGTTCACTCATGATTTGGCTCTCTGTTTGTCTGTTGTTGGTGTATAAGAATGCTTGTGATTTTTGTACATTGATTTTGTATCCTGAGATTTTGCTGAAGTTGCTTATCAGCTTAAGGAGATTTTGGGCTGAGACGATGGGGTTTTCTAGATATACAATCATGTCGTCTGCAAACAGGGACAATTTGACTTCCTCTTTTCCTAATTGAATACCCTTTATTTCCTTCTCCTGCCTTATTGCCCTGGCCAGAAATTCCAACACTATGTTGAATAGGAGTGGTGAGAGAGGGCATCCATGCCTTGTGCCAGTTTTCAAAGGGAATGCTTCCAGTTTTTGCCCATTCTGTATGATATTGGCTGTGGGTTTGTCCTAGATAGCCCTTATTATTTTGAAATACGTCCCATCAATACCTAATTTATTGAGAGTTTTTAGCATGAAGGTTGTTGAATTTTGTCAAAGGCCTTTTCTGCATCTATTGAGATAATCATGTGGTTTTTGTCTTTGGTTCTGTTTATATGCTGGATTACATTTATTGATTTGTGTATATTGAACCAGCCTTGCATCCCAGGGATGAAGCCCACTTGATTACGGTGGATAAGCTTTTTGATGTGCTGCTGGATTCATTTTGCCAGTATTTTATTGAGGATTTTTGCATCAATGTTCATCAAGGATATTGGTCTAAAATTCTCTTTTTTGGTTGTGTCTCTGCCTGGCTTTGGTATCAGAATGATGCTGGTCTCATAAAATGAGTTAGGGAGGATTCCCTCTTTTTCTATTGATTGGAATAGTTTCAGAAGGAATGGTACCAGTTCCTCCTTGTACCTCTGGTAGAATTCGGCTGTGAATCCATCTGGTCCTGGACTCTTTTTGGTTGGTAAGCTATTGATTATTGCCACAATTTCAGATCCTGTTATTGGTCTATTCAGAGATTCTACTTCTTCCTGGTTTAGTCTTGGGAGAGTGTATGTGTCCAGGAATTTATCCATTTCTTCTAGATTTTCTAGTTAATTTGCGTAGAGGTGTTTGTAGTATTCTCTGATGGTAGTTTGTATTTCTGTGGGATTGGTGGTGATATCCCCTTTATCATTTTTTATTGCATCTATTTGATTCTTCTCTCTTTTTTTCTTTATTAGTCTTGCTAGCAGTCTATCTATTTTGTTGATCCTTTCAAAAAACCAGCTCCTGGATTCATTAATTTTTTGAAGGGTTTTTTGTGTCTCTATTTCCTTCAGTTCTGCTCTGATTTTAGTTCTTTCTTGCCTTCTGCTAGCTTTTGAATGTGTTTGCTCTTGCTTTTCTAGTTCTTTTAATTGTGATGTTAGGGTGTCAATTTTGGATCTTTCCTGCTTTCTCTTGTGGGCATTTAGTGCTATAAATTTCCCTCTACACACTGCTTTGAATGTGTCCCAGAGATTCTGGTATGTTGTGTGTTTGTTCTCGTTGGTTTCAGAGAACATCTTTATTTCTGCCTTCATTTCATTGTGTACCCAGTAGTCATTCAGGAGCAGGTTGTTCAGTTTCCATGTAGTTGAGCGGTTTTGAGTGATATTCTTAATCCTGAGTTCTAGTTTGATTGCACTGTGGTCTGAGAGATAGTTTGTTATAATTTCTGTTCTTTTACATTTGCTGAGGAGAGCTTCACTTCCAAATATGTGGTCAATTTTGGAATAGGTGTGGTGTGGTGCTGAAAAAAATGTATATTCTGTTGTTTTGGGGTGGAGAGATCTGTAGATGTCAATTAGGTCCTCTTGGTGCAGAGCTGAGTTCAATTCCTGGATATCCTTGTTAACTTTCTGTCTCATGATCTGTCTAATGTTGACAGTGGGGTGTTAAAGTCTCCCATTATTAATGTGTGGGAGTCTAAGTCTCTTTGTAGGTCACTCAGGACTTGCTTTATGAATCTGGGTGCTCCTGTATTGGGTGCATATATATTTAGGATAGTTAGCTCTTCTTGTTGAATTGATCCCTTTACCATTATGTAATGGCCTTTTTTGTCTCTTTTGATCTTTGTTGGTTTAAAGTCTGTTTTATCAGAGACTAGGATTGCAACCCCTGCCTTTTTTTGTTTTCCATTTGCTTGGTATATCTTCCCCCATCCTTTTATTTTGAGCCTATGTGTGTCTCTGCACGTGAGATGGGTTTCCTGAATACAGCACACTGATGGGTCTTGACTCTTTATCCAATTTGCCAGTCTGTGTCTTTTAATTGGAGCATTTAGTCCATTTACATTTAAAGTTAATATTGTTATGTGTGAATTTGATCTGGTCATTATGATGTTAGCTGGTTATTTTGCTTGTTAGTTGATGCAGTTTCTTCCTAGTCTCGATGGTCTTTACATTTTGGCATGATTTTGCAGCAGCTGGTACTCGTTGTTCCTTTCCATGTTTAGCGCTTCCTTCAGGAGCTCTTTTAGGGCAGGCCTGGTGGTGACAAAATCTCTCAGCATTTGCTTGTCTGTAAAGTATTTTATTTCTCCTTCACTTATGAAGCTTAGTTTGGCTGGATATGAAATTCTGGGTTGAAAATTCTTTAAGAACGTTGAATATTGGCCCCCACTGTCTTCTGGCTTTTAGGGTTTCTGCCGAGAAATCTGCTGTTAGTCTGATGGGCTTCCCTTTGAGGGTAACCCGACCTTTCTTTCTGGCTGCCTTTAACATTTTTTCCTTCATTTCAACTTTAATGAATCTGACAATTATGTGTCTTGGAGTTGCTCTTCTCGAGGAGTATCTTTATGGTGTTCTCTGTATTTCCTGAATCTGAACGTTGGCCTGCCTTGCTAGAATGGGGAAGTTCTCCTGGATAATATCCTGCAGAGTGTTTTCCAACTTGGTTCCATTCTCCCCATCACTTTCAGGTACACCAGTCAGACGTAGATTTGGTCTTTTCACATAGTCCCATATTTCTTGGAGGCTTTGCTCGTTTCCTTTTTTTTCTTTTTTCTCTAAACTTCCCTTCTAGCTTCATTTCATTCATTTCATCTTCCATTGCTGATACCCTTTCTTCCAGTTCATCACATCAGCTCCTGAGGCTTCTGCATTCTTCACGTAATTCTCGAGCCTTGGTTTTCAGCTCCAACAGCTCCTTTAATCACTTCTCTGTATTGGTTATTCTAGTTATACATTCTTCTAAATTTTTTTCAAAGTTTTCAACTTCTTTGCCTTTGGTTTTAATGTCCTCCCGTAGCTCAGAGTAATTTGATCATCTGAAGCCTTCTTCTCTCAGCTCGTCAAAATCATTCTCTGTCCAGCTTTGTTCCATTGCTGGTGAGGAACTGCGTTCCTTTGGAGGAGGAGAGGCACTCTGCTTTTTAGAGTTTCCAGTTTTTCTATTCTGTTTTTTCCCCATCTTTGTGGTTTTATTTACTTTTGGTCTTTGATGATGGTGATGTACAGATGGGTTTTTGGTGTGGATGTCCTTTCTGTTTGTTAGTTTTCCTTCTAACAGACACGACCCTCAGCTGCAGGTCTGTTGGAGTACCCGGCTGTGTGAGGTGTCATTCTGCCCCTGCTGGGGGGTGCCTCCCAGTTAGGCTGCTTGGGGGTCAGATGTCAGAGACCCACTTGAGGAGGCAGTCTGCCCGTTCTCAGATCTCCAGCTGCGTGCTGGGAGAACCACTGCTCTCTTCAAAGCTGTCAGACAGGGATATTTAAGTCTGCAGAGGTTACTGCTGTCTTTTTGTTTGTCTGTGCTCTGCCCCCAGAGGTGGAGCCTACAGAGGCAGGCAGGCCTCCTTGAGCTGTGGTAGGCTCCACCCAGTTCGAGCTTCCCTGCTGCTTTGTTTACCTAAGCAAGACTGGGCAATGGTGGGCGCCCCTCCCCCAGCCTCGCTGTGGCCTTGCAGTTTGATCGCAGACTGCTGTGCTAGCAATCAGCGAGACTCCGTGGGCCTAGGAGCCTCCAAGCCAGGTGCGGGATATAATCTCGTGGTGCGCTGTTTTTTAATCCCGTCGGAAAAGCGCAGTATTAGCGCAGTATTTGGGTAGGAGTGACCCGATTTTCCAGGTGCCGTCAATCACCCCTTTCTTTGACTAGGAAAGGGAACTCCCTGACCCCTTGCGCTTCCGGAGTGAGGCAATGGCTCGCCCTGCTTCGGCTCGTGCACGGTGCGCGCACCCACTGACCTGCGCCCACTGTCTGGCACTCCCTAGTGAGATGAACCCGGTACCTCAGATGGAAATGCAGAAATCACCAGTCTTCTGCGTCGCTCACGCTGGGAGCTGTAGACCGGAGCTGTTCCTTTTTGGCCATCTTGGCTCCTCGGAGTGCTGCTTCTTTGTCCAACTTACCACTCTGTGTCTATAAGTGGGGCATTTAGGCCATTTACATTTAAGATTAATATTGAAATGTGAGAATTTCATGTTGTCATTGTGTTGTTAGCTGGTTATTATGTAGACATTATCATATACTTGCGTTATAGTGTCCGTGTGCTATGTACTTACTTACCTGTGAGTTTTTATCGTGACAAGTATTGGTCGTTTGCTTTTATGGTCGAACACTCCCTTTATGATATCTTGTAAGGCAGATCTGGTGGTAACAAATTCCCTTAGCAGTTGCTTACCTGAAAAGTATTTTATTTCTCTTTCTTTTATGAAGCTTAGTTTGGTTGGATGTGAAATTCTTGCTTGTATTTTTTTAAGGATGCTAAATATAAGCCACCAATCTCTTGTGGCTTGAATGGTTTCTGCTGAAAAGTCTGCTTTTGGTCTGATGGGGTTCCCTTTGTATGTGACCCCACCCTCCTGCCTTTAAGATTTTTTTCTTTCACATTGACTTTGAGGAATCTGATGACCATATTGCTTTCTACAGTGGTTGAACTAATTTACACTACCACCAACAGTGTATAAGTGTTCCCTTTTCTCAACAAGCTTGCCAGCGTCTGCTATTTTTGACATTTTATTAATAGCAATTCTGACTGATGTGAGATGGTATCTCATTCTGGTTTTGATTTACATCTTTCTAATGATAAGTGAAATTGAGCTTTTCTTCATATGCTTGTTGGCTGCATGTTTGCCATCTTTTGAAAAGTGTCTATTCAAGTTCTTTGCCAACTTTTTAATGAGGTTGTTGGTGTTTGTATTGTAATTTGTTTAAGTTCCTTATAAATGCTTGCTATTAGACCTTTGTCAGATGGATAGATTTCAAATATTTTCTCCCATTCTGTAGGTTGTCTGTTCACTCTGATGGTTTCTTTTGCTGTGCAAGTGCTCTTAAGTTTAATTAGATCCCACTCGTCAGTTTTCGTTTTTGTTGCATTTGCTTTTGGTGTCTTCATTATGAAATCTTTGCCCATTCCTATGTCCAAAATGGTTACGCCTATGTTGCCTTCAGGAATTTTACAGTTTTAAGTTTAACATTTAAGTCTTTAATCCATCCTGAGTTGATTTTTGTATATAGTGTAAGGAAGGGGTCCAGCTTCAGTCTTCCGCATATGGCTAGCCAGTTATCCCAGCACCACTGATTAAATAGAAAGTATTTTCCCTATTGCTTGTTTTTGTCAGCTTTGTCAAGATCAGGTAGTCATAGGTCTGTGGCCTTATCTCTGGGCTCTATATTCTGTTCCATTGGTCTATGTGCCTGTTTTTGTACCAGTACCATGATGTTTTGGTTACTGTAGCCCTGTAATATTGTTTGAAATAGGGTAACGTGATGCCTCCAACTTTGTTCTTTTTGCTTAGGATTGCCTTGGCTATTTGGGCTCTTTTTTTGGTTCCATATGAATTTTAAAATAGTTTCTTTCTAGTTCTGTGAAGAATGCTGTTGGTAGTTTGATAGGAATAGCACTGAATCTGTAAATGGCTTTGGGCAGCATGGTCATTTTAATTATATTGAGTTTTCCTATCCATGAGCATGGGATATTTGTCATTTGTGTCTTCTCTGATTTCTTTGAGCAGTGTTTTATAATTCTCATTGTAGAGATCTTTTGAATCCCAATTAGCTGTATTCCTAGGTATTTTAAACATTTTTTGTGTCAATTATCTACTTAATTCTAGTAAACTCCATGTACTGTAGTGAAATTCATAATCCTTTTAGTCATATGCCTACCTTTCTAGACTTAATTGTGTGTATCTTGAACCTCTCAGGTTTCCAGAAGTTAGCTAAAGCATTAGCTGATTCTCTCTGGGCATCACTGAACACCACCTTTATACACAGAGAATGTAACTAGATTAATGCAACATCCCTGATTTGATCAATTCTATGGAGATCGTGTTTTAATCCACGTTGAGAAGTTTCCTTTCCAGACCAACCAATACTACATTTCTGGACTCTCTCTATCCTTTTAATTTCTGCTTGAGAAATGGCTACTATTTTTCTGATGTAGCTTTTTTCATCACCTTTTTTCACTACACCTTTTTTCAAATGTAGCTAATAGTACTTAACCTATGCTACTAATATTGTGTTTTATAACCTCTTCACCTAAAGTCACAGACTCATTAGAGACACCATGTTCCTTTTACGTTATTTAAGGTAAGCATTTTATCATGTTTTGACACTTCATAATCTCAATGATGATCATTCTATCCTCCAATAATACTATAACAGGTATTAAGAGCCAGTGTATATAAAAATAGTCAGTCAATACAGAGTAAAGAACAGTGATATATTTATATTAAAATTGACCATCCACAGAATAAAGTAATTTGTAGTTATTTAGTAAGTTTTTACTAAAGGATAAAACAGTTTTATGTCTGAGAATAAAATAGGTGAACCATATGTGATAAGCACGATAAATTCTTATTTGGCATTTACAGTATGACAGGCACTTTTAAAATTACTTACAGGTTGAGCATCCTTAATCCAAAAATCTGAAATGCTCCAAAATCTGAAATGCTCCAAAATCTGAAATTTTTTGAGTGCCAATGTAATGCCACAAGTGGAAAATTCCACACCCTATCTCATTTGACAGGTTTCAGTCAAAATGCAGTGACACAACACACATTTTATTCAGTATCCTCAAAAGGAAAAAAAAAAAAAAAAGACCTTTCAGCCCTCTCAGTTGCAATGTAACTTTTCTACACATGCCCAGAATTTTCCATATAAGCATCCCATCCAAAAAGGGCTATTATATGGTACGTGTCCAAGATGGACATATCAAAGGCAGATTTTCAACAATGCCCTACATGAAGCCAAGATCTACGAGCTTTACTCACTGTGATTTTTTTTTTTTTTTTTTTTTTTTTTTGCTTATTACCTGCTTTATGGTGTAAAAATATTGCTGAAAATGTCAAAAAGGTCTGCAGACACCACATGGGGAACAGTCATTAGGAAAAGGGGAAGGATTATGTCTATTTACAGCTAAAAAGTCAAGCTGTTGGAGAACCTGAACAGTGGTATGAGTCTTAAAAGAAGAGTAGGGTAGTAGAATGATCACCAAACATGACCTGAAGAAACAGAAGAATAAACTCTTGAAGGTGTATGCTGAAAATAATGAACATAAGTTTATAAAACATTTTATAAACTTAAAGTTAAAAATGAAGATCCCTATTGTGTATTGCTAGAATTGACCTGTTAACATCACAGTGAACACATGCCACTCAATGGTACGCTAATCATAAAACAAAGAAAGATCTGTTGCTATGAACTGAAAATTAATGGAAATTGTGAAAATTCAATGGGCTGGTTGCAGAAACTTCTGAAAAGACACAACATTAAATTTTTAAATATTTGTGGTATAAATCATCTGCTGATCATGAAGCAGTGGGGAAATTAATTGACAAGTTTGCCAAGGTTATCGCTGATGAAAATCTGATGCCAGAACAAATCTGTAATGCTGATTACACATCTCTGTTCTGGCATTATTGTCCCAGAAAGACATTAACTACAGCTAATTAGACAGCCCCTACAGTAATTAAGAATGCCAAAGACAGGATAACTGTGCCGGGATGTGCTAATTTAGTAGGCATGCATAAATGTAAATTTGCTCTGATAGGCAAAAGCTTGTATTCTCCCTATTTTCAAGGGGTGAACTTTTATCAGTCCATTATTATGGTAACAAAGAGGCATAGACCACCAGCAACATCTTTTCTGATTGGTTTCACAAATATTTTGTACCATTGTCTCATGCTCATTGCAGGGAAGCTGGACTAGGTGACAACTGTAAGACTTTGTTATTCCTTGAAAACAGTCTGCTCATTCTCCAGCTAAAATTCTCATTTAAAAAAGGTTTATTTCATGTACTTTCCCCAAAAGGTGATTTTATTAATTCATCCATGTAACCAGGGTATCCTTACAGCAACAAACAGAAATATAAAAACAATTTTTGAACAGCATGCTAGCAGCAGTGAACAGATGATGGATAGGGAAGGTTTTCAAAAGGAGTTTATCATGAAATTTAGCATATTTTTGCCAAATATGCTGTTGCCAACACTTAGAACACAATGACTGGAGACACAGTTGTGCGTGCCTGGCACAACCTCCAGCCTGTGTCTATGTTCAGTGATGATGATGAGCAAGGTGGTGACTTTGAAGGATTTTGTATATCAAGTGAAAAGAAATGATATCTGACCTCCTTACATATCTAAAACATATACCTTCAAAATCCATCAATAAGCTGAAAGAAATAGATATCAAAGAATATTTTAACATCATTAATGAGGCTCCAGTTATTCATTCATTGACCAATGGTAATATAGCTGAAATGATTCTGAATCAAGCTGATTATGATAATAGTGATGATGAAGATGATGTTAATACTGCAGAAAAAGTGCCTATAAATGACACAGTGAAAACGTGTGGTTGAACAGCATGCATTTGTAACAACAAGAAATTATGTCAGTTTATACAATCAAAGAGAGACCACTGAGTGAAAGCCATTGTTAATGAGGCAGATGAGTCTGCAGGAAACATTTTAAAAATTCATGCAACAAAATGCCTTCTTATTCCTAAAGGACTCACTTCTTCTATGCTTCGGATGTTTCTTCTCATCAAAAAAAAAAAAAAAAAGTAAAATGTAGCATATAGCATATAGTTAACCTTGAGTCAAAACACAGCATTGTAAGTGGAGACTGAAAGACTACCATTGCTTGTTATTGCTGTTGTTTAACAGCTGATACAGGTATTCTGGTGATGCTGCTGTGCTGCTTCATTGCCCTGAAAATACTGTTTTCCACTATATTAATGGTATGTCATATTTTTACCACCAATTATAAAAAATTGATTGAGGCCGGGCGCGGTGGCCCACGCCTGTAATCCCAGCACTTTGGGAGGCCGAGGCGGGTGGATCACGAGGTCAGGAGATCAAGACCATCCTGACTAAGATGGTGAAACCCCGTCTCTACTAAAAATACAAAAAAAAAAAAAAAAATTAGCTGGGCGTGGTGGCGGGCGCCTGTAGTCCCAGCTACTCGGGAGGCAGAGGCAGGAGAATGGCATAGCCAAGATCGTGCCACTGCACTCCAGCCTGGGCAACAGAGCAAGACCCTGTCTCAAAAAAAAAAAATTGATTGCTTATTGGTAGCATGTCAATTCAGAGTCAGGAATGACGGTGATGCCAGACAGCCACAGATTATCCACATGTGTTGATGGGGTAGTGACACCTTTGCTTCCTAATGGTTCAGTGTACCCATACTTTGTTTCATCCACAAAATTATTATAAATATTGTATAATATCAGCTTCAGACTATGCATACAAGGTGTATATAAGACATAATGAGTTTCCTGAGTATACTTGGATACCATCCTCAAGATATCTTATTTTGTATATATGCAAGTATTTCAAAATCTGAAAAAAAAAGTCCAAAATTCAAAACACTTCTGGTCCTAAGCATGTTGAATAAGGGATACTCAATCTGTAATATGCACTAACTAATTTAACCATCACAATGACCCTGAAAGTACATCCAATTTGTACCTCATTCGCAATATGAAGAAACTGAGACAGAGTTTAAGAATTTGCCCAAAGTTATCCATTTAACAAGTGTCAAAGCTAGTATTTAAACATACACAAAAAAAAACTGACTCCATAGTTAGCGTTCTAAACAAGTGCATTTCAATCGTTAATATACATGATTCAGCTGGGGATCTGTTAAAATGGAGATCCATATTCAGGAAACTGATGAGGGTTGGGTTTTTATTTCTAACAACCTCTTTGGCAGATTGCTCATGTGAACTCCCACTGTTGAAATGGTACAGCTACCAAATACTATGGCTCTAGATATTTTTCTGATCCCTTAGTCATCAAAAGTTTTCAGATGGATTTATTGATGGATTTTTCCACATTAACACTTTCTGACATAATTCAGTGAGATAATAGAATCCAATTAAGGAAACTGATTACATGAATTATGTAGTATTACTAGGACATTGATGACTCTCCAGCATCTAACTTGTTGTATAACTTGTATGTGTGATAGCCTTCTTATTCTGCAAATTAGAACACATCTCTCACCTGCTATCAACCTCTGAAAATAATGATGCTTGACATCAGGGTGGAGAATAGATGTTGCCTATCTGCCTTGGCAGCAGTGGTCAGAAACTGAGATGCAATGTGTAAGCTTTCCTTCACCAGACTCTTATCTATTCTTTCTTTCCTCATTTTAATCCCATCCCACATCCCCTTTTACACATTCTATTGTCACATTTTTTTTCTTCCTGACAGATGCTGCTATGTTTGGACATCACTTAAACTTCTGTCATGTTATTGCTTTTGGATTTGTAACAAACATGATAAAAGGCCCAGCGAGATGAATAACATACAAGGGTTTGATGGCTATTCACTGTGAAAGTGGACATATGATAATTAATTGTATGCATCATCTTTACTGGGCCAAAGGGATGCCCAGAAACTTGGTAAAACAGTATTTCTGGATATGTCTGTGAAGATATTTTCAGAAGAGATAAGCATTTAAATTGGTGGACTGAGGAAAGAAGATTGCCCTCCCAAGTGTGAGTGGACATCATCCAACCCCTTCAGAGCTCAAATAGAACAAAAACACAGAGGAGGGTCGAATTCCCTCTCTGTATGACTGCCTGAACTGAGATATCAGTCTGCTCTTGCCCTTTGACTGGTACTTATACCAGTGATTCTCCAGGTTGTCAGGCCTTTGGACTTAGACTAGAATTTACACTACCAGCTTTCCTGGATCTCCAACTTCAGATGGAAGATTGTGAGGCTTCTCGGCCTTCATAATCACATGAGTCAATTTCTTATATAGTTGACCCTTGAACATGGCTTGGAACTGTCCACATCCACTTATACACATATTATTTTCGAACCAAAAGAAGATTGGAAATACGGTATTCAAGGGATGCAAAAACTGTGTATTCAAAGGGACAATTTTTTTTAATATATATGAGTTCCGCAGGATCACTGTGGGACTTGAGTATGTGCAGATTTTTGTATACTCAGGAAGTCCTGGAATCAATCTCCCATGTGTATACTGAGAGATGATGATAATACATACCACTCTAAATATATATCCATCATTTCTGTTTCTCTGGAGAACCCTGACTAATATAGAATGCCTGCATATGGATACAGGTTCTATTCACACCTCACCTAACCCTCATTTTAATAGCTGTGGACATTTTTGAGCTGTGGACGTTTTTGGTATAACTTTAAGGAATTGAAACTGTTACTGACTGGAAGAATCTTTAGAGATTTTATGAGGGACACATGCATTCAAATTATTCACTCAGATTTATAAGCAATAATATTAGAATTTTTCCACTCCTGCAGAAACCCTTCCCTTTTCTACACCATGGCAATGAGAATAATGAAAGGGTCAATAATAGGATAGCTTGATGCTGACTTGTCCAAGAGACTTGGTTTTTCTATGTGATTTTCCAAAGTTTTTACCACCATCAGCAAATTAGTCTTTATGCTTTAAGGAAGCAAATTTCCTTAAATTTATTTATCATTAGTATTGTTTCCCTTGAGGGAGTTTGGGAGAGAGTGTTTTAAATAACAGTGCATTCTGAAGCAATCAATTACTTAATTAAATCCAAAGGAAAATCACAAGGTAATTTTCTATGGAAATCTATGTCCATCCAGTGTCGTTCCAAAGAGAGGAAGATTCTAAATTTAAAAGTGCTTATTTATTATAAGTATCTGTCTTTTGTATGCTGCTTAGTATTAGTCCTCAATAGATAGATGTGAGCCAGTCCAAAATTAGAAAAGCTGGGACAAAATTAAGATCTAGCAGCAAGATACCTTGTAATTAGAACTGAGCAGATTATGAAAAAACTTTAGCCTAGGACATAAATAAAGATATAAAACTTCAGATAGGCTGAAGTAGGAGAAGAAAGGTTATAGAAGCATAAAAAAGTTTAGACCACAAATATACATTGAATTGTGTACCAGGAATTAACTGGCACAGCAGCAAGTGTGGGGTTAGATTCAATTCAGGGAGTCAGAAATTAGACTAGATCATATGAAGTTATAGACAGATGAGAGAGAGAGAGAGAAACAAAATTCTGCTAGGTCCAAGCAGAATTCTTTTGGACTTCTGTAGCTGTTAAATATTCATCTTGTTTCACTTTAGACACCATTGTTACTCTCCCTATCTCCTCTCATTGTTGTAATAATACATATACAAGTATATACTGATATAAAATATGCACAGACCTTACTTAGAGACACGAAGTAGTTCTTGATACTAACCTGTGCCCTTTCTGTATTTCCTTTCTAATAGAATTCAAGCTCTCTGAAGGTAACGATTTTGTCCGATTACCTCACTACTGAATCCTCAGTGCCTAGTGTAATCAATGTCTTGCATAAAGCTGAGTGAATTAATTTATACAAAAGCAATTCTATTTTCTTTCTTTACAATGTCATGTCATTACTCAAAGCAGTCCTCAAGAAACCACCATCTAATAAACTGCCAAAACCTTGGAGTAGCTGAGTTGATAGTACAAAATACACCTGCCATTTATTCCCCATCATACTTTGATCATGGCTGTTGATCTCGGTTATCCTCAGAAGCTTCACCTCCCTGGTCATCATCATTACCTAGATTTATAAAACTCCACTTCCTTTGCCATTCCATACATCTGCCACATGCTATGAAACTTGAGTTATATTTTCCAGTAAAATAAAAATATCCTTGTCTTCATTAACTTTTCCTTAAAAACACCACTTTCTTTGCAGGCCTTTCAAATTCAAGCTCTTTTATTCTATCAGGCACTGTATTTCTCAAAGGCCAAAAAGTGGCATTAGTGACATTCTTGCTACCAGTTTCCACTTCAAGAATATCACTGTCATCTCCTGACAAATTTCCTTAAAGGCTTGCTGGTCTCGTGAAGGGCCTGACCAGGCACCTTGGTTCTGGGAACTCACTTGAGGTTTTTGTAAGTATTTTTTCACTGAGAACAGATCTCCTGGTTTGGGATCAATTTTCAGACTTACTTCCTATTGGGACATTCCTTAAATGTTTAATCAAAAGCCTTGTTTCAAGTTGACATCAGTTCTCATCCTACACTGTTTTTTCTTGAACTCTTGTGCTTTTGTGACCTTTTCCCCAGCAACAGAGCCTGAGTTCTGACAATTAATTAATGTGGCTGCTAGTCTTCCTTAATTTTCAATTGCTTTTTCCATAGTAACAACCCAATCATTGCCATGGTCAGCATGTATAGAGATTGTTTCACCTAAAAGGAGTCTCCTAGTTTGGATCAAGGAGTTGACAACAGCATATTCTAAAATAAAATTCGAACTTCCTAGCAAAGCTAATTAAACTGCTGAAATGTGTTAGAGTTTATTTACTATAACAATGTTTATGAATTCAAGATGGTCTAGAAATGGATATCATTGACTAAAAGAGAGATGATTCGATTTAAGTATTTTCAAGTAATTATATTATAAAAAACAATATATTCATTATTCTAATCTTATCATACCTTATTTTATTCTGTATTTGTTGATCAGATTCTAGTGGAGTTCAGAGTCATTGAAATGAAGGCCAATTTTTGTTGTAAAATATTATGTCTTGTAAATTTAGAAAGTGTTCAGATGGGGCTAAATAAAATTTGATGGTTCAAGCAACCCAGGAATGTATGTGCTGTTTATTTATTTATTATTTTTGTGAGTATATAGTTGGTGTATACATTTATGGTGTACATGAGATGTTTTGGTATAGGCATGCAATGGAGAAAGGTGTAATCATCCCCTCCAGCATTTATCCTTTGAGTTACAACAAACAATCCAATTACACTCTTTAAATTATTTTAAAATGTACAATTAAGCTATTATTGACAATAATCACCCAATTGTGTTATCAAATAGCATGCTTTATATATTATTTCTATTTTTTTTTTTTTTTTTTTTTTTTTTACCTATTAGCTATTCCCACCTCCCCTGTGAGCCCTCCAACTACCCTTCCCAGCCTCTGGAAGCTATCGTTTTACTCTCTGTGTCCATGAGTTTAATTGTTTTGATTTTTAGGTCTCACAAATAAGTGATAACATGTGATATTTGTTTTTCTGTGCTTGACTTATTTCACTTAATATGAGTATCTCTAGTTCCATCCATGTTGTTGCAAATGACTGGATCTTACTCATTTTTGTGGCTGAATAGTACTTAATTGTGTATATCTACCATAGTTTCTTTAATCATTCGTCTATTCATGAACACTTAGGTTGCTTCTAAATCTTAGCTATTGTAAACAATGCCATAACAAACATAAGAGTACAGATAACTCTTCAGTATACTGATTTCCTTTCTTTGGGGTATATGCCCAGAAATGGGATTGCTGGATCACTGAGCATAAGAATTGGTACCTCAATTCTTCGTTTTTTGAGGACCCTCCAAACTGTTTTCCAAAGTGGTTATGCTAATTTACATTCCTACCAACAGTGTAGAAGGGCTCCCTTTTCTCCGCATCCTCACCATCATTTCTAATTGCCTGTTTTTTGGATAAAAGCCATTTTAACTGGAGTGATATGATGTTTCATTATAGTTTTGGTTTACATTTTTCTAATGATCAATGACATTGAGTACCTTTTCATATGCCTGTTTGCCATTAGTATGTCTTCTTTTGAGAAATGTCTATTCAGATTTTTTGCCCATTTTTCTGATTGGATTGTTTTTCTTATAGAGTTGTTCGAGCTTCTTATGTATTCCAGTTATTAATCCCTTGTCAGATGAGTACTTTGTAAATATTTCCTCCCATTTTGTGGGTTGTCTCTTCACTTTGTTGATTGTATCTTTTGCTCTGCAGATGCATTTTAAGTTGATGGGATTCTTCTCATTTGTCCATTTTTGCTTTGATTTGCCTATGCTTGTGGGGTCTTGCTCAAGAAATTTTTGCCCAGACCAATGTCCTGGAGATGTTCCCCAAAGTTTTTTTGTAGTAATTTTATAGTTTGAGGTCTTAGGTTTAGTTCTTTAATCCATTTTGATTTGATTTTTGTATATGGTAAGAAATAGGGCTCAAGTTTAATTCTACTGCATATGGATATCCAGTTTTCCCAGAAATCATTTATGAAGAGACCATCTTTTCCCCAGTATATGTTCTTGGCACCATTGTCAAAAATGAGTTCACTGTAGGTGTGTGAATTTGTTTCTGGGTTCTCTATTCCTTTCTATTGGTCTACGTGCCTGTTTTTGACAGTGTCATGGTATTTTGATTACTATAACTCCATTATATAATACAAAGTCAGGTAATGTAATTCCTCCAATTTTATTCTTTTTGCTTAGGAAATGTTTGGCTATTCTGAGTCTTTTGTGGTTTCATATAAATTTTAGTATTTTTTCCTATTTCTGTGAAGATTGCCATTGGTACTTTGACAAGGATTGCATTGGATAGTATGGACATTTTAACAATATTGATTCTTCCAATTCATAAATATAAAATACCTTTCCATTTTTTGTGTTCTCTTCAATTTCTTTCATCAGAGTTTTATAATTTCCATTATAGACGTCTTTCACTTCTTTTATTAAGTTAATTCCTAAGCATTTAATTTTATGTGTGGCTATTGTAAATAGCATTACTTTTTTATTTCTTTTTCACATGGTACGCTATTGGCATATAGAAATGCTACTAATTTTTGTATGTTGATTTTGTATCTTGTAACTTTACTGAATTTATTGGTTCTAATAGTTTTCTTGTGCATTCTAGGTTTTTCCAAATATGAGATCACATCATCTGCAAACAAGGATAATTGTACTTCTTTTTCAATTTGGATGCTTTTTATATCTTATATCCTTCTCTTGTCTGATTGCTCTAGCTAGGATTTCCAGTGCTATGTTAAATAACAGTGGTGACAGTGGGTATTCTTGTTGTGCTCCTGATCTTAGAGGAAAGCTTTTCAGTTTGTCCCCATTCAGTATGATACTAGCTGTGGGTCTGTTGTATATGACTTTTATTATGTTGAGGTATATTCCTTCTATCACCAGGATTTTTGAGGGTTTTTATCATGAAGAAATGTAGAATTTCATTGAATGCTTTTTTAGCATCAATTTAAATGATCATACAGTTTCTAACCTTCATTCTATTGATAAGATGGATCACATTGATTGATTTATGTTGAAACATCCTTGCATCTCAGGCATAAATCCTACTTGGTCATAATAAATACTTTTTCTAATATAATGTTGAATTTGTTTGCCTCATATCTCGTTGAGGCTTTCTGCATCAATATTCATCAGAGATACTGGCTTGTTTAACTGTCCTTGTATCCCAGACACAAATACCATTTGGTCATAAAGGATGTAATGCTGAATTTGTTTTGCTCATATCTTGTTGAGGATTTTTGCATCAGTATTCATCAGAGATATTGGTCTGTAGTTTTCTTTTTTTTTAATGTATCTTTGTCTGGTTTTGGTATCAAGGTAATACTGGCCTCATAGAATAAGTTTTGAAGTATTCCCTCGTGGTCTATTTTCCAGAATAGTTTGAGTAGGACTGGTGTTAGTTTTTTGAATGTTTAGTAGAATTCAGCAGTGAAGCCATTGGGTTCTAGGCTTTTCTTTACTAGGAGAGTTTTTATTACAGCTTTGATCTCATTATTTGTTATTGGTCTGTTCAGGTCTTGGATTTCTTTCTTGTCCAATCTTGGTAGTTTGTATGAGTCTAGGAATTTATTCATTTATTCTAGATTATCCAACTTATTGGCATATAGTTGCCCATAGTAGTCATTAATGATCCTTTGAATTTCTGCAGTGACAGTTGCAATGTCTTTTTTTTTTTCATTTCTGATTTTATGTATTTGTATGTCCTCTCTTTTTTTCTTTTTTTTAAATTATACTTTAAGTTCTAGGGTACATGTGCACAACATGCAGGTTTGTTACATAGGTATACATGTGCCATGTTGGTTTGCTGCACCCATCAACTTGTCATTTACATTAGGTATTTCTCCTAATGCTGTCCCTCCTCCAGCCCCCTACCCCCTCACAGGCCCCAGTATGTGATGTTCCCCTCCCTCTGTCCATGTATTCTCATTGTTCAACTCCCACCTATGAGTGAGAACATGTGGTGTTTGGTTTTCTGTCCGTGTGATAGTTTGCTTAGAATGCTGGTTTCCAGCTTCATCCATGTCCCTGCTGTCCTCTCTTGTTTTCTTATGGCTAAAGTTTTGTCAATTTTATTTAACTTTACCAGAAACCAACTTTTTCTTTTGTTGAGCTTTTTTTAAAAATTTTATTTATTTCTGCTTTGATCTTTATTATTTATCTTCTCTACTAATTTGGGGTTTGGTTTTTGTTGCTTTTGTCGTTCTTTAAGATGCCTCATTAGATTGTTCATTTGAAGGTTTTCCTCTTTTTTGATGTGGGCACTTACAGTTATAAACTTCCCTCTTAGTACTGCTTTTGCTGTATTCCATAGGTTTTGGTATATTGTGTTTTCATTATCATTTGTTTCGAGAAATTTTTCAATTTTTCTCTTAGTTTTTTCATTGACTCACTCATCATTCAGGAACATATTGTTTAATTTCCATGTATTTGTATAGTTTCCAAAATTTCTCTTGTTATTAATTTCTAGTTTCATACTATTGTGGTGAGAGAAGTTGCTTGATACTGTTTCAATTTTTTCAGTATTTTAAGACTTGTTTTGTGACCTAACATATGGTCTATCTTTGAAAATGATCCATGTGCTGAGGAAAAGAATGTGTATCCTGTAGCTTCTGTATGAAACGTTCTGTAAATGTCTACTGGATACATTTGGTCTATAGTGCAGATTAAGTCTGGCATTTCTTTGCTGATTTTCTGCCTGGAAGATTTGTCCAGTGCTGTAAGTGGGTTGTTGAATTCTCCAGTCATTATTTTATTGAGGCCTATCTCTCTCTTTAGCTCTAATTATATTCGCTTTATATATCTGAATGTTCTAGTGTTGGGTGCATATATATTTAAAATTGTTATATCCTCTTGCTGAATTGACCCCTTTATCATTATATAGTGAACTTCTTTGTGTCTTCTTGTAGTTTTTGTTTTGAAATCTATTTTGTTTGATATAAGCATGATGGCTTCTTCTCTTTTTTGGTTTCCATTATCATGGAATATCTTTTCCCATCCCTTTATTGTCAGTATATATGTGTCTTTATAGGTGAAGTATGTTTCTTGTTGACAACAGATTAGGGTCTTGTTTTTGCATCCATTCAGCCAGTCTATGTCTTTTGGAGAGTTTAGTTCATTTACATTCAGTGTTATTATTGATAAGTTAGGACTTACTCCTGGCATTTTGTGATTTGTTTTCTGGATGTTTTATGTCTTCTCTTTCTTCCTTTTTTCCTTCCTGTCTTCTTGTAGTTAAGGTGATTTTCTCTGGTAATATGATTTAGTTTATTGCTTATTTGTATGTATGCATAGTATGTTTTTTGCTTTGAGGTTACCATGAGGCTTCTAAATACTATCTCATAATCCATAATTTTAACCTGATAACACTATTTGCATAAACAAGCAAGCAAGCAAAAACAAAAAAGATTAAAAACTTTATGTCTTGACTTTATCCCCCTACTCTTTAACTTTTTGTTGTTTCTATTTGTATCTTATTGTACTATGTCTTGAAAAGTTATTGTAGTTATTATTTTTGATTGATTAATCATTTAATCTTTCTACTTAGGACAACAGTAGTTTACACACCACAGTTACAGTAATATTTTATGGTTTTCTGTGTACTTAATAGAACCAGTGAGTTTTTTACCTTCAGGTGGTCACTTATTGTTCATTAATGTCCTTTTCTTTCTGATTGAAGTACTCCCTTTAGCAGTTTTTGTGGGACAACTCTGGTGTAGATGAAATCATTCTGATTTTCTTTGGGAGAGTCTTTACTTCTCCTTCATGCTTGAAAGATATTTTCAGCAGACATGCTCTTCTAGAGTAAAAGTGTTTTTCTTTCAGCACTTTAAATATTGCATGCCATTCTCTCCTAGCCTGTAAGGTTGCCACTGAAAAGTCTGTTTCAGACTTATTGAAGCTCCATTGTACATTGTTTGTTTCTTTTCTCTTGCTGTTTTTGGGATCCTTTCTTTATCATTGATCTTTAGGAATTTGATTATTAAAGGCCTTAAGGTAGTCTTCTCTGGGCAACATCTGCTTGTTGTTCTGTAATCTTCTTATACTTAGATACTGGTATCGTTCTCTAGGTTTGGGAAATTATCTGTTACTATATCTTTGAATGAACTTTCTACCCCTATCTCTTTCTCTACCTCCATGTTAAGGCCACTAACTCTTAGATTTGCCCTTTTGAGGCTGTTTCCAGATCCTGTAAGCATGCTTCATTTTTATTATTTTTTCTTCTGTCTCTTCTGTGTATTTTCAAATAGCCTGTCTTCAAGCTCACTATTTCTTTCTTCTGCTTCATTAATTCTGCTATTAAAGGACTCTAATGCATTCTTCAGTATGCCTCTTACATTTTTCAGCTCTAAAATTTCTGCTTGATTCACTTTCATTATTTTAATCTCTTCAGTAAATTTATCTGATAGAATTCTGAATTTCTTCTAGGCATTATCTTGAATTTCTTTGAGTTTCCTTAACACTGCTATTTTGAATTCTCTGTCTGAAAGGTCACGTATCTCTTTCTCCAGGATTGGTTCCTGGTGCCTTATTCAGTTCATTTGGCGAGGTCATGATTTCCTGGATGGTCTTGGTGATTGTGGATATTCGTCAGTGTCTGGGCACTGAAGAGTTAGGTATTTACTGTAGTCTTCACTGTCTGGGCTTATTTGTACCCATCCTTCTTGGGATGGCTTTCCAGATATTTGAAAGGACTTGGGTGTTGTGATCTAAGCTGTATGTGCTTTAGGGGGCACCCTAAGTCCAGCAACTCTGTTTATTGCTGACTCATAGAGGGACTGCCTTGATGGTCTTGGACAAGATCTGAGAGAATTCTCTGGATTACCAGGCAGAAACTTTTATTCTGTTCCCTTACTTTCTCCCAGAGTGTCTTTCCCTGCTCTGAGCCATGTAAAGCTGGGGGTGGAGTGACACAAGCACCCCTGTGGCCACCACCACTATGACTGCACTGAGTCAGACCTGAGGCCAGCGCAGCACTGGGTCTCACCCAAGGCCTGCTGTAACCACTCCCTAGCTACAGCTTATGTTTGTTGAGGGCCCTGGGGCTCTACAATTAGCCTCAGCTGGTGGCAAAGTAAACCAGGCCTATGTCCTTTCCTTCAGGGCAGCAAGGTCCCCAGGTCCTGGGTGGGTCCAGAGATGCCTTTCTAGAGCCAGAAACTATAGTCAAGAACCTTAGAAGTCTCCCTGCTATTCTATTGTACTGCAGCTGAGTGGTACTCAAACTACAAAACATAGTCCTTCCCATTCTTCCCACCCCTTTCCAAAGGCAGAGGAGTCTTACCCCATAGCCACTGCCACCCCAGACCACTGTGAGTTCAATGACTCACAATTACTGCATTCTCCCTCCTCTAGTGCCTGGAGAGGCACTCTGCATTACTGCCAGACTGGCTAGCCAATGTTCCCATAAGGGCCAAAGTCTCTTAACTCAGCATGTGGTAAATACTGCATGGCCTGGGACACACCCTTCAGGACAGTGGGCTTCTCTTTGGCCCAGGGCAGGTCCATAAATGCTATGACTCAAATCCTGGAATTAGCGACCCCCAAAAGCCTGCTTGTTGCTCTTCACCCCTGTAGCTGTGCTGCTACCTAAGATGCAAGACGAAGTCCCCTTTACTCTTCCCTCTGCTTTTCTCAAGCAGAAGAAATTTTGCCCCATAGGCACCACATCTGGTAATGTCCTGAGTCTCATCTGAAGCCAATAAGTCTCAGATACTCACCCCAGGCCATTAATGTAGTACCTGGGTATAACTGCTGGTTATTCAGGGCCTAAGGGCTTTTCAGTTAGCAGATGATGAATGCTGTCAGGACTAGGGTCTTTCCTTCAAGACAGTGGGTTCCCTTCTGGCCCAGAGTGTGCCTAGAAATGTTGTCTGGAAGCTAGGCTTTGGAATGGAGGCCTCATGAGTCTGACAGGTACCCTATCTTGCTGTGGCTGAGCTGGTATCCAAGATGCAAGAAAATGTCCTCCCTACTCTTCCCTCTTCTTTCCTCAAGCAGAAGGAAGCGGTCTCTTTTGGAACCACAAGCTGGTCAGCCTTGCCTTAGGGGAGAGGTGATGCCAGCACTCCCTTAGCTGCCTTAGCTTGTGTCACAGTAGATCACGTGCCCCTCCCTTCCATCCAAGTTCACTGTCTCTGTGCCTAGTTCAGCACTAGGAGTTGCCTAAGATTTGCAGATCCTAAGGCCTAGACTGCCTTTCAAGTTTACTTGGAGACACAGAGTACTGTAGACCTTGACAGCAAGGATTGACAGAACTCAAGTATCAACTACTAGGATCAGTGATTCCCATCTGGCTAAGGCCGGTTTAAATGCTCCCTTTCTGGGAAGGCATCAGCTGAATTTGATCTGGTTTTCCTTTCTGCTCTAACAGAACAGCACTGAGTTCAATGCCTCAGAAAGCCTGTGTTCTCCCTCTCGCAGCACCCAGAGAGGTTCTCTGCACCACAGGGCCACTGCTGGGGTAGGGGAGGGATAGCCTCAGTGATTCTGGACTGTTCTATGTCTCAGTGCCTCTTTCAGTGATATGAAGTTAAAACTGGGTACTAAGAGTGTTCATCTGATTTTTTGTTCTTATGAAGGTTTTTTTTCTGCATAGCTAGTTGTTAACTTGGTGTCCTTGTAGTGGGAACAATCAGTAGAGCCTTCTATTCTGTCATCTTGCTCCACCTCTCTATGCTGTTGTTTTAAATATAACTATAAAGCAAAGTACTCCTAAAGTAAGAGTCAGTGCCTTGAAAATAAGTACATAATAATTATTGTATTTTAATGTTTTAAATGTTTTACAGACTAACTGAAAATAGCAGAAAATGACAAAAATTTCCTTTTTCCATATCTTTCCTACAATCAAATTCCTCTTGTTCTGTCTTGCAGTGTTTTAGTTCTGTGAACTTTTACTTCCTTTCCTTTTTAATAAGCAGGATCTTTTTCAATTACACTTATTATTTTTTAATAATTACAGATTATCATGGTGTTGTCACAGATAGTACAAAAATATTTCATGTACACTTTGCCCAGTTTCCACAGTGGTAAAACTTTCAAAACAATAGTAAAGCGTCACAATCAGGGTATTTACTTTGATACAATCAAAAGACAGAACATTACCATCACCATATGGATTACTCATTTTTTTCTTCTTTTTATAGCCACGCTAATTTTCCTTTTTCCTCTCCTTCATTCTACTTACTTAAAGCTTGAAAACCAATAATCTGTTCTCCATTCACTATTTTTTTTTAATTTCAAGCATATCATTTAAATGCATTCATGTAGTATATAATATTTGGAGATTGGCTTTTTTTCACTCATCATTTTATTTAGGAATTTATCCAAATTTCTGTGCATTTCAACATTTTGGTCTTTTGTATTGTTGCTTAGTATTGCATCACATGGCTGTTTCAAAGTTTGTCTAATTATTCACCCACTGGAAGACATTTGGATTGTTTCCACTTTGGGGCTATTATGAATAAAACTGCTATCAACATTTATGTATAGGTTTTTCTGTCAAGATAAAATTTTATTTCTCCATTGTATATTTAATTTTTTAAGAAACTGACAGTTTTTCAGAGTAGCTGTACCATTTCACATGTGCCCGTTTCACCACTTCCTTATCAGCATTTGGTGTTGTCACTACTTTTTACTATAATTTTTCTGATAGGTGTGTAGTGATAAACAACTGTGATTTTTATTCGTATTTCTGTAATGGTTAATGATGTTGAACACCTATTCATGTGCTTATTTGTCATCTGTATGTCCTCTTCAGTGAAATAACTGTTCATTATTTTGCCATTTTCTAATGGGATTTTTAAAAATGTGTTGTTTGTTTTTGTTTCTTAGTGTTGACTTTTGATAGTTTCTTATATATTATAAACACTAGGCCTTTGTCAGCTATATAATTTGCAACTATTTTCTTTCAGTCTGTAGTTTGGTTTTTCATTTTCTTAACAGGGTCTTTCATGGAGCAAAAGTACTTTGGTGAAGTCCAATTTATAAAAAATTTGCTTATGTGAATTGTACTTTTGATGTTAAGAACTCTTTGCCTAGCCATAGATTCTGAGGATTTTCTGTTTCTTTCTAAAAGCTTTACAGTTTTATATACTACATTAAGTCTGTGATCCATGTTGAGTGAGTTTTTATATGAAGTGTGAGATTTAAGTCTTAAGTCAAGGTTTTGTTGTATTTTTCTTTTGCCTAGCAATGACCCATGGCTGAAATGGCTTTCAATATTCTAAGAAATTGCTTTTGCACATTTAACAAAAATCAGATACTCCACTCAGAATAAGTGGAGTTATTTCTGAGTTTGCTATTTCTTTTGATCTACCTGTCTATTTATCTGCCAATACAACTAGAATCTTGATAGCTATAGATATATAATAAATCTGGATATTGGCTAAACTATTTATCTCACTTTATTTTTTCAAAATTGTTTTAGCTATTTGAATCATTTGATTTTCCATATAAATTTAAACAATCTTGTCTATATCTACAAAAAACTCTTGCTGAGATTTTATAGGTATTGTAGTAAACCTGTTTATGAATTGGAAGATATTTGACATCTTTATTATTTTGAGCCTTCCAATCCATGAACACTGTACATCTTTCCATTTGTTTACATCTTCCTTGACTTCTTTCATCAGCGTATTCTAATTTTCAGTATGCGAGACCTATACATATTTTGATATAATTGCACCTAGATATTTCATTTTATTTTTAGTTATTTTACACAGTATTGCATCCTTAATTTCAGTGACCATGTTTTCTAATACACAGAAATTAAACTGATTTTTTATGTCTATCTATTTTATGTTCTGTATGTCTTCCAATGTTAGTGGATGCATCTATTTATTCTCAAATGATGTTTATAGATTCCTTGCAATCTAAAAAATCTATGTTTGCCTGCAAACAGGAAGTTTTCTATTCAATTTTTGTATAAAATTATTATTATTTACCTGATTATATTATCCCAGAACTTTAGTGAAATGTTGAACAAGAGTGGAGAGAGCATGTATTTTTGCCTTGTTTTTATCCTAAAGAAGGCTAATTGTCTATTTTTGTTGTTGTTGTTTGTGTTTCTGCTGTCTCAATTTAAAAAGCAATAACCTAATGTAAGGTTATAAATATTTATTTCTGCATTTTCTTCTAAAAATTGTATGGTTTTATTGTTTACATTTCCATCTCTGATCCATTTTGAGTTATGTTTTGTATAATACATTTGATAGAGATTCAGTTGTGTTGTTTTCCATGTGAATATCCATTTCATTTGTCCCAGCATCATTTTGGAAAAGGCTGTGTTTCCCCAATTGTGTTGTCTTGGCATCTTTCTCAAAAATCAATTGACTGTTAATGTAAGGTTTATTTCTGAATTATCAGTCATATTTCATAGATTTTTATGTCTATCCTTATGTCAGGAAATGTTATTTTTATTATTGTAGCTTTGTAGTAGATTTTGAAATCAGAAAATGTAAGACTTTCAACTTTTATTTATCAAGGTTGTTTTGGTTATTCTGGATCCTTTGCATTTCCATATGAATTCTAGGATTAGCCTATACATTTCTGGGGGGAAAAGGCAGCTAGAATTTTGATTGGGTTTGTGTTGAATCTATAGTTCAATTTGAAGAGTATTTAATCGCAAGAACATTAAGTTTTTCAATTCATGGAATAGGATGTCCTCCAGTTATTTAGATATTTCTTAATTACTTTTAGTAATATTTTGTGGTTTTTAATGCTAAAATTTTATACTTTGTCAAATTTATTCTTAAATATATTATCATTTTGATAATTCTGTGAATAAGTTGCTTTCTTAATTTTAGTTTTCAATTGTTAATTGCTAATGTGTGTCTGCAAAATTGACTTTTTATAGTGATCTTGGACCTGCAACCTTGATTAGCTATTTTTTAATTTTAACTTTTTAAATGTGTGAATTACTTAGGGTTTTTTAATATAAATAATCATTTCATCTGTGGAGAAAAAAATTTACTTTTTCCTTTTTTATCAGAATGCCAATTATAATTTTTTATCTTAACTAATTGCTCTGGCTAGAACTCCTAGTGCAATGTTGAATAGAAATAAAAAACAGTAGATGTATTTGTTTTGTTTCTGATATAAGGAGAAAGCATTGTCTTCATTAAATATGATGTTAGCTGTGAGTTTTTCATAGATATACTTAAGATGATGAGATCATTTCTTTCTACTTCTAGTATGTTGAGTGTTTTTATCATAAACACATAATGGATTTTATTAAGTAATTTTTTTTACATCTATTCAGATGATCATATGCTTTTGTTCTTTATTCTGTTAACATGCTATTTTACAATAATTGATTTTCAGATATTAATCCAACCATAGATTATTTTGATAAGTCAAACCAGGTCATGATGTATAATCTGACTTTCTATTTATATTTTTGTCCTTCATTTGTTTCTCAGACTAAATAATCTCCACTGACCTATCTTCTAGTGCGCTGTGCCTTTCTTTTCGCAGTTCAAGTCTGGTTGTGATTGCCTCTAGTGAATTCTCTTTCATTTCAGTAATTATACTTTTCAATTTCTGAATTTTAACTAGGTTCTTTTTTAATAATTTCTATCTCATTGATGTTTGGTGGCACATTATTCTCATACTTGTGTTTAATTACATGTGTTTTTCTTTACTGTTTTCAGGATATTTATTATGGTTGATTTAAAGTGTATTTCAGATAAGTCTAACATCTGGATTTCCTCAGATACACGATCTATTGCTTCTTTTTTGTCTGTGTATGAGCTATACTAATTTCCTATTTTTTACATGCGTCATAATTTTGTGTTAAAAACTAGACATTCAAATATGGATATCTAGTGGCAAATTCAGAATAGTTTTCCACCAAACCAAGATGTGCTGTTTTTATTTGTTGTTGTTACTGTTGTTGCTGTTTGTTTGTATAATGACTTTATTAATTTTGTAAAGTATGTTGTATTCTTTTTCATGTGTGAACACTTATGTCTTTCTTGGCCACTTTATTCATCACCAAATGATTGGACAAAGATTTCCTTAAGTGCCTTGAACAAATAAATCTCCCAACCTTTGTCAAAGGACCCCTGTTTATATTGGGAGAATCTTTCGACACTCCAGTGGACAGTTTACATCTCTAGTTTTGCCTTCACTCCCTGGTTACATCAAGCCTTATCCTCAGCCAGCTGTGAGAGATTAGGGCCCTCTTAGGTCTTTCCTAAGTGTATTCACAACCCTAATCATATGCATAATTTTTTTAGGTTTCCATGAGTGTATTAGTTTTTATTTTTAAGGGTATTTTATTTTTCTAAAACAGCTTCTTGTTAGTCACAACTGGAATCTCCACTGAAGGCAGCTGCAATATTAAGCAATTGCCTCTGATGGGTTGTGCTAGTTGCACAAAGCAAGCTCTGAATCAGCTCAAATAAAGACAAATGTCGACAGTAGAGCTTTTTATGCGACTTTCAGATGGGCTAAATAGTGACAATTTTCTGGGAATGGGACTTTCTCCAAACACATTCTGCCCTTACAGTGACTTCTAGGATGCTCGTTTTCACAACTCCTGTATTTGCAAAGTTATGGTTTTCAAGGCTACGTGGAACTGGAAAGAAGGGAATAAGAATGGGACAAAGTAAAACACCACAAAACTCACTGTTCTTACTAAGATACACACATTTGTCTTGAATAATTATTCCCCAGATTGTTTCAACCCTTGGCTTATTCCTAGAATTCTTTATTTTGAAATTGAATTCTAAAAAAAAAATTGATTTTAACAATTTTTGCAAGTGCTCTCATTTTTTTTATTTTGGAGGAGTAGATATTGGAGGTTTTCATTTTTTTTTATTTCAGATGTGCTTTTGTATTTAGATTATTTTTAATAACAGCCTTAAATATTTGTCAATATTTTCTTAATTAAATCTTGCTTTAAGTTGCTCAACTGCTGCCTATAGAGTAGAACAAAATACCTTAGTTAAATATTCAAAATTTTCAATATTCTGACTCCAACCAATCTTAAAAACTTAATTCTAAATATTTCTTTCTTATATTATACCTAACCCTCTCAGTCAGTCTGCTAAAAATTCACTTATTTACTTCAAACTTTAAAAAAAAGTTTTCTTTAGAAAAGTAAAGATATGTATATCTGGGATGGACTTTGTATCTGCCATCTCTGTATGGCCAAGCAAAGATGCTATCTATTCTATGATCATTTTATTTAATAACTCAGAAAGAAATATTATCTTTTTTAAATTCTTAAAGCAATTATTTTTAACAAATATAATATTTTCAATTATATTCTTTGTCTTTATATGAATTAGTATTTTGTTATATTTCTTCTATTATAAGAAAAGCTCTTAGGAAATAGGATAATAATAATATATGTAGCCTTGGAAATATGTCAGGCATTCAATAACTACTTCCTGAACGATTAAACTGATAATGAATGAATGAAAAAAATATAAATAAATACTATTCTCTTATCACCATTAAATAATTATTTCTAATTTTTATTTTTCACCAGTATTTCCTAATGGCATCTTTTGCATGTAATAACAGGATATTAAATTACTAATCAAAAAAGAAACTATTTTATAATGTATGAGTTGAAAGTTACATTTGTTGGTAATTTCCAAATCTTTGAAAACATTTTTAATGTTTCAAGGGGTGACTGTACAAGGGCACTGACACTGAAATAATTTGAACCAATTTTCTTCTAATATCAAATGCTTATATTTGATATACAGTAGCTAGCATATTAAAAACCTCAGCTTATAATTTGTATACCTAATTTATACTGACTATATCAGTGTTATGGATTCCTAACAATAAACATTCATAATCTATAGGCTGAAATAGATTAGCTACTTTATTTGTTGATTGCAAATATGCATTAAAAAGTCAAAAACAACTATTTTGACAGAATTTTTCTGTATGACGTAGCAGAAAAAGAATATGGATAATACAAATGCATCATCTATCAAATACATAGCCAGATATCACCTAAAAGTACTTGCATTCTGCTAAAAATACACTATTGTCCCTCTACTACGAGAATGAAATCCTGCTTTGGAAAATCCTCTTATCTTTCTCAAGAACCATTTAGTAATTTACTTTTAAGTAATGGAAAGGATATGCTTTAAAGTTTCACTCCTATTTTTATTGCAAAATATAGATAAAGAAATAATATCTTGGCTGGATTAGTAATAAAAATTAATAAAATTGGCTGAATTATTGCTTTGGTGTGACTGATATTAACTTGAGATTTATTGAGATACCCTTGTAATATAATTTAAATTAAAGCAATATAGCTTATTTTGTCAGTTATACTTTCTTCTTTCCTTGAATTTTTCCTTTGAGTAAAAATTTGTTAAGGTTACAGCACAGCTTTTCTATATTTTTCCTCATGATAGGCATTTTCTGAAATGCTTAACATTTTATGAAAAGCAGCCTCATACCAATATTTGTTTTCATAGCCAGTCTCTACAACTGGATGAAAATGCATCAAATCCTTCTGTTCCCCTCATTTGAAGATGTCTGGACATGAACACATGCTCCCAAGAGAATGAACTGAGGATTTGTCTTTATAATCACTGTCTTGATTCCATGCTTCCTATTTCTTCATAAAAGTAGAGAGAGACATTTAAGAGAGAGACATGGAGTTGTAAATATTATTCAAGAAGAAGAACGAATTCTAAAGTCATCCAGAAAACAGTGGGAGCTTCCCAGTCAAAATTGGTGAGCCACAACACAAAGATAATAAAACATCTTCTATCCTTAGAATAACATTATAGATGTATCATATAAAAAAGTAAATCATACTCTAATTCTCTCCATAAAAGGTGTATTGAAAATATGTTTAATTTGTTATGTATTTTAAAATAAATATTATATAGTAACAATGATTTTTGGCTTAGTTAGTTATAACAGCATTTGTTAAATTATGTATCAGAATTAAATGGAATCATGTACCTAGAGATGTTAAGATATATTTCCAAATGTATGTTTGGATCACAGTCAAAATGGAGTTAAATCAAATTAGTAGGCTTTTTGTCTTTGGATTTTAAAATAATACATTTTATTTTTAAGTATATGTTATGAATTCCTAAAAAAGAATTTCCCACACCACACTTATTTTGCTAGAGTCATACTCCTACTGTACTTTTTTTTTTTTTTTTTTTTTGGCTAGAATGCAGTGACACAATCGTAGCTCACTGCAGTATCATACTCCCAGGTTCAAACAATCCTCTTGCTTCAGTCTCTTAAGTAGCTAGGACTACAGGCATGCACTACCATGCTCAGCTAATTTTTCAAATCTTTTTGTAAAGATATGGTCTCACTGTGTTGCTCAGGCTGGTGTTGAATTCCTAGCCTCAAGTGCTCCTCCAGCCTTAGTCTTTCAAAGCACTGAGATTACAGGTGTGTGCCACAACAACCAGCCTCCTATTGTATTCTTATTGTTATCTCATGTATGCTCTTTGAAAAGTAATTTAGAATACATATTTTCAGAATTTTATACAATTTTGCACTGTCCAAAATCTGATGAAGTTAATTATCCTTGTTTTGTTGCATAACCCAATGCAGATGACCATCTCTAAACTTTCTAGAATAGTCCTAAGGAGAGCTGATAAAGAAATAAGAAGACCAGTGCAAAGGCAGGTTCCACAATTAAGAAAATAGCTACAACATGGCATGCTTTATGATTCTAAAAAAAATAAATTGTATAGTAAAAAAACATTTAAACTGATTTATCTTTTAATTTCTTTTGTTTTCTTTCACATTTTTATTATAGTAAGAAAGTTACACAGAAAAGTGGAAAATAATGAAACCCTCCAATGCATGTACCTATTATCATATGCCACTTTTAAAGCTTATGGGGAAGTCAGCTTTACCCAAACCACCTAGACTGAGAGTAAGACAGTGGTGGCCCATTGAGGACAAGGGAATTCTGTTATACCCACAAAGAAGAAATTATGATTAGGAAAAATAAGATATTTTCATGGTAATTATGTTGCACAGAGTTATAACAAATAGAAGTATAAAAAAATTACAACTCTTCCAAATTGCCTGAATTAAAACACACACACACTCATATATGCATACACATCCAAAAACATAGGAAAGAAGAGCCTAATCATTTTTATTGTATAAAAACTCTCAGAAAATAAAAACATAAAAATAACAACAATAGAACAAATAGCCCCTTTAAAAATTGGGTAAAGGATATGTATAGACATTTTTCAAAGAAGACGTACAAATAACCAAAGAGCATATGAAAAAATGTTTAACATCACTAATAATCAGAGAAATGCAAATTAAAAACAAAATGAGATATCATATTATACAAGTCAAAATGGCTATTATAAAAATAAAATAACAGATGATACTTATACACTGTTGGTAGAAATGTACAATAGTACAACCTACATGAAAAATATGGAGATTTCTACCATTCGAATCAGCAATATCACCATTGAGTATTTACTCAAATGAAAATAAATCATTATATCAAAAAGACCTGTGCTTGTATATTTATTGCAGCACTATTCACAACAGCAATGATATAGAAGCAATCTAATTGTCTATCAACAGATTGGATAAAGAAAATGTGGTACACATACACAATGGAATACTACTTAGTCATAAAAAAGAATAAAAGCATGTCTTTTGCAGCAACATTTAATGAAACTCTAGGCCATTATCTTAAGTGAAGCAACTCAGAAACAGAAAAACAAATACCACATGTTCTCACCTAAAAGTGGGAGCTTAATACTTAATGAGTACAATGTACATTATTCAGTGATGAACACTCTAAAAGCCCAGACTTCACCACTATGCAATATATTCAAGTAACAAAATTGCACTTTTGCCCCTTAAATTTATACAAGTATAAAGAACTGCACAATTAAAGCAAAATAGTACAGTATAACAACAAATATAAATGGTGACAACTCATCTACTTAAATTTTGAAAAAAGAAAAAGCTAAGGTGTATTAATCAAATGCTGTGGTTGTGATACTGGAACCAGATAAAGATAATTTAGTATACAAATATGCTGAAAGGTTCAGTCCATTAAAGGTATCAAATCAAACGAAAATTCCACAATAAGGTCTACTTCAGCTAATTAATAAATTAGGAAATATTAATAACAAAATTTGCGAAGTATAAATTTTGTGAACTGAGAGGAGATGACAACAGATAATAATAGGTAATATTTATTCATATAATCATAACAAATCATATAGACAAATCATATAAAAATGTAGGGAATCTGAAATATGTAACCAATAAATCTGAGTAAATATAACTTAATTTTAATAACTTTATAGATAGCAAATTTTTCATGTGTTCACTTTACATATACAAAGTGATTATGTATTAGAACACAAAAAATACATTTTAAATTTTAAATACAGATAATATTTTGACAAAATTAGTTGCTAGTAGAAATTAGTGAAAATATAGGAATAAAAATTCCTTAAGCAACTGGAATTTGAAAACACTTTCTTTACAATTCTTAGGTGAGGAAAGGAAATCAAATTCAGTCAGAGATAGCCAAAAATAATATTAATGGAAAGGCAACATATCCAAATATGGAATGCTGCTAGAGATTGCTATAGAAAATTTGTTATTAAACTGATTTAAACATGTATTAATAAATATAAAGAAATGAAATTACTCAGAATTCAATTCACGAAGTTAGACTAGACAACATAAAACAAAGGATCATGGGGAGAACAAAATAAAGATAATACCAACAAAAACAAAAACAAAATTTGTAAATTAATCCAAAAAATAATCCACCAGAAGTGAAATATGATACTTTTTTTGCCAACCTATGCAAGAAAAAATGTAAATTGCAAAAAAAAAAGTTTAGAAATACGATTTACAGGGGAAAATCATAGATATAGAAGATACTCTGAAAAATTTAATTTTTAAGCAACTTTTAACAATTCTAAAAATGTGTTTGCAAGCAAAGGTCTATTCAAATACACTCAAAAATGTGAATTAATTAAACAATTTTAGAGAGAATGTAAATACCACTAATGTTCTTGTCATCCCAGGGTGCGCTTTAATTTGTTTTACGTCTGTTTTAAGAAGGCTAAAAATGCTTTTAGAGAATTTCTTCTCTCTGAAAACACACAGGTACAGATACACACACACACACAGACACACACACACACACAAATCCCTGTTGATTAATAGATAAATAATTATTTTTAAATTTTTTTTCCAATTTTCAAAATTATAGAAATCAAATACTAATGTAATGTCTCCCCAAAAAATTAAG
Organism: Homo sapiens; assembly: GCF_000001405.40. Lineage (NCBI taxonomy): Eukaryota > Metazoa > Chordata > Mammalia > Primates > Hominidae > Homo > Homo sapiens. Next base: position 76,930,516 of record NC_000006.12, on the reverse strand, counting down.
CCGAAACTCTTCTCAATTTATCACACATTTAGGTGGTACATGTGAATATATTTCACATGCATAGGATGTATAATGATCAAGTCAGAGTATTTGAGGTGTGCATCACCCTCAGTATTTATCATTTCCATGTTCTGGTAACATTTCAAGTCCTCTCTTCTAGTTGCTTTGAAATATACAATATATTGTTGCTAACTATAGTCAACCTAGTCTGCAATCTAACATTAGAACTTATTTCTTCTCTCTATTGGTAAGTTTGTACCCATTCACTAACCTCTCTTTATTTTCCCCTCTTACCTTCATACACTTTCCAGTGTCATTCCACTGTATCTCCATGAGGTGAAACATTTTAACTGTAAGATGGGAATTTTTAAGTGTTTGAAAAGCTAAAGAAGGCAATGTCAAGGGAAGCTGCCACTAACCATCACTGTTTAGCTAGTTAACACATTGCAGAAACTACAGAAAAACACGAGGGATGAGCACAGCTGCTGGAATCTTTGAAACAAGTGATTTTTGGGGAATTTTCTGGAGACAGCTATAGAAGATCAATAGTCCAAATCGCTTGTTTAAAAGTTTATATTTTTCCAAAAATGGTTGCAGTGATATCCCGTTTTCTCCGTACTTTTCTGCCATGCTGCTTTCCACTACTACAATAAGATATGGAATTCTCTATTACCATTGTTATGGACTGAATATTTGTTTCCCTGCAAAATTTAAATGCTGAAGCTCTAAACCCCATTGCTATGGTATTTGGAAGCAATTATCTTTGAATTAGGTTTGGATGTGGTTTCTCTGATGGATGTGTTGATATTGACATCTATATGATTAAGATGAAATATATTAATGTAGCTAGAATTCAGAATAAAGCTAATTACATTTCAAGAAGTAAGAAGAAACAAAACACCTCCCATTTGTTACTCATTATTAGGCCTATATTATTCAAATGATTTTCACAAATGTTCTGAAAATAAACGTACCAGAAAGAAAAGCTTTATCATCCACAGTGATCTCCTACACTATCTTGTTTCCCCTGTTCTCTCTCTGAACTACCTCTTTCTGTAGGTCTAAACTGGAATAGTTAGTGCCATTATTATGACTGGCCTTCCTTTTTTAAATATTCATCCAGTTCAGTGTGATAAGGTTGCAATATTTCTAGAACTTATTTTAAGAGAAATAAGCATTATTTAATAATTTAGAAATGTATCTGTAATTTGCTAACATAAAGACAGACTTTGTAAATGTAAGGTACTAAGCTTTCTGTTTGTGACCCAAATGTCTCTTTGTTGATATAAATACTATATATAATGTAACATATAGTATATATATAAAATATATATACTATATATTATATTATATATTATATATACTGTATATGTTATATATAATATAATACTATATATATAATGTAATATATAGTATATATATAAATATATACTATATATATATATTTTTTCTTTTTTCCAAGATGGAGTCTTGCTCTGTCACCCAGGCCGGAGGGCTGGAGTGCAGTGGCATGATCTTGGCTCACTGCAACCTCCGCCTCCCAGGTTCACGCCATTCTCCTGCCTCAGCCTCCCGAGTAGCTGGGATTACAGGTGTGTGCCACCACGCTCAGCTAAGTTTTTTGTTTTTTTAGTAGAGATTGGTTTCACCATGTTGGCCAGGTTGGTCTCAAACTCCTGACCTCGTGATCCACCCACCTTGGCCTCCCAAAGTGCTGGGATTACAGACATGAGCCACCTCATCCGGCCAGTTGATAAATATATTAAAACTTGTATTCATGTTTAAGTTGAGATCAGTCCTGACATGTTTTCTGAGAGAATGTTTATTCCTATCTAGAATATATTTTTTATCCTTCTCTTAGACTATGAATCTCCTCTACTTGATTTATTCTCAATGTTACTTTGAGTTTTTAAAAAACAAAATTAACAAAGTTTGTTTGCCAGTGGCTGCATTTAGATAGTCAATTGTTTTACTATTTGGAATCCCTAGCTTACTTGCCTTTAGGTCTCTGGTCCTATAAAGAATTAAAACAGAAGGCTCCTGATTAATTTGAAAGGCAAATGCTTGTCATTGATATATGGCTACAGACACTTTTTTAGCTCCTGAAGATATCTCTTACTTTCTTTTGAGTTTGGCTATGTATGTAAACAACATTTGCTATATTACCTCTAGCATTTCGAAGTTTTGAGTTGAGAGGATTTTCAGGACATTTGACCTGTCATAAGGCAGAAATAGAGTCTTCAATTAATGTTTTATTAATTTGCTCAAACACATCAAATTGAGTTGCTATTGTGTTAGGAATACCTTTAGCACTATGATTCAGCCATGATGAAAACAGACAAAAATCTCTGCCCTCTTAAAATATGCAATCCAGTGGGGGTGATAAATATGAAAAAAAAAAAAAACGTACACATAAGAATACTTGGGCATTCTGGTGGGACTTCTGGGTGGAGTGATCAGAATGTGCAAAGGCCCTGTGAACAGAGTGTGTCTGGCATGTTTAAGGCCCATCTAGTTTTCTAGAGCAAGCAAGAGGTGAGTTCAGAGAAGACCTGGGGTGAATAGGGTTATGACCATGCATAACCTTAGAGATTATTTTAATGACTTGGACTTTTGCTCTATGATGCAGAGCTATTCAGGGGATTTATGCAGAGAAATGACATGATCTGACTTCAGTTTTAGCAAGATCACTTTTAAGAATAGCTATGATATGACATTGCCTTATGTATTAGTGAACTTAAGACCATTTGACATGAATACCAAAAGTATAGGTTTGGAGGTCACATTAATTGACTACTGTTGACAACTAAATTGGATAATTTGACTTCCAACATAGAAATTTTGGCTTCAGTTTTTCTAAATTAGATGTACATTTTTATTAATTTAATTTTGTTTCTCCAAGCTTCTAATGTACATTTTGTGATTACTATCTGAGTCCTTGGTCTCTCCAGTTCTCCAAAATTGAGTGTAGGTCAAGTAAGAAGCAATAAAAATGAGATCTCTATGTAAAAGTAAATCTGTACTAGATTTCAAAGATGGATTCTATAAGCAAAACCAATTAAAACTGTGTTTTACAAATCAGGATTCAAAATGTTTTAGTAACTCTATCTTTCATAAAATCTTTATTCCTAAATTCTGTCAAAGTACAATTCAAAATACAGTAATCCAATGTCTGGAATAAAAGCTAAATGAGGGAAAAATGGCATACAAAGGAACTAGAAAATGCTGCATCATTTTAATTTGCTTTTACAACCTTCCACAATGACCTTTCCTTGAATATGGCAGCATATTCTAGCAAACAACTAAATTTTACTAAAATCAATAAAATGACCTACCTCTAACTTTTAAAGCAGCAAGACAAATGTCATATTTTATATTTATATTCAATTACCCGTACCTAAAAATATAAGATGTGGAGTTTAAATTTGACCATTATGACCTCCATAATGCAATTTTGCACAACCCCATCTTAAGATATTATCTCAGATTTCTTGCTGGAAACCAAAGGATTATCAGAAAGAAGCTTAAATAATTATGGGAATGGGAAGAAAAAAATTAATAAAAACCTATAAAGGTAGCACTTGAAAGCATAAAATTCAGACTCTGGAAGAAAATAAGTGCTCAAAAATTATTTGAACATAATTTTAACTAATTTCTCTAAGAATCAGATAAACATCTATAGGGTAATCTATTAATATATTAATTTTGTGTATTACCTATATCACCCATGTTATAAGACATTTTATAACTCATTGTCTTAGAGAATTTTGCTGTTCAAAAAGCAGAATTTATTTCAAAATATTTTCATTTCTGAGTTTCATTTTTCTAGAGCTTGAGTCCTTGCATGGATTGTGCTAGGAGTACCACAAGGAAGACAAAGGGCAGAGTACCTCTAAGAAGCAGAGAGGTAGAGGTAAGATTCATTCAGCCTCAAGAGGGTAGATCTGTCTGTCCCCTCTTGGGACCAGCACCTGCAAAGGTAGGACACCAAGAAGCCTAGACATTAGTTTAGGGGTTTCCAGGGTCACTAAAGATGGGGTGTTCCTTGTAGTGGTCCAGAGAAAGCAAACACATTGTATTGAATATTCTTGGCAATTGAGCCCCCATTAGAGGAGTTTCCTTCATACCTTAGTGACTTTTATACAACTGTAGGGTAGCAGAAATCCCAATGATAACTAAAATTTAATGCCCATTGATTTATATAAGATGTTAACTTCGATTCCTTTCAAGTAGATGAACTAACTTGAGCTGATTTTTTCACAATTAATTCTGAAAAATTTGGGAAGGAGAGTAAAGCATGGAACCCAGTAACTACCACAGTCAACTAGATAAAACAGAAAGAAATCTTTTCAGGTGACCAAAGGTGCCTTACAATCATGGTGGAAGAAGAAGCAAACTCATCCTTCTTTACATGGTGACAGGAGAGAGAAGTGCAGAGTGAAGGAGGGGAAAAGCCCCTTATAAAGTGATCAGATCTTGTGAGAACTCACTCACTGTCATGAGAACAGCATGGAGGTAATCGCCCCCATGATTCTATTACCTTCCACTAGGTCCTCCTGTGACACGTGGGGATTATGGGAACTACAGTTCAACATGAGATTTGGGTGGGAACACAGCAAACCATATAACACTCATAATGTCCAGGCTGATAGTCAAATCAAGCACACAATCCCCTTTACAATAGCCACAAGTAAAATCAAATACCTAGGAATACAGCTAACCAAGAAAGTAAAAGGTCTCAACGAGAGATCAGTATCATTAACATGGTCATACTATCCAAAGCAATCTACAAATTTAACAGTATGCTTATCAAACTACCAACATCATACTTCACAGAATTAGAAAAAAAATTCTAAAATTCACATCGAACTAAAAAAAAAGAGCCCAAATATTCAAAGCAATCTGTGTAGTCCATTTTCTCATTGCTATAAACGAATACTTGAGACTGGGTAATTTATAATGAAAATAAATATAATTAGTTCATGGTTCCACAGGCTATACAGAAAGCATGATGCTGGCATCTGCTTGACTTCTAGGGAGGCCTTAAGAAACTTACAATCATGGTGGAAAACAAAGTGGGGGCAGGTACTTCATATAGCAGGAGCAAGAGTAAGGGGAGGAGGTGCTGCACACTTTTAAACAACCAGATCTCATGAGAACTCACTCTCACAATCATAACACAGTACCAAAGAGATGGTTGGTGTTAAACCACTGATTAGCAATCTGCCCCCATGATCTAATTACCCTCCACCAGGCCCCACCTCCAACTTTGGGGATTACAATTTGAAGTGAGGTTTGGTGGGAACACAAATCCAAACCAGATTTTTCCACCCCTGGTCCCCTAAATCTTACGTTCCACTCACATTGCAAAATATAATCATGCCTTCTCAATAGTCCTCTAATCTTAATACATCTCAACATTAACTCAAAAGTCCAAATTCAAGTCTCATCTTAGACAAGGCTAGTTTATTCAACCTATGAGCCTGTAAAAATCCAAAAAAAATGTTTGTTACTTTCAAGATACAATGGGGGTACAAGCGCTGGGTATACATTCTCATTCCAAAAGGGAGAAATTAGCCCAAAGAAAGGAGCTACAGGCCCCATGCAAATCCAAAACCCAGCAGGGCAGCTATTAAATCTTAAAGCTCCAAAATAATCTCCTTTGACTCTGTGTCCCACATCTAAACCATACTGGTGCAAAGGTTTTGCTCCCAAAAACTTGGGCAACTCCACCTCTGGGCTCTGCAGGATTCTGTCCCCTCAGCTACTATCAAGGGCTGGTGTTGAGTGCCTGCAGCTTTTCCAAGCTCAGTGTGCAAGCTGCCAGTGGATATACCATTCTGTGGTCTGGAGGAAAGTGGTCCTCTTCTTACAGCTCCACTAGGCAGTGCCCCAGAGGGGACTCTAAAGCAGCTCTAACTTCACATTTCCCCTCCATGCTGCCCTAGTAGAGGTTCTCCATGAGGGCTTTGCCCTTGTAGCAGGCTTCTGCCTGGACATACAGGCTTTCCCATATATCCTCTGAAATCTAGGCAGAGGCTCTCAAGCCTCAACTCTTGCACTCTGTACACCTACAGGCTTAACACCATGTGGAAGCAGCCAAGGCTTACAGCTTGCATCTGAACCAGCAACCTGAAGTGTACCTGGTGATCTTTTTAGCTACAGCTGATGCTAGAGCAGCTGGGATGCCATGAGCAGTGTCTTTGGGCTTTGTAGGGTAGCAGGGCTCTGGGCCTGGCCCAGGAAACCATTCTTCTTTCCTAGGCCTCTGGGCCTGTGATGGGAGGCACTGCCTCAAAGGTCTCTGAAATGCCCTCAAGGCCTTTTCTTCATTATCTTGGCTATTAGTACTTGGTTCCTTCTTACTTATGGAAATTTCTGCAGCCTGCTTGAATTTCTCCCCAGAAAATGGGCTTTCTTTTCTACCACATAGCCAGGCTGAAAATTTTCCAAACTTTTACACTCTGCTTCCCCTTTAATTATAAGCTCCAACTTTAGGTCATTTCTCTTCTCATGCATATGAGCATAGGTTGTTAGAAGCATCCAGGTCAATATTGAGCACTTCGCTGCTTAGAAATTTCTTCTGCCAGATTCTCTTAATCATCACTCTCAAGTTCAAGGTTCCACAGGTCCCTAGGGTAGTGGCACAATACAGCCAAGCCCTTTCCTAAAGCATAACAAAAGTGACCTTTGCTGCCATTCTCAATAATTGCCTCATTTCACTCTGAGACCTCCTCGGCCTGGACTTCACTGTCCACATCACTATCAGCATTTTGGTCATAATCATTTAACTAGTCTCTAAGATGTTCCAAATTTTCCCTTATCTTCCCCTCTCTTCTTCTGAACTCTTCAAACTCTTCCAATCCTCCCTGTTACCCAATTCCAAAGCTGCTTCCACATTTTCAGGTATCTTAATAGCAATACCCATCCCTAGTAACAGTTTTCTATGTTAATCTGCTCGCTCATTGCTATCAAAAAATACTTGAGACTGGACAATTTATAATGATCCTCTCTTTGGATCCTCAAAGACCTTTGGAAGTTTGATTTCTGTGTTTCTTTGTGTAGTCTTATTTGGTTTGAATCCATTTGGTATTCTCTGACCCCCATTTACCTTGGTATTTTTATCCTTCTTAAGTTGGGGGAAGGTTCCTATTATTATATCTTTGAATAAGCTTTGTACCCCTTGTTCTTGCCTAAGTCCATCTTGAGTACTAAGAATTCTTAGATCTGGTCTTTTGAGGTAATTTTCTATATCTTTTAGGTGATTCTTGTTCCTTTTTCTTTTTTCTCCTCTGTAAAAAAAGCCTGTGTCAAGCTCACTGAGTCTTCTTTCTGCTTGATTTGTTCTGCTATTGAGAGTCTCTAATAAATTTTTCAATTCAGTAAATGTATTTTTCAGTTCTGGGATTTTTGTTTAATATTTAAAATTATTTTAATCTATTTTTTAAATTTCATAGATAAATTTATGAATTGGTTTTCTGTGTTATCTTGGAGATACTGTGTTTCCTTAAGACTTCTATTTTGAATTCTTGGTGAGAGAGTTTACATACCTTTGTCTTGTTCGAGTCTATCACTGGTTTCTTGCTTTGTCCATTTGGGGAGGTCACGGTTCCCTGTTCGCTACTATGAATGTATATGTTTCATATGAACGTATCTGTATGACTTTGCATTGAATGATTAGTTATTTATTCCATTCTTCTCTGTCTTGTTTTGGTTTTTATTGGGTATGTTTGCTTAGATATTGTTTGTAATTTACCTGTTGATTTTCTTTCTTTTTTTTTTAAATTCCATTGGTTCACTGCCTCCTTTTTGGCACTAGATGGCTACTGAAGCCTTGCCTCTAGCAAATGATTAGAGTACTGCTCATACTGAATGGGGGTCTTCCCAAGGTGGATATTCCTAGCAGTGTGGGGAGGCTAGCTATAGATTTGTGCCAAAAGGACCTGTGGAACGTACCTCCTATAGCAAGTAGCTGCTGAACAGTCAATGACATTTGGCATCTCCTTTGGAAGAGTTGCAGAGCACAGTTTCTAGGACTAGGGTTGGTAGTGCCACTTGCCTCCTCTGTCTTAGGCTGTCATCAGGAACATTACTCCATTCAGGCACTGGCAATTCTTCCCATAGAGTCAGGCAGGAACAGGGCTCCTGCCAGGGAACCCATGATGGTGGGGAAGCTAGTTTTCCACCTCAGTTGTGCTTTTTCCAGTGCAGAAACCATGAGTTGGGAGAAATTTTTCTATGTACTTCATGCTGGGCTTGTTGAGAAAAGGGTTGTTGTGGATAGGAAAGTCTTGTTTTCTGACAAGCTATTTGAAGATTGTTTACTTCTCTGTAGCTCTGGGAAATGGTGCACTCTCCTATTTGAATTCTGAGATATTGCTGGTGATAATTCCATCACTGTACATTTGGTTTTGGATTTCTGTGTGAGAGGGTAGAGCCAGCTTGCTTCTAAGCTCTGATTGTGGAACAAGACTCCCCACCTTTTTTAGCTACTTTGAATAAAGCTGCTATGAACATGAAGGTACAAATACTTATTTGAGTTCCTGCTTTCAGTTCCTTAAAGCATATACCCAGAAGTTGAATTCCTAGATTATATGGTAATTGTATTTTTGATTTTACAAGGAATTGCCACATTGTTTTCCACAGTGACTGCAATATTTTACATTCCCACCAGCAATGTATATGGTTCCAATTTCTCCATATCCTTGCCAAAAACTGTAACCTGTTTTGTTTTGTTTAATACTAGCCATTCTAATAGGTATGAGGTGGCAGCATTACTTTTAAAAAGTAAATTTTTATCTCTCTCATTTGGTATACTTATCTATCATATTTTGAATTTCTGTAGGATTTGAGTCCATTTCGGAACTTTCCTTTTTTTTCTATTGATCTGTCTATTCATTGGCCAGTTACCACTTTATTTATTGAGGCTGGTAGTATGGGTCATTGTTTGATAGGGCTAGTCTTTTCTCACTAATGTTCTTTTCCCAAGTTTTCCTGATTATTTAACTTCTAATATAAACTTCAGAATCAGCTTTTATAATTTAAAAAAGTTGGCATTTTTACTGAATTTTAAAAAGAAGTTATCTTGGGAAGAATATGCACTTTGCAGAAGCTGATTGTTCTTAAGGTAATGATATAGCTTTCTATTGATTTATATCTACCATTATGTCCAACATAAATATTATAAAGATTTTTTTCAAAGAAGTCTTACATATTTCTTGTAAATTCACTCCTAGGTGTTTTGACTTCTTGGATTGCCATTGTAAATATTGGAATGCCTTCTGTTATATCTTCTGACTGGTTTTTGAGTGTATACAAATATATATATATACACATATATTATATATATTATATAAACATACACACATATACATTCATACACCTATATAAAATTATGTTAACAAATGCATATGTAATTTATGTATAAATATTAAGGAAATATTTGTTAATATTTTAAATGTTTTTTTCTCTAGAGTGGGTATTGAATGTTTATTAAGTGCATTTTTATTCGATATGAGGCAAATTATAAAATTTTCTATTTCACTGCATTAAATATAAAAATATATTATTAAGCATTTCAATTATGAAACATCTTCGCATTTCTAAAAAATCCACATACCATGGTATTTTATTATACAATGTGATGTTGAATTCTATTAATATATGCAAATATCTAACAGAATTTTTGCATAAATTGATCTATAGTTTATTTTAGAAATTTTGATATCAATGTATTTGTATTATAAAAGCAATCTCGGAGTTGGGATTTTAATTTATTTTTTACTTTTTTATACTCTGAGAAGGCTTAGCAAACATCAAAATCTTATCTTTGTAAGTTTAGTAGAAGTGGCTGTGGAAGCATGAGAATCCAGTTCTTTAGAAGAAAGAGATTTAGCTCTTTTGCAACTTTCCCTTTCTCTATTGCAGAAATTATAAGTTTTAATCTGTTTTATAAAACAAAGTCTGTTTTAATGAATTCCATTTTTTCTCAAAAATTATCCATTTCATTCAAGATATTTTTACAGATTTGTGCAAAGTGGTGTTTTATTATTATAAATTTTTATCTCAGTTTCTGTGATTGTTTTCCCCATTGGTCACTTCTATTGTGCTGTGAGTACCTTTATTTATTCCTTAGTTAAATCAGCTAATGATTTAACTATTTTACTGACTTCCAAAGAATAAAGCTTTAAAAATTTGTTCTATCATTTTTCTAATAATATTTTTATAAAATATTTTGTTTAGTATATTTTGTTTTTTAACATTTCAAAATCAGATGCTTAATTTACATATGTATGGATAACATCAAGTTTAATTTGTAACAATACATAAGAAAATTTAATATTATGAATGTTCCCATTAGTATTATTTCATCTGTACTTTCATTTGTACTTACATGCAAATCTTATGATATTAATTGAACCTCTCCTGTATCAAGAATTTCTTAAGATAAAGTTTTAAAATCCCTTGTCAGGGAAACTATTTTTTCTAACTTTTAAAACTTTAATTTCTATTTTTATTAAGCTGTGATCCAAGAATATTGTATTTATTATTTTTATTTATTTGGAATTTGTTAAAGTTGGCTTGTGTGTTTTTTTTTTTCATAGTTGGTCCATTTTATGTACGTTTTATGGGCAGATAAAAAGAAGGTATAGGCTTTACGCCTGTAGTCCCAGCACTTTGGGAGGCCGAAGCTGGTGGATCACGAGGTCAGGAGATCGAGACCATCCTGGCTAACACGGTGAAACCCCGTCTCTACTAAAAATACAAAAAATTAGCCGGGCGCGGAGTCAGGCGCCTGTAGTCCCAGCTACTGGGGAGGCTGAGGCAGGAGAATGGCGTGAACCTGGGAGGCGGAGCTTGCAGTGAGCTGAGATCGCTCCACTGCACTCCAGCCTGGGAGACAGAGCGAGACTCCATTTCAAAAAAAAAAAAAAAGTAAAATATTAAATATATATTCCTCAGATTTATCATATTGATTTGAATGTGTAAGTATTTGATAATCTTTTTTTGTTCATTTGATCTGTCTTGGAACGTGACAGACTCAAACCTTCTAATATTAGTGTTGTGTAATTTTTTTTTATCTCTTGTAATTTCTGCTTAATAAAAATTATTGTTAAATTACTTGGCATAAAGATAATTACAAATGTTACATTTATATTATGAATCTTACCTTTTGGTATAATAATTTGTGTTTTTCTTATGTAATGAGTTGTAGCCAAAATTTTACCGTGTCTGGTAGAGAAAGACCTCTGCTTCGTTTTACTCCATTTTACTGAAATACAGCTGTCCAAAATTTTATTTTAGCATTTTGAAATAATTTTGTTTACTGTGACACTTGTATAAACAACACAGTTGTCACTTGCTTTGTGATACAATATGAAATATTTTTATTTTAATAGGTTAATTAAACCTATTTACAGGTATTGAATCACATTTCATTGGCTTTCTCTCTCTCACACATTATATAATTTATAATTTTTTTACAGTTTTAAGATTTTCATTGTCTTGTCTGCTTACATTGCTTTGTGTGTGTGTGTATGCTTGGCTTCTTTCTTGGTGGTAACCATAATATTTTTATTGAATGGAATCTTAGCATCTTTTTAATTTAGACAATTAATTTAGATAATTAGATATTTAATTTAGATAATTCTTATTTATTCCCCACTACAAGCAAAAATAAAATTTTTGTCTCCTTTTCTTTTATTACCCAATTTTATTCAATAATGTTATTCATTCTATTGCACTCTAAATTTCTACTGCTGTATTTATTAGGTTTAATTGATGCTGTTTGACTGTTATTAAAGATTTAGAAATTAACTGTACAATTTGACTTAGCCTGTCTTCCTTTGTTTTTATTTCTTCTTTGTGGAAATATAGAACATTAGGGTGGGGCAAAAGTAATTGCAGCTTTTGCAATTACTGTTATTTTATTTTGTCACTCTTAAGCTTTACTTGTTCTTGTATTTCAGCTTAAATACTCAATGCTCTGCAGCATTTTTACATTTTTTGCTGAGGTTTCCTCAAAACATCTGTTCAGCTGAATTTTGTTTGAAACCTTTTCCAGAAGAACCTATATCAACAATATTTCCTTAGTCCTCCCTCTCCTCCTCCCTTTGGACTTTATACCTGAAGTACATTAAATAAGTTGAGGAAGAAAGAAGAGCAATGGAAGTGAGAATGTGAATAAGAATACCTACAATAATAATGTGACATAAGCTGTAGTTAGAAAAGTATTAAATGCTACACTTGATAAACACCTGAATTTTGGACATGAAATTCATACGCACTAAATATCATCATTCTAGACAATCTTTTAGGATCCAGGGATGAAGTAAAACTGTCTATGTTAATCTATTTTAAATGATGCTACTCTATGAGTTGTAATTACAGGCTGTTTATTCATTCAACTATTTACTCTGCAACAACGTATGCCAAGCACGGTTCTTTGTGCAAAGAAAATAGACAACAATTTTCGTCCATCTGGAGCTTACGGTTTCGTTAGTTCGAAGTATTTGTGCTTCAGAATATATCTTAACCTAATCTTTGGACATTCTGTTTTTCTGAGTCTGTGATAGGCACTGAATTTTAACAAAATTTGTTTATATTTCTGCAACGTCTTTTAGTTATAGAGAACTACATATGTCATTATTTGGCTCACTAAGTACTGTGTTTAAAAGAACAATAATGTCAATTGTGTTTATCAGGAAATATATCAGTCAATAACTAAAATATAGTTTACAAATAATGATTAAGATTCATAAGAACCATAAATATTGGAGCTAGCTTACCTGAATTAGCCAAGAATTTAATTAACTCTAATTCCTTACAGCTCTTAGGTATTTTATGTAGTAACATGTTCTTTTGCCTTCAAAAGGCAAAGGAACATTGTTTTTAAGTTGAATTGGAGATTAAGCAGACTTGTTTTACATGAAAATGTTCAAATTCTATTTATATATTCTACAACAGCACTTTATGTACATCTGTATCTTAGTTCTTGCTATATGCTACTGAAATTGTCTATTTCTGAGCCCAATTCCCCATCTGGAATATAAACTCTTTCATGGATACGGATGTATTATCCCTTCATCTTTATATCTACTATGCTCATTAAAGGATCTGGCACATCATAAGACCTTTAGTATATGTTTTCTGCCTTGAATTACACCTTGCCCTGCAGGATAGAAGCTGTGATCATACTCGATTTGCTATTCGAATGCTTATATAAATAATAGAATACTTCCTGCCTGTGTCTACCTCAGTTTTTTTCTCCAAGAAAATAGGAGTGATTTGCTTATATTTCCAGCTGTGGATGGCCAGATTTACATGGTAGAGAGGGAACTAGGTCACAGAAACCACTTAGGTTATCTACAGGGAGACCTGCATCTCAGCACCGATAAATGTTGCCCCTTGGTGAGATGCTTTCTAGCACCCTACTCAGTGTGTTGCACATAAGGAGTGGATTCAGTGGCTACTCTCTCCTGATTCTCAGCCCTCTGGTTTTTCTGTGTGTCAGCCTCATACAGAATGCTTTCCTTAAATTGTCTCCCCTGAGCTTCATACAATTTAGTCGTGTCCTAAATAACTAAGAAGTGGAAAATGGATGCACAGGAATTGGCATTTTCTGCCAGGCAACTGGAAACAGTGTGCCATCAAGTTGTGAAACCAAATTGAAAGTCGGTGTGGATAATGTAAAGTCACAGGAAGCTAGAGGTCAAGCAGAGAACAAGTCCAAATGTGCTCACTCCTGAAGGCCAGAAGCCTACAAACCTACAGAATTCTAGGATCCGACAGGTAGAAAGGACTTCAAAAGTCAGCTAGTAACTTCTAGTTTCCATAGAACAATCCCTTCTGCACTGCCAGAGCAAAAGGCCATCCAGGCCTTTCTGGAGCACGTTCATTGAAGGAAGAAAATGTAGGCTGTAGTATCTCTTATCTTTAGAATATAACTCACCAAATCTATGTGTAGTAACTGAAGCCAAAGAGATCATATGTGTATTAACATTACATTTTGAGGGGTAGACAAAAATGAAATCTATTTCAATATACAAAGGCAAAAAATTATTGAGGCAATGACCAAATTAGATGAATTAAAATATACAGCTTTACCTGAAATACATGTACTATTTAATGCCTAATACTGGGAGAATTAATCACACTTTCTGTTTTCTTTCTAAAACAACATTAGAAATAAAAACAATTCTTCCTTACTTCTAAAACTCCATCTTGCATTATACTTTTTTAAAAACTGACACACAGTAAGAAATACATTTTTTATCACATCCTGATACAATACACACATACAGCTGAGATGAAAACAAAAGCATCCCAGAATAATATTTGCCCCAAATATTGACATCACCTGATGTTTTCCATTATTTTCTATTCTATTCTACTTTTTTGTTGTTCTTTCATATCTTCAAAACCTTAATTCTTGTTCACATTAAGTGTACATTCTAAGTCAGCTGTGACTCTGCTACATACTGTCTTCAATAAGAACCTAGCTGATGGAATAGGTTCTATGTTAAACATTATTCTTTCTTGTGGCACAAAAAAATGAGAGGTCATGGAAAGACTATATGCCAATAACTTAAGTCTTTTGTTCAGAAATGAAACACATCATTCTACCTACATACCATTCGCCAAAGCAAACCACATGTCTAAGTGTGATGTTATTGAGTTGGGGAAACATAATTCATCTTCAGTGATGAATCACAAATATTTGTGAAAAATGGTGCAGCCTAACTCAGTGCTTTAACATACATACATAATTTAATATAAGTATTAAAGCCATGCTGATATTAAGTTTGATTCTCCCTATTTAAATGATAAAAAATGAGGCTCATTGACCATAGAACTATTAAATGACATAGCCTATATTCAGAGCAGTTCTAAGATATATATAGCCCATTTTCATAACGTATCCTGCATATGTTTTTAATCAGATCCCAATAGACTAAGTTTTTTTTTTCAAAGATCTCTTAAAAACTAATTGTGGTACTAAAAACATAAACATGATTTTCTTATCCTGTTATTTAAAAACATTTATTGTCACAATCACTTGTAAAGGACTCAGGTCTACAATTTGGAAAATACCATTCTATGGAAGTTCAAAGAGATTCAGAATATAGAGAAACATCTTTGTTTTTCATAATGACTGATTCTCAGAAAAATAATATTGAATTGAGAAACTAATATTACAGAGCCATGAGATACTAGAAGTGCTGGAACTAACACTGAAATAAATTCTACAGACAAATGGTAGTTAAATCTTATCTCAGAAAAAGACTTGTCTAAATTAAAGCCAATTTTTATGCAAGATACCTGTCTGTAAATATTCATGATGGAAAAGTAGAATTAAAAAATCCCTGCTAAAATAAATTGTTAGCAATTTTCTGTTTTCCTGCATTTTTATTAGAAGACACCTTTGAATAATAATAATTCGTAGCCCTCTATGAACACTTACAATGGGTGAAGCCCTGTTCTAACTGCTTTCCATATTTTATTGTAATTAATCTACACAACAACTTATGAGGCAAAGACTGTTGTCTCCATTTGACAAATAGAAGAACAGAAAGGGAAAGATTAATGTGCTTATGATCACTCGGCCACTGAATAGCAGAGCCAGGGTCACACCCACACACTCAGGCTCTAGAGATTATGTTCTTTTTAAAAATATTGTGATAATGCACCACATAATATAAAATTTACTGTTTTAATCATTTTGAAGTGTACAGTCAGTGGCATTAAGTATACTCACATTATTGTGCAACCATAACCATCTATCTCCAGAACTCTTTTCACCTTACAAAACTGAAATTCTCTATCTGTTAAATAACTCCTTATTCTCTCTTACCTCCAGCCCCTTTCTGCTGAAATACCATTCTACTTTCTATCTCTATAAACTGGATTATTCTAGATACCTCATTTAAGAGGAATTATACAATATTTGTTATTTTGTGACTAGCTAATTTCACATAGCATAATGTCTTCAAGGTTCATCCATGTTGTAGCATATTTCAGAACTGCCTTCCTTTAGAAGGTTGCATAATATTCATTATATATATATAAATGTGATATATATATATATTTGCCCCAAATATTGACAAATATAATATTTGCCCCAAATATTGACATCACCTGATGTTTTCCATTATTTTCTATTCTATTCTACTTTTTTGTTGTTCTTTCATATCTTCAAAACCTTAATTCTTGTTAACATTAAGTGTACATTCTAAGTCAGCTGTGACTCTGCTACATACTGTCTTCAATAAGACCCTAGTGTGTATATATATATATACCACATTTTGTTTATCTATTTATCCATCAATAATACTTGAGTTTCTTCCAATTTTGGCTATTGTACATAATGTTTCTATGAACATGGGTGTACAAATATCTCTTAAGATTGCTGCTTACAATTCTTTTGGGTATCGGAATTGCTGGATCATACGGTCATTCTGTTTTTAATTTTTGAGGAACTGCCATACTGTTTTCTATAGCAGATGCACAATTTGACATGTCTACAATAGTGTCCAAGGTTGTCAAATTCTCCTAATCCTCACCAAAACTGCCTATATTTTGTTTGCTTTTTAAACTAATAGTCATTCTAATGTATATAAATTGGTATCTCATTATGGTTTTGATTGCATTTCCCTAATGATTATTGATGTTGAGTATCTTTTTTATGTATCTGATGTGTTCATGAATTTGCTTTGCATCTGTGCTTAATGGCCATTTGCATAGCTTCATTAGAGAAACTCCTATTTAAGTTATATGCCCATTTTTAATAGGATTATTAGCTTTTTGTTGTTGAGTTTCATGAATTCTTTTTGTACTGTGGATATTAATTCCTTATCAGATATGTGATTTGTAAATATTTTCTCCCATTCTATGGGTTGTCTTTTTACTCTGTTGATAATGTCTTTTGGCATACAAAATCTCTAAATTTTGGTGTCCAATTTGTCTATTTTTCCATTTGTTGCAACCTGTGTTTTAGGTGTTATATATCGAAACATTGCCAGATCCAGTGTCATGAAACTTTTTAATTATTTTGCCTTAAGCCTTTCTTCTATGAGTTGTTATAAATTTGGCCCTTACATTTAGGTTTTTGTTCAATTTTGAGTTAATTTTTGTATGTGGTGTTAGGTAAGGGACCAACTTTATTCTTTTGCATGTTGATGTCCAGATATCCCAAAACCATTTGTTGAAAAGATTGTCTGCTCTCCATTGTGTGGACTTGGTACCTTTATCAAAAATAATTTGATCACACATACAAGGGTTTATTTCTGGATTTTCCGTTCTATTCCATTGGTCTATATGTCTGTCTTTATGCCAGTACCACATTATTTTGTTTACTGTGGCTTTGTAGTAACTTTTGAAACAAGAAGTCTGAGACTCCAACTTTATGCTTCTTTTCCAAGATTGTTTTGACTATTTTGGTTTTCCTGAGATTCCACGTGAACTTTAAGATTGATTTGTTTATTTCTGAAAACAAAAACAAAAACAAAAACACTGTCTTGGTCCATTTTGTGTTGCTGAAACAGAATATTTGAGACTAGGTAATTTATAAAGAAAAGAGATTTACTTAGCTCACGTTCTGAAGACTGACAAAGACTGGGCAGCTTATCTGGTAAGGGCCTGGTGCTGCTTAAATTTATAGTGGAAAGCAGAAGGGGAAGACTTTTACAAAAAGAAAAATCACTACGGGGAACTTTGCTTTATAGCAATTAGCTCCCAGGGTAACTCGTCAAGTACCTTGAGAAGAAGAACTCACTTCCACAAGAGGGCATTAATCCATTCATTAGAAATCTGCTGTCATGACAAAAATGTCTCCCACTAGGCCCCACCTCCCAATACCTTATTGAAAATTGAGACCAGGCCTGGCACGGTGGTTTATGCTTGTAATCCCAGCAATTTGGGAAGACAAGATGGCAGATCACACTTGAGCTCAGGAGTTTGAGATTAGCCTGGACAACATAGCAAAACCCTGTCTCTACCAATAAATACAAAAATAAACCAGGGAGGTGGTGCATGCCTGTCGTCCCTGCTACTGGGAGGAGCTGAGGCATGAGGATCACTTGAGCCTGGGAGGCAGAGGTTGCTGTGAGCCATAATTGGGGCACTGTACTCCATTTTGGGCATCAGAGCTGCACCCTGTCTAAAATTTAAAAAAAAAAGAAAAGAAAAAGAAAATTGAATTTCAACATAAGTTTCAGAGAAGACAAACCATATTTAAATCATAGCAACATCATTGGGATTTGATAGGACTTCCATTAAATTTGTAAAACATTGAGGGAATTAATATAATAACAATATTAAGTCTTTCTATTCATAAATAGGAGATTTATTTTTCCATTTATTTGTGTCTTCTTTATTTTCTTTCAGCAATGTTTTGTAGTTTCCAATGTATAAGTCTCTCACCTCCCTGGTAAATTCTTAGGTATTTCTATTCTTTTGGATGTTATTGTAAGTGGAACTGTTTTCTAATTTTCTTTTCAGATTGTTCTTTGTTAGTGTATAGAAACATATTAGCTGATTTTTCTGTGTTGATTTTGCATCCTGATACTTTGCTAAATTTATTATTTGTAACAATTATTTTTGTGGAATTTTTAGGGGGTTCTATGTATAATATTATATTATCTGTGAACATAGATAATTTTATTCCATTCGCAATTTAAATAAATTTAATTTCTCATTTCTAATTTATCTGGCTAATATTTTCAATATTGTGTTGAATAGAAATGGCAAAAGCAGGCATCCTTGTGTTTTTTCTTATCTTAAAGGAACAGCTTTCATACTTATACCATTGAGAATGATGTTATCTGTGTGTTTGTTTGTTTTCATAATGGCTTCTATTATGTTGAGGTAGTTTCATTTTATTCCTAGTTTGTTGAGTGTTCATATCATGAAAAAGTGTTAAATTTTGTCAATTTTTTTCTGTGTCTGTTGAGATAATCATGTCATTGTTATGTTTTATTTTTTTCATTCTGCTAATGTGGTATATTAAATAGATTGAATTTGGAAATTGAATCATTCTTGCATTCCAGGAACAAACTCCAGCTGGTCATGTTGTATAATCCTTTAAATATGCTGTTGATTTTGGTTTGCTAGTATTTTTTAGAATTTTTCCATCAATATTCATCAGTAATATGTGTCTGTGGCATTTTTTTCTTGTAGTTCTTTATCTGGCTTTTGTATCAGCATAATGCTGTCCTCATCTAATGAGCCTGAAAATGCCCCCTCCTCTTCAGTTTTTTGGGAAGACTTTCAGAAAAACTAGTATGTTGGTGCTTCCTTAAATGTTTGCTAGAATTGGCCGGGCGCGGTGGCTCACGCCTGTAATCCTAGCACTTTGGGAGGCCGAGGTGGGCGGATCACGAGGTCAGGAGATCGAGACCATCCTTGCTAACACGGTGAGACCCCATCTCTACTAAAAATACAAAAAATTAGCCGGGCGTAGTGGCAGACGCCTGTAGTCCCAGCTACTCAGGAGGCTAAGGCAGGAGAATTGCGTGAACCCGGGAGGCAGAGCTTTCAGTGAGCCGAGATTGCACCACTTCACTCCAGCCTGGGTGACAGGGCGAGACTCCGTCTCAAAAAAAAAAAAAATGTTTGCTAGAATTTATCAGTGAATTCAACAGGTCCAGGGATTTTGTTTGTCAGATTTTTAAATTATTGATTCTGTTGCCTTACTAGTTTTAGATTGATTCAGATTTTCTATTTCTTTATGATTCATATTTTTATGTTTAATGTTGCTAAGAATTTGTTCATTTTATCTAGGTTATGCAATTTTTTGGCAAACAGTTATTCATAATACTGTCTTATAATCCTTTTGACCTCTGTAGAATAAGTGCAATGTCCTAACATTTATTCCTGATTTTGACAATTTAAGTTTTCTCTCTTTCTCTTAGTCAATCTAGGTAAAGATTTTCCATTTTTCTAATCATTTTTAAAGAATCAAATTTGGATTTCTTGAATTTTCTCTATTGTTTTCTGTTCTTTATAGATCGCAGCTCTAATCATTATTTTCTTCATTCTGCTAGCTGTGGATTTTATGTTGTTTATTTTTATTATTAATATTATTAATAATATAATTATTCCTTTTGTATTTCCCTAAGTTGTAAAGTCAGGTGTTAATTTGGGATTTATTTTTCTTTTTAAATGTGCTTATTACTATAAATTTTCTCCTTGATATCACTGTTGTTTCATCCCAGAAGTTTTGGTATATTGTGTTTTTATTTCATTGTGATTTATTACTTGGCCCTATTATTATTTAAGCATGCTTTGTTTAATTTCCACACATTTATAATTTTTTTCAGTTTTTCTTAGTTATTGATTTCTAATTTCATTTAATTGTGGTTGGAAAACATACTTTTCTTAGTATATATCTTTTTATTCCCATTGAGACTTAATTTGTGACCTAACATGTCTATTCTGAAAAATATGTCATGTACACTTGAGAAGAATATGTGTTCTGTTGTTGTTGAGTACAGTATTCTGTGTATATCTGTCACACATAGTTAATTTTATTGTGCTATTCAAGCCTCTCCCTACCCTTTTGGTTTTAATTTACCTCTGTGTGGTTGTCCTATACATTAATGAGAATAAGTTACTGAATTCTAATACTGTTATGGTAGAACTGCCTATCTCTCCCTTCAATTATATCATTTTTTGCTTCAGAAAATTTTTGACTGTCAATGCTTCAAATATTTTGATTGTCTATTATTATGTGCACAAATGTTTATAATTGTTATAAACATTTCTTGCTGCATTGAGCCTTTTGTTGTAATGCCCGTTTTTAATTGTAAACATTTTTTATTTAAAGTCTATTTTGTCTGATATTAATACTGTCATACCAGTTCTCTTTTGGTTACTATTTGCATGAATGTCTTTTTATATCTTTCACTTTCAACACGTTTGTGTCTTTGGATCTAAAATGAGTAGAGAACATATAATTGAAACATTTTTTAAAAAATGTATTCTTCCAATATCTCTTGATTGGAGAATTGAATTCATTTACATGTAAAATAATTACTAATGAGAAGTGCCTTACTTCTATCATTATGTTATTTGTTTTCTATATGTCCCATTGGGATTCCCCCTACCCAGCTTTCTTCTGCATATTACTTTCTTTTGCATTTAGCTGACTTTTTGTACTAAAACTTTTTAATTCCCTTTTCATTTCCTTTATTTATATTCTATAGCTACTTTCTTTGTAGTTACCATGAGATATTTAAGTTATAACAATTTAATTTGAACTCATATCAGCTTAGTTTCAATAAAATACTAAAGCCCTGTTTCAATATAGCTTCTTTATAACATTTTTCAGTTATTGATATCATAAAATTACTTATAATAGTTCTTATGCATTAGTATTTTAAATAATGTAAAAAAAGATGAAATTATAAACCTAAGTTGAAGCAATACTTACCTTTATAATTATCCATGAATTTATTTTGACCAGAAATCCTATTCTTTCACACAGCTTTGAGTTACTGTCTCAGTCCTTTTATTTCAACCTGAAAGAATTCCTTATGATTTTTTAAAGGGCATGCCTAGTTGTAATGAATTCCCTCAGCTTTTGTTTGTCTGGAAACACTTTTAAAAGATAGTTTTTTTTAAACTCACTTTTAAAAGATAGTTTTTTGAGATGCAAAGTTCTCATTCTTTGGGTTTTTTTTTTTTTCTTCAGCACTTTAAATATATCAACCCACTGCATTCTGGCTTCCAGGGCTTCTCATCAAAAATGTCCTGATCATATTATTATGGATCCCTTCTATGTAATGAGTCAATTCTTTCTTGCTGTTTTCAAGGTTCTCTCTTTGTCTTTGGCTATGACTGATTATAATGTGTCTTGGTGTGGAGTTCTTTGAGTTTATCCTACTTGGAATTTGTTGAACTTATTGGATATTTATATTTTGTCTTCTATTATATTTGGGAACTTTTCAACCATTATTTCTTCAAATAATCTTTGCCCCTTTCTCTTTTCTTCTCACAATGTGTATGCTGCTTCTCTTGACAGTGTCCCACAGACCCCTAAGCTTTGTTCACTTTTCTTTTTTAAAAAAATTGTTCCTAAAACTTGGTGATTTTAATAGTCCTGTCTTCAAATTCACTGATACTTTCTCCTGCCTGCTGTGTTTCTGGGACTCCTAAGTGAATTATTAATAACAATTGTTATAATTTTCAACTGGAGAATTTGGAATGGTAGGTCCTTTTTACATTTTCTTTTTATTTAGATTTTTATTTTGTCAACTTATTATTTTCTTGACTTTGTTAAAAATCTTCTTTTAACTCTTGAGTGTTTTTAGATCTTTTTCTAGTAAGGCTGCCATCTGGTATTTCTCAGGGATGATTTTTGTTGACCTTTTAAATCTTTTTTGAATTGATCTATTTTAATGTTTCCTGGTAATTTTTATTGAAAATTGGATATATTAATCTTTTAATGTAGTAACATCAGATATGAGAGTATCCCCCTTTCCCAGGGCTTATTGGTAGTTGTCATTTGATTTCTTGTAGGGGTTCTTGGTGCCAAGCCTGAGTGTAAACTTATGGTCTTCTCAGTTCTCTGCTTGTATATCTCTCCCTAGACATGTGATGTGACTTTCTAAATTATCCTTTATCTATGGTTGATTTTGAATATTCTAGTCCTTAATTTTCTGTCTCCCATAAGGAGAAAAAAAGAAAATGAAGGAGGAAAAGAATGCTGGACCATTAAATCTCCCAGATATCTCTTCAACCATAAAGAGAAAGAGAGAGGCTTGCAACATTTGTGGTAGGGGATGCAATGATGGCTGCCCACTTTTGTGTCTGCACCTCCACAATCAGAACCATCAATAAATTATCAGAAAGCAAGTCCCTAGTATTTAAAGGGTAGGGTCTTTATTGCCCATCCTGACTCCCACAAGCTACTTGTAAGTTCTTCTAAAAACACATGCACAGTCAGCTCCCATAAAGCTGTAAAGTGGAGAATAGGTAGCTGCTACTGCACTAAGAGTTGTACCTGGCTGACATTAACTGCGATTTAACATCCAAGCCTTCCTCTAGAAATCACAAACTTTTAATATATTCCACAGTACCAATACTGTTATATTGGAGAGATGCTGCCATTATAATTGCTGACTAAATGGGGAGTTGGATTCCTGGTGCTTCCTACATTGCCATCTTCCCTAAAATTACTCTTTAGAGAATATATTCTTGACCACTACACCACAATTTCCCATCAATGTATTTTTTCCTCCCCTGAACAAAATTAGCCAGTTGGCTTTGTTATAATTGGATATATGAGATACACAGGATAAAAATATTGTCCAGACTTTTCAAAATAAATCAAATCAACAAGGACTGTGTGGCCTACACTCAAGGCTCGAGCTGCTCTGTTAGCCTAGGAAGGATTTCAATTTTCCAGTTCTCTGTTCATGCTACTCTACTGCCTTGCGATGATCACTCTTTTCTCTTAGAGTTAAAATAGGTCTAACTATGTAAATAATTCATAAAGTTTACTTTGTATTCTCATTTTTCCTGAAATTCTATTAACAATATTCATTTCCCTTTCAACATCACAAAGGGATCTGGATGATATGGGAAAGGGAATGTTCTTTAACAAATGTCAATAACCTTTAAGTATAATTCTATTGATTCTATCTCCTGGATGTTCATCTGTCCTGCTCTTTACCATGACAAGTACTAGTGGTATCCTAAACCAGCCTTTCTTCATTTCTCTTTTAAATTTTGTTATTTATCTTCTAATTGCCTTTCTGTCTCCACTATCTCCTCCTCTAATTGGTCTTCTATACTAGCATAGTGTAATCTTTCAAAAACACATGTCTGATCACATCACTAGTCTGTTCAAAAATTATGTTCTTGGTATATGAGCACAAATGTTCACATAGTGTTGTCGTTGGTCACCATTAGTTTGATGCAGTGTGAGTCTCCATCTCTGGAGCTATGAATAGGTGATATGTGGAAAGCTACAGCCCACTGAAGATTATTGTCCTGTGGTTAGAAATAGGGAAACCAAGGTATAGAGAGTGGTAATGGTGGATTTAATAAATACTATGTTGAAAGAGACAAGTGAGAAACAGAACAAGATATATATATATAAATATATATGTATAAAATATGTATGTATGCATATTACATATAAAACAATATTAAATATATAATATTCTTGGAAAATGTTTAAATTTAATCATGAGAAAACAATTTAAAAAATTAAGTATGTGAACTTTCAAGAAGGCAGATGGCCTGTGTTCTTCAAAGATTTGATTTTATAAAAAACAAAATTAGGGGGAGGAGCCAAGATGGCCGAATAGGAACAGCTCCGGTCTACAGCTCCCAGCACGAGCGACGCAGAAGATGGGTGATTTCTGCATTTCCATCTGAGGTACCGGGTTCATCAAACTAGGGAGTGCCAGAGAGTGGGCGCAGGTCAGTGGGTGTGCGCACTGTGCACAAGCTGAAGCAGGGCGAGGCATTGCCTCACTCGGGAAGTGCAAGGGGTCAGGGAGTTCCCTTTCCTAGTCAAAGAAAGGGGTGACAGACAGCACCTGGAAAATCGGGTAACTCCCACCTGAATGCAGCGCTTTTCCGATGGGCTTAAAAAAGGGTGCACCAGGAGATTATATCCTGCACCTGGCTCAGAGGGTCCTATGCCCACGGAGTCTCGCTGATTGCTAGCACAGCAGTCTGAGATCAAATTGCAAGGCAGCAGTGAGGCTGGGGGAGGGGCGTCCGCCATTGCCCAGGCTTGCTTAGGTAAACAAAGCAGCCAGGAAGCTCAAACTGGGTGGAGCCCACCACAGCTCAAGGAGGCCTGCCTGCCTCTGCAGGCTCCACCTCTGGGGGCAGGACACAAACAAAAAGAAAGCAGTAACCTCTGCAGACTTAAATGTTCCTGTCTGACAGCTTTGAAGAGAGCAGTGGCTCTCCCAGCACCCAGCTGGAGATCTGAGAATGGGCAGACTGCCTCCTCAAGTGGGTCCCTGACCCCTGACCCCCGAGCAGCCTAACTGGGAGGCACCCCCCAGCAGGGGCAGACTGACACCTCACAAGGCCGGGTACTCCAACAGACCTGCAGCTGAGGGTCCTGTCTGTTAGAAGAAAAACTAACAAACAGAAAGGACATCCACACCAAAAACCCATCTGTACATCACCATCATCAAAGACCAAAAGTAGATAAAACCACAAAGATGGGGAAAAAACAGAACAGAAAAACTGGAAACTCTAAAAAGCAGAGTGCCTCTCCTCATCCAAAGGAACGCAGTTCCTCAACAGCAACAGAACAAAGCTGGACAGACAATGACTTTGACGAGCTGAGAGAAGAGGGCTTCAGACGATCAAATTACTCCAAGCTACGGGAGGACATTCAAACCAAAGGCAAAGAAGTTGAAAACTTTGAAAAAAATTTAGAAGAATTTGTAACTAGAATAACCAATACAGAAAAGTGCTTAAAGGACCTGATGGAGCTGAAAACCAAGGCTTGAGAACGACGTGAAGAATGCAGAAGCCTCAGGAGCCGAGGCAAACAACTGGAAGAAAGGGTATCAGCAATGGAAGATGAAATGAATGAAATGAAGTGAGAAGGGAAGTTTAGAGAAAAAAGAATAAAAAGAAATGAGCAAAGCCTCCAAGAAATATGGGACTATGTGAAAAGACCAAATCTACGTCTGAATGGTGTACCTGAAAGTGACGGGGAGAATGGAACCAAGTTGGAAAACACTCTGCAGGATATTATCCAGGAGAACTTCCCCAATCTAGCAAGGCAGGCCAACATTCAGATTCAGAAAATATACAGAATGCCACAAAGATACTCCTCGAGAAGAGCAACTCCAAGACACATAATTGTCAGATTCACCAAAGTTGAAATGAAGGAAAAAATGATAAGGGCAGCCAGAGAGAAAGGTCGGGTTACCCTCAAAGGGAAGCCCATCAGACTAACAGTGGATCTCTCGGCAGAAACTCTACAAGCCAGAAGAGAGTGGGGGCCAATATTCGACATTCTTAAAGAAAAGAATTTTCAACCCAGAATTTCATATCCAGCCAAACTAAGCTTCATAAGTGAAGGAGAAATAAAATACTTTACAGAAAAGCAAATGCTGACAGATTTTGTCACCACCAGGCCTGCCCTAAAAGAGCTCCTGAAGGAAGCACTAAACATGGAAAGGAACTACCGGTACCAGCTGCTGCAAAATCATGCCAAAATGTAAAGACCATCAAGACTAGGAAGAAACTGCATCAACTAACTAGCAAAATAACCAGCTAACATCATAATGGCAGGCTCAAATTCACACATAACAATATTAACTTTAAATGGAAATGGACTAAACGCTCCAATTAAAAGACACAGGCTGGCAAATTGGATAAAGAGTCAAGACCCATCAGTGTGCTGTATTCAGGAAACCCATCTCACGGGCAGAGACACACATAGGCTCAAAATAAAAGGATGGAGGAAGATCTACCAAGCAAATGGAAAATAAAAAAAGGCAGGGGTTGCAATCCTAGTCTCTGATAAAACAGACTTTAAACCAACAAAGATCAAAAGAGACAAAGAAGGCCATTACATAATGGTAAAGGGATCAATTCAACAAGAAGAGCTAACTATCCTAAATATATATGCACCCAATACAGGAGCACCCAGATTCATAAAGCAAGTTCTGAGTGACCTACAAAGAGACTTAGACTCCCACACATTAATAATGGGAGACTTTAACACCCCACTGTCAACATTAGACAGATCAACGAGACAGAAACTCAACAAGGATATCCAGGAATTGAACTCAGCTCTGCACCAAGAGGACCTAATAGACATCTACAGAAATCTCCACCCCAAATCAACAGAATATACATTTTTTTCAGCACCACACCACACCTATTCAAAAATTGACCACATACTTGGAAGTAAAGCTCTCCTCACCAATGTAAAAGAACAGAAATTATAACAAACTATCTCTCAGACCACAGTGCAATCAAACTAGAACTCAGGATTAAGAATCTCACTCAAAACCGCTCAACTACATGGAAACTGAACAACCTGCTCCTGAATGACTACTGGATACATAACGAAATGAAGGCAGAAATAAAGATGTTCTTTGAAACCAACGAGAACAAAGACACAACATACCAGAATCTCTGGGACGCATTCAAAGCAGTGTGTAGAGGGAAATTTATAGCACTGTATGCCCACAAGAGAAAGCAGGAAAGATCCAAAATTGACACCCTAACATCACAATTAAAAGAACTAGAAAAGCAAGAGCAAACACATTCAAAAGCTAGCAGAAGGCAAGAAATAACTAAAATCAGAGCAGAACTGAAGGAAATAGAGACACAAAAAAACCTTCAAAAAATTAATGAATCCAGGAGCTGGCTTTCTGAAAGCATCAACAAAATTGATAGACTGCTAGCAAGACTAATAAAGAAAAAAAGAAGAATCAAATAGATGCAATAAAAAAGATAAAGGGGATATCACCACCGATCCCACAGAAATACAAACTACCATCAGAGAATACTACAAACACCTCTACGCAAATTAACTAGAAAATCTAGAAGAAATGGATAAATTCCTGGACACATACACTCTCCCAAGACTAAACCAGGAAGAAGTTGAATCTCTCAATAGACCAATAACAGGCTCTGAAATTGTGGCAATAATCAATAGCTTACCAACCAAAAAGAGTCCAGGACCAGATGGATTCACAGCCGAATTCTACCAGAGGTACAAGGAGGAACTGGTACCATTCCTTCTGAAACTATTCCAATCAATAGAAAAAGAGGGAATCCTCCCTAACTCATTTTATGAGGCCAGCATCATCCTGATACCAAAGCCGGGCAGAGACACAACCAAAAAAGAGAATTTTAGACCAATATCCTTGATGAACATTGATGCAAAAATTCTCAATAAAATACCAGCAAACCGAATCCAACAGCACATCAAAAAGCTTATCCACCATGATCAAGGGGGCTTCATCCCTGGGATGCAAGGCTGGTCCAATATATGCAAATCAGTAAATGTAATCCAGCATATAAACAGAACCAAAGACAAAAACCACATGATTATCTCAATAGATGCAGAAAAGGCCTTTGACAAAATTCAACAGCCCTTCATGCTAAAAACTCTCAATAAATTAGGTATTGATGGGACGTATTTCAAAATAATAAGAGCTATCTGTGACAAACCCACAGCCAATATCATACTGAATGGGCAAAAACTGGAAGCATTCCCTTCGAAAACTGGCACAAGACAGGGATGCCCTCTCTCACCACTCCTATTCAACATAGTGTTGGAAGTTCTGGCCAGGGCAATCAGGCAGGAGAAGGAAATAAAGGGTATTCAATTAGGAAAAGAGGAAGTCAAATTGTCCCTGTTTGCAGATGACATGATTGTATATCTAGAAAACCCCATTGTCTCAGCCCCAAATCTCTTTAAGCTGATAAGCAACTTCAGCAAAATCTCAGGATACAAAATCAATGTACAAAAATCACAAGCATTCTTATACACCAACAACAGACAAACAGAGAGCCAAATCATGAGTGAACTCCCATTCACAATTGCTTCAAAGAGAATAAAATACCTAGGAATCCAACTTACAAGGGACGTGAAGGACCTCTTCAAGGAGAACTACAAACCACTGCTCAAGGAAATAAAAGAAGATACAAACAAATGGAAAAACATTCCATGCTCATGGGTAGGAAGAATCAGTATCGTGAAAATGGCCATACTGCCCAAGGTAATTTACAGATTCAATGCTATCCCCATCAAGCTACCAATGACTTTCTTCAAGAATTGGAAAAAACTACCTTAAAGTTCATATGGAACCAAAAAAGAGCCCGTATCGCCAAGTCAATCCTAAGCCAAAAGAACAAAGCTGGAGGCATCACACTCCCTGACTTCAAACTGTACTACAAGGCTACAGTAACCAAAACAGCATGTTACTGGTACCAAAACAGAGATATAGATCAATGGAACAGAACAGAGCCCTCAGAAATAACGCCGCATATCTGCAACTATCTGATCTTTGACAAATCTGAGAAAAACAAGCCATGGGGAAAGGATTCCCTATTTAATAAATGGTGCTGGGAAAACTGGCTAGCCATATGTAGAAAGCTGAAACTGGATCCCTTCCTTACACCTTATACAAAAATTAATTCAAGATGGATTAAAGACTTAAACGTTAGACCTAAAACCATAAAAATCCTAGAAGAAAACCTAGGCATTACCATTCAGGACATAGGAATGGGCAAGGACTTCATGTCTAAAACACCAAAAGCAATGGCAACAAAAGCCAAAATTGACAAACGGGATCTAATTAAACTAAAGAGCTTCTGCACAGCAACAGAAACTACCATCAGAGTGAACAGGCAACCTACAAAATGGGAGAAAATTTTTACAACCTACTCATCTGACAAAGGGCTACAGAATCTACAATGAACTCAAACAAATTTAGAAGAAAAAAACAAACAACCCCATCAAAAAGTGGGCGAAGGACATGAACAGACACTTCTCAAAAGAAGACATTTATGCAGCCAAAAAACACATGAAAAAATGCTCACCATCACTGGCCATCAGAGAAATGCAAATCAAAACCACAATGAGATATCATCTCACACCAGTTAGAATGGCAATCATTAAAAAGTCAGGAAACAACAGGTGCTGGAGAGGATGTGGAGAAATAGGGACACTTTTACACTGTTGGTGGGACTGTAAACTAGTTCAACCATTGTGGAAGTCAGTGTGGCGATTCCTCAGGGATCTAGAACTTGAAATACCATTTGACCCAGCCATCCCATTACTGGGTATATACCCAAAGGACTATAAATCATGCTGCTATAAAGACACATGCACACGTATGTTTATTGCCGCATTATTCACAATAGCAAAGACTTGGAACCAACCCAAATGTCCAACAATGATAGACTGGATTAAGAAAATGTGGCACATATACACCATGGAATACTATGCAGCCATAAAAAATGATGAGTTCATGTCCTTTGTAGGGACATGGATGAAATTGGAAATCATCATTCTCAGTAAACTATCGCAAGAACAAAAAACCAAACACCGCATATTCTCACTCATAGGTGGGAACTGAACAATGAGAACACATGGACACAGGAAGGGGAACATCACACTCTGGGGACTGTTGTGGGGTGGGGAGAGGGGGGAGGGATAGCATTAGGAGATATACCTAATGCTAGATGATGATGACGAGTTAGTGGGTGCAGCGCACCAGCATGGCACATGTATACATATGTAACTAAGCTGCACATTGTGCACATGTACCCTAAAACTTAAAGTATAATAAATAAATAAATAAATAAATAAACAACAACAATAAAAAACTAAAGTGTGAAGATAGTTCTGGATTTCAAGAGTAGAATATGAGGATGCATTGCATGAACTTTAAAGGGCCTCTGAATCAGAAAACACACACACACACATTCACGTAGCTATACAAGTTTTTATGGTATAACTGGAGAAATTAAAATATGGCTACATTCTAGTTAATAATACTACATTACTATTGATATCTTTAGTTGGGATCTTGCTCTGGGAGAAAGTTAGAAGTGCTGCCTGAAGATGAAGCCATCTTGATTTGACAAGAATAATTATCCCAACACCCTGTACCTCAAATTCAGCTAGAAAGCATACAAACAGATAGAAAAAAAATCTCCTGTTACTACTGAGATAAACTCTAATTCCCTTAGTATTATCCATGAGTCTACTTGTCTATCACTTCTGACAAACTGCTTCATTATCTTCCCTCTATCCTACACAGGCACCAGGCAAAAGTACAGTGATTCTTGTAGACTGCTATGCTCTTTCATATTTCTACTGTTTTGTTCATGCTGATTTCCCTGCAAAAAAAAAGAAAGCGTTTTTCCTTTCTATATCTAGCAAAAATCTACTTATTTTTTCAGATGTATGAATTTGTTAAAAACTTCTCTACTCCACTCTTGCCACTTTTTGAACTCTCACCTCCCTCTTTCTCACTGTCTCTCTCTCCCCCACTTTATCTCTCTCTTTCTTTCCCCTTTCCCTTCTATTTCCCACTACATATTGAACTCTTCTTAAGGTAGAATTCATGTTTTATTCAGGTTCGCTTTTCCAAAACTGAGCATAATTATTGATATGTGGATTGTCTTTATCTGTTTTGCATTGCTATAATAGAATGTCACAAACTGGGTAATTTAGAAGGAGAAGAATTTTATTTCTCACAGTTCTAGAGGCTGGGAAGTCTAATATCAAGGTACCAACATCTAGTGAAGGCCTTCTTGCTGCATCATCCCATAGCAAGAGGCTTCTGCCTCTGATCCAACTGAGAGACTGAAACTCTTTTATTACTGACATTCATTCATTCATGAAGGTGAAGCTCTCATGGACTAATCACCTGTCAAAAGTCCTACCTCTTAACATTGTTGCATTAGAGATTAAGTTTCCAACACATACTTTTGGGGAACACATTGAATTGAAAGCATGGAAGCTCAACAAATATCTGGTATATGAATTTAGGAAAGAAGAACAGCATGGTCTTTGATATGGTTTGACAGTATTCCCTGCCCCACCCATCTCCCACCAATTTTCACTTGAATTGTATTTCACAGAATTCCCACATGTTGTGGGAGGGACCCAGGGGGAGCCAACTGAATCATGGGGTTTGGTCTTTCCCATGTTATTCTTGTGATGGTGAATAAGTCTTATGAGATCTGATGGGTTTATCAGGGGTTTCTGCTTTTGCTTCTTCCTGATTTTTCTCTGCCGCCACCATGTCAGAAGTGCCTTTCCCCTCTCACCGTGATTCTGAGGCCTCCCCAGCCGTGTGGAACTGCAAGTCCAATTAGACCTTTTTGTCCCAGTTTCTGGTGTGTCTTTAACAGCAGTGTGAAAACAGACTAATACAGTCTTATTATATTCTCAGGTTGCTGACCAGAAGGTGAATTGTTTGGCAAGGTCAATAAGTGAACAAATGAATCAGTAATAGCTAAATCTTAGAACAGAGCCTCCTGATACAGTACCTTATGCAATCATGCTGTCTTCAATCATTTGCATCCATTTATTGACTACCCACAATCTTCTTGAAATAATTTATGGATCTGGGGAAATAGATGAGTAAGACACTATTTTTCTGCTCAAATATCTTATAATCTAGTGGAAACAATAAAACATATCATGCATTTGTAATATCGTAAATGATATCTTAAAATAAAAAATAAAATGTTTGAGAGGTTTATAAGAGAGATTAGTCCAAATTTAGTGTAGAAAATGAAAATTTTTGAGAAAAAATGGTTGCACTGATCTTAAAAGTTGCATAAAATTCAGACAGGTAGGGGGAAAGTAGAAGGAAAATAGGAACAGTAAAGGGGATACCACAGAAATAAGATAAACTGTGGTATGAGATAGGTGGGGAATAAGAGCGAGTGAATACCTCAATCCTTTCTGTCCTACTTGTGAAACTTATATTCTATGAAACACCTTGAATTATCTTTGCTAAAAAAAACAGATATGGTAAGTCACTGACTCAATATCTAATCCTCTGCTTCACCTCATTAACAGAAATCTGTTTTGAGTGTGTCAATTTACCCACCTAAAAACTATTTTTCCATTTCTCTTGAAGATTTGGGTGACCAATATTATGTAAAGTAAAGATGTTAAGAGAAGCCTCCAAGAAAGCTCCTTAAAGGGACTAATTTTGTTAACCCATATTGCCATTTATCTTCCCCCCATTTCCCCTTCTTTCTTCTTGGAAATCAAATATAATGTCTAGAGCTGTAGCCACCATCTTGCTGCCAGGAGGATAAAAATCATGCTCTAAGGTTAGTGGTGCAGGAGGAGCAAAGGAGATTGGATCAGTGACAACATCATGGAACCACTGCTCTCCCTGTAAACTGCCTGCTTCCAGACTTAAGAGACAAGGAAATACCTTTTTATCTTGTTTAAGACACTGTTCTTCATGTTGTAACAGCTAAATTTAATTACTAACAAATATAGTAGAAAATAGGAGTCCATGAAAATATCTGAGAAGCAATGACAGAGGGATCAGATGGGAGACTAGAATGATATTTTAAAAGAAGATAACTTGATTTTGTTAGGGTGCTGTGGTAGAAAGTAGAGAATAAAGCATGTAGAATGTACATTCCATATTTTAACTGAAGAAGAGGCCAAGGGATAAATCAAAGGGAAAATCAAGGATGGAGCTAAAGAGGTTGAAAGGAAGTTGGAAACATTGTCAGACATGGGAAAGTTGAGGACAATTTAATCAGGTACAACAGGGAACAAGTCATTTTATATAAACTGGTGGTGGTAAGCCAATTAGATACCTGTGTGGTGATGTCTATGAGGCTCTCAGACATTTAGGAATGAAGGTAGCAGACAGGTCTGGATTTGAGCTTAACATTTAACATTCATACACACAGACTTAGAGCAACACTCAAACATTATCAAGGGAGAGTGAAAGACAGGAAAAGGAGAGTACTGGTCTTTGAGGAGCAACACCATGAAGAGGCAGCAAGGATGTCCTTTTTCATAGTAAAACCGGAAGAGGTCGGTGTCATGTAACTAAATAAAAAAAGAAAAACAAGTGGTGTTATGTGTCAGTGTACACTTCAGTAAACTTTGATCATATTTAGATTGCAGGCTCTTTGAAAGTAAAGGCTATAGCTTAAAGAATATTTTTAATTACCAAATTTCTTAGCAAAATCCAGTAGATAGTTGGCTCTGAAAAAAATATTTGCAGTTTTGATTTTTCTTGATCCATTTAGGTCAGGGGAAGGCTTCATGCTGTGCAGACAATGAGGCGCTTTTGGGTATTTCCAGACTGCTGATGCTGAACTTTGCATGTAACTTGCTCTGTTCTTTGGGATACTTTAGAAGTGAAGTATAAATATTTAAAAAGGAAAGGGTTATTACTGTGTTCACTTTGATTGATATAAGTGAGGAAGGAAACCTGAAAATTTAAAGATATTCTATATGTTCTCTCTTTGAATCAACTGAAATAGCGTCAACTCTAATCACCTCCAGGTTGCTCTGGTAATGTCTTTTCTAAGGTAAAATATAAAGTAACATGGATATTACATTATTATTTTAATATATGACAAGATTCCAAGAAAAAAATAGCTTATCCCTGCGTACATGTAAGAAATCAGTAAATGTTAAAATAAGCAGATTGCTATAAAAATGAACCTGACTTTTAGCCATAGCAAGTTGCTTCAATTTGTAAATAGCAGAAATCTTTTGGTAAAATGATATGAATTGAAAGTGAGAATTCTCCAGCCTTTTATGAGGAAGACTAACAATGGCACAACCTAAAGTACATATATTTTTATCAGTCTTAGCAAAATTGCACTTAACAGAAGTTTGCATGATTTCTACATCACAACCTAGTCCTCTTTACAACACTAATCTGTTTTTGCACAAGGCTGCTATGCTGAACCCCCTGGTGCTTCCTGACATTATTATTAACTACCACGTTATTCCATCATTTTTTTATGTCTATCTTCTCCAGTGTGCCTGACAGTTTGTGTTAGGCCATTGTCACATTGCTATAAAAAATACCTGAGGCTGGGTAAATTATAAAGAAAAGAGCTTTAATTGGCTCATGGTTCTGCAGTCTGTATAGAAAGAATGGTGCTGGCATCTGCTTCTGGTGAAGCCTCAGGGAGTTTACAATCATGGCAGAGGTGAAGAGGAAGCTGCTGACATTTCACATGGAAGTAGTGGCAGTGAGACAGGGAGAAGTGCCACACTTTTAAGCAACCAGATCTCATGAGACCTCATTCACTAACTTGAAGACATCACCAAGCCATGAGGGATCCACCCCCATGACCAACCAGGCCCCACCTCCAACACTGGGGATGACATTTCAACATTAGATTTGGGAGAGGACAAATATCCAAACTGTATCAGCATAATTTCTACTATAATTTCTAGTATAGACAATTGATATGATTTGGCTGTGTCTTCACTCAAATCTCATCCTGAATTGTGGTTCCCATAATCCCCATGTGTTGTGGGAGGGACCAGGTGGAAATAATTGAATCATGGGGTGGTTCCCCCATCCTGTTCTTGTGTAAAACCCTTTATAAGGGTTTCCCCTTTTGCTGGGTGCTCATTCTTCTCTCTTCTGCTACCTTGTGAAGGAGGACATCTTTGCTTCCCCAACTGCCATGATTGTAAGTTTCCAGAGGCCTCCCCAGCCATGCTAACAGTGAGCTAATTAAACATCTTTCCTTTATAAATTACTCAGTCTCAGATATGTCCTTTATAGCAGCATGAGAATGCACTAATACAGTAAATTGGTACCACAAAGAGTGGGGTGCTCTTGTAAAGATACCCAGAAATGTGGAAGCAACCTTGGAACTGGGTAACAGGCTGAGGTTGGAACAGTTTGCGGGGCTCAGAAGAAGACAGAAAAATGTGGAAAATTTGAATCTTCCTAGAGACTTGGAGGGCTCAGAAGACAGAAGATGTGGAAAAGTTTGGAACTTCCTAGAGACTTTTTTAGTGGCTTTGACTAAAATGCTGATAGTGATATGAACAATAAAGTCCAGGCTGAGGTGGTCTCAGATGGAGATGAGCGACTTATTGGGAACAGGAGTAAAGGTCACGCTTGCTATGCAAAACACTGGTGGCATTTTGCCCCTGCCCTAGAGACCTGGGGAACCTTGAACTTGAGAGACATTATTTAGAGTATGTGGCAGAAGAAATTTCTAAGTGGGCAAGTGTTTAAGAGGAAGAAGAGCATAAAAGTTTGGAAAATTTGCAGCCTGACAATGCAATAGTAAAGAAAAACCCATTTTCTGGGGCGAATTCAAGCCAGCTGCAGAAATTTGCAGAAGTAACAAGAAGCCAAATGTTAGTCAGCAAGACAATAGAGAAAATTCTCCAGGGCATGTCAGAGACTTTCAGAGCAGCCCTTTGTATCACAGGCCTGGAGGCCTAGGAAGGAAAAATGGTTTCCTGGGCTGGGTCCAGGGAAGTCTGCTCTATGCATACTCAGGACATGGTGCCCTGCATTCCAGCTGCTTCAGTTCCAGCCATGGCTAAAAGGGGCCAATGTACAGCTCAGGCCGTTGCTTCAGTGGGTGCAAGCCCCAAACCTTGGTGGCTTACATGTGGTATTGGGCCAGTGGGCACATGCAAGTCAGGAATTGAGGTTTAGGAACCTCCACCCAGATTTCAGAGGATGTATGGAAATGCCTGGATGACCAGGCAGAAATTTGCTACAGGAGTAGAGCCTTCATGGAAAAACTCTGCTAGGGCACTGCGGAAGAGAAATATGGGATTGAAGCCCCCATACAGAGTTGCCACTGGGGCACTGCCTGATGGAGTTATGAGAAAAGGCCTATTGTCCTTCTGACCCCAGAATGGTAAATTCACTGACAGCCTACATTGTGTGCCTGGAAAAGCCACAGACACTCAATGCCAGCCCATGTAAGCAGCCAGAAGGAGGGCTATGCCTTGGAAAGCCACAGGGATGGAGCTTCCCAAAGCTGTGGGTGCCCACCTCTTGCATCAGCATGACCTGGATATGAGACATGGAGTCAAAGGAGATAATTTTGGAACTTTAATGATGGCCCTATTGGATTTCATACTTGCATGGGTCCTGTAGCCCTTTGTTTTTGCCAACTTCTCCTATTTGGAATGGTTGTATTTACCCAATGCCTGTATTACCATTGTATTAGGAAGTAACTAACTTGCTTTTGATTTTACAGGCTCATAGGCAGAAGGAACTTGCCTTGTCTCAGATGAGACTTTGGACTTGGTCTTTTGAGTTAATGCTGGAATGAGTTAAGGTACTTGGGGGACTGTTGGAAGGGCATGATTGTGTTTTGAATTTTGAGGACATGAGATTTGGGAGGGGACAAGGGAGGAATTATGTGGTTAGGCTTAGTGTCCCCACCCAAATCTCATCTTGAATTGTAGTTTCTATAATCTCCATGTGTTGTGGGAGGGAACAGGTGGAGACAATTAAATTATGGGGGTGGTTTCCCCATTTTCTTCATGTGATAGTGAGTTAGTTCTCATGAGATCTGATGGTTTTTTAAGGGGCTTCCCCCTTCACTGGGAACTCATTCTTCTCTGTCCTGCTCCCTTGTGAAAAAGAATGTGTTTGCTTCCCCTTACACCATGATTGTAAATTTCCTGAGGCCTCCCCATCCCTGTGGAACTGTAAGTCAATTAAACCTCTTTCCTTTATAAGTTACCCAGTCTCAGGTATGTTCTTTATAGCAGCTTGAGAACAAACTAATACAATACATAAAAATATAAAGATTTTATCTGTACCACGAAAAAAGTGTTAAAAATATATATTACTTTGATTAACCTCAGAGAAATATTTTGATCTTAAAATTTCCTGAAAGTATTTAGTAGTTATGTGAGGTTCACCCATTCCTGCAGAATAGAAATTAAGAACCCAGAGCTATATTCAAATTTCTGTTCTGATTACTGACTGTATGACCTTAGGCAAGCTGCTTTATCATCTTGTAGCTCAGTTTTCTTATTCACACAATATAGACAAAGCTATACTTACGCTAGGATTTTTGCAAGAATAATTATATGGAAAGTCCTTCGCTAAGACAATTCCTGAATTACAGTAAGCCATCACAAAATATTAGCAATTGTTCTTTAAACATACTTAAGAAATTTCTGCTCATGAAAGTCTATGTATATTTTGCTGTGGGAAATGGAAAGAAAAGACCAAACTTTCTGCTGGTCAGTCCCCAGGCATCACAGACAAGCAGACAGTGATGATGGTAGTAATGCCTCCTTCGAGCTACTTCATTTCCAAAATTCCTAAGTATATACTACCAATTATTTGCAATGCAAAACCGATGCTCATGCAGAGGAAAATGCTGAAACTATTATGTTAATCTTCAAGTAGAATAAATCTCAAGCCCGAATATATATTTCACTTGCATTTTTATTAAAAGTGTTTTTGTTTATTTCTTTTGCCTTGCTTTTGATAGTTCCATAAGAAGTTATTGCCAGTAAATGAGAACACACATGGAGAGTATGCAGAATGTCACTTTTATCAGCAGTTAAAAGAGTAAAAACTTTATATGTTTTGTACAATTATTTAAGTGTGAATCACCAGTTCTTTCTCAATCTATTCAGTGTTCTCTCTAGAGGGATTCTCAGCAGATCTCTTGATGGTTCCAATGCACTATTCTGAAGAAAAAATGGTTTCCACTGGAATTTTATTAAGTCAAACTGGGACAAGCTGAATATAAGTAGAAAATGCTAGAAAATGGGACAAGCTGAATATAAGTAGAAAACGCTAAAATAAAAATGGCATGAAGAATAAAGTCTCAACATGCTCAGTCAGTATTTTTTTAATTATATCTTCTTTAAGTACACAATTTCCTGTACCTTTTAGGAAGATTTCAAAGAGGATATTTAAGTGTATGATCTTTTTGATCTGAAAATTAGCCTGCCATGCAGTAGGCAAAAAATCATTTTCTTTCTTCACATATAGTATATTCATACTGCTTTTGTTTGAAATTGAAATTAGGATGAATACTTACCTTTCTATGTTGTAACTCAAATAATTTTCTTTTTTTATATTTTATTATTATTATACTTTAAGTTTTAGGGTACATGTACACAATGTGCAGGTTAGTTACAGATGTATACATGTGCCATGCTGGTGCGCTGCACCCATTAACTTATCATTTAGCATTAGGTATATCTCCTAATGCTATCCCTCCCCCCTCCCCCCACCCCACAACAGTCCCCAGAGTGTGATGTTCCCTTTCCTGTGTCCATGTGTTCTCATTGTTCAATTCCCACCTATGAGTGAGAATATGCAGTGTTTGGCTTTTTGTTCTTGCGATAGTTTACTGAGAATGATGATTTCCAATTTCATCCATGTCCCTACAAAGGACATGAACTCATCATTTTTTATGGCTGCATAGTATTCCATGGTGTATATGTGCCACATTTTCTTAATCCAGTCTATCATTGTTGGACATTTGGGTTGGTTCCAAGTCTTTGCTATTGTGAATAGTGCCGCAATAAACATACGTGTGCATGTGTCTTTATAGCAGCATGATTTATAGTCCTTTGGGTATATACCCAGTAATGGGATGGCTGGATCAAATGGTATTTCAAGTTCTAGATCCCTGAGGAATCGCCACACTGACTTCCACAATGGTTGAACTAGTTTACAGTCCCACCAACAGTGTAAAAGTGTCCCTATTTCTCCACATCCTCTCCAGCACCTGTTGTTTCCTGACTTTTTAATGATTGCCATTCTAACTGGTGTGAGATGGTATCTCATTGTGGTTTTGATTTGCATTTCTCTGATGGCCAGTGATGATGAGCATTTTTTCATGTGTTTTTTGGCTGCATAAATGTCTTCTTTTGAGAAGTGTCTGTTCATGTCCTTCGCCCACTTTTTGATGGGGTTGTTTGTTTTTTTCTTGTAAATTTGTTTGTTAACTCAAATAATTTTCAATACATGATGGTAAATTCAGTATCCGTGGGCTGTGCCCACCAAATAACAGGGACTAGGTTTGCCTTCATATATCAAATGTATAGACATAATGTTTCAAAGTCAGGAAAACCTTGAAATTTAATGTTTTTTGTCCACAGTGGTTAGATATCCCTTTAGGAAATAAGTCTATTAATGAATATCAGGACTTCAGAAGTAAAAATAAATGGCCCTTTGAACTATGTAATACATAAATTCGTAAACCAAACAAATAAAATATGCAAAAAATGATCATGCAAAGCATAAATGAAAAATGATACATTTATTCATTTTTATAAGACTTACAATATGCCAGGAGGTTTTAGTTGCTGAAGATAAAGTGTTAAATATGAAAAGAACTTGTCCTCCTAGAAATTAGCACTGTAATAACAGTGATGCCTAAAAATGTATATGTACACAGACTTACATCAGTTAAGATGCCTAACTGTATCTTCATGCTTGAAGAAATAATTACTTTGGGATCCTTTCTGTTTTACTATTTCAGTACTTTGAAAAAGCTGTAGGTGTATCTATGTAAAAATAAAAATCAACTAATAGCACTATCTTTAGAATTATGATGTCTAGCATTTAGAAAGTATAAACGACAAAATGTTATAAAGTTGTCAGACATTTTTATGCCTGTTTATGTAGAAATGATTTTAATCTGAGAAGAAGGGCAAAGTCTGGCATAATGACAGAAATAATGGCATGAAATAAATGATATGAAATAAATGGCTATTTAGAACTAAAAATAATGAAATGAGGTGAGTTCTACGAAGATAGTGGGTAATTATCTAAGGGCTAGTGATTAAAATGTAGATGTGATGTCCAAAACTGTAGCAGCCATTTGGGACTATGAAGCAACAATCCTGTGAAAGAAGAGCATGCATGGTGAAAATAGTGGAAATCAACAAACTCATTATTTGTTTAAGCTACTGTTACAGGTTTTTTTCTTATTTGCAGCTGAAGGTATTTTTCATATGACAACTAGCATGAGTGAAAAGCAAAGTTTGGATCAAGAATTTTTCATACCGTGACATGAAGGCTGTTTAACATGATGGTAACAAACCTACACTAGGGTCATGATTTGACTGAAAGAATAACCTGGCTACTAATCCTGCGGGACAGAACAAGAACAGAATGCAAAGATGTGCAGACAGAACAGAAAGCAATAAGCAAGCTTTGCATATACAATTGAAAGTAGTAATTTGCTAAGGTAAAATAATTCAAGAGAAGGCTTTGTCTGTGCTAACGTTGTAAGCATAAGGGGAAAGGGCAACTCTTAGTGCAGTGGTAACTCCTAAACCCTCATTTCATCTCTGTGCTCCACATATCCATCTGTGTAGTTAATCAAGCTTTTCTTTCCCTTATGTGTATTCATTTTTCCTGGTATTAATTCCTATGTAGCATTAATTTGTAACAAGCAATGAACCTTCCGTAAGCATTATTTTCTATCTTGGAAAGAGTAAAATTAATTAACACCTTTGACATTTGAAAAGTATAAAACTTGCCTATGGTCACCAAAATAAGCACTCTTGGGTCTTTATTATCAACATTTTGCTTAGTCCACCTGGTACCTACCTGTAGGTCTATTTTTATCAGAATGTTTAAATAAATAAATTATTTATGTCCTAATTATAAAGAGGTATTATTTCACCAGGTTATTAAAAATGGCCAGAGGAAATATATCAAACTGTGAAGTAAAATCATATTCTTTGACTATAGAAAGATAAAAAGCAGTTTTTGAAAGGAATAAAAGGGAATGGTACAGTTTAGGGAAGTAACATACAGATATAGATAAAAGACATAATTAAAACTAAAACAGAAAAACTAGGAAAGATCCTTAAAAAACAGTATGCTGTATTCTAGAGAGAATTTTAGAAAAAATACAGCAGCATAAAAAAAACAGCATAACAAATATCTCTTCAGTTCATCCTTACAAAGCAAACATTGAATGAATTTAGATTTTGTAAATTGCTTCAAGCCTTTACATTGAATTATTTTACAAGAATTAAGAATATTGCAAATATTATATAATTTTAGTAGGATACATATTTTAATGTAAAGTCCCTCTGCTATAGTTTAGTTTGTTTGACTCTCCCAAATCTCATGTTGTAATTGGATCGCTAGTGTTAGAGGTGGGGCCCAATGGGAGGTGTTTTCGTCATGGGGGTGGATCCCTTATGAATGGGTTGGTGCCATCCTAATGGTAATGAATGAGTTCTCACTCTCTTAGTTCTTGCGAGAGCTATTTATTAAAAACAGTGTGTCACCTCCCTTCTCTCCTTCTTGGCTTTCTTTTTTGCTATGTGGTCTGTGCATGCACTGGCTTCATGAGTGGAAGCAGCCTGACACCCTCACCAGAAACAGATGCTGGCACTATGCTTCTTGCACAGCCTTCAGAATCATGAGCCAAATAAACCTCTTTTCCTTATAAATTACCCAGCCTCAGGCATTCCTTTGCAGCAACACAAAGGAGCTAAGACACTCTCTTTCAGGACTATTGCCAATGATCTGGCTTTTTCCTAGAAATGTAGCAAAGTAAAATCAATTCCAAGTCCCCAGTTTATTGATTTTTTCCTTGTGCTACATATATACTTTCCTGTTACACATCCTCCAGATTGGCCAGGATTTAGTGAAGGGGACAGAAATGTAATATATCTGTTCAAAAAAAAGCTTTCCATTTTAGATTCAATGCCATTTGAGAATAATACTAAATTCCTAGACACTGCATCTTCTTCTCTTTTCAGTACATTTAGCTAAAAGGGATAGTGGTGGTATTAAATACAAGGTAACATGGGGTTCTGAAAAATATCTAACTCACAGGCAATTAATTAGAAGGTAAAGAAAATAGTCTT
Source organism: Homo sapiens (assembly GCF_000001405.40). Taxonomy (NCBI): domain Eukaryota; kingdom Metazoa; phylum Chordata; class Mammalia; order Primates; family Hominidae; genus Homo; species Homo sapiens. The sequence continues at coordinate 76,888,194 of NC_000006.12, read as the reverse complement.
CCCTTTTATAGCATCTGCCAACCCGAAATGGGTTGGTACTATTTGCCTTCATGTGTGTCCCTTAGTCATTAAAAAAGAATTTCATTTTACTCGATAAGGACCAAATTATGAAATTATGTTTTATGATTTGGGGAAAACAAATTAAACCACTTACAACTTACAAAAATGTGCAAGATTATTTTCTTGTAAAAAATGTTGATCCTATAGTTATTTGTAAACTGCAGGAAAATGCAGATAGAAAACAAAGTTTAAAAACAGCAAATAAATAGTTTGTTTCACCACATGAAATTCTATGCATTATTTAAATTATTTGATGTGGAGCTCATTTGTTGATCAAGAAAGACATATATTATATTTTAAGTAAAAAATTAAGCTTAATGTCATAAAAATCCATTTTTATTGAAATGAGTTTTTGTATGTGGAGTTTCTACATCAGTGAAATGCACAGGGGGAAAAGTGTAGAATGATACACAGCAATTGTAACAATACTGTTTTTTAAGGGATGTGATTTTTATGGACATTTTTTATTTTCTTCCTTGTCTTTTGTTTTTGACTTTGATAATGGCAGATAAAAATATTATTTTTAAAAAATAATATCGTAGAACTTTAAATTTAGAACTTTATCAGTCCCATCTTCTACCTAATAAATTAGAAGTTTATCCAGTTCCATCTTCTACCTAGTATTAAGATGCCTTCTGTAGTATTCCTATCATATGATAACTCAGATCCTAGTTCAATACCTCTAGGCAAATGTGGTTTACTTAATTTCTAGGCGGGCTAAATAGAAAGCTTCTATCATGGGAAATGTCTAATTTTTTATATTTAAATTCAGGTCTCCCTGTTTATAACTCCTCTTTGGCTCTCCTTGTCTTCTACAAGTGGGTCTAACAGGCTTATTCCTTCTTTTAGAAAGCAGGCTCCCCAATACTTAGGACAACTTTACACTCCAACTCCTTCTTTTTTCATGACTCTTTGATCTCTTGGCAGAGGCAGATGGTGTAAGGGTGTAATGAAGGGCAAGTAGATCAATCAAGATTTTTGCTGCTTGAATAGATTATCTGTTTCCGTGAACAAGCTGCCAGTTGGCCCCTCTTCAAGGACTGCATTCCCTATAAGCAGGTCTCCCATGGGTTCCTTCAGGAGGCTGGGGATGAGGGCGGGTGGCAAAGCACCTAACACAAGATAACGTAAAGACACATGCACTTCTTCCTGGCCTAATAACATGAGATTCTGCCTCACCTTCTGCTTATGTGATCTTGCTAATATCTGGAAGTGGTCAGATATTCAATGGACCCATGGTGAAAGGAGAAGAATGGAAAGATGAACTAAATATAACAAAGTTGAATACATGAAGAAAATCTTAAAATGATATTTTAAAACCTACAACTAATCACATGTATTTTAAATATTTCTATTATTAGATTGTCAGTTATTTGAGCAATTTAAGGCTGGAGTGTTTCTTTGAGTCACTGCTAGTACCTGATTTAAGCTTTGTATTGACCAACACTTAATGATATTTCTTATGCTTAACTGCATTTTGACCTTCAAACATATCCATAGTCAGGCAAGCATAGACCCTCATGATTAGAATCGCATGTGCCTAGGCTCTCTTGAAACAAGCCTATCAATAATTCTACATATTAAAAAAATCCACATTGAAAAATAAGCAACTTATAATTGTACCGGTCAGTTAAACTACACACAGAGCATGAATAAAAAAATTGACAAATTATTCTCCCCTTTTTGGATATGGGCTGGCTTTATTATAGCATTATTAGTAAATTAGCTTAGAAATTAATTGAAAAAAATCCCATACGATCTTCAAGGGATTAAATGGGCATTTGCTGGTTAAAGTCAGGTTTCTTAAATACTTGGTGGTCTTAGTCTGGTCTCTGGATATAAGCATTGGTTTCAAATTGCCTCCAGAATCTTTCTGGCCAAAGAAAATACAACAATGCAAGAACAGTTTCCAACTTGGCAGAAAATACGTATTGAGAAACATTTAGATCCTTTGGGAAACATTAACTCATGAACATTATAAAAGCAGGTAATAATTCAAAATGCTATTTTCTAGGATCCTAAAATCTCCCACAGAGGCCCTATTTATTCAGATTTTCAAAATAGCTCAGCACAGAATAGAGCATGAAATGCATTTGGGCCACTGTGTACATAAAAACATCACAGTGAGTCAGCAGTCAGTCACAGTTCTCTGTCCCATGGGTCATGGATCTGTCTGTTCAAAACCCTGTGAGGAAAAATTCCTGTCAGGTTATATAGGGTGAAAATTCTCCTCTTACTTAAGCAGGAGAGGAGGGCAGCTCTCCACAGGACTCGTTTAGTTCTGCTACTCAGTTGTCACCCAGGGACAACAACGGCTCACGTTCTTGATGGTAACCAGAGACTGGTAGCACTCACCCATGCACCTCAAAGCAGAGCAGAACTGTGGCAGAACCATCCCTACTTCAACAACTCAGCCTGAGTGCAAAAGCAGCTTCCTCGGCCCAAGGAAAAGCCAATGCCAGACAGGATAGAACCATGCAAGACTAGGTCAAGGGCAAGAGAGACAAACATGTAAAGATGGAGAGAGACAGATACACCTATGTCAAACTGTGTAGCAACACTTTGGCCTGCCTCTCCTCCCTCCTTTAGTTGGGTCTATTTACTGGTTTAATTTGTCCATGCGGTTTTTAATTTCAATTACCATATACATCATTTCTAGTAGTGTTGTGTTGTTCCTTTCTCAAATCTGATTGGTCATTTTTGTTTCTTTCTGTGGTCCCTTGTTCTCTGGTAACATTTTCATTCTTTTTAGTTCTCTAAGAATATTTAGCATAATAATTTTATATTTCTTGTCTGGTAATTCTAATATCTGAAGTCTCTGTGGGTCTGTTTCAGCCCTGTGTTGTTTCTGCTGGATCTCACTCTTAGGAACTTGTTTTGTGATTTTCTTTTTTTTTTTTTTGAGGTGGAGTTTCGCTCTTTTTGCCCAGGCTGGAGTGCAATGGCATGATCTCAGCTCACCGCAACCTCCGCCTCCTGTCTCAAGCTCCCTAGTAGCTGGGATTACAGGTATGCACCACCACGCCTGGCTAATTTTACATTTTTAGTAGAGACGGGGTTTCTCCATGTTGGTCAGGCTGGTCTTGAACTCCTGACCTCAGGTGATCCACCCGTCTCGGCCTCCCAAAGTGCTGGGATTACAAGTGTGAGCCACGGCGCCCAGCCTGTTTTGTGATTTTTGACTATAAATGAAGCATTTTTCTTTCAACCTTGTTTATGAGAATTTGTTGAGATGTGAGTTGAAGTTGAATTCCTCAGAAAGACTCTGGGCTTTCTTCAGTCAGTCTCTGGAGCAACCTCTGATTCAGAACAATTTGCAATTAAATTATTAGCTTGAGGCTGATCAGTCTACTCTGGGTGTGTGAATTCAGAACACAGCTCTTGAAAGATATTCAGTGTTATTGATGCTCAATATAGATCTCCTCAGCACAACTCAAAGCCATATCAGGCTCTATTTCTCCACTTGGCAGGGGTTACATCATCTTACACTGAGGGTATAGCCTGCTAGCACCTATGCAGGAGTTTGTTTTTAGATCCCCAACCCCGAATCATGCCAGCATCCTAGTCTTTATTTATGTCTTTACTCCATGAAGCCATCAAAATGAAAGACTAATTTATCTTCCGAGGTTGTCAATCTGATATCTTTTTTCAATTTTGAGTTTTTCTTATTTTGTTGTGCCAGGTCAGCTCAATATTTTAATTGTTTCACACAAGAGGGTAACTGAATATATCTATTCCACCAAACTGCCAGAAATAGAAGTTATTGCTGTCTTAAAAATGATTTATGTTTTGACATATTTCTGCCATGGACTATGTTAATAATCAGTCTATTTCTAGGACCTTGTGCAGAGCCGACCCAGAGTGGAACTAAGTTAAGACTTAGATTAGCAAAACAAATGCATTTTCATGCCATCCTCCCCATGTGGACTCTGACCTCAGCCACATTGGCTTTGTTTGGTTCTTCATATTTATCATGTTCATCCCCACATCAAGACTATTGCTTCTTCACCTCTCACCTTCATTAATTCCAGCTCAAAGGTCTCTTCAAACAAGGTCGAGTCTGCCTAATTTACATTTATGTAGCACTCTTTAGATTCTCTTCCATGGCGTTATCACAATCACAATGAAATGAGGATTGTTTAATGCCAATCTCCCTAGCCAGAAAAGAAGCTCATGAGGAAAAAAAGTGTGTCTTGCTCATGGGAAGGTCTGCAGTGCCTGGCAGAGCGCCTGGCACATAATAGGTGTTTGTTAATTCTTTGTTGAATGAGTATGTAAATAAATAATTGAGAGGCATTATGTAGAAATAGTTGTTTTTTTTTAAAGTAGGAATTGCACAGAAATCTCTTTCTTACCTTTTACCTTAAATGTATAACAAATATGTGAATTTAGAAAGGTAGCCAGGAAGTCATTCCTTTCTTTAGGCCTTGGAAGTTGCATTATTTAAATCCTCAGTGGTTTAAAATCGAGAATAACATTTATTTTAACCTACTTATATGATTTAAACTTTTTATCCTCTCAAATTGACTTGAAATTAGACATTGCATGCTTAAAATATATAATTATTCATGATTCAACTTCAATATTTCCTATGGGGCATTTTAAAATAAAGATAATATAAAAGACAACTGCTGTCTGTATAAACCAGGGAACAATCCAAAATACTAGCATCAATAATCAAATGTATATTTTCCCCTTTACTGTGTTATATCATTTTGGGTATCAAATGAACCTTTATGACAGTCTTATTTGATAAATTTCCATTTTATTCTAACGTGAAATGAAACTGTAAGAATAGAAAACTCATAAAATAATGTTTTCGAGAAATATCATATTTATTCTAGATTCCTTTAGTAGCATTCTCTTTATGATATGACAAGAATGGGAAACTCATCTTAAAGATATAAGAAATAAATTTATGCTAGAACCCTAAGACAATGCTGAATATTTCATAATAATGTTAGTATATTCACTTCAATTGGAATATTCTGTAATTATACTTAATTCCATATATCTGCATGACAAAAGGCATTTTTCTTTCTTATATTTCCTATGAAGAACAAAAACAAAAACAAAGCAAATCCTCTACACTGAACATATATAGGTTTACGTTATAAAGATAATTAAAAAGAGAATTTCAATTAAGTCAGAAATGAATCGGCAAAATTGTTTTGCAACATTTCATATTCAGGAATTGTTAACATTTCTGTAAATAAAACTGAAAATGAACAAATAGCACCTCTTGTTTAAAAAAATCACTTTTTATACCCAGACGATTCAGAATGTGTGTGGTATGTAAATGATAGCAGCCAAAAAATCAATTCACAGGGTCAGCAAATTACTTTGTTTCACTAAGGGAAAGGTGGAAGAGGGAGGTTTTGTTTTTTTTTTTTTAAGGCAAGCAGGAGTGTTAGCTAAATCAAATAGGGGAGATTTAACCAGGAAAAATAAGTGAAATTAGAAATATTTGTGACCCACTTCACAATTTATAAACCACTTACAAAACATGTTATTATTTCACTCATACAACAATTACATTTGGTGACTCAAGGAAGGCACCAGATAACCTTTTAAAAATGAGGCGTCTCATAGAGCAACTCGCCCTTTTTTTTTTTGAGGATCAAACAGCCTATATACAGCAGAATCAAAACTGGAGGCCAGGTCTTCTTACTACAAGTTAGATGTTTTCCCCATTAATACTGGGTTACTGAATTCTAACCGAGAAAATGAACTGTTCCAGCAGAGTATGGGAAGATATGGTGCTGCGAGAGAAATGAAAAAATAGCATGGCACAACATGAAAGTATAGTGTTCATTAAACAGTGGGCCAGATTAATAGAAACATAGATGAGTGTAAAGGAGGTGATCTCTGCTTTTAATCTGTGTTGCACAGACCATAATAAGAATATTGTGTCAAGTTCTGAGACTTTGGCTTTAGAAAAATTATATCAAAAATTATTATTAGATAGCAGGCCCAGTGAAATCCAGCCCACACTGGATTTACTCAGCCAAAAGAGAATGAAAAAGTGGAAACATTAATAACTTTAGGCAATACAGGCATTCAATTTCCCATGAACTTGACCACTCTCTAGTGTCTCATTTACAACTATTGTACACATTTCTTATATTTCCCTACCCCTTGCAGGGATTTGATTTTCCAGACTATTTATATAAAGACTTTTTTTTCCAAAAAGAGTGGCTAAATGGTGAAAGGACAGATGGTGTCATTTGGGAAGTGGTTAAAGAACTGAGTATATCTAATCCAAAAAGGATAAGGCATGGCTATGCGATCAAATTAAATGAAATTTAAAGGCAGATTTCATTGTGTCACTTCTCTCTGCTTTTAACCATTTAAAGACTGCTCATGCCTATAGAGCAAAGTCAAGTTATTGCCTTCTCCTATAATCAGACCTTTCCCTAAACTTATTTTCTCTCAATGAGGAAAACTACAATTAACCACTTTAATCCAGATGTTCTCATGACTGCATGTTCTTGCTCAGAGTAGCTTATCTGACGTTAACATTTTTGTCCAAATAGATCATCTGCTTTCTGCAATTCCACTCAAGCATTCCTTCTTCTTAGAAGCCCTCTGACAAGTGACACTTGCTCAGGCCCAGGCTGTATTTTTATTGTGGGTCACTTTTCCCCCTCCTACCTTACCCCAAGATACCTTTCAGGAAAGGATTGTGTTTTCTTTATTTTTAAGCTCTTAGTCCTTACTGCAGTGTCTGGCGCATGGAAGGTCCTCAATTAATGCTTATCAAATGATACTAATATCTCCTTTTCAATATTTGAACACCTGGTGAATGGAAGAAAAATTAGGATTACCTTATGTAGCTGAGGACTAAACTAGGACTGGTGAGTGAAACTCACAGCAGTACAGATTTCTATGTAATGAGAGAAAATCTTTCCAAGAAATCAGAGCTCTCCCAAAGACGAAAAGTCCTCCCTCAGTTCAGGAGTGAGGAAGACAGCCAAGACATGTCAAGACAGCCTTTAGCATGGGCCAGGGACTGAGTATGGTACTTAAAAGTGAGTTGGTTCAGTGGGACTTTAAAATTCCCTTCAATTCTGAGCCCAGTAATTCTCCAAATGTGTGACTGCCCATGTGAAGAAGCTGCCGTGCACAGAAGTACCATGCTAAGTTTTGGGGGAAGTAGTCTCCTCCCTGAGGCTGGGAGTAGGAGGGTATTCTACTGCAATAAGTTGGATCTTAAGGCAAAAGAAAATCAGAAGGGTCAATCTGGTAATTAGTGTGGTTCTGATGACTCTTGCTGAGGTTTTCAGAATGTTTCTAAATCACTAGTTTTCACACGGAAACATGGCCAGCAATGTAACTTCCTCAGGTTCACAACCAGAAATAGAAACCACAGGCTTTCTCTTATTGAAGGATAGACATTATGCTCTTTAAAGGCTCCAGGAATCTGGGCACCTTGAATTAAAATTCATGAATAAAGACCAAAAATAAATATGTTCAGCAATCTGGAGAGAAAAAATTTTTAGAACACAAATACTTTGTTCCCCTTTTTGACTTGCCACAAACCACCCTCCACCTTCTATTCTCCTTTCTTTGTGCCTAAATACTTATCAAACTTGGGTCCTTTCTCTCTCTCAACTTCCATTTATCTATCTGCCTACCTATCTATTTACCCATCTGAATCCATTTAGGTTGTTGTTCTGTTTTTTAACGGTATCTTTCTTTCTTCTGCTTAAGTGTAGAAATATTCTCTGTATTCATTTCAAATTTCACTGAATTACAGAGACACGACGTTGCTTAAAACTGTTTCTTCAGGCTGGGCATGGTGGCTCACACCTGTAATCCCAGCACTTTGGGAGGCCGAGGCCGGCAGATCACTGGAGGTCAGGAGTTCGAGACCAGCCTGACCAACATGGAGAAAGCCCGTCTCTACTAAAAATACAAAATTAGCCAGGCGTGGTGGTGCATGCCTGTAATCCTAGCTACTCGGGAACCTCAGGCAGGAGAATCGCTTGAACCAGGGATGCAGGGGTTGCGGTGAGCCAAGATCATGCCATTGCACTCCAGCCTGGGCAACAAGAGTGAAACTCCATCTCAAAAAAAAAAAAAAAAAAAAAGGAAAGAAGAAAAGAAAAAACAAAACTGTTTCTTCTAATAATCCAGTCACAAAGATTCTACCTTCTACCTAGAGTTCGCCCAGATAGGAATGGAGATGTTTTAATTCTTGCTTCACACAGAACATTGAGTTTCTAAAAGTCCGCAAAAGTGTTACATAGCTACAATTTATGGAATCCGAAGTTTTAAAAGATGAATGAATACAGATGAAAGGTAGAGAGATAACCAAATTGTTATTAAAATCCACAAATGTTGACATATGGCACTTTATGAGGCAATTCTTTTCAGAAGAGGGCACATGGCCTGTTCTCTGAAGCAATCTCCAAGAAGGCAATACCATGGAGTATTTAATGTGCAGATGCTGGAGTCAGACCATTCAGGTCATATACATGATTCACCACAATACCAGCTGTGTTGTTGTCAAAAGCTTCTTCAATTTTGTACATTTGTTTTTATGTGTATAGTAATAACAGTACTTATATCATGTTTTTTTGTATGGATTAATGAAATTAATCCTTGCGAAATGCCTAGATATCCTGAGTGTTTAAAAAGTGCCTTTAAAAATCTTGTTTAAGTTTGTTATGAGGTCAAATGGCCCCCAAGATATTGAATTCACTGCAATCCAGATAATAGAATAAATCTCAAACCTTGCTGTATATTTAAGTGTAAACAATTGGTCACAAGACATGTGTGACATTGTAAATGAATCAGTATAAAATTATCCCTACTGCTATGGAGAAAGAAGTCAAATATGATTCAAAAGAGATATTCATTCATTCATTCATAACTCATACATATTTATTGATGTCCATCTAGGTACAGCATTTATAAGAACAGCTCTTTCCCAGAAGAACTGATGGGATGCAAAGTTAGCATTTCCTTTGTCAACTGCGAGACAAAATGAGCAAACAAACCCAGCTTATGCCTTTATTTTAAACGTATGTTTCCAGGTATGGTGCCCCAAAACAATTGCCCCTTGCATTACTCAATAGTTTTATTTCCTTCAATAAAAGCAATTAGATTTCATATCACATAAACCAAGTGTCTTCTGAATTGTCAAATCTTAAGTGATATAAGCATATGACACACAAAAAAAGTGCCTGGAGTATTTTTTTATTATCCATACATGGCTAAATAATTAATTGTGATTCTAATGTGATTACAGTGCCCAATGGGGCACTGGCTTTCTAAATGGTGTGCACACAGGATGGACAGTGATGGTCCTGCTAAGATTTCATAGCCCAAAACCACACAAGTCACACAACAGCAGGATCATCAGTAAATGTTACACATTAGATGCAATATCTCTCTCTCTCTCTCTCTCTCACACACACACACACACACACACACACACAAATAGAACAAATGAAAACTATTGGCTATAAGGAAACAGCACTTACTTATTAGATCATACATTTCTGAAGAATTACTAGATTTAGACTACAAATAGTCTATTGAAAAATTCCATTCATCTCAATGAACATTTCCATTGAAAGGAATTTGCTTTAGATGGTCAGTGTTAAGAAACTTTCATTTTATGACTACAGTGAGTAATTTCAGTTATTTCCAGTAATGCCAGTGATTATGTTTTCCTTGCATTTTCTTTAGGTTTAGGAAAAGTCTTCAAATCTAATTTTAATTTGATAAATTAAAATTTCTAGAAGTTTTTCACCCTCCAGATCAATTTTCATCAGACCTGCTCTTCATCCCTAATTCTGCCCCATTTCTTACAAATTTTCACTTCCCTTTGGCTTGGATGGTTGATAAATTATCCTAATAATGCTATCTGTGTTGAAGCTAATGACCTGTCTAAAGGAATTAGAGATTTATGTTACAAGTGAGAAATGTAACTACCAAAACAGAAGGTAAAAGAAGTCCAGTCTGGAATAACAGTTTTGGGGCTGTAAGAGTGATTTTTCTTTTAATTTGCTAGAATTTTATATCATCTGAGCAATAGTTATAGTATATATCAAACATGAGCTTCAGTATGTTGAATTAAACTCTTGGTAGAAATAGTACATAAAGAACACATCTTCAAGCAATGTCAAATGAAATATAGATTTCAAGTAATTTTATACAAAATATAAAATTATATGTTTTATACATAAGATATAGATACTTAAACATGACTCACAGTTTAAATGTACCAAATAATGCCTTTTTTTAAAGCTATTTTATCTGTTGCATAAAAAATTATTTCCTATTCTGAGGAGTTCCTTATGATTCTTTATATTGCCTGTTTCAAAACTGGACCACCTTATTCTGTGCCTTTGCTGAATCCTACTTAAATGGATCTTGGGCAAAGGCTCAAAAGGCAACTTGAGGCATCGACATGAAAAATAATATTCCTTTCTCATGATCCTCAATTTTTTTAAAAAAAGCAAATTAATTTTGGGACCCACAAACATAATTATCGAATTCTATGAAATTTTGGAAATTGATTTGTTTATTTTAGGGTGAGAAAATTTTAAGCTAAAAAAGAAAAGAACTGAAACACACACACACAAAAACACTACTCTAATGAATTTAACAGAAAAAAATCTATGTTGAAAGTTTATAGCTGCTGTTTAAAGGATTATATAGTTTAAAATATCATATGTTATAACCTAATTTATAATAGAAACTTGATAAATATGAAATGATAGCCTTCTGGTGGGTAAATGTAGGTCTCATTTTTAATGTGGTAGCCTAAACACCACCAGTCAAGGTCATAGATCTCGCAATTTATTTTGGTATGAAAAGAGTATATTTTTGACCTACATATTCAATAAATAGCCAGGTATTTCAGTTATAAGTGTATTGACTCTCAGATCCCAATTTACCTTTCAATATTTGTCCTGCAATAATAGAAGAAACTCAAACATCTCTTCTTTACAGTATGCGCGATGTTAAACTTTCTCAGTAGGGGTCGCTGGTGGGATATGGCAGGAAGAAGGGACACTCCTGCTCTTTTTGTCTACAGCTTCATGGGGGAGGAGCCAAGATGGCCAAATAGGAACAGCTCCGGTCTACAGCTCCCAGCGTGAGCTACGCAGAAGACGGGTGATTTCTGCATTTCCATCTGAGGTACCGGGTTCATCTCACTAGGGAGTGCCAGACAGTGGGCGCAGGCCAGTGGGTGCACGCACCGTGCGCAAGCCGAAGCAGGGCGAGGCATTGCCTCACCTGGGAAGCGCAAGGGGTCAGGGAGTTCCCTTTCCGAGTCAAAGAAAGGGGTGATGGACGCACCTGGAAAATCGGGTCACTCCCACCCGAATATTGCGCTTTTCAGACCGGCTTAAAAAACGGCGCACCACGAGACTATATCCCACACCTGGCTCGGAGGGTCCTACGCCCACGGAATCTCGCTGATTGCTAGCACAGCAGTCTGCGATCAAACTGCAAGGCGGCAGCGAGGCTGGGGGAGGGGCGCCCGCCATTGCCCAGGCTTGCTTAGGTAAACAAAGCAGCCAGCCGGGAAGCTCAAACTGGGTGGAGCCCACCACAGCTCAAGGAGGCCTGCCTGCCTCTGTAGGCTCCACCTCTGGGGGCAGGGCACAGACAAACAAAAAGACAGCAGTAACCTCTGCAGACTTAAATGTCCCTGTCTGACAGCTTTGAAGAGAGCAGTGGTTCTCCCAGCACGCAGCTGGAGATCTGAGAACGGGCAGATTGCCTCCTCAAGTGGGTCCCTGACCCCTGACCCCCGAGCAGCCTAACTGGGAGGCACCCCCCAGCAGGGGCAGACTGACACCTCACACGGCAGTGTATTCCAACAGACCTGCAGCTGAGGGTCCTGTCTGTTAGAAGGAAAACTAACAAACAGAAAGGACATCCACACCAGAAACCCATCTGTACATCACCATCATCAAAGACCAAAAGTAGATAAAACCACAAAGATGGGGAAAAAACAGAACAGAAAAACTGGAAACTCTAAAACGCAGAGCGCCTCTCCTCCTCCAAAGGAACGCAGTTCCTCACCAGCAACGGAACAAAGCTGGATGGAGAATGATTTTGATGAGCTGAGAGAGGAAGGCTTCAGATGATCAAATTACTCTGAGCTACGGGAGGACATTCAAACCAAAGGCAAAGAAGTTGAAAACTTTGAAAAAAATTTAGAAGAATGTATAACTAGAATAACCAATACAGAGAAGTGATTAAAGGAGCTGATGGAGCTGAAAACCAAGGCTCAAGAACTACGTGAAGAATGCAGAAGCCTCAGGAGCCGATGCGATCAACTGGAAAAAAGGGTATCAGTGATGGAAGATGAAATGAATGAAATGAAGCGAGAAGGGAAGTTTAGAGCTTCATGGGTTAGCCCTATGGGTGTAAGAACATTCAGTGGAGTTCTGCGCCAGAGCGACGTCCCGAAGTGCATGGTTCGTCAGTAACCTTGATATTTAACTTGGCAATAACCTTACAGCTGCCCTCTCATTCCAAAACCATCACCCAAAGGCTTCCTATCCAAACCATTAACAAACCTACTCCCCACTACACACTCAAGGACATCTCGCCCATGACGGCACCCATATTCCTAGGGCAATCCCACTCACAGTCGACCTTTCTTCCCTCCAGGAGGTGTCCAGTGAGACTTTGCTCCCTCTTAGAGCCTGCACATCTTGCCTGTGTTCTGGAAAGGCTCCAACCCCTCTCCTCCCTAGCTGCGCTTACTTTCTGCTCACCCAAAGACTGGAAACCAACTCCAGCCTGGCCAAACCGGCAAAACTGTTAGCTAGTGCTTGGAATTACACCTTCTCCAGCAAGTTCTGAATATCTTCGAAGTTTGTACTTCCTAGGGTACTCTCCCTTATCCCTAGGGTACCATATTGAGTTTTCTTATATCATATAGTTAATTTTTTATTATAGTTAAATAATTATTTATATTAACTTTTCCCTGTTTAATCTACTATGGAGATTCTACCTCCTGAAGGAACTCAGACTGATATATCAGAATACGTAGCTCTAAATCTGCATATATCCATATTAGGAATAAAAATAAAATTATATGTAAAATTTCAGGGCTCTCCATTTAGGCTTCATAAAGTCTCTTCTCACTTTTCAAGATCTTTATACTGAAAAAAATGAGTCAATTTTTCTTGCCATAAAAACACTGATTAATAATTTTACACTAATGAGATAAGAAGCAAGCACATTGCTAATAATTTTATTAGTATTTAATCTTATTTTATTAAAATAATAACCTCTGAAATTCTGCATATGGCCATAATATTAGATTTGGTATTAGATTCTTCTTCCATAAACAACTAGAATACTAAGCCAAATATATAAAAATATTTTTTTCAGGCTTTGGACAGCATGCAACACTGGAGTATCCTACCTGAGAGAAGTAAAACAATGTAAATCCTAAAATAAGACTGATTTTATCCTTTGAAGCACTTTTCAGGCCTCAACATAGAGAGAGGCAATCTAAGCAGAGAATGCTAGCCTCACTAATTTGAGAAAACAAAGATAAAGTGTTTGAAGGCTAAGATGATGTATGTAGCGCAACACCAGAAGGGAGGGATATATGCTGAGAAAAAGCTCTAGAAATCTGCCTAAGGGTTACAGTGCCACATATATATTGAATGAAAGTTTATAATGACAGGCAAGGTGTGACTGGGGACCTGTGAGCTAAATGGGCCCTACAGCTCATACAGGGCTGGTGGATATTTAATTTCTAGTGGACCAAGGTGGAAACATGTAGTTTAATGCTTGTAACACCTAATGATACCAGAGGTTCACACTCTGGTAAGTAGGGCTAACCTACTCAAAGGCAAAGGCTACCCTGGGCCTGCTCTATTAAATCTCACAAATGAGGCTTGATGCGATGAAGATAATCTACAAGTAGTTTAACACCTTCTTAAAATGAATTTCAACACTGTCTACACAGAGAAAACAGAACCAAGATACTCATCAATGTAATATTAACAATGTCCCATATCTAATAAAAAATTACTAGACATTCAAAGAAACAGTAAAGTATGATCATTAGTTACAAAATAATTAGTTAATAGAATAGATCCCAAATGGCAGAGATGTGAAAATACCAGATAAAAATTTTAAAACATCAATTATAAGTCTACTCAAAGATTTACTGTAAAATAAACATAATGAGTAAACAAATAATTCTTTAGAGAGATACTACTGAAGAAAATACCAGAAAAATTAAATATGAGTAGACACTATACAAAATAAGAAATGTTGAAAATTTGAAAACATTAATTTAAAAAGTAAATAATATATTACACAGTCTGTTTGAATTTGGGTAAAGAAAAAATGTTTGTATTTTGGTAGAAAAACAATTATGTTAAATATCAAGAAATAATTATTTCTAGTTTATTTGAATTTGTAAATTTTGGCTTTGGCACATTTCCTTTGCATCAAGCATTTAGCAATATAAAACTTAAAAAAAAGCATAAGCCTATGACATAAATATTCCTAAAATAAAACTAGCAATATAAAAAAATGAAGACTAAGAAAATAAGAGAAATTACACAAATAAAAACTTGACAAAAGGGAACAGATGAAAACAGGATAGAAATTTTTAAAATCATAAATTGAAAAATATTTGTGTAAACACATTTTAAAATTATATAAAGTGAAAAATGTATTAGAAAATGCAAATTTCTGAAATGGACTCCAGAAGTAATAGAAAAGCCGAATGAACCAATAAAATTCATCTAAGAAGTTGTGTTTCTTTGGGACTTATCTCTTTTCTTCTTTATTAATCTAGCTAGTAGTCTATTTTATTAATTTTTTCTAAAAACCAGCTCCTGAATCCATTGCTCTTTTGAATTTTTTGTGGGTCTTGATTTCCTCCAGTTCAGATCTGATTTGTGTTATTTATTGTCTTCTGCTAGCCTTGGAGTTGATTTGTTCTTGTTTCTCTAATTCTTTCCATTTTGAAGTTAGGTTTAATTTGAGCTGTTTCTAATTTTTTGATGTGGGCATTTAGTGCTATGAATTTCCTTCCTAACAATACCTGAGCTGTGTCCAAGAGATTCTGCACAGTAAAAGAAACTATCATCAGAGTGAACAGACAACCTACAGAATGGGAGAAAATTTTTGCAAACTATGCATCTGACAAAGATCTAATATCCAACATCTATAAGGAACTTAGAAAAATTTACAAAAGAAAAACTAACAACCCCATTGAAAGATGGGCAAAGAACATGAACAGACATTTTTCAAAAGAAAACATACATTCAGCCAATAAGCATATGAAAAAAGCTCAATATCACTGATCATTACAGAAATGCAAATCAAAACCATAATGAGATATCATCCCACACCAATCAGAATGGCTATTAAAACGTCAAAAAATAACAGATGCTCACAAGATTGCAGAGAAAAGGGAACACTCACACACTGTTGGTGGGAGTGTAAATTAGTTCAACCATTGAAAAGCAGTATGATGATTCCTCAAAGAGCTGAAAACGGAACTACCATTCTATCCAACAATCCCTTTATTGGGTATATACCCAGAGGAATATAAATCATTCTACCATAAAGATACATGTATGCAAATGTTCATTGCAGCACTTTTCACAATAGCAAAGACGTGGTGTCAACCTAAGTGTCCATCGATGACAGATGAGATAAAGAAAAGATACATATATACCATAGAATACTGTGCAGCCATAAAAAAAGAACCAGATCATGTCTTTTGTGGGAACATGGATGGAGCTGGAGGCTATTATGCTCAGCAAACTAATGCAAGAACAGAAAACCAAACACCACACATTCTCACTTACGAGTGGGAGCTAAATAATAAGAACTTATGAACACAAAGAAGGAAACAATGGACACTGGGTTCTACTTGAGGGTGGAGGGTGGAAGGGGGGAAAGGAGCAGAAAAGATAACTATTTGGTACTGGGCTTTATACCTGGGTGATAAAATAGGATGTACAACAACCCCCTCGTGACACATGTTTACCTATGTAGCACACTTCAGTTGTACCCCCAAACCTAAAACAAAAGTTAAAAAAAAATTGAATCTAATGTCAAGTATCTCTCTCTTCAAAAATACATCAATCTCAATTTATTTTTATGAGTTAATTTTATTTTTAAGATTGTAAATGCTATTTTTATTTTTAAATTCACTGTCCACATGTTCATTGCTAGAATATAGAAATACTATTAATTTTTGTATTTTTACCTTGTGTTCCTGAAGTCTTGCTGAACCTAGTTATTAGCTCTCGGAAATATTTTAAAGATTTCTTGGGATTTTCTACCTAAACAATCATGTCATCTGCAAGTAGAGATCATTTTTTCTTCATTTTAAATCTATTGATATATGCATTTTATTTTATTTTATTGCCTTATTTCCCATGCTTGAATTTCCAGTACTATGTTGAAAAAGGTAGTGAGAACAGATACTTTTCCTGGCTTCTCATCTTAGAAGTAAAGCATACATTCTTTCACCATTAAATATAATGTTAGCTGTAATATTTTTTACATATTTTTATCAAGTTGAAGAGGTTTTCTCTATTCTTATTTTTCTGAGAGTTTTGTTTCTATTTTGTTTCTAAAAAAGTATTGCATTAAGTGAAATGTATTGTTTCTGCATGAATTGATACAATAATGTGATTTTCAAAAAAATATTTAGCCTATTAATATGGTGGCTTATATTCATTGATTTTCAAATATTGAAGCATTTTTGCATCCCTAAAATAAGATCTACTTGATCTTGGTGTATAATTCTTTTTATTTATTGCTGAATTCTATTTCTTCTATTTTTGTTAGTTTTGAGTCTATATTTATGAAGGACATCGGTCTGCAATTTTCTTCTTCCGTACTGACTTTGCTTTGGAATCAGTGCATTAATAGCTTCATAAAATGAATTGGAAAATGCTCTCTCCTTTTCTTTTTTCTGAAAGAAATTGTACAGAAATTCTTCTTTAAGCTGTTGGTTGAATTTTCCAATGAAATAGCTTGGCTATATTTCCTTTGGGAGTGGTTTTAAATTATAAATGTAACATTTGTGGGTCTTTAATAGTTTTAGAACTATTCAAATTGCTATATTGGGAGAATTGTAGCTATTTGTGTTTTTAAGGAACTAATTGATGCTTATCTAAGTGTTCTAATTTTAGGTATAGAGTTTTTTTTTTTGGTAGTATCATTTCTTATCATATTGATGTCTGCAGGCTCTAGATATCCCGTTTCATTTCTAATATTGGCAATTTGTGTCTTATCTCTTATTTGTCAGTCTTTCTAGAAATTGTCAACCTTACTTTACTTTCAAATAACGAACTTCTTGTTTTATTGATTTTCTCTATTATTTATCTGTTTTCAATTTTATTGATTTCTGCTTTTATTTT
This sequence comes from Homo sapiens, assembly GCF_000001405.40. Lineage (NCBI taxonomy): Eukaryota > Metazoa > Chordata > Mammalia > Primates > Hominidae > Homo > Homo sapiens. Next base: position 76,870,744 of record NC_000006.12, on the reverse strand, counting down.
TATTACCTTTCTTCTTTCTTTGCCTTTATTTTGATCTTTTTTTTTCTAAGTTTTTAATATGGAGTCTTAGATCCTTGATTTAAGTTTATTTTCTTTTTTCTAATCTGTGCATTTAATTCTATACATTTTCCTCTCAGCACTGCCATAACTTTGCCACACAAATTTGGTATATTGCATTAATAATTTCATTTTCAATGTATTTTAAAATTGATTTCCCTTGGGACTTCTTTGACATGTGGATTATTTGTAAGTATATTGTTTAGTTTCCAGTTTTTACATATTTTTCTGTATTTTTTTTTTGTTGTTGCTATTGATATCTAGTTTATTTTTATTTGAGTCGCAAATAAATGAAAAAAATACAATTCTAAATGATTTCAATTATTTTAAATTTTTTGAGCCTTTTTTTATACACCAGAATGTGGTGGTTTTTCTGACACATTGTGTGGACACTAGAAAGGCTCTATTCTGCTGTTGTTGGGTGAAGTGTTCTATAAATATCAATTAGATCCTGTTGGTTGATAGTGTTGTTGAGTTGTCTTATATCTATATCTTCTATATATATACCTTATATAATATGTCACACATATCTCATAGGTATCATAAATATACATGATATATGACATATTATATATTATATTTTTATGAGATATATGTCATATATGATACATATGATATATTATATGAAAAATACATATATATGAGAGATATATAAGACAAATATATCTACATCTGCTATAAGTATATTAGTAAGATTTACTGTCTACTAGTTCTATCAATTACAAAGTAAGGTATTGAAGTCTTGAAATGTAATTGTTGGTTTCCTCTACTTTTTCCTTCAGTTCATTCAGTTTTTCTTCACATATTTTGAAGCTCTGTTAATTGGTGCATTAACATTTTGAATTTCTATGGGAGGATCGACTCTTTTATCATTATATAACATCCTTCTCTGTCTTTTGTTATTTTCTTTGTTCTGAAGTCTAGTTAATCTGACATTGATATAGTCTCTTTCTTTTTGTTTAATGTTTGGGCAGTATATCTTTTTTCATTTTTTTGAGACAGGGTCTGGCTGTCTCACCCAGACTGGAGTACAGTGGTGTGATTTCGGCTCACTGCAACCTCCACCTCCCACGTTCAAGTGATTCTCATGCCTCAGCCTTCCAAGTAGCTGGGATTACAGGCATGTGCCACCAAGCTCAGCTAATTGTTGTATTTTTAGTAAAGACAGGTTTTCGCCGTGTTGGCCAGGCTGGTCTCGAACTCCTGACCTCAAGCAATCCTCCTGCCTTGGCCTCCCAAAATACTGAGATTACAGGCAAGAGCTACCGCACTGGGTCACAATATATTTTTTTTTATTCTTTTACTGTTGACTTATATATTTCACTATATTCAACAGAACTTCTAATAGTACATATTTAGATCATATTTTGTAATTAACTTCATATTTTAATTGGTGTTATTTAGACTATTCACATGTAATATACTTCTTGATATGTTATGGCTTAACCCCATCATTTTTTTTTTCTTTTGGATGTTTTCTGTTTGTTCTCACTGGTTTTTATTTCTCTGTTGTTGTTGTTTTTCCCTGCCTCCCCACTGATCCCTTGAACTTTTTTTTAGAATTGCATTTTGACTTATTTATAGTACACTTAAGCTATTTCTTTTTATGGCATTTTTGTCTTTTTTGGGTATTACATAACATTCTTGTTGACTGGTTTTATCATTTTGTCGGTTCAAATGAATTGTGAAAACCTTTTATAACCCTTGAACCTTTTATAAATCTCCATTTGCGTCTCTTTTCCCTCCGCCCTTTATAATGTAATTGGCTTAAATATTTTTCTACATACATTTAGAACCACATCATACCGTGTTATAGATTTTGTTTCAACTGCCAAACATAAGACTCAGAAAAAAGGGATAATGTATTTGTTCTTATTTTTTCTCCTTCCATTGGTTGCTTTTCTTTCTTAATGTTTCAAAATGTCTTCTATTATAATGTTATTTTCATTTTTAAAACTTCATTTAATCATTTCTTTATAGTAAGCCTGATTGATTACAAATTATCTAGCTTTTCTCATCTGAGAATGTCTTGATATCCCCTTTATTCCTAAATATAATTTTACTAGACATAAGATTCTGGGTTAGATGTTTACTTTCAGCACTTGCAAAATGTTGTGCCACTTCATTCTGGCCTCCAGGAGTCCTGATAGGAAATCTGATGCTATTGAAATTATTTTTTTATTATAGGTAAGATTGTGACTCTTTGGCTGCTCTTAAGATTTTTCTTTGTTATTTTCACAAGTTTGTCTGTGATGTGCATGGGTGTGAAATTCTTGCATTTGTATTATTTGAGGTTCACTTAGTCTCTTGAATCTCTGGGTTTATTTCTTTTGCTAAATTTGGGAACTTTAAAACCATTAATTATTTGAATGATTTTTCAGCCTTAACCTCCTTTTTCTTTCCTTTCATTTTAGTATTCCACTGACACAAATGTTAAATATTTGCTATATACCCATAGGTCCCTGAGACTTTGTTTTTTGTTCCACTCTACTTTCTGTGTTGTTCGAATTGGATAATTTGTATTATTTTGTTTTCAAGTTTACTGATTCTCTCCTTTGTTCCCTCCTTTCTGCTCTTGAGCCCATCCATTGACTTTATAAATTTAATTTATTGCATTTTTCAGTTGCAAAATTTCCCATTTAATTTGACTTTCTATCTTTTATATATTTGCTGTGACCTTCTATTTTTTCAGTTTTTTAAAATGTGTTAGTTGCTCACTAAAGCATTTTTATGATAGCTTCTTTAAAATACTTTTCAGGTAATTCTAATGTCTTTGTCATCTCAGTGTTAGCTTCAGTTGATTTTTTTTTTCTCATTCAGATTTAGGTTTTCCTCATTCTTAGTATAATAAAGGATTTTCAGTGGTAACCTCAACATTATTGGTAGCATATTGTGAAACTCTTGGTCAGTTTAAAACCTATTTTAACTGGCTTTTCTGATACCATTATGGCAGAGGATTGTCATTGCCCCTTGTTATTGCCACGTGAAGTTATAAGTCCAGATTCAACACTTGACCTCTGTTTACACCCAAGTTGGGGGCTTTAAATTGCTACCAGGAGAGAGAGAGAGACAGAGAGAGAGAGAGAGAGAGAGAGAGAGAGACTGGTGGGGAGTCTTTTAACTTCCTACTGGGCTTCCACAATGCCATCCTGGTTGGGATAGCTGAGGGTGTCTTGTTGCTCCTTCTCATAAGGCCTAAACTGACTCTGAGGAAGTGGAGTGAGTGGCAGTCTTATTATCGTTGAATAGTGAAGAGATACCTGATTCTCTATTCGACCACCTCTGACCTCATCCCAACAGTGTTTGTGTTGTGGGGCATTAGGGAAAGAGGCAGTTGTTGCTACCTTTTAGAGATGGAAATTCAAGAACTCCATGTGGTCTCCACTGACACCAAAGTGAGGAGGGTTTTCATCCTTGTGAGGATAAATCCAGGCCCTCTATTCAGGCTTCTCTGACCCCACCCCAATATTGTCGTTGGACAACCTTATTTTAATCTGATGCTGGTGGAAATGTGGCTATCCACTTAGCCTTTGCTAATGTGTTCGATAATGAGGCTACAGTTTTTCCTGTGATGTTTGGCTGGAATAGAGTGGCTGTTTTTACAAGTTTTGGTCCTCAGCTAGAGAGCAAAATATTGTTCAGGCTTTTTTTGTCTGTATCCATTGACCTATGTAGGTTGCTGGCTTTTCCAGCACCCAGTCTTGGATATATGGGGCAAACATAAAACTGAGAAAATTCACCATCATGTCGTTCTTTGAATCCAAAGATCCCTAGCTGATCAGCCTTCTCTCCAAATTTCAGAGGATTCTTAACATTTCTTTTATATATAACGTCCATAGTTTTTAGTTGTGTTTGGCTAGAAGAATAGGAAACATACATGTACTTCATCTTCACAGAAATAGAAATATGCCATGGAATCTTTTCAAATAAATAAACTGAACAGTGACCACAATGGCCAAGAATGTCAATTTGGGATCAGACTGTGTTTGACTTCCAGCTCCAAAACATTTTAGCTTTGTGATCATGTGAGAAATAATGAATCATTACAAGTATCAGCTTCTTCATCTCCAATAGAGATAAATACTAGCACCTCCACCACAGGATTATTATGAGCGGTAAATGAGAGTCTATATATGAAATACTTATTACAGTGCCTATCACTGGAAAAAATTTTAAATAATTATTTGTATTGTAGAAAGAGTTTGTAGCAGGCATGCAATCTATTCCTGTCCTTTACTGGTGAATGTCTCATAAAACAAATAAAAGAAAACGAGAAGAATCTCCTTGTAAGCAAGCCAACTGCAAATCTTTTGGCAAACACACTAATATCATAGTGACTAGGAGATTGTCCACATTTATGGAATGGTTTCGGCAGGATGTGCCAGGTCTGTGTAATATTAATTATAGGAAAAATCCTGGATTCTATTGACTTATGAAGTATGGCTCCCTGGAAAATGTCACATAAGCTTTGTAAATATTGGAGAACAAAATGGAGATGTTTTCGTGATTAAACCAGTTCCCTTTTGTGTAAGTGATGACCATATATAGCCTTTAAATGCCTCATATATTAAATCTACATTAGAGCACCTACTAGAACAGCAAGATAAAAGGGATCTGTGTTGACAATCCTGGACTTTTCATGCTTGGTCTGTGCTTCACAACCGCCTGAGTTTGACATTGGGTAAAACTTCTGATTTTATGTTCCTCTGACTTCACAATGCAACTCTTTGTATTATCTCTATAGTATATACAAAATTATCCGTAAATCCATATCATCACTCATAGAAAACTGTATGTAATGTTTCAGTCTTTTCTTTTTCTGTCTCTTTGAATAAACACCCCTAAAATTCAATCATACGATACATAGTAATGTTTACTTTTTTATTTTTTTCACTTTTTATCATGTTGCGAATATTTTCCACACCACGTGTCTTAAAACAATATTTTTATTGATTAAATAAATCTATCAAATCATTATTATATTTTATTTAATACTCATGTCTTAAAAACCAAGAAGGTTGGTACATTTTTGTAGTTAATGCAAATGTGTCTAGGTTTATTCTTGTATGTTTTTCTAATTACCTTTTTAGAATAAAATCGTAGGGTTTTATCTATTGGGCAATGTTTATGATCACTTTTAAGTCTTTTGATAGTTTGCCTAGTTTTCCTCCCAAAAACTATGATCAATTTATACTACAGTTCAAGTATGACAATTTGTCGCATCCCCACAATACTGGGTACAAATTTTTAAAATTTTGAAAATAATTTTTGAAAAATAATAAATAATACATCACTTTATTTTAATTAGCATTGTATTGTACCTGAGGTTGAAAATATACCCATTTATAGTTGTTATTTCCCTATGAAGTCCTATTTTTTATACAGTTTTGAATAAGGTATCCATACTTTTTGATGATTTGTTCTAGTATTTTTATGTATTAACAATATGAGTATATTGGTTCTATCTAATTGGTTGCAATTATTTTCTCCACTTCCTAATGATTTTTAAATCCATGTGTTAGCATTAAGAGGACTTGTCTTATTTTTATGAAAGTAGAAAATTTTCAAAATAAAATAAAAGGAAGGTGAAACTCACAATAATCTCACCCTAGAGAGACAAATGCCTTTAAGATTTTGAGTATTTCTTATAATTTTTATATATTTTCTGTTTATTCAAATTTTGCTAGAAATTTTCATAGGAAACTAGAAGGCAGACTATTAAGCACTTGTGCTTACAAAATCATCTCAACCAGAAAAATTTCAATACTTTACCTATTTTTAGGAAGGATGATATTTCAAAATAAGAGCACAATAAAACATGCTGTCACTAAAAAAGAATGGCTTTCCATTCCTCATATGCTAGGACTTTTATAGAGAGAGCAGGTAATTTTGACCAATAAGAAAGATAATTATAGAAGAAGAAGCCTTCCTCAGTTGATTAGCATGGTTCAATGAGCTTCTATCTCATGTTCCAGTGCTGTAGCTGCTGCTAACAGAAATGGAAAAGAATCAAAACATCCTCCTCTGTCATTTCTTTCAACATGACCTCCACTGTTGGCTGCAGTAATATAAGAAACTTGAAAAAGTCTTAAAATCACATGAAGAATTTTAAATATAACACATACAGCTAACTGTTTAAGAAGGACATTCATACCTGCTCTCTCCCGGGTAGGCAGGGCAGAAATTTGGGAACTAGGATTTGGACACAGCAAATTCTTAAACCAAGTTAACAGAAAATACTCTGAAAGAGAGCTCAAGGTTGGGACGGGCTTCAGTACTCTTTGAACATAATAAGGCCAATTTTATAATAGCAAGGGGATTATGAGTCTTATTTGAAAAGCCGGTAGAGACTAATCAGATCTGTGTAAGATATATTTGATCTATCTAGACATTCAGGGTAACCAAAAATTTTTTTTCAAATAACATAAAATGCAATGCATAGTGCAGGATTACAAACACTGTCTTTTCTCTTTGCCTCCTTTCCTGGCATTCAAAGTTTGTCATGAACTCCTTCTCCCAGAGATATAGGTCATAGGAAGATAAAATATCTCTGACTAACAACACAAGTTGGGATGCTGCAAGTTGTAAACTGTAAGGGCTCCAAATAGAGGCTGGATAGTGTTAACTTTTAACTGGAAGAATAGTGGGCCTAAAAAGCAGGAGATTTTGTGATGTGAGAGGAAGTTAAAAAGTCAAAGGCAAGGGATAAGAGGTAATGTAGGCAGACAGAAGCAATCCTAAGAAAGAATTATTCAAGTGGAAGACACTCCCCTGGCCTAGAAATCATCTGTGTATAGACATCATGATAGTGTAGCCAGTGAAGCTGTACAATCATTTACAGATTGAGGGTTAGAGTAATTATTCAATAGTAGGCTTTCATATCTGAGATCCTTCACAGAGTGCCATTTTAATTTTACTACTGGAAACCTAAAATAAACAGATGCTTAAAACTTCTTTGAAATATATGTATGTGAGTATTTACTAAAGGGATCAAGATTGTAACTGGCAAATAGAGGGATGCATTTTCTCCAGTCCTTTGCAGTCAATGTCAAGGATGGAGAATCCTTTAATGGAGAAAGCGTGGCAAAAGATCAATTAAGAGAAGAGAATAAACCAAAGATAAAGTTATAGGTTTCCTCCCAAAAATCATTGCCTCTCCTACACACCAACAAAAACTCCCCAGGAAAGCTACAAAGACACCCTTTAAGCCAAAACTGATCCCCTGGCCTTGGGTACGTTTCCAAAAGAAAGTCAAATTATAAAACTTTTCTCTTGGCTAAATTACTTGTATTAAGGAAATGAGGACAAAGCATAACATTTAAAAATTTTAAATTCTGGGGCAGCAGTTGGATAACATAAAGCTAAGTAAGTACATACATTTGCTAGTGTGTTAGATATTAGATGATAATTCACAATGACACTATGCCCACCCACTTGAATTTTATAACACAATTAAAAACAGACCTAAATACATAGATGATCCTCTCACCACAATTATGCATATTTAGTAATGCAGAAATGTATGACAACAGTGAATACTGACATTAGCTTGAGCATTGTGTATCTCTGCAGTGGGGAAGCAGTCCAACAATAACTTTTTATCTCACTTTTTAAAAACTCTGGCAGAACTACCAGAGAAATGGCCTTGCAGAGAATGAACGCACAAGGAAAAAGGGATTTTTCTGCATCACCTCTAAGGCATAACAAGTAGAAACAGCCTATCTCTTAATCTCTTAAATTAATAAGTACATTTAAACAATTCTCAAATTGCAATGAAATATGATACCATATTAAGGTAGGAAAATTTAGTAAATAAAAGAATGAATTTTTTTTTCTTACAAATCATTGCATTTTGCTCTACTGAACTTGGTCAAATTACATTTGCTTCCATTTCCAAATGATTTCTTTGAGGATAGAGAAATCTTAGCTTTTGTGGATACAACAGTAAAAGGTTGAATCATTTTTCAATCATTGCTTTTAATTGAGCCCTCTGAGCCTCATGACGCAGCTAAATAATGTTTCCTTTAATGACATCTCAACATATTTCATGACTTTTTCATCTCTTTCAGTATTTTAACAAACTCATTTTAGTTGCTGAGAGTTGGTCCCCCTCATTTTAAACGTCATTACCTTGTCTGATTTAACATGCTTTCATTCCTTCCCCAAAATTCATTTACCATCTTGGAATGGAGTGAAAGAGACATGAGCTTCTACCATGCACTTTTTTTTTCTCTTTTACTAACTTTATCCTCTGAAGTTGGGGCAGTGCTCAAGGTCAATTCCATGGAAATTAATTTGCTGAAATCAGTTCACCAAAAAACAATTATTCTAATGGTCAGATTGCCAAATGGTTGATTGGATGAAAAACCTATTTGTTTCTTTTAACTATACATAAATTCTATAGCAATTTCATATTGCATGCTATTTCTGTGGGTTTTAAGTTTTTTATGAGGGTTATTTTAATGACTTTTCATTTTATCTTCTTTTACAGCATTTTATACTTTCCTGCCACATATGGTTGTGTGGGATTTTACTGTAGCAAGATTCTCAGGAAGAAAGGAGGGTTGCTGAACTTCAACCCATGTTCTGATTGTGAAGTTATGAATTTATGGAGCTCTTTCAAACTGGAAGAAATTATTTATTTAATATAATGTAAAAAAAGAGATGTGCTATAAGGAATTAATAGAGAATGAGGCACTGAGAGGAAGGAACAAGAAAAAGGATCCTTTACTGGGAATAAGGTGTAAAAGAGCATAAAAAGGTAACATTTCTTAGGCTGCTAAAATGCAGGATGTAATGATGGGGGAAAAGAAAGGTCAACTGAGGGGGCAAAGATAGGAGATAGTAAAGATATTAACACCGAAAGGCTAAAAGAGGGTTGAAGCAGTAGGAAGTAGAGGTCTCTGATAAAGTTAGCATTACTTTTCTGGTATTTGAGTTGGACAGGTGAAGGGCCAACTTGTCCTACTGCAAAGGAGGTTCATTTATGTGTAGTTTGTTTAAGCTCAAGGTGTTCCTTTAGTCTCAAATGGATGACATCCCGCTGGCACCCTCTGGTGTGTATGACTATTTGTAACCACATGGTGGCAGTACTGGTAATACTGTATTCTCCATCTCCCTTTCACCCTTCCACCACCCTACCCTACCCAGAGGTGTCCAATTTTTTAGCTTCCGTGGGCCACATTGCAAGAAGAAGAATTGTCTTGGGCTACACATAAAATACACTAACATTAATGATAGCTGATGAGCTACAAAAAAAAAAAAAAATCTCATAATGTTTTAAGAAAGTTTATGATTTTGTGTTGGGCTGTATTCAAAGGCGTCCTGGGCTGCATGTGACCCACAGGTCACGGGTTGGACAAGCTTGCTAGACCCTTGGCAGATCTTGGACATATGAGAAGGTGAAAAATCTAACTCCTGTTTCTCTTAGTAATCTGTAAATTAAGGAGGAACAGTACCTGTCCCATTTCTACAGGCAGTCTACCTTTCTTTTTGATGTTCCGCCAATAGCACAAGAGAAGATCACGATGTTTCCAAGTCAATGGGCATATCATTGCCAGTCTTCCATTTGTGAAAGCAACCTCCCTGATGAGAAGGAACTGAATTTTACAGAGCTGTTCTCCTGGTCTTCTGACATTATCAGAGGGTAAAAGTGAAAATAGTATTAGCTTTTAGAGCCACATTGGTTTTTTACAGCTGGCATCCATTTGAATTAGTCAGTGTTGTGCCAAACTGGTTAGTAACTATTTTGAATATCATACATGGTTGAATTTATTCTCTGAGCTGGACCCTCTCAATAATTCTTTTTGAAGGGGTGGCTGGCCCTAATCTCAAGTAATTCTCAGAACCTACTAATTGTAATACTTCCTCTGGTCTCCAGCTTTGGGCCTTGGTAATAATTCTAGGGTGAAGAAAAATCCAGCTGGTCATTTTATACCAGTCTCCTAAAGAGTTTAATAATGCTGCCATGACAATAGGTAGTTCATTCCGTTTTTATTTAATAAGAATCTCTTTTATTATCTTATGCTTGCTTTGATTAATAGTAGAGTACATTATGATGTTTATCCATTTACTCATATAGGTATTCAACACATAAATACGTAGTTTGTATTATGTTTTAAGCAATTTAAGTAAAACAAAAATAAATATAAATAAAATTATAGCCATAAAACCAAGATGCTTAAGTTTTGAGATGAGAAGAAAAAAAGGTCTTAGTATGTTTAGATAAAGCATAGTGACAGTTGAACCAAAGAGATTATGTATATATTTGGAGCAGATTAATTTTACCTGGTTCTTGAAGGAAAGATAGGAATTGAAGCCTCAAAAATAGAAAAGATGTAAGATGGAATGGAGATATCATCAGAGCATTTATCTTCTCATCTGATTTTTTTCTTAAAAGTAGTTAATAATTTTTTCTGCTTTGAATTATATTTCTCTATTCTTATAAAATCTTGTCTGCATCTTGATTAATTTAGACATTCTTAATGACCACATCATAAACTTTTAAGAAAATAATTTCTCTATCTAAATTTTAGTTACATTTTGAGTGCCTACTTATTTGCCTTTCAGAAATAAAAGATACTGTCTTTACCGTCAAGGAACTCACAATCTAGTAATAAGGAAATATGATGGGTAATTAATACTATTCCATTCAAAGTTTCAATTTTGATAGAGAAGCAGGCAACTTACAGTCAAGGTTATTCTTTGTGTGTCAAAGAATTATTGAGAGGGGCAATAATGTGTGTCAAATAATAATCTGCATTTTGCCATCCCTGAATTAGTCTTTCCCCATCTCTCAGTAAGTAAAAATTACTTATTGATGGTCAGGGAAGGTTTCATCTTCATTTCACCCTAGGAGTTCTGGACTGGCATATACATGTCTTCACTTCTTAAAATCGACAGAATTTGAGTAGCTTGTGTTCACTGAATTCTCAGCAACGTGTGACTCACCTTGCACCAACTTCGTACCAGGAATTATTTAGAAAAAGCTTTCTACTGAACTCATCATTTTTTCCTGATGTAGAATATATATACACAATGTGAACAAAATAACACAGCAGACCCTCTTGTTGTGAATTAAAAACAGAATATTTATAAACTTAACAAAAAGATAGGTAGATTTTTAAATGTCATGAACAACTTTAAAATGTTACTTATAAAATCTGAAATTTAAAATGTTTATATATAATATGATTAGTCTTAATATTAAATGGATTTTATGATACTCTTTTAGAAAGGAGTTAAAACACAAAAGAAAAATGAAAGGATCGAGACATCATTATATAATTCACCATATATATTTACTATGATTAAAACTAAATAATAATAAAAATTCTCTATCAATAACTTCTAGAACATAAATATCTCAAACCTTTAAGATAAGTTATTTCTGATGGTAGAACCATAGCTGAATTTTATTTTACTTATAATTTACTGTATTTTCCAAAATTTCTAAAACATATGTATATTATTTTTATCATCATAAAATATTAACATTTCTATAACGAAAAATTTCAAACATACATTGAGAGAAAAGTCCATTCAACTTTCACACATGCAAGTTCCTATTAACAATTAAGATTTGCCCTAGATTGCTTCATCTATCCCTTATTTTATTTTCTTTTTTCAATGTTGAATTTATTTTAAAGCAAATCACAGCTATCATCATTTGCCTCTACATACTTCAGTGTGTATCTCCAAAAAGTATGAACGATTTCTTGTATAAAAACAATGTCGTTATCATTCATAACAAAACTAGCAATAATTCCTTAATACTAAATAATATCAAGCACATAAGCAATTTCCCCAGATTTTTAAAAAACTCTTTTGTACTATTTGTTTTGTCTGAATCAAGATCTACCAAATTTCCACACATTGTTAACACTTGTGTGGAACACTTATGTCTCTGTATGTCTTTCAATATGTAACTGTTCTCACTAATTTTTCTAAGCCACTGATTTGTTTCAGAAAAAAAAAATTTTAACTTCTGGAGTGGTCCTATGCTTAACTTCCTATCTCTTATACTAGTCATAATTATAATCTTTTCTTTTTCATTCCATTTAGTCTACGTATCTCTCTACGTATCTGTCTATGAAGATTTTCTTCATGTCCTGGCTTTCATTTTAGAAGAAATTCCTTCAATCGAGGATTTCTTTCTATTTTACCATTTTCTCTGACATATTTAGAGGAGCAGGATTTCCAATATATTTAGAAAGGAAGAAAAATATTTTCCTTTCTGTGGGAATGGTTTTTGTTTTTATGTTAGAGAAATCCTGCCAGAGGATGATAATTTGAAATATTTGTTCAATGCTTCTGCTCTTTCAGATGTAGAAAAATCCAGCACTCCAAATTGTTAAAAAATTTGTTTGTAAGAATTTCCCTTTTGTCACTTTTGATTAATTAAAATGTTTCTCTCTTTCTCAAGACTTTCCCTATAATAATTTTAGATCATATTCATCATATACTTGATTACTTTTTGCCTTTTTTCTTAATTTTTCTTTTGTATTATTTCATATTTATTAATCTGTGATTAATATAGGAATACAAAACAGTATACTTAATATACACAAATTCAAATAACAGATGCTGGTGAGGATGCAGAGAAAAAGGAATGCTTACACACTGTTGGTGGGAACATAAATTAGTACAACCTCTATGAAAAACAGGATGTAGATTTCTCAAAGAACTAAAAATAGAGCTATTATTTGATCCACTAACCTCACAACTAGGTATCAATCCAAAGGAAAAGAAATCATTATATCAAAAAGATACCTGCACTTGTATGTTTATTCACAGCGCTGTTCACAATAGCAAAGATATGTAATCACTCTAAGTGTTCATCAATGGATGATTGGATAAAGAAAATATGGTATTTATATACCATGTAATACTATGCAGCCATAAAAAGAATGAAATAATGTCATTTGCAGCAACGTGGATGGAACTGAAGGCCATTATCTTAAGTGAAACAACTCAGACACAGAAAAACAAATACCACATGTTCTCACTTATAAGTAGGAGCTAAATAATATGTACACATTAATGTAAAGTATGGAATGATAAACAATGAATACTCAAAGGGTGAGAGGATAGGAGGAGCTGGATGATGAGAAATTAACTAATGAATTCAAAGTAGGTTATTCTGGTGATGAATACACTTGAATCCCTGACTTCACCACTACACATTATATCCGTGAAACAAAAGTACACCTGTACCTCATAAATTTATACAAATAAAAAGCAGTGTTAACCTAATTTTTTGAAACATTGAACCTTGTGCTAAATATTTTTTAAATTATTAAATATGCCACTATGTCAACTTTATATTCCAAAATAGCTTTATTTAATAAGGACATTGAGTACATTTTTTAGAAGTCTGATCTTTTATACATTTGAAAGAGAATTTTTTTGTTGTTCTGAAAAAAAAAAATCTTATTCAAACTTTAGTGTTTTCTTTAAACCGGATGAATAAAATCCTGCCAGATTATTTCAGCAGTGCTTGCAACCTAGCTTCATTTTCTCTCTTCTAGAATCAGATTTGGCTTCCATGAAGAAAATAGGGCACAGTAGAACAGATTCAATAGCTCCCCACTGTCATCACAACTCAGTCACCTTAAACACTGTGTACCATGCCACAGTGTCCTCCCCCCAGTCAAAATGTATATATTTATTTAGCTTTATCTGAACATATGCTTGTTTTCCTCAACCATGTAGAATTACATTGTTTGGGAAAAAGATGTACTATAACCAAACAAAAGCAAAGCACATAAATACTTGCTGTTTTCTTATAAAGACTATTTTCAACAAAGTAAATATTACAGATATTCCTTTACTCTAAGATCATGATAAATTTTTCTGAGCCCAGCAACAGAAACTAGGAATTACTGATCAGGTTGCTGGAGTAATTCATCCCTTTTACATTCAATTCATGGAGGTTTTTGTTTCTCTTTTACTATTTTAGTGAATTATTTCAAGCACATGACAGTCAGGAGTGAACTGAGAGAAGATCAGTACTTGCTTTAAATATTCCTTCTATTTGGATCCAAAGAGCAAATTCACATTCCTAGTCCAGTTTTTGACACTGAGACACATTGAGCCAATTCCTTTTCTTTCTTGAAATTTCCCACCACTGTGGTTTTTTTTGCTCTTTTCTGTGATTGTCCCAGCCAAGCATGCAACTTCATTGACCAGTCTTTATTATGCCGTTGTACCTTCATATACGTTCCTGTGACTCAAGTATTGAGAGACTAGTGAGTTATTTGAAAGAAAACATATTCGAAGTATCAGAGCACAAATTATTGCATTTAGAGTTATTTATTATTACTACATTTAAGTTCACCTATTTATCTATCTGTTTAATGCTGATTTCTTTGCCCGAATTGCCTTGGCAGCACCTGTGTCAGCATTATCAGTGTTGGATTGTAAATTCCTCAGGGACAGATTACGTCTGTCTCGCTTGCTGTGCGCAACAACTAATAAAGCATGTTACAAAGATAGATTCTCAATGTGTTCTGATGGTGATAAATTTTACTGAGTATATTCTAATATCTTATTCTGGTTAAATTTTAAAGGAAAAACTTTACTATCAGTAGATCACACAATTAGCCCCAGTGCATTTGAAAAAGAAAACTAAGATATGAAATGTATTTCAAGTTTAGATCTGAATTATCTGAACTGTATTAATTTTGAATAAATAATTTGTGTAAGATACAATCCAAACATCATTGAGTGGCCAGTAATTTTAAAATACCTTGAAGATGAGGCTCCTGTTAATATCCAGTTAATGATGCAATGGTTTAAAAATATGTTTAATTTAGTCTTTAGTCATTTAAAATTTTAAAGTTAGGTTTGGCTGAAGATTATTATACTTCATTATGGACTGATACCATAGTTATATAATTCTTCAGTAATTAACATGCTGTTAGTATTCTCAGTTTATTTTAAGGTTGCAGTTGTAAGTGGAAGGATGTGAAAATAAATCACTTATAAAACAAGCAAAGATTTGTCACAATATTTTTATTTGACATTAGTAATAATAAATTATACTCCAATGAATTTAGCAACTACTTTTTCTGTCAAAATATTAAAGTGAATTTTATTACAGAAAAGTTTTTTTTAACTTATTGCCCAATGTATTTTCATCCAATGTAAGCAACAGGATTGTGGACTTGTTTTTAGACATCGCCATCTTGGAACATGCCTAATTTACTCTAGCTTCAGAAGAATGTCTACTCTAGAAATTTTAAGAGAAACAATGTGATTTGGATTTTGCAATATTCATAGCTAGGAAGTATTGTTCATCTTTTAGATGGAGATGAACCAACAGTCAGAGAATGCTCCATAGCCCTTCCATAATCCAATCTGCACAATGTCACATCAAACAAATTCTATTTGAATTTCAATACAAAGCACATTCCAAAGGAAATTAAATATTTCACTATTTTAAATAAAGAATGTTTCTTATCTATTCAATTAATTTAGAAATAGGAATATATGTAGATTGTTTTAATGTTAGGCTCTCTCATACTTTGTAAATTAAAGCTACTATGGTGACACTCTTGCATTGCCTGTCTGATCCCTCTAATACTGCCAAGTGAATTAGTGCATTAAGAGGCATTTACCTTCTGTTACCTACCATGGCATTTTTGCTTAGGTCCCTTTTTTGGAATGTTCTTTCTTCCTTTTCTTGGAATATTATTTTTTCTCTTAAAATTGATTTCCCGCACCTGTTACAAGTTTCCAGTTCAAGTTGTACCTTTAATTTGAGGGCTTCCTTGACCATTCTCATTCACAATCCTCTAAGAATATGCCAAAATGTATTAGACACTCATAAAAAATTGTCATATGACAATTGCCATCTTTGTTATTTAAGTGTTATGTTATTGTTAAACTTTGAATGTTTACAAACTTTTCTGTAGAAAATTCTATGTATTTATTTCTTTGCCAAGTGGAATACAGAGGGTTCAATAAATATATACTAAAAAGAGTGAACAAAGAAAATGAATGAAGGAAATGGTCTACAGGGCATTCTCAAACTGAGTAAACATTGTATGGCTCTATGAAGTTGTTTCATTTGGGTAATACCAAATCAGCACTTTGATGGCAAGCAAAAACAGGCTTGTCTGTTAATGCTGGGAACGTAGAACTCATGTTATAAAGACAGATGATTTAATGCTATGAATACTATGGTTTGCTACTAGATATTATATTTTTGATGGATTAGAACTAGTCATATGTTCAGAAGTCTTGGCAACAAACACACTTTTACAAATTGGAAAAATAATTTAAAGTACTATTTCTTTCATAAGTGAGTAATGAAAAAATATAGCAGTCACAAGTGGCTATTTGAGATAAGTTGGATTCAACATACACTCTAATTGGCAAGCACTATCTTTCTTTATTCTTTTTTCACCCATTAAAAATAAACAGGAATGGATATTTTCATAACTTTTGAAGGGCAAGGAAGTTATTAAGAAATAATTTCGCCTTGAAGGGTAAATATTTGTCAGTGTAGGACAAGGGCTTTTCACATTTTGTTCACTTTATTTGCTTGTTTTTTATTTGATTGTTTTTAACTGAAATGTTATATATACATAGATGCACACAAACAAAAAAACAAACAAAATTGAAGTTCTTGCAGAAAAAAAGATGAACCATAAAGAGAAATCATTTGGTATTTAAAATTTTTGTTTTTTTTATATTTACAATGATAGGAAGCAGAGAAAATATGAGAAGAAAAAATATATTAGGAGAGAGAAAAATCTTTTTAAAGAATAGATCATTTTTATTCATCACAATAGATATTGACCTTTTATTTCTGAAGACTTATCTTACAACCATACTTCCACTTATGTTTGGAATTCAGAGCCCCTGTGTTTCTGAGAACCCTAAATCACTAAGGAAGGCTACTTCCCTACCTCTTCTATTTTTCATGCAGACTTTACAGAAAAATATAAGGTGCCTTGTGAAATAACAAAAAAAAAAAAAAATGAAGCAAAATGCATTAACATTTTATGGGAGAACCACTTTTTTCCTTCAACAGTTTTCATATTTCACAAAGTTGGGCCTAAGTTAGCTTTGTCATGAGCACTGAGTGTGAAAGTCCATAAACTTCTCAAACTGGGGTTAGCAAATATATTTTTAGGATTTATAGATTATCTACCAGAATTTTATGTTAATATTCTATTTTCATTTAAATAATTACCCCAAAAAGACAACAAAATAAAAGCAACCTAAAAATAAGCTGAGACTTTTTATATTTCACCTTCCATGGGATGTTGCATTTAGCATAACAAACATAGCAACTGAAATAATTTAAAATACATTTAACCTTTTTGACGTGTCAAAAGGACCTTGAAATCAATCTCATTTGTAATCCAAAATAATGCTTTCTGAAAACTCTCTCCTGTTCCTCTAGCTTTCAATATTGCTCACATCCTTCAGCCTCTGTCTCTAAATTTTTACTATTAAACCTTCTCTAAGCTCCTGCCCATATAATGATTCTTTTCTTTTTTCCCCTTTCCCTTTCCTCTCTTCTTTATTTCCTCTTCTTTATTTTTTCTCAGGTAACTGAATCTTAACCATTTCATAAGCAAATACTTCCTCCTCCCATTTAGTATCTCTTGCCCACATCCCCAAACTAACCAAATGTGAAAGTACTTTGACACATGTAAAGAAACATTATAATCTGCAAAGTAAGCACTAAGAAAAGAAGAGAGAATGCTCAGCTGGTGAGTCATGCAAAAGTAAGAAAGAGAAGAGGCTGTGAATATCCATAAACCAGTAGCTTTCAATTGTTAAATAGCATAACCTTTTTTGGATGGCCAAATAATTTCCATTCTGTTTTTGAGCAACAGTCCCGTTAGTGCTGTGTGACCACATAAATTAAGAGTACTTGCACTTTACCATTACATTAAAAATTTTTCAACCTAAGGACTAGAGTTTGGGAGAGACCATAGTTATTTTCTCAACAGTCCTCACATTTTCACATTTGAGAATGAATATAATGAAGTGGAAGTAGAATGAACCTTCTAAAGTGAGGGTAGATGATTGGATAGAATTGCACAGTATGCTTGGGATGAAAAAAAATGGGAGAATAGTAGGGAATGAAAAAATGAAGAGATCTAGGTGTCACTGAGCACAAAATAGCGAATATAAGAAGGAAAGGGAAATAGATAGGGAAATGCCAAGTGTGTCCTGTGAGAGGAAGCAATAATTTCTACAGCCATCTAAGTTGGCTGGCTTGAACAAAAAAAAGATGGAAATTCATTTTGTTAAAGGGGCCAGTTTAATCAACATTCTTTCAATAATATATATTCACTTATTTTTATTTTCTAATTGACACATAATTGTACATATTTATAGGGTATAACGTGATGTTTCAACACATGTATATATTGTGTAATGATCAAATCAGGATAATTAGCATATCCATCACCTCAAACATTCATTATTTCTTCGTGGTAGGAGCATAAAAAAATCTTCTTTTCTAGTTGTTTTGAGGTATACAATACTTTCTGTTGACTGTAGTCATGCAACTGTGCAATATAACCCCAGAATTTATTCATTTTTTCTATTGTAACTTTTACTGCTTGACCGTTCTTTTCATATATACCCCTTCAGCCTCCCCTCTCCAGTCTCTGGTAATCACTCTTCTACTTTCTACTTCTATGATATCAACTCCTTTAGAATCTGCAAGTGAGTGAGAACATGCAGTATTATCTTTCTGTGTCTGGCTTATTTTACTTAACATAATGATCTTCAGATTTATCTAAGTTGTGGCAAATGACAGGATTTTACTCTTTTTTAAGGCTGAATGGTATTCTGTTGTATATGCCACATATTTTTATTCATTCATTCATTGTTGGACACAAGTTGAGTCCACATTTTGACTGTTGTTAACAGTGCTGCAATAAACATGGGAGTACAGATATCTCTTCAACATACTGGTTTCATTTCCCTAGGATATATACTCAGTAGTGAAATTTTTGGATTATATGGAAGTTCTATTTTTAATTATTTGAGGAAACTCTGTACTGTTTTCCATAACGGCTATAATTTTTTTAAAAAGAGGGAAAAGGATTAAGTATTGTTAAGGATGTGAAGAATTTTCAACCCTCAGACATTGCTGGTTGGAAAGCAAAATGATCTAGTTGTCATGGAAAACAGTTTGGCATTTCCTCAAAAAACTAAACATTGAATTACTTTATGATTCAGCAATTTCACTCCTACATATATAACCTAAAAATTGAAAACAGGTACTCAAATATCTATACACAAATGTCTGTAGCAGCAAAAGTTCATAATAGGCAAAAGGTGAACAAAATCCAACTTTTCACAAATGAATCAATGCATAAAGAAATTGTGGTATATACATAAAATGGGATGTTAAACAGTCATAAAAAGGAATGAAATACTGATATATGCTACAATGTGGATGAACCTCAAAACATTTTGCTAAGTGTAGAAAGCCAAACAAAAACTATTTTGTATAATTCCATTTATAGGAAATATCTAGATTGGATAGATTCATGGAGACTGAAAGCAGACTAATGATTGCTAGGAGCTGAGGAGAGGGGAAAATGATAGCTGACTGATTAATAAGTATGAAGTTTTCTTTTGGGGTGATAAAAATGTTTGAAACTTAACAAAAGTAGTGATTCCACAACATGGTAAATGTATTAAATTTCACTTTATTTTTCATCCTAAAATGTTTAATTTTATGTTATGCTAATTTTATTTATTTTATATATGTACACAAATATATGTATATATGTGTGTATATGTGTATATATGTATGAGTATATATGTGTGTATATATACACACATATATATATAAACTATGCTGGGATACCATTTTTAATTTATTAGATTTGAAAAATACAAAAGCTTGATAATGAACAAAGTGGACTAAATTGTGAAGAAACAGTTACATTCATACATTGCTGTTAGAAATGTTGATTAAGACAAATGTCAAGGAAGAGCAATGCATTTTAATATGGCAACTCCAAAATATAATTGCAGCATCATGTATAATAATATAAGATATACCCCAAATAGCTAAAGTATAATAGAGTCACACAATGGAATGCTGCACTATGCAGCTGAAGAAACAACAACAACAACAAAACTCTGTATAAGCTAATATAAAAAACTTTCAAGCTATATTGCTAAGTATAAAATAATCCAAATTCAAGTGCCTTAGTGTAAAAGAAGATAAAATAGATTTTACATTTATGTATGTGTATGCATATAAAATCTTTGATGATCCTGTGGCAAGATGGCCAAACAGGGACAGCTCCGGTCTGCAGCTCCCAGTGAGATCGATGCAGAAGGTGGGTGATTTCTGCATTACCAACTGAGGTACCCGGTTCATCTCACTGGGACTGGTAGGACAGTGGGTGAAGCCCACCGAGGGTGAGCTGAAGCAGGGCGGAGCATCGCCTCTCCTGGGAAGCGCAAGGGATCGGGAGATTTTTCTCCCCTACCCAAGGGAAGCCATGAGGGACTGAGCCTGAGGAACTCCAGCACAGATACTGCGCTTATCCCATGGTCTTCACAACTCACAAACCAGGAGATTCCCTCCAGTGCCTACCCCACCAGGACCCTGGGTTTCAAGCATAAAACTGGGCGGCCATTTGGGCAGTGAGTGAACTAGCTGCTGGAGTTCTTTTTTTCCATACCCTAGTGGCACCTGGATCGCCAGTGAGACAGAACCGTTCACTCCCCTGCAAAGGGGTGCTGAAGCCAGGGAGCCAAGTGGTCTGGCTTGGCAGGTCCCAACCCCACGGAGCCCAGGAAACTAAGATCCACTGGCTTGAAATTCTCACTGCCAGCACAGCAGCAGTCTGAGATCTACCCAGGACATTTGAGCTTGGTGTGGGGAGGGGCGTCCACCATTGCTGAGGCTTGAGTAGGCAGTTTTATGCTCCACAGCTCACAGTGTAAACAAAGCCGCTGGGAAGTTCCAACTGGTCGGATCCCACTGCAGGTCAGCAAAGCTGCTGTGGCCAGACTGCCAGATTTCTCTTCTATGGGTAGGTCATCTCTGAAAAAAAGGCAGCAGCCCCAGTCAGGAACTTATAGATAAAACCTCCATCTCCCTGGGGCAGAGCACCTGGGTAAAGGGGCCGCTGTGGGCACAGCTTCAGCAGACTTAAACATCCCTGCCTGACAGCTCTGAAGAGAGCAGTGGACCTCCCAGCACAGCGTATGAGCTCTGCTAAAGTTCAGACTGCTTGCTCAAGTGGGTCCCTGACCCCCGTGTATCCTGACTGGGAGACATCTCCCAGTAGGGGCCGACAGACATCTCATACAGGAGAGCTCTGGCTGGCATCTGGCAGGTGCCCCTCTGGGACGAAGCTTCCAGAGGAAAGATCAGGCAGCAATCTTTGCTGTTCTGCAGCCTCTGCTGGTGATACCCAGGCAAACAGGGTCAGGAGTGGACCTACAGCACATTCCAGCAGACCTTCAGCAGAGGGGGCTGTCAGAAGGAAAACTAACAAACAGAAAGGAATAGCACATCCACTCAAAGACCCCATCCGAAGGTCACCAATATCAAAGACCAAAAGTAGATACTTCCACAAAGATGGCGAGAAACCAGCACAAAAAGGCTGAAAATTCCAAAAACCAGATTGCCTCTTCTCCTCCAAAGGACCACAACTCCTCACCAGAAAGGGAACAAAACTGGACAGAGAATGAGTTTGACGAATTGACAGAAGTAGGCTTCAGAAGGTGGGCAATAACAAACTCCTCTGAGCTAAAGGAGCATGTTCTAACCCAATGTAAGGAAGTTAAGAACCTTGAAAAAAGGTTCAAAGGGAAGCCCATCAGACTAACAGCAGATCTCTCTGCAGAAACCCTGCAAGCCAGAAGAGAGTGGGGGCCAATATTTAACATTCTTAAAGAAAAGAATTTTCAAACCAGAATTTCATATCCAGCCAAACTAGGCTTCATTAGTGAAGGAGAAATAAAATCCTTTGCAGACAAGCAAATGCTGAGAGATTTTGTCACCACCAGGCCTGCCTTACAAGAGCTCCTGAAGGAAGCACTAAACACAGAAAGGAACAACCAGTACTAGCCACTGCAAAAACATACCAAATTGTAAAGAACATCAACACTGTGAAGAAACTGCATCAACTAATGGGCAAAACAACCAGCTAGCATCATAATGACAGGAACAAATTCACACATAACAATATTAACCTTAAATGTAAAAGGACTAAATGCCTCAATTAAAAGACACAGACTGGCAAATTGGATAAAGAGTAAAAACTCAGTAGCATGCTGTATTCAGGAGACACATCTCACGTGCAAAGACACACATAGGCTCAAAATAAAGGGATGGAGGAATATTTACCAAGAAAATGGAAAGCATAAAAAGCAGGAGCTGCAATCCTAATCTCTGATAAAACAGACTTCAAACCAACAAAGATCAAAAGAGGCAAAGCAAAGAAGGGCATTATATAATGGTAAAGGGATCAATGCAACAAAAAGAGCTAACTGTCATAAATACATATGCATCCAATACAGGAGCATGCAGATTCATAAAGCAAGTTCTTAGAGACCTACAAAGAGACCTAGACTCCCACACAATAATAGTGGGAGACTTTAACACCCCATTGTCAATATTAGACAGATCAAACAGACAGAAAATTAACAAGGATATTCAGTACTTGAAGTCAGCTCTGGACCAAGCTGACCTAATAGACTTCTATAGGACTCTCCACCCCAAATCAACAGAATATACAGTCTTCTCAGCACCTCATTGCACTTATTCTAAAATCAACAACATAATTGGAAGTGAAACAGTCCTCAGCAAATGTAAAAGAACAGAAATCATAACAAAAAGTCTCTCACACCACAGTGCAATCAAATTAGAACTCAGGATTAAGAAACTCACTCAAAGCTGCACAATGATATGTAAACTGAACAACCTGCTCCTGAATGACTACTAGGTAAACAATGAAATGAAAGCAGAAATAAAGATGTTCTTTGAAACCAATAAGAACAAAGACACAATGTACCAGAATCTCTGGGACACATTTAAAGCAGTATGTAGAGGGAAATTTATAGCACTAAATGCCCACAAGAGAAAGCAGGAAGGATCTAAAATTGACACCCTAACATCAAAATTGAGCTAGAGAAGCAACAGCAAACAAATTCAAAATCTAGCAAAACACCAGAAATAACTAATATCAGAGCAGAACTGAAGGAGATAAAGACACGAAAAACCCTTCAAAAAATCAATGAATCCAGGAGCTGGTGTTTTGAAAAGATCAACAAAACAGATAGACCACTAGCCAGACGAATAAAGAAGAAAAGAAAGAAGAATCAAATAGACATAAAAAAATGATATAGGGGATATCACCACTGATCCCACAGAAATATGAACTACCATCAGAGAATACTATAGACACCCCTATGTAAATAAACTAGAAAATCTAGAAGAAATGGATAAATTCCTGGACACATACACCCTCCCAAGTCTAAACCAGGAAGAAGTCAAATCCCTGAATAAACCAATAACAAGTTCTGAAACTGAGGCAGCAATTAATAGCCTACCAACCGAAAAAAGTCCAGGACCAGACGGATTCACAGGCGAATTCTACCAGAGGTACAAAGAGGAGCTGGTACTATTCCTTCTGAAACTATTGCAAACAATAGAAGAAGATGGAATCCTTCCTAACTCATTTTATGAGGCCAACATCATCCCGATACCAAACCTAGCAGAGACACAACAAAAAAAGAAAATTTCCGGCCAATATCCCTGATGAACATCGATGCAAACATCCTGAATAAAATACTGGCAAACCGAATCCAGCAGCACATCAAAAAGCTTATCCATCACGATCAAGTTGGCTTCATCCCTGGGATGCAAGGCTGGTTCAACATACGCAAATCAATAAACGTAATCCATCACATAATCAGAACCAATGACAAAAACCACATGATTATCTCAATAGATGCAGAAAAGGCCTTCAACAAAATTCAATACCCCTTCGTGCTAAAAACTCTCAATAAACTAGGTATCAATGGAACATATATCAAAATAATAAGAGCTATTTATGAAAAACCCACAGCCAATATCATATTGCATGGGCAAAAAGTGGAAGCATTCCCTTTGAAAACCAGCACAAGACAAGGATGCCCTCTTTCACCACTCCTGTTCAACATAGTATTGGAAGTTCTGGCCAGGGCAATCAGTCAAGAGAAAGAAATAGAGGTATTCAAATAGGAAGAGAGGAAGTCAAATTGTCTCTGTGTGCAGATGACATGATTGTATATTTAGCAAACCCCATCGTCTCAGCCCAAAATCTCCTTGCACTGATAAGCAACTTCAGCAGAGTCTCAGGATACAAAATCAATGTGAAAAAATTGCATTTCTATACACCAATAATAGACAGACAAAGAGCTAAATCATGAGTGAACTCACATTCACAATTGCTACAAAGAGAATAAAATACCTAGGAATGCAACTTACAAGGGATGTGAAGGACCTCTTCAAAGAGAACTACAAACTGCTGCTCAAGGAAATAAGACACAAACAAATGGAAAAACATTCCATGCTCATGTATAGGAAGCATCAATATCGTGAAAATGGCCATACTGCTCAAAGTAATTTATAGATTCAATGCTATCCCCATCAAGCTACCAATGGCTTTCTTCACAGAATTGGAAAAAAACTACTTTAAACTTCATATGGAACCAAAAAACAGCCTGAATAGCCAAGACAATCCTGGGCAAGAGGAACAAAGCTGGAGGCATAACACTATGTGACTTCAAACTATACTATAAGGCTACAGTAACCAAAACAGCATGGTACTGGTACCAAAACTGATACATAGACGAATGGAACAGAACAGAGGCCTCAGAAATAATACCACACTTCTACAGCCATCTGATCTTTGACAAACTTAACACAAACAAGCAATGGGGAAAAGATTCCCTATTTAATAAATGTTGTTGGGAAAACTGGCTAGCCATATGCAGAAAACTGAAACTGGACCCCTTCCTTACACCTTATACAGAAATCAACTCAAGATGGATCAAAGACTTAAATCTAAGACCCAGGACCATAGAAATCCTAGAAGAAAACCTGGGCAATACCATTCAGGACATAGGCACGGGCAAGGACTTCAGGTCTAAAACACCAAAAGCAATGGCAACAAAAGTCAAAATTGACAAATGGGATCTAATTAAACTAAAGAGCTTCTGCACAGCAAAATAAACTATCATCAGAGTGAACAGGCAACCTACAGAATGGGAGAAATTTTTTGCAATCTACCCATCTGGCAAAAGGCTAATATCCAGAATCTACAAAGAACTTAAACAAATTTTCAAGAAAAAAACAAACAACCCCATCAAAAAGTGGGCAAAGGATATGAACAGACACTTCTCAAAAGAAGATATTTATGCAGCCAACAGACACATGAAAAAATGCTTATTATTACTGGTCATCAGAGAAATGCATATCAAAACCACTATGAGATACCATCTCATGCCAGTTAGAATGGCGATCATTAAAAAGTCAGGAAACAACAGATGCTAGAGAGGATGTGGAGAAATAGGGAAGCTTTTACACTTTTGGCGGGAGTGTAAATTAGCTCAACCATTGTGGAAGACAGTGTGGCAATTCCTCAAGGATCTAGAACTAGAAATACCATTTGACCCAGCCATCCCATTACTGGGTATATACCCGAAGTATTATAAATCATTCTACTATAAAGACACATGCACACATATGTTTATTGTGTTACTATTCGCAATAGCAGAGACTTGGTACCAATCCAAATGTCCATCAGTAATAGACTGGATAAAGAAAATGTGGCACATATACACCGTGGAATACTATGCAGCCATAAAAAGGATGAGTTCATGTCCTTTGCATGAGTTCATGTCATGAATGAATCTGGAAACCATCATTCTCAGCAAACTATCACAAGAACAGAAAACCAAACACTGCATGTTCTCACTCATAAGTGTGAGCTGAAATATGAGAACACATGGACATAGGAAGGGGAACATCACACACCGGGACTTGTTGGGGGGTGTAGGGCTACGGGAGGGATAACAGTAGGAGAAATACCTAATGTAGGTAATGGGTTGATGGGTGTAGCCAGCCATGTCACGTGTATGCCTGTGTAGCAAAACTGCACGTTCTGCACACGTACCTCAGAACTTAAAGTATAATAAAGAAAAAAATAAAAAGTTGTTAAACCACATGATTCTTTCTGATTTTAAAACAATATAACTGTTTGGAATCCGTTTTTCATTGAAATATTGAAGTTATCTTACAGCATTTTAAAACATAATTTTCTTTGGATCTTGTATGAAATTACAATAAATGACGTCAACAAGTAAAAACAAATCTTTGGAAGAAAAGTGAAGACAGCAATAACAAAAAGGATGTTTATATATAGGTGTTCACTTCATCCCTTCTCTACTCCTATTATCCCTTTCCCACCTGCACTCTGTTATTTTCCAATGCATTATTGCATCTACTGTCAAAGACACCTCTATTTCACCAAAATTGTATATACGTCTGTGTCTGCATCTCCCAGAAACTCTCTCCCCAACTCTTGACCAAATAAAAGCATATTCCTTCTTGAAGCTCTCCCATTCACAGCATCTAGAGCACCACACTATTCTGATTCGCTGTTAAGTTTCTGATTGCTCCTTCTCAGTTGTGTTTGTTTGTTTTGGCTTCTCTTTGTCTTAACTTCTAAATCCTCTTTGCCTCAAAGCTTAGCCCTAAGCCTTCCTTTCTTTTCATCTAGAATCTTGGTCCCCAGGGAATCTCATCAATGCATATGGATAAGATTCAAATATTATGCATATGCTGTGGACTCCTTGTGTTTCCTCTTTCACAAATTCCAGGTTTGTATGTCCAAGTGATTACTGGATATCTCTTGGCTATCACATAAATACCTCAAATTTGGTACATCGAAAAGGAACCCTTGCTATTCTCCTATGTATTTCTCCCTCAGTGTGTCCTACCTTAGTGAAAGGCACTATGTCTATCTTAGTGCTCCAGGCAAAAGCTGAGGAATTATCTTACTCCTCCCTAATTCATTCTCAAGTCCTATTTATTCTACCTCAAAAATATGTATCTACTTTCACTCCCTCCAAATCACTGTCATCTCTCCCATGGGCAATCATAAAAGTGTTGTAACTCTTCTCATTACTTCCTCTCTTGCCTTTTCAAAACCATTCTCCACAAAACAGCCAGAATGACACTTTAAAAGCATAAATTATTCCCACTTACAAGTTTTTAATTGGCTTCTGATTGAATTTAGAATAAAATTCATATTTCTCTTCATCCTACAAAGCATGACACAATCTGACCATGGTCTGGCTACCCTTTCATTTCCTGTTTCTAATAAACTTTTTCCAGCCACACTGACTTCTTGCATTTCTTGGAACCATCCATCTTGCCTTGGCTTCTTTCCATTTACTTTGAAATGGATGCATATGCTTCCAGTTTTTCACATGGCTAACATCTCCTGTTTCATCTCTCAGCTTAAAGATCTCCTGCCCAGAAAAGCCTTTTCTGACAACACTATCTGAAATAAGGCCCTCCTCCATTATTCTCTATATAGCTGGTCCTACAGATTTTCATCTTTAGCAATTCCAAATTCGGTATTTATTTGTGTGCTGTTATTTTCCATTTGCTATATTGGACTGTACGTGCCAACAAAAGAGGCTTTTTCCCTCTTTTTCATCATGCCTTTTAGCTACCCTCCAAGAAATACAAGAGAAATAGGGGAACTATCAGACTATTCCCACATCTAGTATATTTTCTGCTGCATATCATTTTTCTAATAAGTATTTTTAATTTAATGAATTATTTACTGATTATCTATTACCTACCTGACACTCTAATAGGAGCTAAGCAATCAACAGGGAGGAGCAGTTTACAGTCTTAGGTGGACTACTGGTAGGTGAAAGGACATACTAATCATACGTGCTCCAATAGGAGGCAGCACACAGCGATGTATGAAGCGTATGTCTTTACTTCCTTGAAAATGCATGAACCCTGGATCCAATTCCAGGCACAGTCCTTAACAAGTGTGACAGCTGATTCTTTTCTTTCTTTCCTTTTTTCAAACCCCAGTTGTGGTGCAGTCAGACACGTAAACCTCATGGAGAATCCCTATGTAAGTGCTCCAGTTCACTGCCAGCTGTGTGAAACTGTCTTGAATATCCAGGTGAAGCCAAGGCTTCAGATTACTCAAATCCCAACCACCATTTTTCTGACTGTAACTGCAGGAGAGATCCCAAGGAAGATCACAGTTGAGCCTGACCCAAAGCCAACCCAAATATCTGTAAGAAATAGTAATAAATTGTTGTAAGCCACTAACTTTTAAAGTGGTGTGTTATATAGCAATGGGTAACTAAAACAGCAATGAAATTTTTGTTTTTGCTCTAGTGTTGCTAGATTGTGTTTGTTAATACATGACAAGAAAAGAAGAAGGAATGCAATTGTTTAGCTAAGAGCAAATAAGGCAAAAGAAAACATTCAGATCAGCTTCACATTGCTTTGTGGACACTCAGGCAGTCTCTTAATGCTTCTGAAGCCCCCTTTCCATACATGGATCCACTCATCCATCCATCCATCCATTCATTTCCCCACCCATCATTCATTTAACATTTATGGAGGGAGCTCCTACTCTGAGGCAGGCTCTTCATTAAGCAATGAGATGCAAAATGGAATGAAACAGGATTTTGCTCTCAAAGAAAATCTGTCCAATTAGGAAAATTTATCATTCTAAAAAAAAGTACAGGTAGGTTGGGAGAGTTATAAAAATAGAAGATAACATTTTTGTTTGTTTATTTTCCTCCATGGCATTTTTGAAAACAACCATTTATCCTAAAAGTCTCAGATAGTTCTGTTAAATCAAAATCTCAAACCCACTTCTCTGTTCTCCCTATGTATTGGTTAAAACAAGTCTTGACTGAAAATAGTTGGGAATCTACTGAGGAAGATGTGTTGCTGTGGGGGATAGGTCTGGAAACAGAGAAGAGATGGAGCAATTGAAAAAACAGGTATGTGCATCGTGTGCACTAGCCACTCACCAAGAAACACCAACAGATGCAGAAGTATGGGAGTCAGAGAAATAAGAATAATCAGGTAGTCAGCTTTAGAAACATCAGGTTTGCTAGTCACATCGATTGCAATTTCTTAATTTTATCTACATTTATTTATTCACTTTGATTCATAAGTACACAGCTATATTCATACAATATCAAATATTAAAGCAGATGAGATGCCTGGCAACATTTATATCCATTTAATTGATGTAGGCTATATAATATGGTTGGTGCTAATTTGAAAGCCATATTAGATTATTTACAGTTTTATTATCCAGGTGATTCTGCATTTCTTATATATTTTTATCAAGTATCTGCCCTGCTGCAATGACACCGGGAGTAACTTAAAGTGTTCTGAACTGATTATAAATATCTATGCATTTTATTTTTTGTTTCCCTTCCATCCACCTAGTGTTTTTTCTACAAGTATGTTTATCTTTGGTAGTCAGACCATGTTGCATGCAGTGAACCATAAAAAATTCATAAGTTTCTCAAGTTCACTTCAAAAGCAATACCTGATCTGTCAAAACACATTTTAAACTGTCAAAATGCTTTTCCATTATGGCCTTATTTGGTGCTGTGGTGCTTTATAACCCCAACGTGCTGGGAAAAAAGAGGTGAAAAGACTCACGTGGAGATGTTCTGCTGCAAAAAGTCAAAAAGCAATGCATTGATGTTTGGCTGAACATCCATAACCAGCAATGATTTAATAATTTATATTTGTAAATTATGTAAATACCCATTTAGACCTTGAGGAAAAAACATGTCTTTAAAAATGAAAATTAAAATCTATCATCAGGATTTTTAGATTATTTAAGATAAAACTAGCAACATTAGCCCCCTCACAGTTTACACTCTTAATTTTAAGGTATATATTAACCAGTAAAAATTTTTTGGACAACTAGGTGTGAAGATACTGACAGTTTCAGTCTTAACACGTACTTTTATATGCAGTGTCAACTGGGGGCATAAAGCATAGTAGAATCATTATAAAAAACTTGATAACTGCTGAACTGTAATTCTGAAACTCATTAGTCATCGCATTTCAGTATTTATTACTTATCTTGCTACATAGTTCAAAATACTTCATTGTATTGCTGCTAAGATCACTTGCTCAAAAAAAAAAAAAAAAGCTTATTGGTTCCTGTTATCAGCAAGGCCAGTTAGCTTTGTTCAAATTCCTGATCTTAGGTGACCCTAGCACCTCAGCCTCACTCCTTCACAATATATTAGTAAATCTGTGTGATAACGAATATATATTAAACATATTAATGCAACTTCATCATTATAAGAGAAAAAAATCTCAAATAGAGGGCATACTCATAGTAAAACCATAACCACAAGTACATGTGTGAGAGTTCATAATCATTACATAAATGTCTGTCTTACTTTTATACAGACATGAACAAAAGTATTCTACTATGTGACAGACACTGTGCTGAGAATTGAGAATACTCATAGCTGGGAAGCAATATAGACATTGTGCCTGTCCTCCTTGATTTACATTCCCATAAGGAACATGATGTAGAGGAAAGTACAAGTACCTTAGCCTCAACCTAGGGCCTCAGCATAAGGTGACTTCAGCACCAAGTCATCTTGGTTTAGCCTATGCCAACAGATGACTTAATTTATATGATCTTGCTTACCTTATGAGGAAAAAAAAAGAGTTCTAGAATATAAACTGAAAGAAAACAAATGTAATATAAAACAATACATAATATACATTAAGTCAGCTTAAGAATCTGATACTTAGAATTTTACGGAAGATAAAAAAGTAATTATTCCTTTGATTTGTTTTTTCTGTGAACACAGTCATTTTCTTCTATTCTGTGAATCATTTTGAGATAGAGAAAAGGAAGATTGACGTTAGGCAGAATCCAGTCTCCCCTGGGACCTTATGTCTGACTGTCAAGTTTTCTGTGTTCATATTTCTCTATAATACTGTAACCCTATAATACTGTAACCCTGACACTAGTTGGGCTGCCTATTCTCTGAAAGATTTAAATTATATTTGTTCAAGTTCTTATCCCACACTCTAAAGGAAGTCCAGTGACCTAATCAAGAGTTCTGTGATGTACTAGGCACTTAAATATACCAGATGCCTTCTGACCCGGAACCACTACCCTCGCCGAACCCATGACTTCAGTCATTTTTCAACTCTTACTGCTGTTTCTCACCTTCTCTCCCCTGGCCACCATAAATTTCTATGCCTATTCCTTTTCTTTGATTTCCCCTATGTCTTAGTTTGTCTTGTGCTACTATAACAGAGTACCTGAGACTGGGTAATTTATAGGCAACAGAAATTTATTTCTTACAGTTCTGGAACCTAAGAAGTCCAGGGCCAAGGCTCTACCATCTAGTGAGGGCATGCTTGCTGTGTCCTTACATGGCAGAAGGCAGAAAGGGAAAAGAGGATAAATGCTATGCCCGTACATGGCAGAGGAGCAGAGGAGTGAGAAAACTCCCTCCTGAAAGCCATTTTTTTACATTGATATTACTCTATTAATGAAGGCAGAGCTCTCATGACCTAAACATCTCTTGAAAGTCCCCACCACCTCCCAACACCGTTGGCATTGGTGATTAAGTTTCCAACACATGAATTTTGGGGGACATGTTAAGATCATAGCACCCCAAGATGACTTCATTAATATTTATCTTTGAATATGTAGCAGCCTTCATTAAGTATTGAAGTAAAAGATAAGCTTTAAAGTTACTAAAATATGAGGCTTTAAGACTTAACCATCTTTCTTTAAAAAGACGGTGCTCATTTTCTGCCAAGCTGTGCAGGAATCTTTCCTCTGCAAAATTTCTGCATTTCAATTCTTTTCACATTATTATGCAGAACATTAGCTCCTGCTACCCAGTTCACTCTTGCCTGCTAAAATAAAGGACCATCCACTCCAGACATGAGTCTTTGCTAGCACAGGAGACCTATTCAAAGCTTTCTTTTTCTTTTATTTTTTATTTATCAATCTCTGTTGCAAGATAGATGAGAATCATATACTAAAGTGATTTAACTTCCCACTACTTAACTACTCTGCTTCAACTAGAAGACAGTGGAGAACAAAGGCACTTTGGGTTTTAAATAATGTTTTTTTCACTCTGTTAAAAAAAAATCGTGCTCTGATTTGGAGTTAGGTGCCTCCTCCTCACTCCCACAGGAGTCATCACAGTACAGATTACCCTCTATTGTCATTATCTATTTAATCATCTATGGCTCTCACTAGGTTAGATTTCCACAAGGAAAGAAACTCTGTACATTTTTATCTGTTTTTTTTTTTATAATATCTAGCATTGCCTAAAAGTAGCTACTCAAGAAATATTTGTTATGTGAATGGACGAAAAATATTATATTCCTGACAATAACAAAACCTGGATTTTCTACATTTTCTATATTTATAATGTTTACAATATAGCAGATACTATGATCAAATGATTATAATAAACACTACAAACAAAAAACCCAAAACATACTGCTAGACAAGTCTCTCACTCAAAAGCTGAGGACCTTGTGGTGAGAGAAGAGAAATGAGAGCTTAGTCTTCTCACTCTGTAAGGACTTTCCTGGGGTTAGAAATCAGGCTTCCTCTCTTTCTGGGTCCTGCATCTTTCCATTATACCACATCTTAGCCTGAGGAGTCAGATAGCCTGCCACCCTGAATTATGGAAGAAGCTAGTAAACAGCTTTCCAGAAGCAAGCATCGATTGTTTTTGCATCTCCTTACAAGCAGTGTAGAATAAGAAGCAGCTTCCAACTCCCAGAAGCTTGAGATGGCTTTTCAAGTGTGGAAAAATAACCAAGCGGGAGCACCAGCGCCTTGAGCCTCCAAGGTTGCCTTATATTCTTGGCAAAAGTACACTGGTTGTTCAAGGGCATTTTACGTTTTCAAAAGCTGTTTTTGGACACTGGGAAGGTTTAGTTTCATGAAGGTGATTTAAACTGCTTGCTTTGGGTGTGGAAAGATTAGGATTTAAGAATCGTTAAGTGAAATTCATTTAAGAATAATAAGGATTAACAGTCAAATACTGCTTGCTTGCTTGCTTATTTGTTCTGCAGCTATATCTTCCAAGAAATATTTGCATTGCACATCAAAAATGAAAATAGTTTGAAAATAACTGATAATCCATAGATTAGAAAAACCTCATTGAGGATAACCATTGGATATTTAATTTCTACTGTGTCCCTCTCCTCACTCTTAAAGTTTTTCTGCATCCTATCTCTTTGGCCTCATTTCCAACCTGTCCTTCATTCAATCCTTCATGCAGCTATAGATAAGTTGCTAGAGTATATTGTAAGAGAGGTAATATATCAAAAATTGCCTCAATTCAAATCCCTGCCCCATCACTTTCTAGCTATGTGACCTTCTAGCTGTATTGACTTAGTGGTCTTGTTACTCGTCCGTTGTTAAAACATGTAAGGCACTTGCATAGCACATAATAATTTATCAATAAATGTTACATAAGGCTGACAACACCTTCTCTACAATTCCAAAGCTACAAATTTGAATGTTTCTGTGTAGTTTCTTTTATAACAAACCCTGACCTGACCTGAACACATCTGACAGCAAAGCCTGACTTGGACTGACTTTAGAGTGTATCTAGTCTATATTTATTCCACATAGTGTAAATATTTATTTATTTTATTGGAAAAATTAATTCATTTGATTACAGGGTACATTATCAGATCCCATTGAGTGTTATAGAGTATGTGTGCCTTACTGTGTTTCTGAAATATAAAAAAGATCTGAATTCTGAAACACATCTGTATCCAAGAGCTTGTATAAGTCACGATGGGACTCCAGGTTATAATTACTTTAATACAAGCTTCTAAATAGACTATGTTTGCTTTCAATACCATTACCTCCTTCACAATGTTTGAGCTACTCTCATCCTACCCTGTACCCCTGATTCAGTAAGTCCCAGATCAAGTGTGTATAGCTCTGTAGAAGTCCCTTTACTATTCCAAACATTGGAACTTTTCCTCTTTTTGTCCCTCTAGTTCTTAACACTGTGCTCCATACAGTTTTCTTTGCTTTACTTTGTAAATTGTATTTTTTAAAAAGTAAGTGTCACTTCAGTGAACATATAAAATTGTTCCCAATGATGATTTATGCTAACACTGTTTACTTTAGAAAAGCAATCATTGAATTTTCTAAAATCTGGTTTAAACTGATACCAAAGTGTCAGTCATTTTTAATAACATAATTAAATTATGTATATAATAAAAATACATTCTTTTTGTGATTTTAAAAGATAAAGCGTGTTATTGTGAGAAAACATGTACTTATATGTACTTATGTATAATTTCATGAAAAGTACATGTAAACAACAACAACAAAACAGCAATCTGCTCATTGCCAAAAGAGAAAGTATTCCCATTGAGTACTAAACAACCACAAATGTTTCCATAATCTGCTATTTCAGATAGTTTCATGGGACCAATTCCAGCAAGATATTAGAGGATATTTTAAAGCTTCTTGAATCTGTAAAGTTACTATGCACTATATTTATTTTAAGACTTTAGGCCAAAATAATTTGAGAAATTGTTCTTTTTTTCACATTTATTTTTTCTCAGTACAAAAATAACACGGTTGTAGTAGAAAAATTAGAAAATACCTATAAGCAAAAAGTTAAAAAAATGTTGCTAGCAATCTCACTATTCAGAAATGTTATTTATATATTTACAAAATTATTTGCCTATGTATGCATATTTAAATAGCATGTGGAGGTATGTTTATGTGTTCTTATATACATGCATATATCAAAAGAAGATTATCATGGATCTACTATGTTTTAGTTACAATAAAGTTGTTATGAGGCCAAGAAAACAGTCATACTTCAGAATTTTTAAATATAATTAGATGTAGAGGAGGAAAAATTAATGAGTCACAAACACATAAGTATACAGTCACAAATTGTGATTTGCTATTGAGGAAACAAACAAGGCACCAAAGCATAGGAAAATGGTGGCAGTAGATAGGGTAATTAGAGGAGATGTCCCTGAGGAGAAAATTGTAAAGGGCTTTGTGTCTGAAATACTGAGCAAAGTAGAGAGTGACAAAGGATGAAGTGGAGAGGTCAATAGAGACTAGATCATGCAGTGGCTTGCATTGCATTGCATGAATAACTTACTTTGATGAACAATGGGAAAACATCATCACTCTCTATAGAGAGACTGATGTGATTTGTATAACCTAGTGATATTTTGAATCGGATAATTCTTTGTTATAGGGAGATAGCCTTCACATTTTAAGATTTTTAGAAGGACCCCTGGCCTCTATACACCAAATGTCATTAAGACCTTCCTCAGATATAACAAACAAAATGTTCCCAACGACTTCCAAATGCTCCCTGTTGGTTAAGAGCACAATCATCCTGCTTAACATCACTAGTTTAAGTGAATGAAAACTCTTCTGCCTACTAAGCAAAGAATAAATTTGCTTCTTCTTTTATTGGAGCATACCTGACCAAAACAGGCAGCCACCTTATGACCACAAAGAGAATCAGCCTTAAAAATGACACTCGGTGGATTTCAGAGCAACATTAAATAAACTGGATCCTTGATGCATTCATTAGCAGCTGGACCAACCAGCCTTGAATCTAACATTATGTTTATCTTATTATTATATGATAAATATTAAAACTGTAATGTAATAGAATGTGGGAGTGAAGATGAGAAAGCAAGTCAAAATGCAAAATGGAAGACAAGCAAGTGAGGTAGCTAGTTGTTCATGTAGAAGATGATATGTTGGACAATGGAAACATGCCTTCAATTTGTGTACATGCTTTCTAGAGTGTCTTGGCATTGTGGCCATGGAGAAGTTATAATAGTCAAGATTTTTTTTTGGAGCTAGAATAGGCATGGCTTGGCTCTATACTTCAGTCCAGGTATTTCCTCATTCCTTTGCTCCATTTCACAGCAAAACCTCTCATAGGGGTTTTTCATTTTCTAGAAAAAGAGGAAAATACATTGTGTGTATTATCTTGGCATATAGCCAAGATTACTATCTATATCAAATCAGATAAAATGGAATGTTTGATAAATGTTGTTGGAACAAGTGACATTCTGAATTATACAAAAAAAAATCCCTATACTTGGAAAATAAAATTCAAATAGGTTAAACACTTAAATTGGAAAACAAGATTTTAAAACTATGAGAAATAATACAGGAGAAGTTTTTCATGATACTGGGATAGCAAGGGATATTTATTGATGATACCAAACAAATCACATGAAAGAAAAAAATAATTAAAATATGTGACATCTGTGACATCATTAGAACAAAATTTTTCTATCTTGTAAAAAGACTCCATAAACAAAGTATAAAGGCAAAACAGTCTTAGAAAATATGTTTATATGTATAATAGGCAGAATGTACATACAAAATACATGAAGAACTTTTTCACATCCAAAAGAAAACAGTAATCCAATTGAGATATGTGTTAAGTGATTCCTAACAGAGATACACCACATGCCCCTTCCCTCACCAAAAATAGTATATATATTCAGCTACCCAACTTTACTAAATTAGGAAAACACAAGTTAAAGCAAGAACAGTAAATTTCACTCACAGAATATATTATACTTACAAAAGCAATCCTGACAATTCCCAATGTTATTAAACATGTAGAATGCAAGAATTCTGACAGTGTCTGATAAAAACAAATCAGGATAAACTGTTTCTCACAGTGATTTGTGAATATTCAAGACTATTTCAACTGTGCTAATTTAAAAACATCAAGACATTTAGCTTCTGGGTATATGTATACCTTAGAGAAATTCTGTACAAGTGTATCATGAGACATTGCAATACTGTTTATAGTAACAAGAAAATCTTAATAGTCACACAATGAAAATATCTAAAGCAGTTAAAATGAAAGAACTGTATCCATCTATCAACAGCCTAGAACTGAAAAAATATATAATGTTAGCTATTATAAATAATGTGCTATTGAACATTCTTGTGCACATACTTTTGGTACTCATGTATACACATGTACGTTGGGTGTTCGCCTGAAAGTGAAATTCCTGGTTTAGACAGTATAATGTGTTTTGCTTTAGTAGATTAGTTTAGCAGATTATATTACAGCCCAGCAGTTTTCAAAGCGATTATGCCAATTTACATTCCCATCAATAGTAGAAAACTGGAAATAATCCAAATATAACCAGCAATAGAATGGATCAATAAATTGCAATACATTCATACAATGAAATGCTACTGACAGAACAAATGTTTCACACTAAAGAAAGAGATAAATATCATACGCATAATGCTAAGTCAAAGTGTGTGTATACACGTACACACACACATAAAGCATATATATGTGTGTATGTTGTGTGAAAACTTTTAAAAATAGATTGGAAAAATTGAGATGAAATTCAGAATAGTGTTTGTTTCTAGGGAAGAAGAAAAGCCAGAGAATGAACCTGGGAAAAGTTGAAAATAAAGAACTTCATTTCTCTGTAGTATTGAATTTATGTTATTAAACACCTCAGCACTAAAATTGACAAATGTGGTAGGGGTGTGGATGTTTAACACCTTATTACCTGTATATTTCAGTTACTTTTAAATGTATAAAATATTTTAGACATTAAAATGTAGAAGTTTCTTATTCCCAGAAAATTGCAATCTAGTAGCCATGATGACCGGGAAGGTTATGATAAGTAATCTGAGAGAGGCACTAAGTGCCTTGGGAAAGCAGTAAGAAGAGGTCATTTGGTAAGGCGGGATATGGCAGAGTCATGTTCAGTGATCTGGTAGAAAAGAGTAATGGACTTGGAGCCACCTGCCTGGATTCGAATCTTGGCTTCACTGCTTTCTTATTTTGTGATCTTGGATAAATTACTTCACCTCTTCACTCCTGCCTTTCTTCAGGCTGTTAAGTAGAGATAATGATAACACCTACTTCACAAGCTGTGAGATTATGAGTTAACGAATATGAAACAGAACCTTGCTGAGCACAAAGGGACACTGATACGGACCATGATGATTGTTTTCACCATAGAGGGATAAAAATTCATCAAGAAGTATAATTAGCCTTTTAGCAGTAGAACTTTGGAAGTGTCGCTTTGTCATCTACCATATAACTGAGTTTAGTAAATTGACAGTTTTTACTCTTCGAAAATACATGTTTAATAGACGTGTGTATGGACATGTGTATATGTATCTCTCTGTATATGCATGCATAAATATTCTCTGAAACTTATCTCTTGCTGCAGATGTGAATATAATTAAGTGAATGAAACTTGCTATATTCAGTAGCCTCAAAAAGGAATGACAAATGTCTTAAGTTAGATTAAACTCTAATCTTTAATCATGGAGCAATGTCATTACCCTGTCTCCATAGAAAAACTCCGTTATAGTAGAAGATTTAATTATTCAAGTTTAATGGCTAATTACAAGCTTCAAAATTTACATTTTTTATTTCAAAAATGACAAATGAGACAATCAGCAGAGAGGACAAGTTTGGGTTCGTTACAATGCATATAAATGTTACTGAACTGTCTATTTATCTATCAGTTTAATTGCTCTGTTTATTCAATACATGATGTGGTATGCTTTTTATCCCAAATCATTATGACCCTTGTCTTTACTCCAGTTCTACTTTATAATTATCACCAACAACATGGTAAAAGATCTCAGATATGCACTGGTTTTAAAAATAAATAAACAAGAAGGCCAAGACTTTGTGATTTAAAGATAAGTTTAAATACTGGCTTTTATTCATTAGAAATGTCTATAGGAAGTAAAAACATACAGGATATACAATAATTTACCTGAACTCTAGCTAATAACTCTCTTTCAGACAAATACAAATTTTCTAATATAGGAGAGCCAGTGCATTGAATTGATTGAATCAAGCACTTGCTTTAAAAAATAATTGTATTACTATTTATTGAGCACATACCATATGCTGACACTTGACTGGTCCTGAGGATAAGTGGTGGTCAAATAAGATTAGTTTTCCATTCTCTTAATGTTTAATGTCTTTTGGAAAAGACAGCACATAATTATGCGGAGCAGCTGCAATTGTGATAAGTGCCCTGAAGGATAAATATTACCTGATATGAAAGCACTGAACAAGTTGGGCAGGACAGGACCTGTCAGGAAAAGCTAGTGAGACTGTTCTTTCATTAAATGCATTCTTAGTGTGGGAGCAAAAAAAAAAAATGCTTCTGCTACATTGTCTCAAGAAACTCTAACCCGGCTTAAGGGGATTGACATACGATGTGAGTAAAATTTATACATTTATTTTTGTTCTTTTACTGTGTTTCCCTAAACCTGATTTGAAAACCATGATCAGCTTTTAAGGTAATAAGAAGTAGGACTTAAGCCAAAAATAAATACATTCTTAATGAACACATTATCATTTTTATGCTCTTGTATTTAAAATGTGTACATAGGAATGTTGTTTATAGAATTCAAAATTGATCAAGTAATTCCTTGTGGGGTTTTATTTTTGTAGAGCGTGGGAAGAAGTAAGTAACTCATTCAAGGCCTTCTTCATACTACAAAGTTAAATAGAAGACCCTAATCAGAATAAACTTTTCCCATATTTTGACACTGAAGTGAAAATAATTTAAACACAGAGGTTTAAAATACTAAACTATGATAGCATGATAATGACAATACATTATCTTCTCAACAAAAAAGTATGTGTATTTTGCTTCTAAAAATAACTGGTATCTAAACTTTAAAACAATGTAAGTCATAATGGATTAAGGTGGGAAGGCAGCTTGATTTAGCAGAATGGAAACAATATGTATTAGAGTTCAATTCTTGAAAACTCTTCCAGATTTAATACATCTTAATGTCCTCAATGACCTGCTCCCAGACCGATTTTCAGAAAATCATTCACAGGATCCTGACATAGTTGAAGAAGTGTTTTGGAATCACTGAATTGAAATGTCCCCTCTAACTCTAACTCTAGCATTATATGATTTTATATATAACAGAAAGGGAAAACCATTGGAATATATATACACATATACATATATATGTGCTATATA
The DNA here is from genome assembly GCF_000001405.40 of Homo sapiens. Lineage (NCBI taxonomy): Eukaryota > Metazoa > Chordata > Mammalia > Primates > Hominidae > Homo > Homo sapiens. The sequence goes on along the minus strand of NC_000006.12, from coordinate 76,830,585 downwards.
GATATGTGTATATACTGGAATATATATACATATGTATACATTATATATACATATATACATGTTTACATTATATATGTATATATATTCCAATATTTACACATATCTATATAGCATTATATATAATGCTATTATATCTAATAGCATACACACACACGTTTACATTATATATGTATATATATTCCAATATATACACATATCTATATAGCATTATATATAATGTTATTTTATATATATCTAATAGCAAACACACACACGCACACATATACACATATGTATCTATATGTTCAGGTGTAGTACCAGCCATAAAAATTCCAGCCATTTTGTTGACTTTTAGAAAAACATCTTTGTGAGTAATTTTTTGGTTATGGAAGGCAAGATTTAGTTACAAAACTTTGAAAGAAGTTTGGCCAAAAAAGAAATATTAAGAAGGAAAGATGCATAAAATAACATGTTGCAGTCATCACAGATCAAGTACTAACTTTATAATATTCTGTAATACTTTAAGTCATGTAAGTCAAATGGTTTTTAATGCTTCATAAATATTAATATAAATGAAATACACTTTTGTCCCTTCTTTACAGATGAGGAAACTGAGGCATAGAGAGATGAAGTTATTTCTCAAGTCCAAAGAGCCAGGAAGTCTCAGAGTATGATTTGAACCCAGGCAATCAAGATCCACAGGCTATAATCTTAACTTCAGTTCTATGCAGTTTTTCTAATAGATAATTGAAACATATAGATATCTAGGTTGAATTATAAAATATATAAGACACTGACTTAAGATAACAGAAAACTTAGATAATTTGGACCAAAATAGCTAATAATGAAAATTAGAAAACCTAGACATTTAATAGAATTTGCCAGAAGTTGTCAAAGAACTGACACTGCAGTGAGAAACAGGAGACCAAGAAAGAGGCCTGACATATTTACTTATTGATATGAGAAACCAAGTGATAAATTGGGTAGCATTTTTGAGTTTCATGGATCTAAGCCACAGAAGTTGAAGCACAAGGCCCATGAAGAGTGGAATGTCTAGCAACCCACCCACTATGTGTAGTTATAATGGCAAAAGGCTGCACTCAGGGAATAAACAAAAATTTAATATGCAACAGTCTCTGCACAGACCATAGCTAAACTTCAAATCATCTGGATATGCCCCAAAATGTTAATTATTGAAATTGAATTATAATGATACCACATTGTTAGTGGTGTCAGTGCCAAACAAACAAAATCCTTCCTGGAGCAAAATGATATTGTTTTTATCTAGAAAATCTTCCTAATTCTATTCAAACAAACTATTCAGTACAAAATGAAAAATTAAAAGAGACATAAATATAATAAGCAACATGATATAAAATCAGCAAAACAACTAACGGTGGAAGCAGTAGCTCCAGAAATAAAAATAATCAGACAGATTTTAACATAAGGTTATCACTACATTAGGGAGATAAAAATTAGACAGAAAATTAAAGCACACAGCTGAAATTAGAGCACTGTGGGAAAGGAGCCAAAAATATAGAAATGAAAAACATAGTAACTGAAATTAGGAAGGTTGTAGTGAGATCATAGCACTGATGAGTTAATTATGAAACTAAAAAATAAAGTTAGAAGAAAATAAGTAGAAGTAAAAGCACGAACAAGCAGAAAAGATGAAATAAAGAAAGAGGCACATGGTAAAAAGATATAACATACATATAATTGGCATCCCAGGAAAAGAGGAAAGCAAGAAATAGAGTAGAATCAACGTACAGAGTGTGGCTAAGATTTTTCTCAATTTAATAAAAGACATCAAGCTACACATTTGGTAAGCATATTCGAGAAATTCAACTTAACCTCCAGGTTCAAGAAATTCACACTTAGAAATATGATAATAAAAGTACAGAAAAACAACAACAAAGAAAATGTAGTCAAACTAACCAGAAAAAAAGAGATAGTCTACAAAGAGTAACTTACAAGTCACTTCTATGTGAAAAATGGAAGCCAAAGACAGTGGTATGACACATTCCTAGTGGTGAAAGAAAACATTACCAGAAAAAAATGCTATACTAATAAAAATAAATTTTAAAAAAGAAAGTGAAAGAAAGAAATGTTCTGTTCAAAAACTCAAAAACAAAATATTATACTGCAGACATTGCACTGAAAGAAATATTATAATAAAGACATTTTTCATCTGAAACAAATCATAAATATTATGGAAGGTTAAAGACTCAGGAAAGAATAAAAAGAAACCAAAAGGTAAATGTGTGATAAACATAAATAAATACTGACCAGATAAAATAATAATATTTATAATAGCATATTAATAACAGAGTATACATAAGTATTATTAAAAATAAATTAAAAATCATAAAAGTAGTAAATAAAACTAAAATATTATAAGGTTTTAGTGTTGGCTGAAAAGAGGAAAGTATTGGCAATGAACGTTAGATTTTAATTAACCAAGGACATGTAATGTGAATTAGCACTAAAATAATAATAAAGTCACTTATAGTTTACAAATGACAAAGCAAAGCAAGTTAATAATAAAAAATATAGAATCATCCTAAAGGAAGTTAAGAACATTATGAACATGGATTATAGAACTGTCAGGAGAAGTATGAAGTATTCACTAACATGGTAAACATTAGTATTTCACTAGTTACTAATATTAGCAATCACACTGAAAGTAATTGGACAATTAGGTGAATTTTACAAATAATGTTATATTCTGGAAATAAAGCTCCATTCTATGTGTAAGAAACACATGTAAAACATAAGTAAACTGAAGAATAAAGAAGACATACCATGCAAATATTGACTAAAATAAAGGTGGTTCAGCTATAGCAATATTTGAAAAAAAAAAAAAGGCACTTTAAAGGAAAGGAATATCAGTAGTAAATAGAGACAATTAAAATCATTACAGATTCCATTCACAGTGAAAATACAGGAGTTTTAAATTCTAAATTTCTATACATGAATTAAATGACACAAATATAAGATATATATGGTTTTATGTCTGTGAGTGTGTGTGTAGGTGTGTGGTGTGTACTTCACAATTGAAAATTGACAGACTGCAAGGTAAAAACTAAATCAACAATCTAACTGGGAATTTTTAATATGCTTCTATCTGTAACTCATAAAATGAAAAGACTATAACTCAGTAAATCTTTAGAATATTTGAACAAAAGATTTACAAAACTGCTCCAAGGCTATACAGAACATAGTTGGAAAATTACAGAATCCACATTATTTTCAAGCACATATGAAATATATTTAAATGTTGAACAATTTATTGAGACTTAAAGCAAGTCTTTGAGAATGTTCAAAGGATTAGAATCACAGTTTATGTCCTCACAACAGTAAAATTAAATTAGAAATTAATAATAATAAAATTATTAGATGATACCAATCTTTTGGAAAATTAAGTTATAGTTTAATCATGAGTCATAGGTATAATAATAATGAAAACTAGAAAAAATAAATCTAATGACCAAAATAATTTTACATATTTTATATAAATGTTATTATATAAAAATGTGTAGTTTAAAATACATGTGTCAGAAAATAAGAAAGTCTTCAAATTAACGATCTTGTCATTCACTTCAAAAAATTTAGTAAAAAGACACATTAAATATAAAAAAGAAGAAAATAATAAAGACAAATACAGACCATAATGAATAGAAAATAAATACACACTAGAGAATAAATAAAGCCAAAAGATGCTTCTTGACAAAATGAATAAACCTATTTTAAGATTTTTCAAGAAAATATAAATAATATTCTCTCTTGCTTCAAATATAAAGGATAAATGATGGACAAGTAGCTGGATTCACCAAGATAAAAAGAGAAGTTTCAAGTGAGCACAATCAAAAATGATAAATGTGACATCACAGCACATATCACAGAAATTCAAAAGATCATCAGAGTAAAGTTTCAGGATACAAAACTACCATACAAATACTAGCTGCATTTCTATACATCGACAATGTTCAAGTTGAGAACCAAATCAAGAATTCATTGTGTTTACAATAGCCACACATACACACACCTAGGAATACATTTAACTAAGGAGGTGAACAATATCTACAAGGTGAACAAGAAACACCGATGAAAGAAATTGTAGATGACAAAAACAAATGGAAAAATATTCCCTTCTCACGAATAGGAAAAATCAATATTGTTAAAATGACCATACTGCCCAAAGCAATCTACAGATTCAACACAATTCCTGTCAAATTACTAACATAATTTTTCACATAATTAGAAAAAAAACAATTCTAAAATTCATATGGAACCAAAAAAGAGCTTGAATAGCCAAAGCAATCCTAAGCAAAAATAACAAAGCTAGAAGCATCACATCACCTGACTTCAAGCTATACTATAAGGCTATGGTAACAAAAACAGCATGGTACTGGTACAAAACACAGACACATAGATAAATGGAACAGACTGCACAGCTGAGAAATAAAGACATACCTGCAACCAACTGATTTTCAAAAACTCAACAAAAAGAAACAATGGGGGAAGGACATCCTATTCAATGCTATTCAATGAATGGTGCTGGGAAAACTGGCTACCCAAATGCAGAAGAATGAAACTGGACCTCTATCTCTCACCGTATACCAAAATTAACTCAAGATGGATTAAAGACTTAAATATAAGACCTGAAACTATAAAAATCCTAGAAGAAAGCCAAGGAAAAACTCTTTTGGACATTAGTCCATGGAAAGAATTTATGACTAAGTCCTCAAAAAGAGACACAACAAAAACAAAAATGGACAAATAGGACTTAAACCAAAAAAGCTTCTGCATAGCAAAATAAATAATCAATAGAGTAAACAGATAACATACAGAAGAGAATAATTTAAAGGGAGAAAATATTTGCAAACTATGCATCTGACAAAGGGATAATATCCAGAATCTAAAAGGAATTCAAACAACTTAATAACAAAAGCTAAATAACCCTGTTTTAAAGTGGGAAAAAAAACATGAATAGACATTTTCCAAAGAAGACATACAAGCAGCTGACAAACATAAAAAATCTCAACATTACTTATTATCAGATAATTCAAATTAATACCACAACGAGATACCGTCTCACACCAGTTGGAATGGATATTATGAAAAAGTCAAAAAACAATAGATGTTGGAGAGAATGTTGGAAAAGTGAAGGCTTATATGCTGCTGGGAAGAATGTAAACTAGTACAACCTCTATTGTAAACAGCTTGGATATTCATCAAAGGAATGAAAATATAAGTACCATTTAACCCAGCAATTCCACTACTGAGTGTCTTCCCAAAGGAACAGAATTTTATCAAAAAGTCACGTGGACTCACATGTTTATCACAGCAAACAATATTTACAATAGCGAAGTCACAGATTCAAACTAAGTGTCCATCAGAGGATGATAGTTTTTTAAACATCATGTAAATATATACTAATTGTATGTACGGTTGAATACTAATCAGTTATAAAAAGAATAAAGAATCAGAAGTGATAGGGGTAACATCACCTCTGACCCCACAGAAATACAAGCAACCATCAGAGAGTACTATAAACACCTCTATGCACATAAACTAGAAAAATCTAGAAGAAATGGATAAATTCCTGCAAACCTACACCCTCCCAAGACTGAAAAAGGAAGAAATTATATACCTGAATAGACCAATAATGAGCTCTGAAATTGAGGCAGTAATTAATAGCCTACCAACCAAAAAAAATGCTCAGGACCAGATGGATTCACAGCTGAATTCTACCAGAGGTACAAATAGGAGTTGGTACCATTTCTACTGAAACTAACCAAAAAAATTTAAAAGAAGGTACTCCCCTCTAACTCATTCTATGAGGGCAGCATCATCCTGATACCAAAACCTGGCAGAGATACAACAAAGAAAAGAAAACTTCAGGCCAAAATTCTTGATGAACATTGATGCAAAAATTCTCAACAAAATACTGGCAGACTGAATCCAGCAGCACATCGAAAAGCTTATCCACCACGATCAAATTGGCTTCTTCCTTGGTATTCAAAGTTGGTTCAACATTCGCAAATCAATAAATGTGATTCATCACATAAACTGAATTAAAGACAAAACCACATGAGTATCTCAATAGATGCAGAAAAGGCCTTCAATAAAATTCAAGATCTCTTCATGTTAACTCTCAATAAACTACATACTAAAGAAACATATCTTCCGGGAAGTCAGGGACCCCGAACAGAGGGACCAGCTGGAGCCACGGCAGAGGAACATAAATTGTAAAGATTTCATGGACATGTATCAGTTCCCAAATAATACTTTTATAATTTTTTATGCCTGTCTTTACTTTAATCTCTTAATCCTGTTATCTTTGTAAGCTGAGGATGTATGTCACCTCAGGATCACTGTGATAATTGTGTTAACTGTACAAAGTGACTGTAAAACATGTGTGTTTGAACAATATGAAATCAGTGCACCTTGAAAAAGAACAGAATAACAGTGATTTTTTAGGGAATGAGGGAAGACAACCATAAGGTCTGACTGCCTGTGGAGGTGGGCAAAAAGAGCCATATTTTTCTTCTTGCAGAGAGCCTATAAATGGACATGCAAGTAGGAGGGATATCACTAAATTCTTTTCCTAGCAAGGAATATTAATATTAATACCCTGGGAAAGGAATGCATTCCTTGTGGGGAGGTCTATAAACGGCCACTCTGGGAATGTCTGTCTTATGCCGTTGAGATAAGGACTGAGATACGCCCTGGTCTCCTGCAGTACTCTCAGGCTTACTAGGGTGGGGAAAAACTCCGCCCTGGTAAATCTGTGGTCAGACCGGTTCTCTGCCCTTGAACCTTGTTTTCTGTTATTTAAGATGTTCATCAAGACAATAAGTGCACCACTGAACATAGACTCTTATCAGCAGTTCTGCTTTTTGCCCTTTGAAGCATGTGATCTTTGTACCTACTCTCTGTTATTACATCCCCTCCCCTTTTGAAACCCTTAATAAAAAACTTGCTGATTCGAGCCTCAGGTGGGCATCATTGTCCTACCAATATGTGATGTCACCCCCTGCAGCCCAGTCATAAAATTCCTCTCTTTGTACTGTGTCTCTTTATTTCTCAGTCAGCTGACACTTAGGGAAAATAGAAAGAATCTATGTTGAAATATTGGAGGTGGGTTCCCCGATAAACATACCTCAAAATAATAAGAGCCATGTATGAAAAAGCCACAGCCAATATCATATTGAATGAGCAAAAGCTAGAAGCATTCTTCCTAGAAAACCAGCACAAGACAAAGATGTCCTCTCTCACCACTCCTATTCAACATAGCATTGAAAGTTCTGGCCAGGAAAATCAGTTAAAAGAAAGAAAGAAAGTGTGTTTAAATAGGAAGAGAGGAAGTCAAACTATCCTTGTCTACAAGATGACATGACCCTATATCTAGAAAACCCCATTATCTCAGCCCAACAGCTTCTCTCTCTTTTTTTTTTTTTTTTTTTCAGATGGAGTTTCATTCTGTTGCCCAGGCTGAAGTGCAGTGGCATGAACTTAGCTCACTGCAACCTCTGTCTCCTGGGTTCAAGTGATCCTCCCACATCAGCCTCCCAACTAGCTGGGATTACAAGTGTGACCCACCACACCTGGCTAATTTTTGTAGAGACTCAGTTTCATCATGTTGGCCAGGCTGATCTCAAACTCTTGACTTCAAGTGATGCACCTACCCCCGCCTCCCAAAGTGCTGGGATTACAGGTGTGAGTTTCCACACCAGGTCCCCAAAATCTCCTTAAGCTGGTAAGAAACTTCAGCAACATTTCAGGATACAAAATCAATGTGCAAAAATGGCTAGCATTTCTATACACCAACAACAGTCAAGCTGAGAGCCAAATCATGAATGAACAACCATTCACAACTGCCATAAAAAGAATAAAATACCTAGGAATACAGCTAACAAGGAAAGTGTAGGACCTCTTCAAGGAGAACTACAAACCACTGCTCAAGGAAATCAGAGCGGATACAAACAAATGAAAAAACATTCCATGCTCATGGATTGGAAGAATCAGCATTGTGAAAATGGCCATAGAGCCCACCAAAATTTATAGGTTCAATGCTATTCCCATTAAACTACCATTGGCATTCTTCACAGAATTAGAAACACACTATTTTAAAATTCATATGGTACCAAAAAAGACCGCAAACAGCCAAGGCAATCCTAAGCAAAAAGAACAAAGCTGGAGGCATCATGCTACCCAACTTCAAACTATACTACAGGGCTGCAATAATCAAAACAGCATGGCACCCATACAAAAACAGACACATAGACCAATGGGAACAGAATAGAGAACCCAGAAATAAGACTGCATACCTAAACTATTTGATCTTCAACAAACCTAACAAAAACAAGCAATGGGAAAAGGATTCCCTGTTTAATATGTGGTGTTGGGAGAACTGGCTAGCCATATGCAGAAAATTGAAACTGGATCCCTTTCTTATATCATATACAAAAATAAACTCAAAATGGATTAAAGACTTAAATGTAAAACCAAAAACTATAAAAATCTAGAAGAAATGAATGGCAAAACCATTCAGGGCATAGGCATGAGCAAAGATTTCATGGTGAAGACAGTGGAAGCAATTGCAACAGAAGCAAAAATTGACAAATGAGATCTAATTAAACTAAAGAGCTTCTGCACAGCAAAAGAAACTGTCAACAGAGTAAACAGAAAACCTACAGAATGAGAGAAAATTTTTGCAATTTATCCATCTGTCCAAGGTCTAATAACCAGACTCTATAAAGAACTTAAAAAATTTACAAGGAAAAAACCATTAGTTCGACCATTGTGGAAGACAGTGTTGCGATTCCTCAAAGACCTAGAGGCAGAAATACCATTTAACCCAGCAATTCCATTACTGAGTATATACCCAAAGGAATATAAATCACTCTGTTATAAAGATGCATGCACGCATATATTTATTGTGGCACTACTCACAATAGCAAAGACATGGAATCAACCTTAATGCCCATCGATGGTAGACTGGATAAAGAAAATGTGGTACATATACACTATGAAATACTATGCAACCATAAAAGGGAACGTGATCATGTCTTTGCAGGGACATGGATGGAGCTGTAAGCCATTATCTTCAGCAAACTAATGCAGAAACAGAAAACCAAATACCATGTGTTCTCACTTACAAATGGGAGTTAATGATGAGAACATATGGACACATAGGAGGAACAACACACACTGGGGCCTGTCACATGGTGGGAATGGGAGAAGGGAGAGCATTAGGAAAAATAGCTAATGGAAGCTGCACTTAATATGCAGGTGATGGAATGACCTGTGCAGCAAACAACAATGGCACACATTTACCTATGTAACAAACCTGAACATCCTGCACATGTACCCCACAACTTAAAATAAAAGTTGGAAATTAAAAAAAATAAAATAAAATCATGTCATTTGCAGCAACATGGATGGAGCTGGTCATCATTATCCTTAGAGAAATGACTAAGAAGCAGAAAGTTAAAAGTTGCCTGTTCTCACTTATAAGTTGGAGCTAAACAATGGGTGCACACAGACATATAGAGTGGAATAATAGATACTGAAGATTCCAAAAGATGGGAGGATGAGAGGGGGGTGAGAACTGAAATACTACCTACTGGGTACAATGTACATTATTCCATTGTACCTGTTGGGTACAATGTACTTTAAAAGCCCAGATTTCACCACTACCCAATATATCTTGTAAAACAACTGCACTTGTACCCCAAATTCATGAAAATTAAAAAATAAATAAATAAAAATAAATTAAAAGTCAATGTTGTTTCACATTCTAGTATGAAAATGTAGAATTTGTGTAGTGTGTATCAATGAAATCATATAGTGCATACATATTATTTTCTGTGTAGTATCTTTCACTCGATGTTAGGTTTATATGATCACACCATGATGTGGCTGCAGTTCATCCATACTGCATTCTATAAATATATAAAAATTATTTTCACATTCTACCATTGATTATTTGAGTTGTTTCTATTTTATGACTTGTGAAAAATTCCATTATGAACACTCATCTATATAGTTCTTAGTAGCCTACTGGGTAAATACCAAAAATGGAGAGCTAACCAATGGATGCATATGGACATAAAGATGGAAATAATAGAACTGGGGACTCCAAAATTAAGGAGTGTAGAAGTGGAGTGAGAGCTGGAAAATTATCTAATATGTACAATGTTTACTGTCTGGATAATGGGTACACTAGAAGCCCAATCCCCACCAGTACATATTGTATCCATGTAAGAAACATGTACATGTACTCCCTGAATCAAAAATAAAGTAAAAATTAAGTTCAATTTTACAAAGAAAAAATGCTAGAGTAATTAACTATGGCCATGGATTCAAGAATAGACAAAATTTTAAAACCTAGTGAGAATACCCACACGTATAATGATACGTGATTTAAAGCAAAGATGGCACAGCTGAGCAGTGGAGGAAGAACAAGTAGACTGTTTTCAAAAACTTGTGCTTAGACATTTAGAAATCTGTCTAGATAAAAAGAGAATTGGACCCTATATCACATCACTCACTTAACAATAAATTCCACACATTATAGACTCTTATGTGAAGCATATAGACTCTTATGTGAAGCATAGAACATAATGCTTTTAGAAGATAATATAAGCGAATATCTTCATGTCATCATTCTAGAGAAAGATTTCTTAACTAGGACACAAAGCACACTAACAATCAAGGGAAAACCTTTCCCATTTGGCCACATTCAAATTACGAACTTTTAAAAAGAACAACTGAGAGTATGAAAAGGCAAGCCACATATCAGTAAAAATTTGTAACCCTGTAACAGACAAGGAGTTTGTATCCAGATTTTGTAAAGAAGTACAAATCAATAAGAAAAACACAAGAGACAGATTTTCCATTAAAAGACAGAGAGAGAGAGAGAAGACTTGAATAGGCACTTTATATAGAGGGATATTAATAGCTCGTAAATATGAAAATGTAACCGTCTCAAGAGAAATAAAAAAATGCACATTAAAACCGCAGGGAGAAGCAACCACTGCCCACTAAATAGATACAATAAAAAAGACCAATAATACCAACTGCTGTCAAGTATTGAAGCTACAGGAACTCATATATACTGATGATGGGACAACTGTTGGGAAAAAAACTTGGCATTATTTACTAAAGTTTAACAAGTTTGAACTGTGCATTCCCTATGACCAAGCAATTCCACTTCTATACTGCATTGTATAAATATATAAAAATTATATATTTATTTGTTCAGCAGGACACTAAAAACTATTTAGAAGAGTGTTCATAATGAAATTGTTCACAATAGTTATAAAATAGAAACAACCCAAATGATCAATAGTAAAATGTGAAATTAATTTATATATTTATACAATGCAGTATGAACTGCAGCCACATGCATGATATGATCATATAAGGATAACATTGAGTGAAAGAGCCCATATACAAAATAATATTTAGACACTATATGATTTCATTTGCACACACGACCTAAATTGGCAAAATTAAAATTTCTGTAGAAGCTCTTCCAACGAACATGTTATGAATTATGAAAATAAAAGAAGTGATTACGTAAAAATCAGGATAGTAATTAAGGGGAAGGAAGGAGACATAGGGTTGGGGATGGGGAATATGAGAAGCAGGCCTCTGGAGTACGATAATGTTCAATCTCTTGACCAGAGTGATGTCACGGGATCCTTGGAGTGTCACTTCTTCAGCCAGAAACCTCCCTGGCCAGTGGTGCCTTTGCCCAAGTTTTACTTGGGCCCCCTGGGCTCATTCCACCCACCCAACCTGGCAGGCTGCACTAGGCTGGCACTACCAGCCCACATCCCATACCTGCCAAGGGCAAGCCAGGTGCGGAGCAGTGAGGGGCGTGTGAGCTTGTGATCATGGGGTCTGGCCACTGCACAGAGCCGGGCATGTTGGCTGCAGTGGGGCAGGCAGCTCCAGGCAGACATGGGTGCTGGCTCCCTGTGAGGCTGTGTCTGGACCAGGCATACTGCAAGTGGTTTCCACTGCAGGCACCAGGGAAGGCAGTGGCATCTGGAAGCTTGGGGACACCAGGAACCGCAGAGCCCCAAAGAGGGAGTCACAGCCCTGGCTCAGGGAGCTCCTAGGTCTGGGCTCCCCAAAGGGCCTCAGCTCTTCTCGTCACCTGCAATGTGGCAAGTAGGGGACGTGTTTCAGCCTTGTTTGTATTACAGCTCTTTCAGCCCCAACATTCAGTGAGTCCTAAGTTCTTGTACCAGGTCCAAGAAAAATGAGACATCTGGACAAGTGGAGGGTGAGCAAGGTGAAGAGGTGCTTTCCTGAGTGACAGACAGAGGAGACCTGCAGTGGGTAGCTCCTCTCCAAAGGCAAGTCATCCCAACAAGTGCAGCTCTCAGCAGAGAGGAGACCCACAGTGGGTAGCTCCTCTCCACAGGCAGTTTGTCCCATTTTCTGCCCAAGTCTAGGAGACTCTGGAGTCTTTATGGGCTTCCGAGGGGAGGAAGTGCATGCTGATTGGTCCATGAGTGGCCATGGGCAGGCTGGAAAAAGCACCGTAAGTTCTCACTCCAGTCCACAAAACTGGCAGCCCAGCCCCCAGGCCTCAGGCCGTCACTGGCCTGAAGGTAGGATTTCATAGAGTACCTTCCCCTTTTTGCCCAGGAGCCTGTCTGCCTTCTGCTGCCATTAACCTGCCATCCACAGTGCCCACAGCACCCAGTGCATGTTGAGGGGTGTCTGCAGGCCCATACTGAGCCGCTCTTAAGCCCCCCATGGGGTCCCTCTTGTGCTTCTAGATGCCCAAAGTCTGGAGGCAGCCAAGGTGGCAGGGAACTGGCGTGTCAGCACTGCCCTCAGCATATGCACACCTGGCTGGGTTGTGACAGTGCCCAGGCTCAGTCACAACTTTGCTCTGAAACTGGAGTGGGAACTGGGAGCGGGTAGAGGCCAGGCAGCAGGAGTAGGTACTTCTGTGTCTGCAGGGGCAGGGAGGCTTCCTGGGCCCCCGAGAATGCAGAGATGCCTAGGTCTGAAGCCATGGCTGGGTGGCTGCAGCTGTGCCTGGGACGGTAGGGCTCTCGCCCCTCCAACCTGCAAGGGGACAGGGCTTCCACCTGTTCCCAGCTCCTGCTTGCTCCCTGGATCATGTAGCCCAGGCAGAGCCTCCCCCACTGCAGCCAGCATCATGGCAGCCTGCTCTTAGACAGGCCATAGATGCCAACAGTGGTAGTTACACAGATGCTCATTTTATAATAATAAATGTGACCATTTGTTGAGGGGTTGCATTTTTGGCATGTGTGTTAAATTTCACAATAATAAAGTATAAAAGTTATATATTTGTTTCAAAGTATATTCAGGAGACTATTTTTTATTAACCTGTTTAAATTTGTATCACTAAAATAAAATAACACTATATGGATGAAGGGGATGAAGGATGGGCAACAAGTGCAATATCATTATTATTGTTTCTCTTATATCCGCAAGGAGCTCTAATATATTAACCAAAGGAAGAAAATACAGAGAAAAAGATACTCAAATTATTTGAGTCATATGGATGCAAACAGGCACTATCAACTTTTTTATTGCATGATTACAATGAGTAAATATGATACAAGAGATGTTTCTTACTGCTAATATAATTGAGGAATATACAAATCATGTAGTCTCTTGAAGATCTGTTTAAGACTATTAATTTGTAGACTCCTGATATTAAGTGGACCAGGTGTCTCATCACTTGAGAAAAATACTGGACAAAATTTGTTGAGGTGTCATACAGGTATTTCCTTTGCAAATATAATGAAGGAAAGATTGCCTTTTTGCCTTTGACTTGTTCTGGGTTTTGTTTTTGCTTTTTATCATAGTTCATTATTTTTCAGTTGAATAAATCTACATTTTATTCCATAATAATCTACATTTGAGTGATTATGAATCCCACATATGCATATTATGCATATTCTTGACACAATGAATTTAACATAATACAAATGGAGCCTGATATATGAATGACGTTTCAGATATATATCCATGTGTCATACTTATTGCATGCATCTTATTTATGCTGGTTTGTACAGTCTTCAAAAGAGTGTTCTGATCAACTTTCTGTCAGACCAGTGTGATTCATTTATAAGAAGGCATATTAGGCAACACAAAGAAGCATTAGTTTTTCCATGAATTATAGAAAGTCTGTTCTAACAGATTTGACTAAATGCTGTTAGATGTGCAAATGCTTCTTGATTATTTGTTAAGTATATAAACCAAACCTTGAACCTAAAATTGAGCCTATCCATAAAAATATCTGACATTTGATGAGCGTGTTACTTATTAAACCTTTCCTGTTTCAAATTGGTATACATGCAATAAAAAGCAACAAATACAATATCACCCATCATGAAAATTTAGGTATATATTATTATTTCTATTTTATAAAAAAAAAATCCCTCCCCCTCAAAAATTAGGTACATGGCAAAAACATGGCAGATGAAAAATGAAAAACAAGTTATTTTTTCTACAAAATTGGTTCTTTTTTTTTTCAGACAAAGATATCCACTTCATTAAAAAGTACTCTTTTGGAAATTTGTAAGTTTGTTGTTGTTTTAATATTTTTTTAAACATTGTTTTAACATTTTCTTTTTCTGCTTAGATGTAGACTTCACTTGTCAAATGACATAACCACAAATTCTAAATTGTTTCTCACTCAGGGGAGAATTTAATTCAGTATGTTTTTTACACTGTTTTACACAAATAATACTTTGAAACATAGATTATTGATGCAGAAAAAAAGTAAATATAAACTTAAATCCCTGCATACTTAGTACATAAGAACATAAATGTTTCCTTTCCTGAAAACAGAAATTCAATCTATTTTAAAATACAGAATAACAGATTGATTCATAGTTTTTCACCCAAATGCAAACCCTCTTTTAAGCAGTAATCATTAGAACTGCATATCACAGAAGATTAAAACTATGAAATCATAGAAACATTTTATTCTGAGTAGTTATTAAACATATATTTATTTGGTAAATGTTCTCTACCACTAAGAATATTTTATAATTATGTCTGTGCAAGACAGTGTAGAAGGCATTCTTTTGAATTGTCACTCTGCAAGAGCCTGTTTATAGAATGGAAGCTTGCTGATTATCGTTTTACTACTCTCCCAAATCTATAATTCTGTATTCAATAAATGCTAGTTTTACACTCCTTTGCTTCAGCTACTTAAATAATCACTTAAGCTTTCACTACATGTGGATTGACAAAACTCACCACGTATTTCCAACGTAGTGTGCCTAGCTAAGAACATGCCTGTAGCTCAAAGTAGCTGCAAGTAATTTTCCTTCTGCCAGATAACAGCAGTTGCTTGTATTGCCTTTCAGTAGTTAACGTGGGAGCAGCTTGTGTTAGAGGCTACTGATACTGTGGACTTTTTAAAAAATGTATTCTTTCTTTAATCTCATGCTCTGTGCTCTTGCTCTTATTCCTAAAATTCCATAACTGACTGCAGTAGTTAACTGTAGCCCCTAACCTCAGCTGCTTTCTAGATAGTCACTTTCCCAAGGGAGAAAAACATTTTGTGATCTTGACCTTATGAAACATGTTCAATAATGTTGGAAAAAAAAGAGAGGAGAGTACATCTTACGAAGATGTAAGATGGGAAAGACCAGATGTCAAGACATAATAACAATTTGATTACTTAAATGTTTCTATAAATGTTTGACTTTCTTAATTAACCCTCCACCCCCATTCTCCAAAATTTAAAATAAAGGGCAGAGAGATAAAGTTGTTTAGAGGACAAAGTACTACAGAGTGGAAATTTTCATCTGACCCTAGTGTACAAAAATGTCTTCTGGATTTTTCCCTCCGATTTACAAGGTCTATGTTTAGAAATCTGGCTGTGGGATGACTTTGCGAAATAGCACTCTGAAAAATCACATAGTCAGTGCTTAGGCAATTCACACTGGCTCTTATCTAGGACAAGTGTTTAAGGTATTTTTTTCTTAATTCAAAGTCATTTTTCTAGGTTGAAAGCACTCTTTAGTCTCCATAGTAATCTTTTGACTATTCAATAACATAATCTTAAATAACTTCATGTTTGTTCTGAAATAAAAGATCCTGCTGTCTTTCTTATTACTTGAACACTTGGAAGAAGAGGAAAAAATGCTCCAGAATAATTCCATGACTAAAGGATGAAAGCTCTTCAACAAAAAATTCCTGGTTCTCATCTGTCAGGGCTCTGTGGGAAAAGAAAAAATCTGGGAACAAGTTCTAATAAATATCTTGGCCCCTTTTCTGAAAACAGTTTAACATCCAAAGTATAATAGGGAATAGCCTACTTAATATTAATACTTGATATATAAATAGATTATATACATAGATATTTTATATTCATTTATATATTTGCATATATGATATATATACTATATATACACTTTATATTTAGAATATGTAACCACAGAATATAAACACTATGTAACCACAGTATATAAAATATTTTGCAATTATATTAATTTTAGATTTGCAATTATATTAATTATACATTTGCAATTATATTTAGGACTAGGTAGAACTAAACTCTAGAAGCTTACTGAGATAAATTGAAACAAACATGCAGGTGAACATTTTTGTACTCTTATTAATATGAAGAGATTGTTGCCTACCATGCCTAATAATAACCAATGCCATATGTGTTTGTATTAGACCAAGTTTCAGGAAGCCAGAATAATGCATAATAGATATCTCGATTGATAATGTAAAAGGAAAATAAAGTCTCAGGACCCCAAACTTACTATGCCGAAGGGAAAAGTTAATCTTGGTAACTTAGTCACACAAAAAGTACCTTCCTTTTGTTCCCAAAGCCATGACTCTAATTTTACATGGTTACTTGTATTAGGTAAAAAATCTAGATTTACTGAGAACAAGATTAATGCATAATTGACTTTCCCTCTACCCACTTCTTTCCACTTGTAAAATGTAGATTCACTGAGCACTAATCAGAGCCTCACAAGAAAATAACCACTTGCCTCATTGTCTACCCTCCCTTCCTTTTTTTTTTCTTTTTTCTTTCTCACATGTTCTTTCCCTTTAAATATCGAAGGTCTCATAACCCTCTTTGAAAAAAGCATGGGACACAGATCCTACATTGACTTGTGTTTCTTTTTCCTGGGCATGTCCTTAATATTGACAAAATAAACCTCTAAATTGATTGAGATCTGCCTCAGTCACTTTTTGGTTTACAATAAGGAGTCTAATGTCTTTAATTAATGATGGGAAGAAAACCACATGGCAGTGGTGAGGGAATAGCAAGATGGTAAATTATAATGGTGTTAGCCTCAATGTAGTAGTGGCTCTTTCTAGCAAAGAAAATAAAAATAATAGTTTCCAAAAAATGCAGCTTGCAAAGAAGCTGTTGACCCAAGCTGTTATCTTAGAATACTTCATTTTGAGAATGCAGTCTTCATGAGATAGCCAAGTTTAGTTAAGATTTGAAGGTAGAAGAGATATTCAGAAAGGAGACTGCGGATTCAGGGCTGATCACTCATTTGCAATTCTAAGAACACAGACTTGGATAGCACAGGAGGAGTGCACAGATTAGTGCACCGTAAAGGTAGGAGTTCCACTGATAATGGTGACTATGGAACCTCAAAATTGTACCAGTGCCTAAATTAAATGAGCATGGGCCATGTTGGAGTTTGTCCTGATAGTGTCTTAGAGGACAGTGGATGTTCATACTAGTAAGAGTAAGGTAGCATCAGTAAGATGGCTTATGAGACAGCCTTTCCCTGACACAGTGTATCTCACAATGACTGGAAATAGGATGGGAGATAAGAGTCAATAAATAAACTGATGTTACAGATAGACAAGCTCAAGAGAGCACTACTAACAAAGTTATGCGGCATAAACAAACCTGGCAACATTCAGAGACTTCAAATAGTTAAGTATGGCTGAAGTGAAGCCAGTAGAGAGGGTTCCTTTGAGAGTGAGTGCTGGAGACAGTCAGAAGTGGCTATGAGGGCCTTGCTGGTTACATCAAGACAATTTTCTTGAAACAGTGGTCTAAAGGCCACGTGCACCTAAAGCACCTTGAGTTATTGTTAAACACCCAAACTTCCAAATCCCTCTCCATTCCTAATAAGTAAGAATTGCTGAAATACAGGGCCTGGGAATCGGCTCCTTAAAAGGAGGCAGGGGATTACTACAAAGACTACCTGAAAGCAAGTTTTTTGACATTTAATTTCATAGGCAAAGGGAGAAAATGAAGTGTTCAGAAAGGGAGTATCATCATCATCATCCTATTTTTATGGCTCCATATAGAAAAGTATTTGGTGTACATACAAAACTACTGCCTTCTAATGCACTTTATAAGTTTTAAGTTAAACTAAAATTTAGAAATGGATACTTTATTTTTATTACATTTTGCTTTTACCAACTATTTCATCTTACTCATCCTGAATATGCCAAATATGAAAATACTAACAGTAGCTGGCTATGAAGTTGAGATTATTAGTGATCTCTGTTTAAATTATATTTGGTGTTTTCTCCACTTGGTTATGAAATTAGATTACTTAAGTAATAATAAATATTTTATATGTGATAAAAATGAAAGAAAAGGCAAAATGTTATCAATCTAATGTAAGCAAATCCTGGATCAGCTACATTTAAATGAGAGTGAGATATTAAAGATGAAAAATTATTGAACGGAAAAGGGAAGGTCATTTTACATAAATGAAACTAAAGTCTACAAATTTTAAGGGCAATTAAATAACGTTACATAAAAAATAAGAAAGCTATATAAATATATTTGTTATAGGTAACACTTTAATATAACTCTCTATAGATTACAAAAATAAAAATTTAAATAAGATAAAATTTAACTAAGTAAAATAATTAAGCAATATAGGCCAGGCACGGTGGCTCCCACCTGTAATCCCAGCACTTTGAGAGGCCGAGGTGGGCGGATCATGAGGTCAACAGATGGATACCATTCTGGCCAAAATGGTGAAACCCTAAAATACTAACAGTACAAAAGTTATCTGGGTGTGGTGGCACATGCCTGTAGTCCCAGCTATTCGGGAGGCTGAGGCAGGAGAATCGCTTGGACCCGGGACACAGAGGTTGCAGTGAGCCAAGATCATGCCACTGCCTTCCAGCCTGGTGACAGAGTGAGACTCCATCTCAGAAAAAAAAAAAAAAATTAATCAATATAATGAACATTTTTTTCTATAAATATTTTCCATTTCCTTAGGCTACCAAGGTATTGATCATTTGTTTGTGAACTCTATCATTTAGAGTCTTGGCAGGAAACAAATTGCACACAAAAGATAGCTAATTTGAGAAGAGTTTTAAAAATAGGCTATTTACAAAGAAAAGGTCAAGATATAGAGAAACCACAGGGAGGATGCAACATCCAGAAGCTAGCTCCAGATTCCTGAAAATGTGAGGGGAGGGAGCCTAAAAACCCTGAAAGAACTATCAGAAAATGTTGTAACGTTCAAAAAAGGGAAGGAGCCGAGGGAATAAATATCTTAATTGTCTTCTCTCTCTTTTGTCTCCAGAGGAGCTTACTCTTTCCTCCTCTATGGGTAAAGACAGTCAGCAGCCAGTGGGCTCACAAGACCATGGATTATAGCCATACAATTCAGCCTCCTGTGAGACATGTAATGCAGAAAAATGTGCACATCTGATCCGTCAGGTCAAACAGAAGATAGCAAGCATCATCACAAGGACAAATTCCAATATGAAAATAAAATAGATGAACTTCATTCTCTAATCATAATTATTTCAATTTACTCCTAATTTAGCTAGACTCATTGAACTAGATGAAAATCATTGTCACTCTCATACCAGAACCATAAAGAAAAAAATTGGGTGTTGTATGTAGAAAAAGACTGAATGCATGTACATATGAAAGACCATATCTTGACTGATCTCCCCATTCTCAGTTACTCCCTCAGTGGGAAAACTGAAGGACAAAGCCATCATGCAACTCTCATGACCAGGTTCTGAAAGGAGAGACTTCCCTGATTCCCCTCGCAGGAAGTGCGACAAGGGTGGGTGTCGCCAGCTTGGTCGCCCAGCAGCTCAGACCCCTAGCGGGAGCACGCAGGCAGGCGCAGAGGCCCACGGGAGCGCTTTTGGGCTCCAACCCCAGACAGTGTCTAGGAGTGGGTGTCTGCGACTCCCTAAGCCCAAGTGGGCGTGTGTTACCAAACTCTTTCAGACTTGCGGTCTGCAGATGGTTTGTGTGTTAACCAGCTCAATGGACCCTTTGCCTTATCGCAAGGGCAGGGGGCCAGTGTGACAGCCTACTATATCCTGAGTCCTTCCCCAGTGTACCAGAAGAATCGGATCACAAGTGGGCTGGAAGGATGAATGCAAAGTTTTATTGAGTGGTGGAAGTGGCTCTCTGTGAGATGGATGCGGAGCTGGAATTGGGGGATGGAGTGGGAAGGTGGTCTTTCCCTGGAGTTGGGCCGCCCAGCGGCAGGACTCTTCTCCGCCTGCCCGCTGCTGAACTCCCCTCAAGTCCAATCCCTACTCTTCTCTCTTTTTCTGCTGCGTTGTTCCGCAGTGGCTTGGTCTGCTGGTCCCGATGTTCAGCCGCTTCTGTTTGTGCCCGCTAAGGTTTCAGGTTTATATGGGGGAAGAATGGGGGTGCAGCGGGCCAAAAGGCAACTTTTGGGGCGTGAAAACAGAAATGCCTGTCCTCATTTAGGGCCACAAGTCTTCAGGCTTGAGAGTCGGGCCTTTGCTGGAGAACCGCCCTCTTCTACCCAGTATTTTCCTGTCTCCCGTCCGTATCATTTCCAGGCCATCCTTAGAGTTTTCCCCAACTTCTGTCTGTATAAGTCAGACCTGCTAAATTGCTCTATCCCAAAAGTTGGCAAAATATGGCCCATAGGCCAAATCCAACTTAACACTTGTTTTAAAACAACACAAAGCAACAATCACAAAAAAAAAAAAAAAAAACAGTTGTATTGGAACACAGCCATGCACATTAATTTACATATTGTCTATGTCTTCTTTTACACTACAACACAGTTGAGTAGCTGCAATATAGACAATACAACTGGCAAAAGTTAAAATATTTACCATCTGGTCCTTTACAGAAAAAGTGTGGCAGCTCCTTCTCTGTCCCCCTATATTAGTTACCTCTGCAGTAGAAGGCATATTTTCTATTGATATATTTACTTCTACAGCTTGCTAATTAGAATATCGCTGAATTTATTAGCTCAATTCTTTCATCTTGCTTAGTTAGACAAAACTTAGAGGTATTAAAACAATATCAGGGCCAGGCTTGGTGACTTACTCCTGTAATCCCAGCACTTTGGGAGGCTGAGGCAGGCAGATCACTTGAGGCCAGGAGTTTGATACCAGCCTGGCCAACATGGTGAAACCCCTTTTTTACTAAAACTACAAAAAAAAAAAAAAAAAAAAATTAGCCAGGCACAGTGGCATGTGCCTGTAATCCCAGCAACTCAGGAGGGTGAAGGACAAGAATTGCTTGAACCCGGGAGGTGGAGGTTGCAGTGAGCCAAGATCACACCACTGCACTCCAGCTTGGGCAACAGAGTAAGACTCTGTCTCCAAAAAATAAAAATAAAAATAAAATAAAACAAAACAATATCCCTGGTAGAATTTGGCTATTGTTTTATTTTATTTTTATTTTTTGGAGACAGAGTCTACTATAAAGACACATGCACATGTATGTTTATTGCAGCACTATTCACAATAGCAAAGACTTGGAACCAACCAAAATGTCCACCAGTGGCAGACTGGATAAAGAAAATGTGGCACATATACACCATGGAATACTATGCAGCCATAAAAACAGATAAGTTCATGTCCTTTGAAGGGACATGGATGAAGCTGGAAACCATCATTCTTAGCAAACTATCACAAGAACGGAAAACCAAACACCACATGTTCTCACTCATAAGTGGGAGTTGAACAATGAGAACACATGGACACAGGAAGGGGAACATCACACACCAGAGCCTGTCAGTGGGTGGGGGGCTAGGGAAGGGATAACATTAGGACACATACCTAATGTAGGTGACAGGTTGATGGGTGCACCAGACCACCATGGCACGGGTATACCTATGTAACAAAACTGCATGTTCTGCACATGTACCCCAGAACTTAAAGTATAATTTAAAAAAAAAAGAAAAAAAAAGTAACAATCATAATTATGATCGAATGCAGTTATTAAAAGAAGACAATATCAGGTTAACTATTTTGTGCTTAGTACATAGTATTTGCCTCTTATCATACTGCATATAAACAATTTTGAAAATTATTCTTTGATTCTCATGAACAAATTTAAAGTTTTTCTTTCCCCTAAATATGAAATAACCATTAGCCTAAATATGAGATAATCACAAATAAAATTGAATTTCCTAAATTAGAGCTTAAAAGGACAATTATCTGCATAAGGTGTGTGAAATTGGTCAGGTATAAAACAATAGGTGCTGAATTTCTAGAGTTATAATCAATTCCTGCATAGTTAACATTGCATCTTAAAGACTATTCACAGACATAACAAAATTTCTAAACAAAATATGTCCCTTGGTGGAATGCAGCCTTGTGGCCACCAGTGTGATACCTACTGAACAGAGTAATTTAAAAATGTAATAATTAAAGTTCAAGCAAGTAATTTCAGTTACTTAAAAAGCAAATGCTGTTCCTATAAATAACGGGTAAAAAAACTAATACAAATAATTGCAGATGATTTATAAAGTTATGAAAATGATTACATTATTCACAGAAATATTTCTTATAAAGTCAGAGTTGCACACAAATATAAAATTGCATACATCACTTCACAAGAAAACTTTTAAACTAAAGTAATATTGTGAGACAATAGAAAAGAAGCTGTTAATGCTTCCAGAAAAGACAAATAAAAGAAAGCAGAAATTAATGAGATTGCTTTAGAGTTTCAAAAATAAGAATAGTTATTGTAAAGAGTGAGAAAATTATTTCCCAATACTATTTGTCTTTTTAAGGCACAAGAGCAATATTCAGTAAAATTTATTAGAAGGAAAAAATACAGGTATCTCCCTGGTTACAAAATAAATGTTCACAAAGTAAAATTTATTTATACACTGAATAATCTCAGGAAATTTAATGGAAATAAAATATTGTGTAAAAGGGAGTTTTTTTTTTTTTTTTTTTTTTGAGACAGGGTCTCACTCTGTCACCCAGGCTGGAGTGCAGCAGCTCCATCACAACTCATTGCAGTCTCCACCACTGGGCTCAGTGATCCTCCCATCTCAGCCTCCCCAGTAGATGGAACTACAGGCACGCACCACCATGCCCAGATAATTTTTTTTATTATTTGTAGAGATAGGGCTTTGCCATGCTGCCCAAGCTGGTCTCAAACTCCTAGGCTCAAGTGATCCAGCCGCCTCCGCCTCCCAAAGTGCTGGGATTGCAGCCATGAGCCACTGCACCCAGCCAAATATTGTATTTTAAAAATCTACAAACTTATCTTAAATAATCTGTAACCATCTTAACAAGAAATATAAGAAACATAAATAAATAACTAAAATATTTACTACAAAGTCTTAAAAGGAGACTTATATAAAGTGGGGAACAAAGGCTTATTTTCTTGAAAATAAAAGCATGATATTATACAAATTATTCCTAACAAATATTTATAAATATGTAATGTACTTGCAAATAACATTCCCATAGACACATGCTTTTCATTTCTCTGAAGTCTATCAGGAAGGAATAAACAGAAAAGCAAATACTTTTTTTTCCTGGAACAGTGAAGAATGAGACAATCTTATATCTGCAAAATATTAGTGTAATATAAAGAAAAAAAATCAGGCTTCTGGTTATAAATAGTGAACTAAGCATATGTATTTTCCTCTGCTTCTTTCTAAACTCCTTAAAATAACAGTAAAATATGTTGTGTTGTGTTTTGTTTTGTCACAAAATTCCAGAAAGAAAAGAGACTGGAAGAGGAGAAAATAGAAACAAAATCTGAGATGTTTAGCAGGAAATGAGTGGTAAATAACTTAGAAGACCCCAGAAAACTGAACTGTAAGCAGGCACCGGAGTAAATTCCATTACACTGCAGAAACTTCTGAAGACTGAAGATGGATGGCATCATGTAGCTCTGGAAGTGCGGATAAAATTAGGGCTAATGGATCAGTTAAAATTGCAACTAACAAGTTACACCCTTGAGTACTCATGTTGATTCTGAGCAGAATAGTCCCTCCCATTCATCTCTCTTACTATGGATTGAGGATTTTTTTTTCTAGTGAAAATAACAGAATTCTGGCCTGGGAATCACTAGCACAGTTGAGGGTTAAGAGTCCAGCACTTACTGCAAACAGGGGCCTCAGTGAACCTTTACTCACTGAAGTATTGAAATATCTGGTATGACTTCCACACATACAGCTGCCATAATGTTGGCATTTTATACCTCTAGATAACTCATTGTAAAATTATTTTTCAGAAAATCTAACCAGGCCACGAAAAACATTCTACTAATAAAGATACATTGAGGTCAAAGTAATCCTTGTCAAACTATGTTCCATAGGAGAATTAATCATTACTTCTCTAGGGCTTCTGTCATATACAAATAATTAGCCTATCTTCTCTCCATTTAGAATGATACTAGCTATATAGCTTCCTTTGAAAGAATAAGAAAATAGTCACTCAAATAATATTCTGTCGCACTTATTTATTCTCTACTAGAAACCTAATGAGACAGATAGAACCTACCATGAAGTCTACAAAGCCCATTTATGCATAGAATGTGTCTAGGCATAGAATTATGCATAGAAGTTGTCAATCAGCTCCATGTCCTCTCAAATGTAAAAAAGTAAGCTATCTCAGACACACATAAGAAATGCCTGTTCTCATTTAGGGCCACAGGTCTTCAGGCTTGTGTGTGTGTGTCTGAGGTAGTCCTCCAATGTAAGAAATTGAGGCCAAGACAAACAAGTAAATATGCAAAGAGGAAAACAATACTTAGTAAAACAGACTACACAATATTTCTAAAATATTGCATCCATGAAACAAAAGCAAAGTGCTTTAATAAATGAATATTAGAGAAAAAAGAACATTTAGAAATCATAAACATGTTGGCAGAAATGAGAAAACAATAGAATGATTGGAAGATAAATTAAGATGATATGCTGGGAAGCAGATCAAAATTTTAAAAATGAAGAAAGGTAGTAAAAATATTTTTAAAGCTCACTTCAGTAGATCCAATATGCAAATCAGAGTACTATAAAGAAATTTGGGAAAGGGAATCATCAAAGAAATTTCCCAGAAGTAGGATTATGAATTTTTACTTTGAAATGATCCATTGAGTACTCAACACAATGGAAAAAATAAATTCACACACTCTCAGAATAATTTAAAATGTAAGGTACATCCCCATAAAATTTTAAAATGTAAGGGACATAGAAGAAAAATAAAAAAGCACCATACAAAGAATAATGAATCAGAATGTCGACAGCAACATGATATTGCCTTTAAAATTCTAGAGGGATGAATATTTCGAACCTAGCATTCTATCGCAGGCTGACTAATACAAAAATGGCAGAGCAGAATAGAAAACACTTTCCGACACACAATACCTCCAAAATCTTATCTTCCATGCAGCCGTTCTAAGGAAGAAACTGAGAGAGATCAAGAAAGAGGGAGACGTGGGATTCAGGAAACAAGAGATCGCTATGCATAAAAGAGACAAACAAAATGGATAATGGCAAAAGAAGATAATAAATAGCCTTGCAGGAGTGCTAGAAAACTACCGGTCTTGATTGGATCAGGCCATGAGTCCCTGGGAAAGATGTCTGGAAGAAAATGAAATTAATAAAATACTGCTCTGTTTAAAGACATTGAGAGGCAATTTAAGCTAGTGGAAGAGATTTAAAGGACACACTACATATAGATGAGGATAATTATTAATTCAGGAGAAAAGTATAGTTTTCAAACTATACTATATCATATTGTGCAACATAGGTCGTCTTTGAATTCATTCTATATAGTCAAAATATATAAAAATAAAAATAATGCAAACATTATTACGATATAACCAACTTGGAGTCATGAGGAGACAGGATTTATGCATGTGAGTAATAGAGTGGTAGAGAATATAATAATACTCATCTTGAAGAGTGGAAAGTTAATAGATAACAAAAATATAATGAAGCAGCCAGATAAACACATGATTCATAGATATGGAGGTAAACATCAAAAGTAACACCTGAAAGAGTTGCCAGAGCTTGCCACTTGCACCACAGATGCACTACCTTCTCTCTTATTCTATGTGCCCTAGTGTCTCCTGCCACAGAATCTGTAATCATGGGGTTCTTCCTGACCCTTCAATCCTTTTACACATTAACATCTACTCAATTTTTAGCTTTCACTCAATTGTCACTTCCTTAGAAAAGACATCTTAAACATTTAGAAACTCCATACTATGTCAAATTCTCTTATTTTGTCCTCTTATGACATTGTAAACTGTTTTGTAAAATGTGCCGTGGTTCCAATTGTACCTTACACTGTGAGCTCAGAAACCACATTAGTTTTGATATCCACTGTACTCTTGATACACAGCATAATGACTGCTGCAAAGTGGTGCCAATTAAGTATTTGCAAAATAACAAAATTAAACACTACAACTAATTAGCACAAAAGTACAAATTATAAGCCTACCTTAAAGGTTATGAATTTTAAAATTCTAAATAATATATTTACAAATAAAATTTAGCTATATATTAAAGAACAAATTTACCACAATTCAGCAACATTGTTTTCTGCAATGCATCTGTTACGAGAATTGATCTAATTAACATGAGAAATTAAAAAAGAAATATGAACACAGGGATTAAGATGGCAGAGAGAGGGCAGGACTAGCTTGCAGTTCCTGCTTGGATAGACAGAGCAGCATGTGGAGACTCATATCATGAACTTTTGTTACAAGAACTACTGTGGGAACATACTAGGAAAGCCAAGAGAATCCACAGACCCTTCAAAGGAAGGAATTAGATCACTGCTGGAGGCTTCCTGGGATGCTGAAAACCTGTGAGTCTGCTTGCTTTCTCAGCTGAGAGGCTTGTAGTCTGAGGCAAGTTCTCAGCCCTGGTTACCAGCTGCCTGGAAATATAGACTCGGTCCTGTTCGGGGGGTGGGGCACGATGGGAGTGAGACTGGCCTTAGGACTATGGGCTGCATGGGAGTGGTGAGTCCTGTGACTGCCAGCTTTTCCCCACTTCCCTGGGGACCTGTATGACTTAGCAGAAGCAGAATAATCCCCTGGGGAATATAACTCCATTGGCCTGGGAACCACATACCCCTCCCTCACAACACACACAGCAAGCCCTGCCCAAGGAGAGGCGGAGCTTAAACACACCGTTCCCTGTCCCCACATGGTGCACTTTCTCTACCTGCCCTGGTAGCTGAAGACAAAGGTCATAATCTCTTGGGAGCTCTATGGCCTTGCCCAACACCTGATAAGCCTGAATACTTAACCAGGTATTCCTATGGCAAGTTTGCATCCTCATTATAGGGCCACAGCTGAGACACTCTTGAAAGTGCTACCTCCTGGCTGGGGGTCAACCGACACAAAACCAGTGCACTAAACAAAAACACAACCAAAGATCCTCACAGAGTCCCCTTCCCTCCTCCCCTGCTACCTCCACCGGAGCAGTTGCTGGTATCTATGGCTGCAAGAACTGAAGATGGATCATATCAAAGGACTCTTTGCAGACACTCCTCAGTACCAGCTCAGGGCCCAGTAGATTCACTGGGTGGCTAGACCCAGAAGAGCAAAGACAATCACTACCATTTGGCTTTCAGGAAGCCCCATTCCTAGGGGAAGGGAAAGGACACCACATCAAGGGAGCACCCCATGGTACAAAAGAATCTGACCAGCAGCCCTTGAATCCCAGATCTTCCCTCTGACATAGTCAACCCAAATGAGAAAGAACCCAAAAAACAATTCTGGTAATATGACAAAACAAAGTAATTTAACATGCACAAAAGATCATATCAGCTCACCAGCAATAGAGCCAAACCAAAACAAAATCTCTGAGTTGCCAGAAAAATAATCCAGAAGTCTGATTATTAAGCTAATCAAGGAGGCACAAGAGAAAGGTGAAGTCCAACTTAAAGAAATCAAAAACATAATACCAAATATGAAAAAAAAAATTCTTCAGTGAAATGGATGGCATTAATAAAAACAATCACAACTTCTGGAAATCAAGGTCATACTTAGAGAAATGCAAAATGCACTGGAAAGTCTCAGCAACTGAATTGAACAAACAGAAAAAAAAAGAACCTTAGGGCTCAAAGACAAGGTTTTTGAATTAACCCAATCCACCAAAGACAAAGAAACAATAATTTTTAAAACGGAGCAAAGCCTCTAAGAAGATTGGGACTATATTAAATGTCAACCTAAGAATAATTGGTGTTCCCAAGAAAGAAGAGAAATCTAAAAGTTTGAAAAATATGTTTGAGGGAATAATCAAGGAAAACTTCCCCAGCCTTGGTAGAGATCCAGACATCCACATACAAGAAGCTCAAAGAACACCTGGGAAATTCATTGCAAAAAGATCATCACCTAGGCACATAGACATCAGGTTATCTAAAGTCAAGAAAATGGAAAGAATCTTAAGAGCTGTGAGGGAAAAGCACTAGGTAAACTGTAAAGAAAAACTTGTCAGTTTAACAGCAGATTTCTCAGCAGAAACCCTATAAGCTAGAAGGGATTGGGGCCCTATCTTCAGCCTCCTTAAACAAAACAATTATCAGTCAAGAATTTTGTATCCAGCGAAACTAAGCTTCATAAATGAAGGAAAGATACAGTCTTTTCCAGACAAAATGGTGAGAAAATTTGCCACTAACAAGCCAGCACTACAAGAACTGCTAAACGGAGCTCTAAATCTTGAAACAAATCCTTAAAATATGCTAAAATAGAACCTCCTTAAGGCATTAATCTCACAGGACCTATATAACAATAACACTTCGGAAAAAAAAAAACAAAGTATTCAAGCAACAAATAGCATGATGAATACAATAGTACCTCACATTTCAATACTAACACTGAATGTAAAAGGCCTAAATGTTCCACTTAAAAGATACAGAATGGCAGAATGGATAAGAATTCAACAGCCAAGTTTCTGCTGTCTTCAGGAGACTTAACTAACACATAAGGACTCACATAAACTTAAGGTAAAGAGGTGGAGGCCGGGCAGGGTGGCTCACGCCTGTAATCCCAACACTTTGGGAGGCCGTGGCGGGCAGATCACAAGGTCAGGAGATTGAGACCATCCTGGCCAACATGGTGAAACCACATCTAAAATACAAAAATACTAAAATTACAAAATTTTACTAAATTTACAAAAATACAAAATTTAGTTGGGTATGGTGGTGCATGCCTGTAATCCCAGCTAAAATAACAACTACAAAAATTACAAAAAGTAGTTGGGTGTGGTGGTGCATGCCTGTAATCCCAGCTACTCAGGAGGCTGAGGCATGAAAATCACTAGAACCTGGGAGGCAGAGTTTGCAGTGAGCCGAATCACACCACTGCACTCCAGCTTGGTGACAGAGCAACACACTCCATCTAAAAAAAAAGAAAGAGGTGGAAAAAGATATCCCATGCAAATGGACAACAAAAGCAAGCAGGAGTAGCTATTCTTATATCAGACAAAACAAACTTTAAAACAACAGCAGTTAAAAAAGACAAAGAGGGGGGCCAGGTGAGGTGGCTCACACCTGTAATCCCAGCACTTTGGGAGGCCAAGACAGGTGGATCACGAGGTCAGGAGATCAAGACCAATGTGGCTAACACGGTAAAACCCCATCTCTACTAAAAATACAAAAAATTAGCTGGGTGTGGTGGCAGGCACCACTAGTCCCAGCTACTCGGGAGGCTGAAGCAGGAGAATGGCGTGAACCCTGGAGGCGGAGGTTGCAGTGAGCTGAGATCGCACCACTGCACTCCAGCTTGGGTGACAGAGCAAGACTCCGTCTTAAAAAAAAGAAAAAAAGACAGAGGGATATTATATACTGATAAAAGGACTAGTTGAACAAGAAAATATCACAATTCTAAATATATATGGACCTAACATTGAAGTTCCCAAATTTATAAAACCATGACTACTAGAACTAAGAACTGAGATAGATGGCAGCACAATAATAGGGGGGAAGTTAAATACTCCACTGACAACACTGGAGAGGTCATCAAGACAGAAAGTCAACAAAGAAACAATGGACCTAAACTATACCCTACAACAAATGGACTTAACAGATATTTACAGAACATTCTACTGAACAACTAAAGAATATACATTCTATTCATCAGCAAATGAAACAATCTCTGAGACAGACCATATCGTAGGCCACAAAACAAGTCTCAAAAATTTTCAGAAAATCGAAATTATATCAAGTACTCTCTCAGACCACAGTAGAATAAAATTGGAACTCAACTCCAAAAGGAACCCTCAAAACCATGAAAATACATGAAAATTAAATAAACTGCTCCTGAATGATCATTGGGTCAACAATGAAATCAAGATGGGAATTCAAAAAAATTCTTTGAACTGAAAGATAATAGTGATGCAACCTATCAAAACTTCTGGGATACAGCAAAAGCTAAGAGGAAAGTTCACAGCATTAAATGCCGACATTAAAAAGTCTGAAAGAGCACAAATAGACAATCTAAGGACACACCTCGGGGAACTGGAGAAACAAGAACATTCCAAACCCAAACCTAGCAGAAGAAAAGAAATAATGATCAGAGCAGAACTAAGTGAAATTGAAACCAAAAAAAATACAAAATATAAATGAAACAAAAAGTTGGTTCTTTGAAAAGATAGATAAAATTGATAGACCATTAATGAGATTAACCAAGAAAAGAAGAGAGAAGCTCCAAATAAGTTCAATTAGAAACAAAATGGGAGCTATTACTACTGATACCACAGAAATACAAAATATTATTCAAGGCTACTATGAACACCTTTATGTGCATAAACTAGAAAACTTAGAGGAGATGGATAAATTCCTGGAAATATACAACCCTTCTAGATTAAACCAGGAAGATATAGAATCTCTCAGCAGACCAGTAACAGTGAAATTGAAATGGTAATTTTAAAAATGCCAACAAAAAAAGTCCAGGACCAGACAGATTCACAGCTGAATTCCATCAGACTTTCAAAGAAGAATCAGTACCAATACTATTGACATTATTCAAAAAGATAGAGAAAGAGGGAATCCTCCCTAAATCATTCTATGAAGCCAGTATCACCCTAATACCAAAACCAGGGAAGGACATAACAAAAAAATAAAACTACACAACAATATCCCTGATTAACATAGATGCGAAAATCCTCAATAAAATACTAGCCAACTGAATCCAACAGAATATCGAAAAGATAATCCACCATGATCAAGTGGGTTTCATGACAGGGATGCAGGGATGGTTTGACAAAATAAATGTGATACATTACATAAACAGAATTAAAAACAAAAATCACGTGATTATCTTAGTAGATGCAGAAAAAGTATTTGACAAAAATCCAGTATACCTTTATGATTAAAATGCTCAGTAAAATCAGCATAGAAGAGACATAACTTAATGTAATAAAAGCTGTCTATGACAAACCCACAGCCAACATTATATTAAATGAGGAAAAGTTGAAAACATTCCCCCTGAGAACTGGAACAAGACAAGAATGCTCACTTTCACCATAGTACTGGAAGTCCTCACCAGAGCAATCAGACAAGAGAAAAAAAAAAATAAGGGCATCCAAATTGGTAAAGAAGAAGTCAAACTGTCACTGTTGGCTGATGATATGATAGTCTACATAGAAAACCCTAAAGACTCCAAAAAGCTCCTAGAACTGGTAAATAAATTCAGCAAAGTTTCAAGATAAAAAATTAATTGTACACAAATCAGTAGCTGTGCTATACACCAACAGCCACCAAGCTGAGAATCAAATCAAGGGCTCAACTCCTTTCACAATAGCTGCAAAAAAAGTACTTAGACATATACTTAACCAAAAAGGTGAAAGACCTCTACAAGCAAAATTACAAAACACTGCTAAAAGAAGTCATAGACAACACAAACAAATGGAAACACATCCCATGCTCATGGATGGGTAGAATCAATATTGTGAAAATGACCATACTACAAAAGCAATCTATAAATTCAATGCAATTCCCATCAAAATACTACCACCACTCTTCACAGTACTAGAAAAATAATTCTAAAATTTATATGGAACAAAAAAAAAATCCCACATAGCTAAAGCAAGATTAAGCAAAAAGAGTAAATCTGGAGGCATCACATTACCCAACATCAAACTATACTATAAGGCCATACCCACCCAAAGAGCGTAGTACTGGTATAAAAATAGGCACATATACCAATGGAACAGAATAGAGAACCCAGAAATAAAGCCAAATACTTGCATCAAACTGATCTTCAACCAAGCTAACAGAAACACAAAGTGGGAAAAAAAAAGACATCCTATTCAGCAAATGGTGCTGGGTAAATGGCAAGCCACATCTAGAAGAATGAAACTAAATCCTCATCTCTTATACAAAAATCAACACAAGATGGATCAAAGACTTAAATTTAACACCTGCAACTGTAAAGATTTTAAAAGATAACATTGGAAAAACCCTTCTAGACATGGGCTTAGGCAAAGACTTCATGACCAACAACCCAAAAGCAAATGCAACAAAAACAAAGATAAGTAGATGGGACTTAATTAAACTAAAAGCTTCTGCACAGCAAAATAAATAATCAGCAGTTAACAGACAACCCACAGAGTGGGAGAAAGTCTTCACAATCTGTATATCCATAAAAGGACTAATATCCAGAATCTATAAAGAACTAAAATCAGCAAGAAAAAAACAAACAATCCTATCAAAAAGTGGGTTAAGGACATGATTAGAAAATTCTCAAAAGAAGACATATGAAGGGCCAACAAGCATGTGGATAAATGCTCAACATCACTAATTATCAGGAAAATGCAAATCAAAACCACAATGCGATACCACCTCACTCCTGCAAGAATGGCCATAATTAAAAAAATCAAAAAATAATAAATGTTGGTGTGGATGCAGTGAACAGGCAACACTGTTGATGGGAATGTAAACTAGTATAACCACTATGGAAAACAGTGTGGAGATTCCTAAAACTAGATCTTCCATTTGATCCTGCAATCCCACTCCTGGGTGTTACCCAGAAGAAAAGAAGTCATTATATAAAAAAGATACTTGCACATTCATGTTAATAACAGCAAAATTTGCAATTGCAAAAATATGTAACCAGCTCAAATGCCTATCAATCAATGAGTGGATAAAGCAAATGTGATATACAGACACACACACACATGCACACACACACACACCCCATGGAATACTACTCAGCCATAAAATGGAATGAAATACTGGCATTCACAGCAACCTGGATGGAATTGGAGACTATTATTCTAAGCTAAGTAACTCAGGAATGGAAAATCAAACATTGCATGTTCTCATTCATATGTCAAATCTAAGCTATTAGGATGCAAAGGCATAAGAATGATATGATTGGATTTCGGGGACTTGGGGTAAAGGGTGGTAGGTGGAGAGGGACAAATGACTATATGTTAGGTACTGTGTACACTGCTCTGGTGATGGGTGCACCAAAATCTCAGAAATCACCACTGAAGAACTTATTCATGTAACCAAACACTACCTGTTCTCCAAAAAACCATTGAAACAAAAAAAAATTAACGTTAAGAAAATATACAGTATACCAAAAAAAGAACAGAAATATGTGGTTATCTCACCATTAGAAAAGATGTAATTATCTTCCATATCAGAAAGTCTAGAAATAGATCCCATTATTAAAGAAATTATATTTATAAAACATAGAAGAATAATAATGACAGGCCAGCAACATCATTATATTTGATGGTAAAGCACTGCAATTACTCACTTTAAGAACTAACAGTAGTGTGCTTATTGTCTCAAGCATTGTTTAACATTATTTGCAATTGAAAGACTAAAATGAAACAAACAAAAAACTCTCAGAAAAATCTTTCACTAGGATCACAGTTCTTTTAGCACCTGTCCACTAGAACCAGTTGAAAAAGTATAGTAAAAAAGATCCTGCTTACCATAGTGAAAACAAATATAAAAAACTAAGCAGAAATTCATGGTAGTACTCAGAGGCACTAGAAGAAAAACAATAGAGAAAGCCATTTTTAGATCAGAGAAAAGAATGTTTTAAGAAAGAGAATTTAGAAGAGTATCAAAATCTGGTTAACATTCCAGTAAAATGAAGACTTAAGTATGGATATTGGATATCAAGACAAAGAGGTTACTGGTATCCTAATGAAACCTCCAAATAAATAAACCAGAAAATTTTACTGAAGAACATAAAATACTTAGCCAATAGGAAGGTATGCTGTATTTCATGATGCAAATATTTAATTTACTGAGACTAATAGTTAAATTAGTTCAGTTTCACTCAATATTGTAATTGTTATTTTTTAAACTCAGTGAAAAGTTATAGATTGTTTTCCAACATGAAAATATGTATTTGATTTAGCCCAATTCCCAGTATTATTCTTTAGGGAGAAACACTAGAAAATTTTCTAATTAAATAAAGAAAAAGATACCAGATACCACTGCTATTATTTGACATTTACTGGAAGTAAAATGAAAGAAGCTAAAGCTATAAAAAATGAACGAGATAGAACTAACACTATTCGCAGATAATATGACAAATTGTAAGAGAATTCAGTAAGATAGGCATAAAATTGACATACAGAGACTAGTGTCATTAATATAATCAGTTAGAGTTTAATGTAGAAAAAACATTCAATTTCCAGTAGCCATAAAAATATAAATTACCAAGAAAGGAACTTAACTATGAATGTGTAAAACCTTTATGAAGAGAAGTTTAAAATACTACTAAAGGATACAGTAGAATACCTGAACAAGTGGAAGAATATAACAAGCTCTTGTTTGAAACTTCCAACAGCAACATTATGTCATTATTCCTAATCGATAACTTTATTATGATTCAAGCTTATTAAAGAGGATTCTTTGGAAGTAAATAATCATAAAATATAGAAAAATAAGCAAAATATATAGAAAAGTCTCTGGAAAAAGAGCAATGGGGGACAGACACTACCAGATGCTCAAATGTATTATAAAATCTCAACAGTAAAAGCAGTAGGAATGCATATAAGTAGCTACACCAATGAAATTAGAATAGAAAGCCCAGAAATAGACTCTAAGTGGGAATTTAATATATAATCAAAGTAGAATATAAAATCAGTAAAAAAAAAAGGAATTGAGAATTTTATAATTTCATATTTCCCCTAATTTCATAGAAAATTAAGCAAAAAAATATTGAACTTATACTTCAAGTCATATGGGGGATAATTCTAAAAGAATCAATAATATATACTTTAAAATGAAATAATGAAAATATAAAAAATAAACGTAAAATTTCTTTATAACTAAAGAAGAAAAGGCCTCTCTAACAATGAGTCAAACTCAGAATCCATAAAATTGACTGATATAATTTAATTACATTTTAAAATCTGAAAAAAAGTCAAGCCAAAAATAAATAATAAATTGGGGGAAGATATCTTTAACTCATATCACAGAGTATATTGTTTTTATATTTATACAGAGCTCCTAGAAAATTTTCCAATAAAAATCGAAGAACTAGATTTTTAAAAGATCATAGACTATAAATAGATAGTTTGCTTTAAAAAAAAGAAGTATAATGACTGTTAGACATGTGAACAGATGATTATTATCACTCATAGTAGGAAAAATATAAATGTGATGTCATTTTTCATGTTCAGATTAGCAAAAAGTCAGAAGTTTGATAGTACACAATGTTGTTACAGCACAGCTATCCTCATACATTGCTGTGAAGATTATAAATTTGTGTGACCTTATATAGCAATTTGGTGAGAACTATCAAAATTATAAATACTTGTACTTTTTGACCCAACAAGTATTTCTGATAAATTGTTCTACTGACAAACTTGTTCTTATGCTAATTTGTGCAGGTACAAGTTTTCTCACTGTAGTATTCTTTGTAAGAGCAGAAATTTGGCAAAACATTAACTGTCCACTAATAATAGACTGGTTATATAAATTACAGTACATCCATAAAATGCAATCAAATAATAAAAAAGAATAAAGATGCTGTCAATACATTAAAATGAAGATATTCCTAAGTATATTGTTAAATAAAAATATCTTGATAAGTAGTTCCTTTTTTCATAAAAATGAAATTCTGGAAGGATACATATGAAGCAAATATTAGGGCTTACTTTTTTGTAGGAGGCAGGTGGCATGGAAACCAGGCAAACAAGTCTGGAGGGGGAATTTTCACTGTATACCTTTTAATATCTTTGGCTTTGAATACCATGAATGTTAAAAAAATGTATTCACATAATGACAAATGATTTTGAAATTTATCACAAAGAATAAACTATTAGGAATAGACAAATACAATTGTGAAAAGATGCCTTCCGCTATTGGATGGTAAAAGGCACATGTAAAATGTTATCATTAAAACTGTGTTTCATTGGCCCCAATAAATATAGATGTGGCAAAGGCACCGGACATAGAAATATGTCTACATATGTACAATGTATGGTATTTGATAAGTACGATAAATGTCAGTAGAGAAAAGACAGATTACTCAACAAGTGATAATTAAGTTAATGGGCAACAATTTAAGAAAGAAAATTTTATGTCCCTATCTCATACCATATTGTAATGTCATCCTAAAAAAGCAAAAGAAAAAAAAATGAGACACTTTCAATAACAGACATAGTACCAAGATAATCCTAGATATTGTTTATAAGAGTGGGGTGATTGCATTTGTAATCCATGTCCAAAAACCATTTAAAATGTTCTGTGAATAAGCCAAATTAGGACTCCCTCAGAGAAGACATCTTTCAGAACCATCTCAGTCTCAATAGCCCATGAAAAACAAGTTATTTCAAATCAGTTATTTGCAGGCAGCTAAACAGAAACTTCTGTTGATTATGCTGCAAAGTATCTTCCTTACTAAAAATTCGCAGTTGTTCTTTGTTTTCAGCTTGAACTATCCAGCAGTATTAGTTTTGGTTATTTTTTCCAGGTTTAATCCTACAGCAGTTACCTAAGTAGTTATTGTAATTGGCCCATCTTCTGGGTTGTGTTGATATCTTGGTATTTTCCTAAAAGTGCTCTTGATTTGCACTAGAACCCTAAACCTAGATTCTCAGCATTAAATGTCTTTGTTTTCCTGGACTCTTTTCTCCCAGCATCAGTTTTCTTCATGAATTTATATTTTATTGATAAAATACTGCCTTTAACACTATAATGTGTGAGTTAGGCAAACAACTATTTTTTAAATCTGAATTTATTTTAGAATTTCTTTTCTCATTCCGTTCTCTGTCCTTCTTCCTCTCTATCAAAGATTTTACTCATGACCCTCTAATCTGACAATTATATAGAAAGAGAAATATTTACAAACACATAAGGTATCTGAATACACCTGGCTTAACCCTCCTATTTTGTTTTTTGTTTGCTCATTTGTTTGTTACTGGCTACTTTGTTTTAATAAAGCAAAGCTAAAGAGTAAGGGTGGAGTCAAAATGTATCTGCGTTCAATCCCCATATTTGCCCGTAATAGTGAGATCACAGACACACTACCCAACCTTGCTGAGACTGATTCCTATCTATAAATGAGGAATGTTAACACTTGTTAATTGTAGCAAGGATTAAGTAAAATAGTTTTGCTATAACACTAACTGTACTGGTGCTAACAATAAATACTAGTTGTTTATTTAAATTCCTAAATAACAGCATTTTGGCAATTATAAATATTCATACTATTATTTCTGAAAGGATGATGTGAAAAATGAATCAGTGTCCTCAGCAATCTAACAGTCTCATTGTGAATGCCTGTCTGTTGTTATGCAATGCTTGCTATCATTCTTTTGATGTGTGTCACATAAATGTATTCTAGACCCTCAGAGACTCATGTTTTTTGCAAGATGTAATTCCACAGGGATGCCTTCAGGCAGAGAAGCTGAACCCTTCGCAACCATCCTCCCATTTCAGAAACCACACAGGGTGTTGTATGGCTGCCCACAGACAGATATACTCCTACACAGGGAGAGACATAATCTTTAAGAAGTTAACCTGAGGAAATGGGTTAGTAGTCAGGAAGATTAGAAAATGGATCACAAGTAATGAACTCATCCTGACATTAAACTCTGTTTCAGAAACCCATGCAGAGACCCTGATTGAAGCAACCAATTGAACAGAGCAGCACTGTGGAAACTGTAAGTTAATGCACTGCTCCAGCACAGGAAGAGATTTGCTTCAGAATTGCAGACCTGCTTGTGAGTGTACCCTTCTTTAAATCATATCTGTAATTGATGTAAATCAGTGGTTTAAATGTTCAACTGAACACATCTCTGGCCACAGAACAGAGTAACTTCTGGGGATTTATCTCTATATTCAGATGTGGAAACCTAAATTTACAAGTACACCAGCATCTGCTTAGCAAAAGTTATTTAGTCTAACCCACATAAATTCTGACAATGCATATACAGTGGTGAGGCTAAAAGGTTTCAAGGGTGTGATGGACACCAAAAAGTACTAGAAGCCTGTACTGAAGAAACATGGTAATCAAGTTTGTATCTTTGTCCCTTCCCAAATCACATGTTGAAATGTAATCTCCGTTGTTGCAGGTGATGCCTGGTGGGAGGTGATGGGATCATAGAGGAGTATTCCTCGTGAATGGTTTAGCACAATCCCCTTGGTGCTAATCTTGTAATAGCAAATGAGTTCTCATGAGATCTGGTCATTTATAAATGTGTGCCGCCTCCTCCCCACTGCTGTCTCTCTCTTATAAATTATCCAGTCTAAGGTATTTATTTATAGCAATGCAAAAACAGTTTAATACACATGGGACAGGTAAAAGTGGTAATTCTCTCATGAGTAGTGTAAGCAGTAAACAGTCTTTAGAACTAACTCCAGATGGTCTTAGATATGGCGAATGGTGCATATAGGTACATTGATATTCCACCTCAGATTTCAGCTTATGACAGCTAGAAAAAGGTGTAAACATATTTGATGTACCACAAAGAATCAGAGGGAATTACTTTAAGAAAAAGAATGCGAATTGGTCATCTTTTTCTAAGTCCTATGTGTTTCTATATCTTCCTCAAGTTTCCACAGCCAGAATTAACAGAAGTTAACCTGATGGCATTGAGGAGTAGAGAGAGAAGGTGCCTTCCCTTGACGTCTTGGCACCGGGTGTCAATGTGCCATCTGATATGGTTGGGGTCTGTGTCCCCACCCAAATCTCATGTTAAATTGTAATCCCCAATATTGCAGGTGGGATCTGGTAGGAGGTGATTGGATCATGGGAGCAGATTTCCTCCTTTGGTGCTATTCTCATGACACATTCTCATGAAATCTGGTTGTTTAAAACTATGTAGCAATCTCCCCTCTTACTCCTTCTCTGGTCATGTAAGACATGCTCACTCTCCTTTTGCTTTCTGCCAAGATTTTGAGTTTCCTGAGGCCTCCCCAAGAGCAGATCTTGCCATGCTTCCTGTTCAACCTATGGAACTGTGAGCCAATTAATCCTCTTTTCTTTATAAATTACCCATTCTCAGGTATTTCTTATAGCAGTGTGAGAATGGACTCATACTGAAAATTGGAATCAAGGAATGAGGCATTCCTATAAAGGTGCCTGAAAATGTGACAGCAACTTTTGAAGTGGGTAACAGGCATATGTTGAAAGAGTGTGGAGGACTCAGAAGAAGACAGGAAGATGAGGAAAAATTTGAAACTTCCTAGAGACTTGTTAAGTTGTTGTGACCAAAATGCTGATAGTGATATGGACAGTGAAAGCCAAGCTGAGAAGGTATCAGATGAAAATAGAGAAGTTATTGAGAACCAGAGCAAAGGTCACTTTTGTTATTCATTAGCCAAGAACTTGGCAGCATTGTGCTCCTACTCTATGGATATGTGGAACTTTGAACTTGAGAGTGATAATTTAGGGTATCTGGTGGAAGAAGTTTCTAAGCAGGCAAGCATTCAAGATGTTTCCTTGTTGCTTCTAGCAACCTATTCTCATACGCATGAACAAAGAAAGGACCTGAAACTTATATTTAAAAGGGAAGCAGAGTATAAAAGGATAGAATATTTGTAGCCTGGCCATTTGGTAGAAAATGAAAGGCCATGTTTGCCGGGAAGGGGAATTCAAGCTGGCTGAAGTAGTTTGCTTAAGTAAATAGGACCACGATGCTGATAGCCAAGACAATGGGAAAAAGGCCTCCAAGGCACTTCAGAGACCTTTGAGGTAGCCCCTCCCATCACAGGCCCAGAGGCCTAGGGGAAAGAAATGGTTTCATGGGCCAGGACCAGGGCCCTACTTCCCTGTGCAGCCTCAGACACTGCTCGTCACATCCTAGCTGCTCCATATCCAGTCCTGATTAAAAGGTGCCCAGGTACAGCTCAGGCTAGTGCTTCAGAAGGTGCATGCCATAAGGCTGGGCAATTTCTGCTTGGTGTTAAGCCTGAGGGTGCTCAGAGTGCAAAAGTTGAAGCTTGAGAGCCTCTGCCTGGATTTCAGAGGGCGAATGGAAAAGCCTGGATGTTCAGGCAGAAGCCTGCTGCAGGGGTGGAGTCCCCATGGAGAACCTCTACTAGGCCAGTGCAGAGGGAAAATGTGGGGTTGGGGTGCCCACACGGAGTCCTCACTGGGGCACTCCCTAGTGGAGCTGTGGGAAGAGGGCCACCATTCTTCACATTCCAGAATGGTAGGGGCACTGACAGCTTGCACTATGTGCCTGGAAAAGCCACAGGCACTCAACACTTGCCCATGAGAACAGCCACAGAGACGGGGAGCTTCCCAAGGTCTTTGAAGTGCACCCCTTGCATCAGCATGCTCTGGATGTGAGACATAAAGTCAAAGGAGAATATTTTGGGGCTTTCTTAACAACAGCCCTGCTGGATTTTGGACTTGCATGGGGCCTCTAGCCTCTTTCTCTTGGCCAATTTCTCTCTTTTGGAATGGCAGTATCTACCCAATGCCTGTATCCCCATTGAATTATGGAAGTAACTAATTTGTTTTTTATTTTATAGACTCATAGGCAGAAGGGACTGGTGTTTTTTCACATGAAACTTTGGACATTTGAGTTAATGCTGAAATTAGTTAAGACTTAGGGGAATGTTGAGAAGGTATAATTGTATTTTGCAACGTGAGAAGGACATAAGATTTGGTATGAACCAGGAACAGAATGATATGGTTTGGATTTGTGTCTCCACTCAAATCTCCTGTTGAATTGTAATCCCCAATGTTCGAGGTGGGACCTGGTAGGAGGTGATTGGATGATGGGGGCAGATTGCTCCTTTGGTGCTGTTCTCATCATAGAGTTCTCATGAGATCTGGTTGTTTAAAAGTGTGTAGCATCTTGTTCCTGCTCCAGTCTTGTAACATGTGCTTGTTCTCACTTTGCCTTCTGTCATGATTTTGAGTTTCCAGAGGCTTCTCCAAAAGCAAGTCATGCCATGATTCCTGTACAGCTTGCAGAACTGTGAGCCAATTAATCCTCTTTTCTTTATAAATTACCCAGTCTCAGGTATTTCTTTATAGCAGTGTGAGAACAGACTAATACAACATCTCACACTATCCTTTAACATGCCATTTAGAAACATTCTGTGAAACAAAACCATGAGCAATACCAACAGATATTCATGAGGTTTAGCAAAGTGATAGACTCTTATAGATTTTATTTTTACTCTGTAAAGAATTAAGTCTAACTAAAGTCTTTAGGAGACCTACTAGAAAAAAAGAAATAAAGTATCTCAAAGTCAGAGGACATACTCTCTAACACGTCCTTATGCATAACTTATAAATAAAATTGTTATAATAGATGTACATAGTTAGATTTACAGAAATAAATTTAGACTTACAGATACATTGCAAAGATACTCATATACAGTACACACAGTTTCGACTATTGTTAACATCTTACACTACTGCAATACCTGTGTCACAGCTAATGAACCAATAATGCAGCATTATTGTTAACTAAAGTCCATACTTTCATTATATTGTTCACTAATGTCCTTTTTCTGTTCCAGGATTTCATACAGGACATCATATTATATTTAGTCATCATGTCACCTTAGGCTCCTCACAGCTGTGTCAGTGTCTCATTTTTGTTGTTTTTTGATGACCTTGACATTTTATGGAGTACTGGTTGAATACTCTGTAGAGTATCTCCTCAATAAGAATTTGTTTGGTGTTTCTCTCATGATTAGACTGGGTTTTGACTTTTGAGGAGTGAGATAAAAGAGAACTGTCCTTCACCTCATATTATATCATATTAAGAGTACATACTATCAAATGGACTTATTATTGATTATGTTAACCTTCATTAAGTGAAGTACTGTTTGTCAGATTTCTCCAATGTAAAGTTGTCCTTCTTTCCCATTTTCCATATTATTCTCTTTGGAAGCAAGTCACTAAGCACAGCTCACACTTAAGAAGAAGTGGGTAATGCTCACATTCTTGAAGGGAGAGTCTGTTCATAGACTATATGGAATTCTTCTATACAAGAGATTTGTCTCTTGACTTCCATTTGTTTTTTATTCCTTCATTTATTTATAATAGTATGAACTAATGGGTATTTATTTTACTTTGTATTACAATCTAGTACTATCATATTTATTTTATTGCTCTAATTGCTCCAGCTTTGGTCATTAGGAGCTCTTTCAATTGTCTTCCGTTTCCCTTTGACAAACACCCATTGTGTTGTTTTTGGATTACTTTACTACTTTCTGGCACTAAAAGATGGCCCAGGATTATCTTGTATATTCTCTGATCCAGCATGAAATGGATTTTAGCCCAGCATATTATTCTAAGCTTTCCATAATGTATTTTCATATAAAAGATTATGCCATAACTTTGGAGAAACAATGCCTTTGTAGACTAGTTCTCACTAAGTTTATTCAATTTAAAATGAATCTCTTAGATATATTCAACAAAACGAAACATGATATCTGGTACATTTTACTAACTTTCAACTTGCATGGGTTATATATGAGAACTCTTCAAATTTTTCTTATCTAGGGAAAAAAGATATTCAAGTTTCCTGGGCACTAGGGAATATTTCTTACCAAAAGAAGCCACGAAAATAAGAAATAATAATAATAAATTCAAAAGATGGGTGAAATTATGAAACCAATAAAATGGGTAGAACTCAAAGATTTTTTAAAATCCAGTAAGGCTGAAAAAATCTAAATAGTGGGGAAAAGAGTAAAGCGAGATAAGAGATTAGAGGATCTTTAAGACTTACATATATGAAAGCAGCAGATAAAATGTGGGGGCCACTGGGCAGATTTCTGGAATATAAATTGTTAGAAACCCTATGACTTTCAGAGAATAAGAAATGTCAGCTATACAAAGCATTAATTTTATAATTTTTTTTTAAGTTACACTTCAAGTTCTGGAATACACGTGCAGAACGTGCAGTTTTGTTACATAGGTATACACGTGCCATGGTGGTCTGGTGCACCCATTAACCCATCATATACATTAGGTATTTCTCCTAATGCCATCCCTCCCCTTCCCCCCCATCCCCCAACAGGCCCTTGTGTGTGATGTTCCCCTCCCTGTGTCCATGTGTTCTCATTGTTCAACTCCCACTTATGAGTGAGAACATGCGGTGTTTGGTTTTCTGTTCCTGTGTTAGTTTGCTGAGAATGATGGTTTCCAGCTTCATCCATGGCCCTGCAAAGAACATGAACTCATCCTTTTTATGGCTGCATAGTACACCATGGTGTATATGTGCCACATTTTCTTTATCTAGTCTATCATTTGTGGGCATTTGGGTTGGTTCCAAGTCTTTGCTATTGCAAATAGTGTGGCAATAAACATACATGTGCATGTGTCTTTATAGTAGCATGATTTATAATCTTTTGGGTATATACCCCATAATGGGATTGCTGTGTCAAATGGTATTTCTGGTTCTAGATCCTTGAGGAATTGCCACACTGTCTTCCACAATGGTTGAACTAATTTACACTCCCACCAACAGTGTAAACGCATTCCTATTTCTCCACAGCCTCACCAGCATCTATTGTTTCCTGACTTTTTCATGATTGCCATTCTAACTGGTGTGAGATGGTATCTCATTGTGGTTTTGATTTGCATTTCTCTAATGACCAGTGATGATGAGCTTTTTTTCATTATGTTTCTTGGCCGCATAAATGTCTTCTTTTGAGAAGTGTCTGTTCATATCCTTTGCCCACTTTTCAATGGGTTGTTTTTTCTTGTAAATTTGTTTAAGTTTCTTGTAGATTCTGGATATTAGCTATTAGCCCTCTGTCAGATGGATAGATTGTAAAAATTTTCTCCCATTCTGTAGGTTGCCTGTTCACTCTGATGATAGTTTCTTTTGCTGTGCAGTAGCTTTTTAGTTTAATTAGATCCCATTTGTCAATTTTGGCTTTGTTGCCATTGTTTTTGGTGGTTTAGTCATGAAGTCTTTGCCCACGCCTATGTCCTGAATGGTATTTTCTAGGTTTTC
Organism: Homo sapiens; assembly: GCF_000001405.40. NCBI lineage: Eukaryota > Metazoa > Chordata > Mammalia > Primates > Hominidae > Homo > Homo sapiens. The sequence goes on along the minus strand of NC_000006.12, from coordinate 76,785,994 downwards.
CTCTAGGGTTTTTATGATTTTAGGTCTTACATTTAAGTCTTTAATTCATCTTGAGTTAATTTTTGTGTAAGGTGTAAGGAAGGGGGCCAGTTTTAGTTTACCGCATATGACTAGCCACTTTTCCCAACACCAATTTTTAAATAGGGAATCCTTTCCTCACTGCTTGTTTTTGAGAGCTCCAGCTGGTATCTGGTTGGTGCCCCTCTGAGATAAAGTTTCCAGAGGATGGAACGGGCAGAAGTCAATTTTTAGATCAAGAATTTTTAGTCTTTAAAAGTAATTTTTATAGAGACAAGGTCTTGCTATGTTGCCCAGGTTGGTCTTGAACCTCTGAGCTCAAGCAATCCTCTGCCTTGGCCTCCCAAAGTGTTGAGATTACAGGTGTGACCCACTGCACCTGGCCATTTTACTCCTATAAAAAGAGAAACTTTCTTAGCACCCTTATATCAACTGATGTATATCCAAAGTTTTAGCACATCACTGATGAAAAATTAATTTTACTTCCCAAATGCTCACAGATTACCTATCCCTGTGCTAGGACCCCATGCATTCTAGGCACTATGCATACAGCAGAATGAAATAGACAAGATAGCTATATTTGGAAAACCTACATTCTAGTGGAGAGATATAAACAAAATAACAACAACAATAGGAGAAGAAAGAAGAGAAAAAAGGGGAAGGAAGAGGAGATGAATAAGAGGGAGGAGAAGAAGGCAGCAGCCATGTCAGCTGGTTGTGGTTATAGTACTTAAGAATAAAAAAGAAACAGAAAAATGAAGTTACAAAGTGATTGGGTGGAGGGTGCAGTGGTCAGAGAATACTTCTTTAAAAGGCATTTGAACAGAAACCTAAAAGAGTGAAGAAAAATATATAAGTAGTAGGAAAGTATTCCAGGCAGAGAAAAAGCAAATGCAAATACTCTGAAGTGTGCAGTTTGACTTGTTGAAAAACACCAAGACCAGTGACACAAGAAGGTCAGAGAAGCACCAAGAAAGAGAGAAGCACAATATGTTATGTCTTGTGGGACTTAGTGGAAATGGGAAGCCATTACAAGATTTTTAAAATAGAAATTACATGATCTGGCATATTTTTAAAGGTTCATCTGGTTGCTCTATGTAGATTAGATTTAGAGACAGAGGGGTGGCTTTCATAGATCAAAATAGAGAAAGTATTTAGGAGACTATTCAATAATGTAGGCCACAGGAAATAGCAGTAAATGACTGCATTAAGGTATTTATTGAAGGTACAGTTGACAGGCTTTGAGGATGATTTAGATGTGGTATATGAGAGAAAGAGGGAAGTCAAGGACAATTCCAAGATTCTGGGCTGAATCTACTGAAAGAATAGAGTTTCCACTGATTAAGATGGAAAGGACTATAAGAGGAAGGGAGCATAAAATCAAGTGCCTGGTTTTGAACTTGCTAATTTTAAGAAGCTGTCTGTTTTGTGTTGCTACAAAGGAATATCTGAGGCTAGGTATTCCTCAAATAAACTGAAAGGTGTATTTGACTCAGGGTTGTAGATGGCTGCAAAGTTTAAGATTTGACATCTACATCAGCTGAGGGCCACATCAGGCAGCTTCCACTCATGGAAGAAGGCGAAGGGGAGTGGCATGTGTACAGATTGCATGAAGAGAGAAAAGGAAAAGGGCGGTGGAGGCAGGGAAGTGCCAGGGTCTTTTAACACCCAGCTTTTATAGGAACTAATAGAGTGAGAAGTCATTCACTCCCCCAAGGAAGGACATTAATCTAGTCATAAGGGATCTGCCCCCATGACTTAAATACCTCCCACTGGGCCCCAACACCCAGCACCATCACACTGGGGATCAAATTTCAATATGACACTTGATAGGGATTAAAAAAATGATATTCAAACTATAGCAGAAGCCATTAGATATCTAGATATCAGCTAGGCAATTCAATATGTGAGTCTGGAATCAAGGAGATGATCTGGGCTGGATATATACATTTTTTCTATTTTTATTGAAATATAGTGGTCATACATATTTTGCAGGTACATGTGATATTTTTACACATGTATGCAATGTGTAATGAGCAAATTGTGGCAATTTAGATTTCCATCACTTCAAATATTTATCTTTTTCTGTTCTGGGAATGTTCAAATTCTTCTCTTCTAGCTATTTTGAAATATTCAATGAAGTATTACTAACTATAATCTCCCTACTGTACTATTGAATACTAGAATGTATTTGTTCTATTTTACTGTATTTTTGTACCACTACCAAACTTCTCTTCATTCCCACCCTTACCATTTCCAGCCTCTGGTAACTACCATTCCACTCTCGACCTCCATGAGATCCACTTTTTTTTTTTTGCACCCATATATGAATGCAAACATGTAATATTTGTTTTTCTGTGCCTGGATTATTTCACTTAACATAATGATCTTCAGTTCCATCCATGCCACTGCAAATGACGGGGTGCCATTTATCTGGCTAAATAATATTCCACTCTGTATATATACCACATTTTCTTTACCTATTCATCCATTCGTGGACACTTAAATTGATTCCATATCTTGGCTATTGTGAATAGTGCTGCAATAAACATTGGAGTACAGATATCTCTTTGATATACCAAGTTCTTTCATTTTAGACATATCCAGCAGTGGGATTGCTAAATCATGAGGTAATTCTATTTTTTAGTTTTCTGAGGAACATCCATACTGTTTTCTATAGTGGATGTACTACTTTACATTCTCACCAAAGTGTACAGGCATTCCGCTTTCTCTGTATTCTCACCGGCATCTGTTATTTTTTATCTTTTTGATAATAACTTTTAACTGGGGTAAAATGCTATCTCATTATGGTTTCAATTTGCATTTCCCTGATGATTAGTGATGTTGATCATTTTTTATATATACTTATTGGCCATTTGTATATTTTCTTTTAAGAAATGTCTATTCAGGTCTTTGGAGATAAAAATTTTAGAATCATTAGCATATAGATGTCGTCAATTATTCTTTTCTCTATATTACAAGGCCAACTGCTTCTGCGTGTAAAATTACTAAGTCTCTTGAGAGCTAACTTACTACTTCATTTGTGTTATTGTAAAATAAATTCTTTGATCAGAAGCAATAATAGATGGGATACATAACATAGAATAAGGCATTCAGCAAACCAGAGAATGGTGTCTTGGTAGAAGCATGATGGGCAGAATTATATATAATTATTACATTAAAATAAATTGTTTTTTCCTCCATGATGGAAGGGACTCCATGTAATTGACCTGCTCCAAGGTGGCTGACTAGTCCCTCCAGATTCTATATCTGGAGCTCGGCATTATTCTCTGCTGTTGTCAAGTAATGTTTCAGCAATGACAGTAGTCATTGTAGAGAAAGTCCAAGTTGCAAAACCCATGCATGGCTTGAATCTCTGCCACCATAGCCACCCTCTTTCATGAGCCCATAGGGAAAGCATAGAGTCGTAGAAAAAGATAGTGATATGCACAAAGTATTTGTTCACCTGATTATTTAGAGCCATATCTGCAGTTAATGTCATTTATAAACTATTTTTAGAGAAAAAATATTCTCCCATTTGGAGACAGCCATCAACATACCTCTTCCCTTTTGCTCATACCTTGCCATCAATCTTCCAATCCTATTCTTCCCAAGCCCCTGACCATCTGGTCATACCACTAGTGAAGCAGCATAAATCCAAACATCAGATAATCTGAACCAGATAAAGGAGATAGCCAATTCTTCCTATGGGGTAATTACTCTGTCTTTCATAACTACCCTTTAATGGAGTTGTAGTATTACAGCAATGCCCTTATGGCAAGAGTCAACATGTAATATAAAATCACCTATAAACCAGACTCTAATTTGTTCTTTCTTATTCAATTCATTATGGGAGTGTCCTTAGCTGTCTATAGGTATAAGTTGAAGTGAATGTGTCAGTGCAGCAGAAGAAGGTACACTGTGGTGTGAACCAACTGATCATATAATGTTCTCCAGTCCAACCTCATGTGTACTATCTCCATTTGATAATGGAATGCCACTTGGGACACCAATTTTATAGCTTGATGGATCAGATAATATCCAATTTGTAATGGCCATCTCAAGTCATCTAGTCACATTGTGTTTCATCTTTAAGCATTTAGTCTCAATCAGGGTCCATTTGCAAACCAGGAATTTTCTTAAAATAAGTGATTTACAGAAAACTGCATAGCTTTACAGAAAAGTCTAGGGAACTGTACTCTGATTCTCTTATCAGGGTTTTCCATAGGCTCCATTCAGTATCCTGTTTTGTCATGGACACTTAGAATAACATTGACTCTACTGTTTCATACGAGCCAAGTGGTGCAACTTATACCAAAGCTGCAACAAGCTAAAGGGACTTATCTTTCTCTATAGTCCTCTCAAAGCCTATGAACTACTAGTTAAGAAGGTAACACATACCATAATGTGTACTATATGTCCATATACCTACAAAAATCAAAAAATGCCAACAAGGCTTGCTTCCATTCTAGTAGCTTAAAATGAAGCATCTTGTTTTCACTTGAGATGGGATATCACAACATGCCATAAAACTGCTAAATTCGAGAAACTTTACTATAACTTTATTAAATGTTTGTGAGATTTGTGTTGTTTGCCTATTTGCTTTTTCATTGGTTGGTGACTTGACAAAACTATTCTATTGATGTTTATTTCCCCTACAGTATATAGCTTCTGATGTTGCTCCTCAGAAAACACACCTTGGGAATACACAGAACCTTTCTGAGATGATTGTGGTTTTCATCAGCATTCACTTTGTCTCCTTCTGTGATCTTCCTGTTACATTTCTGGCTGATCTAGCACTATGGATATCATGCCCAGCTATTAGTATCCACTCATTGCTAGCTGATTGCTGTATTGTTTTTGACAGTACTGAGACATAAATTGCGCCAAAATGTGATCTGATTAAAGTCAGGCTTCTTTGAAAAGCTAGGTTTTGTCAGTTTTTGAGGATTCTCCAACCCTAGGAGGGCTTTTTTATGCTCTTTCTCTAGTTCACTCTGATAAACTTCTATTTGATCTACATTTTCACTTGTTGCTATTAATATCATGGAATTACCTGCCTCCTTTATGTGTTCACCATGAATATCTCCATTGTTATAGATGATAAACGTCCTCACATTGTGTTTCAGATGAAGTCAGCTCTCTTACAAAGAGCTTCAGCACCTTCTGTTCTCACTGCCTGCCTCCACCCTTGTAGAATCTCTGCCCCACTGCCCTGGAGATGTAAGCAAGTACAATGTCCCACTTATTCTTTAGTGACACTCTAGTGACTTTAAATGGTTAACTTTTATAATTTTTTATTAAATTCTTATTTCTCTGGGACAGACTCTGCTGCGCTCTGTATACAGTCATTTCAGATATTGATCTCCGTTCACTCATTTTATTATTTTTTGAGATATAACTTACATACCATAAAATTCATCTATTTAAAGTGTAGAACTCAGTGGAGTTTGAGTAGAATCACAATATTTTGCAACCATCAACACTATCGAATACCAATATGTTTTTATAATCCCAGAAAGAAGCCCAATGGCCATTAAATCATTTCCCATTTTACCCTATTCTGAGCCCCAGGAAGCAATTTTCTATATCTACACATTTGCCTATTCTACGCATTTCATATACATGGATTCACATAATATATGACCTTTTGTTTGTGGCCTATTTCACTTAATGTAATGTTTTCAAGTTCATCAATGTTATAGCATGTATTAATATTTTCTTACCTTTTTGGCTGAATAATATTCCATTGTATGCATATATTATATGAATATAATTTGGTTTATCTGCTCAATAGCTGATAAATATGTCCTATTTCCACTACATTGCTATCATGAATAATGAAGCTATAAACATTTGTGAACAATTTTTTGTGTGGACATGTGTTTATGATTCTCTTCAGTATACGTAGCTACAACATTTTGTAGTTCCACCAGTAATATATGAGGATTCCCATTTCTCCCAAATCCATGCCGACACTTATTATTATCTGTCTGCTTTGATGATAACATTCTAGTGTGTTTGAAGTGGTATCTCATTGTGGTTTGGATTTGCATTTCCCTAATGATTAATAATGTTTAGTATCTTTTAATGCTTTTATTAGATATTTGTATATCTCTTTGAAGATACGTCTATTCAAATCTTTTGCTCATTTTTCATAAAGGCATTTGTCTTATTGTTGTATTCTCAGTTACCTATATATTCTAAAACTTAGCTCTTACCAGTTATGATTGCAAATATTTTGTCCTATTCTGTGGATGATTTTACCACTTTCTTGATAATGTTCTTTGAAGTACAAAAGCTTTAATTTTTATAAAGAACAATTTGCCATATATATATATATATATATATATATATATATATATATATATATATTTCTTGGCTGCTTTTGCTTTTGGTGTCATATCTAAGAAATCATTGTTTTAATCAATGTCAAAATGATTTATGCTTATTTTCTTCTAAGAGTTGTATAGTTTTAGCTGCAACATTACAGCCTCCAATCTTTTTTTAGTTAGTTCCATTTTGAGTCAATTTTTAAAATATGGTACAAAGTATGACCACTGAAATTTCTGCTTGGTTGGTGTTTTGGTCAGCTAATGGTTAGAAAAAGGTGTTTTTAAATGTGTGGAACTAATCTTTGCCAAGGAGCTTAGCATGTGTATTGAGATAACATCTTAAACACTCAGCCACTTGTTTACAACTCTGACTTCACCTTTACTTCTTGTTTGCACAAAGCCTCAAGGTTAATTAGAAGTGAGAGCTTAGGACTTTCTCATATATTTCCAGAGCAATCACACAACTCTGGACATACCTAGAGCTGTACACATATGCAGCAAGCCATGTAGATTTTTAGAAATAAGTCAAAGTTTTTCCAAACTCCTCATAAACATCTCATTCTTAAGATTTACCTTGCAAACGTCTTACTTTGCCTAAGTTCATCATTGCCAAACTCTATAGTTTGGATTTAATGTTATCTACTGTCTCACAGAGCCATAATGTTAAACTTTGCCCATGGATTTTTTTTTTCTTTTTTTAACCAATGCCCCTGAGGATAAAGCTGTTAATACTACCCAAGCTCCAAATCAGGTCAAATAAAGGCAGTCTTGTAAGTGGAGTTTTCCAGGAATTGAGAGACAGTTTAAATAATCACAATTTTCTGGAAATGAGGCTTTGTAGAATATCCAACATTATATTTCAATCCCAGTGTCTGCCAGACTTCTGGCTGTCAGCATGATTGTGGGCTGCTTGTTTTCAAAGCTACTGCGGAGCTGTACAAGGAGATAGGATAGAGCAAGTTAAAATGATACAAAGCTCACTGTTTTTACTTAGATTCAGCCATTTTTCTTGAAAAAACACTTCCTGGGTTGCTGCAAGTCTTTCTTAATTTGAGTGGTTTTTGAAAAAGTTGACTGAACATTTTTTGCCAGTGTTTTTATTGCTTTAACGAAAGAGAAAATTTTTGGAGGTCCTTACTCTGACATCACCCACATGGATTCATTTTTAATATTCTACTTAGAATGTTTCTCTGTTCTCATCTTCAAGGATATATTTATAAGGTTTATTTTTAATTTCACCTCCTCAAGATAATCATGCTTAAATAGAAGATATTCTTTCATCTTCTGAACTCTCCTGTAATAGCTATCATATTTGTAATTTATTTTACTAAAATGTCATCTATTCCAGGGATTACCTAAACTCTTATTTGAAGCTAATATTGTTTAACTTTTGACATGTGTATTTATAATTTATTTATCCATCAAAATTATAATTATTTTAAAGACAGGAACGTTAACTTTTACACCTATATATCCTGAAATAGTTCCAGTTACATAAACTTAATTCAATGGATCACTTATTTAAATCAAAGTTATGTACTTCACTATGATAATTGTTATCAGAATTTTATTTATGCCATATATTCCAGAGATGGAAGGTTTGGGGACCAAAAACATTTCATGGCTTTGGTAGAATATTACTTCATATTATTTTTGAGGCATTTTCCATGTGATAAATTTCATACTTTTTTATTATCTTCCTGGTTGTTTGGCCTGGATCTTCACAGGTATTTAAATATTTAGCATTCCCCAGTTTTTACTTGCCACAAAATAATTTATAGTTACTCTCTTTATACTACACACACTACCTTAATATCCTATTAATTAGAGTACCAATGACATATATAGTTATATTTATTTCCGGTAAAAATGCTATACTTTTCTAACTCATGTTAGACGTTCGGAAACTTCATATATTGAAAAATTATTTAATGTGAAAGGATGTTAATTATTTATAAAATGAAATTGCTACTGTTGAAATCATTTGAAATTATTCACATGCACACACATCACACACAAGAAAAGCATGATGCAGTTTTGTCCTTCAAACAAATACTGTCACTTGCATGCCAGGGAAGGCTGTGTCTCCCTGAGCCTCGCTGAAACTTTAAAATATTTATGGCAAAAGCAGCCATGCCTTTTCTAAGTACTGAGAATGAGAGTAGTTATATATGAGATGACAATACCTATTCCTGTTTCCCTTGAAGTATATATTTGGGTTTTGCTGCAAATGAAAGAATAAGCTCAATTATCTTTTTTCATTCTCCCTATTCCCACAGGCAGAGGGAACAGGCATACAAGAAAATAAAATCACTATATGTTTAAGCAGAGGCTGGAAGAGACTCCATGTGGGATATTCCTCATCTGTGCACTGCACCAGAATTAAAATGAATGCTCTCTCTGTATACACTCCTTCTCTTGCCTGCCACCACCTCACTACACAAAAAATTGTTTTCTCTCTGTTGAGTTGGAAGAGATGTAAGTGATAAGTCATCATGTAAGCCTGATCCAATCAGAAGGCTTTTGTTTTTCCCCAGGAAAACTCTCCTTGGTATGACAGAAAAACAACTTGGAAACAATGAGTGGAAACAAAGAACAGAAATGATTTCCACATCAAATGCTAATGCACCTGTTAATTCCCTGACACAGTCATTTTTAAGTCAACACTTAAAAATAAATCTTCTCCTTGTGATTCATTAAATCTCCCACGATAGATATGAACCAGAAGCAATACTTACCTACTGTACTGCAGAGATAGTCAACCATAACCAAGATATTATTTAGGGACCAAAAAATGTAAGTTGTGATGGTTAAACCAAATGGAAAACAAACTTTATCAAAGTCTATGAATTTCACTGGAATATGAAAGTACTTTTACTTTTTATGTGTTCCACCACTGCACTAAAACCCTGATTAAAGATTGAAGACAAAGGAAAGTCTATTTCTATAACTAAGAAACCACGTAATTCTTTTACAACCATTTTGTTGGAGGTTGGTATATGTTCTGAATCTTTTAACATCTAAGAACGTATGTCTATTCCCTTCAAAGTGAAAGACAACTTAGCTATATTAAAAGCTAAGGTTACAAATTTTCTTTTTTCCTCTAAATTCTGAAGCAGTTGTTTTACCACCCTCAGATTTTTAGTATTGGAAAGTCTGAGGACGGTCTGGTTTTCTTGTTTTGTTGTTTACCCTGAGTACTTGTCACCTTCTTTATAAATAATATGGAGACACCTCAGAAGAAAATACTCAGAAGCTAGTATCATTCTATTAACTTCCCATATATTCAAGGGATACTTTTGAGATGCAGAATTAGATCTTGATATTATTTTAAAATATTTTTTCCTGTTAACTGTATTTATATGTTTCCATACTCTCCACCAACTGCCCTGTTGCTCAACATCTTCTTACAAAATATGAAGGGTTTCCTCTGCTAATACGGGCCAGTTATGATGACATCTGTTAGGAGAAAGAGTTGCAGGTTGACTCAGTGTACTGAGTTGTTATCAATACTATCTCAAGCACAAACGCTCGACAATTTGGTATGTGGAAGGTATACTTCATTGTCCCCCAGACATGATGTAGGTCTTCTTTAATTTGTCTCATCTATTGGTCATTGCACTGAGAACTGGGAATCAGGGATTAAGAGGACCCTGGTGGGGCTCATGCTACTATCTTTATAGTAAATACAACTGATAGTTTTAACTGATTTTTTTTCACATTCAAAGACTACGTGATGTATAAAATGTATAAAATATATAAGTTGAAAGCTTAAAGAATATTTGGTAGGCACTTGAGATTTTTATTGAGATATTCAAAATTATTTCATCAACAACACTTTTATCAGGATAATAGAGGTATTAAAATTAGAATAAAAAGCTATTCTGAACTGACCTCCAAACTGAAACATCACTGAGATTCTCAAAATCCAACTGAGAGTCAAATTGGCTGAACTAGGCAAATAAAGAAGAAATGAGGGTTTTTAACCTTACATTTTAGATTTATTGGGGCAGGGGAACTTTCTAAAATACAGAAGTATCACACCCAACCTAGGGAATCATATTTAAAGGCAGCGACGCTCTAATAGATGTTTGTAGTAGTCCATATTGGTTTGTAATTTTAAAGATAAAATATCTAAGTTTTCGATGATTGCTAAGATGAAATAAGCCAACTAGAATCTATCTAATGCACTGTTCACCACTAAAACTGAACAAACTACAAAAAACAAACAAACAAACAAACAAAAACAAGCACTTAAACACTCTGAAAAGTAAAAACTAGCAGGAGGATCTGAAGTTAAAGCTTGAAAGCAGCCCACAGTGGGTAGTGAGTTTCGTATTGTTTTCTTCCTTTATCACTTTGCTTGGATGTTTACCTGAGCTGTCTCCCATGAAAGGTTCTGAACTTCAATTCCAGTCTCCACAGCTCCCTGATAGCGCTGACATCGCTGCTTAACCTTTTAGCTTCTAAGCATCTGTGAAGCAGGTTCACTAATTACTATTTGCCTGACTCTGTTGAGACAGAACACACTCACACACACAATATATGAAGGAGATTTTTACTTACAGACAGCAAGGGACAAAAGCAGCTTATGATTCATTGTGAGCTGACCACCTAATCTTCAACAAACTGCCCAGAGTGAATAAAGTCTCAACGGAGCATGCCCCACTTGCACTGCAGCTGAGGAAACACAGCTGGCAGCCTGTTCTGAGTTATATAACCCAGGGGCCGCATGATCACTGGGCAAAGCTTTGAAGGATATCTCGCTTCCACAGGAAGGAGGAGTAAAGCCCAGGCTGTACCAGAGCAGTTCCTCCCTAACTCAAGATGTTGCATTCCCAGCACATTCTATAGTTATTTTTGAGAACTACAAGCAAGAAACAGGGATAACTAGGTATGTCCAAGGCCACCTGGAGAATTGTCCTAAGGTCTACCCCTCTAGCCAGACATCTCTCGTAGCAAAGTCAGTGCATTTCAAATGCCCACCAACCTCTCTGGATCTGGAGGAAGAGGTTTATCTAGCCAGACTGATGTAGCACCTTGACTGACCCAAACTCAGTGCAACACTGTTGAGTAACAGACAGAAAATCCTTTACTGGATCCCAAAGGACTACACCACTAGCAGGACAGCCAGACCTGCTTGAGGCAGTGACCTAATCCAGGATACCAGTGTCTCAGGTAAGAAGTTGCTAAAAAAAAAAGGCAAAGAAGGATTATCAGATAGCCCCACTGTTTGTAGCCAGTGGACCTGCTTCCAGATCTCCTCTACTTATGTCTCTACTGTACCTAAGGTGTTTATCTAGCTACAGCAGTAGGAATTGCCAAACACATACACTCCTCTCAATTGAGCTAAAAGAAAGTCTCGGGCAATTCCACTGTCTAAAACAACTTTCCTGAGGAATCTGGGGGATGTCTAGGGCTTCCAAGACAGTGGCAGTGGAAAAGCAATATCTGCATGGTCAGAGGCAGGGTTCTTACTACTTTTTTATGAGTACCAACTCATGTGTGACATCAAAGATCTAATAAAGGACATAAACCCAAAGTCAATCCCACCTCCTGGTGGGTTCCTAGTAAGCCTGTGTAAAAGCTTAAGGCCACTGGCCTAATGGAGCATCTCCTTCCCAGGGTGATATCTAGGGGCACCCCTAGTACACCCAATGTGCAGGATCCCACCAGCTACCAGCTTTACAGGCATGGCATTGTCTATCCTGTATCTAGGCCATCCCCAGCCACCTGCAGAGAGAGATGCAACGCTTGGGCACACACAGCACCCCTTTCTTTGTTTCTTTGTTCAGTGAGCCACTCATTGGTAAAGAGGCATTGACATTTCCCAGCCAAGTCTCATTGATGGCATAGTTGCATGAGCCCAATTTCCTTCATATAATATTGTTCATGAAACTCCTATGCAGAGGACTAGCACTGGTCCAGTTCTTGTTTTCTTTATTACCACTGTAACATTTCTGATCCATGTAATCAGAGGAGCTTAGTGCATCAGAGCACAAGCCCACCAAGATTCTGTTTAGTTATAGTTGTGATATTTTGCCACACAGTCAGTTATAAGTTAAAACAGAGAACCTTCTGCTCTCTCCCATGCAACAGGTACCAGATCCTCATTCAATAAGCTAGGGCTGCTCAGGTTCTGTTAGTGTACACTGTGGCATTAAGGAATGCTGGTGTGGTTTTATCACTGGCAGGTAACTGTGGTCTGTGACAGAATGAGGCCCATATGAAAGATCCAACACTTTATCAGATTATCCACATTGCCACAGTCTGGGAGAGCCTAAAAATGATATTATATTTCTAGGCCTGTACTACCCTGTCCTCGTGGAAAAAGCAGATTAACAAGTTAGTTTCCCACCCCTCTACCCTCCCAGGATCTCAGGTATCCCCTACCTATTGCATAAGGGTTGGGCTGAGTTGGTGTAGTGAACCCATCTGTCTGCCCCAGTCCCAAGGCTAATACCTTTGTGATCACTCATTATTCTTGTTGCTTGACCCAGACCTTTGGGCCTGTGTCATCCAGCCTAGGAAGGGAGGTTATATCCTGTATTAACTTGACATGTCTGATAACATCCACTATACTGGAAGGATTAAACGCTCCCTGCCTCCAGGGGAACCCTAGCATCCTGGTATTCCTTGGTCTTGTTCTCCACCTCTGTGGAATCCCATAGAGGAGAAGAACCCAGGAGAAGTATCACCTTGAAGTTAGGGAGCCTTGTCTGGGGTACTAGGGTGGCCTAAACTGCAAACCACCCTCCAGGACATGCACTGTAAAGGGGAAGAACAAAAATCATAGTTTGGAACACTGGAATTGGGATTTTGCAGGCACAGCCTAATCAGGCAGCTACTTAGTCCACCTCCACCTCCACCAAGCTCTGCATCTCTGTCAACCTCCAGGCAGCTACTTAGTCCACCTCCACCTCCACCAAGCTCTGTCAACTTGAGCTGCAGTACCATGTTTCCCTTGGATTAGAGTGCAGTGTTTAGTGACCACATTGCTCTAGTCAGAAGGGGTTGTCACTCCATTAGCAGGCCATCTTGATGTCATTTCTTCAGTTGTTTTGTGAGTTGGCTCCACCACCATTCAACAGCTCCATTGGCCTGAGGATGACAAAGTGTATGGAAAGTCCATTGTATTTTAGGAGAATGCACACATTGTTGTGTTATTTGGGTAGTAACCATTCCTTGGTCAGAGTGAAGTTCCGTGGGGTAATCAAAAACATGACATGTGTTCCTTTTAAGAGAAGCTATGTTAGTCCCATCCTCCACATGAGTGACATATATACTTTCCCATTCCAGACAGCAAGTTATTGTAATAGTACTTGTCCTTTAATAATCCATCCACTTAGTTGCCTTTCTTCTGACGAGATGTCTAGGTTGTTGGCAACAGCTGATGAGTCAGTGAAAATGTAGCAAGATAGGGTGGTAGAGGAAGTCTATGTGGCTATCACCACTGCATGTAGTTTGGCCCATTGTTCAAAATGCCCATGTCCAGTCTCAGCCATGAGATACCTATCCACTGGCTAGATGGCTACCACAGCCCAGGGAACCCTGCCTGCTTGCCATTTGGAAGAGCCATCAGTAAACAAGCCATGTCATACTGTCAGTAGGCACGTCTCAGTCTTGGGCCCCAGGTATCCATAGGAGGATCCAAAACATCCCCTACATGTTGTTTAGTCCCTTCTGGCAAGTTAGCCACTTGCTCATGGAGCCTACTGGTCTCTTGGCTGCTAAGCCCAATCTTTTGAATGTATCCTATCCATTTGATCATTGAGCTGTATTGAGCCTGTCCAATTTCATTGGCAAGGTTTGTGAGTGCCCAGGTGAGAATGGACAGTTCAAGTTGCAGTGTCTTTTGTGGCAGTTCAGTCACAAGATGCTCAGTCTCCTTTAGTGTCCAATGGCAAGCAAGGAGTTGTCATTCAAAAGAGGTGTATCTGCAGGCGGCCTCAGGCAACTTACATGTCCAAACTCCAAGAGGCTTGCACACCCCATTGGCAATTTTCTGTTGCCACAGACTCCAATCCACATGCAGAGTGGTTATGCACACATGTCATTTCATCAGGGTAGCAGGCTTTAAAGCTTTTAAAGTCAGTGCCTGGGCCACAGCTCATTGAATGGCTTCCAAAGCCTGCTGCTGCAAAGGGTTCCACTTAAAGTTAGTAGCTTTGCTGGTCACCTGACTAAGGGGACCAACAGAACACCCAGGTGGGGTACATACTGTCTCTAGTACCCAAAGATGCCTGCCAGCTATTAGGCCTCCTTTTTATTAGTGAGTACCTCCAGGGTTAAAAATATTTATTTCACTGTCTCTGGAATACCTTTTTGGCATCCTGCCCAAGTGACTCTGGCATTCAGCCTGGACAGTCCATTGTTAGTCTCTGTGCCCCAAAGGCCTTTTTGACCAGCCAGAAGAGGCTGTTACATTGTGATAGTGTAGTGTGTAGCAAGGCCTGAATTAGCAAAATAATACCCTATTTTCCACTTAGCTTGCAGTACTGCTTTTGCGGAAGAAACTTGGGACTTGGGTAGCTTAGGTGGCAGGCTGAAGTGGATATGTTCCACTGTTAGGCTCGAATTCTTGGCTATGATGTGGTGATATTCTGTTCCACAAGCAGCCAGAGTGTCAATGCGTATGTCAACTAAAGAAAAAAAAAGCTTTTAAAGAGTTACGGTGGGTTTTATTTATAAGTTTTATTGAGGACTATAGACCAAGGCCTATAGCCTGGTGGCAGCCCTGTGGAGGGTTTTTATTAGACTGTTTGGCACAGTATTTTAGCCCAATGCTTATATAGAGATGGTAAGTGTTTAGTACATGTAAAATTGTATTAAACTTGTTCAGAAGTTATATTAGAGCAGAATCAGATCAAGGTTTGGGTGTAAGAGTACATCTGGCTATAGATTACAGAGGCATAATCACTAACCCTGTCAGACATTATCTTATCTGTAGAAGAGGAAAGGACTAGGATTATTTATCTTCTAAGGAATACAGTGACTAGGGCAAGAGGCATGGGGGTGGGAGTGGTCTATCCTGTTTTGTCTTTAAAGCGTCTTTCTGAGAGCTGCACATCATCACAGAGTCAGGGGCTTTGTGAAATCATGCTGGAAAGCAGAAATGAGCATAGTGTGATGGTTACTACTGAGTGTCAACTCGATTGGATTGAAGGATGCAAAGTATTGATTCTGGGTGTATCTGTGAGGGTGTTGCCAAGGGAGACTAACATTTGAGTCAGTGAACTGGAAAAGACAGACTCAGCCTTAATCTGGGTGGACACAATCTAATCAGCTGCCAGCATGACTAGGATAAATTGCAAGCAGAAGAATGTGAAAAGACTAGACTGTCTTAGCCTCCCAGCCTACATGTTTCTCCTGTGCTGAATGCTTCCTGCCCTTAAACATAGGACTTAAAGTTCTTCAGCTCTGGGACTCGGGCTGGCTTCCTTGCTCCTCAGTTTGCAGACGGCCTATTGTGGGACCTTGTGATCGTATTAGTTTAATACTCTTTAATAA
Organism: Homo sapiens; assembly: GCF_000001405.40. Classification (NCBI taxonomy): domain Eukaryota; kingdom Metazoa; phylum Chordata; class Mammalia; order Primates; family Hominidae; genus Homo; species Homo sapiens. The sequence continues at coordinate 76,770,131 of NC_000006.12, read as the reverse complement.
ACTCCTATATATATAATAGGTGATATATATATATACAAAATAGGCTATATATACATATCGCCTATTAGTTCTGTCCCTCTACAGAACCCTGACTTATACACATGGCTTCTTTTTATTTTTTATGTTTGTGGGCACATAGTAGGTGTATATATTTAAGGGATGCATGATGCTTGCTACTTTGTCTCACAACTCTCATGTACTCAGCTATGGGAACCACAGTCTCTGGCACCTGAAATGGCTCAAAGGACCCCAAGCATAAGCAAATAAGTACTGCGAGTCACATATTTGTCCCCAATTCTCCTGAGGTCATCAGTTTAATTTTTCCCCTAAGGGGACCTGGAAGTATTGTTATGTGGGCTCTAATATCCAAGAGCCCCCAGAAAAGTCCGAGTTCCTTTCTTTTCTCCTCTTGTTTTAACAGGATTATAGGGACATTGGCATTGACCTCCAGTTGAGAACCTAATTTCTCAGGCTGACTGGCCCCATTTCTAACTGTACCATTCTGCCTGAGACATTTGGATTTGCAATGTCCCTTGATTTAAAAAAAAAAAAAATCAACCAGGCTGCATGAGATTCCTCTGGCCTTTCTCTATATTTATGCTTTAGATAATGAGTCTCTCTTTCTGTGAAGGCCCACATAGCACACGTGTTAGTTCCCTTTCAGGGTTCTTCTGAGTACTCACTTTCCCAGTTCTCTAGCCAGGAATGAACAGTCACATAAGTGTCCAAAGCCAGGGGATCCTGTGCCGTGCTCCCCTGTTTCTGCATTCCTCTCTCTCTGCCTCAATCAGCAACCAGCTCACACATCTGGGTGGGGGAGGTGACCTATGCCTACCTTATCACCCTTCTTTCCTGATCAAACATCCAGCTGCACATCCAGCCCCTGTTTGCCCAGGCTGATGCTTATTGGCAAAGTGGGTAGAGCAGTAACCCCCAGTGCCAGCCTGGGGGTTATTTGCTGCCCCTACTTTGCCCATAAGCCATGGTTCTTTCAGACCAGCCTCTACTCACTATGTCAATTTTGTAAAGCAGGTTTACTAATTACCATTTGTCTGAGTCTGGTGAGACAAAACATACACACAACAAGTTATGTGCAACAGATTTATTACTCACAGATAGGCAGCAAGAGACAAAAGAAGCTTAGGATCTGTTGTGAGCCAATCCCTCCATGCCTCAACAAAGCTGCACAGGGCAAGTGAAGTCTCAACTGAGCATGTCCCACTTGCATTACAGCTGAGGAACCCCAACAGGAAGCCCACCCTGGATTATATACATCAGAGGCACGTAACTCATCAGGCAAATCTTTGAAAGACATCTGGCTTCCAGGGAAAAGTGGAGTAAAGCCAAGGCTGTACCAGAGTAGTTCCTCCCTAACTCAAGACGTTGCATTCCCATCACAATCTACAGCTGTTCCTGAGAACTCCAAGCAAGAAAAGGGAGAGAACTAGGTCACTCCAAGGCCACCCAGACAACTGACCTGCAGCACCAAATGTCTATACAATGTTGGTTTCACTTCTCTGTGGTACCCTTTTTCCAGGGCCTTGGCCTAGCTGACTTTTTTATTCCTTGATTATAATTTTTCCCAGGAGACTTTTAAAACTGTTCAGTCTCTACTTTCTGCTTGGCTTCTCTGACACACTCAGGAAACACACAGAGGGGAAAGCACAGTAGACAAGGTCAGCCTATGCTCTCTCTGTAGCCTTGACTTTTCAGGTCCTGGTTTTCTTTCTTTGTTCTTCAATCTAGGCTTTCTTGTTGTCTCAGTGTGATAGTTGATTTGATAAAAGCTACTATGATGTAGCAAGAAATGGACGTCTTAATAATTTATGGTTTTAGAAGTTATTAATTTTTAGTTTTATTGCCCAAACGTTTTCCAAGAAAGTTTTAAAAATTAATAATGCTTAAGTACATGATACATGTAATGCGCTCTGTGGTTTCTTCAGCTTATGCAGAATTCACAGGGGACTAACTGACATATTTAGCTAGTACGCACCTATTTTCTATGTAACCAATGTATATGTCCTCCTTTTTTATAAAGATTTTCTAGACATGTAGGCCCATTTAAATGTGAAAATATATGTATTTTCATATATACATGTATACAAAATTTTTTCCAAGTGTTCAAGGATATTCACAATTTTTTAATGTTTTCAATATGCTTAAATAATTACAAGCAATTAAGTGTATATTTAGTATATTCTTGCTTGGGAATTTAGATCAGTATTGGGTTATAGATGTCTCAAATCTTATATAATCTAATGTGGGAATTTGTATGTTGTATAAAATGTATTTAAATGTAGAACTGCCTTCCCAAATTAGGTTAAATGTGATTAAACATAACCTCAAGCATGCCTAAAGAAATTCTAAACTTAACTAGTGTAATAATTTTTGTAAAAGATATGGAACAATTATTTGATAAAATTTATTATGCCAGAAAAATCCAGCCTTGCTGCTGCAGCAACTATAAATCTGGCCTGATTTTAAAATTCGACAGGTAACATTTTTACAACCACAAGATTTGAGATACTAGTTATAAATGAGGATTCTCTGTGGGACCACTATTCCTGCTGAAGAAAATGAATTCTTCAAAGTCCTCTACATATTATGTGACTTTAATATCTGAATAGTCACTGACATAAAGGGTTGACTTACTTTTAAGTTATTAGTGCCAGCTTTCTATTGGCTTTAAGCTCAGAAATGTAAAAAATTCACCTTCTGAGAAATATGACACACTTTGATTAATTAATTTTTAACCAAAAAAAATCAGGATGGGAAATTTGATTGGCAAGGTATAATGAAAAATGTACCCAATGTCTTTTGCATGTTAGTTTCATCAAGGGAGATAGCTTCAGTCACATAAGGTCCTACCATATTTTGAAAAGTAAAACACAACAGAGTACCATCACCATCTTAATATTGTGTTACTTTCTGGCCTTGTCTTCTTCAGCTATTCAGATCTTGAATGTCTGTAGGACATTCTGGCTTCTATCAGAAAGAAGGCTAAACTTTTTCTTCTTAGTATAAGGAGTGACCATAAACAATGGCTTGCCAAATCAAGGCATTCCTCGTGGTGCAGTATTACAAAATAAAGCTTCACCCTCCTTGGATGTGTAAATTGCATGCTAGGTGAGAGCACTTAGAACCACACCTTAGGTCTTTACTCTAAAATACATGGTCTGGATTCACCAAAATGGCATGAACCCTCAGTCATACTGCAGGAAAACTGACCTCACATCAACTATTCAGCCCAATGTTGGTGGCAAGATTGTCCAGATCACATCCAAAGACTCTTCAGCTTTCTGCCATCAAGCATATAAAGCTCCTAGAAAAACTTCCATATAATTTAAAACACCAAACCTTCTCAGTGAAGCAGAACCCCATGGAAAGCAGGTTTAGAGAATTGCTCCAATTCTATGAGACCTCTCAAAATATAGAGCTAAGAACCAACAAAAGATAAGACAGCAGCTCCTTAGATAGCATAAACATCAGTGACATTCACAGTTTACATCTCATACATGTAGAATAAAGATAAAACCATCAGTTTTAACTATTCAATAATGCAGTGTTAAAGTCTCAGATACTCATAGAGTATTATCTAATAGTGACCTCCTTATCTATATGAATCCAACTTCTTCCAGTTTATGTTAAGCTTTTATTTATTTTTTATGCATTTTTTCTTGTATGCATTTATCTCAGCAGTGTATAGTGATGTCTTGTATACAAACATTTGGAAAAGATAACTATAAAAAATCAAAATGAGTTTGTGACTGCAATTTTCTACTTGGCAATTTTTAATATACATTAGGGCACATGTATGAAGATATGTTTGATGAAAGAAATGAAATGTCTGGGGGAATTTGAAGTAGCTTCTTCCTTCATTTACTGACAGAAATAATTCAGATAAGATCTTAAAATATTCTGTAACATTTGCAGAGTGCTTTAAACATGAGGTAGATCTTATTTTTTTATTTAACATCAAATTGGCTCCCATTCTCAAAAAATCTATTGTCACTAAATCTTTCTGAAACAGAAATATACACATATATACATGTCTGAATAATAAAATGGAAACATTTTAAAATTTTTGATAAATATTTCATGATCTGCTATGGACTTATTTTCCCTCAAATTCAAATCTTTAATATCTTCTATAGTCTTAATGAATACCTGTTTCCAAAAGGCATATATTTTTGGTGTTAGTATAAATATTTTTACATTATCATCTCGCTTTGGTCTTCATTATTTTGAAGGATTTTTTTCTAGATATAACTGTAGCTCCCTAGCCATGACTTCAACCACTTTCTCAGAAAAATGTCTTTTCCCCCACTATACATTTGTGTTTGCAATAGAAGATCCATTGATCCTTCTTTGGTGGCCCAGGAGTAAGCTCCTATTCCATGCTGAGTTACATCATTTTACCCATACCTAGGGCCAGATATAAGTGGTTCGGGAATGTGCACCTGATCCAAGTTGGATCTGTAAGGAAGCTTCCTTAGAATTTTTCTTTTTAATTTGAGAATAGTGACATTTCATCTTAATCACTTTTTGGTGAAGAAGTTGAGAGCCATCAGCCGACTTTCTTCCATCCTCATAGAAGGAACTTATCTGAGATAAAGTAGTTGCTATGAATAGAGTTTGACAAGCAAGATGGAAAAAGAGAGGCTTGACAGAGTTGGAGTCATTGGTGTGGTTTTCCTGAGGTGAGCCTGCCTCCCTCAAGTGTTAATTAGGTAAGTAAATAAATTAACTGTCTTGCCTAGACTGATCAAGCTGGATTTCCCTCATCTGAAAACAACAAAAAGTCCTGACTAGTCTGCCCTGTAATACATATTTTATTGCCTCCATTTCTAATAATTTTCATATTGACACATTAGATATCCCAGATCTCACCTTTGTTTCTTTCCCCTAGGATTTTTGCCTTGAAGATTTTCTTAAATTTTATCTTTAATATTTTTTGTATTCTTAGCTCTTCATATTTAGATATTTCTTTCATTATATAATTAAGAAAAGTTAGCTAGTGGTTCAATTATTAACAGACACTCATTTATTTAATAACTTATTAACAACTGTATTTTATATCCCAAATGTGTCCACTATTTATAACATTTAGATTCCTTTTATCAATGTAACTATTCCAAAAAGTCATAAAAAGAAAGTCTCATTTTAGAATGAGTCAGGTACTAGCTTTTGAAATTTTCATAGCTGTCATAATGATTGACTTACTGTCACATTTTAAAAACAATACAAATATATCTGTGATAATATCAAAGTCCTAGGAGACCAACTTTCTATTTTATTCTATTAATGACATAATGGTCAAGGATTTTAAAATTAATGAACCAATGAGATTTTTCCAAAGCAGAACGAACAGAAAAATCTGAGAAAATAATAATAACGTGTACCTGTACAATATGTGAAGATGTAGACTCAGTATTAAATTGTTTTTAGATTTAGAAAAAAATTATAAAATTTTGTAAGGTACATTCTTGGTGTTGTTTCAATATCCAATATGTCTTAAGAAAGTGAGTTATATTTCCAGAGGAACAAATAAGGCAATAAAAATAAAACCTAATATTACTTCTCAGGAACAATAGAGTGTCAAACATTGCAAAGAACAAGAAATAAGACAGATTATGTCTCTAAAAATCTTGGCATGGATTCAAAACAAACTAGATACTAAATAATATCAATGTCTGAAAGAGATTATTTTAATATTTTAGAAAAAGTAACGAGTTCTTCATGAGAATTTTCACTTTCCTAGTGTATATCTATAACTCCACTTTTGTTTCTGTAGCTACATCTTGACCTTAACATCCAAGATAAGCTATTCATTTAAGTGTTCCTCGTACTCTTTCTGTCTCTCACATAACATGTCTTATCATTGTCCTACAATATAAAACAGATTATGAGGGAAGGTTTTCCAGAGTCATAAAAACAAGATACATTTTATTATCCAACATTAGGTAATTAAAAATGTGAACATATTGCTGCAAGCAATCTACAGGGGTTTTTTTTTTGCAATCCAATCTGTACTATCTTTTAAATATATAGACAATTATACACATATAATTATATTTTTATGTGCACAGTATATGTAATTATATTTTTATATAAATAATTTTAAATATTGGTGCTTTAGCTCTAATTAAACTTATTTTGCTCATCGAAAATTTGCAGATAAGGCTCTGGAGTTCCTTCTTTTTTGAATAATATAAAACGTCCTCAAAATGTAAAATAATTACACTTGCTTAAAATATTCGAGTGCTTTTACTCTAGCCATTTACAATATGTTTCACACGTATATTTGACTAAGACTTTGCTAGTAACCTAAATGTAGTATAAAACTGGACCCTAGCATATATTCAAAGTCACCTCATTAGGGGATAATATTCTGACACTTTTCTAGAGAGTGTGACATGAAAGACCTTCAAGAATTAGAGCTCAAGAGGGGAACATCTCAGAGATGAATTTATCTATCAACTTTTTAAATATTTGCAATAATATATCCACATTTTAAAGTTTAAAAGACAATATTCCATATTTAAATTAATATGGATATTGCATCAGCAGTTGGGATTCCCAATTCCTTTCCACTTGCTCCTCTGGCTCCTGAGAATGCTCAGCTTTCATAAAAGTTCTATCAAATCCCTAGTGAGACACCCCAAAGTGGAATTCAAGATGCTTCCAATCTTTTCATGTTTCAATCTGGGTTTATTATTTTTATCATCCAATACTTTATAAATGTTTATCCAAATGTTTATTTTCACACAAAAATTGAGAGGTTTTCCTCTTTATATATTAAAGAATAGCACTTCTTTAATTGCTATTAAAGGAGGTCTGCCCCATGATCTAATCCCCTCCCACCAGGTCCCTCCCTTGACATGTGGGGATTACAATTTGAGATGGGATTTGGGTGGAGATACAAAGTCAAACCGTATCACAGACCAAACCCAATTTAACACAAAATCTCTAAGCTGCATTTGGTATTAGCTAGGATAGCTGGTGTAACAGCAGAGCACGGCAATAGCTTATGACAATAGCAGTTAGTTTTTCTTTATTTAACAGGACAATGCAGACGTTATTAGCTGGCAGATGGCTTTTCCACATATAATTTCTTCTGTCTGATAACTTCATCATTCCCTTGGGTTTGTGACCTCTGAATTCAGACAGGAAGGGAAAAAGAGAAGGTAGGAAAGGCATACCTGCCTTTTCATTCATCTAGGCCCAAAAGTGACATATTTTTTTGATTCATATAGCCCAACCTAGAAGCAAAAGGATGTGGGATGGGGAGACTTGAAATTTTAGCCAGCAGAAATTCTATAATAAAAGGCGTTGAGTAAGTTTTCACGGATATTTAAACCTTCCAAAACAATAGAGAATAATTATTTTATACACTAATAAAAAAATACCTAACTACATATTACAAAGACACTTTACCTGGCATAATACTTAGCATTTTTGCCACACACTCCATCCTATCAGTTACAATATCTGTTAATATTTATATCCAAAACGATCACCTAACATGTAACATCAGCTCGACTTTTTTCCTGGAGCATTTCTTACTGGAGCCCTCTGTCCTTCTGCTCTAATCTGGATTAGAAGCTCTTTGGCCTCTGATATGCTTTGGCTGTGTTCCCGCCCAAATCTCATCTTGAATTGTAGTTCCCATAATCCCAAGTCGTGGGAGGGACCATGTAGAGACAATTGAATCATGGGGGTGGTTTCCCTATCCTGTTCTCATGAGAGTGAGTTCTCACAAGATCTGATGGTTTTATAAAGCACTTTCCCCTTCGCTGGGCACTCATTCTTCCCCTTCCTGCTGCCATGAGAAGAAAGACATATTTTCTTCCTCTTCCACCATGATTTTAATTTTCTTGAGTCCGCCCCATCCCTGTGGAAATGTGAGTCAATTAAACCTCTTTCCTTTATGAATTACACACTCTTGGGCATGTCCGCATAGCAGTTTGAGAATAGACTAATACAGTACATTGGTACCAGGAGTGGGCTTTACTTTGCAAAACCACAGGGGCAGAGCTGCCCAAGGCCATGGGAGCCCACCTCTTGCATCAACATGACCTGGATGTGAGTCATGGAGTCAAAAGGAGATCATTTTGGAGCTTTAAGATTTGACTGCCCTGTTGGATTTCAGACCTGCATGGGGCCTATAACCCCTTTATTTTGACCAATTTCTCCCATTTGGAATGGGTGTATTTACCTAATGCCTGTACCCCCATTGTATCTAGGTAGTAACTAACTTGCTTTTGATTTTATAGGCTTATAGGCAGAAGGGACTTGCCTTGTCTCAGATGAGACTTTGGAATTGGACTTTTGAGTTAATGCTGGAATGAGTTAAGACTTTGGAGGACTGTTGGAAGGGCATGATTGTGTTTTGAATTGTTAAGTACATGAGATTTGGGAGGGGCCAGGGGCAGAATGATATGGTTTGGCTGTGTCCCTACCCAAATCTCATCTTGAATTGTAGTTCCCATAATTCCCATATGTCATGGGAGGGACCAGGCGGAGATGATTGAATCATGGGAACAGTTTTCCCCATCCTATTCTTGTGATAGTGTGTTAGTTCTCATGAGATCTGATAATTTTATGAGGGGCTTCCCCCTTCACTGGGCACTCATTCTTCCTCTTGCTGCCACCATGAGAAGAAGGATGTGTTTGCTTCCCTTCTGCCATGATTGTAATTTTCCTGAGGCCTACCCAGCACTGCAGAACTGTAAGTCAATTAAACTTCTCTCTTTATATAAATTACCCAGTCACAGGTATATGTCCTTATAGCAGTGGGAGAATGGACTAATACATTCTGATAATAATGTTAACCTTCAACCTCTCTTTACTGCTTTCTTTAATTGGAATTTCTATTTCCTAGTTCTATTTCAGTCTCTTTCCTGTTTAATCTGCTTGTGTTGCTGAAGCATACGCTCTAAATCTTCCTACAAAGCATGAAAAGGAAAAATTTTCTGTCTTTCATACTTTACATTTTTTATTCTATTTTTGCTGTGGTGTGAATGTGTCCTTCTCTGATAATGTAAAATATTTATTTGGCCTTTATTTCATTTCTTGTCTTAGACCTCCTAAAAATCCCTGAAATCTCTAAAGTAATAAATGTCTTTGTGTATGCCAATGAGTTGACTGATGCCTGGCAGCCCCCAAGTAGTTTTAGGATGGAGCCTGGTCACCAAAAAGACCAGGCATGATTGCAGAGTTGTTATTTTCAGCTCCACCCCAACCTCCAAGGAGAAGACAGGTACTGAAGGTTGAGTTGATCACCAGTAACCAGTGGGCCAATGATTTCATTAATCATGCCTATGTAATGAAGCCTCCATAAAAAAACAAAAGGACTGGGTTCAGAGAGCTTCCAGATAGCTGAACATGTAGAGATTTGGGGAGGGTGGCTCCACGTCATTTCTCACATCTCTTGCCCTATGCATCTCTTCATCTGTATCGTTTGTAATATCATTTATAGTAAGCCAGTAAATGTAAGTAAAGTGTTTCCCTGAGTTCTGTGAGCTGCTTCAGCAAATTAATCCAACCCATAAAAGGGGTTGTGGGAACCCCAGTTTATAGCCAGTGGATCAGAACATAGACATAATAACCTGAGCTGTGCAATTAGCATTGGAAACGGGGCTCTGTGAGACTGAACTTTCAACCAGGGGGATATAATGCTGTCTTCAGGTACATAGTGTCAGAATTGAATTGAATTAGAGGACACCCAACTGGTGTCCACTGCAGAATTAATTGCTTGCTTGCCGGTAGAGAGAAAACCCCAGACATCTGGTCAGACATGTGTTTTGAGTGTATAGTAGAAGAAACTGAATGTTTTTTCCTACTCAGCCCCAAAGTTCATGTGTTGGAAACTTAATCCCCAGTGCAACAGTGTTAGGAAGTGGGGCCTAATACAAAGTAATTGGGTCATGAGGGCCCTGCTTTCAAGAATGGATGAATGTCATTATTATGGGAGAGGGTTAGTTACCTAGAAAGTGGGCTTGTAACAAAAAAAGTGAGTTCTGCCACCTCTTGCTTTCTTGCCCTTCTACCTTTTGCCATGGGATAAGGTAGCATGAAGGCCCTCACAAGATTCCAGCACCATGCTCTTGGGCCTCCAGAATCGTGAGTCAAATGAACTTCTATTGTTTATAAATTATTCAGTCTGTGACAGTCTGTTTATAGCAGCAGAAAAATAACTAAGACAATCTTCACACTTGATTGATAATTTGGCTGATCATTAAATTCTAAATTAAAATTGTTTTCACTGAAAAGTTTGAAAAAATTGCTTTATTTCCTTCTAGAATCTATTATTATTTTTGAAGTTAAATATTAATTGTATTCCTAGTCTTTTATATGTGACCCATGGAAGATTTTAGGATCTTTACACACAGGCAGGGCCAACTGCATGTGCATGTAACCAGTTCAGTTACACAGGGCCCTATGTTCTGAAGGGCCCCAAGCTTGGTTTAATGTTTTGCTTTGGTTTTATGTCTTAAGATTGTTAATAATTGTTTCTAAATGTGTGTTACAACTGAAGACTGATGGAACAAGGGAACGTGTAAGTGCTCACACATGGTAGCACCTCCTGCCATCTTACTGCATTCCTTCAGCTGTCCATTCCCTAGACCCCTAGCACACCAAGCCCTACCCAGCTTTCTCCTCTCCCCGGATCCTGTCCAGTGATCCTTGCAGCCCCCCACCCACAGTGGGGCCTGGGTGGAGGCTAAGGGGCACAGATATTTGGTGTCTGGGTAGCAAGCACATTTTGCATTGCAGAGTTGCAATACTTTGGTGTTGCCCATCTGTAGTGGGCTGGGGTAAAAGTTTTGTGAGACAGGGGATTGCCTGGCTTGACATATCCATCACTGGCTGGAGCACAGACCTGAATTTGGTAGCTGAGATGACAGGGAACTCACTCAATCAAGGGAGGGAGTCCCTAACCCTCTATGAGGGCCTACACTTATGCTGTCAGTATCATCATGCACAAGGGAGTGTACCATCAATATCCAATAAAATATATCATAATAGGCTGAGAGACACTGCAGAATAAAGAATGCTGTTTGATATTTTAGTTACTTTAATGACACTTTTTGCCTGCTTTTTGAACAAGGGACCTTCATTTTCAGTTTGCACTAAGCCTCACAATTATGTAGCCAGGATTCTGACTTTTTTTTTCTGACATGCCTCAGGGAGTATCTTTCTTCATTCACCAAGCTGGACATACATTGGGCTCTGTAAATTAAGAGGTATGTGTACCTTAGCTTTGGACATTTTTATTATATTATGTAGGTATTTTATTATATTATGTAGGTAATTATAGATAATTACCTACTCTTTGTTTTCTTTTAACTACTTTTTTGTAACTTCTATTAGTCAGCTGTTGCTCATCCACTTTTATACTTTAAGTTAATATTTTCTTGCCGTTTTTTTATCTTTTCTTTTCCTGCCTCTTCTTGGAAGATTTCCCAGGCCATATATTTCAACTCCTGTTTGTAATATTTTATCTTGGCTATTACATTCTTAATTTCTAAATCTTATTCTTTTGTCTTTTGTAAGTATCCTATAAATATCCCCATTCTGCTTTTTTTAATCATTTTTTATTTTTAACTTTTACGGGTACATAGTGGGTGTATGTATTAATAGGGTATATGAGATATTTTGATACAGGCATACAATATGTAATAATCATGGTAAATGAGATATTCATCACCTCAAGCATTTATTATTTATTTGTGATACAGACTTTCCAATTATACTTTTAGTTATTTTTAAATGCGAAATGAATTACTGTTGACTGTAGTCACCCTCTTGTGCTATCAAATACTAGACTTTATTCATTCAGTCTAACTATATTTTTGTACCCTTTAACCATCACCACTCCCTCCACTCTTCACTACCCTTACCAACCTCCGGTAGCCATTATTCTACTCTCTGACTCCTTAAGTTCAATTGTTTTAATTTTTAGTTTCCACAAATGTGTGAAAACATATGAAGCTTGTCTTTCTGTGCCTAGCTTATTTCACTTAACGTTATGTATTCCAGTTCCATACATGTTGTTGCAAATGACAGAATCTTATTTTTTTATGGCTGAATCGTACTCCATTGAGTAATGTACCACATTTTCTTTATCCATTCATCTGTTGATGGACACTTAGGTTGCTTCAAAGTCTTGCTATTGTGAATAGTGCTGTGATAAAAACAGGAGTACAGATATCTCTTCAACTTACAGATTGCCTTTTGTTTAGATATATGCCCAGCAGTGGGCTTGCTGGATCATGTAGTAGCTTTATTTTCAGTTTTCTGAGGAACCGCCATACCATTTTTAATAGTGTCTGTACTAATTTACATTCCCACCAACAGTGTACAAGGTTTTCCTTTTCTCCACATCCCTGAGATTAATCCCTCTTGGCCGGGATGAATTATCTTTTTAATGTGTTGTTGAACTTGGTTTTCTAGTATTTTGTTGAGGATTTTCATAAATGTTTATCGGGGATATTGGCCTCTAGTTTTCTTTTTCTTTTTTTTTTTTTTTTTGATATGTCTTTGGTTTTGGTATGAGGGCAATATTGACCTCTAGAATGGGTTTGTATTCTCTCTTCCTCTATTTTTCAAAGTGGTTTGAGTAGGATTGGTATTAGTCTATAACTGTTTGGTAAAATTTAGCAATGAAGCCATCGGGTCCTGGACTTTTCTTTGGTGGGAGAATTTTTTACAGGTTATTACTTGCTATTGGTCCATTCAGGTTTTGAATTTCTTCATGGCTCAATCTTCACAGGTTATATTTGTCTAGGAATTTATCCATTTCTTGTAGGTTTTCCAATTTATTGGCATATGATTTCTTATAGTAGCCTCTAATAATCCTTTGAATTTTTATGGTATACGTTGTAATGTCTCCTTTTTCAACTCTAATTTTATTTATTTGGGCCTTTTTTCCTGTTAGTCTGGCTAAAGGTTTGTCAATTTTGTTGATTTTTTAAAAAGAACTTTTTTTATTTCATTGATTTTTTTGTGTTGTTTGTTGTTGTTGTTTATGTTTTATTTATTTCTGCTCTGATTTTTATTATGTCCTTTATCAATTTGAGGTTTGGTTTGCTTTTGCTTTTCTAGTTCTTTAAGATGCATCATTAGGTCGCTTTTCTGAAGTTTTTCTACTTTTTTGTTGTAGGTGATAAACTTTTCTTTTAGTATTTATTTTGCTGTATTCCATTGGTTTTGGTATGTTGTGTCTCCACTTTCATTTGTTGCAATACATTTTTCAATTTCCCTCTTAATTTCTTCATTGACTCCTGTTCATTTAGAAGTATATTGCTTAATTTCCATGTGTTTGTGTAGTTACTGAAATTCCTCTTGTTGATTTCTAGTTTTATTATGTTGTGGTCAGAGAAGATACTTGATATGATTTCAATTGTTTTGAGTGTTTCAAGCCTTGTTTTGTGGACTAACATATGATCTATCCTTGAGAATGATCCAAATGATCCATGTATTCAGGAGAAGACTGTGTATTCTTCAGCCACTCGATGACATATTCTGTAAATGTCAACTAGGTACATTTGATCTATAATGCAGATAAAGTCCAAAGTTTCTTTAATGATTTTCTGTTTGGATGATATCTCCAAAGCTGAATGTGGGGTGTTGAAGTCTCCAGCTATTACTGTATTGGTGTCTATCTTTCTTTTTAGCTCTAATAATACTTGCTTCATGTATCTGAGTGTTCTAGTTTTGGGTATGTATATATTTACAACTATTATATCCTCTTGTTGAACTGACCTCATATCATTATATAATGACCTTCTTTGTCTCTTTTTATAGCTTTTTCTTGAAATCTATTTTGTGTGATATAAGTATAGTTATTCCTGCTCTTTTTCAGTTTCCATTTGCATGGAATATCTTTTTTTTAATCCTTTTGTTTTCAGTCTATGGGTGTCTTTGTAGGTTTATTGTATGCAAGAGATAGCTGTGTCTTATTATTTTTATCCATTTAGTTACTTTATGTATTTTGATTGGGGAGTTCAGTCCATTTCCATTCAATGTTATTATGGATAAATAAATACTACTTTCATTTTGTTATTTATTTTCTCGTTGCTTTGTGGTCTTCTCTTTCTGTCTTCTTTTCTTCCTGTCTTCCTTTTTGTGAAGGTAATTTTTTCTGATGCTATGTTTTCATTTCTTCCTTTGTATTTTTTGTGTATCTAGGGAAGGTTTTTTTATTTCAGATTACCATTTGGCTTGAAAATAATATCTTCTAACCGATTTTAAACTGATGATGACAGTGATTCCAAAAGAAACACACTAACAAACAAGCAAATAGAAAACTAATAAAAAGTCTTCACTTTAACTTCATCTCCTCCTGCCTTGTAACTTTTTGTTGTCTCTATTTATATCTTACTATACTGTTTATGTCTTGAAAAGTCGTCATAGGTATTATTTTTGATAGGTTCATCTTTAGTCTTTTTACTAAAGCCATGTATATTTCACACCACACAATTACAGTTATTATTCTGTGTTTGTCTGTGTACTTTCTACTACAAGTGAGTTTTGTACCTTCAGATGATTTCTTATTACTCATGAACCTCCTTTTCTTTCACATTGAAGAACCCCTTTAGCATTTTTATAGGACACATCTGGTGTTGATGAAATTCCTCAGCTTTTATTTGTCTGGGAAAGTCTTTATTTCTCCTTCATGTTTGAAGGGTATTTTTGCTGGATATACTATTCTAGGATATAAGTACTTTTTTTTCCTTCAGTACTTTAAATATGTCATGCCCCTCTCTCCTAACCTGTAAGGTTTCCACTGACAGGTTGGCTGCTGGATGTATTGGAGTTCCTTGTATGTTATTTATTTCTTCTCTATTTCTGCTTTTAGGATTCTTTCTTTATCCTGGATCTTTAGGAGTTTGATTATTAAGTGTCATGAGGTAGTCTTCTTTGGGTTAAATCTACTTGGTAATCCACAACTTTCTTGCCCTTGAATATGGATATCTTTCTCTAGGTTTGGAAAGTTCTCGGTTATTATGCCTTTAAATTAATTTTCTAATCTGATCTCTTTCTCTACCTCCCCTTTAAGGCCAATGACTCTTAGTCTTGCCCTTTCGGAGGCCATTTTCTAGATCTTGTAGGAATGTTTTATTTTATTCATTTTATTTATTTATTTATTTATTTACTTATTTATGAGACAGATTCTCGCTCTGTCACCCAGGCTGGACTGCAGTGGCATGATCTCAGCTCACTGCTACCTCCACCTACCGGATTCAAGTGGTTCTTCTGCCTCAGCCTTCTGAGTAGCTGGGACTACAGGCATGCGCCACCACACCTGGCTACTTTTTTGTATTTTTAGTAGAGATGGGGTTTCACTATGTTGGCCAGGCTGGTCTAGACCTCCTGACCTCAGGTGACCTGCCTGCCTCAGCCTCCCCGAAGTAGGATTACAGGCATGAGCCAGTGTGCCTGGCTGCTTTATTCTTTTTTATTATTTTTCCTTTTGTCTGCTCTGTGTACTTTCAAATAGCCTGTCTTTAAGCTAACTAATTCTTTCTTCTTCTTGATCAGTTCTGCTGCTGAGATATCTTGAGGTATTCTTCAGTATATCAATTGAAGTTTTCAGCTCTAGAGTTTCTGTTTTATTTTGCTTAAATTATTTCAACCTTTGTTAAAGTTATCTGGTAGGATTATGAATTCCTTCATTTTGTTATTTAAATTTTGTTGATCTTCCTTAAAACAGCTATTTTGAATTCTCTGTCTGAAAGTTCACATATCTTTCTCAGGTGGGATTGGTCATTGGTTCCTAGTTTAGTTCATCTGGTGAGGTCGTATCTTCCTGTATGGTATTGATACTTGCAGATGTTTGTCAATATCTAGGTATTAAACAGTTAGGTTTTTATTGTAGTCTTTGCTGTCTGGACTTACTTGTACCCATCCTTCTTGGCAAGGCTTTCCAAGTGTAAAAAGGGAATTGAGTGTTGTGATTTAAATCTGGTCACTGCAATTATATCTGCATTAGGAGGCACCCCAAGGCCAGTAACACTGTGACTCTTGCAGACTCATACAGGTACCACCTTGGTGGTCTTGGCTAAGATCTTGGAAAGTTCTCTAGATTACCAGGTAGACACACTTGTTCTCTTCTTACTTTCCCTCAATCAAACATAGTCTCTCACTATGTGCTGGGCTGCCTGGAACTGAGGAGGTGTGACACAAGCATTCCTGTTGCCAACACCACCGGTATTGTGCTGGGCCAGACTCAAAGCCAGCACAACACTAGGTCTCACCCAAGGCCCACGGTGACCACTGCTTGGCCAACACTGATGCTCACTCAAGGCTCAAGGGCTCTACTGTCAGTAGGTGTCAAATTAAGTCAGCCTCATGTCTTTCCTTTCAGGGTGGCAAGCCCCTCACTGTCCCAGGGTAGGTCCAGAAATGCCATCTGGTAGCCAGAACCTGGATTTAGGAACATTAGGAATCTACTTGGTGCTCCATTCTACTGTGGCCAACTGTCACCCAAGCTGCAAAACAAAGTCCTTCCCACTCTTCCTTCTCCCTTCGTCATGAAGTTTCTCCCCATGGTCACTACAGCCCCAGGCCCACAGTGAGTACTGCCTGGCTACCAACAGCATTCACTCAAGGCCCAAGAGCTCTTCAGTAAGCTTGAGGTGAATTCTGCCAGGACTGGGTCTCTGACTTCAAGGCAGGGGCCTCCCCTTGGACTAGAGCAGGCCTAGAAATCCTGTCTAGTAGCCAAGACCTGGAACTGGGAAACTCAGGAGACTTCTTGGTGCTCTACCCCACTGTGGCCAAGTCGATGCTCAACTGCAAGACAAAGTCCACTTTATTTTTTCTTCTTCTTTTCCCAAACATAAGGAGCCTCCCTCTATGACCACCAGAGCTGGGAATGCATGGTGTAACATCTGAGGCCAGCATGGCCCTGTGTCAACTATGGCCTGAGTACTGCTGATGTTTACTCAGGGCCCAAGGCTCTTCATTCAGCTTGTGGTGAATTCTTCTAGGACTTGCTCCTTCCTTCCAAGGCAGCGGGTTGCCTTCTGCCCCAGGGTGTGTCTAGAAATGTCATCCAGGAGCTAGGGCCTGGGATGGGATTCCAGGACTCTGACGCCCTATGCTACTGTGGCTGAGCTGGTATCTAAGGTGCAAGACAAAGTCCTCTTTACTCTCCCCTCTCCTCAAATGGAAGGAATGTGTCCCTCCCAAACTGCAAACTGCACTGCCTGGGGTTGCAGAAGGGATGATGCAAGCACTCCCTTGGCCACCCTGGCTGGTGTCTCACTAGGTCACATGCACCACAAGACTACTGTCTCTAAGCCCAAATAAATACCAAGACATCTCCAGGAATTGCAGCCCTTATGGCCTGGATTGCCTTTCAATTTTGCTTAGGACCTCAGAGTGTTTTAGCCTGCAGTAGTGGGGCTAGCCAGAAATCAGGTTCCATCCACTGGGATGAATAACTCCTCTCTGGTGAGGGCTGATCTAAATGTTCTCTCCATGAGCACTGGCTAAATTCTGTACCATGTTGCTTTCCACTGTGACAGGGCTGCACTGAGTTTCAATGCAGAGTCTCACAGTCATTGCACTCTCTCTTGCCCAAGACACAGATTCTCTGTCACACAGCTACTGCCAGCAGATAAAAGAGGGGTGGTTTCAGCAATTCAAGACTGTCTTTCCTTCCCTCTAGTGCCTCTTTCCTTGATGTGATGTTAAAACCAGGTACTGTGATCACTTCCTTGATTTTTGATTCTTATAAAGGTGCTTTTTTGTATTGATAGTTGTTCAATTTAGTGTTCCTGTGGCAGGGATGGGGGAGCAATCTCTGGAGGATTCTATTCAGTCATCTTGCTCTGCCTACTCCTCCATATTCTTTACCCATTCTGTTTTTTTAAGTGTAATATTGTCTCATATCAAAATGCCTTTTTGTTTGTTTGTTTTAATGGTTTTTGTTCATTTGTTTCTATTTCTAGCACTCTGTTTCTTCAGAGTTTTTCTCAGAGTTATTTCTTTTGGTCTCTTTTTTCATGTTGAAGAGGTTTCCTAAAATGTTTCTTAATCCTTAGAAATCTCTATACCTTTAAGAGTGAAATACCTATAGAAATGGATGGTCTTTGTGCCTCTGCAAGACTTGTTAATTTAAATGTATCAAAGGAAAATGAATGATGGCCATCTTTGCATTTGTGACTCACAAATGTTTATAACTATAAGTTTATTCCCTAGAATTGGTCAGAACGAAATTACCCAGACTTCAACCTGATGGTCATGTGTCTGAATATTTACATTTGAATGAGCTGCACAAACTTATGTAAACTTTCATGTAATCCCTCTATGTTTAGTTCTGTGCCCTTTGTTTAGTTCCAACCCATTGATTTTTCTGCCATCAATGAGTTCAGAGTTTCTCTGGTAAAATAATAATAATAATAATAATAATAATAATAATAATAATAATAATCATCTAGAATTGCATTTTGCTAAACTTATAACCTGAAAGTAGGTTAGGTAGATAAAATGAGGCGGAGGCAGCTGCTTGGACAAATAGAGTAAAGGAGGGGAAGTGGGTTCCAATCACTCTGCATGCAAACTTTTAAATTCCAACTGTTCACCTAATTTCTGTCACTCCCTAGGGGTTCTGCAAGGTGTTTATGCTCACTACTAAACCAAAGATCCTCTCTGGGTACAATAAATTATATCCCAATCCATTATATTCAGACAATTATCTCCCCTCCATCTGCTTTCTCTCCCTCAAAAACATTGAAGTCTCTTTCCCACATATGTATCAACTCTCTTTCTCTTTGTACTTGTGTTTGCAAACTTTGTTTTGTTTCTGTACTACCATTCAATAGCATTTCATAAAATTGAAAGAATATGGGTGTGCTCAATTTAGCAACTCTAACTAGATCCCTCAACCATAATTTTAATGGTTATATAGCACTTGCCTGTGGTAATAAATAGTAATTGACCATACTAATTTCACCTTTAGAAACTTTAGTTTAGGGGGAGCAGCCAAGATGGCCAAATAGGAACAGCTCCCGTCTACAGCTCCCAGCGTGAGCGAGGCAGAAGATGGGTGATTTCTGCATTTCCATCTGAGCTTTGAAGAGAGCAGTGGTTCTCCCAGCATGCAGCTGGAGATCTGAGAATGGGCAGACTGCCTCCTCAAGTGGGTCCCTGACCCCTGACCCCCGAGCAGCCTAACTGGGAGGCATCCCCTAGCAGGGGCAGACTGACACCTCACACGGCCAGGTACTCCAAAAGACCTGCAGCTGAGGGTCCTGTCTGTTAGAAGGAAAACTAACAGAAAGGACATCCACACCAAAAATCTATCTGTACATCACCATCATCAAAGACCAAAAGTAGATAAAACCACAAAGATGGGAAAAAAACAGAACAGAAAAACTGGAAACTCTACAGAGCACCTCTCCTTCTCCAAAGAAACACAGTTCCTCACCAGCAACGGAACAAAGCTGGACGGAGAATGACTTTGACAAGCTCAGAGAAGAAGCCTTCAGACAATCAAATTACTCCGAGCTATGGGAGGACATTCAAATCAAAGGCAAAGAACTTGAAAACTTTGAAAAAAATTAAGAAGAATGTATAACTAGAATAACCAATACAGAGAAGTGCTTAAAGGAGCTGATGGAGCTGAAAACCAAGGCTCGAGAACTACGTGAAGAATGCAGAAGCCTCAGGAGCCGATGCGATCAACTGGAAGAAAGGGTATCAGCGATGGAAGATGAAATGAATGAAATGAAGTGAGAAGGGAAGTTTAGAGAAAAAAGAATAAAAAGAAATGAGCAAAGCCTCCAAGAAATATGGGACTATGTGAAAAGACCAAATCTATGTCTGATTGGTGTACCTGAAAGTGACAGGGAGAATGGAACCAAGTTGGAAAACACTCTGCAGGATATTATCCAGGAGAACTTCCCCAATCTAGCAAGGCAGGCCAACATTCACATTCAGGAAATACAGAGAATGACACAAAGATACTCCTCGAGAAGAGCAACTCCAAGACACATAATTGTCAGATTCACCAAAGTTGAAATGAAGGAAAAAATGTTAAGGGCAGCCAGAGAGAAAGGTCGGGTTACCCTCAAAGAGAAGCACATCAGACTAACAGCAGATCTCTCAGTAGACACTCTACAAGCCAGAAGAGAGCGGGGGCCAATATTCCACATTCTTAAAGAAAAGAATTTTCAACCCAGAATTTCATATCCAGCCAAACTAAGCTTCATAAGTGAAGGAGAAATAAAATACTTTACAGATAAGCAAATGCTGAGAGATTTTGTCACCACCAGGCCTGCCTTACAAGAGCTCCTGAAGGAAGCACTAAACATGGAAAGGAAAAACCGGTACCAGCCCCTGCAAAATCATGCCAAAATGTAAAGCGCATCGAGACTAGGAAGAAACTGCATCAACTAACCAGCAAAATAACCAGCTAACATCATAATGACCAGATCAAATTCACACATAACAATATTAACTTTAAATGTAAATGGATTAAATGCTCCAATTAAAAGACACAGACTGGCAAATTGGATAAAGAGTCAAGACCCATCAGTGTGCTGTATTCAGGAAACCCGTCGCACGTGCAGAGATGCACATAGGCTCAAAATAAAAGGATGGAGGAATATCTACCAAGCAAATGGAAAATAAAAAAAGGCAGGAGTTGCAATCCTAGTCTCTGATAAAACAGACTTTAAACCAACAAAATCAAAAGAGACAAAGAAGGCCATTACTTAATGGTAAAGGGATCAATTCAACAAGAAGAGCTAACTATCCTAAATATATATGCACCCAATACAGGAGCACCCAGATTCATAAAATAAGTCCTGAGTGACCTACAAAGAGACTTAGACTCCCACACATTAATAATGAGAGACTTTAACACCCGACTGTCAACATTAGACCAATCAACGAGACACAAAGTCAACAAGGATACCCAGGAATTGTACTCAGCTCTGCACTAAGCATACCTAATAGACATCTACAGAACTCTCCACCCCAAATCAACAGAATATACATTCTTTGCAGCACCACACCACACCTATTCCAAAAGTGACCACATACTTGCAAGTAAAGCTCTCCTCAGCAAATGTAAAAGAACAGAAATTATAACAAACTATCTCTCAGACCACAGTGCAATCAAACTAGAACTCAGGATTAAGAATCTCACTCAAAACCACTCAACTACATGGAAACTGAACAACCTGCTCCTGAATGACTACTAGGTACATAACGAAATGAAGGCAGAAATAAAGATGTTCTTTGAAACGAATGAGAACAAAGACACAACATATCAGAATCTCTGGGACACATTCAAAGCAGTGTGTAGAGGGAAATTTATAGCACTAAATGCCCACAAGAGAAAGCAGGAAAGATCCAATATTGACACCCTAACATCACAATTAAAAAAACTAGAAAAGCAAGAGCAAACACATTCAAAAGCTAGCAGAAGGCAAGAAATAACTAAAATCAGAGCAGAACTGAAGGAAATAGAGACACAAAAAACCCTTCAAAAAATTAACAAATCCAGGAGCTGGTTTTTTGAAAGGATCAACAAAATTGATAGACCGCTAGCAAGACTAATAAAGAAAAAGAGAAGAATCAAATAGACGCAGTAAAAAATGATAAGGGGGATATCACCACCCATCCCACAGAAATACAAACTACCATCAGAGAATATAACAAACACCTCTATGCAAATAAACTAGAAAATCTAGAAGAAATGGATAAATTCCTCGACACATACACTCTCCCAAGACTAAACCAGGAAGAAGCTGAATCTCTGAATAGACCAATAACAGGAGCTGAAATTGTGGCAATAATCAATAGCTTGCCAACGAAAAAGAGTCCAGGACCACATGGATTCACAGCCGAATTCTACCAGAGGTACAAGGAGGAACTGGTACCATTCCGTCTGAAACTATTCCAATCAATAGAAGAAGAGGGAATCCTCCCTAACTCATTTTATGAGGCCAGCATCATCCTGATACCAAAGCCTGGCAGAGACACAACAAAAAAAGAGAATTTTAGACCAATATCCTTAATGAACATTGATGCAAAAATCCTCAATAAAGTACTGGCAAACCGAAACCAGCAGCACATCAAAAAGCTTATCCACCATGATCAAGTGGGCTTCATCCCTGGGGTGCAAGGCTGGTTCAATATATGCAAATCAATAAATGTAATCCAGCATATAAACAGAACCAAAGACAAAAAACACATGATTATCTCAATAGATGCAGAAAAGGCCTTTGACAAAATTCAACAGCCCTTCATGCTAAAAACTCTCAAAAAATTAGGTATTGATGGGATGTATTTCAAAATAATAAGAGCTATCTATGACAAACCCACAGCCAATGTCGTACTGAATGGGCAAAACCTGGAAGCATTCCCTTTGAAAACTGGCACAAGACAGGGATGCCCTCTCTCACCACTCCTATTCAACATAGTGTTGGAAGTTCTGGCCAGGGCAATAAGGCAGGAGAAGGAAATAAAGGGTATTAAATTAGGAAAAGAGGAAGTCAAATTGTCCCTGTTTGCAGACGACATGACTGTATATCTAGAAAACCCCATTGTCTCAGCCCAAAATCTCCTTAAGCTGATAAGCAACTTCAGCGAAATCTCAGGATACAAAATCAATGTACAAAAATCACAAGCATTCTTATACACCAACAACAGACAAACAGAGAGCCAAATCATGAGTGAACTCCCATTCACAATTGCTTCAAAGATAATAAAATACCTAGGAATTCAACTTACAAGGGATGTGAAGGACCTCTTCAAGGAGAACTACAAACCACTGCTCAAGGAAATAAAAGAGGATACAAACAAATGTAAGGATATTCCATGCTCATGGGTAGGAAGAATCAATATCATGAAAATGGCCATAATGCCCAAGGTAATTTACAGATTCAATACTATCCCCATCAAGCTACAAATGACTTTCTTCACAGAATTGGAAAAAACTACTTTAAAGTTCATATGGAAACAACAAAGAGCCTGCATTGCCAAGTGAATCCTAAGCCAAAAGAACAAAGCTGGAGGCATCACACTACCTGACTTCAAACTATACTACAAGGCTACAGTAACCAAAACAGCATGGTACTGGTACCAAAACAGAGATATAGATCAATGGAACAGAACAGAGCCCTCAGATATAACACCACATATCTACAAGTATCTGATCTTTGACAAACCTGAGAAAAACAAGCAATGGGGAAAGGATTCCCTATTTAATAAATGGTGTTGGGAAAACTGGCTAGCCATATGTAGAAAGCTGAAACTGGATCCCTTCCTTACACCTTACACAAAAATCAATTCAAGATGGATTAAAGACTTAAACGTTAGACCTAAAACCATAAAAACCCTAGAAGAAAACCTAGGCATTACCATTCAGGACATAGGCATGGGCAAGGACTTCATGTCTAAAACACCAAAAGCAATGGCAACAAAAGCCAAAATTGACAAATTGGATCTAATTAACCTAAAGAGCTTCTGCACAGCAAAAGAAACTATCATCAGAGTAAACAGGCAACCTACAAAATGGGAGAAAATTTTCACAACCTACTCATCTGACAAAGGGCTAATATCCAGAATCTACAATGAACTCAAACAAATTTACAAGAAAAAAACAAACAACCCCATCAAAAAGTGGGCGAAGGACATGAACAGACACTTCTCAAAAGAAGACATTTATGCAGCCAAAAGACACATGAAAAAATGCTCACCATCACTGGTCATCAGAGAAATGCAAATCAAAACCATAATGAGATACCATCTCACACCAGTTAGAATGGCGATCATTAAAAAGTCAGGAAACAACAGGTGCTGGAGAGGATGTGGAGAAATACGAACACTTTTACACTGTTGGTGGGACTGTAAACTAGTTCAACCATTGTGGAAGTCAGTGTGGCGATTCCTCAGGGATCTAGAACTAGAAATATCATTTGACCCAGCCATCCCATTACTGGGTATATGCCCAAAGGACTATAAATCATGCTGCTATAAAGACACATGCACACGTATATTTATTGCGGCACTATTCACAATAGCAAAGACTTGGAACCAACCCAAATGTCCAACAATGATAGACTGGATTAAGAAAATGTGGGACATATACACCATGGAATATTATGCAGCCATAAAAAATGATGAGTTCATGTCCTTTATAGGGACATGGATGAAATTGGAAATCATCATTCTCAGTAAACTATCGCAAGAACAAAAAACCAAACACCGCATATTCTCACTCATAGGTGGGAATTGAACAATGAGAACACATGGACACAGGAAGGGGAACATCACACTCTGGGGACTGTTGTGGGGTGGGGGACGGGGGAGGGATAGCATTGGGAGATATACCTAATGCTAGATGACGAGTTAGTGGGTGCAGCGCACCAGCATGGCACATGTATACATATGTAACTAACCTGCACATTGTGCACATGTACGCTAAAACTTAAAGTATAATAATAATAAATAAATAAATAAATAAATAAATAAAAACAAATAAAATAAAATAAAATAAAATAAAAATAATAATAAAAAGAAATGTTATTACCTTATATTAACAATTATAAATAATATGTTATACATGCATCCTTATATAATAATTTTCTTTTTTTTTTTTAATTTATTTTTTATTGATAATTGGGTGTTTCTCACAGAGGGGGATTTGGCAGGGTCATAGGACAATAGTGGAGGGAAGGTCAGCAGATAAACAAGTGAACAAAGGTCTCTGGTTTTCCTAGGCAGAGGACCCTGCGGCCTTCTGCAGTGTTTGTGTCCCTGGGTACTTGAGATTAGGGAGTGGTGATGACTCTTAAGGAGCATGCTGCCTTCAAGCATCTGTTTAACAAAGCACATCTTGCACCGCCCTTAATCCATTTAACCCTGAGTGGACACAGCACATGTTTCAGAGAGCACAGGGTTGGGGGTAAGGTCACAGATCAACAGGATCCCATGGCAGAAGAAGTTTTCTTAGTACAGAACAAAATGAAAAGTCTCCCATGTCTACTTCTTTCTACACAGACACGGCAACCATCCGATTTCTCAATCTTTTCCCCACCTTTCCCACCTTTCTATTCCACAAAGCCGCCATTGTCATCCTGGCCAGTTCTCAATGAGCTGTTGGGCACACCTCCCAGATGGGGTGGTGGCTGGGCAGAGGGGCTCCTCACTTCCCAGTAGGGGAGGCCGGGCAGAGGCGCCCCTCACCTCCCGGGTGGGGCGGCTGGCCAGGCAGGGGGCTGACCCCCCCACCTCCCTCCCGGGCGGGGCGGCTGGCCGGGCGGGGGGCTGACCCCCCCACCTCCCTCCCGGAGGGGGCGGCTGGCCGGGCAGAGGGGCTCCTCACTTCCCAGTAGGGGCAGCCGGGCAGAGGGGCTCCTCACTTCCCAGTAGGGGTGGCCGGGTAGAGGCACCCCTCACCTCCCGGACGGGGCGGCTGGCCGGATGGGGGGCTGACCCCCCCACCTCCCTCCCGGACGGGGCGGCTGGCCGGGCGGGGGGCTGATGCCCCCACCTCCCTCCCGGACAGGGCGGCTGGCGGGGCAGGGGGCTGACCCCCCCACCTCCCTCCCAGATGGGGCGGCTGCCAGGCGGAGATGCTCCTCACTTCCCAGACTGGGTGGCTGCCGGGCGGAGAGGCTCCTCACTTCTCAGACAGGGCGGCTGCCGGGCGGAGGGGCTCCTTACTTCTCAGACGGGGCGGTTGCCGGGCAGAGGGTCTCCTAACTTCTCAGACGGGGCGGCCGGGCAGAGATGCTCCTCACCTCCCAGACGGGGTCGCAGCCGGGCAGAGGTGCTCCTCACATCCCAGACGGGGCGGCAGGGCAGAGTCACTCCCCATATCTCAGACGATGGGCGGCCGGGCAGAGATGCTCCTCACTTCCTAGATGTGATGGCGGCCGGGAAGAGGTGCTCCTCACTTCCTAGGTGGGATGGCGGCCGGGCGGAGACACTCCTCACTTTCCAGACTGGGCAGCCAGGCAGAGGGGCTCCTCACATCCCAGACGATGGGCGGCCAGGCAGAGACGCTCCTCACTTCCCAGACGGGGTGGCAGCCGGGCAGAGGCTGCTATCTCAGCACTGTGGGAGGCCAAGGCAGGCGGCTGGGAGGTGGAGGTTGTAGCGAGCCGAGATCACACCACTGCACTCCAGCCTGGGCACCATTGAGCACTGAGTGAACGAGACTCCATCTGCAATCCCGGCACCTCGGGAGGCCGAGGCTGGCGGATCACTTGCGGTTAGGGGCTGGAGACCGGCCTGGCCAACACAGCGAAACCCTGTCTCCACCAAAACCAGTCAGGCATGGCGGCGCGAGCCTGCAATCGCAGGCACTCGGCAGGCTGAGTCAGGAGAATCAGGCAGGGAGGCTGCAGTGAGCCGAGATGGCAGCAGTACAGTCCAGCTTTGGCTCAGCATGAGAGGGAGACCGTGGAAAGAGAGGGAGAGGGAGACCGTGGGGAGAGGGGAGAGGGGAGAGGGGAGAGGGGAGAGGGAGGGGGAGAGCTAATAATTTTCTAAGAAGAAATCTCATAGTAGAATTGTTGAGTTGGGTTGTATGCATTGTCAAAATGTTGACATATATACATACAGTTTATTTGTGAGAAAGTTTTTATTAATTATGATTAAGCATGGAGTTGGTTATTGACATAACATAATTTGTATTTCCTTTGCAATTATTCTTCTACAGATTTCTTTAAACTGTGAATAAATGTTGAATTTTGTAAGAGCTCAATGGATTCTTCTTGCCTGCTGTCCAGAAAAAGCTAATGCACTGAGGACAGCAGGTTTGCAGCAAAGAAACTTTAATTATCACAGGGATGGCCAAGAGGAAGAACCGGAGACATTTCTGAAATCCACTTCTTTGAGAGCTTGAAAACCAGGGTTTTTAAGGATAATTTGACAGGCATGAATTAGGAATGGTGCTGCTGATTGGTTAGCAATGAAATCACAGGAGTGTCCATACTGTCTGAGCATGCTGTCAGTTCCTGGGTGGGGGTCACCAGTTGAGTCAGTTCCTTGATATGAGTCATTAGTCCCGGTGGAGTCAGTCATAATTAGAAAGTCTGCAAAATGTCTCAAAGACCAAGCTTGTGTTTTGACAATGTATTGTTATCTATAGGAGGAATTATGGAAGTTATAAATCCTGTGATTTCTGGCTGCATGACTCTTAAGCATTAAGGAATTATAGAGAGTCAAGCTAGAGAACAATGGCTGGTTGCTGTTTAACTACATCCTAGAATTTAGGCCTTTCCCATAATCCTAGTCTTCTGGTCTTTCATTAGTCTTACAAAGACAGTTTCAGTCCCTCAAATAAAAGAAGGTGATTTTCAGAAAGGGACTGTTTACATCTTTGTTTTGTAGTTAACAAAGGCAGTTAGCATGTGAGGTTAGACACAAGATGGAGCCATCAATGTTAGATTTCTTTCACTGTCATTGTTTTTGCAAAGGCAGATTCAGTTCTATTAAACACTCATCCCCATTCTGTATTTAGAACATACGTTATATTTTCTTTTTACTATTAATAAGATTAATTGTTAAAAAGATTTGTGTCAAACTTTTGAATTCTCACTTGATTATGGCATATTAGTTATTTAAAATAACTTTACTGCCAGAAATACAAAAGATTATTCAAAGCTACTATGAATACCTTTACATGCATAAACTAGAAAACCTAGAGGAGATGGATAAATTCCTGGAAAGATACAACCCTCTTAGCATAAATAAAGAATTAGATACCCTGAACAGACCAATAATAAGCAGTGAGATTGAAATGGTAACAAAAAAGTCACCAACAAAAAAAAGTCCAGGACAAGACTGATTTAGAGCTGAATTCTACCAGTTCTACCAGACAGTCCAAGAATTGGTATCAATTCTATTGACACTATTCCACAAGATAGGCAAAGAGGGAATCCTCCCTAAATTATCCTATGAAGCCAGTATCCCCTAATACCCAAACCACGAAAAAACCTAACAAAAAAAGAATTTAACTACAGATCAATATCCCTGATATACATAAATGAAAAAATCCTTTAAAAAATTAGCTAACCAAATCCAACAACATATCAAAAAGATAATCCACCATGATAAAGTGGGTTTTATACCACAGATGCAGGGATAATTTAACATACTCAAGTCAATAAATGTGATACACCATATAAACAGAATTAAAAACAAAAATTACATTGTCATTTCAATAGATGCAGAAAAAGCATTTGACAAAATCCAGCATCCCTTTGTAATTAAAACCCTCCGCAAAATCAGCATACAAGGGACATACCTCAATGTAATAAAAGCCATCTATGACAAAACTACAGCCAATATAATATTGAATGGGGAAAAGTTGAAAGCATTTACTCTTGAGACAAGAATGCCCACTCTTACTACTTCTATTCAACATAGTACTGGAAGTGCTAGCCAGAGCAGACAAGAGAAAGAAATAAAGAGCGTCCAAATCGGTAAAGAGGAAGTCAGATTGTCACTGTTTGCTGATGATGTGATTGTATACCTGGAAAACCCTAAAGACTCCTCCAAAAAGCTCTTTGAATTGATAAATGAATTCACCAGTGTTTCAGAATACAAAATGAATATACACAAATCAGTAACTCTCCTATACACCCACAGTGACCAAGCTGAGACTCAAATCAAGAACTCAACTCCTTTTACAATACCTGCAAAAAAAATAAAATAAAATACTTAGGAATATATCTAACCAAGGAGGTGAAAGACTTCCACAAGGAAAACTACAAAACACTGCTGAAAAAAATCATAAATGACGCAAACAAATGGAAACACATCCCATGCTCACAGATGGGTAGAATCAATATTGTGAAAATGACCATACTGCCAAAAGCAATCTACAAATTCAGTGCAATTCTCATAAAAATACCACTATCATTCTCCACAGAACTAGAAAAGACAATCCTAAAATTCATATAGAACAAAAAAAGAGCCCACAGAGCCAAAGCAAGATTAAGTGAAAAGAACAAATCTGGAGGCATCACATTACCTGATTTCAAACTATACTATAAGGCTATAGTCACCAAAACAGCATGGTACTGGTATAAAAACAGGCACACAGACCAGTGGAACAAAATAGAGATCCCAGAAATAAACCTAAATATTTACAGCCAACTGGTCTTTGACAAAGCAAACAAGAACAAAGTGGGGAAAGGACACCCTATTCAACAAATGGTGCTGGTATAATTGGCAAGCCACATGTGGGAGAATGAAACTACATCCTCATCTCTCACTGTACACAAAACTCAAGATGGATCAACGACTTAAATCTAACACCTGAAACTATTAAAAATTCTAGGAGATAACATCAGAAAAACCTTTCTAGACATTGGGCTTAGGCAAGGATTTCATGACCAAGAACCCAAAAGCAAATACAATAAAAACAAAGATAAATAGGTGGGACTTAATTAAACTAAAGAGCTTTTGCATGGCAAAAGGAACAGTCAGCAGAGTAAACAGTAAACCAACAGAGTGAAAGAAAATCTTCAAAATGTATACATCTGACAAAGGATTAATATTCAGAATCTACAATGAACTCACACAAATCAGCAAGAAAAAAATCACATCAAAGGGTGGGCTAGGGACATGAATAGATGATTCTCGAAACAGGATATACAAATGGCCAACAAACATATGAAAAGGTGCTCAGCATCACTGATGATCAGGAAAGTGCAAATCAAAACCAAAACGCAATACCACCTTACTCCCGCAAAAATAGCCAGAATAAACAAAAAATTAAAAAATAATAGACTCTGGCATGGATGTGATGAAAGGGGAACACTTCTACACTGCTGGTGGGAATGTAAACTGGTGCAGCCACTGTGGAAAACAGTTTGGAGGATCCTTAAGGGACTAAAAGTAGAATTACCATTTGATCCAGCAATCCCACTGCTGGGTATCTACCCAGAGGAAAAGAAGTCATTATACAAAAAAGATACTTACACATGTATGTTTATAGCAGCACAATTCACAATTGCAAAAATGTGGAACCAACCCAAATGCCCATCAATCAACGAGTAGTTAAAGAAACTGTGGTGTGTGCATATATATATATATATATATATATATACCATCATATATATATATATATATATATGATGGAATACTACTCAGCCATAACAAGAATGAATTAAAGGCATTTGCAGCAACCTGGATGGGATTGGAGACTTATTCTAAGTGAAGTTACTCAGGAATGGAAAACCAAACGTTGTATGTTCTCACTCATAAGTGGGAGCTAAGCTATGAGGATGCAAAGTCATAAAGCAACATAATGGACTTTGGGGACTCAAGGGGAAAGTGTGGGAAGAGGATGAAGGATAAAAGACTACAAATTGGATTCAGTGTATACTGCTCTGGTGATGGGTGCACCAAAATCTCACAAATCATCACTAAAAAGTTATTCATGTAACTAAATGCCACCTGTTTCCCAAAAAATCTATGGAAATATAAAATAAATAATAATAATACTTTCCTTTGGATATATACCCAGAAGTGGGATTGTTGGATCCATATGGTAGTATGGTATTTTTGATTTTTTGAGGAACTTCCATAGTGTTTTTCATGGTGACTTCGCCAGTTTACATTCCCACCAACAGCTTACAAGGTTTCCCTTTCCTCTAAGAGTTTACCAATACTTTATCTTTTATCTTTTTGATAGTAGGCATTCTGATAGGTGTGAGGTGATATCTCCATGGTTTTGATTTGCATTTCCCTGATTATTAGTGATATTGAACACCTTTTCTACATAACCATTGACCATTTGCATGTCTTCTTATAAGAAATATTTGTTTAGGTCTTTAGCCCATTTTTGGATTTTTTTTCTTTGCTAATAAGTTATTTGCAGTTCTTATATATTTTAGATGTTAACCTCTTATCAGGTACATCATCTGCAAATATTTTCTCCCGTTCCATAGGTTCCCTTTTCAATCTGTTGATTGTTTCCTTTGCGATTGTTAGGCTTTTAATATTCATCTCTATTAATGTTTTCTGAATACACACACAAGGTTTTAAGATCAGAGGCAGATTTCTTTTTACACTCAACAAAAAGATCAACAAGTGAAGTAACACTGCAGCATTGGTCCCCACACCCAGCCTGCCTTCAGAGTACCATGTGAGTGCCAGATGGAATAAATGCCCTATACAAGTGGTGGGTCACTCTATAAGTGACATACAACAAAATGTGGATTTCTTTTGTTTCTAAAAAGCAAAGACATCACTCTCCCTCCTCGCCTTCTGAGTATCCTTGGAGATCAGATGGAAGGATCCTTAACCTAACCCTTTGGTATGAAAGTAAACCTCTGAGGAAAAAGATGGGCCCAGTGTCTCCAGTTTGACAACTCAGAGATGTATACAAGGCCCTGAGCCTCTTACTGCCAGAGTTAGGTCAATCTCTTTGGAAGGTTTTCATTATCTGATCAGTCATAAATTGCCTTCTAAGCTTGCTCTCAGGCCAGGAAACACATTTTTGTAAAATTTATTCAGAAAGCCCTAACTGCAGAAACATATTCTCCAGAATCTTACAAATTTATAATAAATGGGTGAAGATAATATCACTTGAACTCACAGATCAATCTTACAACACACAAAAAAACCAGATAACCAGACTGTATATTCATTATGATATGATATATTAATAATAGGAAGCTCACAGTGTTGCCTTTGAAGTAGTTTTGCCAAATAATCAACTTAATCTAATAGAGCCTCTAGACCCAACTATCAGTTTAAAAGAAGTATAGAAAAGAACAAGTTAAATGATGCCACAAGAATGCAATCAGCCAAAGCCAGAATCTGGGATATTCTACAAAATAAAGGACTTATTTTCTACAACAATCAAGTTGTAAGAAGAATGGGGGAAGCAGAAATTTAGAAATTAGAAGAGACTTAAAAGACCTACCAACAAATTAAGGTATACAGATTTGGTTTTGATCTTGATTCAAACATATCAACTGGGGGAAAAAATGGCTATGTATAGACAATAGGGAAAATTGAACATTGGCTGGATATTAGATGACAGTAATAAATTACTGTTAATTTCTTTTAATTATACTTTAAGTTCTATGGTACATGTGCACAACGTGCAGGTTTGTTACATATGTATACATGTGCCATGTTGGTGTGCTGCACCCATTAACTCGTCATTTACATTAGGTCTATCTCCTAATGCTATCCCTCCCCCATCCCCCGACCCCAGGACAGGCCCCAGTGTGTGGTGTTCCCCTTCCTGTGTCCAGGTGTTCTCATTGTTCAATTCCCAACTATGAGTGAGAACATGCGGTGTTTGGTTTTTTGTCCTTGCGATAGTTTGCTCAGAATGATGGTTTCCAGCTTCATCCATGTCCCTATAAAGGACATGAAATCATCCTTTTTTATGGCTGCATAGTATTCCATCATGTATATATGCCACATTTTCTTAATCCAGTCTATCATTGATGGACATTTGGGTTGCTTCCAAGTCTTTGCTATTGTGAATAGTGCCGCAATAAACATATGTGTGCATGTGTCTTTATACCAGCATGATTTATAATCCTTTGGGTATATACCCAGTAATGGGATGGCTGGGTCAAATGGTATTTCTAGTTCTAGATTCTTGAGGAATCGCCACACTGTCTTCCACAATGGTTGAACTAGTTTACAGTCCCACCAACAGTGTAAAAGTGTTCCTATTTCTCCACATCCTCTCCAGCACCAGTTGTTTCCTGACTTTTTAATGAACGCCATTCTAACTGGTGTGAGATGGTATCACATTGTGGTTTTGATTTGCATTTCTCCGATGGCCAATAATGATGAGCATTTTTTCACGTGTCTTTTGGCTGCATAAATGTCTTCTTTTGAGGAGTGTCTGTTCATATCCTTAGCCCACTTTTTGATGGGGTTGTTTGTATTTTTCTTGTAAGTTTGTTTGAGTTCTTTGTAGATTCTGATGTTAGCCTTTTGTCAGATGAGTAGATTGCAAAAACTTTCTCCCATTCTGTAGGTTGCCTGTTCACTCTGATGGTAGTTTCTTTTGCTGTGCAGAAGCTCTTTAGTTTAATTAGATCCCATTTGTCAATTTTAGCTTTTGTTGCCATTGCTTTTGGTGTTTTAGACATGAAGTCCTTGCCCTTGCCTATGTCCCGAATGGTATTGCCTAGGTTTTCTTCTAGGGTTTTTATGGTTTTAGGTCTAACATTTAAGTCTTTTAATCCATCTTGAATTAATTTTTGTATAAGGTGTAAGGAAGGGATCCAGTTTCAGCTTTCTACATATGGCTAGCCAGTTTTCCCAGCACCATTTATTAAATAGGGAATCCTTTCCCCATTTCTTGTTTTTGTCAGGTTTGTCAAAGATCAAATGGTTGTAGATGTGTGGTATTATTTCCGAGGTCTCTGTTCTGTTCCATTGGTCTATATTTCTGCTTTGGTACCAGTACCATGCTGTTTTGGTTACTGTAGCCTTGTAGTATAGTTTGAAGTCAGGTAGCGTGATGCCTGCAGCTTTGTTCTTTTGGCTTAGGATTGTCTTGGCAATGCATGCTGTTTTTTGGTTCCATATGAATTTTAAAGTAGTTTTTCCAATTCTGTGAAGAAAGTCATTGGTAGTTTGATGCGGATGGCATTGAATCTTTGGTAAATTACTTTGGATACTATGGCCATTTTCACAATATTGATTCTTCCTATCCATGAGCATGGAATATTCTTACGTTTGTTTGTGTCCTCTTTTATTTCTTTGAGCAGTGGTTTGTACTTCTCCTTGAAGAAGTCCTTCACATCCCTTGTAAATTGGCTTCCTAGGTATTTTATTCTCTTTGAAGCAATTGTGAATGGGAGTTCACTCATGATTTGGCTCTCTGTTTGTCTGTTATTGGTGTATAAGAATGCTTGTGATTTTTGCATGTTGATTTTGTATGCTGAGACTTTACTGAAGTTGCTTATCAGCTTAAGGGGATTTTGGGCTGAGACAATGGGTTTTTGTAAATATACAATCATTTCATCTGCAAACAGGGACAATTTGACTTCCTCTTTTCCTAATTGAGTACCCTTTATTTCTTTCTCCTGCCTGATTGTCCTTGCCAGAACTTCCAACACTATATTGAATAGGAGTGGTGAGAGAGGGCATCCCTGTCTTGTGCCAGTTGTAAAAGGGAATGCTTCCAGTTTTTGCCCATTCAGTATGATATTGGCTGTGGGTCTGTCATAAATAGCTGTTATTATTTTGAGATACGTCCCATCAATACCTAATTTATTGAGAGGTTTTAGCATGAAGGGCTGTTGAATTTTGTCAAAGGCCTTTTCTGCATCTATTGAGATAATCACGTGGTTTTTGTCTTTGGTTCTGTTTATATGATGGATTATCTTTATTGATTTGCGTATGTTGAACCAGCCTTATATCCCAGGGACGAAGCCCACTTGATCATGGTGGATAAGCTTTTTGATGTGCTGCTGGATTCAGTTTGCCAGTATTTTATTGAGGATTTTTGCATCAATGTTCATCAAGGATATTGGTCTAAAATTCTCTTTTTTGGTTGTGTCTCTGCCAGGCTTTGGTATCAGGATGATGCTGGCCTCATAAAATGAGTTAGGGAGGATTCCCTCTTTTTCTATTGATTGGAATAGTTTCAGAAAGAATGGTAGCAATTCCTCCTTTTACCTCTGGTAGAATTCGGCTGTGAATCCATCTGGTCCTGGACTTTTTTTGGTTGGTAGACTATTAATTATTTCCTCAATTTCAGAGCCTGTTATTGGTCTATTCAGGGATTCAACTTCTTCCTGGTTTAGTCTTGGGAGGGTGTATGTGGACTGCTGGGTACATAACGAAATGAAGGCAGAAATAAAGATGTCCTTTGAAACCAATGAAAACAAAGACACAACATACCAGAATCTCTGGGATACATTTAAAGCAGTGTGTACAGGGAAATTTATAGCACTAAATGCCCACAAGAGAAAGTAGGAAAGATCTAAAATTGACACCGTAACATCACAATTAAAAGAACTAGAGAAGCAATAGCAAACACATTCAAAAGCTAGCAGAAGGGAAGAAATAACTAAGATCAGAGCAGAACTGAAGGAGATAGAGACACAAAAAAGCCTTCAAAAAATCAGTGAATCCAGGAGCTGGTTTTCTGAAGAGATCAACAAAATTGATAGACCGCTAGCAAGACTAATAAAGAAGAAAAGAGAGAAGAATCAAATAGATGCAATAAAAAATGATAAAGGGAATATCACCACCGATCCCACAGAAATACAAACCATGATCCGAGAATACTATAAACCCCTTACACAAATAAACTAGAAAATCTAGAAGAAATTGATAAATTACTGTTAATTTTTAAAGATATGATAATGGCATTATGGTTCTGTTTTAAAAATAGAGTTATTGTCTCTATTTGGAAATATTTACAGATGGAAATTACATGATAATTGGGATTTACTTTAAAATAATAGGTGGAGATCCAGAGGAAATGAGGGAGTACAGAAGGAACAAAATTGGCCATATTTTGACAATTGTTGAAGCTGGGTCATGTGTAACTTAGGGTTCATTATTCTATTCTCTCTACTTTTATATATGTTTGCAAATTTCCATAATAAAAAGTTTTGTGTTTTAAAAATAATAATAAAATAAAAATAATTTGATTCCTAGTTGTTATCTTTAAATTTTGGAATTTTGAATATTTATTTGTAAATATATTTAGTTTGCAGTTATATTTTATAAGCTCCCTTCTAAAGATTTGGTGCAAGAATTGTATCTGCCTGAGAAATTGCCTTAAAAAAAATTGGGAAGTTTTTCTTCCTAGCCAAAGTTCTAGCTTTACTATCACAAAGCATATCTCATAAAATTCTGGATCAGAAAAATTGTTTCAACCCTTTATTTACAAAATAGTCTTGAAACTTTATGTTCAAAGTTTAAGATAAAAAATTAGCGTTGGTTTTGGATACTGGGAAGCGTGCCATAGGTTGTTCTGTTTGGAAGGCAGCATGAAGAAATGATGAAATCTCTTACCCTGGAATTAAATAGCTCCATCTTTGGATTCTAAGTATACTATTTACTAACTATATAATTTCTTTGAGTCACAGGTAAAATAAATTAATAATGATTAAATAAGATGCTATGTTTAAAATAGTAGCAGAATAGTTCAATAAATAGCAACTTTACTTACATTTGCAGTAAAACTTTTGAAATCTCTAAAATCATGCTATGCTATTTTCGCAAAAGCAAAAAAAGTAAAAATGTAGAGAAATATAACACAAAAATAAAATCTACCAATAATTAAATAAGGACTTTTTCTCAACTAAGAGCTAAAAACAGCTAGAAAATAACTTGAGCATCAAAAATGAAAATGTAGACTTCTTGGCATGTGACAATGTCTCCATAGATACTTTTGAAGATGAAGACTCCTGTTGAAGATTTCTGGGTTGAAAATCATTAACAGAACATTTTCTGAGCTCAGAGCAGAGACTAGTACATTTAGCAATCTATTAGAGCTGTGCTTATCATACTTCATCTTGTATCAGAATCACCTGGAGGGCTCATTAAAGCCTAGTGGTTCTAATTCAACAAGTCTTGAATGAGGGTAGATAATTTGCATTTCTAACAAGGTTCTAGGACATATGGACATTGCTGTCCGATGACCACACTTAGAGAATTACTGCTATTGATAAATTGGTGCTTCCATCAGTCAAGCCATTCCCTGGGACAACTATTTGCAGTAGTCAAGGCTTATCATAAATTACATCTCTTTTGGTCATCACACTTCCATGAGATTCTCAGACAGGTAGTAGTTACTATCTCTGTTTTTCACATGAGAAAGTCAGGTGATCCATCTCAAAATGCACACTTAATATCACTGTTAGAACCTTGACCTGGATCAAGAGAATCATCCTGGGCACCTGAAGCCTTTTAAGACTAAAAACTCCATACTGTACTAAGCCACCATTTTTAATAGTGAAAATTTATTAACACAAATCTCTGAGTTTTATATGTAAGTCAAGGAGATGGAAAAAATGGAGATTTTGAAAAATTGTATTGTAAGCACACTGAAAGCAGGGACAAAATTTATTTCTAGGAAGCACTTAGTTGCATGCCTGGCTTAAATTAGAAATTTAATATTTTTAAAAATAAATAGGATACGCACTTACTTGTTCTACATTATTGAAGTCCCCTTTATTTTTGTGCTATCTCCAGTTCTATAATGTGATACTTCAATGTGAGACATATTTGGAATGCCAGAGAAACAAATTTAATTCTAGTACGTCCCTTAAGGGAAGCCAACAACAAATTAGGAAAAATGCATTTTAATATCTCAAAACTTATTGTACTATGTGAGTCATTTTACTATGTATTTTAGGGACAGTACAGTATACTATACTGTCCTTATTTAATTATTGGTAGATTTTATTTTTGTGTTATATTTTTCTATATTTTTACTTTTTTTGCTTTTGCTAAAATAGCATAGCATGATTTTAGAGATTTCAAAAATTTTACTGCAAATGTAAGTAAAGATGCTATTTATTGTACTATTCTGCTATATAGCACTGTATACTATACTGTCCCTAAAATGACTATAGAAAAGTCATTTTACTATACTTGTAATTTTATAAGTAATTAAGTTCATTCAAACCAAAGCTCTCTGTCCTCAAAAGCAGCTTTCCTAGGGGAAAATTATTGCAATTCTATTAGATGTTTTGGTATTAATTATTGACATTATTATGGTAATATACACTTAAATTTCTGGTATGTATACTTATCTACCCAGAAATTTATTCCAAAAAACATTTTAAAAAGCCACCTGACAGGTTTGTGTCACTGAATTTGGGTAGAACCAGACACTCAAGAGGCTCAGGTGGGAGGATCACTTG
Source organism: Homo sapiens (assembly GCF_000001405.40). Classification (NCBI taxonomy): domain Eukaryota; kingdom Metazoa; phylum Chordata; class Mammalia; order Primates; family Hominidae; genus Homo; species Homo sapiens. Next base: position 76,732,275 of record NC_000006.12, on the reverse strand, counting down.
AGTGGATCCCCATCACTTAAAAAATAATCAATTAATTAATTAAATTAAAAGTCACTTGACCTTTATGTTGGTTTTCTCTCTAATCAACATGTGCCAAACCCATGCAAAAAGAAAAAAAGCCAGTTATTCTAAACTACATTGATAATGCACTGAAAAAAAAATCTCAAAGTTTCTAATAATTGATGAATCAGAACGTTTCATCCTAAAATATAGAGTTCATTATAAAATATTTCTCAGAACATAGTGATTTTTTAAAAGATGCATTATTATTTAAAACCCCTGCTGTCATAAAATTAAACATTACTCAAGCTTGTTAGCAAAAAACATTAATCTGTAAACCAGCAGCCATTCCGAACAATTATTAATACAAGCATAAACCTATTATCTACAGGGCTACCATTCTGTATGAGCAGAAAACACAGAGAAAATACAGTAACTAAAATGCATCAACTGAATAAAGGAGTCATGAAGTAAGTCTGTATCCTTCCAGAACAATGGTCAAGATACTGTTCATAACTCAGTCTTCTAATTTACAACACCTTGGATTCATTGAGTGTGGAGCAGGTTATAAACAAAAATATAGCCAAGTAATTAAGGTCATTCACAACCAAAGCTCTCTGTCCATGAAAGCTCCTTTCCAAGGGGAAAATTACTGCAATTCTATTAAATGTTTTAGTATTAAGCATTAATATTTTTATGCTAATATACTCTGTACATTTTCTAAAAGATAAGAAAGCATGTAGCATTTCTGAAATTTATTTGGCCAGTGCATTAGTTCCCTATTGCTGCTATAACAAATTACTGCAGACTTAGTGGCTTGAAGCAATACGGATTTGTTCTTTTACAGTTCCAAAGTCTGAAAAGGGTCGCCTTATGTACAAAACACTATTTGGCAAGACTGTAAAGAAGTTTCCATGAAAAAGAGGACTCTTTTCATGTCAGGGCCACATTCCCTCTGGATGTTCTAGGGAAGAATCTAGAAGCCTTTTTTATCTTCCACAGGCTTTCTGCATTTCTGGAGTCATGACTTCATCCTCCATCTTCAAGCCAGCAGGATCTTCGAATCTCTTTCCTGTCCCTCTACTTTCATTGTCATACCTCTTACCCAGATCCTTTTGTTTCTGTCTTATAAGGACCCTAGTAAATTGCACTGGGCCCACAAAAATATTCTGCAATAATCTTACCCATCTTTTAATCACATGTGAAAAGTCCCTACAGTCATGTAAGAACATATTCACAGATTCTGGGAGATAAAGATGTGGCCGTTTTAGGGAGGCCAACCACAGCCATGGAGTTCTCTTTTCCATGGAACCTTCTTTACAGTTTTGCCAAATAGTGTTTTGTACATGAGATGTGATATACAAAATGACATCACTTCGGTTCACAGCTCCAAAATGAAGTCAGAAAGCCATGTGAAAAAAGAACTACTTGCACAACCTGTGTATTAGTCCATTTTCATGCTACTGATAAAGACATACCCAAGACTGGGAAATTTGTGAAAGAAAGAGGTTTAATTGGACTCACAGTGCCATGTGGCTGGGGAAACCTCACAATCATGGCAGAAGGCAAGAAGGAGCAAGTAACATCTTACGTGGATGGTGGCAGGCAAAAAAACAAAAGAGCTTGCGCAGAGAAACTCCCATTTTTAAACCGTCACTTCTCATGAGACCCATTCACTATCATGAGAACAGCATGGAAAAGACCAATTCTCATGATACAATCATCTCCCACCAGGTCCCTCCCACAACATATGGGAATTATGGGAGCTACAAAATGAGATTTTGGTGGGACACAGAGCCAAATCATATCAACCTGCAACCAAAAAAAAAAAAAAAAAACCTGAGAAAAATAGGAACTTGCCTTGAACCTTTCAAACTTAGCCAAACGGCAGTGACCACAATATCCTGGAAAACAGCTGAATTTCACCAGTGCTACAACTCCTGAACGGTGACAACCAGTGAACTGTGAACTCATGTACTAAGACAGCCACCTCCATTAACAATAATTCTTTCAAAATAACTTATGTAAACACCCTCAGCATTCTTTCATAAACCCCTACACCCTTCCCTCTGGAACTCAATTTGACCTTTGGCCAAATCTGTGTCTCCAAAATTGCAATTCCTAAAATCCCAATAAATGCCTTCTCTTACTGCTTTGCAGTCTGGTCTTTCACCTCTTTCGTGCTGACATGTAGAACAAAGTTTGGAAAACGTGTGTTTTTGTAAGAATATGAAAAAGATGGGGCAGTTCCAAGATGGCCAAATAGGAAGAGCTCCAGTCTACAGCTCCCAGCGTGAGCAATGCAGAAGATGGGTGATTTCTGCATTTCCAACTGAGGTACTGGGTTCATTTCACTGGGGCTTTTCGGACAGAGGGGCCAGGACAATGGGTACAGCCCACCGAGCATGAGCTGAAGCAGGGCAAGGCATTGCCTCACCGGGGAAGCACAAGGGGTCAGGGAATTCCCTTTCCTAGCCAAGGGAAGCTGTGACAGATGGCACCTGGGAAATTGGGTCACTCCCACCCTAATACTGCACTTTTCCAATGGTCTTAGCAAATGGCACACCAGGAGATTATATCCTGTGCATAGCTCAGAGGGTCTCACACCCACGGAGCCTTGCTCATTGCTAGCACAGCACTCTGAGATCAAACTGCAAGGCAGCAGCGAGGCTGGGGGAGGGTGCCCGCCATTGCTGAGGCTTGAATAGGTAAACTAAGCAGTCTGGAGGTTTCAAATTGGGTGGAAACACCACAGCTCAAGGAGGCCTGCCTGCCTCTGTAGACTCCACCTCTGGGGGCAGGGCATAGCCAAACAAAAGGTGGCAGAAACCTCTGCAGACTTAAATGTCCCTGTCTGACAGCTTGGAAGAGAGTAGTGGTTCTTCCAGCATGGAGTTTGAGATCTGAGAATGGACAGACTGCCTCCTCAAGTGGGTCCCTGAACCTCGAGTAGCCTAAGTGGGAGGTATCCCACAGTAGAGGCAGATGGACACCTCACACGGCTGGGTACTCCTCTGAGATGAAGCTTCCAGAGGAACAATCAGGCAGCAACATTTGCTGTTCAGCAATATTCGCTGTTCTGCAGCTTCCGCTGCTGATACACAGGCAAACAGGGTCTGGAGTGGACCTCCAGCAAACTCCAACAGACCTGCAGCTGAGGGTCCTGTCTGTTAGAAGGAAAACTAACAAACAGAAAGGACAACCACACCAAAACCCCATCTGTACGTCACCATCAACAAAGACCAAAGGTAGATAAAACCACAAAGATAGGAAAAAAACAGAGCAGAAAAACTGAAAATTCTAAAAATCATAGCACCTCTCCCCCTCCAAAGGAACGCAACTCCTTGCCAGCAACAGAACAAAGCTGGATGGAGAATGACTTTGATGAGTTGAGAGAAGAAGGCTTCAGAAAATCAAACTTCTCCGAGCTAAAGGAGGAAGTTCGAACCCATCGAAAAGAAGCTAAAAACCTTGAAAAAAGATTAGACGAATGGCTAACTAGAATAATCAGTGTAGAGAAGTCCTTAAATGACCTGATGGAGCTGAAAACCATGGCACAAGAACTATGTGACACATGCACAAGCTTCAATAGCTGATTCAATCAACTGGAAGAAAGGGTATCAGTGATTAAAGATCAAATGAATGAAATGAAGCAAGAAGAGAAGTTTAGAGAAAAAAGAGTAAAAAGAAACGAACAAAGCTTCCAAGAAATATGGGACTATGTGAAAAGACCAAATCTACGTCCGATTGATGTACCTGAAAGTGACGGGGAGAATGGAACCAAGTTGGAAAACACTCTGCAGGATATTATCCAGGAGAACTTCCCCAACCTAGCAAGGCAGGCCAACATTCAAATTCAGGAAATACAGAGAATGCCACAAAGATACTCCTCGAGAAGAGCAACTCCAAGACACAAAATTGTCAGATTCACCAAAGTTGAAATGAAGAAAAAAATGTTAAGGGCAGCCAGAGAGAAAGGTCGGGTTGCCCACAAAGGTAAGCCCATCAGACTAACAGCTGATATCTCAGCAGAAACTCTACAAGCCAGAAGAGAGTGGGGACCAATATTCAACATTCTTAAAGAAAAGAATTTTCAACCCAGAATTTCATATCCAGCCAAACTAAGCTTCATAAGTGAAAGAGAAATAAAATCCTTTACAGATAAGCAAAAGCTGACAGATTTTGTCACCACCAGGCCTGCCCTAAAAGAGCTCCTGAAGGAAGCACTAAACATGGAAAGGAACAACCAGTACCAGCCACTGCAAAAACTTGCCAAATTGTGAAGACCATTGATGCTAGGAAGAAACTGCATCAACTAAAGAGCAAAATAACCAGCTAACATCATAATGACAGGATCAAATTCACACATAACAATATTAACCTTAAATGTAAATGGACTAAATGCTCCAGTTAAAAGACACAGACTGGCAAATTGGATAAAGAGTCAAGACCCATCAGTGTGCTGTATTCAGGAGACCCATCTCACGTGCAGAGACACACATAAGTTCAAAATAAAGGGATGGAGGAAGATCTATGAAGCAAATGGAAAACCAAAAATGGCAGGGGTTGCAATCCTAGTCTCTAATAAAACAGACTTTAAACCAACAAAGATCAGAAGAGACAAAGAAGGCCATTACATAATAGTAAAGGGATCAATTCAACAAGAAGAACTAACTATCCTAAATATGTATGCGCCCAATACAGGAGCATCCAGATTCATAAAGCAAGTCCTTAGAGACCTACAAAGAGACTTAGACTCCCACACAATAATAATGGAGACTTTAACACCCCACTGTCAACATTAGACAGATCAACGAGACAGAAAGTTAACAAGGATATCCAGGAATTGAACTCAGCTCTGCACTAAGAGGATCTGATAGGTTTAGCGGCACTATTCACAATAGCAAAGACTTGGAACCAACCCAAATGTCCATCAATGATAGACTGGATTAAGAAAATGTGGCACATATACACCATGGAATACTATGCAGCCATAAAACAGGATGATTTCATGTCCTTTGTACCCTAGAACTTAAAGTATAATAAAAAAAAAAAAAGAAAATGATTCCAGACTGTGGAAGCATAAATGAGAAGATGAAGAATGAACTGTACTGTAAGAAAAAATTTACTGTGGATAAGTCGTAATTGTAGGAGCCCTGTGGCTTGTGATTTGAAGCCATTGTGTCAACACAAATGGTCAAATGAAGTAAGGAAAAGTACTAGGACCTTGTTCTAACATGCCTCCAGAATCCTTAAATACTATGTTGAATGCTTCTTAAAATGATGTTGTAATAATGCAAAAGTGTAATAAATTTACAAAAGATGAATATGAATACTATGATCTGTTGGATTAGGGAAATTCATGCCATGATGTATGGCAATGAGAGGTAATTAGAAGGTTGGATTTGGAAACTTATAAGGTTATATGATGTTGACATCAGTTGCAGATCTTATGTTGTGCTAGGTGAACACCAAAAAGTAGGAGGAGGAGGAAGTGGAGGAAGAAAAGGAGAAGGAGGAGGAAGGAAAAAGGAAGAGAAGGAGGAGAAATCTTCATTCAATGAAAAGACAGGACAGTATAGTGGTTACCAGCTCACGCTCTAAGGCCAGATTGCCATGTCATAATCATTGCTTTGCCACCTTAACTGCCCCTTGCCTCTTTGACCAGTTTTCTTATCTGTAAAATGAGTACAATAATCATATCTGTCATAGTATTTGTGAATATTAAATGGTTAATTTGGGTGCATTATATAGCATGGACTGAAACCATATTATCTATTATTATTACAATTGTTCTTGTTTCCCAGGACGAAAGTGAGGGGATACACGAGCAGGAAAAGATGACCTAGAGCTAAATATGTGAGCATGTCTTCTGACTACATCCTCTCTGACAATAAGTGAATAAATGTCTAGCTATACACGTTCTAGAACAGTGAATTCAAAGAAAGAATAATGTAATTTATAATAAGATAATCCTATTTGATGACATGAGATGACTATTCATCCTACATTCATTAATAGAATACAAAGAATGCCTTATAGAAAGAAACTCCCTTGTCACATGGTTTGTAAACACTAATGCATTTTGGGATTAGCTTGGAATACTAAAAAATACCCATTTCCAGGCATTCTGATTTATCTTTTCTGGGGTGCCAACCTTGGCATTGGTTTTATAAATCCCCTTGGATAAATGTAAAGTGCAGTAAAGTTTGGGAACTACTGCCTTTGCTCGCGAAAAGATTGTTGACTAATGAGGAAGTGACATCAACTTTGCCAGAGAACAATGGGCTTTAGGTTTGCACTTTACTTTTAAGTTCATACTAATGTTTCGTCATTTGAGTTGCTGTAAATATAATATATTGAATCATATTAAATTACTGGATATTTGAATGCTTTGACCTATAAAAATGACAATTTCATATGCAATAATTTTGAGTAAGATTTAGGTAGAGCAGCTCTTGTCCAGAGTAACCTAAATGTCCATTGATGGATAAAGAAAATGTTATGTATACATAAAAGGGAATATTATTCATCTATACAAAGGTAATCCTATCATATGCTACACGTGTGAACCCTAAGGACATTATATTAAGTCAAATAAGCCAGTCACAGAAAGACAAATACTGCATGATTCCATTTATATGAGGTATCTAAAGTAGTCAAACTCATAGAAACAGAAAGTAAAATGGTGGTTGCCAGGGGCTTGGGAGAAGCAGAAATGGGGTACTGTTCAATGCATATAGATATAGAAATCCAGTCGTACAAGATGAAAAGTTCTAGATATCTAGTGTATAACATTGTGGCTTATACTTAACAATATTGTACTGTACACTTAAAACTTTTTCAATAAGGTATCTCAGGTTTATGTGGTTTTACCACAATAAAAAATGTGCCTCTTAGTAAGAGACTGCTTTGCTAGCAAACACAGTACTTCCGCCACTTCTTTCATCCAGAATGTCTTCATTTTAAACTCCATTTGCAGAAATCTTATCTAACTTTGGAGTTCCAAGTTCCAGTGCTACATTCTCCATCAGTGCCTTATGTTAGAGAATGTGATGAGCTTTGCCTGTGGAGACAGGATCCCAGGGAAATGACAATAACAAAAGAAAGAAGAAAGAATATGAGCTTCCTCCAGACATCATCAAAGAGTTAAGTAAAAAAAATATGTTTGGAAAACCAATAAGTAAGAAAGGGTGGGGAGAAGAACTCTTGGAGAATGGGGGAAGTGAGTGGGAATAATGACATCGCATTCCAGAAATTTCATGATAACAGTGAAATGCAAGAACAGGTACAGCAGGAGTAAGAAATGGGAAGCAGAGCCTCAGGCAACACTGAAAAGCTTCAGCATCCAATTGATGGCATTGAGATCAGCTGAAAATAGAGTGTTACGTGTACATGTTGGGATAGTGTGGTAAAAGCACAATATTGCTGCAAGTAATTAGATGCTGGAATTAGATTACGCTTACTGCTATTATATTTATATCCAATTCAAGTTGTGTATAATCAAGTGAACTAGCATAAGCGATTGACATAAGCCATTTTCATGGCTTCTTTCTTGGCATGAAAGAAGGAAGGAAACAAGCAGATGGTGAACTAACATCATGTGGCACCACTCTCTATTTATGGCTGATTCCTGGTGGACCCTGTATAACAAAGAACAGTGTGAGGTTTCATGGCACACTCAGAAGAGGAATATCTCATTTGAAAACAAAAGGGAGAATCTAAAGTAGTACTCCCATCACCACAAGACTTTAGCCCTCTTCCCCATAATCCAAAGCTTCCCTTTTCCTGAGTCAGGAAGAGTAGGCTTAACTCCACTCCTCATGCCCTCCATGTTCCAGGACTCAGAGAGACAACACACAAAATTTTCATTAACAACCTCAGCGCAGGTAGTCCCCACTTACTTAAGCACTTTTGTACTTCTTTTTTGATAGTCATTGCCAAAGTTTTGATGGGCTTTGATTAAGGTATCCTGGGACCTCAGCACAACCAACAATAAAGAGAGAAGGAAGAAGACCCAGGACCAGGACAGGTAAAGGAAAACCAACCCAGCAGCAGGGCTGTTCCTGAGGGACAGTAGCTACATTAACACATAAAGTAAGTGACATCTGTGTAGACTTAGACCCATTGACAACAGCTGTTTCGGGAAATTCCAAGTGTGGTTAAAACAAGACAGAATGAGGGGATATACTTGATGTTACAATGGTAGTTTAATGTTTCCAGGCCATTAGTGTATGAAGAGCAGATATCTGGCCAGCAATTTGCAGTGTGTAAAGAGCCATACTCACTGGGGAAAAAAGGTGTGCTAGAGATAGAATTAGTGTTAAAATGGTGTAGGTGGGCCAAGCACAGTGGATCATGCCTGTAATTCCAGCACTTTGGGAGGCCAAGGCTGGAAGATCACCTCAATTCAGGAGTTTGAGACCAGTCTGGGCAACATGGCAAAACCCTGTCTCTACAAAAAATACAAAAATTAGCCAGGTGTGGTGGTATGCTCCTATAGTCCCAGCTCCTCTGGAGGCTGAAGCAGGAGAATCCCTTGAGCCCGGGAGGTGGAGATTGCAGTAAGCTGAGATGGTGCCACTGCACTCCAGCCTGAGTGACAACGCAAGACCCTATCTCAAAAAATGAAATAAACAAGTAAACATAAATAAGACAAGAAGGTGTAGGTGTTCACCAACACTCAGTGGGAAACAGCAGTACTAGACAGAGAAATGAAAACAGAATCTAACTGAGGATACTGACACTTTGGTCTGAGCCTGTGTTTGCCTGTGTAAGCCTGTTTAAGGCAAGAGGATGTCAGCAACTAAAAACTTTTAGACTACTAGAAAATTAAATCAGTAGCTAGAGGTAAAAATACTAAGAGCATAGTCAGCTTTGTGTAACAATTAACATATGTGCTTAACATATTCCTTGTACCAGAGGGTAAACACTTTGCAGGCAAGAATAATGCTTAATTTATATAGAATCCCAAGAGAAATGTATGTTTATTATAAATTTGGAAGATAAAAAGCACAGAAAATTGTGGAAGTTCCTCTATGATAATATCCAGGGCTTCTTGATGAATTTATATTGAGTTCCATTCTATAGATACACTTGTTATTTAATTATAATTGGTACATCATTGCCATCTGTCACTTCATGGCTATGCAAAGAACCCTCTCCGGAAAGTGAAAAGTCAGTGGTAATAAATAGCAACTTGCGTCCACTGTAATGAAATAACATAGTTTCTAGGCTTTAATCTACTTTCACCATAACACTTTGAATAGAAAAGGAATAAAACATTAGAAAAAAAAACCTATCATGATGCATAATGCCAAACAAAGGAATGGTAATAAGAAATGTATTGAGCTTTTTTAGAGAATTGTTACTCCAATCTGGCTGGTGGTTAAATGATTTGTCAAATGCCACACTGCTGCCCATGTTATTTTGCTGGTGCAGCTCCTTACTGTCTCAACTTCTTCCTGCCAGCATTACTGTGAAAATTCTGCCCATACTTTAGTCATGGTTCAAATGACATCCCTTACATAAAGCTTTCTCTGATCCCAGATCTATGAGTGCCATCTCAGTACTTTTTTTGATGTTCCTTATCCATATGTCAACGTGTCAGTGTCTCCTGGTCTTGGTGTTTGAGCCTCTTCTCTTCCAATTCTTACCTTCATTTCTAAGTGATCTCATCTAGTCTCAAAAGTTTCTATGTCATCTATAATTGGTTAGCTCCATTTTGTCCAACACTGACCTCTCCTCTGATGTAGTCAACTCTCTATATTACATCTACACTTGGATATTAACAGAAATCTCAAATTTAACATGAGCAAAACAGAACTTTCACTATTCTTCTCCCAAGTGACGTTCTCTCATTCTTCTTTTTAAAAAGACAGGAAAATCAGGCATTATTTTTGATTCTTCTATTTCCATCACACCACATATCCAATATACTCTGAGCAAGTGTCATCAGCTCTGTCTTACAAATGTAGTTGTGAATTGGATGGAACATTTCTTATCTTTCAACCATCACCTGAGCCTAAGCAACTATTTTCTGTAGGCTAGATCTCAGCAAGAGCCTTCTCACAGATATTCTGGATTCCACTTCCTTTTGAAATTTTTCCACAGAGCACCTGGAATAATTCTTTCAAAATTAAACTATGTGAGTTTATAGATATGTTCACTTCCTTGATTGTAGTAAACATTTCACTATCTATGTATATCTAAAAAACCATGTTGTATACCTTAAATATACACAATATTTTAAAAAGCCATCCAACCCCAAGTCCCTTATAGCAGCCTATAAAGTCACATATTCTTTATTTTTGAGCCTGCCTTCCAAGTTTGACTTCTGACACCCACCCTCCAAATCCATTTATCTCCCTGTGGATGTGCCTTCTTCATTTCCTTTGGGTATCCAGGCTCACTGTCCCTTTGGCCCTTTCAACTGTTGCTCTTTTTCCTGGAATGCTCTTCCTTAATATCCTCCTGTGGCTGGCTATCTCATTTCATTAGGTCTCTGTCACACAGTCCTATCTTCTGAGAGAACTTTCTTTACAGCACTTCCCAAAAGAACTTCCTGACTATATTGTTACTTTTTGTTCCTTTATTCTAGTTTATTTGCCTCCATATGATTTATGTCCATCTTCCAAAATACTATATATGGATTTATTTATTAATCTGTGTATTATTTTTAACTCTTTTTAAATATTAGCTCCATTGGGGTAAGATCTTTGCCTTGCTTGCTGTTACATCCACAACATACAGCATAGCAATAGGCACCCTAACCCTAACCCTGTGATAGGCACAGGGTAGGCATTCAATAAATATTTGTTAAATAGATAAATTGAATGTAATAAAATTTTCTTTGAAATCTATTCATAGTATTTTTTATTTTTTAGAGGTACTTAAGTATACATTTACTCTCCCTGGAATGCTATAAGCTTCTTGGGGGCAAAAAAGTATCCAACTATATACTCTGTTCATCTAGACTAAATCTTTGTATTTAGTAATACAGAAAACAATACATTTTTACTAAATTAATTAAAGATGAGTGAAAGTTGTGCTTTGAAGTTTCACATTTTAGGCAAAGAAGATTAAGAGCTGAGAAGTAATCAGTGTTGAGAAATTTGTATAGGTTCTAGGAGAAATACATAGCTACCTGATACCTCAATTAATAAATGCCGTCTTCTTAAAAATATAGAGAATAACTGAAATACTTAAGTAATTACTGCTATGGTAAGCCTGTGATATAAAAAGAATTGGAGATGAGGAAAAAGTAAATACAAGAGATCAATTTAGAAACTATTACAATAGGCTTGATGAAAAGTCATGGAACTCCAACTAGGGGCAAAGCCAATAAGATTAGAGACAGAGAGAGTTGTAACAGGACCTTCAGAGGTTTAGTTAATAATACTTAATGAATTTGGTCACAAATTAGAGAGGAAGGTCATGGAAACAACAGGAATCAAAGCAACTTTACAGTTTTGTACCTAAATAACAGAGAGGACAGTAAGGCAAATAAAAATTTAAAAGTAAAGAGGAAGCAACAATTCAAAAGGAAAAATTAATTCAGTTCAGGCATTTTGGATCAGAAAAAAAAGAGATAAATGCATAAATACAAGAATGGGAAGAAATACAGAGATGTCTATTGTGCCAAGGACTAAAATTCCATTTCTAAAATGATTATCCAGGTTTAAAAATTGAGAGAGATGATGGGTAGATGTTGACCCCCGAGTTCTAAGAGGTAGAAGTGAAAAACAGAGTGTTCTGAAATAAAGGAAACACTTTATGATCACCCAGGAGCCAAAGCTAAATGGTTTAGAAACTGAAGAATCTATCACAGTGCAGTTTTCTTGTGTTGGACTTCAGTTTAATTGAATATTGTGCTGATTTTCTGCTGTTATAAAAGAAACTATGACCTAGGTAATATTAAGTTCTGAAAATCTTGTCTTTAAAAAGGAAAAACACTGATCCATGTTATACAAGAAAGTATAAAGAAAATCAAATTAATTTTAGATTCATTAAAATGAAATTCAGAATACTTGAGTTGCCAAGTTTATGTTATAAAGTGAAAATACATCTAAAATCAAACAATGTTGACATTCCCTTAAAATGTGTATTTATATAAATAATTTGAAGATGCACCCAAAAGACATGCTTTTTCTTTCTGAGGATGATACATCATTTAAATCAATGTTATCATAGATAATTCATTTGGAATACAGTGCATCAAGCTCCCTCTGTCTCTTTAGAGCTTTAATAAGAACCTTGCGATGCAGAGCTATAAATTTTTTGTTTTATGTAGCCTCCATCTTATGGCTGACTCCTCTAAAATATGATTCTCCAACTGAAGTTAATTTAACAATAAACATCTCCTCTAAAATATGATTCTCCAACTGAAGTTAATGTAACAATAAGCATGCATCTTTAATTTTATTTTTGTTAAATCTCATGGGTTTTAATTTGGCAGGTAATGAATCAATTTTGTACATGTTGTTTTATTACACATATAAAAAGTCTTGGATAATCGTTGATGTATCTTTAAGTATTCTATTCTCATCTCATCAATTGCTTCCACTTCAGTTTAGAAAATTTGCTCAATACTTGTCATTTCTAGTACATTCTGGACAAAACTGCAGAATAGACAAAATTTTCTTTTCTAACTTTTTGCACATTTTAGTGTCCATTTCACTCCAGGAACACTATGTCCTTCAGTTGCATATTACATGACTGTGTCTTCACTGTCTGAAGAACTTTAAGTGTGCTTGCTGCATCCACAAACTGTGGACAAATTTACATTATATGCTCTCAAGTGCCTGTACTTTCACCAGAAATTTCTCTAGTCTACACTCTCTTTTGCCTTTGCCAATAGTCTCCTTCCATCGCCCAAGACTTGCCTTCAAATGTGAAGAGTAATGGCCCCTATTAGTACATTTTTATTTTGGCAGACCCCCTTGTCTGGGATTGAGTTTTTAAAATGTACTCCTTGTAGTTAGTAAATATTATGAGCAAAAACCATTCTGACAATTTGCAATTGCACAAAGCTATGTGCGCCATCATAGCTAATACACCTTACCTACTGTGAGGTTCCAATAATCCCAAAATTATCCCTTATTATAATTTACAAATACTGAGCACTGTGGAATTATATGTTAAATTGCTAGGATTTTCATGGTAACCCTCTCAATCAAGCTATACTAGGTCCCTCTGTCACTGCACCTGAAAGATGTCTTTGGACATCAAGAAGATAGCATGAGTTAAAAGAATCAATAAAAATAGATAATTCAGAAGAGGCTAGCAAAATGTTACCTTCATAACTCTGCTCTCTCACTTCATAAAGCTAAAAGTGGAAGCTAGGCAGGTCATTAATTTTTGTACAGATTGTAGTACACGTAAACATGTGCTACATAGCAACATAGTGTCACCTCCTCCTTTTTTCCCCTTGGTAGATAAATCTGGGAAATTTACAAGTCTTTACACATTTGTTTGTGTGTGATTTGTGAACAAAAAGTACTCACAAAAATTACCAAATCTATTATTTTTCAGATTCATCATTCAGAAACTGTTTATAGACTTAAAATAAATATTAAAAGTTTCTTAAGAAACGTATGGTTTCTTGATACATTTTGAGCAACTGGAACAGGAGTTATAATGAAAGACATCTTTCAACCTTGCCACCTTTTACTCCCATGAACACAATAATAAGTGGCATAAGTTTACACAGTCAGGTAAAAATGTCTCCATGAAACCATCCTTATGACCTAAATACAGCCTCACTGCATTAACTAATCAGGGAACATGCTGATAACAGCAACAACAAAACAGTTTTCCTTACACCTGGCAAATCAACATTGACCAACTTGTTCCTAGGTATACCTACTGCCCCCAGAAGCTAAATTATAACTAGATCATCCATGTCTGAATCATAAAAACCCTCAATATACAGTACTAGGCACTTCTAGTCACTTTGGGGAGCTTGATGGAAATACCATCTCAAAAATATATTTAATTAGTTCCCATATTGATGGTAAGTTCAGGAATCAAGGAAAAAAATTCTCAGAAACAGAATCCCCAGAGTATGACTTGATGCAAAGGTTTTAGAACTGTCTTCACAAACATACACAAAATAAATAAATAAATATGTTACAATATGATCTCCAGGTAAAAGAAAAAATACTTTTTAAAATTTAATAATAGCTCCGGGTCCTGAAATTAAGCATAGCAGGAAATGAGAGTTATGGATTTCAAAAGACATTGCACACTCTTTTTAAAGCTACAGTTGGCATATTTCTGTGTAAACTCTTAACACTTTTGTGTAACTGCAAACACAGCACGAAGGTAACATGGAGTCTCTATAAAATTACAGCAGGCAGACAATGCTAAGAAAAAAAAAACCTGTGTGTTCTTGGAATTTAATCTTATTTCATTTGATTAAGAATTCTAATATAAAATCAATGTAAGGTCTCTGATTAATTAAGTAATAAAAATTGCTGTGTTATGGATCTAGTGATCCAGTGATGGTGCTACATAAATGATGTACTCCATTAGCAAGTATTTTATTAATCATTTCATAAGTGGTAGGCAATATCCAAAGGGCAAAGGATATAGCATGAATAAAACAATTAAGATTCATGTCTTTATGGAGCTTAACATTCTAATTTAGGAGAATAGACAATAAGTTACATAAGATGTGTGTATTCCGGAAAACAGAGATTACTGTGGAGAGAAATAAAACATAGGAGAGGGGAAAAAATATTGAGGAGAGTAGTAGGTTTATAGTTTTTACTATCATTTCCAGAGTTGGCTTCACTGGAAAGGCGAACTGAACAAAGATTGAAACCATGCAGATGTTTGTGAAACAGGGAAAGGAAGTAGGCAGTGGAAAGCCTTGAGGCTTGAGGTATGACTAGGAAGAGCAAGGAGCCGGTGGGAACTTATGGGGGTGGGTAAAAATGTGTGGAGAATAAGAGATGAGAGCCTTGTGAGCCATTTAGTAGATATCGGCTTTTACTCTGAGTGAAATGTTAAGGAAAGATGTGGTTTCATCGATGATTTCAAGAAATACTTTCCTTGCTTGGCTAAGAATAGACAGAAAGCAAGAGCAGAGACAAAAATCACTTAGGAGGATACTGGGGCAAGAGAATATGGTGGCTTGTACCAGGATTTCAGCAACGTAGGTGGTAATAAGTAGTCATATTCTGGGTATATTTAGAATGTAGAGGCAAAAATGACTTGCCGACAGAATGGTTGTGGGATGTGAAAGAGAGGAAGAAATCAAGAAGGACTCTAAGCGTTTTTTTTTTTCTTTTTACCTGGGTAACCTGGGCATCCACTCTTTAAATGGATAAAACTGACATTTAAAGGGAAAAAAGTGCACTGAAGCAGAGTTAGGTTCAGGAGTAGAGGGGAGAGCAAGTGTTTGGATTGGGACGTACTATGCTTGTCATAACTATTACACAGCTAGTTGTTGGTGTTGAGTGAGGAGACCTTCAGGTGTGAAAGATAAACTTGGGTGTAACCAGAATGAAGACAGTTTTTAAAACCAGGACACTGGATGCAATCACCAAGGTGTGAATGTACAGGGCAAATAGAAGGGCTCCTAGTACCGAGCCCTGGGGCACATCAACATTCAGAGGTTGAAGAAAAGGGACAAGCAAGGAAACTGCAAAGGTGATTAATGAGGTAAGAGAGAAAGTGTAAGCGTGAATTGAGTCTTGGAAGCCAGGTGAAGAAAATATTTCAAGGAGGAAATACAGATCAATTCTCTCTAAAAATGTTGATGTGTCAGTCAAAGGGTCATTGGATTTAACACTAAATCATTGGTGACCTCTGTAAGAACAGTTTCAGCAGAGTTGTGAGAGAGTGAGTTGGTTCAGGAGAAAATAGACAGGAGGAAGAGTTAGAAAAAATTCAGAGAAGTTTTGCTATAGAGGGGTCACAGTAATGAGAGGGTTACTAGACATAAATGATGTGGAATCAAGAAAAAGCTTTGCTTTGTTTTAAGATGGGAGAAATTACAGCACATCTGTATGCTGACAGAAATGATCCTGTTGAAAGCATTCTCAAAAGGTAATCTAATAAGAATTATCTGACATGTTCTAATAAATTATATACTTCTTCTATAGAAGCCTGAGCCACTAAACTGCAATTGCTAATGAAAAAAGAAAAACTTTAACATATTTACAACAACAAATTGAGAACATAAATGGCTCATGCTATATCTCATAATTTTTCAGTGTGTCTACTCAAATATTCATCATCGTTGACCATCATTTTTGCCAAAAAAATTCTCACAATTTCAATTGTCACCACCAACAGCTTGATTGAAAAGATTCTTTGGAAAAATTTTTCCCAAATAATTGATATATTTATAAAGACCTATGTGATAGGTGTTCTGATCAGGGGCCTTCTCTAAGATTAAAATTTCTAAAAAAAGGAGCTGTGATCTTTTCAGAGAGAGGTGTTACTAAAGAAATGCAGGTAGAGAGGCAGGGGTCACCTTGGGCAATTGATTCTCAATTATGGGTGAAGAATAGAATTACATGAGAAGATTTTAAAATACCTATGCCCTAGATTCATCCTCAGAAATTCTGAGGTTTAGTTGGTTTTAGATAGGGCCCAAGCATCTGAATTTTTAACAGTTCTTCAGTGGATTGTCATGAACAGTACTTAAATTCTTGGCACAGATCTTTAATAGTCATCAACTGTCAGCCTCTAAGTTCTGAGGGTTTAGTGGCAGGGAATAAAGAAACACTGGGATGACCTTCAAGTCCTCTCAAGAGGCAGTGGTGTGATAGGGTTTCCGGCTCAAGAATAACATTTATCTTAGTAAAAGACTTATGCATATACCTTAACCAAGCTTGTGTTTATCTAAATTATCTAACAACTCTGTTCCTCATCTCTCCCAAGTTTTTACAAATCTAACTTAAAGATTTGATTCAAGGGCTAACTCATGGACTTAGACTATTAAAGAATATCTGTCTAGACTATGGTTAGAAAGTAATTTCTACTCATATTACCTCATTAAGCAAAACCCAGAACACAGACATAAGGCATCCTTGGGGTGCTATGATTGTGTGTATAAATGGCATGCTTCAATTTCCTGTTTCTTTTCCTATATTACTATAACTTGTTCTCGGCCTCCTTTAAACTACTGTTTTTCATTTACCTCTTTTTGGTTTCTGCATTTATTTTTACCCTTCTCTGCCTTTCTCTTCATTTTGTAGTGTCTTCTTTCACTTTTTTTTAATCATTATTGGCAATAGCTGGAACACGGAAATGGAAGAGAAGTTACATTCAAGGAATGTAAAATATTGGGAGTTCTTTATAATCATTTAGAAAGCATTTCATACAGAAGGGGTGCTAAAAATTATGTATCTGAGCAATAAAGCCCAGAAAATAACTTCCAAAGCAGTTCTACTACTTACCCCAAATAAAGAAACCAAGAAATGGAAAATCACATATACAAAATAATTGTATACATTTTAAATGTACAAGCTGTTTATTTCATAGAGAATCTTATTGCCTGACTATATTTTAAAAATGAAACAATGGTTCTTCTGCATTTTAAGGCAACAGTATCCTCTTGGAAGAGTAATATATATAATACATTCACAATATAATCAACATAAAGGGTCTTTTGGATACAGTGCATATATGAACAAGAATCTGTAAAAGAAATTATTTAAGACTAAAGAGGAAAATCATGCATTATTGCCATGTACTGTGCCTAGCTCTCCATCCTGTGCACATATTAATTTAGTACTTACTAAACATTAGAAAATAAATGAAGTGCTACAATAATTCTTAGACTTCAGATCAAACCACTCTTTAAAATCTGTTTTCACTCTCTGTATAACAACGTCTCTATGATAAGCCAGCCCTTTCTCAAAATCAGTGAGAATTCTGGCAAAAATGCTAGATATCTGTAATATGATTTAATTCTATTAAAATAACTTCAATAAACCATTTGCATACTAGAAATTACAGACACTAGCTCATTTAGGATAAATTCAAACAATACAAAAATGTTGCTAGGAGATAGGAAAAAATAGCTAATTGAGTTCAGCAAAGGAAAGTGTCTTCATGATTCCAATTGAGATAATCATTTCATTCTTCACTAACACTCTTTGGATGCTACCCTGAAATTATGGAAAGAAACACAGCTAATCAACTATGAATTTTAGAATGTTCATCAATTGTTTTCCATTTATAATAACTTGATCAATATTTCAATGGTAAACAGATTTTCAGAATTTCAGTCTCCCTATAAAAATTTTGTAACCATTTGCATTTCAGCCTTAAACAACATGGTTCATTGCCCTATTTTATTTATGTAAAGTCATTTTGATGCCTAATACAAAGTATCTTACTCTCTAATAGAAAGGATTCTACAACAGGTATGAATTTGAATTCATACATTCATTTATTCTGAATCATTATTTATTTATTTAAATATCTCTATCACCTAGTATATTGTGAGTTTCTTTAGAATAGAGCCTATTCATGGCCAACATGGTGAAACCCCATCTCTATTAAAAATAAAAAATTATCCAGGCGTGATGGCAGGTGCCTGTAATCCCAGCTCCTCGGGAGGCTGAGGCAGGAGAATAGCTTGAACCCAGGAGGCAGAGGTTGCAGTGAGCCGAGACCGCGCCATTGTACTCCAGCCTGGGCGACAAGAGCGAAACTCCATCTCGAAAAATAATTAAAAAAAAAATTTAAAAAGAAGAATAGAACCTATTCAAATCTTTATTCCCAATAACTAGACAGTGACCACATGCAGGATACATTTAATACATATTTGTATATCAGATTTCCTAACTGCTTGGCACAAAAAACTATATTGTTTTAAATTTTATTTTAGAGAGATAGACTATAAAATGTCATCTCTCAATCATTCTTCTAAACGGGTAATCCTAGAGTAGAATCTCACTCTTCAGGCCATAAAATTCATGTGATCATAGAATGTTTCTGGTCATTTCATTTGGTCTGAAGAGTGTTTTAAAATACTGTAACTAGGCAGGAAGTGTGCCTTTGGTGATAGCAATGGTACAAGTGTAGACCCGTTGTCTTACTGTAGGACCACTTCACACTACATGTCACAATGTCAACTGTGAATGCATTTGAGTTTATGACACTTACCTCCTGAGCCCAAAGTTTTAGAATTGAAAGAGCCTCAGGAATGTATCTACCTAAGCCTAGATTCTAGAAAGTGTCTGTATGGTTCTATTAGAATGAGTGGTATACATAACTTCTGAATAAATTATTACATTTGTTTTTTATTGCTGTGTAATAAGTTGCCATAAATGTAGTTGCTTAAAATCATACTTTTTTGTAATATTTCTGTGAATCAGGAGACCAGGCACAACTTAGCTAGGTCCTCTGCTAAGGGTCTCACAGGCTGCAAACAAGATATCAGTGGGGCTGCATTTCTTACTAAAGTTCGAAGTTTTCCACCAACCTAAGTGGTTTTCAGAATTAAGTTCCATTCCATACCGCTGTTGGATTGAGATCCTGCTCTCTTGCTGGATGTTGGCCAGGACTAGATCTCAGCTCCTGACCATGTGATCTGCTCACAGACCCTCTCACAATACAGCACCTTACTTCATCATTTTTTTTTTTTTTTTTGAGACGGAGTTTCACTCTTGTTGCCCAGGCTAGAGTACAGTTGTGCAATCTCAGCTCACCGCAACCTCTGCCTCCTGGGTTCAAGCAATTCTCCTGTCTCAGCCTCCTGAGTACCTGGGATTACAGGCGTGCACCACCACGCCTGGCTAATTTTTTTTTTTTTCTAATTTTTAGTAGAGACAGGGTTTCTCCATGTTGGTCAGGCTGGTCTCGAACTCCTGACCTCGGGTGATCTGCCCACCTCGGCCTCCCAAAGTGCTGGGATTACAGGCGGGAGCCACCACTCCTAGCACCCAGACCCATTTTTAAGAACGTTAACAAGATTGTATCTGGCCCACCCAGGATATTCTTCTTTTGGATGAACTCAAAATCAACTAATTTGACCTAAATTACATCACAAAATCATCTCACTTTTGCCATATCACATGACCTAATCACAGCTGTGACATCCCATCATGTTCACAAGTTGCACCCAAACTCAAGGAGAGGGGGTAATACAGAGGCCAGAAATCTTGGAGATCCTCTTAGAATTCTGCCTATCACAATCACAGATGCTTTTCAGACAATCATATTTCCCAGGATACAAAAGTGTGTTAACACATATAGATGTACACATATATTTATATAACACATAAACTATACAAATTTATATCACATTAGTTTAGTTTAAAATATTACTAGACTGTACCTGCCTATGCATACATATGTAGGTATATATAATACATGTAAATATATATATTTATATATTTATTTTTCCTTCTAGTTGTCTTTCTCCTTAATTTGTACTTTTCCTCTTTCTCCTTCTTCTTTCCTTCCCCTTTTCCTGCTTCATCTTCTTTTCATCAACAAAATACCAAACGGAATTAATTTGTATAAACTGCCAAAAAGGAAGAGACTTAATCTTTGACTATGAAAAATTAGGCTAATGTTTTTATTTTTATTCATAAAAGAGCATTTGGTGAAATGCCATGGTAGATTTTATGTTTGCACACTACAAATGAGATGGAGTTTACTTTTACTCTCTAGAAAAGAAAACACTGTAACTTCTTAGCTATTCATGATTTTATATATATAAAAGTAAACCATCTGTAAGCCAATTTCCTTAAGGAAATTAGGAACATTTTTAGAGGTTTCATGATAAGGTGAAATAAATGTTTGATGGAGCCAATTCTCTTCTTTGTTCAATAGAAATTATTTTTTAAGAAACTGGATTAAAGTGACTTTACTCAATGTATTTGTCTAATGGATTTTCTCAAATTTGCAAGGCATAAGGAAATAAAATGAGTAAGAAAGTGACAGAGATTTTCCTATCTAATCAGAGATTTAAAAAGTCTTTATTTATAAGCATTCAGGAGTGAGAATTAAAGGGAGAATTTTGCAGAGTGCTTACTTTGACATGGTAAGAAAAGCAAAAGTATGCATCATAAACTGGACCTCTGAGAGGTCCATACAAGGGAATTCCACCCAAAGAGATCTGGTTAAAGGCCTATTCTACTATTAAAGAGCTCTGTCATTTAAGAAGAAAGTTCACTTTCTCCATGTATGGATTATGAATATGATTAACTTCTCTATCCAATTCTCAGGATTACTGTAATTAAGTAGTATGACAATAAAAAGAGCACAGATACACAACTCAGAGAGAATTCTGTTGTAGTTCTGACTTTATTACTTCCTAACTACATGTACCTGGGCAAGTTATTTATCTAGCCTTAACCCAAGTTTCCTCACATGGCAAATAATACAGAGTCTCAAGGCAAACTTCTAGAATTAGAAAGACCCCCCAAGCTAGAGTGAAAAATGACTAGTGAAATGTTTCTGCATGTAAGAATACAGTGCAGAGAATGCCTACTTTCACATCCTCCCAACAACCTCATTCATTTATCTCAGAGTCAAATGTATAAAGCAAGAAAGACTAGAGAATGGGTAGAATTTACCTTTTCTGGGATCTGAGACTATCCAAAATGATTCTATATATCTGGACTTTATATTTGTTATTTAATTCATTATTGTTTCAAAATAAATGAATAAGTAACAAAACTTAAAAAAAACTTTTCTGGATAAAAGGTGTTCCAGAACATTTATTCTTTATACTGTATCATAAAGTCAATATAGAATGTTGAGTATAATATTCATTTATTCTAGACAGTTATTGCTTCATGTATGACATGAGGAAAATGTATCCATGCTCTAATATTTTGCATGCCATAAAGTATAAAGGATACTTTATAGTAAGAAAGAATCCACTTTTTTGAAGTTTTGCACAAAATATGGTTAAAAAATCATTTAGATGGTGACCAGAGTGACTCTGTGAAAGATAATAGATTACATGTTAGTTAATATGTAGGTAGCAAGGGAAAGGAAATAAATTCTAAACCTACATGTTTGAGCTGAAGAGAGGAGACTCTTTCTATTAAATTAGTTTGTATATATTGAGCATGGGAACTTCTGCTCTAAAACCATAATGTAAATATTCTGTTGAACCTAAGCTGCTGGAAGATGAGGATTAGGAAGACAAAGGATTCCTATTTGCTTACAATCACTGTGCCAGGTTCTAAATAAAAGCAAATTACAGACTAAATTCTGCCACATATACTGCCATTTGTAAGCCCAACTCTTATTAATAAGCAGGCACAAAAACACTTATACAACCTGCTTTTGTCAGCTTGATAAAGTCCCAATTCTCTGGGTTTTGTGATAAAGCAACCACTTCCTACATAAAAAATTCTCTAGCCCAAAAATATTTTAGAGGCAGGATTCAGTTAACCTAATATTTGAAACAGCCAGCTGGAATATTCTAACCTGTAACCACATTAGAATCCTGCCTTCAGTGACATTCTAAAAGATGAGGAGGAAAATGCTTTCCTGACTTGATTATCCTATATAAGCAGTGGGGGAAGTCTAACATAGTTAGATCTGTATATGTTGAATACACCTAAATTCACATATAATTTACAGGCATCTTCATTATTCTCATTAAAAAGCCACTAAGTTCACCAGTGAAAATCCTCTTCTAATATACATTCACAAAGCCTCTGGTGTTGATCAGGGATAATCGCTAAACCACTTATAGTTGCCTTTTGATTAAATGTTATTACCCTTCATGTGTATAAAGCATTCCCTATTAGGAAAATTAACTGTCTCTTGAGCGAAATTGAATTAAGACATATATAACTTCCTATCTCTATGCTGAAATAGTTTAAAGCGCATTTCCAGTGTCATAACACTCAGAAGTATTTATCTCCAATCCAGACCTTTCCTATAAACTTCAGACTCAGCATAAGTGGCCTACTAAACATAATCAATAGCCTCCTGATTGGTTTCCTGTTACTGTCCTTAGCCCCCTACAGTCTGTTAACAATACCACAAAGAGTAGTTCTGGCTCCTTCTGATAGAAATCTAGAACCGCTCAGAGCAAGGGTCAGATCTTATCATCCTGTGCATGAAACCCTTTAGTGACTCCTCACCTCACAGAAGTAAGAATGAACATCTGACTGGGTCTTCAATTCCTCTGATCTTTCTGATTCTATCTCCTACTGCCCTCATCCTGCTCACAGCAGGGAGTCTCAGTGGCTGCCTTAATGTCTCCTCAATCATGCCGGGTACTCACTTCCACCTCAAGGTGGATTGGACATGAGGCCTTCCTCTGCCTGGTTCCCATTCCTCATATATACGCATGGCTTGCTCCCTTACCTCCTTTAGGAATTTGTGTTAATATCATCGTATTATTTTCCCATGGCTGCTATAACAAACTACCACAAACTCGGTGTCATAAAACAATAGAAATTCCATTCTCTCACAGTTCTGGAAGGCAGAATGAAATGTTTCACTGGGCCCAAATCAAGGTATTGGGAAGGCCACACTCCCTCTAGAGGCTCTACAGGAAATCTGTTCCTTGCCTCTCCTAGCTTCTGGTGGAAGCTGGACTTGTGGCCTCACCATTCCAATCTCTACCTCTATGGTCACATTGCCTCCTCTTCTCTCTCTATAAAATCATCTCTGCCTCTCTATTACAAAGGTACCTACCATAACATTTAGCACCTACCCGGATAATACAGAATAATCTCCTCGTCTCTTAATCTTTAACTTAATTACATCAGGAAACTTTGCCTGTATGTTAACATTCACATGTTCTGAGGCTGAACCTGTTTCCTATGGGGAAGATGTTTGTCAGTCTACCACAGTCATTTCTCATAAAGGCCTTCCCATAATGTCACAATTAAAATGTCAGCCATCCTCTCCCACAGCACTTTCTGTCTCCCTTCTCTGCTTTATTATTTTTTCCAGAGCATTGATCACCAGATGACATTCCTTATATTTACATATTTCTTATATTATTTGGCTTCTTCAACTATAATATGAGTACCATGAAGCCAGAGTTGTCATCTTTTCTCTTCATTGCTCTTTTCCCTAATACCTTGAAAGAACAATGTCTTTCATACAGCAAGCCTTAGATGAATATTTCTGAATGAATAGATAGATGAATGAAGGAAGAAAGGGGTTCAAGTATTTTAGTTGAATGGAAAATGTATCTAGTAAGTTAAAGGGTGCCCCTTCAAAATATTTGTCCATGTCTGAATTCCCAGAATTAGTGAATATTAGCTTGTATGAGGAAAGAGTGAACAGTTGTAAAACATGTGATTCAGTTAAGGATCTGAAGAGGAAAAACTTATCCTGGATAGTCTGGCTGGGTCCTAAATCAAGCACATGTATCTTTATAAGAAAGAGAGGCAGAGGTAGAACAGAAAGAGACACACAGAGACACACAGAGGAAAAGTCACAGAAGAGGAAGCAATGTGACCATGAATCACTCTGGTAATTAGAGTGATAGGGCCATAAGTCAAGGCATGCCAGCAGCCACCAGGAGCTGGAAATGGCAAGGAACATACCCTCCCCTGAAGCCTTCAGAAGCAGTCTGGCCCTGACAAAGACATTTTGATTTCAGACTTCTGGTCTCCAAAACTATGACAGAACAAATTTCCATTATTTTAAGCCACCTAGCTTGTGGCAATCTGTTATGGCAGCCCTAGGAAATTACTACAATGTGGACATTCTAAATGGCTTCTAATTATAGGAAGACAGATTATTTTAGGAAAGGCATTCTTATTTTGAATTTATTATCTGGGTTCCTGTCACTCAATTAAGAGCACAGACTCTGCAGTCAGAAGTCAGATATCCTGTGTTGCAATTATTTTGTTAACTTCTGAGGACCTTGGGGTCCATTGATCTTTTTGCCTTGGTTTTAGCATCTGTAGAAGAAGAATAAACCAATGGTAGGCCTGGAATTAAAATATTTAAGAATTACAAAGCAGTTAGAAATGTGCCTACACCTAACATGCATTAAATGTTGTCATTATTTTGCTATTATTTGCATTATATTATGAAAATCTAGTTTATTAGAAATATCTTAGCAGTGTGATACATTTTTGCCCATCAAAAAGTACAAGAACACAATCTGTTCTCAAGGGGGTGATGGTCTAGGCATTATCACATATTGATGGTAGGAGTAAAATTGCTATAACTGCAATGGGGGGGCAATTGGTACTATTTATCAAAAGTAAAAATTCACTTACACTTGTGAGATAACTTGGTTAGGCACTGCAGCATTGTTTTAATAGCAGAAGACTGGAAACCTAAATTCCAGCAATACAGGCCAAGTTAAAATATGGAATATTCATTCAATGGATTATTGTGAAGCAGTCAAAAAATGAGGCAAATATTTCCAGTTCTGGCAATAGAAGAGTAACTTTTTGCTAACCACAGTCCCACTGAGAATAATAGATATGCTAGACAAAATATAAATGTGTGTGTGTGTGTGTGTGTGTGTGTGTGTTGTGTGTTTGAATAAACGGCTAAGATACTGGAGAGAAAGAAAGCTCATGGAAGTAAGCCAGACATTCTATGCAGCTTTTCTCCTCAAATACTGCCAATTTGGAAGTGGCATAGAACCAAGAGGCTAAATACCTAGCAGTAAACAGCAGCTAAGAAGCTGAGTTGAACTTTTGAAAGTCTTATGGGGTTGGGGAGATAAAATTTTAAACATAATGAATAGAAAGATAGTTGGGAATCCTGAACTCGTAATCTTGGAGGGAAGGGAAGGACAGAAGTAAGCCCAACAGTTGGTCCTGCTCTTTCCCTTAAAACATTGCTCAGGTTGCCAAACATAGATCTGATAAGGAGTTTGCATGTAGAATATGTAGAGATGCCTACATCTTAACAACATATAAACAACTCAATTTAAAAATTGGCAAAGTACTTAAACAGACATTTCTTCAAGGAACATCAACAAATGGCCAATAAGCAGATGAAAATATTTTCAACATCATTAGTCATTAGGGAAATGAGAATCCAAACCACAATGAGGTATCATTTCACACCTACTCGGATGACTACAATAAAAATGATGAATAATGACAAGTAATGGCAGGGATTTGGGGAAACTGAAGCCTTCATATGTAGCTGACAGTATAATGATGCAGCTGCTGTGGAAAACAGTTTAGTGGTCACTCAAAAAATTAAACATAGAATTACCATACGACCAGTAATTGCACTCCTAGGTGTATACCCAAAAGAATTATAAACAGGGACTAATCAGATACTTGTACACAAATGTTCACTGTAGCATTATTTACATAGCCAAAAGTTGGAAATAACTCATGTCCATCAACAAATAAATGGATAAAGAAAATGTGAGTGGCAGGGTGCGGTGGCTGACACCTGTAATCCCAGCACTTTGGGAGGCCAAGGCGGGAAGATCACAAGGTCAGGAGCTTGAGACCAACCTGGACAATATGGTGAAACTCCATCTCTACTAAAAATACAGAAGTTAGCCAGGCATGATGGCAGGCACCTGTAGTCCCAGCTACTCGGGAGGCTGAGGCAGGAGAATCACTTGAACCTGGGAGGCAGAGGTTGCAGTGAGCCGAGATCAAGCCACTGTACTCTAGACTGGGTGACAGAGCAAGATTCCAGCAAAAATAAAAATGATAAATACAGTCAATGGACTGTTATTCAGCAATAAAAAGAATGAAATTCTGATACATGCTACAACATGGATAAACCTTGATAACATTATGCTAAGTGAAATAAGCCAGACAATGAAAACAACACATGTAGTTTGATTTCACTAACATGAAATTATCTATAAGCACCTAATTCACAGAGACATAAAAATTAGAGGTTAAGAGAGGCTAGAGAGAGAGAGAATAGAAAATTATTGCTTAATGGATGCTGAGTTTCTGTTTGAATGATGTAAATATTTTGAAAATAGATGTGACAGTTGTACAACATTGTGCATATAAACTAACGTCACCATGGGCTTCTGGATTGAGTTGGGCACTGTAGGGGCCAAGATGGCTCTCTGAAGTTCTGCTGAAAAAAATAACAAACTCATAAAAGGCGTATTAATTGGTGAAAATGTAACAATTTTGTTTAACATCTATGCAAGGGACCTTTCAGAATGGTGACCCAAAGATACAAGAGAAATTGTCTATTTTTATGCTTAGGTTCAAAAAAAACAGTTGTGTAAAAATATGACAGTTGTGTAAAAATATGATTAAACAAAAAGGGCATAATCTCATACAAATAGACGGAGTCTGGAAGCCCAGCAAGGCCAGTCTGTCTAGATTCTTCTTGGCCTCTTTGAGCGTCATTTCTTCCCTCTGGGGGTGGTGCGGGACCCTTTCTGGAATGGGGGTCTCAGAACCTACAGTCAAACAACTAGGTCAGATAATTTCTTTATGGCCAGTTTTCACACAGAAAATCAGAAGGAAAGTTAAAGTAATATTTTTAGGTTTTATGGCTGGTTTTGGGGAAAAGGGATTCTGGTTTCTACGAAAATCCTTGGGGAAAAGGAATTCTAGTTTCTATGGTTAGCCTTCGGGGAGAATAGACTGAGGGGCAGGAGGGCAAGAGAAGGTCAGGGAAAAACTTTTGCTTCTGTGGCTGCTGCTGAGGCCTTCATTTGGGGGTATTATTTTCTGAGCTGCAGAGGCACCAGGATTTCTATTGTTATTCCCACATTTTCACACCGCACATCACACATACTTAGCATTCAAATTATATTAAATAAATATTTGACTGTCCACCTTCTTCCTATTGTCCTTCCTTCCCCTGGCCTGCCATACTTTCTTTCTCTTGATATCTTTTAATTCAAAAGTTCAAGAACAAAAGGCTGTTCTTGGCATGCAGCAAAAATATTTTAAGAAAATTTCTTGATTTAAATTTAAATGAGCAGTTCATTACATAACACGTATGAATTAAACAGAAATATTGTTGGGAAATATAATTAAAAACAAAGCCTTTTTCCAACCCAGAAATCCTCTCCTTAAAAGTAGTAGTGGAAAACAAAAACAGAAAGTTTTATTATTGACAAGCACTAAGCCAGACTGTGACGTACATCACCATCAATCCACTAAGAGATTGCAAAGACAGAAATCTCAACCTTTCATGTAGACAAGCAGATACAACCTATTACATACATGTTTTCAAGATAAACAATGACTAGTCCTTGACAAGAACATTTGTCACACATAATCCATCCTCACTTTACCTGATCATTGAGGTGACCATCTGTGTTAGCTAATTAGCTGTATCCAGAGGAAAAACAAATTCCTCATCTCTATATGAGAGGAGGTAGTTTCGCAATCCTCCAGCTGAAGTTAGGCTCCTACCTTAACCACAGAAACTGAGAGATAGAGGTGCTATCTCCCTTGATGTTTGCATTTCAAAGAAATCCCTCCCATGTTCTTGAGAAAGATGTCCCTAGGTCATAGAGGTGACAAAAGTCCTATCCAGTCTTCAAAAGGATTTATATACATTTCAAAGACACAAGAAAGTATTTAAGATATTCTAAGATAAGTGCTCTAAGAAAAAGGAGGGGAGAGAGCTCTTACCTCATTCTTAACAGGGAGAACTAAGCCTCTTACTTTTAATTTGCATTTGTTCTTACAATATGCAAATCCATCTTAAATTTAATTAATCTCACTGTGCAATCTTGGTATATTTCATTCCAGTCATTGATATATGTGTGTATCTATCATTTTACATAGGCATTTTATTATTTATTATTTAATGTTATTTATTACTCATATATTTCCTCAGGTATTCAGATCTTTCTGTAAATTCTAATGTGAATAGTCACCTTTGATCTGTGAAAAGAATAAAAAACAAAGTGATTCATAAATAACTAAAGGCTTAGTTTACTCTTAGGAAATATTACATATATTTGAGATGTAGTCTTGCTCTGTCACACAGGCTGAAATGCAGTGGCACGATCTCGGCTCACTGCAACCTCCACCTCCTGAGTTAAAGCAATTCTCCTGCCTCAGTCTCCCAAGTAGCTGGTATTACAGGCATCTGCCACAACACCCAGCTAATTTTTTACTTTTAGTAGAGACAGGTTACCACCATGTTGGCCAGGCTGGTTTCAATCTTCTGACCTCAAGTGATCTGTCCACCTCAGCCTTCCAAAGTCCTGGGATTAGAGGTGTGAGCCACCATGCCTGGTCAGAATATATATACATATTTTTTTTCTTAATTTTTCTACAGCTAGAAACTGAAACCCGCAGGATTTCAGTGTGATGCTTGAGATGACCAACATGACTAGTTTGCTGTGAACTGTATTTTGTGTATTGATTATTTTAAGAAATATTTATCCTCTAAGGAGCTTGCAAACTACCCAGGAAAAGAATGTAGCACAATGAATTGTTATGTATTATTCCATTTGTTTTAATAATAGACATCATGTTAGTCCATTTTCACAGTGCTATAAAGACATACCCGAGACTGAGTAATTTACAAAGAAACAAGGTTTAATTGACTCACAGTTCCGCATGGCTGGGGAGGCCTTAGGAAACTTAACAATCATGGTGGAAGGGGAAGCAGGCACGTCTTACATGGCAGCAGGTGAGAGAGAGAGTGTGTGAGAGCACAGGAAAAACTACCCTTTATAAAACCATCAGATCTCCTAGGAACTCACTCACTATCATGAGAACAGCAAGGAGGAAACCGCCCCCATAATCTAATCACTTCCCTCCCTTCACACGTGAGGATTACAGGTCTCTCCCTTCACATGTGGGAATTACAATTCCAGATGAGATGTGGGTGAGGACACAGAGTCAAACCATATCAATAAGCAATATGCTTATTGCATAAGCAATATGTTATGGGGAGAGAAGTGGGAGTGGTTAAGTTGGCCTGGAAAGTTCAGGAAGAACTACACAGAGGTTAAAAGTACAGTCTAGCCAGAGGGAGGAGCTCAAGCAGAGGAAAAGACTTATGGGAAGGTCTGGCATACTTAAGCAATGGATTGCGAATTCCAGTGAGGTTTATCAGATTTGCCTAGGGAGTTTATTGAAAATATGGATCCAGAGACTCCATATCAGTGTTCCCAAAATGTTTTACATTAATGCCCACCCATTTTGATTTCAATGTCCACCTGAGTTTGTGAATCACTGCTTTAGGGCTTATGCCTGGAACCCAGTACAGATAAGAAGTGGGAGAGACAAGCAGAGGCTAGATAATGAAAAGCTTTGTGGGTTGTCCCTAGAGAGGCTGAATTTTATCCTGAAAGTTTTTGGCCAAGATTTGTCATTAATTTCCACCTAGGCTGGGCATTAAAAGCCTGAGGATATGAGAGGAAGAAAGAAAGTAAAAGAAACGAGTCAGGATTGAGAAGTGAATGTTAATTTAGGCTCTCCTCCTTCCCCACCAGCCAGGGGCAAGCTGTTTCTGCTACTTTAACCGTTTTCTGTCCTGTCAGGGACAAAGCACAATTTATTAGAAAAGATTTTTCCAAGGAAAGCATTTTGCTTCCAGCTGTGAATCTGCCTGCTGTTCTTAGAGTCATAAAGAAGCCTCTGCTGGTAGGTATGGTCACTGTTTCAAGGAAGAAAGTTAAAGTCTATGTTTTGGAAAGCATGGGGGAAGAACCCCTTTCTTCTCCCAATCTGTGGAATACATTATGTGTAAGCAGAAAAATACGTTGTGTAAGTGAGGTGTTGAGGAGGGGCAAGCTCACCTCCTACTTTTCACATATCAATTATGACTGAGATTAAGACATCTATACATATAAAAGCACAAAATATATTTTAAAACTTACAAGACATTCCAATACCTATTGAGAAGGCTTAAGATTTCCTAAAATAATGTAATGAGCTAAAATGGTATTGGAACCTTCCAGAGCACTAGCTATTACACAGGACTGCTTATTGCCTGGCTTCTCAGCCTCAGCATTATTGACATTTTAACTGGACAAATTTTTGTTATTGTTGGGATAGGCCTGTGTATTATAGGATGTTCATCAGCTGCTCTGGCCTCTGCCTGCTAGATTCCTGTAGTACTCTTAACCAGTTGTGACAGCTAAACATGTCACAAATACATGAATATTGCCAAATATCTCTTAGAAAGGAGAAGACCAAAATTGCCCCTGCTTGAGAACTAGTCATTTATTAATAACATATGGAGATGAGATCTTTCTGCAAATTCAGTAATTTAAACCCCCATATAGAGAGGATATAAGTCTAATCTAGATAAAATTTATTAATGTTTCACAAATTCCACCTAAACCCAATTATGTTAATGCACGGGTTTATCATTCTGTTCATAAATAGCCTATAGTAATGATTGAGGAGTTAAGGCTTGGAGATAGACTTTCATAAAAATCTTAATGACAAGCATGCCACTCATTTTCATTTTTTTTCCGGGTATTAAATTGTATCCCAGGGTCCCAAAGAATTAATATAACTCAAAACCATCACTGATGTATTCCTTTCTGGATCCAATTACATGGTCTATAATAAAGCCCTGTAGCTCCCGGAGGTAGAATGGGGGAATAAAAAGTAAATGCATTCTCCACTTAAAATTCCTACGTATTCCACAGACCATCAGAAAACTTCTGAAGTCAGCATCTCTGAACTCCAAATACTGCTGATTCACAGTGTCTCTTTCACTTATGACCCTGACCTATCTATGCAGAATTTGGGGTTCATTTTCTTTGGAATGACCATTCTTAGATGTAAAGGTAAATTTGACTCCCAAAAAGAGTAAGGCAATAACTAACCTCGAACCATTCTGAGTGTGACTTCTATAGATCTCATTTCAATTTTTTGCCTCTAAAGAGTCTTAAATCTAAAATACTTATTTAAATTTGACAGTAAATACTGGCACCTTCCCCAGTGTTCACAACTCCATTTCTAAATGTATTTTCAGTGATATATGGCTTGGGTAAAATTTATGTGTTCTATACTTATGGAAACAACTTAACTCTCCAACAATAAAGGGATGGTTAAATAAATTACTCTACATCTACATACATTCATTTAAAAATTATGGCTGAGAAGAATAATTACCAGCATATTTATGATATAAAGTAGAAGTTATAAGGTAAAATAGAAAATTATATACAGTATGATCTTTAGTATACATATATAAATATATATGATTTTATAAAGCATTTTACCCATCAAATGATAAATATTTCAATTCATGTATTTATTTTGTATTTTTTCTCTGCTTTTCTCAAAGCCTCCATGTCAGAAATGAAGAAGGAATCTGCACGTTCAGACAAAATAGACCTACTGCCCTCTAGATACTTCCTTCAGCCTCTCAACTTAAGATAAACTTTTGTGTCTTCATTCTTATCATTTTTGTACCAAGAAATACTGGACATCCTTCATCTCCAGCAGATTATATTTCCATCTGGCTCTGTCTGTCCTCTTTTATGACTAGTCTCTTGAAAGTTTTTCTAATTCATCTATGAACTCAAGGTCAATCATCAGTGAAAGCCTAGTCATTAGAGAAACTTTAATGTCAACCACTTCTGTAGACATTCTTTTTGCGTTTTGCTCTAACAGGAATCTGACTCTCTCCTGTGGACTCCGTTCCTTGAAATCCAAAACTTAAAGTATAATAATAATAAAATTAAAAAAAAAAGAAAGAAATCAAGTCAAGCAGAAATTGAGTTGATTC
Organism: Homo sapiens; assembly: GCF_000001405.40. NCBI lineage: Eukaryota > Metazoa > Chordata > Mammalia > Primates > Hominidae > Homo > Homo sapiens. The sequence continues at coordinate 76,699,692 of NC_000006.12, read as the reverse complement.
TTCTATCCCTTGTATCTCTCAGCTTGGAGAAGTCCTTTTTACTCCACATTGTCATTCACAAACAACTGATTAAAAGAGGGACAACATGGTTTCACTGAGCAAACATAGCCCCGTGTAGGAGTGGGAAAAAGCACAAGGCAGTGACAGACTGAAACTCTCTGGAGAAGTCACTCATCTCAGCTGACTATGAAGACTCCATGTGGGACACCATAGAGACCTCTCCATTCTTAATAACTGCTCCCTATAGTACTATAATCCTTGGGCTCTGTTGCTTCAACATTCTATGGTTTATTAATGAGATCCAATATGAGTTCACTCCTGTCCATTATAGTTGCTTCTTATGAAAAGAAAGGAGATCCTATGAGGTTTTGTTCCATCTGTTCAGTACCTCCAATGCCAACAGTATGATCTCCTTTCTCAGAAACACAGAAAACCAGACATACTGGGGTGGGCATGCTTCACATTTCTCCATAGCTAATGCATGACCTCCAATCATATTCAACCCATGCTCAATTCATCATTTGCTTATGCTGTCTGCCAACCTAAAAAATCTTCTAGTATTTGTGTATTCTCTCACCACATAATACTAATACTCTGAAATTAATTGTGTTTTCCACTACTTTTGCATACCATCCAAAATCTTGCACACTAAGCAAGGATTGACTTTTAAAATGCATATTTATTTTTACACATTAGCACTTTGGAGAAAGAAAGAAATCCCTTCTCCTTTTTATAATTGAGTGCTCAGCAGTCGTGGGCTCATAGTTGACATCTAACCAAAAAGCTTAACATCTACTGCTAGTTTCAGCCCAAACACCAATAAGCTGGATACATTTGTGTCAGTTCCTTACTTTCTCTATCAGTTTTTTTCACTTGAATGGGCTGAACACAATAAGTGATTACTTAGCAACTAAACTTCATATTAAACAAGCAATTATTGTGTGTCAAGGACTGTGCTAAGCAGTGTCAACATTCTGTGGTGACTTACAGATTCATTTCTTAGCAAATGTCTCTGTGGTTGTTAAAGTTTATATTAATTATATTTTGAAATATTTGAACAGTTATGATTGCACTTTTAGAAACATTCACCTTCCAATGTCTAAATTTTACTGGGATTTTAAGCTTTATTTTATTCAAGATTTTTAATATTTTCCAAGTATTATTGATCATACAAATAGGAATGTTCTTGGCAAGATATTTCAAGGAATATTAACGGTTATTGGCAGAATTGGATGAGGAGGTTAATTAGAAGTTATTGAGGACACATTCTATTTGTTAGGTTCTGCACATATGTTCACTAATTTAGGTATTATTAGTCCCGTTTTATGACTAAAAATAGAGAGTCAGGGAAAGTAATGGTCACATAATTACAAAGGCAATGCTAAAAGCCGAGTTTCACCTGTTGACCTCATCTGAGCACAAAGCCCTTCAATACACCAGAGTACCACACTTCTGTGGAAAGGCAGTGATTTATTCTGGTCATTTTCTAGCATATATAATATTGGCCACATTTCCTAGTAACCCACTATTGTTTAAATAAAATGCCACACAGCTCAGGTCAAAGGGGCCATTTTTTTCTGTTGACTTCCTTTTCATATCTTTGACACTATATTTTGCTGTCTCTTCTCAAAATTCCTACAAAAGCATTTTGATGCTAAAGTCGAGCTTGGAATAGAAGTTTATAAATGTTTAGAAGGAAATAAGAAATGCAATAACTGCTTTATTAAGTATAAGAGATTACTATACACTGAGTTTAATTAAAACTATGGGAGCTGGTGAGATGGAGAGACAGATAATCCAGATCAGACCGGTTTCTACAAATTCCACTCCCTTCCTGCAGATCACACCCTGAGAATAGGACAGTGCCCCCTGGTATCAAAGGAAATGGCCAGATCTCACAGATTAACCCTTGCAGGTACATTGCACAAACCAATAAAGTTTCAGTATCATCAGTGCCACCTTCAGGGGCATAAATGAAATAGCAAATTTTTCTATTTCTCAAATGTTTTTAGAATTAATGCTGGAGCAGGAATATATGCTAATATGTATCTTTGTACATTTTCTACAAACAATATAGTTTCCTAAATTTTTATAATAATATATTCCGTTGTAATGAGCTATATGCTAAGATTTCCCAATAGCTGATAACTCTTTAATCCCAGTAGAAATATGTGAAGAATTTGTGGCTAAATATAAAATAGGCTGGGGAAAAATTGTTAGTGGTTTTCAGATATGTAATATTAGTTAAACTTGGTGTCAAAAAGGACACTAGTTGGCAAGGTGCGGGATTTTGTTGTTGTTGTTTTGTTTTGTTTTGTTTTTTTTAGCTTACAGAAAAACAGAATGAAATCATAGGTCTTTTAGAAATCCTACCTCTTGCCTCCTGCCAACTGCTGAAAGCATCTGTAATAGAAGTATTGCCTAATGCAGTTTGGAAAGAGGGATACATGTGCCCAAAGGAAATCCAATTAAGAGAATATATAACAACAACAAAAAAGATATGTGATTTAATGCCAATGGGTAATAATTAATTATAGTGAATTTATTTAACCAATAAGTGATTTAATTTTTATCAAAACTTGGAATTAACTACCATACTTAGCCTTTTGATTGCATGTTCTGCCCCTCCCTGACCCTATTTCTGCATGACTTTCTGCCCAGTGGACTGCACTCTGTAGGCCCCAAGGTCCTCAGCTGCTGGCACTTCTCCAGGGGGCTCCCTTGGAGATCAATTCTTTCTATTTTCTGCACCTCATTATGATTATCAAGCTTTCTCTCTACCAAATGCCTCTAATTCTTATTTCATTCCTTGAGCTCTATGAATTACTGTTGCTGGCTGGTTCTATTAACTTGAATGAGTATTAAGTGCTAATCTTGTCTCCTCTTCTAGTATAACTTTTAACAAACATTTAAGTTTAGTGTTTAGCTTCAATCCATATTGAATATTCTGATGGAAATTTCCAGTGCTATGGCTTGTGGTTGAAAGAATTATCATGAATATGAGATATAGTTAAATGTAACCGAGATAACACTAAATATATAGATGAGAACATTAGACTCTACTTATGTCCCTACAGTTAGCCATCTATGTGATATTGAGCAGGGCATTCCTCACTTTCTAGATCCCAATTTTACAGTCGTAGAAGAAAGTCATGAGACACACAACCTGTACGCATCCTTCTAAGTCTCCAGGATTCTTGCTTTATAGAGTTACAATGCTAAGACATATATGTGTGAACAAACATAGGTCCAAATTCTTAAGGAATGTTGTCTTCAGACCTAATTGGTGAAAACAATCTATAATTATAAAATGCACTTGAATAGTTTAACTGAATCTCCACAGTATTCCACGTGTGTATCAGTTAAGACAGGTTAGGTTACACTTCTTTAACAAGCAATCCTCAAATCTCACTGCCAGAACACCACTTTACTTGCTGCTGTTGCAAAGTCCACTGCAGTTTCAAGCAGTTCTCCAGAACACCTCTCCTCCTTGTTTTGGTTTAATGCTCCAAGTTGCTTGGATCTTATTTTACCTCTGTATTACGATGTGCTTCTGTGAACAAGGAAAGCAGATGAAAGGCAGTGTGGAGAGTTGAACACCATCAATAAATGCTTATCCACAGTTCTGCTTATATAGCCACACTTCATCTTTTAAGGGAAGATATGTAGTCACGCCTAACTTCAATAAAATAGAGAATAGTGATCCACACATGTACCCAGAAGTAGAAAAGAATCAGATATTGGTGAAGAGAAGTAATACTTACTACAGTGTAACATGGGCATTGAGAATCATCAGAAATTCAAAGTAACAACCACAATGAGTAATATAATGTGTTTACATGAGAAGACAATGAATACAAAACACAGTAACAAGTCTACAGAAGTCTGCTGGAATTCTTGCTGTAAAGATACACATGGACCTGTGGATTCATTTATTTATTCATTTAGCATTTAATTAATATTCATTCTTTGAGTGCCCACAGTGTGCTAGGTACCAGAAATAAAGCTGTCCCTAATTTAACACATTTAATTCATTCCTGAAAACACTGCTGACAAGTGAAAAATTATTAAATGAAAAATACATTTCCATTAATTTTAGGGGGAACAATTATAATGCATTCTATTCCAACTGGAGATGCTCGAATAATTTTCACAGATAAACATATCAGTTTAGCAGTGTAAACAAGTTTAAGTAGGCAATAAACAATAATTGAAAAGTAAAAAAAATAGTTTGCAGATAAATGAATACACAGAAAGGGACTCATCATGTTTACGAGACCAAAAGAAGAGATAGCTAGAAAGGGAGACAGAAAATATTATAGACAACGGATATGTAGAATGATCATTATATATAGCAGATATGTAGAATGATCATTATATGTAGCAGGTATGTAGAATTTGTCATTGGAATCAGGACAATTTTGTGCATTGAAGCCAGTGCTATAGATAAATATACACTGGGACAATAGGCATAAACCAGTACCCTCCTGGGAAAACTAAGAATTATGCTCATTATACTCATATGCAATGTTATTTATGAGAAATCATGAGACAAATGTTAAAAGCTGGTGTTTCAGGATGCACTCCACCAATCACTGACACATCTTTCACAGTTTCAGTTTACACAGTCCAACACACATTCATTTTGACCAGCGGGAGGTAGCATAGGGAGAGTGGTCAGCAACCCTCTCTGGTGTTAGTTTGGCCAAGCTTCCCAACCTCCCTCAGGCACATGCTAGCTAACAGTCTGCAAGAAGCCTGCCTGAGCCAGACTGCATAGCAATTCTGAGGGCACTCACCCCCTGCCACAGGTCCCCTATTTTCAGTCAGGCAGTGCTTGACTGTAAGAAGCCTGACTGATACTTATCTCAAGTTAATCTGCACAACTGAAAAGATTTGTGTACAAAGTCCACAATGCAAAAAAATAAACCTATAGACACAATCTGAATATAAGCAGCTGTTTATATCCCTTAAGGCCAGCTGTAATGGGACTTGCATTTTTGGCATTTTCTCACCTGAACCTCCTTGCTCCATGTAGGGAATCACTGAAGAGTTAGAAGCAAAGAAGTGCAATGGTCCTACTTGGGTTGACCCTATTTGGGTATTTGTTTTGTCACTCACAATGTGCTTGTCTGTAAATAAATTATATAATCTGTCTAAGCCTCAGTTTTCTCATCTGTAGAGCATAAATAATACGATTTATATTTCCGTTATTGAAAGAATCATATGAATCAAGGTATGTAAAGTGCCTGGTATATTAGAGATCCTTTTCTTTTAATAATTTTGAAATGCTAATAAAGACACTTACATGTCAGGTATTAGTCTAAGTACTTTATACCTATTAATTCATTTAATACCCATAGTAACCAATGAGGTAAGTATCATGTTTGTTTATATATGAGAAAACTAAGACATGGTGGGGGAAAGGAGGGCTAACTAAATTGTCAACTTCACAAAGTGGGAAGGCTGGGATTTGAACCAGCAGTCTGAGTCAGGGGTCTAGTACTTTTAATCATCACACCATTCTGCCTTCCCACCTGGTCTCTGTCACTGTCTTGTATTTCATTTTCTGTCCCTAACTATATATCAATTCCATTGCTTGACCCTACTGCTTCCTTTCTTCTCTGACATCACAGAACAAGTTATCTACAGGTTTTGTTGTCAGGGAAGTTTTCATGGAAAATATGATACTTAAGCTGTAAATCATTCTCTTGCCAATTTTTGGACATCCTAAAGTGTACCTATTGTTTAGTGTGTGTTTTCAAAATCAGTAATTTTTTAACATCAAAATCATTTTTTAAAAAGTAATCAATGTATTACACTCTTGTTATGATTGGTATTAAAAATATTTGCCAGGCACAGAGGTTCGTTCCTACAATCCCAGGACTTTAGGAGGCCAAAGTGGGAGGACTGCTTGAGCCAGCAGTTCTAGACCAGCCTGAGCAACATAGTGCAACCCTGTCTCTACAAAAAGTTTAAAAAAATTAGCCAGGTATGGTGGCACACATCTGTGGTCCCAACGACTCAGGAGGCTAAGGCAGGAGGATCTCTTGAGCCAAAGAGGTCGAGGCTGCAGTCAGCCATGTTTGTGCCACTGCACTCCAGCCTGGGTGACACAGGGAGATGCTGTCTTGTCTCAAAAATGAAAGAAAATTTGCCTGAACCTCAAAAAGATTAGATATATCTGAGATAGACGTTGAATAAAGGATTTAGTCTGAATGAAGACTGGCATTTTATTATTATAAACACCTGTGTCAAGCTCCTTTCTCAAAACAAGAGATTAAACAACTGGCAAAGAATTCAGTAGTAACATAGATTTGCTCAAAATATTTATTTTGGCAAATTTTCCATATAGCAAGTTATTGAATATGTATTTACTGAGAAGATATCTTGGGAACCTTATTTTGTCCTGTTACACATTTCTTTTCTCCTGAAGATCTTACTATCTTAAATTTACAGCATTTTCCAAAAAATTACTCATAGGAAAAGAGAAGATATATCAAAAGTCAAATTCAATTCAAAGTCGAGAATCTAGGAAAAGTGTCTTTAGATGATAAGGAGAAAGAAAGATTATTATTATTATTATTATTATTATTATTATTTTGCTTTTCTTAGTGTATGTACTCTTCCCATATTGAACAATGTAAAATAATTCCCAGCAAGTTGACTACCCAGAAAATCAGGTACCCAGAAAACTACCCAGAAAAGCAAATGTCTGCTTCTCTTCTCCACCCTGCTTTCTCCTTGTGTTGACCCTAAGCCAAACAATTGACTGGCACAAGGCCCTAATCTTTCTAACAGAGACTTCAGGATGTATAAAACTCCTCATTATTGTTGTTGTCTACTTAAGTTCTAAGCTCCAAACAGTAACTCAAATAGATGTATGATAATTTAAAATATCAGAATTTATATTTCAGGAAGGCAGAGAATAGAACAGAACTCCTCATTTATAGATATGGAATTAAAACTTTTCTTTATTTCCTTCTTTGTTTTGTTTGTTTTGGTTTTGGCTGTTTGTTTCTGGAAACAGATTCTCTGTCACACAGGCTGGAATGCAGTGGTGCACTCACTCAGTGCAGCCTCAAACTCCTGTGTTCAAAATATTCTGCTACTTAAGCCTTCCAAGTAGCTGGGACTACAGGTATATGTCACCATGTCTGGCTAAATTTTTTATTTAAAAATTTTGTTTTTCTAGAGACAGGGTCTTGCTTTGCTGCCTAGGCTGGTCTTGAACTCCTAGCTTCAAGTGATCCTCCTTCCTCAGTCTCCTAAAGTGCTGGGATTACAGGCATGAGCTACCACACCTAGCCAAAGCTTTTCTTTTTAATCAGTTAATGTATCCTATTTGCTCATTTTAAATTACTCAATTTCTTATTAGAAGTGACTATCACCATGAATATACCAGAAGTAGTTGGTACTGTGATGTACCACCCAAATTCCCCTTCAGAAATATAGACATATAATCTGACAAAGATTATTTGCTTGTCCAAACTTTAGTTGGGCTTCTGAAACTTCCCCTAGGCCCATCTGTGCACTTCCTTATAAAATCCAGTTTTAGCAAAGAACTCTGCTAAGTCAGTTTAGCAAGAATCCCTCATCGCCAATATTTGGTGACCCCTGATATGTGATCAGGATCCTTATCCTCCACCAACCCACAGGTGATGTCTGATTACCCTGGATTGACTTCAAGTCACAATTGCACCCCCGACCCATGTTTCCTCTTAGTAATTTTTCATCTACTGACTCCCACCCTGATCCTTACCCATAAATTCCCACTTGCCTATGCTGTATTCAGAGTTGAGTCCAATCTCTCTCTCCTTGCAAGACCCCACTACAGTGGTCTTTATACCTATTGCAATGGTCATGAATAAAGTCTTCGTTATTGTTATTTAACAAGTATCATTAAATATTTGTTTTTCTTTAATAGATCCCAGCTACTAAGAGTGCTGCTAACAGCCCTTAGCGAGGACCAACTACATAATTTTTTGGACCCAATACAAAATTAAGTTGTGAGACCTTTTGTTAAAATATTGTTAAGAATTTTAATGTGGTGGCAGCAGAGCATTAACCAAATGCTGGGCCCTCGTGAGCATGAGGCCCAGGGAGTCTGCACAGGTTGCATGCCTATAAAACTGCCCTTGCCCCTAACTGTCAGCCACCAGCAGTGATGGTTCAGCAAAAGAGAGCTGCCTCACCCAGGGCAGTGTCTACTTCTAGGGTGGACAAAATTTAATCATTGTATTGACACAGGATTATAAAGTTCCGCTCTCTTCACTCAAAGTCTGTAGGGCCATGCCAACTTCAGAGCTGTGGTAGAATTGGCTAAGAACTCCCCTGAGATTACTTCACATCTCAGCTTTTCCCTGTTCTCAATCAGACTTCTTTTCCTCCCTTTTCTTCCCTTCCCTTGCCTTTCACAGTTGAGGGTCTGAGGAGCATTCCCTAATATAATTTCTGCATGCTAATGCCTCCTAGAGTCCACTTCCCATATAACACAACCTGTGAAACTGGTCTTTCCCAAACCCTGTTCTTACAAACACAAGAAACAGTAGCACAACAGCCTATTCTGTGCTAATTTGTAATATATCAATTTCCAGATGGCATTGAGCTGTTGCATGGTGGAGTTTGCTGTGGAAAAGATTAAACATTCTAGGGGCAAGAGACCACACAGTTAGCAGTTGGTGTCCGTGGTCATTTGGTCTTTTGTTAAGATGTATTGAACACTTACTGTGGTAAATATTTTACATAATTTAAGTTATTTAATTCTTCATAATAAATCTTTGTTGTAGATATTCCAAATAGCCCAATTCCACAAATTAAAAAAAGAAAATAGCAACAGAGAAGTTAAGTGACCTCCCAATAATCAGTCATGAAAGTGTAGCATAGTTCCTCTGTCTAATCAAAGCCAGAGCTCTTGATCTCTACCCTATAATTCCTGTCTGATGCTATTTTTCTTCTACTGGTGTTTCTTACTGAACACAGACACTCTCAAGTCAGTAGTCCTAATCTATACACCCACGGTGTGCAGAAAAGCAGGCTTCAGGTTCACAAATCCTTATATTCTCAAGAAAGACCTGTTTTCGGGAGTAGCCATTCATGGACTCTAGACAATTGAACTCTGAGTCCTTGGAATGCTCTGCCTAAGTGTTTTTGTATGCCTAAGACCTTGGGTCACACTATAACAGTTCGACCAAAGAGTTTATGTTACCAATGTGATTTATGGTAAACACTTGTTTTTGCACTAGGGGCTGAAGTTGAGTAGCTGAGGTCAGTCACATAGGTGCTGCACACTACGTGACTGAACCCCCATAAAAAACCTGAACACCAGGATTTTGATGAGCTTCCCTAGTTGACAACACTTTGCATGTGATGTCGTACATTATTGCTAGGAAAATTAAGTCCATCCTGTACAACTCCACTGAGAAGGGTACCTGAAAGCTTGTGCCTTCTCTTCTGGACTTCTCCCCCTGAGGTTTTTTCTTTGCTGATTTTAACCTGTATTGTTTTCCTGTAATAAATCATGACCATGAGTATAAGAGCTTCTGATTCCTGTAAGCTCTTCTAGTGAATCATCAAGTTTGAAATGGTCTTGGAAACCTCAATAGATATAGTGAGTGGAGAAATGGCTGAATTTTAGACAGATCAAGATGAAAAAAGAAATACTTTTTTGTTGTTGTTCTTTATCTCAAAGATAAATGACCTGGATGTCTTGCTAAAAACCTATTAAGATCATGCTGCTATTGAATATATTATTGAATATATCAACTGAAGACCAATTGCCTCCAGAAAAGGAGATGCATTCCGCCATTTGCCTTGCTGCAAAGAAACACCCGAGACAGGGTAGTTTATAGTGAAAAGAGGTTTATCTCGCTTATAGTTCTGCAGGCTGCACAAGCATGATACCAGCATCTGCTCAGCTTCTGCTGAGGCCCCAGGAAGCCTACAATCATGGCAGAAAGTAAAGGGGGTGCCAATGTATCACATGCCAAGAGAGGGAGCAAGAGAGAGAAGAAGGAGCTGCCACCTCTTTTAAACAACCATATCTCATGTGAACTCATAGAGTGAGAAGTCACCCCTTACTGCAAGCACAGCACCAAGCCATTCATGAGGTATCCACTGGCATGACCCAAACACCTCCCACTAGGTCCAAGTCCAGCATTGAGGACACATTTCAGCATGAGATTTGGAAGGGACAAAAGCATCTAAACCCTATAAGAAGGCATGAGTAAAGTAACAAAAACATTGTTTTCCTGCCACTTGCATATGCATCTAAACTGGATAAATTTGTATTTTCTTAGCAGATGTTATTGTTATGTTGAGAGATAGACTCAACATAATAGAGATAGACTCTGTTGAGAGTATATTTTTTAATGATAGAGAAAGACTTTAGGGCCCAGGAGTCAGATGATAAAGAGGTTTCATCAGAAAGACAAGAGGTAGGGTACAGGGAGAAGGAAGAATGAGGTAGAGAAAAGCAGTTGAAAAGAATAGGGATGAAAGAGCATAGCAGGAAAGAGAGGCCAGGTAACTGAGAACCAAATTAACCACTGATCATAAGTTATAATATATGTATATCTCTACGTTTTTTTCAAGGCAAGATGAAGAACCAGGGGCACTGCTCAAAGTTCTGCCCACCGAGAGGACTTTCCTTCACCACAGCATTTCACAGCCACTTCTGGGTAGGGCTGTAGTGCTGCCACTGCCTGGTTTCTGGTAGTGCCAGTATATTGTGCAGAATCATTTGCTTCCTCAGTCAAATAGTCAAAGGCCACCCCCCATGAAGCCTTAGGTGCAAGGTGAGAGGGAGGAGTGGCGGAGGTTGGGCCATGAGCCCATGCTTATCCCCTACAAATAATTTTGGCACCATTGGATCTGTTGGTTCATATGACATATATGGCAGAGCAGCTTGCATGGCAGCCTGGACCTCTTTCATCACCTGCTCTTTTTCCAGGATCCAGTAAAAAAATGGCAGCTTTTTGGTTTATTTGTTACCTAGTCAGAGTAGTATAACCAAATGAGATCTGTTTTCTTCAGGAAGAACACAAAGTGCTGGGCCTCTTTCTTGGTGGTAGGAGGGACCAGATGCAGCGACCTGTCCTTTCTCTTGGCAAGATAACTTAACATGGCTCAGTTCACAGGAGCAAGAGTTGGCAAACCATGGCCCATAGGCTAAATATTGCCATCTGCCTCCTTTTTATACAGTTCATAAGCTAAGGATATTGTTTTTACATTTTTAAAGGGTTGAGAAGCAAAATAGGATGGAGGAGGAGGAGAAGGAAACGGAGGAAGAAGAGAATGAGGAGGAAAAGAGGAGATGAAAGTAGAGATAGAAGAAGAATGACTAGAAGAAGAAGAGGTGGAGGAACAGGAAGCAGAAGAAAAAGGAAAAGGAGAAGACTTGGACCCAATCCAAATGTCCATCAGTGATAGACTGGATTAAGAAAATGTGGCACATATACACCATGGAATACTATGCAGCCATAAAAAAGGATGAGTTCATGTCCTTTGCGGGGACATGGATGAAGCTGGAAACCATCATTCTCATCAAACTATTACAAGAAAAGACAACTAAACACCGCATGTTCTCACTCATAAGTGGGAGTTGAACAATGAGAACACATGGACATAGGGAGGGGAACATCACACACTGGGGCCTGTCGGGGCATGGGGGACTGGGAGAGGGATAGCATTAGGAGAAATACCTAATGTAAATGATGAGTTGATGGGTGCAGCAAACCAACATGGCACATGTATACTTATGTATCAAACCTGCACATTGTGCATATGTACCCTAGAACTTAAACTTATTATTAACTTTATTAATAATAATAAAGAATGTTAAGGAGAAGAAAAGGAGGAGGAGGAGGAAGTGAAGAAGGAAGAAAATAGAAAGAGAAGGAGGAAGAGGTGAAGAAACAGAGGCTATATGTGTCCCACAAAGCCTAAAATATTTATTAATTTACAGGCCCCTTACAGAAAAAGTTTGCTGACCTCTGGTCTAGACAATTATAATGGTTTCTATTTACCCTTCCTTGTCCGTAATACCTCTAATTCCACAGGTCAGAGGAACAATGTGAGGCTTCAGACACTAATAGCATGTCTACTCCAAATATGAATTCCAAATCGAGAAAATAACCACAAGGTTAGTTCAGGGACCCATTGGGCCCACAGTAAGATGGACCCAAGCCAAAACTCCCCTGATCATCTGACTTCCGTAAGTCCCTATTCTGACTGATGGACTACAGTAACATTTTAGGTGCCTAAGGATTAGTGTCAGCTCTGAACCAGTGTCTAATAGTTTCTTAAATATCTCATTATTTCCTTTCTGCTATAAATGGTCAGTCCAGGAAATGGATTCACATCTCCTTGGGGGAAAATTAGGGTTAGACGGAATATTTACATTAGAAATTTTGGTCTGGTAGCACGTCCTTGTTTAAGAAGATCTGGCCTCTCCTTCATTTGGGGGTCTCTGGGTCTGTCAATTGGCTTATTGTTAGAAATTCATTCAGGGGTCACAATTTCTGTTCACCAGATCTAAAACCTTTTTGCTTTACACAAATCATTTAAGATTTTAGTAGGCTGGGAGAGGAGGGAGAGGAAGAGGATCATAGGATCATAACTAAACTAAAGACAAATACCTGTGCTGTTCAGACCATTCTGATCACTGTTTTTTGTTTTTTTTTTTTTTGTTTGTTTGTTTGTTTTTTTTTTTTTGAGACAGAGTCTCACTCTGTTGCCCAGAGTGCAGTGGCACGATCTCGGCTCACTGCAAGCTCCGTCTCCTGGGTTCACGCCATTCTCCTGCCTCAGCCTCCCGAGTAGCTGGGACTACAGGCACCCACCACCACACTTGGCTAATTTTTTGTATTTTTAGTAGAGATGGGGTTTCACCGTGTTAGCCAGGATGGTCTCGATCTCCTGACCGCAAGTGATCCACCCGCCTCAGCCTCCCAAAGTGCTGGGATTACAAGCATGAGCCACCGCACCCGGCCTCTGATCACTGCTTTATGTCTACCACCCATTCCCGCTACCAGGCCTACACTGTCTTTCACATTTGGCCACTTGGTTCCTGCCACCCAGGAATGCCATCCCTTCCACTGAATCCAAGGAATCCAGCCCATTAATCATTTCTGGCCTACAGAAAATATCTATCACAGAGCTCTTCAATAATGTTAACGATTCCCTCTTAAATGTATTTCTGAGAGACTTAGAGAAAGAAATGTACTCTTTCTGGAGGATCTATTTAGGGAAAGGACATATAGATCTTGCTATATAGATCCACTCTGGCATCACAATGTCTCTATTTTTCTATTTAGTATAACAAGGAAGTCGGGTATTTTGATCTATTTCAGTACAGGCCACAAACACATCCAGGTTTTAAACAAGCAACCACATAAGCTGTTAGAGCCATTCTCAGCTCCTCAAGTGAATACAGGGAATCTACAAATTCTGCTTAGTGTCCAGTTTCAATGAATTTGGTTGTATCCAATTTTATATTCCTTCAGACCTCATCCCACACCCCAGGGTCCATTCCCACATTTGTTCTCCAGACCTCTATGGAACTAAATTGGCAAAGAGCTTGCAATTTTTAAAATGTATATCATACCTCCTCACTGGTTGCACCTTGTGCCTCACACTCTGAATCTTGTTGGGATTTTAGTCTGGTTATAGATTTAGAGATAATGAGAAGGAATGAAGGTAGGTCAGGAGGAGGATCATCAGCTTATTGCAAGGCAACTACCTCAGGAAAGGCTATTAAAGTGTCTTTGGGCAAAGGGAGACCAACTTCTCACACAGGGGAAAAGAGGTTGTTTGTACTGTCAAAGCAGACAAAAAATGTGTGCATTCAAGGTCTCTGCTTCATCAAAATATGATCATATAACTCCTTTCCAATTAACGAGGTCCCCCTCTTTCTCAATTAATGCCCTAACTTTAACATACACTATTGATTAGACACTATATGTTCTTGATTACAAGTGCATAATATGATAATTTAAATAAATATTTTCCATTGTGTGTCATGGAACACCAGTGCTACCTTTCACACACAAAAAAAGGGTTATTAATGAATTTAAGTGTAACCAAATTAGAGAACATATTCCAAATATCCCTTAACCAAATTCAGATAATTCATACTTAGGGTTAGATTCTCCAGGAACTGCCTCTCAGACTTATTTATTGGTCAGGGCTTGGTTTCAGAAAAAGAACTACAAGAAGTGATACACAAAACAATGGATCTATCATAGAAATTGGCTTTACTGTATTGTGAGAACCTACTAAAGTTTTCATATATGCCTATTGTTTTTGCACCTGAGCTACAGCCTGGAGCTGGTAAGGCAAGCAGTTGAAAAGGACATATGAGTGTAAGGACAGACTTATGTAAGGTGTGTGGTAGGGGAAGGTGGATAAAGGGAGGGTGGAGCAAGAAAAAATAGCAATCTGTGAGAATAAGATGGGAACCTCAAGGACAACCTGGAAGTTGCCTTGGTCTCTCATCTTTTCTATGCTTCCTATATGTGGGTAACATGCAAGGGAACCTGATGCCTTTTGTAATGGAACAAAATGAGGACATCTGGAGGAAGTTGCAGGAAGAGCTGGTGGATCCACAACAACAGAGGAGCTGCAGCAGCATGTAACCGTACATTGACCTCCCAAGCACAATCATAGCTGCTGCTTCACATCCCCTTCCCAGTCTCATGTAAATGCCTCTTGTGACTAAGACTAGCTCAGTAACAAATGGGGAAGAGAGTTTCAGCTTCGAATAGTCGATACAGGACAAAGCCAGTACGTGTACGTGTGTGGGTGTGTGTGTGTGTGTGTCTTTAATATAAAAACAGATAACTAATGCAATATATCTAGTGTGCTTGGATTTCTTGTGAAGGAGAGTGAGAGCTAAGTTTTGCATTAAAGTTGGGGTGGAGCGGAAATAGGGAGTCCTTGGTGGATGGAATGGGACAGCGGAAATGGGAAGCAGTTGTATTTGGATTAGGCAAATGATAGTCATTAGGGAACTAAAGAATAAGGTCTCAAAAAAAGGGGAGAATTGGGTATTTTGGATTTGTATACAAGTTTCTAAGGAGAAGCATCCTGAGCCTGGTCAGGTACTATATTTTCACCCCAAAATACGATGAATTAGGGAGGTGAAATCAGAGAAATAAGTGTGGCCTAAGCCTGCTAAAACAAATGCTTTCTTCAAGTGTGTCAAAGGGAATTAACTTATGACTATTCACTCTCGTACTGAACACCACGACCACAAGATGAACATTTGACTTTCAGAATCTGAGGTAGAGAAAGACAAGATACTTTCTCAAGGATTCTGGCAGCTCCTTAAATAAGAAGTGAGAAAAAGCACATGGAAGGGAGATGGAGGAAGAAAAGTCCTGTATCAGCCAAGGTGGGGAAGTAGGAATGTGGATGTTCTTGTCTGTAATACCAATGGCAGAGCAAACCTGAGGCATCTGCAGGATGCACCAAGCTGCCTGGCAGGTAGCACAGTTCCCAGGTGACCACGTTTACCAGACACAGCAGGGTAGCAGCTGCAGCCCAGAGCCCAACAATCCCAGGCCAGAGCGGAGCACCACAGAAAGAGAGCATATTTGCCCACATTAAGATTTACTGAGTAATCACAAGCCCAGGACCACATTGGCCATCTGGGGAAATAGGAAGCTGAGAGAAGGGCCTCTGACTATGGGCAGGGTGCATGCCTCTGGGAGGGGAAGGAAGCAGTTTCGGTGACTACATTTTTGGTCATTCTCAATGAAGAGCAATTCCAATAACAGAAAAACCAGCTTCCCCAAACTTAGATTACATGTGATTCCTAATTATGTCAGTGTGCTTTGATTTTTATCTGCATTTACAGCATGCAAACTTTTTCTTTTTCAATTGACAGATATCATTGTATGTCTTTATAGTGTAAACTTTAAGATAAAATTCTACAGTTGATTTATATATCTTCACATTCTCAAATGACTAAGTTGTCTTTGATTATAGAAAATAATATTTGTTTGTTTATTTGCACCTTAGATTTAATTAGAATACAGTTTTAAATTTTGGAAAAGAGTAGATATTTTGCTACTTTATTCTATGAAATATACATTATGATAAGTAATAAATGCTGTGTCTACATTATAAAAATTACTATTCCAATACAGACTAGGTAGTAATTGAATGTATTGCTGATTAGAAAATTACTATACTTGGAAGGAGTAGAGAAGCTTTTTCAGGCTGCTAAGCTACTATAGGTTAAGCGTAAGTATGGTATATATGGGGAATTTGAAATTTTTGCTTTTGGGTTTTCTATGACTGCATGAACATCCTCTTATATATTTTGCAGATATTTCCAGTTTTGAGATATTCTAATTTTTGCACTCAATTATCAAAATTTAGTAGGTTTTATTTCCTTTTTATACTAAAATTATAAATTTTGCAGGTATTTGCAGTTTTTAGATATTTTAATTTTTGTACTCAATTACCAAAACTTAATAGGTTGTATTTCCTTTTCCTACTAAAATTAGATGCACACAAAGCAAAACTCCTGCCCCTCTTGCTTTATCAGGGTGAGTATGCACATGTGAAACTGAGGGAGGAAGAAACAGTACCTACCTGGTGACATTACTCTAAACATGGTGTTTTTTTAGCATAAGAGAAATAAAAGGGAAATGTCTCTACTGTTGCCACCTTGTGGCTAAATATGTATAAACAGACCGGAAAAGTTTTTTTTTGTTTTGTTTTGTTTAATAGTAAAGAGCTGTTTAAGAACTGGGTGAATATTTATTTATAAATAAATAATTACCATAACATTTATTATACATGACAATTACATTCACATATTTTATTTTTAAATTATTTTTTTAAAATATGGAATATATGTGTTATATGATATACCTTCATAGAAATTTTATCTTGAGGGAATATCTTTAGTTATCTAACTAAATCTTTTAATTTTACAAGTGAGAAAATTAGGAAATAGTGGTATAGTCTTATTTTGCTTTCCACTATATCATAACTGGTTAAATAGAGAAATAAAAACGTAGAATACAATTCTTTAAACTATATAGGATGAATAATTTTAGGACATATAAACTTTCTAAAGTTTTATAAGAATAATTAGAAATGATTTTGGTGATAAAATAAAATCAAACTGATAGATTAAATTCATTTTTTAGTGCCTAGTATATATAAAACTGTTTTGGAAATCAATTTTTCCTTCCTCTCTGGTTTTAGAATCCCCACCTTTTAGTTGGTCTCAGCTGGCATGCCTATGTGACTAATTCCTGACCTATGGTTTGTAAGGACAAGAGATGTGCACAGTTTTCAGGTCATTCCTTAAAGGGCTGATTGTGCTCTTTCTCCCTCCTGAAATGTAGACATGGAGGTAATCTATTTGGGGTCACATGAAGGAAAACAATCCCCAAGCATTTCAAAGCAAATTCTTAGAATGAACTTGGGTCCCTGACACCACAGAGTGACCACACTAGCCCTGGACTTACACTCTGATTCTTAAGTATGAGTCTGTTATTTTGAGACTCTTTTACTCTAGCAAAGTTTCTATCAGAACTAATAAAATGCAACAATTTTTCAATGGTGCTAATGCTGCCATAACAAATACTGCTAACAGTGTAGCTTAAACAACAGAAATGTGTTCTGTCAGTTTTGGAGGATGGAAGCCAAAACTGTATCAGCTGGCTTGTTTCTTCTGAGTCATCTCTTCTTGTTTTGTTCTTGGCCACCTTCTCACTGGTCTTTCCTCTGTGTGCACACATGTATGTGTTCTAACCTCCTCTTCCTATAAAGATCCCAGTCAGATTGGATTAGGGCCCAACTGAATAAGCTCATTTTATTTATCACCTCTTTAAAGACATTATCTCCAAATACATTCACACTCTGTAGTTTTGAGGGTTAGGACTTCAACATGCATTTTGCTGGGACACAATTCAGCGCAGAACAGTGAAAATGTTACTTGTTTAACTTAAAAATGCTATATAGCAGATAGTTCAGACTGAGATGCCAGTAGCACAAACCAAAAGACAAATATATTGGGTAAGTAACCATTAAAAAAAAATATCAAAAGCTCTGTGCCTGTGTCTCCCTATTAATAATTTGTGTTTTCTCTGACATGACTTTGTCTTCTCAGTTTCTTTTTTTTTTCCTCTTCAACCTTGAAAATTTGGTCAATTCTCCTGCATCTACATCGTCTCACTAGGACCACTCATTCAGTAACATATGCCCTACTACTACTGTCTCAGTCTTTCCACACATCTCCAGGCTCATATATTCATGCATTTCCTTCTTCACATCTCTATATAGATATATAATAGGTATCTCAAACTTAGGGTAGCCCAAATAGAAGCCTTGATTTCTTCCTTAAAGCCAATTCCTTCTCACCTTCATAAACGGCACCACTATCCACAAGTTTTCTAAAGCCAGGACCTAGGAACAACCCTCAATTCTTCTCATTCATCATCCCTGACTCTCCACCCACCCTCATATGATCTGTCATGAAGCTAACTCAGTTCTTCTACTAAAACATACCTAGTTTCCATCCTCCTCTCCACTGCTGTGAAACCTGTAGTTCAAGTATCATAGTCTGTCATGGGGACTCCTGCAATAGCTCCTAATTGGTCTTTATGCTTCTACTCCTGCCTTCTACAGCCCGTTTTCAACACAGCAGCTAACTCATATTTTTTAAACATAAATCAGAGCATATCACTCTTTTGCTTTAACCACTGCTAGTTTTCCATTGCACATGAAATAATACCCAAGTCCCTTACAATGGCCTGACGGGCCCTGTAAGATCTGCTCCCTGTCCCTCCCACTTACTTCATCTCATGCTGCTCTCCCCTTGTTCACTTTGCTCTTCCACACTGGCCTTCTTCCTTTCTTTAAATGCTTTATATGCATGCCCATTTGATCACTTTCGACTTGTTGTTTTCTCTGTTTGGAATGCGCTTCTTCCAAGTCATTAGGGTGTCTCCTCCAATGTTACCTTTCAGTGAGGCGCTCCTTGACTACCGAGAGTAGGCCCCAATCCAAGCACTCTTTATCACATCACTCCCATTTATTTATTTATGTATTTATTTACTTTACAGTACTTACCATGATCTTCCTTTGTTTAGTCATTTTTTTTAAATTCCGAAACTATTTCTTTTCCCCACTATAGTATCAGCTACCTGAAAACGGGAACCTTATCTGCTTTGTTAATCATTTTACCCCTAATACCTAAAATAGGGTCTAGCAATAAACATTTTTGAATGAATGGACACATGAATGGTGTGAACAGCTTTGTGGAATGTGTATTAGTATGATGATGAGCATCTTAATCTGTTCAAGATGCTATAATATATTACCATAAACTCAGTGGCTTACAAACAACAGAAATTTATTTCTCGAGGTTCTGGAGGCTGGGAAGTCTAAGATCAAGGCACTTGCAAATTCGATGTCTGTTGAGGATTCGTAGCATCTACTAGCTGAGTCCTCACCTGGTGGAAGGAACAAACTAGTTTTCTGTGGTGTCTTTTATAAGGGCACTAATCTCATTCATGAGGTCTCTACCTTCATGACCTACTCCCCTCCCAAAGTCTCCACCTCCTAATACTATCACATTGGTGATTACACTTCAACATAGGAATTTTGGGAGAGTACACACATTCAGATCATAGCAATAGGGAGAAGCTGGATGGATAGAAGGATAATGTGATATTAATGGCCAGGCATAACTCACAATATTTTTGAAATTTCCCCCTTTGAGTCAGATTTAAGATACCTAAGTGTTTCATTAGCGGACATCCTTCACATCATCCTATATTCTTACAGGTCTGAAATCCTTATCTTTTGAACTATTTCCCTAAAGTCCCAACATAATTAACAAAGTATTTCTTAGACATCATCTAGGAAATCTCACAAGCTTATCAAATTCAGCATGTCTAAAAAATAGTGCTTTGTTTCTTCCTCCTCCTCAATCTGGAAGTCAAAAACATCTGCAAATTTTTAGTTCTGATTCTGCTACTAAACATAGAACTTTGAGCAAGTTTACCTCTCTGGGTCACTTTAAAGGATAAAATTAAAGCATAAGTCTTGGTGACTTCTATGTGTTTTTTAATAAATTTATATAATGTAATTATCGAGTCATGTTAAAACATTTTTACCTCCAATGACTATATCTGAGTAGCCACAGAATGATCAAGCAGCTAATTGTCCTACAGGATCCAGAGTGGACATACTCAAATAAACTGACTGTAATGTCATTTTCCAATATAGTCAAACATTCCTATGACTTAAGAAGATTCCTAGACACACCTTTAAGGATCACACTCCCCACTTTTTGTTTATGCACCAGAAAACCTGAAATTTAGGACCAAAGCGTAACTGAATTTCCCTCCATAGTATTTCACATTCCTAAATTCTATTTATGTTTTAATGTTTTAAGATTTTGATTAACATCTTTCTCCTTTGTGAACAGACTCTAGATTACATGCATCTTGTCAACTGATGGCTTTTTTCTGAGTAAGTTTGTATATATATATACAGTCTTCAGTACAGTTTATTATCCCTCTGGTGTCCTATATAGATCCTTGCATATGCAGGGTGATTGATAAATATCTGAGAATAGAAACTGCTACTGTACCAGAAACCTACCCCCTTCCCCCCTCCCCCTACAGAAAAATATTATGAATACCAATTTGGCTGCCACAGCTTGAGAAATTTATTGCCCATGTGGTGCCAACAAGAGTCTATAAAACCCCTTAAGCAGTTAGAACAAAATGTCAAACACCTGAAAATAGTCTACTCATTTGATTAAGGAATTGCAGTAAGTTAAATAAAAATGTTTTTATTCATAATGTAGTCACTAAGCATAGCTATGTAATGAAATTTACTTTATAGGAGGTGTTGTTAATCACAAAATTTTTTGAGTAGAACAATATATGTTGGTGCAGGGGTAGCAGAATACAGTGAGCCAAGGGGAGGTGGCCAGGGAAAGTTAAAATGATTCTCCTTCTTAAACGGTCATCTGGCATTCCCACCCACATAATGATGAGGATTGCCTTTGTAGGCCTCCCATGAAAGATGAGTTTGTGATCAAAGATCAAGATTATACTTTTCTTATAAGATAGAAGAGACAAATTGTAGATATTCTCAGAGAAACATATTAATAAATAGAACCTGTGTAGGAAGAATAATGCAAGAGTGTCATTGTTGTCCCCATTTTAATACACGGTGTGATGGAAGACTAAGAACACTATGACACCAAAAATGAGAACAACACACATAAGTACTCTCTTAAATTTAAATTATATTTGCAACATAGAATACAGAGGCAAAAAAATAACCAAGTCTAACCCAGAAGGGGAAAAGCCTTTTAATTCTTACAGAAAGAAGCCTATGTAAGCATCATCAGCAGGTAGAAAAAAATGCTAAGAACAAGAGGTTAGGTGAGTTTAGGAGAAAAGAGAAAAGGGGAATAGTACCAATATAGTTTCTATGTTAAACAAATGATGAAGAGAAGAGGCAGCAATGAGGAAGAATCTTGCCTGTATTATCCTCTTTGTATGATTCAAGTGAGTTCATATGTGAGGTTTTCCCCGCTGAGGTACCTCACAATTTGAAAGGGACAAACAAATCGGATTGAACATCAGGAAACTACAAGACAGTAATCATTACACATAGATCTGAAGAGAAAAGAAAGATCCTGGGGGAAAGAAGGGATGGATGGCAACTCTGTCAGAGAAAAATGAGATTAAGAGTCAAAATAATCTGAAATTGATGATAACTTTGCCTAATTCGGTCATCTGAATGAATAGAACAGTATTCAATGAGATGTGCTAAAGGACTCGAACATTGCAACTGAAAAATTCTTTAGACATTAAAAGCATTTACTCTGACTTTTGTTTTCATTGACAAGAGAAAGGTTTTGTTTCTTGTGGTTTTTCAAATGCTGTGGCAGAAAATTTCCTTAAGACAAATCATGCCCTCAGGTAGGATGCAACTAAAACTTTTGAACTGTTGTGGAGCTTTCCTTCTTGGTCAACAGACAACTTCAAATCTGCTTGCTTATTGAGAATTGAAGAGGGGAGAAAGGCAGGCACCTGGGGACCCCACAAGGCAGTTCAGGGCCTGTGGCAGGCAAATGTTCATTATTTGTACCATTCCACTGAAATGACAGTCCCAGAACTTGCAAGAAATGACCCCAGAATAACAATGTATTTCTGGTTAACCTTTGTACCATTGCTTCTATTTGATTCTGAAGTTTATTGAAGAAGCCTGACAAAACCAGTATTATAGTGCTTAATTGGTATATATTAAGCTATAATATGGATAATTAGAAACCAATCAATGTTCCGTCTTTCATAAAGGAGGGCAGAGGTTAGTTAGGCTATCTCCTTAGCAGTCTAAGTTTGTGATCTGGTTTAAAGGTGAAAATAAATTAGTAACCCTTTCTTCAATAAAATTTGAATAACTTGCCAAGCAGAATAACTTCGGTTTCTGTTTACTGTCACTTCATCACTATGACAGCTTTTAGTTTCATAGGCACAGTTTTACAATTCTGTTAGGTTATAACAAAAATGAAGTATCTTTAAGTATCAGAATAAAGTATCTTTAAGTATCAGAATACAGTGGATAGACTGGGTAACCTCTGATAATACAGGCCCATGATTATTTGTCACTATATCTTGAGATAGGATAATAATACTAATCATAAACAAGAAATTTCTAATACTGCTTAAGGATTTGTGGAAATATACTCTTAGATGCTAATACAAGGATTATAAATTGTTATAAAACATTTCTGGAACAATTCAACAAATATATCATAAGATATTACATTGTTCATACCTTTCAAGAACAATTTTCCAAGAATATATCCTAAGACAAAAAAATAGAAATGTAATGAAGGTTAATGTAAAAGTATGAATATCATAGCATTATTTGTAATATTGAATTAGTGGAATTAACTTTGAGGGTTAATAGGAGTATCTCTTATTTAAAGTTTACAAATATAAAAAAATTTCTAACCATCATGTCTATAAAAATGTTTAAAACCAAAGTGCTTACATTATAATATCAACTTAAAAAATGGGATATAATTAATTCATCATAATTTCAAACATAACTAGAGAGAGAGCTAGATAGAGAAATACAATGAGGCAGATTTATAGTAGAAATCTGTTAGAATTATGGGAAATTTTTACTTCTCTGTTTTGTTTGTTTTGTTTTTTGGAGAAGGAGTCTCGCTCTGTCGCCCAGGCTGGAGTACAGTGGTGCGATCTCGGCTCACTGCAACCTCTGCCTCCTGGGTTCAAGCAATTCTCCTGCCTCAGCCTCCTGAGTAGCTGGGACTACAGCTGCACACCACCATGCCCAGCCAATTTTTTGTATTTTAGTAGAGACAGGGTTTCACTGTGTTGCCCAGGCTGGTCTCGAACTCCTGAGCTCAGGCAATCCGCCCGCCTCATCCTCCCAAAGTGCTGGGATTACAGGTGGGAGCCACCACACCCAGACACTTCTGTGTTTTCTACAATGACCATACACCACTAACATAACCATAAATATTAATAATGTGACTCATTCCTCTGCTTGAGCACCCAAAGATATTGAATAGGTCTATTCCTAAGTGCTAAAATCATTTGTACAAATTAGAAGTTAGACAAAAACATGCTGTTAATTTTCCTTAATTAAAATAATTATTCTCATCAGAGCTACCCCAAATGCATAGCCTAAACTTTTAGGAAGGCCTTGTTATGACTATGACAGTTGGAATAGAGAAACTGGCATTGTTAAAAGTGTTGCCATAGCATCTTTAATGTGATATATTTTTACTAATGCCTGCATGTTAGAGTTCATTTTAAAACTCAGAAAGAAGGAAGGAAGGAAGGAAAAAAGGAAGGAAGGAGAGAAGGAGGGAAGGAAGGAAAGAAGGAGGGGGGAGGGAAGGAAGGAAGGAAAGAAAGAGGGAGGGAGGGAGGGAAAAAAGGAAGGTGGGAAGGAAGGAAGGAGGGAAGGAAGGAAGGAAGGACGGACGCAGGGAAGGAAGGAAGGAGGGAGGGAGAGAAGGGAAGGGAAGGGGAAGGGAAAGGGGAAGGGATACTATGCAGCCATAACAAACAATGAGATAAGTCCTTTGCAGCAACATGGACGGAGCTGGAGGCCATTATCTAAGCAAACTAACACAGGAACAGAAAATCAAATACTGCATGCTCTCACTTAGAAGTGGGAGCTAAACATTGAGTACACATGGACACAAAAAAGGAAACAACAGATATTGGGGCCTATTTGAGGGTAGAGGGAGGGAGGAGGGTGAGGATAAAAATACTACCTATCCATTACTATGGTTATCACCTGGGTGGCAAAATAATCTGTATGCCAAACTCCCATGACATGTAATTGGCTTACGTAACAAACCTGCACATCTGTAAACCTACAAAAAAGTTTTTAAATTGGGAAAAAAATAGGAAAAACAACATGAGCAAAAAGCCACTGTGGGTAATTCCCAGAGGAAAAAACAATCATGTACCCATATAATCTATGGGTTTGGCTAACACTCTGGATTTAATTGAATGTAGTATTAAAGTTTCCAGGGCAACAAAATCAATGTGTCCCCTTCCCTTGATTTCTAATTCTTGTCCACAAAGGTGAGAAAATTATCTAGGATCTCGACAAAATTGGAGAGAGCTCAGATACGTTCCTCCAGATGATCAAGACTATTAGGCCTAGATCATGTCTACAATGATGCTAACAAATAAGAACAGGATACCAGGACTCACTTTGGTAACTTCTACAGCTCTCTAAATTCTGTCTTTCTGCTCAGCAATTGGACAACATATGCCCAACTGTGACCAGATCTTACCAGGAGACACTGGCTGTCACACAAATAGTCATGAAAACAGCTAATGGGAAGTACAAAGCTAAGAATAACAAAACACTGGCACTCTGTGGACCACCTGCCAGCCAGCCAGATCCTGGAAAGCTAGTTAGTGTCAAGCAGATGGTGACTCTGACTGTTTTTTTTGTTTTGGTTTTTTTTTTTTTTTTTGAGACGGAGTCTCGCTCTGTCGCCCAGGCCGGACTGCGGACTGCAGTGGCGCAATCTCGGCTCACTGCAAGCTCCGCTTCCCGGGTTCACGCCATTCTCCTGCCTCAGCCTCCCGAGTAGCTGGGACTACAGGCGCCCGCCACCGCGCCCGGCTAATTTTTTGTATTTTTAGTAGAGACGGGGTTTCACCTTGTTAGCCAGGATGGTCTCGATCTCCTGACCTCATGATCCACCCGCCTCGGCCTCCCAAAGTGCTGGGATTACAGGCGTGAGCCACCGCGCCCGGCGACTCTGACTGTTTTTACACAGAGTGAGTATTGGCCACTTTGTAATGAATCAGAAGACCTACTTGAAATCATTTGGCATAAAACATAAAAAGCTTGATGACATAGTTTCACCCAGACCCATAGTCTAACCATTGGGAGAGTGGATTATGTGCAACAGTACCAGCCATCCAGCCTCAGAAAGGGACTATTAGGATTCTCAGGCCTACATCAAATGGTTTGGGGTCAGGGCAAGATTTTATTCATGGCTGAAGAGGTGGCATGGGAGGCAGTACAACAAATAATTTAAGTGCTTCACAAAACAACAAATGAAAACCAAGCAAGGAGCCTTGAAGAAGTGAATACTGCTCATTAGAGAACCAGGATGTTGGAGGGGTGAGTTAGGAATTCTCTTATTTCAGTGTCACATGAGTATCTGGGTTTTCACTTGCCACATAGTTCCCAAGAAAGGTTAACAGCAGAGATTTATGCAATGCTGAAAAGGATGGGCAGTGGGCAGTATGAATACAAAACTGTTAGGAATGGAACAGAACCATCTTCTGGAGAGCAGCATTCTGGTGCTATCTTGGAAGATCTAGAATTATGTTAAGTCCTGAGAAATTCTCAACATAGATCATAAGTTTTACACAGATAAGCAAAATATTCCAGTGTCATGATCTACCTGAACCACCAGTTCACATATATATGCTGTTCAATCCCAGGAAAACTAGAGCAAAATATATTTATAGCTCAGCCTAAACTTTTACATTACCACCTCCAAACATAAACAGTGCAAAGCTGATATCTTGCCACTTATGAAACACTGTGGATGGAAAAGCACATATATGTATTATGCTCATGCTAACAAGTTAAAAAAAGTATTTGCTCTTCTTTAATCCTCACTATTTATCTATAAAAGGAATGCATCAGTAGATCAAGATGATGAACTTCATCACCATGTAAGACAAAAAAAATCTCTTTCTAATGAAGAAATATCTTACCCAAATGGCTTTGACTAAGTGTGTATATTGGGTACCAAACAGAAATAGGCACAGATATAGAAATGGAATTAAAAGCAAAGGCATCATTTCTCCTGAAAGTCTCTATTTCACGTAACTGATGGTCGTTTAGTACTATCTTATTAATAAAAGAGCACTGTTATTAATCTACACATTACATTCAATTAGTTAATGTATTAATGTTATTTTTCCCACATGTGGTCTGCCAGTGCAAGGAGCTGATCCTGATTATTATCACTTTTATTATATTGATAATTTGCCCTCTATTATTTCAGGGACCTTAGAATAGATGTATTTTATAATGAAGAACCAAAAAATAGTATGTAGTGCATTAAATTTTGAAAGAAAGATAAATAGAGTTAGAAAGAGTCTAAGAAAATATAATCATAAAGATGTCCTGCATGAAACTAACTTATGGATATTTACATGTATTTGTGTGAAAAGTGGTACAAGAATCATCATTGCATTTCCAACTTGCTTGTGATTCCCCCATCATGGATTAATTTTAATTTAATCATTCTCTTAAGGCAAGAATTCAGAGTATTTATGTCACCCAATTCAAGTTTCGTAAGTAGAGTACAATTTGTCAATTGAACACTTACAATGCAGGTCAAGTCTGCCCTTAAATAGTTTAAAATCATCTGGGGAAAGTAATTATATATGGAAGTAACTACTTTAAACAGCACAATTTATATTTAATTAATGTATGTTTTACATAATGCAAGGGAAGGAGAGTTAATTATAGCTAACACTTACTTGGCACTTACTATGAGCAGGATATTCTCCTAGGCACTAAAAGCCTTCTTCAAGAAGTTGTCATCTGAATTAAGTAATAAAGATGGAAAAAATTTCAACAGTTAGAGAAACATTGAAATATGCTTTAGGCAAAGAAAAGACCATGAATAAGAAAAGTAGCAGGTAGGAAAATAGTGCTTATGGCTACTGGAAGCTAATTGTGCATGACCACAGTGTAAGTAGCAAGAAGGTAAGATATAAATCTGGACACCAAAGCAGGGGTGATAAGGTGGAAACCTTGGATGCCATTTATCTTAGAAGTATTTTGAATGGAGAAATGACTAATCAACTCTCCAAAAACTGCATTTTAAAAACCATTACATTTGGTTCCAATGGATGAAATAACGGACCAAGCTTTGAAAATAGGAGAACATTTCATAGGATTTCAGGAAAACACAACTAGCTCAACAAAACTTAACAAGTAAACAGACAGACTCAACCACTAACGTGTCAATTGGGAACTTTGTTCTACTTCCTAAAATACTTAAAAAATAACTTCAATAATGACACAATTTTTTATTGTTTGTTTATCTGATTTTTAATCACTTGTCAGCAATCCAAGGCTAGTAAGGAGGCTCAATGACATCTCCAGGACTCATTCAACTCTTTTTCCTGTTTTGCCGAACTTAGCAGGGACTTTTGACCTTAAATTTGCAAGCTGGCTGCTGCATTTCCAGTCATGCATTGGCATCTGAGCAGAATAAGAGCAAGAACAAAAGACTCGTACAGTCACTGTATACAGTCATCCCTCAGTATCTGCAGGGGGATTAGCTCCAGTATCCCCCACGAATACCAAATCCACAGATGCTCAAGTGCCTTATAAAACATGATATTGTATTTGCATGTAACCTACATACATCCTCCAGTATACTTTAAGTAACCAGTTCTTATACTGTATTGTTCTTTTTACTTGTGATATTTTTTATTATTGTATTGCTGTGTCTTATTGTTTTTTTTCAAACATTTTTGTTTGTTGTTTTCGAGACAGGGCTTCACTCTGTTGACACCTGGAGTCCAGCGGCTCAATCTTGGCTCATTGCAGCCTTGACCTCCCCAGGCTCAGATGATCCTCTCACCTTATCCTCCAGAGTAGCTGGGACTACAGGTGCATGCCACCATGCCTGGCTAATTTTTGTAATTTTTGTAGAGATGGGGTTTCAACATGTTGCCCAGGCTTGTCTTGAATTTCTGGGCTCAAGCGATCCACCCACCTCAGCCTCCCAAAGTACGAGGATTACAGGCATGAGCCACGGTGCCTAGCCTCTGAATATTATTGATTGGTAGTTGGTTGAGTGTGCACATGCAGAACCTGCAGATAAGTAAAGCCAACTGTACTAGCAAAGTTTTGCCTTATCATTAAGGATAGCAAGACTTCCTCAAATATTTGGACTCACAACTACCTGCCAGAAACGTGTACCATGACCACCCACTGTCATAAGGAAATGAAGTTTACTTTCCAGTCTCTATGATATAGTAAATAAAAAAAGAAATCTCAATGAGAGAGAAAGAGAAAAGAAGCCTTCAGTAGCTGCCAAAGCAGTAGATTCAGTGGTATTACCTGGGGGAGGAAAAGGTACTTCTCTTAATGTACTTGTTCAATTCTTGACTATACTTTCCTAATACTGGTCTAAGAATTTATACTCAGAATCACGAGTAGAAGTGGATGGCTCCCAACAGATTAAAGACTACTTTGACAGGAAGAGTGAAACTAGTTCCATGTGGACAGAGAATTGAATGAGACAAAATTCATGATAAAGGGATTACGGCAATGGAAAGCCGCAGGGCAACAAACATCACATAGGTACTTATGTCTAACACCATTCTGACTACTCAACAATGATCGTCCCCATCTTCCTGCAGTGCTTTTGTCCAGTAATCTGTAGCCTTGTTCATATGGAAGGTGGGTATCCCTGGGTAGATTATAATTCATCTTAGCCAGTCATAAAAATCCAAAACTCCTTTGCCAGTGATTAGACTAACAGTGATTATATGACCCCCAGTTTTAGCCAATGAGACATAAGGACAAAATCTACTGGGAGTGTATAGAATAAGGTTTTCTTCTGGATTTAAAAAAAAAGCAATATTTTTTGTGTGCCTCAGAGTTGCTATTGCCATCTGTGAGAATGAAAAGAGCTGTAACCTACACAAATAGCAAAAAGGGAAAATGTAAAAAACATGTGGGTACCTGATGATTTAACTTAGTTACTGAAGCAGCCCTGAAATCACCCTCTCCTGGATTTCTTATTGAGATAATAATTATTTAAGTCGCCATTAATTGGGGAGTTTGTACTTGCAGCCTAGAGCATTTTAAATGATATTATATCAGTTAAAAAGCAACATTCACATTAAGAGTGTAACATTCAAATTAAGATTTTAGGAATCCAAAGAAGAAATTAAGGGGCTAATTTAGATCACAGATCATGGTCTCGGATTTAGGCCCATGAATACAGATGCAGGAGAGAACAGAAGTAAATAAAAAGAGGAAGTGTTCACAATAAAGTAACTTCATGATTTAAGTACATTTTGTTCATACAAAATGGAATCTTGG
Source organism: Homo sapiens (assembly GCF_000001405.40). Taxonomy (NCBI): domain Eukaryota; kingdom Metazoa; phylum Chordata; class Mammalia; order Primates; family Hominidae; genus Homo; species Homo sapiens. The sequence goes on along the minus strand of NC_000006.12, from coordinate 76,670,040 downwards.
AATCTAAATAGAAGATTAGCTCTCACTCTTTGGCCAACACAGATGTGACAGTTTATTGACTCACTTATTATCAGTACAAAAGTCACTGTGCTATTACGCACTGGGTCTCAAAGTAGCATATGCAACAGCCCAGAAAATGGCTTTGATGGGAATAAGACACTAATTAGGGCTTTTGCAAGGGTCCAGCAGGTCTGCCGTGGCACATCTGGCAGAAAAACAATGGAGAGTATCTGTGATTGACATGAGGAAACTCTGACATTAAAGTATTTCTGTCAGATTAACACTTTTCTCATGCTATGATTCTACTGGCTTTTATGAAATATAAACCTTTATTAAGCTGAATAAAATTTATAGCAGAACAAAAATGATGATGAATAACATATGAAGTTATTTCATTGTAAAATGTACTTTTCAGGAGGCATTAGAGGAAGAAAATGCAATATAACTGATATATACTTTGTGATAATATCCATTTACAATTAGGATCATTTCTGGGCTATGTGGTGTGATTGCTAGGACAAATCACAGTGTATGCCGTAACCTTCCCACACTCAATATTTTTATCCAGTAAAATATTGTGTTCAAAATAAATCTCAAGGGCAGCCTTGAAGGAGAAAAGAAGTAGGAAAAGAGTATAACACTTTGGTCTGTGGAGAAGGAACAGCACAGTCCCTCCAGCTATTCATTAATGGTAGTGGAGGGATTTATAAACTGATTAAATGTGTTAGAATCTCATCTGACTTTGCCAGCACTATCATGGTTCACAAAGACTTTAATATACGAAATCTCACTTAAATTTGAACCAATCATGAGTAACAGACATTAATATTCTTCTCCTGATGTTCTGTATTAACCTCTTCCACAACATTCAGTGTCTACCCTTCTCCTCAGTTCCCTGTGACCCAAAAGAATGAACTCTACCAATGATACCACCCGAGCTAGCTTCTACTTGGATTCAGCCAATGGGAGGAATGACTGGGAAATCAGAAGGCGGGAAGAGGAATAATTCTTCCCCAGCTCCCTCACTATGTCGGTACCACAGTTCTTGCAGTGCTGTATCCATCTATGGCTTCAGCATCTAATGGGAGTCCCCCTCCTCAGTGGCTCCTATTCTCACCAGGCTCCAGTGACACATTTTTCCCTTTGAATTTTCAAGCCTAGTGTGGTAACAGCTTCCATGATATTTAGGTCTTAGATGTGTTGATATCTGCTAACAATTTCCTTAACCCTGACCATACCTCTATAAATAATTTATCAGAGTGTGACTTCTCTTTCTGTTGAGACCCCAAATCGACACATTCCCCACTTCAATTATGAGGTTTAGCATTGTTAACTGACTTTTCCAAACACACAGCTGGTAAGTAAGAGTAACTTACCTATCTTGTGTTCCCAGTCCACAGCTCATTCCCTTACACCATATTGTCTTTATATGTATATGCATTTTAAATACCTGCTTTCCTCTTTCCACTTCTGTGTATCACCAGAGAAACTCAATTATCAATAGTCAAGACCTAGAAGACTTCTCAATTTGTCATAATTTCAAAAAGGCTTTGATCAATGTTCATTTCAGAAAAGTATCTGAAATGTAAACTCATTGAAGCATTTTTTCCATCACTTTCATAAAAATTATTCTTCTAAGTAAACAATTATGATCCTCACAATGCTGAAAAGTTTTGGGAAGGAATGACTTATTAAGAAGTAAGCAGTTCAGCAGAATAAGACTATTTTTTCTGAAATATTTTTTCAGAAAAATATGATTAAACAAAGTAATAAAACAAAGTGTCTTATAATAGCCATTCAATTCTTCATTCATATCAGTATAGCCCTGAAGGCACACAATACTTAGGCCAGCATTTAATTGACTGAGGACATGAAAATAGCTATAGGGAAGTCATATCAAGAAGCAGAGATACATTCTCTGTTTCATTTTTTTCCTTTTTTCTGTGGTTGGTTTAGAATGCATAAACTCATTTATAGAAATAACTAAAAAATTATAACAATCTTTCAGTTCTATTTTGCTCTTTCTGAAATCATGATGATTTTGGATATATGTAGAATGATACTATTAAAATTGTCAGCTGGGCATGGTGGCTCATGCCTGCGATCCCAGCACTTTGGGAGGAGGAGGTGGTTGGATCACCTCGGACCAGGAGTTCAAGACCAGTCTGGCCAACATGGCAAAACCCTGTCTCTATTAAAAACACAAAAATTGGCCAGGCATGGTAGCATACTCCTGTAGTCGCAGCTATTCTGGAGGCTGAGGCAGGAGAATTGCTTGAACCCAGGAGGCGGAGGTTGCAGTGAGCTGATATCGAGCCAGTGCACTCCAGCCTGGGTGACAAAGCAAGACTCTGTCTCAAAAAAAAAAAAAAAAATTACAATGTTATAAAATTAAAAACTAGATCTTGTCTTTAATTATATGATGACTTCCTCCTAGGTGAACTTTATGTTTTTATTTCAAAGACAAGCTAAATGTTTTAAGTTGAGCATGAACCAGATTATTATAATTACAACTATTTGACTATGAGTACTTTTTCTTCTAAACTCTAGGTTCCTTAAGAGCAGGTACCACATCATAATCATTTCTGTAATTTCAGAACTACTCTGAAATATAGTGGGCACTAGCTAAATGTATGCTGAATTAATTGTGATATTTTAGCACAAATATACCCTGATAATTCTTTGCCATATTTGTACTAAATTCAAAATGTTTCCTAATGACTATAATGCTGTTTCTGTGAAATAGGGTTATATATTTTCTTCTAATATTCCTCAAAGACAGTATGTCAGTCAACCACCTTAGAACATTCACACTTCTATCTATGAGATTCTCAGCCTTCTTTTCCCCAAATTTACAGTAACAGTGTAACTGCTAGCTACAGTTTCTATATGAGTGTGTGTCTTCACAAGCACTCTGGACATGAAATGCTTTTGTACATGTATAACTGACAGCACATAAGACAGAAAAAAGACTTTACTTGAACTTTTTAAAAAGTAGATATTGTTGACTCTGGACACCAGAATCTTAATTTCAAATTGCTCAATCGTTGGTTGAGTCTCAAGTTCAATCAAGTTGAGCTTTGGGAAGGAATGACTTATTAAGAAGTAAGAAGTTCAGCATAATACGACTATTTTTTCTGAAACTAATTTTCAGAAAAATATGATTGAAAAAGGCAATAAAACAAAGTGTCTCAAAATAGCCATTCAATTCTTCATTTATATCAGTATAGCCCTGAAGGTACAAAATACTTAGGGCAACATTTAATTGGAGGGGCCATAATGCTTGCCAAATTGTAATACATGTACACATCTTCCTTCTTTCTTCCACTTGTTTGAATTGAGAATTTTTTTTCCCATTCCACGTATTTTTATTTCTGTGAATTTGAAAGTTACTCTTATTGTTTGCCCTAAAATGTCAGGCGCATATTTAACTCTTGAAAGATTAAATTATTATTTTTATCTTCTCAAATGAAATAATACAACTTTAACATCCAACCATTGATATCACCTGAAAGATATATTTCTCTCTCTCATTTATTAAGCACTATGGATCGCTTTTTTTAACCACCATTCATTTTATTGCACTTTGCGAAAGAAATTATACTGAATATGTAAAAATAACTGTAAAATGTTCAAATAATAAATTAATAGAATTAAAAAGTACATCCTTCTTTATCTTCCTCCCTACCGCCCGCCCCTTCTAGTAATAATCCCTGTTAACAATTTAGTTTGTATCCATCTGGATTTACTCTTCTACATTTACAAACAGGTAGATATAGATGCAGATATGCATATGTATGATTTGAAATGATTATTATTTTGAAGGTTTTAATAAATTGGATCATGTTTTCTTTTTCTTTTTCCTTTACATCTTCAAGAGATTTTTCTGTCTGTACAATACATCATTTCACTGAAGAGGAAATAAAGACCCAGAAAGGTGAAGTGACTTGCCCAAAGTCACACAGCTATTAGCCCCAAAGATCTTTATGAAAGATTTTCCTCGCTTATCAGTCAGGATAGGCTAGATTGTACTTCCGGAAACAATTAATCTTTAAAATCACAGGGGCCTGCCACTACAAAGATGTGTTTCACACTCATTTAATAAGTCCATCACTGTCTCTCCACTCACCTTACCTCCAGGACTCAGAAGCAGCCTCTGCCAGTCTCACAGCAGAGGGAGAAGGAAGATGCCAAATCATTACCTGGCCCAGAAAGCTTCCTCAATAACATTCCATTGGTTAGAGCAAATTACAGGAACAAACCTGACATCAAGATGGAAGTATAATTGTCAACAACAAGAGGAGCCATAATGCTTGGCAAATTGTAATACATGTGCATGTCCTCCTTCTTTCTTCCATTTGTTTGAATTGATTGAGAACTTTTTTCCTATCCCATTTTTTTCTCTCTGTGAATTTGAAAGTTACTCTTAGTTTTTACCTTAAAATGTTAGAAGCATATTTAATTCTTCAAAGATTATTATTTTTATCCTCTCAAACAAAATTATTTAACTGTAATGTCTAAGCATTGACTTACATGCTATTATTCTCTACTATTTTAGTTATTTTTATTATTTCACAAATCATATTCTATTGCTTTGGGTTTTACAGACAACATTTGTGGTGATTTATCCATTTTTATCACATATTCTAGTAACTCTTTCCTTTTTTAATTACAGATATTCATTGTGGAATTATTTTCTAGCCTTTCAGAGTGTATCCTTTAGAATATCTTTCGGTAAGGAGCCATTAGTAATAAACTCTCTGTTTGACTCTCACTGAAAATGTCTTTGTATCTCCCTCTTCCTTGGTTATACTATTCCAGGTTAAGATTTATTTTTGTATCACACTTTGAAAATGTTATTTTGCTATTTTTTGGCTCCATTATTGAGGATGAGAAATATTTGGCTGATCTAAATGTTGTTTCCAGTATTTAATCTGTCTTTTCCTTCTGGGTGCTTCTAAGATTTTCTTCTTTGTCTTTGATCATCTTCAGTTTCAGTAGGATGGATCTTAGGTTTGACCACAAATCTCACAAGAGTTATAGTTAGATTGTCTTAAGAGAGATTATATTTTCTCCCGAACCCAGAACCTCAGCAAAGAGTAATTACTCCTTGTTGGCCGGGCGTGGTGGCTCACGCCTGTAATCCCAGCACTTTGGGAGGCCAAGGTGGGCGGATCACGAGGTCAGGAGATCGAGACCATCCTGGCTAACATGGTGAAACCCCATCTCTACTAAAAATGCAAAAAATTAGCCGGGCGTGGTGGTGGGTGCCTGTAGTCCCCGCTACTCGGGACGCTAAGGCAGGAGAATGATGTGAACCTGGGAAGCAGAGCTTGCAGTGAGCCAAGATCGCGCCACTGCACTCCAGCCTGGAAGGCAGAGCGAGACTCCGTCTCAAAAAAAAAAAGAAAAAGAAAAAGGAAAAAAAAGGAGTAATTACTCCTTGTTGATTATTTTACAGATGGTGTAACCATCGCTGGTCTGACTTTATGCAGAGGTTCTCTTGTTAAACTTCTGACATAGCAGGACCTAGGCTTTGTCTTTTGACTCTATAGTCCTATGCAGCCATATAAATGAAGCTCATGGAACAAACCATGGATAAATGGAGTTCCCTAGAACAGTCAGGGACTTGAATCTTGCTCACCCAACTCTAGATTAATGATCTTCACTATATGCTTCCCTTTTGAGGATTTATTTGACTTCTTTCTGAATCAGCAATGCAGTTATAGATGTATTTATAGATGATTTTCATAAGTGGGTAGGGAAGATAATGTGCCAAAGCACTGCCAAGGAAATTCCTGATGGGCTTGTTTAACAAAAAATTCATAAGCATAAAGCTTGCCGCTCGCTCGAGCTCTCTGTGTGTGTGTGTGTGTGTGTGTGTGTGTGTGACATTTCCCACTTGCAATTTTTTAAATAGGAAGAAAAGAGTTTAATTTAATTGAACCTATTTGGTGAAATAAATGAAATATCACTTGCTAAATACATACATATAATAAAAAACAATATACAGAATACTTTTTAAACAAAATTTACATTTAGATTAAAATAAATTATACAAAATTGATTTTCTTCAAAAATAGCAATATTTTCTATAATATTTCTAGATAAAATAAAAAACACTTATTTTTGTAGTTTTCCAGCTTTTGCTTATAAATCAAGATGAGGCAGAAGATATAGTCATGGAAAAAGACAGAAGAAAACAGACAAGTCAGTTGTCAGTATTCACGGCCTCTGATTCTGCCTTGACCATAAATGAAAGTGTTATACATACACCTGCTAAAAAGCATATGAAGATGTAGGTTCAACAAAGAAATATAAACAGTAACAACCAAATGTGGAACAACAACGGCAGGCTTTTCCATTCAACTTTAACTGTAACTTGTTCCCTTAAGTTCATTTACTAAAGATAAAACCTGCACTAAAATCCTTGTTTCTTGATCTCACAAGCTTCTCACTCTGGTAATTCTTTAACTGTCAATTACAGATTTTTAACAACATACCTGAAATCCTTATTAGTCAAAGGTCAATTATGAGGTTTATTGTAACATATTATAAGATGTAATCCTTACTCCCACACTTCCCCAAAATATATTTCTTCAAAGAATTGATAACTCAATATCCAAGAATCAAATCCAAAATGATAATAAATGTTATACCCAAAATGACTTAACTAGAACAATTCCAGAGTGCCAGTAGCAGAGATAATGCAGACATAAAACAGGGTGTTTTCAATGCTAGCTTCTGGAAGAAAAAAATAGGTCCTCAAAGCATCAGATTTCAAGCAGGAGCCATTTAAATAGTAAGATTATCAGTAATTAATGTATTCAATGGGAGGCCTATCAGCAGAGATAGTCAGTGATTGAGTGACCTGCATACAACTTACAGCTTTTCTTCCAAATATCAAATGTAAGATAAAGCCCGTTTAGAGAAGCTTTTCAGTATTTGTAATGATTTCTGAATTATCTGTGGGGAATTCTGACTTAATTGGATAATGTTTGATATATGTGTCCACCATTAAATCCAGATCATGCTTTAGATCAAAATTTATGTTAAGCAAAGCCAAGTTACTCAATCTTTGGTCTGTCAAAGGGTTCCTCAAGTATGTTTTGAGATGCTTTTGTCCATTTTCATTTTATGTTGATAAAAATTCTCAACTTTTATCACAGGAAGGATACACAGGACCTTCAGCAATGCATACACATTAGTAAAAAACTTGATTTAGTCAAGTGGAGAGTTTCATAAATGGTGGATGGAAGCTCTACACTCTTCCCTCTGTCTTTCCATTTGATTCCCCAACAATGCAGTTTGGCTGAGAGCACACTGGGATGGGGTAAGTCACTTCTATACATGCCAGTATAGTGTTCCTCTAATGTGTAAAATTTGAGCTGACCTATGACTGAGGGTACCAGAGATAAGCACTTAAGAGCTTTGAGGTGCTGTTCTGAAAATCTGTCTTTAAGTTCCTGAATAATGTGCTCCACTGTTGAACACAGGTTTTCTTTATAAAAACTCTCATAGGGTAGTTGGAATTTCAGGTTACCTTGCTGAGCTCTGTGGAATTTCCCAGGGAATTTCATTTGAACATCAAGTTGGATTGTCATATTGTGGCTTCCTCAAACCAAAACTCATTATAAACTTCAATTTTTTCTGTCACTTTACTGAGTGACTGCAGTATTGCAGTCAAGCTACTGGCTGCAGACAAGACCTCAGAGGTTTGCCCCTAGAGATTTTTCCAAAAGTCTCTTGTAAAAAAAAAAAAAAAAAAAAAAAAATAGGACATTTTAAAGAACAACAATGGTAACAATTAAATCAAAATCTGTTACTGTACTTCAGGGTACAAATGCTTGGGCAGCTATACGATTATTGCATCTGATATTTGTGTCACTATTTGTACCATGCCAACATAAAATAAGTGCTTTCACAAGGTCCACTAAAATTTCAAAAGCATCCTGCCCTCTTGTCCATGGAGAATGGCAAATTTCCTTCAGTTCTTTACCCCTTTCTTCACTCTTCAGGAAAAGAAAAAAAATAACATTTTCATGTTCTAAAAGCAGTTGTGGTAACTGATTGATAGAAAAAAAGAACAGGCTGGGCGCAGTGGCTCACGCCTGTAATCCAACACTTTGTGAGGCCAAGGCGGGGGGATCACGAGGTCAGGAGATCGAGACCATCCTAGCTAACATGGTGAAACCCCGTCTCTACTAAAAATACAAAAAAAATTAGCCAGGCGTGGTGGCGGGTGCCTGTAGTCCCAGCTACTGGGGAGGCTGAGGCAGAATGGCGTGAACCCGGGAGGCGGAGCTTGCAGACAGCCGAGATTACGCCACTGCACTCCAGCCTGGGGGACAGAGCGAGACTCCGTCTCAAAAAAAAAAAAAAGAAAAAAGGAACAAACTTCAATTGTTCCCAATGCAACAGAAACTCCCCATAACAGTCAGTGATTCTACCAACCACATATTTAAGACATAAGAAGAGGAAGAGATATCTCCTCTGTAGGTATCTTGGGGATATGTTTTTCAAAGTCTAGAAGCAAGTACTTCATTTTGGAAGAAAATTCAGTGGACAGAATGGAAGCCTGCCCATAATGATACTCCATTTGTAGCCCCCACTTCTCAGTTGCCACAGTGTGGAATTTTAAAGCCAAACTTTGTGCATCAGCTTCCTAAGGTGGGAAGCCTACAACATCCTCTTTCAGGTTATGAGATTCATGGACAAATCTCACCAACATAGGTGATGCTCTTCCCCCATTATGTCCTCTATATTGACAGTGATAAGGGAAAGAAGAGCGAGTCTCTTACTTCCCTGAACATTTCTTCCTGAATATAGCTGTGACAGATCTCTAGCATCTGTTTCTGATAGGTTTCTTAACAGAACAGTGTGTTAACTGCAGTTGTCTCAAAGTGCTTTCTCAGGACCTCTTGAACAGAATTTACCAGCCACTCTACCAGTTCTTAGAAGTTATCAGGAGTAAAGAGACCTTCTGGGATTTCATCAGCTTCATGTTTATATAGAGGTACGTTTTGCTTTCCTGTAAGAATACAAATTTCTAATAGAAATTTTAGGTATTCTTTGTTTTGCTTCTCTTCAAGGGTTAAAGATAAAATGTCCTCATCTCCTTCTTCCGCACTTGGGATTCTAAGCATTGCTGTTACTAGTTTCTTTATATTATTTTCTTTTCCTGTTGAGAAGTTTGGTCATTTTTTTTTTTTCTGTTTCCATGTTCTGATTTCATCTTCACTCAACTCTTTTATTCATTTTCTATGTCTACTATGTGGATTGTCTAAATGATTGGTAAGAGCGCATCGTGTGGATGTTGCATTATCTCAAAGAACTGCCCTATAAATACAAGGTCTACAGATCATAGAGTTCTCAAAGTGTTCGGCATATAATTTATAATGTTTATTTAGTTGATTAGGTGTTTTATTTTCTAAGTCTCTGCTCTGCTACAATTCTCCACCCTCTCCTGGCATCTGGCCACAACCCCCAGAACCTGAAGAAGGCCAGGTCAGACTCCTTGCTCTTCCCCTTGCAGTTGGGGGCAGTGCTGAAGTTCAGCCTTGTCACTGCCTGCCTGCTGACCCAGACCCTCATCCCACATCCTCAGAGTAGCCTACAGGCCTGTCTGGCTGGAGAGAGAAGCCTGGCTGGTGACAAAGGGAGGGGCAGGCTACACATGCTTTTCTGCTTTTAAATTCCAGTCTTTATTCAGGTAGGATATGTTTTCTCTCTAAGCTCAGTGTTTTGAAATCATCAATACCACCAATAACATGGCAAACACACTATGAGCATTGACAAATTGCTGACAAGAGGACTAAGAATTCTCCAGAACCACAATTAATGATTACTAGTTGAACTCTATTTCTATTTTCACATAGATTCAAGTAAGTTTTCAGAAAAATTCATCATTATCCAAACCTCTCACTATCCCATATCTAAAGGGAACCAAATAATTCAGATATTCAGATATCACAGCATCCTTTAACATGTGAACACAACTATCCAAACAAGTTATCTAAACCCAGGAACAAGTTATCTAAACCCAGGAACTGAGTAAATTCAAAGAACAAAGGTTACTTGTATTAAATAAGACCTAGTATAAGAAAGTGATATGTATGGCATAGATGAGGTAAAGAGTATAGACTTTATGGACATAAGGAAGATCAGTGGAAGATAGAGAACTAGGTAACAAAAGAAAAAGACATTACATTTCACTAACTATAGGCAAGAAGAGAAAAGCATCATATAGGTGAAATGTAATTTCCAAGAGCCATTCGTCATTCATCTTCTTGAAAAGTCTATGATTTTTTTCCTATATCATCCTATCAGATGTCTTTTCTGTATTGATTAAATATGGTTAAGAATATCCACTTGTTTCTATGGCAGGGTGCTTTCAGTTTAACAGCTTCAGTCCTACTTACATGCATTCCAGCCATAGTTTGGATATATCACTGACCAAGAAAAATGAGTGGAACTGCACAGATAAATTTGTGAAACAAATTCTCTGCAACCTCTTTCTTTCTTCTCCTCTGCCCCCATCTATAACTCTCAGTGCCAAATGCAAGCACATTTCTAAATCTCCTTGTTAAACCGAGAAAGATTCAAATACATTTATACTTTGAAAAAAAAAAAACACATTTCTTCTGTGTTAACTATTCTTGTTCTATTTGTTTGTATGGTGAGCTTTCATCTCTAATTGTGAAATGCAAAGTTGTCTTCTGTTTAAGAGTATCTAGCTTCAGCCTGCCAAGCAGAAATTGTTGCAGGATGCCTGAGAAATCTTCTAGGAAGGATAATAATTTGATTTTTCCTGTTCCCACTTCCCTCTCCAAATATTGGCATTTGCTTCCTTGGAGAATATTAATCCTTGGCCTCCAGTTCGCTTAAACTGCTAAATAAGGGAGGCTATATTCCACAAACATGTCTTCCCCTTTAACCACTCTACCAGTCCAAAAATAAGAGATAAAAAAAATCCCATACAGATCAATAATAATTTTACAAATTTGTTTTTTACTTCTTCCAAACGTGTCCTGGATGTCATTCCAAATGAATCTCTATTAGTGGAATTTCAAATGTTGTGCTAAGTAGCAGGAATGTAAGTTTGGGGCCTAGACTCTTGGCTATTAAACAAAACCCAACAAAACCCTAGCTGTGGTGTTTTAAACTTAAAATTTGTTTGTGGTCTGGTTATATATGAAATTCAGCTATTTCTTTTTGGTTTGTATGTTTGTTTGCGTGGTCATTTTGGTTTTAATTTTTTTATTTTTAATTAATTTTTAATTGACGAAAATTGCATGTATAGTGTACAATGTGATGTTTTGATATATATATACAGTAAAATGGCTAAATCAAACTAATGAACATATCTGTCCATTACTTTACATACTTGCCTTTTTTTGTGGTGAGAACATTTAAATCTACTATCTTAGCAATTTTTCAGTATACAATACATTGTTTTTAACCATAGTCACCATGTTTTACAGTAGCTCTACTGAACTTTTTATTTTGTCTAACCGAAAATTTGTATCCTTTGAACATCTTCTCTATTCCACACTGCAGCCTCTAGTAACTACCATCATACATTCTACTTCTATAAATTTGACGTTTAAAAATTCCACATATAAATGAGATTATGCAGTACTTGTCTTTCTGTGCCTGGATTATTTAACTTAGCACAATTTCCTCTAGTTTTATCCTTGTTATTTCAAATGATAGAATTTCATTCTTTTTTAAGACTGAATATTATTCAATCTTAAAAATTGTGTATATTTCCCACATTTTCCTAATCCATCCATCCACCCATGATATTTAGGTCTTTCCATGCCTTAGCTACTGTGAACAATGCTGCAATGAAAGTGGGCGTGCCGATACCTCTTCAGCACCATGATTTCATTTCCTTTCTAGATATATCCAAAAGTGGAATTGCTGAGCCATATGATAGCTCTATTTTTAATTTTTTGAAGAACCTCCCCACTATTTTCCAATATGGCTGTACTAATTCACATCCCCTCCAATGGTGTTACAAGGGTTCCCTTTCTCTATATCCTCCTTAACACTTATCTCTTGTCTTTTTGATAATAGCCATCCTAACAGTATGAGGTAATATCTCATTGTAGTTTTGATTTGCATTTCCCTGATGACTAGTGATATTAACAATTTTTTCATGTACTTTTTGGCCATTTGTATATCTTTATTTGAGAACTTTTTTTAGGTCTTTTGCCAAATCCTTAAGGAAATCAAATAACCCAATTTGTAATTGGGTTATTTGCGTTCTTGCTATTGAGTTGTTTGATTTTCTTAAGTATTTTGAATATTTAACCCCTTATCAGAGGTATGGATTGCAAATATTTTCTCACATTCAATAGGTTGTCTCTTCACTCTGTTGATTGTTTTCTTGTTCTGCAAAGGCTTTTACTTTGCTTTTGCAAACATTTGTAATTCCATTTATCTATTTGTAATTCCATTTATCTATTTTTGCTTTTGTTGCTTGTGCTTTTGAGGTCACATACAAAAAAAAAAAAAGCATCTTTGCCCAGGTCAATGTCAAGGAGCATTTATCCCATTTTCTTCTAGAAGTATTACAGTTTGAGGTCTTACATTTAAGTCTTTATTTTTAGTTGATTTTTATATATAGTGAGAGATAAGGCCCTAATTTATTTTGCATATGAATATGCAGTTGTTTCAACACCATTTGTTGAAGTGTGTGTTCTTGGCAACTTCGTTGTAGATCAGTTGACCACGAATGCAAGGATTTATTTATGGGCTTTGTATTCTGTTCTATTAGACTACATACCTGTCTTGTACAGTACCATGCTGTTTTGATTACTATAGCTTTATTCTCTTTGCTCAAGATTGCATTGGCAATTTGGGGTCTTTAGTGGTTTCATATGAATTTTAAAATTATTTTTTCTATTTCTATAAAAAATGTCCTTGGGATTTTGATAGAAATTGAGTTGAATCTGTAGATCACTTTGGGTAGCATGGACAGTTTAAGCAACATTAATTCTTCCAATCTCTGAACATGGGATATCTTTTCATTTATTTGTGCCTTCAATTTCTTTCATATATGTTTTCTAGTTTTCAGTGTACATACACATCTTTTATCTGTGGTTAAATTTATTCCTAAGTATTTTTTATATGCCATTGTAGGCTGGGAGTGGTGGCTCACGCCTGTAATCCCAGCACTTTGGGAGGCTGAGGTGAGTGGATCACGAGGTCAGGTGTTCAAGACCAACCTGGCCAACATAATGAAACTCCATCTCTACTAAAAATACAAAAAATTAGCCAGGCATGGTGGTGGGTGCCTATAATCCCAGCTACTTGGGAGGCTAAGGCAGGAGAATCCCTTGAAACTGGGAGGTGGAGGTTGCCGTGAGCCGAGATGGTGCCACTGCACTCAGCCCTGGCAACAGTGCGAGACTCCGAATTGAAAAAAAAAAAAAAGCTATTGTTTAATTTCTAGTTCTTTCCATCACTCACTATTTTCTGCTTTATTGGATAGTAGGGTGTTTCTGGCTTTGTAGACCTTAATTTTTTCCATTGCCCCTACTCAACTAAATTTATTCAATCAAAATAATTTATCTTAAATCTCACCCACTCCTTGGATTTAAAAGGCCCCTAAACTAATCCATTCACATGGGTACACTAGCAGTATTTCTACCTCCAACCATAAGGCTGAATCATGGTGGTTTTCTATTACGCTGTTGAGCTGTGTCTATGATGTGTTTAGAGAATTATGAGAAAATTCTTTTTTCAAGTTCTCCAAGTTATTAATGAGAAAAAAAGATGAGCTATTTCTTAAATTAAATATTTAATTGTTGCACAATTCTAGCAAATGAATTAGTCATACTCATGTATAGAATGCCTTTTTTTTAAAAAAAAAAAAGCCCTGAGAGTTAGTATGACATAAGCCAGAGCAGGAAAAATACTTTTTTAAAAAGTTCTTCTTCTTATTATTATTTATTTATTTATTTATTTATTTATTTATTTATTTTAAATTCTAATTGACAGAAAATAATTGTATATAATTCTGGGTCCATGTGATGTTTTGATATATGTATACATTGTAAAATTATTAAACCAAGTGAATACACATATGCTTTCAAAATGGATGAAGCAAAATGAAGCAGTTAAAAATCCTGGTACTAGAAGTTTATGTAGATGAGTTTAGTTTTTCCACGGTTGTTCAATCTCAGAAAAAGAAAATAGCTCATATTGGTGCTAAGAGTACATGACCTGAAGTATGCCAGCTGGAAAAACCTTCCTTTAGAGGTTATTGACCTAAATTTCAAAATTGGAGTTCCATTTTGAGACAACTTACAGACATTTGATCCCCTATTAAAATAAAATCCATCCTATTTCCATCTTCATCCCATGGGTATTATCATCTTTTGTTCTAGTAATACTTTCTGGATAATCAGTTTAAAATTTAATTTTAAAATATGACATCTGAGATAGCAGATGAATATATTAAGGAGGATATCATAGTGTTGCTGAGGATTGGACCTGTAATGTGAGTGATTTATTAGTTGTGAAAACACCAATATTTCTGTTTTGCTATAGTGATCAGAAGCTCTTGCTTGGAATACAAAAATGAATTTTTAAAATATAATTTACATATTCAACGAATCAAGCTGTTACAGTTATTATCCTACAAAGAAAATTTTATGGTCCTATTTCTTCAGTTTATTTGAGAAAGTAATGTTGAAAGAAAAGTCGTAAGACCAACAGAATCACTCATTTGCTGTTCATACTTTTGCTTTCCTATAACAGTTCTACAGTCCCTCTAAAGATTTATCTGCAGCCTATGAAGAGCATCAGCCATAATAAAATCATAGTAATAAAAACTCTCAGCTCAAAACTAAATGTTTAATTATTAGAAAGTCAAAATTAAGTTAAATTATACCAAATCAATTGTTCTCTCTCATGTAAAGAGAATGAAATGTGAAGGACAAGAAAGCACTAAACACATTTGTGATTTTATTTTTACCAGCAGGAAGCAAAAGAAGAATGTTCCCTAGTGAAGAACTGAGACAGATTATTAATTTTATAATGACAGTCCCAAGATTAAGCAGTAATCATTCTCTTTGGTTGTATAATTGCTAATTCAAAACTATCCAAAAAAGAAAAACCTCTTAACATCAACATAATGGACCTGGGATGGCTGAATGGAACATCTTGCCTAGATTTGAGAAGTCCATTGTACACCACATTAAAAAATAAAGCTATGGCTTGAAGATTAACACAGGAAGAAAACTTATGTTTGAAGAAATATTCTAGTTGTTTCACCACAATTTTAATATCAAATTTTTAAAAATATACTAGTTGTTTTACCTTCTGACCAAGAAGGATTCTCTTCAAACTTACGTGGTTCCTTGAAAGTTCTCTAATAAACATCAAGCCCAACCTCTTTTAACTACTTGCTATACGCTACCTACAATTTGTATTTTACTATATGTAGGTTGGTTTATTGTCTTCATAGGTTTTATAGTGAAAAAAGAGTTAACTAGCTGACACACAAAAGGATATAGAGCAATTTTAACAAAACAAATATTTGGTAAAATAGAAATGTATGTTTATTGCAGCACTATTCACAATAGCAAAGACTTGGAACCAACCCAAATGTCCATCAATGATAGACTGGATTAAGAAAATGTGGCACATATACACCATGGAATACTATGCAGCCATAAAAAAGGATAAGTTCATGTCCTTTGTAGGGACATGGATGAAGCTGGAAACCATCATTCTCAGCAAACTATCACAAGGACAAAACACCAAACACCACATGTTCTCACTCACAGATGGGAATTAAACAATAAGAACACTTGGACACAGGAAGGGGAACATCACACACTGGGGCCTGTCGTGGGGTCGGGGGATGGGGGAGGGATAGCATTAGGAGATATACCTAATGTAAATGATGAGTTAATGGGTGCAGCACACCAACATGGCTCATGTAGACATATGTAACAAACCTGCACGTTGTGCACATGTACACTAGAACTTAAAGTATAATAATAAAAAAAAGAAATTTTGTACACCGTAAGCAAAGATAGCATTGTAGTCATCAGCAACATAGGTATTAAAAGCTGATCTAATAATGCCTTTTTTATCCCAATGGTCCAAAGTCATAGTGGCTTCTAGAATATAACCAAGGATGGGAATTAAAGTTTAATGCTCTGCCAGGAAGGCATTATAGACCATGTCCTTGATTTCCAATTCCCTACTTAGTGATTGTTTTTGCTTGTGTCAGGTGGAAATGTTCAGAAGAATAAACATTATTTAATAATTTCTGCAGAGCTGGAAGACTATCACTCAAAATAACATCTTTGAAATTGTTTTATATATAAAATGGTGAGACAAACAAATAATTATGTATGCATCAATAGAAAAAAATCACAGTTTATGGTTTAAGAGAAATACATATAAAATCAGCAAATTCAAGTGAAAACAAGTAATAAAATTTTGAGTCAGAAATATTAGTATAAACTTAACTTTCATTTTTTAAAAAGGTGCAATTTATTAACTCTGTCCATTGAAAAGGTCTAGGAAAAAAATGAAAATTCCAACAGTAAAGAGCATCCCTACTGCCTAAATTATACCAAAGCCTCATAAAGAAATAGATAATTATAAGGCTAGGAAAGAAAATATACATGATGAGTCTGGGACATCTGTTCATAGTAGAAAGTAATAAAAATATTAAAACATCAAAAAGACCAGAGATTCAACTTGAAGAGTTTTCCTTTATATATAGGTGGGGTTATTTGAGCCTCGATAAGTATAATAACTACAGTGGATTGAAACAAACCAAATATGAGTTTACAAGTATATTTTAAAAGTATATTTGGTCAGCTCCTTAGAAGGATTCTAGGAAAGCAACTAAGTTTGATGAAAGTTGGCACACTGAGGGAAATAATTAAGCATCTATCCTTCTCTGTATCAACAAAACTTTAGAGTAACTAAATCAAATAATTGATAAGCAAGAAGCTTCTCTTTATAATAGTATTCCAGCTTTTTAATGAAAGGAAGCAAAAAGAATAAAATTACAATATTACCATTTTGCAATTCTATAATAAATAATCTAAAGAGTTATTATCAGTATTTCCTAATATCATAAAATGAAGGATGGTGAGATATTAGATACCTTCCAATGGAAGTACAAAATTCCACTCATAAAGTAATTCTGGCCACATGATATTTAAAAAATCAAACCTGCATCTAATAAATATCTATCTATCTATCTATCTATCTATCTATCTATCTATCTATGTACAGAAAATGCAAGGAACACAGGAACATGCCAAACAAAGCCACAGTGATGCAAAGTAAATTGGCAAAAAAAAAAAAAAAAGTAGGCAATTGGGATGATTTGAACACAAACTTATTCTAAGGAATTATTATTTACTTCTAGGTGGTGAATGGTATTATACTTTTAGAAGGGTATTTATCTTTTTAAAACATTCAGTAAAGTATTTAAAGATGAAAAATGCTATATCTGGAATTTGTTTCTAAACAATCCAGATGGGCTGAGTGTAGAGACATAATTAAACCAAGTATGTCACTGAATTGATGGTAGGTGACAGGTACACAGAGGACTTGTACTACTCTTGTATATGTCTGTGCATGTTTAAAATTTCACATAATTAAAATGTTTTTTAATCATAGCATTACAACAGAGTAAACAGGATGCTTGCTATCCAACCACACATTTTCCCAACACTTTATATAAGAGCAGCAAATACTCAACAGAATATCCAAATTATAATCTGAATGATTCAAATACAGTTTATATTTATTTAACTCTGTCCATTGAAAAGGTCTAGGAAAGCCGGGCGCGGTGGCTCACGCCTGTAATCCCAGCACTTTGGGAGGCCAAGGCGAGCAGATCACGAGGTCAGGAGATCGAGACCATCCTGGCTAACATGGTAAAACCCTGTCTCTACTAAAAAACAAAAAATTAGCTGGGTGTGGTGGTGGGCACCTGTAGTCCCAGCTACTCGGGAGGCTGAGGAAGGAGAATGGCATAAACCCGGGAGGCAGAGCTTTCAGTGAGCCGAGATGGTGCCACTGCACTCCAGCCTGGGTGACAGAGTGAGACTCTGTTTCAAAAAAAAAAAAAAAAAGAAAGAAAAGAAAAGGTCTAGGAAAAAATGAAAATTCCAACAGTAATGAGAATCAAATTATAATTTGAATGATTCAAATTATAATTTAGAAAATATCAATTTAGAAAAGATTAAGAGACCTAATTTATTCAATTGTTTAGAGAACAAATTTAGGCTCACCTCAATCCTAACTATTCTGTCATTTTGAGTAATCAATGGAGACAAGTTCTGTTAAAAATGTCCACAATTAATATTTATTTGAAAAGTGTAGATAGATAAAATGATCTTAGACTCATTTGTAGGAATTCTGAAAGAAAGTTTTTAATTACCTTTAAACACAGAGGGCTCTGGAGATCTGAGAAATATTTCTGATTTATATAAAGGGGCAGATGTCAGGATAGCAATTTCCAGTTTAAAAATAGTGCTACTAAACATAGCTTTTATATGATAGTAAAAATAATTTGACTGCTTAGTAAGGTAGAAGACAGTGCAATAAGAACAAATAAAACAAGGTATGAGATAATAGGGGTGGCTCTAGCTTCAGAAGAGTGCCTAGAAACAGTACAGAGATATGAATGTTTTGGACACTCACTGTGTTTGTGGAGAAGAATAACTGTGGAGACACCTTCCAAGCTCACTAGGAAAATAAAGTATAAGAGCTTAATGAATTGAGTGAAGTTCTATAATATTCTATTATACAATAAGTTCTCCTGACAGTAATGTTTATACAGCAGGACATGCTTACATTCCGATATAAATCAACAGATTGATGACTAAGATAAATACAAACAATATGCACACCTGAGAGGTGAGGCTTTAGCCAAGCCCATTTGGAATTGTTAGAACTGATAATAATTTTTTGAAGATGTTCAGGACACAAATTTTGGAAAGAAACTTTATGGAAATGTGATATGGACAAATCCTGCATCCACTAAATCATTTTCCCCCAAAAGAAATTCATATTTTCAGGATTAAATTTAGTTAGAAATGCTAAAATGTTGACTACTGTATCAAGATAAAAAATCAAGTTCATGGGTTTTTGTACATGTTGCTGAAAACAGAAGATACATTCATATAAACTGAGCAGCAAGGAGTATCTCAATACCCTTGAAATAATTATTTATATTTCTTTTGGAAACCACTAGAACATCCTGAATAGACATATATAGAAATACAGATTATAATACACTGAACTATATAACATCTATTCATCATAGTAAAATAAATTTTTTATGATGTTTAATAAATTGGAGGGCTACATTTCTGGATATTAGATCCTAAACTCAGGATTACTCAAAGAGAGTAATGAAAATATCAACTATACATTCAAGCAATATAACTTTCAATAGAATCCTTGAGTGGAACAATGTCTATGCAGATTACGTCCTTATAATCTATTTACTTGATTTACATTCTTATAATCTATTACTAATCTATTACTAATCTACGTTCTTATAATCTATTTACTTGATCATTACATGAAGAAGTATGTTTCAGAATCAAAGCATTTTACATATTAAAATGTATTACGTACAATTTAGAAACATGAAAACTTAGATATTAAACTTAGTGGAATAAGCACAGAAAAAAGTTAAAGCAAAATTTGATCACTTAGGATTAAAGATCTTACATATTACATTAGTGGCATTAATAAGTTCATGCATCTAGAAATAAGTTGAAGTACATAGTCTGGTAATACCAAAAAACACCTAACTTAATTACCATTTCTCTGTATATGAAATGTTTACATATATTACAAAGATTAAGATTCTTAATATTTTCTATTGATTTTTATATCTCATATATTAAGAAATAACTTTCTATATCTGCTAAACTATATTGAGAGACAATTCTCTGTGGTATCTCACGTTTCTGTAGAACTTGTGAGCAAAGGCACTGTCTTTTTTCTAGCCTATTTTTCTAAGGATGCTTGCATTTAAAACAGCCATGGAAGACAGAGATAGTATCCCCCTTGGAGCAAGGACAGGTTTGCTTACAGCTTTCAGGGTCTGCCTCCTAAAAGAAGGACAGGTATGTGCATTGCCCATCATAAAAGATTCAAGTTTCCTAAGCTCAGAGTTCTGTCGTGTGCACACACAGATGTCATCTTGCTTCCTTAATGTCACCTTGTAGGAATTGCGACTTGTCAAGCTAGCACAAAAATGCTGATACTCTGCCCACTGCTATTGCTGTAAGTAATAAATAAACCTTTTTCTCTATTCCAGGAGTCTCATGTCTTTGACTAGCATCCATGAACTTTGGCAGGCTAACATGTTGCCTTGGAATTGGATAAACTCTCTGACCCTTGACATTCTGTTATATGTATTTTAATGTACTAAGTGAGGTTTAATTCTAAAAATATGAAAAGAATTAAAGGACGGATCTCATCTTTAATTCTTTGGGAAGTCTATTTTACTGCTGTTTCTGCAAATGCTATGAATGAGTACCACAATTACTCCACATGTGTTTCATCAGTTCTACTATTGCTTCTAATTTCTTGATTCTAACCATTTCTACCAAAAGTGTTGCTTGGAAAGAGATCATCCCTGCTTGACCAGGCTACCAGTCAAAATCTACCTATCCCTGGATCATGTACCCGCTGGTGATATAATCAGACATGGCTGAGTATGAGGAGAAGGAAGGAGAGTACATAATACAAATATGACTTTCTAAAGCTTCCATTATGAATAGGGATTCTAGAAAGGACAGGTTCTATCTGAAGGGTCCCTTATTCTATCAGACACCAAAACTAGCATGGCTATTAGACATTCACCCTCTTTAAATAACCTCAATAGCAGTTACTACATGTCGATTTCTCTATGCCTCAATTTATTTGTAACAAAAAAAAAAGGATTACAATAATTCAAACACAATTTACAACTACTTTCCGAAAGCTAATAAGCAAATGTGACTGAGTTCTTTAAATGAAAAGCGACATAAATTAAAATTATTATTTGATTTCAACACTCCTTCTCCTGAGGGTGCTTTTGTGTTTTCCTCTAAAGACACTGCAATTTGTTCCCAGTAGGAAAGTATCTTTCCTGTTCAGTACTTGGTGGTATAGGATGAGTGCCAAATCTCCCTAAATTATATTTCTGCTCACTTCTAACAATTTATTAATTTTTTTTCTTTTTTTTTGAGACGGAGTCTCACTCTGTCACCCAGGCTGGAGTGCAGTGGCGCGATCTCGGCTCACTGCAAGCTCCGCCTCCCAGGTTCACGCCATTCTCCTGCCTCAGCCTCCCGAGTAGCTGGGACTACAGGCGCCCGCCACCACGCCTACCTAATTTTTTGTATTTTTTTTTTTTTTTTTTAGTAGAGACGGGGTTTCACCGTGTTAGCCAGGATGGTCTCAATCTCCTGACCTTGTGATCCGTCCACCTCGGCCTCCCAAAGTGCTGGGATTACAGGCGTGAGCCACTGTGCCCGGCCAACAATTTATTAATTTTATAAGCCAACATCTTGACTAGTCTCTCAGCAGGTATAGATTTTGCAGTTCCTCAAACTTCCTATTTAGATCTCCCTTTTCCCACTATTTAATTTTCATCAAGATAAATTTTTATAGTTATTATCTTATAATGGTAAAATTAAGAAAGCCGAGGTGAAAGTGGTCAAATGAAGGTGATTCCCAAATTTACCTTGAGCTGGACATAGAAATGAAGTCAAATAACAATTTTCTTTAATGTATAAAAATACAAAAAGTCACAGACAAGAGTTGTCTCGTTAGCCTTGCTTAAAACCATCCTTTTTCTACTGAAAATGCTCCCATATCCAAATTTCTGTCTTAAGGATCTACTTCACATTAGGACTAGAATCATTATACCTTAAAACAAAGATTTGATATGGTTCATTCTTCATTAAATTAAGCTAAAGAAAAAAAATCCAGATTAATTTGTTTACTTCACTTTATCAAACAATAAAATTTTTATTGCTCAAGGGTTTTTTTCCCCGCTACTGTCTTGAAAGTATAGTACTAAATTTTCTGCTACTGTCAGAAAACATAGTACATTTAATGTCCCATTAAAATAAATAACTATCTCAAGGGCCTGCTGTTTTTTAATCCATCTAAATAATTTTAATTTTTGTATCCTTGCCTATTTCTGTATTATGGTATTTTATTAAGTTTAAACGCACATTTAAAGCAAATTTTTCCCATTTTAATATCTCTAAAACTCAAATGAGTCTTACACTCAATGACATCTTGGATTCACTAAAATAGGGCATCCTCCATATTCTCTGTTGGTCCCCTCAACATTCACTTTCCACCTAATGAAACTTTTCTCTGGACTGAGGTGTCGGCAGAATGCACTGAATTATCCGGGCTTTCTTGTCCTCTAGCTTCTGGTAGGATCCTTGAATGGGATACTCTAGCAGTAGATCAGAGAAAATAAATCAGAGAATGTATTCCCTTCAGTCCTCATTAATAGGCATGACAATAGCAGTATTCTTCCACCCGAAAACACAGCTATTTTCTGGATGCTATTCTCTTAAGGCATTAGACTCTGACAACTGCTTACTGCCCGCAGGTCTTCAAACTAAGGGTTGTTCATAGCTTCCAGCTGTTGCAAGATTCTAGTTTCTTTGCAAGCACTTATTTGTTTCCTTAACCTTCCCACACCTTTGCAAATTGTCTCTGTAATTTTTTTATTTTAGAATACTTAATAGACAAATAAAGATTGTTTATATTCAAGGTGTTCAACATAATAATTTGATATACGTACACATTGTGTGGTTATTGCCACAGCCAAATTAACTAACACATCCATCATCACCCATGCTGTACATTAGATTCCCACAATTTGTTCATCTTGCAGGTTTGTACTATTTGATCAAATTATTGCTGTATTTAATTCTCTCTACCTTTACAGTTGTGCCATTTCTTTCCTGATGGGCTTCCTAATCAATAAAGTAATTTTTACCAGAAGCAGCCTGAGGGAGGAAACAGCCATCAAAATGGAATTCTGGGGTTTGGTTGCACATGTCTTCAATGATCACATTGAGGTTATACTGGTAGTCTGTGGCACAGCCTCGTATCATGGTTGTTCAGTTTATGGGCTGCAGCATATGGTCACTGTGGTGACAATGGTGATTATGATTGTAGGGTGAGTTGGTTGCTCTGATTGCCCTTGAGAAAGCAGGCTAAGAAAAGTTTCTATTGAAAGTAATAAATTCAAAATTAAAGGCACAAATGGAAAATCAGGAAAACCATGTCAGCTTTAAAGGAACATATTATTGTCTGTAACGGCAAATTACTTGTGAATGACAATCAGGTTCACATATTAATTAATTAAAAGAGTTACAGAGTATTGGCATCAATTTAATTTTCAATGACTCTTATGCTAAAGAAAGAAACATCCTTGCTAATGAAAGCAGTACCTCCTGCCCTTAAAAAATTTTTTTAAAAAGATACACTGATTTCACCTGGGAAATTTATCTATAAAAGTCATACAGGTTCTCTTTGGGGGCCTTCCTTATCACTTCTTGCCTCCAGGCTCATAAACAGAATTAGAACCCAAAATTACTCAGAAAATACACAAGATATATTATTTAAGTACACATAGACTAAATTGGCAAGATCTTGTCAATTTGTATCTGTAGGACTTGTACTGCAATGTCCTCCTAAACTATTAATATAAGGAAAACAAAATATTATACTAGGTCAAATTTATGTGAGTGAGTACATTTACTAAGGATTTATGACTTAATGTCTTGGTTCAAGTGAAACTGGGACCCAACAGTGTCTACAGTTACTTGAGATGCCAGAACTCCCCTGGCATTTGAGAGAAAGGAGTCTTAAGGCTCAGAGAGATAAAATGGATCCATCATATGCAATCCAATCAACCACTTCCTAATCTCTTCTCATGGGAGAGCCCATAGGATAATAACCTTACTAAGATATTAAGAAATGTATTTCAGAGAGGCCACAAGCATCCTTGAAGATCTCTGCAGGTTTGAGATGATAGTGGTGATGGTGTGTAGTGCAGTGAAAATTATTTCTTTAATTTCAGTGAAAATAAGAGGATCTTAGAGTACTAGATGCCAGAGAGCAGTAATTGCAATCACAGCCAGAAGGGTTGACCAAGGCCACAGGGAAAATGGTAATCAGAGTGGTTTAAATAGTGGGCTTCTGTGGCAATGGCTGCGTGATCATTGAATAAAATAAACGGCAAGACTACCAAGCCTATGAAGGTATTTCTTGACAAAAATTAGTGGAAAAATTCTAGATTTAGTAGACAAATCTAAGTTCAAGTACAGTAGTGAGGACTCAAGATTTTCCCGGTTCACAACTTAAAGCTCCTCCAGTTAAAAATAGGCCATGTCTATTTGATGAAGGATGCTAAAATGTATATATTTTTAAATCTTTCTACATTCTTTCCCCAGAGAGACCTGCAGCTACGTGTCAAGGTGACTATGCATTAGGGGAGGGTCAAAACACAAACATTTTAAGAGACATTAGATATTGGCTCCAAACTTCTTCCAGTCTCCAGAGAAAACAAAAAGCCATCACAGACCACAGGGTCAGAGTTAGGGCTTATGGAAGTTAGAAGACAGATGGAGCTTTGGCCTTAGTTCATCTCACAATAATATTAGTGGGACTACAGAACTTTCCTGTAGTTACTACCCCCGAAATTCATACTGAGAACAGATACACTTAGCAACTGGCAGAATCCTGCATTCATTCCAGCACCAGTGGAATAATAGTTAATTTTGTGGGAAGGACCAGAAGGATGTCCGAAGAACTAACCTTCACCCACATCACTAACAAAGTAAACTAAAAATCAGCCCTGTGTTCCTGGGGGTATTGCAGAGATTATTGCCATTTTCAAAGATTCAAAGGAGGTAGAGGTGGTGACAGATGTCATTTTCCTATTCAATACATATTTTAACCACTGGAAAACTGAAATGCATTCATTTTATAAACAACAACTGTAGATTATGGTAATCTTAATCAGGTGGGTAAAGCCAATTCAAGCTACAGATTTGCTGAGCAAAAACCAAATTGCAAATCAACTCAGTTCCTGGCAGCTAGTGGCAGCTATTAACCTATGAAATTTTTATTTTCTATACCGCTTGGTAAGGGTAATCAGAAGCACCTTGCCTTCTTATGTCCATGATAGTAATACACCCTCAATATCATACTTCAAGTCAATAACAACTCTTACCCCTTGTCATTATAGAGTCTATTAAAAATACACTCTTTTTCTCATCTCAAAGAACTTACACTGGTTCATTACCAGATAGAAGTTAGAAAATCCCACAATTCTCAAGAGCCTTCTACGAAGTAGAAGGCCACTATAGGAGTATACCAAATTGTAAAAAATTTTAAAAGTACAATGGTCAGATAATTTCTGGTCCCTTAAAACTGGATAACCAGTGAGGCTTCTAGTTTTGAAAAAAAAAAAAAAAAAAAAGAAGGCTCTATAGCAGGTCTAGACTACAGGCAAGCTGCCCTAACTCCTGGACCTTATGATTCATATGGTGGTATGAGCAGTGTCTAGTTTAGATAGAGAGGTTCTGTGGAATTTCTTCCAGGCCCTGATAGTTGAATCATGGTACAAATCCCTAGAGTTTTAGAGTGAGGCCATGGCATATTCTGCTCATAACTATTCTCTATTTGAAAAGTAGAGTAGAAACTCAATGTTGGATCATGGCACATCAAATAACTATGTCACCTAAACTATCTGAACTGAGCGTTACTTATCCATCAAATCATAACATTTAATGTGCAGAGCAGCATCCCACTGTATGACACCTGGCCCCAGCTACTCCAAAAGGCAAAAATAAGCTTCATAAATACTTATGGCCTCATGGGGAGAGGAAGAGAAGTGAAGGCCAGCAATATGGATGGGTCTGCGTGGGAATGTGGAGCCAGCTAGAAATGAATAGTTGCTGTATTATCTTTCTAGTTAGGGTAACCCTAAAATACAGAAATAAAAGAGTAGGCTCCCAGTTTAAAAAATTTCATCTCATATGGTTGTTTATTTTATAAGAAGAAATACTCTGAGATACAAATCTACACTTACTCAGATGCAGTGTCTAACTTGGTCAAGAACACATAAAAGAATATTTGAAGACGAGTGTTATAGCACAAGGAATTGATTGTAAAATCAGATTCACACATATATTTATTACTCAGTACCAACATTTACACATATTTCAGAGGATAATCACTAAGCAAAGGCAGAGATAAAAGCTCTTTATGAGTTCAACAAAGCTGGTCTAAATATCATAAGTATCCGTACTGCCAAATGCAAAGGACACTGCTAAGCTTTGGTTATGGCAGCATTCCAGGTCAAAACCAGTCAGACACTTTGAGGCATGTTAATTATATTGAACTCCTTCCACAGTGGAAAGGGTCTTGTGTTTGTCTTCCTGGGAGGAGATACATATTAAATATTTATACCTCCTTCTCTGCCCACAAAATTTATGACCACACTGCCATTTCTAGATTTACATGATTCCTTAATAAACTGCAGCAATATTACCTCTAACAAACGAATGTATTATATAGCAAAGAAAGCATGGAAATGTGCTTACAGTGAGACTATTAGCTAGTCTTAAATATCTACCAACTCCAGGAGCCGTTGAATTGATAGAACAATGATGGAATGGTGTGTTGAAGCCTTTGTTATTTGTCAGCTAAGAAACAAAACTGAAGAAAAGAGGCATTTTCCAATAGAATATGAAAAATATCTTAAGCCAGGTACCAATATATGACATTATTCCCCCAAATTCAGAACTCATGGGTCTGAAAACCAAAGGGTAGAGGCCAGAATGGCTCATCCCACTGAAATTTTTTTTATTCCTTGCCTTGCATCCAACCTTGGGCTTAGTGGATTTACAGTACTTATTCCTCAAGAGAGACACAAGCAAAGATCCATTAAATTGGAAATGAGTATATATCTATTATCTCTTGCTCTTGTAACAAATTATCACAAATTTAGTGTCTTAAAATAACACAGATTTATTATTTTATAGTTCTGTAGGTTTGATGTTCAACATAGACCTCATGGGGCTAAAATTAATATACCAATAGGGATGAGTTTCTTTACAAATGTTCTAAGGAAGAATAATTTTTTTCTTAACTTTTATAATTTCCAGAGGCTACATGCATTCCTTCACTCATGGTTCCTTTTGTCCATCTTTTTTTGTTTGTTTGTTTGTTTTGTTTTGTTTTGAGACAGAGTATCACTCTGTTGCCCAGGCTGGAATGCAGTGGCGTGATCTCGGCTCACCGCAACCTCCGCCTTCCAGGTTCAAGCGATTCTCCTGCCTCAGACTCCCAAGTAGCTGGGATTACAGGTGTCTGCCACCATGCCAGCTAATTTTTATACTTTTCGTAGAGATGGGGTTTCGCCATGTTGGTCAGGCTGTTCTTGAACTCCTGACCTCAGGCTATCTACCCACCTCAGCCTCCCAAAGTGATAGGATTACAGGCATGAGCCACCAGGACCGGCCCCTTTTGTCCATTTTCAAGGTCAGCAATGCTGCATCTCTCTAGCCACACTTTCATAGTCACATTTTCCTCTGTCTCTCCTTTCCGCCTCCTTCTTTCACTTTCAAGGACCATTGTGATAACACTGGACTCACTTAGATTATCTAGGATAATCTCACTATCATAAAGTCAGATTATTATCCACTTTAATTCCATTTACAACCTCTCCTGTGTAACCTAACATATTTAACAATTCTGGAGATTAGGATATGGACGTCTTTGGGGGAGACATTATTCTGCCAACCACAGTGTACCTTGGCTATTTGAGGCTCTTCCTGCTGCTAAGCAGAAACTAAGGTCACTTAGTTAGAAGTGGTGATTAATCCTTTTTGTCAAGAAGAAACTGCATAATAGACTCAAGGGTTACTATTTCTGAAATCCAGAGGATTCACTAGGTTAGCCTGTGGTACTTCCATGGTCAATAGATAATTGAGAGCTACAGGAACTAATAAATACAGGACCACTAAGGACTTAGATCTCCTGTGAATAAAAGTTTTAATCATTCCACCAGATTGAAGATCAAACCAGTCAACATGCTAGTAGAGAGTACAGGAAAGACAGAAGGGATCGTGGAAGCAAAGAGCTATTTATTGACTTAATCCTTGAGACAAACTACATTAAGAGTGGACAATAGCAGCTATGTTTTATGTAAATTGATCATTTATTCCCCTCCCCCTTTTTTCTTCTAGTATATCTGAAGGGCACGGGTGGCCCTAATATATTAAGTAAAAGGTGAGATTAAAACTTGTGATATCATTCTGTGATGATATAACTGTGTTTTCTTCTTGTTATATAAGAATTGTGGCTGATGGACAAGAGGAGTAGATATTTTCCATTTGTCTTCGATAGCCACTTCCCACTTTTCTCCAACCTACTCTGTGCTCTGTAAGGTGACATCTATGAACTGCCTCATCTGGGCTCCCTTGATGTTTGAGTTCAGACAATGAGAGGCACCAGCAGGAGATAAGAGGACAGGAGGAAAGACAGGACAGAATATTTACTCCCTAATTCTTCCCCAGCAAGTTTGTGACCATGGCTACACTTCTCTGGCTATCATCACAGATTTCAATAAAACTGCATAAACTCTCTACCACAGCGCCTATTATTATGGGTTCTAATAACTGTTTCCTCCCCTTGCTCATTCAGGTTCAAGGATGGGAACAACTTTCAGCTGTTGCTAGTCCCTTTGTGTGTTGGCATCCCTTATGATTTTCCTAATCCTACCTACCCCTGTAATGAGATAGTGTCTTCATTTAACTCTTTCTGGCTACACTTTTACTATATCATCTGTTTCCTGCCTGAACCCCGAGTGAGACATATGACAAATGCCTATTTTAATGATGTAAGCCAACCCACATCGACCTATCTTTTGATCTATTTTATCTTTCTCTCATTCTTTTTCCTATTAGTGACCTCTCTTCTGTTCCAGCTCCTGTTCCTGCCCCTGTTCTCCTTCAGCTATCTTCGCATAACACAATAGAAATCACAGGCCACTTTTTTTTTACTTTGCAAAATACAAATACAAAAGAAAAGTCAAGGATTCTTCTTCATATATAAAATGCAGAATGCAGTGATTAAGATAAGGGTTGGGAATTATTTACATTACTGTCTAAATCTTCATTTTCCTCGTTTTACTATAATCAAGCAAGGTTTCTGGAACTCTAGTGCTGGTCAAGAAGGAATAAATCTACTACAGCCTATCTCCCCCATTGATTACAACTGAAACCTCTGGACAAAATACAAAAAGAAACTAACTAGCTGAGGACTCTGAAAAGTTAATAATAACAGGCATATTGAGGAGGGAAGTCAATGCCTGAAGACTGATTTATAATAGGGCAAATTTTCTGGGCTTTTCTTCCTCTTTTATTTCAGCTTTAACCCAACAGGAGCCCCAGTGCAGTCTCATATGCAGTAGAGCAGGGGCAGCAAAAACACAGAGAGAAACCCTGTCTTTCTGTCCAGAAGATTAGGGATGGAGGTCCTTGTAAACTAGAGTTTACAGGGCAAAGTGCCGTTTTACTTTATTTTTGCACTGTCCCAAAGGCAACCACCCAGTGATGGTGATAGCTACACAGGCACCTAAAATCCTGGGAGAAAATCCATCTTTCTGACCAGAGAAAGATGGCTTCCTTGGTCTGAAGAATGCAGAAAGGATTCCTGTATTTTTTTTTTCTCTCTCTCTTTTCTTTCACTTTGTCCCAAAGAGATCTGATTCTGACAGAATGGTGGGAGCAGCATAGGTGGCTGAGCCTCTGAGAGAAATCCCACCTTTCTAAACTGAGGACTGGGAAAATACATCCTGGGATCCAGAGATTATGTGAGACATTCCAAAGAGGAATAGTCAGCAAAAGGTATTTCCTACTCTGCTTTGAAACGACACAAGTCCTAGGCTCATCTTCAAGCTATGGAGGTATAACACACTACAAAAAGTAGCATAGCTAGAGCTTTAATAACTGAACTGACATTGAAACTATCCCCAAAAGACCAAACTTGTAATCTAAATACAACATGATGGATCATCTGTGACATAATGCAACATTCTCTGAAGAATTTTAAGAACACCTAGAGTCTTAAAACATAATACTCAAAATGTCTAGGAAGTAATTCAAAGCTATTCAGCATTAAATAAAACATAATATGTGATTAACTCTAAAGGGAAAGAGCAGTCAACAGATGTCAACCTCAAGAAGATCAGACAAGATCTTTAGATCAACTATAATATTCATGTTCTGTAAGAAAAAGGTAAATACTTTAAATGGATGGAAAGATAGAAGTCCTCAGCAAGAAATAGTATTGTAAACACTATGTTTTAAAAAGCAAAATGGAAAGATTACAACTAAAAATAAGTTATCTAAAAAACAATAGAAAAATAAAATTAAAATTTGCTGTCTTTACTAAGTAACAGAATAGATACGACAGAGAAAAAGTTAGTGGGCCTGAAGATAGATCAATAGAAATTATCCAGTCTGAATAAATAGAAAAAAATTAATGGAAAGAGAAACTCAGGAATTTGTGGGACAATAATGAATGATGCTTTATATTGTATCATCAAAATTCTAAAAAGAGAAGAAAACGTGCAGAAAAATTATTTGTAAAATAACCATAACTACATCAATTTTAGAATATTTTCATTATCCAAAAAAGAAGGTAAGTACCCTTTAACAGTCACTCTTCATTTCTCCCAATCCCCTCAGCATTATGCAACTACCAACTCTCTGTCTCTATAGATTTGGCTGTTCCAGACATTTTGCATAAATTGAATGGTCCAATGTGTTGTCTTGAGTGACTGACTTTCACTCAGCATAACGTTTTCAAGGTTCATCCATGTGATACCATATATCAGTACTTCATTTTTTGGTACCAAACTAATATTCCATTTTGTAGATATACCACATTTTATATATCTATTCAGCAGCTGATAGCAATTTGTGTTGTTTCCACTTTTTGGCTATTATGAATAATGCTGCTATGAATACTTATGTACAAGTGATTGGTGTTGCTGTATATTTTCATTTCTCTTGAGTATACACCTAATTGTAGAATTACTGTGTCATATGGTTATTCAGTATTTAATATTTGAGTAACTGTCAAACTGTTTTCCAAAGAAGCTGTACATTTCCAAACAAAAGCATTTCTCCACATCCTTGCTAATACTTGTTATCTGTATTTCTATTATAGCTATCTTAGTGTGATGAAGTGGTATCTCATTGTGGTGGTCATTTGACTTTTGACAAAGGCAATTCAATTTAAAAAACAGTGGAGCCAGACGTAGTGGCTCACTCCTGTAATCCCAGCACTTTGGGAGGCTGAGGTGGGTGGATTACCTGAGGTCAAGAGTTCAAGACCAGCCTGGCCAACATGGTGAAACTCTGTCTCTACTAAAAATAAAATTTAAAAAAACCTGGGTGTGGTGGTGCATACCTGTAATCCCAGCTACTTTGGAGGCTGAGGCAGAAGACTCGCTTGAACCCAGGAGGTGGAGGTTGCAGTGATCCTAGATCACACCATTGCACTCCAGCCTGAGCGACAGAGTGAGACCTCATCTCAAAAGAAAAAAAAAAACACATATATTTGCACACAAACATATACACAAATATATACCCATACATACACATCATAGGATTACCTTTAGAATTAAATTAACAAATTTACCTAAAGCATTTAGCACAGTCTCTGCTAATGCATGCTGAACAAATGGTAGTCTTAATTATTGTACATATCCTGCTGAAAATAACAACAAGCTAGAAAAGAGACAAATAATAAAAGGATTAAGAACTCAGAACTAGAAAAATGGAATTAAAAACAGATGTGCACAAATTACTTGGACATTTTAACCATTTGGGGAGTAGTTGCAATGTCATGTCTGTGTCAGGAACTCATTAAAACATAACAAAAGGCGACAAGCCTCCCTTCTTTCTCAGTAGAAATCTGCTGAAAAGCCAGAAAACAAAGTGCACTTAAGATTGTGTAAAGTTAAGGGATCACTATCAGTCAGATCATCTCAAAATGCCCAGGAGAATCACTAAGATTTATAAGTATAAACTGATGCAATTTCCCTCATTCTGTACAGGCAGTCCTGACTACAATTGATAAGATCAATTTTAATGAAAAATCTTTCAACTATCCAGGACAAGTTAGTGTTAAACCATTCCTTTTCACTGTGAGGAACAAAAAATAGAATCATTCTACGCAACTGACTGAATTTTTTTTCTGCATATATTATCAGTCCCAGTCATCATTGTTGCTTTCACAGATCCTCATGAATACTTTCGTATTTTTATATTTATATCATTTAAACTGTTTGTTAGTCTGTCTCCCTTATATTTGACTCAAAGATAGAAACTTTTTCATTCATATCTGCTTGATCACATAACACAATGCCTAGCAAATAACAATGAATATTCATAAAATAATGAGTTATAAGCTGGGCGTGGTGGTATTTGCCTGTAGTACCAGCCATTGAGGAGTCTGAGGCAGAGGAGTAGCTTCAGCCCAGAGTTCAAGGCTGCAGTGAGCTATGATCATGCCACTGCACTCTAGGCTGAACAACAGATTAAGACACTGTCCCTCAAAAAAAGAAAAAGAATGAATTATGGAGTCTGCTTTACATACATAAAGCAATTTCCATCTTTGATAATAATAGTTGTTCGATAGAAATATTAAGTACTGATTATGAACCAGATACTCTTCTAAATATTTGACATAACATTAACTCATTAAATACTTACAACTTTCACTATGAGACTAATACTATTATCTCTTCTTTCCCAATAAAAGGTATCAGCAAATGTTTAAACAAGTGGCCATTTAATTTTACTTGTTCATAGAGAGCCGGAGCAAAAAGAGTTTGCAATTATTATTTTTTCTTTCCTTTGGTATGTTAGAGCTGCTATGACAAGATACCATAGACCAGGTGGCTTAAACAATATTTTTTTCTCACAGTTCTGGAGGCTGGAAGTCCAAGATTAAGGTACTGACAGATTTGATATCTGACAAGGGCCTGTTTCCTAGTTCATAGATGGCCATCTTCTTGCTGTATCTTCACATGACAGAAAGAAAAAGAGAGCTCTCTGGGGAGTCTCTTTTATAGGCGAACTAGTGCCTTTCAAGAGGGCTCTACCCCCATGATCTAATTACCCCCCACAAAGGCCCCACCTCCTAATGATGTCCCATTGGGGGTTAGGATCTCAACATATAAATTTTGAGGGACACAAACATTTAGTCATTTAGTCCATAACAATAAATATCCTTGAAGAAAAACATGCATTATGGACTTAATATTTTTCCTTTGGTACCAGTTCTATTACTCAATTTCTCTCTACTCTATCACTAGAGGCACTAGCAGAGCTACAGTCCTAAAGCAGACATCCTTTCATCAGGAACCATTTATTTAAGATGTGTTGACAGGACACCAATTTTACTACGGGGGCATAGTAAATAGATTGATTTTCAGATTTTTTTCAGAGTTCAGATATGTGTTTAAATGAGATTTTAGAAACAAGTTAGTTTCTTGAAAGAGTCCAAATAATCTATAGAAGTATGAGAACCATTTATATGCTTAGTTCATACACATCATACAGAAGAGAATCAGCCTCTTTTTTCTCAACATAGGGACTTTTAAAGCTGTAGTGTTGCTTCCGGTACACTTCTCTCACAACAGCATTCCCTCCTCTTGTATCATCTTTTGTTCTTTAATTGGTGCAATAGCTGTTGTACTTCCTGCATTCAAATATCATCCCAATATGGAAATACTGTATAAGGATGTTTTATACTTAACTATTGAAAACTTTTGTTGTTCTCATATCTCAAAGATATACCTCATCTGTATATTTTTGTGTTTTTTACGCTTTCTCTTTGTAATAGCATAATCCATCTAATGCCAGAAATCTACTGACTGCTAACAGAGAAGAAATTTATGATCTGCTGAGATTTGGGGGTTGTTTGTTACTACAACATGAGGCTATCCAATCTGGACTAGTATAGCACTTACCTACAGAAGAAGATAATTATAAATGAGTGGGGAAAAAATGACTTAGAATTATTCTAAGGAAATTATCTTCTGATCTGCTCTAATATCAGTTCTGATCAATTCTTCCAAGCAAATGATTTTCTGAGTGTCTATTAAATCTAATAAAGCATTTAATAAAATGATACAAAGTCAGAGATTTGCTTTAACATATGTCAGGAAATAAGCTGAAACAGATGAAATAAGCGTGCCAAAATCCTGATAATTGTTAAATCCAGGTGATGGCTATTCCTTCTACTTTTAAATATATTTGAAAATTTTTATAAAACAAAATTGGAGATGAATCCTCAAAAAGACATGGCTGAAATATAATTGATATAAGAAGTTGTAATATGTTTATTTTAATTGGTATGAAATAATACTTATGATGATGAATAAAAACTGTACTAAAATAAGATTTGCTGAGGTTATTTCACAACTGTATGAAACATATACTACAAGGCACATATAATTCCTTTGTCTTTTATTGACCTAAATAAAATACACTTCAATATAATTTATCAGTTGATTTTATAATTATTAACTTGGCATAGTGATATTGTTAATGAGTAGCTATTCTGGTGACTGGAAAGATTTTTTTAAATAAATGTATTGATATTGTATCATAGTCAAAACAGCCCAGGCCTTGGAATAAGAAAGACTAGAATGGCCAACAAATATTTATTATGACTTCATTTGGAATCCACTGAAGAGATGGCTATGAACAAGACTAAGTACATGACCTTAAAATATTAACATTCCAATGGTTTGCATCTCGTATTTTGCTGCTAAAAAATTCTGTAACCTAGGGGAAATAGTTTAATTTCACTGGGGCTTAGTTTCTTATCTAAACAATGAGGTTAATCCTGGTTACTTTATAGAATGGTAGAAATTAAATGTGTCATAGTATGAAGCACATAACATAGAGCCTGGAACACACCAAAACTATTTTTACTTTGTAATTTATAGATAATTCCTTTACAAGTTTTGTTAGCATAAAGAAACATTTTGAATCCTACTACTTCTTGCTGAATTGACAAAATGAAATTTCTGATCCAGCAAGTTGAGAAGATATGTTTTTTTTAGACACTGCCCAAGTTTATGAGACTTTGCATAAAGTCAATAAGTAGTTGCTATTTCTCAATTTTTTTAATTAAAAGTTCTAAGTGCAGGCATAGGAAACATCAGAAAATTAAAATTTATCCCCATGCTCAGCCATTTATGTCTTGTTTCTGAGCAAGTAATTAGTAAAGTCTTTTGTGACATTATTTAGAGTGACAGGTAAGCTTTAACTCAATTACCATGTTATCTAGGCTACTTATGGTGTATCCTCAGGGGAAAGTTCTCTATTGAAAAGTTATATGAATGCTTTGTTTTCATTTGTTTGAAATTCTTGAGGAATTTACTTGGTGTTTGGATATCCATAATTGCCTTTCTTTAACCACTAGTTTCTGGTGGCAGTTTCAAAATAATCATTTCACATAATTGTTTCACATAAACAGTGCCCAAAATAGGAATGAACAGTACAATAATAATTAACCAAAGATTTCTTCAAATATTGTCAAACATATGAATAGTTGGATGTATCCAAATGACTCATTAAGGCTTTTAGACCTAGTTTCATTTAATTCATTTCAATTAAATCTTAATTTTAAGTAGCTCTAAGATTTTCCTACATTGCCACCAAAAAATGGTATTATATTTTGCTTGTCAAACTGATACAGGAGGGAGGCAGGAAGTGCTGGGTAGAGAAGGGTGGGTCCCTGGCAAGGGCTCCACCCCGGGGCCTGTGCCCACAGACCTAGGTGAGGACAAGCATTTCAGTTTGCCTGCCCAAATGTTACATTTCCCAAGGCCACCTTGGCTCGTCACACCCCCACTCCGTGCCTATAAAAACCCCCGAGACCCCCACACACGAGCGGCTGGATGTTAAGAGGAACACATGGGCGGAAGAAGACTCAAGTGGCTGGAAGAAGACACAAGTGGCTGGAAGAAGACACAAGTGGCTGGACGTCAAGAGGACACCAAGGGGAGCGTGCCTGCAGAAGAGCACACCAACAGAAGCCAGCAGGCCAACAAGCCATCCGCTGGAGGAGCAACAGAGTTTGGCCAGGTAGGTCAGAGGAGAGCTCAGGCTGCTCAGCAGCCCAACTCCAGCGGAAAACCATCTCCCTTCTGGCTCCTCCATCTGCTGAGAGCTACTTCCACACAATAAAACCTTGCATTCATTCTCTAAGCCCAATTGAGATCCGATTCTTCCAGTGCACCAAGGCAAGAACCCCAGAATACAGAAAGCACTCTGTCCTTGAGATAAGGCAGGGGTCTAATTGAGCTGACTAACACAAGCCGCCTACAGACAGCCAAACTAAAAGAGCACTCTGTAACACATGCCCACTGGGGCTTCAGCTGTGTTTACACTGTGTTCACCCCTAGACACTGCCGTGGGGTTGGAGTCCCACAGCCTGCCCATCTGCCTGCTCCCTCTAGGGGTTTTGAGCAGCGAGGCACCAAAGAAGCGAGCCACACCCTCATTGCATGCCCTGTGAGGGGAACAAGGGAATATTTCCCGTTTGAAAACCAAGGCAATCTTCTATTTTTTATAAAATAATGTTCAGATGTTGCTAAATATATTAACTGTGTTGAAACCTGAGTTGCATCTTTATCATTTTCTATAAATATAGTAGAACCAGTGGATAATTATTTAATTCTACTATACATTAAGTATAAAATTAAGAAGAAATGTATCCTTCAAACCCTGACCATCAACTTTAGAAACAGAGTTTCAGAAATACTGGTACATTAGCAGAAAAATTAATTTTAGATACTCATTGTAGCATTGCTAATAATTATGAAAAAGTTGAAACAACGTAAGTATCTATCAATAGGTGAGGGGATAAACTATAACCCGTCCATACTATAAAATATAGAAGCCAAAAAATACAATAAAATACGGAAGCCTCTTTTTTTCCCAAAGCCTGTGTGTATATATGTATTTTTTGTGTTTGCATCTTTAAATGTTATTGAGATATAATTAATTGATATATAGAAAATAATACTGATATGATGTATCCATTTTGATGGGTTTGGACACATACGTATTTTTATCACTAACAAGGCACTGAACATATCCAAACACCTCCAAAATTTCTTTTGGTTATTTTGTGGCTTTGTTTTCGTCTGTTTGCTTGTGCTAAGAGCACTTAACATATGATCTATCCTCTTAACATTTTGAAGTGCACAGTCTTCATTGTTAAGTAACGGTACTACCTTGTACGGCAGGTCTTTCAGAACTTATTCATGTCGTGTAACTGTAACTTTATACCCCTTGAGCAACAATTCCTTATTTGCCCCTTCCCCCATCCCCTAGCAGCCACCATTCTGTCCTCTGCTTCTATGCATTTGGCTGTTTTAGATACATCATGTAAGTGGAATCATACTGACACAGGATGAGAGCAGGCAAGTGCTGGGTAGAGATGGGTGGGGTCCCTGGCAAGGGCTCCACCCTCGGACCTGCACCCATGGACCTAAGTGAGAATAGGAACTCCTGTTTTCATGCCCCAATGTTACATTTTCCAAGACTGCTCTGGCCTTCCATGCCCCCCATCCTGTGCCCACATAAACCCAAGATCTTAGCGGGTACACACACAGCGGCTGAATGTGGAGACTAGCAGAACAGCCGACCAGCGAGGATGGAATGACGCAGCAGAAACAGAGACGAGGAGGGACATCTGGAGGCCAATGGGAGTAAGTAGGGGCAGTCGGAGAGCAGTCCAGTGGCTGGGACGCCGGACCTCAGGGGAAGACCACCTTCGCACTCCATCCCCTTCTCTGGCTCCCCATCCATCTCACTGAGAGCCACCTCCACTACTCAATAAAACTTTGCACTCATCCTTTGAGCCTGGGTGTGATCCTATTTCGGGGCACTGGGGAAGAGCTCCAGATACAGAAGGGTGTCACACTGGCCCTCTGCCTTTGCGATAAGGCAGAGGGTCCATTAAGATGATTAACACGCAAGCCATCTGCAGATGGCAAATCTGAAAGAGCTTTGTAACACGCGCCCACTTGGACTTCTGGAGTCTCAGACATCCACCCCTAGAAGCTGCCTTGGGGCCGGGGCGGAGCCCAGAAGCACTCACCCAGGCCTCTGCACCTGCCCATCTGCATGTTCCCCCTAGGGGGTTTGAGCTGTGGTGACCAGGCAGGCCAGCCACACCCTTGTCACATGCCCTGTGATGGTATTCGGGGAACTCTCCCGTTTCAATACAATATTTATCCTTTTGCAACTGGCTTATTTCATTTAGCTTATTGTCCTCTAGTTCCACCCATATTGTTGCAAGCAGTGATTTTTCTTCTTCTTTATGGTTGAATAATATTTCATTGCATATGTATACCACACTCTGTTTATCTATTCATCTGTTGTGTCCATATCTTGGCTATTACAAACAATGCTACAGTGAACATGGGGGATGCAGGTATTTCTTTGAGATATCAATTTCAATTATATTTTATATATACCAAGGAGTGGGATTACTGGATCATATGGGAGTCGTATTTTTTGAGGAACACCCATACTATTTTCTGTAGTGGCTGCAACATTCGACATTTTCACCAACAGTAAACAAGTGTTTCGTTTTCCCCACACCCTTGCCAACACCTGTTATCTCTTATCTCTGCTAACAGCCATCCTAAAAGGTGTGAGGTGATAGTTCATTGTAGTTTTGATCTGCATTCCCCTGTTGATTAGCGATGCTAGGCATCTTTTCATATAGGTGGTAGACATTTGGATGTCTTCTTTGGAAAAATGTCATCTACTTTTAACCAACTTTATACTAATGAAAATTTATTGAAATCACATGACAGCTTTGTTGTTTTTCACCTTTGGATTCACAACAAATAGATTTTTTTTTTTTTTTGTAATGGAGTCTGTCACCCAGGCTGGAGTGTGGTGGCATGATCTCAGCTCACTGCAACCTCCCAGGCTGGAGTTCAGTGGCGTGATCTCGGCTCACTGTAACTTCCACCTCAAGGGTTCAAGAGATTCTCCTGCCTCAGCTTCCCAAGTAGCTGGGACTACAGGTGCGCACCTGTCATGGAACTTCTCATCTTTCATAATTATGTGAGATAATTCCCCTAATAAATCCTCTTACATCTATCTATATGTGTATATCCTATTGGTTCCGTGTCTCTGGAGAATCTTGATTAATACAGTAGTTAACTAACAATAACATGAAAATAAGATGACTCTATTAGACAGAAAACTAATTTTTCTAAAGGAAAAGCTACTTTTTGGAAAATAATACTATGTCTTATTTTTGTGACAAGAATCACACAAAAGATTGAAAGTACACATACTAAATGTCCCTCAAAACATTTTCAGTCATAGCATTAAACAATATATATAGTTATTGAACAAAATAAAATTCAAAGTAAAAACATTTTCATATATTCAGTTACATTTTTGAAAAAAAATTTGAAAAGCAGTTCATTGTGGATAATTTTGTCTTGTAAAATTTACTGTTTACTATTTTGAGCATTATGTTTTCTGCTCTACTGTGGATTATATCATTTAATCTCATCGCACTCTTGTAAAATAAATTCTACTTCATCAATTCTATTTTATAAATTAAAAAAACTACATTATAGAAGGCAATTTGGTAGTACCTATTGAAAGTTTTAAGCAATATTTATCCTTTAGCCCATAAATTCTACTTCTGGCATTTTGTTTTATAAATACACATACCCATATGTGAAATGAAGCATATAGGAAGTTACTCATTGCAGCTCCGTTTATAATAGCAAATGTTTAGAAACAGTCCAAGTGCCCATCAAGAGAAAAATGGCAAAATACACCATAAATTTATTGCAAATATCTAATGCTATTTAAAAAGCATAGTGACTTGAAACAATAACAATCTTTTTTTTTTTTTTTTTTTTTTTTTTGAGACAGAGTCTTGCTCTGTCACCCAGGCTGGAGTGCAGTGGCACCATCTCAGCTCACTGCAAGCTCTGCCTCCCAGGTTCACACCATTCTCCTGCCTCAGCCTCCCGCATAGCTGGGACTACAAGCGCCCACCACCACACCTGGCTAATTTTTTGTATTTTTGGTAGAGACGGTGGTTCACCATGTTAGCCAGGATGGTCTCTATCTCCTGACCTCATGATTCACCAGCGTCAGCCTCCCTTTTTTTTTTTCAATGAATCCACCATTTGGGTAGGTCTTAGCAAGGACAGTTCATTGTTGCTGGATGCAACACCATATGAAGTTACTCAACTAGGACCTGGAGTAGCTGCTTTCAATTTGACTCATTCAAACACCTGGCAAGTAGGTGCTGCCTGGCAGCTAGAGGCTGAGGTTAAGGCTCTGGGCCATGGACCAAGGTTCCTCTGCACCTTGAGTGCTTGGGCTTCTTTAAAATGTGTTAGCTGGGTTCAAGAGCAATCATCTTGCAAAAAACAGAAGGAAACTAAAATTCTCTGTATGACCTAACCTCCAAAGTCTATATCACTTCCACCTTCCTCAGAAATCCTCACATATACAATCTGTCACATTTTCTGAGATATAGTAAGTAAAAAAAAATGAGACTTCTAGATCTGCAAGTTTGGCTAGATACCTTTAGTGTAAAACAGAAAGAAAAAAGAAGCATTTGCGGGATTAGACAAGATGGCCGAATAGGAACAGCTCCAGTCTACAGCTCCCAGCGTAAGCGATGCAGAAGATGGGTGATTTCTGCATTTCCAGCTGAGGTACCGGGTTCATCTCACTGAGGCTTGTTGGACAGTGGGTACAGGACAGTGGGTGCAGCCCACGGTCCATGAACCAAAGCAGGGCAAGGCATCACCTCACTCGAGAAGCTCAAGGGGTCGGGAAATTCCCTTTCCTATCCAAGGGAAGCTATGACAGACGGTACCTGGAAAATCAGGACACTCCCACCCTAAAACTACACTTTTCCAACAGTCTTAGCAAACAGCACACCAGGAGATTATATCCCATGCCTGGCTTGGAGGGTCCCATGCCCACGGAGCCTTGCTCATTGCTAGCACAGCAGTCTGATATTGAACTGGAAGGCAGCAGCAAGGCTGGGGGAAGGGCGCCCCCCATTGCTGAGGCTTGAGTAGGTAAACAAAGTGGTCTGGAAGCTCGAACTGGGTGGAGCCCACTGCAGCTCAAAGAGGCCTGCCTGCCTCTGTAGACTCCACCTCTGGGGGCAGGGCATATCTGAAAAAATGGCAGCGGAAACTTCTGCAGACTTAAAGGTCCCTGTCTGACAGTTTTGAAAAGAGTAGTGGTTCTTCCAGCATGGAAGTTGAGATCTGAGAACGGACAGACTGCATCCTCAAGTGGGTCCCTGAACCCTGAGTAGCCTAACTGGGAGGCACCCCCCAGTAGAGGCTGACTGACACCTCATACGGCCGGGTGCCCCTCTGAGACGAGCTTACAGAGGAACGATTAGGCAGCAACATTTGCCATTCTGCAATATTTGCTGTTCTGCAGCCTCTGCTGGTGATACCAAGGCAAACAGCGTCTGGAGTGGACCTCCAGCAAACTCCAACAGACCTGCAGCTGAGGGTCCTGTTAGAAGGAAAACTAACAAACAGAAAAGACATCCACACCAAAACCCTATCTGTACATCACCATCATCAAACACCAAAGGTAGATAAAACCACAAAGATGGGGAGAAACCAGAGCAGTAAAGCTGAAAATTCTAAAAGTCAGAGCACCTCTTCTCCTCCAAAGGAATGCAGCTCCTCACCATCAATGGATCAAAGCTGGACGGAGAATGACTTTGACGAGTAGACAGAAGGCTTCAGAAGATCAGAAATAACAAACTTCTCCAAGCTAAAGGAGGATGTTCGAACCCATCACAAAGAAGCTAAAAACTTTGAAAAAAGATTGGATGAATGGCTAACTAGAATAAACAGGGTACATAAGAACTTAAATGACCTGATAGAGCTGAAAACAATGGCACAAGAACTGTGTGACGCATGCACAAGCTTCAGTAGCCAATTCGATTAACTGGAAGAAAGGGTATCAGTGACTGAAGATCAAATGAATGAAAAGAAGTGAGAAGAGAAGTTTAGAGAGAGAAGAGTAAAAAGAAATGAACAAAGCCTCCAAGAAATACGGGATTATGTGAAAAGACCAAATCTACGTCTGATTGGTGTACCTGAAAGATACAGGGAGAATGAAACCAAGTTGGAAAACACTCTACAGGATATTATCCAGGAGAACTTCCCCAAACTAGCAAGGCAGGCCAACATTCAGATTCAGGAAATACTGAGAACGCCATGAAGATACTCCTCAAGAAGAGCAACTCCAAGACACATAATTGTCAGATTCACCAAAGTTGAAATGAAGGAAAAAAATGTTAAGGGCAGCCAGAGAGAAAGGTCG
Source organism: Homo sapiens (assembly GCF_000001405.40). NCBI lineage: Eukaryota > Metazoa > Chordata > Mammalia > Primates > Hominidae > Homo > Homo sapiens. The sequence goes on along the minus strand of NC_000006.12, from coordinate 76,627,543 downwards.
GGTTACCCACAAAGGGAAGCCCATCAGACTAACAGCACATCTCTTGGCAGAAATTCTACAAGCCAGAAGAGAGTGGGGGTCAATATTCAACATTCTTAAAGAAAAGAATTTTAACCCAGAATTTCATATCCAGCCAAACTAAGCTTCATAAATGACGGAGAAATAAAATCCTTTATAGACAAGCAAATGCTGAGAGATTTTGTCATCACCAGGCCTGCCTTACAAGAGTTCCTGAAGGAAGCACTAAACATGGAAAGGAACAACCAGTACCAGCCACTGCAAAAACATGCCAAATTGTAAAGACCGTCAATGCTAGGAAGAAACTGCATAACTAATGAGCAAAATATCCAGCTAACATCATAATGACAGGATCATATTCACACATAACAATACAAACCTTAAATGTAAATGCGCTAAATGCTCCAAATAAAAGACACAGACTGGCAAATTGGATAAAGAGTCAAGAACCATCAGCGTGCTGTATTCAGGAGACCCATCTCACATGCAGAGACACACATAGGCTCAAAATAAAGGGATGGAGGAAGATCTACCAAGCAAATGGAAAACAAAAAAAAAGCAGGGGTTGCCATCTTAGTCTCTGATAAAACAGACTTTAAACCAACAAAGATCAAAAGAGACAAAGAAGGCGATTACATAATGGTAAAGGGATCAATTCAACAAGAAGAGCTAACTATCCTAAATATATATGCACCCAATACAGGAGCACCAAGATTCATAAAGCAAGTCCTTAGAGACCTACAAAGAGACTTAGACTCCCACACAATAATAATGGGAGACTTTAACATCCCACTGTCAACATTAGGCAGATCCACGAGACAGAAAGTTAACAAGGATATCCAGGAATTGAACTCAGCTCTGCACCAAGCAGATCTAATAGACATCTACAGAACTCTCCACCCCAAATCAACAGAATATACATTCTTCTCAGCATCACATAGCACTTATTCCAAAACTGACCAAATAGTTGGAAGTAAAGCACTCCTCAGCAAATGTAAAAGAACAGAAATTATAAGAAACTGTCTCTTAGACCAGAGTGCAATCAAACTAGAACTCAGGATTAAGAAACTCACTCAAAACCATTCAAATACATGGAAACTGAACAACCTGCTCCTGAATGACTACTGGGTACATAATGAAATGAAGGCAGAAATAAAGATGTTCTTTGAAACCAATGAGAACAAAGACTAACATACCAGAATCTCTGGGACACATTTAAAGCAGTGTGTAGAGGGAAATTTATAGCACTAAGTGCCCACAAGAGAAAGCAGCAAAGATCTAAAATTGACACCGTAATATCACAATTAAAAAAACTAGAGAAGCAAGAGCAAACACATTAAAAAGCTAGCAGAAGGCAAGAAATAACTAAGATCAGAGCAGAACTGAAGGAGATAGAGACACGAAAAACCCTTCAAAAAATCAATGAATCCAGGAGCTGGTTTTTTGAAAAGATCAACAAAATAGATAGACTGCTAGCAAGACTAATAAAGAAGAAAAAAGAGAAGAATCAAATAGATGCAATAAAAAATGTTAAAGGGGATATCACCACTGATCCCACAGAAATACAAACTACCATCAGAGAATACTATAAACACCTCTACGCAAATAAACTAGAAAATCTAGAAGAAATGGATAAATTCCTCAACACATATACCCTCCCAAGACCAAACCAGGAAGAAGTTGAATGCCTGAATAGACCAATAACAGGCTCTGAAATTGAAGCAATAATTAATAGCCTACCAACCAAAAAAAGTCCAGGACCAGACAGCTTCACAGCCGAATTCTACCAGAGGTACAAGAAGGAGCCTGTACCATTCCTTCCGAAACTATTCCAATCAATAGAAAAAGAGGGAATCCTCCCTAACTCATTTTATGAAGCCACCATCATCCTGATACCAAAGCCTGGCAGAGACACAACAAAAAAAGAGAATTTTAGACCAATATCCCTGATGAACAGAGATGCAAAAATCCTCAATAAAATACTGGCAAACCGAATCCAGCAGCACATCAAAAAGCTTATCCACCATGATCAAGTGGACTTCATCCCTGGGATGCAAGGCTGGTTCAACATATGCAAATCAATAAATGTAATCCAACATATAAACAGAATCAAAGACAAAAACCACATGGTTATCTCAATAGATGCAGAAAAGGCCTTTGACAAAATTCAACAGCCCTTCATGCTAAAAATTCTCAATAAAGTAGGTATTGATGGAAAATATCTTAAAATAATAAGAGCTGTTTATGACAAACCCACAGCCAGTATCATACTGAATGAGCAAAAACTGGAAGCATTCCCTTTGAAAACTGGCACAAGGCCGGGCGCGGTGGCTCACGCCTGTAATCCCAGCACTTTGGGAGGCAGAGGCGGGCGGATCACGAGGTCAGGAGATCCAGACCACCGTGAAACCCCGTCTCTACTAAAAATACAAAAAATTAGCTGGGCGCAATGGCGGGCCTGTAGTCCCAGCTACTTGGGAGGCTGAGGCAGGAGAATGGCGTGAACCCGGAAGGCAGAGCTTACAGTGAGCCGAGATCATGCCACTGCACTCCAGCCTGGGCGACAGAGCAAGACTCTGTCTCCAAAAAAAAAAAAAAGAAAAGAAAACTGGCACAAGACAGGGATGCCCTCTCTCACCACTCCTATTCAACATAGTGTTGGAAGTTCTGGCCAGGGCAATCAGGCAGGAGAAAGAAATAAAGGGTATTCAATTACAAAAAGAGGAAGTCAAATTGTCCCTGTTTGCAGATGACATGATTGTATATTTAGAAAACCCCACTGTCTCAGCCCAAAATTTCCTTAAGCTTTGATAAGCAACTTCGGCAAAGTCTCAGGATACGAAATCAATGTGGAAAAAGTCACAAGCATTCCTATACACCAATAACAGAGAAACAGAGAGCCAAATCATGAGCGAATTCTCATTCACAATTGCTTCCAAGAGAATAAAATACCTAAGAATCCATCTTATAAGGGATGTGAAGGACCCCTTCAAGGAGAATTACAAACCACTGCTCAACAAAATAAAAGAGGACACAAACAAATGGAAGAACATTCCATGCTCATGGATAGGAAGAATCAATATTGTGAAAATGGCCATACTGCCCAAGGTAATTTATAGATTCAATGCCATCCCCATCAAGCTACAAATGACTTTCTTCAAAGAATTGGAAAAAACTACTTTAAAGTTCATATGGAACCAAAAAAGAGCCTGCATTGCCAAGACAATCCTAAGCCAAAAGAACAAAGCTGGAGGCATCAGGCTACCCATACTACAAGGCTACAGTAACCAAAACAGCATGGTGCTGGTACCGAAACAGAGATATAGACCAATGGAACAGAACAGAGGCCTCAGAAATAATACCACACGTCTACCACCATCTGATCTTTGACAAACCTGACAAAAACAAGAAATGGGGAAAGGATTCCCTATTTAATAAATGGTGCTGGGAAAACTGGCTAGCCATATGTAGAAAGCTGAAACTGGATCCCTTCCTTACACCTTACACAAAAATTAATTCAAGATGGATTAAATACTTAAATGTTAGACCTAAAACCATAAAAACCCTAGAAGAAAACCTAGGCAATACCATTCAGGACATAGGCATGGGCAAGGACCTCATGTCTAAAACAACAAAAGCAATGGAAACAAAAGCCAAAATTGAGAAATGGGATCTAATTAAACTAAAGAGCTTCTGCACAGCAAAAGAAACTACCATCAGAGTGAACAGGCAACCTACAGAATGGGAGAAAATTTTTACAATCTACCCATCTGACAAAGGGCTAATATCTAGAATCTACAAAGAACTTGAACAAATTTACAAGAAAAAATCAAGCAATCCCATCAACAAGTTGGCGAAGAATATGAACAGACACTTCTCAAAAGAAGACATTTATGCAGCCAACAGACAGATGAAAAAATGCTCATCATCACTGGCCATCAGAGAAATGCAAATCAAAACCACAATGAGATACCATCTCACACCAGTTAGAATAGCGATCATTAAAAAGTCAGGAAAAAAGAGGTGCTGGAGAGGATATGGAGAAATAGGAACACTTTTACACTGTTGGTGGGACTGTAAACTAGTTCAACCATTGTGGAAGACAGTGTGGCGATTCCTGAAGGATCTAGAACTAGAAGTACCATTTGACCCAGCCATCCCATTAGTGGGTATATACCCAAAGGATTATAAATCATGCTGCTATAAAGACACATTCACATGTATGTTCACTGTGGCACTATTCACAATAGCAAAGTCTTGGAACCAACCCAAATGTCCATCAGTGATAGACTGGATTAAGAAAATGTGGCACATATACACCATGGAATACTATGCAGCCATTAAAAAGGATGATTTCATGTCCTTTGTGGGGACATGGATGAAGCTGGAAACCATCATTCTCAGCAAACTATCGCAAGGACAGAAAACCAAACACTGCATGTTCTCACTCATAGGTGGGAATTGAACAATGAGAACACTTGGACACAGGGTGGGAAACATCACACACTGGGGCCTGACATAGGGTGGAGGCAGAGGGGAGGGATAGCATTAGGAGATATACCTAATGTAAATGACGAGTTAATGGATGCAGCACACGAACATGGCACATATACACATATGTAACAAACCTGCACATTGTGCACATGTATCCTAGAACTTAAAGTACAATTTAAAAAAAGAAAAAAGAAGCATTTGCATTAAGAAGTCTAAAATATTACATAAATGTTTGGTTTTTTTTTTTTTTTTTTTTTTTGAGACGAAGTCTTGCTCTGTCGCCCAGGCTGGAGGGCAGTGGCGCCATCTCCACTCACTGCAAGCTCTGCCTCCCTGGCTCACCCCATCCTCCTGCCTCAGCCTCCTGAGTAGCTGGGATTACAGGCACACGCCACCACGCCTGGCTAATTTTTTGTATTATTGGTAGAGACGGGGTTTCACCATGTTAGCCAGTAAGGTCTCGATCTCCTGACCTCGTGATCCACCCGCCTCGGCCTCTCAAAATGCTGGGATTACAGGAGTGAGCCGCCGCGCCCTGCCAAATATTTGTGTTTTAAGTGAAATGGGAAGTAGTAATTGGGGGTAATGGTAAAAGCAAGATTTTTCATTTTATATATTTTCATATTGTTTTGATTCTTGAATTGTTTGACTGTATGGCATATTCAAAACTTCAAGTGTGTGTGTGTGTGTGTGTGTGTGTGTGTGTGTGTGTGTGTGTTTATCCCAATAATAAATAATCCCGATAATAAATAATCTACCTACTATCACCCAGGTAGTAGGTCACAGAGTAGGGAATTAAAGCCTGGTAGATCTAACTTTGAAGGCTTCAGTCTTAGCCACATTGTCATCCTGCCTCCTGATCTAGGATCAAACTCTCTCCCTATATCAAGGCAGCTGTACTGCATTATGACTCCTTGAGGACATGGTGGACTAGGTCCCCCCTTTCCCACAATGAATGACCCTTAGTGCTCGGGACATTACTGGATGCTATACATCTGCCTGGTGCAGGTTCTTCTTCAAATTGAATATAACAGATTCCTTTGATAATGTGATTTTTTAATTTATCTTATTAGTTTTAAAAGAGAAAAATGAAACTAAGAAGTACTTTTATGTTTCCAGAGTTTTCAATAGCCACATAAGATTTTCTCCTTAGATCATATGTAAAAAAATGAGCAATGTCTACTTTACATATCTCATCTGGGTTGTCTAAAAATCCCATAATCCACAACAGTTTGTTGTCTGCGTTATTTATTTTTCAGATAGCGCAAAAACAAATCATCTTAATATATTTAGAAACATCAAAAGTAAAAAGCAGTCTTAAACAAATTGATTACCATAAATGCTTAGAATGTTAGGTAGGTATTTTCTCCCAAACTTCTATTTCCACCAAATCTCACCCACTGGTGTTCTTGTGTTATGGAAAAAACGTGGAAGAGAATGACTTATATTCTATTTGGGATAGATCACAGCACCACCGTGGCCTTGTGATCTTAGAAAGTGACATGAACCATGGCAGCAAATAGGATTAAATTTAAGGTGAAATTAACTAACACCTTCATTCTGGCAGCTCTGCTCTCTTGGGGGCTCTTTGAACGATGATGAGCTTGCTAAAATATATTTGTGCCGTAGAAAGCCCTGGTAAGTTTATTTGTACTTTGATGCATTGTGTCAGGACACATATGATAGTCTGTGTTGAATTTTTGGAGGTGAGTAAGGGAGCCACTGATGAAGGCTTGGGTTCGTCTTAATTTCACCACTGAGAATGATAACACACACCTGCACTGCTTCTTTTACCAAGCTGATGTGAGGCTCAAAAGCACTTTGTAACCTGAATGCAATAAGTCTTTGTAATTATTACATTAAGGAAAACGAGTCAAGCAGTAAATAACTCCATGGAATTATTTGGTTTGAATCAGAACTTTGACACAGCGTGAATGAAGCAAACTGATGCATTTTTTTTACAAATGTAAGAGAAAATTCAATTTCCATGGTGATTGCATCTTAGATTAACCATTTCTTGCTTTAGAATCTACTACAGAGTCAAATAAGAGAGAGATGTTGATGATGCAATGACTATAAAGCATGTATACACGGGCCTTGTCATTATTGTTATTACTGTTTTCTCCAAATGGTCAATTGTTGGGACACTGAAAACAAAACAAAAATAAAATAGAGAAGTACCTGTGTTCTGCTTTGTTAAATTATTTAATTGCCTCATGTACGGGGGATCAGCTCTTTTCTGCACGTCTCCCTTAGATGAGATACTTAGAGTAAGAGAAGGAGCCATCATTGTGGGTAAATAGCTCTTTAAGGGAGCGAGATGAAGTAGTCTTACTAAACAAGTGAAACAAAAATGTCATAATAAGTCCCTAACATCCAAACCACCCTAAAAGAGAACAAAAAGCATGACTTTGAACACACACTTTTTATGGAAGGGTTGAACTACCATTTTATTTATCTCAATGTGAGAAAAGGAGCCTTTTGGGTAATATTAGAAGGAATCTAAGTTGGCTTAATTTAATCTAGAAAATTAAAAAAAAAAGTAAAAGCTAAGAAACCATATATGACAGAGTCCTATTGAAAAATCCTTCTGTCTTGGGTGTCAAACACTCATAAATCACAGATTAAATCTTTAAATGGAAGATATACTAATAAATTCTCTTCAATAAGGAAAAAAGTGTTACTCAGTTTAAAAGAAATGAAGTGAGGATTACGGTAATATGATCCAACACTTAGGCACTCAAATTATCAGAAAATTGCTTTAGGTTTTCTATTAAGAAACAATCAGATATATATTCTGCTTAGCACAAAATGTCCTTATCTTTGCTGATACAAATCACTATTTTCAATACAATCTCTTTAACCAAATTCACAAATGATTTGCAATTTGTTTACAAACTAATCATAGATGTTTTCAAATTTTTGTCTTGCATACCTCAAAATGACTGTGCAACGCATGAGCTGCTTCAGGCAGAAACAGAATTTTTTATTTTAATGCCTTATACACATCTGCTGAAAATGATCAGGGGGAGGAAAATGCAGACAAGCAAAGAGGTTTAGAAAAAAACATGAAAAGGAATGTAAAGTAAGCAGAAGCCTTGAGAGTCACATTTTGTTGGAAATGCCTTTGGAATATTTTGAATTTCATTTTTTTTTCAATAATCTTTTACATGACATATGGAGTACTTGTTAAGAATAATGGATCCCAGTAAGACATTGACAACTCTTCTGATAAGACTGCTCTGCATTGCCCATTGAATTTAATATACAGTAGCCAAACTTATAGAGACAATGTAGTGTAGGTTCTAAAAAATAAATTCCTTAAAAAGTATTTATAGAAATTAAACGGAGGAAGAAAAAGAACTTCAGAATTCAAATAATTTTTCCATATTAATCTTTACTGGGTATATTTTACACTGATGCTTTTAGAATTAATGCAAGCATTCTCTTATTTGAAAGTATAAGATCTATTTTAAGAGAGAGGGAATTGCTTATTAAATTGTATAGAAGTCTCTTCCTATACAATTTGTACTTGGAGACCCATTAGACCATATTCATTCCCCTTGAATTTATATTACACATTTAATGACATAATTTCACACTTAAATAAAGCAACATTTTTTGCTATTAAAGATGTTTCTTCTTAAGATATTTAAAACACACCCACTCTATATATATATCTTATACATACATCTTAAGATATTTAAAACATGCCAACTTTAAGAAAAAATAACGTATTTACAATTGGAATATAAATGGTAACTTTATTTGGCTAATGTACAGCAGTCATCAACCCCCTGATGTAGGGGTATTTTGCCACCTACACAACTTATTTCCCCTGAAACACTTTGTGCTGAGCTATGCTGTGCTCTAAACATCTTCAAGCTGTGTTCTTTAAATGACAGAGAGAAAATGACTTTTGTTTGCAAATTCTTCATTTGTGATACATTATGTTGAATGTCATACAATCCACAAGAACTCAAAAGGTTTCAGAAAGTGTATTGTTGAAGTTTTCTTATTGTTAACTAAAGTACTCAAAGAAACCTTCTTAACAGATGGACTACTACAAGCAGGAAAATAACATATATTTGAAACAGCATGCCATATTGTACATGTCAGGACAGTTCAATAGGCTGAATTAATGATGATTTTCTCTTCTTCCTCTTTACTTAATACCTGCTGTGAAGAGTTTGAAATCTGACTATTTCTAGGTTTCAATATTAGAACATGATAAGTTTAAACAATGAATACTAGCTTCTCAGAGCATTTCTGTGCATTTTGTTGATGCTTTGCCCATGTTCTCTGTCAGTGGGGAGCAGAGGAACCCAACCAGCCCTAGCAAGCAGGAGATTTAAACTACTGTCTTGATGAAATATATTATGTTTATAAAAGGCAAAATTATTTTCTGGGGTTTGCCATCTGCCAAGTATTGAAAGAGTAAATTGTAGATATTCCCTCCAGGTATTACAAATTCAAAGTGTCTTTGAAAATATCTGTTTAACATTTCCTTAAACCTATAAATATATACACTGATGAAACCATAAGGAGAAGAATCTCCTCCCCTGTAATTGGTTTTCAAATGTAATTGGCTTCATAACTGTTTCAACTAACTGGTTAAATGTTTAATCTTATAGGTAAACTCATGCATGAGATTTTCCTTTTTTTAACAAAGTGTCTGTAATTTACAACTGGAATATCCATAATTAAATACGAATACAGATATTGAATAGTGTCATGGAAAAAACTAGGACTAGTATCTATAAACAAGATTTGAAGTCATGGATAATTCATTAACTGATGTGTACTTCAATCGCTGCTTTCTCTCAGTGAAGAAAGTCATCAAGTAACTGAGCCTCTATCCATAGTATGGTCCCCACCACTTCGGTGCCACCACTTTTGTCAAGGTCACCAATTACTTCCATGTTGCCAGAGTGGTCACTACTCTGTCTTCATCTCAGTGAACCATGGGCAATGTCCAGCAGAGTTAACCACTCCCTCCCTGTCTTCTGTAACATCACACCCTACAGGTATCCCTCCTCCCTACTGGCCTTTCCTTCCCAGAAGCCTTGGATGACTTGTCTTCTATTAAAACATCAAATATTGGCTCAAACTGTTAACTATACCTTTTCTATAAGTGACCCCCTTCCCTTGGGTTTAAATCCTATTCATAATATTATGTTTACTCCCCAACTTGTATCATCAGCTCAAAGGCACATAGTCACCTACCAATCTGACATCTCCACCTGACTTCTAATAGACATCTCAATATTTACATGATCAAAGCAGAACTCTTGGTTTTTTTTTTCCCCCTAAAAATCTTATGCATCCCATTCTTCCTTGGCTACTCCATTCATGAGTACCTGAAGCCAAAATCCAAAGTTCTAACCTTGAGTTTTTTCTGGTTCCTTACTCTCTTCATCCACAAACAGTTTTTGTTGATTCAAACTCCAAATTACATCACAAGTTTATCCACTTCTCCACACATCCATGGTTTCAACCCTCCTTCAGGATATCATCATATGTATCTTGAATCACTGCAATATTCTCCTTCTTCTATGTACTACACAGTATGTCAAGTAACAAGTAGGGTGATCTGTGCTCAGTAAATCAGATTGTGTTATTCTCTTGCTTAATAATAACAATTCTTTGCTTGTTTACTTTGGCTTATGAGGCTACATATAAACTAGCATCTGCCTGTCTCTCAAAACTCATCTCATATAATGCTGTCCCTTTTTGCTATGTTCCAACCGCTCTGGCATTCTGTTACTCCAGTGTGGAAGGCTCTTTCCAACTATAAACCTTTATACTATCAATAGTTATTTCCTCTATCTGGAAAGGTCTTTGACAAGATCTTTGCAGACATTTTGCAGACATCTTACTCTTCTCATGAAGACTGTAGATTAAAATTTCCCTTCCTCGAAGAATTCTTCTTTGGACATTAAGTTTAAAATAAACCCCCTCTCCCACTCTACACCAAACACTTAATATGATACCAACATGTTTTACAACATTTGTCATTGATGGATACTTTCTTTTTTTATTGTTTGTATTCCTCTACTGGAAGACAAGCTTAAAACAAGCATAATTCTTGCTCGTTGAGCTCGCTGCCAATTGCCAGCAGCTGGAACAGGGCTTGGAATATAACGTGCTAATAAATGCTATTGAATAATATGCATGTTATCATATTGGGAGTACCCACAAAGAAGCTTCAATTGAAGAAGGATACAGTCATCACAAGAAGCTGTTTCTGCATATGAAATGACCTTTGGCTTTGTTAATCTCTTTTTTGATTTCAGTCTTGTCTTCATTTATCACTACCACTAGCTGTACCTGGGACCTTGGGCAAATGCTTACTGTCTCTAAATGCATTTTTTTAATTAAAATAAAATTGTACAGACTCAGTTTATTTAACACATAAATAGTTTTTGTACACTTACTATATACTTGGCACTGTCCTAGATACTCAGGATACAGCAGTAAACAACAGAGACAAAAATCTCTACCTTCATGAATTTATATTGTATTGGGAAGATATAGATCATAATCAAGAAAAACAAACAATATGTACATGTGTAAATGATGGTAGATGTTAAACACAAAAACAAAAACTGGAAAGGAATATAGGGATCCCCAACTCATGGAGAAAAAGAGGTATAATTTTAGCTAGGGTGGCCATTGAAGGTGGCATTTCTGTGAACATATAAATGAAGTGAAGTAATGAATCATCCACATGGCAGTGCAACTCTGGCAGAGACAACAAATGCCATGCACATGGCCTGTGAGCTGGAGGACAAGGAGGAGGCCAGTGTGGCTGGAGAGGAATGATGGGGGAAAAGGTAGGAAATAAGGTCAAAAAGGTAGCAGTGGGGAGCAGATCACAAGGAGTCTTGCCAAAAGAACACCGGCTTTTACGCCAGTGAGATACGCAGCAATGGAGGGTCTGAGTGGAGGAGAGGCATGATCTGCCTTCTCTTTTAATTCTCTGTGGCTGCCTCCCTAAGAATAGACAGTGAGAGAGGAAGAGTAAAACCATTGTCTTTCAAGTGAGCATTGAAGAGTTAGGTATTTATTGTAGTCTTTGTACTCTGGGCTTGTTCATATCCATCTTTCTTGGGAAGGGTTTCCAGGTATTCAAAGAGATGTGGGTGTTGTAATTTAAGCGATATATGCATTAGGAGGCACCCCAAACCCAGTAATGCTGTGGTTCTTGCAGACTTGTAGAGGTACTGCTTTGGTGGTCTTAGATAAGATCTGAAAAAAATTCTCTGCATTACCAGACAGAGACTCTTACTCTCTTCCCTTACTTTCTCCCAAACTAATGAAGTCTCTGTCTCTCTGTGCTGAGCCACTGGAGCTGGAAGATGGATGACACAAGCACCCTTGTGGCCACCATCACTGGGACTGTGCTGGGTCAGACCTGAAGCCAGGACAGCACTGGGTGTCGCTCCAGGCCTACTGCAATCACTACCTGGCTGCCATCTATGTTTATGTAAGACCCTAGAGCTCTACAATCAGCAGGCAGGAAAGCCAGATAGGTCTTTTCCTTCAGGGCAGCGAGTTTACCCAGGGCCCAGGAAGATGTCATTCAGGAGGCAGGCACTGGAGTTAAAAACCTTAGAAATCTACCTGTTGTTTTATTCTACTGCAGTTAAGCTGGCACTCGAACCAAAGACAAAGTCCTCCCCATTCTTCCCTCCCCTTTCCACAGGCAGAGTAGCCTTTCCCCATGGCTATTACCACCACAGAGCCACAAGTACTACCAGGCTACTGCTGAGGTTCACTTAAGGCCCAAGGGCTCTTCAGTCAGCTTGTGGTGAAAGCAGCCAGGCCTAGGACTCACCATTCAGAGCAGTGGGATGCTCTCTGGCCCTGGGCATGTCCAGAAATGCTGTCCAAGAGCCTAGAGCCTGCTTGGTGCTCTACCCCATGGTGTCTGACCTGGTACCTGATTTTTGGTTCTTATAAATGTGTTTTTTATGTAGAAAGTTGTTAAATTTGGTGTTCCTGTGGGGGAGATGACTGGTGGAGGCTTCTATTTTACCGTGATGTTCTTCCCTTCCATCCAGAGTATTTTTTTTTTTAATACGGAGAGCTTCTGTAACTAAGCAAGACTTTTCCATATTTATTTTGTAAAAAACCTAGGTGGAAATAGTCTAAAACACATTTTTAGAATCAAGGATCTGAACGTCATGTTTCCTCTCAATGAACACCTGATGGTGAGTAAACACAATGACATATTATAATCAGGCTGCCAGCTTTCACCTTTGTGTACAAGTATATTATACCCAAATGAAATAAAACATGTCCTGAAAATAAGTTTAGTATTATTGATGATGTTGGGGAAATAGAATTAAAAACAAACCCTTCTCTCAACCTAGAAATCTTCTCCACAAAAGTAGCAGAGAATAAAATACTTTGATGATTGAATAAGCATTAAATTTCCATGTAATGCACATCACAGGTAATCTGCCAAGAGACAGAAAAGATAGAAAGAGATCTCACCCTTCATATAGCCGAGCAAATACAATCTATCATATACATATCCTTAAGGGAAACAATGTTAGTTCTCCAGTAAGAGGCCCTGACAGCACCATTTATTTCACATAATTTATCTTAAATTCACCTAATAATTGAAGTTACCATCTGTGTTAGTTAATTGGCTTATACAAAAGAAAAATAATTTTCTCATATCTTTATGAAATTAGGTAGTTTTATAACTTGGAGCCAGGCATCAGCTAAAGTTAGGCTTGTATCCTCCTGAAAATAGAATACAGGAGTGCTATCTTTTTAGGTGTTTATGTTCAAAGGATATAATTCCCAAGTCCTTGAAAAAGACATCTCTGGGTCATAAAACTGACAACCTATCTAGTTTTCAAAAGTATTCATATACAGTTTTTATAAGAGGAGAAACTACTTATAATTTCTAAAATAAATGCACTAAGAAAAAGAGGCGAAGGAAATCTCTTCTTTTCAACAGGGAAATTAAGCCTCCTATATTTTATTTATAATTGTCCTTACAATGACTGAAAGCATTCTGGCCAAACTTACCTATAGAGAAATAAAGTTGCTAGTACCTATGCTAGAAACAAAGGCACAACTAGATAAATTAAAAATTATTTTAGAAACAGTGATTCAGGTGTCAAACTACTATATTTTCCTTAACTGGAAAGCTGATTAATCTTAATGAATTGTCTTCTATTTCTAGTTCAAAGCTTATCCTTTAATAGCTGAAAAATAAAACTCTGTTTATTTAAAATTTATAGACACACATTTCTCTGTCTTTCCTCTTCTGCCTACAAAATTTAGGCCAATTCAGAGACCTCATCTTTTAGATAATCTTTCTGATCTTTTAAAATGGAAAATTAAAACCAAATACTTTGCAAAAACACTTTTTTATTTTCTCATTTTGGCTTTAGCATTATAACTAAAAAAAGAATAAGAAGCTGCAAATTAAGAAAAAAATATTCTACCAAGATCATAATTTGGTACATGGTTACAAATGCCAACTGAAACTTTCTTGTCATTTTGCCTGGTTGAAGTGGAATACAATGGTAATAGGAAAATTTCTTACCTACATTACTATTTGCCTGATCCGCATTTTTCATGCCACAGTTATGAGATGTCAGAGAGTTCATCTTCCCCTATTCTCTCAGATCATTGTAATGCTACTGGGCAGGAGACACTGTCTGCCTCCATCCTTTGCTTCAGTGCTGTCATTTTTCTTTCATTGCTTTCTCTCTGCAGGCTCAATTTGAATGGAAACTAAACCCACTAGGCACTCAGAGTCAATTAACAAGTGATAAGCAGCTATCAGGTCTCAAAAAAAAAAAAAGGCTAAATGGTATTTTAAAGCAGTGAGGAGATGTATGGAAATGCAATACTTTGGTCCAGCTTTTCCCTGTGGGTTTAATCATTTCAATATCCTTACTTAACCTCTATTGTTCTCCCAATATATTAGCCTCTATTATCTGGTTTCAGGCGCCAGGAGGGAGAGTGAATACAGGGGAATGGAAATGAATGCAGCAGTGCAGCAGAGAGTAAAAGAGCTGACAATTTCACCTGTGTTTATAAAGCTGCTTGCTGGTAGGAGTGCAGCTCTAATCATCTGAACACAGCCTAGAAGGATGAGACCACTGGGTTTATATTTATTTTATGTGTCGCTAATATCTTACCTTGTTTATAAAGAAGATTTCAGGTGTATCATGGAGTTGAATTGGCTAATATTGTTTTTCTGATAGTTTCTTAGGCTGCCGGTACATCTGTTCTATCTTTAAAGGTCAGGTTGCAAATTAGGATGAAGGTGGCAAACTGGCTGCCCACAGGTTGCATATGGCCATTGCACATATTTTCTGCGACACAGTGTTTTACAAAAATTAAATTGAAATCCTTTCAGGAAGTGCACAGAAACGTACTCTTTTCAGCCCACATCCCACACTATTGTTTTGCACTCAACCTGATTCACACATAAGTTTATCTGCCCAGCTTATAGATATTTCAGATAGAAACCTCATAATTTTTCAATTTGATTTGGATGAGCCAATAAAGGGAGTTTAAAGCCATGATACATTTCTATTTGATTAATATAAATGTGCTTCAATGGGCATTAGAACATTTCAGGTTTTCGTGTCCTGTATACTCCCTCTCAGTTTACCAGATGGTAAAAAAATGAATGTTTTGTGTTTCTAAATCGGCTCCATTATAATTTATTTAATTTCTCTCATTTTCTACCCAGGAAGGCAGCAAACTGTCATCTTTTTCTGTGCCTTCAAAGTGAGAGGTAACTATTAAGATGTAATTTGAGATTAAAATATATGCAGTCATCCCTTGTTAACTGTAGGGGTTTGCTTCCAGGATCTCCCATGGATACAAAATTCTTGGATGCTAAAGGCCTTGATATAAAATGTAGTATTTGCATATGACCTATGCAAATACTCCCTATACTTTAATCTCTACTTATAATACCCAATACAATGTAAATGCTATGTAAATAGTTGTTATACTGTATTGCTTAGAGAATAATTACAAGAAAATAAGCCTATACATGTTCAGTACAGACACAATTTTTTTCCAAATATTTTCATGTGGAACTCACAGATACGGAGGGCCAACTGTATTTAAGAATTGGATGAACAATAAGTAATTTCCTTTGATCTATTAATCAGATAGTTCAATCTTTATCTTGCATGGCTAAATTTGTGATATATTTTAGCAATCGAGATACGTAGCTACGCAGTCCTGTATGGAGCTGGAAGTGATGGATGGACCTCTCTCAGGTTCTACCCTCTCACCTTATCTACCTGTGCAATTTTACCCCTTAACACTCAAGGGTTTGCATTCACAGTGCTACAATCCAGTTTATTTTCATTCTCACCTTGTCTCTTTTCCTTTTTTTTTTTTTTTTTTTTGAGTTCGATTCTTGCTATGTTTCTCAGGCTTGTCTCCAACTCCTGGGATTAAAAATGACCCTACCACCTCAGCCTTCTGATTAGCTGGGACTACAGGCGGGTATCACCATGCCCTGTTATACATCCCTTTTCATCCTCACATATAAAGTGTTCATTCTACCTAAAATAGACTTCATTTCCCACTTCACAAACCCAGAACTTCCCATCCATCCTAGCTCAAGTGAAACACCACTTTTCCCCTATAAACTTATGCCTGAATAATGTTATCCTCTTCTTAACTTCAGAATTCTAAATTGTCCAGATGTTCCATATGTTTGGCATACACTCAGAATTAGATTTTAAGTTCCTGGAGGTCAACAGCTATATATTTACTATTCTTTTACAACCACCTTACATTACTTTAATTCTTAGGTTATCCTAAAAGAATATACATTTCATATTTACTCTCCTGTTAGCCCATAAACAATCAGTATAATGAAAATATGCCAACTTTTTAGCCTCATTGTCTCCTGAACTGCCACTTATACCAAGAAGGGGCATAAAAATATTTTGTCAGATCATATATCCTGATTTGTGGTTTAGAAAATATAGCTGCCACTCAGCCCTGACTAAAAACCCGCCTAATAACTATGTTCACTACTTGCGTGATGGGTTCATTAGAAGCCCAAACCTCAGCATTATGCAATATATCCATGTAACAGACCTGCACCTATACCCCCAGACCTAAAAATTTTAAAAATTTAAAATACCTTTTTAAACCCACATAATGTTGCTAGTGTTAGGCAACATTTTTGTTGGTTAGATTCCAACACATGGCTCAGGCTGCTTAAACTAATAGTCAAGACACAGAGAAAAACAATTTAAAATGCCATCTTCCTGTCTGACTACTACTTCCATTTGGCCGGAACAATCAGAGTTGACATTGGTTCTCATGTGGGAGTAAGCAGAGCCAGGTTGGTCTCTCACCTCCATTTCCCACCATGAGGTAAATGTCATAAACTACCCACATGTTTTTGTCTGGAAACAAGTTGTGGCTGGTTTGACAGACAATGTGTCTTCTCTCCTCTCATACAGCTGGTTGTAAGTGGTAAGATCTGAGTCTCAGGTGTGACTTAGAGGGGGTGGTCAGTGGGATGCAGTATTCTTTTGGAGGGCAATGCTTTTATGTTCTTGCTAGTGGTAAAGCAAAGGGGAGAATAGTCATATCTTTAGTTCGGTGTATAGCCTCCCAGTCAGTTGAGCAGAGTTATTGCTATTGGAGTTTAGGACCCAAACATTTAACAATAAGTATTATTATACATTTCTTTTTTTTTCTCGGTTTAGATCCAACTCCTGACTTTATTATTATTATTATTATTACACTTTAAGTTCTAGGGTACATGTGCATAACATGCAGGTTTGTTACATATGTATACATGTGCCATGCTGGTGTGCTGCACCCATTAACTCGTCATTTACATCATTAAGTATATGTCCTAATGCTATCCCTCCCCGCTCCTCCCACCCCACGACAGGCCCCGGTGTGTGATGTTCCCCCTCCTGTGTCCAAGTCTTACCATTGCTCAATTCCCACCTATGAGTGAGAATATGCGGTGTTTGTTTTTTTTTTGTCCTTGTGATAGTTTGCTGAGAATGATGGTTTCCAGCTTCATCCATGACGCTACAAAGGACATGAACTCATCCTTTTTTATGGTTGCATAGTATTCCATTTCTAAGCCACTATTCTCTATATATTTAGCTTCCTCAGACATGTAATTGGGATGAATAACTGTGGTGTGTGGCAGGATTTGCCTATTCCTGGGTCCTTCACCAATAATGCCAGCAAAAACATCCTAATTTTTATTGTCAGCATATTATAATATCACAGCAAGATATTTCCCTGACCCCTTCATGGGACTTGCAAAGGGGATGCTCCACTTACTCAGCCTGCAGCTCTTAACTCCTCACGGAAGGGAGCTCACGAGTGAAAAAGGCAGGAACTGGAGTACATGAGCGCTGGAGTCAGCCAGCGCTCTGGCACTGGCAGGAGTGAAGTCCACTCACTCAGACCCACTGCATTGCATCCCTTGTGGGAGGGGGCACACAGGTAAGCAGGTGCAGTAGCCAGGGCGAGCGCTTTGGGGTGCCAGCAGGAACCAACTCCATGCCAGACCCACGGCAGAGTCTGGGGGAGGGACTCTCATGACCCTCAAAGCCCCAGAGGGAGTCTTACAGTGTTCTTTTAGCTCTGCCATCCACAGACAGTATAAGTGTTAACAGCTCAGTGCGCCCTCTGCCTTTTCACATGAGGCAGCTACCTTCCACCAGGAAGGCAAAGGACCAGTGTGACAGCCTTTTGCATCCACACTCATGGCACCCAAGCTTAGGGGATTTTATTGTCAGTGGAGGTGGCTCTCAGTGGAAAAAGAAGCTGAAAAGAAGACAGAGAAGGAAGGTAATCTTCCCTTGAAGTCTTCTCTGAAGTTCCACCATCAAGCTGTCCCTCAGAAGTCAAGCCACTTATTTCCAATGCCCAACCACAGTCTCTGACATCCAGGTACTTCTCTTTCTGCCGGCTGAGTCTGGGGTTTTTTATAGGCACAGGATGGGGATGGGGCTGGTCATGGCTGGTTTTGGAAAAGGCAACATTCAAGCAGGAAAACTGGTTCCCACTTTGAGCCTCAGTCTCAGGCTTTTTGGCTTGAGGGTGGGCCCTCACCATTCCTGACTAGAATTTCTCTGCCTCCTGTCTCTATCATTTATACCAAATACAGCACTATTTGTACAACAAATACTTAATATTTGTTTATTGAAAGTTATGTAACTTGCTGAAAATATATATTTTAGAGTATTTCATAGTAGAGTACAAACTTTATTATTATTATTACTGTTTTTTTTGAGACAGAGTCTCGGTCTGTCGCCCAGGCTGGAGTGCAACGGCAAAATATCAGCTCACTGCAACTTCTGCCTCTTGGGTTCAAGTGATTCTCATGTCTCAGCCTCCTGAGTAGCTGGGATTACAGGTGTGTGCCACCACACCTGGATAATTTTTATATTTTTAGTAGAGCCAGTGTTTCACCATGTTGGCCAGGCTGGTCTCAAACCCGTGACCTCAAGTGATCCCGCAAGCCTCAGCCTCCCAAAGTGCTGGGATTACAGGATTACAGGTGTGAGCCACTGCGCCCAGCCTAGAGTACAAACTTTGTAAAGAGCACAAAGCAAAGACTAGAGATATATAAGATATACTCTATGAAGGGATTTTGTCTAATTAGAAATAGAGGCACAATAGTGAAAAAAGGACTTTTTAGATTATAATGAAGAAAGCTGTATCACAGAATGTTCTGCAAACTAATTTTTTAAGCAAGAAAAATATTCACCATCAACAAGCAAGCAAAGGGTTACAACATAATATGGTAAGCATCTAGCCAAAAGATAAAGACAAAAGTTGCTATGCAACTTTTATTAAGCAAATCCTATTCCTGAGAAGTAAGTAAACTTATTCTAAGAATTT
Organism: Homo sapiens; assembly: GCF_000001405.40. Lineage (NCBI taxonomy): Eukaryota > Metazoa > Chordata > Mammalia > Primates > Hominidae > Homo > Homo sapiens. The sequence goes on along the minus strand of NC_000006.12, from coordinate 76,608,136 downwards.
TTATTAATATTCCAAAATCTGAATGGAAACTGATTTTTCACCCTCACTCATATCTCAAAACTCAAAGAAAAACTGAGTAAGCCATGCAATTTTTAACTCTATCTCACTCCCCAACAATGAGTCAAATAATCCTAACAAATCTCACTAATAGCCTAAAATCAGAAGAGAAATTGACAGAAGGAAATAAGCAATTGTTACTAAAGAAAGTTAAGTATAATGGGGAAACTAAACAACTGGAGTTAAATATTTAAAGCATCAGATATTTCCCCATGGCAAACAGCTCCAATAATGTGATGTAAACTTTACTGTAGTAAATTTAACAAACATCTAATGAGGGCCAGTTTTTCAATGGACTGCACAGTTTCCCCTGAGTTCTTGGTTCCCTTATGAGATAGACTGCAACATACCAACACTTGAAACTACTAGGAAAAAAAAATGTGTTTGGATAGGGATGATCCTGTTAATTTAAGTACATGACTGAGACAAGTGGCAGAGCAACCATCCAATAAAACAACAGGCAAAATATAATAGAAAAGAAAGAAAAGTTGTGTGCTATAAACAACAAACTCAGACCAGAAGAAAGCATAATCAAAGGAAACAAAATAAAAGATTGTGATTGCAAAAAATAAGAACACCAGTAAAATGACATAACAATATCACTAGCAGACTAAGTTAGATTTGCAAGCTGCATCTGAAAATCAAATTAATTTTTTATTTCTCTGAAGAATGTCATTGGTATTTGATAAAAATTTCATTGACTTTGTAAATTGTTTTGTTTAGTATTGTTGTTTTAACACTATTAATACTTCCAATCCATGAGTATAGAATATCTGTCTAGATTTGGTGTGTCCTCTTTAATTTCTTCCATCAGAGTTTTAAAGTTTTCCTTATATAGACTTTTCACTTCTTTGGTTAGATTGATCCCTAAGTATTTTGTATTCTTTGTAGCTAGTGTAAATGGGATTGCTTTCTTGACTTCTTTTTCAGATTGTTCACTATTGGCATATATAATTGCTACTGATTTTTGTATGTTGATCTTGTATCCCACAACTTTACTGAATTCATTTATCAGTTCTAATGGATTTCTAGTGGAGTCGTAGGTTTATCTAGGTATAAGATCATGTCATCTGCAAACAAGGCAAATTTGTCATCTGCCTTTCCAGTTGGGGTGTCTTTTATTTCTTTCTCTTGCCTAATTTCTCTGGACAGTATTTCCAGTATTATGTTGAATTAAAGTGGTGAGAGTACACATCCTTGTCTCAGAGGCTGCTGAATATCATAGTTAATGTAGAGGAAAACCATAAAAGTAAAACAATTAAAAAAAATAAGAAGAACAAAAACAACTCAACATAAATATCATTGATTACTAAGATAGAAAGTCCAACAAAGCAGAAATTGTATTCAAATATAAAATAATAATTTGCTTATATATAGTAATAACTAAATATATATATTAAAATAACATGCTATTTCAGAAAAAAATTTGAGAAAAAATATTAAAACCATAAGTATTCTGGGGAAGTTATTAAACTTCAAAAATAAAAATATTTTAAACATTAGGTTAAAATATGGGGGAATAAATCAGACTGGCTTTAGACTTCTTTAAATTAATGTTTATTTGCAAGAGAAATTTTTAAATGCTTCCAAAGTTGTCAAGTATAGAATTATGACCTAAGAATATTATAAGCAGTTAAAGATGCAAAAGTGTTCTTCAATTATAAGTATTACATGTAGGTGTTGTATTAGTTTCTTATTGCTGCTGTAACAAATTACTACAAACCTGATGATTGAAAACAATACAAAATTATTCTTGTACAGTCCTGGAGGCTGGAATTGCAAAATGAGTCTTGTGGGCCTAAAATCAAAGTATCAGCAGGGCTGGTTTGTCTTGGAGTTTTTGGGGGAGAATCCATTCCTCATGTCTTCTAATTTCTAAAGGTTGCATGACTTGGCTTCTGGCCATATCACTTCAACCTCTGCTTGTTTCATCACATTTCTTCTCTCTCACTCTAATTCTGCCTCCCTCTTAGAAGGTCATGTATAATTACATTGGACCCACTTAGAGCTATACAGGCTAATCTCCAAATCTTAAAATCTTTACCTTAACCACATGTGTGAATTCTCTCTTGCCATATAAAGCAATTTATTCACCGTTTCTGGGGATTAAGATGTGGATCTCTTTAAAAGGCCATTATTCAGCATGTCATAGATATTTTAATATGCAAGAACCAAAATCCAGTAATTAAAAAACAAATGAAAATAGCATCCATGGGACCTGATTAGCTGTTTTAAATGAGTAGTGAGTCTAAGTAACTTAAAGATAGAATTAAAACTATGCAATTTTATAGTGACACAGTACACTGTAAATGTCATACACCTTGAAAATTTTTTTTTAAACTATAGCTAAAATTTGGGAGATGGTAGTATGAGGTAACAGAATGTTAAGTTTTTTCAATATTATATCAAAATCTATTAATATAGCCCAAAATTTAAACTTCATAGTTAAAAATAAGTCAAATCCTATCTTTAAAAATATTTTAACCTTAGAGAGTCCTCTTTAAGAAATAATATCACATTAAAAATTATCTGTTGCCAGTTTAAAGTTTATGACTATAAATGTGCTTTTAACATAATCCCATGTTGCTTGGAAGCTGAAAAATAGTTGTATAGTTCTTTAACAAGAGCAATAACAAAATATCAACTGTGTCAAAAGAGATTTTAGCTGCATCTTTCACTAAGAAATTTAAATGTTCGCAAAACGAGCAATATAAAATTACCTATGCTGTATATTTTAATCTCCTGTGGCAATCTATATTTTTCAAGTTTTATTTAGATTCAGGAGGTACCTGTGCAGGTTTGTTACCTGGGTATATTGAATAATGCTGAGGTTTGGAGTACAAATGATCCCATCAGCCAGGTACTGAGCATAGTACCCAATAGTGAGATTTTCAATCTTTGCCCTCCTTCTTTCTTCCCACCTTTTGTAGTCACGAGTGTCAACTGCTGCCATCTTTATGTCCATGAGTATCCAGTGTTTAGCTCCCACTTATAAGTGAGGAAATTGGGTATTTGGTTTTCTGCTAGTGCATTAATTTGCTTAGAATAATGCCCTCCAGCTGCATCCATGTTGCTGCAAAGAACATAATTTCATCCATTTTATGGCTGCATAATATTCCATGATGCATATGTAACACATTACCACATTTTCTTTATCCAATACACCATTAATGTGCACCTAGATTGATTCCACATCTTTGTTATTGTGAATAGTGCTAGATAGCATAGAATTACACGTCTTTTGGTAGAACAACTTGTTTTCTGAAGCTATATACTCAGTAGTCAGATTGCTGTTTTGAATGGTAGTTCTGTTTTAAATTCTTTGAGAAATCTCCAGACTGCTTTCCACAGCGGCTGAACTAATTTACAATACCATCAACAGTATATAAGTATTCCTTTTTTTCCAGAGCCTCACTTACATCTGTTATTTTTTGACTTTTGAATAATAGCCATTCTGACAGGTGTGAGATGATATCTCATTGTGGATTTGATTTGCATTTCTCTAATGATTGGTAATGTGGAGTGTTTTTTCAAATGTTTGTTGGCTGCTTGTATGTCTTCTTTTGAGAAGTGTCTGTTCATGTCTTTTGCACTTTTTTAATGGGGCTATTTGTTTTTTGCTTGTTCAATTGTTTAAGTTCCTTATAGATTCTGTATACTAGCTCTTTGTCAGATGCATAGTTTGTGAATATTTTCTCTCATTATGCTAGTTGTTTGTTTATTCTGTTGATAGTTTCTTTTGCTTCACAGAAGCTCTTTAGTTTAATTAGGTCCCACTTGTCAATTTTTGTTTTTGCTATATTAGCTTTTGAGGACTTAGTCATAATTTGTTTTAGTTTTTTTTTAATTTTTGTAATTTAATTTTAAATTCCAGGATTATGTGCAGGACGTACAGGTTTGTTACATAGATAAACGTGTGCCATGGTGGTTTGCTGCACCTATCAGCCCATCACCTAGGTATTAAGCCCCACATGCATTAGCTATTTATCCTGATGCTCTCCCTCCCCATTGTGTATTGTTCCGCTCTCTGTGTCCACATGTTCTCATTGTTCACCTCCCACTTATAAGTGAGAACATGTGGTGATTGGTTTTCTATTTCTCTGTTAGTTTGCTGAGGATAATGGTTTCCAGCTCCATCGCTGCCCCTGCAAAGGACATGATCTCTTTCCTTTTAATGGCTGCATAGTATTCTATAGTGTATAGGTGCCACATCTTTCTTTATCCAGCCTATCATTGATGGGTATTTGGGTTGATTCCATGTCTTTGTTATTGTGAATAGTGCTGCAGTGAACATACATGTGCATGTATCTTTATAATAGAATAATTTATATTCCTTTGGGTATATACTCAGTAATGGAATTTTTGGGTCAAATGGTATTTCTAGTCTAGGTCTTTGAGGAATCACCACACTGTCTTCCACAATGGTTGAACTAAGTTACATTCCCACCAACAGTGTAAAGGCATTCCTATTTCTCCACAACTACACCAGCACGTGTTGTTTCTTGACTTTTTAATTATTGCCATTCTGACTGGCATGAGATGGTATCTCCTTGTGGTTCTGACTTGCATTTCTCTAATGATCAGTGATGTTCAGCTTTTCTCCATATGTTTCTTGGCCACATAAATGTCTTCTTTTTAGAACTGTTATGTCCTTTGCTCACTCTTTAATGGGGTTGTTTTTTCTTATAAATTCGTTTAAGTTTCTTGTTAAAAAAATTTAACAATACATTTGTTCCTTAAGTAAATTTGTTAAGACTCTGGATATTAGATCTTTGTCAGATGGATAGATTGCAAAATTTTTCTTCCATTCTGTAGGCTGTCTGTTCACTCTGATGATACTTTCTTTTGCTGTGCAGATGCTCTTCAGTTTAATTGGATCCAATTTGTCAATTTTGCTTTTTGCAATTGTTTCTGATGTTTCATCATAAAATTTTTGCCCATGCCTATGTCCTGAATGGTTTTCCCTAGATTTTCTTCTGGGGTTTTTATAGTTTTGGGTTTTACATTTAAGTCTTTAATCCATCTTGAGGTAATATTTGAATAAAGTGTAAGGAAGAAATCCAGTTTCAATTTTCTGCATATGGCTAGCCAGTTTTCCCAGTACCATTTATTAAATAGGGAATTATTTTCCCATTGCTTGTTTTCTCAGGTTTGACGAAGATCAGATGGTTGTAGATGTATGGTCTTATTTCTGAGATCTCTACTCTGTTCCATCAGTCTATGTATCTGTTTTTGTACCACTACCATGTTGTTTTGGTTACTGCAGCCTTGCAATATAGTTTGAAGTCAGGTAATGTGATGCCTCCAGCCTCATTGTTTTTCCTTAGGATTGTCTTGGCTATTCAAGCTCTTTTTTGGTTCCATATGAATTTTAAAGTAGTTTTTTCTAATTCTGTGAAGAATGTAAATGGTGGTTTAATGGGAATAGCATTAAATCTATAAATTGGGCAGTATGACCATTTTCACAATATTAATTCTTCCTATCCATGAGCATGGAATGTTTTTCCATTTGTTTTTGTCTTCTCTTACTTCATTGAGCAGTGGATTGTAGTTCTCCTTGAAGAGGTTCTTCTCTTCCCTTGTTAACTGTATTCCTAGGTATTTTATTGTTTTTATAGCAATTGTGAATTATGAAGCTTGTTCATAATTTGGCTCTCTGCTTGCCTATTGTTGGTGTATAGGAATGCTTGTGATTTTTGTGCATTAATTTGTATCCTGAGACTTTGCTGAAGTTCAACGACCTTTTGGGCTGAGACAATGAGATTTTCTAGACATAAGATCACGTGGCCTGCAAATTTAGACAGTTGGACTTTCTCTCTTCCTATTTGAATACACTTTATTTCTTTCTCTTGTCTGATTGCTCTGGCCAGAACTTCCAATACTATGTGGAATAGGCATGGTGAGAGAGGGCATTCTTGACTTGTGCCGGTTTTCAAGGAGAATGCTTCCAGCTTTTGCCCATTCAGTATGATACTGGCAGTGGGTTTGTCATAAATGGCTCTTATTATTTTGAGATGTTTCATCAATCTAGGTATGTTTCATCAATACCTAGTTCATCATCAATACCTAGTTCATTGAGAGTTTTTAACGTAATGTTGAATTTTATAAAGGCCTTTTCTATGTCTATTGAGATAATCATGTGTTTTTTGTCTTTAGTTCTGTTTACGTAATGATTTACGTTTATTGATTTGCATATGTTGAACCAGCCTTGCATCCTGGGGACAAAGCCGACTTGATCCTGATGGATAATCTGTTTTTTAGTTTTGTTTTGTTTTTGTTTTTGAGACAGAGTTTCACTCTGTCACCCAGGCTGGAGTGCAGCGACATGATCTCGGCTTACTGCCACCTATGCCTCCTGGGTTCAAGCAATTCTCCTGCCTCAGCCTCCTGAGTAGCTGGAATACAGGCAAGTGTCACCACACCTGTCTAATTTTTGTATTTTTAGTAGAGACAGGATTTTGCCATGTTGGCCAGGCTGGTCTCAAACTCCTGACCTCAGGTGATCCACCCCATTCAGCTTCCCAAAGTGCTGGGATTACAGGCGTGAGCCACTGCACCCGCCCATGGTGTATAATCTTTATTATTATCATTATACTTTAAGTTCTGGGGTACATGTGCAGAATGTGCAGTTTTGTTACATAGGCATACATATGCTATGGTGGTTTGCTGCACCCATCAACCCGTCACCTACATTAGGTATTTCTCCTTATGCTATCCCTCCCCAGCCCCCTACCCCTCAGCAGGCCCCGGTGTGTGATGCTCCTCTCCCTGTGTCCGTGTGTTCTCATTGTTCAACTCCCACTTATGAGTGAAAACATGTGGTGTTTGGTTTTCTGTTCTTGTGATAGTTTGCTGAGAAAGATGGTTTCCAGCTTCATCCATGTCCCTGCAAAGGACATTAACTCATCCTTTTTTATGGCTGCATAGTATTCCATGGTACATATGTGCCATATTTTCTTTATCCAGTCTGTCATTGATGGACATTTGGGTTGGTTTCAAGTCTTTGCTATTGTGAATAGTGCTGCAATAAACATATGTGTGCATGTATCTTTAGAGTAGAATGATTTATGATCCTTTGGGTATATACCCAGTAATGGGATTGCTGGGTCAAATGGTATTTCTAGTTCTAGATCATGAATGCATGATTCAGATTTTAGTGATGCAATGTCTAACATCAAAGATCAGCCAAGAAACTTTAGATTCCTCTAGATTCTAGAGGAATCACCACACTGTCTTCTACAATGGTTGAACAAATTTACACTCCCACCAACAGTGTAGAAGCATTCCTATTTCTCCACATCCTCTCCAGCATCTACTGAATTCTGTTTGCCAGTATTTTATTGAGGATTTTTGCATCAGTGTTCATCAGGGATGTTGGCCACAAAAAAAAAAAAAAAAAAAAAAAAGAAGAAGAAGTTTTCTTTTTTTGTTGTATCTCTGCCAGGTTTTGGTATCAGGATGATGCTGGCCTCATACAATGAGTTAGGGAGATGTCCCTACTTCTCAATTGTTTGGAATAGTTTCTGAAGAAATGGTACCAGCTCCTCTTTGTACCTGCGGTAGAAGTCAGCTATATGTCTGTCTGGTCCTGGGCTTTTTTTGGTTGCTAGGCTATTTATTACTATTATTTCAGAACTTCTTATTGGTCTTTTCAGGGATTCAACTTCTTCCTGGTTTAGTCTTGGGAGGGTGTATATTTGCAGGAATTCATCCATTTCTTCTAGATTTTCTAGTTTATGTGCATAGAGGGTGTTTATAATATTCTCTGATGGTTGTTTGTATTTCTGTAGGGTCAGTGGTGATTTCCCCTTTATCCTTTTTTAGTATGTCTAATTGATTCTTCTCTCATTTCTTCTTTATTAGTCTAGCTAGCAGTCTATCTATTTTGTTATGTTTTTCAAAAAAACAGCTCCTGAATTCATTGATTTTTTTCAAGGATTATTCACGTCTCTATCTCCTTCAGTTCCATTCTGATCTTGGTTATTTCTTGTCTTCTGCTAGCTTTTGGGATTGTTTGCTCTTGGTTCATTAGTTCCTTTAGTTGTGATGTTAGGGTGTCGATTTGAGATCTTTCTACCTTTTTGATGTAGACAATTAATGCTATAAACTTTCCTAACTGCCTTAGCTAAGTCCCAGAGACTCTGGTACATTGTCCCTTTGTTCTCATTGGTTTCAAATAACTTACTTATTTCTGCCTTAATTTCATTATTTGCCCAGTAGTCATTCAGGAGCAGATTGTTCAATTTCCATGTAGTTGTGTAGTTTTGAGTGACTTTCTTAATCTTTAGTTCTAACTTGATTATGCTGTGGTCTGAGACATGGTTATGATTCCAGTTTCTTGCATTTGCTGTGGAGTGTTTTACTTCCCGTTTTGTGATCTATTTTAGAGTAAGTGCCATGTGGTGCCAAGATGAATGTATATTCTGTTGCTTTGGGGTGGAGAATTTTGTAGATATCTATCAGGTCCACTTCATCCAGAGCTGAGTTCAAGTCCTGAATATCCTTGTTGATTTTCTGCCTTGATGATATGTCTAATATTGACGGTGGAGTGTTAAAGTCCCCCACTATTATTGTGTGGGAGTCTAAGTATCCTTGTAAGGTCTAAGAACTTGTTTTATGAATCTGGGTGCTCCTGTATTGAGTATATATATATTTAGGACAGTTAGCTTTTCTTGCTGAATTGATCTCGTTACATTATTTAATGCCCTTGTTTGTCTTTTTTTATCTTTGTTGGTTTAAAGTCTGTTTTTCAGAAACTAGAATTGCAACCCCTGCTTTTTTCTGCTTTCCATTTGCTTGGTAAAGTTTCCTCCATCCCTTTATTTTGAGTCTATGTGTGTCTTTGCATGTGAGATGGGCCTTTTGAATACAGCACACCGATAGGTCTCTTAGTCATAAATTCTTTCTTAAGGCCAATGTCCAGAGTGGTGATTCCTAGGTTTTCTTCTAAGATTCTTACAGTTTGTAGTCTTACATTTATATCTTTAATGCATCTTGATTTAATTTTTGTATATGGTGAAAGTAAGTGTTCAGTTTCAATCTTCCGCATATTACCCCAGAACCATTTATCGAATAGAGAGTCCTTTCCCCCCTTGTTGCAATCTTTACTCTTCCTTGCACATTGTTTTACCCTTCCACTTAGATTATCTTTGGTTACATTCAGATATTACAAGTCTACTAAAAATGTCTTTATTTTTTCCTCAATTTTGTCATCTACTGAGCAAACCCACACAAAAATATTTCATCTGCAAAATATGCATTTTGGAATTTTTCAAATCAAACAGCAATTATTCTCAATTGAGCAAAGTTTATGTGATGAGTTATACATGTGTGCATGTGTGTATCAAGTAATATCAATTCTTATTCAGTTATTTTCATAAACCCATTTATTATTGTCTTATTCAGTTGTTTTTCATGCCCCAAATAACATGTAGTTGTTTTGGTGGCAATATTTGTATTCTGCATAAATGTTTCCCATAATATTCAAATTTTGCTACAGTTCCTGCCAAATGCAAAAGTTCTCATAATCATGCTCATAAAGTTTCTTGGCTAATCTTTGATGTTAGACATTGCATCACTAAAAACTGAATCATGCATTCAAATGCCACATGGCATTATTTTCCTCATTTACATATAGTTTCTTTACTGCACCATGGTAATTATAAATATTTAAAATCAGAATACAATTAGAAATATTTAATTTAACATATATTCCCCTTTCTTCATGTTTATCTGAAATACATGAAAAACCTGTCACTCTTGGGTCCATTTTGTTCTGTCAGCAAAGCGTTTAAAACATAGACAAAATGAAGAATCATTTGAAATAGGATGAAGTAAAAAGATTCTAATCATTTATTTTGCCATTTGAAATGTTTGTATAATATTCATTTCCAAAACTTCCTACCATCTGGAAAGTTAGAATTTCTTGCTTGAGATCAATAATTTTCAAAAAGAGAGTAATTTATTAGTCAAATTACATAATCATATGCTTAGATTTGCAAAATCTAGAGTCAGTTTTAATAATTCTTGAGATTTTTTTTCTGTTTTAGTTTTTGGTGAAATTTATCAGTCGTATTTTATGTTTCTAAGATATATATAACTGAAACTAAAACATTTTTTCTTTTTCCCTGGCACTCTATATTTTTCTCCCCAAATTTTTTGTTTGATGCAAATAATTTTTTTAATTTTTAATTTTTTTTCTAATATCTTTCCATGCTCTATGGTTGATCTTGATTATGGCACTTATTATTATTTTATTACCTTCTTTTTGGAACTCTTAAACTTTGTATCATTTAAGATATCATGTAGGCAAAGAAAGGAAAAATAGACACCAGGGCCTTCTTGAGGGTGGAGGTTAAGAAGAGGGAGAGGACAAAAAATAAATAAATAAATAAATAAAAACCCGATTGGTTACTAGGCTTAGTTTCTGGATGACAAACTAATCTGTACAACATATCCCCATGACACAAATTTACCTATGTAATAAAGGTACACATGTACCCCTAAACCTAAAATAAAAGTTAAAAAAAAAAACACGTAGAAATACATCACTAAATTTTAATAGAGTTAGTATTTGTACTAGTAAAAGTATCATTAAACCCAACAAGCTGCAATAATACAATTAGTGGGCCATTACATATTACTTACTAATTTATACCAATGAAATATCTACCTTGTGGATTACTAACAGTAAAAAACTATTAGTTATTTATAGTGATTCATGAGTGCTATTTACTATATTAACAATCACTAATAGAAAACTAATTTCTATAGTTTTGACTATGTTTTTTTAATAAAAACAATTATTTTTAAATTTTAATTTCTGTGTTTCAGTAGGTTTTTGGGGAAAAGGTGGTGTTTGGTTACATGGATAAGTTCCTTAGTGGTGATTTCTGAGATTTTAGGTCACTCATCACTCACACAGTGTATGCTATACTAATGTGTAGTCTTTTATCCCACGCCACTCACCACCCTTACCCTCAGGTCCCCTAATTCCAATGTATCATTCTTATGCCTTTGCATCCTCATAGCTTAGCTCTGACATAGAGTGAGAACATACAATGTTTGGTTTTCAATTCCAGAGTTATTTCTCTTAGAATCATAGTCTCCAAATTCATCCAGATTGTTGTGAGTGCCATTATTTTGTTCCTTTTTATGGCTGAGTATTATTCCATGGTTGGGGTGTGTGTGTGTGTGTGTGTGTGTGTGTGTGTAACATTTTCTTTATCCACTTGTTGATTGATGGGCATTTAGGATGGTTCCACGTTTTTGCAATTGCAAATTGTGCTGCTATAAACATGCATGTGCAAGTATCTTTTTTGTATAATGACTTCTTTTCTTCTGGGTAGATACCCAGGAGTAGGATTGCTAGATCAAACGGTAGATCTACTTTTTGTTCTTTAAGAAATCTCCACACTGTTTTCCACAGTGGTTGCACTAGTTTACATTCCCACCAGCAGTGTAAAAGCAGTTTATTCTTGTTTCTCTTGTTCCTTGAGATATGACTTTAGGTTGTCTATTTGAGCTCTTTTAGACTTTTTGATGCAGGCATTCAATGCTATGAACTTACCTTTTAGCACTGCTTTTGCTGTATCCCAAAGGTTTTGATAGATTCTGTCACTATAATCATTCAGTTCAAATAATTCTTTAATTTCCGTCTGATTTCATTGTTGACCCAACGATCATTCAGGAGCAGATTTTTTAATTTCCACGTATTTGCATGATTTTGAATATTCCTATTGGAGTTGATTTCCATTTTTATCCCACTGTGATCTGAGAGAATACCTGATATAATTTCAATTTTCTTAAATGTTTGGAGGCTTGTTTTGTGGCCCATCATATGGTCTATCTTGGAGAATGTTCCATGTGCTGATGAATAGAATGTATATTCTGCAGTTGGATAGAATGTATCTGCAAATATCTGCTAAGTCCATTTGTTCTAGGGTATTTGGGCCATTGTCTCTTTGTTGACTTTCTGTCTTCATGACCTGTCTAGTGCTTTCAGTGGAGTATTGAAGTCCTCTACTACTATTGTATTGCTGTCTATCTCATTTCTTAGGGCTAGGCGCAATTGTTTTATAAATTTGGGAGCTCCAGTGTTAGGTGCATATATATTTAGGATTGTAATATTTTCCTATTGGGCTAGTCCTTTCATTATTATTTAATGTCCCTCTTTGTCTTTCTAACTGTTGTTGCTTTAATGTCTGTTTTTTCTGATATAAGAATAGCTACTCCTACTTGCTTTTGGTGTCCATTTGCATGGAATGTTGTTTTCCACTTCTTTAAGTTTATATGAGTTACTATGTTTTAGGTGAATCTCTTGAAGACAGCAGATACTTGCTTGATAAATTCTTATTCATTCTGCCATCCTATATCTTTTAAGTGGAGGATTTAGGCCATTTACATTCAATATCGGTATTGAGAAGTGAGGTACTATTCTATTCATTGTGTTGGTTGATGCCTGAATACCTTGTTTTTCATTGTGTTTTTGTTTTATAGATATGAAATTTATGCTTTAAGGTGGTTCTTTTTGGTGTATTTTGAGAATTTGTTTAAAGATGTGGAGCCCCTTTAGCAGTTCTTGTAGTGCTGGCTTGGTAGTGGCAAATTCTCTCAGCATTTATTTGTCTGAAACATACTGTATCTTTCCTTCATTTATGAAGCTTAGTTTCACTGGATACAAAATCGTTGGATGATAATTGCTTTGTTAAAAGAGGCTAAAGATAGGACCCCAATCTCTTCTAACTTGTAGGGTTTCTACTGAGAAATCTGCTTTTAATCTGATAGGTTTTCCTTTATAGGTTACCTGATGCTTTTGCCTCACAGTTCTTAAGATTCAAAGCCAGCAATGACAGGTCTCACCCAGCTCACAGGCAGTAATCTAACCTGATTACTTTGAGTCTAGGTGATGATGTTTTTACAATGTGTTTCCTAGGTGTTCTTTGTGCTTCTTGTATTTGGATGTCTAGATCTCTAGCAAGGCCAGGGGAGTTTTCCTCAATTATTCCCTCAAATATGTTTTTCAAACTTTTAGATTTCTTTTCTTCCTTGGGAAGACCATTTCTTACGTTTCGTTGTTTAACATAATCCCAAACTTCTCAGAGGCTTTGTTCATTTTTTAAAATTACTTTTTCTTTGTCTTTTTCAAGTTGGGTTAATTCTAAAGCCTTGTCTTCAAGCTCCAAAGTCCTTTCTTCTACTTGTTGGATTCTATTGCTCAAACTTTCCAGTATATTTTGCATTTATCTAAGTGGGTCCTTCATTTCCAGAAGCTGTGATTGTTTTCTATTTATGCTATCTATTTGTCTGGAATTTTTTCCATCTATATTCTATATCACTTGTTTTCATTTATTTAAGTTGGTATTCACCTTTCTCTGGTGCCTCCTTGAGTAGCTTAATGATTGACTTTCCAAATTCTTTTTCTGGCAATTCAGAGATTTCTTCTTGGTTTGGATCCATTGCTTGTGAGCTAGTGTGATGTTTTGGGGGTGTTAAGGAAACTTGTTTTGTCATATTACCAGAACTGGTTTTCTGGTTCCTTCTCATTTGGGTAGACTATGTCAGAGGAAACATCTGGGGCTCAAGGACGGTTGCTCAGATTCTTTGGTCCCACAGAGTGCTCCCCTGATGTGGCGCTCTCCCCTTTCCCCTGTGGATGAGGTTTCCTGAGAGCCAAACTGCAGTGATTGTTACTTGTCTTCTGGGTCTAGCCACCCAGCAGAGCTACCAGGCTCTGGGCTAGTACTGAGGAGTGCCTGCAACGAGTCCTGTGATGCAATCTCTCTTCAGGTCTCTCAGCCATGCATACAAGCACCTGCTCTAGTGAAGGCAGCAGGGAAGTGCAGTTGACTCTGTGAGGGTCCTTGGTTGTGTTTTTGTTTAGTGCATTGGCTTTCTGTTGCTTGGTCTACAGCCCAGAGGTGGTGCTTTCAAGAGAGTATCAGCTGTGGTCATATAAGGTAGGATACAATTTTGTCCTAGGGTGGCCTGAATAAGTATTCAGGTTGCTCAGGCAGTGGGCGGGGCCATAGAGCTCCCAAGAGATCATGTCATTTGTCTTTGCCCACCAGGGCAGGCAAGGAAGACCATCAGGTGGGGGCAGGGTGTCTGAGCTCAGACTCCCCTTGGGCAGGGTTTGCTGCTGCTGTGGAGGACTGGGTGTGGTTCTCAGGCTGATGGAGGTATGTTCCCAGGGGGGATTATGACTGCCTCTGCTGCATCATACAAGTTGCCAGGGAAGTGAGGGAAAGCCAGCAATGACAGGTCTCACCCAGCTCGCAGGCAGCCCAAAAGGTCAGTCTCACTCCCACTATGTCTCCCCTCAACAGCACCGAGTTTGTTTCCAGGCAGCTGGTGAGCAGAGCTGACACCTTTCCTCAGGCTATAAGCCTCCCCACTGACAATGCAAGGAGGGCTTTCAGGTTTATGCCTCCCCACCTGCCGCGGTTTCCTCCCCAAGGACCCCTGCAAGAAAAAGTCAGGAATGGATTCCTGGAACAAAGAATGTCCACAGGGCTCTTGATGCTGCTGCCTCTACCCCTATATTTTATATAGGTAAGGTCAAATCCTTTCCTCGTGATCTGGACCTTCAGGTTCCCCGGTAAGGATGTGTGTTCAGGGATGGACATTCCCCCTCTCACACTTTGAGTACCCACAGTTTTTCAGCCATCTCACAGAGCCTGTTGCAGCAAGCCACTTCCTTCTAAGGGTCTGTGGATTATCGTAGCTTTCCTGGTATGTCCCTGCAGTTGTTCTTGCAGCAAAAGTTTATGATGTGAGTCTTCTAATGCTGCTCCGTCTGTCTGAGTGGGAGCTGCATGTTAGTCCTGCTTCCTATATGCCATTTTTCCTGACTGTCCATGTCAATACCATCTCCAAAGAGAGTTTTGGGCAAACATTTTCATTTTTCAGTATTTTAATACTTTATATTTTAAAATGCTACTTAAATTTAGTATTCTAAATATGCATAATTTTAGTAATTTGATAAATATTTATTCATCTAACAAATGTTTACTGGACACCTACTATGTGCCAGGGCACTATTCCAGGTGATACATTCTAGGTATTCTAGGTGATGACACTAAGGCCGTAAGTTTCAATATGATTTTACTTAATATAAAATAATATGGCTTATGAAAATCAGAACATCAAAATTAGATAATTTGAATTTCATCACTTTGGACTTTTTCTACTAATATTTATATTTCTGTAAAAATTACAAGTCCTGGAGAGCAAGATCATTGTCTGTCAACCTTTGAATATTTCACACCCTGTCTGGCATGATACCAGAAAACTAGGTGAATAGCTCACCCATCCTGTCTCCATTTGCTGGGCCTCTGGACTACTTCCAGATTCTTCCTCCTGTGAAATGTGTGACTATGAGCATTCTGGCACAGTTTCCTATTGTACATTTCCTATTGAATACATGCCTATAGATTCTTTTGTGTCATACAGTTTGTGATTATTAAACTTTAAAGGATAATACCAAACCATTTGCAAAATTTGTTGCACCATTTAAACCTCCCACCAACAAGGTATAAGACAGCTGGTGAACACACATCTCTTGATATTGCCAAGAATATCTCTTGATATTGCCAAGAATATCTCTTGATATTGCCTTTAACATTGCCAATAAAATAAGTGTAAAAATTAACATCGATACTGTCTTGTTTTGCATTTCCTTGATCACTAAGGATATTGAACACCTCTTCATATATTTATTGGCTGCATGTATTTCCTCTTCAGTAAAATGTTTTTGCATATATTTTGCTTATTTTTTTATTGAGTTGTTTGTGCTTTGTTTATTGGTTGGTAGAAGTTCTTTGCTATTCTTGATACTAATATGTTGCTGGTCATATGTAACAAGAATATCCTCTTCTAATTTATATAATCTTGTCACTTATAAAAATTATGTCCTGACGAACAAATATTCTTACTTTTAACGTTGTAATATTTATCAATATTTTCTTTATGTGTTTTTTTTGGATTTTAAGAAAATATTTCCTACCCCAAGATTTTAAAAATATCTACCTTTATTTTTAATCATTGTTTTTGAAATTTAAGTATTTAATCCATCTAGAATTTACTTTTGTGTGTGGTTTGAGGTAGGAGTTCAATGTAACCTTTTAAAATATAGACAGCCAATTTTCTAGTCCATGTATTGATCAGTTCTACTTTCACCTATGATCTAGAATGTTACTTCTGTCATATATCAATATTCATAAAGGCATAGGTGTATTCCACTTACCTAATTCTACTGCATTGGTTACAAATTTTTTTTAATTTATGGATTAGTACCACAGTATTTTAATCAAAAATTTTATAAATCCTGAAACTTGGTAGGATAATTTCTTGCTCCTTGTAGTTATTTAGAAATATCCTGGCTCTTCTAGTCTGTTTACTTATTCTACCACAGAAATTTTAGAATCATCTAATAAAGTTTCTTGTAAGGCCCTGTAATTAGATTTGCGTTAATTTTTCTCACAACCTTTAATTGGGATTTTATTGAGTCTATAGATCAATTGGGAAAATTGATAACTTTATAGCATGAATCCTTCTTATTTATAACCATGACATAAATTCTTACTTATTTAGGCATCCTTACTATCAAACAACAGAATTTTATACTTTTCGGTCAGCTTTACTTATAGATACTTGATATTATTTATTAATACTATAAATAATGTCACAGACAAAACATGTTTCTTATTGTTTGCTTTTGGTATTTAGAAATTCAACAGGCTTTGTATTAGGTTGAACCATAACATATACCATTTTTATATGTCTAAAGGATCACATAATAGCAAATTTAATATGATTTTCTCTAATACATGAATCTTATAGTTACTTGGATAAATATCCTTATCATGTCTAATAATTTGTTCTAGTTTTTTAAGATATTCTATATAACTGAATATGGCATGTATAGCAATATAGTATTCTTCCTCAACCATCTATTGTAAAAATTTGTCATGTTTTCCTAGAACTTCCACTATAAAATAGAATGGAAGTGGTGATTATGTGACTTTTTTGCGTATTTCCATATTTCCAACTCTTTTGTTTTTTCCCAATTAGTATAAAAAGTGTAACTTAAAAAATAGAATCAATTTTTCAGGAAAACAAAGTTATCGTCTAACACTAATTTTCTAATAAGGATTTTTGTGAATTATGGTTAATTTTTTAATCAAATGTTTTTTCTGCATCAACTGAGTCGATCATATGATTTTTCTTTTTTATATGTTAACATGAATTACATTTATGTATTTTGTAAAACAAAACTGTTCCTTTACACGTAAAATATACCTAACATAATTGGAGTGTATCTTTTTTTCATACACATTGAATAATGTTAATATTTTCTTTGTGGATTTTGTTATATATGTATGATTAAAATGTATATGTAATTTTTTTCTCCTAATAATTTTGATTTTGGTAAATGAATTGGAGAATGGGGCAAATAACTTTTCTGTTTTTCTGTTGTTTAGAAAATTTGATAAAAAATTGGGATGAAGTGCTGATTGAACAAGTATAGTTCAGATGCCTGGGAGCAGTTAAGAATAAAGAAAAATGATGGGAAGCTTCCTGTGGCTGTCAAAGCTCTGCAAGATTAAAAGGAGGTGCAGAAATGGAAGCTGCTCTCTTAGGAGCAAGAGAAGTGGAGGGTTCTTCTAATGTCCCTGCTTTCAGTGTGCTCCTGAGGGCTAGTTTCTGTTTCATTTTACCTGGAGCACTGGTGGAACTTTCACAGTTTGGCAGGGGTTTGGGGGTGGGGGCGGTAGTGGCAGCTAATAGCAAAGAAAAAGGGGCAGAGTACCTGATATGCCTAGCATGGCTCAGAAAGATTGGGAGAGGCACAGAACACAAGCCTTCTCCACAAGAAAGGAAGGGAGAGGAGTGGAACATGCCTCCAATGTCTTGGCTCGTGGTACATATAACTCCAGAGATAATACATCCATAGAGAAGGTTTGAGAGGATCCCAGAATCTCTAGATGGGCAGACTGAGGAAAATATTTTCTTGCCAAAGTCAATCTGTAAAGATTGGGAGAGGTGGCTGTTTCTTTACATGACCAGACACCAATGCAAACTACAATAAACGTGAAGAATCAGGAAAACAACAGAATTAAAAGAACAAATAATAAAACTAAATATTTAATAACTGACCCTAAAGAAATGCCAATTTATGAATTGTCTGACAAATAACTCAAAATAATCACCTTAAAGAAGCTTAGTGAGTTACAAAGAATACAGAGAGAGAACTAAACAAAATCAGGAAAATAATACAAGATCTCATGTTAAACATTCTTACCACAAAAAAAAAGAAAGAAAATTGGTATGGTTTCTTTCTTATTTGATATAGCTTGTAAAATCATCATGGCCTGGTATTTTATTTGAGGAATAATATTTTTAACAAGTGCTTCCATTGCTTTGACAGACATAGAACTATTGATGTTTTTATTTCATCATGAGTCAATTCTCATAATTGCAGTTTTCTAGACATTAATATATTTTTAAAATTTTCAAAATTATTGCTATATTTTTATAGTGTTTGTCTTATCATTGTAATCGCTATTGTGTGTATGCCTTCCTTTTATTCACAATACTTATCTGTATCTTCTTTAATTCCTGTTTTAATCAATCACAACACAGGTTTGTCTTTTCTATTAGTGTTTTTATGAAACATCAACTTTGTTTGCTTTGTTGTACATCTCTTTTGCATCCTTTATTTCTTTTTTACTGATTTTCACTCTTTTTTTCATTTTCCTCTTTAATTCTTAGACTTTTTCTATGTATTCTCCGTGATTTTTACTGTCTCTGTTAAATAAGACTGAAGATATATTGCTTACATGAAAAAAGACTTCTGTGGTCTTCCACCTGTCTTTGGAATCATGGAGAATTTCCCAGTTTCTAGTCCATAAGTCCATTGAATAGTAGCGTATATTAATCTTAGTCTTTGATTTTTCCTTATAATTTTTTGTGTATTTCTTCTTGTTATTATGCAAATTAATTTGTGCTAGTAAAGTGTTTGAAACTGTAAAAGTATTAAATGAATATTTGTTAAATGAGTGAATAAGATATAGTTAAGTCATATGCATATTAATTAATCCACTGTCAATAAAAAGCAATTAGTTTTTTCATAGGAGAAACTTGTATTTCCCTAATCTACTCAGTATGTTTGCATGTTAGCTCTTTATTGGTTAGCATCTACTTCTCTTCCAAATTGCATTCAAGCTTGTTTACCAGAACTAGAGCAAATGCTGTTTATTTAACCTGTAAACTCAAAATATATATTCTTGAACTCCAAATTGCACAGGAGAATTTTAAAAAGAAACAGAAACTAAATTAAAGCTGTGCATATGAAGCTAAAATGGTAATATGAATACAAATTCTGGTTTTAATTAGTGATACTGTTGTGGGTGAATAGTATTTTTTTAAGTCATTGGTAATGTAGAGGATGAGACTAACAGGTATCTCTTTCAGTTAACTTTTTAGCTTAATAAGGTACCCCTTTACTAAATTATGTAGACTACTACAGACATTTTCCATGCAAAGGGAAGTAAACCATTTAGCTATTTAACCAGAAACTTATTTTTCTAGTTTACTTGTAGATAATGTTTTCTAAAAGAAAAATAAAATTTTACTATCAGGTAGCATGGGAGACTCATATTTTACTCTACCTTTTTGTTGTTGTTGTTGGTCATTATCAACCAAGCTAGCTATGCAAGGTAGTTCCACAGTGGCACTAACAGAATCCATAAAACCAGCATCAGCTTTCCAGCCATATTTCATACACAGTATTTATTTAATTTCAAAATAAATATATAATTTCATAAGTGCAATATTGGATACATAAACCTATTTGAGACCAGGAATCTCAAATAATGTGGATGGACTTAAGGTAGGCAAAGCAGAATATCAGTCCTTCCCAAAATGTTAAAACTAGATGCTAACAACCTAACTGGTTCCCAGGCCTTAGGGTAACACTTTTGGAAAATTATTTTGGACACCAGACAAATCGATATAAGAGTCCTATTAAGAGCAGCTGGAAAGAATAACAGTTATCATTGCAGCTACAGGATAGCCGATTACTTGCTCACAGCTGATTAGAATGACATTTCTATGTGATTGTTTTAGGGCCTCTCTTTTATTTCATTTTCCCAAAATTGGCAAATTGTAAGATTACTGAGTTAGAAAAAGTCACTGATGAGTAGGGGACAGAGAATGTTCACAAGCAAAAATAGGCATATCATTAATTGATAGTGAATTTAGTGACAACAATCATATCTATTTTTTTACTACTTTCAGACATAACATTCATTACTATACAATGAGTAATAGGGTCAAGTCCTTTACAGAGAATATCCCATTTAATGCTCAAAAACCCTTTGAGATAATATACAATTAGCTCTTGCTATTCAAAAATTTCACTATTCATTCACTAAAATGACTTGAAAATTTTTTTGACCAAAACTTCACTATCAAAGTCCAAAGGTCCCTAAGCAAAATTGCATGTGCATATTGGCAAAGACATCTAAATTGGGCATTCCTCCTTGTAAGAAAACATCGATCATATTGCGGTTTTATCTCTGCTGTTCTCCTGATAAGATTATGATGTATATTAAAGTTGTTTAAACTTTTTACATATTATTACTATTATGTTCTCCACACTTTACTTTGAAGTTTATACTATAACAGATTCCTGTTTGCTATGTCAGATGCCTGAGGGCACTATTAACAAGTTTCAATTTAGTTAGACACTTTTCTATATTTATCATATTATTTTATTTTTTATTTGCATTGGAGTACTTGCCCTTTGCAGTGTGAAAGGAACTCACAATAATATTGTATACTGCACACAAACATACCAGTAAAGTAACTTCACTTTATTACTTGTTAAATAATTAGGTATGCTATATTCTGACTGTTTTATGCTATCCAGAAATCATTTGTGGATTATGACTTTGATATTTTTAAATGTTTTAATAACACTTGGTTGGCATTTTGGGATGTGCTTAGAACTTATTATGTTTTTTTCCATTAAAAATAATGAAATATAGGCTCCTGCTATCTGGAAATTTGCTATCACTCTTTTTAGGAATGAAAAAGTTTTGGCTAATAAGAGATGTCTATACTTTCATTATCAAAAATATACAGATGAAGAAGCAGATCTCCATGTTAGCTCATTATTGATTTAAAAAACATTTATTATGCACATTCTATGTGTCAGACACCGACAATAAAGTAGTGAATAAATAAAGGTATCTACCCTCATTTAACTATCATTCTAGAGAATTCTGGAAAATTAAAAAAAAAACAACAACTGGCAAAAATGAGTAAATTAGACTGGAGATTAAGAAATGATTAGTACTATGGAGAAAAATAAAGCAGAGAATGGAGATGGGGGTGAATGGGTCAAAACAGAGGTAAGGGTTTTATTATCACAAGAGTTTTTATGGTTAAATAACTCTGAGCAAGTGATATATCAAAAGTCGATTATTTTTCTCTGATTCTTGCCAGTTCTGGAAGTACTCACTGCAGAGACAAATGGAAATGAGTCCACTCTAGGAAGAAGAATAACTGGAAGCTTGAGCTGTGTAAATGTGACTTGGAAATGTGACTTCAGGAGAAAGAACCAGGTTTGACACTGTGGGCTAATCTTAAACAGGGACAGTAATTGGAGCAGAATGGCCACAAATGAGCCGAATAAATCAGCCATTGACAAATAGGGACACATATAAGTATTTAGTAAGTAATATGATAAACCCACACCAGCATCGACTGGATAGTTCCTGAATTAGGCTGCTACATTTGAGAGCTATAACATGCTAAAAGAATAAATCTCCTAAATTAAGAAGGCACTATTAATTTTAACAATTATTACTATTATTTCTCCAATGACAAGTATTTCTCTTCACCTTTTGCCATTTGACACAGGCTTTCAACATTATTTAAAATAAAATGATAATGTATAGTCACATTACAGCTCTTGCAGAAGCTTCCTATAACAGCAGTTCCTATAGGGAATCTTCCAGTGACAGCTAGAGACCATGTCTTGACTTTTGAACTGAACTGGTGGTTTTCTTTAACTCCTTTTGGCATGGTTGGCATACCTTGCCAATTAGGATCAGAGCTACAGGTGGAAAGGCCATGTGACAATAATCACTATATGAAGGTTAAATTAAAAATATCCTCCCTGTATATTATAGACCTTGCCTTCTAAATTTGTGTTAGGTTTTTCTCTTCTCAATTTAATTTAGAATTGACAAATTCTGTTGAGCTCTTCTAACCAATTTTGTCTATCTTTTTCCTCATTTCTCCTTTCTTGAAAGTTTGTGCATACTTTGTCTTATTGAAAACACTTAGATCTAACAAGGAATCATACTTATAGAGGTATGTGGGTAGAAAAACATTATAGGACATGTTGAATCACTGAAAAACCAGCTCCTGCTATTTATTTCCACATCATTATATTGTTTTCTTCTCTATATCTGACCCACTTTCAGCGATAACAGATTAATTTACCATATTGACCTTGAAATATTAAATGTAGTCAGCCACCTGAAGATAAGCTTGTATTATAATCAGAGAATAAGTGATGTTTATTAATAATTACTGTAGAAGAAAAAGTGTGAATTAGTAGACTCAGTGTTAGCAGTCATAAATCCAAATTCCAACTCCTACTTTCTAGCTGTGAGACAAAGTCTAAGTCACTTAACATCTAGCCTACTCTCCTTCTCAGTAAAAATGTGTATACACCATCTTCTACTGCCTTGGCTTACAAGGTTATTATAAAGCTTCAATAAAAAGGTAGTTGCAACATGGTATTATGAAATACCAATTTTTGTAGGACAAAAATGGTCAAATATTGGGAATTTCATAGGGTTCAATCTAAAAACACTCAATTAGTACCTTTATTTTTAGAAAAGCTTTATAGAGCTTTTTTGAAACATAAAATAACCTTTAATGAGTAAGATTCAATAGTTAAAGAGCAATTAGCAGCATGTACAAATATAAAATGAGGCCAAATTTGGTCACTGACAGGAAATGCATATTTGGGCTAATGTCACACATTTCTGAAGTCAAGTATATCAGCTACTGGATAATGCTGAATAATAAGTTAGGGCAAATTAATAAATGATTATAACTAAAATTATAAATAAAATATAGTTTTATGAATAAATGTAGTGACAGGTAGTAAAATAGTCATGAATGTAAGTCAGCACTAAATAACACTATTAGCTTTTTGAATGGTATTAGTAATGGTGACATTGCAACTTTTCACTACATTTTCTTTTATGTTCAAAGGATGCACATCTCCCCTTTTATGTCCTAGACAGATTCTAAGACTATCTTTTCCTTGGTCATCCAGAAAAGGTTTATTCTGCCAGTGATAGTCACAGGATCTTAACAGATTTAATCAGATAATAATAAGCCAGGAACACTGTGATTTCTAATTTCAATTTAAACTTGAATTTGATAAAATACACTGTTTCGGTTACCTATGGCTACGTAACAAATTACCCCAAAATTTAATGGTTTACAAGCACAATTTGTTATTATCTCTCAGGATTCTACAGGTTGATTAGGTTAACCTGGGTGTTCTCTTTGGGGGGTCTCTCAAGCAGTTTTATCCTATAGAGGCTGGGACTGAAGTCATCAGAAGCCTCAATTGGGATGGTCATCCAAGATAACTTCTTCACTCACACACCTACACTTCCACGTAGCCTCTCTCTCCAGCCTGGAATTTTTACATGACAGCTCAGAGCTCCGAGATAGGAGGCAGAAACTGCTAGTCCTCTTAACAGGAGGTCTGGAACTGGAGCAGCTTTACTTCTGCTGTATTCTCTTGATCAAAACAGGCAAAAGTCAGTCCTGGTTCAAGGGGGTGGAGAAACATATTCCACCCCTCATGGGAGGGGAAGTTATGGATAGTAACCATCTTTGGAAACAAGGTGCCACAAAAATATTAGCAAATAAGAGCTGAAAACTTATACATCAGGGTCCAGAAAACAAAAACTGCCATATTGTCATCTTTTACATCTCTTATTCAGTCCTAACTCTGCTACTTATTGGTTGAGAAATTTTGAGCAATTTACTTAATCTCTCTAGCCTTAGTTTTCTCACCCATAAAATGGAGCTGATTATCACTAACATATATGCTTGTGAGAATTCAAAGCATAATGTCCTCAAAGTTTAAGTCTCAAATACAATGGGACTTATAAAATTAGATAGTTTCTTTTTTTTATGTACAGGCCTGTTTTGACCTCTTCACCTTTATGTGTTTCTGATTGCTTTTTACTCTTTCTTATTGGCATGAATGGGACTTCAGTTGTATTTTGGATTTAAATTACATTATATCTATAAAAATAATCCATAAAAAGTACCTATTTTAGAGAAACAGGAAAATTGTTCCCATGATGCATTATTCATTCATTCACTCACTCATTTCAAAATATTATGCTTAGAAGAGTTGTCAGAATATATGCTATGCCCAAGGATAGTACAACTGACTATGACATCTTCTCATGTAATGTTCACATACTAGCTAGGAAAAATAGTACTATGAACTGATTAGTTGGCTAAGGTGTTACAAATGCTGTACCAAAAACAAACAAACAAAAAAACATGAATAAGGCAATGGAAAATGTTAAGGAATTAAACCTAGATTCAGAAAAAGAGGCAGCATATAAAAAAAATAGGATAATTTTAGAAAATTCTATTAAATCTATTTCTCAGAGTAAAATGGGATAAGACAAAAGGAAAATATGTCATCAAGTCCTCAATAAATTAGGAAATATGCAAAATGGGCTAGAGGTAAGATTTTCTGATCAATAGCAGTTATTTTCCTGTTGTCAGCTCCTACCACTCTCAAACTCCTAACCCAACCTGAGGTAGCAGTGCCCCAAATTCCACCCCATGCCCAAGTCACATTTAATGGATAAGACAATGTTCAGCATCTTCAGTTCTACTCATTAAAATTAGCTGATTTCGCAAGAAGCGGATGCTACCCTTGGGGAAGAGAACTGGGAGCCTCTGTAGGAATCCATTGCGGGATAGTTTCTTTTTTAAAAAATGCAGGCCTATTTTGATCTCTTTGCCTCTATGTATTTCTGGTTGTTTTTCACTCTTATCGTCATGGGGTACTGAAAGTACTGCTCATTCTATTCCTCCCTGTAAGTTCAATTCACAAATGATTACGACTGTGTTTTGGGAAAACTTAGCCTCTCAGTTCCTTTGTTCAGAGCTGTGATAAGGAACAAGATAGATATTGATAAAGACAGGAAAGAAATCACAGATCCCTGTATCCTCTGCTTTGCTACTGTCAGTGATTTTTCATCAGCATCATTTAAACGTGTAAGTTTCTTCCCTATTTTAATATTTTAAATAGTTCATCCTACTCCAGGCTTCTCATCCACATTCACAGCCAAAATTGTTGAAATCATTCCTAATCCTCACTTCCTCACTTGTCATTCACTATTCCACCCTTAGAATTCCCATGATGTTGTTCATTCCCACAATGTCACTGAAGCTGCTTCTTGAAAAGAAAGGTTGCCAATCACTATATGTTCTAAACACAAAATATATTTTAGCTCTTCTCCTACTTAGCCTCTCAGCAGAATTGTACATCAATATTTGTTCAACATCAATACTCTTCAGTTTCCATTAAACCACTCTCTGCCTCAGTTTTCATTCTTCCTCTGTGGCCCTTCTATTTCATTCTCCTCCTCTGCCTTTCCAGTGCTCATTCTAAGTGTCAGTGTTCCTGGGGTTCTGGGCCAGGTTATCATTTTTATTCACCTTCCCTAGACTTCTTTGCTGATTTCATTCACTTACATGGTTTCAATCGACCTCTATATCACATTGACTCCAAAACTTATGGCACTAGCTAATATATCATTTTGCTTTAGTGCCAGTAGATTGATCCATCTTTTAAGCATTTTTACTTAAAATATAGTACCACGAATTCATCATAAAATTAAATTACTCATTTTATGTTTCTCTTGTTGTATATTCTCTCTTACCTGTATTACCCACTACCTTACATCCGTTTATCTAACTCTTAATAAAATCCTACAAAATCCTACAAAAATCTAACACATTACTTATATTTGACCATCTCCTTTAAAACAGTGTACTCCAAACATTTTATTTCAAAACATTATTATATGTGTATACATTTATATGTTATAAAAATATGCAAAACTAAAAACATGGTTGAAATAAAATAAAAATAAATAGAAGTTCTAATGTTTCTTTTGTTGTCTGGCCCATTAGCCGCTCTTACGTATCCCAGGAATATATACCCCATACTTCGGATACCACGGGTCTAGGTATCATCATGCTACACTGCCTAGAATGTTGCAGTAGTGTTCTATCTTCATTTATGGCACTATAGACAGAAGAGTCATTCTCAAAAGAAAACATGACTCCTGTGTAAAATCCTTCAGTAGCTTATCACTGCCTCAGGGGAAAAAAAACCCTAATTCAGCAACGAGACCCCTTTTGGTCTATTATCTCCCCTAGCCTATATCTGGGCTTCTTCCCTGCACCCTGACTGCAATAAACCTTACAAAGCTTACTCCCTCCTCTTAAAACCCACTTCTGACTTCACTGATTTCACTCTTATACACTGTTTAATGTTTAGCTCAGAATTCATACCCAAAAAACCTACCGAGACAGGGATAGGTGGCCTTACTCTGTGCTTCCAAGCCATCCTAGGGTTTCCTTTTGTCAAATCATAACTCATTTACTTGAAAATATAATCATCTGTTTCAGCCTGACTCTGGTACCATTCAAGACCATAGATTATTTGCTTCTGTATTTCATGCTCATGAAATGTCTTACAAGTTAGTGAATATTGTCTATGAGCTTTAAGTTTAAATTTAACTATTATATTTTCTTTCTTCTTGAATGTAGAGGTGCACGTAGCAGAAATGTTAAGAGCTTAGGCTTTGGAGTCAGCCAGACTAGGCTGAAATCCTTTTTCATTTCTTATTTGTGTAATATTGAGCAAGTTACATTCAATCTCTGAACCTCAGTTTGTGCATCTGTCAAATGGAGTAAAAAACATTACCTGATATGATTACTGTAGGGATAATGCATGTAATATATCTAGCATATTTGAAGATACATTGTAGAAATTCAACAAATTGAGCATTTATTCATTTATTATTTTCAAGGGTTCCCAGAAATGGTGATTTCAAGTGCATCTTAGGGTAGAACAGTTTAGGTATTAATTTATTCATTCAATAAATAATTGTTGTCCTCTATATGCAAGGTGCTTTGCAAGTGTTTTAAGCATTTGTTTTAGGTAGTCATGCTATTGGCATTTTATAACTTGTTTCCATATTTTATTAATAAGCTTTTTTTTGAAACAGGGTCTTGGTCTATTACCTAGCCCAGAGTGCAGTGGTATAATCATAGCTCACTGTAGCCTTGACCTTCTAGGTTCAAGTGATCCTCCCATAGCTGGGACTACAGGCATGTACCACCACTCCTGGCTAATTTTCTTTATTTTTTATAGAGATTAAGCCTCAATACATTACCCTGACTGGTCTTCAAGAGAGCCTCCCACCTTGGCCTCTCAAAGCTCTGAGATTACAGGTTGCACTGCCGCACCCAGGGCTATTAACAAATGTTCATCATCTCATTTCATTTTAATTTCATATTTTTAAATGTTTTGTTTCTGCTTCTCTTAATCAAACATATACCTTTCAATTTTAATACATTTTTTCTTCTAATAGATCTCTCCCTCTATATCTAGTGTCATGTTTTTTTATATCAATTTTCTACATCATGTTTTATTTAGAAGACTGCATCCAATCACCCATAAAGTACCTCCTATAAAATTTCAGGTCCTTTAATAAAGGTCATGGGGTTCTATAGGCTATTATATTCATATATTTTTCATTTGACTTTTTTTGTTCTCTCTCACTTAGAGGGACACAGAAGCTAATTTGGCCCTATAGTTAGTTTGAAACTTCATGTGTACATTATCTACACTAATGTCCAACCAATGATAATTACCATGAAAATAAAAGAGCTATTAAGCCTAAAAAATCAGTAGTTAATCTGGCCTGACATTCTGTATCTATCAGTGAGTACTGTTTAAAGCTTAGGGGGAGAAGGAGAACACATTATATTTCTAACTGTGCAAAACCGTTCCAAGAAAAATGGTTTTCTTCTGTTAAATAATCATCAGTTTAAGGCCAAAATATAAGGATTGAGGAATCCAATGCTTGGGAAATATTCTGCATAGTAAAAGGGCAAAAGCTATACTCATGCTTCGGTATCCTCCTATAGTCAACATTTTCCACGGTAAATTCAGTCCCATGTCATAGACTGCTGACAGTACTTTTTAAAAATAAATAAGCAATTCTTTTTATTTTTTCTCTTTAAGTCTTAACTTTAGTTGAAGATAACGTTAGAAATAACCTAGATAAAATAACTTTTATCTAGGACAGCCTAGATAAAAAGGTAGTGTCCAAGAAAAGAGAAGCTGAGCAGCAACAAGGAAAATAATCGGAACAAGTTGATATTGACACTGACAGGAAAAGGTAACAAAAATTGTGCTACAGGGTATGCACATGTGAGTTTCCCCTCTTGTCTGTAAAAAAAAGCTGTGCATTGAGCATCTAAAGTTCTGTGAGTCTAATATGAAGTTTCAGTCAAGCAAGATAATAAAAGGCAAACATGGACTGGTTTCATAGGGTGATAAATTTAGATATGTAAATGATGGTGAGTGTTTAATAAAAATTATCCAACTGAGAAATTTCGAATGATTAGAATTGAGATGGGAAGTCATCTGTTGCATAAACTTGTGGTGACTAGCCTCCAAGATGTCCCTGAATGATTCTTGCCTACTCATATTCACACTGTGTGGTTCTCTCCTACATAGAATAAGGCTGACCTGGATAACTAATAGTTTGACTTTTGAAGGCTAGGTAATAGAAGACGTTGCACTTTCTCTCTTACTCTCTTTTGGTTCATTTACTTTGAAGGAAATGAGCTGCTGTATGATGAGTAACTCAAACAGCCCTCTGAAGAGAAACACATATAAAGGAACTGAAGCCTCCTGTCAATAACCAGCACTAATTTGCCAGGAACATGAGTAAGCTAATTGTAGGTGAATCCTGCAGCTTCAGTCAAGCCTTTGCTAACATCTTGCCTGGAACTCATGAGAGATTACCAGCTGAAATTACCAGAACACCCAGCTAAGCTGTTCCCAAATTCCTGATCCATGGAAATTCTGTGAGATACCCATTTATTGTTGTTTTAACTTGATCATTTTAGGGAAAATTTGTTATGCAGCAACAAATAAGTATACATCATTGGAGGGGGAAAATATCTAGAATAGTTTGTAACAAAGGGTAAAGTTAAGTCCATGAAAATGGGGAGTAAGGTAAGATGTAGAGGAGAAAACCCACATAATATTAAGAAAAGGCACAAACTCCTCTGAGCTTTTTACCTGCTCATAGAATAAAAAACAGGAAGCAAGTCAAAGTAAATATGAAATAAAAAAGAATGAATTAGGTCGCAATAAATAGAAAAGCCAGGAGATAAAGAACAAAACAAAAGTTCATTTTGACAAAAATGGTCACAAAATCCAGAATGGCATCTTTTGAAAAGAGAGTAAAATCAGGTCCATTTAAAACAAAATCACTAGTGACTTGTAACACAAAGCATCTAATTCTCCATATTATATTATATTACAAAGAATCAGAAGTACAGGCTTCATATGGTTTTAGGCAGGTCAGTCCTAAGAGACATATGGGGCACAAGGTAAAGGGAGAAAAATAGGGAAGAAAAATTTAGTTATCGTTTTGTATAAATATGTAAACATGTAAATCTAACCCAAATATTTGAGAGTATTTTGGGTACCACAAATATGGTATTCTTGTTGACTCCAATCATGTCAATACATGCAATAAATCCTTTAGTTGCATGCTCTTTTACCAGTTGGCTTTGCTACATAAGGAGAGTGGTACAACCTTGGTTCTCATTTCGCTCCACTAACATGTCTCAGGATGATAACTTTTCCAGTATACAAATGTGGACACATGTACTGCATTATCAGGCAGTATCTAAACGGGCAGCATTACCATAAGCTTATATATTTTGTATCTTATTTTAAACTCCAAATAAAACTTAGCTTGGCATGCATATGAATAATAACCTTATGAATGATAAGGTAAAGATTTCGCCAATTTCAAATACAGTACCTAAAACAGTGATTTAGATTGAGTGGTATATTCTCCAAAAATCCTTAGTTGAGAAAAGAAGACATGCTTGCAACCAGATAAAATTTTATATAAGAATACATTATTATAATGTATTATTTTGCCACAAAAACTTAATGGCAATGAGTCATTTTGCACTAAAATAAATAGAAATATTGTAAAACATAAAACATTTAACTCATACTGCTAAACAGCTTGGGTAAATGACAAAATTGTCAATTTTTACATTTTATTTTGTTTGTTTTATATCTATTCAAATAACTGCTTATTAAGGCATGCTCACTGATTTTGAGTAAGTCTACAAAAAAACTTATTTTAGAACCTTCTCTAACATATACATAAATTTATTGGCTCATTAACTACATTAGAGAATCAACCAAGTCAAAAGTTAATAACTTTGTTTTCCAGACTGTATCTGCTTTCTATTTTATAAAAATAAAGAGCAACACTTTATAACACAGTTACAAGTTCTAAGTGAACTATACTTTAACTCAAACTGATAGAAATAATGTGAGATATATCTTAATTATAATTGCTTATTACATCTGATCCCTAATAACTACACAAGTTATTTTGTAGAATGTTCTATGCTAAAGAAATCTTCACCTTTCAATATTATTTAGAAGCCAAAACACAAACTCATATACAGTACTTTGCAATTCTTTAATGCTTTTCCATTTCTTTATTCTACGAGCTCTTGGAGAGCCAATCTCCTATCTAACCTCAATTTCAAATTCCAATACCCAGAGTAGTGCACGAGCACAGTGTATTACTCATGTGGGCTAGAACTATGGCTTCAACATTATTCTGCCTCTGATTCTTTGGGGTGTTTTCCTTCAATGATCTTACATGGATAGGCTTAATTCTCTATATTGTTTTCTTAATACACATTTCCTTTTCAAAACTATCCCCTAACCTTAATACAACATTTTGACTCCACTTCAATAGTGCATAGACTGAAGTTTTAATTTTCCTATTCTTTTCCTGGACCCCAATTAACCTAACCTAGATTAAGAAATGTATTCTAAAATGTTAGTGGAACATTAATACTAGTAAATAACATCAGAGTCCTAAAGTTTAATCCTTAAGGACTAAACGTGGTAACTAAATTTTACCTAATCATTTGAGTACCATGGTTTTCTACGGAGCAGCAACAGAAGAGACACCTGCCCTCTCCCACAGGCTAATTTTAATTCTTTCACAAATCACTGAGAAGTCCTGTGAGTCATACACATAATTTCCACATGAATATGTATGAGTATATTTTATTAAAGCATACATTTGAAATAAAATCTTTCTGATGTAGCCATTTATGAAAACATATTTCTATTAACCAATGAGTTGCTAACATTTTTATAATCTCTTAAATCTTATGCTATATTTCTTGCTGAAAGTAACAAGCTGTATGAATTTCAACAAATGGTACCAATGCAGCACAGATGAAACATAAATTCTTCAAAATTCATTTCTCTTTAATACCACTTTGCTATACTGCACCTCAGTCTTTCATGTTCTACTTTTCTATTTCACTCTCAAGTACCAAGCATTAGAATTTTGATTCTATAGACAATATTTAAGTGGACTGAACCATTTTGTTCAATAAGAATATTACAGTAGTAAAGCATGTCAAACAATTGCCAAATCTATTATTTAAATAATTTTGAATATATAAAACTTAATACCCATGGTTATTTTGAGAAATGAGCAATAAAATATTAACATAAAACTTTATTATGCTGATGGCAATTGGCTAATTAATCATAATAGAGGAAGAAATAATCAATAATATTGATTTGACTTATCGTCTACCTATTATTTATTCAGCTATAAAGAACGTTGGTTGATGTAAATACTGCATCAGCCCAAAATGATATCAGTAATATTTTTTTGTCAAAGCAAGAAAGTACCAACAATTATTCATCTTATTGTTTCAGTGGGTTTAATATGCCACTTGTTTAACTCTGAAAAAAATTTTAGCTTAGTTGGCTAAGTAATATAGTAACATATCTCTTTGGAGATAATTTTTGGTGAAATTGTCACTGTCAGTTATGTCTTTAATAGATGTTAAAAATTTAGCAAGAACATTTCATATGTTTTAATTTCCCAATATCTCTAACTACAACTTCCTTAAAAGCCTTAGTTCTTTAATGTTACATTAAGCCAAATCACTTTTTTTCCTGAATTCTAAAAATTTTGGCTTGTGTACTGATGTTTTCTTAATATAATAATTTTTTACTCTTTTGAGTTTTTAAATGTATATAATATTTTAACATTTAAATATATTTTAAAATTGAATTATAGTGAACCATTGTTTTTTTAAAACCTTTATGTTACCTGCAATTTTACTGCACCTAGATTTGGGTGCAGTACTACAGTACTACACTCTATGAGGCTAATAATACAAACAAGAAACAAATCCACAAACCCCTCTTTTACTGTTTCCTGAAGCCCCAACATTTAAGCCAGTAACTAATCAGCTTACACACAGTCCACACCTTATGAACTCTCCCATTCATGTTCATCATTTAATTTTGTGTTATATATATTTCCCCCAGAGGATGACATTTCAATTCTGTCTGACTTCTGAAGGCTTACTTCAGCAGATGTTCCATACGGAGCTAGAATGACTTGCCTAGTAACTCTGTTTCTCTAATTTTAATCAAATGTTCAGTCATGTAAAGCCAGAGGGAATTTCTTTTTAAATTAATATAAATTTCACACGGAGCTACTGTGTGGTGCAAAGAATCCAAAATGCTATTTTCTAAAAGGTTAGAAAGTCAGTTGAAACACAGTTGAATACAAATAAAAGTATTTATGCAAGTGAGTGGCCTGAGTCCCTCTCTTGCTTTGTCTAAACTTCAAAGCCAAGATGCTCTCATCTGTTGACTGAAAAGTTTCCACCAAACGACGTGATTTGAGAGGTGCTAGAAAGCAGCTCTTGTTCCCCAAAGCCCCTCTCCCATCCGATGTATGAAATGTTTTTCAAAGGATATACAAGGGCTCTTCTATTATCACAGACAGTTTAAAATACATGGATTCTTAAGAAAAGGAAAACTAGTGACTTCAATTTGTGCAAAGATGTAATTTACTGGCATTAGACCTGAGTTGAATCTGTGACTGTGTTTATATGTGTGAAAACAGCGGAGGAAAGGAGAGGTGTTGACAGGGAATAGAGCAGAGGACAAAGAAATAACTCAGAGATAGCAAAAGCCAAACTTTCTCTAATTTACAACTTTAAGCTCTTCCTTGAGTCTTGGATAAGATACTATAAAGACAGAAAAGAATTTCCAATTTCAGTGAAAAATATGAAATAAAAAGGAAAAATAAAAAGGAAAAATTAAAATGATTAAAACTGAGCTCATATACTGGTTTAGAGTTCTCATGGCAATAGCTGTACCTTATATTGTCCTGCTTTATAACCAGGCTCAGCCAGCCATTTAACAAGAAAAACTTAAACCTTTAAAATGGTAAAAAATATATTTCAGATCTACACAGATTTTCGATTTTTTTTAAGTAACATGATATACAGTTTAAGCTAATATAACAGCTTAAAGACAAAAGTAGGATAAGTCAGAGACCATTTTATCTGCTTTTATATAGTTTTGCTTAAACACTTGGTGTTCAAAATAATTTTAATTGGTGTATATATATAAAACAGGAAACAAATGTTTTAAATGGATTTTTTTTGGCATGATGGAAAACCTTTTTTGACTTTATAATTTACCACCTGCATTTCAAGGTCCAATTGTCTAAATAATATAAATTTAATATAAATATAAATATATAATAAATATATAAATATCTTTGCAGAAGTTATATGTTTATAACTTACAATTATATTATATAACATAATGTAACAATTAGTTAATTATAATTAAATTTACAAATATATAATCAAATAACTTTATATATACTTAGCAACAAATACACACACACACACACACACACACATATATATATAGCAACAATTATCTAGATATATGGTTGTTGTTGTTTCAGAGACAGAGTCTCACTATATTGCCTATACTAGACTCAAACTGCCTGAGCAGTTTATATTGCTGGGTTCAAGCAATCCTCCCACCTCAGCTTCCTGAGTAGCTGGAACTACTGGCATGTACCACTGTGCCCAGCTTAATTGCCATTTTGACTAAGGGTTATAAACATATAATTTCTGTGGAGATATCATTTATATTTTCTAGACAATTGGACTTTGCAATGTAGGGGACAAATTATAAAGAAAGTCAAAAAAGAGATTTTCCATCATGCAAAAATAAAGATCAATTTTAAAAATTTGTTTCCCATGATTATATAATGGAAGTATTCTGGATTAAAATAAGAATAAGCTTTCAAAACTCAACTTTCAAATCATTCACCAGTTTTAGCTGGTGAAACAGTCAAGTTGAATAGAAAATTGCCAAGTTCTAAGTATAAAGTGAGTCAGAATAAGCTAATTTATGCTGTAGTAATAAACAAGCTCAAATTTTCAGTGGTCTAATGCTTCATGTCCACTGCAGATTTGAAAGAAGGCCCTGCTCTTTGTGATTATTCAAAGATGCTGCTGACATACATTTGATATTAGCTCTTATTTTCATGATCTCTGAAGCAGGAAAAAGTGATTGTGACAAAGCATGCACTGACTCTTAAAGCTTCCACATGGAAATGGCACATGACATTTCTCTTCAACATTTCTTTGCCCAAGGCAAGTTAGATGACCACACTTAATTGAAAATTACTAGTAAAATGCAATTCTACCATGTTTCTGTAAGGAGAGGCAAATTGGAGTATTTGTGAACAGACCTAATAACCACTATAATAGAAAAGGTAGGCCTTTTCTATTATTAGAAGTAATCCTTCTCTTAATTACAGGAAATTGGGGCTTACGTTAAACTTAGAGGTAAAGTGGGTGTTGTACAGAGACAGCCAGGATGGTGGTGGGCATGGAAATAGGCAGTAGGTTTTGCTCCATGGGAGAGATGAATCAAACTATTCTACTGTAGGAAGATGGCTATTAATAAGACACAAAATAGCTCGGACCCAAAAGAGCTTGCTGCTTATAATTCTCACTAACAATAGTAAGCAAGAGGACAATATTAACCTGGAGGCAAATGGATCATGAGGACTGAAAGCACAACTGCAAATGACCTTTGTATATTAATCAGTGTTAACTACATTGGTAATGAATTGCTGGTTGCACTTGGCTTTTATTTTACTTTCCTTTGTTCTATAATAAAAAAAAAAAACATGTTGTCTTGTTATTGGCAGTATGTCTTTTAGTCTCACAGAAATGGATTGAGTAATTGATTACCCAGAGTGTTAACTGCAGGCCTTAGGCCTCATCCAGCCCCCAATGTAGTCTCCACTGGTTGTGCTCTAACTGTGGTTGTCACCCCTCACTACTAGAAACCAAGAAATGGGAGAAGACACAGGTCTAAAGACTAAGCATACATTCTTGTCCCAACCTTCTGAACAGTAGTTGAAATAAGTTGATATCTATCTATCTATCTAACCTAGCTATATTACTATTTTCATATGGGTCTGATAAATAGTTTTGTTTATTCATAGACAAGACATTCCTCTAATCTATGTACTGAAGTTGAATAGAAAAGAAATTAATGATAGCAGTTTCTTCTCTATGAACATGACAAAAATTGCAACTTATACCATTACTTCAACCTCAAGGCTGTTTATACATCTGTATATTAATATTTACAGTATCTCCAAATTTTTCTAATCCTCTTAATTACAGACACTTCAAATGACTCTGAGGTACACAGTCTTGTCTCTAGTCGCTATTGAATTTAGCAGGATCCAAGGCTGATGGGATGTTTGGGTAAGAGCAGAATGTGGCCTTACTTATAAACCTCTCCCATGCCCCAGGGTCTTTAGGCAGTAGAATTTAAATTTCTTCCATGTCATCACTGGTGACTACAGACTTAAACTAGACTTTGACAGGATGTTCTTTCTTCAAGCAAAAATGTGTGCTAACTAAATTTGGGGGGCAAGTATGAGCAGCACTGAACTGTGTGCTTTGGAACCACACCCTGGCATGATATTCTGGTTGAGAATTATTGTAATTATACATGTATTCATCCTGTGGCTCTCCTGCTTAACTTCCAATAAATTGGTCATTAAAGTTAGAATTGGCGATTACACTAGGTTCCTTTTTTTTTTTTTTAAATTCTGACCAAATTCTTTTACAAAATTCATAATGCCATAAATTATAATGAAAAATAAAATAGAAACTATGAAAGAGCATTATGTTTATTCATAATAATCTTTGATTTTCTAATTTTACTCTGTTTCTGAATTTTTAATGTCTGTGAAAAAGCATACTTTTTGGAGAGGGAACATGAGCTCTTCCTGAGATTATATTTAAAAACTCATCCCTTCTCTTAGTGAAAATTAAGAGGAAAATACATTTGATTTGCACACCCTAAAATATCTCCATTTGTTTTCATAACTCCTGATAATAAGTGGTTTAGGGGATTATTATTTTAAAATAAATAACTTTGTCCAAGAGCATGAAACTAAATTGAGAGTAATAAACAGTATTAATGAATTCTTAAGTTCAATCTTAAGCACAATCATAGTTGATCTCCAATGAGAGGACTGTTGTTAACCAAAATTAAGTATCTTAGGTAAAGCAATGATAATTTAAAATATTTTTATTTTGAATATGAATTGGAATGTATCATTTCCCATTGACAGTAGTGGAATATTAATCAATGTATTGTACTGTTCCTGATTTCTTTAATAGGAGAGAAAATGAATGAAAGTGGTCCTGTCAAGTATGGAAAATGTTCCTTATCCATTCATGATAATATGACTATCTCTAGTATCAACAAAGGTGCTGTATTTCCCACTGTACTGCACTGTCAAAAAGTTTAAGTGAAACCAAGTCAAATGAGCAAGTTCAGTGTCTATAAGAGGCATCCAAAAACCAGTACCTATTATTGTAACACAGGCAGTGGTTTGCACCAGAAATTTCAAGTGATCTTTTCGTCCTCTCCCTCATTCACATCCTGCCCAAACCCAATTAATCATTAAGTTCTAGCCTACATTTTATTAATCTTTAAGTTCTAGTTGAGTATCATTTGAATCTAATTACTTCTCTCTCTTCATACTACAACTATTTTTCTCCTGGTTTGCTCTCCATAAATATTTATTGACTGAATGAATATTTGGCCATCAATATCTTCTAAACTAAAATGATTTGCCTTTCTCCAAATCTACTCTGAGCAGATTTTGTTGCTGGTGCTCACATTATTGTTCATTCCTGGAAAGCCTTTTTCCCATGGATCCTATTAAGACCTAATAGTTTATCAAAACTTTATTCAGAAAGCCTGCTCTCTTACATTTCTCCTTTCCAAAAGGAAAGTAATCTACTCTTACATTTAGCTAATGTAAGAGTACTTTTCTTAAGAGATTGTTAGGGCAACTATCTTCTAACAGATTAAGTTCTTTGAGAAGAGGATCTAGGAAATGATCATCTATGCTTCCAAGAGTCTAGAACAATTTATTCTATGTAACTAAAGCACAATATTCATTTTTCCTAACATAATTGATATTTTAACATGTTGCAGTACTTCCCAAGTTTAGTTGCAAATTATCTGAAGAAATTTTTTAGGATGCAGATTTCTAGGCCCTATCCCAGTCTAATAAATCCAAACTCCTGAAAGAGGGCTGCAGACTGGACTCTTCCGGTTCTGCTGCATTGTGGATGTGAATAGGCAAGCTAAAATATTTATCTATCCATTACCTAAACCCAACAGCATTAAACATTCATTGAGAGTCAGAAAGCAGTATGTATCTGGCCCTTTTGAAATTTTCCTATTTTTCTTAGTCCAACAACTTACATTTTTACGTCTTTTTCCTAGTCCTTTCTTTAAAACCATAGAATTGAATATTGTCTTTTTCTTTAATCGAATGAAGGCAAAAGATTTCAGCAAAACTAAAAAATCCATATCATACCCTTACTTCATTTTTAAAAGTTCCTACTACCACTTTATATAAACATAATATTTTATAATTTGTTCACTTAACATGTATTTACCATTTCCATTATTTCACCTGTTTTTTTAGCTATTTATCTTCAGCTTTGTTGATAATCATTATGAATATTTTAACAGTTCAATATTATCACTAAGTTCTTTAAGGGCCATCTTCAATTAAATGTACTTTTTTATCTGCTTTTTCAACATTTGAAGTTATTCTCCAATATTTGATCATCTTTTTTTATCCTCTATAGTTTATTTTCCAGCCAAATCATCCCTTTTCATTCTATCAAGATGGTAGCATTATTTCCTTTCACAAATACAATAGCACATAGATCCTCATTCTATTCTTAGATTTGAAATGATGAATAAAAACTTGCCTGGTGAGCAAATATCCACAATTTTTTTCCTTTTCTTAAAAAAAAAAACAAAAATTATATGTATTCATATTCCTCTGATGTAATTTAATTCAAAGCACTCAACAGGAAAACATGATCAATAATGAAAGTAATATAAGATCAAAATAACCTCATATCAAAATTCATTCTAAAGAACAGAAAAAAAATTGATCTATTTTGAAAAAACTCAAATGTAATGAATCTACAACAAATAATAACAGCATTTCTTTTGATAATAAACTCTGATAGTTAACACTGGTTTAAAGCCTACTTTGAATCAGATATTTTACATAATTATGTCTACTTCTATCTACAGTAGCCCTATCAGATTAAGTCCTATTACCCCCAGTTTATGGATGTAGAGAAGCCTGTTAAATAACTTTTCTAAGGCACATGGCCATAAGTAGCCTTACCAGGTTTCAAGCCCAAGTCTACCAGGCTCTAAAGCCTTTTACCAAACCATTCTGCCTATCAGTGAAAAAGACTCATTATCACTGCTAAATGCCTAAGGGCCCAGTTGTACTCTGTTACCTTTGATTTAGTCACTTAGCATTCCTGGGTATCAATTTCTTCTTATCAATATTAGGATATTGTATTAAAAGCTTTCAAAGTCCCTTGCAGCATTGAAACTCTGAGGTTCTAGCATAGAAAATCTAAAGTTTTATCACCACTTCATCTGCTAATATCCTATACAGTGAAAAGCCATTACCATTGATATGGTTTGGATATGTCTTCCCCAAATCTAATGTTGAAATGCAATCCCCAGTGTTGCAGGTGAGGCCTGGTGGAAGGCATTGGAATCATGGGGGTATATCCCTCATGAATGGCTTAGTGCCATCCCCTTTATTATGAGTGAGTTTATGTGAGATCCAATTGTTTAAAAATGTGTGGCACCTCCTACTCGCTCTCTCTTGCTCCTACCCATGCCATGTGAGATACCTGTTCCACCTTCACCTACTATCATGATTAGAAGCTTCCTAAGGCCCTCACCAGAAGCTGATGCCAGTACTATGTTTCCTACACAGCCTGCAAAGCCATGAGCCAACTATACCTCTTTTCTTATAAATTACCCACCCTCAGGTAATTTTATAGCAATGCAAGAACAAATAGCCTAACACAAAAAAATGGTACTGAGGAGTGGAGCATTGATATAAGTATACCTGAAAATGTGGAAGAAATTTTGGAATGGGAAGAGGTTGAAAGATTCTGGAGGACTCAGAAGAAGACAAGAATATCAAAGAAAGTTTGGATCTTCTGGTGCTGGGTGCAGTGGCTTGTGCCTGTAATCCAGCACTTTGGGAGGCCAAGGCGGGCAGATCATGAGGTCAGGAGATCAAGACCATCCTGGCTAACACAGTGAAACCCCATCTCTACTAAAAATACAAAAAAATTGCCCGTGGTGGTGGACACCTGTAGTCTCAGCTACTCAGGAGGCTGAGGCAGGAGAATGGTGTGAACCCAGGAGGCGGAGCTTGCAGTGAGCCAAGATCACACCACTGCACTCCAGCCTGGGGGACAGAGCAAGACTCTGTCTCAAAAAACAAACAAACAAAAAAAAAAAAACAAAGGTTTGGATCTTCTTAGAGACTGGTTAAATGGTTGTGGCCAAAATGCTGATAGTGACATGGACAGGGAAGTCAGGATGAAGAGGTCTCAAATGGAAATAAGGAACTTATTGGAAACTGTAGCAAAAGTCATGTGTGTTATCCCTTAGCAAAGAGTTTGGCTGCATTCTGTTCATGCTGTGGGGATCTGTGGAAGTTTGGACTTCATAGTGATGATTTATGGTATCTTGTGGAGGAAATTTCTAAGAAGCAAAGTGTTCAATATGTGGTGTGGCTGCTTCTAACATCCTATGCTTAGATGTGCGAGCAAACAAATGACCTAAAATTGAAGCTCATATTTAAAAGGGAAGCAGAAGTATAAAAGTGTGAAAAATTTGCAGCCTGGCAACATGGTAGAAAAGAAAAGCCCCTTTTCAGGGGAAGAATCCAAGCAGGCCGCAGAGCAACCACTTGCTAGAGAAATTTGCATAACTAAAAGGGAGCTATGAACTAATAGCCAAGACAATGGGAAAAAGTCCTCCAAGCCATTTCAGAGATCTTCCAAGATAACGCCTCCCATCACAAGTCCAGAGGCCCAGAAGAACAGAATGGTTTCCTGGGTCAGGCCAGGAGCACAAACGCCTTGTGCCACCTAGGGTGGCTGCTCCCTGCATCCCCACTCTACAGCTCTAGCTCAAAGGTGCCTAGATACAGCTCAGACCAACACTCCAGAAGGTAAAAGCTGTAAGCTTTGGTGGCTTCAATGTGGTATTAAGCCTGAAGGTGCACAGAGGACAAGAGTGAAGGAAGCTTGGCAGTCTCCACTGAGATTTCAGAGGATGTATAGAAAAGCCTAGGGTACCTAAGCAGAAGCCTGCCACAGGAACAGGGTCCTCACAGAAAACCTCTACTAGGGTAGGGAGGAGGAAAAAGGTGGGGTTAGAGCCCCAGCACAGAGGTCCCACTGGAACATACCTAGTGGAACTGTGGGAAAGGAGTCACCATCCACCAGACCCCATAATGGTATATCCACAATCAGCTTCCATGATGCACCTGGAAAACCTATTGGCACTCAACTCCAACCTGTAAAAGCAGCTGTGGTGGCTCAACCCTCAAAGGACATAGGGACAGAGCTGCCCAACACCTTGGGAGCCCACCCCCTTGCAGCAGTGTGCCCTGGATGTGGGACATGGAGTCAAAAGAGATCATTTTGGAGCTTTAAGGTATAATGACTGTTCTGCTGGGTTTCAGACTTGTGTGGAGCCCATAGCCCTTTTCTTTTGGCCAATTTCTCCCTTCTGGGCAGAGAATGTCTACCTAATGCCCATACCCCCATTGTATCTTTGAAGTAAATAACTTGGTTTGATTTTACGGTCTCATGGGTGAAAGAAACTCATTTCCAAATGAGATTTCGGACTTGAGACTTAGGACTTCTGAGTTAATGCTGGAATGAGTTCTGGCTTTGGGGGGACTATTGTGAAGAGAGAATTTTATCTTGCAATGTGAGAAGGACATGAGATTTGTGGGGACCAGGGCAGAATAATATAGTTTGGATCTGTGTACTCTCCAAATATCATGTTGAAATGTAATCTCCAGTGCTGGAGGTAAGGCCTGGTGGAAAGTATGGGGATCATGGGGGCATATCCTTCATGAATGGCTTAGCACCATCACCTTTGTTTTGAGTGAGTTCATGCAAGATCTGATTGTTTAACATTGTGTGGCATCTCCCACTCTCTTTCTCCTACACATGCCATATGAGACACCTGCTCTCCCCCTCACCTTCTACCACTGGAAGCTTCCTGAGGCCCTCACTAAATGCCAGTGCCTGCACTGTGTTTCCTGTACAAACTGCAGAGCCTTGAGCCAATTAAACCCCTTTTCTTGTAAGGAACCCAGCCTCAGGTATTTCTTTACAGCAAGGCAAGAACAGCCCAACACAATCA
Source organism: Homo sapiens (assembly GCF_000001405.40). Lineage (NCBI taxonomy): Eukaryota > Metazoa > Chordata > Mammalia > Primates > Hominidae > Homo > Homo sapiens. Next base: position 76,565,964 of record NC_000006.12, on the reverse strand, counting down.
TCTAACTGGAGCTTTAATTTCCTTTGACTATCTAATTTTATAGATCTTGTTTATTTTCTGAAAACCATTTAATTTATCATTCAGATTACGGGCTAATAGAAAATGGAAATTTTGCTCAGCATGGCATTGACATATGGCATGTTTAGTTTGCACATATAGACAAGTCAAGACCTGATAAGTCATATGTGACAGTTAATACATCCTCATGCTGCTTTTGTGAAAACAATGATCTTGATATGACTGGATTATTTGCCTTTTTGCTACATTTATTTTCTAATGTGTAATATCTTTAAACTGACTCCTGTCCATCAGTGAAGTAAAATGTGATGGGATTTCTAATGAAAAAAATAAAACAACAAATTTTTCCTTTATAAAGAGGAAACATTTTATTTAACTTAATACCATATTTGAAACATTGCTTCCAAGATCAGCTAACATATTTCATGTATTCATGTATAAAACTAGAGTGACATATACTCAGTAAGGCTTTGATTAGATGGGTTTGCCCATGACTTTTAAGTTTATCTAATGAGCTGAGCATTTTGTTAGAGATATTTTCTTACTATTTTTTGAAGCAATCCTCAAAGATCATTTACATAATAGAGATATGTTGATACTGTTTTACATTTTTCTTTCTAGTTTTACATATTTAGGTGAGACAATATCATGGATGAAAAGAACACAAGACTTAGAATTAGATGGCTTAGATTTGAAATCTAGTACCACTTTTGTTAGGTAGATTAGCAAATTACCTAACATCTCTGGGTTTTAGAATCTCCCTCTGCAAAAATAAAAGTAAAAAACACCCACATGTTTAACAGTGCAATTCTTAGGAAAATTAATGAAATGGCAAATGGTTAATACTTATTAGTTGAAGTTATGCTTTCTGTCCCCACTGAGAAAAATTACTTATTGTATAAACTAATTCTGTTGCTACAAAAACATTAAGATATATAGACTTTAGTGGAAGTGTCACTAACCATATAATGGGAGTCTCAAAACAACCAAAAATAGAAAAGAATGAAAATATTTATAATACATGACTACAAATGTCCCAAAATTAAAGAAGAATGAAAGATTTTAGAATAAAACATTTAAGCAAGCATAAGAAGTCCAACACATAGAAACATAATGAGCCTGTGTCTTCATGCATAAATGGAATCAAATAGAGAACTCAGACATAAAGCTACATATTTACAGCCAACTCATCTTTGAAAAAGAATGACAAGAACATACTCTTGGAAAAGAACACCTTTTCAATAAATGGTGCTGGGAAATTTGGGTTGCTGTATTCAGAAGAATAAAACTGGACCTTATCTCTCACCATGTAAAAAATCAACTCAAGATAGGTTAAAGACTTAAATGTAAAACCTGAAACTATAAAAATACTAGAAGAAAATCTAGGAAAACTCCTCAGGACATTGAGCTAGGCAAAGAATTCATGACAAAGACCTCAAATCACAGGCATCAGAAACAAAAATAGTCAAATGGGACTCAAAAAGCTTCCCTACAGCAAAATAAATAATCAAAAGAATGAACAGTCAACTTGCATAATGGGAGAAAATATTTGCAAACTATATGTGGCATAGTTACATAAATAATATATTTATAAAATTTAATATCCGAATTCAAAGAACTCAAGGAACTCAACAGCAACAACAACAAACAAATAATCTCGTTAAAAATTAGACAAAGGACATGAATAGACGTATTTCAAAAGAGAACATACAAATGGCCAACATATGAAAAAACAATCCCACTAATCATCAGAGAAACACAAATTAAAACCACAATGAGATATCATCTTATAGCAACTGGCATGGCTATTATTAAAAGACAAATAATAACAGATGTTGGTGAGGACGTGGAGAAAATGGAACTCTTAGACACTGTTGGCAATGTAAATTAGTGAAACCTTTAGTATGAAGATTTTTCAAAGAATAAAAAATAGGACTATCATTGAATCCAGCAATCCCACTACTGAATATCTACTCAAAGGAAAAGAAATCATTACATCAAAGAGATACCTACACCTGTATGTTTATCACAGCATTATTCACAATAGCAAACATGTGGAAACCACCAAAGTGTCCCCCAACAGATGACTGGATGAAGACAATGTATCATACATGCAAAATAAAATATTATTCATTCATAAAAAATAAAATCATGTCTTTCGCAACAACATGAATAGAGCTGGAGGCCATTATCTTAAGTGACAGAAGTCAGACATAAAATGACAAATACTGCATGTTCTCACTTAAAAGGTGGGAACTAAATAATGTATATACATGGATATAGAGTGTATAGAGTGTGGGATGATAGATATTGAAGACCCAGAAGGGTAAGGAGGTAGAAGAAGGATGGATGATGAGAGATAACTTAATGGGTACAATGTATGTTATTTAAGTGATTGATACTCTAAAAGCCCTGATTTCCCAAATATGCAATCTATACCTGTAACAAAATAACACTTGTACCCCATAAACTTATACGTACAAAAATAAAAGAAAAAGAAAGAACTTGTGTCTTCCTATAAAAAAAAAAATCAGATTTACATTAGGTTCTCAAGAGTAACACTTTAAGAAAAAAAAATGTGGTAATGTTTTCAGAAGTATTTCAATTTATAGTACTTACATACAGCAAAACTATTATTTAATAAGAGGGTAAATGAAAACATTCTCAATGCCTCTGAAGTTTTATCACACAAAGACTCCGTAAAACACTCTGGGAAACAGAACTCCATCAAGAAGATAAATAAATACAGGAAATCATTAAAATATATAATGGAAGTGGGCTAAAATAAGTAACTTGTAACATTCTGTCATTACCTAAAATAGGATACCCAAAGTCTGCCAGAACAAGAAATCGATGAAACCAATATGTCAGGGTTAAAGGATGGGAAGGGCAAGAGATACCAGAAAGCTAGAAAGGGGATCATGCTAACATCATTGCCTTGTTTGCCCAAAAATATAAAGATACTGATCGACTTCAGAAATGATAGAGAAAAATAAACTTAGGTATGTATCTTAATAAATTAGAGGTAGCTTCCAGAAAACTAACATACACTTTTAAAAAAACTCTCAAACTAGAATAATCAGCCTTTTCAATGGGGTTAGAAAATGACAAAAAGAAGCAAAACAGAAATACAGAAATAGAAAATGTGAATATGAAATAAGATGGCAAAATAAGTCCTAATGTAATATTACTTATATGTATTAAATGTATGTATGACATGTATTAGTAATACAAATTTCTAATTTGTATTACTGGTGTGTCCGTGTGAAGAGACCACCAAACAGGCTTTGTGTGAGCAATAAAGCTTTTAATCACCTGGGTGCAGGCAGGCTGAGTCCGAAAAGAGAGTCAGCGAAGGGAGATGGGGTGGGGCCTTTTTATAGGATTTGGGTAGGTAAAGGAAAAAGGGGGGTTGTTCTCTGGCGGGCAGGAGTGGGGGTCACAAGGTACTCAGTGGGGGAGCTTTTGAGCCAGGATGAGCCAGGAGAAGGAATTTCACAAGACAATGTCATCAGTTAAGGCAGGAACAGGCCATTTTCACTTCTTTTGTGGTAGAATGTCATCAGTTAAGGCAGGAACCGGCCATCTGGATGTGTATGTGCAGGTCACAGGGGATAAGATGGCTTAGCTTGGGCTCAGAGGCCTGAAAATAAATATATGTGCATTAAATGTATTAGTTAAAAGACAGGAATCTGAGGCTTGATACAAAATAAATAAGAAAATAAAGATCCAGAAATATGTTTCCTATAAGAGGCAAACTTAAAGTAAATGAATGTAGAAATTTTGAATGTAAGTTAATGAAAATAGATGTATCAAACAAATAAGAAATAAAAAGAAGCCAGGTGAAAAATTTAATAATAAGCAAAGTAGAATTCACCAAGGAAAATTCACAATGTAAAACAAAAGATGTCACGTATCTGGAAAAGAACAATAGATTAAAAAAATGCAATATCACAAACATATATGCACCTATCAACATAGCCTCAACATTGATTTTTTTAAGAACTTAAAGCTGTGAGTAAGCAGATAAACCAACTATTATGCTGGAAATTTATTTACAAAAAAACCTCAGAGTCTAATACATAAGCAATATAAATATGAGCAAAGATCTAGAAGATTTTTAAAGCACAATAAGCCTGAACAAAAGAATTATAGTAGTTCTGAGACACCATATGACCATTTTCATGTTTCTGTATGGGTAGGATTTCTAAGCAAAGAAAACTGAAATGTCATAAAAAAAATGTTTCTTTTCTTTCCCCAGACCCATTTCCTCACATACCAAGTGTCAGACCTGGAGCCATCTGCTTCCATTCAAAGGGCAATAAAACTTTTCTTCTCCGGTGCCAAGTGCTTGCATAATGAGGGCAGGGATCTTCACCTTTTTCTTCTCAGAGAAAACTCAGCTTACTTTAGAGAAGAGAGTGGTATGTGTAGAGCAATATCTACATAAACTTCCAAATTCACAAGCTTGGATTTCTTCTTTTGTAGTGCAAAATATATTCTGTCAGTATGTATAGGGTTTCACGCGCATCCGTGTGAAGAGACCACCAAACAGGTTTTGTGTGAGCAACAAGGCTGTTTATTTCACCTGGGTGCAGGCGGGCTGAGTCCGAAAAGAGAGTCAGCGAAGGGAGATAGGGGTGGGGCCGTTTTATAGCATTTGGGTAGGTAGTGGAAAATTACAGTCAAAGGGGGTTGTTCTCTGGCTGGCAGGGGTGGGGGTCACAAGGTGCTCAGTGGGGGAGCTTTTGAGCCAGGATGAGCCAGGAGAAGGAATTTCACAAGGTAATGTCATCAGTTAAGGCAAGAACAGGCCAGTTTCACTTCTTTTGTGATTCTTCAGTTACTTTAGGCCATCTGGATGTATATGTGCAGGTCACAGGGGATATGATGGCTTAGCTTGGGCTCAGAGGCCTGACACAGGGTAACATCTGCTATCATTGAATCACTCTTGAAAGAGGAAGAATGGGCCATGTGGAATCAATGTGATGGTAATCGATTATTACTTACTACTTAATCTATTATTAAGTAATAATAGTAATAAGTAATAGATTACTTATTATTATGTAATATAAGTAATCTTGTTTTAGAATACTAAAAAAAATTAAAAGTTTATCAAGAACATTATACTTAATAATAAATACATATTCATTTAAATTCCTAAGCTATAACCAAATCCCTATGAATTTCTAACAATTAAGATTATATAGTTTATGTTCTCTGGCCATAATTAATTAAACGTAACTAACAACAACAACAAAACCTTGGTCGGGAGAAGTATAAATGTATTAATGAGTCACCCATGAACAAAGCACTACATTAAAGTTTATAGTACACTGTTAGTGCAGTACCTAGAGGAAATGTATAGCTTTAAACATGTCAATCAAAACAGTAAAAATAGTAATAAAACATTTTGAATTCAATTAACACAATTAGAAAAAAAATAGAGCAAATCCAAAGAAGCAGGAATAAAAAATTAATTTCATAATTGCAGCATAAATCATTGAATTAGAGAACAACCACTAAGTAAAAATTAATTTAAAAATTGAACATTGTGTTAATATTGGAAAACCCTTGACAAAGCTGACAAGAACAATCTGAAACCAGAAATCCTCGTCAGCATGAGAAAATAAAGAAACAAATGATAGATAAAATATTTGAATGTGTAAATAATTATGAATGAGAAAGTCATCTACATCAGCAGTTCTCAAATGTAATCTGAAAATTTTGGAGGTTCCTGAGACCCTTTCAGAGAGTTCATAAGGTCAGAACTATTTTCATAATACTAAGTTGTGTTTGACCTTTTCATTTTTATTTTCTTATGATTGTACAGTGATTTCAGAAGCTATACGCCATCTAACATGGCAACAGACTGAAATAAAAAGCATATATAAAAATTCAGCAACTTCTACTAAGTCAAACATTAAAGGCTTTGCAAAAAGCTAAAACAACTCAATTCTTTTGAATATATTCTTATTTTGGAAATATTTACTCATTTTTGACTAGAAAAATGTTATTTATATTAACATCTAATGAGTTATTATATTCAATAAATTAATAGGTTAAAATTTTCTATTTTAATTTTTAATACAATAAATATCACCACACATAAATGAAAGCTCATCAAAATCTTTGGGATTAATAATTTTGAGATCATCAATAATTGTTAAGATTATAAAGGGGTCATGGGACCACAAGTTTTAAAATCTGACCGTGTACATAGAAAGCTCAATAGTGTCAACAAGCAAACTCTATAACAGCAATAACTAGATAATGTGATAGAAATGACACTATTCACAATAGCATCAAATCCCATGAATTATCTAGAAGTTAAAATATGAATGAATGATTACAAGTTTTATAGAAAATAGCAGTGAACTTTTCACAGAACATAAAAAGATATGAGTAAGTGGACAAATAAATATATAGCATATATGAGATTGTTATTGAACCCCCAAATTTGGGTTCATAAACTCAATGTACTGTAAATAAGACAAACACTGACACATCAACACTTAGGAGCAAAGAAAGGTTTATTCTGATCTGGCCTAAGCTTGGGAACGAGAGAGACAAACTCTCAAATCTGACCTGCCTTTGAACATAACTGGGGGCTTTAATGAATAGAGTAGGTATAGGGGAGGTGGGATCCCCCGAAGATCAAGATATTTTCATCCTTCAGCCAAATAAAACTTATGGACATCATCAAGGAGATCTACATAACCTAAAAATCATTGCTCTTTCAAAGAAAAACAAGTTCATCAGTCTTGTGGGAAGCCCTAGGAATTAGGATATGACATTAATCAATTACTAGTAAATACTGACTACTGAATGACTATGTGTAAGCAAGCACACATAGAGGAAGAAAACAACAAGGAAAAATAAAAAAATAAGTATAACAAACATCTTATGATCTTTATAATAAAGGCTCAGTTACAAGATGACTAAAATTTTAAAGATGTATACTTTCCTCCCAATTAATCTATAAATCCAATGTAATCAGAATTTGAAGATAAAGAAACTATAAATAACTAAGAAATGTTTAAAAAAGAATAACAAATAAAGAACCAGCCCTAAGAAATGTTAAGGCATACTAAACATCCTGGTAATAGACAGAGGTGGATAAAATAGATTTTTTATTCTGTTCCAGAAACTAGTCCACGCAGCTGATACTCTTTGTGCATTGCATCCCCTCATGTGCTGGTTTTCCAACTGCAAGCGCCTGTATTTATTTTGCCTGGAGATGTTCTCTTGTCACTGGAGACTTTTTGCCACCTGCACAGATGGTCCAAGTGCCAAAGACTTAACAGTCTTCAGGAACAGCCCTCAACAAATAACTATTAATTGGGTTTGCAGCGTTGTGCTGGAGCTGGCTCCTACCAGCTCAAGGGAACCAATTGTTAAAATTTCAGAAACTTTGCAAGCTAGGTGAAATCACTCAGCAGTTTGCAATTCTGCCTGGTGAGGATATTTACACTGCAGATATCACAAATGCTATGAACTGTTTGTTTCCTGAAAGGCAGTTGTTAACCATTTATCAGCATTCCATTGGTTTGGTGTACCTACACCCCTGGATTCCTTACTCTGGGTGTACCAATTCCTGTATCTACTCTGGCTCCCAGAGTTTACTACTGGGATTAAAGTGGTAGTATAAATGAAATGTAGGTTCAGTTGCTCACCACTTGCAGAGTCCAGTTAATAAGAGCAAGGTCTGATATAAAGAAAGTGACTTTTTATTCCCAAGCTAGCTTAGGGGAATAAGTACTGACTTCCTTCTTTAAGAGTATTGCTTTGCTTTTGGAGTAGAAAGCAGGCACTTTTAAAAGGAGTCTGCATGAAAGTTATGCAGGGGAGATGGGAGTCCACACTTGCTTCAGTGCCTTGTCTACCGGGTGCTCAAGCTAGCGACCACTGGTGCCTTCATGGGCAGAATTAGGTTGTAAGAGTGGCCAAAAATCTCCAGGTGAGAGAGAGTTTCATAGTGGGCATATTTTGTGTTGTAAATTGGCTGTTGTCTCTTGAGGCAATCTCCTGGTGGGAGAGAGTACTGTTCTGGAGCTCTAAGGATATAGTTAGATAAGCTTGCCCTGTAAGGAGTATCTGGTGAAGGAGAGGTAAAAGGTTTTAATTGCATTTCTAAAGCACTAAGTAAGAAGTGGGGAAAAGGAGGAAAGAGAAAAGAGAAAAAAATAATACTTGCTTCGGCGGCGCATATTAAAATTGGAACAATACAGAGAAGATTAGCATGGCCTCTGCAGAGGGGTGACACGCCAATTCATGAAGTGTTCCATATGTTTAACATTTAAAATATATATATATAAAAAAAAAACTATCTTTTTTTTTTTTTTTTTTTGAGACAGAGTCTCTGTCACCCAGGCTGGAGTACAGTGGCGCGATCTCAGCTCACTGCGACCTCCGCCTCCCTGGTTCAAGTGATTCTTCTGTCTCAGCCTCCCGAATAGCTGGGACTACAGGCATATGCCACCATGCCCAGCTAATTTTTGTATTTTTAGTAGAGACGGGGTTTCACCATATTGGCCAGGCTGGTCTCAAACTCCTGACCTCGTGATCTGCCCGCCTTGGCCTCCCAAAGTGCTGGGATTACAGGCGTGAGCCATTGAGCCCAGCCAACTATCTCTTAGAAAAATGAAGGTACTCATTTATAGTAGCTACATTCAAAATGCACCTGTATCCAAATAAACTATGTGTAATCAAATGCTTGCCTGAGGATTCACTTTGGAGAACTTCACACTAAAACAACCCACTAAATGTGGGCAATTAATACTTAATAGAAATGACACTACAAATTAGAAAGGAAAAAATGATTTGGTTAGCAGATTATTTTGGGAAAAGAATTACTAAGGAAGAAAATAAAGTTTGTTTAATTCCTCATATTATATATAACTCCCATTTGATAAGAACTTAAATGTAGAATGATAAAATATAGTATTAATAGAAGATAACATAGAATATCATTCTTTAAACAAAGGAAGACTTTCCTAAATTCAAAATTCAAAAGTGTAAATTTAACAATTGATGAATGATGACATAAATAAAAATAAGAACTACTCTTCTCAAAGAAAGATTATATAGATAACCACAGTAGACAAAAGACAGACTTAACAATTGATGATTGATTACATAAATAAAAATAAGAACTACTCTTCTCAAAGAAAGATTATATAGATAACCACAGTAGACAAAAGACAGACTGGGAAAGTTATTTATATTTCCCAAACTAATACCTGATTGTTTTATGTATGATATATAAATAATTAATTGAAATAGATAAGAAAAAAAAGTAACCCAAAAGTAAATGTTCAATAGATACGTAAAGTCAATTACTAGAAGGAGAAACTTGAATGGTTTATAAGTATATAAAGATGTTTAATAACACAAGTAATCAGTAAATGTATGTTAAAACATCAATAAGACACAATTTTACTTCATCATATTGTCAAAAAATAAAGTGAGCTAACACCAAGTGATGACAAAGAACCGATGCGTGGAAAAATTTAAACCATCATTAATGGGCACAAACTGTTATAGCCATTCTCCAGAGCAATCCAGCTCAACTAAATCAATTAGATTAGGTATGTGTAAAACAAAATTCAGTAGTTTCATTTTTTAGTATGTATGTATTCTAAGGAAATTCTCATGTGCTCCTTGAAAAACATGTTTTTTCAACAATGTTTATTTCAATGTACATTGTACGTTGTGGTCATGGGAAGTCACAGACAGCCCAACTAGTCATTTCAAGGGAAATGAATACATCAAATTTGGTAGATACATACTATATATATCACGTATACATAGTATTCAGCTACCAGCAGCAAAGATATAGCAGTAAAAAGAGCAACATGGATAAGGATTGCAAGTGAGATTGCATAGAAACAGAAAGATCTGCAGCCTAATATTTATGTAAATAAAATCATGTGTATACACAAATATGAATGGAATACCAAATATTTTGACTGAGATACATTCATATTAAATGATATGTATGAAACACATGAAAATGAGAATCTATAGAGGAATATGGACCATGGGGATGGGGATTCAAAATAAATATAACAAGAAGGAGGGTCTAACAAATGTACTTTCTCAATACTTAAGAATTTTGTCTCTCTTTTTTTTTTTTTTTTAATTCAGTTGGAGTCTTGCTCTGTTGCCCAGGCTGGAGTACAGTGGCATGATCTCAGCTCACTGCAACCTCCACCTCCAGAGTTCAAGCGATTTTCCTGCCTCAGCCTCCTGAGTAGCTGGGATTACAGGCGTGCACCAACACATACGGCTAATTTTTGTATTTTTAGTAGAGACAGGGTTTCACCATGTTGGTCAGGCTGGTCTCAAACTCCTGACCTCGTGATCTACCTGCCTCGGTCTCCCAAAGTGCTGGGATCACAGGCATGAGCCACCGCACCCGGCCAAGAATTTTCTCTTTATCCATTGATTTCAACATAATGCTTTCCTTCTGCTAATAATTTATGAAGGTTTCTGGCTGTCGATTTTACTTGGAAATCTCATGAGTGTCTTTTGGGTGTGGGAGTGCTTTCTCTCTGTGACATCTGGTGCTCTGTTTACATTGCCTTTGCATCTGTATTCTCTCTATTAGAGCTACTTTCTCTGCAGGATTAGGTAGGAGGAGCCACATGGAGCTTGCACTTGAAGCTAAAGAGACCACCCACCAGCCTGCCCCATTTTCTTGCACCATGATATCTGATCTGTTCTAGTTTGGCTGAATCATTCCAAGTAACTCAGGGTGTGCCATGCTATACTTTGATGTAATTTAAATTTTGACCATTTTAAACAGTTCAGCCATGAACTATGTTAAATACATAGTGAGTGTTCTATCAAGATTTGTCTTCATCCCAAGAAAAATAAGAAAGCCCTTGAAAGGTTTTAAGTGCATCACACTCAACTTGAATGAAGATACTGGTGTAAATACAGAACAAAGAAAAGATGAAGCTTAACAATAATCAAGATAAAAATATTTTATATGCAAAAATTGATAAATAATTTCAGGGCTCCCAGACCAGAAAAGTCAGTTGTTACCTCAGCCTCCAAGATTCTTACATCACTTAAAAGGGTAGTAAAGGAAGAGAAGAAAGGAATCCTGACTTTATCTAAAGGACACAAAGTTTTAAACCAAAACTGACTAAGTTGTCTTGACTTGGTGAGTTTAAGTTTTCTGCTATGAAGCAGAAATGTGGGCTTATATGTTAAATCAAGTCCAGATATGGAGAAACAAAGAACATTACAGTTTTTGCACATGTGATGTTACTATGTAAATTCATATGCCCTAAATATGTAAATAGATTTCTGTGCTCCCAAAAGCCTTCCCATGGACCCATCTTAAAGAAGCCTGAGCAAGCAGACTAAGATAAGACTTGCCTATGTGTTTGATCATGCTAAAGTAACTGCATTTACTTATTCCACCCGTCTGGCCAGGTGCAGTGGCTCATGCCTGTAATCCCAGCACTTTGGGAGGTCGAGGCGGGTGGATCATGAGGTCAGGAGATCAAGACCATCCTGGCCAACATGGTGAAACCCTGTCTCTACTAAAAATACAAAAATTAGCCAGGCATGGTGGCATGCTCCTGTAGTCCCAGCTACTAAGGAGGCTAAGGCAGGAGAATCGCTTAAACCCAGGAGGCGGAGGTTGCAGTGAGCTGAGATCGCAACACTGCACTCCAGCCTGGGCAACAGAGTGAGACTCCATCTCAAAAAAAAAAGAAAAAGAAAAAGAAAAAAAAATACACAGTTCTATAAAGGCTAAAATAATTGTAACAGAGGTGGCAGGGCTAATATAACATCAATATTGTATACATTCTTCATGCAGAAGAAATACATGTAGGCAAGAAAAGGAATTGACTTATTAGTGTACAATTTTCCCCAAAAAACACTAGAGAAATATGTCTTTAAAATATTTACATTGTGTATTGGAAAATATTTTTAATGCTATCTATAATTTAATGCTATCAAAATGTACTTTTTTTTTTTTTTTAGACAGAGTCTCGCTCTGTTGCCCAGGCTGGAGTGCAGTGGCACGATCTCAGCTCACTGTAATCTCCGCCTCCTAGGTTCAAGCGATTCTCCTGCCTCAGCTTCCCGAGTAGCTGGGACTACAGGCATGTGCTACCACACCTGGCTAATTTTTTGTGTTTTTAGTAGAGATGAGGTTTCACCATGTTAGCCAGGATGGTCTTGATCTCCTGACCTTGTGATCTGCCCGCCCTGGCTTCCCAAATATCTGGGATTACAGGCATGAGCCACTGTACCTGGCCAACATATTGTAAAATTAATAGAAAATGTAAAACCCTTCAGGTCATTACAAATTATTACCAGAAATTTTCAAAGCTCAAATTACATAAACATAAGAGAAAAATGAAAACAACATTCAAAAATAGTAATTTAAGAAATTGCAGGTGCATTTTCTGAGCATTTACATTTTACAGTCTGATGGAAACCAGGAGTAGAGCCAGAATATTTGGGGAGCCAAGAGAAAGCATTACAGATGACTTTGTCTTCAGTTGAAAAGAATTACAGAGATTTTGCCAAGAGTAGGTAGTTCTAAAAGTTAAGATGGATGCAGTAAATATGAATGTTGGGAAGCAAATTAAACCTGTGCATCCATCCTGTAGTCAACATTCATTACAATTGGACATTCTATCTCTCTTTGAACATTTCCCAGTGTTTGAAAAATCTCAGTAAAGCAATACATTTTATTTTCCAGAAAGTCCTTAAAGATAAAAGGTTATTCTTGAGTTAAAACTTATTTCTGTGTAACTCCTGTCCATTGGTCCTGATCCTTCCCACTGGAGCCACAAATAAATCCATTTTTATCTGCAGTCCATTTTAGAATTAGTAACACTTTATATTGAAAATAATGACAAAACTCTTGATTACTTTTGCACCAACCTAATAAATTGTCTTTTTTCCAAGTCATCCTCTCAGAATTTTACATCATTTTTTATAAATTAAAATTGTCAGAATCTTCCCCCATTCTATGAACCCTAATTTGTGTATCACAATTTTAGAGTGAGTTCTGAGAACTGAACACATAGTAACAGGAATAATTTAACCATAAAAAAAGGAAAAATTAACCAAAAAGTAAATCCATAAAGGATTTTAAAAGGTAAGCACATATAGGTACATAATAAATATTTATTTAGTAAACAAAACTGTTGGTTCATGTTGATTTTATAGACAAAATTTTTCTATATGAAATAAAGATGACATTTTTCCTAAAAAAGTTAAATGTAGTACTTCAGGTTTTTTTCCAAGTAAGTTTCATTTTGTTAAAGAACTGTTTTGCAACATATAGAGGTCATGTTAGATGATGATTCTGTCACTAAACATATTTGTAATACTCCCAGCTTCATGCTTTCTACAAACTTAGAAAGAATTATTTCTGTGTCAACATTCAAGTCAGTGATATTAATAGAATAACTCAACAACATACCACCAGACATCTATGTCCCGCAGGCTGATGACAGTATAATCAGTAGGACTCTTCAAGTGCCGCGGTTTCACTGATTAAGAATTCACTTAATTTCCTATCAAGTATTATACATGTATTTTTCCATGAGATATGATATTTAACATTTGTCAAATTGTTACTGACATTAGAATTTGCTATATTACTTGTACTACCATGAGAAACTACTTCACCGAAAGAAATGCGTTTTATCAAAGTGTGCCTTCTTAGTAAATCCACCCTGTCCCTTAGGGAGTGATGTCCTCTTTAAACTCTCACATTCAAATCTTGTTGAGCTAAATATTCCTCTCTTTTCGAAAACTGAGATAGCATATCTGGGTTTCCAGCACACCTGTTTTGACGATTCAAAGGCTTTCAATGTTTTGGAAAATAAGTAAATAGAGCAGAATGTATATAGATAGATATAGATACAGATGTAGGGTTGGCTGGGGGGAGCACTTTCTACTAAAATTAGTATTATTAATGTTATGGTCTTATTATTTTTGCCAAATGTCCTTTAATATTCATATCTATCAGAGTAGACTCTGATAGCAATGAAATTTGTGAAGACAGAATTCCAAAAACAGCATCGCATCGCTTACCTTGTTTTGTGCATATAGACAGGATATACCAAGTACAGTATCCACATTAATAATCATTGAAAAAATTCTCTAACTGTGGATTCCTTAAAGACGACAAAACAAATGTTAGGAATTATTTATTCTGCCTTATATATCATTGATTAAGTTTATATACAACAAATAATACAGGGATTCTAATACCAAGATTCAGCTCCTCTTCATATTATTAATCATTTTAAACAATTATGAGTGAAAGCATAGCCTTGTTCTATTCTCTCAATTCTCTAATTCCAGTGGCTTCTTTCCTAATGCTATCTGGGCCATAATATCTTACTTTTTTATACAAGTCCTTTATTATTGATTCAATTTGTTATTCATCAAATGCATTCTTCAAGAACTGAATTTTTATCAGTTCATTCATTCACCCGATATTTATCAAATATCTGCTCTTGCTGCACACTATTCTAGGTTCTAACTACAACATTAAAAAGTTGTCAAATTCCTCTCCTCATCAAGCTTATATTTTAGTGGAGTTTGTTTTTCATGCTCATCAGAGATAATAATAGTGCCATGAAGAAATAAAAAAGGAGGTTAAATAGTAGGAGTGAAGGTTGGATTCTTTAGCCAGGCTAGAAGACCACTTTGCAGAGATGACATTTAAGCTGAGGACTAAATGAAAAGGAGATAATCTTTTAAAAATCTGGAAGAAGGCCAGGTGCAGTAGCTCACACCTGTAATCCCAGCACTTTGGGAGGCCGAGGTGGGTGGATCACTTGAGGTCAGGGGTTCGAGACCAGCCTGGCCAACATGGTGAAACTCTGTCTCTACTAAAAATACAAAAATTAGCCAGCTATGGTTGCATGTGCCTGTAATCCCAGCTACACGGGAGGCTGGGGCAGGAGAATTGCTTGAACCCAGGAGGCAGAGGTTGTAGTGAGCAGAGATCATGCCACTGCACTCCAGCCTGGGCAACAGAGTGAGACTCCATCTCAAAGAAAATTAAAAAAAAAAATCTGGAAGAAGTTTATAGGCATAGAGAAGTGCAAATGAAAAGTCCTGGAAGTTTGGTATATTTGAAAGGAGGAAAGAAGACCATTTCATCTGGAGCATATGAAAGTGAGCTATAGGCACTGTGCAGGTAAGACAGAGGCCTGTACACCATATTCACATTTGTTACTTAATTCTCACCATATTCTCTTAAGAAAAAGAGGGATATGATCTCATTTAAGATTACAAGAGCATTTTGAAGGCTGGATGAAGAATTCACAGTAGAAAAATGTAAGAAAGCTTGGAAGCTTGGATGGGTATAGAATAGTAGAGAGAAGGGTCATATTCAGGAAGTTTCAGCAGGTGTTACTGACTTGATAACAAATGAGAAATGGGGTATAAAGAAAACTGAGGAATCAAGAGTGCTTCTTTTTTTATTATACTTTAAGTTCTGGGATACATGTGCAGAACGTACAGGTTTGCTACATAGGTATACACATGCCGTGGTGGTTTGCTGCATCTCTCAATCCGTCATCTATATTAGGTATTTCTCCTAATGCTATCCCTCCCCTAGGCCCCCACCCCCACCGACAGGCCCGGTGTGTGATGTTCCCCTCCCTGTGCCCACATGTTCTCATTGTTCAACTCTCACTTACGAGAGAGAACATGCGGTGTTTGGTGTTCTGTTCTTGTGTTAGTTTGCTGAGAATGACGGTTTCCAGCTTCATCCATATCCCTGCAAATGAGAATGCTTCTTAAGAGTGCGAACGCACAAAGAGGGGAATAACAGACACTGGTGCTTACCTGAGGATGGAGAGTGGGAGGAGAGAGAGGATCAGAAGAAAAAACTATTGGGTACTAGGCTTAGTATCTGGATGGCAAAATAATCTGTACAACAAATCCCTGTGACATGAGTGTACATAGATAACAAACCTGCACAGGTACCCCAGAATCTAAAATGAAAGTTTAAAAAAGGAGCTGGATCTAAGTAATTTGATGGTAGGTATTGTCATTATTGAGATAATGAGGAATGAGGGTTGAAGGTGGGGTGAGAAATCAAAAGTCCTATGGATATATTTAAGTTTAACATCCCAATTAGACATCTACCACTTATTTTAAATAGAGTCTAAGAGAAAATATTAAGGCCGGACATAGACATTTGTGAAACGTCAACACAAAAATGATACCTTAACCTAGGAAGAGTATGCAGATAGAGAAGAGGAATTAGGAAACTCAAAACACATAAGACAAAGGAAGAGGAACCAGCAATGAGGCCAAGAAGATAAGTGGGAGTGCAGCATGAAGAAATTCACGGGGATGGTATCAGAGAGGACTGGAGATGACAGTGTTTCAAGAAGGCCAAACTGAACTGATAAAGCTGCTGAGAGGTCACGTGAGATGAGTACTGATAAGGGAGCAGGTGGTAAGGTGGAGACCAGAGGTGTCTCATTGGGAGAGCAGTGAGGAAACAAGAATCAGGGAGGATTGAGTTAAGAAAAGGATAATTGGTGAAGAATGGAATTATCTGCTGAGTCCTGCTTTATCCAGTTTGCTCCACAAAATGCTGGCTGTTAATGTGGGATCTTCCAGGTCTTCATTTGCCAGTTCAGTGCTCTCTGTACATTATTCACCTGATGGGTTAAAGAAGAGTAATTCTAAGGCATGATTAACCAGGAAGAGTTACTTCTTGGTTAGATTCCAAAAATAATAATAATAATAATGTGGATTGTCCAGAGATACATGTATTGTTACAATCTGTCTTTCCAAAAACCATCCTCTATCATCTTTGAAGGAATAGCTCAGGAGCAATCTGATTTAATATATTTTGGCTTATTATGCAGTGAATTACATAAATAAATTAGCTAACTCTCAATTATTTGGCTGCTGTTTATCCCAGTAGTTACTTTCTTTTCTATTTTTATATTTGTATAAATGCACACACACACACACAGACACACACACACACCCTGTTGTTTGTATGTTTTCTTTGAAATAAAAACAAGTATTCTCTAAATTGCATGTCTCACTGAAGTAGAAATAGCAAAAATAGGGATTTTTAGTCCAGGCCAACATTTCTAGGTCGATACATAAGCCATGAGTTATTTAATTTTATTAAGAATAATATCTGAGATTGTGCCATCATGTTACCAGCACTTATTAAATTTACTCACATTATTTGTATATAACAAAATGATTTTTGCATGAAACAATACAATGACATAATTCCCAGACTCTCAGTTTGCCACAATCAACGTTGTTAATTGTGAAATCTCACATCCATACACGAAAGTACATAGTACAGTTAATTAACTAGCAAGGAAGTCATTGAAAATCTAAGTATATCAGATATTAGAACTTATTATGTAGCAGTCACTATTCTTAAATGTATCAACATATTTAATCCTTACAACAACTTTATGAGGCATTGCTATTATCATATCTATTTTAATAAACCATTTTGAAATACAGCAGAGTATTCTGTTTATCTTAACAAGGCCTGCCCTCTGGAGAAACTATTTTATGACAGCCTAACCTGGCAGGGTTTTATCAGACTCTAATCTATCTAGAGGAAGGAAAATACCTAACATCATCTGGCCTTCCACATGGGGGAAAGGAAATACCCAAATTTAGCTCCCTCTATGCTTCCACATGAGGAAAGGAAATGCCAAATTCCAAACCCCTCTAGCCATCCTGTCCCACTTAAGGGTTGGAGGTACTGAGAAACACTGTTGAAGCTCACAGTCTAGTCACAGGCTCACAAAAAGACTAAGATCTAATCATAGGACTATAAAATGCTTTTTCTCCTCCCACATCTTCGTGTCATACCACTAAAAGTCTATCTACCAGAGTTCTTTTCACCCGGTACATCAGGTCCGGATTTCAACAAAAATTACAAGGCATACTAAAAGGCAAAAAATAGCTTAAAGAAAGTGAACAAACCTCAGAGCCAGAGTGAGATATGGCAGATATGTTGGTATTATCAGATTGAGAATATAAAACAACTGTGATTAATATGCTAAGATTTCTACTGAAAAAGTAAACATGCAAGAACAGATGGCATTATAAGAAAAGAGATGAAAACTCCAAGACAGAATCAAAAACTAATGCCAGAGATAAAAAACTGTAACAGAATGAAGAATGCCTTTGATAAGCTCATTAGTAGACCAGACACAGCTGAAGAAAGAATCTCAACACCACCACCAATCAACTGAATATAAATGACTTTTATAAACTATTTCACCAACAGCAGCATACTATACATTCTTCTCCAAGATCACATGAAACATTCATCAAGATAGACCACATTCTAAGTCATAAAATACATCTTAACAAAATTTTAAAAATAGGTCATACAATGTCTGCTCTTAGACCACAGTGTAATTAAACTAGAAATCAATAACAGAAAGATAGCTGGAAAGTCCCTGTATTAGTCAGGGTTCTTTAGAGGGACAGAACTAATAGAATATATATATGATATATATATGATATATATATGCTATATCATATATATATGATATATATATCATATATCATATATATGATATGATATATGATATATCATATATCATATATCATATATATGATGATATATGATATATGATATATCATATATATATGATATATCATATATCATATATATATGATATGATATATGATATATGATATATATGATATATATATGATATGTGATATATATGATATATATATGATATGTGATATATATGATATATCATATATATGATATGATATATGATATATATGATATATCATATATATGATATGATATATGATATATATGATATATCATATATATGATATGATATATGATATATATGATATATCATATATATATGATATGATATATGATATATATGATATATATAATATATATATTATATATATATAATAGGAGATATATATGAGTTTATTAAGGAGTATTAACTCACACAATCACAAGGTCCCACAATAGGCCATCTGCAAGCTGAGGAGCAAGGAAGTCAGTCCAAGTCCCAAAGCTGGAGAGCTTAGAGTTCAATGTTCGAGGGCAGGAAGCATCCAGCATAGGAGAAAGATGTAGGCTGGGAGGCTAAGCCAGTCTAATCTCCCCACGTTCTTCTGCCTGCTTTTTATTCTGTCCACACTGGCAGACAATTAGATAGTGCCCACTCGGATTGAAGGTGGGTCTGCCTCTCCCAGTCCACTGACTCAAATGGTAATCTCCTTTGGCAACACCTTCACAGACACACCCAAAATCAATACTTTGCATCCTTCAATCCAGCCAAATTGACACTCGGTATTAACCACCACAGTCCCCAAATACTTGGAGATTAAGCAACATACTTCTAAATAACACATAAGTAAAAAAAAAAAAACTCCAGAGAAATTTTAAAATATTATAAACTAAAGGAAAATGGAAATACAACTTATTCAAAATTTGTGGTATACATCAAAAGCAGTGCTTAGAGGGAAATTTATAACATTGATGGCACATATTTGAAAAGAAGAAATATCTAAAATCAAATATCTAAGCTTCTACTTTAAAAATCTAGTTGAAGAAGAACACATTAAATTCAAAGAAGAAGAAAAGAAATAATAAAAATTAGAACATATATCAATTAAACTGAAAAAAACCCCAGAAAATCGATAGAGAAAAATCAAAGAAACCAAAAGATGGATCTTTGAAAAGATTAATAAAACTTATAGGTCTCTAGCCAGGCTAACTAAAACAGCAAGAGAGAAAACTAAAACACTAACATCAGAAGTGAAAAGGGCAACATCAATACAGATCCCCTGGACATTAAAATGATAATAAAAGAACAGCATAAGCAACTCTATGTCTACACATTTGATAACCTAGATTAAATGGATCAAATTCTTGATAGATACAGTCTTCCAAGACTTATACAAGATCTGAATAGTCCTATGTCTTAGTCTGTTCTAGCTTTTGTAACAAAACACCACAGATTGAGCGGCTTCCAAATAAAAATTCTCACAGTTCTGGAGGCTGGAAAGTCTAAGATCAAAGTGCCAGCAGATTTGGTATCTGATGAGGGTCTAGATGGCCACCTTCTCACTGTAATTTCACATGGCAAAAGGGGCAAAGGATCTCTCTGAAGTCACTTTTGTGAGAGCACCAACTCTATTAATAAGGGCTTTGCCATTATGGCCCAGTCACTTTCCAAAGACCACATATCCTAATATCAACACCTTGGGAGTTAGGATTTCAGCATATAAATCTGGGGTTGGGGGACACAAACATTCAGAATATAGCAAACAATATCTATTAAAGAAATTGAAAAAAAAATTAATAACCTTTTAAAATTGAGTACCCAGGTTCAGATAAATTCCCTAATGAATTCAACCAAACCTTGAAGAAAGATTTTATACCAATTCTCTACATTCTCTTTCAGAATATAGAAGCAGAGGGAATACTTCCTAACTCATTCTATAAGGCAAGCACTACCAGAATATCTAAACCACACAAACAACCTACAAGAAAAGAAGGCTACAGACCAATTTCTCTCATGAACATAGATGCAAAAATTCTCAACAAAGTGTTAGCAAATGGAATCTAACAATGTATATATATATATATATAAAGAATTCTATATTGTGACCAAGTGAGATTTACTCCGGGTATGCAAGGCTGGTTCAACATTCAAAAATCAGTCAATGTTATAAATATATATTTTTAAAAAAACAACAAATATAATCCATCATATCAATAGCCTAAGGAAGATAATTCACATGGTTATATGAATAGATGTAGAAAAAAGCATTTAACAAAATCCAACACCCATTCATGATAGAAGTTCTCAGCAAACTGGAAATAGTAGGGAACATCTTCAACCTGATAAAGAATATCTACAAAAGATGTATAGCTAGCATCATACTTAATGGTGAGAGATTTCAAGCTTTCTTGCTAAGATGAAGAACAAGCCAAGGATGTCTCCTCACACCACTGGTTTTCAACACCGTACTGGAAGTCTTGGCTAATGCAATCAAACAAGAAATAAAAAGTCTACATATTGGTAAGGAAGAAATAAAACTATTTTTGTTTACAGAGGACATAGGGATTCGGATATATAGGAACTCTCTAACTCTCTGTACTATCTGTTCAATTTTGCTGTGAATCTAAAACTGCTCTTAAAAGTAACATTTAATAATTAAAATTTAAAAAACTTTGGGAGGCTGAGGCAGGAGAATGGCATGAACCTGGGAGGCAGAGGTTGCAGTAAGCCAAGATCACACCACTGTACTCCAGCCTGGGTGACAGAGCGAGACTCTGTCAAAAAAAAAAAAAAAAAAAAAAAAATTACAGGCTATAACAAAATAACTCAGAGAAATTCAAGCTCCAAATCACATTTTAGAGTAGTTCTTTTGCACTTTGTCTCTGGAAAATAACATTAATCTTTTTAAAATATATCATGGATCAAAACAGCTCTTTTGTGTGTACCACATTATAATCTTAATTTTTACAGCCTCCCTTTTTATTTCATTTATACTTTGCATTGTTTAATGCTTAATGTTATCCAACATAGGATCTAGACATCAAGCAAAGGAAAAAAAGTGGGTTATTCACATACAGTAGTGTATCTATCAGTTAAATTCTTTCAATATTAATAATAGAGTAGGTTTATCTAGTTTAATATGAGAGGTGAGATTGTGGATGAACTGCTATTTCAGCAATCATCTGATATGAGCCATAGATGTCCTTTAAAAGCAAAAAAGTCTATTTTTTATTTATATTATTCAGTGTTTATGTTTTTTTCACAAATTATGTTAAATGGCTACTGTCTCACAAATTATTTTTACTCTCTGTTTATTATTTTCTAAATGATATATTAATTCCCTGAAAGTGATAAACCATACTATTTGAATCACAAAAGAGCTGACTGTATATGAAGTAAAACTTTAATGGCATGGGTTTAATTTGTACATGTGTCTTGTGGAATCAGTAAACAATATTATACATACTTATTGACCATCTATTATGTGATAAAAACTAGCAAGCCATGTTGGATACAGTGACAAATGGAGCTCAGTTTCTGTCCATAAGAAACTCATAATCTAATGGAGAAGGCAAAAACAACAACCACAAAAGTATTAAAATAGTCAATGACAAACACAAAGAAAGAAATGTAATGTGACCAAGATACAAGGGAAGGCTCAACCACAAGACGGCCAAAGAGTGTTTCCAAAAGCTAGTCCTCATACACAAAGTCACAAAGTTATGAGACATCATGGCATATTCAGGAGACTGACTTAAGTTTCTGTATACACAGATAATTGTGTGCTTGAAGAGATGTGACAGGAAATGAGGCTGGGATCAAATCTCTAAGTGCTGCAGGTGCACTGCTAAGGCACGTGGACATTCAGAGAAAAATAAAGATCTATTCAAAAACTCTGATAACTAATAACTAAAAAGATGATTCAATGGAGGGTTTGGAATATATGAGAGGAAATCCACCAAAACATAAGAGAAAAATCAAGATAAAAATAGGGGGGAAAAGGATAGTATCCAGAATGTAAAATATTAAACCAATAGAAATTTGAGAATAAGAAAGCGGATATGAAAATAAAGGGAATCACTGAAAAAATAAGAAAATTATATTTTCCACAACTTGGGAACCTCTAAGCTATAAGAAAATGACTACCCAAGTACCCAAATAATTGGAAAGAAAAAAATTAAACCTACACTAAATAACTGTATTGAGACACATTATCATAAAAATTCAAAATAAAATAATAAAAAGGAAGCCTTCAAATATTCCCAAGAGAGGACTAAAGTCACATAGAAAAAATAAAAGATGCCAATCTCATCTTTTCAAAGGCCATATTAGAAGCCAGAAGACAATGAAGCCATACTTTCAAAATTCTAAGTGAAAATGAGATTCAGTATTGATTTCTTCCCTTACTTAAACTAACTAGTAAAGGGAATATATAAAATAAAAACATTTTTCAATAGGTAAATCCTTATATATTTGCTTGCCATGGGCCCATTTATTTTCAGGAAACTACTAGAAAAACATTGCCACCAAGAAAAGAGTAAATCAAGAATAAGAAAGACTAACAAAGGGGCAGAAAGGCAAGAATTTCCAAGGCAAATGCTATACCACTGCCAAAAGAGTTGGTGGGTCTGAATAGAAGAAGAGATCAGAGAGTTCCAGGAAGATGTCTCCAGGAAAAAAAAGTGATTGAACTGATAAGTTATTTAGCAGACTCGTCCATATAGAAAACCGTATTGGAAAATATTTTACAAAAATGATACTGCAAATAGTTATTCTAATAACTATTAGAAAATAAAAAATGAGGCATTGTTAATAAACTTATATAAGAAAAAACAAAATTATAGACACTATTTGGAATAGAAATAAACTATTTAAATTATCGTATAACAGTGAAGTTACTAAATATGCTATCCAAAATTTTATGTATAATTATATCGTGATGAGATGGTTAGAGGAAGAGAAGGTATAAACTAAAATACTCACAGAACAAAAAATTTAAATTAAAGTCTAAAGTTAAGTTTTTAGCTTGTCGAATAAGAAAACTACTTACAATTACAATGTATGTACCAAGGAAACATCTAAAAGGTTAGAAGTTGTTTGCCTCTAGAGGGTTGTGGAGAAGGGTACTGCTGGGTGGTGACCAGGACCGTTATTATTATGATGATTTTTTACTATGATGCCTTTAGTATATATGACTTTTTTTGTATGAAATATTTTTAAACAAAAAAACAAATTTTTATTTTTTAAGTGCTTTTAAAAACACACAGAAACCAATAGAATCAAATGTAATAGAGAAGCTAATAGGCCGAAGCTAAATATCCAGATGGATTTATTAATGAAAAGAAGCTAATTACTGACCTTGACAGGAGCAATTTCAGGGGAAAAGTGAAGATAAAGTAAAATTACAGTAAGTGTAGATAGAAGCTGTAGGTTTTATTCAAGTTTGAGAAGGGGAAAGTATAGCAGTAGCTCATTCATTCACTCATTACTGAATGAGAAAGAGAACTTTCCTATTCTTCTAAGAATTCTAAGGTAGCATCATAATTTATTTCATTTTATTTTCAAAAATCGTTTCCAGATAGGACATTAAGAATCAATTCTGCATCTCCTCCTGTATCAGCGCATGGCTTTGCTGTCCCTTCGTGTTTTGCTCTCCACACACAATCCCAGCTGTTACCCATCTTCTTTTTTCATCTTTGTGATTTGTCTTGTTTCTTTCAACTGGATGAAAGAGCTAATACTACCCACAGTAGATATTAAGATGTTAGACTATTTTGTCAAAATGTTATGATTACCATGCCCAAACATAAAGTTAGTGTCTCCATAAATTAATTTAGAAAATAATGAAAAATCAGAGCTGCTTACAATATAGCAGACTGAATTTAAATTGAATCATACCCAAGTAAGCCACTCTATATTCTATCTCAAACAAGGTCCATATAAACAAAAACACTTTAAAAAAGTAATTTATTTAAACAAGTGAACTGCACTGCAGAGAAATCGTAGCATTCACTCACAACCTGCTTTCCTTTTTACCTGTTACAGAGGAACTTCAGTCAAGTACAACAAAAGTTAGTGGGTCTACGCCAAAGCTAACAAACAAGTAACCTTATATATAATTAGCAAAGTACGCCCAGAATCAGAAAATCGTATTACATTTTTCTTTTAATTTAAAAAACCTAACTATTAGCTATTCAAATCTATAAACATTATAGTAAATAATACAATTGTTATATTAGAATATAATAATAAATGACCCTCCTGTAATATATTAAAACAAAAATTACCCTTAGGATTCTTAAAATTAGGACAAAAATAAGCAAAAAAGAATTTTGTATAAGATAACCTATAATTTTACAATGTATAAAATTATAAACAAAATTTATCAAACATTTTGGTTAAATATAAAGAATTGATTACAAGTACACCTTATAAGCAAATTTTTCTTTTAGAGGCAACCAATCATTCATCAGATGAGAATTTCATGAAAATTCTCTAGCCAGTGTTCCCTGTATCCCCTGCCCCCTTTTGGCCTTTCTCAGCTTGTCTATTCTCATCTCTTTTCTCATCTACACATTGAAGTTCCCCTTGGCAACTTTAAGACATTGAATTGAAAGAATTAACAGATACAGCAGCTAGATCACACACCATTTTCAAAGCTTCCTCTGGGCCTTTGTTAATGAATGGCATGGTACACACCAAACATCATGAAGCCTTGTTAAGAGAAGAAGGAACGTTTACCTGATCTGCCCACTGCTGAACTCCAAGAGCAGGGTGACCATTTTTTTATAGATGTATCTAAGTAGGATCCATTCTTATTTCAGCCTCTGTAAAGAAAAGATGGTACAGGATATAAGCAAGTATGTCCATGTGGGTAACACAGCACTTAAACTAGATATGCCTTGTTAAGGGTTTCAACACTTTCTTAACTAGGGAAGAATGTAAATTAATCACTACTTGAATACTCTTCTATATGGTTTATAGTTGATTATGTGTTTAAATTAAATGGGGAGTAAACTCTGTACCATTCTAATTTACAGTGTGGGTTCAGTTCCCCTCAATTTTTTTGGTAGCTTATAAACTAAGCATGTATTATAAAAGTAGGCTACAGTCTGATGTTTTAGGAAACTCTTTATCCTCTTCATCTCATGCTTGTTTACATCTTCCTTAGAACAACAACAAAAAAAAATCTTTCTTACTCCTCTCTTAGTTCCTTGGTACTGATAACCTTCTTGACTCTTCCTTATTGCAAGAGATAAGACTTGATTTTTAGTTTTATTAGTCCTCTAGTGTAGAAGGGATTTGATTTCTAGAGGATTACCCAGTGTTATGGCCTGAATACTTTTGTTCTCTCAAAATTCATATGTTGAAATCCTAACCCCCTAAGGTGACGGTATTAGGTGATAGGGATTCTGGGAGGTGACTACGGCGCAAGGGCAGAGAGCCCTCATGAATGAGATTATACCTTATAAAAGAGGTCCAAGGGAGCTCAGTCACTTCTTCCACTATGTGAGGACAGCATAAGAATGTGAAATAAATAAATCAGAAAATAGACTTTAACCAGACAACAAATCTGCCTTCATCTTGAATTTCCCAGCCTTCAAATATATTTCTGTTGTTTATAAGGCTACCTAATTTATTGTATTTTGTTATTGCACTAAAAGGACTAAAACATGCATCACCCATTCTCCTTCCTAACAGCATTGCCATTTCCTTTTGGGAAATTATTCATCTCTCATTGTGCATATTATTATAGGAATCCTTTCAAAGTCCCTTGCACTGATCAGCTAAGACCCAAGTCACATCAACAGATGTCTTTTGTGAGGTTTGAATCTTGGACAGAGAGCTCCACAGATTTAAAAATGTCTGGTGTGCTCTTGATCCAGCTGCTCCTCCCAGGCAGAACAGTATTGCAGTTATGCACAGTCACCCAGGGCAGCCTAGTTCCTGTCCTGGGGCCTGTACTGCACTTGCTGTGTACCCTTGAACAATTTACTTAATTCTCCGTCCCTCCGTTTCTTTAGCTGTAAACAAGAACAATAAAACACATCTTAGGCTTATAGTAAAGATTTAATGAGGCAATTCAAGTACTGAGAACAGCTCTTTTCACCTATTAAGCACCCAATAAATGTAGTCCATTAAGCCTGGTTCTCCAGCCTTACAAGAAACTTCTTTTTGGCTTAATTTAGTCCTGGTTCACTTTGTTACTTAGGACCAGTGAACCCAAGTGATTTATTTGTCATCTTCCACAGTCTTAGATGAGGACTTCTCCCTCCAACCCATCAGACCATGTCCTGGCCAGACAAGCCTGAGCACCCCAAGAAAAGGAATAGACTAAGACAGTCATTATCAGCCTTCTAAGGACAACTTTGAGGCCGTGTGGATTATAAGCTTAATTTTCACTTACTCATAGTCCTCAATAACCTTGTCTTAAAGTAGCAAAAAGTTAGACTCCAATTGGAATACCAGCAAGAACATTTGCTTAGGTAATAAGATGAACATTAAAACTGCGGCACTTTTAAAATTTTCTTACTTTAAAGCAGCCCCTGTTATATATACAGCTGACCAGGATTAAATTACATCAAGTGCCTTGATAAGTCAGCTGAAACTCTCAAAAGGACAAATTATTCTGTATCCATTATATGACTGATTACTGCATGTGATCAATGTTAGTGGTCAATTCTCAAAGCAATATTAATTTGCATAATTACTGTGTATAGGTAAAAGTCTCTAAGAACTTAACTAAACTGGCATAATAAATCCTATTGAAATTTAGCTATTGAAAATATTACATAAAATATTATAAGAATACTGCAATGTAGTTATAAAAATAGCAAATGCCCTTTGTCTTTTAATAGATTGCTACTTATGACTTTAATGCTAAAATTACATAGGGCTTAAATAAACTTTATGACCTTAAAAAATTAGAATTTCAGCTTCAAGATAGCGGTCTAGAAGTATTTTATGCTCACCTGCTCCACTTAGAAGAACCAAAATAGTGTACAGACAGCTACACTTTGAATAATTATCCGAGAAAGGACACTGGAATTTAACAGAAAACTGACAGGAAACACCAAAACCAAGGAAGGAGAAGAAAAAGAGACAGTCTGCTTGGCCAGGATCAGCTGGGAGCCAGAGTGACTTCCCAACCTTGGGATAAGACTTCCAGCATTCCACATCCCCACTGTGGAACTGTGTAATCCTGACCACAGAATAGCCCCTCCACCCTCCCGAGATCTAAAACTAATACAGGGAGCTACCAGGAGACCATGAGATGGCACTTCTCCAGGAGGGAATCTCCTGCTGGATCTCGTACCCTTTCTGAAACCCAAGCAGCTACAGCAAGGAGCCATTTTCAGTCACAGCCTTTGTCCTAGGGCCCAGCATTAGGGAAACTCATGTTCTATGGCTGTTGTCCCGGGGACAGAGGCGTTAGAATAACACAGGCTGTCGCTGCTGGGACTGCGGGATGAGCTGTGAACAGACTTCTCAGCAGAAGCTGAGAATCAAGTGGGACATGGGCTGCAGCTGCCAGTGCTAGGATGCGAGCATTGACAGGACTGAAACTGGGACACAAGTGGGGCACAAGATGCTGCTGCGACTTAGTTGTAAAGCAGGAAGAGGGCTCCTATAGCGGGGAGTTGGGGAGAACCCCACCAGAACTGGGGCAAGAGAGGGATATGCATTCCCCCACTACTGGCCCAGGCTATGGACACTGAGGCAAGCCCCACCCAAGTGGTATGGCCTCAGTGCTGCTCCTATTGCCCATCAACCTAGGTCTCTGCCTGGAGCCTCAGAATCAACTCTCTCCCACACATCATGGCTAGTGTGTGCTCTCACCATTGAGAAGCCTGAACACAAGTAAGTCAAAACTGGCATCACATTTCCCTCTGAGACATAGCACATAATCCAGGGTCTTGGATAATCCAACCCAAGCCACCACTTGAGCATTCCTTCTAGGTACCTGAAGTTGGGTCTAAATTCCCGGCTACTACTACCTCAGCTGGCACCTACCTGCAAGCACCACCTCTGAGCCTGGAGACTGGCATACCCAACCCACCACAGCCACTGCCAACATCAAAACACGCTGCTCAGGACCCAATAAATTGTCTTGTCATGGCTACTGCCATTGCCCATGACACACAGGCTGCCTAGGGACCTACCTCACCCACCCACCAGGTCTACTGCTTCAACTACCAACATCCAAGCAAGCCACCTGGAAGTTCAAAAATTTCTCTCAACAAATTTTTAAAAATGGAAATAGTAGCCAGCATCTTTTCTGACCATAATGGAATAAAATAGAAATCAATACCAAGAGGAACTTAGGAAGCTATGCAAATACACAGAAATTAAAAAACATGCACCTGAATAACCATTGAGTCAATGAAGAAATTAAGACGGAAATAAAAAATTTCTTGAAACAAATGGAAATGAAGACACAATGTAACAAAACCTATGGGATACAGCAAAAGCATTGCTAAGAGAGAAGTTTATAGCAATAAATGCTTACATCAAAAAAGTAGAAAAAAATCTATTTTCTAATTGTTGTTAATTCTAATAACACCTAGAAATATATGTTAAATATAACACTTTGGGAGGCCGAGATGGGTGGATCAACTGAGGTGAGGAGTTCGAGATCAACCTGACCAACACAGTGAAATCCCCTCTCTACTAAAAATACAAAAATTAGCCAGGCCTTGTGGTGCATGACTGTAATCTCAGCTACTCAGGAGGCTGAGGCAGGAGAATCATTTGAACCTGGGAGGCAGAGGTTGTGGTGAACCAAGATCATGCCATTGCACTCTAACCTGGGCAACAAGAGCAAAACTCCGTCTCAAAAAAAAAAAAAAAAAAATCTATATAAAACATGAATGGAACGAAAAGTTGGTTTCTCAAAAAGATAAACAAAATTGATAAACCTGTAGCTGGACTAAGAAAAAGAGAGAAGACCCAAATAAATAAAATCGGAAATGAAAAAGGGGACATTACAACTGATACCACGGAATTATGAAAGATCATCAGAGACTATTAGGAACAACTATATGCTGACAAACTGAAAAATCTAGAGAAAATGGATAAGTTTACAGAAATATATAACCTGCAAAGATTGAATTAGGAAGAAATAGAACATCTGAATAGATCAATAACAAGTAGCAAAATTGAATCAGTGATAAAAATCTCCCAAAAAAGAAAAGCCCAGGCCCAGATGGATTCACAACCAAATTCTACCAAATACATAAAGAAGAGCCAATGGCAACCCTCCTAAAACCATATCAAAAAATAATTTAAAAAGGAGAGAATTCTCCCTAACTCATTTTAGGAGGCCATCATAACCCTGATACTAAAACCATACAATGGTACAACCACAAACACTACAAGCCAATATCCCCGATTAATGCAGATATGAAAATCCTCAACAAAATACTAGCAAACTGAATCCAGTGGCAAGCGGGTTTTATTCTAGGGATGCAAGGATGGTTCCACATACGCAAATCAGTAAGTCTCATACATCAGTAGAATTAAGAACAAAAACCACATGATCATCTCAATAGATGCAGAAAAAGCATTTGATAAAATTAGCATCCCTTCATGATAAAAGCTCAACAAACTAGGCATAGAAGGTACCATACCTCAAAATAATAACAGTCATATATGACAAACCCACAGCTAACACCATAATGAATGGGGAAAAGTTGAAAGCCTTTTCTCTAAGAAAAGGAACAAGACAAGGATACCCCCTTCCACCCCACTTATTCAACATAGTACTGGAAGTCCTAGCCAGAGCCATCAGACAAGAGAAAGAAATAAAAAGTGTGAAAGGAAAATAAATCTCGGGGCCCCCAAATCACTAAGCTAAGGGAAAAATCAAGTTGGAAACTGCTTAGGGCCAACCTGCCTCCCATTCTATTCAGTCACCCCTCTGCTCACTGAGATAAATGCATATCTGATTGCCTCCTTTGGAGAGGCCAATCAGAAACTCAAAAGAATGCAACCATTTGTCTGTTATCTATCTCTGACCTGGAAGACACCCCCCTCACTTTCAGTCTTCCCACCTTTGCTTTGAGCTGTTGCATCTTTCCAGACCTAACCAATGTTCATCTTGCATACGTTGATTGATGTCTCATGTCTCCCTAGAATGTATAAAACCAAACTGTGCTCTGACCACCTTGGGCACATGCCATTAGGACCTCCTGAGGCTGTGTCCCTGGCATGCATCCTCAACCTTGACAAAATAAACTGTCTAAATGAACTGAAATCTGTCTCAGAGTTTTGGGGTTCACAAAGGCAACCAAATTTGAAAAGAAGTCAAATTGTTCTTTTTTGATGATATCATGTAAGATCATATATGTTATATCTAGAACAAACAAAGGACTCCACCAAAAAACTCCTATATGTGATCAATGAATTCAGGAAAGTTGCAGGATACAAGATCAATATACAAAAATCAGTAGCATTTCTATATATCAACAATGATCTAGCCAAGAAAGACCTCAAGAAAGCAATCCCACTTACAATAACTACAAGAAAAAACAGCTAGAAATAAATTTCACAAAGGGTGTTACAGATCTCTACAAGGAAAATTACAAAACACTGATAAAAGAAATTGAAACTGACACAAATGGAAGAAAACATTCCATGCTCATGTATCAGAAGAATTAATGTCAGTAAAATAATCATATTGCCCAAAGCAATCCACAAATTCAAAGCAATCCCTATCAAAATACCAGAATCATTTCTGACCGAAAAAATAATCCTAAAATTCATATGGAACCAAAAAGAGCCCAAATAGCCAAAGCAATCCTATGCAAAAAGAACAAAGCTGGAGGTATCACACTGATTTAGGCAAAGAATTTATGACTAAGATCGAAAGCACAGGTATCAAAAACAAAAATAGCCAAATAAGGCTCAGATAAACCAACTTCTGCACAGCAAAAGAAATACTGAACAGAGTGAACAGACAAACCTCTTGAATGGGAAAGAGTATTTTCAAACTGTTTATATGACAGAGAACTAATATCTAGACTGTGCTAGGAACACAACAGGAAAAAGAAAATACACACAAATAATCCCATTAAAAATGGGCAAAGGGCATGAATAGACATTTCTAAAATAAGACATAAAAATAGCAAACAGGTATATGAAAAAATACTCAACACTACTAATCAACAGAGACATGCAATTCAAAACCACAATTAGATATTATCTTATACCAGTTAGAATGACTATATTAAAAAGATAAAAAATAACAGATGCTGGCAAGGATGCAGGAAAGGGGTACTCATACACTGTTGGTGAAAATGTAAACTAGTACAGCTAGTATGGAAAACAGTATGGATATTTCTTAAAGAACTAAAAATGGAATTACTATTTGATACAGCAACCCCCCTACTGAGTATCTACCAAAAAGGAAAATAAATCAATATATCAACGGGATATCTGCACTCACATGTTTGTTGTAGCACTACACACAAGAGCAAATGTATGGGATCAACCTAAATGCTTATCAACAGATGAATGGATAAAGAAAATGTGGGCATTGCTGGCTGCAGCTGCAGCAACTAAGAAGTCAGCCTTCTTCACATGCCTCCAGAAAAGGGGCCAAGTCCAAGAAGCTGAGCAGCAATGGACTGTATGCCTCGCTTCCACTGCACCTTGCAGGATAAGGTCCCCTGGTCTAGAACTAAAGCTACCCCCCGCCTCCGCTCTCATCCCACCCCCTTGGGCTGGGAGAAGCTCTGCATTTCCCCAAGATGGAGCTCCCAGAAGGAGAAGCAGGCCACCATCTCGGGTGTCTCACAGCCCTCCCTGCTGTTGCCTTCACGTTCTACAGAGTGGGTGGTTACGAGGGACTAAGGTGGATCCCCAGTACAGTGCAGCTGCCCCACGGAAAAGCAGCCAGAGGCAGGTCCCTGATCCCGTTTTTCCTCACTGGGCAGAACCTACCGACCTGGGACTACAGCTACCCTACACAGGGGCTCTCCAGCTGGTAGCAGTTCTGAGATTCCCTGGGAAGGAGCTCTCAGAGGGAAAGGCAGACTGCCATCTTGGCTGTCCTCCGTCTCTTGCCACTCTTGCTCTCAGGCTCTGGAGGGTGCTTGGTGATTAGGGACTGGCCTGGATCCCTAGGACAGTGCAGCCACCCCACAGAAATGTGGTCAGACTGTTCACGTGGGTCCCTATTGCACTTCTCCTCATTAGGTGGGGCCTCCAGACCTGGGACTCCAGCACAACTACCCTAGCCCACCTGGATACCAGAAGGAGGCAGCTCTGCGTTTCTCTGAGGAGGAAATCCCAGAGTCAACCCACAAGCTCTCTACCATTGCACCTGCAGTGGTGCCACCCTAACCCCTCTGGGGCTGAGGAAGGAACGAAGAGCCTAGTCCTACACTGGTACTTCTGGTACACTGCAGCCCCCATATGGGAAGAAGTCCAGTCCCCCTTCCCTGTGAGCCTCTCCCATGCCCCATTCTTCACCAACAGGGGCCCTGACTCAGGACCACAGATCAGCCACCCCAACCACAACTGAGAATACCTACTGATGGTGCTCTCAGTTTGCCTGTGGAGACAACCAACAGCTCTTCTATTACTGCCACAGCAGTGGTTTTGCCCTTGCTGCCTTCGGTTTGGTAAAGAAACAAAGAGCCTGAATGCTTCATCTGGGCTTCCAGTGCACCAGTCACTACATGGAGAGGAGCCCAGTTTCTCCTCCCTATGAGCCTTCAACACCCCAACTCCTCAGCACATGAAGTCCTCAGATCAGGCCAGCAGTGCAACCACCTTAACCCCTGGCTGAACATTACCAGTAGCAGCAGCTCCATGTTTCTTTGAGGTGGAGCTCCCAGAGGGAACTAAAATCCCCTCTGCCATGGCCACTGTAGTGGTACTGCCCTTGCTGCCTTTGGACTAGGGAAGGAACAAAGACCCTGAGTGCTTTCACTACATCTTCAGCAAGCTGCACTTTCCCCTAAGGAGAAGAGACCAATCTGTCTAACCTGGGGACCCACTCCCTCAACCGCCCTCCCCACCCCCACGTACAGCTACTGCATCCCAGGTGACTGCACTGATTGATAGCAGCTCTGCATCTCTCTGGGGTGGAGCCCCAACAGACAAGTGAAAGACCCCCTGCCATAGCCACTGCTTAGGTCCCTTAGCCTGCTGCCTCCAAGCTGGGAAAGGAACATAAAGCCTGAACTTGCCCCAGAGCTTTGCAGTGTGCAGCCCAGGAGTGCCAAGCCAAGATCTGTAGCCAGTACTCAAGTGGGCAAGGATACCACACTTTTAGAGAAGAAAGAGGGAGCTCCGCTGCAATCCTGCGGAAATATAGAGGAGTCACTTGGCCAAGCAGGACCCTACCTACTGGCCATTACACTTAAGTACCGTCTACTGGATCGCAGCCCAAAACTTCAACACCAAAAATACTTTTCTAATATACCCCCCCGTGAAATCAAAGGCAAGAATTCAGCTACAAATAAAGACCCTACAGAAAGCCCTGGCCCTTTGAAAACATCCAGAAGTCCACTCACTGTACTCAATGTACACTACAGTTAAAGGAACACCAACTCACACAGATGAGAAAGAACCAGAACAATAACTGTGTCAACTCAAAAAGTCAGAGTGCTTTCTTTCCTCTAAATGATTGTACTATGTCCTCAGCAAGGGTTCTTAACTAGCCTGAATGACAGAAATAGAATTCAGAATATGGATAGGAATGAAGATCATTGAGATTTAGGAGAAAGTCAAAACCCAATCCAAGGAATGTAAAGATTACAATAAAATAATGCAGGAGCTAACATACAAAACAGTCATTACAAAAAAGAACCAAACTGACCTGATAGATCTGAAAAACACACTGCAAGAATTTCATAATGCAATCTCAAGTATTAACAGCAGAATAGAGCATGCTAGGAAAGAATCTCAGAGCTTGAAGACTGGCTCTCTGAAATTACTCAGACAACTTTTTTTTTTTTTTTTTTTTTGAGTCAGAGTCTCGCTCTGTCACCCAGGTTGGAGTGCAGTGGCGCGATCTTGGATCACTGAAAGCTCCACCCGGTTCACGCCATTCTCCTGCCTCAGCCTTCCGAGTAGCTGGGACTGTAGGTGCCCGCCACCACGCCCAGCTAATTTTTTGTATTTTTTTTTTTTTTTAGTAGAGATGGGGTTTCACCATAGCCAGGATAGTCTTGATTTCCTGACCTCGTGATCCACTCGCCTCGGCCTCCCAAAGTGCTGGGATTACAGGCATGAGCCACTGTGCCCAGCCCAAAATTTTTTTAAAAAAGAATTAAAATGAATGAACAAAACCTCCAAGAAACATGGGATTATGTAGAGACCAAATCTATAATTCATTGGTGTCCCTGAAAAAGATAGGGAGAAAGCAAGCAACTTGAAAAACATATTTCAGGATATCATCCATGGAAACTTCTCCAACATCACTCGAGAGGCTAACACTCAAACTCAGGAAATGCTGAGAACCCATGTGAGATACTACAAAAGAAGATCACCCTGAAGACACATAATCATCAGATACTCCAAGGTCAAAATAAAAGAAAAAAGTGTTAAAGCCAGCTAGAGACAAAGGGCAGGTCACCTACAAATGAAACCCCATTAGGCTAACAGTAGACCTTTCAGCAAAAACCCTACAAGCCAGAAGAGATTGGGGGCCAATATTTAGCATTCTTAAAGAAAATAATTTTTTAAGCAAAAATTTCATACCCTGCCAAACTAATCTTCATAAGTGAAGGAAAAATAAGATTCTTTTCAGACAAGCAAATGCTAACAGAATTTGTTACAACCAGACCTGCCTTACAAAAGGTCCTGAAAGGAGTGCTAAGTATGGAAAGAAAAGAAAGTACCAGCCACTACAAAAACACACATAAGTATACAGACCACTGACACTATAAAGCAATCACACAAATAAGTATGCATAATATCCAGCTAACAACATGATGAAAGGATCAAATTCATATATGTCTATACTCACGTTGAATGTAGATGGCCTAAAATGCCCAAATTAAAAGACACAGAGTGGCAACTTGGATAATAAACAAGACCCAACAGTTCTGTCTTCAAGACACCCATTTCCCATGCAATGACACATATTATATAATGGTATTATGTAATGGTAGAGGGCCTGATTCAACAAAAAGACCTCATTAATCTAAATATATACACACCAACACAGGAGCTCCCAGATTCATGAAGCGAACTCTTCAAGACCTACAAAGAGACTTAGATTCCCACAGAATAATAGTGGGACATTTCAACACCTCACTGACAGTTTAGACAGATCATCAAGGCAGAATATTAACAAAGATATTCAGGACCTCAAATCAACACTTGACCAAATATATATATGAGGGGGGTTTATTAAGTATTAACTTACAAAATCACAAGGTCCCATGATAAGCTGTCTGTAAGCTGAGGAGCAAGGAGAGCTAGTCTGAGTCCCAAAACTGAAGAACTTGGAGTCCGATGTTTACAGCAGGAAGCATCCAGCACGGGAGAAAGATGTAGGCTGGGAACTAGGTCAGTCTCTCTTTGCACATTTTTCTGCCTGCTTATATTCTATCCATGCTGGCAGCTGATTAGATGGTGCCCACCCAGATTAAGGGTGGGTTTTCCTTTCCCAGCCCACTGACTCAATTGTTAATCTCTTTTGGCAACACCCTCACAGACAAACCCAGGATCAATACTTTGTACCCTTCAATCAAACCAAGTTAACAGTATTAACTGTCACACCACCCAAAACAATAGATTATCTCAGTATAAGCAGAAAACACTTTTGATAAAATTCAACATTTTTTCATGTTAAAAATGCTCAAGAAACTAAGCACCAAAGAAACATACTTCAAAATAATAAGAGCTATCTATGACAGACACATAGCCAACATCATACTGACTGAGTAAAAGCTTGAAGCACTCTCTTGAAAACTGGCACAAGACAAGGGTGCCCTCTCTTTTCACTCCTATTTAACATAGTATTGGAAGTCTCGGCCAGGTCAGTTAGGCACAAGGAAGAAATAAAAGGCATCCTGATAGGAAGAGAGGAAGTCAAACTATCCCTGTATACAGATTACATGATTCTATATCTAGAAATCATAATCTCTGCCCAAAAGCTCCTTGATCTGATAAACAACTTCAACAAAGTTTCAGAATACAAAATGAACATACAAAGATCAGTAGCATCCCTATACATCAACAAGATCTAAGCCAGGAGCTAAATCAGGATTGCAATTCCATTAACAATTGACACAAAAAGAATATAATACCTAGGAATGCAGCTAACCAGGAAGGTGAAAAGAGGTGACAAAAACAAGTGGAAAAACACAATGACATACCATCTCACACCAGTCATAATGGTCATTATTAAAATGTGAAAAAATAACAGATGCTGGCAAGGTAGCAGAGAAAAGAGAAAGTTTATACACTTTTGGTAGGAGTGTAAATTAGTTCAGCCATTATGGAAAGCAGTGTGTCGATTCCTCAAAGAACTTAGCATTTGACCCAGTAATCGCACTATTAAGTATATACCGAAAGGAATCTAACTCATTGTACCATAAAGACACATGCACGTGTATGTTCATTGCAGCACTATTCACAATAGCAAAGACATGGAATCAACCTAAATGCACATGAACAATAGACTTGATAAAGAAAATGTGGTATGTGTACCACATGCACCATGGAATATGTACCACATACACCATGGAATAGTATACAGCCATAAAAAGAATGAGATCATGTCTTGTGCAGCAACATGAATGGAGATGGAGGCCATTACCTTAAGCAAATTAATGCAGGATCAGAAAACCAAATACTATATGTTCTCACTTATAAGTGGGAGCTGAACAACAAGAACACATGGACACAAAGAGGGAAACAACAGACACTGGGGCCTATTTGAGGGTGGAGGGTGGGAGAAGGGAGAGGATCAGAAAAATTACCTATCAGATACTATGTCTGTCACCTAGATGGTGAAATAATCTGTACACCAAAGCCCCAGGACCTGCAGTTCACCTATAAAACAAACCTGCACATGTACCCTGTACCTAAAAGTTTAAAAACAATGTGATATATGTACACAATGGAATTCTATTCAGCCATAAAAAAGAGTTAAATCATATCATTTGGAGCAATATGGATGGATCTAGAGGTTATTATCATAGTGAAATAAGCCAGACACAAAAGGATAAATACCTCATGCTGTTAACTTACATGTGAGAGTTAAAAATGTGATCACATGGAGGTAGATAGTGGAAAGATAGATAACTGAGACTGGGAAAGGTGAGTGTGCGGGGACAGTATGAGGAATGACAAAGAGAAACTCTGTTAAAAGTACAAATATACAGTGGGAAGAAATAAATTTAATATTTGATGGTACAGTAGGGTGATTATAGCTAATAAAAGTGTGTTGTACTCAGGTGATGGACACTCTAAATACCTTCACTTGATCACTACACATCATGTATGTGTAACCAAGTGCCCCATAAATTTGTACAAATAAAAAATTCAATTAAAAGATTAAGAAAAAAATGGTGAGCTTTTCCATTCAGTTGCAAATTTGACTTAGAAAGAAACTATGTTTGCCATAATCTGAAAAGTTTAACACGCTGCTTATAACACAGACACCGTGCTTATAACACAGACACTGAATTGGTGATTCTAAATAATTCTAACACTGCTCATCAGGTACTATGTTAATAACAGACAATCTCCAAACGTTCTGACTCAGTTTGGGATGACATAGTATTTTAAGTTTGGAACATGTTTTGAAAATAATGTAACAGTTTAACATCTTATGTGCCAATAGCTACAGATACTTATACTGATTTTTAAAAAAATATTGTTTGATTTCATTGAACAACATAATTTGAAATTATAACCAAAATATATGAATATATTTTGGAAAATATATAGACTTGGAAAGGAAATTGACTTAGCTAAGCATATTCATTCAGGTTGAGCTTCTAACACTGGTAGGTTTTTATTGTAGTCCAATTATTTATTTCTATGAAATACATGTACGATAAATTTAAGTGGCATTGAAAGTTAGATTCAAATAGCTGTGGTTTAACCAATAGTAAAATGAAAGTTTTTCATTCCTCTTTCCAACTCTGTCCCCATAGGCAATAGCCTACAATTGATGTGGTTGATCATGTCAATAATAACCCAATTGAGAACAACTGAAATGTTCCTTTGACATGCACTACAATTCAACTCAATTATTCTATATTTTTAAAATTTGTATGGAGAAAAGGGAAAATATCTTATGCTTTCTATATGCCACTGAATCTGTCTAAAAGTTAAGCAAAATTATTTTTCCCTGTCATAGAACTTTGCTATTCGGTTCCCATATGAAGTCAAACATAATTTTTAGCACTGGCATGCTTTATAATTTAGACTGTAGAAAAGCAATTACCTTGTTTCATCTCCTCTGTGTTTTGGGGGAAGAGTTTAGTCACTATTTTACTTAAATAATAACACTAGTGTCTTTACTAGTATTCTCATCAATTAGCAATTCAGGTAGATGGCTCTCTCTTTTTTAAATTCTGAAATCTCGTGTTAACTCATTTCAGCACTGTTTTGTTTGGCTGCCAGTATATAAAAATGGATTATTAATATAAATATTCATGGTAATATTCTTTGAATATGAGTTATCTGAATTGGATAAAACTTTGGTTTCCTTGCTGTCTGAGCTAGCTAATAATAAATAAATTAGGGAGTGTTTTATTTGGGTACCTCAGTTTTCTGTTTCTATATAATCAATCTTTATGTGATGGAAGCTGAAAATGCTGTTTTAAGAAATATTGCAGATAATTTAACTAGCTCATATTTTAGAACCAACACCGGTTGATTATGATCACTCACTCTGTAGTGGGAACTTCTATAGTTACGTGAAGGAGGTTTCATGTTTTTGTCGGAGTCAGATTTTTAGCTATGGTACAGGAAATTTTTAAAAAAATACTTATCAATTACAGAGAGAATCTATTCATTTTTTCTCTAATAACAAATATAACTGAAAACTGCAATCAATCATTGCCTTTTAAATTGTTATTATCGACATCTTTTTTTTTTTTCTTTTTTTGAGATGGAGCCTTGCTCTGTCGCCCAGGCTGAAGTGCAGTGGCGCGATCTCGGCTCACTGCATGCCCCGCCTCCCAGGTTCACGCCATCCTCCTGCCTCTGCCTGCCGAGTAGCTGGGACTACAGGTGCCTGCCACCACACCCAGCTAATTTTTTGTATTTTTAGTAGAGACGGGGTTTCACCATGTTAGCCAGGATGGTCTCCATCTCCTGACCTGTGATCCACCCACCTTGGCCTCCCAAAGTGTAGGGATTACAGGCGTGAGCCACTGCGCCCGGCCTAGATCTTTTAAATTATTACATGTTTTTAAATAATATTAATGAAATATCAAATTTATCAGTAAACCCTTTCCATTCAAATTTATTAACCTATAATAAATTACACAAGAATAGCTGAAAATTTATTTTTAGCTGGAAAAGAATCAATGGAAGACCATGAATTTGTGTAATTAGTAATGGCAACTGAGTTTATATTCCTTTGTAGATTAGCTTACATTTAAGTTGTGCAAGATCCATTGTTTTGCTATAACATTCATCAATACTTGTGAGAAATGATGAATGGAAATAAAAACCTAAAATAAATACTTATCAAATTTTAAAACAATATTCTGAAAGAACTTCTGATTTTAAAATATTTTATGTCCGTCATCATTTTCTAGGACTTTGTTCTCAGTAGTCTCCATTTTTTCTGTAGATGTATGTGCTAAATTTCTACAATTACCATACTCTGTTCTTCTCTATATGAGTATCTTTTGCCATGTGACATCATAGCTTCTCTTACGAAGAAGTCCATAAATCTCCACCCCTTCAATCTGAGATGATTCTGTGGTGGCACATACAATACAGTAAAAATAATAGTGTAGCAGTTCAAAGACCAGACCTCCAGAGTCCTTGCATGCTTCCTTTCCTCTTGATACTCTGCCCAGCCACCATGTGAACAAGCCTGGGATAGTCTCCTGGATGATAAGAGATTGTGTGAACCAGGACAGAGTCTATCTAGTTGTCTTATAAAAGCCCTCCGACATATGAGAAAGCCCAGCCAAGATCACCAAAGCTGCTGATCACATCTTGACTAAAAATGTCTGAAGGAGCTCATCCAAGAAGAAAAATTGTCCAACTGAGCCCAGCCTAATTTGACATCCAGCAAAATCATAAGCTAAATAAATGGTTTTAAGCTGGTAAGTTTTGAGATGGTTTATTTCATAGTAGCATCTATTTGATGCAATTAGACATTGCAAAGTCTAATACATTAGGGTTCTGAATGGATATGTCACTATGAAATAGCATTCTTAACATATTTTTTCACTAAGGATAATTCTTGTGTAAAATGTCAAAAGGCTATGCTTTTTTTCTTGCCATTATCTAGAATTATGCACACTAAAGTATGTTGCAATTGTTTCACTGAAAATCATAGGAACATTCTCTGCTATTCGGTTCCCATATGAAGTCTTCGTTTTCTCTATTTATCTGTACTTCCATTCTGTTTTTCTTCTCTCTCTCACATAAAAGAACTCATTGCTCCAATAAACACTACACTACAGAGGTAGTTTACTCCTTCCTTTGGCAAATTAGGTTATTTACTGATTTATATAGAAATTTATCAGAACCCTATTTCCCAGACTTTCTCTCAAAACATTTAGTACAAGAATTTAACAATGTGCCACTTTGTGTATTCTGCCTTCCATTATTTATTAGGAATTCAATCAACTGTTCAGAAATGATGATGGAAAGTTCCTATGGCTTTCTATTATTTACACTTAATGAAGCAATCTGAATGGAACAGAGATTGCCACTCTTTTGATTTCAAATGGTTTTCCAGCAATTTCCATAAAATTATATTGCCTGAATATACAAGAGCTCTCAGGAACTATTTACTTCATTGAGACATATTTTAGAAC
Source organism: Homo sapiens (assembly GCF_000001405.40). Classification (NCBI taxonomy): domain Eukaryota; kingdom Metazoa; phylum Chordata; class Mammalia; order Primates; family Hominidae; genus Homo; species Homo sapiens. Next base: position 76,524,407 of record NC_000006.12, on the reverse strand, counting down.
ATGTTCTTTCCTAGTCTTTTTCTATTGTCTTGTACATTTAGTTATCTCAATATACTATCATAAAAATGAAATCTTCAAATGGTATACAATTGTATAGAAAACATTCCAGTTCAATCATATTATTACATGCTTATTTTCTTTATATACAAAAACTATTTGAGGAATCAAACTGAATTTTCTTGGCCATAACTTTTAATCTTAGGTTACTAAGTTTTGCTAAATAATAGGTACCATGGAAGACTCTCTCAGTGAAATGGTTCTAAATGGTTGCTGAGCCCCAGCTAAAAAGAAGAACATATATTTGGATATATTGATTTTTCTAACCAATAATTCTGAGCAAATACTTAGTATTCTGCATATTACTAGTTACTAGGAATAAAAAGAGAATTTTTTCTTTGAGATGCTCACGATATGTGAGAGAAGATAATATGCACCAATAAAAAGTGTCATACTATAAAGAGATTAATAAAAATTAGAAATAGTAAAGAAAATGGAGTAAATCTTCCTGATAAGTTGAAAAACCTTTACGAAAGAAGACACTTTAGGCTAGATAAGTCAAAGAAATGTTCAGATTTACAAGCAGAGGAATTATTTCAATAGCTCCCTATTCATCTCATTGGTGAGAGAGGTTTTCTTGCCCTATGGTTGTAGGAACAATTGCATATATATTCCCAACACTGGACAAATTAGATCAACAGCAGCTATTAGTCACATACACTCACATCTAGGAGGAAGGGGACACTGCACCACACAGGGATTGTGCATAGGAACAGAGTGAGCAGCCAGGGGTCATGGAAGACTGGCTTTGTGGCATCAAGAGGGTGGGGTACTCCTGTTTCCTGTAGGACAATGTGATTTCCTTATTTGAATAATTTCATAGCTGTTGGGAAACTGAACTCACAATACAGAGATGAACCAGAATTATGCCTGATCCTTTGATAGATAGGGTTGGTTATCTAGGGGGCCTTATCTGTGGAGTCAGAATGTAGAGGGGAACTTGCGGTTAGGACATTCAAGCCCTCCTGATTTTACCAGATATCAAGGTAGCACATAATTCTGAGTATTAATTTTAAGTCTTACACCACAGAAATGAATTGACAAGACCCAGAATTCTAAATATTCTTGCTATTTTATGAAAATGGTGAAAAATTCAGCTGCAGGACATGGATGGGAAGGAGACAGGATGGAAAGTTTTACACATATATTTAATGTGTCTGACAGATTTTTATGAAAACAGTAATTCTATATGTCTCCTTCAAAACTGTATATCCAGAATCTAGACAAATAATTGATATTGTAGGAATTCTTGAAAAGTGTTTGGAATCAATTAATAAAAAAATTTTGTGGCAAACTTTTTTTGGCACTGAGATGCGCAGGTAAATAAAACCTGCCCCTTTTCTAATAGGCATACTGTCTAGAAAACATAGAATAAAATACTGTCAAGTTAAGCTAATTATTAAAAGCATACACAAATATTATGTTGGGGACAGATTTTTACAGACACTGTAGGCTAAAATACAGGTTTACATTTAATTCCCTAGTCAATGGTGAAATTAGAGAAGTTTTTAAACATTATAATGACATAATTATATTTGTTATTTAGGTAGAAAACCCTGATGGTGAAAGCAAGTTTTAACTGAAATGAGAAGAAACTGAAAGTTACATTACCATGGCTTTTATGAGTCAAAGAAGAGACATTATGGGTATGTGAACTAAAATAATGACATTTGGCATGGGGAAAGTGATAGATACAGTAATTTCAATTTTCTGCAAGATAGAGAACACACAGAGAAGTAGTGATTGATATACAGTATGAGAATCCATCCCCTATGATGTGTGCAAAGGAAATTAATATGACTGGCTAGACCCTGGAAACGTTTAATACTATAAATCACCGGTGTGAAAAAAAAGGTGGGTATGAAAATTGGAATAATTGGATAATAAATACTAAACAATGAAACTTTCCACTTCAGTGTACAGAATGCCTGGCAGGCAAGGATTTATCCCGTTAGCCAAATAAAAGAAAGAAATCACAAAAAAACAACAACAATGTGTTTATCTTCAAACTGGTCTATCAGTATTAACATGCATTTTTGCCTTAGTATATGCCCACATTCTGAAATTTGAGATGTTGCCACTTCTGGGAAAGTCAGCAGAAGACAGACAGCAGACAAAATCTCTAAAAATAATATTTTTAATTAAAAATGTACATGCAGACGGGCATGGTGGCTCGCACCTGTAATCCCAGCACTTTGGGAGGCTGAGGCGGGCAGATCACAAGGTCAGGAGTTCAAGACCAGCCTGGCCAATAGGGTGAAACCCTGTCTCTACTAAAAATACAAAAATTAGCCGGGCATGGTGGCAGGCGCCTGTAGTCCCAGCTACTCGGGAGGCTGAGGCAGGAGAATAGCTTGAATCTGGGAAGCAGAGGTTGCAGTGAGCCAAGATCGTGCCATTGCACTTCAGCCTGGGCAACAGAGCGAGACACCATCTCAAAAAAAAAAATGCAAAAATACCAAACATTAAAGATATTGGACACTATAAATAAAAAAGATTAAACAAAAAATGACTGCAGATTCAAAAATTACAATCCAGGGAAAAGCACCAACTTAGAAGAGTTTAACATCCAACTAATAAGAACATAGAGTGAGAAAACAGAGGGAAGAAATTTTCAAAGAAATAATAGAAAACAATATTATAGATCTGAAGTTCCATGTGAGTCTTTAGATAAGTGCCAAGCATGTGAGTTGTAAATTGAATAATAAAAATCAAGACATCAATGCAAATTATTGTAAATTTAAAAGCATCACATATAAATAAAAAGTTCAAATGCTCTCAGAGAGAAAAAAAATTCGGTGATTTATAATGGATCATGGATCAGAATAACATAAAACTTCTTATCAACAACCATAAGTACTAGGGGTCATGAGGAAAAGGAATCAAGGGTGTCTTCATTCCACATTTCTCTGAGGTTGGGTCTTCTGCTCTGGCCACAGAATATGACTGTGTCATTCACTGATTGTCCTTTATTTCTCTATCATCAGTCATTTTTTTTATTTCAACTTTTATTTTAGATATAGAGGATATGTGTGCAAGTTTGTTACATGGATATATTGCACCCAGGTAGTGAGTGTAGTACCCAACAGTTTTTCAACCCATACCCAACAGTTTCCAAGTGAAGAATTAAATTAAGAACTCAACCCCTTTTACAATAGCTGCAAAAAAATAAAATAAATAAAATACTCAGGAATATACCTAACCAAGGAGTCAAAAAACCTCTACAAGGAAAACTACAAAACACTGCTGAAAGAAATCACAGATGACATGAACAGATGGAAACACATCCCATGCCCATGGATAAGTATGGTCAATATTGTGAAAATGAACATACTGCCAAAAGCAATCTATAAATTCAATGCAATCCCCATCAAAATACTGCCATCATTCTTCACAGCATTCTTCACAGAACTAGAAAAAACAACTCTAAAATTCATATGGAACCAAAAAAGAGCCCACATAGCCATAGCAAGACCAAGCAAAAAAAAAAAAAAAAAAAAAAAACTAAAACAAATCTAGAGGCATTATATTACCTGACTTCAAACTATACTATAAAGCCATAGTCACCAAAACAGCATGGTACTGGTACAAAAATAGGCACATACACCAATGGAACAAAATAGAGAACCCAGAAATAAACGCAAATATTTATGGCCAACTGATCTTCAACAAAGCAAACAAAAACATAAAGTGGGGAACAGACACCCTCTTCAACAAATGCTGCTGGATAATTGGCTAGCTACATGTAGGAGAATGAAACTGGATCCTTATCTGTCACCTTATACAAAAATCAACTCAAGATGGATTAAGGACTTACACATAAGATCTGAAAGTATAAAAATTTTCAAAGATAACATTGGAAAAACCCTTCTAGATATTGGCTTAGGCAAGGATTTTATGAACAAGAACCCAAAATCAAATGCAATACAAACAAAGATAAATAGCTGGGACCTAATTAAAATAAAGAGCTTTTGCACGGCAAAAGGAACAGTCAGCAGAGTAAACAGACAACCCACAAAGTGGGAGAAAATCTTCACAATCTATACATCTGACAAAGGAGTAACATCCAGAATCTACAACAAACTCAAACAAATCAGTAAGAAAAAAACAAACAGTCCCATCAAAAAGTGGGCCAAGGACATGAATTGACAATTATCACCAGTCTTGAAATTAATTTTTAAGAACTCTCAGAATCTGACAATACGGTAACACTATCTGTATTTTCAGTGATGAGTTTTCATCTTTTCATTGTTTTCACAGGGACTTAGAGGAAGAGTTGGGAGAATTCCTAGGTATCCATTTTAAATCAGATGCCTAAATAAAGCACATTATAAAATGCTAGCTCAAATAACATAGTTCAGCAGGGTTTTCTAGTCTCCCTTTATTGCCCTCCATTGGCAGAACCTAACAGGAAGAGAGCTGATAAGCACTCTTGCCAGCAATATATTTGCAATATATTTTGCAAAGTCCCAGCCCCATCATCACAAAACAGAATAGAGAAGGGTGAATTTGGAGCTGAGAGACAATAGCTAATGGCAGTCTATCTTTTTGGCTACTTTGCACCTTTACACATATAACAACAACAGCTTTATGCTTTATAAGATAAGATGTAACTATCCTTCACACAAATTAAAATACTTTCATTTTTAAATACTCTCCCCCGAAAAGCAGACGCAGTGTCCCAACTGTCATTCTGTTCATTTCTAATAGACTGCTTCAGTGTCAATATCTGGGCAATGTCAATTCTCCTCTAATTCTGTCAACATTTCATGAGTATTGAGAAACTTAAAAACTTAATTGTAAAATTAACCATCAACAACAATCTTTATGTAAAATTAGAAGATGAAAGAAGGGAGAAAAAATTAGTTCATATGTATACACATATGATAATCACAGAAGGAAATATGTACAGCTGTAGTAGTCTTAATTCTGTAGCTTGCCATGAGTATAGTTGATATGTATAACCTCCTTCTTTCACAAACCATTCTGTATTCCCTTTGTAGCTGGCCAGCACCTTAGTAGGTTGAAAATATCTACTTGGTCATTTAAGACACTAAAGCGTCTGAAACCTCAGTGTCTTGCAAATTTTGGATTATTTTGATTTTCCATTAATATTTATTAATACATATGGCACCCCAGAGGACTCCCTTGGGTCCATAGGTAGTGCTCCCTGACCCATTGTATAGCCACAATAGTATTTCCCCTTGATAACTTGGACCCATCACTTCATCCAATATTGTAACTCACTAAAATAGTCAGGTGAAAGTCTCAACTTCCATTTTAACGGAACCATTGTGCATTGACTGGTGGAAGCATTATTTTTTTTCCCTTGGGAACCAAGACCTTTGAATCAGCAATGCTCAAAGTTACAGAGATGAGAAGCAAAAGTTCTGCAGGTAGGTTAAGGATAATAGTGAAGGAAGCCACTCTCATTCCACCCTGGGAAAAAAGGAGCTAAAGTTGCCAAGTGATCAATTTCTCTGTCAGTTGCAAAGATGAGGGGGAATAATACCCAAGGGAAAGAAAGAAGACAGACAGCTGTGGTCTAATCAACTTACAAACAAGTTGATATCTCACTATCTTGGTAAATAAACTAATGACATTAAATAGAAAGAAAATCTTTATGGATACTTTTTAAAGGATTTCCTTGTCTTTGGTTTAGAGTTGCTTATGGTATGCCAACTTATGAATTCATGAGTCATGGCTTCCTAAAGAATGACACAGACTTCTCCTGCTTCATCTGTGCCTTTTGATTGTTTGTACCCTTGAATTTATTAGTAAAGCATGTTACTGGGTAATATCTCTGAGCCTGATTAGATAATTCAATTCTTTGTGTTAGTTTACATCCCTTGATTCTTGGACTCATGTATTACATGTATTACATGGGAGAAATAGCACCATATATTGATCACTAATTCAAAGACAATACTACAATCAGCAAAGTAGATCTACATAAACAAATTCATTTTTAGAGTGGAAAACTATTAATAGATGTTTTCTACGAAACAGAATTAAATTTGTAATACATTAAACTGGAAAATTTTAGATACAGTAGTAAAACGCAATTCCTATTCTATTTCTCTTAAATTTAACATTAAAAAATAGAAGTAGCACAATGTATCTTCTATGCAGGGAGAATAGCTGACAGCAAGTGCTATGCCCTAGGACATGACTGTTCAAATCCTCTGGGGTTATTTTCTACAAAACTTGTCTAAAAATGAAGATTCTGACATTATTGAGGCAAAACCAAATGGCAGGTATAGATTTTGAAAAATGGTCACCTGTCACCCATCAGTTCTTCCCAGGAGCAACACATGACTTAGGTCAAGGGTCTGTTGATGTGTCCAAGTATTGCTCAAGGTAAAACATGCTTCTTATTAATGAATGGATAACTCATTGGAGTTATAATTAAATTGACCAAATTAGCAATCACATCACACATGAACATGAATAACTATGGCTTAATTGGATCTGCTGATATTAAAAACATTAATCAGTTTATCACTGAGAAATTTTAATGAAAAATTTTCCTAGTGCTATATCTGGTTAACCATAGGGATATAGACTGGTACTGTCCTTTGTTTCTCTCAGGCAGTGGCTTTTACCTAAATTAAACATCCGACTAGGAGAAAGCTAGAGGAAAATTATGTTACAGAAAGTGGTGTAGCAGGACTTATCTTGACAAGGAGGTTTCTCAAATTGAAATCAATGTTGGTTTGTACACCTTGAATGATTATCTATCTTTGTACTAATACCTAAGGATTTATGTGAGAAGAACAAATCAACACTGCTTAGGTTGACATTGATTCTATTGTCAAATCTGTGGCTAAGAAGCACAATAGAAGATCTCCTGCCTCAGTATTATTCTCTATAGTATAAAGAAAAAAATATAGTCCCAGCTACTCGGGAGGTTGAGGCAGGAGAATGGCGTGAACCCGGGAGGTGGAGCTTGCAGTGAGCCGAGATTGCGCCACTGCACTCCAGCCTGGGCAACAGAGAGAGACTCTGTCTCAAAAAAAAAAAAAAAAAAAAAAAAAATCCACAGGATCTCCGTGTCTGTCTTGGTCAAGGTTTAGGACAAGAAACAAGACATTATATTTTAAAGCAGGAAGCAATTTAATCATGGAATTACATACCTAAATATCGTAAGAACCAGATTCTAGACTGGAACTCTCAGAATGAATACCAGAACAATGTGAAGCCAATGCCCTGAAATCATCACCATACAGAAATTGAAACCAAGAATGCATATCAGCCACCAATGCTTCTCACACTCAGAATAAAAAATAAAATAAAACTTGAAACTCAACCCTAGGGTTTAGGAAGAAGGAGCAAGAACCATCACCACTGCCATCACTGCTTCTTTACGCCTGAAAGCTAGAGACAGACCCCATGGAGGCAAGCAAACGTGTCCATTTGCTGGTCAGCAGCAAAGCCAGGAACATCAGGCATGTGGCCTCCAACTCACTTCTGCCTTTTGAATACTACATAACTGTATCTAAATGGTGGAAACTAATTCACAAGAAACCTAGTTGCAAGAGAATTTGGGAAAGGTCATTTTCAGCTTTCCAACTTCTCCAACAAGAAGGATATAAAATAGAAGTTGAGTAGGACAATCCAAAGTAGTCAAAGAAAATCAAAGAATGTCAGGAATTTTATGATAAATGAAAGAAAAATAAACATCTGTTCTCATCTAAAAAGAAAACTAATAACCTAATTATCATATAACTGAAGTTATAGGTTTACAGGCAGCATCATTTGCTTAACAGCATCAACAAAAAGATAAATATTTAAAAGAAAGAGAATAATAAACATAAAAAAAACAGATCCTATGATTTCATGTGCCTGGTTACCCTATTACATTTACAGGGAGTTTACCTTTACTACTCCAGGGAAAGATTATCTTGTAAAAAGTTAATCAGAGCAGATTTAAAAGAGCTAAGTGGACCATATGATATGAATTTAGCAGCTTCTCTACTACCCAATGCGGGACTAGCAAATTGATTATCTTTGTCATGTTTTTAAATAACTGCTGCTTCTTTACATATGATTTTTTTATTTCTAGTTTTTTTTTTGTCTTTTTTATTGATTAGTCTTACCAGAAGTTATTTTCATTCTATTTTTAAAGAATTGGTCTTATCTTTGTTCATCCTTTCAAGGATATATTTGTTTTCTATTTGTTAATTTATTTTATGGTATTAAAATTTTTCTTTTTATTATTTTACTTTGGGTTTATTTTTTTCTTCCTTAAGATAGAAAATATTTCTATAACATTTTCTAGTTTTTTTCTCAAATTGATTTCTTAGCCTCTATTTTCCACCCTCATTCCTTAGGAAAAAAAATTAATATTTTAATCCTATAAGTTGTCCATTTATATATGCTTTGACAAGTAGAATTATTATTATTTTTCAAATTTAAATATTTTCTAATTTACCTGTTTATTTTTCCCTTGACCCACTGTTACTGAAACTCTAGAGGTTTCATTTAGGTCCTGCTGCTCACTGCAGAGAAAGCCAATCACTGAGACAATGAGTATTGCCAGGGAAGAAGGCTTTACTTAGGTGCTGTAGGTGAGGAAATGGGAGATCAGCTAGGGAGGGGTAAGGAAGAATAATTGGCTAACAGTAAGCAGGTAATCAGTTAGGCATTAATGGCAGGTGAGGGGTCTGGCCATCTCATTGTCCATATTTGGTTATCAGTAAGTTTCAGTTCCTTGATACCATCTGGGAGGCCTGAAACTTGGTTTCCTGAGAAAAGAACTCAGATAAGACAAATGTAACAATTGTAAGTCTGGGAGGGTCAATTCCTATGTTTATTCAAAATAAATAATAAACATCAGTTCTATGGGACAATTAGGCCAGTTCCACCATGATCATTTGAAATATGCCTTTTAAATATCTGAATATACAGAATAAGACCACTTTTGTAATTTATTTCTAGTATATATAAATTTATTTCCATTTTTATAACTCAAAAATGGCAGTGTATTTCTTCTGTCTATAACTGTATTTCAATCGGACAACAATGATGTATAATACTTGCATTTTATTATTTATTCAGCTTATAGCCTTTTATGTCATCAATTTTTGCAAAATGTTTACAAAATTTGTAAAGCATGTTTATTCTTCAGTTTTGGAGCACATGGTGCTATATATGTCCACTAGACCAAACCTGCTAATGGAGCTGTTTAAATCTTAAATCCTTCTTGATTTTTAAAAAATAATTTAATCTAGATTTTTTATAAGAATGTAATAATGGATATATCTATTTTCCCTGGAGTTATGTAGATTTTGCTTTATATATTTTAAAGCTATATGTATTGAAACTTTTTTTCCAAAATAGTACCCTCTTTTTATCTTTTAAGATTTTTGCTTTAAAATCTGTTTTGTAAAGTATTAGTATGGTTCCAATGGCCATCTTTAGTTGATTTATACCTGATGTACATTTTTTAAACCACTTATGTTGAACCCTCCTTTCATGTCATATTTCAGCTGTATCTCACATAAAGCAGTTTAATTGATGTTTGACAATCAATGTCTTTTATTAAGGGAGTTAAGACCACTTACAAATGATTATGCTGATCTCCAGGATTTCAATTCTAGCTTGATTTTAACCCCCCAAACTAGATATGTTTATTATTATTATTATATAACAAATGTTTGTTCAGTTTACTCAGAAACTTGCCATTTTATTTGTTGACATTTCCTTCTAGTATACCAGATCTGTGATCTTTTCTCCCCTGTAAAGGGTAAAAGTTCCTTTAGGGAGAATTTGTTGGTAACGAACACTCTCAGTATTTGCTGTCTGACAATACCTTTATTCCAGTGTCATGATGATATGGGCAGAAGGCAGGAGGGTGGGATTCCTAGTGAGGGCTCCACCCTTAAACTTGGACCCGTGGCCCTAAATGAATTCTCACACCTGATATGGTTTGGCTCTGTGTCCCTACCCAAATGTCATCTTGAATTGTACTCCCATAATCCCCAGGTGTTGTGGAAGGGACTTGGTGGGAGATAATCTGAATCATGGGGGTGGTTTCCCCCATACTGTTCTGGTGGTAGTGAATAAGTCTCATGAGATCTGATGGTTTTACCAGGGGTTTCCACTTTTGCATCTTCCTCATTTTCTCTTGCCCCCACCATGTAAGAAGTGCCTTTTGCCTCCCGCCATGATTCTGAGGCCTCCCCAGCCATGTGGAACTATAAGTCCAATTAAACATCCCTTTCTTCCCAGTCTCAGGTATGTCTTTATCAGCAGCATGAAAACAAGTTAATACAGCATCTGAATGTTGCCTTTTCCAAGACAACTCTGGTCCACCCCACCCCCATCCTCCTGCCCATAAGAACCCCAAACCCCAAGCTCCATGAGCAGAAGAGTGGCAGAGAGGCAGAGCAGCAGAGAAGGTAAGAAGGAAGAAGCATCTGAATGACAAGAGGAGTTCAGCTGGGGACAATGTGAGAGGAGTCCGGCCAGTGACTACCGAACTCCAGGGGAAGAATATCTTCACACTCCATCCCCTTTCCAGCTCCCCATTCCCCTGAGAGCCACCTCCATCACTCAGTAAAACGTCCACATTGACCATCCTTCAAGTCCATATTACCTGATTCTTCCTGGATGCCAGACAAGGACCTGGGTACCAAGAGGGCAGGGTGTAAAAGGCTGTCACCCTGACTCTCCACTGAGCTGGTTAACACTTAGCCCTCCACGGATGGCAACTGCTAAAAGAGTATTAATTGTAACACACCCCTAGATACTACAGTGGGGTCGGAGCCCAAAAGCACTAGCCCCAGCCCCAGCCCCCGAATGCTCCCTTTCACCTGCATGCTCCACCTCCTTCAAGGGGTTTGAGTGCAGTGGCCGAACAAAATGAGCCATCACCCAGGACAAGTCCCACAAAGGGGTCCAGGGAAGTCTTCCATCTCAATTATTGAAGGGTAGTCTTTCTGAATTTACATTTATGGGCTGAATGTTCTTTCTCAGCACATGAAAGATATCATTGCCATTTCCTTTCAGTTTCTATTGTTGCAATGTTAACAGTCAATTTTTAAGTAATCAGTCTTTTTTTCTTCTGATTGGTTTTAAAATCTTTCCTTTGTCTTCTGGGTTCTTCAGTTTTACTACAGTCTAGGTATGACTTTTTAAAAATTTTCCTGCTTGAGATATGTGAACCTTTCTGAATCTGAGGATTTGTATCTTTAACAAATTCTAGGGCAGAAAAACAGCTGTTATCTCACAAAATACCAGCTTTCTGCCTCTTATTATCTCCTTCTGGAACCCTTTTTGACATGGAGTGGACTGTCTCTCTGTAATCCAGATTTGCTCAAATTTCACCTTTGCTTTTTCCACTTCTTTTTCTGTCATCTTCATTCTGAACAAATTTCCTCTGCTCTCTCTTCCATTTAATTAATTACAACTTTAACTCTGTAATAAGTTGCTTTTCTTTCAATTGCTATATACTGTTCTGATTTCTGGAAATTCCATCAGATTCTTTTTTTAAAGAAATCTAGCTGTGAATTTTGGCAGGCTTTTATTTCACAATCATACTTTAAATTCCACCTTTTATTCTTTAAACACAGTAGCCTTATTTTATATTTTTTTATTTCATCATTCCTGTACCTCTTATCTCTCTAGGGGCCTGATCCTGCAGTTTGTTATTTCTGCTAAATCCTGCTTGCAGTGGATTGTTTCTTCATATAAGAATGTACGACATTTACTTATCCTTTTCCTTTTTTAATTAACATTTAATTTGTTTACAATTCATCTATGTTCTTATCTCCTTTAGCAGATGTGCTAATCTCTTTTGCAGATACCTAGAATCAAAACTGCTGGTCACAGTGTATACACTTTCAGTTTATAGCCTCTGAAATGATGGCAATACATTCAATCCCCACTAACAGTGTAGTAGAGTTGCTGTTTTCCAGAAAATCTCAAAACCTGACATTGTTAGAATTTTACATTTTTCCCAATCCTATGGGTTCCAAAATAAGTATGTAACTATTTTTACACTTGTAGTCCCCTAATCACAGTAGCATAACACATCTTTTCAAATGGTTATGGCCATGAATTTTTTTTTAATTTTTTTTCCATTTCTCTAAAAAATAATAATGGTTGTTATTCATTGAGTAGCATATTGTTTTATACTAAGATTTCTAGTGAAAACTAGAAATGTGGCATTGTTGATTGAAAAGAGATGTGTATGCCTTATGTTCAGACATGGAGATAGCACTGTTGCAATATTTTTACTTTATGATCAACCAATGTTAAGAATTTGCATGAAGCTGGGCACAGTGGCTCTAGCCTGTAATCCCAACACTTCAGAAGGCCAACGTGGAAGGACTGCTTGAGCCCAGGAGTTCAAGACCAGCCCGGGAAACATGGCAAGACCTGGTCTCTATTTTTAAATAAAAAGAAGTTGCATGCCAAGAAACATCATTCTTAATTCTTCCACCCCCAAAATCTCTACTACTTATAACCATTCTTTTCCTGAAGTAGCACATGGGAATATATCACAGTAAGTGGCAAAAAAAAATAATTTGCACATGTTTCTTGAATGCTGTGTGTAAAACAAGACTCTACACATAAAGTATAGGATTTCATTTTTTGAAAAGTCATATGATGACTCAAGCAAAGAGAAATAAACTTTAGATGAATTTAGACACCATTGTAGTTTTTACAAACCAAAGTTAATGTCCTGAATTTAAGGCATCAAGGAATGATCTATCTTGCTAATGCCATATTATAAGATGTTAAAGTGCAAATGCAAAATCTCAAGGTATTACTTGTCTCTAGTATTATATCAGGTTTTACAAAGGGATATTATAATTGCTTCAAAGGCTTTGGAAAAGAGCAAGTAACAAACCCAAGGCAACAATCCGCTAGTCTTACATCAGTTAACATAGCCACAAACTAATTAGCTCTAATGTGAACTGTCAGAACTATTTTCAGGCTGATTACTGAGAAATATCTGATTACTCCAAATGCCTGCACACTTTCAGTGATTTACATGGTCACGTTGAGAAAAACGTGCTTCAGAAGAACCTAAGGACTACAAGTATTAAAAACCCCAAAGAAATTATGAGAGGGCTCTCTTTAACAAACTAATATTTATGTATATGAACAAAGCTATTCACTGTGATATTTAGTAAAACTAAGGGTTTATGTTAGCTTAATTTGAATTCATTTCTAAAATCAGCAACAACCAATGACAAATTTATTAATAAAGGGCCTGTTTATACATCCATTGTGAAGGTTAATTATTTGATAGTTTAAATAAAGCTGTGCTTTGACTATTGCTGTTATTACAAGTATGTATTTAGTAAGGCTGAATACTTACCAAATATATAGGAAACATACAATTTTGTAGATGTTTGTGAAATTCAAGGACAGTAGCTCTTACTGATAGGCAGTAATGATTGTAATAAAAGAGATGTCAGTAAAAAAATAAAATACTATAATTATGATGAATAAGTAAAATATAATTTCTTTAAAAATTGTCTAAGAGTTGTTAACCCATGTTATAACACCCATGGTTCTTAGTCATGGTCATCAAATTATTGTTCACATAATGAGCTGTAGAAATGCCACAGATTTGTTTGGTAAGTGTGAACAATAGTTTAGTAGTGCATAGATGTGTCCATCAGCTCTGTTGCCAAAGTGGGCATTCAGAAAACACTGTTGCTAGGCAACAGGCTGCCCTCCTAACTACTGCCAGGCATTTTGAAAGATCTAGTGTGACTATGAAAAAGTATGTCAAGAATGTAAAAAAATCACCAATATTCAATCATTCTGCAAAAATGAAACAGTTACTTGGAAAGCAAATGAATATAGAGGAAAGACTAAATTTGCACATTGATTTACAGTTTAAGAAGCATCTTAAATAAATCTGACTTGATTCTCATAACATCTTGTGAGACAACAAGAGAGATATTTTTATTATTTTCATTCTACAAGTGAGAAAACTGTGACCCAGAGAAGTTACACACCTATTAGGTTGAAGGCACACAACGCTCAGGTTATTGGTACTTTATTTCTTTTTAATACACATTTTTTTTTTGCAAACACATGACTGAGAAAAAAATATATTTTAATATAGTGGTTCTGTCATCACTGGTAAGTCCAGTTTGACATGGAATGAGTATAAGAAAAAGCATTCTAATGAATCTCACAAGATTTTGCTTCAAATGTAAAAAAATAATGAATCAACAATAAGCCAAAGCAAAGAAATAACCACTATAGCATAGAAGTAACTTGAGAGGCTGTTACAACTATATATTCACACTAACCCTTCAATAGCTCCATTTTATAAATTAAAAAGTTGAAGCTCATAGAAATTAGCGGTACTCCATCACTGGTAATCGGCAGAGGTAGGGTTTGAACTATCTAATATCAAAACCAATGATTTTTTTTTCTTTTCTAAATCCCACAAGGCATCATAGAACTCGAAGATAGCCAGAAATATGTTATATGTGAACTACAGTGATACAGCATTAAGAATTTGTACTCACCTTAGGTAATCAACTCAGATTTTTACTTATGTCAATAGATAGCAAACAGATTACTTTTGAAACAAAACTATGTAAATTGTATTTCATTTGGACACGGTGTTAATTACCTCCATTTTATCCAGGTAATTTTAAGAAAATAAGGCACGTCTTCATGTCTCAGTTAATTGTACAATGCTTCTTTCACTCCTTCCCTTAGCCAAGGTTTTCTCTCTGTGCTTTCATTCTGACTCACTGGGGAGATATAAGCTGATTTTTGGCTCATAGGTTTGCACACTCAGTCAGAGAAATGGACTGAGTTATACTTTGTTATTTCTGGGTTTACAGTGTCTGGCCCATGTAAGTTAGAGAGAATGCAAGATTCAGACTAGAGTACACTTCTATAAAGAAAAAAATGAACCAGTTTATCCCTATCAATGAGAGAATAGAGTGTCACAGGCTGCACATTGACATGCCAGTCCCTTGTTGCTTTCAGATATATCAAAAACATTAATATATTTTAATACATTTGTATTTCTGCTAGACTGAAAAGAAAAACAAAATCTGTCCATTTGTTTTGGCAATTCCTATCACCAAATAATATTTTAGTAATCACTTAAAATATTTTATAGTCATATTTCTGAGCTTTTACTTTCTGGAACCTTTGGAACTATGTGACAATGTAGGAAATCTCATTTTTTCTTCTTTCTTTCAAACACCTCAAAATATCCTAATGAATTTGTGACAGTAATTTCAGATTAAATATCATGCGACACAAGCTGTGATGGTAGAAATTCTAAAAATATGACAATCCCACCAATTAAAAAGAAACCCAAGTGACATTTAAGAACACAAGGTGATGAGGTCAGGAGTTTGAGACCAGCCTGGCCAACCTGGTGAAACACTGTCTCTACTAACAATACAAAAATTAGCTGGGCGTGGTGGCAGATGCCTATAGTCCCAGCTACTTGGGAGACTGAGGCAGGAGAATTGCTTGAGCCCGGGAGGCTGAGGTTGCAGTGAGCTGAAATAGTGCCACTGCACTCCAGCCTGTGCAACAGAGCAAGACCTCACCTCAAAAAAAAAGAATACAAGTTGAAGAATAAGCCAAATACAGACAATAATTTACCCATTACACCTTAATATTCTGCTGGCTAGTAGTTGTTTGAACACTTGAAAACTCAGACGTTCAACAACTGTCACTTGTTTGTATAACAGATTTAGAAATATCTATTCATCCATGACTGTAAAATAGAGCCATAAATTGTATCTACTAAAATATTTTTTGTAACATTTTTAGGTTACACATATTCGAATATTTATATTATTCTATTAAAGCTAATAAATCTATCCTATAGTTTTTGAAAGAGAATCTGGAGTCTTAAAAAAAAGCAGTGGCTCCAAAACAACCATTTTGTAGATTTTACTATGTACAGTTAAATTAACATATTTGAATATAACCCAATTCAGGGTGAATTATAACATAGATGATTGTGGAACAGGAAATATTATATGAGTAATTTTGTGAAGAAAATAAATTTTTGACGAATATCTGTTTTCTAATTTGTAGGCCAAATTTGAAATGTACATTTATACAGTTTTCCTCAATAGAATTGCAACATAATTTTATGTTGACAGATTATCGAATAAGAAAAAGAGATCATAATATTAGTCACCAAACACTGTACTGCAGTTTGCCTACACATATTCATATTTAAATTTGAAACAACTCTATTATTTGCTCCATTTTATAGGCTTACAAATGATAAATAAATAACCCACAATCACATTGATTGTAAATAGAACAATTGGAACTTAAATTCATGCTAACTCCTGACTCAGTACTTTCAACTACCATAACTCACAGTTACCCTGGAGTACTTAGGCAGATAGTACAGCAAAAGAGATCATTATAAGCATTTCTATATTATTTAATAAGCTATATTATAATAATATTTTCCATAGATTTCAAAAAGGTATTATCTTTCTCAAGTTATATCTGGCATTGCAAGTTATGTAATTAGATAGATGAATGTAATTCAATGCCTATTTATTCAGCAAAAATATAATTCCCCCTGCCACAGAACATGATTCCATTTCAGTCTCACATATTTCACATGACAGTACTCCAAACTACACAGAGTTTAAACGCACAGAAGGAAAGTGCCTAGAAAAGATATAGAAGTCCATTCAATATAGATTTAATTATAAAAGCATTTAACTGTACTGGTAGTGATCATTACACGGTAGTTCACACATTAAATGGAGAGTCTATTAGGAAAGATAGATTACCTCAGAACTGAAAGTCATTTACGTATCACCAAATTGTTAGACATCTTACGTATTTCAAACAATGATTTGTTAAAAGTCAAAGACCAGGTCTGTCAAATACCTCAATACTAGAGCAGCTGGCCTCAAATTCTTTGGACGGAAGCTAGTTAAACATGCACACCCAAATTTAACACTTCCCTTGCACTAAGTTAAATATTCAAGAGAGTATAATATTCAATGATACAGCAGGTGATAATGAAGCTATTACTAAAAATAACTACTTGCATTTCTACTAGATACATTTTATATTCTATAGCACTCACTAATTGAATAAACTACTTCAATTTGTTATATAATCATTTTTAAAAATGCCATTTAAACTCCATAATATACACTTTACACTGCACTGTTGTAATATCATTAATGGCAAGACACAAACCCTCAGGGGTATATTTACAGAAGAAATGAGATAGTGCACTCAGCATATGAAGGTTTTGTCATTTAAAATTACTTTAACATATGGAAAAGTCTTTCAGAAATGTTTCACAAGAATTGGAGTCAAATCAAGTTCTTAAGAGAGAGCCAAGTGTCAAACCATGGTGACCAAATATCAACATAAATATAAGAAATTAAGGAACAGGATGGTAAGCCAAAAGTTAAGGCAAGAGTGAAATGTTAAGTGGAGCAGTGCTGTGAAACATATAGGGCATCTGCCACTCACCTACGTTGTTAGTCAGTAGACAAGTTTCAAAAATATACAGGGCTGCCTTCATTCAAGATATGGCAGAACAATACAATTGGTGATGACACACTGCATTAAAATGTACAGGCTTATAGGACCTGAACTCAGCTCTGGATCAAGTGGACTTGATAAATATCAACAGATCTCTCCATCCAAAAACAAAAGAATATCCATTCTTATCACTGTATGGCACTTACTTTAAAATTGATCAAATAATTGGAAGTAAAACACTCCTCAGCAAGTGCAAAAGAACTGAAATCATAATAAATGGTCTCTCAGACCACAGCACAACCAATTTAGGACTCAAGATTAAGAAACTCATTCAAAACCACACAACTACACGGAAACTGAACAATCTGCCCCTGAATGACACTTGGGTAAATAATAAAATTAAGGTAGAAATCAAGAAGTTCTTTGAAACTAATGAAAACAAGGAGACAACATACCAGAATCTCTGGAATGCAGCTAAAAAGCAGTGTTAAGAGGGAAATTTATAGTGCTAAATGGCCACATTAAAAAGCTAGAAAGATCACAAGTTAACAACCTAACATCACAACTAAAAGAACTAGAGAACTTAGAGCAAACAAATCTCAAAGCTAGCAGAAGACAAGAAATAAACAAGATCAGAGCTAAACTGAAGGTTATAGACATGAAAAACCCTTAAAAAATCGACAAGTTCAGGAGCAATTTTTTAAAAAAATTAATAAAATAGATAGACTGATAGCTAAACTAATAAAGAATAAAAGAGAGAAGAGCCAAACAGACCCAATCAGAAATGATAAGGGGGAGTCACTATTGAAACCACAGAAACACAAACAGCCATCAGAGAATAATATAAACACCTCTATGCACATATACTAGAAAATCTAGAAAAAATGGACGAGTTCCTGCAAACATACACCCTCCCAAGACTGAACCAGGAAGAAGTTGAATCCCTGAATAGACCAATAATAAGTTCTGAAATTCAGGCAGTAGTAAATAGACTGCCAACCAAAAAAAGTGGACCAGACAGATTTATAGCTGCATTCAACCAGAGATACAAAGAGCTGGTACCATTTTTACTGAAACTATTCCAAACAGTTGAAAAGGAGGGACTCTTCCCTATCTCATTTTATGAGGCCAGCATTATCCTGGTACCAAAACCTGTCAGAGATACAGAAAAAAAAAAAGAAAGCTTCAGGCCAATATCCCTGATGAATACCAATGCAAAAATCCTCAATAAAATACTGGCAAACTGAATCCAGTAGCACATCTAAAAGCTTATCCACCACAATCAAGTCAGCTTCATCCTGGGATGCAAGGTTGGTTCAGCATACACAAATCAATAAATATAATTCATGACATAAACTGAACTAAAGACAAAAACCACATGATTATCTATACAGATACAGAAAATACCTTCAATAAAATTCAACATCTCTTCATGTTAAAAACTCCCAATAAACTAGGTATTGAAAGAACATACTTCAAATTAATAAAAGCCATATATGACAAAACCACAGCCATTATTATACTGAATGGGCAAGAGCTAGAAGCATTCCCCTTGAAAACTGGCACAAACAATAATTCTCTCAGTACTCTTATTCAACATAGTAGTGAAAGTTCTGGCCAGAGCTATCAGGAAAGAGAAAAAAAAATAAGGGGTATCCAAATAGGAAGAGAGGAAGTCAAATTATCTTTGTCTGCAGATGACATAATCCTGTATCTAGAAAACTCCATCATCTCAGCCAAAAGCTTCTTAAGCCGATAAGCAACTTCAGCAAAGTCTCAGCATAGAAAATCAATGCACAAAAATCACTAGCATTTCTATACACTAACAACAGGCAAGCAGAGAGCCAAATCATGAATGAACTCCCATTCACAATTGCTACAAAGATAATAAAATACCTAGGAATACAGCTAACAAGGGAAATGAAGGACCACTTCAATGAGAACTACAAACCACTGCTCCAAATAATCAGAGGATACAAATAAATTTCTTTAAAAATCCATGGTCATGGCTAGCAAGAATCTATATCATGAAAATGGCCATACTGCCCAAAGTAATTTATAGGTTCAATGCTATTTCCATTAAACTACCATTGACATTCTTCACAGAATTAGAAAAACATATTTTAAAATTTATATAGAACAAAAAAGCCCAAATGAACAAAACGATCCTAAGCAAAAACAACAAAGCTGGAGGCATCATGCTGATAGACTTCACACTACACTACAGGGCTACAGTAACCAAAAAGCATGGTGCTGATACAAAAACAGACACATAGACCAATGGAACAGAACAGAGAACTTAGAAATAAGACTGCACACTTACAACCATCTGATCTTTGACAAACCTGACAAAAACAAGCAATGGGGAAAGGATCCCCTATTGAATAAATGGTGCTGGGAGAAGAGGCTAGCCATATGTAGAAAATTGAAACTGGACCCCTTCCTTACACCTTATGCAAAAAATAACTCAAGATGGATTAAAGACTTACATGTAAAACCCAAAACTATAAAAACCCCTAGAAGAAACCTAGGCAATACGATTCAAGACATAAGCACAGGCAATGATTTCTTGACAAAAATGCCAAATACAATAGCAACGAATGCAAAAATTGGCAAATGTAATCTAATTAAACTAAAAAGCTTCTGCACAGCAAAAGAAACTATCATCAGAGTGAACAGACAACCTACAGAATTGGAGAAAATCTTTGCAATCTACCCATCTGACAAAGATCTAATATCCAGAATCTACAAGAAACTTAAACAAATTTACAAGAAAAAAAAATCCCATTAAAAAGTGGGCAAAGGACAACACACTTCACAAAAGAAGACATTCATGTAGCCAACAAATATATGAAAAAAAAACTCAACATCACTGATTAGAAAAACGCAAATCAAAACCACAATTAGATACCATCTCATGCCAGTCAGAATGGTGATTATTAAAAAGTCAAAAAACAACAGATGCTGGAGAGGTTGCAGATAGAAAGAAACACTTTTACACTATTGGTAGGGGTTTAAATTAGTTCAACCATTGTGAAAGATAGTGTGGCTATTCCTCAAAGACCTAGAGGCAGAAATACCATTTGGTCCAGCAATCCCGTTACTAAGTATAGACCCAAATGAATATAAATTATTCCATTATAAAGATACATGCATGTGTATGTTCACTGTAGCACTGTTCACAATAGCAAAGACATGGAATCAACCCAGCTGCCCATCAATGATAGACTGGATTAAGAAAATGTGGTACATATACACCATGGAGTACTATGCAGCCATATAAAGGAAAGAGGTCATGTCCTTTGCAGGGACATGAATCGAGCTGAAAACCATTATCCTCAGCAAACCAATGGCAGAAACAGAAAACCAAACACCGCATGTTCTCACTTATAAGTGGGAACTGAACAATGAGAACACATGGACACATGAAGGGGAACAACACTCACTGGGGCCTTTCATGGGGGATAGGCAGGGGGAGGGAGAGCATCAGGAAGAATAGCTAATGGGTGCTGGGCTTAATACCTAGGCGACGGGTTGAACCGCGCAGCAAACCACCGTGGCATATGTTTACCTATGTAACAAACCTGCACATCCTGCACATGTACCCTGGAACTTAAAAGTTGAAGGGCAGAAATAGAAATGAGAGAGACAGAGAGTCAGCAATGGAGAGCTAGAGAGAAAGGGAACCTTACAGTCAGAATACGAGGCAACCTGGATATAGGAAACAGAACCAATACCATTAATACCGCTAAAGGAATGTTATGTGGCCAGAATGAAATCATGCATAGAAAACTCTCTGGTATTGTTAGTGTCAGCATATCATAGATGCTCAGTTAATATTGGTAGCTGAATCTAAATTTAATGAATGCCTGTTTGGCTATCAAAATACCTTTCTTCCTCATCCAGTATCATTTATATTACAAATATAATAAGAAAAAAATAAGAAGAAATAACAAGAGACAACCACTGGACCTCTAGAGTCAGCTAAGAGAGAAAGCCATGTAAAATACAGCCAGTGTAGCTTGTAGCCCCTTGTTCTACTAACATAAATTAGGATTACTGTAGCTCATTTTTCTATCAGTATATGTTCTGGTTATTTTATGCTGAAAACTTTTAACTGGAGTAGAATAACAATCATCAACTTCATCATCATATATTCCTGATTTTAATCCTCGGTCACTACCTATTTATTGTCTGTAAATTTTAACAAATTGCTAACTCCTCTGAACAGATAAAATGCAGGCAATATTGTGTACCTCATCAGGTCATTGAGCAGACTAATTTTCAGAACATAACATAGTGACTGTCATTTAGTACATTCTACATAAATGGATGTCATATGTAAATACAAATGTCAAGAAATTGTGAAGTCTGCCTCTCTAGTTTTCTCACTTAATTCTCAATTAATTTTCATGCAGCTTAAGGATTTTTAATTGTCTATACTTCCTTTAAAATTTACCAATTTGTTAATGATGCCATTTGAAATAAACCTGAATTCCACGAACTGTAATACAATTCAGAATGTTACAGGATAAAGTTGATAAAAATGTTTTCATCGGTCAGGCTTAAATTTTTATTTTAATGAAGAAACACATTAGGATGAGTTGATTCCTGATTCCTATTTTTATGCTTATTGTTATCTACTTATTCTTCAATTCCAATAAAATTGGTTCATCAAAAAAAAAATTCAGGCCTAAAATGACAATAGCCCACTGTATTTTACAACACAAATAAAAAGATAAATTTATAAGTATAGATGAAATAATTTTGTTACTCATTGATGAGAAATTAAAAATCAGCACCAGATGAAATGTATGTAGTAAACTGTCCTCAAGAACTTTAGATTTTGTAACACATAGACTCCTGCCCAAGAATAAAAATGAGAGCTGGGGTTTGAAAGGAAATGAGAAGAGAGAAAGTTAGAGAGAGAGGAAGGTGAGTTTAATATACTTGTCTTCTATGATTTCTTTTTTTTTTTTTTTGAGACAGAGTCTCACTCTGTTGCCCAGGCTGGAGTGCAGTGGCGCCATCTGGGCTCACTGCAACCTCCACCTCCTGGGCTCAAGTGATTCTCCTGTGTCAGCCGCCGGAGTAGCTGGGACTACAGGCACATGCCACCACACCCAGCTGATTTTTGTATTTTGGTAGAGAAGGGGTTTCACTTTGTTGGTCAGGCTGGTCTCAAACTCCTGACCTCAAGTGATCCACCCGCCTTGGCCTCCCAAAGTGCTGGGATTACAGGTGTGCATCACTGCACCCGGCCTATGATTTCTTTATTTAAGGCCCTTTCAGAAATTTACTTTTTTTCACGTTTAGTGATTTGAGACTATTCAGGATAGGTATAAACTTAACATATAAAATATACTTTTCTGTGAGACGATAAATATCTCTGCTTACTCATTGGTTACATTATACGTTATTAAAAATGCCATTCCATTTTCCACCATTTAACTTTTACAAATGAAGAGCTGTCTTTTTTTTATATCCCTCCCCTAAGGGCTACACTGAATTTTAGCTCATTGGAATTTTATATCCAATAGCAAATATGACATAAGAACATTAAAATGATTGTAATTGCTTTTGTCACTCACTAAAACTTGCCTAGACATTGGGGGAAATAATGGTGAGAATTTAATCATTTATAAACACATTAAAACATATAAATGACGAAACCCACAAATGAGGTATTTTCAGCAGTGATTCTTAGTATAACTTTGGTTGAGATACTGAGAGAACAGACTGCAATTACTCTAGTTCAATGCTACTTGACTGTTTGGAGGGTTTGGGTTTCTTTTTTTTTTTTTTTTGAGACAGAGTCTTGCTCTATTACCCAGGCTGGAGTGCAGTGGCATGATCTCAGCTCACTGCAAGCTCCGCCTCCCGGGTTCACGCCATTCTCCTACCTCAGCCTCCCGACTAGCTGGGACCACAGGCGCTCGCCACTACACCCAGCTAATTTTTTGTATTTTTAGTAGAGACAGGGTTTCACCGTGTTAGCCAGGATGGTCTCGATCTCCTGACCTCGTGATCTGCCCGCCTCCGCCTCCCAAAATGCTGGGATTACAGACTTGAGCCACCGCGCCCAGCCTGGAGGGTTTCTATTTAATGGAAGCTAAGAGCTTTCTCTCCAGAAATATGCAGAGGAATACAAAATAATTTTACAAATTATTTTGGGTGGTAAGGTTGGTGGCAGGTATGGGGGTAGGAACTCAACCTCTAGTGTTACCTCTCATCTGACTTTCTATTCTAGTTTTTCAAAAATCTTCACAAAAATATCTTTTTATGAACATTGTAGATATTTTAGCCATAATATGCAAATACTAGTTTCATCTCTCTTCTTTTTTAAATTATCTGACATCCTTGCCAAATGTCCCATATTTTTAAAATGTAATCTATTCAGTTAAAAAATATGTCCCCAATGAACTATTTTAATATCAGTAAATAAGCAAAGTAAAATGTCAGGCTTATGCATGTAACCAGTTACATATATCCAAGACAATCTAAAATAAATGATATAATTAAAAATGCATCTAGCTATTTCAGCTTTTTATAATTACCCTCTGAGATGATTTTTTGAAACTAAGTCACTTTTAAGCAAAGAAAACATATTCAAAATTTGTCTGAAAATTTTGTGCTCAATAAATATTTGTGGAATAGATTAATGTTACCTTTGGATTCTTTATTATAAGATGTGTGTGTGTGTGTGTGTGTGTGTGTGTGTGTGTGTGTGTTTAAGGGAAGCTAACACAGCATTTCCTCTGTTTTTCTTGTTCACAGTAACTTTTCTTGTTCACATTTAGTGTTTTTATATATCTTACTCTAATATACCACATATATTGTGTTAAGATGTTATGAATAATTCAAAATAATTAGTTTTTCAACTGGGGTCAGGCATTACTTGAGTCTACAGATCTGTATAACATTTATATATTCTCCCCATTTCAACAGCTGATATTGTGAATAATTTAACCTTTTCTTAGTGATTCATGTTCACCTTTAACAACATCAATAAATGCCAAGATTTCCAGCTTCAGGGGCATGCCCTCAGGGGCTCTCAAGTTGTGTCTAATAGATGGTTTTTCTGTATTAAACAACCACAGAAAAACTTTAAAATAATTTTGTCTGAATTTTACTGTTTGTTTTTTTTTTCTGTTCTCCTCATTGTTAGATTGCTAAATATTCCAACTTTGGATCTGTCTTTGCCTACACCTGACAGTCCATTTTACCTCACTAAATTGCTAATCTTGTCGGCTTTCAATTAGCACACAGGGTAATTTTGTGCAAAATTAGAGTAAATAAGTAGATTCTGAGTGAAGGCCTCTGAATAAAGTGGTTGGCTATTATACTTTCATTGTTGAAAATCAGTAACTGTTGTTCTGTACTACGTGGAGTTGCCAGACAGTTATATTCATGTGCCATATTTTACTATAAATATGGTGACCATTGAGGAGACCCAATCTTATCTTTGGGAACATGCATTATGTACAAAGGTTATCTCTGTGTAGATCTGTGTGTACAGGCAAATAATCTTTGTATACAATGCATGTACACACAGGTGGTAGCTTTGACCAAAGAGGACACTGGAAGATAATTAGAAGGCTGGAGGTGAGAAAAACCAGGTTATTTCTCCCGCCCCATAAATCTGCTTTAAGTGGCTTCGTTTCCTTTCAGCAGCTGCATCTCTCTTAACATTTTAGTTTTCATTGAGCACCTTCACCCTCCTTTGGTCTAGTTTTTCCTGGTTTCGGGTTCTGGTAACACCATCTCTTCTTTACATTTCTCCGGCTATAGGAGTACTATCAGTGTCCTCTTGTTAATAATCCCCGGAGATATCTGTCATGATATTGTATGCTTACGGGAACACAATCTGGAATGTATCGCAGTTTCATTCTACATACCCTGGGAGAAAATGAGTGCCTTGAGATTATTTTTGAGCCTCAAGAATATTTGAAGTGAAGGTATATGGAGAATGACGGTTTTACAGTCTAGAGATTTCATTACTACCTCCTTTAACATTTAAATTGGAAATGTGGTCAGGGATCAAAGGCTGGAAAATAGGTTATATAGACAAATGAGACACAGACAAGTCGGTTTTTGTGGTTTAATTTAAAAAAAAAGCAGAAGCTGGATTGTAAAACTGCCATGGTAATCATGTCACAATAATTACAGGGAAGTTAATATATCCCATAAGAACAAAAGCAATACAGCAATCTAGGCTAGATCTCTGTCAAGTAGGTTTGCCAGTGAAGATAGAACTTAATGTCTGAAGTAGAAAATTTTGAGAGTAAAAAGGGGCACAAGAAATAATGCAATAAGAAAATTATACACTTTGGGGATATTTACATAGAGAATGACGATTAGTTTTATTTTCTTGGCATACTTATACAATGATTCTATTAAAAAAAGAACAGTTCTATTAAAACAGTCACTCCATTTGACACAAGTAATGGCTTCATTTACCAGAATGATTCTGTCAAAAGCAAATTTTTGGATAAAACATTTTATAAAAATTAAAATGCTATATATCTTTGTGTATCAATGTGTATTAAAACAAGATAAAGTCTTTATATTGATTATAAGCAATTTTAAGCTTGGTATACATTCATCTACTTTAATTAGTTTTCTGACCTCATGTGTACCAAATATAATGTCATAGGTATTTTTTAAAATAATGTATTTTTAAAAAGGTTATTATTTAAATTTTTAATACATTTTGCCTTCTAATTTGATCAGGGTTGAATTATATAATTAATTTTTTCATATGTTGATACTCTCAGTTGACTCTTTTCAGCATCCCAAAATATTTTTAATCATGAAAATTATCTCTCTACAATTATTGATGTACCTGGTAAACTCAGTGAAAATTCTGCAAAGTGAAGAATATTTCCAATTCAAATTTTTGTTTAAATTGTGTAAATATTTCAGCCCAAGTATTTTTATAGGTAGTCTTTCCTCTGTTCAAAGTATCTCTCTTCAACAAATGTTTTTACCGTAAAATTTACTAATGTTATTTATATTTATAATTCCTTTAAAAATATTGCTAAAGTTAGGTGCTACATTTTAACAAGGCACAGAATCTACATTTGTCTAATTACACATAAATGCTCCATCAAAAAAATCTTCCTACAATCAAGATTCCAAACCATAATTTTAGAATTTCAAAATTAGACCTTCTGCAAATTCTGTCCTCTCATTGTCTATTTGTTGAGTTCTTCTCTTGATTTTGTAAGTAGAGATTTCAAAGCCTTCCTATTTGTAAGCTTAGTGTTTAGTAATCACAATTTGCTAAAATATTCAAAAGTTAAAATTTTTAACACCCTACATAACTGAGTATTTTGATTAAAGATTTTCAATTGATTTCAAGCAAAATTCAATAAATATTTACAAGGCTCACAAACAGGAAGTTTAACAAAATGTTTTGTAAAGTCAAATATTTTTAAAATCTGATAAGAATAGCAAAGAGAGAAAGTATGTCTGTTATGCTACAGTATTGTGTATAGGTGTTACTAGTTTATATATAAAAATATTTTTAAATTTTGCCAACTACAGCTGTTTGTTTGGTCAGTAGACAATTGCAGCTTATTCAAATGCAATTATGAACTATGTGTTCAGAAATGTCAATTCCAAGTTCATTTTTGATTCATGAATTTCTTAATTTAGCAGGAATGTTGCTGGTACCATGATAATGTAGTGCACCAAAATGCACATTCCTATCATCACCACAAAAACGAATTTATCTTCAATTTTGAACATGTTCACCAAATTTACAATAGCAATCATAATATTGTCAAATATTTCATCTTCAACAGAGTGAACATCCAGTGTGTTTGATTCTGTAACCACAGAGTGAACATCCAATGTGTTTGATTCTGTAACCACAGAAGCAGCCCAATCTGGTTCAAGTTTGTGTAATAAAATGATGAGTTTTTTTCAGTTGCCATGAATCCCCATGTTTCAAGTTATGTAACCTGAGCAAACCCAGATGAAAAAGGCATGCCACCAGCAGTGGAACCTAGGTGCTCAGATGAAGGAACAGGGACTGAATTAAGAAGTAGTCACCTTCATGACATGATCCATTATCATGAACCCTGGCATCACCCCATGACATGATCTAGTCAGAGAGTGCCTCCTGGCATCAAATCATTCCAAGATCCAGTCAGATCATGCCTGTTGCAGGAAGTCAGGGACCCTGAACAGAGGGACTGGCTGAAGCCATGGCAGAAGAACATAAATTGTGAAGATTTCATGGACATTTATTAGTTCCCCAAATTAATACTTCTTTAATTTCTTATGCCTGTCTTTACTGCAATCTCTGAACATAAATTGTGAAGATTTCATGTACATTTATCACTTTCCCAATCAATCCTCTTATAATTTCCTATGCCTGTCTTTATTTTAATCTCTTAATCCCATCATCTTTGTAAGCTGAGGATGTATGTTGCCTCAGGATCCTGTGATGATTGTGTTAACTGCACAAATTGTTCATAAAGCATGTGTGTTTGAACAATCTGAAATCTGGGCATCCAAAAGGAACAGGATGGCTGTGATTTTCAGGGAACAAGGAAGATAAACATTGGGCCTGACTGCCTGCTGGGCTGGACAGAACAGAGTCAGATTTCTCTTCTTACAAAAGCAAATAGGAGAAGAAATATTGCTGAATTCTTTTTCTCAGCAAGGAACAGCTCTGAGAAAGAGAATGCATTTCCCAGGGGGAGGTCTCTAAAATGGCCACTCTGGGAGAGTCTGTCTTATAAGGTTGTTGATAAGGGATGAAATAAACACCAGTCTCCTGTAGTGCCCCCAGGCTTATTAGGATTAGGAAATTCCTGCCTAGTAAATTTTAGTCAGACCGGTTATCTGCTCTCAAACCCTGTCTCCTGATAAGATGTTATCAATGGCAGTGCGTGCCCACTGGGACATGAAACTTCATCAGCAATCTAATTTTGCCCTGGTCCTGTGATCTCACTCTGCCCCCATTTGCCTTGTGATCTTTTATTGCCGTTGAAGCATGTGATCTCTGTGACCCACACCCTATTCATACACCCCTCCTCTTTTGAAATCCATAATAAAAACTTGCTGGTTTTGCAGCTCAGGGGGCATCACAGAACCTGCCAACATATGATGTGTCCCCCGGACACCCAGCCTTAAAATTTCTCTCTTTTGTACTCTTTCCCTTTATTCACAGACCAGCTGACACTTAAGGAAAATAGAAAAGAACCTACATTGAAATATTGGGGGCTAGTTCCCCCAATATCTGGCACTCCAACATAGTCTTTCTTTTTTCCCAAGTGCATGTGGGAATCCAATTCCCTTTGGTAGGTGCAGAGAAATGTCATCAGTTAGGTCTACAGAAACACTTGTTCGACTCCCTGATGACTGGTGAGTAGTCTGTGTATGGTCTGGGTTAACTATGGGTCACATGGAGTCTAAACATTATACTTATCTCTGCTATATTAAACTCCTGTTAAAACAGGGTGGTGTCCCAGTAACTATGGAAAATATGGTCACTCTATTCAGGGCAGTGGAAGAACACTGTCCTTGGTTTCCTGAAAAAGGAATCTTAGATGTACAACTATGGGATCATGTTGGTGCAATATTCCGGGAACTGGTCTCCACAGGGAATTATGTTCCTGCCACTGTTTGGGGTGACTGGGCCTTGGTACGTGCTGTCCTAATGACATACCAATCCTGTGACCCCCTACAGTTACCACAGTTTTCTGAATCTGATGACCCTCCACCTCTTCCCCAACCTTCCTCTGCCTCATGGCTTTCATTATCTGATCAGCCTCTCCCTTTGGCTACTCCTCCCCCACCTGACAATGTTGAGAATTCAAAGTCTAACTCTGGTGACTCTGGATTACAGTCACCCCCTAATGATCTTATTTCTTTTCATGAAGAGCTGGTATTTGTGGCTCCCACGGCCCCGACTCAGACAGCCTGGGACCATATATACACTAATTCTTCTCTCTTCAAACCTCTGGAGTCACCTGCTGGCTCCGGGACCAAACTACAATGTACCTATAATTCTTCAGGCCCTCCCCCATCCACTTCAGCCCCTCACCCTCCTGTCCTTTCGGTTCCTCAACCAGTCACTTTGCCATTCATTCAGCCTGCTTCTCTGTACCCTTCTTCACACATGGACGCCAGTAACCACCAGTATACTTCTGCTCTCCCAACACCCCTTTCTTACACTCTCATTCCGGTCTGACTCCCTCACCCTTAGTTTCCCTTATCTACACATGCTTTTCCTGTCACTTCTATGCCAACTCTGTCTCAGATGCCTACTCTTGAAACTTCAATGCAACACTTATTATGCCAAAACAAAGAAACAAGTGGATTAGATGCATGGGATTATCTGGTCGCACTAGAACCTCTCAACTTCCAAGGGGTACAAATGCATCATTATGTACCTCTCAATCTTACCTTTTTAAAAGAATTTAAGGATGCTTGTACTCAGTATGGCCCTACTTCTCCTTATGTTAAAATGGTATTACAAACTTTTTGTACTGAGGTCATTTTGCTTC
Source organism: Homo sapiens (assembly GCF_000001405.40). Taxonomy (NCBI): domain Eukaryota; kingdom Metazoa; phylum Chordata; class Mammalia; order Primates; family Hominidae; genus Homo; species Homo sapiens. The sequence continues at coordinate 76,494,342 of NC_000006.12, read as the reverse complement.
CTTTAGACTGGGACCTTTTGGCAAAAGCTGTTCTAACCCCGTCTCAGCATTTACAGTTTTGTACCTGGTGGTCAGAGGAGGCCTGTCTGCAGGCTCAGCTAAATTGGACTAATGGCATTCTAATCACTTAGGCTCAGCTCACAGGCTCCAGTAGTTTCTCTAATACTTATGCCCCATTAAACTTTGATGCTCTTACCACAAAACAAGTAACAAAGGTGTGTATGAGAGCTTGGGATAAATTACATGCCCCAGGCCAAGCTCCTGTTTCTTTTACTATGGTTAAACAAGGTCATGCTGAATTATACCCTGATTTTTTAGCTAAATTACAAGACGCTGTTGAAAACTCTGTCTCTGATGAGCATGCTCAAGGTATTCTCCCTCGTATGTTAGCTTTTGAAAATGCAAACCATGAGTGTAAAATGGCCATGCATTCCATCCAACGACAAAATTTACCTGATCACGAGGTGTTGCCTACATATATTAAAGCTTGTGAAGGCATTGGATCAGACATCCACAAAGCTATTCTGTGGGCACGGGCCATGAAGGACACCAATCAAACTGGCCCCACTAATTCTTTTCTTGGAGCCTGCTGTAATTGTGGTCAACTTGGTCATACTTGGAAAAATTGCACTGTTAAAAACTTAAAAGCAGCCAAGCCGGCTCAACAAACACAGCCAAATGCTACTGCTACTGTTTGCCCACATTGTTGCAAAGGTAAACATTGGGCAAGTACCACTCTAAGTATGATATAGATGGAAACCCCCTGCCACAAAACCAGGGAAATGGGGAGCGGGGCCAGTCCCAGGACCTAATATCAAATGGGATGCTTCAGACTCAGACCAACATTGCGTTTCCACTTCAGGCGGTCCCAATGCAGCCCCCAGCACAAATAAATTTACCTACAGCCAACCCAGATGGGTCCCATCCTCTCCTTCCATCTCAGTACAATGCTTGTCCACCTCCACAGTAGGGGGGCAGGGTGGTCAATCTCTGTAGTACTATTCCTCTAAATTTACTACCTCTTTGCCTTTAATTGTCCCCATGGGGGTCACTGGCCCTTTACCTTAAGTTTCGGTGGGCCTGGTGTTAGGTAGGGCATCCACCTCTGCTAAAGGAATCACCATTCATACTGGTCTCATTAATTCTGATTCCATTGATGAGATTAAATTAATCATGCCTGCCAAGTTTCCTGTTTCCATTCTGGCCGGTGAGTTAATTGGTCAATTGCTTTTACTACCTAATATTGTTTTAAACAAAGGAGATAAGACATGTGGCCCTGGGATGGGCTCCAGTGATGAAAAAGCCACTTATTGGATTAATGTAATTTCTAAAAAACAGCCCACTTGCACCATACACATTTAAGGAAAATGTTTGAGGGCCTAGTAGATACTGGGGCTGATGTTTCTATTATTTCCTCTAGTTTATGGCCTTCCTCCTGGCTTAAACATCCAGCTAACATGGGACTAGTAGGTGTTGGAAAAGCCAAGGAAGTTTATGAGAGTACATTTATCTTGCCTTGCACTGGCCCTGATGGGCAAAAGGGTAAAATTCAGCTTTATATCATGCCAATCCCCATTAATCTTTGGGGTAGAGATTTACTGGCACAATGGGGGGCTGAAATTAATATTCCAGATAACTCTTATAGTGCTCCCAGTCAGCATATGATGGAAAACCTGGGGTTTGTTCCTGGACTCAGCCTCAGTCCAAAACAGGAAGGGATTACTAAACCCCTCCCAATTACTGTAAAAGAAGACAGAGCTGGTTTACGTTATCCTTTTTAGTGGTGGCCGCTGCTATGCCTCCTAATCCTATACCCTTACAATGGAAATCTGACATACCTGTTTTGATACAGTAGCAGCCGCTTTCTAAAGAAAAACTGGAGGCTTTAACTCAATTAGTTTCTGGACAGTTACAACTTGGAAATGTGGAACCTTCTATTTCCCCCTGGAATTATCCTGTGTTTCTAGTAAAAAAGAAATCAGGCAAGTGGCGGATGGTAACTGATTTAAGGGCTATTAATGCTGTAATTAAACCTATGGGGGCCATCCAACCCAGCATGCCTGCCCCTGCTTTGATACCTAAAAATTAGCCTCTCATAGTTATTGATCTTAAAGATTGTTGTTTTATATTGCTTTACATAAATCAGATTGTGAAAAATTTGCTTTTACTGTACCATCTATCAATAATCAGGAGCCTGCAGCTCATTATCAATGGAAAGTACTTCCTCAAGGAATGCTAAATAGCCCTACAATCTGCCAGCTTTATGTTGGGCAAGTGCTTTTGCCAGTTTGAGCCCAGTTTCCCCAGGCCTATATTCTTCATTATATTGATGATATTTTAATTGCTGCCCCCACTGATAAAGAATTAATTGACTGTTATCAAATTTTGAGCCACCGTGTTACAGAGGCTGGATTACACATAGCTCAGGATAAAATTCAACAGACCACTCCTGTTCAATATTTAGGAATGGTGGTCAACAAACAACGTATTCAACCTCAAAAAGTTCAAATTAGGAGAGATTTTTTGAAAACTTTAAATAACTTCCAAAAACTTTTGGGTAACATTATTTAAGACCTACTTTAGGCATTCTGACCTATGTGCTGTCTAACTTGTTTTCTATGCTGCAGGGAGATTCCAATCTCCACAGTCCCAGGACTTTGACCCCTGAGGCTTCACTAGAACTGGAATTCATAGAGGAAAGAATCCAGACCACCCAGTTATCTAGAGTACAGCCATCTCAACCTTTTCAGCTTCTAGTTTTTGCTTCATCGCACTCCCCTACTGGGCTAATAGTTCAACATAATGATTTAGTGGAGTGGTATTTTCTTCCTCATTCTTTGTCAAAAACTTTGTCTGTTTATCTAGACCAATTGGCCATCTTAATTGGACAAGCTCGGTGTAGAATACTTAAAATTTCTGGATTTGATCTGAATTTAATTGTAGTTCCTTTAAATCGGCCCAAAGTTCAAGCCGCTTTTCAACATTCCGTATTGTGGCAAATTCACATGGCTGATTTTATTGGCGTTATTTACAATCATTATCCAAAAAACAAATTGTTTGATTTTATAAAATGACTTCTTGGGTGGTCCCTCGATTAACCAAAGACCAGCCCATTCCTGAGGCTGCTACAGTGTTCAGTGATGGCTCCAGCAATGGAATCCTGGTTATGTAGGTCCTACAGACAAACTTATTCCTACCTCTTATACTTCTGCTCAAAAGGTGGAGTTAATTGCTGTGATTACTGCCTTACAGTATTTCCCCAAACCTTTAAATACTGTCTGTGATTCTGCTTATGTCGTACATGCTACTAAAAATATAGAAACCACTACTATCAAACATATTGATAATTCTGAATTGGCTTCTTGATTTTCAAGGTTACAACAGGTGGTTCACCAACATAAACACCCTTTCTATATTACACATATTAGATCTCATACCACTTTACCAGGACCCATGACTGCCGGTAACCATAAAGTCAAATCTTTGGTCTCTTTTGCAACCCAAGAAGCTCAGGAGTTCCATAATCTCACTCATGTCAGTGCTGCTGGATTAAAAGATAAATTTGCTCTTATCTGGAAAAAGGCTAAGCTTATTGTTCACAGCTGTTCTCAGTGTCAGGTTTTTGTACTTCCAAATCAGAAAACTGGCATTAATTCCAGAGGCCTAACTACTAATGATTTATGGCAAATGGATGTGACTCATGTTAGCTCCTTTTGTAGACTTTCATATGTGCATGTTTCTGTAGATACTTTCCCAGGTTTTATCTGGGCTATTTGCCAACCAGGGGAAGGCATGGCCCATGTTAAAAAACATCTGTATTCTTGCTTTGCAGTTATGGGGCTTCCATATCAAATAAAGACAGACAATGCCCCTGGATATGTTAGTAAGGCTTTTGATTTATTTATGCAAGAGTGAGGAATTCCCCACATTACTGGAATCCCTTACAATCCTCAGGGACAGGCTGTGGTGGAACAGGCCAATTGCACCTTAAAAACTCAATCATCCAAATAGTCTGAACAACAAAAATATAATTTAACTACCCCCCCCCCCACTCCCAATTACATTTGGCATTGTTTACTTTAAATTTTTTAAATGTTCCTAAAGATAATAATCTAACTGCAGCCAAATGCCATTATACAGGCAAAAAATTCTCCCTAAATGAAGGAAAGCCAGTGTTGTGGAAAAACTCCCAAACTAATACCTGGGAACCTGGCACAATTATAACGTGGGAGAGAGAATATGCTTGTGTTTCATCAAGAGATCATCAATCCCATAGCTGGATACCCACTAGGAGACTCAAGCTTTGTGTGAATACTGACGACAAAAACCATAGGGAAAAGACGTCCACATCAGAGACCGCCCTCAGACGTGGTGAGATCTGTGCCAACTCCTCAGAAGCTGGCACATCAAATCAAATTGGGTCTGGTTCAATCCTCCCTGATGGCAATGGAGACCCATGTAACTAATCCCACTTCTCCTAATTACCTTTCTTTTTCCTCTTACAAACCTAAAAATCTCACCATTTATATTAGCCTGAAAATAACATCCCTCTGTTCTTCTCTTCCTCCTTCATCACTGAATCTCGCTTACACTAGGTTTTATTTAATGATTCTCCTCCTTATACTTTCTCTCTCACCAGTTTCTTCTCACACTGATTTACCTGCTAAAGAAAATTATTCTTATCGGGCTTATGTGCCTTTTCCTCCACTTATTCAACCTCTCACCTGGTTGGATGCTCCTGCAGAAATCTACACTAATGATAGTGTGTGGATGCCTGGAGCTACAGATGACCATTGCCCCACTCAACCAGGAGAGTAAGGCACTGCATTTAATGTTACTGCGGGTTATAGATACCCTCCTCTGTGCTCAGACATACACCTGGTTGTATCCATCTAGAAACCCAAGTCTGGGCTGCTTATCTTCCTGAGAGATCAGCTACAGAGAAACCAGGACATTTGGTCTCCAGCCTCTCCCTTTTTCCTTTAAAACAAATGAAAGGGGAAGTAATGGGAGATACCCCATACTTTCAATATAAACCTGCAGGAAAACCATGCCCTAAAAATTTTGAGGGCCCATCTAAAACTTTAATTTGGGAAGATTGTGTTAACTTACATGCAGTAATATTAAAAAACGACTCATATGGTTTAGTAATAGACTGGGCATCAAAGGGCTATTTAAAAAACAATTGCTCCTCTGGCGGAAGGGAATGTCTGGAGGCTACTTATTTTATTTCTTATTGGGAGAACGAGAATCATCATTCTACTTTGCATAGGAGGTTCAGCTCATTCTTTCCCTTAAAATGGGAAGATAAATGCATTACCCCACCAAGGCCTCATATGATATTCCCCATTTTGAGCCCAGAACACCCAGAACTTTGGAAATTGTCTATTGTCATGTCTGGACTGCAAGTATGGGAAGGGGAAACTATTCTGTCTGTTGTCCCCGCTACCATCCTCCTCTCTCAGTATCAACACAGATTCAGACATTCTGCTTTGCTTACCTCCAACCTGACTGTTCCCATACAGAGTTGTGTTAAGCCTCCTTACATGCTGTTAGTGTGAAATATCAAAATTTGGACAAACAATCAAACTGTTCAATGCATTAATTGTCATTTATACACTTGTATTAACTCTCATTTTGACTCCAGGAAAAGTGTAATGTTGGTTCTAGCTCAAGAAGGAATTTGGATTCTGGTAACTTTGCTGAGACCTTGGGAATCCTCCCCCTTGACACATTTAATTAATGAAGTGTTACAGCAAATTCTAAAAGATGCAAGAGATTTGTTTTCACTTTAATCACTGTGATCATGGGCCAAATTACAGTAACTGCAATGGCCACCATGGCCAGAATGGCATTACATCGATCGATTCAAATGGCTCATTTTCTTAATAATTGGCAAGCCAATTCCTCCCAAGTGTGGAATTCTCAATAAGGCATTGATCAAAAATTGGCTAATCAAATTAATGATTTAAGACAGTCTGTTATTTGGCTTTGAGATCAGGTAGTGAATCTTGAACATCACATGCAAATGCAGTGTGATTGGAACACTTCTGATTTCTGTATCACCCCGTATTCCTACAATGAGACTGATCATTCATGGGAAATGGTCAAAGGACACCTTCTGGGTAGGGAAGATAACTTATCATTGGACATAACTAGAGAAACAAATTTTTGAAGCCTCTCAAGCTTATTTATCCATTTTGCCTGGAGCTGAGGCATTAGATCAGGTGGCAGAAAATCTTTCTGGACTAAACCCCATGACTTGGATTAAGTCTACTGGGGGCTCCACTATAGTACATTTTGGAATTATGTTTCTCTGTTTAATTGGATTGTCTTTAGTGTGCCAGACCAGTCAAAGAATCCTGCATCAAAATCAAGAGAACAAACAAGCCTTCATCGCCTGGCACATTTATATAAAAAGAAAGAGAGAGATGTTGTGGGAAGTCAGGGACCCTGAATGGAGAGACTGGCTGAAACCATGGCAGAAGAACATAAATTGTGAAGATTTCATGGACATTTATTAGTTCCCCAAATTAATACTTTTATAATTTCTTGCGCCTGTCTTTACTGCAATCTCTGAACATAAATTGTGAAGATTTCATGGGTATTTATCACTTTCCCAATCAATCCTCTTATAATTTCCTATGCCTGTCTTTACTTTAATCTCTTAATCCCATCATCTTCATAAGCTGAGGATGTAAGTCACTTCAGAATCCTGTGATGATTGTGTTAACTGCACAAATTTTTCTTAAAGCATGTGTATTTGAACAATATGAAATCTGGGCATCCAAAAGGAACAGGATGGCTGTGATTTTCAGGGAACAAGGGAGATAATCATTGGGCCTGACTGCCTGTGGGGACAGACAGAACAGAGTCATATTTCTGTTCTTACAAAAGCAAATAGGAGAAATATCACTGAATTCTTTCTCTCAGCAAGGAACAGCCCTGAGAAAGAGAATGCATTTCCCAGGAGGAGGTCTCTAAAATGGCCACTCTGGGAGTTTCTTTCTGAAACTATTCCAATCAATAGAAAAAGAGGGAATCCTCCCTAACTCATTTTATGAGGCCAGCATCATCCTGATACCAAAGCCTGGCAGAGACACACACACACACAAAATAATTTTAGACCAATATCCCTGATGAACATTGATGCAAAAATCCTCAGTAAAATACTGGCAAACTGAATCCAGCAGCACATCAAAAAGCTTATCCACTATGATTAAGTGTGCTTCATCCCTGGGATGTGAGGCTGGTTCAACATATGCAAATCAATAAACATAATCCAGCATATAAACAGAACCAATGACAAAAACCACATGATTATCTCAATAGATGCAGAAAAGGCCTTTGACAAAATTCAACAACTCTTCATGCTAAAAACTCTCAATAAATTAGGTATTGATGGGACATATCTCAGAATAATAAGAGCTATCTATGACAAACACACAGCCAATATCATACTGAATGGGCAAAAATGGGAAGCATTCCCTTTGAAAACTGGCACAAGACAGGGATGCCCTCTCTCACCATTCCTATTCAACATAGTGTTGGAAGTTCTGGCCAGGGCAATCAGGCAGGAGAAGGAAATAAAGGGTATTCAAGTAGGAAAAGAGGAAGTCAAATTGTCCCTGTTTGCAGATGACATGATTGTACATCTAGAAAACCCCATCCTCTCAGCCCAAAATCTCCTTAAGCTGATAAGCAACTTCAGCAAAGTCTCAGGATACAAAATCAATGTACAAAAATCACAAGCATTCTTATACACCAACAACAGACAAACAGAGAGCCAAATCATGAGTGAACTCTCATTCACAATTGCTTCAAAGAGAATAAAATACCTAGGAATCCAACTTACAAGGGACGTGAAGGACCTCTTCAAGGAGAACTACAAACCATTGCTCCATGAAATAAAAGAGGATACAAACAAATGGAAGAACATTCCATGCTCATGGGTAGGAAGAATCAATATCGTGAAAATGGCCATATGGCCCATGGTAATTTATAGATTCAATGCCATCCCCATCAAGCTACCAATGACTTTCTTCACAGAATTGGAAAAAACTACTTTAAAGTTCATATGGAACCAAAAAAGAGCCCGCGTTACCAAGTCAATCCTAAGCCAAAAGAACAAAGCTGAAGGCATCATGCTACCTGGCTTCAAACTATACTACAAGGCTACAGTAACCAAAACAGCATGGTACTGGTACCAAAACAAAGATATAGACCAATGGAACAGAACAGAGCCCTCAGAAATAATGCCACATAGCTACAACTATCTGATCTTTGACAAACCTGAGAAAAACAAGCAATGGGGAAAGGATTCCCTATTTAATAAATGGTGCTGGGAAAACTGGCTAGCCATATGTAGAAAGCTGAAACTGGATCCCTTCCTTACACCTTATATAAAAATTAATTCAAGATGGACTAAAGACTTACACGTTAGACCTAAAACCATAAAAACCCTAGAAGAAAACCTAGGCAATACTATTCAGGACATAGGCATGGTCAAGGACTTCATGTCTAAAACACCAAAAGCAATGGCAACAGAAGCCAAAATTGACAAATGGGATCTAATTAAGCTAAAGAGCTTCTGCACAACAAAGGAAACTACCATCAGAGTGAACAGGCAACCTACAGAATGGGAGAAAATTTTTACAATCTACTCATCTGACAAAGGGCTAATATCCAGAATCTACAATGAACTCAAATTTACAAGAAAAAAATAAACAACCCTATCAAAAAGTGGGCAAAGGATATGAACAGACACTTCTCAAAAGAAGACATTATGCAGCCAAAAGACAATGTAAAAATGCTTATCATCACTGGCCATCAGAGAAATGCAAATCAAAACTACAATGAGATACCGCTCACACCACTCTTTCCCTTTATTCCTCAGACCAGCCGACACTTAGGGAAAATAGAAAAGGACCTACATTGAAATATCAGAGGCTGGTTCCCCCAATAATGCCTCATTACCCTCCACCCATAAAATCCACCCCAGCCTTCAGCTCAGTGAGACAGATTTGAGGCTGACTCCTCTCTTCTTTCTCAGCAGCTTTGCAATAAACTTTTCTACAAGAGAGAAGTACTTCGGTGTTTGGCTTTCAATTTGACATGGGCAAAAAACAAGGTTTTGTTTGGTAACAACCCATGATTTGGAAGAAAAATATGAACCATTATTAGAATTAACTAATTTCTATTTCATCTCTATTTCCATTTTGATTGACCTCTGATAATACTGATATAAAGCTATCATCTTAAACATTTGGGAAATTATTCTTCCACTAATGAAATGAAACACAATAACAGCTATACGTATGCCCATACAAATTTAGAAATAAAAATGAGCAAGTCAATATACAACAAATGTCATTTGATTTAAATGAAAGTCATAACTCAAAGATTGATGTATAAATTGACCTCCTATAACTATAGGTGTTATATCATTGTCTTCATGCATGGTCTTCTTAAATGATAACATTTAGAATAGGTGCTGATACTTTTGATTTTATTTATTAGATTTAGGAAGGTACATGTGCAAGTTTGTTACATGGATATATTGCATAGTAGTGGGATTTGGGCTTCTACTATACATTACCTCAATGGTGAACAATGTACCCCATAGTTAATTTTTTGACATCATCTCCATCCCACTCTTCCCCCATTTTGAATTTCCAGTGTCTATTATTTCCCTTTGTATGACCACTTCTACTCATTGTTTAGCTCCCACCTATAAGTGAGAACATGAGATCTTTCATTCTCTTTTAAAAGTTTTTAAACTTTGTTGTAGGGTCAGGGGTACATGTGTAGGTATGTTATATAGGTAAACTTGCATCATGAGAGTTTGTTGTACAGATTATTTCTTTATCCAGGTACTAAGACTAGTACCCAATAATTATCTTTTCTGTTCCTCTCCCTCCTCCCCACCCTTCACTGTCAAGCAAACCCCAGTGTCTGTTGTTCCCTTTTTGGTTTCCATGAGTTCTCATAATTTAGCTCCCATGTATAAGTGACAACATGTGGTATTTGGTTTTCTGTTCTTGAGTTAGTTTGCTAAGCATAAAGGCCTCCAGATCCATCCACGTTCCTACACACACACACAAAGAATGACCATTTGTGCACCTGCATAGTATTTCATGGTGCACATCTACCACATTTTCTTTATCCTATCTGTCATTGGTACGCATTTAGGTTGATGCCATGTTTCTGCTATTGTGAATAGTGTTGCAATAAACATTCATTTGCATGTGTCTTTATGATAGAGTGATTTATATTCCTTTGGGAATATACCCATTAACAGAATTTCTGGGTCAAATGGTAGTTATTTTTAGATCTTTGAGGAATTGCCATACTGCTTTCCACAATGATTGAACCAATTTACACTACATGGACAGTATATAAGTGTTCCCTTTTCTCTGCAACCTCACCAGCATCTGTTATTTTTTGACTTTTTAATAATAGCTATGCTGACTGGTGTGAGATGATATCTCATTGTGGTTTTGATTTGCATTACTCTAATGATCAGTGACATTGAGCTTTTTTAAATATGCTTGTTGACTGCATGTATGTCTTCTTTTGAAATGTGTCTATTCGTATCCTCTGCCTACTTTAATGCAGTTTTTTTTCTGATAAATTGTTTAAGTTCCTTATAGATGCTGGATATTAGACCTTTGTCAGATGCATAGTTTGGAAATATTTTCTCTCATTCGTAGGTTGTCTGTTTACTCTGTTGATAGTTTCTCCTGATGTGCAGATGCCCTTAAGTTTAACTAGATTCCATTTGTCAATTTTTGCTTTTGTTTCGATTGTTCTTGGCATCTTCATCATAAAATCTTTCCCTGCTCCTATGTCCTGAATGGTATTCCCTAGGTTGTCTTCCAGGATTTTTATAGTTTGGGGTTTACATTTAAGTTTTTAATTCATCCTGAGTTAATCATTTTCTATTTCTGAGTTATTTCACTTAGGAAAATGGCCTCCAGCCCCATGCATGTTCCTGCAAAAGACATGATTTCCATTCTTTTTCATGATTGTCTAGTATTTCATGATGTACATATCTTATTCAAATATGGCTGCAATAAACAGAGTACAGGTCTTTTTGATACAGCGATTTCTTTTCCCTCGAATAGATACCCAGTGGTGGGTTTGCTGGCTTAAATGGTAATTATATTTTCAGTTCTTTGGGACATCGCCATACTGTTTTCCATAGAAGTTGTACTAATTCACATTCCCACCAACAGTGTATAAGCTTTCCCTTTTCTCTGCATCCTCACCAACATTTGTTGTTTTTTGACTGTTCAGTGATAGCCATTCTGACTGGTGTGAGATGGTATCTCACTGTGGCATTAATCTGCATTTCTCTGATGATTAGTAATGCTGAGCATTTTTTCTTATGTTCATTGGCCACTTGTATGTCTTCTTTCAAGAAATGTCTTTTTGTGTCTTTTGCATATTTTTTAATGAAATTATTTTTTTTCTCCTTGAGTTTTTGAGTTCCTTACGGATTCTGGATATTAGTCATTTGTTGGATGTATAGTTTGCAAATATTTTCCCCCACTTTCTAGGTTGTCTGTCACTCTGTTTATTATTTCTTTCATTGTGCAGAAGATTTTCAGTTGTCTATTTTTGTTTTTGTGTCATTTGCTTTTGAGGTCTTAATCATAAATTATTTGGCTAGGCCAATGTACTAAAGAGTTTTTTCTAGGTTTTCTTCCAGGATTTTTATAGAGACAGAAATCCAGTGTTATTCTTCCGCAAGTGACTATCCAATTTTCTCAGCATCTTTTATTAAATAGCATGTATTTTTCTCATTATATATTTCTGTTGACTTTGTCAAAGATCAGTTGGTTGTACGTATGTGGCTTTATTTCTGGATTCTCTATTCTGTTACATTGATCAATATATACATTTTTGTACCAGTACCATGCTGTTTTGGTTACTATTGGGTTAGTGCAAAAGCAATTGCAGTTTTTGCCATTACTTTTGCACCAACCTTATATGATATTGTAATATAACTTGAAGCCAGGTAATGTGATGCCTCCAGCTTTGTTCTTTTTGTTTAGGATTGCTTTGGCTATTCAGATTTTTTTCTTTTTTGGTTACATATGAATTTTAGAAATTTTTCTTTCCAATTCTGTGAAAAATGTCATTGGTAATTTGATAAGAATTGTGTTGAATATGCATATTGCTTTGGGGAGTGTGGTCATTTTAACAATATTGGTTCTTCCAGTCCATGAACATGGGGTCTTTTTCTATTTATAGCCTCTTCAATTTCTTTCATCACTGTTTTGAAGCTCTCCTGGTAGAGATCTTATCTTCCATCTCCTTTGTTAAATGTATTCCTAGGTATTTTATTTTGTTATGACTACTGCAAATGAGATTGAGTTTTTTATTTGGTTCTCAGCTTGAATGTTACTGGGGTATCAAAATGCTAATGATTTTCGTACATTGATTTTGTGTACTGAAACTTTACTGAAATCATTTATGAATTCTAGGAGACATTTGGAAGAGTCTCTAGGGTTTTCTAGGTATAAAATTATTTAATCAGTGAACAGACATAAATTGACTTCCTCTTTTCTAATTTAGATCCTTTTTTCTTCTTTTGCCTAATTGCTCTGGTTAGCATTTCCAGCACTGTGTTGAATAGATGTAGTGAAAGTGTGCATCCTTGTCTTATTCCAAGTCTTAGAGGAAATGCTTATGATTTTCTTCATTCATTATAATGTTGATTGTGGGTTATGCTGGAGTTCAATCAGGCCGGTGGGAAAAATAACAGAGATAGTTATAGAGATAGACACAAGTCTTCTTGGAAGGCCGAGAAGTTTGCATAACTTCGGTAACAGATCTGGCTGAAGGCGGCCTGGTCTCTTTACCTTTAAACAAATTAAAGTAGTAACAAAGGAAGGCAGAGTAATCTACCTAGCTAGCTTGTTTACTCATGTGATCTTAAGACTAAACTTTGATGTGCCAGGCAGGGGTGGGTGGTGCTTAATTGCTTTCTACTCGGAAAGTCCACAATGGTGGGTGGTGCTTATTGCTTTTTACTCAGAAAATCCACAATGTCAATTACCTTCTAATGGTGTTAACTCAAGCCTTTGTTAATTAATCTTACTGAATAAACGTCTCACTAGCTGTGAGGGCACTAGGGCCACAGTTGCAACTGTTTACTGGACTCAGCAGGGAGTCTGTAAGCAGCCTGGACAGACTCAGTGGGACTGGCAAAGTAGAATATCTGTGTGTCAGTGTATGTTATTCATCTGTTGCCAGGTCAGGGGTCTGCAGGGGACATATCTCCCCGCAGCTGGTGCCCCAGTATGAGGAGTGCTACCACATTGTCATATATGTTTTTTGTTATTTTGAGGTATGTTACTTTGATGCCTAGGTTGTTGAGGATTTGTATCATGAATGGATGTTGGATTTTATCAAATGCTTTTTCTACATCTATTGCAATGATCATGTGGTTTTTGTCATTAGTTCTATTGATATATTTATTAATTTGTATATATTAAACCATCCTTGCCTCCCTGGAATAAAACCTACTTGATCATGATGTATTATCCTTTTGATGTACTGTTGGATTCAGTTTGCTAGGATTTCGATGAGGATTTTTGCTTCTACGTTCATTAAGGATATTGGCCTATCATTTTCTTTTTCTATTGTGTTCTTGACTGATTTTGGTATCGAGGTTATACTCGTTTCATAGAATGAGTTAGGGAAGAATCCTTCCTCTTCCTAATTTTTTTAGAATAATTTCAGTAAGATTGGGGCCAGCTCTTCTCTGCACGTCTGGTAAAATTTTGATGTGAATCCATCTGGTCTTGGGCTTTTTTTTTTTTGCAGGGGGTGGATTTTTTTTTAATTACTACTACAATTTCTTTACTCATTATTGGTCTGTTCAAGGTTTCTGTTTCTTCCTGGTTCAATCTTGAGTTTGTATGTTTCCAGGAATTTATCCATTTCCTCTTGGTTTTCTAGTTTGTGCATATAGAGATGCTCATAGTAGTCTCTGATTTTTGTATTTCTGTGGTATTAGTGTGTATAATGTCATCTTCATTATTTCTGATTGTGCCTATTTGAATCTTCTCTCTTTTTTGGTTGACCTAGCTAGTGGTATATCAATTTTGTTTATCTTTTTAAACACCCAACTTGCCATTTTGTTGATCCTTTGTATAATTTTTGTCTCAGTCTCATTAAGTTCTGCTCTTTGTTTTTTTCTTTTCTTCTGCTAACTTTGGATTTTGTTTGCTCTTGTTTTTCTATCCCTTGAGATGTGAAATCAGGCTGTTAATTTGAGATCTTTTGATATAGCCATGTAACACTGTAAACTTTCTTCTTAGTGGTGCTTTTGCTGTAACCCAGAGGTTTTGGTACGCTGTGTCTCCATTTTCAATTATCTTGAAACTTTTTTTTTAAATTTCTGCCCTAATTTCATCATTTACCCAAAGATTATTCAGAAGCAAATTGTTTACTTTCCATGTATTGTTTTTTTGTTTTTTGTTTTTTTTGTTTTTTTTTTTTTGAGACGGAGTCTTGCTCTGTCGCCCAGGCTGGAGTGCAGTGGCGCGATCTCGGCTCACTGCAAGCTCCGCCTCCCAGGTTCATGCCATTCTCCTGCCTCAGCCTCCCGAGTAGCTGGGACTACAGGCGCCCGCTACCACGCCCGGCTAATTTTTTGTATTTTTAGTAGAGACGGGGTTTCACCGTGTTAGCCAGGATGGTCTCGATCTCCTGACCTCGTGATCCGCCCGCCTCGGCCTCCCAAAGTGCTGGGATTACAGGCGTGAGCCACCGCGCCCGGCCCCATGTATTGTTTTGAGAGTCCCTCTTGATACTGATTTCTAATTTTATTCCACTCTGGTCCAAGAAGATACTTGATATAATTTTAATTATTTTGTGTAATTTATTGAGGCTTGCCTCCTGGCCAAGCATTTGGTCTATTGTGCAGAATGTTCCATGCACAGATGAGAAAAATGTATAATCAGCAGTTGTTGGGCAGAATGATCTGTAAATGTCTATAAGGTCCATTTGTCTAGAATTCTGTTTTAAGTCCTAAGTTTCTTTGTGAGTTTCTGCCTCGATGATCTGTTGCTCACTATTATTTTATTGCTTTCTATATTTGTCTTAGGTCTAGTAGTATTTGCTTTACTAATCTGGGTGCTCCAGTGTTGGGTGCATATATATTTAGGATAGTTATAACTTCTTGATGAATTGAACCCTTTATTATTAAAGATCTATTTTGTCTTTTTACTGTTGATTTAATGTCTCTTTTATCTGATATAACTTTTTCCACCTCTTTGAGTGTGTAGATATCTTTGACCTTCTTATGGGTCTCTTGTAAGCAGTGAATAATTCAATGTTGAATTTAAATCCAATTTTTCTGTTTGTATCTTAGGTGGAGCATTTAGGCCATTTACATTCAAGGTAAATATTGATATGTGAGGTTTTGCTCCTGTTATAATGTTGTTACCTAGTTGCTTTTTATTCTCAGTTATGTAACTGCTTTATAGGACCTGTGAGCTTTGCACTTCATGTGTTTGTATAATTATGAATATTATTATTTTGTTTCCTTGTTTAGAACTCTTGAGCATTTTGTGTAGAACTAGTCTAGTGGTGACTAATTCCCTTAATGTTTGCTTATCTGGGGAAGACTTTATTTCTCCTTCATTTATGAAGCATAGTTTAGCAAAATACAAAATTCTTGGCTGGCAGTTATTTTATCTAAGAAGACTGAAAATAGAACCTCAGTCCTCTTTGGCTTCTAAGATTTATGCTGAGAAGTCTACTATTAGTCTGATGGGATTTCCTTTATAGATGATTTGGTGATTCTCTCCTTGTCCTTTTGGAATTTTTTTCTTCAAGTTGACTTTAGATAATGTGTTGACTATATGCTTTGATGATGATTGTTTTATAAAGTATCTCTCAGGTGTTCTCTAAACTTCTTGTATCTGGATGCCTATATCTCCAATATAGCCAGGAAATTTTCCCTGAATTATTTCCTTAAATAGGTTTTCCAAACTTTTTACTTTTTCTTCTCCCTCAGTAATGCCTATAACTCAAATTTGGTTGGTTTACACAATCCTATATTTCTTGAAGGCTTTGTTCATTTTTTTTAAACTTTTTTTAAATTTTGTTAGACTATGTTAGTTTGAAGGGCCTACCTTTAAGCTCTGAAACATTTTCCTCTGCTAGGTGGAGCCTATTTTTAAACCTTTCAACTGTATTTTATTTTTTTTAATATATCAATCTCTTCTTTCATTTCCTGCATTTTTTTTCTGATTTATTTGCATTGGTTTTCAACTTTCTCTTGGATCTCACTGAACTTCTTTATAATCCATATTTTGTATTCTTTATCTGTCACTTTAGAATTTTCATTTTGGTGAGGATTCATTGCTAGAGAGCTAGTGTGATCCTTTGAGGGTGTGGCAACACTATGTTTCCCATTGCCAGAGTTATTATGCTGGTTTCTTTTTATCTGGCAAAGTTTTTGCTTCTTATTTTTAAACTTATTTTCATTTGGATGGGACTTTTTCACCTTGAAGGTGTGACTGTAGTGTATGTTAAGTAGGGTGCTTTGGCTTTTCTTCTTTAACCTTGTGCATTTCTGTCAGCAGGTTTTACATTGGATTGTGCAGCTCAACCTCCTGGCCATAGGTGCTGCTTATGGGTAAGAGCCGGTTGTGGCAGAAGCAAATATGTATGTGCTTGATTTTTGTATACTGGGATGTGTTCCCTGTTGTTTCACATGATGGGCTGGTCTGTAGCATACTCAATACCTTGAGTTCCCTTTTCAGTGTGGGGCCGCATGGGGATAGATGTTGATGGAGCTGGACCACCAAACTTGCTCATGAATACACCAATGATGAGCACAAGCACTGCCCTAACAGAGGAGGTCCTAGAGGAACTCCTGGTGAAATGCACTGAAGTCTTTGCAGGGAGGAAAGGGGCTGCACCAGCTCCATGTCCCAGGGAGGCAGAAATGCAGTCTGTTTCCCTATCACACTCCATCCCAAGATTCATGACCCTGACATCCAACAGATGTAGTTGTCTATCTCTATGACACAGTGTAGCTGAGAGCCTCAGAAAACACCTGTCCCATTGTTCTCCATACGAATGACTTCAAGGAAGAACCTCTTCCCTCAGCCCAGTACATATATCTTGTTGTTCACCTGTTCTCTAATGCAGTAATGCTACTGCTTCATGTAGAGTGGGTAAGGGGCTCTGCCTTTCAGCATGTGCAGGTGGGTGTTGTGTCAGCTGTGATGGTGATGCTCACTAGTTGGGTTGGCCAAACCTCAGACCCTAGGAAAAGTGAATAGGTGCCAGCAGTGGTGGACTGGCAATCCCCTGATGCTCAGGTCCCTATATGGTCCCCTGGACAGCATACACGAGTCATGGAGGAATCGGACCTGGACTGGACCAATGGACTTGTCCTCAAGTCCCCATGGTTTAGGTACTAGCTGTGATAGGGAGAGAAGGACTGGCCCCCAGGCCGCCAGCAGAACATTCAATCAGGGCCAGAATATTCAGATGGTGGCAGCTCAGAGCAGATCAGAGGCCTCTGGGGACTGGGCTTTTAGGAGAGTACAGGCTGGAGCTGCAATCATCAAGTGGGGCAAAGCAGCCGTGCTTCTGACCTGTCACCAGGGAAGATAGGCCCCTGTCAGTCAGATCTATGGAGTGTGTGACCTGCTTGCATCTTTCTCCTGTAAGAGAAGAGGTGATCTGCCCCAGGGCAGAATGCAGGCCTCCAGGGGTTGGGCTTTCAGAAGGGGTATGGCAGTTGCACTGAGGGCCTGCTGCCAGGAAAGGTAGGCTCCCCCTTAGTGGGAGCACTAAAACAGGCCTACAGGTGTGCAACTGGTTTGCTCCTCTGTCCCATGGCAGCAGCTACAGTTTCCATCTTTGGGACACACAAAAATGCCTGGCCTCATTTCCTCGCCAGCAACTGGCACTGGGCTGCAGCTGATCAGGGATCAAAAGCCTGTGGAAACTCATATGGGCTCCACTAATGCCTCTGTGAAATCTCTAAGCAGCTCCCTGTGTTAGACTAGAGGCCAGAGCTGGTGCACTAGTCAAGGGGCCTCTCCCAAAGCTAGGGTTGTAAATGTCCATGATAGGAGTGTGGACCCCTGGAAGTTACTCACTCACCCCTTCCATGCATCAGGCAGCTTCCCCTGGCTCCATGTTGATCCTAGCTCAGCAAGCTACTTGGCTTCACTCTTCTTTGCTTTTCAAGATTCCCATCGCTTCTCTGATGAATTCCAGTGTGCTTTCTTAGACTATCTATTTGAATTAGGCATAGTTACTTCTATTTTGATTCATCTCCATGGATGAGGCACCCACTAGTCTGCTATCTTGAATAGGCTCCTCCTTTTTTTGATGCTTTTTTAGTGTTCCTATGTCTTCTGGTTTTTATGTGATCAGTAATATCATTATAGACCCCATGGTGGGTGTAAATATTCACAGACATTATGTTTAAGTTGCATAATCATCAACAATTTTCTTGGCATTCAGAAATTGGACTAATAATTAAACCTGCATTTTCCATTTTTAATTTATTGCTGCCAAAATGGTATGCTGAAAAATAAAATGTTTATGAAATAGTTAAATATGTAGTTGCATATTTGTAAATGATGAAACCACAATAGTAAGCATGTTCATATTGTTCTCTATGTATTCTAAAGAAATATTTCTTGCCTTTAATTTCTGCAACAATGTTTTGTACTGAAATACATTTTAGTACATCCAATCTATAGTTTTCCACATTCTCAACTGTTTCTGCTAACTTCAGAGCTGTTCTTTGAGGCATTAACCAGGACTCTGCACAGGCCATGGCACAGTGGCTAGTATACCAAATGGCCAGCAGAGGCAACAGAAGGAAGATTTCTCCCACCACCACCTAAGATCAGCTTATAGACCTAACTAATCTTCCTTGTCTGTATACTGGAAGTCCCCTTCTCCACCAAAATGCTTTAACAACCAATGAGAAAATTCTAAGACTAAAAGACTAGATGCCCTCAAGAACTGCCAAGTGCCTGGGTGCAGAATCTCACACCTGTAATCCCAGCACTTTGGGAGGCTGAGGCAGGCAGATCATGAGGTCAAGAGATCGAGACCATCTTGGCCAACATGGTGAAACCCCATCTCTACTAAAAATACAAAAATTAGCTGGGCGTGGTGGTGCACGCCTGTAGTCCCAGCTACTGGGGAGGCTGAGGCAGGAGAATTGAACCCAGGAGGCAGAGGTTGCAATGAGCCAAGATTGCACCACTGCACTCCAGCCTAGCGACAGAGCCAGACTCCATATCAAAAAAAAAAAAAAAAAATTGTCAACAGAGGAAAGGAGGCTAATTTTCAGAATAGATCTACATATACTCCAGTTAGAGCTAATAATGTAGTATGAACTTAATTTAGAGGAAGTGTTGACGCTCAGCTGTGGAAGTATTTTTGTTGTTGTTAATAATTGTTTCTTTACTTGAGCTTTCATGTTCCTTCCAACCGCCTTCAATTCCAGTGAATCTCTAAAATTTCATCTAAGATAAATAAAATCCATCTAGCCCTGGAGAAAGAAAGCTAAAGAAGAAAAAAGAAGATAAAATAAGAAAGGAAAGTAAAACTAAGACAATATAGGAAAGATACAGAGTAGAAATCAGTGATAAACCTTCATCAGTGTCTATCCATTAATATCTTGATCAGAGACTGTGTAAATATAAAGTTTACCTTTGATTTTTTAAACTTTTCTCAAAGAATAGCTTTACAAATGAAATAGTTACATTTTTGTGGTAGATGACCTTACCTTTTTTCAGATAAATGCTCTCTTAGGGTTCAGGTAATTATTTCTTGCAATGATAGCATGAGATGTAAATAGTGACAGTTGGATACCAACTGAGCCTCCAAAAGGTAGAAAATTAGAAAGGATGATATTTTCTACACTTTCAAAATGTATCTATTTTGCAGTACAACAAAAAGCTTATTTGTGGCATTTCAATTTTTATGTAACATTTTATTGACCCCAGCAACTACATTATCGAATCAATGTCCACAAAGTGGACAACTAAAAATTCTTAACTATATGCCCAGTCTGGTAACTCTCACTGGGAAAAGGAATTTATGCATAAAATATTTTAATTAAATTTCAATAAGAATGAATTTGTTTGTTTATTGTTACTCATTCAGAAACATCCCTTACAAAATATGAAAAAGAAAAAAATTTTCTTTAGGAAATGTCTTTAGAAAGTTGTCTTTAGAAATTTTACTCATTCTAATAATTCCTAAAATACTATTTCTACAAAATAAAATAAAAATAAGGTCTAAAGGGATATAAAAACAATATTTTTGTATCAAAAAATGCAGACGTTGAAATCTCAGATCATGAAAAAAACATGTTCTACCCTGATATGTATTATCCCCAACCCATGTGATACATACTGCAAAGCCACTTTTTTTTTTTGTCTTTCAGCTTCCCTATATTGATTTGTGAGAACAATGACATAATACATGTAAGGTGTTTGGGATTCCTCAGAAAAGACTTTGTCACTATCCTATCTATATGTCACTATCCTATCTTTTTTTGGTGTGAAGTCCTAAATTTCTCAAAACACATATTTTAGCAACTTTGTCCTATTTGAATTATACTCAAGGCTTCCATTGAAATGTAACATTTTATCACTTTATCTGTAAAAGTTACCTGAAAAGACAAGTGCAAAGACAAACTAAATGATATTTATAAAATGTACATTGTGATTCCTTCTGAGTGACTGAATAAAATTGAAAATAATTTTCCTTTTTGAAAATGTCCTTTATTTTACACATTTAGTCATAGCAAAAACTAATGTTTGAAAATGTCTCCACTCAATTTGATAAAATTCAGTACCTTATGGTGTGCTTTTTTTAATATTCTGATCTCAGAGAAAGAGCTGATTTTATAATTGAGAGGTTTTTTGGTATCATAATAATTAAGCCATCAGATTTCTTTGTAAAGGGGGTAAAAGCAGCTACTTTTTTCCCCAAAAGATACTGAAGAACTTATACTATGACTTGAATGTATTTTTCCAAGACTATTTTTGAATACAATTGAGTATTTAAAAGTTGCAAAATAGACTCACTGGCATACATTGCAACACTCACTGCTCAGTCAGCAGCAGTGAAAGACACATGTTGCTCCTAGTACCAAATTATTGAGCCAATACAGGCAATGTGGAATAGAAATCCACAGCATAGCAGAAGCCCCGTGGCTGAACTTTAAACATGGGCAGTCAGGGGAGACAAGGCTGGGTGTAGACAGGCCACTTCAGCCTAAGAAAGCCATGAGCAATGAGTTCTTTTACTGTCCCTCAGGGTATATAACTGTACCCTGCATTTATGCACTTCTAGTCACATTGCCCATCAGGATACATGACTTACTCTCATTCTCTGGTGGAGCTCCTTCTCATCGATACACTGATTTGGCAATCAATAAACTGTTCCTAGGATGAGGTATAGGTGCTCAGTAGGTGTACTGTTATTGTGGATCTGGTATATTTCTATAATTCCTTGAGTTTGAGTTCCAGGAGGATTCAATTCCGCATCAAATTCTCAGATGTTTCTGAGGTTTGAGGAAATGTCACAGACCAGCTATCAACCCTTGCCTTTCATAGATAAATTAAAAATAAGCAAAATAAGCATCTAAGGGCCTGAGGCACATTTGCTACTCCTACTTCTGATTTTTCTCCACTCATTTCTCCTTAGTTCTTTCCAGGTGAGTTACTATCCCTACTACACATTTACAATGACTCTCAGAAGATTTTCTTCAATTATAGAGCTTGATTCAAAATACTATTCTCCAACTAAAGCATATCAGTTAATACCAAATACTCTCTTTGTCTCAAAATTCTCATTACTTACATACTTTTCAATAGCTCATTAGAAGACCACTGATTCTCTTGATTAGTTTTACATCCATTTTATTTCATTTTCAATAGAAACTGCTTTTTTCTAAATATAAAATGATTATAAGCTAATTGTAAGAACTTGAACTATACAAAGGGAAGAAAAATGTAAAAATATCCTGATTACCTCACCCTCCAGAGAAAATCACTGCAGTATTTTCAGCTATGGGAATAGTAGTTTAATATGTTAGAAGGAGGCATCTTTGAAATTATACTGTGGAAAGAAGACAAAAAGGTGAGGTAAGCTACAATTGATAGTTACTGCTGGCCCTGTCCACACCCTTCTAAAGGGAATCTTTCCATCTCTCAATCTCTGGAACGTCCAAATCCATGTGTATACAAAGTGGCCATCAACACGCAATTCTCTTACAACAAAGTACCACAACCTTTTTGAGAAGGAGACTGCCAAAATTGTTCCTAAATTTTATATATGCAAGTGAATAACAAGATAAACCAAAACCCTTCTTACTTTGTTCTCTTGACTATGAAGCCCCTGCACTTCTTGTCCTCATCAATACATTTTTCCATTTACACACACTCTTATAAACTATAAACAAGCATGGAAGGCCAACCTTTCACACATTCACACTTAATCACTATGTTTCCTCTCCAACTGATTATTAAAGTCAACACTTTGGGCCAGGTGCAGTGGTTCATACCTGTAATCCCAGCATTTTGGGAGGCCAAGGCAGGGGGATCACCTGAGGTCAGGAGTTTGAGACCAGCCTGGCCAACATGGTGAAACCCCGTCTCTACTAAAAATACAAAAATTAGCTGGGCATGGTGGCGGGTGCCTGCATTCCCAGCTACTGGGGAGGCTGCAAAGGAGAATCTCTTGAACCCAGGAGGCAGAGGTTGCAGTGAGCCAAGATAGCGCCACTGCGCTCCCGCCTGGGCAATAAAAGTGAAACTTCGTCTCAAAAAAGATTAAAATATTCAACACGTTGATGAAACGGTTTTTATTTTTGTGGAAAAGTTAAAGGAAAAGATAAATTAAGGTATTTGGCACCTGACAGGGAAATAAAGATCCATTTTCACCTCTACCACAATCACCCCTAAAACTGAAAGTTTCACAGTGAGAGCTGGGATAAACAAAGCAAACTTGCCCTCCTGTTGGGTAGCTGGGTTTTTATACCCCTTAAGGCAGGAGTGACACAAGGTGGTCTTTCTTTCCCAATTCTCAATAAAAATCAAATGTAAAACCTGACCCAGAATTCTGAAGAAGGAGTAGTTTAGAATTCACCAGAAGGAACATTAAATTTTCCCCCCCATAAAGATTTTAAGTTAAAGGACCTCAAAAGCATATTGCAGATAAACCTCTCAAATACTTTTAATGGTTCATGAAATTATCAGATAGATTATCTCATAAGTAGAGTTTTTTATTAATGCGGTTAACAGACTAGATAGAATTTTGTTCTGTTTCATACTTGGCCTCTTCATAATGCAAACATTAAATCTGATTTGCCTTAGTAAGACACATTTAGACCACGTAGATGACTTTACCTCAGAAAGTAATATAGAGCTTAACACTACTGTCTTTTTCTGCTAATTCAAAATCATCTTATCTGAAGCTAAAAATATTTATGGTATTTGCTCACATTTCACCTCATCCTATACACTCAAAAAGTTTTTATTATGCAACTCTAAATGCTGCAGTACATATTTGTCTATGGGTCTAGAAATAATTACATATTTTGAACACAATGTATGGAACATAATAATTATAGACCTGTGCTGGCTTTCCAGTGAGCAATGTATAGTGTTGGTAAGAATATCTGATAATGCTATCTGTAGCTCTTATTTGTTAATGACAGCTGGGCATATCCATGGGACGGTTCCCCTTTTGCAGCCATATCATTTATACTTGAAGTATTTAATAACTTTGCTGGCCCTTACACTGCTGTAACATGTGAACACTTTCAGAATATACACCACAGTTAGGTTTCAAACAACAACAGCCTCATTTCAGCATTTGAACTGCAAATATAAGATTACTACTTCTTCCTCTAATTATATCACTTGTGAGAATTCCTAATTCTTATTGTGGGAATTGGCTCCTCCTCTACCTATGGTTGAGAAATGTGTTTCTCAATGTCTTTTTATCTAAGTAAATTTTAGTAAAGGTCTACATAGGAAAATTCACTACAAAATAATTCATAAATACTTTTGGATATTGTGATATCTTTAGAAATCTATTTTTGAACACCCGTTAGTTCTTTAACTTACTTGGAGCTAAATTAATTGCTAAACTATATGCATAATTGTTTTAGCTTGATCCACCTCATTCAAACGAAAACTTTTCTTGGGTAATGATTGTCAGTGGGAGAGAAATGCTATAACCTTTTAGTCTTGTTAAAGTAAACTAAATATAACCTGAGAAGGACTCTGTACTTCTATATTTGAGTCCTTGTGGATGAACCACAACCTAACTTAATAGGTGGACAAGATTGAAACCCTAATTTAGGAGTATGTGCTTTTAACAATAACTGAGTCTTGGCCAATCTCAGCAGCCATACTTCAACCTCTCATACACTGCCGAGTGCTCAAACTGTGTTCAAATAAGGTAAACATCAACCTGTAATCAATCCAGCTGTTTCTGTACCTCACTTCTGATTTCTGCACATCACTTCCTTTTTTTGTCTATAAATTTATTCTGACCATGAGGCATCCCTGGAGTCTCTCTGAATCTGCTGTAATTCTGGGGGCTTCCCAATTTAGAAATTGCTCATTGCTCAGTTAAACTCCTTTAAATTTAATTCAGCTGAAGTTTTTCTTCTAACAGTCTAAATCATGTGCCATGTCAAGGCACCTGAGATTCAGATTTCAACACCATATATAAATCCGAAATTTCTTGATATAACAGATGATTTTCCCTCCAGCTTTTGGTATCCCTTTGCCTGATGAGTGGGAAAGGGATGTCCTAAGCAGAGGGGTAGCAATTACTGTAGTGAAGAGCAATCCCAAGTTTTGTAGGCAAGGTTAGGTTTGCTACAAAGTTTACCTACCCTTGTACCAGAAGAGAAGCAGTCAATGATTAGAGAAGTAATGCAATTAAATTATTTTGATTGTGACTTTAGAA
Source organism: Homo sapiens (assembly GCF_000001405.40). NCBI lineage: Eukaryota > Metazoa > Chordata > Mammalia > Primates > Hominidae > Homo > Homo sapiens. The sequence goes on along the minus strand of NC_000006.12, from coordinate 76,469,340 downwards.
TAAACAAACCCCTAAAGCTTTCCTTTATTTTTATTACTAACAAAATACACTCTGCAAAATGATGTCTTATCTCAATGACTATAGTCTTGAGGGATGAAGAGAAGTAGGACTCAGTCAAGTTAAACAATAAGAACCAAAATGATGACCTATTTCCTAGCTATCTTCTCTCCTGGATAGTCATTTGGATAGTGATGACTTCAGTCTCATCCCTAGCTCTAATTTTTCCTTCTCACTGTACTTGTCAGGGAGTGAAAAGGAATCTATTCGATGTGCATTGATGGAAAGCTAGAAACTAACTCACAAGGTATGAAAGAGATATTTGAGTTTAAGGGTAGCTATGTTTATATTTTCATGAAAGAAGATTCATGAAGGTAAAACAATTAGAATAGTTCATATGGATCATCATTAATAGTTAATTTAATGCAAATGTTTATAGGGTAGACCCATGGAATCAATATAAGCAAAGAGGCTACAAGAAAAGAATATATTTTACAGTGGACATTTTTTAGGATGCATATTGTAATAATTTGTGTGAATTTATTCAGTACATCACAAACAGGAAAGAGTTAAAAGGTAAGCATGTTAAATGCTTGGTTTTCTTATCATCCACAGAATCTCTGGGAACGGCAATCCATCATCAAATTCAGTTTTAGTTTTCATACATTTTCTGCAACAAGAAGAGATGGCAGTGTTTTGAAATGGGAAGATTAAAATTTTGAAAATCTTGGAAACAGAAATCATCTATTTTATAGAAACTACTTTTTTTCTGGGTAGAGTCATGCTACAGGCACCCTTCCAGGGAGATACACTTCTTGCCACCCCCAAGAATATTATTATGAGAGTATATAAATCAACAGACAGCAACAGCTCAGCAAACCTAGAGGTAACCAAGGACATTCTACAATTACTGAGACTCACCTCATCTCACTTTAATAAAGCCCACAGGAAAAAGAACTTATTTCTCTCTAAATAAAGTATAAATCCTACATGAGCATTTTTGTTTAGCTAATTGGGTCAGCTGACTCACTCTCAGCCATGTTCCAGAGGGCTGTATTGAAACTCTCCTCCCTAAAACCCATGGAGAGGAGGCAGAGCATTTCCCCAGTGGGGTGGGTGTTGCTATCTCCAGTAGTAGAGAAAAAGAATGGTGGTCAGACAAAAACCAGGCAATGTCTTCTACAAGTGACAAGTGAGATATCAGCAGCACTGGAAGTAAATAGAAATAAACAAGATCTGAGTCACTTCTATGCACTTGCACATTTTAGATATTTAACATTGATAATATAGATATATAACTATATTAAATTTATAGTGGATATTAAAATGCAAAGATAAGCAGAATAAAATGCGTACTGTGCCTACTTAAGATTTCAGGAAAAAAAAAAGTATCATTTAGAATGCTACTCAACATGAAGAATCCAGCCTTTCTCAACCCCAAGTGAGGCAGAAGTTTCAAAGGGACTCACTGGACAATTATTGCAGAAGGTAAATATTGGATCCATTTTATTATAAATAGGAATTGCCCTTGAAGATTCTGAGTGTGACGAGTCATAGTTTTATGACAGAAGTGTTGATCAGTTTGTACATGGAATGAATAGAGCACTCAGGCCATATAGAAGATAGCCAGAACCAAAGGTAAATTATGCTCTTAGGCAGTTTTGTATCACATTTACTTCCTAAGTGTTATTCACCTTCTTTGGCAGAGGTTTTAAAATTATTTTGTAATAACATGCTCTATTCAGTTTATTTTCCCAGATGAAATCTTACTCAGAAGCTCAACATGTAAATAAAACAAAAGGAGAGATATTTCAGTTGAGTGTGGTAGAGAAGAAGGCACTGTGCCACTAATCTGGCCCCAGCTTTCTCCTGCCATCAGCCCCAAGGCTCGTGTGTGAAGTGGGGCTTCAAGGAAAGCTGCTGAAAATCCATCATTCTAGTGGACAAAGTCAGTCTCAGAACAAATGAAAGAGCAGGGCTTATAACTGTTAAAACTGTTGCTCTGCCTTATACCAACTTCTAGTCTGAAAATACGATTTTTGGAGTAACTTTTAAAAGTGGACAATTTAACTAGCCAAAATTGGCCTCAAACACCAAACATGCCATTACAAAACAAGAAGAGCAAATCTTTATGGGAAGGTACAGAAAAAGACATAGAATATCTGGAAAAGAAAATTTCTGCATTAACAATGGATATGACTATGGAAGAGATGAATGAGCCAGAATTAGGAACTAAATCTAACCCTTCAAGAGAAACACAGCTATCCCAGTGATATATCCATGTTAGAAGGCATAGAGAAACTTTGAAATCTCTGCAGAAAGAATGCCAGCTAACAGTTTGTGGAGGTTAAAGAACTGGATAACAAATTTCCCATTTGGAAAGTTTCTTTTGAATCAATTTATTACAGAAAAAGATTTCAAATAGCTTTCTGGGAGAAAAATAAAATAAGTTGTTAAATTTAAATAGTTGGTACAAATTTATCATAATGCAATCTCTTTCAGAATAACTACAAAGATCTTATTTACAATCCCCAAAATACAAGCAGCAATTGCTATTCTTACATTGATGTCATTGGAGAATTAAAATATATAGAAGAGTAGCTTTCTTAGTCATGTGGCAATTTCTACAAGCCATAGGTAGACCTGGTATTGTTGCAGTCTTTCTATTCCTTAGCTCAGCTAAATCCGAGATCTTTTCTCACAACCAGGAAGAATTAAGCATGCGGACACTGGAGAGTGAGTGTAGTAGAACCTATTAAGCAAAAGGAAAGCTCTCAGCAAAGAGGGGATTTGGGGGGTGATTCCCCTACCAGAAAGCAGGAAAGTCCCCCATGTGGCTGGGTCTGGGGCCTCATATGACTCAGAATAGGGAGTGCATGCTGACTGGCCTGTGCATATGCAAAAAAGGTTAAAGCAAAGACACGAGTCAAAGGTGGACATACAGTGTAGGAAACAAATTAGGAAAGGATAGGTATATGTAAAATAGGTGAAGGGTGGGGAACTATGGAGGAAGGTGCACCAAACAGAAAGACATGTTCTGAATCCATTCCGAGGATTTAACTTGTAGCTTGGCTTTCAGGCATTAAACAGTCTTCAGCTTGGAGGTGGGGTTTCACTGGGGACCCACCCTATGCCTAGGCATCTGAATGCCTCCTGCCACTCTCAGTATCTTGAAGAGGGCTATGAAAAAGCCATTTTAATGGTATCTACTTTGGAATTTGTAAAGACAGTAAATTTATTACTCTCAGAACCCTCATAACAACTTGAAGGTGTCATCTATTCTATCTATTCCTTTTAAAGCCAAATTATACTTATATCATCCCATGAAATAGTCATCTGTTCTAATGAAAATAATTTGAGATAATCAAGGAATCTATGAAAAGGACTTGGATGTTTTCATTCATTCACCTGGCAAACAGACACCAGGCAATGCTGCCATCTATACTGGGCATTAGGCCTACACAGTGAATAAAATATAATCTCCATGGAGAATGTACACTCTAGTGTATAAAACAGTTAAAGAGATCATCTCAGCATACTATATGTATTCTGAAAAGCAGTTAAGACATTATGTTTGAAAATACAGTTGGCATTTAATGACTCTAAAAGAAAATATTCAAGGAAGGGTTTACCATCTAAACTGAGACTGGGCACACATGTTCACCATGTGAAGAGTGACTGGAGGATGTTCCAGTGAGAACAGACAAAACATGTAAAAACCTAAAGACAAAAGAGGAAGTGGCATATTGGAGGGTCAGGGACAGTTCAGAGTGGAGTAAAGAGTAAGGGGAGATGCATTAAGATACAAGGCTGGTGAGATGAGCTCAACCTACATAATCAAAGGCATTGAATATTGTGTGAGAAATCTGGGGTATTATCATGCACACAATGAGAAAAAAATAAGGCTTCTAAATAGAAAATGTGGTTACTCAGATCTGAGTATAAGAAACATTATTCTAACTTGAAATGTAGGATGGCTTGAAGGTGAGTAGTGAGGACAGAGAAAACTATCCTAATCCGTTTGTTCTTTGTGAGGCAGAACAAATAACGATTTCACAGCAGACAAGATATGAAGTATGACAGGAGAAACCCAGGATGCCTTCTTGATTTTTGTCCTTAGCAGTGGGTGTCCTTAGATGGAGAATGTAGGAGGAGTTGGGCTAGATACAAGAGGATGAATTGAGGTTTTTGTTTGTTTGTTGTTGTTGTGGTTTTGAGATGGGGTCTTGCTGTACTGCCTAGGCTATGTCCAACTCCTTGGCTCAAGGGTTCCTCCAACCTCAGCCTGCTGAGTACCTGGGATTACAAGCACATGCCACTGTGTCTGGTTCTGAATTAAGTTTTTAACATGTTGAATTTAGGGTTCCTGGGATTCATCCAGGAGACAATTTTTATTCTTATTATCTTGACTTGTTGAATGCTGCTGTACTATATGAAGTGAGGTAAGAGGAAGAAAAGATTACATAATGAAGGTAAACAGTGATGAAAAAGGAGGGCAGTTGAAAAACAAAATACTGAACCAGAAATGTAAAAAATGACACTTCTCAATGAAATATAATTGTATAGTAAGTCCTGCTATTAGTTTTCTCAATTTACAAGATTAAAAACCACAAGCAGCACTTGAATTAACGGCTTGTACAGCTTCATTGTGGGCGTGAACACATGTATGCATACATAGAAGTCAGTGAAGACATGAGTTCACCAAGGACTTTTAGGAGAAGATTTCACACAGAATATCAGAAAGTAATATCAGGCTGTTTACCAACTATAAGACTGGTTATCTTGAACTGATTGACCCAGTGTCTGTGTTAAGATCTTACAGTGTACACCCAAAGCAACTTTTAAACACATTTCATATTGCATATTATGAGGCTTCTTCTGGAGTTTTTAAGCAAAACAAGGTACAGGTTTCTTAAAACCATGATTATTGTGAACAAAATTGGTTTTGGTCTATTTTTTTTCTTAACCAATTCACAGAATGCAAACATTATTAATCTTGAGTTTAATTAACCCCCTCTTTCATGTAATATATAGTAAGAAATTGTTATCAACTGTGACAATGTAAAAGTTAAAATATACATAACAGAAACTGGAAGAGAGAAATGCTGAGAGGAGGAGCAAGAGGTAACTAATATCTACATCTTATGAACTATAGAATTTAAAAATTACTGTTTATAATTAGCAGAAAAAATAGCAAAGGTTAAGAATATTATTTAATGTTTCAAATATAAGGATTCAGGAACAAAATGATATTATAACTATATGAAAAGGAAGGAAGATGGGGTAGCTATAAGTAGGCTAAATCCTCATCTGCCTTGGTAAGAACCTAATACAAAATATCTAAAAATTGACAAGAAATTCCTCCCTACACATCATTCACAGATATGCAGGTAATCTTTAGGAGAAAGATCTAGGAATGGAGGTTGATGAGGCAATGGGCCATTGTTTTTGTTTAAGCCCTATGCTTTGTCAATTGTAGGTGAATATTACTTTGATAAACATCTAAAAATGTAATATACATACATATATATTATGTATGTTATGTTACCTGGAAGATTTAAAATAGCTCCCAGTTTGGCATAACATTTGACCACAGTCATAACAATGGCATTAATATGTGTGAACAAAGACTGTTTCAATCAGGAAGAACATACATGACAAATATGGCAATGTGCATCTAAACAAGTCAAGGGAAAAGCAGCCTTGGCCAATAGATATGAGGAAGGAAGATCAAAATATGTTGTCTGAGGAACTGCTTAAGATCACATACACTCTATGTTCACATTTCACACTTACCAGGCAACTTTTTGTTCATAATCAGACTTGCCATTCAAGCTAGCCTATAGGAGAGAAACCTTGTCATGTTAACACAAGTAATCTGATCTGTGTAAAGTTTTATTTTCCTATAAATTAATAATTTAGTTTTTGAGATTATACTTCAGTGTCTGGAGAGAGCCTTGTTATTGTAAGTAAGTTATCATAGAACTCTTAGAAAGTGGCTATCTTCTGGGAATTCCTGGCTTTACAACTTGTCTTTCTACCTTCAACAGTTTAAAACTAGGCCTTCTTTTCTTTTTTTTTTTTAGATCAACACACATTCTTTGCTTCCTTCCAACTTCCTTGTTGTCTACAATGTTGTGAGTCATTCATTTTTAATAGTCCATATAGAATTGGTACTCTAAGAAACAGGGAATAGTTCTTAGGTTACAACTTCAGTGACTTTGGAGTTGCTCTTAACTTTTAATAAAAAACTAAATAGGAAAATACAACAGACACAAAATCAAATGTGACATATCTGAGTTTAAAGAAAGGTCCCTCTAGGCAAATCTGTCACTCAGAAGTTTCTGTAATCCGAGGGAGATTTCCTATGAAACTAATGAAGCTTCTCTCTAGGGCACCTCACTAGATGAGGCCCTTGCAATGCCCTAGGAGGCTCCCTTGCAACGTGTTCATGTAATCACTAGTTTTTCTAAAACTTTCAAACATAAGATATTTTAATGGTAATTGGTTGGACTGCTGTCTCTTTCTTTTCTGACTTCATCCCCATTACAAATCCCCTGAGGTCCAATAGAAATGGATTAGCCATGGATGTTTTAGAATCTGGCTAAGAGAAAGTTAAGTTGGAGATATATTATCTTGTTTCTAATCTACTTAAGTTTCACAGTTTTTATATGTATACTTAAGTTGTTGTTGACTCATCAGGCATCACTGAAATTAATGTATATTTCCAGAGATTATAATTTGATATGAACATGCCCTCTGATTTTCAGCACAGAATATTCATGGATAATGGAGGAGAAATAGATTTGAAATATATGGAGCAACAATCTAGTCTATGGAAAATTCTTCTAATTATCAGACATGTAAAATTATAAGAAAATGATTCAGTTCTCATTGACACCAATCAAAATGAAAGTTCTATTCCTTCAAGAATATTCTGAATAATATTGCATAATTATAAAAACAACATGTTTTTCAGACATTCTTCAGAATAGTATTAGAATACCTGCATTTGTAGGGCACAAACCAAGAGCAGTACTACAAATAGTAAGTATATCTTGTATAATCACATATTGAATGTGTCCCAGCTATTAACAGTAAAAAAAAAAAAAAAAAAAAAAAAAAAATTTCAATCAGCTAGGCTAGAAGACAATTATCTTTGTGTTTTGGGACATCAGGGACCCCAAACAGAGAGACCGGCTGAAGCCATGGTAGAAGAACGTGGATTGTGAAGATTTCATGGACATTTATTAATTCCCCAAATTATTGCTTTTATAATTTCTTATGCCTGTCTTTACTGCAATCTCTAAACATAAATTGTGAAGATTTCATGGACACTTATCACTTCCCCAATCAATACCCTTGTGATTTCCTATGCCTGTCTTTACTTTAATCTCTTAATCCTATCAGCTGAGGAGGATGTATGTCGCCTCAGGACCCTGTAATAATTGCATTAACTGCACAAATTGTACAGCACGTGTGTTTGAGCAACATGAAATCTGGGCACCTTGAAAAAAGAACAGGATAGTACCAATTGTTCAGGGAATAAGAGAGATAACCTTAAACTCTGACCACCAGTGAGCCGGGTGGAACAGAGCCATATTTCTCTTCCTTCAAAAGCAAATGGGAGAAATATCGCTGAATTCTTTTTCTCAGCAAGGAACATCCCTGGGAAAGAGAATATGCACCTGGGGGCATAGGCCTATAAACGGGACCGCTAGGTGTGGCCGTCTCCTATGGTCTGTAGACTGCATGGGTGAAATAGACCCCAGTCTCCCATAGCGCTCCCAGGCTTATTAGGAAGAGGAAATTCCCGCCTAATAAATTTTTGGTCAGACGGGTTGCTCTCAAAACCCTGTCTCCTGATAAGATGTTATCAATGACAATGGTGCCTGAAACTTCATTAGCAATTCTAATTTCGCCCTGGTCCTGTGGTCCTGTGATCTCGCCTTGCCTCCACTTGCCTTGTGATATTAAGGACTTGATGTCTGTGACCCACACCTATTCACACACTCCCTCCCCTTTTGAAAATCCCTAATAAAAACTTGCTGGTTTTTGTGGCTTGTGGGCCATCACGGAACCTACTGACATGTGATGTCTCCCCCGGATGCCCAGCTTTAAAATTTCTCTCTTTTGTGCTCTTTCCCTTTATTTCTCAAGCCGGCCGATGCTTAGGGAAAATAGAAAAGAACCTACGTGACTATTGGGGTAGCATCCCCAATATCTTTCTATAGTTTTCATAGAGGATATTAAAAATATTTGTTTCACAATGAGGATATCAAAGGGCATGCAACTAAATACATACGAAAGAGTATTATAGAACTTTGTGAGGCCATTAATTAATAAAATGTTACCAACCTTCAAAAAGGTCATTGACCCTAATGGGCCCTTTCCCTGCTCAGTGTTGTTCACACCAATAAAATAAGACCAGGTTCAGTAAAGCAGAACAGAAACTTTATTCATTGATTGAGGAAAGGAGAAGGTGAGCTTATACTCAAAGCACTCTCTCTCTGTGGGGTAAGGTAAAGGGAGATTTTAAGGGCTTTTAAGGCAGGTGGGTGGAGACAGGGGGCAGGATTCAGGGAAAGAGGTGGGACTTTCCAGAGAGAGTCGAAGTGTAGCAGTTTAGTTGTTTCCTTTGTGCCCAACACTACATGTGCCTAGCAAAGTGCATCCCTTCCCACTGCATGGGGATTTAGTCTGGTAACAAGGCAAGCATTCAGGTTAGGGTAGCACTACAGAGCTCATTTCTCACCTTGTGGCTAGTTTGTTGTTGCCAGTATCTGGCCTTCATTTCTATAAGCAAGCAGACAGGTGTGCACAGGTTAATTTTACAGGTTTAGGGGCTTTTTGAAAGAATTGAAGTCATGCTGCAGTGACAAATGTAGCAAGTTCTATTTTGGGATTTTTAAATATTTATAGAATATGTAAGCTTTATAAAATTTTAAGTTATGCTTTCTTTACCCTAAAGAAATGTTTATATTTGTATATAACTTTGAATTTTAAATTCTGGATTCCTCTTATTAAAGAGGGCCCTCAACAACTGTATAACCTTTAGCCCAGAAAACCTGGGAATCTACACCTGCATGTACAATAAAACTTAGAGTAATCTCTGGAAATGCAAAGTTAAAGATAAAGGGTACTCTGTGCACACGGTGTTATCAGTCTTACATTATATGTCCACCAAGAAGGCTTTTATAAAAATCCAGGTAACAGAAAATGTAGACATATTCAATTTAAGTGTATTGACAAATGATACCAAGAACTTGAATCATACCTAATTTTCTCTAACTTCCTCTTCCAAGTTGCTTTTTTTAAAGAGAGTTTGTTTATTAAAGGAAGTATGAAAAAATCTGTTTGGATGTCCTCTAAAATTTCGGACACTTTTACAAGGTAAAAAGTACATTAAGTCATGTGACTCATTTGAATGTTGTCAGTGGCATAATAACAAAAGTCATCTTATTTGGGGTTAAGTGAGGTAGCTGTGCTAAATGACTCTCAAAATCATAAAAAATGGATGGAACCATCAAAGTAGAAATGAATAATTAAACTTGTGCTCCAATCTGCACCTATGGATATCAGGAAAACACAAAGAGCTATTAATGTTTATTCTTTCTAGATAGAAACCCAAATTGTAAAATTATATAACAAAATTTAATAACAAATATTGCAATCAAGACTAATACTATAACAGCATTTGGCATGCGTCTGTGTAGGAGTTAAACAAATAAAATGCTAAGAGAAAGAGCATACAGACTCCTACCGGTACTAAAAAAGAAGTGAGAAAAAAAGTTGTTCAGTCATGTAGAGCAAAGCAGGAAGTGATGATGAGAAGGAGGCCTGAGGGAGTGAAAGAAGGAAGGCAGGCAGCATCACTGAGTACTTGTATGTTTGCCATCACATTAAATATTTTATATCCCTTACAATTATTTTATAGTCACAAACCCTGGATGGTAGTTATTATTATCACTATTTTAGAGAATAAACACTTGAAAGAGTGAATTTAAACAATTTGTCCAAGAACACATGTGTAAGAGATGAAGCCTGAATTCAAACCACATCTGTCTGACTCCAAAGCCCACACACACTCTTTCTACACTCAAGGCCCAGATCGGTCAAGAATGGCATTGGAGGTGTGAGTACGGGGTTGGTTCACAGATCCTGGAACAATAATAGTAATAATGTTGGATAATGCAGCAAACATATACAGCATTTACTATGTGCAAGGCAGAATTCTAAGCACTTTACATTTATTACCTCATTTAATCCTTCTAGTTGATCTCATAGAAGTAAAGAATAGAATGGTAGTTACCAGAGGCTGGGGTAGTTTGGGTTGGGAGAGGGAGGGGAGATGTTACAATTAGGAATAATAAGTTTAAGAGATCTGTTGCATAGCATGGTGACTATGGTTAATGATACATTGTGTTCTTGAAAAATGCTAAGAGAGTGGATGTTAAGTGTTCTCATCAAAAACAAAACTATGTGAGATTATTCATTTGTTAATTAGCTAGATTTAACCATTCCACAATGTATATATATATTTCAAAACATCATGTTGTACATAATAAATACATACAATTTTATATGTCATTTCAAAAAATAATTTTTTTAAAAAAAAGATGGTTCATGGGAAGTGTCTGGGACAAGTTAAGTACTGAATAAATATTAACTATTAAAAAATCCTTCTAACAACTGTGTATGGAAAGTATTCTTATTTCCCTTTAACTAAAAACAGCATTTGTAGCAAGAAAAGACAAATTTCCCAGTGCAAGGGGTTTAATATATTCTTTTCTGTAGCATTGTAGAAGCAATACCTGATTATAATATAAGTACAAACAGTTCGAAGTGTTTAAAGAGTAATTTTTCTCCTCACCCATTGTAATCCCCCTCTGAAGCAGTTAAACACACAGGCACACATAAATATATGCACACATTTCAGTATAGCTCATAGGCATCTTTCTTTTAAGTATTTAAGTTGGTTTCATGATGCATGATACTACTTTATAAGTAGTAGTCCATCATATGGTTGTACTACAATTTATTTGAGCAGAATTAAAAGTACTTAAATCTATGTAAGTTTTGCATATCTATAAAATAAATTACACCTACTTCAGTGGAAACATAACAAATTCCATTACCCCTTTGTCACTCAGCAGATGCTCAGGGTTTCACTACAGCAATAGATTTCTTAATTAATCTCTAAGTAATTGACTCATCAGTTTAGGCAATGCCCATTTCTTCAGTAAAATACAGTAAATAATGACCATGTCACACTAAATACTCAAAGCTGCCAAGCTACTTTCTATTGGGTCTCTTCTGTTTCCACCAGTTTCCAAAAGTCTGTTACATTTTCACCAAAATATATGACAGTTTTACATGGTATTGTAATTATAGCACAAATTAAAGAAATATACGTGCTAAATATAGCTGTTTCTACGAAAACTAAATTGAATTCTTTGGAAAACTTAATAAAGGTAAGTTACTAAGATAAAAGTGCTATGAAATTAGATACAGAAGAAAACCTTAAAAGTTGTAGGAAAATCGACAAGATTCTAAAGGAATTATGCACTCAGATTGCTTTGCAGCTGTCTTCAAAACATTTATTTTAGTACTATAAAGACATTTAAATATATACAAAAAAAAATTGCACTTGACAGGACCAAAGTTGAGCTCTTCACTAGTCACATTATAGGAAAGAGCTAAAGAGGCACAGGGATATTTGTTTATTCTACAAGAAATGCTCAAAAGGTAAAACTTATTTTAGAAGAAAAAGGGGAAAGCATAGCATTAGTTAATCTCACTCTGCCTCCTTACCTCTCCTGCTAAAACATATGAAAAGAAATAAGTTTTTAGGGTACATTATGCCTTCACTACATGTATCCTGAATGGAAGAAAGAAAGAAACCATAGATTTTAAAGTTCAGTTGGAAAAAAAGAAGAAACTTTTTTTAAAGTAAAAATAAATAAATGTTCAATGCATGCACGTAACTATACATAAAAAGAAAATATCTATAATGCAACTTACGTAAAGTTTCTTTAAAAGGGTAAAGCAATATGGAGGTATAGTGTATGTAGATAATAAATTATTTTTTAGAATTAAAGTACTAGAAAGTTTTAATATCTTTTATTAAAAAAGTTATATGAATTATAGAAAATACAGGTCTTCTAGGAAAAATTAAGAAATATTACTTTTAAAATTTCCCTTGTAAGTTTTATAAATTTTGAAAAAAACTTAAACATGGCTATCCATTTGCCTTAAATCATATCCTACCAATTAACATAAATAATAAAATAAATAGCAATTCTGACTTTTTCTAGAAAGTAATATATCAATAATTGCTATTTTAAGCATTAAAAACATTTACAAATTTTATAATAATAAGCACTCTATAATTTGCTTATTAGGAAGCATAACATTCTACTATTCTTTTATTGTTTGATACCAGAACTCATCATACATATACAGGCAGTTAATATAAACATTAGTTACCGTATTTCATTGACTGGGATATTTTTCACATTTGAATATTTGTGAAATGTTGAAGTATCTTATACCACTAACAAAAATATTCGTTAGTTTTTTTCTTCTTTCTTTTGTTAAATAAATGTTTGGAAAAATTGAGATGGCACATATTGTAAATGACACCATAGTTCCAAAGAAATCCAGCATTAAAATGATCACTAAAGGATTCACTTACCAAAAAAAGAAAAAAAGTTCCTTTAGGAGGGTAAGATTGCAATTTAAAAATTTTTAACAGATAATAATCAAATAAAGGTCAATAAATTTGAATTTTTCTGAAAAGCTACCCTGAAGTCTATCAGAACCCTAAGAAGTTCTTGCAATTGCTAATACAAAAATAAAGCTATTATTTACACAGTTCTGCAACAGTGTTTTCACTATTCATTTACTTCAGTGTTAATGCCCACAAATTTTTTAAAGTTAAATCCAAAAATCACAAAATAATAGAGTAGAAATCACAAAATAATGGAGTTTAAATGCAGTCTGAAAATTTAAGATTAGACTGGACTCTCTGTCAGCTCATCTCAATTTAATACCATTCTGGTTGTACCATTTTCCACTTCTCTACAGCATTTCAAGTGAAAATCTTTCAAAGAATATACTCAGTCAACATTCTGAAACAGTTGTAGTATTTTAGTTAATAACAATATATAGTTTTCCATTATCAAAGAAAGACTTTGCTTCTAAGTTTCATCATTAAAACTACAAGATTTAATAGAAACATGCTTGATCTCAGCAGGATGAACCATATCTATCATTCTCACAACATGAAGTACTTGAACATTGACTCACACATTTCATCAGAGACCCTGAAAAGTTATATATTTTTATTAGAGATAGAGATCTTTAAAGTGTACATAAGAGTTTTCAGTGAATTGTCACAGATTAAATACATGCATTTATCACCAACCTCTCTGAAAATACCACTACAGTTACAAAGAGTTAATAAGATATTAATCTAGGAAGACAATGAGAAAGTAAATCTCAGTAAACAAAAATTTTTAGAAGGAAAAGGTCATATCAGTAACTATGCAGAGCAGAGAAAGATGTTACTTAGGAGCTTAGGGGTATAAAAGCCAAGAAATTTAGAAATGCACATCTCAGAACCTTGTAAAATCTCAAGAATTAGAAATACAAGGAATGCAATAATTGGAACTACAAAAAAGGAAGAAATACTGCGGTTTCAAAACAGAATGATTGAAGGAAGAGCTTTATAGGGTGCAGCTGGGCTTCTGGATCACTTAAATAGCCAAGCAATTCTTCCCCACTCTGAGAAGCCTGGTGATTCACTCTATAATGAGGCAGAACACAATGTCTCGAGTCAAGACACTAGGCAGAGCTAAGCAAAAGATAACTAGAATCAAAACCAGGGAAACTCAAAAAATATGACACATGAAGAGTTAAGACCCACTGGGGCTTCCAGAACCTTGATTTGTATCTCCAGGCATGAGACTGAAGATATCCTCTTAGGAGAAACTGACTAGACTGAAGATATCCTCTTAGGAAAAACTGACTAGGATAAAGGATCAATTGATATTGGCCATTGTGGATCCTCTAATGAGACGGTCAATCTTTGACTTACCAGTGAAACCCTGCAGTCAACAAACCTTGCTCTTACCACAGAGTTTGCACTCAGAATCTTAGTGTTTCACTCTAGAATATGAAAAGACTGCTAAGAATCACCTGGTAGTTGAGAAAAGCCTGCAATATTCAATGTAGACACAGAAACAAACAAGTAGCCAGAGGCAACAAAGACTATGTGGGATCAAAAGAAAACTGCAAATACACTGTAACATAATATTATGTATATATTTAATATATATAATTTACACATATAAGTTTATATATGCATATATAAGCATACACAGATAACTATATATTACATCCATTAACTAGTATATTTCAAATATACTGTAATTAAGATATGCTATATCTATTTTAAAGGAATGTTATTTTTTAAAAGCTCTCAACAAATCTGAAATATTAAAAATATTACAGAAATAATTTTAATCCATTAAAGTTGTTAAAAACCTCTCAAAAGCATTTTTGAAACAAAAGATAAAAATAAAACAGAAGAGATCAGAAAATGGATGGCAGTCTGTGGTGTTTGACATCCAATTCAAAAGAATTCTGATCTGAGAAAAGAGAACTGGCAGGGTAAATATTCTCAAATAAATAACACAAACAATTTTTCTAGACCTGAAGTACATGACCATCCAAATTAAAAGAGACCACTGAATGCCAAGCAAAGTGGATGAATACTGCCTTTATGAAGGAACCCATTGAAAATTTGATAACACTAGAGAAAATTAGAAGTTTTTCAAAGCAATGAGGAAAAAATGTAAATACAAAGACTGGAAATCCAAAATCATCAGACTTCTTAATGGCAACTTTGGAAACTTGAATAAAGTCTTCCATATTCTAGATTCAGTATTCTATACCCAGGCAGATTATCAATTACGTTTGAGGGAAAGACAAAGATATTTTCATGAATGTAAGCTCTCAAAATTTTACTCAAATATATCATCTTCTAATAAATAGCTGAATGATAAGTCCCACTAAAAGTAGAGAGTAAACCAAGAAAATAGAAAAATGGAGAATACAGTAGGAAGGTAAAGGTAAGGAGAAACAACGAGATTTCAAATCAGAAAGCTAGAGGTTTAGTGAGTATTGCTTAGAAACCATTAATTTCACACACACACACACACACACACACACACACACACACGCAATATTGAAAGCTGATGTGCATCCAGGGCAAAGAAGATTGTAGATTTGGTAAGAGAATGTTTGAGACAGTAAGTCCCAAAAAGCTTGAGACTGCAGCAGCTCACAGTTGACTGGAACAGCTACCAAAGTTGTTCCACATTATTCACATAAAAATATAATCTGATCCCATTTAAACATGAGTAATGTTCAAAGTACAACTAACATGAACCTAAGAATAGATAAAGCGGAAAAAAGTATATGAACAAGCTAAATAATAAAATTTCTCCATGTTTTTCCAATCTCAAATTACAACAAACTGATTGTACCACAAAGGGATAAGGTTCAAGGAAGGGATACAGAGTTTCAAGGATGATGGCAGTGGCAGCCCATCTGGAGTGGCCACTGCAAAGACACTGGCTACAGCAGGGAAGGTGTGGCTGGGGCTGTGTGTTTTGCGGAGCTGGCAGGAGATAGGAACAGGTGATTCCGGCGGGAACCCCGCACCCCGTCAAGTTGGCGGGGCAGGAGCCTGTGCTACTGGGCACAGCTGCAGCCACCCAGCCACAGCTCTGGACACAGGCATTCCCGCACTCCCTGGGGCCCGGGAAGCCTGCCTGCTCCTGCTTCCTAGCATCTCCCTGCTCTAGGCGCCTGCTCCACTGCAGAGCAAAGTTGTGGTCAAACCTAGGCACTGTCACGACCTGGCGAGGTGTGCACACGCTCAGGGTGGCTCTGACATGCCAGCCACCTGCCGCCTTGGCCTGTTTTGGACTTGGGGCACCAAGGTACATGGGAGGGAAACTCTTGAGTGCTGAGGGCAGCTGGACACGGGCCTGTGGGCGTCCCTCAGTGCGGACAGCCTGGGTGCTGTAGACAGTATGTTGATGGCGGTCGGAAGAAGACAGGTTCCTGGGCAGAAAGAGGTGAGTCCCCAGTGAAACCTCAACTTCAAGCCAGGGTGGTCTGAACCTTGGGGGCCAGGCTGCCAGTTCGCAGTGGAGTCTGCAACCTGGAGTGAGAACTTCCTTGATGCCTTTTGGCTAATTAAATAGGGTTTTTTCCACACTCACCCATGGCCACCCATGGACTAATCAGCACACACTTCCTCCTGCCCATGTGCCAACCAGCATGCATTTCCTCCATTCAGAGCCCATAAAGCCCCATCCCCACCCCCACCCCACTCCACCACCCACTGAGCCAGACTCAGTCGGACATCTGTGGGGTCTACCTGTCTGCGGATAGGAACTACCCAACTGAGGTATCCTCTACATTCATTGGTACTACCTGTCTGCAGATAAGAGCTGCCCACTTCGGGTCTCCTCTTTGCTGAGCACTCTTCTGTCTCCCAGTAAAGCTCCCAGTAAAGCCCAGCAGCTCCCAGTAAAGCTTGTTCACCCTCCAGTTGTCTGTGTAACTTCCTTCTTCCTGGATGCAGGACAAGAACTCAGGACCCACCAAAGGGCAGAGCGAAAGGAGCTGTAACACTTCCCTGGCTTGCTTGCCAAGCTATGGGCAGGAGCTAAAGGGGCTGTGACACTACAGCCCTCCTGCCCTCTGCCAGCGCAGGGCAGGCGCTCCACATGACCGGAAGCAGTGGCGGGAGCTAGGCCAGCCCTGGAGCCGCGGGCTGGAGTGGGATGACCAAACTGAAAGAGATGTAACACAAATGGGGTGAAACACATCCCCCCAAAACATACCTCCCCCACTCACTGCACTGCAGGTGATGAGAAGCAGAGAAGAGCTGCAGCCCTTCTGGGAGCCCAGACCTCACGGCTCCCCACGCCAGGGCTGTGACATGCTTTAACACCCTCTTTGTGGCTCTGAGGTTCCTGATGTCTCCTAGTTTCCAGGTGCTACTGCGTTCCCCTCGTCCAGACACTGGTGCCCACAGCAGAAGCTGCTTGTGATCTGGCCTAGCCTGTAACACAGTTGGCACCTGTGATGGTGCCCGGGGCTGCCTGCCTCGCTGCAGCAGCTGGCGTGCCTGGCTGTGCGCAATGGCCAGACCCCGCGCTCACTCACTCACACACCCCTCGCCACTCCACACCTGGCTTACCCTTCGCAGGCATAAGATCCAGGCTGGTAGCACAAGCCAAGCACAGCCTGCCGGGCTGAGTGGGCAGAATGAGTCCAGCAGGCATGAGTAAAACTCAAGTAGAGGCACCACTGGCCACAGAGGTTTCTGGCTGGTGAGGCAACACCCAAAGGATCCTCTGACAATTGCATGAAGACAGAAGATGAAACATAAGCTAGCAGAACTCAGTAAAGAAGGACAAGGGCAATGCAGAAAATCATCAAGAAGAACACTAGGTAGTAATCAAAATAAAATAACATGACTAAAATCCAAGAAAAGGCATAATAGGTTGGTAAATGAAATGAAATGTGTAATAACAGAGTTTTAGGGTAGAATAGACAGCCTTTATCTAGAAAATGATAGCAAAGAAGATCCAAAATATGCTTATTTGTTATTCCTGAAAAAGAGAACTCATCAACATTCAAAAGTATTTTATAATATAACCTCCCTGAAATATTAGCACATCATGTCCTAAGAAATACTGACAAACATAATCAATCCCAAGTTATATCCTGATGAATTTATGGAACTTTCATGATAAGGAAAACAATTACGTGGAACTTAAGGTAGGGTAAGCACACTCCAAGCAAAAGGAAATAATCAGACTGTATCAAACTTCTCTACAACAACACTACAGGCAGGTAGAGAGTGAAGCACAGTCTCCAAAATTTTGAGGAAAATATGGTAGGACTAAAGGATTCTGTCTGGCCAAGTCACTCTTCAACTATTAGAAAAATAAAATCAGACATTCTCAAGTAGACAGGATTACAGCATCAGTGAGCTTTGTTCATAAAACTACTAGCCAATGAAATCTAGCCAAGAAAGAATGAAGTGAAATAAACTAGGAAAGACAAAGCTACTCAGACATGAGCTTAAAAATTAATTTACATTTTGAGACAAAGCTAAACCCATGTGGTTATTATGCACACATTAGAAAATAAAATCGAAATAATAATAATACTATTTTGAGTTCAATATTTCAAAGTTATCCTCAAAATCAAGTGCAGCCTACATGTCAATCTGGATAAAACTATCAAACTCTCTGACCTTTTTTTTTTTGCTTTTTTGGTTTTTTTTTTTTGAGACGGAGTCTCGCTCTGTCACCCAGGCTGGAGTGCAGTGGCGCGATCTCGGCTCACTGCAAGCTCCACCTCCTGGGTTCACGCCATTCTCCTGCCTCAGCCTCCCAAGTAGCTGGGACTACAGGCGCCTGCCACCACTCCTGGCTAATTTTTTGTATTTTTAGTAGAGATGGGGTTTCACCATGTTAGCCAGGATGGTCTCAATCTCCTGACCTTGTGATCTGCCTACCTCGGCCTCCCAAAGTGCTGGGATTACAGGCATGAGCCACCGTGCCTGGCTCTCTGAGCTTTTTTAACTGAGATGTTATTTAATGCTGTTCCATGGCATTTATGTTTCTATCCAGTGGAAAATGTGGTAGATAATTATTTGGATGTCTAGTAGACCATGATCTCCTATTCTAAATTCTGCCCTCTTGAGTTCCTATGGTTATACAGTTCTCTCTGTCCTACATGGCCCTATCTCACAGACAGAGCTGATTGAATATGAATGCATAATAAACCCAACTAGACCAATCAAATCCTCTGCCCTGTTGCCTGGAATTGAGACACTGATCCTGTGGCTGAAGATATGTACTATCGGAACTTGAATTGTGGCCAAATAGAATTCTAGTTCATAGAAATAAATCAGTAAAATAGATATAAGGAGGTAAGAGACTGTCTTAGTAGAAACTAAAAAGTGTGGCTGTTTAGATTCCTGTTTTATGTCCTTCCTAAAGCCTAATATACTTTCTGCTTTAGGCTTCCATGAGATACTAGAGTACATTTATAATAATTTCTCCTCTTTTACTTAAGCTCTTAAGTGGGTTTCAGTTATTTGCAGTCAAAATAGCCTTAAAGGCAACAGAAATTAGTATAAGAAATGACATTATATTTAACAATTCCAAATAAAACCATTAAACTGGATAAATTAAAGTGAGTTCTGGGTTGGGGGACAATGATGATTCCTCTATCAAGGAATAGAAATATAGCAATTTGGTTTGGCAATAACAAAATAGTTCAGCTATCATTGTTATCTTTGGCTATTCGGTCTGTATTTTCATAAAAAGTGAAGCTTTAAAGGATGTGATCGCCCACTTAAAGGTATCAGAGTATCTTTAAGATTTAAGAGAAGAAATTACATAGACCAAGAGGAAATCAGGGATAGCAGTTTAAGACTACTGTCTTTCCAATCAATAAATTATTTGTCCTGCCAAAATGGCAACAACAAAATTATTTGAATAATCATATATCTCCAAATTAGGCTGATGTCCTTATTGAATACTAATATTGATAATGGGATATGTGCAACTAACTAAGGTAATGGAAAGAAATCATTATCCATGTGCTCCTTCGTGAGCTAGAGAATGGCCTTCTATCGCGTGCCATACCTAGCTCCAACTTAACACATTTGCAAATATCTTCAAAACATAATCTGGATTTTATGATTTAGTCTTAATACACACGAGCAGATTAAGGAATTGTGCTCTGCTGGTCATTGTTTTTCTTCTGGGCCTTAAGACTAAAGCCATTAAGTAGATAAAAATGGAGACAGGATTCCAGGATAAGACGTGGATAAAAATAATAAACCAAGTTCTGACAGTTCAGCCAAGCAAATCCATTAAGCACCGTGATGCAACAAGTTATCTGGCTTGGTTTACTGCAAATACAGTCTCTAAAACCAAACAATATAAACAAAGATTTTTAAAAAGACCAATAATATTTTAAAAGAAAACTCTCTATATCTCAGCACTTTGGGAGGCCAAGGTGGGCGGACCACGAGGTAAGGAGATGGAGACCATCCTGGCTAACACGGTGAAACCCCATCTCCACTAAAAATACTAAAAAGTAGCAGGGCGTGGTGGCGGGCGCCTGTAGTCCCAGCTACTCGGGAGGCTGAGGTAGGAGAATAGCGTGAACCCGGGAGGCGGAGCTTGCAGTGAGCCGAGATCGCGCCACTGCACTCCAACCTGGGCGACAGAGTGAGACTCCGTCCCAGAAAAACAACAACAACAAAAAAAGAAAACTCTGAATCTGAACAACAGAACATAAATGACTCAAACCAATATGGGAAACTCAGCTGAAGTAAGGCTTTGTTTTAAGTCAGGACTACAAAAGATGCTGGCAGAGCCAGACTGGATTTCTATGCATTATGAACAGCCTCGTTATGAGAATCCGCCCCAATACTCCCTTCAGGGTATCTCTGAAGGACATCAGATATAGAAATTATACCAGTAGGCAGAACCTGGGCCAGCTAGAATTCTTAACTGCTCATTCTACAGGATAGAAAATGAATCAACAGACTCAAAAGTCTATGACATTAACTAGTCAGCCCCTCTCCCTCAGATTACAACATGCCTGCCCTTAGATCCCAAATCTATCTCAGAAGAAGAATATTTCGGTATCACCAATATGATGAGACACAGTGAAAAGGCATATTAAATAAACTATACTGTTTATTCAATTCTATTTTATCCCTGTTAACATTTTAAATTGTTATGAAAATAAATTCTGAAAATAAAGAAACATTATGATTGCCATTTCGTGGAGAAGCAGATCAATATCCTCTCAGGTTGGCCCTTCACTAATCATTTTAGCCACTCCATAGCTTTGACCTTCTCATAGCAGCCACAGACCACAGGAGGTTCAAAACACAAAAGGCCAGAGGCAGCAAAAGCATAGAGTAATGAGAGTAGAGCAACAGTCAGAGCTTTGGTACCTCACAGAGAGCAAAGCTGTTCTCAGGGTATAAGTAATCAAGAGCAAGCATTTTACAGGGTATTTTAGAGAGAAGTAAAAGCTTTTTGGTAAGGCAGTTATAAAAACTCAAATTCAAATGAATGCTGAGCAAAGGCACAGGCAAAGACTAGAATTCTTGTGCAAATTACAGTTGCAAGAAAACATCTGGAGCCGACTGACAGAGGACTAAAATACTGTGGAATAAAAATGGGAAGAATGCAGAAGACAGTCAGTCAGTGGAAACTGGGAGAAGAAACATGGAAATTAAACATGTAAAAAAACTGCTCCCATGTCTATACTGTCTGATAATTTTTATTAATTTTATTATAAGAAAACGGAAGTATCAGTACGTGCTGCTGAGAATCCATAATTATAAAACAAAAACTAAACAATTTTAGTCTAGTATTGCTATATGTATTTTTTGTTACATAGAAGACATTTTTATTGTCTTATGCTAACTTTAACAACCCCTCCATATATTCATCAAAGTTCTGATCCTTAGAAAACACAAAATAGGTGAGCAAATAAATTTGGTTTTTAACAAGGCTTGTTATCTGGGTGGCCAACAAATAATTTGAAAACATAGAATTTTCATTAGAAATGGATATTTGTTTGTATAAATGTTCCCAATACCAATATTCTGGACTTTCTTGTCAATTCAGTAAGATGAAGGAAGGCTAAGCAGAGATATTGAAACATAAATATTGAAAAGAAGAGACAATGATATTTGTAGAAAATGCTGCTGAAGAACTGACTCATGAAATATTTCAGGGGTGCAATTGGCAATATGGCAAAAAGAATACTTAAAATATGCAATCTCTTTGAGGCAATAATTCTAGTTCAAGAAATTTACTTGAAGAAAATAATCAGAGATGTGAGAAGATGTGTGTGTGTGAAGAATGTTTACAATAACTTTACATCTCTGGTTAAAAAAAATAGAGTGCTCACTTTAGCAGCACATATACAGATAATCTTTGATTTATGGTGGTTTATCTTGTGGTTTTTCAACTTTACAATAACTTAAAAGTGATAAACATTTGGTAGACACCATACTTATTTCACCATCCCTAAAGTAGTCAGCCATTGCTTTCAGTCATCTGCGTATTTCAACATAATACTTTCTACTTACGATGGGTTTATTGGAAAGTAACTCTATTGTAAGCCAAGGAGCATTTGTACTAAAATTGGAATGATAGAATATTAACATGGTCCCTGCACAAAGATGACATGAAAATTTGTGAATCTTTCCATATTTTTCAACCCAAAGAGTTCATCAAGACAAGTAATAATCAAATTATTAAAAATAAAAGACAATTTTGAGAGCAGCAAGAGATAAGAAGTGCATTTCATACAATGGCATTTTAATACCACTATCAGTGGACTTCTCAGTAGAGCCCTTGCAAGGCAAGAAAGAGTGGGATGAAATATTCAAAACCTGTCAGCAAACCTGTCAACCAAGAATACGTGGCAAAGCATTCTTTTGGAAATGAGGGAGACAATGGTAGCATCTTACAAAATAAGATGTTTACAAGATGTGCACAATAGCAAAACCAGGATTTTGACATTTATACAGTAAAGATACAGAAAATTTCCATCACCAGAAAGATCCCTTGTGTTGTCCACGTTCCCATCTACTCCTCTCCCCTCTTCCATTCCCTACCCCTGGCCACTACTAACCTGTTGTTTATGTTTATAATTATGTCATTTTAAGAACATTATATGAGAAGAATCATATAATGTCTAATCTTTAGGGATTGGCTTTTTTCACTCAGCATAACTCCCTGAAGATTCATACAATTTTCTGCATGTATCAATAGTTCATTTCTTGTATTGCTGAGGTAGTCCATGTTATGGATGTATCAGTTTGTTTAACCACATGCCCATTGAAGGATGGCTGAATATTTTTCAGGTTTTCTGGTTCTGATGAATAAAGTTGCTACAAACATTAAAAAAAGAAAAAAGAAATGAGGAAAAAATAAAAACATTCTCAGGTAAACAAAAGTTAAGGGAGTTTATCACCATTAGGCCTGCCTTACAGGAATTGCTAAAGGAAGTTCTTTAAACTGAAACAAAAAGCTTCTAATAAATAACATAAAAGTTATAAATGCACAAACCCAGTGGTCTAAGTAATACAGAGCAATAATCAGAATGCTCTAGGACTATAATGTTAGTATATAAAATAATTTTATTCTTAGTACAGGGGTAAAGGACAAAAACATTAATAACTACTGTTGAAATAAATTGTTGAGGAATACATACTATAAAAAAAGATGTAATTCAGACATTAAAAATGAAAATTATGTGTGTGGGGGAAGTAAAAGTGTAGATTTGTTGTATGCAAAATTTGCTCACTCTTAGCTTGAAATAAACTGTTATAAGTAGAAGATATTCTATGTAAGCCTCATGGTAAACAAAAACCAAAAAAGTCTATTGGAGACACACAGAAAAATAAAAAAGGTTCAAAACTACAACTACAGAAATTTATGAAACCACAAAGGAAGACAGCAAGAAAGGAAGAAACAAAGTATCTCCAAAAACCCAGAAAACAATTAACAAAATTGTGAACAGTAATTCCTTACTATTGGCAGTAGTGAGTCCTTACCTATCAATAAGTACCTTGAATGTAAATTGATTAAATTCTCCAATAAAAGGACATACAGTAAATGAATGTATAAAAAAAATAAGACCCAACTATATACTGCCTACGAGAGACTTACCTCACTTTTTAGGATACACATAGACTGAAAATGAAGGATTGAAAAAAGATATTCTATGCAAATAAAAAACAAAATAATGCAGGGATAGTAATACTTAGCAAAAAATTAAAGAGGAAAACTACTTCCAAACTTTATTTATTTATATTTATTTATTTATTTTAAGACAGAGTTTCGCTCCCATTGCCTAGGCTGGAATGCAATGGCATGATCTCGGCTCTCTGCAACCTCTGCCTCCCGGGTTCAAGTAATTCTCCTGCCTCAGTCTCCTGAGTAGCTGGGATTACAGGCATGCGCCACCATGCTCGGCTAATTTTGTATTTTTAGTAGAGGCGGGGTTTCTCCATGTTGGTCAGGCTGATCTCAAACCCAGAATTTTTTTTAATAAGGCCAGCATCACTCTGATACCAAAGCCAAACAACGATATAAAAGGAAAGAAAACTACAGGCCAATATCCTTGATGAATATAGACACAACAATTCTCAACAAATTAGTAGCAAGCCAAACTCAGCATCACAAAGGATCACTTATCATGATCAAGTGAGATTTATTTCTGGGATGCAAGGATGGTTTAGCATTCACAAATCAATAAATGTGATACACCGTATTAACAGATTGAAGGACAAAAAGTTATATAATCACCTCATTAGACACAGAAAAAAATTTGACAAAATTCAACATCCTTTCATGACAAAAACACTCAGCAAATTAGGTATAAAAGTAAAGTCTTTCAACACAACAAAGGCCATATGTAATAAGCCCGCAGCTAACATTATACCAATGATGAAAAATTGAAACCCTTTTCTCTAATAACTGCAACAAGACAAAAATTCCACCTCTTGCTACTTCTATTGAGCATTGTAATGGAAGTCCCGCTTAGAGCAATAAGCCAGAAGAAAGAAATAAAAGGCATCTAAATAAAAAAGAATTAAAACCATTGCTACTTGCTGATGGAATCATCTTATATACAGAAAAAGCTAAAGTCTATAACCGAAAACTGTTATAACTAATAACAAATTTGGTAAAGTTGCAGGATACAAAATTAACACACAAAAATCAGTAACATTTCTCTACACTAAAAATGAACTTTCCCAAAAAGCAATCAAGAGAACAATCACATTTACAATAGCTACAAAAAAATTAAATACTTAGGAATAAATGTAACCAAGGAGATGAAAGACCTGTACATTGAAAACTATAAAACATTAATGAAAGAAATAAATGAAGACAAAAATAAATTCAAAGATAGCCCATGCTTATGGATTGGAAGAATTAATATTAAAATGTTCACACCATCCAATGCAATCTATAGATTTAAATGTAATCCTTACCAAAATTCCAATGCCATTTTTCATAGATATAGAAAAAACAATTTTAAAATTCATATGGATCCAAAAAAATCTCAAATGGCCACAGCAATCATAAGCAAAAAGAACAAAGCTGGAGGCATCAACATCACCTGATTTCAAGCAATGCTACAAAGTGATGGTAATTAAAACAGCGTGGTGCTGGTACAAAAATAGACACATTGACCAGTGAAAACAGA
Source organism: Homo sapiens (assembly GCF_000001405.40). Taxonomy (NCBI): domain Eukaryota; kingdom Metazoa; phylum Chordata; class Mammalia; order Primates; family Hominidae; genus Homo; species Homo sapiens. Next base: position 76,443,984 of record NC_000006.12, on the reverse strand, counting down.
ATGAAGGGCCCAGAAATGAACCCATACAACTACAGTCAATTCATTTTTGAAAAAGGTACAAAGAATATGCAAAGGGAAGAGGACAGTCTCTTCAATAAATGATGTTGGGAAAAGTGGACATTCATATGTAAAAAAATGAAAGTGGACCTTTACCTCACACCATATATGAAAATAAGCTCAGAATGTTTCAAAGACTTAAGCATAAGGCCTGAAACCATAGAACTATAAGAAGAAAACAGGAGAAAAATTATTCAACATTGGTCTGGGCAAAGATTTTTTAGATTTGACTTCAAAAGCACAGACAACAAAAACAAAAACAGACAAATGAGAATAAAAACCTTCTGTGTGGCAAAGAAAAAAAATTGATAGAGTTGAAAGATAACCTATGGACAGAAATAAAATATTAGCAAGTCATACATGTAGTAAGGGATTAATATTCAAAATATATAAAGAATTCAATCTATAGAAAGAAAATCTGATTAAGGGCAAGCAATCTGAATAGACATTTCTCAAAAGACAGCATACAAATGGCTAACAGATATATGAAAAAAGTCTGCGACATGACTAATCACTAGGGAGATGCAAGTTAAAACCACAATGAGATATCACCTTACACCTGTTAGAATGGCTATTTTCAAAAATATGAAAAATAAGTGTTGGTGAGAATGTGGAGAAAAGAGAAACCTTGTACACTGTTGGTGGGAATGTAAATTGGTAGAGCTATTATGGAAAACAGTTTGGAGGCTCCTCAAAAAACTAAAAATACAATCATCATATAATCCAACAATCTAAATTCTGGGTATTTACTCAAAAGATTTGAAATCGGTATGTTGAAGAGATTTCTGTGCTCCCACATTGATTGCAGCACTATTTGCAATATTCAAGTTATGAAATCAACCTTAGTGTCCATCAGTGGATGAATGGATAAAGAAAATGTGGTATCTAAACACAATGAAATATTATTCAGCCTTAAAAAGGGGAGAAATTCAGTCAATTGTAATATGAATCAACTTGGAGAGCATTATGCTAAGTAAAATAAGCCCAACACAGGAAAGCAAATACTATATGTTTTATATGTGGAACCTAAAATAATCGAACTCATAGAAACAGAGAGTAGAGTGGTGGTTACCAGAGGCTGGTGGATGGGGGAAATGTGGAGATAGTCAAAGGGTATGAAATCTCAGTTAGATAAGAAGAATGTTTGATTTCTTTTTTGAGATATATTGCATAACATGGTGAATATTGCTAATACTTGAAAACTGTATATTTCAGTCACTAAGAGAATACATTTCAAGTGAACTCATCATAAAAAATGTTCATTTGAGGTGATGAATATGTTGATTAGCTTAATTTAATCATGTCACATTGTTTTAAAAATCATAACACTACTTTGTACCCCTTAAATATATACAACTATAATTTATCAATATATAATTAAAATAAAACAAGAAAACCCAGGGGAAAAATGGGACTTGAGATACAGACCATTTATGCTACAATAAGGTTTATAAAATTCTAACTTTTTTCTTTAAGACAAAAATTAAAAACAAATGAGACTATAAGTTCCCTCAAAAAAAGAAAAATAGAAACACCTTTTATAGCCCAAACAATGGAACTAATCAAATAATTTATAGTAAATTTTTTAAAATGAGATCAAAGGTGTCATAATATAATCAATCATGTGGATCAATTTATTTGACTACATATTAGTTGAGAAGGGCAGTCTGCCATGGCCCTAAGCATTCATGCACATCTTTGCTCAGTGTGTCAAGTTACAGGGCCTAATCTCCTCTAGCCTGATGCTGTTTCTGCAGATAGACTCAAACACAGTTAAGTAGGTCAAGGCAACAAAAACATACCCATGTGACTGCTCAGGAGGGGCTTGTTTATTGCATACCATAAAAGGTACTGAGCCCTTAGCCCTGAGTTCCAGCCCAACCAGGCCATTGCATCATCCCATGATATTTAGGGTAAGGAGAACTAGCACTAACATACTGATGCTTCTGCTGTCGCTGTGCTGTGAGTAATGACCTGTCTTGCTCTGATCCAATGAGTAGTACAGTTTACTTTCAGCGCCTCTGCTACGAAGGTTGAGGTTTTTTCCCTAACCAATTCCTTGCTTTTCACCTGCCAGTTTGTGTTGCTTCACTTCTTTGTGTTTGGTTTGTACTCTTTTAACATAGAGCAATAAGAATATATACCTCCTAGTTATTTTAAGGATTAAAATATTACATGTAAAGCAATTAGAACACTGCCTGACACATAAAAGTGTCCAATAACTATTTAGCAATCACCATCATTGTTGTCAACATCATCCCCATCATCATCATTAGAATCATGCAGTACAAGCATATTTAGTAATTTCTAGAAAATATGGTATCCTTGCTACTAAAACAGCAAGTTATAAAATGCTGAGAACAGATAGGAAAAATGTAAGTAATTGTTAAATCTGAATAGAGGGTATATGGGAGTTCCTTGTACCAAAATTGGAAACTATATGAAAGTTTAAAATTATATCAACATAAAAAGTTACCTTAAAAATAGTGAGTACAGTAAATACCAATCTGAATTTATTTATATACCACTATATTAAATACATAATATACTTGCATATGTGTGTGTATACACAAATATAGGCACACTCATAAACACACATCTTAATAGATAAAAATAAATAGGCTATCTCACCACACTTGATGTGATTTAGAATAATTTTCTTTTTTTGTGTTTTTTCAATATTTTCCAAATTTTAAAATACATATAAATTGTTAAAATAGAAGAAGTAGACATTTAAAAAGAAAATTAAAAACTCTTTTATGGAAAGTTTTACATAAACAATGGCTTCAAAATACAGCCCCTATGTTTTTATATTTAAATGAAGAAATACAAATCAGACATTTCAAATAATGTTCGTTATTTGAAGAAGTTGGAAAAGTAGACACTCAGAAACTCATGATGTTTAAGACTAAATAAATGTGTTATTGTGTATGAAGTTTTGGGTTTCAACTTTGTTTGAACTCCGGAAGTTTACCACACTCTCAGTTTTAAATAATCATGTAGCTAAAGGAGATTGTGACTTGTGTATCGACTTCCAGGCTTCACTTGATTAGATAAGGATATGTTCAAGGTGCTTGGGCAACTTTAATTACAAATTAACACACTGATCAGAAGAAAAGATTTGGCATTAAATGGGAAGAACAGAATAGATGAAATTCCAGTAGTGTCTGCTAAAAACAAAAGGAGAATAAAAGAATCATCAGGAGTGAGGAAAAAAGAATAAAGCCTCAGCTGGCAGAATCCCAACAAGCAAATTTAGGTTCCAATGGAGTCCTCGTGGCCTGGTTCAGTTTTCTGATCCACAGCACAGATCATACTGAGCTCCCTGAAGTGAGAATAATCTCTTTCATGAAAACTTTGCTGAAAGTTTGTATTCTCTTCAAATGAGAAGGCTAATAAAGATGACTTCCATTCTCCCCAGTAGTGCAGAAAGTACTAACAATAACATTTCTGCAGAAAAATTCATTTTCTCCATTAAATAATAAAAGCACATTCTAGCATATGAATATATCTGAGCACTTTTAACTGTTGGACCATTTTCCATATTCATCTATTCCTCTGCTCTTGGGTATAACAACTAAATAAATATTTAACAGAACTTAAGAGAGTAAATTTGTTCCTAAAGGAAAAAAAGTATTAAATACAAAAGTAATTAACAGGAAAAATTTTGCCTAAATAGAGTGACAGATGAAAAAGTAAGCATTTTCTTTAATCTGAATGTTCCAAGCAGATTTCAGGATTGAGTCAGAACAGGATAAATCTATTACTGCAAATGCATTCACTACAAGTAATTAAATATCAAAATCACCATAAGCAGGAAGCAAAATTCCTCATTCCTCATAACAATAAGTGCCCAAGTAGGTGGTACTAAGGTCAGTTACTTCAGCAATTCAATCTAGAGAGGACTCCACATGACTTCTCTGCTCTACTCACGGACACAGGTTACTTGCTACCTTTTCAAGCAACATATCCCCAGAATGATGTTCGAAGACTGGCAGGATCAACTTGCTGTCTCAGGTCCCTTTTCCAGAAAGCATCCAGCATGTATTCTATTACCACTCAGTGACCAAGGTTTTATCCCACTTGCATATCTAAACCAATAACTGCAAAGGGAGAAGGAATTGTATAACTGGCTTAGAAAAATAGTCATTCAATCCCTGGGATGCTCAATAATGACCAAAATGAAGGTTCTGCTTACCGATAAGAAGGGGTATGGTTGTGGGGTAGGCAGCCAGCACTGTCTGCCCCAGGAGAGCTCCAGAGGAGAGTGTAAGACAAAAGCCAAATTCTTTGCCATCCTTTATGAGTCCTGTGTTCCTTCTCTGTAGCTTTATCTGCTGCTTTCTGAATAGGCCAAGCACTTAAGTTGATCTTATCTTTGAAATTTCAGTCCCTTCATCCTTTATTGAATTTTTCACCTCTTTCTTCTTATTTTTATCTTTCAAAGCCTAGTTCAAAGGCAGCCTCATCTACTTCCCCATAATGGGGTGCATCCCTCCTTTTTCTAGCCTGCTATGGTTTGGAACTTCTCTATTTGGCACTTTTGCTTTCCTGCTTTATATCAGTCATATCATAAGTCTCTCACCACAGTGGAGTGAAAGCTCCTTGAAAACAGAAATGGTGTCACATTATTCTTTTATGTGTGATTCCAGTGTTTTTAATGTAAAAGGTATTTAATAAACAGCAAGAGAATTCATCTAAAAAGTCATCTTTCTGAAATCACTCAGTAAAATTCCACACCAAGACCCTGATGCTGTCATCCTCAATTTTTTTAAGAATGGAGAGAGATCACCTTGAAACTAATTTAAGAGTAAAGTCAAATTAGCTGCAAAGATTTATTGCATCTTTTGGTTATCTATTTTAGAGGAATCCATTTACATTTTTAAAAACGCCCAGTAGAATCATAATATTAGTCTATGTCATTAAATTTTTGGAATGCTTTTGCTGAAAGTGAAAAAGAATGCTCTTATATGACTCATCAGATTCTACTCTGACTCTGCTTTCTTCTACTTATCAAGTTTTACTAAGTTTTTATCTTCTTTGAGTTTATTGTAATAATTTTCCCCTTATTTAATAATATAACTTTCAAAATAAGTACCAGTTAAGTCAAATATTGTGAGGCCAGAGAAATTATATAAAACAAAAACAACTCTCTAATGAAGTGAGAATCCTAGTTTAAAAGATTTCTGGAAAGGAGACAAACATTTAGACCAGGTCAAAGGAAGTTACCTGATTACAAAAGTTAAACATGACTCTAAATGTTTTATACTACATCTTGAACCCCTTTCAATTTTACTACGTAATAGAGATAAATCTAGACTCTTTCTAGCCTTTTTGTGGAATCTTTGAACTTATGAATCTTAATAGGAAACTGAGTATGCCTTCCCTATAGAAGTCAAAAAAGCCAGATGCTCAAGATCGGAAGCCCCTTCCAGTTAGGGTGTGGGTATGTGCCATAGGCCAGCTCCTCAGATTCACTGGGCTGGAACTGTGATTGGGCAGCTGGTGATGCACAGGGAATCCATTTCTGGATGGCAGCAGTGGCAATGGTGCCACCACTATGCCCAGTGTCCACAGGATGCTTTATGAGCTACTGGGTCCAGGGTCCAGAATGGTCAACACCAGGGTCCTCACAAGACTGGTTCTGGTGGCCTGGCCTGTCTTTATTCCTGCCTGCTTCCCAACCTGTTTCTCTAGTTTTCTCAGAAATTCTACCAGCATCTCAATATCCATTCAAATTCCTGTTATAAGTGAGTCTCTGTTACCCGTGGATAAGAACCATAACCAATATTTTATGTAAATACTTCAAATACAAATGCTCGTGTTTGTGTAGTACTGAGCAATCTTAATCTGCTTTTAAATCACTATTTTTACTTGAAAATTTCAAAGGTTTTTATTTCTTGTTTCTTATTTATGAGGCTAGGTCAAAAAGTTTTGAGGGTATTCTTTGTCTAAAGCTTTTCTATATCCCTTTAATGGCAGAAGTTCAGAAGTGGATATATAACTCATATGAAATTCTATAAATGCTAAAGATACAGTGATTATCACTGACCTTCAAACATCCCATATAGACCAGATAGGTTAGAGATGTTTTGGGGTGCTTGAAAGGCCAACAGATTTTCTTTTGGTCAGCTTTTAAGCAAGCATGGCATTACATTTTATATGCATGAATATAATCATGCTCTGCATAACGACACTTTGGTCAATGATGGGCCGCCTGTGCAACCGTTGTCCCATAAGATTGTAATGGAGCTGAAAAATTCTCAATATCTAGTGGACGTCATAGCCATCATAACATCATAATGCAATGCATTACTCATGTGTTTGTGGTGACACTGGTGTAAAACAACCTGCTGCACTGCCAGTCATATAAAAGTGTAACCCATACAATGATATACAGTACATAATACTTGATAATGATAATAAACAACTGTGTTACTGGCTTATGTATTTACTATACTACACTTTTTGTTGTTATTTTAGAGTGTACCCCTTTTACTTATGAAATAAAAGTTAACTGTAAACATCCTCAGGCACATCCTTTGGGAGGTGTTCCAGAAGAAGGCATTGTTATCATAGGAGACGACAGCTCTATGCATGTTATTGCTCCTGAAGAACTTCCAGTGGGACAAGATATGAAGGTGGAAGGCAGTGATATTGATGATCCTGACCCCGTGTAGGCCTCAGCTAATGAGTGTGTTCGAGTCTTCATTTTTAACAAAAAGTTTAAAAAGTAAAAAATAGAAATAATAGAAAAAAGTATAGAATAAGGATATACAGAAAGCACTTTTGTACATCTATACAGTGTGTTTGTGTTTTAAGCCAAGTGTTATTACAGAAGAGTCAAAACATTAAAAAAAAAGCTTCTAAGTTTAAAAAAGTTACAGTAAGCTTAGGTTAATTTATTATTAAAGAAATATTTTTATAAACTTAGTGTATCCCAAGTGTACAGTGTTTATAAAGTCTACAGGAGTGAACAGTAATATACTAGGCCTTTGCATTAACTCCTATACAGGAGTGCTTTTTTTTTTTAATTATTATACTTTAAGTTCTAGGGTACATGTGCACAACATGCAGGTTTGTTACATATGTATACATGTGCCAGGTTGGTGCGCTGCACCCATTAACTCATCGTTTACATTAGGTATATCTCCTAATGCTATCCCTCACCCCTCCCCCCACCCAACGATAGGCCCCGGTATGTGATGTTCCCCTTCCTCTATCCAAGTGTTCTCACTGTTCAATTCTCACCTATGAGTGAGAACATGCAGTATTTGGTTTTCTGTCCTTGTGATAGTTTGCTGAGAATGATGGTTTCCAGCTTTATCCATGTCCCTGCAAAGGACATGAACTCATCCTTTTTTATGGCTGCATAGTATTCCATGGTGTATATGTGCCATATTTTCTTAATCCAGTCTATCATTGATGGACATTTGGGTTGGTTCCAAGTCTTTGCTATTGTGAATAGTGCTGCAATAAACATACGTGTGCATGTGTCTTTATAGCCGCATGATTTATAATACTTTGGGTATATATCCAGTAATGGGATGGCTGGGTCAAATGGTTTTCTTGTTCAAGATCCTTGAGGAATCGCCACACTGTCTTCCACAATGGTTGAACTAGTTTACAGTCCCACCAACGGTGTAAAAGTGTTCCTATTTCTCCACATCCTCTCCAGCACAGGAGTGCTTTTTTTTATCCTTCATACTGTATTTTATTGTACCTTTTCTATGTGTAGATGTTTCTATACACAAATACCACTGTGTTGCAATTGCCTACAGTATTCAGTACAGTAACATGTTGTACAAGCTTATAGCCTGGGAGCATTAGGCTATGCCATATAGCCTAGGTGCACAGTAGGCTATACAATCTAGGCTTGTGTAAGTATACTCTGTGATGTTCTCAGTACAATGAAATCACCTAATGATGCGTTTCTCAGAACATATCCCCATTGTTAAGCAACACATGACTATAAATAATGTATTTCAATAATGGGCATGGCACATTATTTTGTTCTAAATATTCTACGTATATTTTCTCATGTGGCAGTTTATGTTTTTGTACTAAATGCACAGTGTGAAGTCTTTATTTTTGAACTTCGGCCTCAAGCACCTCAAAGAACAATAAATATTTGAGAAAATTAGTCTGTTTTTAATTCAACGGAACACTGGAACTTCAAACAGCCTAGCTGTTGCTCTCAGAATAAGAACCTTGCTAACTTGATGGAACTAAGAATTTTGGTATGTCACAGTGATACACAAATAAACAATAAATTTCACTTTTTCTATCAGAATTATATGAGAAAACAAACTATTAATAGCAATATAAATTCTTATAGTAAAATGATGGTAAGGCCCACAAAAAGACAAAGAGGTTATTGTCCATCTGGGCTCTCTCTCAAATCCAGTTGGCTCTGTCTTAGAGGTTGCACTTGCCTTCCTAATCATATTCCACACCACACCCCTTCAGCCATCTCTCCCCTCCATTGCCTGCTCTGTGGCCTGAGAGGCTGACTTGTGGTTGCAGTTGGCATCTCCTGTGCTCTCTTACTTGCCAGCTTCATTCAGGCCAATGGAATTCACATGCAGGAGATAAGAGAGCAAGAGGAAAAAGGGGATGTGGTATTTCTGTCTTGTTCCTTCTCTGCTCTTCTTCTGGCCAGCCTCTTAAAATAGCCATTTCCTTCCACAGCTACAACTCCCACTGGGCAATTCCTCTTCAATGGTTCGCACTTCCACTGGATTCTGATAACTCCATTTCCTTTCCTACTGCCTTTGGTCCAAAGGGTAGGAAAGACTTTTCCATTTGCTCTCTGTGAGTACCTCATCATTACCTGCTTGTTCTTTTAATCTGGCTTCACATCTGAGCAAGTAGTTTCTCAATTGAGTCTCTTCATTTGAACACCCAGGTTATACTCTATTTTCTATCAAAACCCTAACTGCTTACAGGACAAAACTACCTGATACCTTTCACATGAACTGTGGTCTTATTTTCATCCTTTCAACTCAGGAACCTTACTTGTTAACATATTAGATTCATACGTTAGAGAACATGGTATTAAAACTTCAGGAAGACATGATAAAATCAGAGTGATAATTCATTAAAATACAATAATGAATATTGTTGTAAGGAAGATTGGGGGCCTGAGTCTTCTTGCCGGTTTTTACTTTTTGCATGAGAAACCAACTTTTATAATAAAAATATTCAAAAGTGTGTTTGCTAAGTCTAGATTCAGACTGAGGGGAGTTAATTACATTATTCAAATATTTGTTGACCTCAGCCTAACAAAGCCTGGGACCTCTTCCACTGCCTTTATACTCTCCAGAGATACAGGGTAGAAAACACAGGTAGTCTGTCCCCTGAAAAGTGTCTCACTCTGCACTGCCAAAATTAATCTCACTGACTGTCTTTTACTAAGTTTTTAAGGCAACAAATAAATGTGACCCCTACCCTGACCAATTCCCTTCCACATACACAGCTACGATCAGTGCATTTCTTCTTTAGAAATTTTTTCATTTATATAATCAAATCATGAGTTAAGGGCTACTCGGTCTCAATAAAGTGATTTTTATTCATTCATGCCTTCCACAAATATATGATGAGCATCTTCAGTGCATCTGACAGCTGCTGGGTTTGAGAACATACCCTGAAGAATAAATTCACTCTCTTCCCCATTATGTGGTACTTTCTCATTTTTGATGCCAGAAAGCACACTTATATCCTTCATATCAAGCTCTTTAGGGACACCACATAGTATTCCCCAATTACTGACAATACATTTTTTTCCTGCGTGAATATCAAATAACCTAATCAGTGCCAGAGCGGTACAAAAGAAAGAAAAAGAAAATGTTTACAGGACCATTTTAACATTCTAAATATCCTGAATTTTACCAACTAAATAATGATGTTGGCTAATAATTTAACCAAGTTAAGATTTATCTTTTTAATGTATAGTCTCCCATTTAACTATGAAATGTATATGTACTGGTTACCATTAGAACCCAGAGTTGGTCCAGATCAAATTGTGAACTAGTAAATCTGTTCTCTTCATCTCCAGCTTCATCAAACCATCTATGAAAGAATTGTTCTACTTCATCAGGCTGTGCTTCCATTTGCACATTCACATACACAGCCAGTACCTTGTCTTTCTCTCTGAATTCAGTGGTGTCTTTACTAGCTTACCTGCTTCTCTTGTTCCTCTGTACTGCACACTTCACTCAGCAGTAAAAGTGATAACTTAAAAATGTAAACCCGATCAAGTCACTCCCCGGGCTTGAATTCCAGATCTGTCACTTCCTAGCTATGACCTCATCTGTAAATTAATGATGTTCATAGCCCTTCCTTCACAAGATTGTTTTGAATATGCAATGAACATATTCAATGGGGAGGCCGGGTGTGGTGGCTCATGCCTGTAATCCCAGCACTTTGGGAGGCGGAGGCAGGTGGATCATTTGAGGTCAGGAGTTCAACACCAGCCTAGACAACATGGTGAAACTCCGTCTCTACTAAAAATACAAAAATTAGCCGGGTATGGTGGCACACACCTGTAATCCCCGCTACCCAGGAGGCTGAGGCAAGAGAATTGCTTGAACCTGGGAGGCAGAGGTTGCAGTGAGCCGAGATTTTGCCACTGCACTCCAGCCTGGGTGACAGAGTGAGACTCCATATCAAAAAAAAAAAGAAAAAAAAGAAAAAAGAAAAGAAAAGAAGAAAGAATCCACGAGGAATGTTAAAATGAATACCTGGCATAAGTAAACTAGCTATTATTTTAGACTGGCAAAAGTGTTTTTTTCCATATTTCCTGTGACACCCCACCTCAGGCAGCAGCTAAGATATTTTATGCTTATTGCCTCAGGGGAAAGAAAATGGCATCAAAGAAAAGAGAAAAGGTCTTTTGAAACTCTTGGCAGAGGCATTTGTTTGTGAAAACAAAAAGACCCTTCAAGTTTCAAAGTCTTTCGGGGGCATAAAGTTTATACTGTAAACAGTATGATTTGGGAAAAAAAAAAAAACAGATGAAAGGACATACAGCCCAACCCTAGACTAGACAAACTTTCTCTGGTCAGGAGGGATTCAAAGAGAACATTGAGAGAAGGCCCCAGGCCTTGTCCTCACCTGCTAGGCTAAGTTCTAGGGAGGAAAAAACAGTCTGGGTATATTTGAGAATCTGAGAACAATGAGGAAGACTGTGTCCTAAACAGAACTTGAGACAGTTATAAAGCCTTAGCATTTTCTGAGTCCAGCATGGTGCAAGCAAGAGTAAGGAAGAAGAAAAGGCTGCATGTCACATCTCAACAGAGGAGACAAGGAAGACCCCTTAAAGTTCCTCTCATCTCTAGACCACCATGAGAAAGCAACCAAATATGTCCTGTGTTTCAACAGAGACACAAACAGAGAGGAGACAAGGGGCATCTACAGAGTCCCTGTGGTTGAGGTGAGAAACAAAAAGAAGCAGTCTGCATGGTTCATAGCCAAGGATCAGATAGAAAAAGTATGCCTCAATGAATACCAACATGGAGAGATGGAACTGGCCACACACCTTTCATCACCCCCAGCCCAACACCAAATGTGTTGGTGTGACAGAAGAACTCCTCCTAGGATGACTGACATTACTACATATTTTACATGGAGTTGAAGGGATTCTCAAAAAAATAAGTCCAGCTATAGAAATATAACACTATCTGCTTGTGTTAAATGCCTTTCCATTTCCCTTAAAATAAACTGCAAGCTTCTTACCTTTGCCTACCAGCAATGCATGACCAGGCTCCTGCTTCCCTCTCTCATCTTGTCTCGTGCCTTTTTTTCCTTTTGTCAGTACATGCCAGCCACTCCAGCTTTCTTCCTCTTTTGAGACTTGGGAAAGTCCTTTCCCAAATTAAGGCATTTGCATTGGTTGCTTCTGTGCTCTTAAAATGTCTAGACCATTCTAAGCCTTGGGAAATCATCACGACAGTCTTCTCCTCAAAGAAGACTTTCCTGACTTAAACTTCTCCATATCTTCTCATGTTATTTCATCCATACGACTTAATGCTTGTTTATTTACTCAATTATTTATTTACTTTTTTTTTCTAATCTCCCTGAGGCCTGGAATCTTTTCCATATATTCTTTGCAATGTCCTTCACATCAAGCACATTTTCTGGCATAGAGTAAGTGCTTAAAAATATTTGTTAAATGAGTGAGTGAATGCTTTCCTTCATCCAACCACAGTAAGGAAGTTCACACTGTAGTCATAGTAGTAGCAACAGTATTTTATCCTTTTTATTTAAAAAAATTATTTTGAAAACAAATCTCAAAAGATATTTTCTATCCAAACTATATAAAGTACATTAGGTGTTCAGAGATCCCCAAGACCACCCTCAGATTCAGTGATTCAGTAGAAGGACTCACAGAACTCAGCAGAGCCATGACACAGATACAGCTGACTATAGCAGTATAATATGAGGATACAGATTAAAATCTGCAATGGGAAAACATAATATAGGTGCTGGTAATTGTGAAAAAAAGTTGAATTTTTGGAGGCCTAAAGTAAAAGAGAAAATTCATGGGCCCTTAACTTGGAACCCAAAAGTGGTATATGTTGAGTAAAAGGAATCCCACATGGTTTCTTCCTGTACATAATCTAACACACTATGACATGCCAACAGCATGGGCATATGATTATTTATAACCAGCCTCAATCCAAAAGAATTTGACAGTTGTTTTTAATAATACAATCATATATACATAAAACATCTGCAGGAAGCAACAATACAGCGTAGAGTACTGGGAATATTGGACAGATTTCAAGAACCCTGAAAGAACATTCACTGTGTCCAGGGTAGATGAATTCTGAGACTCATTTGGAATCAGGTAGGTCAGGGAAAGATGACTTCTGCCTGCCTACCTTGTGTGTCCTTTCTTCAGAGACACAGATCTACAATATCCAGAACATAAGAAAGCTCCCTACGCTCAGGAGTTCCATTTGAAAATAACTGATACTATTTCACAATTCATTCCCTTACTACACTGCTCTCAAGTTTCATTCCTTTCTCCATCCTTTTAGGAATGACAGTTTCATGTAATACTATACAGCTAAAAGTAGAAGAGAAATTAACAGTACATTAAGGCCTGGGGTGTAAACTTAACAGTAGACAGCAGGAGAAATGTTAAATAGTTGTACACATGGTACAAGAGAAAAACTTCAGATTCCTTCAAACCACTTCTGAATAACTTCTCTTGCACAATGCAAGATAATCAAGAAGTCAAAGAAGGATAAGCCTCAGTCTGGAAGAGCCACAATCAACAGATGTCCCGACACTATCACGTTGAGTACAGGATGAGTTCATCAAGCAGTCCGAGATCTAAAATGAAGCATCAAACACCCATGTTGATAAGAGGAGCAAAAACAGATTCCATTTTTCTAAAGGGTAGTTGCAATAAATAACCATCAAGGACCTTCTCCTCTTCCAACTACTCGAACATCCCTTCAGCTGCGTTATTGCCACTAATTTTACAGGACCTACTTCCTCTTGAATGAATAACTTAATAATGTAAGCTAGACTTGAACTAGAAAATAATGTTCTTTCTTCTTTTTTTTTAGATAAATAAGAAAAATGTTAAAAGCCAAAGTGCCTTGGTAAAATATAAAACTATATGTCCACCCGTGAGGTACAGACTCTGCACTGCAGAAATCTAAACTATTGATATGGAAGTCAAAAGTGAAATGCTTTTCCAAAGGCAAAGCAAAATAACAAAGAGAAAAACTATGAAAAAGAGATAGAAGTAAAAGAGAGAGAAAAAGAAAGATTCAATCTACTAATAATTTGTATTGTTAAAGAGTGGAACAGAATAAATAAAATATAAAAAACAAATGTACGATTGAGCAAAAACAGTCCTAAGTTGTTAGGTCCAGTTCTGAGAAGTCTCCACAGAGATTACTCTGTGTTGTTGTGAGGGCATGCTCTGTGTTTGGTGCCTGTCCTCCAGAATGTAGACAAAAAAGCAGATGACCACAACTTGAGTAATAAATGTAGAATCACTGGAAAGTCTTTACTTCAATCAGAAGAGCTCAAGTATTTCTTGATTCTTAAGCTTATTAAAAATCTTCATTAGAAAGGAGATAAAGCTAGTCATGGTGGCTCATGCCTATAATCCCAGCACTTTGGGAGGGGGAGGTAGGAGGATCACTTGAGCCCAGGAGTTCAAGATCATCCTGGGCAACATAGTGAGACCACATCCCTACAAATAATAATTTCTTAAAAAATTCATTGGGCATGGTGGTATGTACCTGTGGTTCCAACTACTTGGGAGGCTGAGGGAGGAGGATCATCTGAACCCAGGAGGTCAAGGCTGCAGTGAGCCATGATCACACCACCGCAACCCAGCCTGGGTGACAGAGTGAGACCCTGTTTCAATTAAAAAAAAGAAAAAGCAGATAAAAATCCATTCTATCTGCATATGCAGTCTTGTATGTACAGTGTCACGAGAAAGAGATCAATTTCAGATGCAAAAGAAGAAAGATAATTTTTTAAACACTGAAAAACAGTTATAGAATACAATAAAGCCTCCCTATGCAGTTGATCAGCAGCAGCAACAGCATCTTCATCACAGCTCTCTGAACAGTTTAAACATACCACAGTAGACAAATGATAAGGAGATAAGTTTGTGTGTCACAGATAGAAGGCTGCCACCTGTCTTTAGTTCTAAAGATCTCAAGGGCCTGTTTTCTGAATGACACAAAGGGAAATGTTATAAAGATTATTAATGTCATAGGTGATTGATCTGAGAAAAAATAATTTCTTTGATTCTAGTAATGTTTCTAATCAAAAAAGAGCAAACTCAGGTTGACCTATGATGTTCCTACAACACAAAATGGCAGAGGTATTGAGGCAGGATGTATATCAATTTGAGGGCAAAAAGTTGTGACATGAAATTCTGCTCCCAACCAAGTTGATATTGATGTACAAAGACAAAAGGAAGATGTTCTGGGATATTCAAGCCTTCAGACAATGTACAAGTCACATACCCTTCCTAAAATAAAAACTTATTTCAAAATGTTTTGTAGAGGGAGTGGTAAATCACATCAAAGGACTTTAGAATGAAAAAGCCATAACATTAAAAAAATCCTAACCAAGACTAGGAATAAGGGAAAAAAATAAAGAAAAAGCAAAGTTTCCAATATTTGCAGGTGATATGATTGTCTCTCTGGAAAGCCCAGCATGATCAACAACATGCAACAAAATTCAAATAAAAGCTCACTAAAGGAGCCAGTCTAAATAATAGTATTAATGTACACAGATATTTCCAAATCTTTTATTTTACACTTGAAATAAGAAGTTTTAAAAATCAAGGAAAAAATTTACCATTCTCAAAATTGAAATTTATATCAGATGCCTAAAAATAACAGTGCAACAAAAATATGAAACCTATATGTAGAAAACCACCACAGTTATTGAGGATTATAAATGCTAATGTGAAATGAAAACCTATTCCATCTTCTTTAAAGAAAAGAGTGAAGGAAATACAGATTATCTCTTAAATATGCCCAGACAATGAAAAGTATTCTAAGCATGATACTGCAGGCAGAAATCACAAAGGAAAGCACTGAAATATATAACAGTATTAAATATTGTAATATCTGTGCATCCAAAAATCCCATAAGCAAAATAAAAGGTACACATCAACCAGGAAATAAATGCTTATAGCCTATATGGCCAGCAAATAGACAGTGGCCTTAAATGCATAAAGAGCACATACAATTCAATATAAAAATGCATATCCTAATAGAATAATAGGTAAGAACATGAATAAACCATCCATAATAGATGAAAGTTAATGGCAATTATGAAAAATTGTTCAAGCTTATTGGTTTTCTGGGGGGAGAAAGTTGATTTAAAGCTCTTCTCTTATGATCCTCCTCATCACTCTTCCATCAAGAATGAGTTAAAATCTAAAAATTTTACTGCATTCCCAAGGAAGAGAAGTGTTTCAATTCCAACAGTACCACAACCACAAGGACTAATCTTTCAAAGGATTAAAATGTTCATCAAATACAAATATTATGCTTTTTCTACTTTCTTATTGATTGATAAGCATGCTAGGCTACATCCACATGGACAAAGAGAAACGGCTGCCCCAACCTCTTCTCCTTGTGTTGTTTGTGTGTGTGTGATGTAAGTGCATCTCTCTATTTGGACACACTGATTCTCAGGAGCCTGGCAAAAGTACACATGGCTTGAGAGCTGCTTTCCCTGACAAGATACAAAAATACATGACGTTTTAGATATATAGTTATCAAATAGATAATGTAACATTTTACTAATGGGGAAGAATCTACAGAGAGCATGATGTAGAAAAAAATATATGTGGATAGAATGGCTGAGTAATTAAATAGTCGATATCAAAAAGTCTCAAAACATGTACACCAAAATGTTAACAATGCTGCGTTTCTGCCTGATGCTGTCATTCCTCTATCATCCTACTTCTGTTTCATACATGGATTCTCTTTTCCATCCCAGAGCTGTTCCCATCTTGTAATGATTTTGTTAAAATGGTTATTTCTCTGTATCCAGTGTACTGCACTAATTGGACCTTCTTTTCTTAAATTGCCTTCAATATAACTAGGAAATTCTGGAACTTTCTGAGAGTAACCAATGTTCATTAAACTTTCACTATGCTTTAATAGTTGAACCACTTGCTTTTTTTTTTTTTTTTTTTTTTTGAGATGAAGTCTCGCTCTGTCCCCAGGCTGGAGTCCAGTGGCGCAATCGCGGCTCACTGCAAGCTCCGCCTCCCGGGTTCACGCCATTCTCTTGTCAGCCTCCCGAGTAGCTGGGAATACAGGCGCCCGGCTAATCTTTTTTTATATTTTTAGTAGAGATGGGGTTTCACCGTGTTGGCCAGGATGGTCTCCATCTCCTGACCTCGTGATCCGCCCGCCTCGGCCTCCCAAAGTGCTGGGATTACAGGCATAAACCACCACGCCGGGCCGAACCACTTGTTTTAAATAATGAACTTATTTATTCATTACTGTTGCCTACCAAGGTTGGTACTACTATTATTGTCTTCATTTTTATATAAATGAGTAAAGTGAGGCCCAGAGAAGTTAAATAACTCTGGATTGTAGGATTGAAGACAGGATTTGAACCAAGATATTTCTGATATAAAAGTGCATGCACCGTTTAACCTCTGCAGTAACGATTCTTCTCTTTTCTCTCCATGAGCCTATATCCGAGAATGGCTTTCTCTCTTTACTCTCTCCTAGGTGCTTATATTGCACACAATTCTAGGAGTTTTGGCAATGTGTCCCCCAGTTTTAATGTGACTGAAATGTCATATACAGTGATGGTGTTAGACAAAATGAAAGCAATTTACAGAATTAATATTACCTCTAAAAGTGCTATACAGATATCACTAATTCGTATTCTTTCCTGAGTTACATCGTTATGTAGAAAGAAGCCTGGGGTTTTACACATAAAAAAAGATGTTTGTTAATCATCTATTTTTACTCCAGGCTGGACACTGCTGGGTATGGGAATGTAATTTAGGTAAAATCAGAGTGATCTTTTCACTCACGGAGCTTGTGGTTGGGTGGGTGTCTGTTTTTAGCCCACTTATGTTTTATGCATACTCCCATAGCACTTATTATATATCTCTATTATAGTAATTCATGTTTCAATAAACGTTAATTCATTTCTGACCTTCTCAAAGACAGTAACAATGTCTTGTCCATCTTTGTTTACCCACAAAGCCTGACATAATGCTTGATACAAGGATATATTCAATACATAAGCAATGATATTTTTACATTCTTCAACTACAGTGTCTAATATGATAGAGGCCATGTCATAGGCGTGAATGCTCTCAGTGTAACTAAGATCTCTCACATCCCCAGTCTGGGGTAGAAAATATAGTCATATGAATTTTAACAATAAAATTAATATGGCTGCCAGCCCCCATTTTGCCACTCTGAGAAAGGTCTTCTGGAATTCCTGAGGCCTGACCTCCCAGAAAAATATGTCTGTTGATATCACTTTATTCTAATTGCCTTCAAAACAGGCTACTGCAGAGCCCCCTGAGGCTTTAGAGTCTCAGTCAATTCACAGCAGGTTTCTATGTTTCCAAACACAGCTTCCACCTCCATCAAAACATTGCCTAGCCAGTGGCCAAAGCATCAGCAAGACATCACAATAGCTGGTAAGTTTTACAAACAACTCACAGGAAGTGGGAAGTAGAATCCTCTATTTCACCCATCCCATTCTGTTTCTCTCTGCTTCTGCCACAATTTCACCATGATTCAGTTACGGAAAAGTAAAGATAGCTTCCCCTCTCAGCGTGAAATTCAGCAGTGGGCACCCCATTCCCCCATCAGCCTCAGATCCCACAGCTCTCCCCTATTAGGTATTGATAATCGACCATTCATCCAACACATACCAAGGAGCAACAGCTGACTCAGAGACTCAAGGAATTTAGAAATGGCTAAAGAAAAACTTTTCTTTTTATGTTTCACTGATGAAATTCCATCTCTTTCTCTTTAAAAAAAATACCTAGTTCCCATAGATTTAGTGCTACACACAATTCTAGGAGTTTTGGCAATGTGTCCCCCAGTTTTGCTAGAATATATAATTCTCTGTAATTATTTCTGGATAAGTTTTTCCTCAGGAATTGAAAAAAAAAATCTTTTGGATAAAGTTGATCAACTATTTGCCCACAGAACGGCCTGTTACTAATTAGGATAATTGTGTTCAGACTAGTTTTTTGTTACATGAAAGAGAATATCAACCATCCCTCAAAAACTATTATTCATTTTCAAAGTATAATATATTTTAAGTAGCTTGATTTTTTTTGCATTTATTACCATAGGTTAACCATTGTGATTATAAAAGTAATATATAGTCAATGAAAAAATATAGAAAATAGAGAAAAGCAAAAAAATTAAACTTATTCATGATCTTACCACTTAAAGATAGCAACTCAAAGTTTTAATATATTTCTTTACTGTCTTTAAGGTTAACTACCATCAATACTCACATTTTCAGACTGCTCTAATAAACTCAGGGTAGGGTAGATAGGATTTTATTTCTGAGAGCATTTGAAGAGATTCCTAGGAATAATGCAAGGATATATCCTAAGAAAGGAAGGAGCCACAACCAACTAGATCTACTAACAAAGCCAGTAGTCAGCCAAAGTGACACCAAGTCTACCATGGAGATAGTCATTCATGTCGTCCTTTGGCCCAACTCCAATGAAATCCCAGGGAGCAGGATGCTACAAAGGAATGACTGAAGACTACTTTCTCCAATATCTCAGGAAGGTATTGGAGATGCAAGATTGTTCTTTGTGAATTCTTTTCTAGCTGACTACAACACAATAAGGCATTCTCTTCATTTCAGCAAAAACAGGTATGGCTTTGGCATCTACCTTTGGCAGTAAGGGTTCCAGAATTCTTAAGCAACAGTGACACTTCAAAAGCTTTATCGTTATCAGCAGCATAAGGGACTCCAGAAAATAAAAAAGAGCACTTTGTGGGTAGGAGCAGGGTCCTGTTGGAGACAGGAGGAAAGAACCAATGAAATATAGAGCTTGTATAGACTGTCAGTACACATGATGTTTATTGGTATATTGTAAGAAAAAGAGACTTTTATTCTCCTTTCATGAAAAGACAGTGTGTTAATAGGAAGACAGCCAGGGGCATGCTCCTGAAGACATAAAGACTAAGAATGCTAAATTGCTTTACATTACAAAGAACTTGAAATTGCTCAGACATATCTGTAGAAAAATGAGAACTGTCTAGAAAAGGATAATGATGAAGAAGTCTGGAGAGAAAAGCAAAGAGATTGGCAGGAAGCAACTCTGCAAGGTGGAAGAATAATCTATTTTTAAAAATGCCTGGAAGAAATGGCTAAGGGACATTGCGAACAGAGATGCTATCATTTGATTTGAGGTTGAAAGCTTGATGTGCTATAACCCTTTTCCAATTGCCCTCAAACATTCAGTACAAGTGGTCCACTACACCCAGCTGCCTTGTGTTGACGATGCTTAGGAGAAATGTTTTTTTAAGTATGCTCCACATTTTGATGTAGTGAAATGAGGAACTGCAGAAGGCAAGACATCAGGATTTTGTAGGAATAAGATCTGAAGAGGAGGTGACCAGGAGAATATAAACTTTTAGGAAGTAGAAAAAATTCTATCATAGATTACCATATTATCTTATCATAGAATATATTAATATTTACACAGCAATGCATAACAAAATTGGAAAAATGCTGTTCTTTTAAAAAGTATATCAATGTTTTAAGCACTCTTCTAACTTCCACATTTAATAGCTGAAAAGAATTCCATAATATAAATGTAATTTTTTTTCGTTTTTGTTATTAGCTATCTCCTACTTGTGGACCTATGGGTTATTTCCAGGTTTTCACTATTATAGAAAATGTTGCAATCAGAGTTGTGTGCATATTTGAAGACACTTCCGATTATTTCTATACAACTATTTCTTAGAGTGGAGTTAAAAAGTCTAGGAGTATGAAGGTTTTTCAAGCTTTTGATGCTTATTGATAAATTATTTTCACACAGGATTATATCAATTTGCCCTCCTGCCAGCAAAGCATAAGAGCATCAAATTTCTTTAAAGTAACAAATAAATACATGTCATATTAGACCTGATATTGAAGAGGGAGATAGAATAAAAACAATGAGAATTTATCACAGTCTCAAAAATGTGAGTTAACGTTGGGCCATTGAAAGGAGTGGTAGATAAAATGCCTAACCCAGACAGCTTTAACATTTCCCTCAGCTTGACTAAGCTTTAGACAGGCTTCTTCCTGATGCTAGGCTCCTGACCTTCCTTTTCTTTACAGCATTTACTTTAGAAAACTTCTAAGTGTAAATTCTCTCTTTGCCTCTTTGAGATGTAAATCTTCTAAAAAGCCTCTTGCTAGCTTTACAGCCCAGGATGTCCTTTCTCAAAGATGTGGGAGCCTTCCCTGTGAAATATAATCATCAGGGAAGGTATCTCTGTAGGAGGGCAGGAGCCAAACTATGAGCCCATCCTTGTGAAAGGATGGAAGCCTTGGTCCGAGTTGTAAAGCTACCTCTTGTCATAAAGATATGAGAAAGCTTACTTTTCCTTTGGGTGAGACCAGTTAGCAAACAGAGGCAGCCTATAATTTCCCTCACTCCAGCCCTTAAAAACTCTTTAGCGCTTTGTTTCTATGGAGATGAGGTGAGATTGAGTTTTGGCCTCTCTTCCCTATTGCAATAGCCTGGAATGAAGTCTTCCTTGTCTGTTTAACATTGTTCAGTGCAATTTTAGCTTTGACACTCCATAAACCCACCCAAAATAGCAGAATGTTTATGTGTGATATAATTGTAATTATTAAATGCTGTTAAACTACTTAAAAGACATCTTAAAATTCTGTTATTTCTATCACCTGTCATAAATTTACAATGCACTCTCAAGGTTATGACTTTTAAACTGTTTTTTACTTAGAAAATACTAAATTAATATACAACAAGCTTGTCCAACCTGCGGCCTGAGGGCCACATATGGCCCAGGATGCTTTTAAATGGAGCCCAACACAAATTTGTAAACTTTCTTAAAACATTATTAGTTGGTTTTTGTTTTGTTTTGTTTTGTTTTTGCTATTTTTATTTTCTAGCTCATCAGCAATTGTTAGTGTATTTTATGAGTGGCCCAAGACCATCCTTCTTCTTCCAATGTGGCCCAGGGAAGCCAAAAAGATTGGACATCCCTGCTGTAGCGCCTTGAACAAAACATGTATTTCTCTAATTCTGTTTCCTTACTTATAAAATGGAACCTGGTAAGTGGCTATTAAGATCTCCAAAGATCTAACAGTCTGGGGTCCAATTCATTCTTCACAAAATTCCAAATTACTGAGCAGATTATTCTGCTGCAGAATGTATTTCTACAACACTAATCAGCTCATAAACAATTGGAAAATAGAGAAACTATGTCAGAATAATATGGACATAATCTGGTTTATACATGATTTTTTATAAGCAAGGGGAAGTAGAAAATCAAGAGTAGAAACCGAACATTCAGCAATGAAGAATAAAGACTTCAGCCTATGCTGCTCAGGCAGCTGAAACCCTTTCCGTTCCATTTTAATAAAATTATAAATAAGTCCTGCACCAGGGCATCCCTCCTCCAAAAGGAACACTCAAGCTTTGTATTGCTGTGCCTGATGAGAGGTTGCACTCCCCAGAAAGAACACCTTCAAAGCAGCCCCTCTGGTTTAGAGTTCTACTTCTATCTATCTACCTGCCTCTATGCTAATTAAGAGCTACTAGTATTTCTGTCAGAGGCACGTGAAACAGAACAACTCCATCTTAAATAGGAGCTGGGTAAAATGAGGCTGAAACCTACTAGTCTGCATTCCCAGATGGTTAAGGCATTCTAAGTCACAGGATGAGATAGGAGGTCAGCATGAAATACAGGTTATAAAGACCTTGCTAATAAAACGCGTTTCAGAAAAGGAGCCGGCCAAAACCCACCAAAACTAACATGGGACGAGAGTAACGTGTGGTCATCCTCACAGCTACACTCCCACCAGCACCATGACAGTTTACAAATGCCATGGCAATCTCAGAAAGTTACCCTATATGGTTAAAAAGAGGAGGCATGAATAATCCACCCATTGTTTAGCGTATCATCAAGAAATAACCATAAAAATGGGCAACGATTTTTGGAGTAGCCATTCTTTATTCCTTTACTTTCTTAATAAACTTGCTTTCACTTTGCACTGCAAACTCATCCTGAATTCTTTCTTGTGCGAAATCCAAGAACCCTCTCTTGGGGTCTGGATCCAAACCCCTTTCCTGTAACATTTTCATTGTATTTTTTTTTGTACATTTTTAGTATCCTCTGTGCCATCCTCTAGCCATACTGAACTGCCTGCCTGAGTGATGTGTTTTCTACCAAAGTACCAGTTACTCTTCTGTGTAGTGCTGTGGTCACAAAGTTGCACTGGTGGGAATGGTCTCCCCTCACCCTCACTCTTTGCCCCATTAGATCCTCTTAGTTCTAGTGGAAATTTTTGTAGAACATCAAGTTTTTGGTTGTTGTATTTTTTTCAAAAACACAGAACCTCTGTACTTATAATCATACCTCCTCCAAAACTATCAGAAACTGCAAAAATACGGTAATAAGGCTCTTACATTGCTCACCTATTTATCCAAAAATTATTTAAGTGCCTGCCACATGCCAGGGACTGTGCTCATCTCTTCTATTGCTTCATTTGAAGCAAGCAACAAACAAAAACACCTGAAAATTTTGCATCTCCAATAATGATGGATATATTGTTGGTACATTTACATTAATATTTTCCATCCAAATATTCTTTATTGCATTAAAATTTATTGTAGAACTTAGAGTGTTCTTCTTTTAAAAACTCAATTTATTTTGCTACTTCTACAGAGAGCTATAACTCAGATTCCTCTTACTGGTGGTTCAGCACTTTCCCCACCTCACTTTCATTGGGCTCCCAGGATGGGGGTCAGCCCCGACAAGACAATCTCTATCGATTCCTACCTGGCAGCTCACTTCACAGCTGCTCACCCTTTTACTTCTATATCCTCAGGCTTTATTTCACAGCTATGGGTTTCACTTAATAAACTAGACCACACTTGGCTTTTCATCTTCCTGGAGCTGATTCACAGGAAAGCCCCTAAACAAAGCAAACCTGAACAAACACACACACACACCACTAATTTTATTATAAATCTAACATTTCTCTGTAAGTTAGGGAAAAATTTTCCACCTGATGTAGTACTTCAAAAGCTAGTATTTCACATACCAAATAAAATATTGCTTTTCCCCTCCATCAGTTTACTTATCCTCCCATGATTAGCCTGTGTTACAGAGAGAACTTTAGACTCTCAAATATATTGTTTGCTTTTATAAGGACTAGTCAAGACACAAATAATGTTGAAAGATAATCAAACCTTATCCTAATTTACACCAGGATGATAAAAGTGAATGTGTCTTTAAGTATGTATGAATGGAAGCACACCAAGGTATGCATTAATATATATGATACTGTAAATTGGCAATAATAAAATCAACTTCCCTCCTCACCTCAACCCCCACACACAGAATAAGAAGAGATATAAATCTTTGTGCTATTGACTGAATATTTGTGTCTCCTCAAAATTCATATAGTTAAATCCTAATCCCCAGGGTGATGGTATTAGAAGGTGGGGCCTTTAGGAGCTGTTTAGATCTTGAGGGCAGAGCCCTCAGGAATGAGATTGCTACCCTTATAAAAGAAGACCAAAGGAGCTCAGTCACTTCTTTCACCATGTGAAGACATAGTAAGAAGGTGCTGAAAATGAACTAGAAAGTGGGCTCTCACCAGACACCAAATCTGCCTTGATCTTAGACTTCCCAGCCTCTAGAATAAGAAATAAATTTCTGTTATTTATGAGATACCCAGCCTATGGTATTTTGTTACAGCAGCTCAAATAGACTAATATATGTTGCTAAAAAATTAATTTATGATTTACAAGTAATTCTTCTAAAGTTTTTTTCCCAGTTACTTGTATAGCTAAAACAATGGCTTTTAAGAGACAAATTAATCGGCTGTAACCCAACAGTCATAATTGCAAAGCAGGAGATTCAATGACTGCGTAGTAATGTGAAGCACTGAATACATTACAGTGAGGCCGACTTTCACTTTATATTATTTATAAAAGACAATTTGTTCTTTTTAAATTTAAGAATATACTGTCTCAGGAAATAAGCGTGCTCTTTCAAATGTGTCATTTGTGTGTGTCTCTGAATCTTCTGCAAGAGCTAGAGACTGAACAGACATGTACTCAACCTCTCCTAGTGGAGACTCCCAGCAGTGACCACATCTGAAGCTTCTGGTCATGAACTGGCATTCCAGATGCTCTCCACCCTTGGTCCTTCCACTGCACAGGACTTTGCATAACTAATGGCTACCACAGTCTGACCTTCTGAGCTTCACAAGATGTCATTCTAGGCCACAGACTCTCCCTCGTGGCTGCACAATAAAATCCCTGAGACACTTTAAAATAAAATCAAGAAAGCACATTTTAAAAATAACTGGGCCTCAACCCAAAACAAATAAATCAGGACATCTGAGAGTAAGGCAATTCTAGATGTATTTATTCATACTTGAGTAAATGAACTGCCTGGCAGTTATGGGGATGAGGATAGCGAGGCTATGGAGAGTGGTAGAAGGTTGCATACAGAAGTCAAAAACTCCTCAATACTTTCACAGAGAGGCCCAGGAAAAGTACACAAAGCAAGATTAGGAAACAGGTCATTTACAAGGGCTCTGACTCATAAAAATCTAAAATTTCCTATAGTATGTGAAAAGTCATATTCATTACCTTCTATTGCTATATAACAAATTATCCCACACTTAGCTGATTCAAACAGCACTCATTTATCTCACAGTTCTGTAGGCCAGAAGTCTAGGCACATCATGGCTTGCTTCTCTGCTCAGGATCTCACAGGATGAAATAAAGGTTAGAGCCATTCAACACTCCTTTCTGGTTCATGAGATCCTCGTCCAAGTTCATATGGGTTTTGGTAGTTTCCGTTTTTTATAGTTGCAGGATGGAGTTTTCTACTTTGGTGCTAGTTATCAACTGAGGGCCCTTTTCAGCCCTGAGAGGCATTATTTCCTGCCCTGTGACCCTCTCCACAACGTTGTAGTCTGTTCTTTGGAGACCAGCAGAAGAATCTCTGCTGCCTTAAATATCTCTGACTTCCTTTAAAGACTCATCTGAATTAGGTCAGGCCCACCCAGGATAATTTCACTTTTGATTAACTCAAAGTCAACTCAACTGACTAGGAAACTTAATAACATTTGGAAACATTCTGTCCTATACTGTAACATAATGGGAGTGATAGCCCATCGTATTCACAAGTCTTGCTCACGCTCAAATGAGCAGATCATCCAGGCCACTTGCACTAGGAAGCAGCAATCTTGAGAACCCTGTTAGAATTGCCAGAAGCTTAGAAGAATTATCAATCTTTCCCTGTCTCCACTTCCTCAAATGTAACCTTGAAATACAAATGTACATATTTATAGGGTTGTTAATCCACTACATAAATGTTTTTTGTTTGGTTGGTTGGTTTGAGTTTTATTTTGTTTTTTTGAGACAAGGTCTCACTCTGCCACCGAGGCTGGAGAGCAATGGCACGATAGAGCTCACTGCAGCCTCGAACTCGGGGGCTCAAGCAATCCTCCCACCTTATAGCCTCCCAAGTAGCTGGGGAGTAAAGGCCTGCCAAATTTTTGTATTTTTTTTGTAAGACAGGGTCTCACTTTGTTGCCCAGGATGGTCTCAAATTCATGGGCTCAAGCAATCCACCTGCATCAGACTCCCAAATTACTGGGATTACAGGCATGAGCCACTGCCCCTGGCCCTCAACTACATAAATGTTAACTGTTATTTTTGCCCCAAGTATTCAGGAAAGCCTGATAGACACATTCAGCTGTGTCGGGTGGTATGGATGGGACGACAAAGAAACATGTGTGGCCAGCCCATATTTATCTTTCCTTATCACCCACTCAAAGACAGTGGCATTCTGCTGAAGACTGTCTGACCTGAGAGTGACCTCTGTCCTTATGAATTACCAGAGCAAAATTATCAGTGGTCCAAAGTGATGGCAGAAGAAACGTAGCACCATACATTTTCCTGGCCCAAAAGTTTAGTCCTAAGCACCTAGGAATATTCAGATAAATGCCCAGCATCACTATCCTAAGCTACCAAAGTGGTCATTTACCTTACAGACAATGTTATTTCACCTGTGCATTGCCACAAAACATACTATTGTACTTGGTTGTAAAAACTCAGACACAATGAATATATTGTGTTAAAAGTATTATAAGCAGAGCAGAGTTCCAAAGAGTTCTGCAATTGTTGCCTGAAGGCACAGCTTATGTAAACAGAAGAGGGCAAGACACACGATCCTTGCCATTCAGCACTGGCTTATTCTGTCCCTTTGTGTAAACCACGTATTTCTTATGGTACATTTTGTCAACACCTGCAAACCCAAAACAAAGAATGCAATTGATTATCTAGGCAAACAGTGCTGAATAGTCACCACAAAGCACAAAAAAAGTCAAGATATTTAATTTTAAAATTTAAATATAAAATTTAATTATATATTCTCTGAATTTTGTAAATCTCTGCAACAGTCCTAATGGAATGCTTGGTGAGAAATGAGGTAAATTTTATACCCAACTATTGAAATCTTTTTAATCAACCACATTTCCCCAATTTTTATGGGGAGCCAACATTCTCCCCCAGAACTTAACCACTGGCTGTGTCTGTATAGTGGCTCATGGCTCTTTTATTTCCATTAGCTCTCTGCTAATGGCGTACAGATTCCTCTGACAGTAGCTTTGCTTGAGGCCTCTTATTGCCTCCCATTAACAAGGGTATAATTAGGGGAAAGATAAAGAATAATGTTATCTGGTACATTTGATATATGGGTCCCTACTAATGGACATACGTGAGGATTTAACATACTGTAAGTTACCCAAGAATCTACAAACTATCAGGAATCCAAATAGTTTTGTTAGAAGAACCCCAAAAGGAGCAGAAGCATGTTTCTCTCACCATTTTTGTTATACTATATCCTCACATTTAACAAATGTGTATTAAGTGCTTACTATGTACTAATTATTCTAGGCCTTGGGCTGCAACAGGAAATAAACAATAGTCTCTTTTATCTTTGTTCTCTTGGAGGGCAGGGAGATGAAGGATATAGACAATAAACAAAAAAAAACTAAGATAATTTTTTTCATATTTTAGGAAGCAGGGAATCAGGAAAGGCAGGCAGTCAGGGAAGATCTCTCTGAAGAGGTTAACTATGAATAGAGACTTAAATGGGGAGAAGGCCCAGAAAGATCTGAAGAACATTCCCAGTAGATGAACACTTGTTGTAGTGGCCTATTGATGGCAACCATCCTGGTTGATTTAACAGGCCAAAAAATAAGTGGCAATATGGCCATAGGGAGTGAGCAAGGAGTAAACGAAAAAAAGTGTGGTCAAAGTGTGGACAGAGGCCTGAACATAAGCAACTATTTAACGATTTTAAGCAAGAGGGTAATGTGATCAGATTTTTGTTTTATGGAGATTTAATGATAATTGCCCATGGGAGAGGCCATTGGCATAGGAGAAGGGTGGAATTAAGAGAGGATCAATGTGGTTTCATAATGTGGAATAGCTATCAACTATAGAATTCTGCTCACCTTCTCCTATCTGACTCAGACCTCGGCTAGAATACTGCATGGCTTCCCATGTCATGTTAGATAATAAAATCTTCATACAGATAAGTCTCAACCATGATATAAAATGAAATAACTCAGGCACAGGAAATATTATTATTATCTTTGTTCTATTGAAGGAGTGAGGAGATGAAGTTTCACAGACTAACCAGTGTATTTTTATTTTAAGTTATCTCAAAATCTAAATGGACCATGACAACGAAATAAAGAAGATGGCAGAAAATGAAACATAGGTAAAGCTGGGCACAGTGGCTTATACCTGTAATTCCAGCACTTAGGGAGGTTGACAGGGGAGGATTGCTTAAGCCCAGGAGTTCAAGACGAACCTGACATGGTGAGACACCATCTCCACCAAAAAAACTAAAGAAAAATGGCTGGGGATAGTGGCACATGCCTGTCATTCCACCTACTCAGGAGGCTGAGGCGGGAGGATCACTTGAACCCAAGAAGTCAAGGCTGCAAAGACTGCGATTGTGCCACTTCATTCCAGCCTGGGTAACACAGCAAGACCCTATCGCAATGACTGTGATTGTGCCACTTCATTCCAGCCTGGGTGACAGAGCAAGACCCTATCTCCAAAGAAAAAAAATAACAGTAATACAGGTCAAATCATAGGTAATATTCAAATAGTTTCCTACTCCATTTTCTGGTATTAGTAAACCTAAACTTTTCTTTCTCAATGCGATAGGTTTGAGAGATTTAAAAGTCATTGTTCTTTACTTAGTAATGTTTATGGAAAACTAGAGAACATATTTTCTACTTGTTCGTAGTAACTGTGGTTTGTTGTTGTTATTGTTGTTAACATCAGAATATGTTATACATACTGAAAAGCTCACATAAGTGCAAACATGATGAATTGACACAACTAAACACACCCGTTAAGCCACCACTCAGATCAAGAAACCGCATGACCTTCTCATACTCCTTTGCAGTCACTGCTCCCCAAGGATAACCATTATTCTGACATCTAACAGCATAGATTCATTATGCCTGCTTTTACAATGTATATAAATGGGATCATACAGTATGTTTTCTTCTGTGCCTGGCTTCTTTCATTTAATATTATCTTTGAAATTTATTCATGTTATTGTGTAGTTATAGTTCAATCATTCTTATTACTGCCCGTTGTGTGAATATACCTCAGTGTATTCATCCATTCTACTATTAATAGGTATTAGGGTAATTTCTAGTTTAAAGCTATGCTGCTATGAACATCACAGTAGATGTTCTTAGATAAAAAGAAATATATATGTATACATACACATGCACACACACATAAATGCAGATACAAACACATATTTCTGTTTGGTATATACCTAAGAATGAAATTGCTGGACCACATATTATGCACATTTTAAGCTTTAATAGATATTGTCAGTTTTCCAAATACATTATACCAATGAACACTAGCAACATATAAGTAGGCCAGATATTTCACATCCTGGAAAGGCCCAGTTGGGCTTTTATATCTGCTCTACTTAAGATATAAGTAAATGCATTTTGGAATACACAATTTTTCTAAAGTCATGTGGCACCTCCCACATAACTGGTGTATTTCCTTTTGGAAGTTATTCGTATCTTTAGCCACACATTTCACAGAAATGAGAAAGGCACGAGATGATGGCATGGAGCTGACGCCACACCTCCTCATCACTAGTGTCTATCAGCCACTTCCTGTGACCAAGTCTCTGTGCTTTATGTGTAATATCTCATGTTGTAAAGACAACAGAATGGCATCTGTATACACATGCACCTGATTTTTTTATTCTCTAGTCAATAACAAAATCTTTTTCAGAATATTGTTTTTATACATATTTCTTAAATTAATGAGATATTAAATTTAGTCAACTGTTATATTATAATCAATAATTATCTGTTTAAAGACCATCTTTAGCCAGTTTATAGCAGGCATGCTTTAATCAGAAAGGAAACACACTGATTACAAAAATAATCATTTTGTCTAAAGCTATCTAGACTATAAAAATTTTCATCTGTCTACAGTTTTAGAAAAACAAATTCAACTTTAACAACACTTCATGAAATAATTGTATTCTATGAGCACAAGGAATAGCTTGCTGAGAAAACTACATATTCAAACTGAGAAGTTAATATCTATTCTATGACAAAGTGTTGTACAAGGGATCTTGGAATAATCTGCCATTAAGTGAAGCAAAACACCAGCTCTTTCCAAATGTTCATGAGTGACACTGAAAGTTATGATATGTGGGTGGCAGCTGCTTCTGCTATCTTGGCCAACTAGCTCAGTGATTATGGTATATTTTACACACATTTTTCAAGAAACAGCAGAATATTCAGCAGGACAAAGTTAATTAATTTAATGTTTAATCATGTTCGAGCAAGGGAATTATCAGTATTCATCTTCTTCTATTCAATAATTCTTTATCTTTTAATTTCAAGTAAACATAAATCTTCCAGAACAAAGCATAACTGTTTAGGAAACTGACAGAAATATTATAGTCCTTTATTCAAGATAGAGCACTAATATATTTCAATGAGATTAAGAACAATGATAAAATTACTATCCTTTTGGGGAACAGAAGATAGCAGACAGATAATATTTTAATGTGTGTTGCACTTAATTCCATATTAGTTATCGCAAAAAAGTATCAGAACCTTACAAGAAAACAATATATTATTTGTGTGCTTTCTCAAATGCAAGATTCTCAAACCACTGATGGTCTTAACTATTTCCTGCAAGTTATTATAGTGGTGATTAACCTAAAACATTGTGAAGATCAAATATTATAATAAATTATTAGATGACAGGAGTTCAGTTTGCAAAATATCATAGGCAAAGTTGTATTGGTATGAGGGGAATGCTGGAATTTCTATTAGCTATTAAACATTTATATCATTCTCAATCTTGTGGTAAGATAGGTGCTTCTGTAACAAGTCAGGCAGAACACAGATTCCATGCTCCAATTTTCCCTGGTCTATAGACTTCATTTTCACAACTGCAAACCCTTAACACTGTGAGTACCTAGGAATCTGCTGTGTCCTTTCTACAGTCATTCAAACTCTCCTTCAAAAATTATTTAAGCCACATTGAAATAGATATTATACGAACCTAGTATTATAGTATTTAACTTAAAGAGTTTTGGTTTAGTGGTCTGTTGAGGAGACTTTTCTCTAATGGGACAAAGAATAAGGCAATAAAACTCAGTGTTTAAGAGCTGAAATGTTGAGAGAAAACAACCTGGGTTTGAGTCCAGGTTCTCCACCTTGCTAGCTCTGAGAAGTTGGGCAAGTTCATGAAGCTGGCAGAGCCTTAGATTCCTCATCTTTAAAACTTGGGTAATGATATTTACCTCACTAGATATTTAATAATACAGAAACCTGAGAAAATATATGTATAGTCATGAGAATGGCACCTGACCCATCTAACCTCTTACCAAATGACAGGATTATTGTTATTTCTAAATATTTAGGAAGAGTGGCACCTCAAGGATGAGCACTTTTATAGCTGTGATCTGAAAACGTCCCTCCTCAAAAGTGGGTGCAGGAAACAGAACTGCTAGTGGAATCAATATTAAATTTAAAAAAAAACTTTGGTCATATTTCAACTGAAATCTAGCATCTTTTCTAAATTCAGCGTCTTTCATCTATCTCTTTACATTTCTTTCTTCTTGAGGAAAAACATACATGTTAGCCAAAAAAAAAAAAAAAAGTTTTAATTTTGCTGTCTCTAGCCAGGACTTGGAAGCTGGCGATAAAAAGGAAAATGCTTTTAAAAGTAACTGAATTTCTTATTTCTAGTCTGGACAGTACACAATACTTGAAAAGACACTGAACTGTGAGTCCAGCAACCTGGATCACTCTACAGCCAGCTCTGCCTCTGAAAAGCTCTGTCATATTGGCCAGTCAACAAAACCTACTGAGTCTCCACAGCCTTCCATGGCAAAAAAGAAGGCTAGTTATAGAAGTGGTTTTTCAAACTTTAAAAGTCAAAAGAATCCTTTCTTCAGTTTATATCTTATCAAGAATACCAACTATGATCATGTCAATAAGTGCAGACAAAGTACTTGACAAAAATAAACATCTATTCATGATAAAAATGCTCAACAACTGAAAGTGAAGAGCTGGAAAAAGATAGTCCATGCAAATGGAAACCAAAAAGAGCAGGAATAGCTATATTTATATCAGATAAAATAGACTTTAAGTCAAAAGCTATTTAAAAGAGATAAGATAAAGAAAGTCATTATATCATTGTTAAATGGGTTGATTCAGCAAGAGGATACAACAATTATAAATATGTATGTAGCTAACATTGCAGCATGTAACTATATAGAGTAAATATTAATAGATATGAATGGAGAGATAGAATGCAACACAATAATAGTGAGAGATTTTAACAGCCCACTTATAGTAATGGAAAGATTATCCAGACAGAATATCAACAAGAAAACATTTAACTTAAAGCTGCACTCTAGACCAAATGGACCTAATGGACATATACATAACGTTACATCCAACAGCTGCAGAATACACATTCTTCTCTACTGCACATGGAAAAATCTCCAGGAAAGATCATATGTTAGGCCACAAGACAAATCTTACAAATTTAAGATAATTTATATTGAATCAAGTATCATTTCTGACCACAATGGTATAAAGCTAGAAATTAATAACAGGAGAAACTTTGGAAAATTCACAAAACTGTGGAAATTAAACATCATGCTCCTGAACAACCAAGAGGCTAATGAAGAAATTAAAAGATAAATTTTAAAATGTTTTCAGGCAAATGAAAATGGAAACTCAACATACTAAAACCATACTAAAATGGGATACAGCAAAAAGAGTTCTAAGAGTAAACTTTACAGCAATAAATTCCTACATCAAAAAGAAGAAAGACCTAGGCCCAGCACAGTGGCTCAGTCCTGTAACCCTAGCACTCTGGGAGGCTGAGGTGGGCGGACCACCTGAGGAAAGGAGTTCAAGACCAGCCTGGCCAACATGGTGAAACCCAGTCTCTAGTAAAAAAATACAAAAATTAGCTGGGCATGGTGGCATGTGACTGTTATCCCAGATACTCAGGAGGCTGAGGCAGGAGAATCGCTTGAACCCGGGAGTCAGAGGTTGCAGTGAGCCGAGATCATGTCATTGCACTCCAGCCTGGGTGACAGAGCCACACTCCAACTCAAAAAAAAAAAAAAAGAAGAAGAAGAAGAAGGAAGAAGGAAGAAGGAAGAAGAAGAGGAAGGAAGGAAGGAAGAAGACGGATCTGAAATAAACAGACATTGCATCTCAAGGAACTAGAAAAGCAAGAAGAAACTAATCCAAAAGT
This sequence comes from Homo sapiens, assembly GCF_000001405.40. Taxonomy (NCBI): domain Eukaryota; kingdom Metazoa; phylum Chordata; class Mammalia; order Primates; family Hominidae; genus Homo; species Homo sapiens. The sequence goes on along the minus strand of NC_000006.12, from coordinate 76,410,350 downwards.
ACAAGGAAGAAAATAATAAAAGTCATAGCATAAATAAATGAGAGAGACTAGAAAATAAATAGAAAAGATCAACAAAATAGGAAATTGGTTTTCTGAAAAGATACAATTAACAAACCTTTAGCTAGGCTAATTTTAAGAAAGAGAGGGGGAAGACTCAAAAACTAAAATCAGAGATAAAAAAGGAGACATTACAACTGATACCACAAAAATATAAAGTATCACAAGAGACTTAACGAAAAATTATGTTCTAACAAATTGGAAAAGGTAGAAGAAGTGGATCACTTCTTAGACACACACAACCACCAAGAATGAATCATGAAGAAATAGAAATCTGAACAAACCAATGACAAGTAGGGAAACTAAATCAATAATAAAAGTTTTCAAAGAAGAGCTCAGGAACTGATAGTTTACACTGCTGAATCCTACCAAACATTTAAAGAAAAGCTAATACAAATGCTTCTCAAATGCATCCAAAAATTGAAGAGGAAAGAATACTTTCAAACTCATGTTGTGAGGCCAGCATTACTCTGATATCAAAACTAGACAAAGAAACAACAAAAAGAGAACACGACAGGTCAATATCTCTGATGAACATAGACTGAAAAAAAAAATCAACAAAATGCTAGCAAAACAAATTCAATAGCACATTAAAAAGATAGTTCATTATGACTGAGTAGGCTTTATATCAGGGTTGAAAAGATGGTTCAAGATATGCAAATCAATAAACATGATATATCACATCAGCAGGATAAAAAACAAAAAACATTGATCACCTCAATAGATGCAGAAAACACATTGGGCAAAATTCAACATTCCTTCATGATAAAAACTCTCAATAAATTAGGTATAGAAGAATTGTGCCTTAATAGAATCAAGTCCATATATGACAAACCCACAACTAAAATTATATGAATGGGGAGGAGTTGAAAGCTTTTCCTGTAAGATCTAGAGCAAGACAAGAATTCTACTTACCACCTCTAGTCAACATAGTACTGGAAGCCCCAGCCAGAGCAACCAGACAAGAAAAAGAAATTTAAAACATCCAAGTTAGAAAGGAAGAAGTTAAATTGTCACTATTTGCAGATGACATCATTTTATGTATAGATAGACTCCACAAAACACTGCTAAAACTAATAGATAAATTCAGTAAAGTTGCAGGATGTAAAATCAATATATTAAAACAATAGTATTTCTATATACCAATAAACTACCTGAAAAAGAAATCAAGGAAACAAGCCCATTTACAATAGCTACACTAAAAATACTTAGGAATAAATTTCACCAAGGAAGTGAAAAATCTCTACATTGAAAACTCTAAAACATCGATGAAAGAAATTGAAGAAAACACAAATAAAAAGAAAGACATACTATATTCCTGTATTGAAAACAAATAATATTGTTGTGTCCACACTGCCAAAGCAATCTGTAGATTCAATGTAATCCCTGTAAAAATACCAATAACATTGTTTACAGAAATAGAAAAAACAATTTTAAAATGCGTATGGAACCACAGAAGACTTCAAATAGCCAAAGCAACATAGATCAAAAAGAATGAAGCGGAAGGCATCACACAACCAGACTTCAAAATATATTATGAAGCTTTAGCAATCAAAGGAGCATGGTCCTGGCTTAAAAACTGGCTTAAAATCCAATTCACATACATGGATTGGATTGTAATAGAGAGCCCAGAAATAAATCCATGCATTTACAATAAACTAATTTTCGACAAAGATGCCAAGAACACACAATAGGAAAAGGACAGTTTTTGATAAATGGTGTTGGGAAAATGAGATAGCCACACGCCAAAGGGAAAAAAAAAAGGAAGAAGTTAGACCATTATTTCTCACCGTATGAAAAAAATCAACTCAAAATGGATTAAAAACTTAAGTGTAAGACCTAAAACTATGGAACTACTCAAAAAAATCATAGAAGAAATACTCCATGACATTGCTGTGGATGATAATTTTCTGGATATGATTTCAAAAGCACAGGCAACAAAAGCAAAGATAGACAAGGGAGATTACATTAAACTAAAATGCTTCTGCACAGCAAACAATCAACTGAGTAAAATGATAACCTACAGAACGGGCAAAAATATTTGTAAACCATATATCTGAAAGGAGTTAATATTCAAAATATGTAAGGACCTCAAACAAATCAATAGCAAGTAAACAAACAACTCGATTAAAAATTGGGCAAAGACCTGAATAGACATTTCTCAAACAAAGATATGCAGGCCAACAAGTGTATGAAAAAATGCTCAGCATCACTAATCACCAGGAAAATACAAATGAAAACCTCAATGAGATAGCCCATTAGAATGGCTATCACAATAAAGACAAAATATAAAATTTTGGTGAAGATGTATATAAAAGGGAACAGTTGCAAACTGCCAGTGGAAATGTAAATTATTATAGTCATTGTGAACAAAATAGGGAGGTTCCACCCCAAAATTAAAAATAGAACTACCATATAGCCCAGGAAATCAGTATGTTGAAGAGATATCTGCACTCCCATATGTATTGCACCACTATTTACAATAGCCAAGATATGGAATCAACCTAGGTGTCTATAAACAGATACATGGATAAAGAAAATGTGGTATACATACACAATGGAATAGTATTCAGCTACAAAAGGAAGAAAATATTGTCATTTGCAACAACGTGGATGAAACTGGAGGACATGTTAAGTGAAATAAGCCAGGCAGAGAAAGATAAATACTATATAATCTCACTTATATATGGAATCTAAAAAGTTGATATCATAGAAGTAGAGAATAGAATAGTGATTACCAGAGAGAGAGGGGAGTTTGGGAAAATGTTGGTCAAAGGATACATATTTACAGTTAAAGAGGAGGAATAAGTTCAAAACATGTTGTACAGCATAGTGACTAATGATAATATAGTGTGTTCTTGAAAAATGCTAAGAAAGTGGATGTACAGTGTTCTCACCACAAAAATGATAACTATATATTTGTTATTTAGCTAGATTTAACTATTTCACAATGTGTATAATATGCTTCAAAACATTATGCTATACATGAATAATACACACAATTTTATATATCAGTTTAAAAATAAATTTGCAAATTAAAAAAATTCTAACAAAACCAGTATAAAAGGAATGTATCTCAACCTAATAAGTGTCATATGTGACCAGCTGACAGTTAACATCCTACTCAATGGTGAAAAACTGAAAAATCAGAAACAAGACAATAATGCCCCTCTCACTGCCTTTATTCATCACAGTACTGGAATTCCCAGCCAGAGCAATGAGACAAAAGAAAAAAATAAAGGGCATCTGTTTCGGGAAGTCAGGGACCCCAAACGGCTGAAGTCATGGCAGAAGAACATGGATTGTGAAGATTTTATGGACATTTATTTGTTCCCCAAATTAATACTTTTATAATTTCTTATGCCTGCCTTTACTGCAATCTCTAAACATAAGTTGTGAAGATTCATAGACACTTATCACTTCCCCAGTCAATACCCTTGTGATTTCCTATGCCTGTCTTTACTTTAATCTATTAATCCTGTCAGCTGAGGAGGATGTATGTCACCTCAGGACCCTGTAATAATTGCATTAACTGCACAAATTATAAAGCATGTGTGTTTGAGCAATATGAAATGTGGGTACCTTGAAAAAAGAACAGGATAACAGCAATTGTTCAGGGAATAAGAGAGATAACCTTAAACTCTGACTTCCGGTGAGCCGTCTCACTGCCTTTATTCATCATAGTACTGGAAGTCCCAGCCAGAGCAATGAGACAAAATAAAAAATAAAGGGCATCCAAATAGGAAAGGAAAAAGTCAAATTATCCTTGTTTGCAGACAATATATTTTATTTTTTAGAAAAATTTAAAGACTCTACCAAAAAACTATTAGAACTAATAAGCAAAGTTAGTAAAGTTGCAAACTATAAAAATCAACATACAAAAACCAGTAGCATTTCTATAAGTGAAGAGTGAACAATCAGAAAAAGAAACTGAAAAAGTAATCCTATTACAATAGGATTGAAAAAGCTATTTACAATAGCTGCAAAGGAAATAAAATACCTAGAAATGTATTTAACCAAAGAAGTGAAAGATCTCTATAATAAAAACTATAAAACATTGATGGGAGAAATTAAAGAGAACACAAAAATATGGAAAGATATCTCATGCTCATTGATAGGAAGAATATTGTTTAAATGTCCATATTACCCAAAGAGATCTATGGATTCAATAAAATCCCTACCAAAACACTAATGGCACTTTTCACAGAAATAGAAAGATCAATCCTAAGATTCATAGAAAACCCAAAAGGATCCCAAATATTTCAATCAATTGAGCAAGAAGAACAAAGAGACATCACACTGCCTGATTTCAAAATATACTACAAAGCTATAATAACTAAAACAGTTTGCTACTGGCACAAAGATATATGTAACAATGGAATAAAAGAAAGTCCCCAGAAATAAACCCATTTATATATGGTCAGCTAATTTTCAACAAAAGCATCAAGAAACATAGGAAAGGATAGTCTCTTTAATAAGTGGTACTGGGAAACTGAATAACCACATGCAAAAGAGCAAAATTGGACCCTGGTCTTACAGCATATACAAAAATTAACTCAAAATTGAATTAAAGACTTAAATGTAAGATCTGAACATCTAAAACTCCTAGAATAAAACATAAGGAAAAATCTTGATGTTAGTCTTGGCAATGATTCTTTAGAATTAATCCCAAAAGCATGTCAACGAAAGCAAAAATAAACAAGTGGGACTACATCAAACTAAAAAGCTTCCATATAACAAAGGCAATGATCAACAAAATGAAAAGGCAACCTATGGAATGAAAGAAAATATTTGCAAGCTATGTATCTCATAAAGGGTTAATATCCAAAATATACATGGAACTCATGCAAGTCAATAGCAAAAGAAGCAAATAAAGCCATTACAAAATGGATAAATGACAAGAAAATATATTTATCAAAAGAAGACATACAAATGGCCAACATGGTTCATGCAAAAATGCTAATCAAAATCAATAATCATCAGGGAAATGCAAATCAAAACCACAATGAAGTATCTATCACCTTACTCCCATTAGCCTGGCTATTCTCAAAAAGATGAAAAAGAAGTGTTGGGAAGGATGTAGAAAATATACACTGTTTATTGTAATGTAAATTGTACAGCCATTATGGAAAACAGATGGAGATTCCTCCAAAAATTTAAAATAAAACTATCATATGATCCAGCAATCCCACTACTGGGTTTCCAAAGAAAATTAATTCAGTATCTCAAAGAGATATATGTACCTCCATGTTCTTTGCAGTATTATTCATTATAGCCAAAATATAAAAATAACTTGTGTCTACCAATAGATCAATGGATAAAAAATGTACACACACACACAAAAAAAAACACACACACACAAACACAGACACATACCAGAATATGATTCAGCCATAAAAAAGAAGAAAATTCTGTCATTTGCAACAGCATGAATGAGACTGGAGGACATTATGCTGAATGAAATAAGCCAAATACAGAAAGACAAATACTGCATGATCTCACTGATACGTGAAATCTTAAAAAGTCAAACTTAGAGGGCAGAAGGGTGGTTACCAGAGTCTGGGGGAGTGGATAGATGTTGGTCAAAGTGTAGAAAGTTAGTTGTAATATCAATAAGTTCTGGTGATCTAATAACTGTGGTTAATAACAATGTAGTGTATACTATGTGAAGTGATGGATATGTTAATTAGCAGTATTGCAGTAATCATTTATCTATATATATAAATATCATGTTATATAACTGAAACATAGTTTTTATTTGTCAAACATATCTCAATAAAAATAAAAAAGAAACAATTGAATTGTTAAAAATCAAGACATACAATGACTAATTTAAAAAAAACAACAACTATAAAACAGACCTAGGTCGTTGCTGTTTCCTCCTCAATGTCTCCCCAACCCTCACATTGCCCTCGAGAAGGCTCTTCCAGGACCCAGTGGATTGCCCAATCAATGGATTGAAAACCAGTGGATTGAAACTAATCTATTTGACAATATGAAAACCAATGGATTAGACAGTTTGAAAACCATTGGATTGAAAGATTGTTAAGCTTAATTCTCACTGAAACATTAAAGTGTAAGGTTGCCATATTTAATAATAATCGTAAGTCATTTCATATTTGTGCTCTGAGATCTGATCTCAGTGAGAACATTTGAAACCGTGCAGCTAGGCCAGCAAATTTGATTGTCCGACAAGGGAAATAGAACCCCATGCTGACTGCGGGGCTGTGGCTATAACTTGCCCTCACAGTGGCTTCATCACCACAGCCCTTCTTTCAGACTACATAGTTTTCAAACTGAATTTAGTACTTAAACAGCAGCAGGAGAATCACTGGGACACCTGAACATCTGCCTTTCCTCTCCAGCAAAGGCAGCTTTTGTTTACCGCACCATATATTTTGACCTCCTAAAAACATGTTATTTGAACGAAAGATTCTGTGCCCTTCAAATTTGAAAGCCACTGTACTGAGTACTCACTCTTCACTCATAGCTCATCTGTGTATCCTGCTGCACTTTTATCTGACAGATTTCATTGCAGCTCCAGGGACAGAGGCAAACAATTTAGACATTTTTGCAAGGATTTTTGTTGCCCTGGACTGAAGTCTGATGGCTGGTCAGTGAGATTAGAGCAATCAAATACCTTCCTCTTCATGTAATTACTGCATTTGTATAGCACTTTAGAAACATGGTCACAAGCATTTTTCTCACTCATTCCTTCCCAACATTTTATGGCAAAAACAAGAGAGATATTGTAATTTGTATTTAAAACCAAAGAGAGATTAAGTATTTTACTAGACATAAAAAGCCAATCAGCGGAAGAAAAGAAATTCAAGTGCTCTAGGTGACTTTATTTCACAAAAAAACAAAGGTCCTGGACAAAGGGGAAAGAGATGAAGACTTGCTTGTATTATTATTATGCCTTATGTTTTTCTCACAACTGAATGTTAATTCTACATTTCACAGTAAATTTATTATATGAAAATGAAAAACTTTATATAAAAATATTCTCAAAGAACTGAAATCTACTTACTCAGCATTTTACAACAAATCATTTCATTTTACTTCAGGAGCCTGAGTGGAATGTATTTAAGCACAAATACTTCAGAACCAGATGGTTTAGGCTTAATTATGAATCTTTAAGTTAGGCATAATTATTTGTGACCCTTCAGACTAGATATTCAGAAACAATTTAGGAAATATTGCTAAGATTAGGGACACAGGAACTGCCATTCTAAATGAAGAGTATCAGAGGAAATCAAAAGTGACTTGGAGTAAACTGAGCCCATCAACAGGATTGTTTATTATGCTGTTTTGTGTATGAGATAAGCCTTTGTTCCAAGTGAGCCACATTACTATAGACATCAATCTCTATAGGATCTAAAGTCCATCCACCTTTTCAGGATGCCTTGAAGAAGTCAGTACATGAATACTTTTGGGGACACAACCTCATACACTCAAAAATCAGATGTGTCTTCAGGAATCAAGTATCTAATTAGCAGATTGTTGGGCTCTGCTCTGTTAAATAAGCAACTTTCACCTGAAAATGATTATTGTCTTCAGGCCCTGTAAATTAAAAAAAAAAATTACTCTGCTTTTTTTTTTATTATTATACTTTAAGTTTTAGGGTACATGTGCACATTGTGCAGGTTAGTTACATATGTATACATGTGCAATGCTGGTGCGCTGCACCCACTAACTCGCCATCTAGCATTAGGTATATCTCCCGATGCTATCCCTCCCCCCTCCCCTCACCCCACAACAGTCCCCAGAGTGTGATATTCCCCTTCCTGTGTCCATGTGATCTCATTGTTCAGTTCCCACCTATGAGTGAGAATATGCAGTGTTTGGTTTTTTTGATGAGTTCATGTCCTTTGTAGGGACATGGATGCAATTGGAAATCATCATTCTCGGTAAACTATCGCAAGAACAAAAATACTCTGCTTTTAAGATGGCAAATCAACTCAATTTGCAAAATCAGATATTCACACACTTTACAGCTCTTTCTTTCAGGGAGTCTCTAAAAACAAAACTGTGTACATACTTTACAACTAGTTTTTAATCTTCCTTACTTTTATCTGAGCTAGGAATTTGAATCACTGGTCAATTTAAAATTAAGGATGAAATAGAATAGACAAGTTCTAAGTTCTATAAGCTTTTCCCTATGTTGGCTTATCACAATGTGTAAGAGAATACATGAAATGACAACAATATTACTTTACAGTTACAATATTTTTCCTATCTGAAACTTTCTATCTTAAAAACTGGATCTGTAGGGAACACAGCAAAAAAAAAAAAAAAAAAAAAAAAAAAAAAAAAAACCCAGCTAAGTACTAAGTAGTCAAGAAAGATATCATTTTATTTCATTCTGTCATTGATATGTTCATTCTGTCATTCATCAAAAGGAATTAAGTGTTCACTACTGTATACCAGGCATTTTGCTGATCACTAAGCATAAATTAATTAGCAAAATAATCTCTGTTCTCATGAAGTTCATCTTCATGTTCATAGGCATTCCCTCTTAGCCTATTTATTTTTAGTTTACATATAATTCTAACAGCCCTATATATCTAGGTGTCATGCTTATATCAGAATAGAAACACCAAGTCACAAGGGAAAAAGACTACCAGAAGTACAATAAGGACAGGGTAAAAGGAAGACCTAGCAAGGAAAGAAAACTTAATAGGATTTATTGTTCAATAAATACTGAGTGTCTGTTATGTACTAGTGCTGCTCTAGGAGCTAGACAAAACCATGAAACAAAAGAAACAAAAATTCCCACTATCCTTGGCATATCTTCTAGTAACAACTCAAACAAGCATCAAAAAGCACATGAAGCTGAGAGTATTTAATATGTGGTAAAGATGTGTAAATAAAGGTTGCTAATATTATAGCAGCTAACACTGTTCTAAGGTTACTAATATTATAGCAGCTAACACTTTTCTACCACCATGTATTGGGTACTCTTTCAAGCATTTTCTCTAAAATAATTTATTCAATCAATGTAATGGCCCTCTGAAATATGAATTACTATTTTTCCCATTCTACAAAAGAGGAAGTTGAGACATTTATCCAGAGACAAACTTTTCCAGAAGTGTAGGCACAATGTACAAATGTATGATTATTCTGATGGAAGCTGCAGTGAGTATCCTGCTCACACACAGCCCCACCTCATACTTCTAGTTGCCCCTGGAGATTCTTCAAGGAAAGGGAGCCCTAGGCTTTGCCGAAAATAATGTGAAAACCACTGACTGAGGAAAGCTTGTTTCTTGTGAGGCTGAATACGTATTATGGTACCTACTGCCTCTCCTCTAAAAAGCTAATGTGCCTTTTACGCATGTCCTTTCATCTTTTCCCATCATCTTTCTATGAAGTAAGGAGGAAAAAAGCTATCTCTGTTTTATAAATGGGTTTAAAGAGGCATGAAAAAGTAAAGTGATGAGAATGTTTTTATCAGCTACTATGAGATTCATCGAATCACAGAACTAGAAGAGTTCTGTTCTTCCCTCTGAATACCAACAGGGCCTAAATTATTAATTTAGCTAAAAATAGATTGTAGAGAAGGTCATTTCACAAACAGTTCAGTAATGTTTTCAACTTAGGATTTTCATCCTCTACCAGTATTTATTGAGCATTTGTTATATAAGCCTGTCACTAAATTAGAGCTAAGACCACAGAGAGGCCTATGACCTGTACAGCTGAGCTTAAAGTCTAGTTAAAGAGAAAGAATATAAATGTTATTTTGGATGTATTTCATATCCAAAGCCATGTGTCCATGTGTGTGTTAGTATGGGTAAATGGATGGGTGAATAGATGAAGAATGGAAAAATAGATTGGAAGGATGGATGGATGAATCAGATGGAGGGAGGAAATGGACATATAGAGATAAGCTACCAAATAAACAGTAAAGGTATGAATGCTTTTACCAGTGTACAAATCAGTGCAGTATCACTGAGGCTGATTAAATGATGCTTACTATTAAATATTTAAGTAGGCAAGAAAATAGGTTCTGGACATTAAAAATGTTTTTATATATCTGATGCTAAGTAAATTATTCAATATATCTATAATAACCAAAAAATTATTATTCATAAATCCAAATTCAATAAATAAGAAAGTAGGGTTGGAGTTGTCTTTAAAAATAGATTGTTTTGGAAAAGTAGAAAGGAAGACATTACCAACATAAAGGAGAAAGCAATGCCAGAGAGAGGAATACAGCTTGTTCATATGCAAGAAATAAATTTGTATGTTTGATGCGGAAGTAACATATTGGGGTGAGGTGAGAGATTCAGTTGGAAAGAAAAGCAAAGGCTAGAATGCAGAGTGCCCTGAAAACCAGGATGGGTGTTTACCGTTTCTCTTCTGCATATTAAGGAGACATTATAGGTTTGGGTTTTCATTTGTTTTGGTTTCGGTTTTTAAATTTTTCCTTTGATTACTTTTTAAAACTAATATATGCTAACTGCTATCTGTGAAGATTATTCCATAAGATAAAGGTATGATTAAGAAAGAGAAAGCAGCCTATATTTGCTACCAAAGACCACAATTCTCCTGCTCAAATATTCCCTTCTTATTATTAGAAAGGCCTGCATTTACCAAGCAACCTGAAATAGGCCCATCTCAAATGGATCCCCAAAAACTCTACCTCCTTTCACTCTGCTTTATTTATCTTTATAGCACTTGTGTCTAGCTACCACAAATGTATATACTTACTTACACTTGTTTATTTTTGGTTTTCCACTAGAATACATAATTCTCCCAGAGGGCAGGGAATCTAACTTGTTCACGGCTTTATTTCTACTGATTAGAATAGCCTTTGACACATAGTAGGCACTCAGTAAACATTTATTTTTGAAAGAATGAGTTTAACCAAAAATGAGTTATTCTATGGAAAATCTACAAATATGTAAACTCAGTTATAGTTATAGTGTATGTATTAGTTTGCAAATCATTAAGTATTCTCTTTGAAGTTACAGTCCTTAGCCAGGCATGGTGGCGAATACCAGTAGCCTCAGCTATTCAAGAGACTGAGGTGGGAGGATCCCTTGAGCCCAGGAATTCAAGGCCAGCCTAGGCAACATAGTTTCCAAAAAACTAAATTACATTTCTTAATTAGTTCACATATATTTGACATTTTAATATTTATGAATTGTTCTTACAAAACACCTAAAAAGAACCATAAAGATAGCCAACAACTTTCCATAGTTACAAGCTGTTAAACTTTTATGGTAGAAAATTTACTGTGACTCTGTTATTTGATTCCATGACATTATAGATTCCAGAGGAAAATAAATTAAAACTTATATTCAGTAATTAAAAATTGTTTTCAATAAATAATAAAATGTGGAAGGTATTTTTATAAATGTTATTTATGATACCAAAAGGGAAAATGTTTGTGATAGAAAATTAAATAATGGGCAGAAGACACTTAACTGTTTAAACACTTTGATCCCTTTTTATTCTGAAAAAAATGTATGTATGCATGTGCATGCACGTGTGTGTGTGTGCGTGTGTGTGTGTGAGATAAGAAAAAAATCACCAAATATGCATCAAGCCATGATTTATCTCTGGGCATTAGATTTTAGATGATTTTATTTGCTCTTTAGAATTTGAAATATATCCAATTTTCTATAAAACACATTATATTAATAATAGTTTAGAAATAAGCCAATACTATTTTAAGTGAAAAAAATTAAAGTAAGTTAAATAATGTGGTTAAATTTTGGCAAAATAGACAAAACCAAGCAAATGATAGAATATAATCAACTATTACTAATTCTAAATGTATTTGCTATCAAAAAGTATCAAGAAATAAGAAAAAATATATAAGCAAACAATAGTATTTAAATCCATGAAGCTCAAATCTCAGACCTGGGCAGGAGAAAGAAGGATCACCAAGTCTGGGTTATAAATCTGCATAAGCCAAAAGGAAAAGAGCCAAACTATGGCTTCTCTTTTAGTGCTAACAAACTTTGGATAAATTTCACATTAAATTGAAACCTGGCTACTTCATCTAGGTTTTCCACATAGAAGTG